>NC_000014.9:79611713-82111713 GCF_000001405.40 Homo sapiens | reverse complement strand
TTTTGAAGTTCCAAAATAGTACCAAAAAGTCATAATAATAGATATGATTATTTAGCCAACTACCATGCACTAGATACTTTAATTTGAAGGGGATCAGAATATGCCACCTCAAAATATGCCACTTTGACATAAGAATTATTTTGATCTGGATGCAAATGAGAATCAACAGATAGAGAAAGACTTGTCAGAGGTTCCCTTATCCAACTAAGAGCAGAAATTTCTGAGAAATGAGGACTGCCATGAATCTTCTCTCCTAGAGGAGTTTCATGGCCATGAAGATATGGAGAGACAGCACCTAGACGGGTCTGCAAACAAATCTTACTAAAATTCACCCTTATCTTCTATGACATAATTTTCATTATATATAAGCTCCAGTGTATTTTCTAGTTACTTTCCTACAATTTATCACCCCCAACCCAAATCCCTTTTCTCTTGTCTTATCATATCTTCATAATTTATCATTCTTTGTTTTTAAAAAATAAAGGTATATAAGGTCACAGGCTTATCACTTTTTTGAGGTCTATATTTTCCTACAAAGACCTCTGTATGCATATATACTAATAAATCTTTTCTCCTATGTAATCTGTCTTTTGCTGGTCTAATTTGTAGGACCCCAACCACTGATCTGAAGAAGGTAAAGGAAAAAGTTTTCTTTTTTTTCTTTCCTTACGAATTACATGATCTCTAGTGCTTGAACAGCCCTTCGATCTAGGTATTAGATCTATTTTGCAGAAGAGAAAATTAAGGTTAAAATACTTGTCGCATATCACAAGGAAAATGTACACAAGACTCTAGATTGTTTCAGTCAATCCTCATTTGACTTTGTCATGCTTAAACATTTCTCGTACCTCCTTCAAGCTAGAGTTCTAAATATAAATTCACTCCTACCCATTACATATACCAATGCAAGATTAGGACAGTGGAAATGAGGCCAAGGCTGCCTTCTTGTGGCTCTTGGCTTTTGTTGCTGACAAGCAAGCACCTTGAAAATCTGAGGGTTTTCTGTAGTAGCAATCCCATGTCATTGCCCAATCTTTTGGATGTTGGGAGGCAGTTACAGCAGTGGTGCTGGAAGAGATGCATGCTTCCAGCATGTCTCTGGGGAAACCTCAGAAGTAACACTTCCCTAGGAGAGTTGTTATGTGTCTCACTCTTGGAATCACTAGAAGCTGTTTTTTCAGCCCTTCTTATAATCATGTAAGTATCTAATCCACTGTATTACCCTACCGTCTGCTTTAAATACCTACAGTGGATTCTGTTTCCTGCCCTAAATACTGAATATTGACTGACACAGCAAGTAATCAACAGTCTTTAAATTTGATTCCAAGTCTTGCTTTTGTCACCATATCTGTATAATATGGTAGGGGTGGGTATACACACACACACATGCATATATATATATATATATATATATATATATATATATATATATATGTACACACATACACAAAAAGCATGTTAAATTTGCTCTTTATTCACATGACAGTTAGAAAAGTGTATTATAAAAATATATTCTAATGTGAATGATTGTAATAAAGACTCTGACTCCATTTTGTAACATGCTTGACAGCTGATAGCTTTTAAGTCTTCCCCTCTCCCTTCCCCTCCTGGAGCATATACAGTCATGCTGAAAACAAAGCCCAGGTGCTTCCTTTGACTGTTAGGAAGAAACCACCTGCAGGAGCGATCACCTGGTCCTACCTATGTAATCACCATAAAAACCCCAAACCATTCCCCTTTCCTTATTTCCCAAGACATTTTGGACAGCTTGGGGGCCTGCCCTGCTCTCCCCCGAAAGCGTGTGTATGTGAGTAATAAATCTTTCATATTCTTTTGTTGTGCATATGGTATCAGTCTTGACATCCAGACCAAATTTTGAATGAGGAGGTCCATCCTTCTTTTTCAGCCTGAACATAATAAGAACTATAGGTGTTATCACATTGCCTACAAACAATTTAAGTAGGAAATTTAAAAAGAAAACAAAAAGAAAAAGCAAGAATATCTGATTTAACTGGAGGTAAACCTGACTAAAATCCCTTAAGGACAAAGCAGCTTTATTTGAAGAAACCTTAACTATGAACATATGTGAAATATCTGTGCATTAAAATCTTTTATGTGAAATCCAATTGTGATTCATTCTAATAGCTTCAATAGAAACGCAATTATTTCCCACATCCATGCATTTCCAGAAATGGCCATTGTGTTAAAGAGCAGCTTTAATGCACAACTAATTTGAGGTTGTTAAATATTTTAACTACTGAGTGATAAGAATTAATATTTCAGGATTAAAATTCATTGATTATTGAATTTCTGCTATCTAGTCACTATAAACCAATGATTAATGTTATTTCTATGGAATATCTTTTAGTTGAAAAGTTGATACTCTAACAGCCTAAGCAGGGACATAAATAACACTTACAGATACCACAGCATTTCAAAGTAGCCTCAAAGGAAGATAGCACCTCTCCATTAGAGAGCTATTTATGTCTCAACAAGAAGAAACAAAAATCACAACATTTTAGACCTAGAAAGATGATTGGCACCTTGATCTTTAAGCTCTTAATTACAGAGGAGGAAGTAATTCATACAAGTTGGGAGTCCAATGGCCCATGAGTGAAAGTGCTGGTACCATGTAGGTACCAGATCTTCCAACAATCAACTCAGTGCTCTCGTCCCTTAAATATCTCCCTAGGATTTCTGATGGGAATCCAATAGTCCTAATGCTAGAAAACATATTTCTTGAATCTTAAAATATATATTAAATAAATCTATTTCTCTAGTCAAGAAAATTGCTTTTATATACTCATCAGATTGTGAACAGAGTTGCTGCTAGCCTAGATGGCACCTTTGTGCAAGGGAAAAAAGCAGTTCCTCTGGGATCTTTGCACTTTTCTGTCAGTCTAAAATTATTGTAAAACTAGAAGCTCATTTTTAAGATGTACATTAGATTTAATCACCTGATCTGATTGATATCATTTGACTTTAAGAAAAAGTCATCAATTTGTTTATTTGCAAACTAGACAAAGTAAGAATACTGATCTCACTGGACTGTTGCAAGGATGAAATTAAATAATAAATACATGCAAAGCATTTAGCATAAATCCTGACACTTCATAAGAACAAAAAAACTGTTTGCCATTTCTATTAACAGAACCTCAAAAGAAGCTCTTCTCCCTTCCCTTCCCACTTGCTTCTCTACCTATTAGAACATGCAGGGAACATTAGCCATATTGTCAAATTATTCAGGCCTTTTCATCCATAAGGAAACTGATAAAATCAAGTAATGTACTTTATACTGATTATCAATCTTGGTGCCTGTTTAGTTGTCAACCTAAATTGTCACTCCATAATATGAATGACATATAAGAAAGGCCATTAAGGGAAAACATCATAGAGAAATGTTAAAATATTTTTAAGATTAAAATGTCTTATTTCAGCAATAGCTTTATCCACTGTATAGTTGAGCCCTAAATACTTTAGATGCAATTTAACAAGCATATGTTATAAATTACTATGCTTAGAGGAAAAGAGAAAATGAGAGGAAGCTCAAGGTCTGTATTTATCCCAAAGGGTGTTAAATCATACTGTAAATAACATCAATAAATTAACATCTCAATATATACACATAGTATTAGTAAGAAATATATGGAGACTTTTATCACAGTTATAAATTTTTTACATCTTTTTTAAAATTAAGATTACTTTTACACAAAAGTGAAATTGGAGAGCTTTATAAAATCTTTGCAACTTATGAAGAAAGATTTGAGAACACAATTGTGTAGGACCAAGAAACAAATCAACCTTTTTTTATCCTATTGAGTCTTCTGACTGGAGTAAGTCCCAAGCCTTACCTTCTATTGGCTCATGGAATGCATTTTAATTATGCATTAATTATCTTAACAAGAGAGAAGCTGGACTATTTAGGACTTATTCTATGTCATAAAGTCTTTAGGGAGAAATAAATCAGAGAGAAATACTGAGTGATGTTCTTTTCAGTATGAACAGAGACAATGGAGGTGGAGGCAATGGTGAGGTGGTCTTCACATGAGCAAACCTCATCATTCCATTTGGAAATAATCTGGGGGTCTAACAGGCAGAGATGGCCATGAAACTATCTCCCAATCTTATAAGCTTTCAAACACTGGGAGTATAAATAATGCATTTCTCTCTCTGTCTCTCTCTCTCTCTCTCTCTCCCCGCACCCTGCCCTTCTCCCTCTCTCCCTCCCTCTCCCAGCCCCCTTCCCCTCTCTCTTTCCTTACTGTGTGTGTGCATGCATGCTCACTCTTTATGCAAACCTTCCTCTCATTCCCCCTCCCACTTTCCATCTCTCCAGCATTATTTTGGTTTAGTATAGCATTGTCCATGTTTTTAAATTAAGCTTTAGTTTTGTGCTGTGAGAGGCATATATAGTGTAGTGATTTAAAGCACTGACTCCAGAGCCAGACAGCCTGGGTTTGAATACTGCCTCTGTCATTTACTAGGTGTGGACTTGGTAATTTATATAAGCTTTCTGGGCCTCAGTTTTTACATCTGCAAAATGGTGATAACATCACTTTTCTCATAGAAGTGTGTGAAGATTAAGTGACTTAGTCTGTGTAAAGCATTTTAAACGGTTTTGAATACATACTAATCTCTAGAGAAATGTTTACTTTTGTTATTATTTATGTTTCCTAAGCCTAAATTGCCAGTGAGAGTCACCAAAAGAATTGGTCAGGATGTCTAATCCATGGAGTGTGAACCTGGCAAAGATGGTGGCTCCAAGGAACTCAATGACCATGAATCTCTTTCTGTATTAGACAAAATGCAGGGAAGGAATTCCCATGAGAACATGAACCCTAATGTGAATCATAAAGAGGCTAGGGAAGCAGGAGGCAGCTCCAGAGAAGAGGAAAGAATGCTTTGCCACAGGTTTTTACATCATGGGATCTTATTAAGCAGTTCAGTATTTATCGGTCAGGTGGACTATCTGTTGCTGCGGTCATCAGAATAATACCCGCCCCCTTCAAAATGTCCACATCCTAATCCTCAGATCTATAAATAGGTTACCTTAAATGGCCAAAGGAACTTTGCAGATGTGATTAAAGACTTTTAGATGGGGAAATTATCTTGAATTATCTGGGTGGTCCAAAGGTAATCACAAAGGTCCTTAAAAGTTAAAGAGAGATGCAGAGAGATTTGAAGATGCTTTCATGTTGGCTTTGAAGACAGAGGAAACGAGCCACAAGCCAGAAATGTGGACAACCTCTAGAAGCTGGAAACAGATTCACCTCTAAAGCCTAAAGGAAAGAATGAAACCCTGCCAATACCTTGGTTTTCTTTACTATATGAGCACACTCTGGACTTCTAACCTACTGAACTGTAAGATAATACATTTGTATTGTTTTAAGCCAGTAATGTGTTACAGCATCAATAGAAAACTAATGCAGCCACCCAGTGCTTCACTGGCTTGTGTCTCTTTTGTTCCAAGAAACATAGTCGAGTACTATCAGTATATGTGGCTACTCTAAAGAGGCCAGGGAACCCAGATGCCAGGCCATGTAGTGTAGAGGGAACATTAACTTTTGCCCAGCCTGCACTTCTGCTAACTTTACACATTTACTTTTAGTCCACTCTCCTAAACCATCCAAGAAAGTACTTGATCTCATTTTCAAGAGTTGTTTGAAACTTATTTACATGAATGTTTTCTGTTAGTTATTTGAATTTTTAAGTTATTTTTCTCAAATTAAAAAAAAAAGCTAAAAAAAAAAAACCTACTGAGGGCCACAGTGGGGGCAGGTGGGTGGGGAGCAGGTTCTCTTTCTGTCACCCAGGCTGGAGTGCAGCGGTGCAATCTCAGCTCACTGCACCTTTACCTCACGGGCTCAAGCGATTCTCCTGCCTCAGCCTCCCAAGTAGCACACCACCATGTCTGGCTAATTTTTGTATTTTTAGTAGAGACGGGGTTTCGCCATGTTGGCCAGGCTGGTCTCGAACTCCTGGCCTCCAGTGATCCACCTGCCTCAGCCTCTTAAATTGCTGGGATTACAGGGGTGAGCCACCCCGTCTCGCCCCTCAGTAGGTTTTAAGGAGCCCCAGCCCTCCTTCTCCCTTTCCGAGCCTGACCAGGTATTCTGCTCCATCTCCCCCTGCCACACGCCCCACCAAGTACTGCACAGGGACCCCCATCCAGGGGCTCTGCACCATGTAATAATGTGAAATACTGAATGTGGATCAAACGCAACAAAACCTGTTTTTAAGATGGAAAAAAATAAATAAATAAAGCTCTGCCTCCTGCAGATGGAACAAGAGGAAATATTTTAAAAATCAAGAGAGTTCTCTTCACTCCAGTTATTCAAAGCCAAGGCTACTCCAGCAGATAAATTGTCCTTACCTTGTATTAGGAATCTCTGATAGCTGGTTCTGATGGTGTTGCAGGGTATCTAAATTGTTAAATTTTTTCTCAGATCTCTGTTAACCTTGAGCCAACAGTTTGGTGAACTAATCTCTTAGCTTATTTCTCAGCCCAACATAGCAAGATGCTTGGTACCAAGGATACATTTTCATTGTTCGCCTTCCCTTTTGTATTGCTCAGTCTCTGGCCTAGCTCCCCTATTTGTGAGCTACACAGCTGGGAAATGATCAATAGTCACTACTTTCTGCTCCAGACATGCATTTCCTGACCCATGTTTCATCAAGACCTGAAACTCATGGTTCTGTCAAGGAAGAAGTAGGGAGAGTAAAGGTATATGAGATAGGAAAAATTGCATTCGCCCTGGGAAATGTACATAGAAACCCCAAACTCTGAAGAGCAAATCCAACTTGTCTGCCTTGCAACATAGCAAATGTTAGCTACTATGTGATGATTTTATTCAATTCAATCCAACAAACATTGATTGAGACCTTACTCTGGGCAAAGAATAATGATAATTAAGTCACACATGGCATTAGGGAAACTGCTGATATTTGTGTTGATGATTGATACTAAAGAATTAACAAAATTAGAAGAGAAAACCTAAAAAAATTGCTGTGGTGGTATAAGAGTAATACTAATTACAGTAATTTATGGGAACTGCTTATCACTAATGCCTAATTGTTATGCAGCACAATCATGATTATGCATGCCATTAAATGTGTGTATGAGGGACTTTAGTGTGTGTTGTATTAGATTAGATTAAAACAATGAAATATAAACATGCATACTCAGTCCTCATAATGTGTTACTCATGCAGTAATTTGTCATCTGCTCACAATTTTTTAAAATTACAGAAAAAATGCTTAGCCCATGCATAAGATAGCTTGGTTCTTTTCTACCAGGGAAACTATAAATTGATTAGTGCACTTGATTTTCTAAATGAGTCCCCTATCATTGCAGTCAAGAATTGTAGAATGTTTTTTTCTCCCAGGCTTTCTTATAAATAATTTTAATTTCCCTTTTCTAGCAGTCTATTTTAGAATGAATGAAACTCTGAGAGGCTCATTATCTTGAGAGTTTGCAGAAAGGATGAGGTGGAATGAGTCAGAGCAGCTCCCATGCAGTCAAACCAATCCAGTCACCCATTTGTAGATTATTTGTCAATCAGTTAATCAAGGGGACCACGTCCATTGCCCCAGAATTCAGTTAAAACAACAGAGTAAGATGATGTTAGTGTCTGTGGCTGAACTGTGTACAAAGTGGCATTTATGTCCTACCCCTAAAATTCAATAGAAACTTCTGATACAGAAGGATTTGAAAATAAAGGATAGCTTCAACTCCGTAAGACTGAATTCTGACCCAATTTATTCATTCTTTCAACAAAATGTATTTAAAAATGTATTATGTGCCAGGCACTGTACTACATGCTGGGAATGCAGAGACTAGTAAGGTTTAGTTCTCCCAGGAAACTCGGGATGTAGTAGTAGACATTTCCATGGATTTTCAGAAATGTACTAACAAAGCTGCCAGTACTTTTTCATGATCTTCCTTGTATAAACAAAATAAAAAGCATGTATCATTAGCTTCTGAACACCGTAAAAGAAACTGAGTCTGGATACTTTAAAGACCATGCAAATACATACTTGTCTAACCTTCTCACCCCACAGTCCATTATTTCAATGCCGTGACCAACTTCTGGGGCCAGAGATGCACCAGTCTATGCCACCACTGGCTCTTTCTGTTCAATATATCCAACTGCATCAGCAACAGCACATGAAGTCCCCAGGAAAGGGAAATAATTGTATTCTATTTGAATCTGTAGAGCCAGTTGTTCCAGTAAACTACCATTTTCTACCTTCTGCCTCCCGAAACCCATCACTAATGGGTAGGTATTCTTACTCATCATCCTCCTGCTTCATTCACTGAGTTAATGAAAAGAAATTCTTTTAGCTCATATTGCTACATCACTATGATTTATCACTGGAATCTCATTCCTAGAAACTCCAGTCCATCCTTCTTTGCCCTATTCAAGTATTTCCTTTGGCTGGCGCTGTCATTGTGACTGTCAGGACCCATGCTTTGGCTTCTCTTTCAAACACGGCTCCAACCCCCCTCTGTTCAGAAGTGCAAACTGGCTTTCACATTTGGAATACAGGGTGCAATAGAACCTAGTGCAATAAAAAGCTATTACTTGCATTCAGACACCCTGAGTAAGCACAATGTGTCAGTCTATTTAATTCACATCACTGTTCTTCTGGTGGTTATAGCCTTAGGATGATTATAATTCTCTAAGGGTGAGAGGATATATATTCTAGATTGTGGATATCCACAATCTGATATCATTATTGCGAGAATTTGTGGGATGTGGTAGTATATTTGCCAAGTCTTGGCTGACCATTGATGTTTTATCATTTCTCAATGTGTTTTCTCATTTAAAATTCATACCACCAATTAATATAGGCTCACTGGGTTTGATTGTGCAATTTGTGCCACGTACAAAGATGCTCATCTGTAGGAGCCAAAATCCAGCTAAAGCACCACTACCCAAAATCTGATCATTAGCCCATAGGCAGCTTTAAGATTTGGAATCATACCAAGACAATATGTGACCAGTTTTCACCGGCTTTTAAACCACCCTCTCCTTGGTCTCATTATCATCTTCTAAACTCTGGTAATTTACCCATGTATGCATAAGCTTCCAGTCCACCAGTTTCTCTATGATCAGTGATGGCAACTTCATATCAATGATCATTGAAGTGCCAACCTTATAGATCCTTAACTTTCTGAACTCCAGCAACCATAAGTTCATTACACTTCACTGGCCATATCTTAAGATCTCTACTTCCAAGATATAAAATATAAGTTTCCCTATTTTGGCCATGCTTTTTATCTTTCTACTTTTCTACTAATTCATTGGGTTGTACATATTCTTCTCCCTCCTGCAGCCTCTCTTTATCTCTGTAACATGTGACTCCTTTCAAAATTCACTTGCTTTTTTATGTGATCTTGGTTAGTTACTGGACTCAGAGTCATCGTACTCAACAAATGTTCATATTGCTTATTCATATTGCTTGCTTATTCATATCGCTTTGTGATATAAAAAGCTAAGGTAGTCTACTATGTTCACATTTTTCATTCACATTCCAAAGCAGCCAAGTATTAGTGGGGATAATTTTACAGCTAATCTTACTGAGTCTACCTCTATCCATCCTCAATTAGGTCTTAGGTTCTGCTGCTCAGAAAAACGTAAGTGCTATATTGTACCAAGAAGACCTACTTAAAATATATGCCTCCATTTCCTTAATCATAAAAGAGGCCATAATATGTATATGTGTAATATACAATTAATTGATATGAATTACATAAGCCAATGTCTTGCACTTGTGAGGGTGTTAAGGTGTTAATAAGTGTTTGTTCCTTTCTTCTGCTAAGGAATAAACACCAGGCAAACCTACAACTTGAACCTACCAGTGGATGCTCCGATAAATTGGCTCATTGAAACACTCGGAACGTTTATCTGATAATCACCAATGGGCAGACAAGCAGGCATGTATACTGAGATTTGAAAGGCATTTTGGGAATCTATGAGAGTGTAAAAAAGATTGCCAAAAATGGTAAAATGGTCTTACACTCTTCATTCCACACATTAACTGTGCATAGCTATATTCTTTGACATTAAGCAAGAATTTTCAGATTTCACATTTACATTAGCTTTTCATCAATCACATTACAGTGTTGTAGCAAATATGCATCTACTGTCTTCTATCATCTCTACCTTAAAATGGCACTCCATGCATATCTATATAATTTTCCTTCTCCCAATAGAGATAAATAGCATATATTTTTCTTTTCTTCATATCTAAAACTTTAACTCCTTTCTTATTCCAACTTTCTCTTCCAGAACTCTATCGCCTTGCATCTGAATTTTACTCTCCTCTGTTGAATCCTTTCTATAAGTCTACAGGTTTTTCACCACCATTTTATGTTTTAAACTTTATATTTCTCATGAAATCCCCAAGTGGAGATTTCCAGCCTGCAAACAAAGGCCACCTCCTCTGTGAAGATATTTTTTATTCCCAAGTTAGTAATCATTCCACGTCCTAAAATAGCATACAATTTCTCAAAATAATTGTATGGCTTTTAGACAGATAACTACAGTACAAAATATAACATGAAACCTCAACAATAGACTAGACTCCTTTAAAAAGGGATCTATGATTTTTGACTTTGATAATTGCAAATAGTAGGCATTTGATGAAATCATATGAATCACATTTCAATCATATCTCACTACAAATGCGAAGAGTAGGTTGTTTGGGTTAGATCATAACAGAAGCTCCAAAGGTTTTCCATTTCTCCCTACAGAAACCAATTCACTATTTTGAGTTCTGAGAAAAGACAAATACAAACTATAACATTTATTTCCATTCTCTTAATTTTAAATATAAACATGTTGAGAGATAAGTGTCAAAGATAAAGACAGAATGTGACACCTTTGAAGAATGCTTAAGTTAGTGCCAGATTATTAAATGGAATAGACTTCAGGTGGTAAAAATAGTTTTATCAGCTGTAGTGTATATCTTTAAATAATTATGTCTGGGACTTCCAAATTCAGGACTACATGGTATTGATGCAATTAACTCTAAAAGCCATAACTGCCCTCAAAATCATACATAAATATCAGTAAAATTACAAACCTACACATGGAGACACATTTTAAAGTTCAGAGAATTAGACTTGTGCATCACCCAGCCACAAAATGAAACTATAGAATGGCGTCAACTCTATGTAACTGACCACTTTTCTCTGTCATTGCTTCATGCTTAAAAACTAAAAACTTGTTTATTTAAAAACATTTCCTCCATTTTAATATACATCTAGGAGAAAGCAAAGCCTGACAATAGTTAAACATATATTTTCTTATACTTATTTTTATTTTTTCTAAGGAAAGAAACATTTGAACATGACAGAGTTAAATGGCTTAGAGAGTGAAGGAAATAAATGTTATCCAGGAAAATATTGGCTTCTCAGTATTACTTCTGATGAGCTTCCATACCTATAAATTTCATGGGCCAGTTGAATGATTTTAAGATTTACTAAAAACGTGAGACATCTAAATGATAATGATTGTTACTTTTTACTTTGAAGTATAAAAGTCCAACAAAAACACAGATGACCTAGAATATGTTAGAAGAAAAATTATAAGTAAAAATGTATAATAAATTATAATAAAGCTATATATAAAAATTAGAATGTTGAGACAAAACCAGGTACTCTATTCAGATATGGGTCTCCAAATAATTTAGAAAAAAATCATTATTGTTATGTTTTAATCAGAGAACTCAGGTCATTGCAAATGCATTTATGCTTATAATTTCATAATTTCAGACTATATAAATGAACAAGGTTTCAGAACTTATTTAAAGAAAAAAAGAGAATATACAGGTCAAACAGTATTTTGAGTGCAAATATCTCCATGTCCCCACTCCATCAGAGCCCAATTAAAATAAACAAATCAATATAAAAATAATGTAAAATGTTGGAATTTAGGAGCAAGTATGATCTTTATGTCATAAATTTGGATGTCTTTGGCCAAACATAGTACCTGTACCTACAGGACCAATATATGACAAGGGCTTCCTGATATGGCAGAAGCTTGGTAGATGATAGCACAGGAAACAACTCAAACTTAGTCATGCCAGTTATCTTCATCAGAGGTTGAGTAAAGCAGAAAACATACCCTTGAGTCAGTGGCTTCCACGCACATGGAGAAGAAACTAAACATGAAATTTGTTATAAAAGCAATTTTATGGTCCAGGTTCCCTTGTTTCTTCCCAGAGCTGCTGAATTAATAAAGTAGTAACATAAAGATAAATTACTTAGTTATTTAGTCCTACATTAAAGATGATGAATACAAGTAAACAAGAATAAAGAAACATTCCTGATGGGCCACCTTTCCTATTCATGATCCTTCCTTTTTCATAGTGAGCACTTAATTGGCATAGCCCTCCTTGGCTTTCTCTATTGGGCCACTCCTTCCCAGGGCAAGCCTAGTGACATAATTGGTCAATGAGTTTTTGAAAAATGAAAAGGGCATGCTTAACTCAGATTTTCTCTTTTGTTCCTGAGAGTGAGATGAATACAAAAAGCATATGTTTTCCTCTCCTTCTTCCAATAGAAAACACA
Organism: Homo sapiens; assembly: GCF_000001405.40. NCBI lineage: Eukaryota > Metazoa > Chordata > Mammalia > Primates > Hominidae > Homo > Homo sapiens. The sequence goes on along the minus strand of NC_000014.9, from coordinate 82,099,133 downwards.
CAAACTGTATTCTATGACTATATAGCAATAAACTTTGAAAATAGTACCTGGGAGAAAAGACATTAGATGTGTTCAATTTGGAAAAATTCGCCTCGCTGTACAGTCATAATTTTTCTGGATATGTTTTACTTCAAGTAAAACTTCATCAAAATATAAAAGAATCAAAGTATAAACCAAAACCCAAAATTTAGAACATGACTTATGAAAACTTAAAATGTGAACTTGGCTATATTTATGGGCAAATTTATAGCTATAAATACTTTTATATTTAAGGAAGAAAGAATAAATTAAGCATTTAATACAAGAGATCATAAAAAGAATACAAAATAATCTAGCCAAAAAAGAAGAGAGGAATTTTATAAAATTTGCATAGAAATAAATGAATTCTAAAACGACAAACAGTACAGCCAATATATTTACCCAAAAATTGGTTCCTTGAAAACAAACAAACAAAAAAATAGATAAACCACTAACTGTCTACTTAAGAAAAAAGGAGAAAAACACAACAACAACAAATTAGAAATCATGAATGGTTTAAAAGATGAAAAGACTTTCAAATCACACGAAAAATACACGTGTATTTATCAGAGAATTATTTACAATGGTGGCAATGTAGAAACCTAAATTTTCAGTAGAAAAACATTATTGGCTAATGGTAATATTTTCATGTAATAGAATTCTATTCAGGTATTGAATAGATCTATCTAGCTAAAGTTTTGTGGGTTTTGTTGTCCAAGAGACTTTTATAAGTGTTATGAAACAAAATGTTAATTTTTTTACTTCTGAGTGGTGATATTATCTGTAAAATATTGCTTCCTGAAGAAATTATTGAGACGATTAGATGAAATAATATATGTTCATATTTTGCATTCAACAGTTTCATTCAAGCGTTTTCTATATGTCAGACCCAGTGCCTAGTAGTAAGTTAAAAAAAGAAAAATTCAACTTTCATTTTACTGATTATCTAATTGGTGAATCAAACATTAATCAAATAACTACATAAATTAATGGCAATGAGTATAAAAGGAAATCCACAGTGTAGTTTGGGATCCTAAAACAAGTAATAGTACCTAACAATCTAGCATACAGCAAATGCTCAATCCATGTAAGTCTTGGCTTTTCTTTCTTTCTGATGCCCAACCTACTTCTCATCCCATGAATCATATTACTTACCAAGGGATTTTGAATAGACTTACTACAATTTCCTAAAGTAATTATTTAAAAACTAATAAAACCAGGGAGTAGTCTCAAGTCTAGACATTGGGGCAATCTAGTACATTGTGTGCTAATAACATCCAGGCTCTAAATCCCAGCCATTTAGGCTTGCTGTAATTCACAACTCAAGTGAATCAGTAATGAGTTTCCTGTCCCTTGCTTGCTCAAAGCACCAGCCTAATAAAAATGCAAATACACCTTATAAATTTATGTGAAAAACAGGTATTAGGCTTTCCTGGCTACCCACAGTCCCCTAACCCACTTGGGTCAATATCAATGAAAGGTATAGGTAGTTCCATAGGTGACAGGTAGGAGCACTGGTGAGAAAGTGCATATACCACCTTACTCTATGGTTTCCCTTCATAATACTTACTGGCATTTGTATTGTGCATGCCCTGGGTTTGCTCTTGTAATTATTTGATCATGTCTTGCTCCTCTTGTTTTAATTTTACCCAGAGCACTTTTCACTAACTAATATTTTTTCTTGTTTCCTCCTCCGCTGAGGGAGAGAGAAAAAAGATGAAACAAGAATTAGCAGGCTCTAGTGGGAAACTTTGCTCTTCCCCTGTGAGGTCATGGGGAAAGAAAAAGAGCCCAGGAGTGAAAGGACTACATGACTACTTCAGAATGTGGGGTCATGGAAGACTTGAATGAAGAGTGATATTTAAGCTAAATGACCATTAGAAGTCATCCATACAAAGACTGAGAAAGCCCAGGATGGGAATAGCTCACAGAAAGGCCCTACAGTGGGGAAAAGGGTTGACTTGTTTTAGGAACATAAAGGATATCATTAAATGAGTGCTTAGAGGGTGAGGAGAAAGTTAGTTGCTATTGAGTTCAAAGAAATAGGTAGAACCAGATCTTGCAGGGTTTTACAAGGTAGAAAAAAGAATTCGTTTGTGTGTTTTGTGCTAAATTCAATGAGAAGCTATGTGTTATTTTTCATCAAGCGAATAATGTGATCATATTTATAGATGACTTGTGTTGGTGCATAGACAATGAATTATGGAAAGTTTTAAGTTACAAGCAGGAGCCGGGTGCAGCGGCTCACGCCTGTGATCCCAGAAATCTAGGAGACCAAGGCAGATGGATCACCTGAGGTCAGGAGTTAGAAACCAGCCTGACCAATATGGTGAAACCCTGTCTGTACTAACTATACAAAAATTAGCCAGGCCTGGTGGTGTGTGCCTGTGGTCCCAGCTACTCAAGAGGCTGAGGCAGGAGAATCACTTGAACCTGGGAGGCGGAGGTTGCAGTGAGCCGAGATCATGCCACCGGGCGACAAAGAAAGACTCTGTCTCTAAAAAGAAAAAAAAAAAGTTACAACCAGAAAGATTCAAATAGAATGCACTCAGGAGATTTTTGCATTTATCAAGACCAGAGGGGGCTAAGGTAGCAATAGTAGAAATGGAGAGAAGCAAATGGTTTGGGACAGGCTTTTGGAGAAAGAGTAAGCAGCATGGACTGATGGCTTTGAGATAGAGGATATAGACAGGAATAGATTTAAAATAACACCTAGAATTTGGTTTCTTAGCCTGGATGCCAACAGAGCTCTTTACAGAAAGGTGGAAAAATGAGAGAAGGAGATTCTGGTTTACATGGACAAACCAAGAATTTACTTTTAGTTTGAAATGCCTGGCAGACACCCAAGTGAAGATACAAAGCTATCAACTGACCTGAAATATATTAAAATAGGATTATACTCTGGCTTATCATAAGCCTAAGAAATATTTTGCCTCTTAGAAGAAATTTCACAAATCTTCACTTGGTCCATTATATTTGTATTTTAACGCATAACTCCCAGAGAATAGATACATCTCACTTACGTTCACAGTCTTTGGAGATTCTTCATTATACCCCCCTAATAAGAGATGTGAGATTATGTCTCCTATTTCTTTATATCTCTACAATCATTTCACTTGATGAACCTGAAAACCTGTTCATAATTGATAAGTTTCTCCAATCTGAAATACCAAAACAGTGATAACCAGTGAGAGAAATACATATATACACATGCACCTATACACATGTATATAATGTCTAATATATAAATAATATATATATAATACACAAATTCAGCTTTTCACTCAAGCTTTTTATGCAGGTTATCCAAATATATAAATGAATATTACATATATATGTGTGTTTCCTCCTCTGAATGGCACATTCAAAATGCTCATTCAGAGTAGCAATCACTCTTACCAAGGATTTTACTTTCTTCCACCAACAATTGCTTTAACTTTTGGGATGGTGCAAAAGTAATTATGGTTTTTGCTATTAAGACTAATGGCAAAAACTGCAATTATTTTTGTACCAACCTAATATAGGAATTCGGATATTTTGTCCAATTTAAAATAAAAGATGCCAGAACTTTTTTGTTGTTGGCATTTATCTCTAATTATCTGTATGATCATGGTCAAGTTACTACATTTCAGTTTTCTTCTACCATAAAATGAAAGCCTCAAACAAGATAATCTCTGGGTCCCTTTCTTCTGCAAAATTAAATGTAAAAGAAATCCACAATTCTCCTAGCACCAGGCACCCTTAACTGTGCCTCATAAATAATAATAATAATGTTTCACAGAGTGTATGGCTCGAAGTACTGATTGTTTGCAAAATGCAATTTAAACAGATCGCATTTTATGGCTTGCCATTTACCATAGTAGTAAATAGCAAATAGGCAGTTGTGCCTACGTGTATTTGCTGATCTGTCAGACACTGGAAATAAGCCCAGTACATTATCCCTTTAAAACCAGGATACGCATTCATTCTCAGGGAGAGGCATTAAGTTTTTATTGAAAATGACAAACCACTGCAGCTGGGTGAAAAACAGAGGGGGCTCCTTTTGTTACCATTTAACATATGCATACATGTTTTTCAGAGTGAGTGCCAGGATTTGCTTAGCCTTCCTCTGCCATGTGTCAGAGTAAGCATTCCCATCTATGTCTATGATTTTTAAAGACTGCTATTTTCTCGTCATATTCTATCTATGTCAAGCTCCAAATCTGCTTCATTCACCAACTCTAATTATGTAACATTTTTTTTTACTGATTCTTTCCCTCAATGTCTCCTGCATGATTTGGTCCTATACCTTCCCCAATATCATTTCCAAGCCTCGGAAGGCTGTTTCTTCACAGCTGAAGTCTACTAATGCTCTCAAGATAATGTCCTTCACCCTTGGAAATGGAAAGAGGATAACAATCATCACTGATTCTCAGTATGAAACATCCAAACATTTTATATCTTCCTTCTTTTAAATACCACACAGAGATAGAGACATTTTATGAAGTAAAAAGGACCTGGGTCTCATAGTATTAGCTCTCCTATACTTCCATGAAGTTACCAAAATTGTATGCAATTTATGTAGTTATACACTTATGAGGTAGGGTTGTATCTAGTGTATGCTCATCTATTTTATTCTTATAAAGAATGGACAACTGGTACAGTGTACTGTAACTCAGTTGCTGGATTTTACATTATCTGAAAATAGAAGCACTTCTCTGAACTACATTATAGAAATTGGAGAAAATTTTATTCAGGCTCTTTATACAGGTGAGAAATGAATAGGATTTACGAATAAGTCTGATTTGGTACAGAGCTTTCACAATTTATGGGCAGCTGATCAGATGACTGAATTGTTTGCTGATATTTTATTCTGTGGCACAGAAACATCATTTACAATTGCAAAGACATGACTGCTTAATTATGTTCAAGAAATCTCCAAAACAGTATAAAACTTAGTACAGAATTTAATCCAATTTACATATACCCAGTATAAAAGGGAGCATGTGCTGTTTAGGCTCATGGGGAACTGATAGAGAATTCTTGTTGGTAGATGCTTCTGTTTGTGTTTGAGTGAAAAAAATAACGCACTTTCTCTTCATGTATGTACATATTTATTGCAGTTACAGTACATTATACCAATTATAAATTATTTATAGGAATAAAATAGATGAACATACATTAAATACATTAGTATAGGTGAAAAATTCCCCCAAGATCACATACACACCTTGGAGGTTACTCTGTAATCTAGTACCATTTCACAAGAATATGTTACATACCTGCTGTCTCACTAGAGAATCAGAATAGAATCTTGAAAGGGGGAAAATATGCCATTGAAAAGAAACTAAACCCAGAAACCAATTCTACAAACACAGTATACAGCCCATGAACCAACTTGAGATCATTCAAAGTAACATTTAAACAGATTTAATGGCTATTTTTCCCTTGAAAGGGTTAAGTTTCCTCAGTATTCTTATGTCACAGTAAGTATGTAGTTTAGAGCAAAAATTAAATCCCAAGCATGATTTACGTAAGCAGCATAGATAAACCAGTAAAGAAAGGAAGTTTTCTTCCTTTCCTCTGTTTACGCATCCACCTACTCCACTTAACTCACACAGTCCCAATCAGGGACTGCAGACTCTGTATTCTGTTCCTAAGGTAACCCCTTCTCTCCCACCACCAAGGTACACTCCCACTGTGGCTTTCCCAACTAATAGGAAGTGAGGTATTGATGATCTTCCTGAATAGCCCCACACTGATGCTTACATAGAGAAAGTCTATTACTTTAGTACACTGGGCATTTTTGAAATGATACTTATGTTCATCTGTTTTCACACTGCTATAGAGATACTATGTGAGACTGGGTAATTTATAAATAAAAGACGTTTAATTGACTTAGTTTTTCGTGGCTGGGAAGTCCTCAGGAAACTTACAATCACAGCAGAAGGCGAAGGGAAAGCAGGCATCTTCCTCACTAGGCAGCAGGAGAGAGCCAAGGGAGAACTGCCAAACACTTTTAAAACCATTAACTAACTATCCTGAGAACTCACTATCAGGAGAACAGCACGGGGGAAGCCTTCTCATGATCCAATCACCTCTTATCAGGTCCCTCCCCTGACATGTGGGGATTACAATTTGAGATGAGATTTGGGTGGGGACACAAAGCCAAACCGTATCAGTACTTGATAGTTGAATTTCCAAAAGCAGAAACGAGAAGCTTGTATGTATCAAGTGAAGATTTCATTTTCAGAAAACTATTGAAACAATGCAGGCTGGCTGATGTTGTTGCTACTATTTTACTTTATGTTATCCAATCTTTAGAATTATTTCAAAGGTTAACAACATGGATTTCTATTTGCTACAGACCACACAAATAAATTTTAAGTATTTTAGAAAGTTAGAATTTTAGCTTAACTACAGTGACCTTGAGTGCAAGGAAGAAATTTGTTCCAATATTGGGAAGAAGGCACTATGACTGAAAACATAGCAAAGCCTTGGATTAAGCATGGATTAAGTCTGGAATTGTGAGGCTGATTCATTTTTCTGAATAGTCCATAGGTAACAAAATGTAATCAGATGATTATGAATGGAAATATTCTCTAAACAAAGGATTCTCTGGTGGGTTATAATCCTATTAATACCAATGTGAAACTATGAACTTTCCTTTGCATTTAGATCCCTAGAATAAAGTTTTGATGCAAATTTCTGTGACCATAATTAAGTAATCTAAGCTCTCAAAGTCTCAGTGTCCCAATGTTTAAACTGGAAATAATAGAACATATATCATTAGAAGAAAATTTCTCATGGGTCCTTCGTATTTCTGCATATATTATAACATGAATAAGAGTCCGGACAATATATTATTTTAGACTGTCTTTTCAACAATATTTGCATAGCAAACAATCTTGGAAAACAGAGATAGTGCTGGAGTAGAAACACTACGTTTTGCTGTCCAGAATAATAGTAATAATGTCTCCCTCCAGGGCAAAAATTTGGCAGGCTTCCTTTTATAGCCCCTTTAAAACACTGGACTACCTAAACTCGGGATTTTTTTCCTTCTTCAGCCCAGGAGTTGCCTGGCCCTCACTGCATTGCCCTGGGGGAATTTGGACTTTGGCAACTGGCTCAAATGCTGATGCTCTGGCTTCTGCTGTTTCTCGAATATGTAGTTCTCTGTCTTTGACCCAAGAGTCTTATAACTTCTGCTTGTAACCTGGACTCTGTATCACGATAACCTGTTAGTTAGCAAGTAGAGTAAAATCTCAAATCCTTCAAAATTCTAGGGACACATTTCATGCGGTTGTTGTGGGAATCAAATTATATAATCTATTTATAACCCTTAGCTCTATGCTTGGGCAAAGAAACATTCAAAATTTTTAGCAATAACGTTACTAATTATTACTCAAACCACAGTTTAATAACTTCTTCTATAAATTCATCACTAAGCTTCACCTTTCAAAGGCTGTTTTCAATTATAGATTTTTAGGATTATATAGTTTAGCTTTTTATTTTGATTTACAATTGAATTAAATATAATGAATATTCAAATGGATTAAAAGTTTCACTTTTAATATGCTTAATATTTCCATCTTTGTAGTACTTTCAATTTTCTACTCATTTCAAAAGGAAAGACATTACAACCTTAAAAAGATAATTGAAAAAACACTGCCACACAAAGCAATGGTGCTAACTCCACAGACTCACAGAGTACACAAGCTGTGAGGCCATGGCAGCCTCCACCTCAATTTCAAAGGATGTTGTGAACACCCCGGGAGCCCAGACAGAAATCTGCTACAGAGGTGGAGCCACCAGAGTTCAATGCTTAGTGGAGCCACAGGAGCGGGGCCACCCCCAAGACCTCAGAGCTGCCAGCATGGAGCCCCAGCTTGGGAGTGCTGCCAGCACATGAGGGCTCAACAACCCATGAGCACACAAACATAGGGTTCAGGCTGCCTGTGGCATTGAGGGTCCAACCCCCACCTCTGGTGTACTCAGAAGGCAAAAGAAGGGTCAAAAAAAGATTATTCTCCAGCTTTAAGATTTAATTTTGTTTGCTCTGTTGGGTTTTGGACTCATGTGGAGCAGATACCCCTCTTTTTTTGCCCATTTCTTCCTTTTGGAATGGAAATATCTATTCTGTGTCTGTCCTATTCTCATATTTCAGAAGTAAATGACTTGTTTGATTTCAAAGGCTCATGGCTAGAGAGTAATTTGCCATAGGATGAATCATACCTTGAGTCCAAGCCACATGATATATAGACAAGTTAAGACTTTGGGGATACTGGAATGGAATTAATGTAGTTTGAATGTGAGAAGAACATAAATTTGGAGAGCCAGGAGATGAATGCTGTGGTTTGAGTGTGTCCTCCAAAGCATGTGTTAGAAACATGTATCTCCAATGCAACAGCCTTGGGAGGTGGGGCTTACTGAGAGGAGATTAGACCATGAGGGTTCTGTCCCCATGAATGAATGAATGTTGTTACACAGGAGTGGGTCTATATTGTGGGAATGAGTTCCTTACAAATGAATGAGTTTAGCCCCCTTTTTTTTCTCTCTCTCTCTCACACCCTCTCTTGCCCTTCTGCCTTCTACCATTAGCTGACACTGCAAGAAGGCACTTGCAAGCTGCTGGCCTCTCAATCTTGGGCTTCCCAGCCTCCTAAACTGTGAGCTAATAAATTTCTGTTCATTATAAATGACCCAGTCTCACCAGTCTCAGGTATTCTGTTACAGCAACAATGAGTGGACTAAGATGACAGTCAAGCTAGAATTAGCATATAAAAACAAACATGCAAACAGCATTGAAAATAAGAATAATTACTGATCCCAATTTTCAGATGCTCAGGTTGGTAGCATATACATAGATAAAGTCCTTTTTTGCAGTTTAGGTTATATATAAATACCTACCAGGTAAGTAAAATAGAATTTCATATTTTTGTCTAGTATCCAATGCAGCAACAAAGATTCAGGTATGCCTAATGTATGTGGGTGTGCATTTGGAAAAAATATATGTTGTTTGTGAAGATGAGAGAACTCTGTTCCAGTGAAGATTGCCTATACACTATCAAAAAGAAAAAAAGTTCTAGAGAATTTTTCACATGTTGTTTGACAATCTAGAAATAGTCCCCAAATATAAAATCAGCTAAGTAGTAATTAAGAACCAAGAAATATATTTCACAGTCTTTTTTTATTACTATAAAGTTAACACTGGGAGTTTAAAAAATAACTAGAAAGGCATGCATTGGATTTAAAACAAATAAAAGAATAATATGCAAATGTATGACAAACAATTTAAACACTCTAAAAGCAAAATAAATTCACAATCTATAGCACTAAAATATTACAGTATTTTTCTATAGTGTATCTTTAAATTAATAGAATGTTTTCCTCTGTTTTAACATGTGAGTGATATTATTATTTAGACAGGAATAATTGCTGTTGAAAAGATATTTGGGACCAGGTGCAGTGGCCCATGCCTATAATTGCAACACTATGGGAGGCCAAAGCGGGAGGATTGCTTGAGCTCAGGAGTCCAGACCAGCCTGGGCCAAGTGGTGAAAGCACATATCTATAAAAAATACAAAAATTAGCCAGGCATGGTGGTGCGTGGCTGTTGTCCCAGCTACTCAGGAGGCTGAGGTGAGAAGATTGCTTGAGCCTAGGAGGCGGATGTTGCAGTAAGCCATGATCACACCACTGCACTCCAGCCTGGGCGACAGAGTAAGGCCTTGCCTCACAAAAAAAAAAAAAAAAAAAAAAAGGTAGTTGGATAGTTGGTTATATTCACAAATTCACAAGTCCCAAGTAGACGGGGCACACCATACCATGGGGATTCACATGGAGAAGCATCAGTGTCAGGAGATAGGGAAAGCTGAGGAAAAAAAGTGGGCAAGAGCCTTTATTGTGGTTTCTTTGAGGAAAAATAGTGTGAGGCAGGGTAAGCAGGTTTAGGATTGGCTGGTTTGACAGGTTTGAATAATTTCAGCAGGCTCTAGGGCACAGGGGCTGTCCCCAGTTGTATGATACCTGGCTGCCATGGCTTGAATGTATTCCCTCTAAAACTCAGATGTTGCCAAGGTGATAGTACTAAGAGGCGGAGCCTTTACGAGTTGACTAGGTCATTAGGGTGGAACCTTTGTGAATACAGGTGTGCTTATACAAGTGCATGAGGGCAGGAGTTCGTCTCTCTTGCTATTTAGGCTTTCACCGTGTGAGAACACAGAATTTGTCCCCTCTGCAGAATGAATTAATCTTTTTTTTTTTTTTTTTTTTTTGAGACGGAGTCTCACTCAGTCTCCCAGGCTGGAGTGCAGCGGCGCGATCTCGGCTCACTGCAAGCTCCGCCTCCCGGGTTCCCACCATTCTCCTGCCTCAGTCTCCCAAGTAGCTGGGACTACCGGCACGTGCCTCCACGCCCGGCTAATTTTTTTTTTTTTTAATAGAGACGGGATTTCACCGTGTTAGCCAGGATGGTATCACTCTCCTGACCTCGTGATCCGCCTTCCTCGGCCTCCCAAAGTGCTGGGATTACAGGCGTGAGCCACAGCGCCCAGCCGAATGAATTAATCTTGAAGCATCATGAAAGTCGAGACTGGAAACTCCCCAGACAACTGAACCTGCTGGCACTTTGATCTTGGACTTCCCAGCCTCCAGAATTTTGAGAAATAAATTTCTGTCCTTTATAAATTACCCAGTCTCAGCCAGGCATAGTGGCTCACACCTGTAATCCCAGAACTTTGAGAGGCCAAGACAGGAAGATCACTCGGGACTCCATCGCTATTTTTAAATGTTTTGTAAAAGGAAATAAAATAATTTGTAAGTTTCCCAGTCTCAGGTTTTGTTGTAGCAGCACAAATGGACTATGATGCTAGACCTGGGGTGATTTGGACAGGGAAATAGTGGCTCTGAGTGTGAGAATCTGACAGAGGAAGGGTTTAGTGGTATACCCTCTGGATTAAATAAAAGACACTCTTCCATGTGAGCCCTTTCATATCTCTAGGAATTGCCTACCCCTAGGAGGGGCTGTCTTTCCATGGATATCAAGACCTCACCATGTGAAAGCAACATAAATGTATAGTTAATACACACTCCTTCACAAGAAAGTTATGAGGCCTTATGAATCATTTATGAATATTTTGGTGATACTTACAGTGGAATAGTATAACAAACTTGTATTGGTCAATGTTACATCAGAGAAACAACAAAAAAGTAGGAAATCACACTCCGTAGACAGTTAGATAGACGACTGATAGACAGATAGATAGATAGATAGATAGATGATAGATAGATTGGTGATAGACAGATAGATGATAGATTGGTGAATTTAGGGACAGAAATAAATGTCACCAATTAAGAAGCAAACTTTTATAATAACCCCCCTTCTTCTTCAAATTAGTAACAAACAGGTAATCAATAAATGCTGAATGAATAGACAATTATAAGAATGGACTATATACACTATTTAATAAATGTTCCACTTCACTTTTCGACCTTCTACATGTGTGGATTTTATTTTTTTAATGAAGTAAATTATTTGATTAGAGAGAAATGTATTATTAGAGTTAAATGTTATTAATACGGGTGTCTTTTAGTAAGTTAATGCATCATAAAACAAATACAATAAATAATATGCAGTATAATATCTTATTAAAAATAAAGCTCATTATCAAACTGAAGGTTTATTTTATGTCAACGGAAAATTTCTCTAACAGTTGCTATAAAATTTTTAAATTAAAAATGTTTAAAATGAAAGAAGTATGAAATTTTACATTTCTAATATGTAAATACTTCCAAACTTTTAGTTATACATACTTACATAGCAAACATACTTCCCATTTTGTATGCTGCTCACACAGAGAAAAGTTTAAACCCCTTCATTCAAAGTAATATAAAATTATCTCACCACAGTTAGGTATCTGACTGTTTCTTACTAAAGTAGATAATTAAGTTGCTATTACTCTCCTTTGTACTACTTTAGTTTTCAAATTAAGGGAAATGTATTGATGTAGAGATCGTTAATGTGTGATAAAATAAAACTAGTGAAGATAATTCTAAAATTATAAATAAAAATTACCAAAATATTGCAATATATTTTATTTCACAGAATGCATACATCTTCTACCAGAAGTCTTCAATCCCTGGGCTGGGCTGTACCAGTCTGGTGAACTCTATTGTGAACTGCACATTCGAGGGATCTAGACTGTGTGCTACTTATGCGAATCTAATGCCTGATGATCTGAGGTGAAACCGTTTCATCCTGAAACCATTCCCTGCCCCCACCCCACAGTCCACCCTCTCAATCTATGGAAAAATTGTCTTCCAAGAAACTGGTCCCTGGTGCCAAAAAGGTTGGGGGCCACTCTTCTAGAGTGTAATAATGTTCTAATAATACTCATATTTGTATAGTTCTTTAAAAAATTACAACTCAAAATTCAACAAGGGTTTCAAAAACAAGGTACATATAAAGTGGGGAAATTCAGCTCATTAAGAAAGATTTATCCGTTCTATATGTGTACATCAACTCATGTTTAATGCTCCCAAATAATAAGGGTACTGTTTATATAACACTGTTCATCTTTAGAGTGTTTCACTAATATTATCTAATTAATAAGCATAGAAAAATCCTGCTGTGTCCTCCAAAGCTGTCAAAGTCATTTCTATGATTTGAAGCCTAATTAAATTCAAAATAGATTTGTTTCTTCACCATAAGAATTTTGCAGCAATTAATTAAACAGTATAAAAATGTAAGAGGCATATTATTTGAATAATTCTAATTTCCGTGAAATTCTCTATGTTTCAGATTTGTTGCCCAAGACTACCCAGATCACTTTCTTATCTCTAAATTTTTACAACCAATTTATTTACCTTCTCAACTGGTAACCTAAACTTCTTATTTTGCCTACGTAAAAGGAACGATGTAGAAGTGATAGGTCACACACACATACTAATTTACAGTAAATTTTAAAAACAGATTTCTTTTAAATTTCAGTTGAAAAATATTCAATGGATATTACACCTCTCAATTAATGATCTGTTCTGAATATTAAATGAATCACATTCTTGAGGGAAATCATTTATTTTATTTCTTTTCTTTTCTTTTTTTAAGAATCAACTCAAGTTTCCCTAGGCCTCCTTGTTTCTTTGTTTTGAATTGTTCAATCACTCTTTAAGCTCTTGTTTTCTTAGTCAACAATCTGATACAAGTAGATTATAACCAGAAAATGTCTGACTCAGAGAGATAGCAAAACTGTCTAGCAGAATATTAAGGAACTCCAGTACAAAGTGTAGCTGCAATTACTCATTGATTTAAATTAAGGGCTTAGAAAAAAGGGAAGGAGCTATAAGTAGGAAGACAAACCTGGAGCTTTCAAAATGCCTTTTCTCATATTTATGATCACTAGTGAAACTCTTATGTTTTTTCTATAATTATTGGATATTTGTGATATGTATTTATAATAGCCAAAGGCACTGTAGGTAAAAAAAAAATAGAAGCTGATAATAATCAAAAAAGGGGAGACTAGAGAAAATAATCAAACTTAAAAATCAGCAAATAAATCATCATCAAATAGGTCTTCAGTATTCCAAACATCAAAGGAAAACATCTTTGCAGATCAAGGAGCTTACAAAGGGCTTACTCTTCCCTTAGAAAAGTTTACCAATGACTATGTAGTGAATGGTTTGTTGTCTCTGCAAGTGTTTATTCCCAGAGGAATGAAGGAGGGACCCCAAAATAATTCTGCTATTTATTCCACAGAAATATTGCTACTTCTGGCCTCATTAGTACTTTAGCTAGGAGAAGCATTAGACAATATTTAGCATACTTCTTCTGACTTAGATAAGAAAAATCTAAATTCTGTCCTCCACACAGCCTTCTCCAAGCACCTACCCTCAGGCATCCCTACTCACAAAGCTTTTTAACACTGATGCAGGACAATTCCCTATCAGAGCATAACTGACACTAGGAAGGATTTTTACTTGACTCCAATGACAGTTTCCCATCTAACTGGAATTGAATTTTAAAGAATCCTGGAGATATTTTACTCTGATGCCTTATTGTGACCCATATTTCTCTCTTTGAGGCAGGATTTCAAAAACTCGGTTTGGGGGTTTCCCTTTTTGGTGGCACTGTCCTGGGTGCTGAAGTGAATACCAAAGCAATATTGTACAATTTATGAATTGAAAGGGTTTTTTTTCTTTTATTTTTTTCTTTCCTTTTATCAAACAGAATTATGTTTTAATCCTGGCTATGCCATATATTACTGTAGCATCCTCGAAAAAGCTATTCAACATCTAAAAGCCTTTATGTTCTCGTGAGTCAAATAGAATAAAGGCTAGCTTGCAATGATTTTGAAGATTAAAGGAAATGACAGAAACAAAGTGCTTATCACATTGCCTGACTCAGAATATATACTCACAAAAATTGCAGTTGTTATTACTGTTGTCAGTGGTTGTGTTAGTATGATGAGACCTGGTTACATTTTTGCTTTTTGATAGAGGACAACCTACTTTGAAATATAATATAATCAGTAAAAAGATAACATTAACTAATAGAAATAAATGTCTCAGACAATATATTTAGAGAAACACCAATAGAAAAAAATATATCATGATCCAAAAATGGTTATAGAGGGAGTGAAGAGTCAAACTGAATTTTGAAGGGGGAATTATATATTTCTTTGGACTCAGAAGAGATGGTAAGGGAGAAAGCATAGGCAACGTTTTGGAAAAAGGAATGAGTATTACATAACTAGATGAGAGAGAATAAACTGATCTAGATGGAATAAAAAATTAGATTGTTATACACCAAAAGGTAGAATTTGGATCCTTTTAAATATTAAATAAAAATGGCTGATAACTTGAATGCCATGCTGTTGAGCAAGGATTTAATCTTGATGTCATAAGTAGTTATTTGATTTTTTTATCATGGGAACAATAGTATGTAATTGGCATTTTAGAAAGTTAGTTTTAAAGGTCATGTGTAGAACAAATTAAAAGTGACAGGAAGTGAAGACAGGAAAAAATGGAATGAGTTGAAAAATAGTTGAAAAATATTTGAAAGAAGATGGAAGCTTTGGGAATAGAAAAGACGAGATGCACAAGATATTTCAAAGGATGGATAAGTCAAAATTAGTCAATTGAAAATTTGAAGATGTTAGTTCATTTCCATTGAGGCTTTTTCTTTTATATTTTTATTCATAAAGTTCTTCTAACCCTTGCTTGATCTATCTCTTTGGAGAAGAAAGAGAATAATAAACAACCTCATCATTTATGTCTCCAGTCTACATCAACATCCTTGGCTCTCAAAATATAAAGGCCAAGTTTATAAATCAAGTGAGAGAGAAAACATATTAGACCATGAGCCTCAGTGTATTTCAACTTGAGTTGAATCCGTGACAAGATATAGTGGCTCTGTCATAGGCAGTTTTAAGAACTGAAGATATTCAAATAAAAACAGTTCACTGATCAACCACCATACTTAGTAAAACAGATCCAGTGGCCTTCTAAACATATAAGAACAACTAATGCATTTAATATAATTCTTCCCAGAAAAAAAGGCTTGAAATATATGAGTCATTTTCTAACACAGAGTACCAGTAAACTCATTTAGAATCTTGAACTCCAGTTTATAATTTTGATGAAAACCAAACATTTTGTTAGCAGCAAAACCATTCCTTCATGCATAATTTTACATGAAAACTTATTAACACAAGCAAAGCTGTTCTGGTGAAATCAGTGGGAGGCGGGAGGGGTCTTCAGAGTCCCAGCAGCACTGCTCTCTCCTCATAGCTGGGGAGTTTTGAAATCCCTCAGGCTCCACAGAACACAGTTTGAAAACCACTGCCTCAACAAGGATCTAACATGAAATTGTTCTCTTGACCAAATCAATTCTAGGGTTAAAACATGGCCTTGGGCTCATTTTTTGAGTACCCATCCAAGTTCAGTAGACTAATGCACCAAAGTTCATTCATCAAAATGAAAAAAAACAAAAACAAAAACAAAAACTTATTCACCCTCCCAATTTGAACTAGGTGCAAACAGTCAGTTTAAATCACTGTTAAACCTACATTTGATTTGGGATCATGTAACACACACACACACACACACACACACACACACCCCATATATCCATTACAATGGGGGTATGGTTTTAACAACAAATTTGGGCAAGATACAAACATTCAGCCCATAACAATAATCTTACATAACCTTTTCAACAAACTCAGGAAGTAAGCAACATTATCATTTCCCCTTAAATAGACAAGGAACTTGGAACCTAAGGTTTAGATAAAAAATAAAATGTATCCAAAATCATGTGAATAGAAAGTGACAAAGTCATGACTCACACAGGATTTATTTTGAATTCTGAAGAAGAGAGGAAAAAAGGAGAAAGAAAGATGCAAAAAAAAAAGGTACAATGCATGATTCATTTAAAAAATCATAAATAGGACTTCATTAAAATCAAAACCCTTTGTAAAACTCAATGTTAAAAGAATGAAAAGGAAAGCCAGAGACTGGGAGAAAATATTTGCTAAAAACACATCTCATAAAGACTTGTATCCAAAATATACAAAGAGCCCTTAAAACTCGGCAATATGAAAATATCATAATTAACTTTGAGCAGACTCTCTGATCAGACACTTTATCAAAGAAAATAAACAGATGGCAAATAATCACATGACAAGATCCACAAGATCATGCCACTAGGAAATTGCAAATTAACACAATGAGGTACCACTACACATGTATTAGAATGGCTAAAATTCAAAAATGACAACACTAAATACTAGAGAGGATATGAAACAACAGAAACTCTCATTCACTGTTGCTGGGAGTACAAAATGGTGCAGCCACTTTACAAGACAGTGTGATAGCTTTTTACAAAATTAAACATAGTCTTACATAAGCTCAGTAATCACACTCCTTGGTATTAAGCTTAAAATTTATGCCTGCATAAAAACTTGCAAATGGATGTTTCTAGAAGCTTTATTTAAAATTGTGAAAATTTGAAAGCAACCAAGATGTACTTCAATAGGTAATGGATAAATAAACTGTGGCACTTACATGCAACTGTATATAATTCAGTGATAAAAAGAAATGAGCTCTCCAACCATGACAAATACAGAGGAATCTCAAGTGCATATTTCTAAGTGATATAAGCCAGTCTGAAAAGTCTACATAGAGTACGATTCCAACTATTTGATATTCTAGAAAAAGAAAAACTATAGAGATTGTAAAAAGATTAGTGATTTCCAGGGATTCTAGGGCAGAGATAGGAAGGGATGAATAAATGGAGCACACAGAATTTTTAGGGCACTGAAATCATCTTGTATGATACTACAGTGGTGAGTACATAACGTTATACATATGTCAAACCTATAGACTGTATGATTAAAAGTGTGAACCCAAGTGTAAACTATGTGTTTTAGTTAATAAAAAAGAAAAAGAAAGAAAGAGAAAGTAAGATAAAGAGAGAGAATATGAAGAAGAAAGAAAAAAAGCTAGAACCAAGTCAAGAAGGTAATGGTGAGAATCCCCAAGATTGACCAAATACATTTCTTGCATTAGCTCAGTGACTATCGTTACATTTGGTCAATTAACTATTACCGTGTCGTGATAACATTCTTTATGTTTTACCTTTTCAGTTAAAAAAAATCTTCATACCAAGTCTTCTGCAAGCTAATCTTAACCCACCTCTGAATTAATCCCTTTTTGATATATAATGAGATTATTCTTTGTTATGAAGACTTAACTTAGTGATCTCTCATTTAATTAACTTAAATTTTCAGAAGTACCGATTTGTGTAGATTTGTGTATTGGCTCCCTGAAAGAAAAGTAATGCACAGACAGACATAGGTTTGCACTCACACACACAAACACCCACACCTGACAAGAAAACAAGTCTTCTGCTTTTTACTAGAAAACCCCGATTAAACCTGACAGTAAAGTCTCTAGAGAACTCTAAGAAAAAGCATGAAACTCCTAAAATTTTAGAATATAGAAATAAAAAACAGGTGACAAGTCACTAATCATGACAGGATTATCACAAACAGGCTAAAAAATAAATAAATTGAAAACTTGAGTGGAAAACATTGCATTCTGGTGAGCTTTCAAGAAAGCAACTAGCCCTTGAACTTAATTCTCAGTTTAATGGGCCTCCAAATAATTGAATAAACAATAAATGATGTAGGAGGACAAGGGATGAGAAGAATTAAAGGAGAGGCATGATTCTGCATAATCTGTCTAGAGACTAGAGAAGGGGGAAGAGGGAGTTAAGAATGAAGGTGAAAGGATTAATATTCAGTGTTATTTTATTGCAAACACAGACAGGAAGATAATGAATGCTGGACCTGGCTCCTGAGATGCAGGTTACCTCCATCAGGGCGAAGGAGGCATGAATAATTAATAATCCACTTCAAAGTTCACAACCCCCATCTCCTCCCCAAGGTAGCCATCAAGAGAGGCAACAGCCAGCTAATTGGAGGATTGCTTAGTACATCTCATGCAAATTGAAGCTGCTCTGTCTCAAGGTTTTCTCTCCTTTGCCAGCTCAGGAAGCAGCTGGTTCCCTGAACTCCAGGAGAGAACATTTAGCCCCTTTCAACCGCAAATCAGCCACCAGCCTTAGCTTCTTTAAAGGTTCAAAACACCATAGGGGTCTGACCATCAATCAGTGATTGTGTTTTTCACTCAGCCCGCTGTACTTGGAAAGTTATTGTTGCTGGAGAACGAAGTCAAAACACAAAAGCACAGAGCTCAGTACATGCCGGGGACCTAATTTATCTGTTTACCCATTCCATACCAGAAAGCCATTGTCTTTCATTACATTTTAAAAGCCAGCTTTCTTGCCTAATGAACAATTGAACATCAGGCTGAGTGAACTCAATGATTTTATGTACTTAATTTTCAATTTTTTCTACCAAACCTATTATTACAGTCTCAAACTTAGGTGTATGCAGAAAGTGTTTCAAGAATTTTTTTTAAAATGAAAGCTCCTGGACTGAGCCCTTAGAAGCCCTGAGGACAGATGTCTTAGGTGGGACCAAAGAAGCTGTATTAATACTAAAAAGAGCTCAATCAATTATGATGCAGGAAATTCTTGAGCTAGAATTTGAGAAACATTGATTAATACGTGATTGGCATTTACACATTTATCATCCATAGACTAAATGTATTCTCAGTTTTGACTCTTAGTGATCAAATCACAATGTGAACGTCTTATGTTTTGTACCTGAGGCGCCAAATTGAAACTCATACACACCAATAAACTCTTTGCTCATCTCAAGGTGATGGCTTTATTTTTATGTGCCCACATTTTTCTGCAAGAATTCTCATGAAATGACTTACAAATTAAAATAAATAAATAAATAAATAAATAAATAAATAAATAAATAAATAAAAACTATCTTTATGGCAAATTGTCGTCAAATGAAAGGGAAAATGTAGAGATGCATAACAGCTTTGTGGAAGAACAATGTAGGAAAAGCCAGATGAAATTGAGCTTACTCCACAGGATTCTCAGATTCTCAGCTGTTGTTTAGTAGTGAGAGAACAAGCAACAAGGAAATTTGCCTACACATATACACATACACCCATACACAGTCACACATACATATTCTGCCATTAAAAGCAGAGTAATGAGAGGAATATAAATCACTCTACCAAAAAGACACATGTACATGTATGTTCATTGTAGCACCATTCACAATAGAAAAGACACGGAATCAACCTAGATACCCATCAATGGTAGACTGGATAAAGAAAATGTGGTACATTCACACCACAGAATATTACACAGCCATGAAAAGGGAAATCATGTCCTTTGAAGAAACATGGATACAGCTGAAGGCCATAATCCTAAGCAAATTAACATAGAAACAGAAAAACAAATACCACATATTCTCACTTATAAATGGGAGCTAAATATTGAGTATGCATAGACACAGAGATGAGAACAGTAGACATGGGGGCTTACTTGAGGGGCCAATGAAAGAGGAGGGTAAGGGTTGAAAAACTACCTATCAGGTACTGTGCTCACCACCTGGGTAACTAAACCATTTGTACACGAAACCCCAGTGACATGCAATTTGCCTGTGTAACAAACCTGTACATGCACCCCGTACCTAAAATAAAAGTTGAAAAATAAAAATAAAAGAGTTAACAAGCAAGTTAGTCTCTTGGAAAATCTAAGTTTGTCACCTGCAAAATAAGGTTATTTGACTAAATTTCCTTTGGCAAAATTATCTATGATTTCATTTACCAAAAATTTCACAGAACTCACTGTAGTGCCTGTGTTAGTGTTATTAACTTATTGTTGAAACACCAACGGCTGCTATTTCTTAGTTATATCTAAATAATGCTGTGTGTGTGTGTGTGTGTGTGTGTGTGTGTGTGTGTGTGTGTCTAGATTTCCTATCAATATTTAGCTATGGTGTAAGTGAGTGTTTTAACTTCTATATTAGTTATGCTTCCAAAAGTAGACAATTAGTTCACACAAAATGGGTAATATAAGAAGAGTTCATTTTTAAAGTGAGGGCATTTGTAAAGAAAATCATCACGAGCAGAGAAGTGCACTGGGGCTAATAATTGCAAGTGAGCTATTATTCTTAGGGCTGAAGAGGCCATGGGACAGAAGAAAAAGGCCTACTGAGATGCAACCTTTGGTGGAGGTAGGCAACCAGCCTGTAGCAACTCTGCAGAAATGGAGTTAGAGAACTAAAGTTCCCACTTCATTTTCCTCCTTGCTCTCATTCCCTGCTAGTGCTCCCTATTGCCCAAAACAAATAAGAAGCCACAGGACAAGAGAACCCTCTGATAAAGTCCATAAAGATCAGCTGGGGCAGAGAATATGGAGAAGAAGCATAAAGAGTGATTCTAGGTGGATTTTTTTTTCAATGGGGGAAAAAATCCAGCACAGTTTTTGTTATTTCTTTTGTAAAAAGTTACTAACAACCCAGCATGAGATTTCTTTAAATTCCCACAGGTTTATAATTCTCCTGGTCACCTCTGAATTTAATACTCTATTTTGGTTTAATTCTGATGTTCATTTTATCACTGTTTCATGTCACCTCATACTTACAACTTGGCTGCTTTCCCTCGATTTCTACAACCACTGCATGAGGCTTGTGTGCACAGAACAGACTTTACTCAACAATCAGAGGGAGGTAGGAAGGCTTAGGCCACAACAATGAAACAAATGTTAGAGTTCCATTTTCTCCAAAGATTCTCAATCCTTCCCACCAATTTGAGCACTGGTTCCCTGCCACATTTTTGAATCCTTTTCCTATCCGCCATCAAGTCCTAAATTAAGACCCATCTTAAAAAATAGTTGAAGAAATTTTAGAAATCACATAATCCCCAAGCCGTGCTTCTCATGGATTCATACACATTTCACTTGCTTCTGTTTCCTTCCCCTTATCACACTATCCTGTAATTTCTTTAATTATCATCTCTCTGCTCCACTAGGCTCCAGGCATTTTTTGGAAAGCTGAGTCATAATCACATCTAGACATCCAGGGTCTACCATCATACTTAAATATAATAGGCACTCTGCTAATGTTTAATAAATAAACATGTGATTCCAGGATTTGGGGTACTTCCCACCACACACACAAAAACCATTCATCATGTACAGACATAAAAACTGAGGCTTTTAGAAGAGAAATAAGATGCCTCAGGTCCACAGAACAAGAATTGAGATATATGATCTCTTCAGATTTAATATTCCCTATGATACTCTGCAACTCCAACAGTTTACATATAAATGTGTTAATGAGTTTCCTTGTCCTTCTCACTCTGCTATAAAACACCTCATCAATTTTTTTCTTAACAAGTTAAATTTAAGAGGAACAAATTAGGGGAAAGTTCTACTGACAGAAAAAAAAATTCCCTACATATTGTTTTCATCAACGTGTAAATTTGTTGTATTTGCAATATTAATTAATATTAGAAACCAAAATTTAATCTCTGTAATTGGTACTAAACCAGAAGACAGGAAAGGAATCAATGCTTGATGATAGGGATTTTGCCCCCAAAGGATCCTTTTACATGTAATGTTTAGCCCAATACTGTTTTCTTTGTGTGAGGCAGCAAAGAAGCAATTCTTACAAATGGTATATTTTGTTTTCCCAGTGAAAATTCATGAAGAAAACTTTTTCAATATTTCAAAACATCTCGATGCAAATCTGTTAACTTTTACAAGGCTTTTTTTTTTTGTGGTGGGAGTGGATTTCATCAGAGAATGTTGCTTATAACTTCATTATTACTGATCATTTTTGTATGACTGATTAATCACCTCCTCACCTAAAATGAGTTGGATATTTTCACTCAACTATTCACACCAACAAAGTGAAAACACAACATCATCTTCTAGAAGTTTTATGCCTCCAGGTTAGTCATACTACCAGGGATTCTATGGAAGCTACCAACTATGGAAAGAGAACCTTCCCCTCTGTGTTACCTCCTGCAAGCCCTTCCTCTACACACTATATTGTAAAAACCCTTCCTCTGCCCATTGCCTTGCATTATCTACTTTATTTTATGAGTATTATAGACAAAATAAGAGAAATATTTTAATGAGAAAATCACTCTTGAAGTATATTTTTCAAATATCTACATTTGTCTCTGGTTTATGCTTGGCAGCATAAAAACAGCCTTTAACTACTTTTCTTGTCACTTCTTCTTGGTTGACTTTTTCTTCCTTCGATCTCACCTTGTATGTGAGAGCATAATTCAAATATATTCGGCTTATTATCAAATTCATTAATCAGAATCTGCCATGGTGGAGGCAGGTAATCTGCATGTTTGAAAGGACCTCCAATAATTGTGACAACTAGCCAGGTTTGGAAACAGACTCACTAAACCCCAAAATGCACCCATGTAACCACTAAAACTAATTGTGAAATAGTTACGTGCATGTGTTATTTATTTTTCTGGAGAGAGGATGACTTCCCTTTTTGAGATTCTCAAATGTACCTTCAAGAATGGGATAGCACATGAATTAAAATAACTCATATGCTAAAAGATTTTGGGTATTTTAAGAGCTCATGTCTCTTGAGTTGAACCAAAAATAGAATCAACTTTCCTAAATTCTGTTCTCTGTTTACTATGAAAAATTATTTTTCCAGAGTACATGGGTCTAAAGAACCGTAACAATAATTTTTACCCTATGCCAAAAAAAGGAGTACTTCTAAAGGTATCAGTTAGCTTATACTCCTTTCTTAATTGACCCTCTCAATACACGTGTCCAATATAATTTATTCCTTCTATGCCAGTACCCACACTGGACCATATAATCCCTTCCACAGCCATCTATTTCCCAGCATTTACACCTGACTGCCGTGCATTTGAACAGGCTGGTGCTGTCCAAGGTGCTGAGCAGGAGGTAAATGGCTCAATGCACCATCAACTCAGTGCTGCACTACGCAGAGGAGGAGCCTCTTTCTAATTCACATAAAAGTGATTCAGGTGGAAGCAGTAACTTTGCTTTTGCCTCCTCTTTTTTCTTCCTACTGGGGGAACAGCATATGCATATCCAAAGATAATGAGTCATATGTAACCTGTCCCCATTCATCTGAGAGCCTTTATCCTTCTTGGGTTTTTCCAAGTGTAAAAATTTTGTGAGTTTATTTCTACTTTACTGCATTAATCACAATAAAGTCAGAGTTGAGATAACAACAATACTGAAATCTTCCTACTTAGTAATCAATAAATTCTATGATATGTTTTGACTTTTGATAAATAACTTAAATTTTCATTTGATTCTACTTTTTCATCTCTAAAATTAGAGTAGACACCTCACACACAGGACAGTGGGGAGAATTGAAAAGATCATATACAAGAAAATATTTTGTTAAACCAAATAAATAATATAAATATAAAATGGCATTAATATTATCAATATGATTATGATAAAAATTTACTATTGGAAGAGAGAATAGTGTTTAGAAACATGAGAATACAATGAGAATAAGCCTCAATGAGGCTTATTGAGAAAGTAACAAGAAAGTGACAAGAAATGACAATGAGACTTATTCACATTGTATTATCATATTCCTAAGTATTAACCTCAAAGAGCTTACAACTCAGTGAAGGACTTAAGACAATCTATATAAATAATGTACCATAGATTAGAGTGGCATAAAAAGTATCAGTTGAGTCAAATGAATAGTAAGAGCAAAAATCTAATCATTGGACTAATGCAGTCCAAGAAAATTCATGGAGGATGCAGCAGCTAAGGTATATTTTAAGAGATGGTTAGGATTTAGGTAGAAAGAGTAGTGAGAAAGCCTGAGAACTGTTACTTTTAATTATGATACTTTTCCTTCCCCACCAAGTTTTTCTGCTAAATAACATTCCAAATATTTAAAAAACTCCTGATCCTCCCAGGCAAAGTCATTAGAAGCATAGCGTAATGATACTATCAATAATAGGCAGATCAGGATTAATAAGAGAAAGGCAATTAGAGAAAATGAAAGGTCACATTGAAACTGTCTTGGCTTAGAGCTCTATTATTGTGTCAGAGTGTTGGTTGCCTTATCATATCCACCTTGCTCATGGCAAGGGGTGTGTTGAAAAGTTTGTTCTAAAAAAAAGTGAAGTTAATAAAAGGGATATTTTCTATATGGATGTGTCCATTGGGCATGGAGTAGAGACAATTATCTCCAAATTTTTAGTCCTTTTTTAGAATCTCACAGCTTAGAGAGGCTCTCCTCAGTGAACTATTCTGCAGAGCACAGGCTTCCCTTCCTATTTAGCATACAATTTATGCCTCAGGTGTGGGCATATTTATGAGGCCTAACTCAAATGCTGGCTTGATAAACAACAAACTGTAGGCTCTCTATTAGCAAGCCTGCAAAATTATTGTAGGCTTGTTATTATGATTATAATAAAGTATTTGGGCACAAAATAAAATGAAACAGCTTTGGATTCATATAGGCACAGAGAATCATAAAGAATTAGGAAAATTCCTGTTAACAAAAAGACTCCATATAACATAGCTTATATTCCAACATTTCTATATAACTCATATTTCTAGGAGCATGTGATATAATTCATGGCAAGTACATTTTTTGATAAACCAATGATTATCCTTCAAAGGAAAGCAGGAAGGGAGCACAAAAACACCGTTAGTCATTTTTACCTCAGTCTTTCTTGTTCTCTTTCTGATGATTCTCCTGTAACTGGTCATCTGCAGTCTCATGAGGCCTCCTGAAAGAATAAATCATCAAAATATTTGTTGAATGAATAAGTAAATAAACAAATACATAAAAAACAGAGATAGTGAAAGCATTTAAACCTGAAAGACACATGATTATGAAATCACACTTTCCTTAGCATTGGTAACAACAGCAGCAGCAGCAGACCTAGCATTGATTGAGTGCTTACTATACGGCAGGCATGATGCTTTTATTTTTACACTGAGTAACGATTAATTACTATGACAAACTCTCCATGTGGGTTCTATTATTATGACTATTTTATAATAAGGAAACTGTGGCTCAGTAACTTGTCAAAGGTCACACAGCTCACAAATAGCCAGACCAGAATTCAAAATCAAACCCATCTAATTCCAGAGTAGATCTCATAACCTCATACAGTTTCTATTTCTATTTATTTACATTTCACAGACAGAAGATTTCTGGGCATGGAGCAAAAAAGGACAACAGAGAAAAGCATGGATTATTTGGAAGATGGGACAGAGATTGCAAAAAAAAAAATCCTTGTATAGAAACCTGAATTGTAAATTTAGGTAAATAAATGCATAAGACAAGCATACTATATTGAATGGGAAACAAACTACAACTTGTATGCACATACTCTATGCAAGATGTTACCTAGTTAACTTCAATCTGATTTTGAATTATATTTTGCAAGCTTCTTCAGTTATGGTTGCCATCAGTAGTAAGAATATCGACAATTCTTAATAAAGTCACAGACTCTGCAGGGCATCCACACTTTAACACTGAAGTAAGAAGGAGAAGTCCCTGGAGTTCATGACCGTCTTGTTCCCAAGAACACATGGTGATATACTTAGTAGCCTGAATTATCTTTACTCTTCATACAGTGGTGACATTTATTGTGACATAAATGAACTATTTCTAGGCACCAAGAGGAACGTTAATCATTTATCCTGGTGTTATCCTCTGGTTTATGCTCTAGAAGCTTCAGTCTAATGCTCTTATCCATTGCCCACTTCCTTGCCCCACCCACTTATCATCTACAAATAATTGAACCAAGTATTTTTGAGTGAAAGGAAACTCCTCTAGAGTTCAACTGAATTAACTTGGAATAGTATCTAACCAATTGCGCCTCTGTTTCCTCAGCTATTAAGGAAAACACAGTGTGACAAATTAAAAAGGAGGATACAATAAAAATAGTCTTTCCAACTGCCTTTACTCTGGTTTTGAGGAAATTGCATCAAATAATATAGAAGGCAATATAAAAATGTTAGCTGTTGTGTGGAGATAAAAATACGCGGGTGAAGGAAGATTTCCATTAACGATTTTTCCAAACATTTTAGGAGATTGGGTGACAAAACACTCCTGCTTTTCCCATTATCATAGGGCCCCATTTCATGTAGCTAAGCAACACCAAATAGTGACTTAGCTCAGTATCAGGTGATGTGATATAAACACCTGGAATAGTGCCTGAAGTCCCCTATGATATTAAAGTGCATTTTTCCCTGACTCTTAATTTTTTAAAAAAGTGTTTAAGTATCAGTGTATAGCACAGTTTTTCTATTACAGCTAAATTCACTACTTCTACTAAAAATTTCTAGTGACAGTAGATAGGAGAATAAGGTGGGTACAGGGAAAAAAGACTATTCAAAGACGGCAAATTTTAAAAATAAAAAAAGTATTTTTTATAAAAGGTTTTTGTTTTTGTTTTCCCATATATCATTGTTAATTTTTTGCTTCTGTACATTTTCTGAGTTTGCCAGTAACATTACCAATATGAGGCAATTTTTATTCCTGTTATTAACAAATATCTAATTATGAACCAAAATACTTACATGATTTTATTTATCAACCCCATTTTAGAGATGAAGACTATTATGCTGAACCAGTATTTAAATATGGATTTGTCTTGCTCTGAAATCTGAACTCACTTCATTCTGCTATACTATGGCCAAAGCATAACATTGAAAATGACAAATTGTGAGGATATTTCTTATGAAATTATCAGTGCTTGGTTAACTGTATAATTTTAAGTTTGTTATATTCTTGAGGACTAATCTTTTTATTCTCCAGGGTTTAATTTTGGTTGGATCATACTTCAGAAATTATAGTATAAATGAGGGAAAGATGGTTATCATACAATAATCTGATTTACAAACCTTTGAGTTCAATGAAATATATTTATCATTGAATTTTCTTTTTCTGCAATATATTAACACGCAAAACTGAAATATTGTCTTTTAAAGATGTGTTTGCCTACTGAGAATCTCACAGGTTTCTGAAATAACGAAATCTTGCCTCTGCCTGAAAGTATCTCTGTAGACAGACAAGAGCGAAATGAAAACAAAAATAGATGTTTTTCCATGAACAATAAGTGTTTCATCAAAAGAACAAAGAAACAGAGCTCTAAATGCTGGATTTTCTGCTTCCCTGAGATGTTACAGATCTGCAGAGAATGACAGGTTCTGAGGTTTCCATTCTGAATTTTAACCTTGTGACATGTCCTTACCACACTCCAGACATCTGAGGAACACAGGCATGAGAAATTATATTTATTGATTGTCCTCTATATGGAACACAGCTAAATATATATATATATAACAATAAACTACAACTTATGTGCACATACTCTATGCAAGATGCAAAGATTATATATAATATATATATCTTTGTGTGACACAAAATTTATCAGTTTATGAAAAAATGTTAAAGTACATTTCTCAACTATAACTTAAGAAGGAAAATATAATAATCCATTTATTATTACATCAATACATAATGAGATATGCAATGCCAAAAGAAACTAAATGGATCCTTGCTGGCAAGACTTGTTTTTACTTAGAAGGAAAGCATCCACATATCCCAAAAAGGGATATAGGGATAGTCACCATGTGAGAAAGAACAATGGCAGAGATTAACTTGGCAGTGAATATCCAGGCATGAACGAGGGAAAGGGATCCTTATCAAATAAGCACAGCTGTCCTGGTCACATTGCCAAGTCCTTCCCCAAAGGGAAGGTGGACAATAGGATTCCAGCCAAAGCACTTCGCATTCTCCAGTCCCAAAGATATGTCTCAGGGTGTCTCATCCTGTTGCCATTCAGCAAAGCATTAATCTAACTGCCCTTGTTCAGAGTCAGTGTTCTCGAAACTACCTTCAGCTGTGATTTGTCTTTCCAGGTTTGTCTGTTGGCTGGTGGAAAAGAAGGTGCTTGGGGAAATGTTAAAGATTTCCACCTATATGTTAGAATTTTATTTTTAATTATTAATCAGTATACTGGAATCTTGATTACAAACTATTTCCTAAGCCTGTCTGTCAATAGACAGAAAATGGACTGGTCAGTTTGACATGTCTTCCAGCCAACAAGAGAGTTCTACATCTCATTGGAAGTTGATGAATCATCATTGTAATTTCATGCATCAATCTCCTATCTTGATTCACATGAGTGTAACCCAAAAAAGGGACATGATATCTGAGAGCTGGATTCCAAATCTGCAACCTGAAAGCTAAGCCCTGAACCTTGGTATTTGCTGAGAGTGTCCTGTGCCTGCTGTAGCAAATTACCAGAAACGTGGTGGCTTAACACAACACACATCTAATCTCTTACAGTGTTGTAAGTCAGAGGTCCAAGTCAATTTCACTGGGCCAAAAATCAAGGTGCCTTGAGGCTCATGCTCCCTCTGGAGCTCTATGGAGGAACTGATTTCCTTGCCTCTTCCAGAGTTTAGATCTGCATTCCTTGCATTTGTTGACTCTTGGCCCCTTCCTCCATCTTCGAAGCCAGTGTGTAGCATGCTAATTCAGTGATCACGTTGCCTTCTTCTTCTGTGTCAAACTCTTCTCTGCCTGCCTCTTATAAGGATACTTGTTATAGCACTTAAGTCTCACCCAGATAATCCAATATAATCTTGCCATCTTGAGATCTACGATTTAATCACATCTGGCAGATCTTTTTTGTCATATGTAGTAAGAGTCACAGGTTCCAGGTATTAGGATATGGGTATCGTTTAAGGCCTATTATTCAGCCCACCACACCTTTTTTTTGAGGCCTCTCCAACTAAAACCTGCTGGATGTATCAAGAACTGAGTACATACCCCTTTCTGCATTTGTCTGGCAGATCTTTCAATATTTTCTTTGAAACTCTACAAGCATTAGGTATCAACCAGGGTTCCAACAGAAAACAAGATTTGTCTCAGATGGTTCAAAGGAGTGTGTAGTGGACAAGATTAAGAAAACAAACAATGGCTGGGCATGGTGGTTCACGCCAAAGTAATTCCAGCACTTTAGCAGGCCAAGACAGGTGGATCACTTTAGCTCAGGAGTTTGACACCAGCCTGGCCAACATGGCAAAACCCCATCTCTACTAAAAATACACAAATGAGCCAGGCATGGTGGCATGCACTTGGGGTCGCTGCTACTCAGGGAGGCCGAGGCACGAGACTCAGTTGAACTTGGGAGGCAGAGGTTGCAGTGAGCCAAGATCACACCACTGCACTCCAGCCTGGGCAACAAAGTGAGACCGTGCCCAAAAAAAAAGGAAGGAAGGAAGGAAGGAAGGAAGGAAGGAAGGAAGGAAGGAAGGAAGGAAGGGAGGGAGGGAAGGAGGGAGGAAAGGAGGAAAACAATAAATATAAGACACTCAAACATCAGAACATTAGCAACAGTGGGATACTGTTACTTGACTTCCTGGGGCTTTGGGGCACGGAGAAAAAATGATGTCACTGGAGCCCAGTGAGAATAGCAACTATGGAGTAGGTTTCACTCAACAGGAGATCTATCAGAACAGAACAAAGCTGCTGCTGTGGTTGCTAAAGTAGGGAGGGGAAACAGGTACAGTGGCCTGTGCCACTGTCCAGTGTGCCAGTGTCCTGGCTACTCCTACTCAAGAGGCTGAGGTTGGAGAATCACTTGAGTCCAGAAGTTGGAGTCCAGCATGGGCAACATAGTTAGACCCCATCTCTTAAAAGAAAAAAAGCCAGTTGCAATGGCTCATGCCTGTAATACCAACACTTTGAGAGGCCAAAGCAGGTGGATCACCTGAGGTCGGGAGTTCAAGACCAGCCTGGCCAAAATGGTGAAACCTCATCTCTACCAAAAATACAAAAATTAGCCAGATGTGGTGGCACACGCTGTAATCCCAGCTACTCAGAAGGCTGAGGCAGGAGGATCCTTTGAACCCGGAGGCAGAGGTTGCAGTAAGCTGAGATCATGCCACTGCACTCCAGCCTGGGCAACAACAACAACAAAAAAAAAAAAAAAAAAGGAAGGGACAGAGTGACAAAGAAACACCTGAACACCTAGACTTCTCTCTCCCCCTACTGATACCTCCATAGTCTAATCTCAATCTGAAGTCAGCCAGCAGGTGAGTCCAGGGGGTACAATCACAGGGACCAGTGTATCCAATGCAGAGCAGGACAGAGAAAGGTAGAAACTGGATGAAGCCTTGGTAGGTGGGAGGAGTAATAGCTACCGTGCATATTGTCCCAATATTATCTATACAAAAATGAGACTCCAACCAAAGCAATGCGATATGTGGCTGATCCAAAATTTGAAGCCATATCTGAGTCTTGAACATCCCCTATATTTCTCTCAAGGCTTTCTACTATAACATTTAGAATTCAAATTTGCCTCATTTTATATATTTGCCTTTGAACTGTTTAACAGCAATCAGATGATAAAGAATCATTCCTGATATTTATAACCATTAAATATATAAGATTTTGTTATCTCCTCATTTATGATCTCAAATTGGTTTGAATCGTCCTCTCACTGTGCCTCTCCCCCGGCATTACTCCTCTTGCTTGAAGAAAAAATGTCCTTATTATATTCAATATTTCATTCTCATTGCAAACTCTGAATCAAGAATAATTAATTTCTATATTTTTTAGCTCCATGCCACGTTCAAAATAGTTTAAGTTTCTTCTGTGATGGGTCTCAGTTTCTAAGGATGTTCTGCTTGCTCACCAATGCTCACATAAAAATATTGATTTACACCCAGAGTCTACAAAGAGATCCATTATATTTTTGGTCTCTGCCTGATTTCTAGATCATACATTTCCCCATAAAATACAAAGTATTTTAACCAACCACTCTTTCCTATTTCTTCCAGGCAGAGTTAATGCACTCAGTCTGACCTCCTTCGGAGCACTGCCTGCTGTCTTCTTGTCTAAACTGAAGCCAGTTCTTATCCACTCATGGAATCTTTCTCCCCTACTCTTTTACTGGCATCCTTGGCTCATCACTCCTGTCTCATATCTCCCCACTCATCACCGTTTTAAAGAGTCTGCATTGAGTGTCACTACATCTGCTGCTTGGGAAATTAGAGCCTTGCTCCAAATCTTAGGCACCATTAAAAAAAAAAAAGAAAAAGAAAAAAAAAAAAACCTTTTCCCTTGCCCGTTTCCTGACATCGCCTTGCAGCCGGAAACTCTCCCAGAAGAGAAGGGGAGAGGAGCAATCAATAGCGTCTCTAAACAGAAGATGCCATTGGCAAAGAGGTAGCACTCAACCACTGCGGTGAACCGCAGGCTTCTGATTAAGACACCCGTGCCAGCCTGATTGAGCTGCCTGTCCGCACCGCATGCAAACCAGCCACTTAACCCTCCCTCCCTCTGCTGCCTTATTCCCCTCACAGAAAATAGAGCACTCAAAGAGAAAAGTGGTGCTTGGGTCTGCAGAGAGCTTAAAAGGAATTACTGACAGCTGAGTGTTCTCTCTGAATTCAGATTCTGCAATCAATTAGGAGAGATTTCATAGATATGATGATTGGAAATGAAAACTCCACATTAGGTCACATTATCCAGACTCCTTGTAGCCCTCCCCATTAAAGAAAGCTAGCTCCCAGTGGTCTGTTCAACTTCACTCAGTCCAACTCTGGACAATTCAGGTGCATTCCCCACACTGAGGACCTTTATGTCACAGTCAAAATTTGCTTCACAGCAATTAACATACAGCCAAATTTTGAAACATGAAATTGGAGAATAGGTCTGGTGAATTTACTTAGGGTCTTCCCAAGGCAAGAAATGTTCAGGCTAATTCCAGTTTTTGAGGCTTCAGGTTTATATTAAATACATACATCAATATATAGTATATAGTATGTTATATTACATACAGAAATGTCAAAACAAAATTTCAAAAGTTGTGGCAAGTTGTAAAAAGCTTGTAATATGTGAACAGGCTACTGTGATGGTCGAATTTAGGTGTCTGCATAGAGGGATACCTAGAGGAATTTTTGCCTGCATAAAGGGATGCCTATATGGCTGGTGAAACCGTTTCTAGGTGTGTTCTTGAGGGTGTTTTCTAGGAAGATTGGCCTGTCAATTGGTGAACTGAATGGGGAAAATCCACCCTCAATGTTGGTGGCCACCATCCAAACGGCTGGAAGTTTGGGTGCAACAAAAAGGTGAAAGAGTGGCTCACGCCTGTAGTCCCAGCACTTTAGGAGGCTGAGGTGGGAGGATCACTTGAGCTGGGGAGTTTGAGACCAGCCTGGGAAACATAGCAAGACTCTGTGTCTACAAAAAATAAAACTAGCGAGGCGTGGTGGCACATGACTGTAGTCCTAACTACTTGAGAGGCCGAGGTAGAAGGATTGCTTGTGCCCAGGAGTTCAAGGCTGCAGTGATCCATGAGTATAGCCACTGCACTCCAGCATGGACAACAGAGTGAAAGAAAGAAAGAAGGAAAGAAGGAAAGAAAGAAAGAGAAGGAAAGAAGGAAAGAAAGAAAGAGAGAGAGAGAAAGAAAGAGAAAGAAAAAGAGAAAGAGAGAAAGAGAGAGAAAGAGAGGAAGGAAGGAAGGAGAAAAAAAAGGAAAGAAAGGAAAGAAAAAGGAAAGAAATGGTGAATTATTTCTCTTTTTTGGAGCGGGACGCCCTTCTTTACCTGCTCTTGGACTTCACAACTCTAAGTGCTTTTGCCTTTGGACACTGGGACCTGCATCAGTGGCTTCCCAGGGCTCCCGGGCCTTCCACCTTGGACTGAGCCACACTACTGACTTCTATGATTCTCCAGCTTGCAGATGGCTTATCTTAGGACTTCTCAGCCTCCATAGTCAAGTGAGCCAATTCCCCTAGTGTTTAGTCCCTTTTTGTGTTGCTATAAAGGAATAAGTGAGACTGAATAATTTATTTAAAAAGAGGTTTATTTGGCTCACAGTTATGCAGGCCATACAAGAATATCTCTGTGCCCCGATCCCTTATTTCCATGCCCTGACCTCTTATCTCTGCACCCCGATCCCTTATTTCTGCTCCCCCACCTCTTATCTCTGTGTCCCAACCCCTTATTTCCACACCCTGACCCCTTTCCCACTTTTCTGGAGGGTAAGAACCCCTGAACCCCTTCCCTCTGTGTCTCTATTCTTCTCTTTAAACTTGCCTCCTTCACTGTGGGCAACCTTCCACCCTCCATTCCCCCTTCTTCTCCCTTACCCTGTGTTCTTAAAAATCTAAAACCTCTTTAACTCACACCTGACCTGAAACCTAAATGCCTTATTTTCTTCTGCAATGCCGCTTGACCCCAATACAAACTCAACAGTGGTTCCAAATAGCCAGAAAATGGCACTTTCAATGTTTCCATCCTACAACATCTAAATAGTTCTTGTCGTAAAATGGGCAAACAGTCTGAGGTGCCTGACGTCCAGGCATTCTTTTACACATCAGTCCCTCCCTAGTCTCTGTTCCCAATGCAACTCGTCCCAAATCTTCCTTCTTTCCCTCCCGTCTGTCCCCTCAGTCCCAACCCAAGCGTGGCTGAGTCTTTCTAATCTTCCTTTTCTACAGACCCATCTGACCTCTCCCCTCCTTGCCAGGCTGAGCTAGGTCCCAATTCTTCCTCAGCCTCCGCTCCTCCACCCCATAATCCTTTTATCACGTCCCTTCCTCACACCTGGTCCAGCTTACAGTTTCGTTCTGTGACTAGCCCTCCCCCACCTGCCCAGCAATTTACTCTTAAAAAGGTGGCTGGAGCTAAAGGCATAGTCAAAGTTAATGCTCCTTTTTCTTTATCCCAAATCAGATAGCGTTTAGGCTCTTTTTCATCAAATATAAAAACCCAGCCCAGTTCATGGCTCATTTGGCAGCAACCCTGAGATGCTTTATAGCCTAGACCCTAAAAGGTCAAAAGGCCGTCTTATTCTCAATATACATTTTATTACCCAATCCACTCCTGACATTAAATAAAACTCCAAAAATTAAATTCCGGCCTTCAAACCCCACAACAGGACTTAATCAACCTTGCCTTCAAGGTGTACAATAATAGAGTAGAGGCAGCCAAGTAGCAACATATTTCTGAGTTGCAATTCCTTACCTCCACTGTGAGACAAACCCCAGCCACATCTCCAGCACACAAGAACTTCCAAACGCCTAAACCACAGTGGCCAGGCGTTCCTCCAGGCCTGCCTCCCCCAGGAGCTTGCTACAAGTGCCAGAAATCTGGCCACCAGGCCAAGGAATGCCCGCAGCCTGGGATTCCTCCTAAGCCGCATCCCATCTGTACAGGACCCCACTGAAAATCGGACTGTTCAACTCACCTGGCAACCACTCCCAGAGCCCCTGGAACTCTGACCCAAGGCTCTCTGACTGACTCCTTCCCAGATCTTCTTGGCTTAGCAGCTGAAGACTGACACTGCCTGATCGCCTCGGAAGCCTACAGGACCATCACAGACGCTCTGCGTAGCTATCACAGTGGAGGGTAAGTCCATCCCCTTCTTAATCAATACGGAGGCTACCCACTCCACATTACCTTCTTTTCAAGGGCCTGTTTCCCTTGCCTCCATAACTGTTGTGGGTGTTGACGGCCAGGCTTCTAAACCTCTTGAAACTCTCCAACTCTGGTGCCAACTTAGACAATACTTTTTTAAGCACTCCTTTTTAGTTATCCCCACCTGCCCAGTTCCCTTATTAGGCCGAGATATTTTAACTAAATTATCTGCTTCCCTGACTATTCCTAGACTACAGCTACATCTCATGCCACCCTTCTTCCCAATCCAAAGCCTCCTTTGTGTCCTCCTCTTGTATCCCCCTACCTTAACCCACAAGTATAAGATACCTCTACTCCCTCCTTGGCAACCAATCATGCACCCCTTACCATCTCATTAAAACCTAATCACCCTTACCCCGCTCAATGCCAATATCCCATCCCACAGCACGCTTTAAAAGGATTAAAGCCTGTTATCACTTGCCTGCTACAGCATGGCCTTTTAAAGCCTATAAACTCTCCTTACAATTCCCCCATTTTACCTGTCCTAGAACCAGACAAGCCTTACGGGTTAGTTCAGGATCTGCGCCTTATCAACCAAATTGTTTTACCTATCCACCCCGTGGTGCCAAACCCATATACTCTCCTATCCTCAATACCTCCCTCCACAACCCATTATTCTGTTCTGGATCTCACACATGCTTTCTTTACTATTCCTTTGCACCCTTCATCCCAGCCTCTCTTCGCTTTCACTTGGACTGACCCTGACACCCATCAGGCTCAGCAAATTAGCTGGGCTGTACTGCCACAAAGCTTCACGGACAGCCCCCATTACTTCAGTCAAGCCCAAATTTCTTCCTCATCTGTTACCTATGTCGGCGTAATCCTCATAAAAACACACGTGCTCTCCCTGCCAATCATGTCCAGCTGATCTCTCAAACCCCAGAACCTTCTACAAAACAACTCCTTTCCTTCCTAGGCATGGTTAGATACTTTCGACTTTAGATACCTGGTTTTGGCATCCTAACGAAACCATTATATAAACTCACAGAAAGAAACCTAGCTGACCCCATAGATCCTAAATCCTTTCCCCACTCCTCTTTCCATTCCTTGAAGACAGCTTTAGAGACTGCCCCCACCCTAGCTCTCCCTGACTCATCCTAACCCTTTTCATTACCCACAGCCGAAGTGCAGGGCTGTGCAGTCAGAATTCTTACACAAGGACTGGGATCGCATCCTGTAGCCTTTTTGTCCAAACAATTTGACCTTACTGTTTTAGGCTGGCCATCATGTCTCCGTGCAGCAGCTGCTGCCACCCTAATACTTCAGAGGCCCTTAAAATCACAAACTATGCTCAACTCACTCTCTACAGTTCTCATAACTTCCAAAATCTATTTTCTTCCTCACACCTGACACATATACTTTCTGCTCCCCAGCTCCTTCAGCTGTACTCACTCTTTGTTAAGTCTCCCACAATTACCATTGTTCCTGGCCCGGACTTCAATCCAGCCTCCCACATTATTCCTGATACCACACCTGACCCCTATGACTGTATCTCTCTGACCCACCTGACATTCACCCCATTTCCCCATATCTCCTTCTTTCCTGTTCTGCACCCTGATCACACTTGGTTTATTGATGGCAGTTCCACAAAGCCTAATGGCCACACACCAGCAAAGGCAGGCTATGCTATAGTACCAGCCACTAGCCCGCCTCTTAGAACCTCTCATTTCCTTTCCATCGTGGAAATCTATCCTCAAAGAAATAACTTATCAGTGTTCCATCTGCTATTCTACTACTCCTCAGGGATTATTCAGGCCCCCTCCCTTCCCTACACATCAAGCTCAGAGATTTGCCCCTGCCTAGGACTGGCAAATTGACTTTACTCACATGCCCCGAGTCAGAAAACTAAAATACCTCTTAGTCTGGGTAGACACTTTCACTGGATGGGTAGAGGCCTTTCCTACAGGGTCTGAGAAGGCCACTGCTGTCATTTCTTCCCTTCTGTCAGACATAATTCCTCGGTTTGGCCTTCCCAGCTCTATACAGTCCGAGAGCAGACTGACCTTTATTAGTCAAATCAGCCAAGCATTTTTTCAGGCTCTTGGTATTCAGTGAAACCTTTATATCCTTTACGGTCCTCAGTCTTCAGGAAAGGTAGAACAGACTAATGGTCTTTTAAAAACACACCTCACCAAGCTCAGCCACCAACTTAAAAAGGACTGGACAATACTTTTACCACTTTCCCTTCTAGAATTCACGCCTGTCCTCAGAATGCTACAGGATACAGCCCATTTGAGCTTCTGTATGGACGCTCCTTTTTATTAAGCCCCAGTCTCATTCCAGACACCAGACCAACTTGGACTATGCCCCAAAAAACTTGTCACCCCTTCTATCTTCTGTCTAGTCATACTCCTATTCACCGTTCTCAACTACTCATACGTGCCCTGCTCTTGTTTACACTGCCGGTTTAGACTGTTTCTCCAAGCCATCACAGCTGATATCTCCTGGTGCTATCCCCAAACTGCCACTCTCAACTCTTGAAGTAAATACATAATCTTTGCTGGCAGGACTATGCTGAATCTCCTTAGGCACTCTCTAATTAGATGTCCTGGGTCCTCCCAATTCTTAGACCTTTAATACCTGTTTTTCTCCTTCTCTTATTCGGTTTAGTTTTTCAATTCACATAAAACCGTATCCAGGCCATCACCAATAATTCTAAATGACAAATGTTTCTTCTAACAGTCCCACAATATCACCCCTTACCACAAAATCTTCCTTCAGCTTAACCTCTCCCATTCAAGGTTCCCACGCCGCCCCAATCCCGCTCGAAGCAGCCCTGAGAAACATCACCCATTATCTCTCCATACCATCCCCCAAAATTTTTGCCGTCCCAACCCTTTACCACTATTTCATTTTATTTTTCTTATTAATATAAGAAGACAGGAATGTCAGGCCTCTGAGCCCAAGCTAAGCCATCATATCCCCTGTGACCTGCACGTACACATCCAGATGGCCGGTTCCTGCCTTAACTGATGACATTCCACCACAAAAGAAATGAAAATGGCCTGTTCCTGCTTTAACTGATGATATTATCTTGTGAAATTCCTTCTCCTGGCTCATCCTGGCTCAAAAGCTCCACTACTGAGCACCTTGTGACCCCCACTCCTGCCCGCCAGAGAACAACCCCCTTTGACTGTAATTTTCCTTTACCTACCCAAATCTTATAAAACGGCCCCACCCCTGTCTCCCTTTGCTGATTCTCTTTTCGGACTCAGCCTGCCTGCACCCAGGTGAAATAAACAGCCTTGTTGCTCACACAAAGCCTGTTTAGTGGTCTCTTCACATGGACGCAAGTGAAAGCTCTCCAATTAAATTGGACTTAAAAATATTAAGGAGTCTACTTCCAATAATACAGAGAGCACTGATAGTCCATAATGTGAACTGTTTAAAAAGCTATCAAAAATATTTGTATTGAATACACCTCATCAACCACTTATAAGAGGCAAGGAACTTTTGAACATTTTTGGAAAACTGAGGAATATAATCTTATTGGTTGGTTGCTCCTATATTATTGGACAAAGTAATAAAAGAAACAGATGAGTTCAAGAATATAAATTTCCAGCTCCAGATGCACACAAATCACCTAAAAGCTTCTAAGTGTGCCCTTAACGAGAAACTTCTTCCCTGTAGCCACAGGATTGAATCTGCTGAAAGTCAAAAGCTATCACTCATCATGTGACTGCCTGAATTACGGTGAAAGTCGAATTCTCAGCCTTGCAGGGTATCTACTGTTAAAGTGAGAGCATTGATTGGGAAAGAATGGAATCCTGTAAGTTGAGATTGGAATGTGTGGGAAGATCCTGAGGAAACTAGGGACATTGAGCATTCAAATTCTGATGAGTCTTTCTTGCTGGATAAAGTGACTTCCCCACCCCACCCCTAGTGGTATTGGTCTTCCCTCCCCTGTTCTGAAGTAATTAACTCTTCATTGCCTTAGAAAATAGCTATGGCCTCTCCTGGGTTGCCAAGCAAGACAGTGCTGTTTCTCTTCAGGACCTACCTCCACCACCCCTCCTCTTTGCTTCTAGACTTATAACCAGACTCATGTACCAGCAGCCCCCAAAAGCGAGGTACAAAGTGCAACCCCTGAGGAGGTGTGCTACACTTCACTAAACTACTTGAGGTTTCTGTTTGTTTTTAATTTATTCAAGCAGAAATCTAGAGAACACATGTGGAAATAGATATTATGAGCGTGGGATAGTAGTAGAAGAAACATAAAGTTGGATTAGGCTGAATTTATTGATATGACCCACTAATCAGAGATTCTGCATTTATGTTGCAGCTGAAAGAGTTAGAAAAGGTGCTAACAGTTTGGTTGGTTGGTTGGTTGGCTGAAACATGAATCTTGGGGAATGACAGTGGATTATCATAAGCTTAACCAAATGGTGACTCCAATTGCAGTTGTTATACCAGGTTTGGCTTTATTTCTTGAGCAAATTAGCACAACTCTGGTACCTATGGGTGAATTGCAGCACAGGCCTTTAGGAGTTTGGAGAAAGGCCCTGCCATCATTTGCAGATAATTACTATCTTTTTGAGAGACCACTCTTGGCCTACTATGAAATGTTTGACAAAGTTACCATGCAACCTGATCTGCCAATCATAAACTGAGTTTGCTCTAACCCACCAACCCATAAAGTTGGATGTGCATAGCAGTACTCCATCACCAAATGGAAGTGGTGTAAATGTGATTGGGTCTGAGAAGGTCTTGAAGTGACAAGTAATTACATAAAGAAGTGGCCCAAATTCCCATAGTTCCTATACTTGCTCTCTTGCCTTCTCTCTCCCAGCCCGCACCTATGGGCTCATGGGGTGTACCCTATGATCCAACGACAGAACACTAGGACCTGGTTTACAGATATTCTGCTCTGCATATGCAGCTACTACCCAGAAGTGGACATTTGCAGCACTATGGCCTCTTTCTGGGACATTCTTTGTGGACTGTGGTAAAGAGAAATCTTCTCAATAGGCAGAACTTTAGGCAGTGAACCCAGCTGTATACTTTGCTTTGAAGGAGAAATGGCTAGATGTGTAATTATATGCTAATTCACGGGCTGTAGCCAACTGTTTGGTTGGATGGTCAGAGTCTTGAAAGGGACATGATTGAATATTTAATGACAAAACAAATTTGAGGAAAAGGTATGTGGATAGACACCTCTGAATGGGCAAAGGATATGAAGATATTTGTGTCTCATGTGTATGCTTACCAAAGGGTGACCTCAGCAGAGAAGGGCTTTAATTATCGAGTTGGTAGGATGACCTATTTTGTAGATACCAGTCAGCACCTTTTCCCAGCCACCACTCTGATTTGCCAGTGTGCTCATGAACAAGGTGGCCACGGTGAAAATAATGGAGTTGATGCATAAGCTCAGCAACATAAATTTCTACTCACCAGGGCCAACCTGGCTACAGCTATCACTGAATGCCCCAACTGCCAGCAGCAGAGACCAATGCTGAGCCCCAATATGTCACCATTCCTCAGGGTAACCACCTAGCTACCTGGTGGCAAGTTGATTACATTGAGCTGTTTCAGTCATGGAATGGGAAGCATTTGTCCTTACTGGACTCACTTGCTGTAGATATGGATTTGCCTTCACTGCATGCAAGGATCCTGCCAAAACTACCATCTACGGACTTACAAAATGCCTCACCCACTGTCATTTTATTCCACACAGCATTGATTCTGACAAAGAAACTTGCTCCACAGCCAAAGAAGTATGGCTTATGCTCATGCAATTCACTGGCCTTACCATGTTTCTGACCATCCTGAAGCAGCTGCTCTGAGAGAATGATAGAATAGCCTTTTGAAGATACAGTTACAGGACCAGGTAGGTGACAATATTTTGCAGATTGGGGAAAGGTTTTTCAGAAGGCTTTATACTCTCTAAGTCAGCATCCAACATATAGTAGTTTCTTCCACAGACAAGATTCACAGATCCAGGAATCAAAGGATGGAAATGGGAGCGATACCACTTACCATTACCCATAGTGACCCATTAACAAATATTTTCCTTCCTATTTCTGTGACTTTATATTCTGCTGGCCTGAAGGTCTGAGTTCCAGAGGGAGGAATGCTTTAAGCAGGAGACACAATGATTCAATTGAACTGGAAGTTAAGGTTATCACCCAGCCATTTTGTATTCCTCATGACTCTGAGTCAACAGGCTAAGAAGGGAGATACACTATTGGGTGGAATAATTGATTCAGACTACAAAGTGGAAATTGGACTACTACTCCACAATGAAGGTAAAGAAGAGCATGTCTGGAATACAGGAGATCTCTTAAAGTGCCTCTTAGTCTTACCATGTCCTATAATTAATATCAATGGGAAACTACAATAACCTAATTTAGGCAGGATTACAAATGAGCCAGACCCTCCAAGAATGAAAGTTTGGATCAAACTGCCAGAATAAGAACCATGATTTTCTTATGGTTCTTAAGAAACATAAGAAACAAGTAGCTACCAAAATGTGGTCAGTTACAGAAATGAGAATTGTCATTATCATAAATATTTTCCCCCTGTATTGCTAAGGATGTATTTATGTGTTTATATATTCATATATTAAGAAAATACCTTTTTCCCTCTCACTCGTTTATCATACAATATAAGATTTATCAACTTTGTACCAGTATTTAGGTATTGCTAAATTTACATAATAGTATTTAAATTATGGGATATCAGGAGAACAGTAAACGTCACCCAAGAACTTTACCTCCTCTTCTGGGGATGGAATTATTGCATTTTTTATTGTATATAAGATAGCTGTATCATGTTAAGTAAAACTGTAACCTTGTTGTTGTCTTTATTTGCAGATTAAGTATAATTTAAGGAGATGCCGTATGGGTGCTAAGTTGAGAAGGGGTGGTCTCGTTATGCTTAATTTTAGGTGTCAGCTTTACTGGAGAGAGAGATGCCTCCATGAGTGGTGAAGTGTTTCCGGGTATATCTGTGAGGGTGTGCTCCACAGGAGATCTGCATGTGAGTCAGTGGACTGAGCGGGGAAGATTGTACTCAATGTGGGCAGCTATCATCCAATGAACTGTGGGCCAGGATGGAACCAAAAGGTGAAAAAAGGATGAATTCTCTCTCTCTCTCTTCCACCTGGCCCCTCCCCCCACCCCCACCACCCCACCCACCCCTTCTGGAATAAGTCACTGTTCTTCTCCAGTACTTGGACATTGAAACTCCAAGTTCTTCAGTCTTTGGACTCTGGAACTTGCATCAGCAGCCTCCCAGAGCTCTCAGGCTTTCAGCCTTAGACTAAGTTACACCATTGGCTTACTCGGTTCTTGGGCTTTCCAACTTGGACTAAGCCATGCTGCCATCTTCTCTGGTTCTCCAGCTTGCAAATGGCCTATTGTGGGACTTCTCAGCCTCCATAATTGTGTGAGCCAATTCCCCTAATAAATCCCCTCTAATATAGCTACATATCTATCATCTATCTGTCTATCTATCTATCTATCTATCTATCTTCTATTGGTGTTCTCTCTCTGAAAAACTAATACAGCAATATATTTTTACATTAATATACTATATATTTACATATGTAGAATATATGTTAGCTATATATTTATATTTATATACTATATATTGAACTGATCTGCACTATAACAGTGTAATATATTATACTTGCTCTGTGAAAGACATGGATTCGCCACTGTGAGAGGGAAAAGATAATAACTGGCATTTACATCTTGTAAATGTTATTATCCAAGCATCTTGTATATGATTAAATTTCTCTGAATCATTACAGTGTGGATATCATTAACCCATTTTGCAGGAGAAATGAAAATGTAACTTGTTCATGTAATTTGTTCTAGTTTTTGCTACTAGTGAACAGCCCAGCTAGTGTTAGAACCATGTGATTTGTTCATTGACAGGGAGACAAAGAAGGATAGCTGTGTTCCCTGCCATCTAGTAACTTACAGTTACGTTGTGGAAATAAGACATACACAGTAAAAGGTTGGATGATAAAACAAAACCATATAAGAAATGTCCTGGGTAATAAAAATGACTAATTCCATAAAGAACAGTATAAACAATAAGTACGTGGAGTTTGGCAGAAAGAGAGCTTCCTTTCTTTCAATTGCTCCCAGCCATGCTGCCTGAAATCCTCTTCTCCATTTTCTCTTCCTCCTAGGTGTTTATATTCACCACAAACCTCTGGGCAATTATTCTTCCCCATCAGCTTGTCATTTACTCAAGTTCATTACACACTTGGCCTCTGACAGTTCCTAAGAACGCAATACTTTCAACCTGCCACAGACCATATTTTCTTTCATTTTGCTGAGCTCTTTCCAACAGCCTTACATCTTTCTGGAACTCTGCCTCTCCAGCAAGCAAAAGAAACAAACCAGATAAAGGAAATCAAGAGTGGTCTGAAATAAACTTTCTCAGTTCTTCTTCTGCTTTCTGTATTTCATAATTGGGGTATTTAATCACACATGTTTATTATAGAGAGCAGAGCTTAGAGTGAGCAAACTACTTGCCAATCAGTGACTAACACAGGACATGTGAGGAAGGAAGTAGCTTTAGTGAGAGGAGAATGAAGTCATTAAAACATGAAAATAGTGTGTAAAACTTTAAAGATCTTCAGTTACTTAAATAGTGAGTGTTTTTGAAGTATTATTTCAGTTAGTTCCTTCCTTCTAGAAGAATGTCTGACTCCTACAGAAGTTGTTTCTGTAACACAGGTAACACAGTAAGATGAATATATCTCGAGTACGACCTGCCTTACAAAAAAAGGAAAAAAAGTCACATATTTTTGTTTTTAAAATATTTTGTTCTTAGTATATTGCTACTACCAAAAAAAAAGTTATCTATAGCCTGCCTACTTTCAAAAGAGGATTGTAGCATTTTATAGTACAGAAGATGGTTGTAGCATTTTATATACATGCATAAATCCAACAGCGTAAGGTTGCGCAGCTATTACAATTGAGCATTAAATCTAGCTCTGAGTTCCTAGTAGCCAATGGGAAAAAAAGAGCAAAAAGGTTCACGTTTTTATTTGATAATAAAAAAGGATCTGATATCACTATGAATGACTCAAATTTTACTGATTCTATATAATAAGGCACTTACTTTGTAGACGATTCTCCACCAACATTATCTTATTTCATCAAAATGATAGCCAGCACTAATTAATATAGTACTTATTCCATGCCAGGCACTGTTCTAAGAGCTTTCTACACATATTAACCAATATACTCTTCAAAATAACTTTTGCTATAGCCACTACTATTATCCTCATTTTACAGGTGAGTAAATCAAACCACATAGCCAGGCATGGTGGCGGATGCCTGTAATCCCAGCACTTTGGGAGACTGAGGTGGGTGGATCACCTGAGGTCAGGAGTTCGAGACCAGCCTGGCCAACATAGTGAAACCCCATCTCTACTAAAAATACAAAAAATTAGCCGGGTGGTGACAGGTGCCTGTAATCCCAGCTACTCAGGAGGCTGAGGCA
This sequence comes from Homo sapiens, assembly GCF_000001405.40. Taxonomy (NCBI): domain Eukaryota; kingdom Metazoa; phylum Chordata; class Mammalia; order Primates; family Hominidae; genus Homo; species Homo sapiens. The sequence continues at coordinate 82,054,734 of NC_000014.9, read as the reverse complement.
GGAGAATCACTTGAACCTGGGAGGTGGAGGTTGCAGTGAGCCGAGGTCGTACCATTGCACTCCAGCCTGGCCAACAAGAGCAAGATTCCGTCTCAATAAATAAATAAATAAATAAATAAATAAAAGCACAAAGAATTAAGTGATTTGTCCAAGGCCTAGTAATCGATGGAAATGGGACTCAAACCTAAGCCTGACTCCAGGATTTAAACTCTTAATCACAAGGCTAGACTAGTCCGCAGTTTAATTGTCTATATTGGGATACTAAGAAGGATGAGAAGAAAGTGACTTAAACAGGTGACTAAGACAAAAATTGCCAGACTCAGGGTTCAAACCCAGAACTAACTAGTTCCAAAGTCCCACTGCATTTCATTGTGGGTATCCATGGGTCTTTATGCAAAAAGACCCAAGAACTTATATATATGCTATGTCGGTGTTCTGGTATTCACGTTTGATAAACATTGAGGGTGTTACATTAAAACTTAACTCACTAAAGATATGTCTAGAGAAGGTTAAGTTAAAAAGGTCCAGGAATCGTACTTTTTGGTGACATAATCTAATTCCGAGAATTTACTTAGTCTTGGAAAAATAGTTGAAAAAAAATAGTCCTGTAAAATCCCATAAGGCAACATTTTTATCTCTTAGTGTTTTGGTAGAAGCTGGATATCAGCTGTGGAAAGCAGATTCACATGTTCTGGTTATGCAAGGAGGCAGAGAGAATGTTTATATCTTACCATGAGAATTGAATATTTTACCTGAAATTCCAACAGGCTATCAGAATGTATAGTGTATTGAGCTATGGGGTAACCTAAAAGAAGATTAAGTTAATTCAACCAAGTATGTACATTGAGTAAAGACATTTGTTACACCCCCTAAATCCAGGTACTATACCTATATTTCCAAGTCTCTCACACTTAAGTGGGGCCACTGATAAGTTCTGGCCAATGAGTGGAGCGTGATGTGGATCACTTCCAGGACAGAGCCTAGAGGAGCCAATGTATGTTGTGATCCTTTGCTCTGGTAACACTGGAGGCTAGTGTTGAGATGATGAAACCACAAGTTATTAGGGCTTCCCATTAGCATGGGGTTTAGGGTGGTTATATGGAGAAGAGTTTTCTACCAACTGTGTGGGACATACAGGATGAGACAGAAATTAACCATTGTTGGTGGTTTTCTTGTTGTAAGGTCATTGATATTTTAAGTCTAATTTGTTTTTTGGAGCAAAGCCTATTTTATCCTGACTAGTATAACACTTCAATACTCCACAGGGAAGGACTGCATCTAAAAGCCTAAATCATTTTGAAATTTCCTAGAAATACATATTTTAAAATTTTGTTGTAAAGAGATATTTAACTTTCCATTCATCTTACCTTATTTCTACATATAATATGACATTTATAAAATGAAACATTGTTTTCAAAATGAATGTATGTGCCAAAGTTTTAAGCTTTGAAGTACTATTTGCTGCTCCTTTCTTTTTGTTTTTTAGTCCAGTTTTATTCTACACGTTATATACACCTACATCTATGACACATTTTTCTCTAAAATCAAGTGGATGGGCTTTTCTTCTGCCACAAAACTAGTAGATTGTTGTTCTGCCATTTTAAAAGTGTCAAAAATCTCAGTTCTAATCTACAGCTTGTCACAACTTAACTTACTCTACAGACATGTCTTTGGAGTAGGTACAGTTAAAATATTTAAAAAAAACCAGCATATGTAATTATACCCTTGGGAACTGTCTCATATCTCAACCAGCAGGTGGCAATTTTATCACATTATATGTCCCATTAGGTAAGCAATGGCCTAAATGGTGTAAAAAGATGATTTTTTTCCTGGCAAGTTGGCAAGTTTGTGCTTTAAAAAAAAAGGGGGGAATGAAGCTCAGGACTATGAGTGAGAAGAGAAGCCCTCCATTCTCTGGATGGCAAGAAAGTCATTGCTCTCTTGGTACCTGTGGTTGTGTCAAGTGTATAGCAGGTGAGTTCTAAGCTGCTGTGCACTAACCACACCCACGGGTATGCAAGGGTATAACAGCAGTCAGCTGAGATCACATAAAGGAGAGTCGTAATTTTAGGGAAGCAGCAGACATTTTCTGTCACTCTGATGTTGGAAATCATATTATTTCTTGGGAAACTACAGACTTTAGGCTAAACCTTTTCCTTTCATAAAGGCTTTCAGCTTTTTGTTCAACATTTTCATGATTTTTCTATTCATAATGAATATCTACTTAGTGGTTCTCAAATTTTAGTGCAGCAGAATCCCAGATCTGGGTCCCATCCCAAAAGTTACTGATCACAGTATGTATGGAATGGAGCCCGATAATCTACATTCCTAGCGAGACCCCAGGTGATGCTGATGCTGCTTCTTCAAGGAACACACCTTGAAAACCCTTGATCTACTATGTGTCAAGCCCTGGGATAATCCTTGCAACACAACAGTGAAGAAATATAGTTGCTGCCTGACATAAGCTAATTGTAAGAAATTTGACAAAACAAACTTTTCAAGCTTCACCATTTGTTGGCTATAAATGAGGATAATTTAATCTCATGGGTTTACTGTCAGGTTATTAAAAATATAATACATGCAAAGATTTTATGCAGTACTTAGAAAATAAAAAGCACTCTGTATGATATCTCATAAGGATTTGAGCATCCCGGAAGGGAGACAGACATGTAGGCAGTCAACTACAATGCTGTGTAAGGAGGGATAGAGTCTATCTACTCCAATTTCAACTTAAGCTGAAGTGATCACTCACCAGGAAGCCCTTTCAACAGCTCCTTCTCCCCCTTCCTACCAAGGACAGATACAGGAAGGGAATTAACACCTGTAAGTATTAGCAGCTGTAATATTGATTATTCTTTCAGGTATGAGTAATGAAAACCCACCTTAAACAAGCTTAGGCAAAATACACACACACACACACACACACACACACACACACACACACACACAACAAACAAACAAACAACCACTTAATTGGCTCATGGAACTGAGAAGTCCAGAGGTAGAAATGACTTAGGTCTCAATTAGATCCAGGCGTTTCCTTGATACTTTCCATTTCTCTCTTTCTCATCATTTCTCTCTTTCTCTTTTCCTCTCTCTCCCTTTCCTTCTCTTTCCCCATTGGCTCAATATTAGGCCCTACTTCCCTCTATGCTGTCTTGATTATTACACAGGGTCTCCCTATGAGTTTGATGACTGTGGAGAGGCCCTGCTTGGATTAGGTGCTCACCTGTAGTGGTTTGAATGGTGGCCCCCAAAAGATATGTTCACCAGAACCTGCGTATGTGATCTTATCTGGAAAAGGGCCTTTGCAGATCTACTTGAGTAAAGGATCTCTGGATGATATCATTTTGGATTAACCAGCTGGCTTCCTCACTCCAATGACATGTGTTCATATGAGATGCAAAAGGAAGAAAACACAGAGGAGAAGGCAATGTGAAGATGGAGGCAGATATTGGAGTGAGGTGTCTACAAACCAAGGAACATAAGGGATGGCCAGCAACCACAAAATAGGAGACAGGCGTGAAACAAACTCGCCTTAAGAGCCTCCAGAAGGCATGATGCCTACTGACACCTTGATTTTGGACTTTCAGTTTCCAGAACTCTGAAAGAGTACATCTCTGTTATTTGAAATCACTCCATTTGTGATTATTATGGCAGCCCTAGGACATTAATGCAGCATCTTTTGAACCCACTGCTGAGTAAGTTTGGTCAGGCATGGCTGAATTCCTTGCCCAGCCCTTTAAGCAGAAGACAAAGGGAAAAAAAACTGTTATTGACAGCCTCATCAGAATGAGCCCAAACAAAAACAATACTGATGATGATGATAGTTAACATTTATTGAGTTTTATTATAAGTGCTCTATATTTGTTACCTCATTAAATTTCACAACCATCATATGAGGTATATATTATTATTATCCACATTTGCATAAAAGAAACTAAGGATCAATGAGACTAATTAATTTAATGGACACTTACAAAAAATATTTCATTTGTTCTGTATTTTCAACACATCTCATACGAAAAAGTTTGTGTCTAATGTTGCCGAAACAATTGGATACCGCTGGCACTTCTAAAAGACATTTCTAAAAGACCTGCTGGGCTGAAAATAATTGAAGCCAGACCCTGCACCATAGCCCTTCTCCTTAGCTGCATTGCATCTAGCTAGCTGGAGAACAATTATCTTAATCCCTATCTTTTCTAGACTCCAAAATGTCACATGAAAGAGTAACCATCCATCAGTTAGCCTTATGGCATTTAATTAATAACTCAGCTTAATTCATGTAAAGTCCTAAAAGAGTCCACTAACCTGGGGACAAGGGTACACTGAATTTGGAAGATTGTTGGCAATGTCTGAGTTCATGATCTAAGAACTAAGTTAAGTAATAGTGGTTCGTTCCCATCTTCCACTCTGCATTTAAACTCAGGAGCTTTGTGATGACTTCCTGACTGCTGGAAAAGAAATTGAGAGTGCCTAGTGCAACAAGTCTCTAACTGTAATAAAACTCATGGTTGCTACCAAAATTGTGTCTAAACTGAGAGCCAGTGTGATAAATAAGAAAAAACATGGGCCTGTAAGACACAGTGACATGGGATCAAATCTGATTGTGGCTACAATTACTGGTTAATTTCCAGTTACTGCTCCCAACCCCTCCATTCCATTCTCTACACTCCTATAATCTACTCTCTGCCCTGGGACACTGGCCCCATTAGCTCCCTTGAATGTTGGCATTTGGTTGGGTTTATCCAATGGAAAATAATTGCAGTACATAAGGCAGCAAGAAATGAGAGGGGCTGGGTTTCTTTTCCCTTCTTCCATACCACATTGCAGGCAGTAGCAATGAGCAACACCTGCAAGCCTTCACTACTAGCGTCCCCACCAGTCTTCCCATTCCTCTCTAGTTCTAGTTCTCATTGGGTGCTAATTTCCTCCCTTGGTCTCTGAGGCTGCCAGAAGGAACCTTGTCCTTCCTTTTTCACTCCCTTTACCCCACCCACATCTCTCTCTATATATAGGTCATCATTAACCTCAGTGCATTTGAACCATCTGGGAAGAATTATTTCCTGCCAATATCCTGACTGATATAGCTACTCACTTATCAGCCATATAATCTTGATCCTTTACCTTTCTTTAGTATGGTTTACTGTTTGGTCTACTGAAAAAAAATAGGGATAATATTTGCAGTATTCTTATAGATAATATACGTTACATGCTGTCTGGTACCATGTTTGTTAAGCTCATGGCTTACACTAGACACCTGATACAGGGCAACAGAAAATAGAAAAAATGCAAGCTCTAATGTGTTATTATATGACATACACTGAATATAATATTTCAGTTCTCATTAGCTTATGATGCCCATGATTATACAGATCCTTTGTTTTACCCTTCTGTTTATTTTACAGGAATTTGGTTGTGTTCTACTCATCTGCATTACATCAGTAGAAATGAAAAAGAAATATGTGGAATTAAATGTAACTGAAAAAAATTACTAAGCATCTACCCTATGTCATGCACTGTAGTCCCCACAAGAAACACAATGATGGGAATGAAGTGATTCCTGCCTTACAGTACCTCAAGCTAGTGGGAGTTAACTGCTATTTTTTATTTAGTTATTTCCTCTTTTGATGTAAACTTTAAATTTACACACAATGAAACATACTAATGTTAAGTATGCACTTGTCTTAAGAAATGTACACACCTATGCAACCCAAACCTCTATCATGATATCAACCCCTAAATTTTTTCATGTCAATTCCCAGATTCCCCCTGCCCCCATTCCTCCACTGTTCCGGTTTATTTTCTCATATATTAATTTTCTTCCTCCCTTGTATATGAAATTTCTTTATTTTCTGGCTGCTTCAAGATTTCCCCAATACCCTTGGTTGTCAACAGTTTGATTATGCAATGCTTTTGTTATTGTTATCATTTTATTGCCTCATAGGTCCCCAAAGTCCTGTTCATTTTTTTCAATCTTATTTTACCTGTCTTCAGATTAGTCTTCTATTAACCATCTTTAAATTAACTCATGACTCTATCTTCTCCATTCTGCTGTTAAACCTATCTAGGGAATTCTAATTTTGCTTCTTCTATTTCAGTTCTAGAATTTCCATTTATTTCTATTTCTCTACTGAGATTTTCTATGTTTCTCATGTATTATTAACTTATTTTCCATGACTTCATTGAATATAATTATAATAGCTGCTTTAAAATATACATCTGCTAACTCCAACATCTGGATCATCTCATGGTTGATCTCAATAGAATTTTCTTTATTATTATTTTTTGAGATTGGTTGTCCAGGCAGAGAACAAATTTGTATTACATCCCAGACATTGTAAATATTGTGTTGTAGAGACTCTACATTCTGTCATGCTCCTCAAAAGGGTATTGATGTTTTTGTTTTTACAGGATATTAACTTGGTTACACTAAATATGCAAATTATGTCTCTTGAGTAGCAGCTCAATTTCAGTTCAGTGTTTCATCACTAGCTAGGAAGCTTTGAGTCTTTCTGCACTTGCACAGATCAGGGGTCAGCCAGGGGCTTGAACAGTATTTTTACAGAGAATTTGGAGCTCCCTTTCTCTGGCTTTCTATATCTCAGGAGTCCCTCCCTCATTGTCATGGCTATATTCCCCCACCTCTGCCCTCTGTTTTTCAGGTCAAAAAGACTTCAGATTTTTATCATAGTTTTAACCACTGCATACATTGCTGACCTTGGCCTGCCCTCAGAATAAAAGCCATAAAAACAGGAAACTCATTTTACTCTGACCCCTTCTAACAATTTTTGACCTCTCCTCCTGAATCTGCTTCCTGTTTTTCACTCTTCAGTAACTTCAGGTCATCGTTTTCTTGTATCTTATCTGAAGATTAAGTTGTTACCAGTAGAAGGGTTGTTTGGAGAAGAAATTAAAGAAATAAGATATAAAACATGAAATTGGTGTATGCAATTGATAGATGTTTTCTTATGATAAGGTAAACTGTAAGAAGTAAGCAGTGCTGTTGAATACATGGGGGGTTAGTACACCTAATGTAAATTAGTGAATCCATCAGAAAGAGCTTTCTGTTAGAAAATCATCTAAGCTGAAATTAGAAAGATGTGTAGGAATTAGCTGAGCCAAGGAATGCTTGGAGTTAGAAAATTTCTGATTTAAAAAAATGTGGGTCTTTTTGGTGTGGGAGACAGCACTAAATCTTTCTAAGAGAAGATTCATTACTCACTGAAATATAAAGTTGGAGGTTTCAAGTAGTAATTCAGCTATCTTGGGTTTAAGAGACTTATAACTGTAAAGTTTTTAAAACCTCTTCTTATCTAGGAAAAATTACAATACGACTGTAGCTTTATATATAGCTTATTCTCAGAGAAATGCTAATGTAACTACATAGTTTGATACGCAAATTAGGCTGACTTTCTTGTATGTTATTAAAAGTAGACTCATTTCTTTTTATCATTTGCTGCATAAACACTTTAAAAAATAAAAGTTATAAAAATTCAAGGTCTTCACATCAACTTATGTGTATCATTGTAGTTCAGTCCAAGTAGATAAAGACATGAAAGTTAATATTACTAAAGTTGTTGATGGGATAAAAGTTATTCCAAGTTAAGGCAAGAAAACAGAGTTGACATTTCTGACTAGACATTCAAGAAAGAATGTGTCCTTGCCCTACTATGATATGAACAGCAATGGTACAAAGTCATAAGAAAATACTTATTGCCTGTTGACTCATCTGTGCCTTGGTACTTTCAAGTTTTCTTTGCTCTGTTCATCTTATAGATAAATAAATTCTTTACAGACTGAAACTGATTCTAGCTGTACCAGCTTTGAAAAAGTATGGAATATATCAATATTCTCTTTTTCTCCTATTGGTGTGGAATGTCCAAAAAGCTCATCAATTGAAACTGGTTTTACAACAGATGCCAAAAAAAAATTACTAGCAATTTCTAAACAAATATTAACAGCCATCAACTATTTGAACACTCAAAAGAGAACAGAAAGCTTGACTATGACTCAAAGGAGAGTGGGCAGCATGATCTATTCTTGTGTTGTTTATAAGTAAACCTAGAAAAAGAATGACCTTCAACAAAGCAGCTCTTTATTACTGAAAAAGAATTATACTGTGCAATGCCACCCGAAGTCACAGAAGCCAGCATCTACCAGAATTGAAAAGAAATAAAGTGATAAACATTTTATAAAAATACTCAGAAGAAAATACCAATGCCGCTGACATACTTAATACTGTTTCTTTATTTGCTAGTATAAATGTTCCTTGTGTGTTTGGGGCATAGTTCAGTTTGATACTAAGCACTGCTTACTAATGACATTAAGAAACATCTAGAGGCTATGTGAGAGTGGCCCATTAAAGGTCTTTATTTTTTTCAGGAGTAATGGACAAGTTATCCCTGAAAGCAGTCATTTTAAGAAAAGACAAAGTCTGGCAGGCAAGGAGAGGACCAAAATTGAGGACAGAATATTATCCAAATTTGTCTTAAAGAGCATCCCCCATGGACTGAGCCAGATCTAAATAGGGAAGATTGTCAGCATACAACTTGAAAGATCTATGTCTAATTGTAAAATGTTGAGAAATGAGGCAGTCAACTTGCTGCCAGACACTGGGACCCCAGAATCAGGGCAGGCTTAAAGGAGGAAGGTGCTGCCACATTAAGACACCAGAGACTCCGCAGAACTGCCATGGAATCATGGCTTCATGGCATACTTCAGAACCAATACCAGGAACCACAGTTGAGGTGGCAGTGGGGAGGGGGCACCCACAGCCCAGCAGACACTGAAGGCTCCAGAGGCAGGTTCCAAACCAGGGGAAGAGAAAGCCGAAAACCATGAGCTCATACTATGACTTCTTTGTGAGCACACATGAGACATGACCTGGTCACTTCCAGAAATAACAAGGAGATTTCTCAGGGTGCAGAAGCCTCACTGAGATAGATAATGATAATTATTATTTATTGAGCAATGACTAGGTATCAGACATTGTGTTAATTGCTTTTCTTATATTCATTCAATACCTACAACAAACCTATAAGATAGGTTCTATAAGTACCACCACGTTACATGTGAATACACTTAGACTCAACTTTTATTTTTAATGGTCTGAGAAAACATAGGTGAGGTACATTTGTAACCAGTAAGGAATTAGAAGGCTGTGCCTTCAACACACTGGAATATTTCACAAGTCTGTTAGCTGAACATTTTCCTGGCATATAACCAGGTGCAAAGTAGATAAATAAACTCAACCATTCAGCACTGGAGATGGGTTCTTGTTTCAGGGGCCCTAGGATACCTTTTGTCTGAGAAGAGCCCTAAACACATTGACATATTTCTTTCACCTCCTGCCAACTTTCTGGTCAATAGCATTGAACTACCTCAGTTTCCTTACCTGTGACACTTCTCCTTATTGATGCAGAATCTTATTCAATACAGAACTGTGTTTGACTGGAGTCTGAAACCGCTTTTAGAATTAGAAAAAGAACAAAGTAACATAAAAAATCAAAGTAAGATAAGTTCTCAAAGTAAGAAAACAGTTAAGTTTCAAAATATGTGATGTAAATTTCATGCAACATTGGATTGCCAATGGCCAACTAAAAATTAAACTGGACAATTTGTAAGTAGTAAGTACAAAATGACACAATTTTCTGTTTAACTTTTAATTTCTTAACATTTGTGTTTCAGTTTACAATACACCAAATATTTTTGCATTCATTATCTTATAGGATTCTTAGAATATTTGCAGGATTTTGGCAAGTGCTCATTAGAGAGGCAGAATAGAATAGAATAGAATAGAATAGAATAGAATAGAATAGAATAGAATAGAATAGAATAGAATAGGAGCCAGAATGTCTGGGTTGCAAATCTGATTTTGCCTTTTATTGTCTCTACAAACTTAACCAAATAACAATCTTCTTAGGACTCAGTTTCTTCAACTATAAAATGGGATGACAATAATAGTAATGAGAAAAGAACTTTTATCTGAGGAATACAAGTCGTTTTAATTATCAGGCCCAGAGAGACAATAAAATGAGACTGCAATCATATCCTACTCTCCCCTTTGAACTATGTATTCATCTATTGAAACTGCATTCTATTGCTGCTGGTAGTTATAGATCAACCTAATAATGCCATACCAGACACTTTAACTCACACTCTACAGCTTAACAATGGATAGCCAATCACTAATCAATGTTATTTCTGTAAACCAATGAGAATTCCTGAAAAACAACTTTGTATCAACCCACTCCCTGTCCCCTTTTTCACTGCCTTTAAAAATTCACTGGTAGCTGTTGCTAATCAGAGTAAATATTCAGGGCAACTTGAATCTATTCTTCCTTCTGGTTTGCAATCCTCAAGTTGGGTTCAGATACATTCTCTGCTTATATTAATTTTGCCTCAGCTTCTTCCTTCTAGACTGACAGTACCTGGTGTGTGGGAGACAAATAGATGACATGCTATATGTGAAGTGGCTGGCACAGTGCTTGGCCCATAATAAACACCTTACTCCATGCCAGGTGCAGCTACCAGTGCTTCACATAATTAATTAATTTAGCCCTCATGACAACTCTACAAAGTAGATACTACTACCCATGTTTCACAGGTCAGAAAGCCAAATCACAACGAGGCTCGTAACTTGCCCAAGTGCATATATTCTCTGCATGTTCAATCTTTTATTCTTTTTTTCTTCTTAGTAGAAGCATTCTCTTGTTTACAGATAAAAAAACAAATCTTATAGAAAGGACCTGCCCATGTTATTTCATTAGAAAGTTGTAGAATTGGAATTTATACCTACATTCTTTACCCTATTCACATGATGAACAGAAGATTATATAATTGTATGAACATTTTATTTCACAAGGTATATGAAAACTCTGTTCTTGTACACCAACATTTATTCAAATGTTAATATAAATATGGCTTATATGAAATAGAGTTTTTAAAAGAAAATGAAAACCTTAAAAATGACTGTTAAAAAAGCAGGCTGACTAATAGGGAACCCTTCAATATACCCCTGAGGAATCAATTTAAAATTCAGGATTCGTGGAATTACTAGATAATTAAGTTGTTTATCAGTGGTTCTTAACATGAATTTATGTTATGAACAATTGTTCTTTTTTTCTTCTTTCGAGCTCCCAACCCACTTGGTATAGATGGAAATAAAACACTCAGTGAATGAATAAACAAACACCAATGAAACAATTATTCTGGACCCACCTCCACACAACTCACTGCAGGAAACCAGCACAGAAGTGCAAATGAAACAAAAATACCAGCATTGATCTAGTACCAACCTACCACTGACAGAAAATCCACAGTCATTCTGTAAACATGGTAAGAACATGTAGTTACTAAAAAGAGTGTGCACTAAGTTCATCCCCAGAATCAAGTGCTATAGATTCTCACAGTTTTTTAAAGGTGCTCTAACCCTTTCTGCTTTGCTTCATTTTTGTTTCACTTTTTCCTTTATTTAATTCTTCCTCTTTTTTCAACATTTTAAATTATTTATGAACAACATTTTTCTAGCATAAGAGTTTGCATAGGGAGTTGAGCCTGTAGTTGCCTGGCCTTTGGTGGGCCATGGTTTCTGTGATTGCCTGTTTGCCATCACTGGGCATGGAAGAAGGAAAGGATACCCAAATTAATCCCCAGGTTTCAGACATACTTCTCCCTCACCCCCGTTATCTGGTAGCAACCCTAGTTTTTCATGGTAATCAAGGCTGATGACATTACTAGTTCATTAGCTTCTTTCTTTGCTTGCTGATCCATTAGTATAAAAAAGCTGAAGAAACTAAACGACAATCATGGTTTAAAGTGCAGTGTTTAAATTATTTACTGTCTCCTGATGGAAGTGTTTCTTTCTGGGAACTGGAAACTATTGGTACAGAGGCTTATGTTGTGGGATGGGAAGCACAAATCTTCAGTTCAAATGGATCCTTTAGAGTTAGGGTGAGATGGACCAATTTTACTCTCCCTTGGTTCTTGAATCCATATATTCCAGGTATTGGGGGCACAGCATTTTATATTGGTCATTGTTTCAGCTCCTGTGCTACACTTTGGAGGTCAGCATCCCAAATCCACACTTGTTAGCCTTGACCTTGTACTCTAGCCAAGTCTTTAACAGACAATCCATCATTATGTTTTTCAGCCAATTCTGGATAATGCCATACACAATAGCTAGTATATCCTTCTTCTTTGCCATCCAGTGGGTTTCTTGATCTAAGGCAATGTCATCAGATCAGGCATTCTAAGTGCCTTCTGAAGATGGTGCTAGCAAATACAAAGGGGGTAATGAAGACAAACTCCAATCTAGAAGAGGTACGTACAGCTCTGGAAAGAAAGAACTTCATCTTCTCCAAGAAACAAGGAAACGTGAAAAATATATGCATTGACCACCCTCCCTTAGGACATTAACTCCCTCGTGCTTCTGGATTGGGCACTAAGATGTACATGTAAATGTACAGCGTCTCCAATCCTCTACATCAAGAAAGCCCAGTGCAGGAAATGAGAGGTTTGAAGCATGAGATGAGCCCACAGATTGCTGGTTGCTTTAGCAGCAGCTGGAATAAAACAGCACAAGGCGAAGATGAACTCAGGCAGCCCATAATATAGGGCTTCCTTTTTAAACAGCACTGTAACTTTAAAAATTATAGTGACCTGTTACATGGTTACAAGACTCATGGACACAGTCATCTAAGAGTAGTAGCAGACATTCATAGCAAACATTCATATGGCAGTTTCTATTTGCCAGATATCCATCTAATGGCTTTACATATATTAAGTCATTTAATCATCACCACCAACCAATGGAAGAATATAATCATGCAGTTGAGGAAGCTGAGGCACAGAGTGGTTAAGTAACTTACTAGCATAATGCTAGCAAGTGAAAGAGCCAGGACTTAAACACAGATTTTCATACTGCCTAAAAGGTAAATGGCTCTGCGACAAGTGTGAAATAAGAGAAAGAGTTAATGTGCAGGCAACTAAAAGCCAGAAAAGAGTTTTGAGCTGAGGATGATCTTGGGAGTAAGGGAGAATGAAGGAGATTTTATCCTAGGACTTACAGAGCTGTATCATCTGCTTGTGACCACAGCAAATGGCCCAGGTTATTGTAGCCTTTGATTTACTGTGTTGGAACTTGTCAAAGCACAAGGTAAATGCCTCTCAGATAAGATGAAAGAAACAAAAATCACAGCTTACATGACTTACAGCAGAAATTCTTAGATATTTTGTTCCATGGATCCCTTTGTCATTCTGGCAACAGAATGACTTTTTTTTTTTTTTTTTTTTTTTTTTTAAGACAAAGTCTCACTTCCATTGCCCAGGATGGAATGCAGTGGCATGATCTCAGCTTACTGCAGCCTTGACCTCCCGGGCTCAAGCAATCCTCCCACCTCAGCCTCCTGAATAGCTGGGACTACAGGCACATGCCACCATGCCTGGCTAATTTTTTGCATTTTTAGTAGAGACAGGGCTTCACCATGTTTCCTAGGCTGGTCTCAAACTCCCAAGCTCAAGTGATCTGCCCATCTCGGCCTCCCAAAATGTTGGTATTACAGGCATGAGCCACTGAGCCTAGCCAGAATATTTTTAAATGCATAATAGGCAACTGATGACAAAGGAAACCAAATGAGTTAACAACATTATTATAAAGAAACAAATTTTATGAAATAATATATGCATCTTCTATATCACACACTAAATGATAAGATCTTGCTGGAGTAACTGCCACAATTTCAAAAACATCTTTCAGATATATGAGACAATCGTAGTAAGAAATATTTCTGGTGTTCTTTTAGTTTGGTGAAGCATAATCGTTATACGAAAGTTGTACATATTTATCGTATACACCTTGATGAGTTTGGACATGAATACATAGCTATGATGCCAACACCACAATCAGGGTATCACCATTTCTATCACCTTCAAAAATCTCCTGTGTTCTTTTGTGCGTATGAGCTTGTTTGTTTGTTTTTTGATTAGAACACAACATGAGATCTATCCTCATATATTTTAAAATGCACAATATCATATTGTTGACTACAAATACTACATTGTACAACAGATCTAGAACTTATTCATCTTGCATAACAGAAACTTTATACCTGTTGAAAAATAATTTTCCCTTTCCCTCTTCCTGACTCCCTTGCAACCACCAATTTATTCTTCATTTCCATGAGTTTGACTATTTAAATATCTCATATAAATGGAATCATGCAGTAGTTGCCCTTCTGTGACTGGTTTATTGTACTTAATATCTTCTAGGTTCATCCATACTGTTGCAGAATTTCCTTTATTTTTACGGCTAATATTCCACTGCACTTCTATACCACATTTGCTTTATCCAAGATGTAAATTTTTTCCATTCAAACTAATCGAGCCCCAAATTCTTTGACACACACTCTGCAGAATCACATAACGCCTGGAGACAGACAGGAAAATGAAAATATTCAGTGTAGGAGCAATGGGGAGGGATTCCACTTCTTAAAGTTCACCCAGTGTCCCTATGCAGTTTAAGCTAAATACGCAAATGGATAAACAGCAGCAAATAGTGATTCCCACACTCCTGTAACTCCAATTATGTGTATGTGTGTGCATGTATTTATTGGTGTATTGAGGTGGAGGATGGACAGACATTGAAATTGATTACATGAATTGCATTGTGTCAAGATCAGCATTATGGTGGTAAGTATTATGTGGGATGTTGACATTTAGAAGTTTCTTATGACAATTTATGCCACTAAAGAGCATCTTCTTGTTACTATATGTTTTATTACATAAGCAATGCTGGCATTCAAGTGCTCCCTAAATTAATTTAGCAAAAAATTAGATGAAAGATTTTCTCTAATAAACTTTCATCTCTTCTTTCCTTTTAATTCTTCACACAACCTATACATACAATAAGAGGAGCTTAAAAATAAAACCATTAAGGCACATTTCTTTCAAGAACCAAAAAGCTAGCAGAAGGGGCAGGAGTATTCAGAGAATGAGATACTAATGTTAAATTGGTGTTTTTCACATACATTTTCGAATCTCCCAAGCAGACATATTCATATTCATCCATAAATACAGAAACAGGATCCAAGGATGAATATAAAATACTTTTGTACCAGCTGCCTCTTGAAGAATACCAAGACTTACTCTTTCAGTGTAATTGAGAGGGGCACTGACATAGAATATAGAGTGGAAATCAGAACTCTTAGTCCTGAATTCTAAGGAGTCCATCTAAACAGTCAGTAAATCTAGGGAGGTTGCATGAACCACTGATTTTATATTTTGTATTTGAAGCCTTGATGTTACTAGAAACTAATAATGATTATAATACTAGGAAGTAATCAATTAATTATCATTGTAATGACTAGTGTAAAATTAAGTTATAAAACAGCTTTAATAAATCAAGAGACATGGACACAATCTAAAAGGGTACTATGGAATTGCATTTTCATTAAGTTGTTAGAGGACACAGTTTACCAATAAGAGATTATCACAGGACTATTATCCAAGGTCATTCCTAGACAGACAAGGTTGTGGAAGGGTCCTGCGACATACAGTCTTCATCCAACTACAATATATTTCCCCATCAGGAACTTGTGTTTAAAGAGTATTTACTGATTAAATACTAGAAGCCTCCAACAAGATCCAAAACTTAGGCTGCCACAAGCCAAAGAGCACCTGGGGCTACCAGAAGTGGGAAGAAACAAGCAAAGACCCTTCCCTCGGGGCTTGGGAGGAAGCATAGCCAAGCTGACACCTTGATTACAGACTTCTAGCCTCCAGAACTGTGAGAAAATACGTTTCTTTTGTTTTAAGCCATTACATTTGTGATAATTTATTATAGTAGAACTAGAAAATAAATTCCTTAGGAGTTTTGACTTAGGCCAGAAAGAAATGCCACCAGCGAGATTTGATAGGGGAGCAATACAATCAGATTTAAAGCTTAAAATGATGACTGACTACACTGGAAAATAAAGACTGGCAGGGGAGCAAGATTTGTTGAACAGAAATTAAAGATTGTAGCAATAAAACCGGAAGTTATGTAGCTAAGAATTAGACCCGGTCATATCCCATTAGAGTTGTTCTAGCAAAAGCACTATGGCTTCTGCTGCTTGGCTGCAACACTTTAGCTCAAATGAAGACACTCCACATTGGAAGCCAAACATCCTGTGACTTCTTCTCCTGAAGAATTCAACCTGTCCACCACTACCTGAACCCAAAGATTGATCTTGCATATGCTTTGTCTTCATTGTCCTCCTCTTGGGGAAAAAGGTCTCCTGTCATGTAACTTAGCAATACAGAAAGTTGTGTAAACAAATTCTAGTGTCCACTTTAGTGTGACTTATTCAGAATGTAAACATTTCCAAACACAGGAGGAAATTTTAAATCTCTACAATGCCTAGTAAATGGAATTATCAAACCACTCACTCTGTATTTATCTATTTATCTATTTATTTATTTATTTATTTATTTATTTATTTATTTATTTATTTGAGACAGAGTCTCACTCTGTCGCCCAGGTTGGAGTGCAGTGGCACGATCTCCACTGACTGCAACCTCTGCCTCCAGAGTTCAAGTGATTCTCCTGCCTCAGCCTCCCGAGTAGCTGATTACAGGTGCCTGTAATCCAAGGGACTACAGGTGCCCACCACCACACCTGGCTAATTTTTTTTTATTTTAAGTAGAGACAGAGTTTCACCATATTGGCCAGGCTGATCTTGAACTCCTGACCTCAGGTGATTCACCTGCCTCGGCCTCCCAAAGTTCTGAGATTACAGGTGTGAGCCACCGCAACCAGCCCCGTCATTTAATATACTTGTTCTCGCAAAGTGCTGGGATAACAGGCACGAGCCACCATGCCTGGCCACCACTCACTCTTTAACCAGAAATCTGGGATTCATATTTAATTTCTCTCTTCTTTTATCTCCCTGTCCAATCAATATTCAAATTATGTTGATTTTATAAGCTTGACCAGGTATGGTGGTTCATGCCTG
Organism: Homo sapiens; assembly: GCF_000001405.40. Lineage (NCBI taxonomy): Eukaryota > Metazoa > Chordata > Mammalia > Primates > Hominidae > Homo > Homo sapiens. The sequence continues at coordinate 82,037,740 of NC_000014.9, read as the reverse complement.
TAATCCCAGCACTTTAGGAGGCCAAGGGTGGTGGATTGCTTGTGTCCAGAAGTTCCAACATGGTGAGACTCCATCTCTACAAAAAAAATACAAAAGTTAGCCAGGTATAGTGATGCATGCCTGTAGTCCCTACTACTTGGGAGGCTAAGATGGCAGGAGGAGGATGGCTTGAACCCAGAACCCAGGAGGTTGTAATGAGCCAAGATCATGCCGTTGCACTCCAGCCTGGGTTATAGAGTGAAAACTTGTCTTTAAAAAGGGGGTGGAGCTTGGTGTCCTATCTCACTCACTCAACATGGTAGAGAACATAGATAACATCTGTGCAATAATCAACATAAACAACTCATTCCCATGAGGGGTTCAGAGATACGACCTTCATGACCTAGCCCTTGCCTGCTTCTCTGAAGTCATACTCCTCATCCTATACTAATCTTTAGCCACCGTGGCCTGCTCTCTGCTTTTTGAATAGCCCGAATTATTTCCTACCTCAGGATTTTTGTATATCCCCATCACCTACCAGGAACATCCTTTTCTCCATTCTTCTAGTGGATATTCATTTTCAGATTTTTGCTTCAATGTTTGTTTCTCAGGAAAACCTTTAGAATATGTAGTTTCTCCCCAATTTACTGATGCAGAACAATGTACATTTTTCCTTCACAGTAGTTACCATGTAGGATCATATTTGAATTTTAAAGCAGATAGCTCTAGGAGGTTTCTCCTAAGCAATAGGTACTAAAAATTTTCTAATTGTTATTAATATCATCCTAATAAAAAATGACCTCACCTTTGCTGTTGGTTTCATCTTTCCTAAGGAAAAATAATCCAGCTGGCATGCACATGTAATTCAATATGCCACCTACTTTATTTCTCTGATGTCTGCTCTACCTCCAGCAAGTTTTGAGGCTCAGTCACTGGGGTGACAGAGATGCAATGTTGAAAGGATTTGAGCATTGAAAGGCTGATTTTATTCAGACTATATATATATGCATCTAAGATTGGCCAGTCAAATTCACTATGATGTTGCTACAAAATTCTTTGATGATGGCTATTTGGAAACATAAGTCCTGTCTTTTATAAATGGGGCCTGGTACTTCTTGGGGATTTAGAATAATCTTTAATGATATATGCTGAATTTAGCAGAGCAAAGAAAAGGGCACACTCACCCTGATGGGGCATCTCTTAATAAAAGTGGAATGTTAAAAATTTACTTTAACATTTTGTAAATTCTTTCCCAGGCATTTATGGCTGAACATTGCCTTAAAGAGAGCTCTGCTGCCAATTACTTTCTTTATTGCCAATGGTTTAACATAAATAAGATGCATTCTCATATAATTGCATATTCACATTGCTTCACAAAATATAAGAAGAAAAGATAAATAGCCATTTCACCTTGCTATGTGTTGTTTTATAACTGGCAAATGGTAAAATGTTAATACTATGCAAATGTTGTTCTCAATGAATATAGGAATGTATATTGATAATTCTTCAAGTATGTCCCTAAACGTTTCTCTTCTCTAAGACCAAAAAAAAAAAAAAACAATGAAAAGAGACTTCGTTAATGGTGGGGCTCCATCATATGGGAAAGCCCAAAAAAAACAATATAAGGTTTTTCTGACTGTCGACAGTTCTGGCTAATCTCATTAAAGAAACCTTCTTCATCAGCCTATGTCAATGGATAGATCCTGAACATAAGGCAAAAAGAAGGGGTGTGGAGGGGAAAAACATATTCCACATTACCCAGTTAGAGGCTCAGTCAACCATCACACATGTTGACCATACACTGAGAAAAAGATAAAGGAACATGTACTTCTTTGAAGATTATATAGAATAATCACTATTGTCAGGCACTTTGTAGGTAAGGATAATTTCTAATAAAATATGTAGCAGCATCAACCATTGCATAAAACACTCAAAAGTCCTCCTCCTGACAACCCTCAGGAACCCTATTTACTTAAATAGGAAGGAAGAAAGAAAGCCTCAAAGTGTCTCTTGGCTTCCCCTACTGACCCTCCAATATTCAGGGACACCACAACAACGCTCTAATTTGAACCTAGAGCCATGTGTTCTCTCTAAAGCATTTAGCCTTGAAACCGTTACTGATGGAGTTACTAACTCAACTCACGGCACAATGCCAGAGCTGCCCAGGCAACCATTGTTGGCTCCAAACTGTCATCATTACACAGCTCTCCTTCTGAGAGCCAGAGCTGATGGAAATCAAGTTGCTTCATCTGGCAGAATTATCTCTATGTCTAAGGAAATATGAACTCTGGAAGAGTGAGGCAATCCTATAAAAAGATTCTGTCCTGATCTTCAAGGAAAAAGTTGTATTGGTTGTTGGGCATGATACATTCAGTCCCCAAATTTTTGTTGACATGGAACACTTTGGTCAAAGGATATTTTTTATTATTTTTTTCACGTTCTATTTTGTTTTTAATTGACAAATATTCTATCTATGTATAGGGCACAATCAGATGCTTTGATACACATGTGTATTGTGGAATGATTAAATTTGGCTAATTAAGATATCTATCACCTCAAATACTTATCATTTCTTTGTGATGAGAACATTTAAGATCCACTTGTTTGATTTTCAATTCCAAAAATATTTTTTCATTTTTAATTATTTTTATTGTGGTAAAATAGAACATAAAGCTTGCCATTTCAACAATTATTAATAAAATTTAGTAATATAAATAACATTTGTGATGTTGTACAATTATCACTATTTCCAAAACTTTTCTATAATTCTAGATACTTTGTACACATTAAGCAATAACTCACCATTTATCCTCCCCACCATCTTCTAACAACTTCTAATCTACTTTGTCTCTGTATATAAGTGTAATAATAACAATATCCATCTTTTTTAAATTATCATAATGTTTTCAAGATTTATCCATGCTGTAGCATGTATCAGTTTCATCCTTTCTTACGTCTGTGTAGTATTGCACTGTATGTATATACCTCAGTTTTGCTTATTATTTTATCTGTTGATGGACACTTGAGTTGTTTCTACCTTTTGGCAATTGGGAATAATGCAGCAATAAACACACAAGTATCTAAGTCCCTGTTTTCAGTTTTGGGGGGTATACACCTACAAGTAAAATTAATAGGTCATATGGTAAGAAATTCTATTGCTATGTTTAACTTTTTCTGGAATGCCAAACTGTTTTCCAAAGCAACTGCACCATTTTACATTCGGTTTATTTGTTTGTTTGTTTTCTCCTGAAACGGTGTGTGAAACACATAAAGGCAGGACAACTCTAGTGGAAGCTTCTTGAGTTAGGCTCTGAGGAAACATCTGGAAAGCTTTGGCTTCTCCAAACACCTTGAAAAAGCCCTCCAATCTCTCTGTCAACAGATGACAGAAGGGAGACCACAGGGTCTGGGCAAATTCCCAGCAATTCATGCAGCTAACTAGTTAGTGTTCAATGAGGGTCTCAAATACAGAGTGCTAAATCCAGGTGAGATTATATTCCCTGCTGGTTGCATCTCGCTAAATTGGGCGTGTTTTCCTTTAATAGTCTACTCTTTTGCCTTTCCAAGCACAAATAGCTAAAGATGTTAAAGTGAATATTTGACTTCCAAAATCTTCCCTAGATGTCATAAGATGAAGAGGGTTTGTGCAATTACATACATCCATGGGTTGTATTTACAGAAACTTAATTGTTCAGCTATAAATAGTAATTTCCCCTTTCTCCTTGTGTTATAATTTCAGAAAAAGTACCAACACTATCAAAGAAAACTGAATACTTTGACAATAGTACTAAAGGAGATGAAAGGGTAGTTTTACCCTCCCAAGTTACAGCCAATCTCCTTGTCCTTACTGTCACTCATGTTATTTCACATGGGTCGTAAATTTATGAGGCAGAACAATGTGGCCTCTACAGTCCTGATCACTAGACCTGAGATGAAAAGGTGAACCCGTATTGATCCACAGCCTCCTAACATGCAGGCAATATGTTGGATTATTTGATTCATTGCATCCGCAGCATCTCCAGAGGTGAAAACTCCAAAATAATCTGCATTGTGATTGCCACTAATTTCACAACTTTTACAGGCCAGGCTTTATGATATATTCAATCAAAGAGGCTTGAGATTACAGGCAAGTTCCTAATTCAGGACTTAACAAAACAAAGGTTGTTTGTGTTTCATACCACTGACAAATACAGGAAGATATGGTATAGTCCCTGGTTCATGCAGTTACTTGAAATCCAAGCTACTTCCAACAAGTAGCTCTGCCATTCCATTTTCTACTGGATATTTGCATTTGTCCAACTGGTGAGATAAATGAGAGAGGGCATAGAATGTAGTGTATTAGTTTGCTATGGCTCCTGTAAAAATGTATCACAAACTTTAGTGTCTGAAAAGAATAGAAATGTCCTCTCTCACAGTTCTGGGCATGGGGAGTTGAAATCAAAGTATTGTCAGGGTCATGCTCTTGCCTAATCCTCTGGGAGAGGATTCCTCCTAGACTCTTCTAGCTTCTGGTAGTCCCAGGCATTCATTGTCTTGCAGCTGCAGCACTTCAAGTATTTGTTTCCTCTGTTACATAGCAACATGTGACTGGTGTCCTTAATCCAATAAGGACACCAGTCACACTGGATTAAGAACACACCCTACACGATTCAAGTCATAGCAATAGAGAATTTTCTTTGGTCCAGGCCCGAAAGTAGTATATTTTACACCCACAGCTGTTTTATTGGCTAGAACTCGGTCACATGATCTCACCCATCAGGCAGGAAGTCTGAGGAATACAGTTCATCTACTGGGTTTGGTGACTATGTAACATCGACTGCGCCACAAGCAGTCACTGTGCAACCCAGCTATTCAATCCTCGACCTTCCGTTGGTGAAATATATTAAAAACACTGTCGTTAATTTTAAATATTATCAAATATATATACTTAAAAATAACTGAACTACATTTTTATCCATGAAAAGGTTTATGTTCTTAAACTAGGATCTGAGTAAAATGCTAGAAAAGTGTGTTAAGAAAGAATATGAGTAGAAAAGGGAACCTGGGATGATTTCCAGCCTCATATACTTGACTATTCAACTTGGGTTAGAGAAAAAAAGATATATGATAATTTTTGTTCTTATTGTTTTGTTTAATTTTTCAAATTTTTACTTTTTAAATTTTTCATTTTTAGTTTTTTGTGGGGACAGAGTAGGTGTATATATTTATGGGATATATGAGATATTTTCATATAGGCATGCAATGCCTAATAATCACATCATGGAGAATGGGGTATCCATCCCCTCAAGCACTTACCCGGTGTGTTACAAACAATCCAATTATATGCTTTTACTCTTTAACATATTTAATTCATCATTTTATTATTGTAATAAATCAAAGGGGTGACCTCTGAAATTTCAGATGGGTATTTAAAAAATGGACTTTGAAGGTTTTATTTCTCATGTCACAATGTGCTTAGGTAAAACAATATGGGCCAGGCATGGTGGCTCATGCCTATAATCCCAGAACTTTGGGAGGCCGAGGCGGGTGGATTACCTGAGGTCAGGAGTTCAAGACCAGCCTGGCCAACATGGTGAAACCCCCATCTCTACTAAAAAGACAAAAATTAGCTGGGCATGGTGGCGGGTGCCTGTAATCCCAGCTACTTGGGAGGCTGAGGCAGGAGAATCACTTGAACCCGGGAGGCGGAGGTTGCAGTGAGCTGAGATCATGCCACTGCACTCCAGCATGGGTGACAAAGCGAGACTCCATCTCAAAATATATATATGGAAATTTGGTTTATATCAGGCACTCTCTCTAGTTGAATCTGACTCACAATCTGACAGAAATGTTAAAGTCAGTTAACAAGTGTGGCTGACTGTTGGCTTTCTTTTCAATTTTCCATACTCAGAGAAACAAATCTTGCTCAAGTGAAAGTATGTCTAGCTGTAGGAGATGAATTTTGATCCACAGTCCCCTGCCACGCAGGCAACATGGGTCACTGGAGTCACTACATCTGCAGCATCTGCAGAAGTGAAAACTGTAGTTGGCGTAAGTAAATTATGGCAAATCTGTTGACAGCTAGTAATTGGTCAAGGTATGTCACATGACCCAGTTCTGGAAAATGAAATGCAATGAAAATTCCCCAAGAGAAGCTTTTTATTTTTTAATTTGAAAAAATATATATTTATTTTTCTTTGATGATGAGAGAAACACTCAGAGAAAGCCCTTTCTCCCTTTTACTCCTATACCTAGTTTAGAATTCTGTCACATAAAGATTAATGCTTGGAGCTGCAGCCACCATGTTGCAACTAAGGGAGGAGTCACCGTCAAGATATTAAGAATAGTACAGTGGCAAAATTAGGTAATTGCATTTGAGTCAACAAAACAACCCTTGGACTGCCTACCATCAGATTTCTTGTTAAGTAAAAAATAAGCATCCATATGATCTGAGCTGATTTTAACCAGGTGATCTGTACTTGTAGTCAAATGTATCCTGGCTCATACAATATGCAAATGCCTAGGATGCCAACATTAATTGTCCACAGTCTCTGTCAGTTAAATTCAAGAGGTCTTCAATCTGCATGTTCCCCTCCTCTTTTTAAGTAGTCATTCCTGACAAGGGAAAGAAATAATATTTGGCTCAACTACACCTACAGACTAGTATGGGAAGATTGCTGAATTCATGGTAACCCATATAAAAGAGACAAATCCTGATTATTCATCTTGTTTCCAAGTATCAATCTTTATCTATCAGATAAAATGTGGGTATAGAAATTTTCCATACTAGACATCTGAGTTGCATCCTGGATTTGGAGTTGGCCTTGTCCTAACCTTAAACTGCTGAAGTTCTGATATGCTCTGACATGCTACTTTGTTCTTCCCAGAGCCTTTCTCTGGGTATGAATCTTCTTACCTCAACTCACAACTAGAGACTGCGTTTTGTAAAATGAGGATCTCAAATCTCAGACTCCGTCTTTTTTTTTTGTTGTTGTTGTTGTTGTTGTTGTTGTTGTTTTTTGAGATGGAGTCTTGCTTTGTCGCCCAGGCTGGAGTATAGTGGCGCAATCTCGGATCACTGTAACCTCTGCCTCCCAGATTCAAGAGATTCTTCTGCCTCAGCCTCCCGAGTAGCTGGGATTACAGGCGTGCACCACCATGCCAGCTAATTTTTGTACTTTTAGTAGAGACAGGGTTTCACCATGTTGGCCAGGCTGGTCTCGAACTCCTGACCTCAGGTGATCGACCTGCCTCAGCCTCCCAAAGTGCTGGGATTACAGGCGCACGCCACCGCACCTGGCCCCGTCATCTAATATACTTGTTCTTACAGTTCCTCCATTGCCCTGTTCACTGTAGTAAATCCCTGGTGTTGCTTTATTCCAGGACCATATCAAAGTTTGTCACACTCTCTGTAGAGTTTTTGCCATTGTTCCTTGTGTCTTCAGCCCTCCAGTGTATTCTGCATCTATCCTCTTCCCTGCAAGTGCATGTTGCTGCTCAGGCACCTGGATGCCTCCTTCCCAAACTGGCATTGGCTAGAGGCAGCAATGAGAAGTAGTATGAAAAGGCCCAGGACCAAAGGTCAGACAAAATGAAATGCAGTTGTAGTTCCATACCACACTGGCTGTGTGACCACAAAAAAAATCACTTCACCTCTCTGGGCCCCAGCTTTGTCATCTGTAAAATGAAGGGGATAAATTTAATGAACTCTAAGGTCTGTCCCTGCAGATCTCCAAAATGAAAAGCAAAGCTTTGAGCTGGTTTGACCATAATCATTTATTTTCATAGCATGAGTCTTTCAAAAGTTTGCCTTTTATTTGAAGTTTCTTCCATTTTCCTGATTTTGTTTTCTTCCTGAGTAACTCTGATTCTCCTTCCGAAGGTCATTCTCTATTTCTGTTATAATATCCTAAAAAAATGTGCTCTATGAAATAGCTAGGCTTCTTACCAAAGCACGATGTAACACTCTTACCCTTTAGAGGACTCTCTTTTTTCTCTCACTCTTTGGAGATAAACATGAAGAAAACTTTGAATATTAGTTAAGTGTGGACCTTCCCATTATATCATCAGTGTTAGAGCAACTCAGTAGAAAACCAAAGAAAAATAACTCCAGGGATATTAATAAACCGATATGAATGTCGTAATAGATTAATTGGCTCTGAGAAAGATTTCCTGATTTCTCCATCCCACTGTGATTCTTCAATTCGCACACTTATTACATTCTAATCTGTACTAAACAACCTAGCATTTGTATTTTCCTCCTTTACAATATGCAGATACATATAATACTACTTCAAAACCTTTTTGGGTTGAAATAGATAATGGATAAGTGAATTAAAATTATCCAGCCATTAAGATTCTGACTTCAGTGTTCATAACACCAAAAATATATATTTTAAAATAATCTAGATCTAAATGTTCTTCTTTATTAAGGTATTGGGTGGGAAGAGGTGGGTGGAGAGGAGAAGGTAATTCTAGCATAACTCTAAGACTTTCCAGTGCTAATGAGTCAGCTCTGGTACTCAAACTGAAAAGGCTACCCCCGCAGCTGCCTCTGAAAGGCACCCACAGAACTCTCTCATGAGAATATATGTGGAAGAGAGAAAGGTGGGTGTTCAGTTTTCAACACTGATATCTGGTATGCAGCCAATTCCTATGATCTGAATCTGTGAAAGGGAATCTAAGAGGAGGAAGCAGGAAGCAATGGGTTGGATTCATTCCACCTCATAGCTCAGTCATTTTTTGCTCTCTACCCATCAAATTCTGATCAACCACACATTGCTCAATAAATTTGTATTGAACACTTAATCTATATAAGGCAGTTGATATGGTTTGGCTGTGTCCCCATCCAAATCTCATCTTGAATTCTCATGTGTTGTGGGAGGAACCCAGTGGGAGCTAATTGAATCATGGGGGCAAGTCTTTCCCATGCTGTTCTCATGATAGTGAATGGGTCTCACGAGATCTGATGGTTTTAAAAATGGGAGTTTCCCTGCACGAGCTCTCTTCTCTTTGCCTACTGCCATCCATTTAAGACATGACTTGCTCCTCCTTCCCTTCCACCACGATTGTGAGGCTTCCCCAGCCATGTGGAACTGTAAGTCCATTAAACCTCTTTCTTTTTTAAATTGCTCAGTCTCAGGTATGTCTTTATTAGCAGTGTAAAAATGAACCAATAGAGTAAATTGGTGCCAGTAAAGTGGGGTGCTGCTGAAAAGATACCTGAAAATGTGGAAGGAACTTTGGAACTGGGTAACAGGCAGAGATTGAAATAGTTTGGAGGGCTCAGAAGAAGACATGCAAATTTGGGGAAGTTTGGAACTCTCTAGAGACTTCTTGAATGGCTTTGACCAAAATGCTGATAATGATATGTACAATAAAATCCAGGCTGAGGTGGTCTCAGATGGAAATGGGGAACCTGTTAAGAACTGGAGCAAAGGCGACTCTTGTTATGTTTTAGCAAAGTGACTGGCAGCATTTTGGCCCTGCCCTAGAGACCTGTGAAACTTTGAACTTGAGAGAGATGATTTAGGGTATCTGGTGGAAGATATTTCTAAGCAGCAAGCATTCAGGAGGTAATTTGGGTTCTGTTAAAGGCATTCAGTTTTATAAGGGAAGCAGAGCATAAAAGTTTGGAAAATTTGCAGCCTGACAATGTGATATAAAAGAAAATCCTACTCTTTGAGGAGAAATTAAGACTAGCTGCAGAAATTTGCATAGGTAACAAGAAGCCAAATGTTAATCACCAAGACAATGGGTGATTATGTCTCTAGGGCATATCAGAGACGTTTGTGGCAGCCCCTCCCTTCACAGGCCCCAAGACCTAGGAGAAAAAAATGATTTCATGGGCTGGGCCCAGGGTCCCTCTGCTGTGTGCAGCCTAGGGACTTGGTGCCCTGCATCCCAGCCACTCCAGCTATGGCTGAAAGGGGCTAATGTAGAGCTTGGGCTGTTGTTTCAGAGAGTGGAAGCCCCAAGCCTCAACAGTTTCCACATGGTGTTGAGCCTGAGGGTGCACAGAAGTCAAGAACTGAGGCTTGGGAATCTCTGCCTATATTTCAGAGGATATATGGAAATGCCTGGATGCCCAGGCAGAAGTTTGCTGCAGAGGTGGGGCCCTCATGAAGAACCTCTGCCACGGCAGTGCTGAAGGGAAATGTGGGGTTGGAGCCCCCACACAGAGTCCCTACTGGGGCAGTGCCTGGTGGAGATGTGAGAAGAGGGACATCATCTTCTAGACCCCAGAATGGTAGAACCCTGACAGCTTGCACTGTGTGCCTGGAAAAGCGGCAGATACTCAAGGCCAGCCCATGAAAGAAGACAGGAGTAGGGCTATATCCTGCAAAGCCAGAAAGTTGGAGCTGCCCAAGACCATGAGAACCCACCTCTTGCATCAGTGTGGCCTGCATGTGAGACATGGAGTCAAAGGAAATTATTTTGGAGCTTTAAGGTTTGACTGCCCTGCTGGTTTTCAGACTTGCATGGGGCCTGAAGCCCCTTTGTTTTGGCCAATTTCTCCCATTTGGAATAGCTGTATCTACCCAATGCCTGTACCCCCATTGTATCTAGGAGGTAACTAACTTGCCTTTGATTTTACAGGCTCATAGGCAGAAAAGACTTTTCTTGTCTCTGATGAGACTTTACATTTTGGACTTTTGAGTTAATGCTGAAATGAGTTAAGACTCTAAGGGATTACTGGGAAGATATGATTCATTTTGAAATGTGAGGACGTTAGATTTGGGAGGGGCTGGGGTGAAATGATATGATTTGGCTGTGTCCTTACTCAAATCTCATCTTGAATTCCCATGTGTTGTGGAGGGAACTCACTGGGAGGTAACAGAGTCAGGGGAGCAAGTCTTTCCCATTCTGTTCCTGTGACAGTGAATAAGTTTCACAAGATCTAACGGTTTTAAAAATGGGAGTTTCCCTACACAAGCTATCTCTTTGCCTGCTGCCATCCATGTGATACTTGACTTGCTCCTCCTTGCCTTCTGCCATGATTGTGAGGATTCCCCAGTCATGTGGAACTATAAGTCCATTAAACCTCTTTCTTTTGTAAATTGCCCAGTCTCACATACGTCTTTATCAGCAGCATGAAAACAAATTAATGCAGCAATGCATTAGGTACTGTGAGGAACGTCACATGCACAGAGACATGACTGTTGACCTTATGAGGTATTTTAAGACACCAGACATGCCTAGGAAAAGACACACGGTCACATATTGCAGCTTATGCCAAGAGTTAAATCAGGGATACAGGTATGGATGGTTGTCTGTTTAATCCCTACATGCCCATCTATCACCTCATTCTCTCATTGATCTGGGGCAGGACTCATACCCACTCTGGATGCACAAGAGTCAAGCTGAAAGAAGACAGTAATTTTACTTGAAGGAAACTTGTGTCTGCTTACAGATCACTCATTCTAGGAGTGGACCAGGGGGAATATCCACTCACTTTCTTCCTTCAAGGACCTGAAAGGATGTGAAGCAGTTCCTCCAATTCCACTGAGGGGAAAAATTAGGTGAAACCAACTGACTGATGGACTAAGTGAGAGGGCGTTTTGGTGGGACTGAGGGCTTTGAAATGTTGTCATTTGGAGTCACTCTTCCTCTCAACATCCCCCTATTGTTTTCCACCCCGTGAAGAATAAAATTCTAAGTCCTGCAAGGTCCTAACATGATCTGGGCCCCCCTCCCTAGCCTGCCTCATCTCTGGCCACTCTCATCCTAGCTCCCTCAGCTCCTGCCACTCTGACCTTCCTGCAGTTCTTCAGGCACACCAAGTTCCCTCCCACCCAAGGATCTTTGTGTCTGCTACCCCTCTACCTGGAGACCCCTTCCCTTAGATGACTGATTCCCTTACATTCATTCAAATATTTGCTCAAATGTCCACTTGTGAGATACATTGTCCCTTAGCACTCAGATTTCTGACTTCCAGAATGGTGAGAGAATATATTTATGTTGTTTTAAATCACTAAGTTTATGGGAATTTATTACAGCAGCTACTGGGAGCTAATACAGAAAGCAGAGAAGAGAGTAAATGACTGGAGTCAGAAATCTGAACTCTGTTTAACTGATCTAAAATCCAGGTGTCAGGGCAGAGCCAAGATAGCCAACTAGAAATAGTGGTGCTCAGAGACTCCCATCGAAAAAAAACATAATAAGCATGTGAATCCTTCACTGGCAGCCAAGGCTTCCAGGTTCTCTCATCAGAACTCACTAGGAGGCTGGCATGACCCACAGACAGAAGGAAGAACAGTGTGGCGCATTAGCCCACCTGAGAACCACACAGGGCAGGGGAACCCCCTCCCCCTCGCCAAGTGAGATGGTGAGTGAGCATGCTACCCAGCCAGGGAAACCATGCTTTTTCCAAGGAACTGTGCAACCCATGGATCAGAAGATCCCACTCGCAAACCCATGCCACTAGGGCCTAGCATCCCAACCCTGGAATGGACAGTTTCTCAACAGCTTCTCAGCTGGAATCTGCTTAAGCCTGCTGAACTCCCTGGGGGAGGGGTGACCAGCACCATAACAGCATGGTACTGGTACAAAAATAAAACAGACATATAGACTAATGGAGCAGAACAAAGACCTCAGAAATAACAGCACACATCTACAACCATCTGATCTTCAACACACCTGACAAAAACAAGCAATGGGGAAAAGATCTCCTATTCAGCAAATAGTGCGGAGAAAACTGGCTAGCCATATGCAAAAAACTGAAACCGGACCCTTTCCTTACACTTTATACAAAAATTAACTCAAGATAGATTAAAGACTTAAATGTAAAACCCAAAACCATAAAAGCCCTAGAAGAAAACATAGGCAATACCATTCAGGACATAGACACAGGCAAAGACTTAATGACAAAAAAAGCCAAAAGCAATTGCAACAAAAGCCAAAACTGACAAATGGGATCTAATTAAACTAAAGAGCTCTGCACAGCAAAACAAACTGTCATCAGAATGAACAGGCAATCTACAGAATGGGAGAAAATTTTTGCAATCTACCTATCTGACAAAGATCAAATTTCCAGAATTTACAAGGAACTTAAGCAAATTTACAAGATAAAACAAACAACCCCATCAAAAAGTGGGCAAAGGATATGAACAGACATTTCTCAAAAGAAGACAGCTACACAGCCAACAAACGTACGAAAAAAAAGCTCAACATCACTGATCAGCAGAGAAATGCAAATCAAAACCACAGTGAGATACCATCTCACGCCAATCAGAATGGTGATTATTAAAAAGTCATGAAACAATAGATTCTGGTGAGGATGTGGAGAAACAGGAATGCTTTTACACTGTTGGTGTGAATGTAAATGAGTTCAACCATTGTGGAAGACAGTATGGCGATTCCTCAAGGATCTAGAACCAAAAATACTATTTGACCCAGCAATTCCATTACTGGGTATATAGCCAAAGGAATATAAATCATACTACTCTAAAGACACATGCACATGCATGTTTATTGCAGCACTATTTACAATAACAAAGACATGGAACCAAAGCAAATGCCCATCAATGATAGACTGGATAAAGAAAATGTAGTACATATACACCATGGAGTACTATACAGCCATAAAAAAGAATGAGATCATGTCCTTTGCAGGGACATGGATGAAGCTGGAAGCCATCATCCTCAGCAAACTAACACAGCAACAGAAAAACAAACACAGCATGTTATCACTCATAAGTGGGAGTTGAACAATGAGAACACATGGACACAGAGATGGGAATGACACACATCAGGACTTGTTGAGGGGTGGGGTTGAGGGAAGGGAACTTAGAGGACGGGTCAATAGGTACAGCAAACCACCATGGCACACGTATACCTATTAGCAAACATGCACCTTCTGCACATGTAACCCATTTTTTTTTCTCTGAGATGGAGTTTCGCTCTTCTCACCCAGGCTGGAGTGCAATGCTGTGGTCTTGGCTCACTGCAACCTCTGCCTCCCAGGTTCAAGCAATTCTCCTGCCTCAGCCTCCCAAGTGGCTGAGCTTACAAGTGCCTGCCACCACGCCTGGCTAATTTTTGTAATTTTAGTAGAGACAGGGTTTCACCACTTTGGCCAGACCGGTCTCGAACTCCTAACCTCAGGTGATTCAGCAGCCTTAGCCTCCCAAAGTGCTGGGATTACAGGCATGAGCCACCGTGCCCAGCCATATCACATTTTTTAAAGAAGAAATAAAGGAAAAATAAATAATAATAATTAATAATAATAATAATGATACACAAAATACATATCAAATCAAATTAAATCAAGGTGTCGGCAGGGCTATGCTCCCTCCAGAGGCTCTGGAGGAAAATCCATTACTTGTCTTCCAGCCTCTGGCCTTATCACTCTAATATCTGTTTCTGTCTTCATGTTGCCTTCTCTTGTTCTGTCTGTGAAATCCCCCTCTGTCTCTCTCTTACAAAAACACTTGTGATGGCATTTAGGACTTACTCAGATAATCCAGAACAATCTCATCTCAAAATCCTTAACTTATTGTTTCCACAACAGCCAAGAACCCTCTTTCCAAATAAGGTAACATGTGCTGGTTCCAGGGATTCAAATGTAAAATCTTTGGGGGCCATTTTTTAACCTCCCCCACACTACTTTATTTTCTTTTAGTAACGCATGTCATCATTTTGCATTATATTATATATTTATTTATTGTGTATTTCTCTCTGTATCCCTGCCATACTTCCAATATAAATAAATAACTATCTGTTGAATGAATGAATGCAGAGACACCCTTTTGACCAACCAGATGAAGAAGATATAGTCAAAGAGATGATCTGTGTGATGGAGCAAATCCTGTTGGTGCTCTTGTCCCTCAGAGGGAGTTTTAGATGCTCCAGAGACTCCTAACCTCTAGTGTATACTTCTGTGTACCTGAAGGGCTATACAGAAGACCATGCTGTCCAAGGATAACAGAACAGAAGTTCCAGGAAAATAGTACCCCCTGACAGTAATGCTTATCCGAGGACCCTAGAGTTTCAGTGTACAGATGCTACAGCTACTTTAGTCCTCAGATGAAATAATTCTATGTGATTGGCATCATTTCCCAGAGCTTTCCCATGGAGTTTATCCCTAATCACCCACATTGTAGCTGACTTAATAGCACACCATTTATTGACTGCTTCCACTGTATTTAATCACTTCCCCACTTCCTACAGGAGTCCCTTTCACTTCCCAACATTCTACCTTGTGTCTCAGCGCCTGCCTTCATATGAACCAAAATTTAAACAAGGATAAAAGTAAAGAACTATTTTGTGCCAACCTCTAGACTCCTCATCAGTGTCTGATAACTTAATAGTTAAGAATTTTCAGCAGTAGACTATAGCTTCCCACCTTTAAAGACTCTGAGTAAAACGAAAAATCTGTATAACTATTCAGGGTGGCACTTAAGCCAATTTTCCCTATCCTTTACCAACATTAAAGTACGTCTGCATCTGAAACAGCACAAAGAATTAGAATGTCCAATCAGACTTAGAAGAATCAGGGATCTTTCCGACTGTCAACCTGTATTAACAATTTTAAAGACATAATATGGTTTGGCTCTGTGTCCCCACCCAAATCTCATCTTCAGTTGTAATCCTCACCTGTCAGGGGAGGGACCAAGTGGGGGTGATTGCATCCTGGGGGTGGTTTCCCCCATGCTGTTCTCATGATAGTGAAAGAGTTCTCACAAGAGCTGATGGTTTTAAAGTGTGACACTTCCTTGATCACACATACTCACCCTCTCTCCTGTTGCCTTGTGAAGAAGGTGCCTGCTTCCACTTCTGCCATGACTGTAAGTTTCCCGAGGCCTCCCCAACCATGTGGAACTGCGAGTCAATTAAACGTCCTTTGTTTATAAATTACCCAGTCTCAGGTAGTATTTGTTTTATTTTTTTTGTTTTTTTTTTTTTTTTTGAGATGGAGTCTCACTCTGTCACCCAGGCTGAAATGCAGTGGAGTGATCTTGGCTCACTGCAAACTCCGCCTCCTGGGTTCAAGTGATTCTCCTGCCTCAGCCTCCCATGTAGCTGGGATCACAGAATATGCCACTATGCCTGGCTCATTTAGTAGAGACAGATTTTCACCATGTTGGCCAGGCTGGTCTCAAACTCCTGACCTCAAGTGATCTGCCCACTTCAGCCTCCCAAAGTGCTAGGATTAGAGGTGTGAGTCACTGCACCCAGCCTACCAAACCTCTACATAAAGACTAAAACACTTCTAATATTAAACATTGAAATAAATGAGAGCTATGCATACATTTAAGAAAGATTAATAGAAAATCAAGTCAGATAATTATTTACCCAATCATTCTACTTCAGGCTCAAGGGCGGCCTGATCACCCTTGATCCTGAACTAGAATGACTGGGTAAATCACACTTTATAGGAGTGTGAAAATGGACTAATACAGGATATAAGTAATCACAAGGTACAGGTGGAAAGAAAAAAATCTTCTTTCTTCCATGCATGCACATAAGGACCCACTGTAGTTCCCATATAACAAATAGTCTCCAAGAGATGCTTGTAGAAACATAACTTACAGAAAAGGGAGTTTGTTTGGTCCTGACGCATTTCCGTTTTGTATCCTCATTGTTATATATTTTACACATTTTTCACAAAGCTACTCTTCATGAATTAATAGAGTCTAGGTTTGATTATCATAGTTTATCCTAAGCAGATCAGGTACAACATTCTAAAAGCATTCCATAAATAAGGATTCTTCATCTAGTAAATACCACATATGTTTGCCAGGAGATCTGTAATTAGCATGTTTCAAAAAGGATTTGACCGGATGATCATTCTTTCTTTCCTGGACCACCACTCAGTAAAGGGAGAAAATAGATTATAGATCTACTTCTAGATATTTTTTTCCTAACAGCTAAATTCATATGTAAAATATTTAATATATAGTATGCAATGACCATCAAAAGTTCATAGACACATCAATTGACTTTGAAGACTTTGAAAGTATCTGCTTTGTTATCCCTTATACATAGGGCATATATTTTGGTAAATATAAGCTATAAGTGCCATTATTTTTAATATAATTTTGAAAGATATTTCTATAATTAATTAGCAAAGCCTAGGCTTTTATGCAATTTTTAAAAAAAAAATTTAAATGAATGAAGAGCTCTAAAAATGACATCTCAATGAGAATAATAAAATTCAAGCCCACAGTGAAGGCATAATAGATAATTTATTATGTGGAACTTGTTCAAGGTATAAATAACTCAAGAAAAAAGATTAGCAGCCTGATGGAAGTCTTCATCTGCTTTTTAACCAAAAGTTGGCAGTTTAATAGGAAGAACAGCATGCTATGCCTAACTCCTGTTTCTTTGATGGGAGGGAGGAAAAATGAAAGCTGAGGAGAGGCATTTTTTTAATTGTTTAGGGCTGACAAAGTTTTTATGAAGTACTCAGTATAATATAATTCCTCAAGGTAAAAATTTATCTTTTTAAATTTATTGTAAAGCAGAGAGAAAAATCAGGAGAACACAAAAAATGAGAATTGGATCAAAATATGTGATACCACTCTCTGTGTTGTCTTTTATCATATGTATTTTGAACCCTGAAATTTAAGTCCAGAGACTCAAAAATATCCCTTCTGCTTCCAACTGTAGCTATTTTATTTTGATTAAGGCCAGGCCTAGGCTCTTGGGGCTAGAATTAGGGGGAAAGCATGGAATCCTCTATTTGCTCATTTGTCTTCACATTCCTAGTCTGACTCTAAGTTGTAGTAGTTGGTTGTTAAAAAATTTGACTACCTAGGCCGGGCGCGGTGGCTCACGCCTGTAATCCCAGGACTTTGGGAGGCCCAGGCGGGTGGATCACAAGGTCAGGAGATCAAGACCATCCTGGCTAACACGGTGAAACCCTGTCTCTACTAAAAATACAAAAAATTAGCCGGGCGTGGTGGTGGGCACATGTAGTCCCAGCTACTCAGGAGGCTGAGGCAGGAGAATGGCATGAACCCCAGAGGCGAAGGTTGCAGTGAGCCAAGACTGCGCCACTGCACCCCAGCCTGGCGACAGAGTGAGACTCCATCTCAAAAAAAAAAAAAAAAAAAAAAAAATTGACTACCTAAGTGAGAGAAGTATCCTCCCTAGAATAAGCACAAAAGAGTAAGCCCAGCTACCTTGTGCATGGGAGGAGAATATTTACCCATTCCATTGATGTTGGGCTTGGCCATGCAACTTTGGCTTCTTCCTCCACCAATCAAAATACAAAGCATAACAAAAATCCACGTACACATCACTTCATACAAATACACCTAGAAGGAAATCAGTATCTTTATATGACCAGTTTTCAGATAAGCTGGGCTAGGACCATCATGCTGTGTTAACTTTGTAACTAGGGCTCATTACCCAGTAAGGAGCAGGTCCCCACACAGAGGCTACCATCATGATCCCAGTTAATTCAATGGGCTGACTTCCCTCTCTAGATCAATGACTGAATGTACTCAATAAGTCTACATTACCATTTCTGGAGAAAGAAGTTCTCTTCAGTTCTTTGTGAACATTAGCATAGGAAACAAAGGTCCTGAGTGTTAGGTTATAATGTTAAGAAGAAAAAAGGCACACCAGTTTTCCATATGAGAATAGCATAAAACAATTGTAAAAAATGAAAACTTTATCTTCAGCATTCACAGCAGACCCACTCTACATATTTTCCCCTCCTCTTCTTTCTCCCTCACTTTAGGCTTCCTGAAATTTCTGTGCCTCTTAAACATAGTTCCAAACCACCTATGTAGAAAGAATTTGAGATGTTAATTTTAATTTAGAGTAAAATTAAGGATGTTTTTCCTGTCCAAAGGTGTTGGCAATTTTAAGTTTTCTTTCAAATTATAAACTAAAAACTCCTGCTGACTCTTTTGGCATTCTGCTCTTTGCAGAAAAAAAAAAATACAAAATATAAAACAGTATGTGTCAAATACAAAGTGACCCTGAACATTAGGCAATTCACATTGGCTAATTTTCACAATGGGAAGATCAATACAAATTTTGGATGATTTTATTGTTATTTTAGCCAAGCTAAAATTCACTTAGTTGTAGTATAAAGTGAATGGTCAAATGTATACCTATAATATTTAGTCTTAGTTTAATTATGTGTGCATATTTAAATCACATATTACATAGAAGATAGAAAATGCTATTTTTTCTGTCTTACATTCCTTGCAACAATTTTATCTAAACCCTTCACATACTTATCTAACAGAGTATCCTGGAACATATCATTTCACTTCTACCGAGTTATTTCAAGTAAGACATTTCAAAATACACGCAGTGCTCACTAGATATTTTGTTCCAAGCTAAAAGTGCCCATTCATGAAATTAGGATATTTTGTTTTCTTCTTTCTATCATAGATAATACACTCACAATGCAAGCACAAAAACAACACACAAAACCTTACTTACCCTATTGTTTTTAAAATGGTCTTTATATTTGTGTACTGTTTACTACGGCATTCTACAGTAAATTTTAAGGTCATTTGTCCAATAATAAACTAATCCTGAAGTCACTTTTTTCTCCATTTCCACAAATTTTGTAAAGTGACTTCTGTAACAACCCAAACCATCTTTGATTAAGGTCATTTCAGGCTAATGTGCTTCTTCAACAATAATTTTCTGTTTCAAAAAAACAAGGAAAGTGAAGAAGCATGCATAGTATGAGAAACTTTGTGAAGGTTCTAAATTAAGGCAATTAGCTCTTTATTGAGAACAATTGTGTGACAGGGACAAGTCAAAACCCCAAAGAAAACCAAAGTTAACAGCTTTCTGCATTTCTCCTAATAATAAATTATTTGACATATTAGTTCCACATTATAGGCAATTTTATATCCTGCCTTTTCTTACCTAACTAAGCATTTTCCACATCATTAAATATTCATCTTAAATATCATTTAAATGACTGCACAATATTCCCTACTGTACACACATCGTAATTTACTCAACATTTTCCCTCTTGATGAATGTTTAGATTATTTTCAATGCCTTATTATAAGCAGTTCAATAAATGTTATTGTGCATAAATCTTTGACTACATTGCTGATTATTTCATTATAATGGATTCCTAGAAGAGAAATTATGAGGTAAAACAATATGTACAACTTTGAGGCTGCTGAAACAGATTGATAAACATTGCTTTCCTGACAGTAATGTTAAATTTTTCACTCTTAGCAGTGGCAAGAGAGAGCCAACTGCTATATCTTTACTGGTATTGAGCATTTTGCATCTTATTTTATTATTTGATAGTTGAAAGTATTCTTTCTGCAGCATTTTAAATCACAAACAAAGCTAAACCTTTTTTTTCTTCTTTTTTTGAGACAGAGTCTCACTTTGTTGCCCAGGCTGGAGTGCAGTGGCATGATCTCGGCTCACTGCATCTTCAGCCTCCTGGATTCAAGCAATTCTCCTGCCTTAGCCTCCCGAGTAGCTAGGATTACAGGCACGCGCCATCACACCCTGCTAATTTTTGTATTTTTAGTAGAGATGGGGGTTCCACCATGTTGGTTAGGCTGGTCTCGAACTCCCGACATTGTGATCTACCTGCCTCGGCCTCCCAAAGTGCTGGGATTACAGGCATGAGCCACCGTGCCTGGCCAGTGAAATCTTTATATGTATTTTGGTAGCCATTTATATTTTCTCTTTTGTGATTTGTTTCATGTTCTTTCCCATTTCTTTATTGATTATTTACTGCTTTATCAGTCTGTGTGAACTTCGTATATGTTTATAATATTAACATTTTGCTAATTATATCTGTTAAAATCACTGGTCTCACTATTTTTTATAATTTTTCCATCAATTTTGCAATCAGAAATGTTTACATTTTTACATAGTAAAATATCATATTTTAAATTAACTATTTTTTATTCCCTTATGTTTACATTATCATTTGCCATGCAGGGTGAAATAAATAGTCACCTATATTTTGTCTATTTTTACTTAATGGCTTGATAATTACTTGTCTATTGATTTCACATATAATTATTTAAACCATCCATGACAGATAAACTTTAAGGTGGTCCCTGTGATCTCTATCTCCAGATGGGAACCCTCCCTGGCTGCCAATTTGGTTGCAGCCTTTCAGGGAACACAGCTAAGCCATGCTCAGAATCCTGACCTATGGAAACTGTGAGATAGAAAAGGTTGTTGTTTAAGCCTCTAAATGTGTGGTAATTTATTACACAGTGTAGAAAACTAATACAGATTTTGATGTCAGCAATGGGGTGCTTATATAACTAATACCTAAAAATATGGGAGTATCCTTAGAACTGAGCATTGGGCAGAGGCTAAAAAAATTTTGAGCAGCGTAATAGAGAAAGCCTAAATGGCATTGAACAGACTGTTAGTAAAACATCTGGACCTGGACTGTTAGTAAAAATGCTGCCAGTGAGGGCTAAGAAAGTAAAAGTAAGATACTGAAAACTGAAGAAAAGTGGATCATATTTGTGTAATGGCAGACAGCTAAACAAAATTGTCTCCTGAAGTGATATGAAAAGCAGAAATTTTACATGATGAACTTGGATATTTAGGTAAGGATAATTTTTAAAAAAAGTGGCGAAGTTGCCACTTTGTTTCTTCTTGCTAATTATAGTAAAAGGTTAAAAAGAGAGAGATAAGTTGAGGGAAGAACTGATGAACGAAAAGGAGCCAGGACGTAATACTGAACATTCTCAGTCTTACCAGACGGCAAAAAATGCTGAAATTAAGAGAGCATGGTTATGAGAAAAATCTGAAGAAAGAACTTTTGCTAAAAATTTAGAGTATTCAGTCATACTGGCTGGTCTTTTAAGAGATTAAAGGACTGTCTCAGAGATCCTCTCACTCATCATAGTGCCTCAGCCATCTCAACAGGAACCCAAATTAAATAACAGATTAACTTGAAAAGATCCTCTGTGTGTTGTTTTGTCTAACGGGATGAACACAATTGAGGTCCACAAAGTTCTTGAGAAAATTATTTCAGCACAAACTGCCAAATTGGACTGAAAGAGACAAAGTAAAAAATGAAAAGAATCTTGTCATATTCTCAAAATTCTATTTGCAGGAAACAGGCTGATAAAACTATTCAGCTGGAAAACACATGCTAACATTCATGAAAAAGAAGAATGTCTCAGAGAATGGAAAGAAGAGCCCAGAGGGCAGAGCTTAGAACCACAGAGAATCATTCCCAGGCCTTCAAGCCTAATCAACAAATTTCTGACATTTACCCATTGGGATTTCAGAACTGCTACTGACTGGTGACTCATACTTACTTACCTTCCCTTTTCCTCTTTTAGAACTAAAATGTCTATATCTGTTATTCTGTCTGTCCCACACATACATGTTAGGTATATTGGGGGAAGATAACTCGTCCCTGTAGTGATGCAGGTCCACAGAGAACAATGTGCCTTATAATCTATAATTAACAGAGTACACATGAGAGTTTCATTCACACCTGAACTTGATGTATATGATAAAACTTTTATTTTTACTCTAAATTAATGTTTTAATGAAATGAGACTCCTGGGAACCTTGGGATAGCGTGAACGCATTTTGCATGTGGAAGTAACAGGAATCACTGTAAACCAGAGAGAAGACTGTGATAGATAGACTTTTAAAGTAGCTCCCATGAATTCCACCTTCTGGTATTCATGCCCTACTATAATTTTCTACCCTTTAGTGGGCAGGACCTGTAACTTGCTTCAAATCATTAAAATATGACTAATGTGATGAAATGTGACTCCCATGATTATGTTACATTATATAAAACTGTATCTAACTAGCAGACTCACTTTGGTTTCTCTCCATTGCATTGCTGGCTTGGAAGAAACAAGCTTTTTTTAATCCTACAACTGCAAGGAGATAAATTCTGCCAACAACCTGTGAAAGCTAAGAATCAGTTGCTTTCCAGTCAATCAGATGCTTCCCAGTCAATCAGATGCTTCCCGGATGAGAATCAAGTCCCAGCAGACAGCTTGAGTGCAGCCTTGAAGAAGACCCAGCCACATTGAGCCTAGACTAGCTATCCACAGAAACTGTGATAAATGTGTAGCTTTAATCCACTAAGTTTGCGGATTTTGTATGCAGCACAAAAAAAATAATACATGACTTATTATGTATTTTGTTTGCTTTTGGTTTTTTATTCTAATTTCAGATTCAAAGGGTACATGTGCAGGTTTGTTACATGGGTATATTACATAATGATGAGGTTTGGGCTTCTAGTTAACCCATCACTAAAATAGTGAACATTGTACCCAACAGGTTACTTTTCAGTCCTCACCCATCTCTCACATCCTCCCTTTTTTTCAATCCTCAGTGTCTGTGTTATTCATCTTTATGTTCATGTGTACCCATTCTTTGGCTCCCACTTATAAATGAGAACATGCAGTATTTGATTTTCTGTTTCTGAGTTATTTCACTCGGGATGATGGCCTCCACTTCCATCTATGTTGCTCGGAAAGACATGATTTCATTCTTTTTCATGGCCACATAATATTTCATGGTGTGTGTGTACACACACACACACACACACACACATAACTTTTTATCCAATAATTCATTGATGAACACTTAGGTTGATTTCATGACTTTGCTAATGTGAATAGTGCTGCAATAAACATATGAGTGCAGATGTCTTTGTTACATAATTTTTTTTCCTTTCAGTAGGTACCAAGTAGTAGGATTGCTTGGGTGAACAATAGGTCTACTTTAGGATAAATCTTCTTGTTGAATTGAACGCTTTATCATTGTATAATGACCTTGTCTTTTTTTTACTGTTGTTGATTTAAAATCTGTTTTATCTGATATAAGAATAGCTACTCCTGCTGGTTTCGTTTTCTATTTTCATGATATATCTTTTTGCGACCCTTATATTTGAGTGTGTAGATGTCTTTACCCCTTAGGTGGGTCTCTTGTAGGCAGCAGATAGTTGGGGCTTGTTTTATTTATTTTTTTTTTTTGTATCCAATCTGCCAGTCTATATCTTTTAAGTGGAGCATGTGGGCCATTAATGTTCAAGGTTAATATTGATATGTAAAGTGTTGTTCCTGTTATAGTGTTGTTAACTATTGTTAACTAGTCAGTAGTCTCAATTGTGTAATTGCTTTATGTCCTCTGTAGCTTTGTAGTTACATGTGTTTTTATGATGATGATTATTATCCTTTTATTTCCATGTTTAGAACTCCCTTGAGCATTTCTTGTAGGAAACAAGTGGTGACAAATTCCCCCAGGGTTTGCTTGCCTGGGTAAGACTTTATTTCTCCTTTGTTTATATAGCTTAATTTAGCAGGTTATAAAATCCTTGGCTGTCATTTTTTTTTTCTTTTAGAAGTCTAAAAATAGGCTATCTCTTCTGACTTGTAGAGCTTCTGCTGAGATGTTCATTGTTATAGGTTTCTTTTATGGGTGATTTGACACTTCTGTCTAGCTGCTTTTAGGACTTTTTTCACATTGACGTTAGATAGTCTGGTAGCTATATGATTTGGTGATGTTCATCTTGTGTCTTTCAAATGTTCTGAGTTTCTTGTATCTGGATGTCTACATCTCTAGTAATATCAGATAAATTTTCCTAAGTTATTCTTTCAAATATGTTTTAAAAGCTTCTTACTTTTTATTCTTCTCCCTCAAAAATTCCTGCAAGTCATAGGAATTTGCCAAAAATTAAGAATAAATAATTTTTTTAAAAAAATAAGCAAAGCCTTTAAGAAATAGGGAATTATGCAAAGTGTCTAAACCTATGACTTAGATGCATTCCTGAGGGAAAAGGAGAAAAAGTAAGAAGTTTGGAAAACATATTTGAAGGAATAATTTGAAAGGCCAGTCTTCAAGCTTTGACATTTATTTCTTCTTCTTAGTTTAGTCTATTGTTAAAGCTTTCAGTTGTGTTTTCGAATCTCTTCAGTGAACTTTTTATTTTCAGAAGTTATTTTTTTTAAATATAACTATCTTATCTTTCATATCCTGAATTGTTTTCCTGATTTTTTTTCTGTTGCTTTTCAACTTTCTCTTGGATCCCATTGAGCTCTCTTACAACTCATAATTTGAATTCTTTATCTGTCACTTCAGAATTTTTATTTTAGTTAGGATCCACTGCTAGAGAGCTAGTGTGGTCCTTTGGGCATGTCACAACATTTTGTTTCTTCATGATGCTGGAGTTCTTACACTGGTTCCTTCCCATCTAGAGAAGCTGTCACTTCTTATTTTTGAATTTACTTTTGTATAAGTGGGATTTTTCCCCCTTGAGGATATGACTGTTGTGTATGTTGGGTAGGGCTCTTTGGCTTTGCTTCTTTATGCTTTCAAGGGGTCAAAGTTCTGTATGAATTCCTTAGTTATAGACAGCTTCATTTAATTGTTTTCTCAAATGCAGATGGTTTGTAGCTTGTAGCAGTTGTATACTGTGTGTGTGATCAGGCTCACTGTCTCCTACAGAGATGGAGAAGTAGAGGTCTCAGGAGGCTTACCTCATTCCCTGGTGCTGTGTACTTCTGTCAGCATGAATTATTAATAGATTATATTGGGTTGTACAGTTTACCCTACAGACCAGTAGGTAGCACTTGGACAGAGCTGGTTGAGTTCTGTACAACGAGGTCGAAAGTTGTGATGGGCTGTGCAAATTGACCTCCCGGCCCATAGGTGGCACTTACAGGCAGAAGGTAGTTGCAGTGGTGGCAGTGAAATTTTTAACTTGATCTTTGTTAATCATGGGAAGTAACAGGGTGTCCCGGGTGATGGGTGGGGCATGAAGCTCCCAGGAGATATGTACCACACTATACTGCCAAGGTGGCTCAGGCTGGGGGTGGGCAAAACTGGACAGAGCTGGGTCCGGTAAGCCTGTGACAGGCTCTCAGAAGCCGATGCAAGCACCAAACGTGGTGTGGGTCTAGGGCAGCTCTCAGACCACTGGGACAACCCTCCAGGGTGAGGTGGAAGCATCGCTCCTGCACCACAGAACCCTCAGGGAAAAGGGAGCTCCCTGGGGTTTTCTGCCCAGCAGGTGATCTTAGGGCCCACCCAACTCCCACATTCCTGACCCAGTGGGTCTCCCTCCAGTGTCCACCCCAGTGGCAGGCTTGAACAGCTAGCTAGTCCCAAGCTGTCCATACCCAGATCGCCAAGCTGGTCTAGGCATGCTGGGCCATGAGACTCGCTGGAGCAGAAAGCAGGGGCATCAGGCCATACCATTTCCAGTCTGGTCTCATAGAGAGCGGTGCCCACCTCCCATGTCACTACAGGAATTCATGCCATATCCTTCTCTGTGTTGTTGCAGTGGGGCTCCTCCCCACCACTCAAAGTCAGACAGACTACAGACCTCATCTCCATTCCCCTGGGCAGTGTGCTCAAGTGCTGGAGAACTGGGGCTAGGCCAGGAGATTTGCCTTCTGGCTCTTAAACCCAAGCACTGGCTGTAACAGGGAGGGGTGAACTGCTCCCAGAGCACCAACAAAACACTCAGGTGGGGCAATGGCAGCTACAGGGTTGGCCCCCTGTGGGAATGGCCAGGCAGGCAGTCCTGGGAAGAACAGGCGGCATGGGGTATCTGACTCAAATGCACCTCTGTCCCTCAGCAGTAGTGATGGAGCCTCTCTTCGGGGTTTGTGATCATGCCTGTGCCCTGCTCACTCCTCAGCCCTGCAGACAGCAGCAGCTGCAGCTGCATAGGAAAGGATGCTGAGCCTTGGGGGGTAGGCACCAAGGATTGCATTTTGCTGTAGCTCCCCAGAACACTGAAGCCTTTGGGGTTTCATGCAAGTTCAAGCAGTGCCTCTGCATGGTCTCTGGGCAGCTCCTTCTGCCAGTCCAAAGGTCTGTGGGGGTCGTGGAACTCTCTTGTAGCTAGGATCCCAGGGGCCAGCAGCAGGAATGTGGTATCCTGGGGTTCCTTCACTTACCCCTTCCTTGGGCCTGGGTCTGGGTCTGAGGGCTGGTCCCGGCACCCAGCGATGTTAAGTAGGCAGCCCTGTTTTTTCCTTCTTCAATCACAGTGTCTTCCATCACCTCCCTATTGAATTTCAGTGTTCCCTCTCAAAAGATGTGTTTGAAGTATGTTTTACTCAATGTTTTGGCTCCTCTTTATGGAAGAGGTGCATCCCAGCTACATCTAATCAACTACCTTGAACCTCTCCATAAAGTATTTTGTTCTAAAATATAAAATGAAATTCCAAAATAATTTAATCTTTAATAGCTACCACGACTTCTGCAAGACATTTCGGACATCATTGGAGATAAAGGATATATTTTGAGACAGGAAGATGAACTTAGAGCTCTGAAAATCATGTTAAGCATTTGTTTGCCCCTTTATTTAAAGTTGTCCCTGACATCTATAATTTCCTAGCAGTCAAATAATCAAAACTATTTTTTAAGAATGCAGTTCTCTCAAGTAGAGATTATTGGTAAGATCCCTTTGAGGTATAAATGAAACATTTTAAATACAGGTAATCTATTTAAGAAAATACAGCATAAAGATTTCATTCAAGAGATGCTAAATCCTCTCTGATTCTAAGGAAATAAGAGATCTCTTTTAGCTGGACTGGTAAGGAAAGGCTTTATGGGAGAGGTGCCAATTAGCTTGAACTGTGAACTATGTTACGTAAGACATTTATTGGTAGGTAAATGAGGGAAAGGTTAAACATTAAAGTTCTGTGTAGGGTAAAGATAACCCATGAAGCATTTGGACTACAGTGAGGAAAGAAGTTTAAATGAGACAATGTATTCCTGTAAAGAAGTAATAAATGATGGAATGAGAAAGGATAGACTGAACCCAGAGAGTAAAGTATCTTAAATGCCAAATCAAAAACTTTGAACTTTATCCCGAAGGCAGGCAATGAAATGTCATTGAAATCTGATTAACAGGAGAATCACAGTAAAAATTTATATCAGTTTCTGTACTTAGTCATAACCAGTTAACCACTTCTCAAGTCAGTTAAAATTTGAAACTGAGAACATAATGTAATTCAGTAAACAAAAATGATACCCATGCTTTCTTTCTATAGCTCAGAAATTCATAGTATTTCTTACCATTGGAGCTAATGTGACTAAAGGTAAGACATTCACATTTGGCGTTAGGAGTCCTGGGTCCTCAGGCTCTGAAACTGCCATTAGGATCTAATGTCACTGGTTAAATCACTGATTTGCTTGACACTTCATAATCTTATCTGTCAATGAGTGATGATGGTAATATCTGCTGTACAGACCACACAGTATTGCGGAAAAATTAAGTGATCATTGCAAACAACCTAATTTTTTGAGAGGCTTTATTCATCAAAAGAATTTTTTATGGATTAAAAAATGGTTTCAATTTAACTGACAAAAAATAAAATGAGTTGAGTTATTAAAGTCCAAGAAATATGTACAAGTCAGCAAGTACCTGGTGCAGAAGCAAAGAAGAAAACTTGGAATGTTTGCACTCTGACTCCAAGAGGACAGGGTCAGTAATCCAGTTGGAGTTTGACCTAATTGAGCAGAGGGTCCAGCAACGTTTGAACTGTGGCCTGAGCATAGACTGTGTTAATAATATTATAATGAGAAAAAGGCTCATGCAAATGAGCTGAGGAGTAATCAGATGTAGAACAACTAATGGTTCAGCTACTGCCCCCTAGGGGAAAAAAATGGGTGCAATGCTACAAGAAAACAAAAACCTCAGGGATCAAAGTGAATGAGTCAATATAAACGCCAAAGAAATGATTTATGGCACAACCACAAAATGGGATACCACGAAATATTGTGAACATGAAGAAAAGTTACTGATATTATTTGCTATATTATTAAAGAAACATGAACAGCATCACACATACACACACGTACATATACAGGGAGAAAACAAACAAAATATGCACCCAGATATCTATTTTTTAAAGAATCTTGAAGAAAGTTATCTCTGGATGTTGAAATTTAAGGTTGTTTATTTGTATTTTATTGGTAATTCCTCCAAATTGGAAAGGTGTTATATATATATATATATACAATAAAATTATGCTTTTTAATTGAATAATATGCTACATATTAAAAGAAGTGGTAAAGTACTAGTCAGATGAGTTATTATTCTTAATTATGATTAATTAATAGTTAACTTTTTCTATCCAGCTGCTTCTATGATTTCAACATAAATCATATCAGTGGGAAGCAGCTCATATGGCCTTAGGAATACAGAACTGGGGGTCAAATATTAGCTTCCCTTCTTGGTAGCTGAATGACCTTGGGCAAACTAATTAACCTTGGTATGTCTTTGATATTTTAAAGGTAAGATACACATAATGATACCTGCACCAAGATTGTTCTCAGCATTAAATAAATTGGCAAGAGTACGGTGCTTTCACTAGGTAAAAATAATGATTCGATACAGGTTAGCCACACTTATTATCACTGATCTATACATTCAGCAAAGATTTACTGAGTTCCTATTCAGTGTCAGAGAACCTCTTGCCTTAGGGAGTTCACAACTTGTGGATAACATTGTCGAGGAAGTTCTGTAGTATGCCTAATACAGTAAATCTAGTACCATAACAATTGAATGAATAACTTCAAGGAGTGATAAAGCATATGTGTTATTCTAAGACTGCAGGCAAGCGGGGCGAGGGGATGGGGGGCGGCATGCACTTATGCCTAGGAAAGGATAGAGTCTTTCCAGTGGAGGTGACAACTGAGCTGAGTCTTAAAGGCTGAGTAGGTGCTTAAGAGGCAAGGGAGAAGAAGAGCATCCTAAGGAGACAAAAGGGCGGAGTCAAAACCAGAGACATTAAAAAAGTCTTATCATATTTGGGGAACCAGAAGTAGTTTCACAGCGCTACAGAATGCTAAGGATGTATTATTATTCAAGCAGAAGCATCTTCTTGCTTTACAGCAAACACATGTAAGATTATGAAATGCAACTGAAAGGTTCAAATATGATTAAGTTGATTTGGTACAAAGATATACAAGAAGTACCATTTCAAAATTAAATCCATAACTTAAGCAGCAACATCTTAGAATGGATCAGAGATTTTAAAACACATTTCACATATAAAATTAAGGGAAATAATGTAATTTTGGCAGTAGACCAAAGGTGAATCTCCCTGCATTCATTATCATTATGTAGTATTTCTATAATGACACTTTCAAACAATATTATTAATATTGGTGATTTATGATACCTCATCATGCTCACCCATTTGGCCCCTGGGAGAACACACAAAGTAAACATGAGAATGTTTGAAATCAATATTTACCTTGCCTTTAAAAAGAAACAAAGAAATTTACTTTGATCATTTTGGGTGGGCACTGTCATTTTCTATTAGCTGTTTTTATAACAAGAGGGAAGTTTTGGCCACAAAGGATACATTGAGTGAAATAATTGTTGTGAGCGAAGTATAACTATTCCACAAGAGAAACTAAACCAATAGACTGAGGATAAACCATGATCAGCTGTCATCATTTAATCCAGTGTGATATACTAGCTACACAAGAGGGGAACAGGGGGAAAAGCCTACTTTGTCTGCTTCCAGGATTGAGTGTGCTGCATTGGAGTAACCCAAGCAATTAGGATCAGAGTACTTAGCAGACAGTAGAAATGGTCTAATCTGGACTCAGGAAGCTGTATCGAATGACTTCTTGTACTTGCTGCTAAGCAAGGTGAAGCTGTAGAGAAAATCCATACATACACAAAAAAAAAGCTCATGTCTTTTTTAAGTCACCAGAGATTCACTTTCTTTGACAAGTCATTAGAATCCTGTAGAACACTGGAACTACCATACAGTTGAGGTGCATTCCTTGTATCCCTAAAAGCATGAAAGAAATACAATTGTAGGATGGAGAAAGGCAGGAAGGAATATGCTGATTGGCATATAGAACATTTGGAGAATGATAAAGTTTAGAAATGAACTGAAGGCTTAGAAATCACCTAGCTCCAATATTACAGTTTTTACTATTGCACAAGGACCTTGTCTGTACTTGTCCAACTTGCTCTCTTACTTGTCCTAATGCCTCTTGTCACATGGTCTTTGCATATGTGGGTTTTTCTTTCTGAAATATTCAATATCACCTCTAACCTTTTCAATTTTTTGCCAAAGCCAGTGTATGGCTCCTTGCCCCGAAATTTGTGATATATTGCTTGTCCCATTGCAGGCTTTCATTTACATCTTCTGTTTGTCTTTTCTAGCATTTTCCATAGTGTCCTATTCATTTGTGTTTGAAAAGTATCTCTCTTCCCCTCTAGACAGTAAGCTTCATGTGGGTAATTGCTTGTCTATTTTGTTGAGCTTGCATCCCCCAGTGCCTGACACATAACAAGCTCTTTTTAAATTAAGAAGTGCAGCTTTTACTCCCATCATAAAACAATACTTCAGTGTCCCATATGTTTTTGCTGTTTCATACCATTGTGCTGGTTATTCCTTCTAGTAAGAATATCTTCCCTAATTTTGTCTGGCTAATTTTTCCCCATTCTTCAAGATGAATCTGAATACCTGTGGATATGCTTCTTCATCTCTTGACTAAGTTCCTAGAAGCCCTGTGCTTCCAAATCCTTCTGTGTATAACCCTCTAATAGCACCAACACTTTTCTTAACAGCAGAAGTTCTTTAAAAACAACATCCACTAAGGTAATCAACTGGATTAACCAGTCCTTTCAACTCTTCCTGAAAAAAACTCTAATACCCACAGGGTACAGATCACTTTTGGCTAGTTGACTGCTCTCTAACAGACCTGTATCCTTTGGCTTCCATTATTTGAGGTCTACGTCCACCAAGAACCATTGTGTTTGTTTCCATAATTTTGTATGTCAGGGATAATTGTTATTCTAATTACATAATTTAATTAGATTGTACATAACTAAGGAAATGTGACTAAGTAACAGAATCATTTCCATAAAAGAATAGATTAAAGCAAGTTGCCAAAAATGAGTCAATCATTTGTTATGATCAAGACTGATGTAAAAGACTTGGAAAAAATTATTTTAAATCTAGACATCTGTACTCACATGGCTTCACAAGTGCTTAGATTCTCTCTCCCCAATAAAGAAGCCAAAACTGGAAATGTTAGATGAGATATTATGTAAGAATAATGACAGAAAACTTTAATTAGCAGTCCTCATTAAAATGTCTACATTAAAATAATATGTTGAAAGCAACCTAAATGTCAATCAATGGATGTGTAGATTTTTAAGATGTGGTATATACATACAATGGAATATTACTCAGCCTTAAAAAGAAAGAAAATGTCACATATGCTACTATATGGATGAACCTTGAAGGCATTATGCTAAGTGGAATAACCCAGTAACAGAAGGTTATAGATTATATAATTTCACTCATATAAAGTAATCAAACTTACAAAGACCGAAAATAGAATGGTGGTTTCCAAGGGCAAAGGGAAATTGTGGAGTTATTGTTCAGTGGGTACAGAGTCTCCGTTTGGGAAGATAAAAATGTCCTGGAGATGAATGGCGGTGATGTTTTTACAACAAGGGGAATATACTTCATGTCACTGAACTGTACATTTTATAATAGCTAAAATAGAAAATTTTATATCATGTGTATTTTACAATTTAAAAACAAATTAATAATAATAGTATGTTCAAGGAAACTTTTATAATCCCTCACTTTGACTCCATTTTATTAATCAAGTAACTGTTGGTCTCCATCATGGTGGATGAGTAGGCTTCTATTACAGTAGCTTTTTTAACTGTCTCTCATCCTTGGTATACAGGAAGCCACAATGAGCAGAAACTGTTTCTTTCATCACCATCTACAGACTTCTATGTTTCCTGAAATTTAGTAATAGATCAATAAATGTTCACTGAAAGAATGAATGGACAAATGCTGTTATTTTGCTGCCGAGAGAACAGAAGCTTAGAAAAGCTAAGATCACACAGCTGGATAGTGGCATTAATGAGACAAGACTGCAAATTCCATTGACCAAAATTATACCTTTTTTATTCAATTTGAAAAATGTACATTAGAACCCTACTACATGCCAATACTGTGTTAAAGATTAAAGATACAAAGATGAAACATATCTAGTTTCTGCTATCACTGCTATATTTTGCTTTAAGACAACTGCATTAAACACTCAGAATTACGTCTCAGTTAAACCTCCAGGAGAAAGACTGGCAGGTGGGTTGCTCCTCTCATGCCAGTCAGAATGGCGATTATTAAAAGTCAGGAAACAACAGATACTGGCAAGGCTGTGGAGAAATAGGAACGCTTTTACACTGTTGGTGGGAGTGTAAATTAGTTCAACCATTGTGGAAGACAGTGTGGTGATGCCTCCGAATCAGAAATACCATTTGACCCAGCAATCCCATTACTGGGTATATACCCAAAGCATTATAAATCATTCTACTAAAAACACACATGCACACGTATGTTTATTGCAGCACTATTTACGATAGCAAAGACATGAAACCAAACCAAATGCCCATCAATAGTAGATTGGATAAAGAAAATGTGCCACATATACAACACGGAATACTATGTAGCCATAAAAAAGAATGAATTCATGTCCTTTGCAGGGACATGGATGAAGGCGGGAAGCCATCATTCTCAGCAAACTAATACAGGGACAGAAAACCAACCACATGTTCTCACTCTTTAGTGGAAGTTGAACAATGAGAATACATGGACACAGAGAGTGGAACATCACACACCAGGGCCTGTCGGTGGGTGGAGAGCAAGGGGAGAGAGAGCATTAGGACAAATACCTAATGCATGTGGGGCTTAAAACCTAGATGAAGGGTTGATGGGTGCAGCAAACCACCATGGCACACGTATACCTATGTAACAAACCTGCATGTTCTGCACATGTATCCAAGAACTTAAAGTTACAAAAAAAAAAAAAATTTAGACTGGGTTCCAGAGACAGGAGTCATGAGTTTGGGCAGCTCAGTTATTAATTCATCATCCCACCTTGAATAGCTCCTCTTCACCTCTCTACACTTCAGTTTCTTCATCTGTAAACCATCTTCTGAGTTAAATTACTCCATTTGGCAACCACAGACTCTCCAGAAACCTTAACAGTCTTTGAGAGCCTGACTCAGACTCCCAAAGCCACAGACAGGAGCATTTTGAGAGAAGAAACAAAAACAAATCATCTCAGGTCTCCATTATTCCAATGGAAACAGCCCAGAACAATAAGCCCCCTGGTCCAGTTACATCCAGCAGGATGTTTCCTGCTTAAGTCAGTACCTGCTAATCACATGGCTGAGCTGTCACACAAAGTGATGAATGTGGAAAACAGCCTTCTGGGGAATGGGCCAAAAATTCTCTTCCTAGCCAAAGAAATCAAAGGAAATGATTGTCTCATTCAAGTTCCATGGCCCTAGTGGGAAGGAATTGTTTCAAGCTCAGGAAGCAAGTCTATCTTCATCAACGTGTGTTCTCAAAGGCATTCCATGGCTTATGAAAAGAGCCTCCAACAATTTAGGGACACCATCAACCCTGAGGGATATCTCCTGCTCAATCAATCACTGCTCTTCATGACTGAACTTAAGTAAAACATTTCCCTGACCAACATCCTCACTTGTGTCACACACCCCTACTCTGTGCTCCCAGAATCCAGATGTAAATCTTTATCACAGTACTAATTATATGCGAATTTCTTTAATGTCTGCTATCAAGGCTATATAGCATGCTCCTTGAGTCTAGGGAATGTGTCTATCTTGTTCTTTATTGCATTTCCTGACAGAGTGCCTAACAGAGAGTTCAACGAATACATTGAATAACTGAATTGGTTATCTACCTCTCTACTCTGTTGAATTATAAGTTTTCTGTGGATGAGGTGTGTTGTTTATTTTCATATTACTACTACTTAAAGTAGATGCTGGCTCACAGTTAAGATCGATTTACTGAACAAAGGAATGATCCTTGAAGAGATGGAAGCACCCTCACCACACTCTACCTTCTGGGAGGTAGAAAGAGTTCCCTAATACCACTTTATTAGTTCAATACGCAAATGTCCATTCATTCTACTTGGTCATGGAAGCCTTTGCCACACACGTATACCAGGCTAGAAAATCTCAGATCCTTTGTATCATTGTGTTGATTGCTAGGCAAATGGACATCTTCAGTCTGGAACAATTGAACCCAAGTTCTTGTAATTTGTAGGTCTGCTTTAAGTTTTTATGGCTTAACCCTCTCCTATGTCTTATATCCTCTAATAGCCTTGCTTACGTCTTCTCATGTAGCAAAATGTCAATGCCCTGAAATTCAAAAAAACCCAAGTTCTAATCCAAAATGTGCTACCAACTCTTACTTTTCCCTGTCATTCAGACTCATTGGGACTTAGTGGACTAATCTGTAAAATAAATGAATTAACTAGCATATCTTCAAGGTTTTTTCCAGGAAATCTAAAATATTGTGAAGCTCTAACATACATCAAGCCCATGACCAAATGAATATAATTAACCAACTGTTTTGAATTTCTCCCCACTTCTTACTTCTTCCCCATAAGATCACCTATTCAAGACAAAGAGCTGAATGTGTTGGGTTATTATTGGAGCCTTGGGCCCAAAGGATCTGTCAGTGTGGTTTTCTGTTTCTTGAAGAGCTCCTTTCCTATATAGTCTTACCAGAACAGTTTGTGGTATTATAAATGAAGTCTCTAGATTCACAATAAGTACAGCATCAGTTCAGAAATATTCAGCTCTTAAAGCCACATTCTGAGGTCTATTGACTTCTCTTGCAGTCCAATTCAAATATCACCCTGGTGACTTCAGAACATTTTCCACTTCTTGCCAATAAGATTTTCTTCTGCCCTGTGTGGTCTCTGGTCTGCTTCTACTTAAGTTAAGGGCATGGCTTACATGCATTCTTTTGAGATTCACTGGTCATTTTTCTCTAAAAAGAAGCATCCAAGTGATATATTGAAAGTACATCTAACCTTCCAGAGCCATATAGCAGACCTCAGCTGAAATGAGCAACAGAACAGCATTCCAGGTGGCTCATTTTTACCTTCTATTGTGAAGTCACCACCTCTGTGGTACAAAAGCCATCTATCCAATTTCAGATCCTAATAATAGTGGAAAAAATCTATTCCAGACAATCATTGGTGAGACTACTGCATTGTGACTCAAAACACAGAACAAAAATAAGTACATTTTCAGTTAAACAGAAGCTGATGTTCACCTGCTTCCTTTTTTATGTACACACACACACATGCACGTGCACACACACTCACACAGACAATTCAGCATTCACTGCATGCAAAAGAGAAGGAAAGTGATTTTGAATTTTACTTTGAAAAATGGATAGAAAGATTGCTTATCAATTCTATAGCCTTTAGATGAGGAATTGAGGTGAATGTTTTTTCCCAGCATGAACATGTCTTCAAATATGTTCATCTCAGCAAGCAGAAATGTGAGTTACAGTTTGAAGATTGAAGGGTAACTTCTAACAGCAATATGGGTTACTGACTCAGTTCTAAAGCTAAAGGGAAAGTACCAAATCTTGGATGGTTCAATATTTTATAAGTGATTCAGAAAACTAATTTCAGTGCATGGACCAAGAACAACCAGTGGGGGTGAGTTGGGTCTCTTGTAGTAACAACTTTGTCACTCTGTTTGGGATTAGAATGAATAATTTGCAATAGCTCCCTTTACTGATCGCTCATTTAAAATAGGACTTCTTTTTTTTTATCTAAAGGCTGGGTCTCACTCTGTCACCTAGGCTGAAGTGCAGTGGTACAATCATGGCTCACTGCAGCCTTGAATTCTTGGGCTCAAATGATCCCTGCCTGAGCCTCCTGAGTAGCTACGGCTATACATGCCACCACACCCAACTAATTTTTTATTTTATGTTTTATCTGTAGAAATGAGATCTCGCTATGTTGCCCAGGCTGGTCTTGAATTCCTTGCCTCAAGCAATCCTCTTACATCTACCTCCCAAAGTTCTAGGATTGCAGGTGTGAGCCACCTCACCCAGCCTAAAATAGGCATTTTAATGTACAAATGATTCACATAGGTCCCTGGTAACATTGAATATTCTGACTCTGTAGTCTTCAGCAGGGCTTGAGATTCTGTACTTCTAACAAGATCCCAGGTGATGTGGATGTTGCTGTACCACAGACCACACTTGAGCAGCAAAAACTTCCAACAGACCAATCATGCCTCTAATACCAACGACAATTTTGTTTCTTAAAGTGACAAGAGGTGGAAAGGATTTGGTAGATACAAAGGCTTTGTGTTCTCTGAAAACAGATGCCATGTATTTATTTTATAATCACTTCCTATCCTTCTTTGCTTACAATGATCAGAACATTATTTGGGAGATAAATCATAGGTCCCTGAATTTATACAGTCAAAATACATTGTGAAAATATTAAGGATTGAAACATATTTAAAATCACAAAACCTCAGAGCAGGGAAGGCCTTCAATGTTGATCTGATAAAACCCTAATTGCCCTGGGTAGGACTCCCAGAATGGAGGAGACTTGACCAAACACTCAGTCTTGTCAGAGAACAGCTAACACTAGAGCCCAGTTTTTCTCACACCTACAAAGATAAGCTTGGTTTACTTTGAGTTTATTATTATTATTATAGAAAAGAAACCACAGTAACAATGCAGTTTGTTTTTCCAGCATTTTTCATTAACTACAACTATATTTTGTCTGCATTTCTTGAGATATGATAACAATAAACATACATATTCTCATTTTATAAACTGAGGAAATTGAGATGGTAACAGAATAAGCAAATAACTTGCCTGAGGAGACACACACACACATAGAGAGTGACAGAGAGAGAGAGAGAGAGAGAGAGAGAGAGAGAGAGAGAGAGAGAGAGAGAGAAAGAGAGAAAGAAAGAGAGAAAGAGAGATAGAGAGAGACAGAGAGAGAGAAATACATGGGCAAAGCTACAATAAGGATTTTCTCAAATGGCATTCTGACCTGTCATTAAGCCAAGTTATCTTCTCCTAGCTTATTGTTTTATATAAACAAAATGTGATTAATAAAACAATGTGTTTTATTTTTGTTACTTTTTTCTTTGTTTTCTTCCTTGTTGAGTTTGGCCAGTATGCAAGCATTGATCTTCTTCTCATATGGCGCTATACTGTGCTTTTTGTTTTCATCAAAATAATTAGTTGCAGCTCGGAAGATATAATTCTACCAGCACATCACAGAAAATCCTGCTTTCTGCCTTCCTTAATGAAGTCAGGCATCATGGGAAATGGAAATACCAGGGAAAAGAACACGTTGTAAAGTATAATTGCTTTCAAGAAGAAAGACCTCCCCAGTGAATCCATTTTGGATTAAATGCTGTAGAACTTTCTCTTTCTTTTTTTAATTTCCTGGCCCTTATATAAGGATATTTTTTGCAATACCCAAACCTTCTGCAAGGTTTGTCTGCTTTCGGGGTTGATAATGTAGAAGATGGACTAAGGTCAAGAATGAATTTTCAACCTTTTGCCCTTTGTCCCAAGAATACTTTTCAAATACCACTCTTGCCAATGTTTTCATGATGAATTAGTAATGTTATCTCTAGGTTGTCCCCACTCCACTTTGACGCCATCCACCCACCTCCAAATCCTGCTCAAAGTTTCAGCTTTTCATTTGTTCTATAGTCCCCGGCTCCCTTGGCCGTCCATCTTTGAGTGTGCCATGCTTGTTCCTGCCATGAGACCTTTGCCTTTGCTGCTCCTTCTGCCTGGAATATTCTTTCACCTCATCCCTACCTAACCCATTTATGCTACCTCCTTAGAGAGGGCTTCTCCAAACTCCCAATCTAAAGTCACCCCCAGCGACTCTCACTCACGGTGCTCAACTTTCATTCTCTTCCACACATTTGTTACTAATACTTCTGTGATTCATTTAATTTTCTTCCTCTCATAATAAGAACGTAAGCTCCATGAGATCAGGAACCCTTTCAACTAAGTTTTGTTTTTTTGGGGGTTTTGTTTGTTTGTTGTTTTTGTTTTTTATGAGACAGAGTCTTGCTCTGTCGCCCAGGTTGGAGTGCAACGGCACGATCTCGGCTCACTGCAACCTCCTCCTCCAGGATTCAAACGATTCTCCTGCCTCAGCCGCCTGAGTAGCTGAGATTACAGGCACCTGCCACCATGCCTAGCTGATTTTTAAATTTTTAGTAGAGATAGGGTTTTTACCATCTTGGCCAGGCTGGTCTCGAACTCCTGACCTCAGGTGATGTGCCCGCCTCGGCCTCCCAAAGTGTTGGGATTACATGAGCCACTATGCCGGGCCCCTTTCAACTAGGTTTCAACATTAATTGGCACACAGTAGGTGCATAATAAGTGTTGGCAGACTGAGTAGACTAAATCAATCATAAGGTATATATTGAAATTCACAGAATCCTAGAGCAGCCAAAAAACTAAAAGGTGATCGAATCCAACTACTTAATTTCCAGAACTATAAAACGAGCTCCACAGAGAGAAAAATGCCATTTTCAAGAAGGATTTCAGAAGCCACAGGAGGGGAAAGATGTCTTTTGTTATTTCTTTCAGCAAATATGTTAGGTGCCAGACATTAACCTGGATTCTTGGGAATCAAATGATGGGGGAAAACAGGCATGGCCTTTGGCATCGTGGCAGTTAGGCTGAAATGTGGGGGATGAGAGAGAGGAGGAATCAAGATTGGGCTATCCTGGGGGACACAATGGTCCCCTCAACCCATGAACTAGTAAAAAGCTCCCTAGTCTCAGAGACAAAGAAAACTGTATAACTATATGTATAACTGTATAACTATCTAAGACATAGCGAAGTACAAGAATAGGCGAAATAGGTGGTGCCATTGTGAAACCTATGTCAGAGTTCCATTGGTCTGTTACCCTGGAAAAACTAAAAGTTATCAAAATATAAACGAAGATGAAAATGGACTCCCAGTGCCATCTCTTGGTGACGTCTCCCACTACCATGGTGGAGTGGGCTTCTTCAACCCTGGAACCCACTACAGTCATGATTGCCCCAGAATTCATAAGGGCCAGATTAAAAAAAAAAACCTATCTGCAAGATAAACATATTAGACTAGGATTTTATTCTTTTGAAATGATTATTGAGGAGTTCCTAGGGAAAAGAAGATAAGCCAAACTGTGTCAGAGAAAGTTCTATCATTAAGAAGGTGCAGCAAAGTCTCAGTCAGCACTACTGAAGTGGCAAATTTCTAGAGACCCATGTATAAAAAGTATTATACAACAGATAATTATACTCCAGTGGATGTAACTTAATAATAACATAATTAGTGGCAGGAAAATAAAAAATATTTCACACAAGCATGAAAATCTGCCAACTTAAACAAATCCTGCTCATTGGCACATATTATGAGCTTAATCAAAATACAGTCTTGATTTTGGTCCCCATAGAAAGTAACAAGCATGGCCTCTTAATTATTATCAATGACCCAGGGGGATAAAATGAGCAGGTTTGGCTACAAACTTACCAAAAATCATATATTTATAATAAATTTAAAGCCTGATGGTTAATCTAGATTATTCTGGACAACTGTGCTTAGCTTTTCCGAGGCTATAAATGGAGGGGAAAAAACATTACTATGTTTCAGTTATTCGAGTCTCAAGTGAATTTGTTTTCCCTATTGAAGTGTTGAAAATGTTTCATCCACCCTATAAATTTAAGAGCCATTGGTCTTGGTTTAGGGAGCCACCAATCCAAAATAAACAAAAACGAACAGTTTCTCCTCTCTGGCTGTGTCTGGATAGTACCAAATTGACTATCAGTTTCAAAAATAATCAGTCAATTATATGAACAAGTCAAGTTGCTGTTAGTCCTACAGACATAAGAAATGAAGACTGAGCAAATCTTTCCATTTTTCCACTAACGTTGCTAGGTCAAGCGTACAATTTTTATAGTGTCTATCAATATCAAAGGCCTGAATCATAACATCACAGTTCAACCCACGATAGAATATTCAATTCTTCGTGTTCAGAGAAGTCTTCTCTATACCATGTAGATGAAGCTCATTGGCCTTCCTGCCATTTACTCCAAGGCATGGCTCATTTTTTGTAAAGGACCAGATAGCAAGTATTTTATACTTTGAGGGCCATGTATGATCTCTGCCGCATATTCTTCTTTGTTTTGTACAGTTGCTTAAAAGTAAAAATCTATTTTTAGCCCATGGACCATACAAAAACAACCACGGGCCAGAGTTTGCCAACCCTTGACTTACACCCAGCATCAAAGTATATTAGGTATGCACAGTCCAAATAAAGAGTGGAGGCAATAATGTTTTCTTCTTTTTTTGAAGACCTATTGTTGCTTGTAAGGAAATTTTACTTTGTTATTATAGCAGGAATAATTTTTTAAATACATTATACCAATGTCTTTTCAGTCCTTCATTGTTAGTTGAAGTAGCACTAGCTGATACAAGAAATGAATACAAAAACCTCAGTGGGTAACACAATACAAGTTATTTCCCTCTGCACAAGAGAATGGGCAAGAATTGTCTAATTCATACAGGTGTGCAGAAACCCAAGCTGACAAAGGATTAACTAGTATTAATACAGGATTAATTAGTATTAACCCTGGGGCCAACACTGATGTTAATATCCAGGTAGCGGACAGATAAAGCACACCCATGTATTAACCATGTCAACTTGGAATTGATAGACAATAATTCTTTCACATTTCACTGGTTAGAACCAGTCCCATGGACACACTTACAAGGGTATATAAGTGGAAAATATCAATGTATGCTGAGCATCCAGGGAAAGCTCTGTGCTGTAGAAGGTGAGCACAAATCTGGAGTTCTCTACCCCATCTGGAACTCCTAATCGTTTCCAAGTGTCCTTAGGATCTATGCCCATCAGCAAATTATAGCCAAGGCATTTGTAATTGCTTCCATGCCAAGAATAAGGGAGCCATTGCCTAATTTTTGTTTTATCAAATTAAACTTCCATATATCCATAATTAAACAGTATTTCTGAGCCAAGGCTTCAAATAAAAGGGTTTCCTGAAAACTCAGAAAGCTGGATTTTTAATGTAATACAAAGCAAGCATCAAAGTGTGACTATATAGTAACTACAGAAAAGGAAGGAAATGGGACATGACATAAAGAAAGTTCCTCCCCATAAATAAAGGGAAAAGCTCTTTGTAGCCTGAGACATGGGAAGGGGGAAAGGAGAGTAAGTGGAGAAATAGAGAGATTTAGAAGGAGCAAGACAAAGATTCAATGCTACTTCTGTATTCAACAGGCTCTGCATTCCCTGGTTTTTGACTTACAGCAAGGAGGCATGCCAATCTGAGGCAGTCAAAGTGGAGCGAAAGAAAGGTGTGGTATAACAAGACAGAGAGAAGGACTAAGATGGTTCTCCCAGCAGGGGACAGTGTCTCACGCCTGTAATCCCAACACTTTGGGAGGCCAAGGTGGGGTGGATCACCTGAGGTCAGGAGTTCGAGACCAGCCTGACCAACATGGAGAAACCACATCTCTACTAAAAATACAAAAATTTGCCAGGCATGGTGGCGCACGCCTGTAATCCAAGCTACTCAGGAGGCTGAGGCAGGAGAATCACTTGAACCCAGGAGGCGGAGGTTGCAGTGAGCTGAGATCGAGCCATTGCACCCCAGCCTGGGTGACAACAGCAAAACTCCGTCTAAAAAAAAAAAAAAAAAAAGATGGTTCTCCCATTTCTCCAGTGACCAACATTTTGTGGCTTGCAACAGATCCAGGAGTTCTCATATACTCCAATGAGGAATAAATAAATAGAGACTAGAAATCCACTGAATTATGTCCATAGTCAGAACAAAGAAGGTGCAGAGTTCATGAAACTTGTCCGTCTGTAGCAAATATTAGAACAAGTCACCAATCAAGTAGGAGCAGTTTCTTTGCCAACAAACACTAGCACAAATCCAGAGGCTACTGCACTGACCAGAGATGCCTCTCCTCTCCATGACTATGGGTTTTAGCTCTTCCCAAATGGGAACAAAGAGAAAGAAAAGGGCTGGTGATATGGTTTGGCTCTGTGTCGCCACTCAAATCTCATCTGGAATTGTAATCCCCACGTGTCGGGGGGGACCTGTGATCCCCACATGTGGAGGGAGGGAGATGACTGGATCATGGGAGCAGTTTCTCCCATGCTATTCTTGAGATAGTGAGTGAGTTCTCATGAGATCTGATGGCTTTATAAGCAGTCTGGCATTTCCCCTGCTTGCACGTCTCTCTCTAATCGCCATATAAAGAAGGCCTTTGCTTCCCCTTTGGCTTCCACCATGATTGTAAGTTTCCTGAGGCCTCCCCAGCCACGTGGAACTGTGAGTCAAGTAAGCCTTTTTCTTTATAAATTACCCAGTCTCAGGATCACCTGGGGTCAGGAGTTTGGGACCACCCTGGCCAAGATGGCAAAACCCCAGATCTACTAAAAATACAAAAATTAGCCGAATGTGGTGGCGCACACCTGTGATCCCAGCTACTCGGGGTGCTGAGGCAGGAAAATCGCTTGAACCCAGGAGGCAGAGGTTGCCATGAGCCGAGATCACGCCACTACACTCCAGCCTGAGTGACAGAGTGAGACTCCATCTCAAAACATAATAAAATTTAAAAATAAAAAAATTATTCAGTCTAAGGCAGTTCTTAATAGCAGTCTGAAAATGGACTGATTCAGATGAATAAGGGAGATAACAGAAGCCAGAAACGTTGAGTTGCCCCTCAACAGTGAGGACACTTTAAACTAGAATTGTGGCTAAAAGAATAATACCTAAATTTGACTGCAAATTTGACCAATTTGGACTGAATATACCAGAGTGCCATAAAATAAGTTGTCTGCTCTAGACAGCTTGAGAGAACTTGAGAACAAAATGGAGTTTAAGTATAAAAAACTAAAAAGTTATATTTCTGTGCCCCTGAGTGATCATGTGTAAATGTATACCTGATACACTATGTTG
Source organism: Homo sapiens (assembly GCF_000001405.40). Classification (NCBI taxonomy): domain Eukaryota; kingdom Metazoa; phylum Chordata; class Mammalia; order Primates; family Hominidae; genus Homo; species Homo sapiens. The sequence goes on along the minus strand of NC_000014.9, from coordinate 81,994,001 downwards.
ATTTTTGCTAAATTGTCTTGTTCCCCCTCAAGCTGAAGGCAACATGTCAAAACACTTCTACCTATTACAATAAAGAGTCTTTTAAGTGTAATCCCAGGATGTTACATAAAGAAGAGATCTTCAAAGTAATGTTAGATTTCCGAAGTTGTTATAAACACAAGCTTCAGATTCCCAAAATCTGTGTGCAGATCATAGTTGTACCATGTGCTGGCCACGTGCCGGATCTTCCTGCTGGCCAATAAGATCTTGGGCTGCTTACTTCAATGTTGAGCCTGAGTATCCTCCTTTATAAAACGGAAATAGCATGTACTTCACAAAGGTGGCTGTCAGTTTAATAAAGATATGTATGTAATACACTTACCACAGAACCTAGCATGTGATAAATGCTCAAAAAATGATAGCTGGAACCAGTCTAGCCTCACATTTTTCAGATAAGGAAGTACTGAGTCAAAAGTTTTAGCAGTTCATCAAAAAATAGCATCTGCTGTTCAAAGAATTAATTATATTTTTCAGGTTTAAACAGGGTATTCATTTCTAGAAAATAGGTCAGAGTCCTGTATCATAATTGTTTTATTTTCATTATCAGGACTACCTTGAGGGGCAGGAAATTCAATTTGTAACCATAACTGGCAAAGAGAGACATTTACGGGGTATGCATATTCCATGGATATGTTTCAAATTTAAGACCAAAATAAAGATAGAGCGATAATACTATACTTGCAACGCAAGGATTTTTTAAAGCACTTTAGTTGAAATTTTGGAAGTTTACTGTTGATCTCCCTAAATATGACCAAGTTAATTTTCAAGGCCAAATTAGTCCTCAGCCCTTAACAAGAACTCCAAGTTCCCATAGATGGAGCTATGACTGTAGTAGTGGTATGCAGTGGTAATGGCAAGAGCTGACATGTTATCAAGCACCTTCCACGTGACAACACTGTGGTAAGCATTTCACCCCGCATAAGCTCATTTTATACTTAAAATTTAACTCTTAAAAGATGTGCTGTTACCATTTCCATTTTAACATGAGGAAGCTCTCAGAGGTGGCCCATCTACATGGTTGTTTAGAAGCCAGGATTTCACCCAGAATTTGACCCAAAGCTGGTCTTGATTTCCTTTTTGCTCAAATCCTGAGCAATTTCCTCTGTACTTCCCAAGAACAGACAATGGTAACAGTACCCTTTCTATTTCCATCAAGGTCTTGGTTTATCAAAAGTATTGTTTCCTCTTCTTCAAGCTATCATGTATTCCATTTTTAATTAATATTCATTGTTGCATAAACAAAGGTGAACTACAACTACCTCTCAGCAGTAAAAACCCAACTACCCTTGTCCAGGGTGATCATTAAGTGATCATTAAGTCCTTCCTTCCTGAAAAGTAGCGTGGCTGCAGTCACACAGGCTGGAAATGGCAATGGAAACTGGAACCCAAGTAGTCGCTCTACCTTCAAAAACCTCATGTTTGACCATTATTTCTTTTTTTTTTTGAGACGGAGTTTCACTCTTGTTGCCCAGGCTGGAGTGCAATGGCGCCATCTCAGCCCACAGCAACCTCCGCCTCCTGGGTTCAAGCAGTTCTCCTGCCTCAGCCTCCCAGGTAGCTGGAATTACAGGCATGCACCACCACACCCAGCAAATTTTTTTTTTATTTTTAGTAGAGATGGGGTTTTCCATGTTGGTCACACTGGTCTCAAACTCACAATCTCAGGTAATCCAGTCACCTCAGCCTCCCAAAGTGTTGGGATTACAGGCGGGAGCCACCATGCCCAGCTTATTTCTTAATTGTATTACTAGCTATGGCCTCAGTGGGGCAGCAGTGGTAATAAGAGAAACTTCTAGATCTCTGATACCCTATCCTGACTTCAGAATTAGGCAATCTTTGACAAAATCAGTTTCTTTGAATCTCTGTTTCTTCATCAGCAAAACTAGGACTTAAAGCACCTGTTCACTTGAGTGTTCAGAAGCTGCAGTGTGGTGATGTTTGTGAAGTGCTATGGCATCAAAAGGATGGATGGTCCCAAAACGCTGGAGAAAATACCACACCTGTGAAGGTCGGTTGCCAGGCTGACGTCAGTAAGGAAATGATGTTATTTCCTGGTGCAAGAATTAGTTCCAAAATAAATGGCAAAATTAAAATAAGAGACTCTTGGGCAAGAGTCTCTATTATTTTGTACTTTACCTAATTTTTGAGGCATTCCTCAACACCATCTTCCTTGTTTTCAGATCCTAGACAGTTTTCCATGGATCAAGTGCAAAAAATGATAGTATCTTTTTTTTATTCCTTCAGAGGCTTTGTTTTTCATATTTTGCTTCTTCCTCATGGTATCATTCTTCTCCTTCTTTTCCAACAGTGCTCACTTATGGATGATGAACTTTTGGCAAGGATGAACTAAAGCCACTTCTTAGTAGTAAAAATCAGACCACTCTTCTCCACGGCAAATTCTCTCATCCTTCGTAACATTTTCATCTCAGCATCTTTCAAGTGTCTTCCCCTCTTAAGATGAATATCAGTAACTCTAGGGTTGAGTGGAAAGAAACTAACAGAATCACAGACACTTAAAACTGGAGTCATCTTAGCTATCACCAGTCTCCTCTCTTTCAATTCACATTCAGTTATCAGCGAATTTTTAGCATATAACTAAGCTAGAAGTTTATTGCATTGATGCATTTAATTTTATATAATCCTCACAACAATTCCATAAGCTACGCTTATCCTCATTTTAGGGAAAAATGAAACAAAGGCTAGGAGAGGTTATTTGCTTGTCAAATAGTTAGGCAGTAGCAACACTGTGCCTATACTAACGGTTCCTCTCTTCCAGGTCAGGAAACCAATTTGTTTTAAATTCAGGCCAATCACTGTACATTATCCATAATATCCAAAGCATGTTGCCCAGATGAACTAGCCAGCAACAGGCTGAAAATCAAATAAATACTAACGTAAAATGCTAAATGCCAAGGGTAACAGCCTTCAAAAAGAAAATTCCAATTAAATAACAACAAAAAAACCCTCTTTTGTTGTATATGGTTTACATTATGCTGTAGCTACATTTCTAACAGTGAAGACTGGTGAAAAATGTTTCTCCTCAGATATTCTTAAAAGAGAATTCACCCAAAGTTGCATTTTGCTTGTTTCACTGGTAGGAAGGATGAGATAGAGAAGAGAGACTGATAAATTATTTATGAACAAGACTGCTTCACTGATCAGATTTGGTGATGAAAGCTTCTTTGAAAACCCATGAGGAACATTCTTAACGGAAATTATATGCACTTCTCTTGGGTTGTCACTTTTTTTTTTCCCCTGCTATTAGTTTGATTTTGGCTTCGCAGTCACCACTGTGCAGAAATGTAACAGCAAACACAATGAAAAGCCTTTCCACATGATTATTTTCGAAAGTAATAAGACATGTGTGACCTGGAAAATCAGCCCTTCCGACGTGTCAGGTAAGGAGGTAGATTATTATATTTTTAAAAGCTGCCTTTATCTTTGCATTGTGCAGGAACTCAGAGGCAAACTTTTAGGAGCTAAGGATGGACTTTTGCTGCCATCTACTGGTGTGTGATGGAAGAGCAACATATGCTTCTGAACTTTCTCAAATGGCGATGAGAGAATTCAAAGTTGGGAGATGAGGGAAAGCGTTCTTTTGATTAGGTATGAAAGTCCTTGTAGAGAGGAATTTCTACAGCCAGTCATGGGACCATAGGTACCTTCTGCTAGAGAATTTTTAATAGCAACCCTCACCTATAATCTAATTATTTTACCCATGAGAAGGGCAGTCACTTTCCCCTCATTTCTTCAACCACAGTAAATCTGAGCATCTCTATATTCATATTCATTCCCTTGAAGCTTAAAACTGAAAAGGAATAGCATAACCATTTGGTTACTCATATAAGCTTTTGTTGTCAGAACAAGCTCTGAACAATTATAAGCTGCCTGGAAATTCAGGAGTTATGTCACATCTTTAAATATTATTTTTCTTAATACAGAAAATGGGCAACACTTCAGTGCCATTGTTCATCCATTCATTCCATGTACACTTACTGAGATGCTTGGCATGAGGATTAAATGTGGTCATACACATAAAGTTCCCTGCAAATACCTGACACACATAAGCTCCCAATAAAGGCCAATCTTCACCTCTTAACATCATCACCCCTAACTTCTCTTCATGGTAAAGTGACTAATGATTTCAAATTTGTAATATTGAAGGGAAGAAACTACCCAGAATGAGCTCATTGGATCATAAGTTTCCCTGAGAAGTTAGAAATCTACTTTCTGTGCCTCAAGGAAGGCTGTAACAAGAAGAAAGGATGGTGACGCCAAAAGAGAAAGACAAGTATGTTGATCAGAAGATTTCTGCATTGAGTCTATACGAATGGTAGGATATATCTGAATTCCCATCCAGTTATCACAATAGTCTCAAAGAAGGTGAAATGATTCGATAAGACTTGGAAGTTTAAAAGAATGAATGTACGTGGAAGATAAAAATTATTATACTCAGGTTATTTCACTTTGGTTATACATATTTGTTTTATGAGCAGCACTTTCAATTTGGCCAGATATGTAGATTCAGGAAAAATGGGAAGTTATGCTCTTGGGAGGGGGAGCAAGAAGGAAGTAGAAACAGAACCACTTCCTAATGAATTTCAACAGGCGAAATATGTAAGTATGTGAGATTTTTAAAGCACTTACTTTATAATAGCCTTATAATCATCACTATTAAAAAGATTTAGGAAAATAATCATGCCATACTCATAAGACTTCCTCCAACAGGTCCATTATATGCCTACACTGTACTGTAGTCCGTTAAGTGTGCAATGGCAATAAGTCTGAGAATAACAACGTACATACCTTACTTTTAAAATGCTTTATTGCTAAAAAAAAAATGCCGACCATCATCTGAGCTTTCAGTGAGTTGTAATATTTTTGCTGGTGGAGGGTCTTGCCTCCACATTGATGGCTGCTGACTGATCAGGGTAGTGGTTGCTGAAGATTGTGGTGGCTGTGGTAAGTTCTTATAATAAAACAATGGTGAAGTTTGCTGCATTGATTGACTCCTTTTCTCATGAACTATTTCTCTGTAGCATGCAACGTTGTTTCATAGCATTTTACCCACAGTAGAACGTCTTTCCAAACTGGGGTCTATCCTCTCAAACCCTGACATTGCTTTATCAACTAGGTTTATGTAATATTCTAAGTTCTTTGCTGTCATTTCAACATTGTTTTTCTTTGCTCGTCCATAAGAACAACTCTTCATCCATCCAAGTTTGATCATGAGATTATAACAATTCAGTCCCATCTTCAGGCTCCACTCCCAATTCTAATTCTCTTGCTATTTCGATCACATCTACAGTGACTTCTTCCACGGAAGCCTTGAGCCCTTCAAGATCATGCATGAGGGTTGGAACTAAATTCTTCCAAATTCCTGTTGATGTTGATATTTTGACCTCTTTCTACAAATCACAAATTCTTTATGGCATCTAGAATGATAAATTTTCTCCAGAAGGCTTTCAATTTACTTGGTTCAGTTCCATTAGACAAATAACTACTTATGACAGCCATAGCCTTACAAAATGTATTTCTTAAAAATATGTCTAGGAAGTTGAAATTGCTTCTTGTTCCATGGGCTGCAGAATGGATATTGTGTTCACAGGCATAAAAACAACATTTACAAGGTGTGCATTCTCCTTGCACACCTTTATATAGCTGTTGGGTGACTAGGTGCATTGTCAATGAGCAGTAATATTTTGACAGTAATCTTTTTTTCCTGAACAAAAGGTCTCAACAGTGGGCTAATATGTTCAGTAACCATGCTGTAAACAGATGTGCTATCATTTAGGCTTTGTTGATCCTTCAGAAGTTTTCTTTCTGCTGGTGACTCACAAAGGTTTTTGCTTTTTCTTGTTTGTTTTTGTTATGGTAGAATTCCTTTTTCAAAAAATGATATCACACTCATGTCCTGATATGTAAAAGAAAAAAGACACACTGAATTAGCTGAAGCAGCAGTGGAGACCAGGAAACACCAAAATGTCCCCAGACTCGCTCCTACTGCACTACAGAGGAACCAGGGGATCCCTGGAAACCTGTGAGATCAGTGAGAAAATCACTTATTTTGGCCATTTGTATTTTTCCAGCATGAACTCTTCTGGAAATAGCCCTTACCTGAGCAAATGGAACCATAAACACCAATGGAGAAAGATGTAGAACTTCTTCTCGTGCCCTCGCAGGCATCTCGCATTGTCAGGAATTGGTTCTTAGGTCACAGGTGATGAAAAGACTCAATATAGACTCTACTTGCAAGCATAGAGGAATTTGAAATGCTCAGTTCACCAACTCTCATACTTTGTTTAGTTGTTTGCTATTCATTTAGTTGATCCTCAAACTGCCGGGGTTGGGGGGTGGTGTGAGACATATGGAAAGTTATTCAACGTCGCAAAATGGCATAAGGAAGTAAAACAACTCAGTTGTGCACCGTTGTGGTAATTGGAACGTGTTTTACAAGCCTTGGAGTTCCTTGGTCCTTGGGCCATAAAGCCCCAGCTATGTGGATATAAGTTGAGTCTGACAGCTAACTAATAAAATATGTCTTAGGACAATAGACTCACTTCCTAGCCTACTGTCCTTCCTTATGCTAACTAGTCTTTTATCTTCAAAGGCTGAGAAAATGATGCTTCTGCTCATGATGAAGCTGTTGTTGGTGATGCCAGTGGTGGTGCCCTCTAAAAAGTGTGGCTTTGAACTTCAGCCAACAGCACTAATTTTGCTTCTTGAATGTGTCTATCCAAAGAGCTACTTTTTCTAAATAAAGTTACATCAGCATATGGCAAAAAAACTAATAATTTCAGTACTTATAAAGTAGCTCCTTTTGAGTACACCAGTAAAAATGTTAAATGTTTTGGCATGTGTATTTTATTCCTTATGTTTGTAGTGGTTAAAAATCATTTTTCTTATCTCTGTAGAAGATTAATCCCAAACTTGCATAAGCATTTTTATAGTTTGTTCGATATAAGAATTACATGGAAGTTTTATTGTTTGAAAGTTTTAGAACACATTCCAAGCTATATTTCTGTTTTCAGTGGGTCATAATTTTTAATTTCTATAATTTCCTTTTTTTTTAATTCTGTATGCTCTGTTATGCCACTCAATATTAGTGATTGCTTCACTAAAAGTTTTCTAATTATTCTTCATTTGTAATATAATCTAAGATGTTTAAAATACTATTCTGGTTAGAATATATTGAGTTTTTTAGAAAACAAAACTTTTCTGTCATCTGCCAAAATGTTTTCCATAAGTATGAAAATATTCAAAAAAGTTTTATTTTTCCAGTGAAAAATAAACCCAACAGTGAAATCAACCCAATAGTTTCCTGTTTGGTCTCTGAAAAGGGAAATATAATATAAAATAATCTGAAAACCTCTCATATAAGTAGATGAAGTAGAAGTACAAAATTAGCTGGTTGGCTGGATAATTGTAACCTTACAAAGAATAAACCATAAAGATGTAGTCTAAAATTCCTTCACCATGTCCCATATAGGTATATATGAATAAACAAGCCTTGCAGGAAAATATTTACTTTGATTTGTATGTGACAATTTATCTCTTATTTAAGCTGCTCAGTGGTTGAACCCCCTTTCATATTTGGAGAATTCCACAGTTTATTAGTTTGAGTGGACAGCAAAGACCTGCTTTAGAAAATGGCAATGCTCTCTGATTGCTTTTTTAGCATTGCTTATTTACTTGACATTGACTGAGGGACCTCCAGTAAGATTTATATCCTGGTTTGACTTTGACCCAGTAGCTAGTGATGCAAGAGAGAAAGAATGGAGAGCTCTCTGTTTGTTCATGGCAGCAGGTACTGTGTGGGATGCAAGGTTGAGTGTCTGGTCCAGAATTAGTAGTCATACCAACTCTAGAATCTGGTGTTTGGCAGTGGGGACAGCAGTTTGCTTGACAGATATGTTCTGAGTGAGGCATGCTGGTCTTTTCTTCTGTTCTCCCAGTAATTCTGTGAGCTACACGATAAAATAAATTCATTTTGCTTGAACTACTAGACACAGCTTCTCTGCTTGCAGTGAAGAACTATGAATTAATTCCTCAAGACCTTTGAACCACAAGAGTTACCATTTACTTGTACACCAGTTGGGATTTTTCAAATTGACTTAGGTTTACCTAGCCAACACCACCTTGCTCCTCATATGTTAGAACTTAGCCCTCCTTTTTTTCATACCCAACATTATTTAGCCCAATGGCATCTAGGAGTTGTGTGTATTAAGTCAAAAATTGGTCAACTGATTGAATAACTGATCAAAGACAAAAAGAGAGAAAACGATTAATTCTCTGTTCTGTCTTTGCTGTCCCACATAAGATTGTTTCTTTTTAACATAGTGATCTAAAATAGAGGTTAAGTAACTGCTTTAAAATAAGGTTAACTAAATCCACATCCTTGGTTCTGCCTCATCTCAAGCTTGTATATGTAAAAAGCCAAGCTCAACATCAATTACCCCGTTAGGTCTAATGCAACAACAAACGTGAGGCAAAAGTGATTTCATTATTTTTATGCAATGCACTGAGAAGTTGGCTATGGCTGTCAGTCCTCCTCAGGGTATTTACACCAAAAGTCAATGTACAAAAAGAAACTAACATAGCAATTTATGTATTTCACAGTGCATTCATGGGGAATCTGTTGTTCACATAGAAAGTCTACATGTCTTTGATTTTCATCACCAACATTATATTCTCTGAGATTCCAAGTGAGAGAACTGGAGCACTCACATTATGTCACCTGCAAGTCACTGGCAAGAAAAGTCCAAAATCAGGAGATAGTCAATGACCACAGCTTCTTGCAACACAGAAAGTGGGAAGTCTCAGACTAAGCAGTTTAATAAAATTAAACTTAGCAAAAGGATGATTTGAATTATTTGTTCAAATGAAATAACCCATCAAATATTGAGTTAAGAATCAGGGAGTGTGAAGGGGTCCAGTAGGAAGTGTTCAAAAAAATATTTGTTCAATGAATGAAGAAAGTCATTTTCAAAATATTCCATAAATAATAATGTTATGGTGGGGGCTAAATATAGATGGACAATCTTCCCTATCATTTCTTTGAAACTCGATTAACCATCTTACCGTTTTCTACCTGCCATTCACACACTCTCTCTCCTCGTCTCATCCCTGAATATTTAGTAACATGTGATGCTGCAGTCCACATGCAAATCCAAAAACATTAATGGTTATTATCCACTACTTTGAAACAAACTGTAACTTGCAGAAGGTAGATTACACAATGCTGCATTAAAAAACAGCACTGCTCTGCCTTTCAAATAATGGTTTGCAAACATTTCTCCTGTGCTGCGGTGGAGGGATTTGGAGATGGGGGTTGTAAAGGCCCTGCTATGTGAACTAACTGGGTCACAGCAAAGAGAGCAAACTCCATCTCTTGTAGTCAACAAAACAATGATAAATGTTGTATTTCATTTTCTAAAGCATCATCTTTCAAGAAAGTAGCCAAGCAAGTAAAAATTGGATATCTCAGCCTAAATAATACTTTATTTCCACCTGCCACTGATACTTGCTGCTGACAAATTGGTATAAATATTTGAGATGCTAAAAAAAATTGAAGTCATTGTGCAGAAACCAGCAAATACATTTTTGAAGAGATGAAATGGAGTTGGTCTTAATAAGAGGCAAGACACTATTCACATAGAGATAGGGGTTTCTACGTCTCTCTATGGTTCTAAACTTCCTTAGGGGAGGAGGCCCTCTTCCTGGGGCAAAGTTCTACCATATTACTGATTTGGACACCTCTTCCAGTTAAGTGTCTCAAAGACAGATTTAATTTTTATTGAGTCTAGCCATATAAGATATTACATTAAATATTTATTAAGGAATAATGCCTTTATTACTTTTTAATTAATTCTTGAAGAACACCTTTTGGTGTTTTAAAATTGGTTAACAGTAATAAAAAGCCCCAGAATAGAAAGAGCAAAAATGAAGGATATTATAGACAGGCAGTGACAGGAGTACAGGTTCCTTTCAGCTTCCTTGGGTTTTTCTGAAGCCAAGCTTCTGGATTTATGCTTTGGTTCCCTGAGGAAGCTCTTATTTGCAGAATTATAGTACTATTATCTGGGAAGAAGTGCTTGGTAAATAAAAGAGACTTTCTGGTCAGAAAGACCTGGGTTCCAGTCCTGGCTCAGATAAAGTAACCACTCTATGCCTCAGTTGTCTTCTCTGACAAATGGGGGAAAATCTAACACTTAATTTAAATGTTTGTTTTTAAAAAGAAATAGGATAAAACATTAAAAAGCACAATACCAGGTATGTAGTAAGCACTCAACTAATATTAGCCACCACTAGTATTAATATTTTTATTTCTTCAAAACTGATGCCAGATTATCCCAGGGTCTGCGATTATTTTGCTGCTGCTTTAACATCTAAGTCGGCCGGGTACAGTGGCTCACACCTGTAATCCCAGCACTTTGGGAGGCGGAGGTGGGTGAATCATCTGAGGTCAGGAGTTTGAGACCAGCCCGGCCAACATGGTGAAACCCCGTCTCTACTAAAAATACAAAAATTAGCCAGGCGTGGTGGCGGGTACCTGTAATCCCAGCCACTCAGGAGGCTAAAGCAGGAGAATTGCTTGAACCCCAGAGGCAGAGGTTGCAGTGAGGCAAGATCATGTCACTGCACTCTAGCCTGAGCGAAAGAGTGAGACTCCATCACAAAAAAAAAGATCTGAGTCACCTAGTCATCTAAGATTTCACTCTACTTCAGCTCTATTTCCTAAATTAACCATCTTATGTATTAATATCTTCTGATTTGTGTGTCAAGGTTTATTTTTTCACAATTAATTTTTCTTTCCCCTCTTAAAACAGCATTACCACCGATGTAGTTTTTCAAATTACAGCTTTCATAGCCTTAACTTACACAATTGCCCAAATGGCCATCTTTTTCTCTTCTTCTTTAATTACAGTACATATTTTTAAAAAATCCTTGGGAGGGCAATTCTGTTCTTCCATCATTTATGAAAGTCCATCTCGGAACAAAACGGGGATAAAAACAGACTGATAATTGGTTTTGTGCCAACGGTAAAATGTCCCCACTCTCCTCTTTACCCTCAGCTACTTCTGTAGTTATCCTCAGTCAGGGCTGTGTGAATGGCGAAATGTACTAATTTCAAAAGTCATGCTGGCCTTTGGATTAAATGAAGGTAAACTAAATATGCCTCCAGCCCACCCATTCTCTAGTCCCATGGACACTGAGGACCACCAAGTACTCTACAATTTGCAGTGTAGGATATGAGACGCTGAAAAACTTGGAAATGAATGCAACTTATTCTGCTCTAACCATATGGGTTCCTGCCAATTTCATCCAGGGAGGCGGAGCGTAAGAGAAAGGGGGAAATGGCAAGGCAAGGAGAAATTTCCTTCATGTCAGAAATGTAAGTTTATAATTAGTCACAGAGAACAGACATAGTGAGCACAAAAAAAGTATTACTATTTGTTTTTACTTTGTCTTTTATATCATGCTTTCTCTTCTCTGCTTCAATCCAACTTTATTTTAAGAAAATAAAATCTTAACGCTGAAATTTACCAAGAAAATGTATTTCAGTTCAAATAAAAACCAGCGAGACTGCTGGTTCTTTCATCAATTGTATAGATATCCCACTGAGTAACAAGTTTAATGGATGACACAGGAATGTTTTAGCAGATAGATTATCCTAAAACATTACCATCTTCTAGTGCACATTAACATAACTTTCTCAAGCTGTGGAATTCATGACGAGTTGGAAAGTTTGCTGACTCCATGTTTTCCTAAGACGGCCTTAAAGGAAGACTCCACATACCATTAGCTCTTTCCTTTTATGTAGTGGTTATGCTTCACCATTTAGAAGCTATTTTCTCTTCCAAAACAATAAAATAAAATAAAGCTGCTTTCTTAGTCTCCTAAACTGGGAGGGACCATCGGCTTTGATGATACCAACCAGCATAAATGTCAAAATCTCTTTCCATATACTGCTACCTATAAATTACTGAAGGCTCGAATCTGCCTGGAATTGGGAAATTTTAAGTGTTTCAGGCATAAGAATCAAAATATTTTTATAAAACTTTTACTGAGCACTTTAGCATATTGTCTGGGACTGAGAAATTATGTTAAAGTAATTGTTTCATTTAATGGGCCTACGATCCGCTGACAAAGGTACTATTATTTCCCCCATTTTTTCAGTTGAGGCATGCATATTGGGAGACATGTCCCAATGCTAAGCAGCATGCCCCAAAATAAATGGAGAATACTAATCAAGTCTGATTCCAATCTCATTTCCTTTACCACAGAGCTTGGCTTGTTGTCAGTTAATAGAGCATAACAATAAAAAGCATCTACAAATATTTCTAAGGCACAGACACTAAGAAGATAATTAACGTGAAGGAAAAGGAATACTAGAGATGTGACGGAATAAAATCAAACAAGGATGGAACCTATCCACATCAACTGCCCCCATCCCTTTCTATGTCAAAAAATAACCACGCTGAGATCAGAATAAAGGACTCTTTGTTTCCATCTGCAGAAGATAAACCATCACGCATCTGAGGCTGAGTTTTGGAGCTGCCACTCTCTTCCTGTTTCCCTGCTTGAGGGTCCAATTAAAATTTAACAAAAAAAGCTGGAGTTTGTGTTTATTCGTTACCAATAGCTATATATTATTCACTTTGATTTCTCTAGGCATAAAAACAGTTGGTCTTGTAGGAGGCAAGACACAAAGAGAGCAGTGGCTGCTATCTGCTCAGATCATAGAGGGCAGCCTGTCAGCAGAGAGCTTAATAAAGCCATTGCTTACCAAGAATGCTTATCAACTGTAGGGGTTGAAGGCCACTGAACCTTGTGCAGAGTCAGCATGGCCAGAGCTCAATGGAGTGCCTTTACATACTTCCCTCTGACAGTATCAGTGTCACAACTGCCAGTGCTGTCTACAAGACACCAAACGCCCCTGTTATGAAAGCAAATAATTCCACTAAACAACTGGAGACACTGGAGTATCTAAGTGCTAAATGAATATCCAAATGAGTCAACCTTTGTATCATTTGATTAATTATAAAGTGCTAATCAAGTGTCAGGTGGTATTAAAATACACATGGCTTTCAGATATTACATTGCAACATCTCAACAACTCGGGAAGGTTCGTTATATTGACAGTTTTCAGATAACAGCATGGTATTCCAAATATTTTCTCAGAGGTTTCAGGACCATGAAGTAGTATAGTCTGGATGGAATTGTAGATCTTTTCATTCTCATTCCAACAAGTTTTCCACTGTATCACAGCTAGCGCATTTTTGTTTTTGTTGTTGTTGTTGTTACATGGATATCTTCAAACACAATAATGCTGGAGAGAGTTTATATCACTAATATTAAACCAATCTCATGGCTATATCTTCATGTGTTCGTTTGTTATGTTAATTAAATAAGAACAACAACTTTAGGTCTTCAAGGTTCTGTGCCAGCCTGTTATATTTTAATTGTCCCATACGTGCTTATAAACGCCAATACACTGCACCCACAGTCACTTTTTTTCATGTCATTTTTTCATACCACCAAGTCAAGAATTTCCTATATCTGCCTGGAAGAAATTAGTTCAATGTCCCTATTTTCGCAAAATCTGAAGAAACCCTAATGAAATGTAATAGCCCAAAGTGAAAGAATATATTCCATTTCCTTGAAAGCTACTGCCTGATTTTCTTTAGCCATGGTCTGGTGTCTTTGAATCTGTTGGTTTATGGACCTGTGCTAATCTCATTGTATTAAAAACTGTCTAGAGTTCATGTACTTTATTAAAGCCAAGCCCTTCTTGTCTACCTTTTCTGTCCAGGTGAGAACTGACACTTTTGAAACTGAAATAACCCAAATGTCTGAGCCAGAACAGTCTTTCTATCCAAATTACTCACGTGTCCCAAACTGTTGGTGAGCTGGAGTTGAGTGGCTCTTGGATTTCCTTGTATAGTCAGTCCCTCCACTCCAAGCAGTGGACTTATGGGTAATGTGGTGTGAAGCTTGCTTTTCCAATTGGAGCTGTCTTTTCAATTCCAACCATAGTCAATGCTGATTAAATGTCATCACCTATAGATCAATTTTTGATCCTAAAATGCCATAAAGCATACATCTATGAATTGTTCCAAGGAGGTGACCATCAGCATCTCAAAAACCACTACCAGCAGCATGTTTCATCAATCAATATATGCAATACTTTCTTTAAAATTCTGAAACAAGTCCAAGTTCTCCCAAACTCAAAGTCAAGTCCAAATGCATGGAAAATGTTAGTGATTTTTCCCCATAATTGGCTCTGTTTCATCCCTATTTTGTAAAGATTTAGAATTTCAGGTAAATAATGTATTTAATGGTTTTATTTGGTAGCATCCGAAAAGCCAGTTGAAAAAAAGGAGGCTTATGGCTGACTTTTCTTTTTCATTCATAGATTGTTTAGCTCCAAATAATTCTAGGGTATAATTTCATGGGAACAACAACAACAAAAAGTTCAAATGACCACAAGCACGCAGCATTCATAAAATTCAGTCAACTGCTATGAAAAATGCAATTTAAGTGAGCAAACTGAGGAACTGTAATCTGGACTAAGAAGTGTCCTTACTTAGAACAAAAGGCATTAATCAAACTGCAAATCTATAAACCAGAATAAAATCTAAGCCTGCAAAGAGAGCTTAAAGCTGAAAAAGAAAGTTTACTCTTTATATATTCATTATGAAGAAAAGAGTGCTCTCTAATATTGATTCTTATAATTTATACTAACAACATTAGAATACATTCAAAGAAGAAAAAAGCAATTTTTACTGTGGTATCAAAATTATGGTATTCTTAAATACAAAGGAATTGGGATGATTTTTGTTCAATTAATCAGAAAATTTGTTTAAAGAAGAGAATAATAAAAATTTAGGCAAACATACATTAAACTTTTTTTTAACCTTAAACACATAAAGAATAACTCAGCAATTTTTTTTTTTTTTTTTTGAGATGGAGTCTTGCTCTGTCACCAGGCTGGAGTGCAG
Source organism: Homo sapiens (assembly GCF_000001405.40). Taxonomy (NCBI): domain Eukaryota; kingdom Metazoa; phylum Chordata; class Mammalia; order Primates; family Hominidae; genus Homo; species Homo sapiens. Next base: position 81,978,957 of record NC_000014.9, on the reverse strand, counting down.
TGGTGGGATGGATGTTGGCTCACTGCAACCTCCACCTCTTGAGTTCATGCAATTCTCCTGCCTCAGCCTCCCAAGTAGCAGGGACTAAAGGCATGCTGGTCTCAAACTCCTGACCTCAAATGATCTGGCTACCTCAGCCTCCCAAAGTGCTGGGATTACACATGTGAACAACGGTGCCCAGCCTAAGCAATCTTTTGTTGAAGGTCAAGCTCTCTTCTTTGAAAGCATATCCAATAAATGAAATTTTAGCCTACTTTTCTTGCGTAACACCATATGTGTTGTATCATCCAAGACTCTCAGTTCTCATTTCTTTAAAGAAAAGAGGGAATTTAGGCAGTTACAAAGCAATCTCAATGCAAGATCCTTCTAGATATTTATTTTTCTCCAGTCTTTTAAAAACTCTCACCAACATCTAATTTGATTTCATATTGTTGACAATTTATCTTTATTAAGTGTTTAAAAAGCATTCAACTTAGTTTTACAGAGACAAGTTTGTTCTCTAACATATGATTGATTGGCTTATGTAACATTAGGTAAATTACACAATTAGAATAATGGGCACAACTGATAGACAAGTTTAGAAACAAAGACAACTGACTCTTAGTAAATATAAAACGCAACTGGAGGGTTTAACTTTTATGAAAGTTCAGCATACTGGGGCCATCAATCATATGCCTATATCTGTTAGCTATTACCATAATCATGCAATAAACACATAACCATAGTGTCTCATAACAACAAATATTTACATTTCTGACTCACAGGTTTCTGGATACTTTGGGGTTCAGCTGAGCTGGTTTCAGACTGCAGGTTAGAATAGGCATGCTTTCTGTATCTCACTCTAGATCCCAGAATGAAAGGGTAGTGGCTACCTGGGACCTGTTATTTTCATGATGACAGTAGGACAAGAGAGCCAAGCTAAACCATAAAAATACATGTCAAGTCTCCTCTTACGTCAGATCTACTAGCATTCCATCAGCCAAAGTAAAGTCATATGGCCAAGTCCAAAGTCACAGAGAAGGAAAGCACACTCAATCTGTCATTGGGCCATGTCAAGAGAGTGGCTCCAGAATTCTCTAACAGGTGAAGAATTGGGGCCAATATCTCTATCTACTCCAATGTTTTACAGAGTGAAAAAGCAGAGTGTTTAATCCAGGGAATCTGTTAAGTGGAAGTCAAGAGACATTTGATTAGACTTAGGGTCAAATGAAGTAATGAATACAATGAACTCTACTTTTATTTCTTGGTTATTCCATTCACTAATCCATATAATCAACAAAAGTATATCCTGTGCATTTTATGCACCTAATATTCTGGAGATATGAAAAAATTAAGTAAAAAGTTTCCTTTGCTCTTGACTGCCTAATGGATTATCTATGCTGAGAGATAAAGAAGAATGATTCAGACTAAACAGTAAAACAGAAAAAAAATGTGATTCTTTGACTTTGAATGCCTTTAGGAAGACAATACATTTAATTTCATAATATGCTTCTGCATGAACTAATGATAAAATCAGCTAACATGCTTTGATTATTGTTAGCAGCAAATTATTACATACTGTCTTTTACCTCCATCCCTTCAGATTGTCACACTAGGTATATTAAGTGTGTGTGAGAGAAGAAGGACAACATACTCCCTGAGACTAGGAAATCCTGAAGTGCTCTTCAGACGAAGATACCTGGACAACACCAAATCAATAAACAGGTGCATTTAACAAAAGAGAGAGGTTTTGATAATGGGAAACAGAACAATTACTATCCTGAAGATATTTATATTTCTCTTGCAGGCAAATGTTAAGTACACTTACAGAGGTTACATACGGTAGAGGAAAGAATACTGTATCATCAAGGATTCTCCCATTTCAATTCCTTAAAGTGGAATAAGAACTTAAACCCTCAGGAAAGAGACTGTGAAATTCTAATGTTTACTCTATCATTAGTGATGTCACCTTTGCCAAAGCATCTAACATTTGTAAGTGTTGTCTTCCCTACAAACTGTCCCTACTTGCTCTTCCCCTCCCAAGGCTGGGATAGATGGAACCCTTTGATTCCTTTACATCTTAATCCTATCTCTATTACCTGAACTATTAAATTGCTTTATAATTACTGTGCATATATTTGCCTCTTGCACCACCAAGTTTCTCGAGATCAGAGCCAATGTCTTATGCCTGTTTGTAAAATAAATCTATGAAAGAAAATAAGACTTATTGATGATTGGTTTAAAATACTCAAAACTCTACTATAGCCACCTGTGAAATTGTGTGAAAATCTTTTTAAGTTCATTTTGACTGAAGAAATCCCAATATTTTTTTGAGAACAACTCTCAATCTCTGCCCCATAAAGTATAATAATTTCTATTATAGGCCCCAAGCCCCAATTCAATAGAGCACATTACTACTTTATTTTTCAACATTACATTTAAGCTCTGGCCTGGTTATGTGACTTTGAAAATAAAATTCAGGCCTTCAATCTGTCATCTTTTGCTTGTAGACAATGAAAATGCACAAAGATGAAAATCTTGATGCTTCATGGACTCACCATAATGCTGTGCTAATACAACAGCCTGTGGAGCAGGCCTTTGGTGTGACCCAGAGAAAATGCTTGAATATTAACTTTAGAAGAGAATTGAGGTGTCATTTGATCTAAGATTGTTTATTTTATAATTAAGAAAATTGAGTTCCTAAGAGATGAAGTGATTTGCATAAGGGTACCATAAGTCTTATAAACAACAGGCCTGGGACTTACAACAAGTCTAATGTGTATTTTTTTTAATGAGAAGGGTGGAGAATTACTCAATATCTTGCTTCTTTGCATGCCACACATATCACTTTATTGTATTTACCACCATGAAAACTCTTCACAAACATTCATCACTCCAGAATTCTCTACCTTAATTTATGAAGAGCTGCGCAATGATGGACAAGCCATTTAACCCCTCTGATTTTGATTCTAATAAGGAACATGGCCTAGATGACTTTAAGATCCCTTCTGCATACACTCTGGGCAACAGAGGGATTAGAGTGGGGTTTGGTAATACTTGTTAAAGAAAAGAGATTGAAATATATATAGAGAGAGAATGTGAATATATATCATCCATATATATATATATAGATGACTCCGAGAGCTTAGACATTGATGGAGAGACTTTTTTTTTCCCTATATCAGTAGGTTTTCATTGTGATGTCAGTCTTAAGAATACAACAAACATTCTTATTGTACTCAAACACAATTGGGATCTGTCACTGAAGCATTGCAAAGGGGCTACCAAAATCTGAAAGCTTTTGTAAATAGGGCAAGATTATTTAAATTACACCAAGGAATTGAGCATCAAAGAAAAAGAGAAAAGAAAAACAAATTATATACATGTACATATACATATATACGCATATATGTGTGTGTATATACACACACACTAATCTTGGGTAAAATATTAGCCACAGATAAATTAAAAAGCTACAAAACAATACTTTAAGCCATCTAAATGTTTCTGAAGGCATTCATATCTTTTGTGTTCCTAAGTCATTTTCAAAACTCTCATATTGATCTTGATTTATTTTCATTATAATATTCATTTGGGGAGAATTTGTAGTGAAGTAGGCAAAATTATATAACTAGTATGAGTGTAATGTGGTGGGTTTGTTCTGGTAATAGAATAAACATTTTATAAATGAGTACTTTTGATCTAGCATTAGGAATTCATTCCAAAAAAAAAAGATTCATGTAAAATATTGTGCAAAACCAAAAATACTTCTTAATACCCAAAACTAGTGGCAATACTTTAGTGTCAGAGTCACAACTACCACCAGCCTCCTGAGATCCTGATAGTGGGCTTTCCCTTATACAACGCTACAGCCTACCATCTAGACGCAAACAAATATTAGAAGTGAAAGGGCCTTTTGTCATTATCTTCTCCTAACTCCTCATCTGATAAATAGGAAACTGATGGCAAACTAGTGGTGGTGAAGTGAATCACTCCCATCTAGAACTATTTATAGTCACCGTAGGTTTTCCTTACATAACAAACACAGGAGTGATGGTTCTTCCTTGTCTAGCCCAATACTAATCAGATTTCACCCTTTTTCTATCACAGCTTTATTACTCCACAAAATAGCTAGTTTCTACTGGCAACATTTCTCTTACTAGGCCAGTTCCCAGGAGGAAAATTAACATCACCCACGTGTTCCAAAACTTAACCTACTTTTTTGGTTGCTGATGGATCTGAAGACAGGATCACATTGCACTGGCTCACTCAGACTGTTTTCCACAGGCCCTGTAATGCCTAGTAAATCTGGGTTCAATCTGTGGTTCGTTAAAAAATGCCTGGACTTCTCATAAAACAAAATGGAAAGAATTTCTTACCTGTCTTCTCTTCTGTCTTCTCTTGGTACCAGACTAAGCATACTTTTTCAGTAGATGACATGAAATGACTACCTCATGAAGATCCATTTCACACTTCAACTCCTAAGCAATCATATTTTCTAGGACATGTTCCCATAGACAATTAAAGTAAATATTTTGTATGGCACCCAAAGTCTTTTGCAAAGCCCAGTAATCATTTCAGGTAATGGGAAAATAATGGCAGAAGCTCCGGAACTAAGCCACTAAAAGCCATCTTTTGAGACTAACATGTGCAAATGAGTTGGCTAGGTTCTACTAATTTTAACACACAGTAATTTACATGATTATTTAAATCTTTTTAACTGCATCAGTATTTAAACTGCATTTGTATGTCTGAAAGACCAGAAGCCCTGTTAAAAATCTCTTGGAAACCCACTGGTAATTTATTAAGAAGTAATGACTTTAGTGACCTTAAGAATTCACAACACATAATTTTGAGAATACACCCGAGGTTCACCAGAAGCCTGGAACAACCTGCAATTGGCTATGCTCACTTTGGAAGGCATAAAGAACCTGTCTTCCCCTGAAGCAACTGATTCTACTTCCTTAAAGAGATCAATGACCTAGCTCACTCATCTATCTGAGGGCTCCCTCCCTAAATCTGATCTTCTTCCATCTGCTTTGAAAGTGGGTTAAGCCCTCTGGGTCATGTAAAGTCTGCAGCATAACCTGAAAACAACTTGATATAAGCCCAGCACCAAAAAGTCCTCATGACTACCCTGTTTGGTTCCCCCAAAGCACTACTGTCCATATGGAGAGGTATTTTATAACCCTTCATGGCTTTTTACTTCTTTCCAGTATTAAAGTATATAAGCAACTAAAAGGGATGATTTCTCAGCTGCAATAGCTCATTTGAAATTCACTCCATAATTAACAACTTTGAAAGCAAAGAGGTAAATTTTGTCACATGTATTATTAAAGCAGAGTGAAGTCCCCCAGGACCAAATTAGATGCTTGATTAAAAATGTCCGTGGTAAAAGAAACAAGTAGATAGGGATTTGTGCTCTCAGCAATCCCAAATTAGCACACTGATTGAAGCACCTGTTCAAGCCATGTGGAAAGACACAGATCTTGGGACTGCCCTGGTGAATGAGGACTCAAGTTTCCCAACTTGAATGCAGGTCAGCTAGAATGCAAATGGGGTCATCTGAAACTAGAGGAGATAAGCGAATGAGAGGAGGGACCCAATGGGCAGGTAATCATGGTGTAATGAAAAAAGTAATGAGTGGAAATTCGTAAACCTGGATTCATTCATTCTTTAACAATTCCATTTTATTTCCAAGTACTGTGCTACATGATAGGTTGTAGGCTTCTGTTTTGTTCCCTGCCACTCCTGATCTTGGCCATGACTCCTGCTGCCTCTACACCTCCATTTCCACTTGTGTAAATTAACAGGGTGGAAAGAAATGATTATTAAAGGAACGCACACAATTTTAGGAAAAGAATGCAAGTTAAAACTTTAATTTTTTAATTTTATTTGGAGATACAGTATATTTTCCTTTAACTACATTCAACTGGATTTTGTCAAGACTTTTTAAACTCTAATCCCCTGACAAGCTTCTAAAATTGTTCACAATTGTCTCCAAGTAGTGCTACACAGTCATGGGTAGAAAGTCAAACTTCACCAAGGCAGACAGGACTGCCACTTTGGCAGGGGAATAATCCTACAACTCCGATGCCTCAGAAAGATGAGGACGACAAAACACCTTCTTAACTTGTTGGTAATTATGGCAGGCAAGAGAGAATTTAATGAGCTTGGCAAAATAGCTCAGTGGCACTCTGCCTAGTCTCAGCTCTGTGCATCCCATATCCAGGGAGAGTCCTTTGTTGAAACAGACCTGATTCTCTTGAGTTACTTTTGCCCTTTCTGTTTTTCTCCTAAAGCAATATGTTTGGTTGACAGAAAAATTCTTCCCTACAAAGGCACCTACCAAGCTTACACATAATACAAATTCAATTAAATTTTTTAAAGCTATAAGAAAACACGCTAACGTAGTAATCCCACAGACTGTACCTTAATGATCATGCCGACCGTGGCCAAGTTAAAACTGTTGTGGGAATCATAATTTGGAATTTCCTGCTCCATTTAAAGTCTCCAGGGTCAAATTGCCATAAAGATCTTTCTTATATTGAAATTCCATCTTTCCAGAAAGTAAAGAACAACCTACCTTTATATCCAAAGGAAATCAAATCCAAGAGAAGAATTAGAAAGTGACCTTGGATATGTCATTTCACCCTTCCGAAGCTCATCAATGAAATGAAGGTTGTTGGATCTCTTAGTCCCTTGCCAGCACTAACATCATGTGATTCTGCTGTACAGGTGCTACCCAGTAATTGAGGGTTATATAAATCACACAGGAGTAAGAAAGAACACTAGACCACTAAGAAAGGCAGTTAGAAGCATACAGCTCAGATCCCCTTCAAAACGTCAGCCAACAGGCTTTTTTTCCTTGGCTTACTGCCTTTTTAGCTGTCAACACCTTATACTGCCTCTTCCACAGGATTTTTTAAATGAATAAAATAAAAATGCTTTAAAATGATCTAAACTCTAAAGGATGACTTCAGGCTAAGAAGGTTAAAAACTGCTGGTGAATAAAAGGTTAAGATGACCATTCATTGAAGAATGTGGTTTCCGTGGTTATTTTGTATTATACACTGAAGACATTTTTCCTAAAGTTCTTATCTCAAGATATGGCACATTCCAGGCTCTATCCTCACATGACAACCTATATTTTACAGAATCCTTAATTAGTGAGTGAAGCCCTATGACATATTGTAAGGTTTTGATGACACAGAATGTACAAGTAAAAGCCTTTCTCAGTGACAAGGGAGAAGGTCTACTTATGAGTTGCATTTGAATTAGCATATTTTTTCTCATTCTTGAAAACAACTTTTGTCCATGTGATTAAAATCTAGCTACCACATTAAAGAAGAAGAAAAAGAAGGAAGGAATGAGAATGAAGAAGAGGAAGAGGAGGTGAAGGGAATGAAAGGGAAGGGAAGGATGTAGAACATAAGAGTTGGTATAAGGCTGTGGGAATGAAGAGAAGTGAGGAATACAGGGACCCAGTTTTGCACTAATTAGTTTTGTGCTTGATCTTAAATAAATCAGTAGATTTCTCTGATCCTAGATCCTTCATCTATAGAATGATTTGGCTGAATTATTAATGATTATTAATGGTGTTTACCATTTCTTCCAACTCAAACATGCCATGACTAAAAGTAACTAGAAAATAGTTATGATTGAACACCCATGTGGGAATGTGGAATAATTTAAAGTCCTGATTTGTAATCTTTTGAAGATCAAGAAAAGTTTTGGTGGGTTTGTGTGTATGTCTGAGGGAGCAGTAGGGGTGACTGGTTGCTTGCTTGTTTTTAATCTGTCAGCTCAGGGGGACACTTTTTACCCTTAGCATCTCTCCTAAATTTCTGAATTCACAATATGTCAGAAGATTATCAAAGTTGTCTTATTCCTTCCTCTAGGGACCCATAAACAATTATTCAAATGTTTTCAACTTGCAGTCAACTAAAGCAGCTCTGAAAGAGTTGAAGGAGTTAGGTTAGAGTTTCTGTCAGCGATCTTAGATGGAGGGTGTTAGGAGTCATTGAAATGTAGATGGCAGGGAGAAAACTGTTACAAAGCACTCAGAGAGTCTAAAATGAAAAGAATTATATTAGTGCCAATGAGTATTATTTCATAAAAATTCCCTTTGTGACTGATGAGAAGGAGCTTAAATCTTCAAATAAAGCATTTAATTCACACCTGACAGCGATTTTCAGAGTATGGAACAAGCAATGTTAGTAATTCCATTCTTAGCCCAAGGAAAAACTGTGCTGCAGAATAGAGTGGCAATAAAATAAATGTCTGTGGTTCTTGAAAAAGAAAAACTCCGAACAGAAAGGCCCTCTAGCAAAAGGAGTAAGCCCTGTGCCAGCCTGAATTCCTCTAACTTTCAACTCGCAGGTTAAGGGGCTTGCAATGCTCATGTTATTTCTGCACTGGTTTGACTTAAACACTAGCACCCGCACACAGCTGACCCTTGGCATTTGTGGATTCGACCTTTGTGTTGTTGATCATTCCAAGCAACTTTTGAAGGTCTTTGACTTCTGGTTGTCCTTTTGCTGAAACCTCAGCATGATTAACACTGGGGGAGGGTTGCAGAAGTGAGCCTGCTGATAACTGAATTCAGTATTTACTTCTCAATGTGACTTCATTATTTTATACTTTTTTGCCTGTTTGCATTAACGTCCATGAAGCAATATGCAAAACAGCCCGCCAAACAGAAAATAACTGTAAGCAAGTAATGGATTCACAAATTTTGTTTACTGAGATCCTCTATGTTGGGACTAAGAATGGACAATTATACCCCATCTGTAACCATGTGCAACCAATGGCAAAACAGAAGACATAGGTAGATGAAACGTCACAGTATATTTAGTTGCCAGTAAACTTGATCAGAGCACCTACTTTGGCCTCTTGACACATTTAGACTTCTCACTATTCCTCTATCAGAATTCACCATACCTCCCCAATGATAGCAGAGCACTAGAAAACAATAGGCCTGTGCTCTCAGAAACTTACATCAGTAAGATAAGGAGAATACGTGTGTCCTGAAAGAGAAAGCGGGCCTAGGAATAAAGATTATAGACCCCTTACATCATGTCATCAATCGAACATGCTTCTTCATCCTGGAGAAGCAATAAGTAAGAGGTGGAAAGTAGAGTGCGAGTATCATTCATGGAAATGTGTACACTTTGCTATCTGAATTCAAAAGTTTTTCACGCTCCATTTTGGTTTTGGAAGAATTCATTGGCATCCACTAATTAGAGCAGCAACAAAAATAAACATAACATTCTGAATCAGTCAGAGTAAGCCAGGGCATGCTACAGTAACAAGTAATAACACCTCATTGTCACAAAACATCAAAAATTTACTTTGTAATCACCTTCTATGACCACTACAGATTTGCTATGGACTAAAAACCAAGGACAAAAAACAGACAGTAAAAAGAGACACATGGAAGATGCAGATATTAGAAATTGTTTTAAAATATGTGATTAAGTTTAAAAAATTGTTGAAAAATAGTTCTTAATGGGTTTCTTGGGTTTCTACCATGTTGCAATAAAAGCATTGACACTTTTTGTTCTAGAATAGCTTTTAAAATATACTAATGCAGCAAACAACCTTGCAAAAGAGTGATAGTGTCTCCCTCTGAAGCAGCAGATAGGTTTACTATATGGTATAATAAAAACAATGTCCCTTCCAAGGAAAAAGAAAATATCTGCTTCTAGCCCATTATAAAAGATTTTGGTTTCTCAAGTTGGAGATGCTCAACTTTGACACAGACCCACTTCATGCGCAGTATCCAGCTAAACTGCTCTTCATGATCATCCTATGGGACTAAGGGAGCAAGGGAAACCAATGCAACCAGGAATCACATGCACATTGCTGTGCTGTGAGTAATAAAGTCGTATTTCTCTGATCCAGATGTCTCATGTCTTCTGTAAGGATCCATGAAACTTTGGCATGTTAACTTGTTAGGCTGTAAGTATGGCTAAATATTAGACCCTTGTCAGTTCTTGACAAAAATTAGACAGTTATAAGAATTTTAGCAGAAATATGAAAAGTATTACAACATGGAAATCACAGGATTTAAAGTAAGTTAAAACTGAGAACTCAATAGACAGATTTAACAGAAAATTAGACACAGAGGATTAGTAAATGAGAAGATACATGAAAGGAAAATAACCAGATTGAAGCTTGACAGAGAAAGAGATGAAAAATATGAATACAACTGAAGCTCTCTGTTTATCTATCCATAATTCCATTACTCCTGCCCATTCTAAAAGTAACTATTTTTTATTCAATGTTTATATATCCATGTATGCCTATATATATTTACTTAAATATGTGTGTATATATATATATGTGTATGTGTACCAAATAACATAGAGCATTGTTTGTACTCTTAAAACCTTTATATAAATGGCATTATAATGTGCTTGCCTTTTTGTTTAGTATTAGAATTCTATAAAAAGTTTTTGTTGTGAATTAATTTCACTGACTCTCCCTCTTATTTCACATAACATGGCAAAACATTCTCATAATCAATGTGTGTTTTGTACCAAAATGTTATATTGTTTTATATTATTAGTGATTTTACCAGCTTTCCAGACAATTCCATGTTTATTTCCCAACTGCAAGCATAAACAGCCTCAGTTAGAAAAAAATCAAAAGCCATAAAATGCATTTAAAAAAAGTAAAATCCACTAAGAAAGGAATTTAGATTTATTATCAATACATGGTAGGATCTGGAAAAACAATGTGACATTAAAGAATTAGAAAGCTTTTTTTGTAAACTGCCAATTAGATCATTCATAAATATCCTAAGAGAGATGAAAAGGATATCAGTATGACTAAAAACCAGAAAACACCAAATTATCTTCTTTTGCTGATAGCTCCCATGCCACAGCATAATAGTTTTCATTGCAGATCATAAAGTGAGCAGACTGAGCCAAGATCAGATGGAATTTTCTCTGAATAAGTCACATAAAGCATTAGAGGATACTGGGGTAGAATTCAGGACATTTCTATCTTGGAAATATACAAATTTGTTGACAAGAATGTCTCCACAACATAAATGTTGACATATTTCTCCCAACTCAAGGAAACTTAATTATCAATGTTCAGAATATATGGAATTTTTTAAAAAATCACTAATTGAAATAGAAAAAAAGATAATTCTAGCATGTGCAAAATTTTTTATTATTGTCATTGAAATGAGAAAAGACTTGTTCCAGTAAAAATATTCCAAAGAAAAATTTAATGTCTTATTCTATTCACAAGTTTTCCTGTAATGAACAGTGGTAAGGTTAGGACGATATTAAGTAGAGAATACTTTGTAAAAGATATGTGAAAAGAAGGATTTTAAGCTACTTGATTTGATTGAAAGGAAGTCTATGCTAGAAAGTGTAGAAGCAGAAAAGGTGTAATACCTTTTCTTACCCATCATGAGAGGTATGGCTGACATTTCTGTAACAAAAGGCAGGCAAATAATGGAAAAGCATAACTAATATATTTAATCAAAGTTTTACATGACACAGGAGACTTCAGAAATGAAGACCCAAGACGCAGGGAAAACTGGTTTTATGCTTAGGTTTTATGAAGAATGGACAGCCATATAAAAATGTGATTTGACAAAAGGGTATAATCCAATGGTAACAGATTAAGAGGGGAATCCTGGAAAGGCCTATTTGTTTAGATTCTTCTTGGCCTTTCTACACAGCATACTTCCCCCAGGTATAAGACAGAACACCCCTGGAATGAGGATCTTCAAGGGAGAAGGATGAGGGAAAAAAGTTATCTTTCTAGGTTTTATTGCTTCCTTCGGGAGATCAGGGTTCTGGTTTCTGTGATCCACTTTAGAAAAGAGAAATTCTAGTTTCTATGACTTGCTTCAGGGGACAAAGAGGGATGGGAGACAGGAGGGCAGGATAAGGTCAGAGAGAGAATTTGCTTCTGAGGCTACTTCTGTGCCCTTCCAATATCTTTTTGTACTAAACATCTCAAAGCACCATACTTTGGGGTATCATTTTCTAAGCCCCAATGAAACGATAACTTGACATCTGGCAAGATGGCTTTTTGCAGCTGAGACAAACTCTGATGGAGCTGACAGGTTGAGGGCTGCCTGCTGACTGTATTCCCTTAAGGTGGGCAGCCAGTCTTTCCTCAAAAAAGAAAAATTCAGGATGTTAGAAATGCAAGGGAGAGGCAGATATTTAAATTGATGCAAGGATATGCAGATCTTTTCTTCTTGGGCCAGTTTTGTAAAGGTATGACTCCAATTTAAATAGCCCTCTCTACTGGTTATTTTCTCTTTACCTCTTCAAGCCCTCTACCCTCAAAATCTTCACCCAAGACCTAGAAAGCTGGCCTTTATTGACTTTATCAGTGGGCTTTACTGCCCTTTTGTTTATTGTTGAGATTTGTTGATATTCACCCACAGGAGACCAAAGGACAGGAGAAGAAGGAGTATCAGGGTGTTTATTCCCCTAACTCAGCCCTGCCAGGCTGTAGGTCGAAAGTAATTCCTTACTAGAGGCCAGCTTTCCTGCTGGATGTCCCTCTCCTATAGCTAAAGCTCTCTCTCCAGGTGTCAGTAGCAGCCCCCTCCACTAGACCCTTCAAGTTTACAGGTGCAACAGCTTGTTGTTACAATAGGGGGTATAGCACCATCCTATATTGGTTTTCCTTAACCCTGACCATGCCCATGAAAAAAGTTCTTTCACTAATCTGCCCTTAATTACTCCACCTCTTCCTGCTAGGATCTTGACAATTCACTTATTTTTTTTTTTTTTTTTGAAGCCTCTTCACTAATGCACCTCAAAGCAATAAAGAGATCTACTGTAACAAAAGGAGGAAACATAGGAGAGAAAATTCTTAGAACACAATTAATAAGGCTGACTTTGATGAGAAACAGCAAGTGTCTTCATTTTGCTAGGGATGCCCCTCTCAATTCTCTGCCACAGTTAACACCCTTTTCTGATTCTTTGGAGCATTTGAATGCATAGTAGTTGATCCACCCAGAAACCCCTTGGCCAGGAAGCTTTCCCTGAGCATCTTTGTTTATAAGCCTAAGGAATTAGTAAATACAGTATACGGCCAATAAAACCCACACACAGAGCATGGGCAAATAATAATATAAAAGCATTTTCTTATTAAAGTTATGATTAGGTTTATCACATCTAATCATAACAATCTCTCCAGGGAGAAAAGTAAGCAAGTCTTCATTATGCACCACTACTTGCCAAAGCCAGAATTCTCTTAGGGAGAAAAAAACCCAAGTAAGCAATAGTGTGCTTTTAGAATATAGGCCTTTGCCCAAGCAGTTGGTCCAAAGTGAAACTCACCTAATAAGTAACTGCTCAACCAGTTAGCAGAGCTGTATTTACCAAGCAAAATAAAGCTTAAATTTCAGGCTCCAGAAATTGCACAGACTGCTTCCAAGGCTCTGGGAGGAGCCCTGTAATATATCCACATGGTCCATATGTGTTTGTAAAATTTGCTAATATAAGAATTTTAATCAGAATTAGTGAAGACTGTTATTTCTTTCCACTCTGCTGTTCTCACCATTGGACTTCCCACTGTGTTGGTAAAGTTTGAATGGCTACAGGCATTTTTACAATTTGGCTAAGCAGAAGTTCAGTTGGGCACACATCTAGTTTTGGTTTATGCGGTATACGTAAACAGTTCTCAGTCACTTCTGAATATAGTTAAACTATTATAAGCCCTTCCGTTGTAGGGATGGCCTCCAGGAATATTCCCACCACCCAATGTGCCAACCTGTCCTGCACTGGACACAATGGTGCTGGGCCAAATTGCTATTTGAGGTGAACATGTTGCCCAAAACTGGTAGCATGAAGGAATTAGAGATGTCTTAGTCCATTTGGGCTACTATAACAAAATACCATAAACTGGGTGACTTATAAACAACAGAAATTTATTTCTCATTGTTCTGGAGACTGAGAAGTCCAAGATCGAAGATACTGACCAGCAGAGTCAGTATCTGTTAAGAGTCTGCTTTCCACCTTCCCACTCTGTTCTCACAGGGTCTCCTCTATAAGGCACTAGTCCCATTCATGAGGGCTCCACTCTCATGAACTCATTACCTCCCAAAGGCCCTTCTTCCTAATACCATCACCTTAGGGGTTAGGATTTCAACACATGCATTTTAGGAGGGCACAAACATTTAGACTATAGCAGGGGAAAAACAAGGTTTGAAAGGTCTGTAGCTGGATGCTTGAAAGTGGCATAATGTGAAGAATTGTATATATCAGATATATTAAATTATAAATAGATTCCATTCTCAAGGATGCATAATCAAAAAAGTTCTCTCAGGAATAGACACAATAGTGCGTATGATGCGATTACAAACACCACATATGTCTTTTCTTTTTTGATGGGAATCATGCAAAGTAGAATTAAACTGAATTCCTATGGTTAAAGGGTACAAATCTATAGCTGTCCTACAAACAGAGAGTATGTCTATATATTTATTATTATCAAAAACACAAAAAAGTATCAATCGGCCCCTCTAGAGGAAAACAGAATTATCTTTATATTCTTCCAATAAAAAATAGTATTACAAAATGCTGTTATGTGAAGAAATAGCATGCAGAAAAGATGTATGATAGACAAGTGGCAGGCTACTAAATAATGTAGAAATCATTATCTTTGAGGATTTCTTTGTGTTTATGGCATTTGTCACCTTTTTTAAAAAATGTATACGTGGTTGTGGTTTGTTTCCAGATAAATATTCACTTTTATGTCTAATAACATATTCATAAAATTTGATTCTTTTTCTTACAGAGGCCTCCACTCAAATTGTATAAGCTTTAGAGTCTACATTGTTCTGCCAGTTGGCTTCATATACAGTAATGTAAATTCTAAGTTCGATGTAAATTCTAGCTCCACATACACAAAGCAGGCACCAAATGGGATGGAACATAAGGGGAGGTTCTCAGAGTTAGGAAGAACATATGTCACAGGTAGTATGACAATTGCCATCTGCCCAGAAATGCAAGTTATACAATTGCCCCTAAAACCATCATCTAGAGTAGACTGGCATCCAGCAGACAGCTGTCCAAAGACAGACATCAGAAAAACTGCTTTCTAGTTGTATCCTTGTCTGTAATAATCTTCTAAACAAGAAGAACTCAGATGATTTCTCTGTGCTTTAGTTTCCTCGTACTGAAAATGAGTTGACTTCTAGGACAATTCTCATCTTTACACTCTACACAAAACGGCACAAGGCCCAACCTACCCTACTTACTGAGATTTCCCAGAGGGCCCTACACCTCACAGCCCTCTTTCACTCCAAATTACTGCTGCCCTGAATTCTTGATTGTCCAATTGATAGCTCACCTCTGGCAACCAGAGTCCTCTCTCCTCCCCATCTGCCTAGGATATAGAGCCTCTTACTTCATTTTCTAAAAGAACATTCAGACAAGGATATTTTCTGCAGCAGTTTTTACTGAATATTTTCATAATTAAAGAAGAGTTTGGCACAGTGCTGGGCCAAATATGATTTTGAATGTGATATCAGATACCACTGTATTTCAAAATTTATCAAACATGTCCTGCCCAGGAAGTACTTCTCCTTAGGACATGAATGTTCTTAGGACCCAAGCTTTTCCATCCTGGGGCCTCATCTCTAGAACCTTCCTCCCATTTCCTCTTTAAGGTTGCTACACCCTTTCTTAAACCAACTGACAGTGGTAAAATTCATTATACTTTGCTGCGTATATTATAATCTTTATTTTAATCTGTGTAAGTTTTAATCTTTTTCTTTTTGGCTAAATTGGTCCCAAATAGAAAATAGCCTAAGGTATTTCTTATGAGGTATAAATAAGGATGTACTTCCTAAGGCTACATTTCGTGTCTCTTTGGGCATTTTAAAAATAATTCTCTCTCAAAAAAGAATTTATTCATCTGAGTTCTTCCCCAGCTAACCAACTGAAACTGCAGGCAGCCTTTTAGAGTATAAAAAGCTTTTCCTGTCTGCGTGCAGTGGCTCATGCCTGCAATCCCAGCACTTTGGGAAGTGAGGAGAGAGGATCACTTGAGCCCAGGAGTTGGAGACCAGCCTGGGCAACATAGCGAAACTCCATCTATACAAAAAAATACAAAATTTAGCTGGCAGTAGTGGCACACCTGTGGTCCCAGCTACTCAGGAGGCTGAAGTGGGAGAATTGCTTAAGCCCACGAGACAGAGGTTGCAGTGAGCCATATTTGCTCCACTGTACTCCAGCCTGGGTGACTGAGTGAGAACTTGTCTCAAAAAAAGAAAACAAAAAACAAAACAAAACAAAACAAAAAAACACTTTTCCCAATTGCAGGTTTTGCATTAGAAAACTTGTAAAAATTAAGACAAAAACTATTGTAAAACGTTTTTAAAAATTAAAATGTTATGCCAAAATATTATAAAATGTATATGCATAGAATAGAGCTGTCATTTATTAGATTATTTCTAGTACAAAACATTATTTATGCTACCTCTAGAGTTATTCTGAACTTTCTTTTTCCTGCCATTGAATCAAGTCCTGAATCAAGAATGCAGCTATTTAGACCACTTTATAAGCCACCGTAAGGAAAACCCGGTTATATTACCATCCAGGAAGAGCTGCATGAAAGTTCTACCTCACATATCAATCTGTTTACCCAGGACTCAACTTTCTATAAATGAAATGAGACCAAAAGATGAAAGTCAGAAGCAATATCCTCCTCAAAAACAGAACTTCCTTTTAAATAAGAGAATTATAGAACCACAAATATCTTTAGAGATCATTTATTCTACTAGTCCCATTTCAAAAATAAGGAAAACTGAGACTGAAAGAACCTAATGGTCAGGTGAAGAAAATCATACCCCTGTTTGAGGCCAAGTTGAAAACCAGTCCAGCTCTCCTGACCTTGGCTATTCTCACTTCTAAAATGTAATCTACTTACCTGAGTTTTGGATGCTAAAAATATTTATCATGGCCAGGCACAGTGACTCACACCTGTAATCCCAGCACTTTGGGATGCAGAGGCGAGTGGATCACCTGAGGTCAGGAGTTCGAGATCAGCCTGGCCAACATGGTGAAACCCTGTCTCTACTAAAAGTACAAAAATTAGCCAGGTGTGGTAGCACTGCAGTCCCAGCTACTCTGGAGGCTGAGGCAGGAGAAGAAGCCAGGAGGTGGAGGTTGCAGTGAGCTGAGATCATGTCACTCTACTCCAGCCTGGGTAACAGAGCAAGACTCTGTCTCAAAAAAAAAAAAAAGTATTTATTTATTTAAATAAATAATTAAAATGTATTTATATCTTTAGGTTACAGTTATTCAGGGGACAGGCTGGAGCACAGACCAATGACACACCAATTCTAAATATCATTTCTAAGCTTAATCCTAACGATAATCTACTTGTTCTACAGTTTTTAAAATTTAAGTTCATTTGACATGCTTGGATTGTTATTATCTTTTTTCCCTTCAGAAATACAATGTTGATTTTTCAGTGAACACTCAGGGTTATCAGCATTTAATTGCACATGGGTTAATTGTGAAGCTAGGTGGAAGCTTTAAGAAAAGGATTAATCCCTTTATTATGGAAATAATTAGTTTTTGGTGGTTCCTTGGTATACCGAACTTCCTTGCCTGCGCAATGCTAGGTTAAACAGTCTGCTTTCTATCTAGGGGTTCATAGTGTCCCTGATAGCTAATCAAGGGCATTTTTTAAAAAAACAGAAAAGAAAGCAGAAAATAGAAAAAGAGTAATCCCCACATCATATTAGCACTACAAGAACAGATCTCAAACTCTGCATTTCTGAAGAACTGTATTAGTCATGGTCTCTTGGTTACAAATGACAGAAACTCACTTGCAGTTTAGGCAAAATAGGGCAATTATTGGAGGGATACTGATGTATCTTACATAAAAGCTAGAAGGAAAGGCAGTACAGCTGAGCCTCAAGGACAACTAGAACTACTGTCACTGTCTCTCATCTCTGCTTCTTTGTGCACTTTGATTTCATTCTCTGAGACTAACTTAGAACACAGTAGGGAGCATGACCGCCAACAGCTTCCCTGCCTTATACTCTCAGCACTCAGAGGGTGTTCAAGCTTTGAAAGTCCCAGGGAAGAACATAATTGGCCCAGCTTGGGTAGATGCTCCTTCCTAGACAACTCAATAGTGGTCAGGCAGGCTGGGATACTACACTTTTTTCACGGCTGCGAAAAGGAAGTACTGCTTTCAGCAGAAAAGAAAAGTGCTTGGAAGATTAAAAATTAAAAATAATTTAATATCTACTAAACATATTTTCGATTAGGGGAACTATGAATATATCACAAGAGTCAGTTGTGTGTAAGTGGGGCTGGTCTCTGTTTCCAAATTTAATAGCTCTGGGACCTTGTGCCACTATCTTAATCCATTAAACTCCCTTGACCTCAGTAACTAATTCATAAAATGGGAATAAATACTTTAAGTCATTGAAGGCAGGAGACTAGACCAGGGATGTGGCAGCCATGGGCATGGACCTTGACCTCCTCCACACGGAGCAAACTTGACCAAGGGCTAAGCTTCTGCCCCTTGCAACCCATTGCCTGATTTTGTCAAGGCTGCTCTTGGACAACGATTGAGTATAGCGGGAATGGCACACCCATTCCTGGGAACGTAATAGTTCACAGTACTCCCAATGTCTTCCAACCTTGACTCTCCCCCACAACTTTGCTGCATTTTTCTTAGACTGCGTGGCAGTCTACGAAGTTTTTATCTTTCTCTGTCTCTTCTTCACTTGGTAATCAGACTTACATGACAGTCCAATTGATCACTCAGTCTTTCTTTACTCCCCCCCCGTTTCCATTCACACAAGCATTGCCCCTAATAAATTCCTTGCATATTTAATCTTATCTTTATATTTGCTTCTCAGAGGACCTAGACTAATAATATGAGTTGGTATAAAGTTTTCTTCACAATCTAGGAAATGACTTTATGCTTTTCACCTACGGTAATAGTCCCCTTAAAGAACTGAATCAACTAGAAAAAAAAAAAGTGTTAAGTCCAATTACCCCTCCCAGGCCTACTGTATTAAAATCCCCAAAAGCTTAGACCTAAAATTCTGCATTTTATTTTTTAAAAAGTTTGGGGGTTTGGGGGGTGAGGGAGCTCTTGCAGTCAGTGTGGTACCTATTAGAGATGTTCAATATTTCCTTTACAGCCCCACTGGCTCGTCTTCCCCCCATTAATGCTTCCCTGCATGAAGGCACTCAATGGGATTCAATTCCCTGACTCCTTCATGATTGAGGGAGGAAACATATTATTATTTTTGGCCAATTAGTTTTGAAAGGAAACTATATGTCATTCTCAGGCAAGAATATTAAATTACCAGTGTAAGGCCCTCTAGACTAATGCTACTCCAAGTGTGGGCAACAAACTGGGTGCCACTCCACCCACTAATTTTTCCTAGTCCTTGACAAGATTACTACAAAAATGGAAATGATTATTTAGAAAACTTTATAGTAATTTAACTTTGTTGCAACATCCAAACATGTTTTCTGTAATTTATTTTTATTATATTTCACAAAAGTATTGGTCCACAACAGAGTGAAACTAAAATAAATAAAAAAAATTGGTCCTTCACCACAGGTAGTTAGACAAGTACTACTTTAGAGCTTTCATTTCCCCCTGGCACCAGGAACAGCAGTATTCAAGATGCTGGCCACTCAACCAACTTGGATCCAAGAAAAACTGAATGGAAACTCACTTTATCCCCACCCTGCCTTCAGGCCTAGGTGAACCCACCATAGAAATTAAATTTAAATGAGAAATAAACTTTTGTTGGGTATATTAGTCCCAGTTCTCATGCTGCTATGAAGAAATACCCAAGACTGGGTAATTTATAAAGAAAAGAGGTTTAATTGACTCACGGTTCCGTGGTGGGGGGAGCCTCAGGAAACTTACAATCATGGCGGAAGGGGAAGCAATTACGTCTTTCTTCACATTGGCGGCAGGAAGGGGAAGAATGAGTGAAGAGGAGAAAAGCCCTTTATAAAATCATCAGATCTCATGAGAACTAACTCACTATTACAAGAACAGCATTGGGGAACCGCCCCCATGATCCAATTACCTCCCACTGGGTCCCTCCTACCACACGTGGGGATTATGGGACCTACAATTCAAGATGAGATTTGGCTGGGGACACAGCCAAACCACATCACTGGGTTAAGCCACTAAGATTTGGAAATTACTTATTTCTACAGCAAAATTTAGTTCATCTCAGCTGATATAATCTCATAAATTAGGACCAACTGCACAAGATGAAAATAAAAATCTAGTTAATATAGTAACAAAACAAGGGAAATCTCTGTGTGTCTTGTGATTTCCCGAAGAGAGAGGATGTTAATTTACAGTTTAAAAATATACCTAAATTTTGTATAAAGAGGTGTTTTTTAAAAAAACAAAGTAGAAAAGTAGAGAAATGGTAACTAAGTAATAAACATGGAAAGCCAAATAGCAGCCAACAGAAGTAATTGCTTATCCATAAAAATCCTATTTGGACCATTGATTTACATCCTCCTAGTGATGATGATGATGATGATGATGATGATGATGATGATGATAAAAGACTTCCATTTAAAATGAAAGTTTATAATCACAGTAAGTTCTGCTCAGCAAAGGAACTAGGAATTACTCTACTATGCATTTTGCCCTTTCCTTTTACAAAGTAACTTGATGAGTAGCTTTGAGTATTAAAGGTAGACTAAAATCTCATTATTTCTAAGGACACAGTAAAACAAAAAGATCATTAAACTATTTAACATAATAAGTGAACAAGAATTTAAGACCCTGAGAGGAAAAAAGGTAGGTAGGGAGGAAGAAAGAAAGAGCTTAGATACCAGGTTGGCTGAAGCTTACAGAGAAATGTCAGTGCTATAAATGAAGGTTTGTGTCCTCCCAACAATCATATATTGAAACCCCATCCCCAACATGATGGTATGTGAAGATGAGACCTTTGGGAAATGAATAGGTATGGGATTAGTGTTCTTGTAAAAGAGGCCTCAGAGAACTACATTGCTCCTCTGCCATGTGAGAACACATGGAAAGATGATAGTCATGCAGGAATGAGAAAGCAAGTCCTCAACAGACACCAAATCTGCCTGTGCCTTGATCTCGGACTCCCAGCCTCCAGAACTGTGAGAAATCAATTTCTGTTGCTTATACACCACACAGTCTATGGTATTCTGTTTTCACAGCCTAAACAAACTAAGACAGTCAGCCACTAAGAAATCCCTAACAGGGGAACCAATGGAACCATCATAATTTTAAGCTATTTGTATTGTTGAGATGTAAATGTTCTGCTGCCCTATACATTCATAGAGCTTTGGATTGGTGGTATCTTAGGATGGAGTCATTGAGAAGGCGCCTCATGTAGGGTCATTTCAGTGAGAAAATTCACACATTGAACTCAGAAGAAGCAAGAACTTTAAGTCAATCTCAATTTGAAAAAAATCTGAGCTAGCCCCTGAATTCCCTACAATACACAGATGGAGATTTTAGTCAATTACATTTTAGTCTGAAAGGACAGGGTAACCCTGTCTTTTCTATCTAAACCGTAATGATAATAGCTAAGATTTGAGTGTGTAAAAAAACTTGGAATAAGCAAATAAGATTCCTTTCCAGTGGAAAGTTATGCACTTTGCAGAGCATATTATTTGGGGTCATCTAATTCTGGCTTTTCATCATCTTTGAGCTATTTTTCAGCTTTGTAAGTTGTAGAAAATTACAGTGCAATGCAAAAGACTCTAAACAATGAACATGCAAATGAATCATCTGGTAGTGGAACAACTTATCTCCTCCAAGCCAGTTTGTGTCAATTTGCAAATTAATTTTATAATTTCTGATCTACAAACCTGTTTCCTTTATATCTTCTTTGAGCCAACTAAAATATCTGCCCAACTCCCTCACTAATAACGAGTTAAGTAAAATCTTTAGCATATGTTTATTTTATATCTGTATCAAAATCATTTTATCTATTTTTAATTATTTTTTAACAAAAATGCTTGTTATAAGCCAAACATTACACTAAACCTTTTACATGTAGCACCTCATATCATCTTCCCAATACCCGAAGAGTTGGGTGCTATTGTTATTCCCATTTTGTAAATTAGGGTCAACAAATGACAGCCAAGTGGGTGAAGTCAGGCCTGCCAATGTTTTCTTGCAGCCTGATGTTGCCTACAAAGTTTTACTGGGAACACAGAATACTCATTAGTTTATATATAATCTATGGCTCTTTTTGCCCTACAACAGCAGAATTGAATAGCTGTAACAGAAACAGTGTGGCCCACAAAGCCTAAAATATTTATTATTTGTCCCTCTAAAGAAATAGATGACTGACCTGTACAGATGAGAAGAATAGGCTTTGAAAATTTATAAAAATTACCCAAATTCACACTGTTAGTGAGTGCTAAAGCCCAAACTCATTACCCCCCTCCCATATATCCTCAGAGGTCAATGATCCTGTTTCTGCTTGTCCAAAGCCAGATTTGCTTCTAAACGACATGATTTTGAGTTTTTTAAAGACAAGCCCCTCCTGCCACCATTTGCATTCTCTTATGCTTGAGATTTCTTGAGGAAGGGATAATTCTTTCATGCAACAGTGAAAGATAAGGCTTAAAATGAAACATGCCTGAAAGAAAAATATACATAAGCAGTTAAGTTTGTGTGAAGGTGGGAATGTCTGGGAATAGACCCCATTCCCCGAGTAGAGAAAGAGCTCAAGTCATTTATGTACAACTGGAGAGAAAACAAGGAATGATGGTTCAAAGGGAGGTTGGCAAAAAACAAAAATGAGCTTGCCTAAGGGCAGTCAGGCATCTAACTCAATACTCAGTACATTTCCATGGTTTACTCTTCCTTACCACCTCCAATCTGTTTTGTGTTTTGTTGTCAAAAGTGAAGGTAAAATGTGTTGTTACAACAGTAACCTCTTATCAGCCTGTGTCAGCCTCTGAGAGTCTGGTTGGAAACGGCAAGAGAGCAACTGTTATATCTAAAGCTGTTCTGTGATGTTTAACAAGTTTCCTTTTGGAATATTGTCATCTTACCCTCCTCCTATCTCTTGCTCCCTGATCCCATATGACCCCAATTAGTGTGTGTCGCGGATTAGGGGTGGGCATAATTTCCTTCAAAAAAACAATTGCACAGAACTGTAAAATAAGTGAGGTCTGCTCAGCTCTCATGTCTTCATTATAATTTTCCAAAAACTACAAATAAGTGAAAAGGCCAGGGTGTCCATGAAAAGAATAATCAGAATTTACAGGGCAATGAAAGCCATATAGATAGGATTCCAACTAAAAGTGTTCTCAAAATTAATTCACTAGCAATTCAGCACTAGTAATTGAATGAGAGCGCTACAGTTTTTGGATGTTGTTTTTAGTCCTTCCAAAAAGTTGAGGCAAAAATTCTCCAAAGAACAATTTCCTCTCCTTGCCTCAATTTGTCTGTATCTTGTCTTGAGGACACAGAAAAATCTCTTCAAAAC
Source organism: Homo sapiens (assembly GCF_000001405.40). NCBI lineage: Eukaryota > Metazoa > Chordata > Mammalia > Primates > Hominidae > Homo > Homo sapiens. The sequence goes on along the minus strand of NC_000014.9, from coordinate 81,955,487 downwards.
AGACGATGTAAATTACAGTAGCAGAAGGATAGCTAAGAATTAGGATCACATGCTGACCAGTAAGAAAATTCATCCCTTTATACATACCAACATTCTCTGAGATAGATACATTTGGTTCTCTTTGTTCCTAGTACTTAGGTTCTATAAAGTCACCACAAATGCTGACTTAGCAAATACTGAATCATTGCTCCTGGGGAAAATACAGAGGTAGGTTTCTGTAAGCATTTTTTTTGTCAAATGATAATACAAAACCTTGTTTTATGTGTTTCTGTTTAAACATACCTTATTTAATATATATTGTCTATTCATTAACATTGGACTCACAGCCATCAGCACTATAACTCATGATGGAACAAAGCAAATCTAACACACATATTTTCTCCTAATGCACATCAGAGCCTTCTCACTCTTAGAACACTAGACAGTACTTCAGCACTTCATATTGGAGCCATTTTAAACAGCAAAGTCAACAATAAAAAGCACAAAAATGCAAAAACACAGTGACACAAAATAAACCATGGAAAGAAAACTTTGTTACAGTTCAAAAACCGAAACAGAAAGGTAGAACACATCTTTGCTGGACCTCAGCTGCAAGTTTTTCGTCACCCTGCCTATACACATGTTCAAGTATTACTGCAAAAGCACCTCAAGTATTGATTGTGGGGTTACAAATAACTTTTACCAAGTAGATGGCTATGGTCTGACTACGTTCCTCAAAATTTACGTGTTGGAACTTAATGGCCAATGTGACAGCATAATATTAAGAGGTAGGGTCTTTAGGAAGTAATTAAGTGATGATGGTGGAGCCCTCATTAATGGGATTAGGGATCTTATGAAAGGGCTTGCAGGAATAGTTCCACTCTTTTCTGCTCTTCTATCGTGTGAGAATATAGTGCTTATCCTCGTTTTGCCCTTCCCTTCTTTCTACTGTGTGAAGACACAGCATCCATCACCTCTGAAGGGTGTAGCAATGAGGTGCTATCTTGGAAGCAGAAAGCAGCCTTCACCAAACACTGAATCTGCTAGTGCCTTGATCTTGGACTTCTCAGCCTCCAGAACTATGTGAATCAAGTATCTATTGTTTATAAATTACTCAGCCTGTGACATTTTATTGTAGCATCAAAAACTGACTATGACCAGAAATTGGTACCAGAGAAGTAGAACGCTGCTGTAACAAAAATTTAAAAATGTGGAAGTGGCTTTGGAACTGCAGGACAGGTAGAGAAGCAAGAAGAGTTTGGAGCTCCATATTAGAAAAAGCCTAGTCTGCTGTGAAAAGAGTGCTAAGGGTAATTCTGTTGATATTTTAGAATACAAGAGCTATAGACAGCCTAAATCTTAGAAATTACTTCAGTGTTGGTGACCAGAATGATTGTAGAAACATGAACAGTAAAGGCCATTCTGGTATACCTTTATGAAAACTGGAGGAAAGGTCTTCTTTGTTACAAAGTGGCAAAGAAGCTGGCTGAATTGTGTCCATGTCCTAGTACTCTGTGGAAGACAGAATTTAAGAGCAATGAACTAGTATATTTGGCAGAAGAAATGTCGAAGCAAAGAGTTCAGGGTGCTGCAGGGCTTCTCTACGTCTAGTGAAATGTGAGAAAGAGGAACAAATTAAAGGTGGTAATTTATAATCAAAAAGAAGTGGAACTTAAATGATTTGGGAAATTCTCACCCTGGCAATGTAAAGAATTTTTAAAAAGCATATTTAGGAGAGAATATCAAAGGTGTGGTCAAGTGAGATTAGGCCACTAAGGAGATTACATTACACTAATCTCCTTAGTGGCCTAATCTCACTTGACCACACCTTTGTATTCTGTAGTATCCTTTGATAAGGAGATTAGTGTAGAGAGAAGGAAGCAGGATGCTATTCATCAGGACAATGGAAGAGTATCACTGAAGACGTTTCAGAGATCTTTGAGGCTGCCACTCCCATCAGCGGCCCAGAGTATCAAGGCCTTGGGGGCAGAACAGTTTCAACGGAGGGGCTCAAGGTGCCTGTAGAACTTGAGGCTCACTGTTCAGCACTACCTCAAGTCTACTGTCTGTATTCTGGCACAAAGTTTCTTAGCCACCCCAGCTATGGCTCAAGCAGACCCAGGTACAACTTGGGCTGCTGCTTCAGGGGACACAGGCAGTAAGCTCTGATGGCATCCACATAGTACTGACTCTGTAGGAGTACAGAGTGCAAGAGCTGTGGGGACATGGCTGACTTCACCCAGATTTCAAAGGACATCTCAAAGAACCCCAGGGCCCAGGCAGAGAACTGCCACAGGGTTGGGACTACCACTGGGATTTTCTACTAGCATGATGCCCAGTGGAGCCAAGCAGTCAGGGCTGCTGAAGAAGATGTCCACTAGGACAATGTCTAGAGGAGTCTTAGAAGCAGTGCTGCCCCACAAGACCTCATAACTGTAGAGCCAACTGCAAGCATCGCTAGCCTGGGAGAGCTGCAGGTACCTACATCCAACCTATAAGAGCTGCTGTGAGTTGTGTCTAGCAAAGCTGGTAGGGCAGGTCCCCTCAGTACCTTGGGGGCCCAGCCCCCGCCCCAGTATTTCTAGAGGGTGAGACATGGAGTCAAAGGTTATTCTCAAGCCTCAAGATTTAATGCTGTGTGCCTTGCTAGGTTTAGGACTTACTTGGGACCTGTTGGTCTTTCTTATTTTCTGTTGCTCCCTTTTCTAATGTCTATCCTATGCTTGTCCCACCACTGGATTTTGGAAATATACAATGTTTGCTGTCACACATTTGCAGATGGAGAGCAGTTTTCCTTAAGATGAATCTTACTTTGTGTCTCATCCATATCTGATTTGGAAGACTCTGAACTTAAGACTTTTGAGTTGATGTTGGAACAAGTTTAGACTTTTGGAGCTACTGGAATAGAATGAAAGCATTTTGTGTGCAAAAAGAATATGAACTCATGGGGCCAGAGACAGAATGCTATGGTCTGAATGCATGTCCCAAAGTTTACATGTTGAAACTTTATGGCCAACATGATAGTATTAAGAGGAACATGTAGGAGGTGATTAGGTCATGATGTTGGAGCCCTCACAGATGGGATTATGGCTTTTATGGGATTTGGGCTTGAGGGAGAAGGTTCACTATTTGCTGTTGTTCCTTCATAGAAGGACACAGCATTTCTGCCCTCTGGAGGATGCTACAACAAGGCATCATCTTGGAAACAGGGAGCAGCCCTTGCCAGACACTGAACCTGCCAGCACATTGACCTTGGACTTCTCAGCCTCCAGAACTGTGAGAAATAAATTTCCATATTTTATAAATGACCCAGTCTGTGGCATTTTGTTGTAGCAGCACAAATGGACTAAGATGTAGATATATTTGCAAATATGGAATTCACAAATAATGAGGATTGACTGTATCATTTTTTCCTTAGAAACAGCATATGCAGTAAATAACACCTTTGGGATAATATAAACAGATCAGCATTGCAAAAATATGTAAGATAAACATTTTTAAATTCTAAATACTTCAGGCACAGGTATCAAATACAGTGGTTTCTTTAAGGAGAATGTCAAGCTGGACAGTGGTATGAAAGATTATTGAATCGGGAAAACGTTAACTGCTTCATTTCTTGGCAGGCATTGTGTGAAACAGTGGCGATTCTTGACATCCAGGAAGCTGGCAGAGTAATTGATTTCCCAGTTCTCAAAAACTAATACCTAAAATCCAATCTCAAGCAGCCCCAAGGGTTTCTTGAAGTGCCCCTCCAAAAATCCTGAAATCTTCAGCACATTAACCTTGAGAATATTAAAAGTCTTCTAGGACTAAATCCCTTATGTATAATGAGCCTGTTAAAGGGTTGAGTCAAAAAAAAAATACTAACAGTTAAGAAGTCAACAAAAACCAGTACTCGCTATTTTGCATATTATAAAAAAAATGTGTTTCAGTAAAAACTGTGCATTTTCTACATACAGCACATCCTTCCAGGTTATCAAATTCTATCCTTTCATTGGTTTTGAGCTATTTTGTAACACTTTTGAGTTGTAAGTAACAAATAGACATGTAAATTTTGTGTGATCTGACAGAGATTTAATTGACTCCCCTACCCTCCAGGGCAAAAATAGTTTTTGCTTCACTGGCAATTCATTTCCACATGTTTTTGCTTGCCAGATAAGTTTGTGCTTTTTTAAACTTTTTCTTCAAACCAATTATAACATCTGCCTGGTTTCCGCTGTTAAGAAGGACAAACTTTTCTACTACCACCTTAGTTTTCTCCTGGGGCCCTGAAAATTAAACTAAAAAACAAAGGTTAACAGGAGAAATGGTACACAATTTTATTAAAATCTATGTGCATGACAGTTCATAGAAAAGAAGTGAAACTCAAAGAAATAGTTAGACTCAGGGACTTATATATCATTTTAAGAAAGAAAGCGAGGGTTGGGCTTCAAGGAATGATAAATCATGGGAAAATGACTAGGAAATATATGGGGGAACTAATAGAAGATAAAGTTTATTTTAGTAAGGTTTGTTTATGTGAACTCATCTTGGTGTCAGCTCTCCATCTCAGGGAATAAGAGTGCTCTTCTCTTCCTGGTAGACAAGAGGATAACTTGACAAAGGGAAATGCATGCCCTGCTTTTAAGCAGCTAAGGGAAGAGTTCTCTGCCCTTCCCTTCCCAATGCCCTTCAACTCAAAATAATCCTTATACCAAAGTGATATATTCTAGGGTGGCATATTCTGATCCCCTTCAATTCATATATGAGTAAAATAAAATCTTTAATCAGGCACCTTTAGAGTGGTTTCCAGGGCCTTAATTTTACTGTGCTCTGTGGGAGGCACATGAGAAAAGGGAAGTCATAAGTTTGCTAAGTCTTACATGCAATAGCTCAGACACTACTTACAGAGTAAGTACAGTGTTGTCTCTTCTTACTGAGTTCAGTTTTGTAATTAGGGAGAAAAGACACTTTAGAGAATGTTTCTGTGCCCTGGATGGGGTTAAAAAAGCGAGATACCTTAAGTAGTACACACAGTTGCACAGTACCAGAGTAGCAAAGGGCTATGAACAACTTCCTCAAATATCTTTCAAATCTTGAGTAATATTCAGTCTTGGTATAGTTTTCTGAGCAACTTTCCAAGGTGGCTCTTACAGAATAAATAACTGAAAAATCAGGCTACTATGGCACTCAAGAGCTCCTCTAGGCTATTTAAAGTGTCAAGCACCTCAGGTATCATCTAATAGTAGTTAGTAGCCACCAAATACTCTACTGTTAAGAGAATATTCTAGTATAACTTTCTTTGGAAATAATATGTGAGTGTGTGTGTGTGTGTCTATGTATGCCTGTGTACATGTGAAAGAGAGAGAGAAAGAAGGAAGAGAAAGAAAGAGATAAAGATCCTCCATTAGTCTATTATGTAAGTAACATTCCAGAGAAATGATTGGTGGCAATTGTTGGACTTTCTACTAAGTAGTTTATCTAACAATTACCAACATGCAGAAATTCATGGCTGGCCAGGACTCCAGGAAATCTGAGAGACATTGTCATACACAGGCTAATCATAGCTTCTGCATTCCTTCTACTCTCCATACTTGGAGACATTTAATCACTACCTGGAAGCTTAGCTCTACCTTCAGAATAGCAGTCATGCAGCTATCCTGACCTAAAGAGAGTTCTAAACTATTCCAGTTCATTTTGCCTCTATTCAGACTCAAATCCTTCCTGCTGCTTAGGCAACACAGATGCAATGTCTTCTTTCCAATAACCATGCTTTAACCTTATTTCCAAGCCCCACTCCCTTGCAAATATTCTTTTTATATACATGTTGTAGGCATTTGTTCATTAGGGGTCATCTAGTATTCAATCTCCTCCTCCCTATTTACATTCTCATCTTCTTAAAGAGGAAATTCTCTCTTGCAAGTATTCTTGATGGAAGGCAGTGCTCACCTCCTGCGTCCTAACCCAAAGGAGTTGCACTTTTTTTCTCCCTACCCTGGCATAGCCAGTGAGGTGGGTACATTACTTAGTTTCAGCCAATCATATGTCATGTGCATTTGCATTTGAGAATATTCAATTCTACTAGATAAATAAGTTTGTAGTTTATAAAACATAGGCAAAACCCTTTAAGGTATTTTAAGTACAGGTAAGTAGCTGGTAAGCAAAAAGTTTGTTAGATGGAGGTAGAACTTACGGGGCATGGTAATAGGAAGCTAACAAAGAAAGAATGTATGTGTCAGAGAGGAATGAAAGGAGCAACAAATGTTGAATGTTCATGAAGCACCTGGACACTAAGCACACATGAGGCTATATAGAAGGCACTGGATACTAAGCACACATGAGGCTATATAGAAGGCACCGGATACTAAGCACACATGAGGCTATACAGAAGGCACTAAGTATTCACGATACATTAACTATATATGAACACTTAACATTCATGAGGCTTTAAATAATCACTCAATAGTGACACTCATTCTGGCTCCTTTTGTCCTCTGCCCCCCCAAAAACAAATAAAACCCATGGCTTCTCATCAAATTAATTGGTAAGCTCCAGCTGTGGCCAGTTGTACTTGTCCCTGTGTGTCTCCAATAGGGCAAGTGTGTGCCTTGGGCCCACGGTGTCATCCATCTGTGGATTCCTTTACTCAAACCTCAGCTCTGGTCCTCATAACCATACATTGTTGCTTTGTCTCTCTCACTTTGTCTCACTTTGTCACCCAGGCTGGAGTGCAGGGGTGTGATCTCGGCTCACTGCAACCTCTGCCTCTCAGGTCCAAATGATTCTCCTGCCTCAGCTTCCCAAGTAACTGGGATTACAGGCACACACCACCACATCCAGATAATGTTTGTATTTTTAATAGAGATGGGGTTTCGCCATGTTGGCCAGCCTGGTCTCAAACTCCTGACCTCAGGTGATCCACCTGCCTCAGCCTCCCAAAGTGCTGGGATTACAGGTGTGAGCCACCACGCCTGGCCTTAACCACACTTGTGAAAGACTGATGTGGCAGGATATATGAACATTGCATATTCTAAGATTCAGATTATGTTGTCCTTCCATCCCACATGCACTTATCCTAAGTCAGTTAATTCACCCCATCCCTTTCCCCTTGCTTCTCTCTGTTTGTCTTCACTTCATTGGATTGGATAAGTGTCATCGGAGCATCTTGTTTTGCAAACCTTTCTGTTCTATGTCCTCTAGGATAGTCAGCCTGGTAGTGCCTCCTCACCTCCCCTTGGTATCATCTGATTTTTTAATGTTTACCCATCTGGTGAGTGTGTACTAATAATTCATTGTGGTTTTATTTTTGCCTTATTATCAGTGAGGTTGAGGGCCTTTTCATAAATTTTGTAGCCATTTCAATTTTCTATTTTGCTAAATGCCTGTCCGGGTCCTGTGTACAAATTTCTATTGAGCTGTATGGCTTTTTCATATTTCATATTTGTGGGAAGTCTTTATTTATTTTGGATCCGGATCTTTGGTTAAGTGTCACAAATATTATCTTCTACTCTGCTGTTTCACTCTTTTAAGGAGCCTTTTGATGTATATAGTTCTTAATTTTAACATACTAAGAAAAAACAATCTTTTCCTTCATAGATAGCATTTTTTTGTGTCTTATAGGAAAATCCTTCCTAACTGACTCCATGAAAATATTTTCATGCTTTACCTTCTAAAGCTTCATAGTTTTACCTTTCACATGTAAGTCTTTAATCCACTGGGAATTGATTTTTTGTGAAAGTCCTTGCTTTTGTTCCAAGCCAGGTTTTCAAGCCCCCAATCAATTTTGAAAGTCCCCTGTCATCTTATAATAAATTCTTGTTTTGCTTCAGATAGCCAGCATAAGTTTCTGTTGCTTTCAATCAAGAGCCCTGGCTGATAAAATGGACTACTGCCTTGGCTCCCATTCCTGGAGCCCTGCCTTTTAACCCCAGTCCAGTGCTGTGCCCTGTGACCAGATACAGACTGGTTTTTGTCCATGGTTTGGACTATGCCCAAAGTTTGCCATACTCTATGATCTTGTACCTTACCCAGCAGACTACTTCATATTTCTGAACCTGCAGCTGGATTCGTTCCACTGGCTTCTGTCTTATTGCCAGTTCCACTGGTAAAAAGCTATGCTCCACCGATTCTCAAGATACGACATGAAATTGTGAGCCAGCCATTAGACACTGAGCTGGAAGAGTGAGAGGCCCACAGAAAGAGGGTAACAGAGATAACATTCATAAGCCATCACCAATTGACGTCATCTGCTAAGCCAGACAAGTAAAAGCAGGCTTAACTCCCAGTTGGGGATTTCAGATCTTATTGCTGTGCTTTGTGTCTTCTATCAGGAGACCATGCAGGAAGATTCACACTTTACTTCTTTCCAAGTGGTTTATTGATTTGTGGATTCAGTGAAATGTGCATCAACTGAACTAACGATTCCCTTTAAGTAAAGGGGAGGGGGGAAAGGGTTTCACACTGTGCTGAAATTAACAGGCACAACAGAACTGCCTCTTCAGAGTTCAGCCACAGCACAATAGATACACACAGTATGGGAGCAATCTGGCTATTAAACAGCTCCACTTCATCCTTAGCGATCAAAACAGTGTGTTCTGATTTCTTCTTTCTTTGTCTTCCTCCTCCCTACCCTCACCGCCGCCCCAAAACTTACATTTCAGAGATTATGTGCACTATTTAACAGAAAATAGATTTATTTTCCTTCTTCCACTTTCCGTTTATATCTCTAGGTTTTATTTTTTCTCACTACTTTTAAATATATAGCAAACTTTAGATACTGTCTTCCTTGAGGACTGCTTAACTTCGTATCTCTGATTAAGTCACAATGGAAATAATGTCTAAGACAAGACAAGATGGCAAAAATACCACATTTAACCAATGAAATTTTCCTTATGAAAATGCAAGCACTGTTCTCATATATGGATATGATTTCACTGGCCTGTTGCTTGTTTTTCTCTTGATAAGAATAGATAATCTTCTTCCATGAAGTCTGCCTATGGGCTCTTGTGACTAACTGGAAGACTTTGCAATTTTATGACCTTTACAGACTTCAGCGTCCGTTGACATAATCACTTCATTTTCTCTCAAAAACAGTAAGATAGGTAAGACCTGTAGCACTACCTTCAGCTTCTTGAAAAAGAAACTGAAGCCCAGAAAGAATTAATGGATGACTCAAGGTACACTCAGGACCCAATTTTGACTTATCTGACTCCTTGGCCAGTGTTCTTTCTAAGATAATTGTCTAATAATGAAAAGGCTCTCTATGTGGCTAAAATAATATTTATTTTATGAAAAACTTATATTCTTACCAAAAATTAAACTTGCAACATTAGCCACCTTCATAGCTTCTTTTTTGTTGTTGTTGATATTTTCTATTTTTCTTTTTAATTATACTTTAAGTTTTAGGGTACATGTGCACAACGTGCAGGCTTGTTACATATGTATACATATGCCATGTTGGTGTGCTGCACCCAGTAACTCGTCATTTAACATTAGGTATATCTCCAGATGCTATCCCTCCCCCCTCCCCCCACCCCACAACAGGCCCCAGTGTGTGATGTTCCCCTTCCTGTGTCCATGTGTTCTCATTGTTCAATTCCCACCTATGAGTGAGAACATGCAGTGTTTGGTTTTTTGTCCTTGCAATAGTTTGCTGAGAATGATGGTTTCCAGCTTCATCCATGTCCCTACAAAGGATATGAACTCATCATTTTTTCTGGCTGCATAGTATTCCATGGTGTATATGTGCCACATTTTCTTAATCCAGTCTATCACTGTTGGACATTTGGGTTGGTTCCAAGTCTTTGCTATTGTGAATGGTGCCACAATAAACATACGTGTGCATGTGTCTTTATAGCAGAATGATTTATAATCCTTTGGGTATATACCCAGTAATGGGATTGCTGGGTCAAATGGTATTTCTAGATCTAGATCCCTGAGGAATCGCCACACTGACTTCCACAATGGTTGAACTAGTTTACAGTCCCACCAACAGTGTAAAAGTCTTCCTATTTCTCCACATCCTCTCCAGCACCTGTTGTTTCCTGACTTTTTAATGATCACCATTCTAACTGGTGTGAGATGGTATCTCTTTGTGGTTTTGATTTGCATTTCTTTGATGGCCAGAGATGATGAGCATTTTTTCATGTGTCTTTCGGCTGCATAAATGTGTTCTTTTGAGAAGTGTCTGTTCATATCCTTTGCCCACTTTTTGATGGGGTTGTTTTTTTCATGTAAATTTGTTAGAGTTCATGTAGATTCTGGATATCAGCCCTTTGTCAGATGAGTAGATTGCAAAAATTTTCTCCCATTCTGTAGGTTGCCTGTTCACTCTGATGGTAGTTTCTTTTGCTGTGCAGAAGCTCTTTAGTTTAATTAGATCCCATTTGTCAATTTTGGCTTTTGTTGCCATTGCTTTTGGTGTTTTAGACATGAAGTCCTTGCCCATGCCTATGTCCTGAATGGTAATGCCTAGGTTTTCTTCTAGGGTTTTTATGGTTTTAGGTCTAACATTTAAGTCTTTAATCCATCTTGAATTAATTTTTGTATAAGGTGTAAGGAAGGGATCCAGTTTCAGCTTTCTACATATGGCTAGCCAGTTTTCCCAGCACCATTTATTAAATAGGGAATCCTTTCCCCATTTCTTGTTTTTGTCAGGTTTGTCAAAGATCAGATGGTTGTACATATGTGGCATTATTTCTGAGGGCTCTTAAATCATCTTTCATACTTGGCTTAAGTATTCTATTATATAGATTATGAAGACACGAATTGTAAGGTAATACTATTAATAAATATTACCATGTGCTAGGTTTCTAGGAGTATCTAGTACATTGAATACAATCTGATTTGATGTAGGGTTTTTTTTTTTGGCAATTCAGGTTCAAAAATTAACTCATTACTGAGATTCAAAAGCCAAACATATTCCTCTAGAATGTATTTAAACAAGAAAGGTCAAATTCCAGACTTCCATCTTTATTAGCATACAGATTGAGTAAACAGGCTTTTTGGAAACATATTTAGGTCTTTATAACTGTACAAAAGAGGCAGGGGATGGTTGGTTTCAGGGCACAAATCTGATAACACAATCTGTCCCTTTTATTTTTTGAATACTTAGCTGTTAATTTCAAGGCTGGGTGAAATTCCACTGCTTTCAAGGATTTGTTTAAATAGGATTATAAGAAATGAAAGAAGAATGTTTAAGAAAATTTACTGTATATGTGTAAGTAGGTTTTTAAATGTTCTACTCTGGTTATCGTGACTCTTCTAAAAGAACAAAGGGAATTAATTCCTTTTTTGCATGCTATAGCTTATTTAATTCCATTCACTTGTGGATTCATTCTCCACTATTCATATAGTAAATGCCATGTGTTCCTTGTATCAGACCGTAGGCTATAGAAGTAGGGGTGGAAAGTGTAACCTCAGGGGTGAGCACAGAGGTCCCACAGAACAGGAATCAATCACCACCTTGAAAGTCAAGGCAAGCTTGCCAGAAGAGATGATATCTAATCCTGGGAAAACAATAAGAGCATCCTGTCTCAGTCCATTTTGTGCTGCTATAACAGAATACCTAAGACTGGGTAATTTACAAAGAACAGAAGTGCATTGTCATAGTTCTAAAGACTCAGAAGTCCAAAATCGAGGTTGCCAGCAAGTTTGGTGTCTGGAAAGGGCCCAGTCTCCACTCCCACGATGAAGGCTGCATCCTCTGTAGGGAAAGGATGCTGTTCTTCACATGGCAGAAGAGAGGAAGAATGAGAATCCACTCCCACAAGCGCCTTTTTAGTGGATGAATCCATTCATGACCTAAATACCTCCCATTAGGCCCCACCTCCCAACACTGTCGCCTTGGGGTTACATTTCCCATTTTTTGATGGGACAAAAACATTCAAATCATAACACACACTTACAGTAAACCCAATTCCTCTAGCTGTTCTGTGAACTTCAAACCCTTCCCAGTGAATTAAGGACAGCGTGAAACAAGCAAAAAATTTTGGAGACCTCTGATTTTATGACTTCTGTCCTGGGGTCCCAAACAACTATAGTTCCATAAACTAGTTCCAATATTTCAAACAACCTAGTAGAAACAAACTACTATTCTTTATTCTTGTCTGTTACCTACTGGCAGCCCTGACTCAGAACTTTTATACTAGTGTGACCCAGAATGCATCAGAGAAGATAGCCCTTCTGACAATTCCTGTAATCTCCAACATTGTTCGTAAAAATTACCCAAACCTCTCTATCTTGCTTCAAAGTCTATTTCTCTCTTGCTTCACTTAAACTACTTTTGAATTTCGAGCTTGATTACCCATCCTTCTATGTAGAAGCCATCAAGTGGCTTTGGAAGCTTTAGCCCCATAATTTTAATCACCCCTTCCCCCACCACACACACAAATTTCTCCAAGAAAAAAAGACCTTCAAAAAATTTTAAATGTTTTTTATGCAAAAATAGCATAAAGAAATCACCTAGCATCCTCCTCAAATAAGGATGCTGGCTATAGCAGATGCTGTATGCAATATCCCTAACAAATCCATTTCTCCACTCTTGCAAAAAAAATTATAACGATAACATTCCTTTTTCAGATATGGGGCAGCAAAACTCTCAGAGAATATGGGCCACTTTCTCCCCCAAGGATTGAACTCTAATTAGTTTAAGACTACCAAGCCAGTGGTTGACTCAGATATGGGTGGAAGATCTAATTCTGTCCAGTGACATCTGAGAGCAAGTTAGCTAGGGGCTCCTGGAAAATATTTTCCTTATGATAAAGAGAGAGACAGATATCTGATACAAACTATTTTCTTTATTTCTGCCTCTGAATGCCTTTGAAAGTTTTGAGACGCCTTTGGATTCCTTTGATCAAGAACATGATGCCATAGTGTGACCCTAAGTAAACACGCATCAAGACAAAGCTAGCATCCTGGGTGTGGAAGAATAAGAAAGAAATAAGTAAGAAAGAGCCTAGATTCTAGGTGACATCACTGATTCATTGTGTAACCTTGGAACTGCTCTGTCTCTGAACTTTTTTAAATTAAAATATAAAATTTCCTTCTAGTTTAGTCATACTCTATATAGAAATTATAGACTCACCATTGTCTTCCTGCCCTTTTAATCTGACACCATTCCTATTTCCTTACCTTAAACTTTGGTTCTCCCTAAATAATTTAGCTCCAACTCACCATCCTTACCTCCCACTCCTTCTGGACCCCTTTCCAATCTAATAATACCAAGAAAACATACAGCTCAAGCTGATGGACAGAAACCCTTAATTTGAGTCAACTGGCCCATCTCAGTCATTTGAGAGATGACAGAAGATAAGGATATACTTCATTATGTATGCCTTTGAAAGCAAATAAATGAAAATAGAAATCACATGTTGCACAATTAGTTGTGGCAGACAAAAGTAGTTTAAAAGATAAAGTACATAAGCATTTTTTTTAAGATTCTCAGTGATAAAGAATTTGAGAATCACTATTTAGGTATTGATTTTAGGTATAATTTAGGTATTGATTTTGTCTTCAAGGGAAAAAATCTAGAAGATGTGAGTCTCTTTAAGACCTGGTCAACCCAAACCTTTTAAAAAATAACCTTTAATTCCAACTTTAGGTAGTTGTCCAAATAAAAAAATTCCAAATCCAGAAAAAGCTTAAGCTAAAAAATCTATCTGTACCACCAAATATTGGAAATCATCTAAATAATAAACAATGAGAGATAATCTCTTAAGTAGATTATGATGTGGCCATATAATTAATACAGTAATTAAAATAGTATTCTAATATTTTGTTAGCATGGAAAATGCTAATTTGTTATATAAGGAAATAAAATATGGACAAGAGATGTATAATGTGTTTGTCAGAATTATACTTTGACAAAACCACATATAGAAAAAAATGACAAGATAAAAATATTACTAAAATGTCAAAACAGTGACCATATTTGGTAGTAGAAAAATGGACCATTTTTTCTTTCTTCTTCATATTTTTCAGTACTTTCCTACTGTTCTTTTACAAAAGTTTATGAGCTCCTAAACCCAAAGTGTGGCTCCTAAGCCACACTTGTTGATTGGTGGCTTTCTCTCAGTCATTGCCTAAAACTGGACCAGGATAAATCAGGCATAATTAATATATAGAACAATAAATAGATGAAAACTGAATGTTTCAAAGCAAACAACCCAGATGTTCCAAATTTCCAGATGTTTGTTGGAGAGTAAACTAAGTCACCACATCTTTAAGTGCCTAGTTTTATTTTCCATTTGGATGTTTTGCTTCCAAGTAGCTGGATGTTGAAACAACAAAGTCAGCTAAAATGTCTGAGAAAATGGAGCAGGTTGCTCTGGCAGAGAAACACACAGATACAAGTTTACCAAGCACCTGTCTGCACTACATCTGTGCTAGAGCAACCGATTGCTTCCAAAGAAAGGTCCAGATTTTTAATATAAGCATGTCTGATTCAGTAGCTTCCTGGATGCCTCTACTATTCTAGAGAGAAAGGGAGAAATATTGCCATTGACACACGATGAAAGGATGGTTGGGTTCTGTTAGGAATCTCTTATAAGCCTCTAATTCTGTCTTCAAGGACTACAAAGCATCACTTAACCAACAACACAGACTGGGGCTTCCTAGAATGGGCCCAGTTCCTCAGCTGCTTTCTGATCTCCTACTTGCCTGGAGAAGTGCCAAGGTATTAACATTTAAATCACCAAGAAGGGAATTGGGCCCCTGTGAGTTGTTTCTATCCCATTGAGGCTATTTCTAGTAATAGTCTCAAACTTCCCAGGGGAATGGAAAACCCCAGTCTATTAGTATCAGAATCAGCTTACAAGGAAACAGCTGCAGCATCCTAGAATAAGAATTAGATGGGGAATCAGGAAACCTCACTTCTAATTCTAGCTCTGCTGGTAACAACTTGGACCTTAGGCAATCCACAAAAACACTTAAGTCCAAAGATTCTTCGTCTTTAGGAAGTTTATGGGTTTATCTCTAAGGCTTCAATGATCCCATCTCCTTACCTTTAAGTGTTACCTGGATATCTGCCACCCAGATGCCCACAGAATCTTTCCAGAATCACTCCTTACCTTAAAATATGGAAATCCCAGTGCTCTCTCCATGTTTTCTGGAGGTTCCCTGGGAACATGTTTTCAGTCACCTCTTGCTCTAATGACCTCCAGCTGCTCCTTTTTCATTCCTCGCTTATCTTAAATCCAGCCATATTCTCTTCCCTCTACATCTGTTTACCCCACTCTTCCATTTCTTGTTTATCTACTCTCTTCCGTCCGTTGTTCTCTTTCTCCTCAAAGAGAAAGGTAAGGTCTGGAGAATTCACAACTGAAACAGTCAGTACCCAAAGCAAAACAGCCTTATGAATCAAAATGAGCCTGGCACAGTGGCTCATGCCTGTAATCCCAACACTTTGGGATGCTGAGTCAGGAGGAACATTTGAGTCCAGGAATTTGAGGCCAGTCTAGGCAACAGAGCCAGGCCCTGTATCTACAAAAAATAGAAATAAAAATTATCCAGGCATGAATGGTGCACACCTGTGGTCTCAGCTACTCCGGAGGCTGAGGCAGGAGGATCGCTTAAGCCCAGGAGTCATAGGCTGCAGTGAGCTATAATAGTACCACTGCACTCCAGCTTGGGTGACAAAGTGAGACTTAAAAAACAAAAATGAAATCTAACCTTATAAGGGAGACTGGACAGGGGATTGAAAATTGAAATCAGGTCCAATTATATAAATAAATGATTGAATAACAATACAGAAATCTAGCGAAAAGGCAAATCTTCCTTACAGAATTTCAAATAATTTATGTGGATACTCTTTCCTCCAAGAGGTGGAATTTGATCCCTCCCCACCCACTTGCTTAAGTGTGAATACACCTAGTGACTTACTTCTAAAGAACAGAGTATGGAAAGGGGAAAACAAAAAAAAGTAACTTAACAGCGGATAAACCTGACAAACACTACCTCAGTCACATGATCAAGGTCAACATCAGTAAGTCATGATGACAGTATGTGCCCTTGGTACAATCTGATTCAAAAAAAAAAAAATGGCACTTTGGCTCTGTAATGTTCCTCCACAAAACCTAGAACTCCCGTTTAATCATGAGAAAACGTCAGAAAAACCCAAATGGAGAAATATTCTACAAAATACTGGATTAATTCTCCTCCAAATTGTCAATGTCATCCAAAACAGAGTTGAGAAACTGTCAGAGTAAAGAGGAGCCTAAGGAGATATGATGACTACATGTAAAGTGGTATCCTGGGTGGATAAAGGACTAGTGAAATCCAAATAAAGTGAGGAGTTTCCCTCATATCACAGTAATGTACCAACGTTGATTTCTTAGTTACAATAAATGTAAGATGTAAAGAATAGGGGAAGCTACGTAAAGGGCATGCAGAATTCTCTGTACTGTCTGCATTTTTTTTTCAAATCTAACACTATTCTAATATTAGAACATTTAATTTAAAAACTCAAATCCAAGGTCAAGGGCCAAGGTTCTGAATTTGAAGGTAAGCAAAGAAACTTCGGAGGGAAAACAGAAGATGGGTTTGGAGAAGTCTGGGAATGCAATTCCCAGATGCTTCAAAGGGGACAGAGAATTTACTCGGGGATAAGGAGGAAGCTGGAGAGTCAGTCACTAGAAAACAGAAAACATATCCTTTGAGCCTGTTTCAAAATGTGATTTAAATTTTTTAAAAAGTATAAAACATTATTACAGGGTTTTGCAAAATGATTGTTTCTTTTTTATTGAAAGCTTCATGCAGAAAGCAATCCAAATGTCCAGAAAACTCTATTTCCCATTCAGAAGCCCAGGACAAGCTGTAGATTCAGAACCAAGCCTTTCTTCTTTTAGCCATGCTTATAATAGCATACATTGCCCTTGAAAACATTTTGAGGAAAACCAGAAAGCTCTGAAAAAATATCTTGCTGAAACAAGGAGAAGTGACAGTGACTGACTGGCTTGAACAATGCAAGCTTAAGATTGCGCCTGAGGATAAAGTGACAGGAAAACCCTGGTGGGAATCGAACTAAAATTACTTGCTGTCTCAGAAAAGAGCCCGGGCAGAAATGTCACCTTTTCACTCAAGGCATTGGCTTCAGGCTCTCTCCAAGACACATTGACTGAGTTTCCTGACAACCACCCATTTTTCCTCTTTGAAGCCCCACAGCTCCAGACAACTGTCTGGAGGCTGAGCCCCCGGATTATTTTATGGCCTTGCACGTCAGTCAACGGACTGACTTGGGGAGCTCTGTGGGCAGAAACTGGTAAGCTGGACCTGGATAAGTGTGAAACACTGACTATATTTTCCTCCCTCCCATGTATTCAATGGGGGTGCCATGCCCACACATCAAGGGGCAAAATCCATCTTTCCTTTCCTGGTCATCAGCCCAGCTGTAGCAGTCATCCTTGATACCCACTTTCTCCTCATCCCCTAAACCTATCCCATCAGCGAGTTGTACCAATTTAAGCACTGAAACGTTGCCTGAATCTGCCCACATCTTTTCACTTTGACAATTACTCCTATAAGCTACCTCCCCTGAAGTTTGATATAACCTCATTTTGCCTTGGCAGTCTTCCCATTTCCCTATATGCCTACGCAGGGAATTATTTTTATTTATTATGCTTGAGACTCATTGACATTCTGGAATCAGAGAAATGGAGTGTTTCATCATTTCTTGGAAAATCTCAACCATTTCTTCAATCAAATCTCAATCAAATTTTCAACATGTGCTTCATTCCATGTTTTTCTATGATCTCCTAGAACAATGACTGGATTCATATTGGGTCTCCTCATATTATCCTTCATGTCTCTTAAAATCATGTGCATATTGTCCACCTCCTTGCTGCATTCTATGCAACTTTTCTAGCTCCATCTTTCAGTTCAGTAATCTTCCTTTCAGTTGTGTCTAACTTGTTCATACTGTCCATTTATTCTAATGACAATTACCTTCTTCACCTTATAAGTTATATTTGGTTCTTTTTCAGATCTACCAGGTCAATGTTGATGGTTTCTTTCTACTCTTTTATTTTTTAATTTAATTAAATATATTTATTTTATAATCTGTATTTGATCATTTCAATAGCTGTAATTTTGTGGTATGACTGTAGTTTGTTAGTTTCGATGATTTCTCATATCTTTAGGATTGTGGGCTCATAGTAGAATGCTGTGGAATTTTTGACTTCATCCCTCCAGGGAAGGTTTATATATGCATTTTTCAGTATCTTGAGAGTCTAATAAACACGAAATTTTAGGTTTTAGAGTTTCAGGGCTTCCAGAGATTGTTAATTCAGAAACTAAATCTGCACAAGTGTGGGCTATGGTCAGCAGTTCTCAGAGGGGACTTTTTTATTTTCTACAACATTCAGAGCCAAAGTCAATATAGATAAGTATCCCTACAGCCATGCTCCTTTGGGAGGAGGGACAGATTTTTCCTAGTTTACCCAATGATGTCACTATTCCATGGGGCACCCAGCTTTTTGCAGGACTTGCAGATATGACCTCCTACCATGCTTTGGCCCCATTAAAATTGAAATCATTGGCTGTCAAGGATGGTAGATAACAGAATACCAAGGCCAATTCCTGCACCAGAGTATGTTTAACCCTGTGCATTCAATATTTACTTTCTGACTTTGGAGGAATTCCATTACTTTTCCTTAAATTCCATTATACATTAAAGATAATGAGCTTTCTTTTTTTATCCAGTGTTTTCAGGTATGCTATGCAAGGAAGGTTTTATACAAACTTCTAATGTGCCATAGTGTGACACAACTTGTGGCTGTCTCCTAACAGGTCCCTGACTTACTCTGACTTCATACAGTCTATTCTCTACCCAGAAGTCAGAGCTATCTTTTTAAAAGTGCTCAATAAAGAGAAGCAATTAATAAAGATCTCACATAGCTATTTTCAGAATCCCATTTGCAAACATTACCCTTCCCTTCCAGGACTGCTTAGGGAAAGCACCATGACTAAATATGCATTACACTTCAGTGGCATGTGTAACCTGGCTGTCAGCCTTGCATTTTCTCAAGTCGTTCAGCTTGCAGAATTTCCTTGTCCCTTGAGATGGAAGCTAAGAATTGGCTTACATTTCTATCCCAGCACTAGCCCTTGAGATTCTTAGAGGACTTACTTTTCTCTTCAGTATCTCAGGTTCCAAGTACCTGCATCTGCTGAGTTTACAATCTGTCCTTCATGTTACCTTCTGGTGTGTTCTCCCTTCTTTCTTAGTGTGACCCGGTGGGCACTACCTCAATCCTGTCACTCTATAACATAACACTGAGCAAGCTGTATTAAGTCATTTAAAGGACATAAGTTTTGAAAAAAGGATGGTACCCACAATCTCCCTATATTTAAATCAAAAAAATAAAAATAAAATTTATTTTTGAAATGTCACAATTTACATATATGCTGAAATAAAAAGGCTTCTTATTAAATTTTAATATTGCCAAATTCAACTTTTCTCTCTCTCTCTCTTTCTCACATGCTTTCTCAATGTGTGAGAATGTCCATATTAGGTAATACACTAAGTCAACATCATATATAGTAGATAACTCCAAAGGTTTAGGTCAATTGAGAAAGTTGGGGTGAGGAACTTATGTCACTTCTTCACATGTATGGCCCAGCAAACAATATAAAATTAAACAATAAAAATCAATAGTTGATGTCCCTCTTCTCAAGGTGCCTCAGCTATTTGTGCTTCCAGAATGATTTTCCTGGTCATCTCCTCTAAGTGAGCCTCAGCTTCTACCATGTTTTGGGGCCTCCAGCACCTTTGTGTTGAACTCTTTGTGTTGGGCCTCCAATACCTTTGTGTTGAACTCTTCATTTTCCTTCTGGGGAAAAATCTCAATTTCTATATTTAGAATGTAAGATTTTCTTTTAAACCTAATATTAACCTAATATCAAAATTAGGTCAGGTGCAGTGGCTCACACCTGTAATCCCAACACTTTGGGAGGCCAAGGCAGGAGGAGCCTTTGAGCCCAGGAGTTTGAGACCAGCCTGAGTAAGATAGTGAGACTTCATC
Organism: Homo sapiens; assembly: GCF_000001405.40. Lineage (NCBI taxonomy): Eukaryota > Metazoa > Chordata > Mammalia > Primates > Hominidae > Homo > Homo sapiens. The sequence goes on along the minus strand of NC_000014.9, from coordinate 81,935,511 downwards.
TCTACAAAAAATTATAAAATTAGCCAGTCATGGTAGTGTGTGCCTGTAGTTCCAGCCACTCAGGAGGCTGAGGTGGGAGGATCACTTGAGCCCAAGAGGTTGGGGCTACAGTGAGTCATGATCACACTATTGCATTCTAGCCTGGGTGACGTGAGTGAGACCCTGTCCCAAACAATAATAATAAAATAAAATTAGCTTGTAGCTGTCCCATGCCATCTGATAATTAAGTTTGCCCCAAAAAGCATTCATTTTTAACCTCAAAAGAAAACGAAAAATGGTTTCTAGGATCTACATTCCCCTACATACTTACAGAGTTCATTGCATTTAGTTTGGCTCTTTTCGACAATTCTTCCTTGATCTTACCAGGCTGTGACCTCCTTGCAAGTAGGACCATTTTCTTATTCATTGATCTAACTCCAGTACTAATAAAGAGGAAGCACTCAATAAATATTTGTTGAATTGAGTTGCTTAGCATATTGCTTATAAATTTAATCTTGGCAGTAAAATGAGTTCCACAGTAATCATTTTAGACCATTTATGAATGCACTAAAAGATGTAATTACTACAAAAATAATATTTAGTGTTCAAATAATAGCAATGAAGTACAACTTAAGCCCTATTCACCAGGTGCAAAAAGTAGGAACTTCAGGAAACAAAAATAACACTAATAGTACAACCCCACCTCACCCTACCCGGATTGTAGAAAAATGAAGAGCCCACTCCCAGAGCTAAGCTATTGCCTCTTCCCCACTTCAACTCAGCCTGTAGAGAAGGAAGAAATGTTCTTCTGGCTTCTTTAAAGGAAGTTTTATACATAGAAAAAGCTTGAATTTTTCTCCTTATTTATATCTCTTATCAGGGTTAAAAAAATAAATAAAAAAAGAAACGTTGTGGGATTAGTTACTTCTCTTGTCTATCCCCGCAGTTTGTATAATGCCCTTTTATGAATGCTTCCTCCATTCATTTTTCATTTAATGAGTTTAATCCTTTTGGTTTATTAAATATTTTACATTCAAAAGATATAGATAGAATTTTGTGATCAGTTTGTTTGTCTGGTTTTTTAACCTAATTTTATTTCTGTATCAATTGGGTAAATGATTGGGTTGAAAAACATCTCAAAATTCACACTTTCTTACTTCCTTAGAGACCAGAAGGAGAACCAAAGAGAAAAGCCTGCTAAAGCCCATGTTTCAAACCCTTAATTCTATTCCTCAAATCTGCACCTACACCTTTGACTTTTTAAGTGAAGTTGAAATAGAGAAGTCAGAAGAGACAACTTCTAACCCTGCCAGAATCCTCCTGTTCTTCCAACTAGAATCTCAAGATGAACAGTCCATGTTATGAGAGGGAGATAACACAAAAAAGAAAAGACCCTTGAAGAAAGACACAGAGGGAGGGGGGAAAATGAATTTTAATATTTATCTGTTTAGTCAAAGGGCTGGGGAAAAAATGACATTGAACAAAGATATTTTGAAAAGTTGCTGATCTCCCACTGGAGGCGGAGTTGCTAATTAAGCTGTGCATTCATCAGTCCATTGTGGTAAGAGATGTGGCCCCTTTCCAGAGTAAGAATGAGCTTTACACAGATTTCATTATAACATCTTAGACAGATTTGATCATTCTAGTAAGCCTCCAAAAAAGTATTCATTGCTCTTTTCCTGCTTAAGACTTGAGGTGTAAAGACTCAAAAGCCTTGCACGCGTGGGGAAAAACATTAGGGAATTTTAATGACCTTTCAGAATCCTTATATTTAACTCTGCAAAAGTTCCCAAAGTCCACAATTACTAGTCATCAAGCAATTATTGAGGTTTAAATAATTTAGCACTGACTCTAGCATTTTAATTGCGGAAATAATTCTCCAGAAAGCTTACAATCTGTACTCATGGGAAAAACTGGAAGAGAATGGCAAACCCACTCAGGGACAGGACCTGATTTATTTCACCCTAAACAATGCTGCTAGTTATTTGGTTGATGGTTCCTCTGGCCTTAAAGCATTGACACTTCCTTTTAATTTAGATGGTTGTTTTCATGCTTGTAAATTTAGTCCTAAGGGACTGAAATAATAAAAAGTCCTTATAAGATATAATGGTATATGGTTGTACTACGCTCCCCTCCTGCACTAAATTCCCTTTTAAAGGCTTTATTACCTGGGATAATGTTCAAACCTCTTGTCACAGGATAGACGACTCTTCATCATCCCTCCCTACCTTACATTTCCAGCCTCACTTCAGGAAACACGGCTGCCAGCACTGCATCTTACTACACTGGATTATTCACTATTCCTGAACACACCCCACCTTTTAACACCTCCGAAGCTGAGCATAGCCTGTACCCTTTGCATAACATGCTCTGCTTCACTATTTTTTTCTTGGCCAGGCAGATGTCACCTCTGAGGTGAAGCCTTACCAGATTTCTTTGGAGAGAGTTATTTGTTCCCTCCTTGGTGCTTCCAGACATCTATGTCAACCCCTCCAATTTTTGCATGATCTCTCCTCCCACAACAGATCCCAACCTTTTGTAGGTAAGATTTCTTCAAACTCAAGACACTGCCAGGCACAAGGCAACCATGCAAATGTTCAAATACATTTGGATGAATCTTCCACTTGTGAAATTCTGTTAACAGCTCTCAATATTCATGTCTAAAAGAGGTGCTGTAACATTTATTGCTCTTTTTAATGCTTGCAATTATACACACTACCTTCCCTGTTTCAAAATGGCATTTGTAATGATTCAATTAACAACTCAAAAAAGAAAAACAAAAAACCTGTCCTCTTACTTTACTCCTTCTACTTTTACTATTTTAAACTTTGCCTCTGACTTTAAGCCAATCCTCTCTGGGCAGATATATCAAACTCTGAACACAGATCCAATTATCTACGAGCACAGTGGTGTTCACACTGGGGTCCTGAGTGTGACTGCACAAGAGACCCAAATGCTAGTCAATATCAGGAGACCCAGTAAACTCTTGCCTCTTTCAAGAAATTACTAGCACATAATTAGATCTCATTCACCAAGCAAAAAACTTTTCAACATTTATTTTCAAAAGGCAAATGGAGAAGAGGAAATCTTTATTTTTAAGAATGATGAAAATAGAGAAAAGTGTGCTACATGAGTTCTCCTCCATGAAGTTTTTTCTTCCTTTGATGCCTAAGTTAAAAAAGAAAAAAAAATCTCTCTTTCTATTCAATTATTTCACATTTTGTTCCTGTTTTTCTGTCTTATTTAAAAACTAGTAAAAATGTTTGGAAGAGAAAAAGGACTGGCCTTCAAGGAGTTTGTAATAACTAACTCAAATACAGGGAGATGACATAATAATATACATAACTCGATGAAAGCACTTAAATGAGAGAGTATTTAATTGTGACAGAATATCAAGGAAGGATTCACAGAGAAAGTGGCATTTTAGCACTTAAGGATGTGAAAAATTTACATAAGTGGCACCATGAACAAAGGCACAAGGCATGACCCAAATGTCATAATAATAGTAAGAATTCCATTGCAATTAAGCTAAAGTGGGAATACATATGGGAATATTTTCAAAAAGTTAATTCTGGAAAAATCTTCAGAGGTCAAATACTTGAGAGCTTAAAAATTTTCATGAGAAGTTTGTACATATATATATATATATGCAGGATTTATATCTTTCAGGATATATCTATATGTCAGGATATATATATCTATATCTCAGGATATATATCTATATCTCAAGATATATATCTGTATCTATATCTATAGATAGATAGATAGATAGATAGATAGATAGATAGATAGATAGATAGATATCTCAGGCTATATATCCTGAAAGAGTTAACTAATTTTGAACAAAGTTATCCTCCATCCAGTAACAGCTAGTCAAGCCGATGGTGGCAGACTACACTTCAATTGTCCCTTTTCTGACTATACCACCACTATATCTTCTTCCAAATGTAACCAACTTTAGGTAATTTGAAACAGTGGATTAAAAATCCCAGCTGTAAAACTTTGGGGGAACATGCTTGATATGGTTTGGTTCTGTGTCCCTACCCAAATCTCATCTCAAATTGTAATCCTCACATGTTGAGGAAGGGATCTGTAATCCCCAGGTGTCAAGGCAGGGAGGTGATTGGATCATGGGGGTAGTTTCCCTGATGCTGTTCTCATGGTAGTGAGAGAGTTTTCATGAGATCTGATGGTTTTATAAGGGGCTCTTTCCCCTTCGCTTCCTTCACATGCTCTCTCACTTGCTGCCATGTAAGATGTGCCTGCTTCCCCTTCTGCCACGATTTTAAGTTTCCTGAGGCCTCCCCAGCCATGCAGAACTGTGAGTCAATTAAACCTCCTTTTTTAAATAAATTACCCAGTCTCAGGCAGTTTTTTGTAGCAGTGTGAGAAAGGACTAATACAATGCTTTAAGGAAATCACTTACTACTAAATTACAGCTTCTTCATCTTTGTAATGGGGCTAATAATCATCATAGCTACCTCATAGATTGAGTCTATGAAAAAACAAATAAATGAATCTATATGCTGAGTCCAAACCTAGCAAATCTATCTATGGGATACAAACAATGTCTATTAAATGTGAACAAACACCTAACAACAAACATCCAGACTGATGCAAAATTCAAAACTAAACCAAGGTAGATGTTTTTGTCATTATTTGTTATTTTTTCTTCATTGCCTGGATTGTTCAGGTAGAGCTGTTGTCTTTTAGACTGGGGGGGGCATCTCTGTGGTTTTTCAGAGTACTAAGAAGAATATCAAGGGATAAATATTATCCAAAGGGGACGCTCAGTTAAAGTTAGGAGATAAAAATAACAGCAACAGTATTCTAAAATCTCAGGTGGAGTTTTTTGCTTTTGTTTTTCTGATGAAATTTTAATTATACCTCTAATTCAAGGATAGAGGGAGAGGAGAATTGGATTTCGTTATACATAATTTTAGTTGGCTTCAATCCTTGTGAAAGGTTAACTTGCACAAGCAGAAACTTGAAAACTCTACTCCTCAATATACTTTTCCCCTTCAGTCCTGTGTTTCCTCTGTTCTATTCCCTGTTGACTTGGAAGTTGCATGGGGCCCTAATGAATGATGGGCAATTTGCTGTATTGATGGCAAAGATGCAAGCTCAACACAAAGCGTCTCTCGTCATTTGAAAAAGCTCATTACAAACCAAATAATTCATGAACTAAGGCCCATCCATAAGGGATGATCTGCATTAATTGTGCTAAATTAAGTTGATAAAGTCTACAGGATTCAGAGACAAAATTCTTATGTCAATATGGATGTTTTCCACCATTTCAAAATGTAGGGTTTAACTAGCAGGTGCTGACAACTTTACTTTGGAATATTCCCTCCAACAGATTAAATCTCAGCCCTTGAGGTAAGATGTGCTTCTTGGAAGTTACCAGACATCTTTTATAAATGATCTAGAAGTATTTCTGTCTTTTAATTGAAGGAAAATGTTATTTCCTACAGTCCGGGATCTCCCTTGGTTCTTAACAAACTCTAGCAAAGCATGTCAAGAAACTTTTCACAATAACACTCTAGGAATAGAGTGACTGGAGGCTTTTTCAACACCATCAGTAAACATTAAGCACAGATTATTCTTCAGGTCATGAGGAAACATAGAATTGTACTCTGGGAGACTCTGAACCTGCATTGATTCCTGATCCAATAGAGCAGTAGTATAATCTCTCATAAATTTTTCCCCTCAACCCACAAAAATTTAAAAATTAAAATAAAAAATTTCCCTCCGCAGCATAGCCACTAGTTGAACAACATTCACACCTGCTCAATTATGAGGTCTTGATTTATTCCAAAGGCATGAGAAGGGCAGTGTGAGCCAGGCAATACCACAGAAAGAACTTGGGTTTTGGAACCAAGCACAACTAACTCTTGACATTGGTGGTTTTGTGATTTGGGGCAAATACTATGACCCTTGGATCTCTATTTATTCATCTGTAAAATAGGGATAATAAAATCATTTACTATAATTGCTGTAATTAAATTAGATAATGCATACAGATAATAAAATATGAACATTCCATAAATGGTAACAGTTATTATCACATTAGTGCCCAAGTTATGGGAGCAATCTCCACTAGATGATAATCAGCTGGATCATCATAAGTTTGGATGAATACAATTTATCACACCTGCTGTATAGGGAGGATTAAAAAATGTCTTTCTAGAGTATAGGGCCTGGAAATTTCATTTTTCCAGTTTCTATCTTGTTAGTGAAAGAGTCCACTTTTTTTTCGGTTGACTGAAAGAGAAGTCTAAGGTACATGTAAACATCATCATTATCATTATCAACCTAATACACACACACACACACACACATATATATATATTTCTAATTTTAATAAAACAGTCACTTGTGAAATTTATTTCCATTAGTCCAGGGGATATGCCCTAACGCCAGTATGATATCAATGCATTCATTAAATATTTGCTAAACAATAAATACAGATCAATGGCTCACTACTTGTCTAGAAATAGAGTAAGGTTTCTCCTAGTAAAATAACATACAGTACGGCCAAATGTACCCAGAAACTCTTAAGGACTCATAGAGGTAGGATCCAGGATCTGATCCTTGGCCATCCAGGCTCTGACAAACTTAACTTTTAGAGTGGCCTTACTTTTGAGAAAAGGAGGAAGTAGATCATACTCTGGAACCAGACCTGACTTGACAAAGCAACTTAAGTTGTGGTAGGTGCCAAAGTTTCAATTCTACCTACTCTGGTGGTTTCAGAAAGAACTCTGTGTTGATCCATGCTAAAAAAAAGAAAAAAAAGTTCAATTCCAACCTGTCATTCTTTAAAATTATAATTCAACTTAACAGGCACCATGGAGCTTCAGGGAACACAACTAATGAGAATCCTTGAAGATATATAATTTAGAGATGACATTTGGAAGTAAATAGACCTTTGGGAGGATGAGTAAATGAAATGTAGTAGTCATAGAACTTTTATTTAGGTAAAATAAGTTTTAAAAGACTTAGTTTCCTCCACCCCAAACAGAAAATCCTTACCCAGCTTCAATTTTCAAAAGACGGTTGAAAACCTTTCAAAATTCCATTATAAAGGCAATATAAAATGATTGTTTCTCAAGACAACATTTGTAGCAATAGCAAACACTTTGGAGCATGGAAGAAAGTTCTGAAGAAGCCTGGCAGTCAGACTCTAGCACTGCAATAGTCAAGCAAGTCTCCTTGTTTTTCACCTGTTTGTCACACTTGTTTCTTTTGGTAAAATGGGGATGGGGGTGAAAACAGGGAGAGAGGTGATATTAAATAAAATCTCCATGATAATCTTCTTGTTGGCCTCCTTCAGCTCCATTAAGACACAGAGAAAAGAGAGAGAAGAAACAGACTGAGTATTTAAGATTGTTTGCCTTGTTCAAATTCAGGTTTGAGGTTTAGAAGGTCAACATCACTACATCTAAAGTTTCCATTCACTCAGATTCTCAGAAGAGTAAGGTGGCTCATAAATATCTAGTTCCCATCCAAAGCTTAATTTGGTGTGTGTGTGTGTGTGTGTGTGTGTGTGTGTGTGTGTGTGTTTCTTTTTAGACAATGTCTTGCTCTGTTGCCCACGCTATAGGGCAGTAGATCACTGCAGCCCCCACCTCCTGGCCTCAAGCGATCCTCCTACCTCAGCCTCCCAAGTAGCTGGGACTACAGGCGCATACCACCATGCCTGGCTAATTTTTGTATTTTTTGTAGAGACAGGTCTCCATGGTCTTGAACTTTTGGACTTCAGTCTCCCAGAGTGCTGGGATTACAGGAATTTTTAGTGGTTTTCAAGCTGTGTTTCATGGAGCTCTGTGGTTCCTCAATGATGCTTCAGCCCTAATCCAGCTTGAGAAATATCACATTTACCTGATTTATATACAGGATTAGCATTCCAGGTAAGATTTTATTCTGAGGAGAAGGAAGATAAGAAGAGGGAGCAGAAAACTCAATAAAAACCTACATTGAAACCAATGGTCTACTATTCCCCAAGTATTAATAATACTCACCCAGTATGTGAGTACAAACACCTGAGTTCCTCAGTGGTAAGGATTCTACCACCTTATGAGACAATGATATAAATTTTATATGGCTAAATTGTAAGGAAACTCATTCTTGTGGAGAGAAGAGGTCTACCTTCTAACTTCCATTCTATTTCTGGCCTCTCAGACCACAGAGAGGAAGGCTAAGGCTTTTTAGCATAAGAATTTCTCACTATTGGAAGACGACTGAAAGGACACCACTCCCTCTGCTGGAGATTTCTAGTTCTTTGATGCTTGGTAGGGTTTTAGCTCATTCCATCAACCAAATCATTCTCTTCTGAACATACTGCAGGGTGTTGAGTCCCACTATGTGTTCTTTTATGTACAGTGTAAGAAGGATGAATAGACTATCACACCTTTTTGGCTCTTTCATTTTTCTTAAGACAAAGAAAACAGAAAGACAGTATCACTCAAATATTTTAAGCTGTTCACTTTGTTCATGGTCTAGCTAGTACATAGTCTGGCAATGGCATAATACAATGACTTTTTTTTTTTTGAGACGGATTCTCGCTCTGCCGCCCAGGCTGGAGTGCAGTGGCGCGATTTCAGCTCACTTCAACCTCCACCTCCAGGGTTTAAGCAATTCTCCTGCCTCAGCCTCCCAAATAGCTGGGACTACAGGCACATGCCACCATGCCACGCTAATTTTTGTATTTTTAGTAGAGACAAGGTTTCACTATATTAGTCAGACTGGTTTTGAACTCCTGACCCTGTGATCCACCTGCCTCCGCCTCCCAAAGTGCTGGGATTACAGGCATGAGCCACCACACCCAGCCTACAATGACTCTCTTTAAAGATAAATTTTGTAGCAAAAAGAAACTACACTTTGAGGCAGGAAACAAAGTTCTACGGCAAGTATCCAAATATCTCCAAGGTTTTACTGAGCAAATATATCCCCATATTTTTCTCACCTGTTTGTCATACTTCCTCCTCCCACTGGTAGGAAATGATGAAGGAATATAGCTTGTTGTAATCATTCTAATAATCTTTCATAAATCTCAGATTCATCTTGCCTTGGCTAGGCAAGAGGAATCTAGTATTATAGTGTGGTGAAAATGAAAAAGAATAAGGTTTTGAACTCATACAAAAAATAGTGTTCAAATTTTGTCTCTCCAGTATGACCTTTGGTAAATCACTCCACCATTCTGAACCTCAGTTAACTCATCACACTACAGAATTGTTGTATTTGAGATAATGTATGTACCAAGCCTAGCACTGAGCACTGGATATTTAGGCTATCAAAGAACATTATAAAAATTACTATAATTGTGAGCATTTATAGGTCTTTTAACAGCACTGATTTCAATGGGATCTTATTTATGCATCTGTTACAAAGAATGAAGAACTTCCATGCAAATTTCCAAGTTACCTGAGGCTTACACTTTAGGATCAAATCGTTTTTGTTTTAACCATTTTAATTGAAATTTATTCCTGAAAAGATTATATACTGCTGTGAATTTATAAAAAGAAATGACAAATGATTTAAATATTTATTGCTTTTTTATTATCATGATATTTACAACACTAATGCAGTATTACTGTAATACCTGAAAGAAAATTTGAGGTGGATAGACCATTTCCTTCTTCATTAAAGGGTCTCAGGCTTTTATAATTTTTGAGATCTTACACTTTCTCAGTTATATGTTTAGTGGTTCTGGGTAGTTCAGACCTCTGGCTTATACATTATAGCAAGTAGAATTGAATGATCTACTTCAACACTCTCCAGTTATATTATTGGTTCTCCTATTTTCATGAGGTTAATAGATATTTTGTTTGAAAAAAAATTGGGGCTATGATATTTGAAGTGAAGCCTGCCTGCAATCAACAAAGAGAATCAAATTTTGTAACTCTTTTTTCTCAGCCCTGGGAATTCTCGGATTTGATCATGTCTCTTGACCTATAGAATGTCATAACTGTGGAATACTGTGGGGTGCAATATGGCCAGCAAACTATGAACAGAGAGTAGTTAGTAGGCCAGAGAGTGATAGCAGGCAGTGTCAATGGGGCCAATAAAGCAACAGCAGACATTGGCTAAGAATAGAGTCTCAGGGGAAGCACTTGGAGTAGAGAATCCAAAGAGGTTCAGTTAGCTGATTTCAAATACGAATAGTCCACCCCACCCTCACTCATATCTCCAGGGCATCCCAGGGAAAAGCAGAGGAGAATGGGGGTGGGGACTGGGGTTCTGTCATTTGACAGAAGGAGCTATTGATTCAACATTTCCATCGATAAGTAAGATCTGAGTGAGACTGAGGTAGTACCTGTAAGTTTTATTGCTTTTTTTCCCATACTGCTAGAAAATTTTCTGGACATTCTTGCTGCTATCAGAGTAATGTCTTCTAGTGATTTCTGCCTCTGACCACCAATGAACTCTAAAAACAAGTAAATAAGCTGTATAGCATTATAGAGAATGAGTCTGTTGACATTGCATAAGGAGTATTGCAGGGGGTACTTTTTTGAGTATAAGCCCACAACCTAAACTCATAGACCATGTGGCATCTGTGTTTAATTCCTCAAGACCACTGTATTAAATAACAAATCCATAATTTGAAGACAAAGGCAGATATAAACTAGGCAAAATTAAGCCAAAGTGTCTCTAACTCCTAAACAGACACTAGTTCTACAACTTCACCAGGTATCTGAGGGTCATTAAAAATATCCATTAAAACTACCAAGCACTATGAAGAACTTTCTACTTTGAAAATCAGAGAAAAATTTTCTGAGAAAATTAGAACTCTTTAAGCATTTCCTGGCTTCTTTAAGCATTAGAGATTTGATTTTCAGACCAATAAGCTGTTATCTGCAGCCTGATGGTCTCTACAAATTCCTATCTTCTATAATATGGATGCTTATCATATTTGCCATATAGTTGTATAAGATTAGTTATAAATGGTTACAATTTTAAAATGCATTTAAGCTGAATTATATTAGTATTAATATGGAACATTTAAACATCACATAATTGCCTTAAAACAGCTGGTGGACTACATAGCATAGAAAAAGATTTTTTAGACTGGCATTTAAGTTTGGTGTGCATCTGAGAATGGATAATTACTTTAGGAAGTGCTAGTTCTGAAGTACTGACCTTGTGATAAAGTAATTATATAAAACATCAATAAAAACTTAAGTGAGTGCCTATTATGTTAAAAGCTATTTTGGTAGCATTGGGTAAATGAAGAGCTATAGAGGCAATCTCTGAATCAAACGGTTTATAGAGCAAGTTGTAGCTCAAATAGAAACCAAGCTCAATGCTTAATAATGATTATTGGCTACTAGATCAACTTGAAAACCTTTGGATTTTTTACTTATAAAGTTAGAAGAGACCTTAGAGTCTAACACCTCCTTTAAAAATGAAGGAACTTGAAGTCAGGAGTTCGAGACCAGCCTGACCAATATGGTAAAACTCCATCTCTACTAAAAATACAAAAATTAGCCAGGCATGGTGGCGGGCGCCTGTAGTCCCAGTGACTTGGGAGGCTGAGACACAAGAATTATTTGAACCCAGAAGGCGGAGGTTGCAGTGATCCAAGATCATGCCACTGCACTCCAGCCTGGGTGACAGCGAGACTCCGTCTAAAAAATATATATATATATATGTGTGTGTGCATATGTGTGTGTGTGTGTATATATGTGTGTGTTTATATATAATGCATCCTGAATGGATAAGGTGTGCATATATGTGTGTGTGTGTGTGTGTGTGTGTGTGTGTGTGTGTGTATGTGTGTGTATATATATAATGCATCCTGAATGGATAAGGAGGGACAACAGTAAAAAATTTTAAAACAGGCCAGGCGCACTGGCTAGCGCCTGTAATCCCAGCACTTCGGGAGGCCGAGGCAGGCAGATCACAAGGTCGGGAGATCGAGACCATCCTGGCTAACATGGTGAAACCCCCCTCTCTACTAAAAATACAAAAATAAAATTAGCCGGGCATGGTGGCAGGCGCCTGTAGTCCCAGCTACTTGGGAGGCTGAGGCGGGAGAATGGCATGAACCCGGCAGGCGGAGCTTGCAGTGAGCCAAGATTGAGCCACTGCACTCCAGCCTGGGTAACAGAGCGAGACTCTCTCAAAAAAAAAAAAAAAAAAAAAAAATTTAAAAACAAACAAAAAAAAAGTATAGCTTAATTTTATAGGCCCAAGGCAGAAGTCTGGAACATTTGACAGAGGGCTAATAGGACATCTGGATTCTATAGTCAGACCTGTTTCTTCCTCACTGAATGACTTTATTCAAATAATTTCATTCATTCATTTGCTTAATAAATGTTTCATATGTTCTTCCTCTGGGCCACGTCCTAGGCAAAGTCTTGGGAATCATTCATTCCCCTGGCCACAGTTCCTTCATATATATATATATATATATATATATATATATATATATATATATATATATATATATATTCCCTTTAGCCACAACCACTTTCTTCTGCCCCATCTCCTCATTAATTCCAGGAAACTAATAATCTGCTCCCTGTAACTATAATTTTGACATTTCAAGAATGTTATATAAATGGAATCATATAGTATATAATCTTTTGGGAAATTTTTAGCATAACTCTCTAGAGATTCATCCAGGTGGCTGAATGTATCCATTTTTCTTTCCCTTACTCTTGCTGAATAGCATGCAATGGCATAGATGCCACAGTTTGTTTAAACATTCACTCATTGTAGGACATCTAGATTGTTTTCAGTTCTTGGCTATTACAAATACTGCTGCTATAAACATTCATGTGCAGATTTTTATGTGAGTAAAAGTTTTCATTTCTCTGAAATAAATGCTCAGGATTATGATCACTGGGTTGGATGACAGTTGCATGTTTACTTTTTAAAGAAACCACTAAATTGTTTTCAAAGTGGCTGTACCATCTTATATTCCCACCAGCAACATGTAAGTGACCTAGTTTCTCCAAATCTTTGTCAGCATTTGGTGTTGTCAATATTCTGATACATATGTAGTAACAGTTCATTGTGGTTTTAATTTGGAATTCCTTAATGGCTAATGATGTTAAATTAATTAAATACCTTTTGATGTGCTAACATATCATTTGTGTATCATCTTGGATAGGTTCTCTGTTTATGTCTTTTACTATAAAACATAATTGGATTTTTCTAATTGGATGGGTTTTGTTTTGTTTTTGTTTAAAACTGTTGGATTTTTTGTGTTCCTTATTTATTCTATGTAATAGTCCTTCGTGAGATATGTGGTTTGAAAATATTGTCACCCAGTCTGTGATTTGTTTTTTAATCCTCTGTTAACAGGATTAAAATTAAAAATGCCTTTTGCAGGGAAACCATTTTTATTTTGATGAAATTCAACTGATGGCTTTGTAACTTTTTCCTTTATGGATCACCTTTTGCTTTTAAGTATAAGAATTCTTTAACTAGCCCTAGTTCCCAAAGGTTTTTTTTTCTATATTTTTCCCTAAAAAGTTGCAATTCTACATTTTAGAATTCAGTTTGTGATAAATTTTGAGTTAATTTTTTGTGCAAGGTGTGAGGTTGATGTCAAGGGATTCTGTTGCTGTTGCTGTTACCTGTGGATGTTCAATTGCTTTGGAACTTTCTGTTGTAAAAGCTATTATTTCTCTATTGAATTAATATCTTTAGCAAAAATCAGTTAGGCATGTTTGTGTGGTCTGTTTCTGGCCTTTCTATACTATTCCATTAAGGCATGTGTGTGTTTATCTCTTCACCAGCACCACACAATCTTGATTACTCTGGTTATCTAATAAATTTTGAAGTTGGATAGGCTCATTCCTCCCACTTTATTCTTCTCTTTCAAAATTGTTTCAGCAATTCTAGTGTTTTTGTACTTTTATAAAAATTTTCAGATTAATCTTGTCTATATCTACAAAAATTATTGTTTGAATTTTCATATCAAAATTGTGTCAAATCTGTATATCAATTGGGGATAATTGACATCTTTACTATGTTGAGTCTTTCCTTTAACATGGTTCGTCTTTCCATTTATTTAGATCTTCATTATTAAATCAGCATTTTGTAGTTTAACACAAAAGTCCTGTACATGTCTCTTTTAGAATTGCACCTAAGTATTTTATTTGAGTGATTAGAATTTGCATTGCATTTTTATTATGGGGTCTCATAGATTCATTGCTAGTATGTAGACATGTAATTGTTTTTTATTGAACGTTCAGCTTGTATTCTTTGACCTTGCTGAATCCACTTACACTTCGGGGAGTTTTTCTGTAGATTCCTAGTCATTTGTAAATAAACACGATTTTTTTTTTTTTTTTTTTTTGCCTTCTTGAACCTGCCAACATTTCCAGAACTACTATGTTTAAAAAGAGTGGTGAGAGCATACATCCTTGCATTGCTTTCAATCTGAGATAAAACATTAACATTCCTTTTTTTAATACCCATTTATAATGTTAGTTGTAGAATTTTTTTAATCAAGTTGAAGAAGTTCCAGTTTATTTCTTTTTCACAGTAATTTTATTATAAATGTGTATTGAATTTTGTCAAATGCTTTTTTCTGCATCAATTGATACAATCACATGGTTTTTCTTCTTTAGCTTGTTCATATGATGGATTACATTTATTGATTTTCACATGTTGAAGCAGGCTTAAACCTCTGAAATAAAACCAAAGTGGTTATGATGTGTAATTCTTATATGTTGCTGAATTATGTTTACTAATTTTTTTAAATGTTTGCATCTATATTTATGAGGCATATTGTTCTGTGGATTTCATTCTCATTTTTTGTATTGTTTTTTCTGGCTTTGGTGAGCGTCTCAAAATGAATTAAGAAGTGTTTCCTCTTTTATTTTCTGGAGAAGATTGTGTAGAATTGTCTTAGTTATTTTTAAACATCTGTAGAATTCTGCAGCAAAACCACCTGTGCCTTTTTCTGAAAAGCTTTTAAAATACAAATTCAATTTTCTTAATAGCTATAGTGCTTTCAAATTATCTATTTTGTATTGAATGATTTGTATTAGATTGTGGAGATTTTTTTCTTCCATTTGTTCCCTTTAAAAAATTGTCCTACAATTAAGACATAAATCTGAGTAGTTTGTGATTTTTGAAGAATTGGTCCATTTAAACTAGGTCATCAAATATGTGTGGAGTTGTTGGCAGTATTCCCTAATAACCTATTTCTTGTCTGCAGGATCTGTAGTGAGTTTATTCTTATATTGGTAATTTACTTTTTTTATCTTTGTCAATCTTGCTACATGTTTTGTCAATTTTATTGATCTTTTTGAAAACCCAGAACTTTGATTCACTGATGGTCTCTGTTGTCTTACTGTTTTCAATTTAACTGATTTCTGCTCTTTATTTCCTTCCTTCTGCTTGCTTTGGGTTTATTTTGTTCTTTTTTCCTACGTTCTTGAGGTAGAATCTTAAATTATTAATTTGAGGCTTTTCTTCTTTTCTAATATATGTATCTAGTGCTTTATATTTTCATCTCAGCACTGTTTTCGCTGTATTCTACCAATTTTGATATACTGTATTTCCCTTTTCATGTAATGCTTTTTTAAAACATTCACATGATACTTCATCTTTGACTGATGAACAATTTACATGTGTGGTATTTCATTTCCAAGTGTTAGGAAATTTTCCCATTATATTCCTATTATTAATTTCTAGATTGATTCCATTGTGGACAAAAAGCACACTCTATATCATTTCAGTTACTTTTTTTGCATTTGAACTGTTATTTCTTCTTTTCCTATGGTGAGATAATCATAAATATATTGTGAAGGAAATTTCTCATAACCTTTCTCATTACTGGCAATATTTATTATTATAAATCTATAGAAATTCAATTAAAATATATAGACACAGGGAAACTATATCATTACCATGGCAGCTAATGAAAAACAACACATAAAAATATTTTCTGAATTTTAGAAAATAAGTTGGAAATACAAAGGAAAGTACTAAGAATTGACCATCATATGTCACTTAATTTTGCTTATTGAGCTTTTGTACTTTTTAATGGAAAATAACCCAGCTCTCTTAAATCTACATCTTCTACTCTCTCAATGTTATAAGTTGAATTGTGTCCCCTGAAAACATCCATTGAAGTACCACAGAATGGGATTTTATTTGGAAATAGGATAATTACAGATGTAATTAGTTAAGAAGAACTCACACTGGAGTAATGTGTGCCCCTAATTCAATAAGACTGGTGTCCTTATGAGAAAAAGAGAAGCAATACAGACACATGAGGGAAGGCAGACGTGATGACAGAGGCAGAGATTGGAGTAATGCAGCTTCAAGCCAAGGAACTCCAAGAATTACAGGCCACCAGCAGAAACTGAAGGAGGCAAGGAAGGCTTCTATCCTACAGGTTTCAGAGGGAGAATGGCCCTATAAACATCTTGATGCTGGACTTCTGGCCTCCAGAACTATGAAGTAATGAATTTCTGTTGTTTTAAGCCACCAAGTTTGTGGTACTTTTTACGACAGCCCTAGGAAAGTAATACATTCGGCTTTCTTTTTAATTCAATTTTTAAGTTTTTTATTCTATTTGTTTCCCTGTTAAATTTCTTTTTTATTAATATGTAATATTTTACATAATTATGAGATATATGTAATATTTTGTCACATGCATAGAATGTGTAATGATCAAGTCAGAGTATTTGAGGTGTCCATCACTTTGTAGTATTTATCACTTCTATGTGTTGGGAACAATTCAACTCCTCTCTTCTAGCTACTTTGAAGTATACAATATATTCTTGCTAACTATAGTCATTCTCCTCTGCTACCAAATGGGAGAACTTATACATTTTATCTAATTGTATATTTGTACCCATCAACCTGCCCCTCTTCATCCCCCCTTCCACCAACCACCCTTCCCAGCCTCTGATATCTATCATTACATTCTCTATGTTTATGACATCAACTTTTTTAGCTCCCACATATGAGTGAGAACATGTGATATTTGTCTCCCTGGGCCTGGATTATTTTACTTAATATTATGACCTCCAGTTCCATCAATGCTGCTGCTGCAAAGGACATCATTTTATTCTTTTTAATGGCTGAATAGTATTTCATTGTGTATGTATACCACATTTTCTTTATCTTCTAATCTACTGATGGACACTTAGGTTGATTACAGATCTTTGCTATTGTGAATAGTGCTCAATAATCATGTAAGTACAGGTATGCCTTTGAAATACTAATTTCTTTACCTTTGGATAGATCCCCAACCGTGGGATTATTGGATCTTATGGTAGTTCTATTTTTAGTTTTTAGGGAAATCTCCATACTGTTTTCCATAGTGATTGTACTAATTTACTTTCCAAACAACAGTGTATAAGAATCCCTTTACTCCACATTATGCCAGCATTTGTTATTTTTTGTCTTTTTAATAATAGCCATTCTAACTAAGGTAAGATGATATCTCATGGTTTTGATTTGCATTTCCCTGATGATTAGTGATGTCGAGCATTTTTTTTTCTGGCTCCAAAGATCTTTTACTGAGATCCACTTGAAACACTTCGGTCCTTAATTTGTCAACTGAGTTGACAGGCTGATGGCTGATCTAGGTAAAGGTTTCATGGTAGCAAAAACACTTCCTGCCTATAATATATCAAAACAGGTTCCTGAATAACATGTGTGAATGTCATCAGGGTCTCTGTCCCATCTACTTCAGGATTCGATTAAGCTCCTCAAATTTGTGGATCTGATGGATGAAGATATCCCCATAGCGCTTGGTGACCTTGGTGTCTATGATGTGGATCATGTCCTTATCGATGTAGAAGTCAACCACTGAGACCGATTAAAATTCACCATCCAGGGCTGAGATGCTGCTGGTCCACACCAGGTTCTTCATCTTGTGTTTGAAGACCAGAAGCTGGATCCGGAACTCCTGTTCTGTAAGGTCCAGGGAGCCAGCAAGCTTGGCCACAGGCATGGTGGTGTAGAGCTTGAGGAAGCTGCAGATGCTTGAAAGCTGGGCCTGCTGCCATGCTTCATCGGAAAACACCTCCAGCTGCTGCAGGAAGGGCTCTCTGTGGTAGTTGGGGTACACGTTATCATAGCTGGGCACTACAGGCGACAGGAACTTGGGGCAGGAGTAACTGAAAAGTTCTTCATAGACTTGTGGGTGACCTTTCTGCTTGCGCAGCAACTTGTCCCCATATTTCTCCTGCAGCTGGAGGTGAATGCTCTCATCGATATGCATGGGGTACATCATGAGGGCAATGGCCAGCAGCGCATGCATCTGATCATTCTGCTTGTTAATCATCTCATACTTACATGTGGTCCTCTGGAACATGCTCTTGGTCCTCTGGATGTAGAAGAGGATATTGGTGAAGACCTGGATGGCGTCCTGGTAGCAATGCATCATCAAATACGCAAACCCAAGATAATAGTATGTGGTGACCTGGCACTCTAACACACAGGAATACATGATCTTCTGGTTCAGCTCGATGTTCTCTAGCACCTTGATGGCCTGGTACTAATCTCCTAACAGGGATTGCAGGCAGAGAAACCCCACAAGGCTGAAGTAACCAAGCATCTCCCCAGCCACACTCTCAGGGTCACCTCGCTTGTGTATACCTCCAACTGTCGGTTGATGTTGGATTTGTCTACCCAGGAATGAAGGACATTGAGGACACTGTGAACATTCCAGATTTTGGGATTGGAACAAAGGAAGTCAATCTCCTCCTCCGACTTCTTAGCAGTCTTACAGCAGTACTGACTGAATGACTGAAACTGGTAGATGAACTCATCAATGATATCCTAGAGCCCCTGGTTGGGTAGTTCAAGGGAAGGAGGACCATCAACATTAAGAATATAGTTGAAGAGATTGCAATTGTTATAATAGGATTCAAACCTCTACTCCAAGGAAGGTCCCCCACTGACTTTGGCATATATGTGCCTGTAGTATAATTCTTTATATAAAACCAGGAAGACAGCATTGTTGCCAACCTGTGGAGCAATGGCTTCAGCCTCGGGCCAAGGTGTAGTTTTGAAGAATCTTTCAGTCAGCTTGGTCCAGCTGTTCTCATAGATGTCCTGGATCCTATACACCTTCTGGTCAATGACATCACTGGAGACACAACTGGCCTGTAGCTCATACACTTTCTGGTCAGTCAAATCCGAGACAGTTTTGCGTAAATACTAGATGGAGTTTTTGATCACTTCAGGCATTACCTGATAGGTTTGCTATTCATACTGACGTTCATAAGCAAGGCCCTGCTTTTGGATCTCCATAGTCGCCCAGATAAGTATAGGGATCATAAGCCTCCTCAGACTCATAATCATCGCGAGATAAGACATGGCTGCCGGGCTCACAAACACCACCAGAAAGTGATATTGAGCATTTTTTATATACTTGCTAGCCATTTGAATGTCTACTTTTGAGAATAGTCTATTCATGTCCTTTGCCCACTTTTTAATGAAATTATTATTATTTGTTGTTGTTGTTGTTGTTTGAGATGGAGTTTCACTCTGTCACCCAGGCTGTAGTGCAACGGCACAATCTCAGCTCACTGCAACCTCTGTCACCCAGGTTCAAGCAATTCTCCTGCCTCAGCCTCCCGAGCAGCTGGGATTACAGGCACCTACTAGCATGCCCAGCTAATTTTTATAGTTTTTAGTACAGATGGGGTTTCACCATCTTGGCTAGACTGGTCTTGGACTCCTGACCTCGTGATCCACCCACCTCGGCCTCCCAAAGTGCTGGGATTACAGGCATGAGCCACCATGCCCAGCCTGGCTGTTTTTATCATTATTATTGAGTTGCTTGAGTTGCTTATATATTCTGTATATTAGTCTCTTGTCAGATAAACAGTTCTCAAATATTTTCTCTCATTCAGCAGGTGCCTTTTCACTCTGTTGATTGTCTCCTTTGCTTTGCAGAAGCTTTTTAGTTTAATATAGTCCCATTTGTCCATTTTTCTTTTAGTTGTCTGTGCTTTTAAGATCTTTGCCTAGACCAATGTTCTAAAGTATTTTTCACTATGCTTCTTCTAGTAGTTTTATAGTTTAAGGCCTTATGTTTAAACCTTTGATCCATCTTTGTTGATTTTTGTATATGGTGAGAGAAAGGATTCAGTTTCATTCTCCTGCACAAGGATATACAATTTTCCCACCACTGTTTATTGAGGATAATGTTTTTTCCCCAGTGTATTTTCTTGGGGCCTTTGTTAAAAACAAGTTGGTTGTAAATATGTGGCTTTATTTCTAGTTTCTCTATTTTGTTCCATTGGTCTATGTGTCTATTACTATAACAATGCCATGCTGTTTTGTTTACTATAGCCTTATAATATATTTTGAAGTCTGCAGTGTGATGCATCCAGCTCTGCTTGTTTTGCTCAGGATTGCATTGTATATTCTGGCTCTTTTTTTCCACAGAAATTTTAGGATTTTTTTTCCTTTTATGTAAAAAATGAAAAGTACAGAGTTTTATTAGTTCTCTCTTTGCTTGTTTGTTTATAAAATTAGTGTTGTCATCATCACTTTAAAACAATGGGTTATAAGATAGTATTTATAAGTATCATGAAAACTTCAAATGAAAAAAACATAAAATGAATACACAAAAAATAAAAAGCAAGAAATTAAAACATACCACCAGAGAAAATCATGTTTACTAACAGGAAGACAGGAAGGAGGTAAAGAAGGAAGATAAGACCACAAAACCATCAAAAAGGAAATAACAAAATAGCAGGAATAAGTCCTTACTTATCAAAAATAACATTGAAGGTAAATGGACTAAATTCTCCAATTGAAAGGCCGTATAGATTTAAAAAATAGAGTGGCTGAATGGATTTAAAAAATAGAGGAGTGGCTGAATGGATTAAAAAACTAAGACCCGATGATCTGTTGCCTACAAGAAACACACTTCACATGTAAAGACACATATAGACTGAAAATAAAGGGATAGAAAAATATGTTCCATGCCAACATGAGCCAAAAAAGACAAGAGTAGCTATACTTATAACAGACAAAATATATCATAAGACAAAAACTGTAAGAGACAAAGAAGGTCATTATATAATGATAACTGTATCAATCCAGCAAGAGGATATAACAATTGCAAATATGTATTCACCTAACACTGGAGAACCCAGTTATATAAAGCAAATATTATTAGAGCTAAAGAAAGACATATATTCAAATATGATAATGTCTGGAGACTAACACCCCACTTTCAGCATTAGATAGATTATCCAGACAGAAAATCAACACAAAAAGGACTTAATGTACACCACAGACCAAATGGACCAGACTAAGAAAAAAAGAGAGAAGATTCAAATAAATAAAATCAGAGGCTAAAAGGTAGATATTACAACTGATACTGCAAAAATTCAAAAGATCATTAGAGACCCATGAACAACTATATGCCAATAAACTTGAAAACCTCGAAAAAATGGATAAATCCCTAGATACATAAACCTACCAAATTGAACCATGAAGAAATCCAAAATGTGAATAAACCAATAACAAGTAACAATATCAAAGTGATAATAAAACATCTCCAAGCAAGAAAAAGCCCAGGACTTGATGGCTGCACTGCTGAATTCTACCAAACAGTTAAAAAACAGCTAATACCAATCCCACTCAAACTATTCTAAAAAACAGAGGAGGAGGGAAAACTTCCAAATTCATTCTATGAAGCCTGATACCAAAACCAGACAAAGACACATCAACATAAGAAAAGTACAGACCAATACCCCTGATGAACTTTGAGGCAAAAATCCTCAGCAAAACACTAGCAAACTGAATTTGAGAATACATTAAAAAGATTATTCATCATGACCAAGTGGGATTTATCCCAGGGTACAAGAATGGTTTGACATACACAAATCAATAAATATGTTACATTATATTAAAAGAATGAAAAGCAAAAGCCACATTATCACTTTAATTGGTGCTGAAAAACCATTCGATAAAATTCAACAGAACTTCATAATTTAAAAAAAATCCTAAAAAACGTGGGTACCTAAGGAACATACCACAACACAATGGAAGCCATATATGACAGACCCACAGCTAGCATCATCCTGAAGAGAAAAAAACTAAAAGGCTTTCCTCTATGATATGGAATACCCCAAGGATGCCCACTTTCACCTCTGTTATTCAACATAGTACTAGAAGTCCTACCTAGAGCAATCAGACAAGAGAAAGAAATAAAGGGCATCCAAATTGGAAAGGAAGAACTCAAATTATCCTTATTCACAGATGACATGGTCTTATATTTGGAAAAACCTAAAGATTCCACGAAAAAAACTATTAGAACTGACAAACAAGTTCAGTAAAGCTGCAAGATACAACATCAACAGAAAAGTCAGTAACATTTTTTTGGGGGGGACGGAATCTCACTCTGTTGCCCAGACTGGAGTGCAGTGGCACAATCTTGGCTCACTGCAACCTCTGCCACCTGGGTTCAAGCAATTCTCCTGCCTCAGCCCTCCCAAGTAGCTGAGATTACAGTCATGAGCCACCACGCCCAGCTAAATTTTGTATTTTTAATAGAGATGGGGTCTCGCCATGTTAGCCAGGCTGGTCTCGAACACCTGACCTCAGGTATCCACCTGCCTCATCCTCCCAAAGTGCTAGGATTATAGGCATGAGCCACCACGCCTGGCCACCACTAACATTTCTATATGCCAACACTGAACAATCTGAAAAACAAATCAGGAAATAACACCATTTACAATAGCTACAAACAAAATAAAGAAAAATAAAATACCTAGGAATTAACCTAACAAAAGAAGTGAAAGATCTCTATAATAAAAACTATTAAACACTGATGAAAGAAGTTGAAAAGGACACAAAAAAAGGAAAGATATTACATTTTTATGCATTGAATGGATTGATACTATAGATTCAATGAAATTCCTATCGAAATAACGACATTCATCACAGAAACAAAAAATAAATCCTAAATTTTATATGGAACCACAAAAGACCCAGAATAGCCAAAGCTATCCTGAGCAAAAAGAACAAAACTGGAAGAACCACGTTACCTGAGTTCAAATTACACTCCAAAGCTATAGTTACGAAAACAGCATGGTATTGGCACAAAAACAGACACATAGACCAATGGAACAGAATAGAGAAACCAAAAGCAAATGCATACATCTACAGTGTATTACTTCATTTTCATACTGCTATAAAGAACTGCCCAAGACTGGGTAATTTATAAATGAAAGAGGTTTAGTTGACTCATAGTTCAGCATGGCTGGGAAGCCTCAGGAAACTTACAATCATGGTGGAAGGTGAAGGGGAAGTAAGCCATCTCCTTTGCAATGTAGCAGGAAGAAATGCTGAGCAAAAGACGAAAAGCCCCTTGTAAAACTATCAGATCTCATGAGAATTCACTCACTATCATGATAACAGCTTGGGGGAAACTGCTCCCAGGTTTCAATTACCTCTACCTGGTCTCTCCCTTGACCCATGGGGATTATGGGGATTACAATTCAAGATGAGATTCAGGTGGAGACACAAAGCCTAACCATATTATACAGTAAACTCATTTTCAACAAAGGTAGCAAGAACTTACATCAGGAAAGGACAGTCCCTTTAATAAATGGTGCTGAGAAAATTGGAAATCCATATGCAGAAGAATGAAACTAGATGCCTATCTCTCACCATATACAAATATCAAAGCACAATGGATTAAAAACTTAAATATAAGACCTCAAACTATGAAACTACTACATGAAAACATTGAGGGAAATATTCAGGACATAGGAGTTGGTACAGATTTCTTGAGTAATACCCCACAAGCCCAGGCAACCAAAGCAAAGATAGACAAATGAGATCACATCAAGTTAAAAAGCTTCTGTACAGCAAAGGAAGCAATCAACAAAGTGAAGAGATAACACACAGAATGGGAGAAAATATTTGCAAACTACCCATCTGGCAAGGGATTAATAACCAGAATGTATAAGTAGCTTAAACAATCCTATATGAAAAAATCTGATAATATAATTTAAAAATGGTCAAAATATATGAATAAACATTTCTCAAAGGAAGGCAATAGAAATGGCAAACAGGGATATGAAAAGGTGCCCAACATCACTGATCATCAGAGAAATGCAAATTGAAACTGCCATGACATATCAACTTACCCCAGTTAAGATGCCTTTTATCCAACAGACAGGCAATAGCAAATACTAATGAGGGTGTGGAGAAAAGGGAACCCTCATACACTGTTGGGGTTAATGGAAATTAGTTCAACTACTGTGGAGAGCAGTTTGGAGGTTCCCCAAAAAAATAAAAATAGAGCTACCAAATGATCCAGTAATCCCATCACTAGGAATATATACCCAAAAAAGGAGACCAGCCTATCAAAGATATATCTGCACTACCTTGTTTGCTGCAGCATTATTCACAATAGCCAAGATTTTGAAGCAACCTAAGTTTCCCTCAACAGACTAATGGATAAAGAAAATGTGGTGTATATACACAATGGAGTATTCTTCAGCCAATAGAAAAGAGTGAGATCTTATCATTTGCAACAACATAGATGAAACTGGAAGTCATCATGTTAAGTGAAATAAACCAGTCATGGAAAGACACATTTGCATATTCTCACTTATTTATGGGAGCTAAAAATTTAAACAACTGAACTCATGGAGTAGAATCATGGTTACCAGAGGTAGGGTAGTGGGGCAGGGGTAGGGAAGATGGTTAATGGTACAAAAATATCACTAGGTAGAATGAATAAGATCTAGAATTTGACAGCACAACAGGGTGACTATAATCGATAATAATTTATTGTACATCTTAAAATTACTAAAAGAGTATAATTGTATTGTTTGTAACAGAAAGAATAAATGCTTGAGTTGACTGATATCCCATTTACCCTGACATGATTATTATGCATTGTATGCCTATATTAAAATATCTCATGTGCCCCATTAATATATACAACTACTATGTACCTACAATTTTTTTTAAGTCCCGGCTCTCTACTTGCCCTTCAGTACCACACTAGTGATGGATTTGGAGGTTTCTTATATATGACTGGTAAGAAGTTGAGGTGTAAACTCGGCACATGGTTTTTGCTGCTGGTGATGGAAATGGGGGTGCAGATTTTTCTGTGGAGTTTGGCTGGAATTAAATTCATAAGTTTTCTGCCTTCCTAGGCTTCTATTATTCTGGTCCTGTAGGTAAAGACAGCAGGATTTTGTTGTTGTTGTTGTTGTTGTTGTTGTTGTTGTTGTTGTTGTTGTTGCTATTATTGTCTCCTGTACTTTTTGGCATGTTTAGATTGCTAGCTTCTTTAGCTCCAAGTTTAGCTCCAAGTTTGGAGCATAACAAAAACCCAGGCAACTCAATACCATGTTGTTCCTTGGGTCTTCAGGCCCCTAGTTGTCTTCTCTCCATTTTAAAGAGTTCTCTAATGTTTTTTCTAGATTTTTTTGTACTTAACAAGAGCAATAGAAAGAAGTATGTCTACTGCATGTTCCCTGAGCAGAAGTTCAGTTTCACTTGATTTTGTGACTTCCTGTTCTGAAAGCAGAACACTGCCAATATTTGAATACTAAAAATTAGCTTTTTTAATATAATGCCTTCAAGGTATGACCAAAAAGGTGGGTTATTGTGCACAAAAAATACCCAATACTCTCACACTTGTCCTTGCACATTGCCCCTAGAAGCTACTCTCAGACTCTTAAACACTTCTACAACCTATTATGAAAGAACAAATGTTCATTATTGGGCTGTTATCTCAGGATATTCCAAAGTTTTGAATTGTTAGAATTTCTGAGTACTGTTGAGCTCCTTACAAAGGTGAGGACAACATCATCTTCTCTAAGTATGCCTTGCTTTTTCATATGCTCCCCAACACAATTCCACTTACTCCTTGATATGGCTTGGATCTGTGTCCCTGCCCAAATCTCATGTTAATTATAATCACCAATGGTGGAGGCGGGGCCTGGTGGGAGGTGTTTGGATCATGGGGGTGGTTCTCATGAATGGTTTAGCAACATCCCTCTTGGTACTGTCCTCATGATCGTTGAGTGAGATCTCACAAAATCTTATACTTTAAACATGTATGGCACCACCTCCTATCTTGCTGCTGCTCCTGCCATGTGCCTGCTCCCTGGTCACCTTCACCATGATTGTAAGCTTCCTGAGACCTCCGTAGAAGCTGGGCAGATGCTTCCTTTACAGACTGTGGAACTGTATTAAGTATCATGCTTCCTTTACAGCCTGTGGAACTGTATTAAGTAAACCTCTTTTCTTTATAAGTTACCCAGAGTGAACTAATATACTCTTTAGGAGAGTATTAGTTCATCCTTGTATTTCTTTATAATTAAAGAATTGTAATACTAGGTATAAGAATTATAATATTGGGTATAAGAATTATAATATTGGGTATAATTATAATATTGGGTGTAATATATTGGGTACAACAATGAACTAATACACTCCTAAAGACTAACCTCCCACCCTTCCTCTCTGCAGAAGCTGGAAATCAGTCAAGGTACCAAGTGATAGTTGTTTCCCATTTCTTTTTTTTTTTTTTTTTTTTTTTGAGACAGAGTCTCTCTCTGTAGCCCAGACTGTAGTGCAATGGCACGATCTCAGCTTGCTGCAACCTCCACATCCCGGATTCAAGCAATTGTCAAATCTCAGCCTCCCAAGAAGCTGGGATTACAGGCATGTGTCACTATGCCCAGCTAATTTTTGTATTTTTTGGTAGAGACGTGGTTTCACCATGTTGCCTAGGCTGGTCTCAACCACAGGTGATCTGCCCGTCTTGGCCTCCCAAAGTGCTGAGATTACAGGCATGAGCCACTATGCTCAGCCTCCATTTTATTCTTTATATGCATTTTCTTCCTAGCCTTGCCCTCAATCAAAACTCCTCCTTCCTCTTTTAGACAGAAAAATGCCTCATGAATGCAAATAGCTAAAATGAGTGAATTAATTCCTCACATTATTTCCGCTCATTCCTGTCTTAAAGTCACTCAAAATTTCACCAAACATGTATTACTAGCATAATAATGTATCAGGAGATTTTAAAAGGTGTGTGACAATATTTATGACATAAAAGATGTGATAATCTAGTTTGGAAAAGAAAATACATATTTCCAAAGAAAGTGTAAATAAAAATAGTTAAACTAGTATTAACATACTAGTTTTGGGCAATCTGAAAAACAACTTTCATTAATTATTCTCTTTTTAATTTTCAAAGAAAAAAAACTAAAAATATGAGGAAACTCACCCCAGAATGTTTAACTAGCTTGTTTCCTGTTACTTTTCTGATAAATTGTGATTCTGGGACTAAAACCTAAGTCTCTCTACCCTGAGTACTCAACCATGTTAAGATAATTTTAATGAGATAGTATTTTAGCTTATACAAAGAAAAATCATCTGAAGATTAAACTGGAGAACAGTGACATGAAGAAAAGTTAGCAAAATGGCTGCTGCAATGCATTAAATTGCAAAAGCAAGCAGCGTCTGGAAATCACCACAGATAAGATTTGAGATACTCATTTTATAATGGTATTTTTTTAAAAAAAGAAAAGGAAGAAAAGATCCATTTCCCCTAACAATCTAATGAGATAAAATTCTGTTTACTCTTGCTTTAATGCCTAAAGCTCTTACTGTCTGGTAGTTCCTGATTCAATAATTAGTAAGTGGTAAACTGGCTAGATTTAAAGTTGCCTAATAAAAGTTTCCTTATAGCAGGCACTAAAAGCATCAAAAAGCAGTAATGAGTTTAAATGGTTTTCAAATAGTAGTCTATAAGAAAAAGTATTTGACGATGTAAAAGAATGCATAAAAAGCATTCTAAACGCAGGAATCGTTATAAATTTTACACTCTATTGCCTTTGCTTAGAACAATGCACAGCACACAGTAGGAACTCACTAGATACTTGTTAAATGAATTCCAGGAAATTTTTTTCCCTTATCGCCAACAAAACTCTCTTAGAAACACATGTCATTGATGTCTCCAGGCAACATTACTGAGCCAAAAACTAACTTTGGAGCCCCCACTCTCATTCTTTCTGTTCAATCAACTGATAGGGTGAACACTTATTAGCAATGTTGACAAATATGATGTCATCACTTATTGAAAGAAGCTTCCTTCAGCTAACTAAAGCCAAGTTCCCATATCCATGTGTTGTGGCAGCAAAAAATTAATCAGAAAAAATAGAGGATCTGATAACTGACACACCTAAGTTCCAATTCCATTGCATCTCTTGCTCCATTTTTTTCTGAGGAATATCATCTTTTAAATACTTGTAATGTTTGAAAGAAAAGATAGATTATAAATCTCTAACACAAAGTATGCACATAATATTTGTAGAATATTTAAATCAGATTCTGAAAATTTACCCCTTCTCTATGATGCTTGCCAACAGATTTATCACTTGTCCCAGAGTAATTTTAATGAATTCTAACAGCTGAGAACTAGGTGGAGGGTTATTTCCATGGATAATTTACACCTGTGTAACTATAACTCCCTCTACATCTGCTAAATCTTATAGCCATTGATGGTTAACAAATGAGGTAAACATCACCTTCCCATTTATCCAAAGCTCAGATGAAAAAAAAAAAAGAAATAGTATAATCTATGGTCATTTGTTACACAATTAGTAATCACGTTTGGTGTGGCTAACAACACCATATGGAAAGATGGTTCTACTTCCTCACTACAGCTTGAATAGGCTCACTCTGGAAAACAATGTTTCAGAACTAGTTTCATTCTGGGCTCTGGATAGAAAATAGACAAAGATTCAATGTTGCCAGGTAGTAAGCCTGAACCTAGATGATTGGAGCCAAAAAACAATAATCACTGAATCGCCTTGAGTCTCCCATCAAAGATAGGAAACTAGACAAGACTTAGATGTCATTAATCTTCTTTCACATGGATTCAGTTCTTTACCCTCCTATATTCAGCATCCTTTATGTATATAAAATTGTGCAGTTCCATGGGGTTCCCACAAACAACAGCTGATAGATGAGTTGATTTATAAGAACCTCCTTGCTCTAATATCCTTGGTCCTGTGAATGTGTCCAAATGGTAATTGACATAGTTAACATTACAACAGTGGCTAATGTTTGTTTGCTATGTGCCAGGCATTGTGCTAAGTGCTTTTATTTAATCACAAGAAGGTAGGTGCTACCAATATTTCTATTTTATTAGTGGAGAAACAGGCATGGAGAGGTTCACTGCTTTTCTAAAGTTCACACCTAAGAAAGTACAGAGATGAGTTATGAAACTAGGCTGCCAACCTGCAAAATCCACCCTCTTAGCCACTACTCTACTCTGCCAACCAGGATATTATTTAGAGAATTACTGAGGCAAGCTTAGAGGCCAGGTGAGTTCAGTGTATTACTATTCAGCCCAGCTTTTGGAATATAAGCTGCCATGATCTGATTTTTGATGATTTTTAAAATGAAAAGAGAGAGAGAAAAGTCAAAAACAAGAATCAGAATGTTTTTTTCTCATGTAATTTAATAAAGGGTTCATTTCTAACTTTTCTTTATATTCTCTGTGAGCTTAAGAATAAAGTAGGGAGGAAAAAAATACGAAGTAAAGTCTTGAATTGGCAAAAGGTGGTTTTCCAAGGCATAAATGCAAGAACTGAAGCTACCTAAAAGTGATGTAAAATATTACTCTTCTCATTCTTCCCAACCTCTTCCCTCTAGTCACACACCATAAATGAGCAGTAAAAATACATATCTCTAGTGTCTCTTCTACTTTTATGCATTTTGCTTTTGGGGCCTATTAAAAATAGCACTAATTAACACCAAACAAGAATTTCTACTATGCATAAATTATCATATCAATTTCAAGAATCCTAACTTTATGATAATAAAATAAACTTAAAATACATCAGACCAGCTCTAGTCATCATATTCCTCCCCTCTCCTACATTCTCCATTTACTTTTTCCCTTTCTGTTATGTTTATGATATGGTTTGTCTCCACAATAGCTCATGTTGAGGCTTGGTACCAAATGTGATTATACGGGGAGGTGGTTCCTTTAAGAGACGATTAAGTCATTAAGAAGGGTTCATGCCTTTATCAAAGGACTGAGTTCTTCCTTGTTACTGTGAAAGTGAGTTGTTTTAAAGTGGGCCTGCTTCTTATGTTAGGTCTCCTTGTTTATGTATTAACTTACCCTTCCACTTCTCCACCACGCTATGCAAGAGCATGAGACCCTCACCAGAATCTGACCAAATGTGGCCACTCGATCTTGGACCTCCCAGTCTCCAGGACCATGAGCTTATTAATAAATCTCTTCTCTGTATAAATTACTCATCCTCAGTATTCTGTTACAGCAATAGAAACTGGACTAAAACACTTCTATAACCACATTCCTAGCTGTAAATTCAAGCTGCAAGAGTTTTGAACCTCAGACAGAGTGGTATTTTTCTAGAGGCTGATTGCTACCTCTGAAGAGTCCTACAATTAGTCACCTACTCCAGTGCACAGAAATGCATGCACGGGCTTTTTTCAGGATACCTCACTCCCACTGCATCCTTGCTTGTGCTGTCTTTCTGCAGTGCACTTTGGGATGCTTTCAGGGTGCAAAGGTCAGTCAAGTCCAGACAGAAGAAATTCCCAGACCTATTCCTGTGGACCAGATGTTGGCGTACTGTATTTTTTATGGTTTTAAGAAATATTTTGTTTGTTTTCATTAAAAGTCCTAATTATACTCTGAAGGTAATATGTGTTCAACTGGGAGACTCGATCAATTCTATCTTTGCCAATTTTATTAGTTGATTCCTTCTGCAGTAAATATAGGGGTGAGGAATTCGCCAGGAAATCTGAATTATTTACTCATGTTGTTAGAAATTAGTCAAAAGGTAGGGTTATGAGGCTGACACAAATGAGAGGGGCTTTATAATCGATAATGTAGACAAGACAATGAGAAAGGTGGAATTGCAACTTGTTTCTGAGCTGGGGAGAGGCAGCAATATGCATAGCAGAAAGGGCTTGTCTTGACTGGGATCCTCAGCCTGAAATGCTTAATGCTTAGTCTTACATACTAAACAAAAATTATTTGTCATGCCTTGAAAACGCTGGAAAACAGAGAAAAGAAAAAATGGAATGGCACTGTACCTAGAGGCTTAATTAAATGGCACCCATTGTTGATTTCTTTAGTATTCAAACTTTTGTATTCATTACATTTCCATAAGGAAGGCAGTCATTAATTAATTTATTTAAGAACGTATTAAGGGGATGTCAGCCAGATGGCACAATAGGGCTCTCCAGCACTCATCTCCCCACAGAAACATCAATTTTAACAGCTATAATGTACAAAAATAAGTTCACAAAAGCTAAGGAAGCCAAGTAAGAGATTACAGCACCTGGGTATAGCACAGATAAGAAAAGACACATTGAAGACGGTAGCAAGGATAGTTTTACGTTACTTATGTCACCCCTCCTTGAACCTCAAACAGCATAGCATGGAAAGATACCCTCCACCTAGGAGAAAAAAAGAAAAAAGAAAAAGAAACACTAAGCTTTGTTTTGGATCTCAAAACCAGGCCTTCTCCAGTAAAACCAAACACTGTGAAGGCCCCCATACCCTTATACTCCAGGTGGCAAGTACCTAAACTGAGCCTTCAGGCCTGCCCCAACACCAGGCTGACAGCAGCCTCAGGCTTCAAATCACCCTCAACACTAGTTTACCCACTATGGCCACAGGCTTCAAACCTGCCCCAGCACGAGGCAAACCCCCACAACCCTAGTCATCAGGCCAGCACCTGTGGTCCTAGCCTCTTCAGATACTGACTCCAGGCACCTGAGGCCCCAGGCTCCAGGCCAGCAACTGTGGACTAAGCCTCCATGCCCATGTGAATGCCAAGCAAGATCCTGCAGCCCCAGGCTCTGGGCAAGCCCCAGTGTCAGGTCTATCCCCACAGAAGCAGGCTCCAAGTCTTCCCAGTGCAAGGCCAGCCCGTGTGGACCTAAGCTTTAGCAGATTCGGAGCCCAGGCCTGCATTAGACCCCAGCGCTGAACCGGTCTGCACAGACCCAGGACTGACCTATGTACCCAGGTTCCAGGCTGGTCTCAGAGACCCCAGGATTCAGGCCTGCTGTTGCAGACCTAGACCCTATTTCAGCATCTGCGCATCCAGTTTCTAGTCTGGCACCAGTAACCACAGGCTCCAGGCCCAGCCCCAGTGGTTCCAGGCATCAAGCAAGACCTATGATCCTAGGTTCCCAACTAGCTTCTGAGAATCCAGTCTCTACACTAGCCACAGGAAAAGGCCAACTCCAGGATCCAGGATGATTCCTTTGCTCTCAGGCTCTAAATGACCCTGAGTCTAGGCCTGCTCAAGAAGACCCAGGATCCAAGTCCACTCCAGCAGACTTTGGTGCAAGGCTTGGCTCCATGGACTGAGCCTACAAGACCACCCCTGCAAACCCAGTGCCGTGACCAGCCCTGGTGAACTCAGGCTGTAGGCCTGTCCCAGTGGTCCCAGGCACTAGGCCTGACCTCATGTCAGTCTAGCTTCCATGGATTCAAGCTCCAGGATCATCCCAGTGGAACTGGGTTCCAGGCTTATCACTGCAGACCCAATCAACAGGTTGACCCTCGCAGATCCAGATTCAGACATATCCCTGAAGACCCAGACACCAAACAAGCCCACTCTTGGATGAAAGACAGCCTCCCTAGAATTTCTGAATGAGCTGACTGGTGAAGGACTTTTCCAGACTAAGCAAGTCTGCAAAAAATTGAAATAAATCCCTACCTTTTCAAATGTGAAGATGTCAACATAAGGCAACAAGAAATATGAAAAACGAATGAAATGTAATGCCACGAAAAGAGCACAATGATCTCCCATTAGCTCACCCTACAGCAATGGAGATATATAAAATGCCTGACAAATAATTCAAAATAATTGTTTTAAGGAATATTAACAAACTTCAAGAAAATACAAACAATTCAGTGATAACAAGAAAACAATAAATGACCAAAATGAGAAATTCAATGGAGAAAATGAAATTATTTTAGAAAATCAAACAGAAGTTTTGGAGCTGAAATATACAATGAATAAATTTTAAAATGTAATAGGCTTGACAGTAGAATTGATCAAGCAGAATGATGTAT
Source organism: Homo sapiens (assembly GCF_000001405.40). Lineage (NCBI taxonomy): Eukaryota > Metazoa > Chordata > Mammalia > Primates > Hominidae > Homo > Homo sapiens. The sequence continues at coordinate 81,902,474 of NC_000014.9, read as the reverse complement.
CTGCAAACTTGAAGACATTACTTGAAAATATACAATCAATTGGGAAAAGAAGAATGAAAAAAGAAAGCTTACAGTGACTTATGGGACAGCATCAAAAGAGCAAACATTTGAGCTATAAGTGTTTAAGTTATAGAAGTTTGTAAAAAGAGAGAGACACAGTGGCATAAAGCTTACTTAAAGAAATACTACCAGAAAATATACCAAATTTGGAGAAATATATAAATATACACATAAAGGAAGGTTAAAAGTCTCTAATCAAATTCAACCCAAATGAGACTATATCAGCACATTACCAAATGGTCAAAAATCAAGGACAAAGAGAGGACCCTGAAAGCAGCAACAGAAAAGAAGCAAATCACTTAAAAGTAGTTCTAGCAAGGCTAGCAGAGAATTCCTTAGCAGAGGCCTTACAGACAAGAAGAGAGTGGGATGCTATATTCAAAGTGTTGAAGGAAAAAAAGCTATCCACCAAGAATACTTTACCCGGAGAATCTGTCCTTCGAAATGAAGGAAAATAAAGAGTTTGCCAGATACACAAAAGCTGAGGGAGTTCTTCACCACCAGACCTGTCTTACAAGAAATGCTGAAGGGAGTTATCTAAGCTGAATGAAAATGATATTAATTAGTTAAACAAAAATATATGAAAGTATAAAACTCACTGGTAAAAGTAAGTACAAACTCAAATTCAGAACACTCTAATACTATAATGGTCATGTGCAAATCACTTATAACTTTAGTATGAAGATTAAAAGATAAAATTATTAAAAATAATAATAGCTAGAATACTTTGTTAAAGGATACACAAGAGAAAAAAATGTGAATTGTAACATCAAAAATTTTAAATGCCTGGAAAGGGGAGTGGAGTAAAAGTGAAGAGTTTTTTATGCAATCAAAGTTAAGCTGTTATTAGCTTAAAATAGCCTGTTATAGCTATGGTTTTTGTAACCCTCATGGTAACCACAAAGCAAAAACCTGTAGTAAATACACAACAGAGAAAAAGTAAAGAATTAAAGGGCCATCACTAGAAAAATATCACAAAATCACAAAGGCAGACAGCAACAAGAAAGAACTAAGGTTCTACAAAACAACAAGGAAACAGTTTAAATGGCAGTAGTAATTCTTTACCTACCAGTAATAATCTTTGATGTAAATGAATTAACTGCTCCAATCAAAAGACATAGGGTGGCTGAATGGATAAAAAGAAATATGACCTAACTATATGCTTCCTACAGAGATTCACTTCACCTGTAAAGATACACATGGACTGAAAGTGAAGGTATGAAAAAGGACATTTCATGGAAATTGAAACAAAAAGAGCAGGGGAAACTATATTTGTATCAGATAGAATAGACTTTAACTCAAAAACTGTAAAACAAGACAAAGAAGGCCATTCCATAATCATAAAGTAGTCAATTCAGCAAGAAGATATAGCAATTATAAGTATACATGCATCCAACATTGGAGCATCTAAATATATAAAACAAATATTAATGGATCTGGAGAGAAAGACTGTAATACAATAATGATAGAGTACTTAAATACCCCACTTTCAGCAACAAATCATCTAGACAGAAAATCAACAAGCAAACATTGAAATTAAACTACACTTTAGACCAAATGAGCCTAACAGGCACATATAGAACCTCCTATGTAACAGCAGAAGAATACACATTCATTTCAAGTGTACACAGAACATTTTCCAGAATAGAACATATGTTAGGCCATAAAACTACAATTAACAAATTAATAAGATTAAAATCATATTAAGTATCTTTTTTTTTTTTTTGAGACGGAGTCTTGCTCTGTTACCCAGGCTGGAGTGCAGTGCGAGATCTCAGCTCACTGCAAGCTCCGCCTCCTGGGTTCATGCCATTCTCCTGCCTCGGCCTCCTGAGTAGCTGGGACTATAGGCGCCCACCACCACGCCTGGCTAATTTTTTGTATTTTTAGTAGAAACGGGGTTTCACCGTGTTAGCCGGGGTGGTCTCAATCTCCTGACCTTGTGATCAGCCTGCCTCAGCCTCCCAAAGTGCTGGGATTACAGGTGTGAGCCACCACACCCGGCCCATATTAAGTATCTTTTTAATCACATAATATGAAACCAAAAATCAATAACAAGAGAAATTTCAAAAAATGCACAAATACATGAAAATTAAACAACATACTCCCAATCAGTAGGTCAATGAAGAAATTTTAAAAGTTATTTAAAAATGTTTTGAGACAAATGAAAATGGAAACACATCATATTATAACGTATGGGATATAACAAAGGCAGTTCTAACAGAGAAGTCTACAGCCTTAATGCCTATATCAAAAAGAAAATTGTAAATAAACTATCTAATGTTACACCTCAAGAAAGAACAAACTAAGCCCAAAGATATCAGAATAAAAACATTAAATGAAAGCAAAAATAAATGAAATAGAGATTTAAAAATACAAAAAAAATCAATGAAACTGAGATTATTTAAAGATAAACAATATCAACAAACCTTTAGCTAGACCAAGAAAAAAGAGAGAAGCCTCAAATTTTAAAAAGAAAAAATGAAACAGGAGACATTAAAACTGACACCACGGAAGTATAATACAAAGCATTATAGAATATACCAACAAACCGGATAACCTAGAAGAAATGACACAAAACCTACTTAGACTAAATCAAGAAGAAATAGAAATTCTGAGTAAGGGCATCGAATCACTAATAGAAAGTCTTTCATCGAAGAAAAGCCCAGTACCTGATGTCTTCTCTGCTGAATTCTACCAAAAATCTAAAGAAGAACTAATGCCAATCCTTTTTGAACTCTTCCAAAAAATTTGAAGAAAAAAATACTTCCAAATTCATTTTACTAGGCAGCATTACCTTAAAACCAAAGTCAGACAAGAACACTACAGGATAAGAAAATATCAGGCCAATATCCCTGATGAACACAGATGCAAAAACACTCAAGAAAATATTAGCAAACTGAATTCAACATCATATTAAAAGGGTTATTCAGTATTACCAAGTGAGGTTCATCCTAGGAATGCAAGGATGGTTCAAAATATGCAAATCTATAAATGTGATAAACCACATTAACAGAATGAAGACAAAAACCATATTTTCATCTCAATAGATGAAAAATTCGGCATTCTTTTATGATTTAAAAAAAAACTTATCTCAACAAAAGGGAACCCTTGTACAATGTTGGTGGGAATGTAAATCAGTACACTTATGATAGAGAACAGTTTAGAAGTTTCTCGAAAAGTTAAAAGTAGAGCTACCATATCATCTAGCAATCCCACTGCTGGGTGTATACCCAAAAAAAGGGAAATCAGTATATCAAAGAGATATCCTCACTCTCATATTTGTTGCAGCACTGTTCACAATAGCCAAAATTTAGAAGCAACCTAAGTGTCTATCAACAAATGAATGGACAAAGAAAATGTGATACATATACTCAACAGAGTACTATTCAGCCATAAAAAGAAAGAATGAGATCTTGTCATTTGTTCCAACATGGATGGAATTGGAGGTCATTATGTTAAGTGAAATAAGCCAAGCACAGAAAGACAAACATTGAATGTTCTCATTTATTTCTGGGATACAAAAATCAAAGCAATTGAACACATGGAGATTGAGAGTAGAAGATGGTTACCAGAGGCTGGCAAAGGTAGACAGGATGGGGCAGAAGGTGGGGATGGTTAATGGGTACAAAAAAATAGTTCTAAAGAATCAATAATACTATTTGATAGCACAACAGCATAACTATAGTCAAAAGAATTTAAAGGTACATTTTAAAAGAATGAATAAAGTATAATTGGATGGTTTGTAACACAAAGGATAAATGCTTGATGGGGTGGATGCCCCATTTTCTATGATAAGATTATTATGCATTGCATGCCTGAATCAAAACATCTGATATACCCCATAAACACATACACCTACTATGTATCCACAAAAATTAAAAATACAAAAAATTATTAAAAATTAAAAAAAATTCTCAACAAACTAAGTATGGAAAGAATGTACCTCAACACAATAAAGGCCATATATGACAAACCAGCAGTGAACATCATACTCAAAGGTGAAAATTTGAAAGCTTTTTATCTAAGATTAGGAACAAAATAGGAATTCCCAATCTCACTACTTCTATTCAACATAGTCCTGGAAGTCCTAGCCAGAGCACTTAGGCAAGAGAGAGAAATAAAAGGCATACAAATTGGAAAGGAAAAAGTTAACTTGTTCCTGCTTTCAGACAACATAATATTTTATGTAGAAAAACCCTAAAGACTACAATAAATTCATTTATTAAAATAAATGAATTTGGTAAAGTTGAAGGATACAAAATTAACATACAAAAATTTATAGAATCTTGGCCAGGCACAGTGGCTCATGCCTGTAATCCCAGCACTTTGGGAGGCCGAGGCAGGCGGATTGCTTGAGGTCAGGAGATCAAGGCCAGCCTGTCCAACATGGTGAAACCCCATCTCTACTAAAAATACAAAATTAGCCAGGCATGGTGGCATGCACCTGTAATCTCAGCCACTTGGGAGGCTGAGGCAGGAGAATCACTTGGACCTGGGAGGCAGAGGTTACAGTGAGCCAAGATCACACCACTGCACTCCAGCCTGGGCAACAAAACGAGACCCCCATGTCAAAAAAAAAAAAAAAGAGAAAATGAAAAGAAAAAAATAGTAGAATCTCTATACACTAATGATAAACTATCTGGAAAAAAATCAAGAAAAAAAAGAATTTATAATAGTTACAAAACAATAAGATACTTAGGAGTAAATTTAACCATGGAGGTAAAAGACCTGCACACTGAAAACTATCAAATATTGATTTTTTAAAAAATTGAATAAGAAATTGACAAATAAATGGAAAGATATCTTGTGTTCATTGATCATAAGAATTTATATTGTTAAAATATATGTACTGCCCAAGGCTGTGTATATATTCAGTGCAATCCCTATCAAAATTCCAAAGACATTTTTACAGAAATAGAGAAAACAATTCTAAAATTTACATAGAACCACAAAAAACCATAAATGCCAAAGCAATCTGGAGCAAAAAGAACAAACCCAGAGACATTATGCTGCCTTATTTTAAACTATACTACAAAGCTATAGTAATTAAAATAGCATGGTACTGGCATAAAAATAGACTCATAGATCAATGTAACATAATAGAGAGCCTAGAAACAAATCCACACATTTATAGTCAATTCATTTTTGACAAAGGTGCCAAGAACACCCAATGGGGAAAAGAAAGTCCCTTCAGTAAATGGTGTTGGGACAACTGGATATCCATATGCAAAATAATGAAATTAGACCATTATCTCACACTACAAATAAAAATCAACTCAAAATGAATCAAAGACTTAAATGTAAGACCTGTGACTATAAACCTACTATAAGAAAACACAGGGGAAAAGCTCCATGACATTGGTGTGGGCAATTATTTTTTGCATGTGAACCCAAAAGCACAGGCAACAAAAGCAAAACTAGACAAGTGACATTAAATCAGACTAAAAAAGCTTCTGCACAGCTAAGGAAACAATCAACAGAGCAAGAGCCTACAGAATGGGAGAAAATATTTGCAAACCGTATGTTTTAGTCTGTTTTTGCTGCTATAACAGAATACCTAAGATGAGTAACTTATAATGAACAGAAATTTATTAGCTCACAATTCTGGAGTCTAGGGAATCCAAGATCAAGGGGCTGGCATCTGCCAAGGACCTTCTTATTCCATCATTACATAGCAGACGGCAGAAAGGCCACGTAGGCAAAAGAGAGCAAGAGGGAGCCACACTTGCCTTTTTATAATGGCACCAATTTCACCTATGAGGGTGGAGCTCTCATGACCTAATCATCTTTTATAGGTCCCACCTTTTAATACTGTTACAATGGTAAATAAATTTCAACATGAGTTTTGGCAGAGACAAACATTCAAATACTAGCACTATACATCTGACAGGGCAAGGGTACGGTGGCCTGTTAGAAACCAGGCTGCACAGCAGGAGGTGAGCAGCCCCGGTGAGCCAGGGAAGCTGAATTTGTATTTACAGCTGCTCCCCATCACCCACATTACCACCCGAGCTCTGCCTCCTCTCAGATCAGCTGCCGCATCAGATTCTCATAGGAGCATGAACCCTACTGTTAACTGCGCATGCAAGGGATCTAGGTTGCATGCTCCTTATGAGAATCTAATACCTGATGATCTGTCACTGTCTCTCATCACCCCCAGATGGGACCATCAAGTTGCAGAAAAACAAGCTCAGGGCTCTCACTGATTCTACATTATGGTAAGTTGTAAAATTATTTCATTATATATTACAATGTTTTGATAATGAAATAAAGTGCACAACAAATGTAATGCACTTGAATCATCCCAAACCATTCCACCCCTTGGTTCATAGAATAATCGTCTTCCATGAAATCAGTCCCTGGTGCCAAAATGATTGGGGATCGCTGTGATAGAGGGTTAATATCCAAAATATATAAGGAACTCAACTCAATAGAAAATAAATAACTCAATTAAAAATTAAAAAATGATAACTCAATTAAAAATATGCAAATAATTTAAATAGACATTTCGCAAAAGACAACATACAAATTGCCAATAGGTATATGCAAAAATGCTCAAAATCACTAATCATCAGAGAAACGCAAATTAAAACCACCATGAAATATCATCTCACACCTGTTAGAATGACTATCATAAAAAAAAAAATAACAAGAGTTGGCAAGGATATAAAGAAAAAGAACCTTTATACATTATTGGTGGGAATATAAATTAGTACAGCTACAATAGAAAACAGTATGAAGGTTTCTCAAAAAATTAAAAATAGAACCACCAAATGACCCAGCAATCCCACTAATGAGTAGATATCCAAAGGACATGAAACCAGTGTGTCAAAGAGTTATCTGTACTCCCATGTTTATTGCAGCATTATTCACAATAGCCAGGATTTGAAATAAACCTAAGTGTCTGCCCATCAACTAATGAATGAATTAAAAAAAATGTGATATTATATATACACATACACACACAATAGAATACTATTAATCCTCCAAAAAGAAGAAAATCCTGGCATTTGCAACATAGATGAGCCTGGAAGATATTATGCTAAGCAAAATAAGCCACACACAGAAAGACAGATACTGCGAGATCTCATTTATATATGAAATCCAAAACAGTGGAACTCATAGAAGTTTAGAGTAGAATGGTGGTTACAGGGGGAGGGGTGCAGAGGGGTAGGAGATGTTGGTATAAGGATACAACATTTCAGTCAGACAGGAGAAATAAATACAATAAATCTATTGTAAAAAATAGTGACTACAGTTTATAACAAAGTATTGTATTGAAAATTGCTAGAAGAGTAGATTTCTAGTATTCTCACTATAAAAAATAAGTATGTGATGTAATGCATGTTAATTAACTCAATTTAGCCATGTACATATTTCAAATATATACATATTTCAACACTACATGTTGTACACAATAAATATATACAATTTTTTGTCAGTTAAGAAAAAAATAAATATTTAAAACTATTTTTAAAATAAATAAAATCACTTTTAAAAAGAATGTGTTGGGCTGGGCACGGTGGCTCATGCATGTAATCCCAGCACCTTTGGAGGCTGAGGCAGGTGGATTACCTGAGGTCAGGAGTTCAAGACCAGCCTGGCCAACATGGTGAAACCCCGTATCTGGTAAAAATACAAAAATTAGCCAGGTGTGGTGGTGCGTGCCTGTTAATCCCAGCTACTCGGGAGGCTGAGGCAGGAGAATCACTTGAACCAAGGAGGTGGAGGTCACAGTGAGCCAAGATCACACCACTGCACTCCAGCCTCAGTGAGAGAGCTAGACTCCATCTCAAAAAAAAAAAAAAGAATGTGTTACGCAACTATGAAAAAAAATCATAGGGCTAAATGCTGTGGGAGATGGGCTGTTATTCTCAAAAGATATATAGTATATAGGGGAGACTTAGAGTTCCCCTCTTTGAATGAACCACAGGACTACTGGTGAAATGTCAATTAAAGATCATCTAATCCAATGCTTCTCAAACATTAAAATGCAAACAAATCACTTGGGGATTTATTTAAATTGCAGATTCAGATTCAACAGTTCTTGGATGGCACCTGAGATTCTTTTTTTTTTTTTCAATAGGTTTTGGAGAACAGGTGGTGTTTGGTTACATGAATAAGTTCTTAGTGGTGATTTCTGAGACTGGTGCACCCATCACCCTAGCAGTGTATATTGTACCTAATGTGTAGTCTTTTATCCCTCACCCCAGTCGAACCCTTTCCCGAGTCCTCAAAGTTCATTGTATCATTCTTATGCCTTTGCATCCTCATTGCTTAGCTCCCACTTATGAGTGACAACATACAACGTTTGTTTTTCCACTCATGAGTTACTTCGCTTAGAATAATGGTATCCAATTACATCCACGTTGCTGCAAATGCCATTATTTTGTTCCTTTTTATGTCTAAGTAGTATTCCATGGTGTGTGTGTGTGTGTGTGTGTGTGTGTGTGTGTGTGTGTGTGTATTCCATGGTGTGTATATATATCACATTTTCTTTTTCTTTATCCACTAGTTGATTGACGGGCATTTGGACTGATTCCTTATTTTTGCAATTGCAAATTGTGCTGCTATAAACATGCAAAGGATGGCATCTGAGATTCTATATTTCTAACAAGTACCCAGATAATGAAGATGCTGCTGGTTCACAGACCACATTTCAAGTAGCATAGATGGTAGACTATAATTCTTGCTTTAAATTACCAAGGTATTTCAATGCAGCTGGGGTCACTGTGCATTAATCCTTTATATATCCAATATCCATGACCCCAAAAGAGCAGCCTCATAACATCTTTACGATTTAATGTTCCCCCTGAGAAGCACCATGCCCACATCTGCAACTCTACCACACTAGAGAATGAGACAGATCATGCCGGTATAGTACCTTGTATATAAAAGTTGGCACACAGTAAGGAGGAATTCTTTTTACATTACTGTAAGTTGAGGAAGATGGATATTTCTTTTTAACTTTCAATAATTATACTTTATCTTTTCTAGTCATAAAATGCAACATCATTAAGAAAAGCAAACCTCAGTAGGAATTTGCAATTTGAGTCATTTTTAAAGCACTGGTGAAGGACATGTTCCAGCATTAGCACTTGGTCAGAGGCTCCCATTAGTAATTAAGGAGTGCTTGCAATCAGCAATGGGCATTTGCATTATATAAGACACACTAATTTCTGAAGGAAGTCAACTCCTATTTCTCCCCTGCTAATAAGAAATTGGGAGGCACAAAACAACCCCAGATGGTGCATGTTTGTAGTAATGAATGGAGGTATTTTAATGGTGTGAGTTAAGTTTTACTTTGTGTTTTTAATGAGGGACCGACTGCCCAAGATATTTTAATTGTAAACCAGATTCCCATGAGGTCTTAAACCATTTTATGTTAAACATAAAACTTTGTTAAATTATATGGGTGATATTATTCATCTCCTAAGCACAAGGGGATATAAAAAATAGTTCATAATGAGCCATGAATACATAACATAACCCCAGAAGTTTAATAATACTAACCCATATTCCATTTCTCCAAATGATTTTTTATTCTACCTGCATGAAGCCACATTCGAATCAGAAGATTCAAATTTTGTTTCGCAGATATCAACAGAGTTCTTTTCCTGAAATTCTAAGGAAAATAACCAAGCAGTAAGTGGAATAAGATTATTTAACATTCTTTTGACAGAATATTCTGGATGGACAGGCAAGTCATTTACTGAAATCTCTTTTCTTTGATTATCTGAAAAGTATCATTATTTTGAGATCGCCTATTTAATAAGATTCAGTCTCCATCACCCAAAAACCATTCTATAATAACTTTAAAAGTCCTATCTCTCATTTGTTAAAATGTTTTTTGCAAATGAATCCTTGGAGAAAGGAAGCCAGTTGGAACATTTACCAGAGGATTTATCAGAGATTACAAAAATAAGACACCTGAGGGATGTTCAGAATCCCTAGTACTCAATTTTCGAGGAAAAATTAGTTTCTAGTACCATTTCTATCACTGAATATGATTATTTGACCTTGAGCAAGTCAGCAATTTTCTGGACCTCTCTTTCTTTGACTGTTGAAAAAGAAGCTTTTCAAACTTCAGTTGAGGATCACCCATATACAGCCTCACCTGGAGTACTTTTTTTATATATGTACTTTAAGTTCTAGGGTACATGTGCACAACGTGCAGGTTTGTTACATATGTATACATGTGCCATGTTGGCATGCTGCACCCATTAACTCATCATTACATTAGGTATATCTCCTAATGCTATCCCTCCCCCATGCCCCCATCCCACAACAGGCCCCAGTGTGTGATGTTCCCCTTCCTGTGTCCAAGTGTTCTCACTGTACAATTCCCACCTATGAGTGAGAACATGCGGTGTTTGGTTATTTGTCCTTGCGATAGTTTGCTCACAATGATGGTTTCCAGCTTCATCCATGTTTCTGCAAAGGACATGAACTCATCCTTTTTTATGGCTGCATAGTGTTCCATGGTGTATATGTGCCACATTTTCTTAATTCAGTCTATCATTGATGGACATTTGGATTGGTTCCAAATCTTTGCTACTGCTGCCATCAGAGTGAACAGGCAACCTACAGAATGGGAGAAAATTTTTGCAATCTAGCAATCTACTCATCTGACAAAGGGCTAATATCCAGAATCTACAAAGAACTCAAACAAACTTACAAGAAAAAAACAAACAACCCCATCAAAAAGTGCGTGAAGGATATGAACGTACACTTCTCAAAAGAAGACATTTAGGCAGCCAACAGACACATGAAAAAATGCTCATCATCACTGGCCATCAGAGAAATGCAAATCAAAACCACAAGGAGTGCTTCTTAAGAATGCAGATTCCTCAGTCACACCCAATCCTATTGAATCAGACTCCAAGGCCGTGATTTTTCTTGACAAGTTTTTCAAATTATTTTTATGTTCACTAAGTATGAGTGCACTGGAGTTGATTACCATTAAGGCCTTCCAGCAATAATCTTTGCTTTGGAATACGTATACAAACTGAAATACCAATCTTGACAAATCCCACTCCCAACACACTTCATCATTTCCCTTTGATAGTGTATCTCAGTCTCCATGGAAAACTTGAGCTCTGCCTTTAATTTTTCAACTATTAATTTCGGTATCTACAATATTCAATGTCCTCTTCATCTCTATCCTAACTGAAATGGGTGTGAAAAACAGTTGGGTGAGTTTATGGAAGAGAGTATAGGCAACTAGTACGAGACTAGAAAATGACTAAGATTAATATATCCAAGACCTCCTTCAATTTATAATCAAAGGGATCATTCCTATGAAAAATATTAGAGTTCCAGTAGCTAAAAACAAGATTATTAAAGTGTGTTTAATATGATCCAATTTTGGTAACAATATAAAAATGCTATTTAGGGATATGTACATGTGTACAATGTCTATATGTACATAGATCATTTTGTTACATAAGCATGGGAATAAGGAAAAGCAATGATTTTTATTGAAAGGCTGAGGGTGAGAGATAATTTGAATGGATGGGGAGAAAAGAAAAAGAAAGGAAGAGGCGAGAAACAGAGAGTAGGTCTGATATAATAGTTATGAATTTATGTAAAATTGTAATTTATGTATGTATGTATAAATACATTTTTAAAATAAAATAGAATAAATTTAAATGTTGAAAACATAAATAAGCCAGAGGTTATGCAAATAACCCTACAGTCATACATGTTTAAAATATATCACATAAAACTGGCCATCTGTTCTGTCCCCCTCAATACTAAGGCTCTGAATTTTTTTTTTTTTTTTTTTGAGACGAAGTCTTGCTCTCTGTCATCCAGGTTGGAATGCAGTGGCATGATCTTGGCTCACTGCAAGCTCCGCCTCCCAGGTTCAAGTGATTCTCCTGCCTCAGCCTCCCGAGTAGCTGGGACTACAGGCACATGCCACCACACCCAGCTAATTTTTGTATTTTTTAGTAGAGATGGGATTTCACCATGTTGGCCACGCTGGTCTAGAACTCCTGAACTTGGGTAATCCACCCACCTCAGCCTCCTGAAGTGCTGGGATTCAGTCCCTGCCTTTTCTAATTAGAGATTTTCTAATTTAAAACCTAGAATCCTCAGGATTTCTTTATAAAGAAGGATCTTGGCTACGTTCAGGGCACTGTATCAATAAAACATTTGGCTTGGATTGGGCTAATCCTGCCAGGAATTAGTTGCACAATTCTGTGCAGCCCCTTTTGTCATCTGGTTTTCATGCAAACATTTGTAAAATGAAGAGATGGAGCTAGATTTTCAGTATTTTTTATGATTACAACTGCTGTCTGCAAATTTTGCCTCTGTAGGAATCCAAGTTTATTTTTTCCCTTAAGTTTCAAGCAAAAAAAATCTATTTTGTAACCATCAAAATAACTTATTTCAATTACCCCTGGAGGAAGGTCCACTATTGACACTGTAAGCTATCCAGAAGACAGTGAAAAATAAAATTCTTTCCAGCCAGTGGGAGGTGGGAGGTGGGGGATTCGAAAGGTGAGTTTTCTCTAAGAAAAGATAAAAGAAGGAATAAAGGGAGGGAGGAGAGAGACGAAGAAAGGAAGAACTCCTAAGCATTTCCAGTGTGAGAATAGGTCTTTTCAATGAAGCAGGTGTGTGCCAGTTGAATATAGCCTGAAGAAAAAGGGAACTGTCCAAGAGAAAGTGGCAGTCTTACATTTTTATCCTAGCCAAGATGTAGGCAATAACCCCATCTGTTAGGGAGATGATGAAATATGAACCAAAGAAAATGACTTCATGAACTTGAGATGTTAAAAAGAAAGAGAGAGCTCATTCAATATCTCAGAACTGCCTAAAGCTTTCTTTTAGTCAAGTTTAATTTTCTTTGTCAAGCATAATTTGCAGATCCCATAGGACATCAGCTGTGGGTGCATGCACTGCTCCTAGTACATTTTGTACTGCACTGTCCATCATGGCTCAGCAGGGTAAAAATATGAAGTAATTTACCTAATGGCTCAGATTCTTTTCTATAATATTGGAATTTTCAGGTCCGAGCAAGTCTTCAGAAGATAGCATCAGTCAAACGCCTGATAAATGAAAAACAATGTTCTTTCTGCACTAGAACATTCAAAACTTGAGCTTACAGATTTCAGTGATTTTGAGGATATAATGTGTGGCCTTGGAGATAGTTACTTCACCTTGCAATATGTTTTCCCAGTTTCCAAAACAAAACTCATGCATCTCAGATTCAAAGTCAGAGGCCCAGAGATGTGAGGTGACCCATCCAGGGTCCCACAGCTAGTAATTGTGTCCAGGAGAACTCTTCCAGTTGCAAATGACTACAAACCCAACCCAAAATGATTTAAACAAAAAAGGGGGAGTTATTTGTTCAAGAGTTCAGGTTTAAATTGATTTGTTGTCTCAAAAAAGTTTACCAGGACCAAATTCTTCTCTCCAGAGCTCTTGATTTTCCATCTTGCACAGTGGCCCACCTCAGCCTCACAAGTAGCTTGAACTACAGGTGCATGCTACCATGCCCAGCTAATTTTTGTATTTTTTGTAGAGGCAGGGTTTTGCTGTGTTGTCCAGGCTGGTCATGAACTCCTGACCTCAAGCTATCTGCCTGCTCTAGCAAAATGCTGAGATTACAGGTGTGAGCCACTGTGCCCAGCTGGTTCTCTTCTTACAGTGCAAGATCCCAGACAGTAGTTCCAGACCTTATTCTCTTGGGTTGAAGTCTAGTAGGAAGGAGCATCTGCCTGTGCACCATAAGTTACCAGCAAAAAAAAAATATATATATATATGTATATATAGATATTGTATCTTGATGTGTCTATAAAAATAAAATGTTCTACTTGAACCAAAATGCCCTGCTTGTAGCCAGGACTAGTCTGTGACTGAACCATGTGCCCAGCTCTAAGGTAGAGGTGACATCCCACAGGTAGCACATGAACTGAGAACAGAGGAGGCATAGAGTCTCAAATAGCAGAGGCTGTTACCAGGGAGGAAAATGGATGACAGGAAGGTCAACAGTGTCTGCCATGTTGGAAGAGCCTGAAATAGATCACAAGTCTTTAGGATTCTGGTTTCTACCTCAAACCACTGCTTTTCATTCTGCATGTGGCTGTGATGTTAATCACTTATGGGAAGGTTAATGTCAGGGAAATTCTTAGGATTTAAATGAAAATCAATATTTAGTAGTAATCCAGGAAACAAGAATACTCACACAGCGCTAACGTTGTATTGTAAAAGTCAAGCATATTGTCATTTGCATGACATTGGATTTAGCAATGTATGCTTAGATATTATGTCAAGAGCATGCACAGCAATACAAAATAGATAAGCTGAACTTCACCACAATTAAAAACTTCTGTGCATTAAAGGACACTATCAACAGACTCAAAAGACAACCCGCATGATGGGAGAAAATATTTACAAGTCCGATATCTGCTAAGGGTTTAATATCCAGAACATATAAAGAATTCCTGGCCAGGCGCGGTGGCTCACGCCTATAATCCCAGCACTTAGGGAGGCTGAGGCGGGCGGATCACGAGGTCAGGAGATCAAGATCATCCTGGCTAGCACGGTGAAACCCCGTCTCTACTAAAAACACAAAAAATTAGCCGGGTGTGGTGGTGGGCGCCTGTAGTCCCAGCTACTGGGGAGGCTGAGGCAGAGCTGGCAGTGAGCCGAGATCACGCCACTGCACTCTAGCCTGGGCGACAGAGCAAGACTCTGTCTCAAAAAAAAAAAAAAGAATTCCTACACCTCAACAACAAAAAGGTAAACAACCTAACTTAAAAATGGGCAAAAGAATTGAATTGACACGTCTCCAAAGAAGACATACAAATGTCCAATAAGCACATGAAAAATGCTCAACATTATTAGTCATTGGGACAATGCAAATCAAAACCATGAGATACAACCCATACCTATTACAATACCTTTTCATATACTAATAATTTTTAAAAACAGAAAATAAGTGTTAGCACTTATTTTCCATTAGCAATCTAATGGGAAAGCAAACTGATGCAGCCACTGTGGAAAAATAGTTTGGAATTTTTCCAAAAGTTTAGCATAAGATTACTATATAACCCAGCAATTCTACTCCTAGGCATATACCTAAAAGAATTAAAAACAAGGACTGAATCAGATACTTGAACACTAGTGTTTACTGCAGCATTATTTACAATAGACAAAACTTATGTGACTGTCAACAAAAAGAAAAAACAAAATGTGGTATACACATACAATGAAATATTATTCAGTCATAAAAATGAATGAAGCTGTGATACATGCTACAAACACAGATGAACACTGAAAACATTATGGGATATGAAATAAGCCAGACACACAAGAAAACTAATATTGTATGATTTCGCTTATATAAAATATCCTTAATAGGCGAATTAATTTTTTCATTAGCATATGAGACAGACAGAGGATGGGGGTTGAATTTTATCCTTTTATCAGGAACCCGCTTTTGAAATAAATAACTTACTCTTGAGACAACAGCATTAATCGATTCATGAGGGCAGAGTTCTCATAATTTAATCCCCTCCTAAAAGTCCTAGCTCTTAACACCATTACAATGGCAATTAAGTTTAAAGTAGATTATAGGTTACCAGGGGCTGGGGAGAGGGTGGAATGAGAAATCATTGTTTAATTAGAGTACAAAGTCTCTGTTTGGGGTGATGGAAAAGTTGTAGAAATAGATAGTGGTGATGGTTACACAACATGGTGAGTGTAATTAATGTTATGACACTTAAAAATGATTAAAATGGTAATATATCTACAATAAAATAATTTTTTAAAGTCAAGAGAATGTCACTTTGCACCTTTGTAGCTAGCAACTCCTTTTCATATATCATTGGCTCAGAACTATCACTTGGTCAGCCAGCTGTAAAGGATGATGAGAATCATTTTTATTTCAGTACATTACACACCAAAAACTTGGGATGAATTAGCAAGGGAGAAGCACAAAGTGCATATCAGATATCTTAGGAGATTTTCTGCTCCTGTAACAGAATATCTAAGACTGAGTAATTTGTAAACAATTACGTTTATCTGGCTCACAGTTCTAGAGTCTGGGAAATTCAAGAACATGGCTTGGATATACAGCCAGGGTCTTTGTGCTGCATCATCTCATGGCAGAAAGTGGAAGGGCAAGTGAGCACATGAGACAAAGAGAGGATGAAGGCTGAGTTGTATCGTTTTATCAGGAATCTACTTTTGGGATAACTGATCTACTCTTGAGATGACAGCATTAATCCATTCATGAGAGCAGAGCTCTCATAAACTAACCTCCTCTTAAAGGTCCCAGCTCTTAATACCATTGCAATGGCAATTAAATTTCAGCATGAGTTTGGGAGAGGACATTCAAACCATAGCAGGATAGAAAACCAGTAGCACCTAACATTTCTGAGTTGTTTTTATTTTCTTTTTCTTTCCTCTTATGCATCCAAAACTTTCTTGGTGTGGTAGTAATCACTAATTGCAGAACATAATCCATTATTTTGAATTTTAATTAAGCAGATAGTCATCCCACTAGAAGCTACATTTTCTTGCATGCCTTACAACTTTGTGGCCATATTCCTAAATTTTAATCAATGTGATGTAAATGGAACAAATAAACTTGTATCATGTTAAAAGAACAATTTTTTGGTCTCTTTGCTATAGTTGCTTGGCTTGTATCCTTACCTTTGGTCTCTATTTGTCACTCTGCCTTTCCCTACCTCACTTCTGCCTTCGTTTTTTGCTCCTAATTCATAGCAACAGAAATTGGGCTACCAGAGCTTCAGGAGGTTGGTGTCCATCATTGGCCTACAGCGTTTTAGGTGCTCAGCATGCCAATAAGGATTGGTAGGTTTTTTTCTAGGTCATAGCCATGACTTAACATTGCCTTTCAGTTCCAGATGGAAATCTAGTCTTTGTCTTCCAGAATGAAATAGACCAGAGCTTACCAAAATGGAAGAAGCATGGGAGTAGTCAGTGTCGCTTCATGCTAACCACATTCCTTAACTGGGAAACATAAGCTATCTTGCACATCTGCTGCCACTCCCCAATGCTGCATACAGGGCACACGTGGCCAGTCAATCATGATACTCACCCTCCTGAGCCTGCTGTCTTCTCAGAATTCTTCTCAATCCAGTGCTGCAAGGGGCAACTATTAAACAATAGGCATTAGCATACCATGTGAAATCTTTTTGTCCTTCCTTGCTTAAATAAAAGGCGTATACAATGAGCACACTGCCAAAATAACTAAGACCCATTCCTGTGTGCAGAAAATGTTTAAAAAGCTCAAAGGGACATGGACACTAAAAGTGATCTTAATACTCTGGCTCAATCCTACACCTCCAAGTGCCAATCTTCAGTCGTAATTAACTCCTCTTTTCTCTCATACTGGATGAGAGGGGTGATGTAATTTCTTCCAGAAAACAACGTATCCCAAATTCATCCATCCATTGCTTTTAAGAACTAAATACCTGTACTGCTTTTGGTGTGATAGGAAATAACAAGACAAGAACAGCCTGGGTCTCTTTAAAAGGAATAATTGTGTCTGGCAGCAGAATGAACAAAGATAGATGGAGTGAAAGAATCCATCAGAGTGAATCTTGATGACGGAGAAGGGAGGTAGTTTAAACTTTGCCCCAGCATAGTAGGCAAGTCCTGCCTAAACAGATTTCTTTCTCTGAGACTGCAAATATGGCCCCTCTTAATTTTTAAAACAAATACATTACAGGTTCAAAAACTGAGGCTGTTAGAGGTTAAGTGACTCACAAAAGGTCGTATAGCTAGGACTCAAATGTAACTCTATCCACCAAAGAAGATGTGTTCCTGAAGGGAAAGGCTGTGTATGATTCATTGTCTACTATCTCTGATACTTGCACACTGAGAGCACTTGACATATACAGTGAAAGGAAGAATATTTCACAATACTTAGCTATGATAAAAATCACTTACAGATTATAAAAAATTCAGGGCAAGCCATTTGCAATTTGGAATTTTCCATTTATGATAAAATATAAATGTCTCTCATATCTAGAGGTTGTCATTGAATGTTTGGCAAAAATGCAACTGTCAAATTGGAGTTGGATATTGAAAGCAGCTGAGCCTAAAATTTATTAACTTAAGGGAGAAATTTCTGTCACTTCAGTTAATTGTTAATTGTTGCAGAATTCCTGTCACTTAACTGTTAATTGTTGCAGAATTGTTAATCATTGCAGAATCAAAGCATATACTCATCAATATATTACGTATTGCATGGTTGTACATCTGAACTTCCCTACTTTGCATTCATGTGTCTTGATAATTTTTAACCTGGAAAATTTGTATTAATTCATTCATTAATTCACTCAACAATCCCTGCGTGCCTACCTGTGCAAGAAACACAAGGTAATGCTGGTATCAACCAGACAAGGCATCCACCTTCAATGACCTTTTGATCAAGCAGGAAAGGTAAGACAAGCTGTCAAATAATTATTAGGGCATAAACAACTTCTCTGACTCCACATTTTCACCCATAAAAGAGAAGTTTCCTGACTTCCACTTCACGACAGAGAACTCCTTCGTATTGAGGTTATCAGCTTCAAATCTCTGTTGAACCTGGTTCTATTCTGACTTTGTGTCCAATTCATAATAAAAGTTTCAGCTTCAGCTCTATCCCTACTCTCTTCTTCTCTCACCATCACTCTCTAACGACCAAAGACTAACTCTAAAATGTATCTGTACATTTATGTATTATGCATTTATTAATTTAAAATATATTTTTGATAAGCCAGGCCCTGCGACAGATGTGGAGATGCTGTAATAAACAAAAGCAACCAGCTGGGCATAGTGGGTCATGACTGTAATCCCAGCACGTTGGGAGGAAGAGGCAGGTAGATCACCTGAGGTCAGGAGCCCAAGACCAGCCTGGGCAACATGGTAAAGCCCTGTCTCTACTAAAAATACAAAATAATTAGCCAGGTGTGGTGATGCACACCTGTAATCCCAGCTACTCAGGAGGCTGAGGCACAAGAATCGTTTGAACCCAGGAGACAGAGGTTGCATTGAGCCAATATCGCGCTCAATATTGCACTCCAGCCTGAGAGACAGAGAGACTCTGCCTCAAAAAAAAAAAAAAAAAAAAAAAAAAAAGGCAACCACAGTCATTACCCTCATGGAGCTACAGTCTACAGAGTGAGGAATAGAGCAGTCAAACATTCTCACAAACATCACACCCCCACAGTGACAAGACTGTGACAGAGGGGTACATGGTACTGGTAGAATCTATGATGCAGGAGCCTGGGGGATTCGGGTGAGGGACTATCTGATAGTAATGGCTAAATACACATATGCATGTTATCAACAAACATATTGGTGGTAATTATGATAGCAATTAACCACTTATTGCTTCCTGTGTGTTTGGTTTCTATCTGCGTTTGGGTGTCTTCACAACATACTGATTGGCATTTGCTGCTTCTGATTATTTCTGTGTGTCTGTGTGGTAAAAGTATGCCTACAGTCACTGACTACTGTATTTTCCCTGCCTAATTTTCCTCTCGTTATATAAAACACGGCCTGAATCATAGGAATACCCCATCCTGATGAGCCTGACCAGTTTCCAGACCCAGGTTTTTCTGGTGTGGCCTGTCTCAATTACACGCTAATCTGCTTGTCTAGTGCAAGCTTTTTGATTGTTTTCAAATTCATACAACTTATGATTTGTTTCTTCAAGTCAAATATTCTGGATATTCTGGGGGTATTTCTCTAGCTTGTGATCCTTAAAGTTCAATCTCTTAAAAAGCATAGCTTTAACTTTAGTTTTGGTTTGTTCATATTTATTATCCCAGTAGCATAAGGCACAACTGCACCTAAAATGAAATCTGGGTAGGTGACAAACTCCTGCCAGAGAATGCCGGGCTGGGGAGGCACAGATGCCTGCTCCCAGCCCTAACTCCAGGGCCTGGCCCTGATCTCCATAGAAAAGGAGTTTCAGATTTTTCAGTTAAAAAAAATATATCTATTTATTCACAGATAAAAACAACGGTCAGTGACTGTGGGCATACTTTTGTCATACTGAAATCATCAGAATCAACATTGTGGAAGGGGCTCTTTGAGTGCCTTATAGATATTACAGCTACATTGGAAAAGAGACCACTTTCTGTATTTTTGTGGGGGACACAATCTTGCTCCAGCAAAAAGTAACTGAAAGAAAGCCATCGGGTACTTTTTTTTTTGTGATGGAGTCTCACTCTGTCGTCAGGCTGGAGTGCAGTGGCACGATCTCGGCTCACTGCAATCTCTGCCTCCCAAGTTCAAGCGATTCCCCTGCCTCAGCCTCCTGAGTAGCTGGAACTACCAGCGCTCACCACCACATCCAGCTAATTTTTTGCATTTTAGTAGAGACATGGTTTCACCACGTTGGCTAGGATGGTCTCGATCTCCTGACTTCATGGTCTGCCCGCCTCGGCCTCCCAAAGTGCTGGAATTACAGACATGAGCCCCCTCACGTGCCCCCCATCGGGTATCTTGAAGGCCTTGATGCCCCAGCACCCCCAGCAGGAAGCCATGATATCCTAGAGTGCAAGGAAGCTTCAAGACTTTCTGAACAAACCATAGTGACTAAGTAGCCATGGTCACCAAGTTTGGGTGCCCAGTCATCAGCCGTTTTTCTCAATTTTCCTGGCCATAAGAACCCCAATTTTGTCCAGAGGCAATCCACTCAGTCCCAGGAGAAGAATGACAACTGGTTTAAATCAGTCTTAGCAATTTTACAGCCCTTTGAAAGTGACTGTTCTAGAGATGGATGTGAGACCTAGTTCTGGCCTAAAGAAAGCCTAGAAGATTCTGAGAATTTTTATCTTTTCAAATAAGAAAGAAACCAACAAAGAGATGCTTTCTGTCTCTTGCTTTGTGCTTTTCACATTTTCCATTGTAAAAGGGAAAATATAAGGGATATGAATGCAAAGAAGGGGCCAAGGCTTGAGAATAGAGAAGGCATAAGAGCAACCTAGGGAGCTGAATTCCAAGTGATCTGGGTTGGCCAGCCATCTCTGCTACAGAAGCATGAGTAGTAAGTTGCACCTATTACCCTCCCTGCCCCATAAAGCTAGTACACAATGAAGATAATGAGAAGATCTGAGTGAAGGCCTTTGTTCTGCTGAGATTAAGGCATGGTACAAATGGGAAGCATTATCATCTTGTTATCCCTCATTTCAGGAGAGGTCCTCATTAAAAACTGGAAGCTATAGTCTGCCATAGCCATAAAGCAATAAACGGCTCGCTTTATGCTTTGTTTTCTATACAAGGAGATGCTTTCTGTACATCTAGAAACATCTAGAAACAAGCAATAAATTACTTCTAATTACACTATCCCCTCACATCAGAACTAGAGACTGCTCCAAATTAACAGGCATCAAATTTAAAGCAGATATCGAGAGACAATTTTCTATGTGATACTTACTTAGCCTCCAGAAACTGCTACCATGGGGCATTACCTTGGGGCCCTACACGCATTTCCCAAAGAGCAACTGCAGTCATGGTGCATAATATAAAATTCAAGTATTCCCATCTCCCAGGGTTTGCAACCCATTCTAATTGCTTGTGATCAGAAAGGATGCTCCATGGTGGAATACTGTTCAATCAACTTCTTACTTAATAAAGTGGATCATAGCTGTTCCTTTATGTCTAGAGCTATGCTACAGCAAGACACTTCATTACCTGTCTGTGGTCTTGTCAATGATCTGACTGAGACAGTTGTGGCTCTTTATGTATATAGTTTAGAACAATATCAAAGACCAACTATAAACTCTATCTGCCAATGAAGGATGGGTAATCGTGGTGGAGGACTCCATAGCCTTCTGTTCAATAACTGCTTAGGGTGTTACTGCATTCAACGTTAGAGTTTAACCTGGACCAAAGTTGAGAAAGTGTAGCACTCACATGGGAAGGCACAAATTATACCATGGCCAATTCTTTTTTCCTCCACTGGCTCAGTAGCTGAAAAAGGCTTTTAGAACAACTGGCTTTAGCAAACTTGTCATTGGATTCTCCTTTGTGATACAAGATGTTCAGTGTCTAATCCTCCTTACTTCCTTGGGTTCTGGACATTATTGCTTGAAAGATATAATTACACCGATTAGAATATATAAGACCTAAAACCAGCTGGAAAAGTATCTCCTTCAAATTTCTCAAGAAAAAAACTAATTATATCACAGAAGCAAAAACATGGTAATTAAAGTGACCATTATATAGCAGCCTTCCTATAATTATTGTTATTCATTTTGGCAACTGAGAGTTTAGGGATTTGAATTTTATTTTCCAAGCCATAAGTGTGAGAAAAGCAATTTATTTAATTCATTGCTGATCACTGGGAATTAATTTTCACCAATTTCTTTAGACTGCATTGGAAGACTACATTGTTTCTCTTCATTCTTGTCAATAATGTTTAAGGGATAGTTAGCCTGTCTATTTTCTGAAGCTTCACTGACAAACACTCTTCCTGGCCTGTGTCAATCATAAGACTCAATGCAAAGCCTAGAAGGTACTCACGTTCTCCAAACAGTTGTTTTCTTTTGTTGTAGTTTTTCATCTGGAGCAAGAGAAAGTTAACTCCAGAGAATTGCTTGAACTCATCTGAATAATTTGTTAAATTTCCCAGTATTGACTGACACAATCATTTACTAATTACTGCTAAATCTATGGCTAAACTGTTAGACTCCATCTAATAACTACTCTATATTATAGTGTCATACACAGCGTGAGAAGATATAATATGTGAAAATAAAAACACTAGAAGAAAATGGCAGGGAAGGATCACAGAATTTCTACAAAATAGAAAGATAAAGACCAAGGAAGGAGAGTAAGAAGTGAGTTTCCATTTTATGAAAAGCCAGAGGAAAAATAAATGCTATTCTATGCAACTATGATATATCATTGTTATTAGTGGTATATTTTTCTCCATCTCTTTACTTTTAACTTACCTGAATCTTTATGATCAATGTGGATTTCTCAAAGACAACATATAGTTGACATTATCTTTTTATTCACTCTGAGAATCTCAATATTTCAATTGGTGCATTTAATCCATCTACACTTGAAGTGATTATTGATATAATTGTATTAATACCTACCATCTTTGTAACTGTTATCTATTTGTTACATTTGTTCTATGATTAATTTTTCCCTCTTTTACTGCCTTATTTGGTTTTAACCATTTTCTAAAATTTCATTATATCCCCTCTCTTAACATATCATTTATTTTTTTAAAAATTTTTCGTGGTTACCCTAGAATTTACAATGTATTTTTTAAATAACCTAAAGCAACCTTCAAATAACGCTATGCTGCTTCACATGTAGTATAGGTACCATGTAAGAAAGTATTTCTAATTCCACTTTCCCATCCTTTGTGACATTACTGTCTTTCATTTTACCTATCCGTGTGCTATAATCAATGAACACATTGTTACTATTATTATACAATTTTATCTTTTAGATTAATAAAGAATAAGAAAAATGAAAGGTTTTATTGCCTTCATTTATTCTTGCTCTGACACCCTTATTTTTGAAGCAAATCAGTATATGCCACCCTAAAATATGCCACTTTGGCATATCGATTATTTTAAGCTGAAGACATTTGAGATTCAACAGGTGCAGAAAATAAAGCCTTCTTGGAGCTTCCGTTATCTAAACAAAAGGAGGAACTTCTTGGAAATACGTCTGCCCTAAATTCTTCTTCAGGGCAGATTTACTCCTAGACAAGAGAACCTAAACCAAAACCCACCTCCAGCAATTTGGATTCATGGCCCTAAAGGAGACAGACCACTTAAACTTGTATAGACAAATATTATCACAGATTTTTTTATCTCCTTTTTGTTCTGCTGAAAATTTGATAATCTTTCTAAATAGTCATTTGCTTTCCCATAAGTGCTTTTCTCCTACTACCCTTCACCTATTAAGATGGTATAAACCCCAAACTCTAACCACCATTTTGAGTAACTCATCATTGAGATCTACCATGTGTATGCACATTGCACATGTAAATAAGTTGCTTTCTCCTCCTGTTGATCTGTTTTTTGTCACTTTAATTCACAGGCCCAATTTACAGAACCTAAGAGGAGATAGGAAAAACTTTTCCTCCTCTATATTTAATATAGATCCAATTTATTCACCTGTATCTTTTTTTATTTTTTAAATTTTTATTTTTTGTTTTTGCCTGAAGTTTTTAAAACATTTCTTACAGGGCAGTCCTCCTAGTAATGAATTCCCTCAATTTTTGTTTGTCTGAGAAAGTCTTTATTCTCTTCCCTTTTTGAAATATGATATTGTTGAATATAGAATTCTAGGTTGGTGCTATCTTCCTTTCAACATTTTAAATATTTAACTGCACTCTCTTCTTTCTGGCATGTTTTCTGATGAGAACTATGCTATAATTTTTTGCCTTATTGCTCTGCAGAAAAGGTGAATATTTTTTATCTTGCTTTTTTCAAAATTTTGACTTTTTGCAGTTTGATATGACACACCTAGGTTTGGAAGGGGTTTTTTGAAATTTATTCTGCTTGGTGGTTCTCTAAGATTCCTGGATTTGTAGGTTGATGTCTGTCATTAATTTTGGAAGATTATTGGCAATTTTTACTTCAAATACTTCTGCTCTATTCTCTATTCCTTCTCCTTTTAGTATTTCAATTATGTGTATGTTATATCTTTTGATATTGAGTCACAATTTTTTTTATCAATTTTGCTTTATAGCTTAGGAAGTTTCTATTGACGTATCTTCAACTTCACTATTTTGTTTTCCTCAGCTGTGTCAAATCAATTCATGAGTCCCCAAGGGGCATTCTTCATTTATGTTACTGTATTTTTTCCCTTATGATACTTGCTTGTAGTTTCTATCCCTCTGCTCACATTGTGCCTGTTTTTGCATATTGTCTAGTTTTTTCCATTATAGCCCTTAACATATTAGCCATAGTTATTTTAAATACACTGCCTGATAATTCTAGTATCTGTGCCATATCTAAGTTAGTTTCAGATTATTATTTTTTCTATAGACTTCTTGCCTTTTGGCATGCATCGTAATTTTTTGTTGAAGGCTGGAGATATATTATCAAGTAATAGAAACTGAAGAATCAAATAGGTCATTAGTGTGATAATTTTGGTTAATCTGGTGAATTATTTCATTCCCACACTGTTATAAAGATACTACCCAAAACTGGGTAATTTATAAACAAAGGAGGTTTAATTGACTCACAGTTCTGCATAGCTTGGAGGCCTCAGGAAACTTATAATCATAGCAGAAGGGGAAGCAGGCTCTTTCTTCTCAAGGTGGCAGGAGAGAGTGTGCGCATGATTGAGGAAGTGCCACACTTTAAAACCATCAGCTCTCATGAGAACAGCTGGGGGAAACTGCCCCCATGATCCAATCACCTCCCACCTGGCTCCTCCCTCAACACATGGTGATTATGGGGGTTACAATTCGAGGTGATATTTGAGTGGGAACACAGAGCCAAAGCATATCATTCCACCTCCCCTCTTTTCCCAAATCTCATGTCTTTACCCATTTTAAAATCAATCATGCCTTCCCAACAGTTCCCCAAAGTCTTAATTCATTCCAGCATTAACCCAAAAATCCAAGTCCAAAGTTTCATCGCAGACAAAGCAAGTCCCTTCTACCTAGGAGCCTGTAAAATAAAAGCAAGTTACTTACTTCCAAGACACATGGGGATACAGGCATTGGATAAATGCTCCCATTCCCAAAGGGAGAAATTGGTCAAAACAAAGGGGCTTCAGGCCTCATGCAAGTCCAAAATCTGGCAGAGTAGTCATTAAATCTTAAAGCTCCAAAATAATCTCCTTTGACTCCATGTCTCACATCTAGGTCATACTGATGCAAACTGGGGGGCTCCCACACCTTTGGGAAGCTCTTTCACGGGCTAGCATTGAGTGCCTGTGGCTTTTCCAGGTGCATTGTGCAAGCTGTGGGTGGATCTACCATTCTGGGGTCTGGAAGACAGTGGCCGTCTTCTCACAGCTCCATTAGGCTGTGCCCCAGTGGGGACTCTGTGTGAGGGCTCCAACCCCACCTTCCCCATCCTCATGGTCCTAGCAGAGGGTCTCCATGAGGGCTCTGCCACTGCAGCAGACTTCTGCCTGGACATCCAGGCATTTTCATACAGCCTCTAAAACCTAGGTGGAGGTTCCCAAACCTCAATTCTTGACTTCTGTGCACCTGCATGACCAACACCACATGGAAGCCACAACTTGGGGCTCGCACCCTCTGAATCAAGAGCCTGAGCTGTACCTTATCCCCTTTTAGCCATGACTGGAGCTGAAGCAGCCAGGATGCAGGGCACTATCTCCAGAGGCTATGCAGAACAGAGGCCCTGGGCCCAGCTCACAAAACCATTTTTCCTTCTAGGCCCCCAGATCTGTGATGGGAGGGGCTGCCATGAAGCCCTCTGACATGCCCTGGAAACATTCTCTCCATTGTCTTGGCAGTTAACATTTGGCTCCTTGTTACTTATGCAAATTTCTGCAGCAGGCTTGAACTTCTCCCCAGGAAATGGATTTTTCTTTTTTACCACATGGTCAGGCTGCAAATTTTCCAAACTTTTATGCTCTGCTTCCCTTTTAAACATAAGTTCCAATTACAAACCACCTCTTTGTGAGCACAAAAAATTGAATGCTGTCAGAATAATCCAAATCACATCTTGAATGCTGTGCTGCTTAGAAATTTTTTTTCTGCCAGATGCCCTAAATCATCTCCCTCAAGTTCAAAGTTCCACAGATCTCTAGGGCAGGGGGAAAATGTCACCAGTCTCTTTGCTAAAGCATAGCATGAGTGACCTTTACTCCAGTTCCCAATAAGTTCCTCATCTCTATCTGAGACCACTTCAGCCTGGACGTCATTGTTCATATCGCTATCAGCATTTTGGTCAAAACCATTCAACAAGTCTCTAGGAAGCCCCAAACTTTCCCATATCTTCCTGTCCTCTTTCTGAGCCCCCTAAATTTTTCCAGCCTCCAACCATTACCCAGTTCCAAAGTCACCTCCATATTTTCAAGTAATTTTATTGCAGTACCCCACTCTCTGCAATACCAATTTATTGTATTAGTCCAGTCTCACACTGCTGTAAAGATGCTGCCCAAGACGGTGTAATTTATAAACAAAGAAGGTTTAATAGACTCACAGTTCCACATGGCTGGGGAGGCTTCAGGTAACTTACAGGCATGGCAGGAGGGGAAGCAGGCACCTTCTTCACAAGACGGCAGGAGAGAGTGTGAGCATGATCAAGGAAGTGCCACACTTTAAAACCATCAGCTCTCATGAGAACTCACTCACTATCATGAGAATAGCATGGGGGAAAGCACCCCCATGATCCAATAACCTCCCACATGGTCCCTCCCTCGACATGTGGGGATTATGGGGATTACAATTCAAGATGAGATTTAGGTGGGGACACAGAGCCAAACTACACCATCTGGTTAGGAATTGGGTGTGTTTAATATTTGCTATAACTATAAGCACCACAGGCTTCAAATTCCTCAACTATCCTTCTTTTTATCTCCCGTCTTGGCTGTGGGGCTTCTCTAAGTGCTTTCAGCTATTATCACTGTTATTTCACTGAAGCCTTTTGGTGCAGTGTTAGGGCATGGGGGTGAGGGGCTTCTATAATGCTTAAAATCTCTCTCCATCTGTGAGCAGGCTTGTATCTCAGGACTGTGGCCTTCACAAGTTTTTCTTTCCCTCCTACAGTGGTATATCTTTTCTCCCCTGCTCCCTACTCCCTTCCCAATCTATTTCCTCCAAACCTTGTCTCCTGTTGACTATCTTTTTAGTTCTTCACTTAGTTAAAACAAGAAAAATGAAGGAAGTTTAAGAGAATAGGAAGAATTTTCCTTCCTCCTGCTGGGATAAGATTTCAGAATTGTGCTCTGCCAAAGTCCTTTCCTCTGCAGAATGTGCCTGTATCATAAAGTCTCAGGGCATATTTCAAAATGATTACTTTTTCCCTCTCCCTGTCAGGGTCACCAGAGGATCTTTCTTGGATCTTTACTATGTAAACCTGGTGGGGTTCCAGAAAGAAAAACCCAGAAAAGTGTGGCCTAACCCCACCCCAACAAACATACACCAGACTAAGCCCTACTCTCAAGAAAGTCCACACTCATCCTGCAGCAAATTGTCAAAAATCTCATCTAAGTGTTCCTATGAGTTTACAGCTCCAGTGCCTTCTGCTCTAGGTAAGAAAACTCAGTGGCTGCATCGTTCTGTATCTTCTTGCCTCTCGAGAATTCAGGGTAAATCTGAAGCCTCAGTTCTCTAATGAGTCCAAGCAATGTGGATGATTTTCAGTTTGTCCAGGTTTTTTTTTTGTTGTTATTGTTGTAAGGATGAGAGTGACAACTTCTAAGCTCTTTACATGTGAGAGCTAAAACTGAAAGGAATCATCCTTTTAGATAAGGGCACTTTGGTAAGAAA
Source organism: Homo sapiens (assembly GCF_000001405.40). Taxonomy (NCBI): domain Eukaryota; kingdom Metazoa; phylum Chordata; class Mammalia; order Primates; family Hominidae; genus Homo; species Homo sapiens. Next base: position 81,873,982 of record NC_000014.9, on the reverse strand, counting down.
CAGAATAAACAATAAATTAAAATTTGATTAACAAGACATAGTCAAAGTTTAAAGAACTGAGGTCCTTTTAGAAACTTTATTATTTATTTCTGGTATTTAAGTTCCATCTGTAGTTAATGGAAAGTAATGAAAGTTTCCAGATTTCCTTTCCATGCTACTTCCCATAATGTTACCACAAATGCTAGTCCATTTAATACTCTTTGCCTGGGGGGATATGTCCCTTACCAAAAAGTTTAGGAAATATTAGGTTCTATATTGCTTTAACAAAAATCAAAATGTATGCTAGTTATAATAAAGGCTGAGAAAAATCCTGCATTGAAAGTCACATGTTCATGTTATTTATACCAAGTGTTTCCCAGACTTATCTGACTATGGAATCCTTTTATTCCCTTCTTATTTCCTAGCAACATCTTGATAGACAGAATACTGACACCCAAAGATGTCCATATCCTAATTCCCAGAATTTATTAATATATTACCTTACTGGCTAAAGGGACTTTGCAGATGTGATTAAATTAAGGATTTTGACATGTGGTGATTATCCTGAATTAACTAGGTAACTAAACTATATAATCGTAAGAGTCCCTGAGGGGTCAGAAGTAGAGAAAAGGCAATAACACGAAGGAAACAGAGAGAGATTTGAACATGTTATACTGCTAGCTTTGAAGATGGAGGAAGAGGCCACAAGGCAAGGAATGAGGGAAGTCTCTAGAAACTGAAAAAAGCAAGAAATAGATTCTCCACTTGTGCTTCTGAAAGAACCAGCCATTCTGACACCTTGGGTTGGTTGGTTTGTGGGGTTTTTTTTTGTTTTTTTGTTTTTTTTTTTAGCACAGTAAGATTGATTTGGAACCTCTGACTTGCAGAACTGTAAGATAATTAATTTTTGTTGCTTTAAGCCACTAAATTTGTAGTGATTTATTCCAACAGTAATAAGAAACAAATACAACATCCTATTGTGTTAGTCTTGAATGAAATACCCTCTGGGAAATATTACACTACGTTAGGATTATCGGGGATACAAAGAGAAACAGACTGTCTATACTCTTAATAATTGTGAAAATAGCTTTAGTAGTCCCATGGCAAATTTGTATATGATTTGTATAGTTAAAAGTATCTAAACGATTTAATGTGAAAATGCAATGAAAAAATATGCATTTCCCTTTTCTAAAGTATTAATTTCTAGGCATATTAGCACTATGGAAATAGATGTGGTATTTTTATCTCTAATTTCATTCATAAATTCATAGGTGCTATCTCATTTTATTTTCTCAAAATAACTAGGAATAAAAGTATTAATACTGTCATACTCACCTCAGAAATAGGAAAACTGGTACTCCATGAGTTAGCAACCTAAACCTACCACCTTCTCTACGTATAAAATCTTCATTCTGTAGGCAATTTAAAACTGGTAAGGTCTGTGAGCAGTGGTGTGGCATGATCAAACCTGTGATTTCACTGTCCTTTTTATGGCTTATCTTGAATCACCAGAAATGCCAAATAGAGATTAGCAGTAACAGCTGTCTTCACTCCTATAAGAATATTCTTCTAACCAAGAGAAAACTAAATACAGGTCAAGTACAATTGCTTTTAGCAATGAATAAGTCACAAAACATTGAGTTAAAACTACTAGTATTTCCAGGACAAGAAATTGGGAGGTAAAAAGAAAACAGTTATTTATCCATACACCCTAATCCACAGAAAACGAAAGCATATTGTTATTGAGAACGCTTCCTTGGTACATGGTAGTAACATAATCTGTATCTCATCTTTGCTTACAGGCTCTAAAACAAACACCAGGACCCCAAAACAAAATGAGGGCCCAAGTCTACAAATATTTTCAACAAATATTACTTATTTGATCCCTGAATTCTAAGTTCTTATGAAACTTTGTTTTAGTACAGATAGAAGAATAAAAGTCATCATTTAAGTGATTATTTAAGTCATAAACCTTGAGAAATGGTTATCAGAGGCAGCTAATGACCTAGCCTCTCAGCTAATGGAGGTTAACACTCTAATAAACCATTTGTTAACTGCAGCAATTGACTGATTACAAAAGAATTATGGCTATCATAACTCTGTTTTATGAGTGGTAGTGGGGAAAGACACAGTTGGATGGGGACAGAGTACACAAGTGCACCAAAAGGTGACTATAGAGAAAACAATTGCAACCTGTCACTAAAAGGTTCCCCCTACAATGAATAAGAAGGGAAGGGGAGCCACATGATATAAGTATATAGTGAATCGGAATACGGGAAATGTTAGTTTTGGTATAAAAGTAAAAATTCCCAAAACTAAGCCTGCCTAATGCACTCATAAGTGTCCTCAGTAAAATGGACATTGAATACTCTGATGAAAGCTTAAAGCCACCCACACACTGAGCATGGAGAGAATTTTTGCCTTCACAAAGAAGTCTTTCCAAATGCAATAAAAATACATCTCAAAAATGTGTATTTTGAGGTTGAAAATTGAAATCATGTGTCCCTGACAATTATTTAGATTTTTTCTAATGAGGACATTTTTAAAGGAGAGTAGGCACTATCTTTCTAAATTGGAAAGTCAAGAACATGCAGTTTCAGTTAGGATTATATATAATGATTCTGAGGAAAAAATAGTCAAAATAAATCGCTTGCTTAAGACAGTATTTTTTTTTTGACTTGTGTTAAAAAGTCCATGCTGATGGATGACTTCAGCCACATAAAGTCATCAAAGGTCCAGGTTTCTTCTCAGACACCATTCCAACATCTCTAGGATGTGGTTTTTCCCTTACAAAGATGACTGCAGGAGCTTCAGCCACCAAATTGGAGTTCTAGGCAACAAGATGAAGAGAGGAAGAAAGTCCTGACACTCTGTGTAGTGAAGAATTAACCTTATCCAAAGAGGAGTCTGGCTTTTGCCCTCAGTTACTGGGAGGTAATCTCTTGGTCCCTGAAATCTTCTGTGTGATAGGACTGTGTTTGTTTGCCTGGGCGTTTTGGCCACTGGACAGTCTAACAATGTGATGTATGATGAAGGCCACCTCGTATCCATTCTGATTGCTGAAGGTATTAGCCAACAACCTCTACAAGGGGATGGAGACTACAGATCAGTCACACAGGCAATATGTGATAGAGCCCAAATAAAAACTCTGAACTGGCTCACGCCTGTAATCCCAGCACTTTGGGAGGCCAAGGTGGGTGGATCACAAGGTCAGGAGATGGAGACCATCCTGGCTAACATGGTGAAACCCCGTCTCTACTAAAAATACAAAAAAATAGCTAGGCGTGGTGGCATACACCCGTAGTCCCAGATACTCAGGAGGCTGAGGCAGGAGAATCACTTGAACCTGGGAGGCAGAGGTTGCAATGAGCCGAGATCACGCCACTGCACTCCAGCCTGGGCAACAGAGCAAGACTGGGTCTCAAAATAAACAAACAAAAAAAAAAACTCTGGATGCCAAGGCTTGAGTGAGCTTCTCTGGATGGCAATACTTCAAGTATATTGCCACACATCATGGCCAGAAGGAGTAAACACTGTCCATAACTTTATGGGAAGAGAACATTTAGAAGTTCTGTATTTGGACCTCTCCTGAACCCTGTCTTACACATTTTTTACACTGAATAATTTTAATCTGTATCCTTTCCCTGTAATAAACCATACCTGGAACTATGGCTACTTTACTCCATGAGTTCTGTGACTGCTTATAGTGAATTATTAAACCTGAGGATGATTTGGGAACCTCCAAATTTAAAATTTGTGTCACATGTGAGGAAAGTCATGTTATCTGTGCTCCCTCTAAACTGTATAATTAGCCAGAACTCTTACACTCTCCTTTTTTAAATGGACATTCCAGAAGTACCACATAACTCATCTACTCACTTCTCATTGGCCAGAACCTAGTCATATGGACACACCTGTCTGCAAAGGAGACTGGAAAATGTAGTCTTTTGTCTGGGTATGTTTCTACTCTTAATAAATCAGGTTCTGTTACTTAAAAAGAGACAAATAATGGGCTCACACACTGTGATAAATCTACCTTCTATAAAAACACTGCAAAATATCTATAGTAATAAAAATTCTTCATTCATATATATATAATATATGATAAGCAAAATTAGAAATCTTGATGTTTTAAAGCAAATAATTTTTATTTAACAGAAAGTTTTAGTGTCAAATATCTCTTTTTGCCATATAAATTTTTTTGTTGCTTCCAAGTATGATAACGTGGCCTTTTACATGCCAAACATATTACAGTAGTTTCTTCTTATAAAATTTGATTTTCCATGGCTTTAGTTTCTCATGGTCAACTGTGGTCCAAAAATAGGTGGATACAGAACAGTAAGATATTTTGAGACAGAGAGAGACCACATTCATATAACTTTTATTACAATATATGGTTATAATTATTATATTTCCTTATTATTAATCTCTTATTGTGCCTAGTTTATCAAAACTTATCATGGGTATGTGTACAGGAAAAACATGTATACAGGGTTTGGTTCTACCTATGGTTTCAGGCATCCACTGGGGGTCTTGGAACGAATGCTCTGTGGATAAGGGAAGACTACAATAGTCGATATTTGCAAAAAGACAGAAGCAATAGGGTAGCAACTACATGTCAAGTGTGATGTGTATGGAGTCATATAAAAGTTAATACTCTATCGGGGGGTATTATTTTCATTTTATAGGCAAGAAAACTGTAGCTCAGGGATGCCAATGTCTAACCCTCCAGAACTTGATAGATTCGGGGTCTAGTGTTCTTTTCAAATTATAGGCTTTCCACACAGGCTCCAATTCACTGCTTTACTGAAGGTCAAGATGGATGCTATTTTAACTGGGTAATGGCCTCTCACTACCTTCTTGGTCTGCGCTAATAGCACTGGAAGCTCCTTTTGCTTCCCAAGGAAAGAAAGACTGTGTCCTAGATGAACTGTGTCAATAAGCTGTTACAAGGCTACTTTTGCTCCTTCTGTCTCCTTTCAGACACGTATTTTATATGTGCCTTGTAAATTTAAAGCATGCGGTTGTTCTTTTTCAAGCTATGTTTCTTTATGGTCCAGGAGTGATATTTCTAAATTCTACCCTGACTTCTCTGGATGCCCATTCTTCCACAGGGTCACCTCTGTTGATTCACAATGAATTGGCTTTAAATCTTCCCCCTGAGTCTCTTAATCAGTCTATGGCATATATGTCCCCTGCACTAGAATTCTTTAAATTTCCACACGGCAACCAATTTGTAGTAGGTATAGATTTCATCTGATAAACTCGTACTTCTTTATCTCAAAATACTGAGAATAACCCACCCATCTCCTTTTCCCAGGGATGGCTCTGAGGTTTTCTGTTTGTTTCTTTATTTGTTTGTTTGTTTTTGCAGGTGCCGAGGGTTATATGGTTCCTTTGAGGTGGGAGAGGTGGCAGAGGGTGTGCTTCTAGTCCTTCATGTAGTTGCCTCTCCACACTGAATCTATGAGACATCCTCATCCCCCTACAGTTTTTGTCATCGACCAAGTGCAGATCAATGCTGGTCAGCCTAAACGCAACTCCACAGTCTCATCAAAGCCGCTGCCCTCTGGCAACCACATCCAAGTCTTCCTAAACACACGCAGAGACAATTTTCCTGCTTCTGCCCCTTGTGGAGACTCCAGGAACTCTGTACTGATAGGCCACACCTGTCTACTGAGGCATTTCATATAGCTGCTTCTCCAGGATGCCAAGAAATGGGAACTCCAAGGCCTCGCAGCTTCCATGGGCTCTGTCTAGCAGAAGACACAGGCTTTCTCTGCTCAGCTCCACCAAGCCTATTTAAGACTTCTATTTTTTTTGCCATATATCCTCATCCTCCCCTGGGAAGACAGGTTCCAAGTCCCTTCTTCAGAAACCTACCAATATCTACACTTTCCTTCATTCCCTCTGTTCTGGGAAACTTTTCTAGTCTCAGGATCCAAAAGTGCCAGATATAAGTGGTTACATATCTTTCTATATCCTCAGTCGTTTCACAGTTTGAATTTTCTTTTTCCTTTTTCTTTTTTTTTTTTTTTTTTTTTTGAGACAGAGTCTCACTCTGTCTCCCAGGCTGGAGTCCTGTGGCACAATCTCTGTTCACTGCAACCTCCACCTCCTGGCTTTAAGCGATTCTCCTGCCTCAACCTCCCTAGTAGGTGGGATTACAGGCACCCGCCATCATGCCCAGCTAATTTTTTGCATTTTTAGTAGAGGTGGGATTTCACCATGTTGGCCAGGCTGGTTTCGAACTCCTGACCTCAAGTCTTCCACCTGCCTCAGCCTCCCAAAGTGCTGGGATTACAGGCGTGAGCCACCACACCCAGCCTGAATTTCCAAAATGCAAAAGCCTTGACTTTTTCTGCCATAACAACCCTTTTCTAGGTCACGGGTATTGGATACACCGAGTCATAGTGCAGTCACCTTCAAGTGGCGCTCCCAGTGCAACAGCATCTGCATTACCTGGGAACTTGTTAGAATGTACAATTTTAGTCCTCACCTCAGACTTACTGACTCCAAAGCTCTGGGAGTGGCACTCAGAAATCTATGATTTAAGGAGCCCCCCAGGTGATTCTAATGCAAGCTCAAGTTTGACAAACATAGTGCAAGCTTAGCTTCTAGAGTCAGACTTCTTCGGTCTTATGAGCTGTGTGACTCGGGGCAAGAGGCTTAACATCTCTATGCCTAGGTTACCACATCTATGAAATAAAGGTACTATTTGTATTTGCCTCAGATTGAGGCTTTTGTTATGAGTACATGGGTTAATACACGTAAAGTACTTAGCATAGAACCTGGCATATAATAAGAACTAAAAATAGGTACTACTTTTATTATTATATCTTCTGACTGAATCTTAAATTGTGGGAGGGGTTGGGCAACAGGAGATGTCAGGGAAAGAGACATCAGTTACTATTTCAAATATACCAACCCACAAAATGTGAAGGAACTAAAACAGCCTCTTTCAATTTCTTTAAATTTATTCTATAATTCACATTTTGTGTTAGTTGGCCTTCTCACTTTTTTTAACTTCAAATTAAAGAGTGCATGGACCCACACAAAAAAAGATTGTCTGAAATAAATCATTCAGTACTTTTACCATAAGAATGGAACAATTATATGGGGACTAATTTTGATACCTGTCAAACACCATTTCATCCACCTGCAAGCAGCTGACCAAAGCACTTGTTTACTGGCTTTATGCATTCAGATATTGTGTGAAAGAATCAAACCACTGGCTGAGAAATTGGAAAGACTTTTAAAATGCAAATTCATTTCCCTCAATAGGATTTGACCTGTATTACCATATACTGGCTGAGATTGCTCTTGAGTAAATTACCTATACTGAAAAAAAAAATTTCTCACTCAGTCACATGAGATGAATTTAATTCTTCAAGGAAGCCAGTGTTCCATTTAGTAATTTAAGTAATTTACTAAACATTAGGTATTTACTCCAGTTTGCAGGAAACACTCCTCTCACCTGATTCATCAGCACACCTCTGAAGATGAGATCAGTTGCAGATTGGGAAACTAATACCTTCTGCAACTTTGCGGAGCTATTACCTGTGTGACCAACAACCCATCTCCTGTTTAAGAGGGAGTGTTATCCTGATATCAACATTCTCTCTGAAGTTTTTCCACAAATAAAGGTTAGCTTTGTTAATTAAAGTCAAGGAAAATTGATAATGACCAGAAATCTTGGCCTTTACGATTTTCTTGTAGGTAATATTCAAGAAGGCAAGAAATAGGAAAAAAAAATATGTAAGAATTACCCACATCTGGCCAGGCACGGTGGTTCTTGCCTGTAATCCCTGCACTTTGGGAGGCCAAGGCAGGTGGATCACCTGAGGTCAGGAGTTTGAGACCAGCCTAGCCAACATGGTGAAATCTCCGTCTCTACTAAAAATACAAAAATTAGCCAGGTATGATAGCGAATGCCCGTAATCCCAGCTACTTGGGAGGCTGAGGCAGGAGAATAGCCTGAACCTGGGGGGCAGAGGCTATAGTGAGCTGAGATCGCGCCACTGCACTCCACCTTGGGCAACAAGAGTGAAACTCCACCTCAAAAAAAAAAAAAAGAATTACCTACATCTTCGAAACCCTCCAAACATCTGCTTCACTTTGGCTGGCTTTCTCCTACCAAATTCACAATAAAGAATAGTTTCAGGCATCCTAGTGAAATCAGAAAAATATGTTGGAAAAAAAAGATACGTTATCCATCTAATGAGAAACATTTGGGTATTGAAAAATATCATGTTTTTCTCTAATCTTTTAAGCTTCTTGTTGGTGATGTTTGGTATCATGAAAACATGACAACAATAAAGTTAAAACAGATTAAGTAAAATCACAACATTTTTAAGTGGAGAGAGCCCTATTGATTAACCATATCATCTAACTCTTTCATTTTAAATACAGGAAAACTCAAGGCCTACTTGCAAACTTAAACCCTTCCTAAAACACTGTGGATTTACAAACACATGGATGCAAATTTACAGACCTTGCAAACCTAATCTTTTTATAAGCAGTGATACCTCTGCATTTTTTAGGGACTCTCCTGGCCATTGGGGGCTCAGAAGCTGAGAAAGACCTACTCTCCAACTCACACAGCGTCTACGGCATCTACCATATAATAGAGGAATTAAGACACAGCAAACTGTAATCCAAGACACTAGTTTAATCGGAGGGTAAGCATCCTAGAATGGACCGGCAGGGCATTATGCTTAAAGATAGGTGGAAGAGAGATGATGAAAGACCTCAAATACTATGCCAAGGGAACTGGACCTTATCTATTACCAACAACAAACCGATTTTATTATATATCCCTGTGCCTAATGTGCTACATCATTTCACATAATCTTTTTTTTTTTTTTGACAGATTCTTCAAGTTTTTATTTCTGGACATGGTTACAGAATTTTGAGAGGTTATAGAATAGAGAACAAGAACAATTTTGGTTCATTAGGAGTCATTGTATATTGCATTTCTTGTGCCACATGGTGAGGATTTAAGAAAAACATATTTAACAAATGAATTTGAGAAGTGTCTGTTCATCAAATTCATTTGTTCAGTATGTTTTTCTTTTTTCTTTTTTTTTTTCTTTTATTATTATACTTTAAGTTTTAGGGTACATGTGCACATTGTGCAGGTTAGTTACATATGTATACATGTGCCATGCTGGTGCGCTGCACCCACTAACTCATCATCTAGCATTAGGTATATCTCCCAATGCTATCCTTCCCCCCTCCCCCAACCCCACAACAGTCCCCAGAGTGTGATGTTCCCCTTCCTGTGTCCATGTGATCTCATTGTTCAATTCCCACCTATGAGTGAGAATATGCGGTGTTTGGTTTTTTGTTCTTGCGATAGTTTACTGAGAATGATGATTTCCAATTTCATCCATGTCCCTACAAAGGACATGAACTTATCATTTTTATGGCTGCATAGTATTCCATGGTGTATATGTGCCACATTTTCTTAATCCAGTCTATCATTGTTGGACATTTGGGTTGGTTCCAAGTCTTTGCTATTGTGAATAGTGCCGCAATAAACATACGTGTGCATGTGTCTTTATAGCAGCATGATTTATAGTCCTTTGGGTATATACCCAGTAATGGGATGGCTGGATCAAATGGTATTTCTAGTTCTAGATCCCTGAGGAATCGCCACACTGACTTCCACAATGGTTGAACTAGTTTACAGTCCCACCAACAGTGTAAAAGTCTTCCTATTTCTCCACATCCTCTCCAGCACCTGTTGTTTCCTGACTTTTTAATGATTGCCATTCTAATTGGTGTGAGATGGTATCTCACTGTGCTTTTGATTTGCATTTCTCTGATGGCCAGTGATGATGAGCATTTTTTCATGTGTTTTTTGGCTGCATAAATGTCTTCTTTTGAGAAGTGTCTGTTCATGTCCTTCGCCCACTTTTTGATGGGGTTGTTTGTTTTTTTCTTGTAAATTTGTTTGAGTTCATTGTAGATTCTGGATATTAGCCCTTTGTCAGATGAGTAGGTTGCGAAAATTTTCTCCCATTTTGTAGGTTGCCTGTTCACTCTGATGGTAGTTTCTTTTGCTGTGCAGAAGCTCTTTAGTTTAATTAGATCCCATTTGTCAATTTTGGCTTTTGTTGCCATTGCTTTTGGTGTTTTAGACATGAAGTCCTTGCCCATGCCTATGTCCTGAATGGTAGTGCCTAGGTTTTCTTCTAGGGTTTTTATGGTTTTAGGTCTAACATTTAAGTCTTTAATCCATCTTGAATTGATTTTTGTATAAGGTGTAAGGAAGGGATCCAGTTTCAGCTTTCTACATATGGCTAGCCAGTTTTCCCAGCACTATTTATTAAATAGGGAATCCTTTCCCCATTGCTTGTTTTTCTCAGGTTTGTCAAAGATCAGATAGTTGTAGATATGCGGCGTTATTTCTGAGGGCTCTGTTCTGTTCCATTGACCTATATCTCTGTTTTGGCACAAGTACCATGCTGTTTTGCTTACTGTAGCCTTGTAGTATAGTTTGAAGTCAGGTAGGGTGATGCCTCCAGCTTTGTTCTTTTGGCTTAGGATTGACTTGGCAATGCGGGCTCTTTTTTGGTTCCATATGAACTTTAAAGTAGTTTTTTCCAATTCTGTGAAGAAAGTCATTGGTAGCTTGATGGGGATGGCATTGAATCTGTAAATTACCTTGGGCAGTATGGCCATTTTCACGATATTGATTCTTCCTACCCATGAGCATGGAATGTTCTTCCATTTGTTTGTATCCTCTTTTATTTCATTGAGCAGTGGTTTGTAGTTCTCCTTGAAGAGGTCCTTCACATCCCTTGTAAGTTGGATTCCTAGGTATTTTATTCTCTTTGAAGCAATTGTGAATGGGAGTTCACTCATGATTTGGCTCTCTGTTTGTCTGTTGTTGGTGTATAAGAATGCTTGTGATTTTTGCACATTGATTTTGTATCCTGAGACTTTGCTGAAGTTGCTTATCAGCTGAAGGAGATTTTGGGCTGAGACGATGGGGTTTTCTAGATATACAATCATGTCATCTGCAAACAGGGACAATTTGACTTCCTCTTTTCCTAATTGAATACCCTTTATTTCCTTCTCCTGCCTAATTGCCCTGGCCAGAACTTCCAACACTATGTTGAATAGGAGTGGTGAGAGAGGGCATCCCTGTCTTGTGCCACTTTACAAAGGGAATGCTTCCAGTTTTTGCCCATTCAGTATGATATTGCCTGTGGGTTTGTCATAGATAGCTCTTATTATTTTGAAATACGTCCCATCAATACCTAATTTATTGAGAGTTTTTAGCATGAAGGGTTGTTGAATTTTGTCAAAGGCCTTTTCTGCATCTATTGAGATAATCATGTGGTTTTTGTCTTTGGCTCTGTTTATATGCTGGATTACATTTATTGATTTGCGTATATTGAACCAGCCTTGCATCCCAGGGATGAAGCCCACTTGATCGTGGTGGATAAGCTTTTTGATGTGCTGCTGGATTCTGTTTGCCAGTATTTTATTGAGGATTTTTGCATCAATGTTCATCAAGGATATTGGTCTAAAATTCTCTTTTTTGGTTGTGTCTCTGCCAGGCTTTGGTATCAGAATGATGCTGGCCTCATAAAATGAGTTAGGGAGGATTTCCTCTTTTTCTGTTGATTGGAATAGTTTCAGAAGGAATGGTACCAGTTCCTCCTTGTACCTCTGGTAGAATTCGGCTGTGAATCCATCTGGTCCTGGACTCTTTTTGGTTGGTAAGCTATTGATTATTGCCACAATTTCAGATCCTGTTATTGGTCTATTCAGAGATTCAACTTCTTCCTGGTTTAGTCTTGGGAGAGTGTATGTGTCGAGGAATTTATCCATTTCTTCTAGATTTTCTAGTTTATTTGCGTAGAGGTGTTTGTAGTATTCTCTGATGGTAGTTTGTATTTCTGTGGGATCAGTGGTGATATCCCCTTTATCATTTTTTACTGTGCCTATTTGATTCTTCTCTCTTTTTTTCTTTATTAGTCTTGCTAGCAGTCTATCTATTTTGTTGATCCTTTCAAAAAACCAGCTCCTGGATTCATTAATTTTTGGAAGGGTTTTTTGTGTCTCTATTTCCTTCAGTTCTGCTCTGATTTTAGTCATTTCTTGCCTTCTGCTAGCTTTTGAATGTGTTTGCTCTTGCTTTTCTAGTTCTTTTAATTGTGATGTTAGGTTGTCAATTTTGGATCTTTCCTGCTTTCTCTTGTGGGCATTTAGTGCTATAAATTTCCCTCTACACACTGCTTTGAATGTGTCCCAGAGATTCTGGAATGTTGTGTCTTTGTTCTCGTTGGTTTCAAAGAACATCTTTATTTCTGCCTTCATTTCGTTATGTACCCAGTAGTCATTCAGGAGCAGGTTGTTCAGTTTCCATGTAGTTGAGCGGTTTTGAGTGAGATTCTTAATCCTGAGTTCTAGTTTGATTGCACTGTGGTCTGAGAGATAGTTTGTTATAATTTCTGTTCTTTTACATTTGCTGAGGAGAGCTTTACTTCCAAGTATGTGGTCAATTTTGGAATAGGTGTGGTGTGGTGCTGAAAAAAATGTATATTCTGTTGATTTGGGGTGGAGAGTTCTGTAGATGTCTATTAGGTCTGCTTGGTGCAGAGCTGAGTTCAATTCCTGGGTATCCTTGTTGACTTTCTGTCTTGTTGATCTGTCTAATGTTGACAGTGGGGTGTTAAAGTCTCCCATTATTAATGTGTGGGAGTCTAAGTCTCTTTGTAGGTCACTCAGGACTTGCTTTATGAATCTGGGTGCTCCTGTATTGGGTGCATATATATTTAGGATAGTTAGCTCTTCTTGTTGAATTGATCCCTTTACCACTATGTAATGGCTTTCTTTGTCTCTTTTGATCTTTGTTGGTTTAAAGTCTGTTTTATCAGAGACTAGGATTGCAACCCCCGCCTTTTTTGTTTTCCATTTGCTTGGTAGATCTTCCTCCATCCTTTTATTTTGAGCCTATGTGTGTCTCTGCACTTGAGATGGGTTTCCTGAATACAGCACGCTGATGGGTCTTGACTCTTTATCCAATTTGCCAGTCTGTGTCTTTTAATTGGAGCATTTAGTCCATTTACATTTAAAGTTAATATTGTTATGTGTGAATTTTATCCTGTCATTATGATGTTAGCTGGTGATTTTGCTCGTTAGTTGATGCAGTTTCTTCCTAGTCTCGATGGTCTTTACATTTTGGCATGATTTTGCAGCGGCTGGTACCGCTTGTTCCTTTCCATGTTTAGCGCTTCCTTCAGGAGCTCTTTTAGGGCAGGCCTGGTGGTGACAAAATCTCTCAGCATTTGCTTGTCTGTAAAGTATTTTATTTCTCCTTCACTTAAGAAGCTTAGTTTGGCTGGATATGAAATTCTGGGTTGAAAATTCTTTTCTTTAAGAACGTTGAATATTGGCCCCCACTCTCTTCTGGCTTGTAGGGTTTCTGCCGAGAGATCCGCTGTTAGTCTGATGGGCTTCCCTTTGAGGGTAACCCGACCTTTCTCTCTGGCTGCCCTTCACATTTTTTCCTTCATTTCAACTTTGGTGAATCTGACAATTATGTGTCTTGGAGTTGCTCTTCTCGAGGAGTATCTTTGTGGTGTTCTCTGTATTTCCTGAATCTGAACGTTGGCCTGCCTTGCTAGATTGGGGAAGTTCTCCTGGATAATATCCTGCAGAGTGTTGTCCAACTTGGTTCCATTCTCCTGGTCACTTTCAGGTACACCAATCAGACGTAGATTTGGTCTTTTCACATAGTCCCATATTTCTTGGAGGCTTTGCTCATTTCTTTTTATTCTTTTTTCTCTAAACTTCCCTTCTTGCTTCATTTCATTCATTTCATCTTCCCAGCCAGGTGCGGGATATAATCTCGTGGTGCGCCATTTTTTAAGCCCGTCGGAATAGCGCAGTATTCGGGTGGGAGTGACCCGATTTTCCAGGTGCCGTCCGTCACCCCTTTCTTTGACTAGGAAAGGGAACTCCCTGACCCCTTGCGCTTCCCAAGTGAGGCAATGCCTCACCCTGCTTCGGCTCGCGCACGGTGTGCGCACCCACTGACCTGCGCCCACTGTCTAGCACTCCCTAGTAAGATGAACCCGGTACCTCAGATAGAAATGCAGAAATCACCCGTCTTCTGCGTCGCACAAGCTGGGAGTTGTAGACTGGAGCTGCTCCTATTCGGCCATCTTGGCTCCTCCCCTTTTTTTTTTTTTTTTTTTTGAGACAGAGCCTGGCTCTGTTGCCCAGACTGGAGTGCAGTGGCACTATCTCAGCTCACTGCAGCCTCTGCCTCCAGGGTTCAACCAATTCTCCTGCCTCAGCTTCCCAAGTAGCTGGGATTACAGGCACCTGCCACCAAGCCCAGCTAATTTTTGTATTTTTAGTAGAGACAGGTTTTCACCACACTGGCCAGGCTGGTCTCAAACACCTGACCTCAGGTGATCTGCCTGCCTCAGCCTCCCAAAGTACTGGGATTACAGGCATGAGCCACTGTGCCCAGCCCATGTAATCTTCATAATAACCCTGTGAGGTAGGTTCTATCATTCTCTTTTTTTATACATGAAAGAACCAAAGTAACAAGAGGTTAGTGAGTTGCCCAAGGTCAAATGGACAAATAGAAGAATATAGACTCAAACAAACTTGCTTGACTCCAAGGCCCATTCCCTTAACTGTTTGTTCCTGAGCAGGAGAATTACATAATCAAGCTATTTTTTTGGAAGATTAATTTGGCAACAGCACGAAGCATGCACTGTCTTTTTCCTGGCCCACAAGCAGGAATGCTTAACTACAGTTTCTTTTACCCATTTAGAGATTTATGAGAGAGTCATTTCATACTTCTTGGATTTAAAATGCTCATTTCACACATCTTTTGGCTTCGGCTTTTTTTTTTTTTTAATTTAAATCATGAGCTGTGATCTGACCATTTTCTTATACTCAGGCTTTTTCTCCCTCCCCTCCATTTTATCTCAGTGGAGCCAATTTCTCTCTCCGTGACCATTATTGCTTTCCTAAGGCCTTGGGTGAACAGACAAGGCTTCTCCCATCCAGGCTAATCATCAAAGTAGACACACAGAGGGGAGAGGGGAAGGATGTAATACGCTAATATAATTACAAACAATAGCAAACAAAGCTTCCCTCATCCATTAATGCTGAAATGTATTCGTTCAAACTAATTAGTTTTGGGGGGACTGCTAATAAATCCTAATATTTCTCAAAGAGAAATGGCTTGTAATTCAATTTATATTAAGCTGTAACTGAAGTTTACACTAATTAAATCTGGGCTTCCATAACAATTAATCCCAGGAATAATCTGAAAATATAAATAATGTAATAAAGTAAATAACTCTGCATGGCCCCCTAGAAGCAACAGGCAGTATGGGGGTAGGTGGTGGTGATGAGTCTGTGTGCCGAGAGCAAAAGGAGAAACTGATTCTTGCCCTCTCAGAACGGAACATTTGCTCTTTAATGAGCATAGCAATATTCTGCATGTATTTCCTCTAGAGAATGGATGTCCATTGTAATTGTTGAAGGTTAGCTCTGTAGATGTTTTCTATGAACAAATGGCTTGTCAAGGTGTGCCCTGGGCAGAAAATGAACTAAACAGTATGGAAGAACAAGAAAATCTCCAAGGACAATGCCAGGCCTGAAATCACATCCTAGCAGGTATATGCTGCTCTCTTTGTTTTGTCAAATTGCCTTCTGGTCTTCACACAAGTGAAAACACCTATTTATATGTGTACTTCTCCCGGTCACTCCCATTCAACACCCCCAGCCCAAAGGGAATGACATGAGCCCAGTTATATATATGCTGTTTTTCTGGAAGCCATTTTCCTAATATGGTCTGCCTAGGCTATACAATGTATTTTTTGAAGTTGTGCAATGCCTTCCAAGTAAAACTTCACATAATCACAGGAGTTTTTGTTCTGTTTTGTTTTGTTTTGATTTTTTTGAGAAGGAGTTTCACTCTTGTTGCCCAGGATGGAGTGCAATGACGTGATCTTGGCTCACCGCAACCTCCGCCTCCCGGATTCAAGCAATTCTCCTGTCTCAGCCTCCTGAGTAGCTGGGATTACAGGCATGCTCCACCACACCTGGCTAATTTTGCATTTTTAGTAGAGACAGGATTTCTCCATGTTGGTCAGGCTTGTCTCAAACTCCCGACCTCAGGTGATCTGCCCGCCTCAGCCTCCCAAAGTGCTGAGATTACGGGTGTGAGCCACCAGGCCCAGCCTCACAGGAGTTTTAAAAGGCTGTCTATGGAATAAAATATGTATCTACCAAAACAATTATCCTTTGTGTCCCAGTCTTTGGGGCTCTTCAGCATATGGAAAGCTAAAACCCTAGCCCTTGTGTTGCTTTGATGATAGTGTAGTTCTCAGATATGCAGCACTCACAGAGTAAATGAGACAAGCTGTTAGCCAAATACCCTTGAGGCTAAGGTGAGCAAGGCCTGTGTCTCTCTTGATAGCCCCACTGTCCCTCAAGAAGCCAACTCCTGTCCCCTCTGTTGAATCTCCCTTTGTGGAATTCCCTGTCCACCTTATAGTATTGTGAAGAACAAATGAGATGATGTTGTAGGGCTCTAATTGCCAAAACTTTCTAAAAATGGGGCTATCATCTTTGAAGAATTAGTGAAGTGTATTCCAATTTTTTCTGAATGCTTCCCCAAGTAACCAGTGTCTAAACAGGGAAGTGAAGATTTGAAAGATTCCGGATAATCATTAGGCAAGTACAGTGTCTAGTTATTTAGAGTGTCATGCTAGGCATCTCCTTTTGTCATACTTAATTTTACTCTTAAAACCTTCCTCTGAAAGAGAAATGGTTGCCCCCACTTTAGAGATAAGCACATTGAAGCACCAAGAGAGTATCTTGCTCAGGGTCACACAACTTATCCATGACCAAACTTCAGTTGGATGTTTGTCCATCTGAATTTCAGGTTGAAATGTGACCTCCAATGTTGGAGGTGGGACATAGTTGGAGGTGTCTGAGTTATGAGAGTGGATCCCTCAGGAATGGCTTAGTGCTCTCTTCAAGATGATAAGTGAGTTCTCACTCTGAGTTCACCTTGAGGCAGGAAAATAGGGTCTAGAGACAGGGAACATAATGCCAATTCACACTTCAGCTGTAACAGCAAATATCGTCTCCATATGCCATATGCCATAAATGACTTTGTAACTTTACTGCATCCTCTCTATTTATATAGGGAGTACCCCAAGTAACCAATGGAATCCTCTATGGGGTATTTAAACTCCAAAACATTCTGTAACAGGGCCTTTGAGCTCCTATGCTCAGGCCCACTCCCACACTGTGGAGTGTACTTTCATTTTCAATTAAACCCCTTCATTCCTTCCTTGCTTTGTGCATTTTGTTCAATTCTTTGTTCAAGATGCAAAGAACCTGGACGTCCTCCACCATTAACATATTTTGGCAAGCCAGCCAGGAGAAAATGGTAAGCCCAAAGTTTGGAATTCATTTTTCTCCCTTTCCTTTCTTCTCCATACAGCGGCGCTCCCTCGCTCTCTCTGGCTCTCTCTCTTTCTCTCTCTCTCTCTTCTTTTCCTTTCCAAACCCTTGCGGGGCAGGACCTAAACATGGAAGCAACTGCACGTTTCTGGCCATGGCCAGTGAAACTAAGGGGTTTCCATGTGGAGAAGCCTGACTGCCACCACCAGTTCACTTCAGGAATCTGGGTCTTTTCTCATTTTCTTTTCCTCTCTTTCTTTTTCAGTCTTTGAGCAGCTGTTTCCTAGTAGTCCCTTGGAAATTAAGGGCAATTGGGTGGGGTCACTCCCTAGTGCTGCCTGAAGGCCTAGGAATGAATGGGAATAATTGCCCTGGCCCGAAGGGTGAAGGATCTTTTCTACGCATGGTCCCTAATCCCTACGGTGGCAGCAGAGCTCACAGCTGGGAGCAAATTCGCACAGGTTTCAGGGAACTTAAAACTTACCTTATGCTAAATTCTTCCTTTATTGTACTCAACTGGCTAAGGAACAAAAAGGCCCACCCGGCATCCAGTTCTTGTTACAGTTCATGGCTATTCTTACAAATCTCATAGTATGTTTTGGAGGAGAAACCTGCATGTGGAGTGTGCACTTAAGGCCAGACACATCTAGAATTCTAAGATTGGACCCCACAGGAGGATGTTCCATGGGTTCTGCGGACCTCAAACTCTTCAAAGGGGCTACCCTTGGCAGAGGTTCTGAGGTCTAGTACTAAACCCTCATTAGAATCTTCTCTCGCAGTTGCAATGCTGGCTTGGCCCCAGAATTGTTTAGAATCTGAAGTTTACTGTCTAATGCGAAAGTGGAATGGCGTTGCATGTATCCAGGCTTTTGTGCTGCTGTTATAAGCAGGGGGCCTGGTTAACGTGTGATGCCTTCCTTTGGTACTATTTGGCCCCAGTGCTCTTTGGAGTCTGGGGAAGTTTAGCCTCTAAAAGTCAAAGCCACCGAGACTGCTTTACCCAAAATTTTGGTTCACAGCCTTCCTTGTGTAGGATACAGTAAATTCCTATTCAAAGGTTTTAGCCTGTTAACTTCCTTTAAAATTCAAGAGGGGGACAATTGTTAAATACAATGAGTTCTGAGTTCCTCTTCAAAGAACCAATATGTCAGTATGTTCAGCTTCCCTGTTCTTTGTTCTCCATTTTTAAGTTTAACTTCCTCGTTCTTTAAGTCTCCTTGCCCCTAGTTTCAGTAAACAACCCCCTCTATCTACTGCTCAGTCCTTAGTCACCCTTATTCACCTGCTCTGTCCTTAGTCATCCTTAGTCACCTGCTTTGTAACTGTCCTTCCTGGTGAAACTACTCACCCTGCCACTGTGGCTCATAACCCTGCTCTCTTTATGATAGCCAATTGGAATTAGCTTAGGCTGTGTGGTCCAACCCTAGCCAGTAGGGGAAAGACACAGAAGTAGAAACTAGCTGCATCAGGAATAAAAACCCCCTTCCCCTCCCTTGTCCGGTGTGCTCTTGCCATTGCTCCATCCATGAGATGCACCCTTCTATAGAAGTAAATTGCCTTGCTGAGAAAACTTTTGCCTGAGTGCTATTTTCACTTGGTGGCACCGAGCATTTATTTCCAACACTTGGATTATCTACTGGGGCAAAGTAAAACCAGCAAGCTTGTATGGCTATCTCATGGCTAAGGTTCCAGCTATTGGGTCTTCGTTTATGTGTGTGTATACATGTCTAGATGTGTTTATTTGTATGTACACTTACTGTTATACATTGTATCTACCAAACTGGCTTATAAGTAAAAGAGCACTCATAAATTAGTAAGTCTAAGTGATTTTCAAGTTCACATAACCTAAGTATAACTTTACTAAACAAGCTAGCTTTAAAATTTTTGGTGAAATTAAAATAGAAATGCCTTCATAATTGTCAGCATAAATTTTGTCTGAATTTTATGTTTGTCTTTGCTAGATATTTTAAAATGTCAGTGTTAATTCAGGCTGGGAGCTGCTTAGGGGGAGTCTGCTTCCCATTCTATTCAAAGTCTTACTGAGATAAATGCATATCTGATTGCTTCCTTTGGAAAGACTAATCAGAAACTCAGAAGAATGCAACAGTTTGTCTCCCACCTGTGGTCTGAAAGCCCCCAAGCCCCCTTCCTGCCTGGAGTTGTTCCGCTTTTCTGGACCAAATCAATGTTCATTTTACATATGTTGATTAATGTCTCCCTTGTGACAAGTAAAAATTAAGTACAGTGCATGAGATAAATGTTTTAGGTAGACTTTTTGTGTAAATTAAAATTTTAAAGTCATTTTTAATGCTCATTTAATATCTGGGTTATTTCCAGTTAAGAAGGGTTGTAACATGGGGAAATATGTTTCTAAAATTGTAGAATTTTTCTTATCTATAAATGCCTATATCAAATAGCTCAGGATTTCTTGCTTTTTAGGGTTTCACTAAAGTTTTAGGTTACTAAGGATAAAAATTTTAGTTAACACATAATTCTGTATACAAAATATGCCAGAAGGGGTTATGTTATTAGAAAACAAAAATTTTGTCTAATTTAGAAGTTATGTAAAAGTTAGTTCAAATTTCAGATTTTAAAAGGTTATTTATAAAACAATGTAGTAAGGAAGCATTAAGTAGGGGACAAGATGTGGAAAAAGTTTAAATAATAAAATATTCTTTAAAACCTGATAAAGAATTGGAAACATTTGGCTAATTAACATTTTCATAGTTAAAGCTCTTAGTTTTGATTAAAGTAAAAGAAGACAAGAAGACAAATAGAATTTGAGTAATATTTCTCTCTCTGCCTAATTTCTCCAAAATTTGTGAAGTATATGTGAATATTCTTAATTCATGGCAATGTGTTTGTTTGCATACAGTCAAGCAGGGTCGCCAGGGCACTAAGGAAGAGAGAACCCAGAAACCTGGCATGCCAGCAAAAGGGTAAGAATTTCTTACCAGTCAGTCTCTGGCCTCTTTCTCTTCATGTAAACTGGTTAAATATAAAGTAAAAGTCACTGTATAGCTCCTCTGTAAAGTTTTAAATTAATTGGTTTAGTGATAATAAGATCTTAAATCACATATTTTCTCTGAAAAGTGAAAAACATAATGCCTTTTATTTAGTTCATGTGACTTGAGTAATCCTTGGAAAATAAAGACAGTTTTAAAGATTATTGGTGAAATACAATTGTCTTCAAAATGTAAACATGTGGTCTAAATTATGCTCAAATATTAGGTTTGCTAAATGCTTTAAGGTCATAAGCTACTTCTTTGGCTTTTGAAAATTGTTTCACTTACCTGCTTTTCCAGGTATGCCCTGGGGACGTGTGGAGTTGGCCACACCCTAGCTATGCTGGAAACAGTCAAACCTTATCAGAACATAACTTACCAGGTTTTACATTAAAGTTAAAATTGCTAAGAGTCGCCACTGTGACATGCAATTAAGACTACTGGAAATAGATTTACATGCAAAGTGTGTAAGAACAGTAAAATGTGTTTTTTAAAAGGTTATAAGAAGGTATGGAAATGTAAATTTTGCCTAGGGTTAAAGGATTGTTTTAAGTTAGATGGGAAAAGCTAAAGGCTTGAAGAAGTGGTGGAAAAATAGTGGAAATTAATCTTGTAGAAGAGGTTCACCATGAGAACATGTTGACTACATTCAAAAGGGTTATAAAAGGTTTTTGCTTCTTTAAAATTTCTAACTCACCATTTTGGCAAAATAAATAACTATGGTAATCTGGAATTCCAAAATCAAACTTCAGTTTCAAAATTGCCCTCCCTGGCACCTGACTTTTCAAATACTTCAGAGGGCCCGTGAAGTGTCCAGAAGAGAGGTAAACAGGATTATTTGACTGGTTTAGATAGATGGGATTGCCAAAATGATGTTCAATCTTCTTTAGGTTATATTTTTGTGAGTAATACTAATATATGTTCCAAGATTATATGGGATTTCTAACATTCTAATGTCTAAGTATATGTTATTAGTTATAATTATGGTTATTATGTTAAGTTATTGTACATCATAAAAGTAAACAAATGTTCTTGTCAGTGCTATGCACCTAATTTGGAAAAACAACTGGTATCCAAGAGGATATAAGTCTAATGTTAATCAAGCATGGACTCATGGAGAACCAGGATGGCCGCCTTGTTCTTCCTGAGTCCTTAAAGATTTTATTATTAAGAGTTCTGCATTCCACGACTCATCATGGAAAAGATAAAATGATCCAAGTTGAATACATTGGTGTAGTGACTTACAAATTGTTTAAAATGGTTTATAACCAATTCTTGATACCATATTCCTGGGAAAACAATTAAAGCTTCAGGTACATTTGGTCACCTGATGGGCCATTTAAACATTTTATAAAGAGATTTCATTCTATTGTTATTTTCAATGCACGTTTTCTGGTTGTATAAAAGCTATCCCATGCAAGAGGACTGATGTTATAACAGTAGATTAATAATAATGCTACAGTGTATTTTCACCAGGTAAAGAAAGCTTTTCATGGTTTGAATCTTCTGGAAACATCAGAAGAAGACTGTCCTTGCCATGCACACTACAACAAAACTTCAAGACCTTGAACTTTGGGTTCATAATCTCACAATGAGAAAGGTCCCTCCACACTTTCAGAACTGCGCACCCACTGGAACCCTTGAGGTAAAACTAAGCAGGAAAATTTCTCCCAAGAAAAGGATGGCATCCTTGATGTGAACAGCTTTTGCCAAGTCCACAGATTGACGTCTACTGTCATTAAACTCTTATCTTTGAATATTTTTTTCTTGCTTATGCCTCTACGAACAATAGATGTGGAAACAGGGCCTGTTATGTGCACTAATGGGGTGTACTTTTATTTGTGAAGGAGTTTGCAGCCAGCCTTATACATGGATAACCTTATACTTTGATCAATAAAAGATGAAGGCCCAATGTAGGTAAGAAACTTTAATGGTATATATGTGGCCTCATAATCAGTCAAAAACAAAACATTGGTTCACCCCTCTTAACCCACATCGTGGGTTAAAGAAAACATTGCTAGAAGGCCTTCACTATTCTAAAGGGGCATCATTTGTTAGGTCCTAGTTCCATGGTTTAAAATAAAAGAAGCAATGATTAGAAATGTATCCCTCATGATAGGTTCTATAGCAAATTCTACTGTAAAGGCTACAGTTATACAATAGACTCTAAATTCTCTTGTGAAAGTTATGATAAAATTGGCTAAACGGAGAAATATCTGTGTAGCTGCTGGCACTTGTGGCCTATGGAGAAATACACCAAATGAAGATTATAGAAATTCATTGGTAGGAGATTAACAAAGAGACTGCTTAGTAAAGTGAGCAAACTCTTTATCTAGCTCATTCTTTGATCTATTTGATTTTAGGAGGTTTGGTTTAGGAGGACCTTGGGTAAGGAGCATACTCTGAACTCTTGGTATTATCTTCCCAATAGTCATAATAATAATCTCCCTGGTGTGCTGTCTCAAAGGTTTTAAATGCTTGCCTGCAGCCATCTCTAGAATGTCAAATGGTCTCTCTTCAGCTGGAATAATGGAGCCGAAAGAAATGTTCAACCATGAGGACACCAGAACCTACAAATGACGTGCTGAGACCAGAAACCCAAAATGATGGTAACTGAGAGTGGCACTAGGGCCCTAAGTTTTGGTCACACTCTCACCTGACCAAACCTGACCAAAAATGGAGAATTTTTTAAACAAAATTCCGGGAGGCCATAGTTTTTGACTAATCTCATGCACTAGGCCCCAACAAACCAAACCAAAATGGAGTTGCTTGTGCTAAGAAACACATAGATTCTAGAACAAACCACATTTTTTCTCCTGCAAATCTCTGTAACAAACATTTCTAACAGCATAGGTATCCACCACCTGAAGTCTCCATTAAATCTTTTAATCAAATTCATTTCCTCTCGCCTAGAAACCATCAAGTTTCAAGTGATCATGCAACAAAGGTTTCAGACACCTCCAGGTGAAGATACCACTCCTGGCCATCAGGAAGCTACCCTGCCTCCACTAGATACAGCAGGGTGAGAGTTCCATAATCCCCAATAGGTAGGGTCTACACTCCAAGCCAGCATGAAGTGGTTACAGAAAAAAGACCATTGGTCCCTCTGCCTCCCATAAAGATTTATGGGGATCACATCTCTCAGTGGGGAGATGAGGCAGAAAAATAGGGTCTGGAGGCAGGGAACATAGGCCAATTCACACTTCAGCTATAACAGGAAATATCCTCTCTATAGGGCATATGCCATTAGTAACTTTGTAACTTTACTTCATCCTCTCCAATTACATAGGGCATACCCCAAGTGACCAATGGAATCCTCTAGGGGGTATTTAAACTCCAAAAAAATTCTGCAACAGGGCCTTTGAGCCTGTGTGCTCAGGCCCACTCCCACACTGTGAAGTGTACTTTCATTTTCAGTAAAACTCTTCATTCCTTCCTGGCTTTGTTTGTGCATTTTGTTCAATTCTTTATTCAAGACACCAAGAACCTGGACACCCTCCACTGTTAACAATAAGAGATCTGGTTGTTTACGAGTATGGCACTTACCCCCTCCTCTCTCTCTCACTTCCTCTCTTACCATGTGATACACTGGATCCACTTTGCCCTCTCCCATGAGTGGAAGCAAAGGAGGCCCTATTTGGGAGCAGATATTTGCATAATGCTTCCTGTACAGACTGCTGAATCATGAGCCAAAATGAACCTCTTTAATAACTCAGCCTCAGGTACTTCTTTATGGTAATGCAGAAGCAGACAAATACGGTAGAAAATTGGACCTGAGGAGTGGGGCATTGCTTTAAAGAGATCTAAAAATGCAGAAGCGGCTTTGAGATTGGGTAATGGGCAGAGGTTGGAAGTGTTTAGAGGGCTCAGAAGAAGAGAGTAAAACAAGAAAAAGTTTAGAAGTTCTTAAAGGCTTGTTAAGTGGTTGTGACCAAAATGCTGATAGAAATATGAATAACGAAAGTCCAGGGCTGATGAGGTCTCAGATGAAAACAAAAAAATTATTGGGAACTGGAGCAAAGGTCATCCTTGTTACATCCTAGCAAAGAATTTGGCTGCATTGTGTCCATGTCCTAGGGATTTGCGGAAGGTTTAAATTAAGAGTGATGACCTAGGGTATCTGGTGGAAGAAATTTCTAAGCAGAAAAGTATTCAAGAAGTGACCTGGCTGCTTCTAATATCATATCTTCAGATGCAGGAGTAAAGGAATGACATAAAGTTGGAACTTATATTTAAAAGGGAAGCAGAGCATAAAAGTTTAAAGAATTTGCAGGCTGGCCATGTGGTAGAGAAGGAAAGAGCATTCTCAGGAGAGGAATCCAAGCAGGCTCCAGAGCAACCACTTGCTATGGAGATTAGATGACTAAAAGGGAGACAGGTGCTAATATCCAAAACAATGGGGAAAATGCCCTAAAGGCATTTCAGAAGTCTTCTGGACAGTCCTTGCCATCTGTGATTGTTAATATTAAGTGTCAACTTGATTGGATTGAAGGATGCCAAGTATTGTTCCTGGGTGTGACTGTGAGGGTGCTGCCAAAATAGATTAACATTTGAGTCAGTGGACTGGGAAAGGCAGACCCATCCTCAATCTAAATGGGTATCATCTAATCAGCTGCCAGCATGGCTAGAAAAAGCAGGCAGAAGGTAAAAAGAGCAGACTTGCTGAGTCTTCTGGTCTTCATTTTTCTCCCATGCTGGATGCTTCCTGCCCTCAAACATTGGACTCCAACTTCTTCAGCTTTTGGACTCTTGGACCTACATCAGTGGTTTGCCAGGGACTCTCAGGCCTTCAGCCACAGACTGAAGGCTACACTGTCGGCTTCCCTACTTTTGAGGTTTTGGGTCTCAGACTGGCTTCCTTGCTCCTCAGCTTGCAGTTGGCCTATTGTGGGACTTCACCGTGTCATCATGTGAGTCAATACTCCTTAAATGCCCTTTCATATATTCATCTATAATATTTGTTCTGTCCTTCTAGAGAACCCTGACTAATACAGATTTTGGTACCAGAAATGGTTCTGGAGGAACAGAATTTTAAGGATGGATTTTTTTAGTTGGTTTTGGGGTTTCTGGAATTGACTGCTTAATCTGATTAGACCCAAAAATGTTAAGGACTGTACTTCGAATAGTATGGAGAACACTGATAGTCTTTGGCATGAACTGTTTGGAGAGTTATGCAAAACAAGTGCATTTGATACTCCTGATTCACTGCTCTTGAGAGGCAAGAAATTTAGTGACTCTATATATATCTTTGACCATATGTGGAGAACCAAGGAATATTATGAAATTGGTGGGTTTCTTCTAAGTTTACAAAGTGATGAAAGAAAATGATGAGCTTAGGGATTCTAACTCCCTGCTCCAGAAGCACATACCGAGCTTCAAATCTTCTAAGATTGCCCTGAGTGAGAGAGTCCTATCTCCTGCAGACAAAGACCTGCAATTGTGGAAGATCAGACACAAGTTCTCATCATGAAAGTGACTGACCTGCAATGAAAGGTACATGCTCAGTCTTGCCAGGTGTCTACCGTTTGTTAAGGTGAGGGCGTTGATTGGAAAAGAATGGGACCCTATAACTTGGAATGGAGACGTGTGGGAGGACCCAGATGAGGCTGAGAGCACTGAGCTCCTACATTCTGATGAGACTTTTTTCCCAGAGGAGACAGCCTCCCCAACCCCAGTGGTGGCAACATCCCCTCCCCAACCCACTCTGCCATCAGCCTTTTCACCTTTGTCTGAGGAGATTAACCATGCACTGCCTGAGGCAACAGTGATGGCTGATGCAGTTGCCAGGCAAAACAATGCTGATTTTCCTCAGGACCCATTCCCAACACGGCTGTTTACTTCTAGACCTATAACTAGACTCAAGACCCAGCAGACTCCTAGAGGTGAAGTTCAAAGTGTGACCCACAATGAGGTGCACTACACTCCAAAAAAACTGCTCAAGCTTTCTAATTTATATAAGCAGAAATCTGGGGAACAGGCATGGAAATGGATATTAAGGGTGTGGGATAATGGTGGAAGGAACACAGAATTGGATCAGGCTGAATTTATTGCTATGGGCTCACTAAGCACAGATTCTACATTTAATGTTGCAGCTCAGGGAGTTAAAAAGGTTATAATAGTATATTTGCTTGGTTAGCTGAAACATGGATCAAAAGATGGCCCATTGTGAGTGGGCTGGAAATACCTATCTCCATTGACTTAATACAAAGAAAGAAATCCAAAGGCTCAGGGAGATTGGAATGCGAGTGGATTAGTCATTTTAGACCTACTCATCCCAACTGGGAGGGTCCAGAAGACATACCCTTCACCAATACCTTGCAAAATAGATTTGTGAGGGCAGCACATGCATCCTTGAAGAGCTCTGTGATTTCCCTTCTCTGTATGCCAGATCTTACAGTGGGAACTGCAGTCACTCAACTGAGAACTTAAACACAATGGGAATAATTAAATCCTGAGGTGACAGGGGCCAAGTGGCGGCACTCAACCGTCAACAGCAAGATGAGATAGTTACTATAATGGAAAGTAGAGGCAAAGCAGCAATCAGACTAGTCTGACTTGTGTAGAGCTTTGGCATTGGCTATTTAATCATGGTGTTCCTAGAAGTGAAGCTGATGGGAAGCCTTCCACATTCTTATTTAATTTGTATAAGCAGAAAACTTCCAGGTTGAGTGGACAAAAGACTAATTTGAATTATAAAAACAGAGAATTTCAGCCCCTCAATCAATCTCCAGACTTGAATCAGTTTAAAGACCCAGAACCCCTTAAATGAAGGTGAGCTTGGGTCCCCTTGAGGAATGACACACTACACTACCAACAATTTATACTGTTAATCTTTCTCCCATCTTCCCTCAAGGAGATCTCCAGCCTTTTACCAGGGTAACTGTGCACTGGGGAAAGGGGAATGATCAGATCTTTTAGGGAGTACTGAACACTGACTCTGAGCTGGTGTTGATTCCAGGGAACACAAAACATCATTGTGGTTTTCCAGTTAAAGTAGGGGTTTGTGGAGGTCAGGTAATTAATGGAGTTTTAGTTTAGGTCTGACTTACACTGAGTCCAGTGTGTCCCTGGGCTCATCCTGTGGTAATTTCCCCAGTGCCAGAATGCATAATCGGCACAGATGTATGTAGCAGCTAGAAGAATTCCCACATTGGCTCCCTGACTGGTAGGGTGAGGGCTATTATTGTTGAAAAGGCTAAATGGAAGCCATTAGAGCTGCCTCTACCTAGAAAAATGCTAGATCAAAAACAATATCACATCCCTGGAGGGACTGCAGAGATTAGTGCCACCATCAAGGACTTGAAGGACACAGGGGTAATGATTCCCACCACATCCCCATTCAACTCTCCTATTTGGCCTGTGCAGAAGACAGGTGGATCTTGGAGAATGACAGTGGATTATCATAAGTTTAACCAAGTGGTGACTCCAATTGCAGCTGCTGTACCAGATGTGGTTTTATTCCTTCAACAAATTAACACATCTCCTGGTACCTGCTATGCAGCCATTGATTTGGCAAAAGCTTTTTTCTCCATTCCTGTCCATAAGGCCCACCAGAAGCAATTTGCCTTCAGCTGGCAAGGCCAGCAATATACCTTCACTGTCCTACCTCTGGGGTACATCAACTCTCCGACTTTGTGTCATACTCTTGCTTGCAGAAACCTTGATCACTTTTCCCTTCCATAAGATATCAAGTGGTCCATTACATTGGTGACATTATGCTGACTGGATCCAGTGAGCAAGAAGTAGCAAACACACTGGACTTATTGGTGAGACATTTGCATGCCAGGGGATAGGAAATAAATCTGACTAAAATTCAGGGACCTTCTACCTCAATGAAATTTCTAGTAGTATAGTGGTTTGGGGCATGTCAAGATATTCCTTTTAAGGTGAAGGATAAGTTGCTGCATTTGGCCCCTCCTACAACCAAGAAAGAGGCACAATGCCTAGTGGACCTATTTGGATTTTGGAGGCAACACATTCCTCATTTGGGTGTGTTACTTTAGCCCATTTATCAAGTGACCCAAAAGGCTGCCAGGTTTGAGTGGGATCCAGAACAGGAGAAGGTTCTGCAACAGGTCCAGGCTGCTGTGAAAGCTGCCCTGCTACTTGGGCCATATGACCCAGTAGATCTAATGGTTCTTGAGGTGTCAGTGGCAGATAGAGATGCTGTTTGGAACCCTTGGCAGGCCCCATAGGTGAATCACAATGGAGTACTCTAGGATTTTAGAGCAAGAACCTGCTATCTTCTGCAGATAACTACTCTTCTTCTGAGAGACAGCTGTTGGCCTGTTACTGGACTGTGGTAGAAACTAAATGTTTGACTATGGGTCATCAAGTCACCACACGACCTGAACTGCCTATCATGAACTGGATGCTTTCTGACTCATTTAGCCATAAAGTAGGATGTGCAGAGTAGCATTCCATCAGCAAATGGAAGTGGAATATAAGTGATCACGCTCAAGCAGATCCTGAAAGCACAAGCAAGTTACATAAGGAAGCAGCTCAAATGCCCATAGTCTCCACTCCTGCCACCCTGCCTTCTCTCTCCCACCTGCACTGATGGCCTCATGAGGAGTTCCCTATGATGAGTTGACAGAGGAAGAGAAGACTAGGATCTAGTTTACAGATGGTTCTGCACGATATGTAGGCACCACCCAAAAGTGGACAGCTATAGCACTACAGCCACTTTCTAGGACATCCCTGAAAGACAGTGGTGAAGGGAAATCTTCTCAGTGGGCAGAACTTTGAGCAGTGCACCCAGTTGTACACTTTACTTGGAAGGAGAAATGGCCAGATGTGCGATTATATACTGATTCATGGACTGTAGTCAGTGGTTTGCCTGCATGTTCAGGGACTTGGAAGAAGCATAATCGGAAAATTGGTGACAAGGAAATTTGGGAAAGAGGTATGTGGATAAATCTGTCTGAGTGGTCAAAAACTTTGAAGATGTTTGTATCCCATGTGAGTGCTCACCAAAGGGTGACCTCAGTAGAGGAAGATTTTAATAATTAAGTGGATAGGATGACTTTTTCTGTGGACACCACTCAACCTCTCTCCCCAGCCACCCCTGTCATTGCCCAATAGGTCCATAAAAAAGTGGCCATGGTGGCAGGGATGGAGGTGTGCATGGGCTCAGCAACAAAGACTTCCGCTCACCAAGGCAGACCTGAATACAGCCACTGCTGGGTGCCCAATTAGCCAGCAGCAGAGACCAACATTGAGCCCTCAATATGGCACCATTCCTCATGGTGAGCAGCAAGCTACTTGGTGGCAGTCAGCCACTTGGTGATTATATTGAACCTCTTCCATCATGGAAAGGGCAGTGATTTGGTTTGTCTTCACAGGTGTAGACACTTACTTTGGATATGGGTTTGCCTATCCTGCACGCAGTGCTTCTGCCAAGATTACCATCTGTGGACTCACAGAATGCCTTATCTGTGAGTTCACCCCCTACACCAACGTACACACAATGCAGGATGTGAAGTCAAGAGAGATTATTTTGGACCTTTAAGGTTTAATGTCTGCCCTACAAGGTTTTGGACTTGCGGGGGGCCTATAGCCCCTTTCCTTTGGCTGATTTCTCCCTTTTGGTATGGGAAGGTTTACCTAATGCCTGTACCACCTTTGTATCTTGGAAGTAAATAACTTGTTTTCATTTTACAGGCTCATAGGTAGAAGGAACTTTGCCTTGAGTCTCAGATGAGATTTTGGACTTGCGACGTGGGACTTTTGAGTGATGCTGGAACCAGTTAAGAATTTGGAGGACTATTAAAAAAGCATGATTGTATTTTGCAAAGTAAGAAGGACATGAGATTTGGGGAGTCAGGGGTGGAATATGTGAGGATGTTTGTCCCTTCCAAATCTGAAGCTAAAATGTGAGCTTCAATGTTGGAGGGGGTCCTAGTGGGAGGTGTTTGGGTCACAGGGGTGGATTCCTCATGAATGGCTTGGTCATGAGTGAATTCTCACTCTGAGTTCACACAAGGTCTGCTTGTTTAAAAGAATGTGGGCCAGGCACAGTGGCTCATGCCTATAATCGCAGCACTTTGAGAGGCCAAGGTGGGTGGATCGCCTGAGGTCAGGAAACAGGGTTTCACCATGTTGGTCATGGTGACCCACCATGACCAACATGGTGAAACCCCATCTCTACTAAAAATACAAAATTAGCCAGGCATGGTGGCACATGCCTGTAATCCCAGCTACTCGGGAGGCTGAAGCAGGAGAATCGCTTGAACCTGGGAGGCGGAGGTTGCAGTGAGCCGAGATCGTGCCACTGCACTCCAGCCTGAGCAACAAGAGCGAGACTCCATCTCAAAAAAAAAAAAAAAGAGTATGGTTTAAAGTCAGTTGCCTCTCACATAAAGTTCAGACCTATATCAGCTAGACATTATTAGGACATGGTTTCCACTTCCCCAGCCTAAAATACCCTCAACTCAGTTGCCTTCTCCAGGCCTATTAAATTTTGCAAGGCCCAGCTCAATTACCACCTTAAGAAAGTCTTCCAGGTGACTCTATCCCCTTGTGATTTTTCCCTCCTTGGAATCCTTAATATACTCCCAGTTGGCCACATCTATTCTGGGGTCCCTCAGTGATACACATTCTGACGCTGTTCCTGTGATCATTCCTGAGATTAAGGCTTCTGTCTCCACACACACACACACACACACACGCACGCACACACACACACACACACACAAACATGAATTCCTTGAAAGCAGGCAGAACCTTTTTTTTTTGTACTGCCCCAGAAGGACTTACACTATTCTTTGAATAACTAATAGCATTTACTGGGTGTTCATTATGAGCCAGGCACTGTACTAAGCACATTAAATGTGCTAAGTATTATATATGCTTTACCTCATTGGATTTTCCCCAGAAGGTACCATTTTAATCCCTATTTTAAATAGGGAGAAGCCAAAGTTTAAAACAACAAGTAGCTTGTTCAAGGTTGCTCAGCTTGCAGGGCACAAAACTGAGACTAAAATCACGTAAGTCTGACTCCATAGTTATTTTTCATCCACTGGGGAAGTGGTGTCTCTCTCTTCCTGGTACAGGCACTTTACATTGACCTTAATAGACTACGAACCCAGGGTAAACAGAAAAATTTATGAAACTCTTTTAGTTTAAATTGGATTCAAATTTTCAAACTATGCCTAAGGATTTGGAATTTAATACATTGTGTCCCCCTTTTGAACTGTTTCACTGATCCTTCAGTGGGTTTCTGATATAACAAGATGGCAGAGTGGATGGAGGTTTCTGAACTCATATATTTGGCATCATTAGGTTTTATAGTCTCTACAAGTTCTACACTATGAAATTTTGAATCTGAGATTAATGTGTGCTATGGTCTTCTCTCATTAAAGCTAAAGCTAGCAACAGCTATGCCAGACTATGCAGTGTATACCTAATGAGAAAAACTTTCGTTAGCATTGACCCATCACTAAAGGCTCTTTCATCACACTGTGCATTACAGACAAGCATTAGGTCTGTCTCACCTGAAATCAAATTTCCTGAGTGTGGCTGCCAATATCACAGACATGCATCCAAATCAGAAAATGTTAGGCATGTTACTATATTGCCTTATATTACATTAAATTACATATTACCTTATATTACCTTATGTTATGTATCACCCTTGTTAAAAATATATTAAGATTAAAAATACAGAAGAATGAAAAAGGATAAGGAATATTTAAATATATATATGTGCGTATACATACATATCTATATATACATCTCCAGCAGAATGAGTAAAAACAAGTTGCTACAGAAACCAACTGTAATGCTACAGAAACCAACTGAAAATGAGCGTCAGAAGTGGGTAATATAAAACTTCAAACCATCATCATTCATGACATCTACACCATTATTGTGGTGCTTGGAGACTTAACTGAAATCAGCCGCATGTAGCAAATATTTCGGGTTAGTTCTCAAATACACCATTCTCCTTCTCACATTTCTCATTTCTCCAGAATAATTATACAAACTATACTGCAAAGCCCAGAAGGGAAATTCAACTTTTATGAAGGAAACATGAAAAACCTTACACAAGAAAAATATGCTTAAATGTCTTTCTCCTTTGCTTCCCTGGTTTCTCGTTTATTTTAATTAAAACTCTCCATTTAGGGGACAAGCGATTTCATATACTAAGAAACATAAACAAAAATTTACCCTTTACAAAATATTTTCTGGTCTTCAGTGAATTATTCCTTGCAGGTAAAAAAAAAAAGCCATTGACAAAATTGATTAAATTAAAATGAAACAAACTGAATGATTTTAAGATGAACATTTTTTACACTTGAAATTATTCCCTCATTGTAGTATATTGTATATGTCCTTTCACTTTCATTTACACTTACACTACACACATACACACACACACACACACACACACACATATAATTGTTTATTGCCAATATCTCTCTGAATAGCAGAAGGTCAAAGAGACTACCTTCCTATCTTGTTAGCTGGTAACCTTTCAATTTTAGGAAGAATCACTTGTGTGAAGGCCTTTGTCTTTCTTTAATCCAATCCTCAACCCATTGTTTTATGTATCTTCCCAGGCATGAGGTGCATGCTGGCATATTTCATTCCCATTTGGTCATTTTGGGGTTTGGGGTAAGTCAAAAAAGACATAATATTCTAAATGAAACAGAGGTTTGTAGCATGGTTTTAAAAGATTCATGCATATCAAGATTGCCAGTGCTATTAAAAGATAAAACATTCAGGGTACATCATTTTTCTCATCAGATCATCACTGCATGTATTATATGAAAATATCTATCTATATCTATGCATTTATAAAGTATTTTTCCACACAATTACTGAAAGAAATTATATGATATACCAGCCCAAAAACTTTGGGGATATTCCTGGAAAATTATTTTACACACATGTAGCACTTGATCTTTTGCAAGCATTTTCCAAAGCACAATCTCATTTGGTTTTTATAACAGCCCTATGAGAGTGGGAGAGCCAGCATCATTCTCATTTTAGAGATAAGAAAATTCAGTATTATAAGCCCTTACCTAGAGTCAAAGCTGAGCAAAAAATTCTGGACTCCTAAGACAGTTATCTTTTCAGTTATCTTTTCTACTGGGCCATAAAACTACGCTTTATTCTTCTTTCATTTTTAAAAAAATACTCACAAATGTACTCATTATAAACAAACTGTGGTTTTGAATTCTATAAATAAAGGTGGAAATATAAAGTCTTCCTTCACTCTAAAAGGCTACAACCTGGTAATATCTATAATAATTTGTATGAAACATTTACACTCTATTTACTTATGTGTGTATCTTAGAGTTGGTAGTCACTAGACTACTGCCTACAGATCAAACCTGGCCTGCCATTTTCGTTGGTTTTTGTTTTTGTTTTGTTTTGTTTTTCTTTTCTTTTTAACAGTCTGAAAGGTTACAATTGTTTTTACATTTTTAAATAGCTGAAAAACCACAAAAGAGAAAGACTATTTCATCACAAGTGAAAATTACATGAAATTCAAATTTCAGAGTCCATAAAGTTTATTGGAACACAGCAATACTCATTCATTTACATACTGCTTTTGCTTTGCTGCCCATTTGAGTAGTTAAAATAAAGATTACATATCCCAAAAGCCTAAAATATTTATTATCTAACCTGTTACAGGAAAGATTTACCAAACCCATTACAAAGCGTCCCTTTTTTTTTATTCATACCAAATTATCTTTTTTTAATCAGGAAACAGGTGAATGCCCATATTTGGAACACCCTTTATGCAACACTCAGAGTATTTCAGTCCTTAGAAAGGCAGGTGAAAGTTGAGAGGCCTTTTCTGGGAATATGATTATCTGGCTAAGAATCATAGAACATTCTATATGACACAGGAATCACATAGTGCGTCATTTAGAAGGTTCCACTACCTAACCAACACTGTTATGTAGAGAAGGAACTACATACAGAATGGAGGTAATATAGCAAATTTTAACAGCCTGTACCTGGAAATATCTACCCTATTATTCAGAGTAGCAGCATGGAAACACTTACCCAAAACACAACAGAGAAGTTCCTGTAATTCCTTGCTTCTATGAGAAAATATCTTCAGGGACAGACATCCCCACCTCTCTTTCTCCAAATCTACTAAAATTACAGAACACCCAAGTAACTCTTCAGACCACTAGGCCCAATTACCTCTGGATTTGGGCCCAGTGCAAGTCACAACACGTAACAAAATTGAAATTTCAGACCATATCCTCAAACTTCTGGCCCAGTCTGTTAAAGGGACCAACACACCTGTTAAACATATGATGGCAAGCTGCCATGTTTTGCAGTAGTCAGAAGTTCAGTGTCATGTAAAAGACTTTTGTCCCTGGTGCTGAGATAATGAGCTTGTTCTTTCTTGATGATTTATGGGATGCAGATGAGAAACTGGCTGATTGAGGTTTTGGAAGATGAAAGTTTTCCGCTCTTGGCAGTAGCACCAGTACCCTGGAGAATGAGGTTTAACTGCTCCAGTTCCATGACTGCCATCAGAAAAAGTCGAATAACAAATTATGCCAGGTGAATATAAATAATACTCATTTTGTTCAATTTGCTACCTGCAACAGGGCTAGAAAGCACTCTGAACTTCTTTGCAAATCCAAACCATAGTATTCTGATACATAGTTACTGATATGCACCAGGGTCTTGTTTGTGTAGGGCAACGAACTGGTCCCTAAATTACTACCCGTCCTTCAGTCTTTGTCTTAATGCTTGTATTTAGGCCTCTACATTTGCTCCCTGTTAGCCATAGGCCTAACTTTTTCTCCTACCCGCTTAATGTACCTCAATAAACAATTAAACTTGCTTTCAAGATGCAGATATTATATATCTGAGGTTAATAAGTACTATGTTATATTATGGACTTTGCTTCAAATAAATATTAAGTAAATCCTTCTGTCCAATATAACAACCACCAGCCACATGAAACTATTTAAATTAATTAACATTAAAGTTTTAGATTTACTTCTTCAGCCACTCTAGCATATCCCAACAACTCAATATTCATATGTGGTCTGTGGATAACATATTGAACAGTGCAGATATAGAATATTTTCATCACTGCAGAAAGCTCTATGAGACAGTTCTGCTCTACACCTTAACCCACAAAAGTAAAATTATCTTTTAAGCCCACTCTTTTTATCTACCTATTCTCACAATTCAATGCAAAGCTTTCGCCTTTTTTCTACTTTTGAAAAAAAAAACTAAGGACTAGAAGGAAACTAATATTTTTTGAGTGTCTGTCATGTGCAAGGCATGGGCCCTTAGTTCACACAAATAATTTCATTTAATTCTCCCAAAGTAGTCTAAGAGTTTCTTTATTCCCAGGTCCACTCTCTGTGAGGCCCCTGGCCTAGAACATGTCCACAGTCATCTCTTTACTAATTATTTCTCTTATTAAACAAATACCTACTGACACCTATAGTGTTTCTGGAATGGTTCTAGAAGTTGCTTTTCCCTGGCACTGGTCCTAGGAATCCTATTTTCTCAAGTTTTGCTCTCTTTTCCTTTCTCGGAAATTTCCACAACTCCTCCTCTTGGAATGAGTGTAGCCCACTTTCTCTCTGAATATCTTCCCACAGTTTTCCTTTAACAGCTCATATGATTCCCAAACCTGCCTGCTGTCCATCTTAATCCTCAGCCCATGGCTTGTGAAAACAGTCACTCCTGCTGCCAAAATTGCAAGGGAGATCTAAATATCCCCCACTAGTTTTCATAATACCATTTGAAATTCAAAATTTACATATGAATATTAAAAGACAATGACTGTACATTCACTGGTCTAAGAAAGTCTGGTTGTCTTATTTAAACATTGAATATATATTGAATATTGAATATATATTTGTATTAGTCCATTCTCACACTGCTAGAAAGACATACATAAGACTGGGTAATTTATGAATAAAAGAGGTTTAATTGACTCCAGTTCCACAAGCTGTACAGGAAGCACGGCTGGGGAAGCCTTAGGAAACTTATGATCATGGTGGAAGGCAAAGGGGAAGTAAGCACCATCCTCACATGGTGGAGCAGGATAAAGAGAGTTAAGGGGGAAGTGCTATACACTTTCAAGCAACCGACCTCACGAGAACTCTATCACAAGACAGCACTAGGGGGATGGTGCTAAACCATTAGAAACTGCCCTCATGATCCAATCACCTCCCACAGGCCCCTCTTCCTACACTCAGGATCACAATTCAACATGAGATTTGCGCAGGGACATAGAACAAAATCATATCATTCCACCCCTGGCACCTCCCAAACCTCATGTGCTTCTCACATTTCAAAACACAACTATGCCTTGCCAACATCCCCCAACGTCTTAACTCATTCCAGCATTAACTGAAAAGTCCAACTCCAAAGTCTCATGTAAGGCAAAGCAAGTCTCTTCTGCCTATGAGCCTATAAAATCAAAAGCAAGTTAGTTACTTTCAAGACACAACGGAGTTATAGGCATTGGGTAAATGCTCTCGTTCCAAAAGGGAAAAAGTGGCCAAAATAAAGGAGGTACAGGCCCCACGCAAGTCTGAAACCCAGCAGGGTGGTCATTAAATCTTAAACCTCAAAAATAATCTCCTTTGACTCCATGTCTCACATCCAGGGCACACTGATGCCTGGTGGGTGTGGGTAGCTCCACCCCCTGGCTTCACAGGGTACAGCCCCTGTGGCTGCTTTCACAGGCTGGCATTGAGTGCCTGCAGCTTTTCCAGGCACACAGTACAAGCTGTTGGTGGATCAACCATTCTGGGGTCTGGAGGACAGTGGCCCTCTTCTCACAGCTCCACTAGGCAGTACCCCAGTGGGGACTCTATGTGGGGGCTCCAACCCCACATTTCCCTTCCACGCTGCCCTAATAGAGGTTCTCCATGAGGATTCCACCCTTGCAGCAGACTTCTGCCTGGGAATCCAGGCATTTCTATAAATCCTCTGAAATCTAGGTGGAAGCTCCCAAGCCTCAATTCTCACTCTCTATGCACCTGCAGGCCCAACACCATGTGGAAGCCACTGAGGCTTGAGGCTTGCACTCTCTGAAGCAATGGCTCAAGCTGTACCTTGGCCCTTATTAACCACAGCTGGGGCTGGAGCTGGAGCAGCCGCAATGCAGGGCACCATGTCCCAAGGCTGCACAGAGCAGTGGGGCCCCTGGCCTGGCCCATGAAACCATTTTTCCCTCCTAGACCTTCAGGCCTGTGATGGGAGGGGCTGCCAGAAAGATCTCCAAAATGTCTTGTAGGCGTTTTTCCCATTGTCTTGGCTATTAACATTCGGCTCCTCTTTATGCAAATTTCTGCAGCCAGCTTAAACTCCTTCCCAGAAAACGGGTTTTTCTTTTCTACTACATGGTCAAGCCACAAATTTTCCAAACTTTTATGCCCTGTTTCCCTTTTAAATATAAGTTCCAATTTCAGACCATCTCTTTGTGAATGCACATGAACATATGCTATTAGAAGCAGCCAGGCCACATCTTGAATGCTTTGCTGCTTAGAAATTTTGTCCACCAGATGCCCTAAGTCAAGTCTCTCAAGTTAAAACATAAGTTGATCTCTAGGGCAGGGGCAAAATGCCACTAGTCTTTTTGCTAAAGCATAGCATGAGTGACCTTTACTCCAGTTCCCAATAAATTCCTCATCTCCATCTGAGACCTCCTCAACCTGGACTTCACTGTCAATATCACTATCAGCATTTTGGTCACAACCATTCAAAAAGTCTCTAGGAAGCCCCAAACTTTCCCTTATCTTCCTATCTTCTGAGCCCTCCAAACTGTTCCAACCTCTGCTCATTTTAGGTATCATTATAGCAATGCCCAATTTCTCTGGTGCCAAATTTCTGTATAAGATCCTTTTCACAGTGTTATAAAGACATAACTGAGACTGGGTAATTTATGATTAAAAGAGGTTTAATTGACTCCCAGTTCCACAGGCTGTACAGGAAGCATGGCTGGGGAGGCCTTAGGAAACTTAACAATCATGGTGGGAGGAAAGGGGAAAGCAAGCACCATCCTCACATGGTAGAGCAGGAGAGAGAGAGTTAAGGGGGAAGTACTACATACTTTCAAGCAACTGGATCTCATGAGAACTCTATCATGAAACAGCACTAGGGGGATGGTGCTAAACCATTAGAAACCACCCTCATGATTCAATCACCTCCCAACAGACCCCACCTCCAAAACTCAGGATGACAATTCAACATGAGATTTGGGTGGGGACACACAGCCAAATCATATCAATATTGAATACTGAATTCAATATATTTGAATACTGAATTCAATATATTTGAATATTGAATTCAATTTTTTAATACTGAATTCAATATTTTTAATATTGAAGGTTGTGGCACCTCAGCTTCAATGAGTCTTCAGAAATAGGCAATTTTTATTAGAAATATTTTGAATCTGGCCAGGTTCAGTGGCTTACATCTGGAATCCTAGCACTTTGGGAGGCTAAAGTGGAAGGATCACTTGATCCCAGGAGTTAGAGCTCAGCCTTGGCAACATAGTGAGACCCCATCTCTACGAAAAAAAAAAAAAAAATTTTAGCTGGGCATGGTGGTATGCACCTGTGGTCCCAGCTACTTGGGAAGCTGAGATGGGAGGATCACCTGACTTTGGGAGGTTGAAGCTGCAGTGAGCTGTGATCGCATCACTGCACTCCAGCCTGGGAGTAAGACAGAGTAAGAACCTGTCTAAAAAATACATATATATATATATATATATATATATATACACACACATATTTTATATATATATACATGCACACACATATACCCATAGAAACTTTAATGCAAAGTCTACTAGAAACAGTAATAGATAAAAGACAGCCACCAATTCTTTGACATGCCTCCATCCAGAAGTGGAGTGTGCTTCTCTTTCCCTTGGATAGGGCTGACTGGAACTGCTTTAACCAATGAAGGCTGATGGAAGTCATGTGATGCCATTTCCAGGCTTAGACTTTAAGAGAGCTGGCAGCTTCAACTTTGGCATCTCTTGGTAGCTGACTCACCCCATAAGAATTCTGACAACCTGCTAGAGAGATCACCTGAGGGTATGTGGAGAGGGATCTCAGCTTTTCAGGTGTCCATCAAGGTGCCAGGATGTAGGATGAACTCATCTTGGGCCCTCTGGATGAATCCAGGCACCAGTTATATACCACCCAGTAACCAGAGTCTCTGCCATGTGGAGCAGAATAGCAAAGCCACGTCTTGCCAAATTCCTGTCCCAGAAAATCATGACAGATAATAAAATAGATTTGTTTAAGCTGTTAAGTGTTAAAGTAGTTTATTAGGCAATAATAGATAACCAGAGCTTAGGGCAACAAATTAGCTGGTATGACTGGCTACCATCCTCATGGACATGTTTCAGGATGGTCTTCTAACAGAATCATGAGGAGGTGAGAGACAGCCAGACCCACTTCATGGAAAGTGTAAGTCGTAGAAGCATATGGTGCTACTGGTAAGATAAAAATGGTCTGGGTGAGGAAGAAGAAAAAAATACCACTGGTTTCCCTGGTTGCTCTATCCCACAATTCTACCTGCACACTACCCAACTTTTAAGAAATGGCCTGTTATTAATATTTTGAATTTACTTGATTATCTTCCCCACTAGGCTGGAAGGTTCCTGAAATCAGGGATCTCTTGCCTAGATCCTCAGCATCTAGAGAAAATATCACAAATGAGTTACGACAGGTTTCAGTTTCTAGTCCAGCCCTGCTATTCCCTAGTGATGTAGCCTTCGGCAACTTAACCTCCATGTACCTCAGTTTTGTCATCTATAAAGAAGGGGGAATAGTATGGTGCCTATCTCATTGAGTACTAAGAATTGAATGACAAAATATACTGCTTGATTAATAAATAAAAATATCTACTTCTTGATAATCTTGTACCTGGCTAGCCCTGGTGGACTGATTAATACCAACAAAAGTACTTGCTTGTACACTAAAGATTAATTACAATACTAGTAGAGACCTCGGAAACCAGACTAGGCAGAGGTCTCAAAGAACAGGCTTTTTAGGGGAACATGTTGTGGTGCTAATTGGAGATCTCCAATCCAATTCTCTTTCACTTATATCCACCTCATAATAGGAGCAGATTTGTCATGGCCCCAAGTTATCTATTGGACTTGGGTCATTGTGAAAGAGAGGACAGGAAAGACTCTTTAATCCCTAGGCTGGAAAGCAATAGCCCAGCTTCAAAAGTTGGTTCTTACCCTGGCCTCTGCTGACCCAAGACCCAGTTTCCCAAGGACATGGTAAGTATAGATATGGTTCAGTAATCAGGAGATCTGACAAAAGGAAAAAAAAAGCAGAAAAAAAATGGAGAAACAAATGCTAAATCCACGAGGCTACACATGATGTGGTTCTGCTGTGCTGGAGGTGGCTTCTGGTGGGCAGATGGTGGGAGGCAGGGGTGAAGTGACTGAAGCCCTTGTGATTTTTGCTGGGGTCTCCATAACTAAGAGTAAGCTGGGCCAGTAGAGGAAGGGCTGTCAGTGTCTTCAAGTTCAGCAAGTTCTGGAGAATGTTAAGTAGTTAGAATGTTAATCCTGATAGCCACAAACGCAGTTTCTAGAAGAAGGAGGAAGGGAGGGAAGAAAGGAGAAAGAGAAGGAGGAGAAGGAGAGTGGGGAGGAAGAAGAGGAGACAACATTTTGGGGAGTGAGAATAGCAGAGGGATTGAGGACACAGCTTCTGGAGTCCATATTCCTGATTGGTATCCCAATTCCATTACTTCTTGAACAAACTAGTTAACCTCTGTAAGCCTGTTTCACTCTCTGAAAAGGGGGCACAAAAATAATATGTGCCTCAAAAGAGTTTGGGGATTCAGTGAGATATTTTAGTTATACCCTAAAGCATGATTACCCCATTTAAAGTATCTATTGCACTCTTCCACTTTTTCTTCCTCCATTGCATATAATGCCCTTGAACATTTAAAACTGTGGGTGTGGGTGTGAGTTTGTGTAAACATGTATATACACAGGTGTGTTTGTGTGTATAAACTGTACGTGTGCAGTTTATTCTTTACTGTTTTTCTCCCTCTACTAGAATACAAGATTCAAGAGGGCAGGTATACTAATTCTTATTTTTTAATGGGTCCCAAGTACTTAGAAGGGTACCAGGTGACTAGCAAGTACTTGGTAAATATTTTTTGAATGAATGAATAAGTGGAGGTAAAGCACCTAACTTACAATAAATACTCAATGGCTTCTACTGTTATTTGCTAACTCCTGCTGCTTAAATCCTGTCTGGATTACATTCTCAGAAGTACTGTGTTCCATAATGCTGAGCTCAGTCCTTCTGTACAGCACTTACCGCATTTTTCTCATATTATAACTTCTCTATTTGTGTATCTTATTTCCTCTCCAAGAATAAAAGGGGAGCAATTAGATTATTAGGTTCAGTGATTAAAGACCAGGCCATTATGTGTAGTGGTTAAAAGAATAGACTTTTAAACCAGACCTCAGTTTGAATATTCAGTTTTGCCACTTACTGGGTGCCCTTGGGCAAGTTATTGTCACTAAGCTTAATTGTTCTCATCAACTTAATGAGTATGATAGTTGTTCTTCCCTCATAAAATCGGTTTGAAGATTAAATGAGATACTGCTTTTAAAATGCTTAGCACAGTGCCTGACACATAATAAACAGAAAATAAATGTCAACTGTGATTATTCATCATTGCCTCCCTCTTGGTATTTTGCATGATGCCTTACATAAAACATCCTATAGAGCAAACAATCACTGAATGAATGCATCTCAAACTTAACCTTAAACAACCCAAGGCTTCCCACAGTTCTCTTAATGTTCTCTCATTCTTCCCTGCTTTGTCCTCAGTCCAAGTCTTCCTGGACAACTGAGTTCCAATTTCCCCTGCAGACTGATTGCATCACCTCTCATGTTATCCTGCTCCCAGTGGCGAGCCAAAGCTGTCATTCTTACAGCAGTCTGGCAGGGCTGCAGATGACTCTTCAGGCTCGCTCTCTAGTCTGTCACAGATCAGGTCAAGCAACAAAAAAAAACAGATTAGATGCCAAGGACTTACTGCATTTTAATGCTTGGTTCCTGGCCCATGTATATGCTGAGGGACAATAATTACAACAATATGACCTTGCTTAACAAATTGGTCTGTCAAACCAGGTCTTGCAAAATGACTTGGATGAATTC
This sequence comes from Homo sapiens, assembly GCF_000001405.40. Classification (NCBI taxonomy): domain Eukaryota; kingdom Metazoa; phylum Chordata; class Mammalia; order Primates; family Hominidae; genus Homo; species Homo sapiens. The sequence goes on along the minus strand of NC_000014.9, from coordinate 81,831,372 downwards.
AAGCTTAACTTGTGATCTTCCAACTCAACAGTTGCTATACACACACTGATTAACATGGTTTGGCTGTGTCCTCACCCAAATCTCATCTTGAATTGTAATCCCTATAGTCCCCACATGTTGAGGGAGTGACCCAGTGGGAGGTGATTGGACCATGCTGTTCTCATGGTAGTGAGTTGAGTTCTCACGAGATCTGACGGTTTTATAAGGCAGTTTTCCCTGCTCTTGCTAGCTCTCTCTTTCCTGCTGCCACATAAGGAAGGTCTTTGCCTCCCCTTCACCTTCCACCATGCTTGTAAGTTTCCTGAGACCTCCCCAGCCATGTGGAACTGTGAGTCAATTTAACCTTTATAAATGACCTCGTTTCAGGCAGTTCTTTATAGCAGTGTGAGAATGAACTAAGACATTGATCTACCATATTCACTGTCAAAACTGAAAGGAAATGGAAGCAGACATTCATTCATTTGTTCAACAATTATTTGCTGAGTGCTAAGCTCACACTGTTGAATGAGACATAGCTTCTTGCACTTTGAAAAAGCTTATAGTATAATGGTAAGGATCACAGAAAAGTCAATGTTCTACGTAGAATAATCTAAACTCAAAAACTTCAGACTCATTCTGGAAAGCTTAGCTGGTAACTAAGGCAAGGACTAGGAAAAACCTATTTGGAAGAAATGTGGCATTTGATATGTTTTCCTCAATCATCCAGGTAATTCTCTCATTTTCAGTTCTCTCTGCCAGGGCAAATTTGAAGACTCCTTTGTGTACGAAATAAGGAACATGTTCTATCACTGATGTCCTCAGTGAAGATGTCCAGCTGGTTTTATCTACTTCTACCTCGGTCAGTGTATTAATTTTCTATTGCTGCTATAACAAGTTACTATAAACTCAATGGCTTAAAATAACACAAGTTTTATATCTGACCGTTATGGAGGCCAGAAGTCTGAAATGAGTCTCACTAGGCTGAAATTAAGATGTCAGTAGGACTGTCTTCCTTTCTGGAGCCTCTAGGAGACAGTCTGCCTTATTGCCTTTTCCAGCTTCTAGAGGGTCTCCATATTCCTTGGCTCTTTGCCAGCTTCCACTTTGAAAGCCAGAGAAATGGCAGGTTAAGTCTTTCCCATGTCACATCATTCTGGTACTAACTCTCCTGCCTCCCCCTCCCACACTTACAGGCCCCTTGTGATTACACTTGACCTGCCTAGGTAATCCAGGAAAACCTCCTGGTATTAAGATCAGCCAATTAGCAACCTCAATTCTCCTTTGCTACATAACGCATTTAAAAGTCGAGTATTAGGATGCAGACATTTTGGGGGGACAATTGTTCTGCCTACCACAGGGATGTAAGCTTTGCTTTCATGCCATTATTACTGAGAGGTGACAGCCTGCTGGCAGCCCTCGCTCACGCTCAGCGCCTCCTCGGCCTCGGCGCCCACTCTGGCCGCGCTTGAGGAGCCCTTCAGCCCGCCGCTGCACTGTGGGAGCCCCTTCCTGGGCTGGCTGAGGCCGGAGCCGGCTCCCTCAGCTTGCCAGGAGGTATGGAGGGAGACGCGGGGCGGGAACTGGGGCTGCTCGCGGTAGGCCAGAGCAAGTTCTGGGTGGACATGGCCTTGGCGGGCCCCACACTCCGAGCAGCTGGCCGCCCCACCAGCCCCGGGCAGTGAGGGGCTTACCACCCGGGACAGCAGCTGTGGAGGGTGCGCCGAGTCCCCCAGCAGTGCCAGCCCGCCGGCGCTGTGCTCGAATCCTCGCCTGGCCTCAGCTGCCTCCCCACCGGGCAGGGCTCAGAACCTGTAGCCTGCCATGCCTCCCCAAGCCCTGGGCTCCTGCACGGCCTGAGCCTCTCCCACGAGCGCAGCCCCCTGCTTCGGGGCCCCCCCGTCCCATCAACCACCCAAGGGCTGATGAGTGTGGGCGCATGGCCCAGGACTGGCGGGCAGCTCCACCTGCAGCCAGGTGCAGGATCCACTGGGTGAAGCCAGCTGGGCTCCTGAATCTGGTGGGGACTTGGAGAACCTTTATGTCTAGCTAAGGGATTGTCGATGCACCAATGGGCACTCTGTATCTAGCTAATCTCCTGGGGACTTGGAGAATCTTTATGTCTAGCTAAGGGATTGCGGATGCACCAATCAGCACTCTGTATCTAGCTCAAGGTTTGTAAATGCACCAATCAGCACTCTGCATCTAGCTCAGGGTTTGTAAATACACCAGTCAGCACTCTGTGTCTAGCTCAAGGTTTGTAAATGCACCAATCAGCACCCTGTGTCTCTAGCTCAAGGTTTGTAAATGCACCAATCAGTGCTCTGTGTCTAGCTAATCTACTGGGGACTTGGAGAACTTTTGTGTCTAGCTCAGGGATTATAAACACACCAATCAGCACCCTGTCAAAACGGACCAATCAGCTCTCTGTAAAACAGACCAATCAGCTCTCTGTAAAATGAACCAATCAGCAGGATGTGGGTGGGGACAGATAAGGGAATAAAAGCAGGCTGCCTGAGCCAGCAGTGGCAACCCGCTTGGGTCCCCTTCCACACTGTGGAAGCTTTGTTCTTTTGCTCTTTGCAATAAATCTTGCTGCTGTTAGCTCTTTGGGACCACACTGCCTTTATGAGCTGTAACACTCACCGCGAAGGTCTGCAGCTTCTCTCCTGAGGCCAGCTAGACCACGAACCCAGGAAGAATGAACAACTCCAGACGCGCTGCCTTAAGAGCTGTAACACTCACTGCGAAGGTCTGCAGCTTCACACCTGAAGCCAGCAAGACCACGAACCCACCAGAAGGAAAAAACTCCAAACACATCTGAACATCAGAAGGAACAAACTCTGGACACGCCGCCTTTAAGAACTGTAACACTCACTGCGAGGGTCCACAGCTTCATTCTTGAAGTCAGTGAGACCAAGAACCCACCAATTCCAGACACATTACCATACCCTAAATATTCGGAGTGAAAGAGAGGAAATATTTCTGAATGTCTCAAACAATTGGATGTAGATAGTGTAGTAGGTTGGATGCAGAACTAAGTCTTCAAACTCAAGTCTCAGAACATAGCAAACCCCTTGTCAGTGGATAGTCTGATATCATCAGAAGGCTACAAGAAGGACAAGTGTGACTCAGATTTCATACAGATCCCTGGAGGTAGTTCTTGATGCTGAATAATCCATGAGATTTAACATCTTTTCATTTCGAATAACCATTTCTCCCTCTCTCCCCATTTTTTCTCCAGCCTATCTTGTATCTGATTCAGAACTGGGAAAGCTCTAGAAATTTGAATAAGAAGATGTTCTTCCTACCAACATTAGCAACTTTTGAAATGATTACTCAGGCCAGGAACTTTGGAATCATTATTGATTCTCCTTTTCCCAGCACCCCATATGCAATTCTTCAGTAATACTTTTTGGCTCTATTTTTCAAATATATACCAAATTGAAGTACTTCTCATCACATCTGCAACTCCCATCCCCCTTCAGCACTCACCATCTCACGCCACGTCTATTGTGATGGCCTGCTCTGCTGGCTTTTCTGCTTCCGCTCTTATTTCCAGGATGTTCTCGATCCTGAAACCCGAAGTGCTATTTTTAAAACAAAAAGCAGATCATGACACTTTTTTCCCAAATGCTTCTTCAGTGGCTTTCCACACACTTAAAATAATATTCACAATCCACATCATGGTTTGCAAGGCCCTATGCAGTCTGATCTGGACAAACTCCCAACCCTATCTACAAACATCTTTTCCTCCTTGTTTCTCACTTAGGGCATTTTACACACACCAATCTCCTGCCCATACAGCATTTTCTCCAGGTCTTCCCATGGTCAGCTGCTTCATATTATTTAAGATGTGATTTGAATGTAGGGTAGCAAGATGAAGTTGAATACATTTGTGAAATCTGAATTTCATATTAACAATGAATAAATTTTTTACTATAAGTATATCCCATTGTCAGAGGCATTTTAACTAGAACAACTCCATCTTGAATAGGGGGTAGGTAAAATAAGGCTAAGACCTGCCAGGCTGCATTCCCAGTAAGTTAAGGCATTATTACTCACAGGATGAGATAGGAGGCTGGCACAAGATACAGGTCATAAAGACCTTGCTGATAAAAACAGGTTGCAGTAAAGAAGCCAGCTAAAACCCACCAATTCAAGATGGCAATAACAGTGACCTCTGGCCGTCCTCACTGCCTCACTCCCACCAGCAATATGACAGTTTACAAATGCCATGGCAATGTCAGGAAGCTACACTAGGTGGCCTAAAAAAGGGAGGCATAAATAATCCACCCCTTGTTAAGCATGTAATAAAAAAAAAGCCATAAAAATGGGCAACCAGAAGCCCTCAGGGCTGTTCTGTCTATGGAGTAGCCATTCTTTTATTCCTTTACTTTCCTAATAAACTTGCTTTCACTTTACTGTATGGATTCGCCCTGAATTCTTTCTTGTCCAAGATCCAAGAACTCTCTCTTGGGGTCTGGACCCGGACCCCTTTCTAATAACTCCATGAAAATACATACTGGGCATCCTGTATATTTATTTGCTAATTCTGGCCATCTTATTTAAATGACATTTATTCAATGAGGTATCTAAACACCCTCACCTCCTTCACTTTCTATCTTTTTAACCTGATGCTATTATTAATATTACTGTTATTGCACTTGTATTAATTGCTTATTAGTTTATGTTTATTATGTATCCACCTGAGTAGATGTAAGCTCCATGAGTTAGAGAACCTATTTTATTCACACAGTAGCTCTAGAACCAGAACTGCCTGTAAGACTTAATAAGATTTGTTTAAAAAAATAAATGAATAAATGTCTAAGTTTATTTGACCTTTATGCCCTGATTTATATGGTACCTCCCTTTTTCTCCTGAAAGCAGTATACAGCTGCCTGGGCTGTTGGGAAGTCACCAGGAATTTGATTATCACAGACAGCACTTAAAAAAAAAGAGCCCCAATCGATGTTTCAAAATATGCTCCCATTAGATGTATTTATGCAGATTAGCACTGGTCAAGCACTATAGGGGTTTCAGTCAATGTCAGACCCTCTGCCATAGAAGGACACTGTGAATGGCATTTCCCTTTCTGTTTGAGAGGAATGAGGAGCAGCTGGCATGAGACTCCTCTGGGAATCCATTTGCATTTAATTGTCTGGGCACTTAAGGAAGAGGTAGGGTCACTTTCCCAGTTCTGCTTTCCTATTAATTTAAATGCATACATTCAAATCAACTTCTTCTTTCTGCCTGGATGGGGACAATTACTATATTTGACATTTGCTAGTCCTCAGCAATGCCTGAGACTTGTGAATAATTTAGGAATGCTGAGTTGTTCCCTAATCAAGACAACTGAATGGCAGTAAGAGCTGGCCTTGTAGTATCAGCAGCTCCCTGCCAAAAATGACAGCATTAAAATAAGGAAAGTGATAGGCACATTTAGAAGAAAAAGCACTATCCCACAGAATTCTGCAATATGCTCATTCTTTGAATATAATCTCTTTCTGATATTTATATCACTATAGCTACAAATAACAACTCGATATATGGTTAACAAGAACGAAGAGAAAACTCACCAGTCCTATACTCTGAATTTTATGGAAAAGTTTCTGCCCCATATAGGCTGAGCCCTCATTCCTCAAAACCACATGCCATGATATGGAATATATGGTCATTGTTTGTTCAATTATCAAAACTACATCAAGTAGCTACTATGTGTTAAATACAATCTAAGAACCAGGGATACGATTTAAAAAAAAAAAAAGACACAATCTCAGGGTACACAGAAGTTATTGATAGAAATAGTTATTAATCAAACAATGCCATGAGTATATGTAAACTTATCCATTGTAGTAAGCGCTATAAAGAAAAACTTTTACAACGAGATGAGAGGTCAATATAGGAAAAACTGATTGGGAATAGTGAGAAAGGAGATGGCTGGTGTCAGAGAAGCTTTTTTTGAGGAAATAACTTGAAAGATGAGATTCAACAAATGAGTTAAAATTTTTCAGAAGAGGACTAAAAGTCTGGGTCTTCAAACTGATGGGTTTCAGGACATGCTACCCCAAAACATGGCACCTTGGAATACTGAATATTTTCAATTAAGGTGAAGAAATTTGAGAAATGACAGAAAGGACTCTGTGACCTTCCCTAGCACTTCTCCCCTGAAGCAGGTCATAAGACCTTCAAGTGAGAAGTGCCATAAGTAAAAACCATCCTTTGCTCCAAAGATGGAGGCATGCTGATAGGAACCTGCATGAAGAGGTCTTGGCAAGTTACCCCTAGTTTACTCCCCTTCGCTCATACCCTTTGTCCTATCACATTTTCCACGCCTTTTTACTCTTCGTGGAACCTAGCATAAATATGCTCAGGTTTAAGCGTTTCTTTGAATCTTCATTTCTTGTTTGAATCTTCATTTCTGTGTCACATAAAACATATATTAAATAAATGTATATTTTTTTCTCTTGTTGATCTGCCTTTTGTTTCAAGGACTCCAGAGGAGAACTTAGAAGAATACAAGGAAAAGATACTTTTTTTCTCTACAAAATTAATCCTACATGAAGGCTCAGTGACAGGAACAAGCTTGTAGCATTTGAGAAACCAAATGGAGTTCAATATGGCAGAAACCTAATAAGCCAGGGACAAAGTGGCAGAGAGGGACTGAAGCAGGACACAAATTAGGTAGCAGCAGGGCAAGGGAGGGCTCGTTGGCCACCAGGAATAAAATTTTATTCTCAGTGCAAACACCTAACTTGTCTTAAGCTGGTGAGCAATAGGATTAAAATTGCATTTCAAAAAGTTCTCTCTGACTCTTGAAATAAAACTAGCTTGGAGGAGATACTCTAGAGTAGGATGAAGGCTCAAAGATCCATTGGTGAGTAAGAAAGGAAATATCAGAATACTGGTATTTTTTAATCAGAACTTCTATTCTTATGCATATTTATAATGCAGAAGAAATACTAGTGCAGTACTACAAGTATAATGTTAACATATAAACAAACATGTATTGGAAGTGTGTCCTCATTGATAAAAGGATAAGAGCACAGGATCAAAAAATACAAGGTAACGAATAGCTCAGGCAAGTTAGAAGCCCATGGAGAAAACGAGAGGGGGGAATTTGAGATGGTTATATGTAAGAGAGGGAAAAAAAAAACCTTTCCTCTACCCTTTTAAGTTCTCGGGCTAGAACCTGAGAATTAGACTGACAAAAAATTAACAAGAGAAAGGTATAACAATTTTATTTGATAATAACATTCTAATTTTTACATGCATGGAAGTCTTCATAGAAATGAAGTAGAGACCCAAAGAATGAGTAGACACAGGGGCATCTATGCCATTTTAACAAAGGATGATAAATTTGTGAAGAAGTGACAAGTCAAAAGAGAAGAGGTTGAACATTTAAGGGCAATAAATGGTGGGAAGAAACATGTAAGAGAAAACAATAAAATATAAGAGTGATTTTTATAAAGTTTGTCTGTGCAGACTCATTTTGATGCTGACATTCTGTCTGCAGTGATAAGGATTGTTTTGATCCTGGTATAATGGAGGGCAGAGGCAATACCTTCACAAAAGGAACCATATATCCTGCTTTTAGGTAGATGGGAAGAGGGCAAAATAGTCCTATGCCAAAGAGATGTATTTTGAAGTGGCATAGACTGGTTTATTTTATACCCAGGGTGTCCCTCTCTGCAGATGATGCTGCATAGCGTTGCTCCCTTGGGGAGAAACACATTCACAAACCAGCAGTCACAATCAGTGTCCTTCTAGGACTTCAGATTTTGGGGTCACACTGCAGACACCAGGCTTTCTTTTCCCTCCACATTTTAACATATCTGGCAAGTCTCTACAGATATGGTCCACCACCAGACTTTTAATTATGCCCCAGTGGTATGGTTTGACTTCATCCCCACCCAAATCTCATCTTGAATTCCCACATGTTGTGGGAGGGACTCGGTGGGAGGTAATTGAATCATGGGGGCAAGTCTTTCCTATGCTGTTCTCATAACAGTGAATAACTCTCATGAGACCTGACGGTTTAAAAAGAGGCATTCCCCTGCACAAGTTCTCCCTCATTTTGCCTGCCTCCATCCACGTAAGATGTGACGCTCCTCCTTGCCTTTCTGCCATGATGGTGAGGCCTCCCTAGCCATGTGGAACTGTGAGTTCTCCATTAAACCTCTTTCTTTTGTAAATTGCCCAGTCTCAGGTATGTCTTTATCAGAAGCATGAAAACGGACTAATATACCCAGTTTCGGGTTCTCCAGAGAAAGACTGTTCATCTTTTTAAGGTCCTCTCAAGGCCCCCTGAAGTAAATTATGCATGTCTCACATAGGGTACATTTTGGGTTCTACTATCCCAAATATACCATCTAAATTTGGTAAAAATCCATCTAGGCATTTTCTTGAGATATGATAATGGTCAAATAGAAATCTGAGCTGCTACTATTCCTCTCCATCCTCACCCAAGATCATTATTTGAATGCCCCACAAAGAATGATGGGCTGGGGTAAGTCTGTGACAGCTCTCAGGACTCATTTTGCATTTTTTATTGTGAGGCCATTTCCCCAAACCCCAAGGCATGGGTAATCTTTACCACCATCTTCTTTGACTTGAGCTCAGTATCCACTAGCCAGGAAATTTAAAAAACAAAAACAGAAACAACTCAGGCATAGTTTTCTTCAATATGTTGTGCAATTGGAAAGTTTGCTTGGTTGTGGTAAGCCTGGATATAACTGAGAAATTTCACTATCTTTAACCTCAATCTGCATAACAAAGTCGATGTTAGCTGCTTAGCATAATGGGAAGATATTCAGAATACCACCCACGCTTGGGATGTTCAACAAAATACAGGCAGACACAGCTCTGAATCCTAGGGCTCAGGATGAAGGAGGAAGTCACCCTCCCTCACCTCTTCCCACTGTGTGGAGGGCAGCCAGCCAGGGACACAGGTGTGCAGCTCATTAAGAACAGAATTAAGCCCAACGGGATAGGGAACAGTCATATGAAGAATGTTCTGCAAAGTAAAAGCACTCTTTTCCTGCTCTGACCTTGGGGAAGGAATCAGGAGGAAAATCCTCCTTATTTACCTATTGTCTGCTGTGCTATCAACCCAATACTAAGAGCCACAAAATGGTTTTACCTCTTGATCTGCAGTGAGAGGCCCTGCAATAAAATTGTTTTTACTAATATATTGAAGGAAATGTCTGCTGTTTTTACTAAACATTGAAGGAAATGTATATTGGCACATAAAGAACTGTCCTGAGTGATGAGGGAAGTAATGAAAATAGCACTGAAGGGGATTAGAAAATACCACTCCAAAATATGCCACTTTGGCAAAAGGATTATTTTGAGTTAAAGGTAATTAAGAAATAGCAGACATGGAAGAGATCGCTCCCCTCTGCCCTCCCTGTTTTCTGCCTAAAGCAGGACATAAATTACCCTTTGTAAAAGTGACATAAATTTCTATTTGCAAAAGTGTTTCTCTTTCTTGTACCAGGAAAAGAGCAATGACTCTTATGTGTATAACAAACTTAACAACCCTTATCTCATATATATTTTCTAGTCTTTCTTCACAACTCACTGCTCCTAGGAGCCCAAACTTCTTTTCCTTTGTCTAGCTGCTTCTCCATAAATTTATCACCCTTTGTTATTAGGAAAAATAGCTAATGCATGTTGGGCTTAATACCTAGGTGATGGGTTGATAGGTGCAGCAAACCACCATGGCACACGTTTACCTATGTTTTTAACATGTGCACATCCTGCACATTTACCCCAGAACTTAAAATTAAAATTTAAAATTTAAAAAAAGTTTATTGCCCTTTGTTAAAGTGGTATATAAGCCCCAGATCTAACCACATCTTTAGGTTTCCACTCCTTTTCTGTGCGGGCTCCTGTGCACATACAGTTAAAAATAAGATGTATATGCCTTTTCTGCTACAAATTTGCCTATTGTCAGTTTATTTATTTATTTATTTTTGCAGATGGAGTCTCGCTCTGTCGCCCAGGTTGGAGTGTAGTGGCGCAATCTCAGCTCACTCCAAGCCGCTTCTCCATAAATTTATCACCCTTTGTTATTAGGAAAAATAGCTAATGCATGCTGGGCACCTGAACCTCCCAGGTTCAGGTGATTCTTGTGCCTCAGCCTCCCGAGTAGCTGGGATTACAGGCACCCGCCACCACGCCTGACTAATTTTTTTTGTATTTTTAGTATAGAAGAGGTTTCACCATTTTGGCAAGGCTGGTCTCAAACTCCTGACCTCAGGTGATCTGCCCGCCTCAGCCTCCCAAAGTGCTGGGATTACAGGTGTGAACCATTGGCCTGACCACCTTTTGTCAGTTTAATTCACAGGCTCCAACAATAGAACCTAGGACGGTGGAATAAAATGTTTTTCTCCACTACAGCAGAAAGTCAACATTCCAATGTAATACCAAAATATGTGAACATAACTAAAATATTATTTCCCCATTAACACTGTTTCTTGACAATAAAGACACAGTGAAGTTCTGGTGGCTAAATTTCTCACTCCACTCACACCAGTTTCAGAGAAGGTAAGCTTCAAATTGGTGCCTTAGCAAAACCAAAGGTTACTTTATTCTATAGGTTTTAATGGTTTTAATAATAAAACTAGAAACAAATCCTCAGTGCCTAAGGCCTATTATATACTCTGTTTTCAAGAAGAAAATGGGTACACAGAGCCCATTAGTTTAAAGTAGTAAACAAAATATGGCCAGATAGAGGCAGGATGGGGAATTTCTGAGTGTAGACTATATGAGAAACTAGGGTTTTTGTTACCCTATCATCTTAATTTATTCTAAAACATTAAATACCACAAAAAAAATTATATCTGATTTATTTTCCTGAAGGTCCTCTGGAAGTATTTTAGTTTCTCTGAGTTTCGGAGGATATAATATCTGACAAGTATAAATAATGTCAAATAAAAAATAAATCTGGACTTGGTAAGGAGAAACTTTATTCAAAAGAACTATTGCAAGGAATACCTGTGGGGCAACAATTGCAATAGAGAGAGGGGTACTATTGCAATAGGAAGAACATTCTGATTATAAGATCTGTAAACACCTCAAGAGTTAGGCAAAAAGGATTTTTCTTTTATAGAGAGGAGTGAACACAGTGGAACTGTTTGAATGGTTGTTCTCTCTAAAACTCATGTTGATATTTAACTATCATTGTAACAGTTAAGAGGAGGACCTTTAAAAGGTGGTTAGCTCATGAAGATGGAGGGTGGGAGTAATGCCAATATAAAAGGGCAAATTCAAATTTTTGCCTTGGCTCCTCTGCTTTTTGCCACGTGAGGATCCAGTGCTCCTCCTCTCTAGAGGATGTAGCATGTAAGGCACTATCTTGGAAGAAAAGAATGGCCTCACCAGACCCAAACCTGCCAGAGCCTTGATCTTAGACTTCCCAGTCTCCAGAACTGTAAGCCAATACACTTGTTTTTTATAAATTACCCAGTCTCAGGTATGCAGCACAAAACAGACTAAGGCTCATAGCTACAAAAATCCAAGTGTGGGGAAGCTGAATAAAAGGTGGTGTGATGGGACACTGGGCCAGAGAACATTTTATCATGAGTCCTCAGTATCCCCTATCCTCAGTTGGGTAGGTGCTATCAAGGAGGGGTTGTGTGCAAGCTCAGGCTGAAGATGGGCCATAGTTTAGTAATGTGATAGAAGGAGGGAAACTTAACCTAAAGTTGGTTTAACCAACAGATGGTTTTGATTGATTAGTGCAGGCAGAGCAATTCAGCTAATCATTTACGTGGTGAAGAACGGGAATTTAGAGGGTTTATGTCTGGCCTTGTCAAAGGTAAACAAGGCATGTTTTCATGAGTCTTATCTAAGTCATACGGGAAAGGGTGGTTCTTTGCACTAAGCCCTTTCTGGGAACACAAAGAATGAGAGGATTTGTCACACTTTGCTCTTTTCTAAGAGCACAGGGCTCAGGTCAAATTTAAGATTGTCGATAGAGTAATTATAGAGATAATAGGGCTGTTTGTTTAAAATCAGATCATCGCAGAAAAATCCAGTTTGAATACAATTTCTTTTAGTGTTTGGGCATGGTGTTGTGGCTCTTCAGTAACTGGACATTTATTTTATAAAAATAGAAGTCCACAACATAGAACCTTTCCAGGATGCCGTTAGAATACTGCATTAATCCAACAAAGCCCTCAATTTGAATATATTATAGTGTAAAAAGTAATTGTCATGGTAAAGAAACCTCTCATTTATGACCAATTTGGTAAATATTAAGAGCCTATGATGTGTATCCAGCTTATTACTTACATTTTTATGAAGACAAATTCCACCACTACTCATTTTTCAGGCCCAACTTTTCAGTTAAAAAAAATAGTTTAAAGAGCTAGTTCAAGTAATCCTACAATAAATTTAGAAAGGAATTTTGTGAAGAAAAACTGTTCCTTTTTCTAAGTCTATCTTCATCTAGGTTGGCTTTATATGAGTTGTACCAAGTGATATTTCTTAGCTGTTGGATAAAAATATTCTGTTATCTTCCAAAAAATCCTGTTAGAGAATACTACAGCCACAGGGGCATGGGAAACAATATACAGAATTCAAGTGATAAAAAATTAATTACAACTTAATCCCTAAAATTCTTTGCAACCTATACACATAATGTACTGAGCCAACATAATAAGCAGTATACATTTAGATAATCCATTTTTAAATATTACTTCTAAACTATAATCTCCGTCAATTATGGAACAAGAATAAAGCATCATTTAGCATGTAACAATGGAAGGGTGAACTGGCTGGGTTGCATGTTAAGAAAGCAAGTCCCCCAAGTAAAGGCTTTGGAAGGGCCCTCCTGCCTCTTCACCTACCCCCTAATTATGTTTCTCCTTCTTCTCTCTCCACCCACCACCCAGAATTCTTTGAAAAGAACTAAAGCTCTTATTTACTGAGTTGCCAGAGTGTTAATCATGTCTAATGGCTTTAACACAAAAGCAGCCAACCTTTAAATGTGCTACTTAAAGACTCTTAATGCCTTGCTTCCTTTTATTCATTTGGGCTTCTCCTCCTATCCCAAATTCAGTTGTGATTCTAGTAAATCTTCCTCCCTCGACTAAAATCAGCACTTCTTATTTTCAAGGTCCTGGGTTGGGGTGACAGGAGAAATACGGAGAAGGAACAGCAACAGTTCAGAGAATATTGGCTTCACGAGGACACCTTCTTGATCTCTATGTCCTTTATACAGTCACCACCATTTAACATGATGCCTGACCCATGGTAGGTACTCAGTCAATATTTAGGAAGTAGGACAGCAGGATGGGGAAGGAAAGAAGGAAGGAAGGAGGGAGGGAAGAAAGGAAGAAGGAAGGAAGGAGGGAGGGAAGAAAGGAAGAAGGAAGGAAGGAGGGAGGGAAGAAAGGAAGGAAGAAGGAAGGAAGGAGGGAGGGATGGAGAGGGGGAGGACGGGAAGGAAGGGAGAAGAAAAGAAATAGTACTCCTTATTAAGAGGCTTGCCCACCTTCTTGGGGGACATTTACCACAGAGGTTGAGTATATGCCAAACAATAGGACATAAAGACATTGGGTGGGAGGGGAGTTCACTCACATTCTCTATTTTCCTCCTGCTCTATATATGTTTTCCCTTTCAAAAAGGAGCCAAGGATAGATACGTGATGGTTGGTTTCAGGACACACAAAAGAAGTCAGCTCTGGAAGCCTCTGCTGCCTAGCTGGCCTAAGAATTAATTGTTCTCTCCTCAAGTTCAGGATCCGTTAGTGTCGTGATGCAAAGATATAGGCCTCAGGCTCCTTTCTCTGAATTCAAGTACTATGATCGATCCTCCCTGGCTAGAGACAGTAAAGCAACAAAGGTGTAAAGAGAGCTGGGGTGCAGCTGTGTGTTCGCCACAAACACTAGAAAACACCTATGGGTCACTGGTTTCATTTTCCATCCTGCATAATTTTCTGAGAAGCTATGGAGTAATCAGTAATTACTTAGAATACAGTCGCCAGAGTTAATTTTTCCTCCTCCAACTGTGTCAAAAAATAAGGGGACTGAACCAGTAAGTGGGTTGTATCAGGAGGCATAAAACAAGACTTAGCACTTTACTTAGGCATTATTTTTTCAGAACGCTTGATCACTTACCAATACATTTTCCCACAAACATCCTGAGGAGATTGGTCTGGTCACTTTGCTAATCCCTCAAGTCTATTAGCAGGAAAACAGAGGTTGAGGGCATGTGGCATCTGAGATTTGTCACAACTAGGCAGTTAAAGACTGACTTAACCTCTACTTCACATAGGAAAGTCACATCGGAGGGAGTCCAGGGTGGCATGACATTCTCCACAGTCAAAACTGCCAAGCAGGGTATGATTATTGCCCCTTGTTGGCAATCTGTGAATTTCTGAGGATAAAACATTCAGTTCCCACAACTGTTTCACAGTTAACATATTGTGGGATGACTCCTGGTTTTCTTGTCACAAGAATTAATTATTTATAAAAAAATGTGGAATATAAACTCAGATGTAGGAATAAACTTATGCCATTATAGACATGGATTTGCCTACACATGCTTAAATGATTCTATGTGTTCCTATGTACATACGCACACGTCTTATAAGACATGCCCATCTAGCAACCTAGGCTACAAAGTCAAAGATGTGGATGTAAGCCACGTTTCCCAATATAACCCTGTGTAAAACTTTTCCAGTTCTTATTATATCAGAGCCCTGGTAAAGCAATAATTTCTCTTTATAACACTCTGTGGCTCCAATCTTTAAATAATTTATGTAAGAAACGTGTACCTGTAGTAAGCATTAATTTCTTATTAACATCTTGTACTCTTCTAATTGAAGATATTTCTCTAACTCTCAAGACTGTATCCAGCCCCTGAAATCTTAGGAATTTATCTCTGCAAATTGAAAGAATGAAGAGCGGGGGCCGATTCCTTTTGGTAGAATTCAGCCATCTGTGGCTGAAATAGTTTTCTTCCTGAGTACCGTGCCTGATGTTAACATTTTTGTTCTAGGAAGCCTGAAGAGGAGCAGAAAGTAGAAATATCTGTATATACCAAGAAAAGCAGATTTTAAACATCTTCAGTAATAGAGGTAATGTCATGATGAGAGCCTTGCTAAAAAATTTTAAAAATCTGACTATACAATCACAAAGAATTCCAGTAATCAAATGAGAGGCTTCTGAATAAACGTGCTGTTCATAAAAGGTCCAGCATTCTAGAATTGTGTTGAACAACACCTTTATTCAGAAGCTTTTCAGTTTTAATAGCCACACATGGCTATTTAAAGTTTAATTAAAATTAATCAAATTTAAAATTCACTCTCTCAGTTGCTCTAGTTATATTTCAAGTGCTCAATAGCTATGTGTTACCAGTGGCTGCTGTGCTGGACGACAGAGTAATAGAACATTTTCAACATCATAAAAAGTTCTATTTGTACAGTTCCAGCCAATGGGGATTTTCTAGAACTACTTAGAAATCTGAGTGCACCATAAAAAATTAAATAAATTTCCAGTCCACAATAAGTTAAATCACGATGTTAAATGAACCTTGAGTTATGATTATGAAGTTACTGCCTAAAGATGTTCAGAAGGCAAAAATCACTACATGAAAATAAAAATTCAAAATTAGAAAAGATTCTAGAAATGACAGACTAATGAATTTTTTTTTTTTTTTTGAGACAGCATCTCTGTCACCCAGGCTGGAGTGTGGTGGTACAATCTCTGCTCACTGCAACCTCCGCCTCCCAGGTTCAAGCGATTCTCCTGCCTCAGCCTCCCGAGTAGCTGGGATTACAGGCACATGTCACCATGCCCAGCTAATTTTTGTACTTTTAGTAGAGACAGGGTTTTGCCATGTTGACCAGACTGTTCTTGAGCTCCTGACCTCAGGTGATCTGCCCGCCTCGGCCTCTCAAAGTGCTGGGATTACAGGTGTGAGCCACCGCACCAGGCCAGACTAATGAAATTAATATGTTTTGCTTGCACACCAATAGAGTAAATGATACACATGTGGCATTGGTGTACACATAAAGATGAAAATGTAATGATTCTTAGGTATAAGAATAGGCTTATTCCAACAAAATACACATATTTTTCCTTTTCATAAGAAAATTTTTAAAACAATGCTGTAGTCACACCATATCCAGACTTCAGCAAGGCTTTTACAAAAGCTTCTAGGACATCCTTGTTGGCAAAATGAGGAAATATTTGCTGACTAATAACACTGTCACAACTTTTCGCAAAGAACAGGACAATGAAACCTAAATAATATTGATTAAAGTGTCTACGTCTGTCTGGAAGGAGGTCCAAATGGCAGACTCATGGATCTAGTTCTTGGTTCCACCCTATTCAGTGACTTTATCTAACACTTAGATTAAGACATACATGTCATACTTATCAGATGAAAGATGACAGAAATTTTCACTGGAGAAGAGAATCAAGCCATAAGTGATTCTTAAGGGATTGAACAAAAAAAAAAGACAAAAATTAACATGATAAAATTTAGCAGAAATAAAAGCCAAGCACTCCATTTAGTATTTTGGGATACTGGATACTTCTTCAATTTGTATCACTATGTCAAGTGAGGTTCAGGAGGTCAAATCCTAAAGGCCCTAGTTGACCTTGCCCTCTCTGTAGGCCATGAATACCAGCTTCATTCTATTAATCAAGTTGTAACTAGAGGAAACTACAGCAGCATAATCAGGAGAAATTATAGTCACCCCAAATTACCTAGGATTCAGACAGAGGGACAGCCAGAGTCTTATAGCCTAGACAGGAGGGAAAGGCAGCACCCCAGGTGGAAAGATGCCTGGGCAAGCCCTCTTTGAGGCCTCCAGGCTTTGCGTCCTGTGCTAAGTCTTTCCTGGTCTCTCCATATTATTTCCTCTAAAATAATTTCATCATAGTCTTAACTCCCTTGATATCACCACATTTCCCTTTAAAATCATTGTAAAGTCATTCATTTAAGAGAATATTGCTTCCCCTGTTCCCTTTCTCTTCTGGAAGTTATATTTAAAGGAAACATAGCAGACCTGGGGTAGATCTTGAGAAAGGTGACTGAAGAATAAAAGATTCAGAAAATATCTTTTTTCCTCAATTAAATTCAGCACAAAGCATAGGAAGAAAGAGAAGAGAAATACATACAAATTAATATGCTAATTAACATGATATAAATTCTAAATGCAAGAAGCAAATAAAGTGCTTTGGAATTGTTGTTTGTGTAAGAAATGGAGATTTTTATTCAGCCTCTAGAAAAGACTGATAGAGGACATGATAGTGAGCTTCAGCTATTTTGAGCGCAATTATAAGAAAGATAAATTTAATCTAATCTGCGTTACTCAAGAGGATAGAACGAGGGCCACTGGGTAAAAGTTATAGGAAGCATATTTCAACTCAACAGAAAGAAGGATTTCCTAATAATTAGCTCTGTCCTAAAGTGAAATGAGATCCCTCAATAGGGCAATCATCTCTCTCAGTGGGGTGTTCAAAACATGCCATATGTCCATGGCACTTAGAAAAGATTCCTGCTACTGGCAGGAGATTGAACCAGATGACCTCTAAGAGCCTTCTGACTTCTGAAATTCTATTACTCTGTTTCTTACTTGCTCTCACCTGCACTGATTCCACTTGATGGATAACTAGGGAGTGGTCAGTCTACCCAGTACAGGAACATAAATGAGACTTTCCGCTGTTCTCTGCCCCCTCACTGTCTCTAGGCAAGATAATGTGGCTACCCCCTCAAAAGCTGCAATGTGTGGGAGTTCATGATGTATTTGATTATTTCTGTGTCTTAGAATTATTTGGTTTTATACAAATGACTTAGTTTGTCTCACTTTCCCTCCTTCCTTGGATATAACACATCACATTTGTTTAACCCTTTTCTAAATATTAAATGTACAGTTAAAAGCACAAGGAGCACATATAATACAAAATATAGAGCAAACTAAGGTGCATGTGGCAATTTGGAAGTTCAAACTGATTCAAACAAACATTTGTAGAGTAATTGCTTGGGTATGTTCAATTACTTGTAAATTATCTTTATTTTTTTAAATGATACCTAATTAAGGATTTAGCTGAGTGCTCAGGATTCTTACCATAGTGTTTTGAGATGCTATTTCATTAAAAATAATCATTAACACCTACTATTTATAAGGCTTATTGCTAATCACTACAGAAAACACAAAGATGAATAAGATAAAGCCCCTGTCATAAAAAAGCTTACTGTCTAATGGTATACAAAATAATTGAAGCAAGACAGAATACGAGTGCCTCCATAAAGTTACACAGTTCTTTGGAGAGAAAATTTGTATCTGGCCAGGGAAAATCAAAGCCAACTTCATCAAAGAAGAGGGTAAAAATCCACACCATGAAGGGCCACTCATCCTGATCCGGGAATAATCTATTTTTTGTTTTGTGTTGTTTTTGTTTTTGTTTGTTTTTGTTTTTTTGTTTTTCCTCAGTGGATGTAGGGAAGTCAGTGAAGGAATTTGTACAGGAGAGTCTCATAATAGAAATTTTATTTAAGGAATATGAATCTAGCAGCCATGGGTAAACTATTTAGAGAGTTGGAGGGATAAGCCTGTTGGTCCTAGATAAAGGGAAGCAACCAGGCCTACACACTACATGATGGAAGTGAGAGTGTAAGGGAGTAGCTAAACTGAAGATGTCATGCAGGTCAGTCGGTAGCATCTGGAAATTAATAGGAAGTGGTGGAGAAGTCTGTGAACTCAAAATGGAGAGGGTGGATTGAGAGAAATCCCAGGTGTCATGGGCTTGAATAAACAGGAAGAACTTTTTGAGTGGGGTAAACAAATGGAAAATAAAAGAGGTATGCAGATGGAAAGGACAATTTTGGAAAACAAGAACCAAACTGATGTGACGCATATTAATCTAATATAGTGCTTCATCTGGGTGGTTTTAGTAAAGATGGCAATCATTACAACTGAGGGGTTAGGGACTTGGTTGAAAGCTAAATTGCCAAGTATAAAAACAGAATATCAAGTTAACTGGGTGGGAAATGGAAAGGAGAGAGTTATGTGCAGAAGAAGACAGAAATCCAACCATTAGGTAAGTTGGAGAGAATATATGAGACTAGATGTGTTAACTGCGTTTTTTTTATTATTATTATTATTTGTATTTTCTTTCACATTCGGGCCTTACTGATCCTTGAGAGTCTGCTCCTCCCTGGGTGAGCCAATTCCTAAAAATAGTAAAGGACTCGCCTGCAACTGTCTTTCACATGCAAACCAACAAATCAGGAGCCCAAACCCCTCAGCTATTTTCTTTATCGGGCTCTTATACTCTGGACCACAAGCCACTGGCTCTAATCACCCCAGGGCCAGGGACCAGGCAACTAGGGACAGCCCCATACTCCAGAGTCTGTTGAAATTATTCAGACTAGCCATTTCTAAACTGTTAACTCTGCCTTATTTGTTTCTTTCCACAGAAACACCAATAATGGCACGTGACTGTGTTCTCCCCTCACTCCTTCTGTCTCCTGACCGCAGTGCCTCCCTGTGTGGCACTACATGGCATGACCTCCCTATCCTCTCGAGAATTACAAATAACAAACTGTCTTTTCAATAGTCTGAATAATAACCAAACCTACATTTTAAAACACTAGAGATGACTAAAATGAGAAAAGAGAGAAGTGGCTAGCAAGGACGTCAAAAAAGGCATAATTCTGAATGAAGACATTCAACTAAACGCAGATACCACAGCTTTTCAGGAATTTTGGGAAAGTCATTTTTTAATAAAGGATTTGTCTATTGAGCAGTGCAAGTAAGGTTGAACTGAATGTTGCAAGGAATATACCAAATCCTGACTTGATCCCTAAAGTTCTAGGAAACACCAAGGGATTGTAAGAAGAAGTTACCAGATATTTTTCTGGTATTTATTTGCCATGGGGGTAATTTGAAATTTAAATTAAACCTGAGGCCAGGCGTAATGGCTTACGCCTGTAATCCCAGCTCTTGGGGAGGCTGAGGTGGGTGGATCACTTGAGGTCAGGAGTTCAAGATCAGCCTGGCCAACATGGTGAAACCCTGTCTCTACTAAAAATACAAAAATTAGCTGGGCATGGTGACGTGTGCCTGTAATCGCAGCCATTCGGGAGGCTGAGGCAGGAGAATCACTTGAACCTGGGAGGCAGAGGCTGCAGTGAGCCAAGATCACGTAATTGCACTCCAGCCAGTCTCAAAAATTAATTAATTAATTAATTAAACCTTGGTAGACAATTAACAATGTGTAGAGGTTAAATAAGATTTAACCCTGGAGAGAATTACCAGGAACAGGAAATTGTGAGAGGAAAATTTCGTTTCATTCGTGATGACCAGGTGGAAGAGTTGCTGAAGTGGGTTTCTAAATGACACAATGGTAGAGTGAAAAAGGGTGGCAGATGCTGCTGCATCAGTAGGATGAGAGTACAGAAAAAGCTGTGTATGGAGAGAGATGGAGGGGGAAGGGTTGGTGCCTGTGTTTTAACCATCAATAAGAGGAGTTATAGAAGAAAGAAGTTCACAGTGCTGCAGGAAAAATACCAAGTAAGCAGAGTTTCAACCCCGGAAAAATGTGTAGGACTAGTAGAGTCTCTGTGGTTCCAAACGGGCCTCCCCTAATGACAGGCTAGGACCAAGGGGAATATTTGCTGACATCTCTAATTCAAGTAAATCCACAAAATGACTCATTTATAACGTGGGTACAATCTGTGCTTAGTGGCAACCATAGTTAGGAATGGAGGAGTTGAACTTGTGGAAAACATAAAAGACATTACAAAGTCACCAGATATTTGTCTGCTGTTTATTTACCATGTGGGGGCGATTTGATGTTTAAATTAAAGCTCAGTAGAAGCTTCAAGTATGATGCCATAGGGATGTAGTTAACTTAGAGAATTTTTGTTTTTAATCTCTAAAAGGGAAAAATAAAATTTTCATGAAGAGTAGCCTTCTCCCCTGCTCAGCCCCTCTTCTATCTCCAAAATGTAACCTACATTAAAAAAGAAAGTAATATATCAGAATATTATAAAATGGCTATTATTAGAAGGGAATAACCAAGAGCAAGATAGATCAGAAGTGCCAATTGGATCATGAGGTGGGAAGGGTTTGAGGTATTAAGTAGGATACTCAGGGAAAGCTTCACTGAGAAGGGAAGATCTAAAGAAATAATTATTTGGTGAAGGTGTGAGCCAAGTAGGTATAAGGAAGAAGCACTTTCTAGATGCCAGACACTGTGCTGAATGCTTCATAGGCATGATCTAATTTTTACCCCTATAAAACATTTGAAAATCTAGCAACAATTATTGATCACTCTACAGATTAGGAAATTCACCAAAAAATCAGGGGATAACCAGCTTTCCCAAGCTCGCATAGCTATTAAGGGACAGAATTGGGGTATGGACCCAGGCAGTTTGACTATTAAAACCGATCCTCCTTTAAAAACTCCTTATCTCCCCTTAAGCTCAAAACTAAAGTTTAGCCCCCGTCAGCCCTGCTACATGGAAGAAACCCTAGGAAAGAGAGTGCTGGAGAGTTGGTTACAGGAGTGTTTTGCTATGTCAGTTTACAACTTCTTCCATGAGAAAGGGGAAGAAAGTCCTGAGCACCAGGAAGAGAGCCTCATACCCAGGCTCATAACCCTCAGTGCACGGTGACACCAGCCCTGCAAATGTGGCCCACTTGGGTTCCTGGGACCCAACATTCAGATTAAGGGGCTCTTTTTTCCCTGGGAGGAGGCAGACACAAGGTGAATTTAAGTGAGGACTTCTTAAACCCTCAGAATATCCCACTTCCTTGACTCTAAGGTGCTGCCCCATTCATCCATTCCACAATGACTGAGACTGAGACTATACCAGGCTCCAGCTGCACATAACAGATATGACTCTTGCTCCTGTGGTGCTTCCAGTCCACTAGAGAAGGGAAAGGTGAGGAAGTAATAATCTGATGAAGGGGCAGAAAATCAGAAGAGAAATTGTAAGGAATGTATTTACAGCTTCTGGAGGCAGGGAATATTACCACCTACACAAGAATTGGAAAACAACTTCTAAGTTCAGCAACTTTAAGCTGAAAAACTCTACCTTAAAGGAGAGAAATTATGGACTTAACATTTTCAAAATATCCAGGGGTAGAATCTGAATGCAATAAATGGCCTGTAAATTCATTGCCCTGAGTGGCCACACTGTGCATTTATCCTAGCCCTCAAGGAAGATGTTGTCTTGTAGTAGAAAGAACTGGGATGCAGACCTGGTTCTCTAAACCTGTGTCAAGCTCCCCAGAGGGCTGGACTTGCCAAGTGGGAATGGGGAAGCTGCTTGACTTCTCAACATCAGTTTGCTCTTCTGTAAGGTAAGGTTAATGAGATCTTCACTCCTAGTCATCTATGAGGGACAAATTAGAGCAAGGATTTGCAAGTTCCTTAAGCTAATATTTCCTAAATACCACAATGCATCAGGTACTGAGTTGGGCACAGATATGCAATTATTGGTCCATTCTTCATTGCTATAAAGACATGCCTGAGGCTGAGTAACTTAGAAAGAAGAGGTTTATTTGGCTTACAGTTCTGTAGGCTGTACAGGCATGGTGATAGCATCTGCTTCTAGTGAGGCCTCAGGAAGCTTACAGTTATGTCAGAAGGCAGAGAGGGAGCTGGCATGTCACATGGTGAGAGGAGGAGTAAGAAAGAGGAAGCAAGAGAAAGAAAGGAGAAGCCTCAGGAAGCTTACAGTTATGACAGAAGGCAAAGAGGGAGCTGGCATGTCACATGGTGAGAGAGGGAGCAAGAGAGAGAAAGGAGGAAGTAGAAGGCTCTTTTTAGCAACCAGAGCTCAAGTGAAAGCATTACCACAGGAAGGGCACCAAGCCATTCATGAAGGATCTGCCCCCATGATCCAAACATCTCCCACCAAGCACCACCTCCAACACTGAGGATCACATTTCAACACAAGATTTGGACGGGACATATATCCAAACTCCATCATGCACATATTAACTTTAAGAGAAAGACAGAGCAAAAGAGAGAGGGGCCTTTATCAGGCATTTGAGTATTTCTTAATTATATTGCAGAGTTTCAAAAGAAATTTTTTGCCAAGTGGATGGTTCACTGGTTAGTTGGTATACACAAAAAAGGGAGTGTTGTGGCCGGGCGCAGTGGCTCACGCCTGTAATCCCAGAACTTTGGGAGGCCGAGGCTGGCGGATCACGAGGTCAGGAGATCCAGACCATCCTGGCTAACACAGTGAAACCCCGTCTCTACTAAAAATACAAAAAAATTAGCCGGGCACGGTGGTGGTCGTCTGTAGTCCCAGCTACTCGGGAGGCTGAGGCAGGAGAATGGCATGAACCTGGGAGGTGGAGCTTGCAGTGAGCTGAGATCACACCACTGAACTCCAGCCTGGGCAACAGAGCGAGACTCCGTCTCAAAAAAAAAAAAAAAAAAAAAAAAAGAGTGTTGTTTTGTTTTTATTTAAAATAGTGATAACTGAAATATCAGGGAGAAGAAATGGCAGGATTCTGAAATGTAGTCAAGGAAAGGTAACTGACTACCTTAGGATGTACTTGAGACCAGCCCTTGAACATAAATGTATGGGTATATCTCAGAGAGTGTCAGAGGTAATAGATGGTGATGGTAAGATAGTAATCAACATCAAACAGCCAAGAATACTCTTACTAAACTGGGGTAGGCAGAATGCCACCCCTGCAAGACGTCCTGCCCTAATCCCTGAAGCCTGTGAATATGTTACACTATATGGAAAAAGGGATTTTGTAGACATGGGATTACTAATCAGTTGACTTTAAGATAGGAACATTATACTGGATTATCCAGTGAGCCTAATATAATTACATGAGCTCTTAAAAATCAATGTTTACTCCTTGCTGAGGACAGAGAGATGTGACCAGAGAGGAAGTGGAAGACATTCAAGGCATGAGAAAGACTCACTGTGCCGCTTGTTTTATGATGGAGAAGGCATTGTGAGGAGGCATGCAGGAGGCCTTTGGGACTTGAGAAATGTTTCTCTCGTACAACCAGCAAGGAAATGGGAATCTCAGTTCTATGACCACACGGAACTGAATTTCGATAAAAACCTGAATGACTTTAAAGGCAAATTATCCCAGAACAAATGGAAAGGAAGGTAGCCCTGCTGATATATTTGATTTCGGCCTTAAGAGATTCTGAGGAAAGGACCCAACTGAGCCATGCTATACCCAGAATGCTGACATACAGATATAATAGATGATGATATAATAGATGGATGATATAATAGATGGTGATATAATAGATGGATGATGTTTTAAGCTGCTAAAGTTATGGCAATTCATTACAGTGGCAATAGAAAATTAATATATAAATCATCATAGGGTTGTGGCAAATCCTACAATTCTCTGTTGTTATGTAGTCTTAGGCTTATTCAGGAAATGTGTAACTTTGGACAAGTCACTTTACCTCTCTCTAAGCATAGGTTTAGGATATTAAGCTCCCAGCCATATATTCTATTCCTTAAAGAAGACATAGTTTCACTATTAGAATTAAATCAGTTGTGATATAAGAAAATGACTGGTGTATCATAATTTTTTTTAATTAAGAAAAATCCATAGTTTATTCAGATTTCCTTAGTTTTTACTGAATGTTCTTTTTTCTGTTGCAGGATTCCATCCAGAATGCCACATTACATTTAGTTGTCATGACTTTTTAAACTCCTTTTGACGGTGATAGTTTGTCCAACTTGCCTTATTTTTGAAGACTTTGACAGTTTTGAGGAGAGCTGGTCAGGTTTTGTAGGATGTCTCTCAGGAATTTGTCTGATGTTTTTCTCATGATTAGACTGGATTTTATAGGTTTGGGAGAGGAAGATCACAGAGGTAAAATGTCATTCTCATCACATCATATCAAGGGTTCATGCTATCAATATGATTTATGACTGTTGATGTTGACCTTGATTTTCTAGCTGAAATGATTTTCAGGTTTCTCTACTGTGTAGTCGTTTTTTCTCCTCCTTTCTATACAGTACTCTTTGGAAGGAAATCACAATGTGAAGTTCACACTTAAAGAATAGAGAGTTATGCTTCACCTCCTTAAGGAAAGGGCATTTACATAAATTATTTGAAATTCTTCTTCCCAAGGGGTTTCATCACAAACTTTTAACATATTTAGTTCACTTTTAGTTCTCAGAAACCTCCAAATTCTTATTTTATAATATCATCTTCTTTCCTCTGAATATAAATCAGAACAAGTGATGCAATTAGAAAAAAACATCACTTCATAGAAAAGTTTCAAGGAAATTATTTTTAAAAATGATCATGGAAAAATTGTCATCAAAGGTGGAGAATTTATAATCTCTCCCAAGAATGGGGCATTGTGTTGTACTGACAACACAGTCTGTAACACATTTTCAGATGACCTCAGTTCAGTCATTATCTTTCTCCCAACAAAAGCATATTTGATTCAGTTCAAGGTTTTGAGAGAAGGTCACACAATTCTCTTTCACTCTCGCTAAACCTGTTTCCCATGCTTAGATGGCAGAGATACGAGATCACAGTCTTCAGCTTTGAAAAGCAAAGTCTCAAGAGTGCTTCAATATCATGTACTTTTTTATATAAGCAGCATGACAAAGAACATCTACAGCATTTAATTATCTCTATATATTACTGTAGACTACAGTGACAATACAGCACAACTGTAATAACTGAGAAGAAAAAGTAAAAGTAAAGTTAGAGCTGGATGGACAGAAGAAATCAACCTCCCAATTACAGTGCAGCATGGAGTACTGACTGACCTTCTTGCTGGTATCAAAGTGTCAAGCTGCATATCTAAGCCACTAGTGGGAAAGCAAAATGCAGAAATTTCAACAGAGAGGCTGCCTCTACAGTATTTCCAACTCTTTCTAATAGCAGGAAAGCCAGAAATGCTGGAAGACTTTCTCTGCCTACAAAATTGGAGAGGTTTGCCAGCTTCAGCAACATCTTAGAGGAACATCTGTGCTTCAAAGGTTCAGCTGAGCAGAACTTCCTATCAGTGCCATCATTACCCATGGCCATTCAGAGCAATATTGAGTGCTGACAGCCACTCAGATTTTCCCGCCATAAGGGAAAAATCAAATTAAGCTAGGGGCAGAGGACAGGAAAGGGAAGAGAAGTATCAAATACTTTTTATAGAACATGTAATATAAACAATCCCGAAGCCCACGTATAAGAAATTCTAAATCAAGAGTTTGTTCTAACGATGAAAATCCGTCCATGGAAGGGGAAAGAGAAAAGAAAGATTCGAAACTCCATGAAACTGACATTCCCAATTTTTCCTCAGAATTATCTAGCCACCTGTCCTCTTAGTTGTTTCCAAGATAAGTAAGAAATATCTTTGAAGCTTAACTATACTTGTTAGTCCCAAGGGCTCAGGATTTGGTATTAATTTAACCCGTGAATATCATGTTATTTGTACCAGGGCTTCCTTCACAATAGTTATATCCCTTTAGGCCCTGGGATAATTTAAAAGACCAAAGTAGGTCTTGTTTACTCACTCACCGTTATTAACCTACAGTGAGGTGAGTGAGGGACAGCAAGGCATTTGAGAAACAGGCATTGGGGCATTCCATGCCTACCTCAAAGGTCTACAACATTTTTCTCATGATATATAGATACTACAAGAAATGTCTTTCCCAGCACAGAATATTTTAATTATCTTTCCATTCCTGCTGTCTTCCAAGAAAGGAATATAATTACCCACATCTTATGACATGTAGGGGGAGTGGAGAGTATCATAGAGAAGAATGGGATCAATTGGTGATTTGCCACTATGAACTCTTCTTTTTGTCCTAGAAAGTTACTTTCAAACCCATCAGGTGCTCCTGATATCTTTTGACACTCATCCATAATAATAATACAAATAATAACATAAGACCTTGAAATTACTACTTCACAGTGCTGTGCTAAACACAGTGCACATGTTAATTCACTTTACCTTCACACAACAATATGACAAAAAATCACTATTGCTATTGTTTTACAAATGAAGAAAATGAGGCATAAAGGGTAAGGCAACTTGCTCAAGGTTAAAAAACTAGTAAGTGAAGGGCTAGGTTTCCACTTTGGAAATCTGGCACAAGAGTCCATGTTCTTAGTCATCAAACTATTATTTCCCATGAGCCAGGCTCATTGATCGTCAGATTTGAGGGTCTTTGCTCACATGGATTCTACACATTGAGTATTAGAAAAAAGCTAATATATGACAACATGGGTAAACATATTTGGAGAGGCTATAACCTGACACCATTATGCTTAATTGGAGAAGCCAGAATTCCAACTGGAGACACCCTAAGTCATCAAAGAAAGATAAATGATTGTTAAACAAACATCTGACTTGAACAGAGCCACATTTGAACATGGCCATTCTAAATTTTATCTGTCAAATTTTATTTTTTTATGCACATTGCCACTTTTGTGGTTCCAAAATAAAGCTGGATTCCATTTATACGTGTCCAGAAGACAAGAAACATTTTTCCAGACTATATATTGCTGAGAGAGAGGCAACCATATCTGTTAGGCAAAGTAAAGCTATTAACAAGAAGTATACAGTAAAATCAATAAACCAGAGGGGTTTGCAGTTGGTGACTTGTGTCTGTAGATAAACCAAGGGTCCACCTAAAAGGGAGCCACCCAAGGGTTGTTGAAACCAGTGCGCACATTCATGGAGTCTAAAGGTGAGTTTTCTAATCATCATTTGGACAATGAATAAATCTTGGGATGGGAGATGTCAGAGAAAGGACAGGGTCATCCTGCCTGCTCAGTTTTCTCTGTGTAGCAAGTCAGACTTTTGCTTTGCTTTCGATTTTCTTTAAAACAGAAAGTCCTACCATTGCACTCAATTCTGACAAAAGGGATCTTTTAAATCTTGCCTCCAGGTTCTGTCCTTGACCTTCCATCTCTCTGAGGTGCCCTTCCCCACACTGAGTCCAAGCTCAAATATCAATCAGTGGGTGGTAAACAGAAAATGAGACCAGGGGCCTTGAGAAGTGGATTATTTTAATAAGAAAAACCCTGAGCACATTTGTAGACAGATGGAAGCTGGGTTCCACAAGTTAGAAGAGAGAAGAAGATCAAAAAAGTAAGCAAGGTAGAAGTTGTCTGCAATTCAAGTCACAAAAGAAGAAGGAAGAGTTAGTCTTGGAAAGGAGAAGATGAGATTACTATAATCCTGGGGTGAAGACCTACAAGGGATTAAACAACTTTGAGAAATCTGGATACCCACTGACCTCCCACAGCCACTTCCAAGAAAAAGACATTTTCTCACCTTGCTTATGGGAATAGAAATGTGAGGTTGAGAAGAAAACACTCATTCCTGCCTCAGAGGTATAAAGATGAAAATTATGCCGAATTAAATCAGGTTGTTGAAAATGCTCATATAAAAAGCTTCCTATGCTTGATTTGAAATGCCAAATGTAATTCCTGAAAATGAAAGCATAAACATACACTCAAAAAAAGATAAATGTGTTGTAGATGCTATTTGATATGAGACAAGGGTGGGAAAGAGACAATGAAGAAGCAAGACTTGTAAGCACCCTACTCATTCATTTTCTGGATGGGTCAGAAAATCTGAATTGGCCCTGTAGACCTGTGAATATTTTCAAGTAAGAGAGGCACGTTACTTGAATTTGTTTAAAGCATTTACCCTAAGCACACAGCCCTGTAGACCTGTGAATATTTTCAAGTAAGAGAGGCAAGTTACTTGAATTTGTTTAAAGCATTTATCCTAAGCACCTGGTATATCTTAAGGGGTAAAACTGCACACTTTCACAGAACGGAAAATTCTGACCTTAGCAATATGTGATGTCCCAGTGGATATGAGGATTAAGTGTCTGAACAGGCCGTTAGAATACAGCAGGGAACTTAACAATCACCACTGAGGCATGAAATGTGAGAGGAATAACAAAAGCATGTTCAGGTTATAAAAGGCAGCATTAAATGTTTGCTGATGTGATCATAAGAGCTGAAGTTTTATCCATGACACACTCTATATGCATAAGAGAAAAGTAAGGATGAGACTGGGTACTGAGTATCAACACTGCTAAAACAGGAGCCAAAGAGAATGAAGAGACAGAGGTGTAATATGCTGAACACAAAAAAAGCAGCAATGTTGAGATCCACTTGATAACAATCGGAGAGAACCCAGACAGAACTTGAGGATTTGTAAGGCTAGAAAAGAACAAAATGAAACTGCCAGAAGGGAATGTTTTCATCTGCCAACACAAAGCAGAACAATGGGAAAAATGGCAGGCATGCTACGGTTTTATAAAACAGATGCTGCTTCTGGTTTCTGGCCCATGTCCCTGACTGGATTCAGTTCTAAAATACATCATGCAATTCGCCAATGCGGGAGTCTGGATGGCGGACACCCCAGAGCCTTCTAGGAACTGTATAGCTCAGTGAGAAAGAGAAAGGAAGAGAGATCAACACTACACAGTCAGGTTGTTAATGCCAATGAAGGAGAAAACTTGAAGTTCCTGGATCCTCTTCCACACTGTTCAGTTCTCACCTAGTCACTAGGGCTCTTGTGGTCTTTGTTTCTTCATCATGGAGGGAGAGGTTTGGTAATGGGTTCTTACTGTACCCAAACTCTACCAAGGTATAGAAAAAGTGTGTATAATCAGCCATTTTAATCCTTGTTAAAGCAGACAATATAAAAGGTTAAATAACCCCAGGAATCCCACTTGAAAAGTGTGCATTATAAGATTTTAAGAGTAAGCAAAAATAATGGCTTTAGTCCTGGTCTCAGGATGTAGAGACCATGCAAGTCAAAGGAAGCCAAATTTGATAATGTAAAAATGAAAGCACTTCAGAAAATAGCTTTGCTACAAAATTCTCAGTGGCAGTCCAGGCTTCAGATAAATACTTAATCTTTTGGGAAATTCATCCCAGTGGTAAATCTAAAACAGTTGATGTTCATACCCATTGAGACTAGATAGAAAAGAAAAGGCTGGGGAATCACATAATGTTTTTGTATCTGATAGGATACTTTCATTGCAAGCAACAGAAACAAATGTGGCTAGCTTAAGCAAAAAGGAAATTTATCAGAAGGATCTTGATGAGAAGGCAGAAACCAGGCTTAAAATTTGGCAGTTCCAGGTATCTAAGCAGCAGAAATTTCTCAAAGAGCCTCTGCCACTGAAATAGTTGCATACAATCATTTTTCCCACCTTGTGTTGCTTTACTCAATATTCCCAGTCCCAGAGAGAGTCTGTTGAGGTTAGCTTGGGTCACATGTGTGCCCTTCTGATAGAGAAAAGTGGAGCCATCTTGGCTTACAATCCTTCTAAGAACAGTCCATTAAAGAGAGAGAGTTTTATAGAAGGATATCAGAAATTGTTATAAAAGGGTGATGGATATTGGGAGTGAAACAAACAAAAGCAAACACCTGACTCAATTTTTTTTTAATCTTGACGTAAGAATTTTAATGCAAAACCAATTATGAGCTATTGTGACAGATACATATAAAGAGAGAGTAAGGCAAACCCACTGTGATTTTATGTGTCCACTTGACTAGACTGTAGGGTACCGAAACACTGGTGGAGAATTATTCTGGTTGGGTCTGTGAGGGTGGTTCTGGATGAGATTAACATTTGAATCCATAGACTGAGTAAAGTAGATTACCCTCCCCAGCATGGGTGGGCCTCCCCTAGTCGCTGAGGGCCTGAA
The DNA here is from genome assembly GCF_000001405.40 of Homo sapiens. NCBI lineage: Eukaryota > Metazoa > Chordata > Mammalia > Primates > Hominidae > Homo > Homo sapiens. The sequence goes on along the minus strand of NC_000014.9, from coordinate 81,800,723 downwards.
AAAAAAAAAAGAAAATGCTGGCCTTCCCATAAGTTAGACAGAACTCCTCCTGCCCAACTGTCTTGGGCTGGGACATCAGTTCCTCCCTGCCTTTGGATTTGAACTGAAACACTGGCTCTTTCTGGGTCTCAAGCCTGACAGCATTCAGAGTAGAACTACATCATTAACTTTCCTGGGTCACCAGCATACCAGCAGCAGATCTTGGGATATCTCAGTCTTCATAACTGTATGAGCCAATTCCTTATAATACATACTTGCCTCTCTCTATCTCCCCCTTTCTCCCTCCAGATAGATAGATAGATAGATAGATAGATAGATAGATAGATAGATAGATAGATAGATAGATAGATAGACAGACAGACAGATAGACAGACAGACAGACAGACGGACAGACAGATAGATCTCCTATTGGTTCTGTTCTTCTGGAAAACCCTAATACACTCACCTCTCCAAAGTAAGGATATTAAAGTACACGTTTTTCCTCCCCTGCTGTACTTAAAGTAGCTTACCTCGTTCTATAGTCATTTCACTAATGCTGTATATCATTTGTCTTTCTGTAGTCTAATGAAGTAGGCACCAGACTTATAATTGGAAAACTAATTTGAAGTTCTAGCTTTGACATAATTTAATCTTGGGAAAATTGGAAAAACTTTTAACCTTCAGTTTTCTCATCTGCCAGATTTGGACAATAACACCTTTAAAGCATAACGGTTTTGGGGAATAAATGACAAAACTAATGGAAAAGTATCCAGCTGACACCTAGTAAACAGTAGGTATTTAATTAATGTTTATTACATCTAATATAAAGTATAAATCAGGGCAGGGTCCATGTCATCTATTTTCTTGTCTACACTCCCCAAAGTGCTGAGCACAGGAGACACTTAATAAATAATTGTGAGTGTATTAGTCTGTTCTCACACTGCTAATAAAGACATACCCAAGACTGGGTAATTTATAAAGAAAAAGAGGTTTAATGGACTCACAGTTCCACATGGCTGGGGAAGCCTCACAATCATGGCAGAAGATGAAGGAAGAGCAAACAGAAATCTTACATGGGGGCAGGCAAGAGAGCTTATACAGAGGAACTCCCCTTTATAAAACCATCAGATTTCGTGAGACTTATTATCACGAGAACAGCATGGGGAAAACCCACCCTCACAATTCAATTACCTTCCACCAGGTCCCTCCCCATGACATGTAGTGACTATGGGAGCTACAATTCAAGATAAGATTTGGGTGGGGACACAGCCAAACCATATCAGTGAGTAACAGTGAAATATACTGATAGAAATGCTTTATTATACACACTCCTATGTGCATGGAATAAAAAATGCGAATTAATGGAATCAACCAAATAATATCAACCACTACCACACAGCATGTGATTGCAGCACAGACATGAGCAATTGGACAAGACAACTACAGTCTTCTAGAAAGAGAAATTCAACACCCTGCTGATAAAACTGTGATCTTCAAGATAAATGGCAGGGCTGATACTATGTGTGTGGATGTGTGTTACAAGAGATTTTCTATCATCCTCAAATAATCAAAATTGAAGTCAAAGCTGGTCATTTCTTAAATGTTATTGACATAAGCTCTAGTGAGCATGCCATATTTTACAATCACCACTAAAGATCATTTCTCAATGAAAAATAATCTGCTAACAATTGAGAAAATTAATATTTGTCTCAAATCCCAAGATTTTAAGGATCAACTATTCTAGTGTAATCCTAACTATTCCTTTGAATTGTGTTTACACAACCTGAAAATAAACAGGTTTTTTTGATGTCAAATAACAGAATTGATAGAATTAATTGGTTATGTTGGCATTGTGAGGACACAGCCACAGAGAAAGATGCAGAGCACTAACTCCTGATCCCAATATTATATATTCTAATGTCTAGCAAAATCAGTTAAAAGGAAAAGCTCATTGGAATAAAAAATAAAAGTGTAAAGTATCAGTATAAATTCCTTAATATTCCAATCCCATCATTTTGGGAAAACTGAGACTCATAAAGAATATGAAAATTTCCAATTTTTACAGGACTAGTTTTGAAGATGATCCAGATTATCTGACTCTTTCTTTCACCAAATATCACTTAAGTATCATCTTGTATCAGACATTATTCTAAATGCTAAAGATGCAGACAGAAAAGGACAGTGCTCTCATAAAACTTATGTTACCATAAGTAAACAAATAAATAAAAGACACATCCAGATAATAAAGAGTGCTATAAATATAAATACTATTTGGAAATATCTAGAAAATAAAGAGTGCTATAAAGATAAAAATCTGGCTAGACACAGTGGCTCACGTCTGTAATCCCAGCACTTTGGGAGGCCGAGACAGGAGGATCACTTGAGGTCAGGAGTTTGAGACCAGCCTGGCCAACACGGTGAAACCCCGTCTCTACTAAAAAATATGAAAATTAGCCAGGCAGTAGTGGTGTGTGCCTGTAATCCCAGCTACTTGGGAGGCTGAGGTGGGGTAATCTCTTGAGCCTGGAAGGTGAAGGTTGCAGTGAGCCAAGATCAGGCCATTGCACTCCAGTCTGGGCAAGACAGTGAGACCCTGTTAAAAAAAAAAAAAAAAAGTGCCAGAGAGTAATGTGGGTACCTCTTTAGAGGGAATTTTCAGCTAAAACCTCTCCAAGAAAGCAACATTTAGCTGAATCAATGATCACAAAGAACCAGTCTTATGCATACTTGAAGAAAATACGTTCCAGGCAAAGGAACAGCAGATGCAAAGTCCCTGGAATGGCACACATCTGATAGAATTGAGGGACAAAGAGAAACCAGTGTGGCTAGAGAGTATGCATAAGAGGAAAAGTGGCATAAGACTGAGGTGTTTATAGCCATAATGAGAAACAGGGATTTTATTTGAAAAGCAAAGCATATTCCCAGTCTAGTGTTCTCAAAGTCCATTTTCATGAAGCTGAACTTTTTCTGGCAACAAATGGCTCCACTTCTGCAAAAATAACTAAAATGCAGGTTTGGCTCCTTTGCTGTAGGGTTTCATTTATCTGTAACATGAGGCTGTTCAGTAAGCCAAATGGTTCCATAAAACAGATTTTCTTGGATGGCCCAATCCATTTAACCTACGGAAGGTGTGCCATTTGTTTCCCCTGAGCTAATGCAAAGTTGTAAGTCCAACTTGGACATTATGTAGTTGTCTGGGAAGGGAAAGCCCAGCCAGTAAGTAATGATGGATGGCTTGCCTCTGAGGAGTATACTTCCTCAATGAATCTGTATCAGCAGCGCTGGGCCTTCCAGCTTCTTCCCTGGAACAGGGGCCAACTTCAGAGGCTCCTTAGAGGCAAGAAACATTTTTGCTCACATTTTTTTCCTCCCTGAGAAACACAGAGAGGCAGCTCTGTTTTAGATCAAGCCTTCAATCCAAGGCTTGCCTGCATGCTATATTGGAAGGTAAATGAAACAAGTGAAAATTGTTTTGACTTACACCCAATGGAGTTCGAAACTCATTCAAGCATTCAGTGAGTCATTGAGGCAAGTGGTGATCATAGGAATGGCCAAAATAAGATGCTATCACAGGTCATTTTCATTTTGCCCCTCTAGTAGTTATTTGTTATAGCAAATAGGACCCATTTATATGTGCAGTTTTCTACTAGCCTCCCATCTGGTTTAATTCCTCCACAACATCAATTCCATCTCTAGATGAGGATCTATTTTATAAATCTTTATCCCATCTATCTCTGCCAAGCAAAAGGAAGAGAGAAATTAGAAAATCACGAAGCACAGGTCTTGGTCTTGATCTCGATGTGAGAAAACAGGCCTTTCCTTTGTAGCCATATTTGTTCTGCAAAACTTAATTATCAAACTCACAAGGTCTCAGAAGTAAATCAGACACTGAACAAAAATAATAATCATTCCAGGGAACACTAATTATAAAACAATGTTCCATGGAAGAGAACAATAATAATAACAAAGTATCACTTATTTAGGCACTTATTTAGTGCCAGCCACCATATTATAAGTGCACTAAATATATTCTTTTATATATTCCTCAATATGACCCTCTGAAATGGGTGACCTAGAAAGGGACAGAAATGCAATTCTGGTCTTTATGACTGCAAAGCATATACTCTTAACCCAAACTGGAAGATATGTTAGTTATAAACTCTTTGCCGGAAGTGAAAAGTTAATGCTATGTTAGATGAATTAAAAAGTGATCCTCCTTCTCTGCGTTACCTCCTATATTGGGATCAGAAAACTACAGCCTGCTGGCCAAATCCAGCCCACAACCTGATTTTGTAAATAAAGCTTTATTAGAACACGGCCTTACCCATTAGTTTATATGTGTTCTATATAGCTGTTTATATAGCTGTTTTAATGCTACAACAGCAGAGCTTAATAGAGAACATCTGGCCTGCAAAGTATAAAATAATTATTATCTTGCCCGTACAGTCAATGTTTGCTGTAGGATTTCATAAAACTAAAACTAAAGATACAGACAGAAAACTGTGTGGGACAAAAAACCCCTGCCCCATATCTCCAGTAATTCTCTTCACATGAAGATTTAGCTTTTCTCTGTCCTGGGGTATCCCTGCCATAAACAAATTGCTAAACAAAATGGACATTTTGCATGGTGTAGTTAATGCTGTTGATGCCCTTGGCAAGATATGTTTACCTGATAGTAGTGTCTTCATCCTCCGACTGTTCTGAGTCTGACTAATAGCAGCTCACAAATGCTTTCTTCTCATGAGAACCCCCCTTAGCAACCTGAGTGGAGCCACCCCTAGAAAATGCTTGAGAGGTTTTGTTCTCCTTCCAGGGGTAGCCCATCGCCAACGATGAATGGATATTAGAATAACAGAATATAAATTGCTAGCTCTTCCTTGCCTCAAAGTAGGACAAGCCTGTGGTGCCAAAATCCAGAGATTCCTGGGGAATCAGGCAGAGCTTTCTCCCCACGGTCTCCTGCTCTCTTGCTTCTTTCATTTCTTTACGGGTTTCACCTGGGAGCCCTTCCTCACCAAGTTCCTTGCTGAAGAATCCCAGCTGTAGATTCCACTTCTTAATTGCCTGCTTAATACACCTGGTGATTACATAGGAGAAGTATTTGGTTATTTTTTGTTATACTTTAAGTTCTGGGGTACATGTGCAGAACGTGGAGGTTTGTTACATAGGCATACATGTGCCATGGTGGTTTGCTGCACCCATCAACCCATCATCTACATTAGGTATTTCTCCTAATTCCATCCCACCCCACGACAGGCAGTGATGTTCCCCTCCCTGTGTCCGTGTGTAGGAGAAGTATTTATTATGTCTATACATAATTTAAGAGAAATGCATGGAGATATGATGTGTATTATGCAATGGAGTTGGGAAGGAAGAGATGGAAGGAAGGAGATGTGGCCTAGTGCTATCCTACTGTAAGTTGGTGCAATCCTCTATTTCTTTCCTTTCCCCACCAGGAACATTAACTGTCACCCCTAGGACAGCACATTTTCTGGCTCCAGGCTTGATGACCATAGACTCCAAAAGAAGCTTTCATCAGGTTGACTACATTGACAGATGCTGCAAGCTTTGTCAGGTTACCCCCAGTCAGCAGCAGGCTCAGAAATAGAGGCAAATGACAACTGAACATAAAAAAAAATGGTCCACTTAAAAATGTATTTTGTATCTGCTTCCCAGCCTGACGTGCCTCCTGCCATGTCGACCTCAGAAACTTACTGGGGTGAAGAACATAAGTACAATTTTCTTCTTTAAATCAGTGCACAACTTCTCATACACTTTTTAGCTAAATTATGTTCCTTGCTCTGTTCTTTTGCTTAGATTTCTATAAGACTTAAAAAAAAACCTCCTTGGGGTCTCTCTCTCCAGCCACATTCCACCCCACTGCACCCCATGAGATACCGTCCTCTCCTTCCAACATATTCACACACCCCGGTATCCACAAATCATTGGAATGTCTGTTAATAAACACCCTGAAGCATTCTCTTTAGCTGAACAATTAAGAAAAATTTCTAAGAAACTGAACCATGTGTGACCTAAATTGGCTTTCAAAATGCTTTTTAGAGCTGAGGGAGCAGCATTTGCAGCATAATCGCCTTCCACCTTGACATTAATTATGCACCATGATGTTTAGAGAGCAACTCCGAGCCAGGAATATAAGTGTTTGTAAGGTAAACATGTCAAGCAAAACAGAACATTGTAAAATGAAGAAAATATTAAATCCAATGCTGTTATGATCCATTTCTCTACTCTTTTCTTGGTGGTTTTTCCTCATAAATCTTCTACATTCACCTACAAAGGACTGGCATTTCCTTCCTCAATAAGCGATAAGGTGACTCAACAATACTTATAGTTTGGATTTCTTGAAAGAGAAAAAGAAAAAAGAAGGTGCTTTTTTCCACTTTGTGGTTGAAAATAAAAAGGGCTTGCTGATTTAAAGAGCTGCACAGCCTTGGGTAGCCTTTAGAAAGCACTCTGTATAGGAACAATTCTGTTTCTATACAACCATGTGAACTGTAATTTCATTCCCCTTTCTTCATTATCAATGACATTTGCATGACAGCAGGGCCCTAACAGTTCCTGAGTTTACCTATTCCTAATCCTTATTTCTTCCTTTAGCATCATTAGCCCTTGTAGGTGGCATCTTTATTAATTGTTACACATAAAGCTTCAATGTCACAAAGGATCCCAGGTTTAGCAAGATACTTAATGAAAATATTCCACTAATTATAAGGAAAAAAGCCCCAAGACAGTATCCAAAATATTCAAAAGATTCCAGTAGTTTTCAAAATATTTTAGCATCTCTTCAACTAAATCTTATGACAAATTAAAAAAACAAACAAGGGTCAGGCACAGTGGCTCATGCCTGTAATCCCAGCACTTTGGGAGGCCGAGGCGGGTGGATCACAAGGTCAGGAGTTCAAGACCAGCCTGACAAACATGGTGAAACCCTGTCTCTACTAAAAATACAAAAATTAGCAGGCATGGTGGTGCGCAACTGTAATCCCAGGTAATTGGGAGGCTGACACAGAGAATTGCTTGAACCCAGGAGGTGGAGGTTGCAGTGAGCCTACATCGCACCACTGCACTCCAGCATGGGTGACAGAGTGAGACTCCATCTCAAAATAAAACAAAACCAACAACAACAACAACAACAAAAACAGGACAGGCACAGTGGCTCAAGCCTGTAATCCCAGCACTTTGGGAAGCCAAGGGTGGCAGATCACTTGAGCCCAGGAGTTTGAGACCAGCCTGAGGAAAATGGCAAAACCCCATTTCTACAAGAAATAACAAAAAAGTAGCCAGGCATGGTTGCAGGCCCCTGTAGTCCAAGCTACTTGAAAGGCTGAGGTGGGAGGCTCACCTGAGCATGGGAGGTTAAGGCTGCCGTGAGCTGTGATCATCCCACTGCATACCAGCCTGGGAGAGAGTGTGAGACCCTATCTCTCTCTCTAAAAAAAAAAAAAAAAAAGTGGAGAAGTGGAGCAGCCCAGCTAAGACAGACGCTACCCACTGTACACACATCCATTCCCCATGGGTGATTGTGTGAACAACTTCAAGGAACTCTCAGGGTGCTTGCCAAGCTCAGTTTGGAAACCAATGATTTAAACCACACACAATATATTGTTGTCTTCTGGATGAAGTATTTATGCTCACTGACAATAGGCCCATTAACTTTCCTTTTAAAACCATTCTACAGAAAATCATCTCCATCTAATAAGATTTCACTCACTGGATGACAGTTGAAATACACTTTTATGGGAAATATTGCCTTTATGTCTTTAGACATACCCATTGATAAAACATCTCCACCAGGAATCTCAAGTTGGTAGAACCTGTGAACACACTGGAAGATTATAGCATTGAAGAAAAGAAAAAGCATCAAGGAAGGACTTATTGTTGTGAAACCCACAAAACTCTTTAAAAAGTCATAGCTCTCTACAGGTGAAAATATTTACATTTCCTTTGGAAATAAAATACATTTCCTTAGGAAGGAAATTAGCAAGTGCCTGAGACTTGTGAATGATAATTGGAGCTAACCAGAGGTTTTACAGTGACTGAAAAGGGTAATTCTATAAAACTCAAGAGTAGAGTAAGATACAGGAAGATGATTTACTCAGTAAGAGATAGACCATTTCATATGAAATTCAAAGGAGCTAAGACAATGTTTAGCTAGGAAAGAAAGAATGTAGAAATTGAATTGCATTTGTATATTTGAAATTCCACTAAGTAAGAGAAGAAGTAGCCTTGTTTTGTGTTGCCCCAAGAGGAAAATGAGTGGAGTTTACAAAAGGCCAGATTTTACACTAACATAAAAAAGGCTTTCAAACTACAGTTGCCAGGTGATAAAACAGACAAACTTGAGAAGTAATAAGCTTCTAATACTAGAAGCATAAAAGTAGAAACTGAAAGACCTGATGGGGATTCTTAAACAGATCTGTTGTTGGGTTTACAAGACCTTAAAAGTCCTTACCAATACTCAATACAGGTATTCTAATTTGATTGCATTAATTACTAGCAGAAGTCAAAACACATTCTATCAAAAGTCATTAAAACATTCTTATATTACCAAGAGTGCTCTAAACCTTCATCAATTTGTTGAATGTGGCAGAATCCACATACAACATAACAAAGACAAAAATTGGGAGCATCTCTGAGAACGCTGAGGCGACTTCCCAAATGGTTATCAATGAGATTTTCTCCTCAACATTTAAACTCCTCCTATTGTAACCATAATAGAAGTCCATTGCCCGATGTGCAGGGCAAGTCAATATGCCAAGACAGAGTTGCAGCAGAGAAAGAGGTTTTAATTGTAGGGCCACAGAACAAGGGGATGGGAGGAAACCTCAAATCCATCTCTCTCAGGAGTTTGGGGCTAGGGTTTTTAAGAGTCTGGGAATGGGCCAAAGTGTGGAGATTGTTGATTGGTTGAGGAGTGCAGGATAAAGTCATAGGACAAGGAGATGAAGAAACTGCATTCTCATGCTGAGTCTGTTTTTCTGTGAGGGTCTTTAAACATCCATCAGCTGTTCTGCTGGAATTCAAGATCCACTGAAGCAATTCTAAAACAAAAGCTGTACGATTCTAACACCAGAGATCTATCTATCTAACATCAGAAATCTTATCTATGGGAACAATGGGGATGCAAATGGCTAGTATCTAACGTTACCTGACTTTCAGTTCCAAGGAAGTGGGTCAAAGTAAAGCCTCATTAATGCTTAATCATAACTAAATTTCTGTCAAGAATTCTTGTTAACCCCGTGAGATTGGCTTTAATATCTGATCTCAGTTCATTTAGACATAAAAATAGTGTATTAGTCTGTTTTCACACTGCTATAAGGAACTACATAAGACTGGGTAATTTATAAAGAAATAAAGGTTTAATTGACTCACAGTTCCACATGGCTGGGGAAGCCTCAGGAAACTTACAATCATAGCAGAAGGGGAAGCAAGGCACATCTTATATGGAGGTGGTTGAGAGGTACTGCCAAACACTTTTTAAACCATGAGATGTCATGAGAACTCACTATCATGAGAACAGCATGAGGGAAACTGCCCCCATGATCCCATCATCTCCTATCAGGTCCCTCCCTCAACATGTTGGGGATTACAATTCGAGATGAGCTGACACAGAGCCAAACCATATCATTCCACCTCAGCCCCTCTCAAATCTCATACCTTTTCACATTTCACAACTAATCATGCCTTCCCAACAATCCCCCAAAGTCTTAACTTATTCCAGCATTAACTTAAAAGTCCAAGTCCAAATTCTCATCTAAGACAAGGCAAGTCCCTTCCACTTATGAGCCTGTAAAATCAAAAACAAGTTAGTTACTTTCAAGATACAATGAGGGAACAGGCATCGGGGAAATGTTCTTGTTCCAAATGAGAGACATTGGCCAAAACAAAGGGACCACAGGTCCCATGCAAGTCTGAAACCCAGCAGGGCACTCATTAAATCTTAAAGTTCCAAAATAATCTCCTTTGACTCCATGTCTCACATCCAGGACATGCTGATGCAAGGGGTGAGCTACCAGGTCTTGGGCAGCTCCACCCCTGTGGCTTTGCCAGGTACAGTCCCCTCAGCTGCTTTCACAGGTGGGCATTGAGTGCCTGTGGCTTTTCCAGGCGCATGATGCAGGCTGTCAGTGGACTTACAATTCTGGGGCCTGGCAGATGGTGGCCCTCTTCTCACAGCTCCACTAAGCAATGCCCAAGTGGGGACTCTGTATGGGGGCTTCAACCTCATATTTCCCCTCTGCATTGCCCTGATAGAGGTTCTCCATGAGGGCTCTGCCCCTGCAGCAGACTTCTGCCTGGACATCCAGGCATTTTCATACATCCTCTGAAATTGACGGAGGGGTTCCAAAACTGAAATCTTGTCTTCTGCACACCCACATGCCCAACACCACATGGAAGGTGCCAAGGCTTGGGGCTTGCACCCTCTGAAGCAATGGCCTGAGTGGTATCTTGGCTCCTGTTAGCCATGGCTAAAGCTGGAATGGCTGGGACACAGGGCACCATGTCCCGAGGGTGCACAGAGCACCTGGGTCCTAGGAAACCATTTTTCCCTACTAGGCCTCCAGGCCAGTGATGGAAGGGGATGCTATGAAGATCTCTGAAATGCCTAGAAACATTTTCCCCATTATCTTGGCTATTAACCTTCAGCTCTTCATTACTTAAGCAAATTTCTGCAGCAGGCTTGAATTTATTCCTAGAAAAGGAGTTGTTCTTTTCTACTGCATGGTCAAGCTACAGATTTTTCAAACCTCTATGTTCTGCTTCCCTTTTGAACGTAAGTTCCAATTTCAGATCATCTCTTTGTGAATGCATATAACTGTACACTTTCAGAAAAAGCCAGGTCACAACTTGAATGTTTTGCTGCTTAGAAATTTATTCTGCCAGATACCCTAAATCATCTTTTGCAAGTTCAAAGTACCACAGATCTTTAGGACAGAGGCAAAATGCCAGCAGTCTCTTTGCTAAAGCATAGCAAGAGTGTGACCTTTGCTCCAGTTCACAATAAGTTCCTCATCTCCATCTGAGACCACCTCAGCCTGGACTTCATTGTCCATATCACTATCAGAATTTTGGTCAAAAACATTCAACAAGTCTCTAGGAAGTTCCAAACTTTCTCACATCTTTCTGTCTTATTCTGAGTCCTACAAACTGTTTCAACCTCTGCCCATTACCCAGTTTCAAAGTTGCTTCCACATTTTTAAGTATCTGTATAGCAATGCCCCAAACTCTCAGTACCAATTTTCTGTCTTAGTCCATTTTTACACTGCTGTAAAGAACTACCTGAGTCTGGGTAACTTATGAAGAAGAAAGATTTAATTGATTCACAGTTCTGCATGGCTGGGGAGGCCTCAGGAAACTTACAATCATGGTGGAAGGTGAAGGGGAAGCAAGACACATCTTACTTGGAGGTAGGAGAGGGCAGGGAACTGCCAAATACTTATAAGCCATCAGATCTCATGAGAAGTCACTATAATGAGAACAGCATGGGGGGAACCACCCCCATGATCCAATCACCTCCACCAGGTGATTCCTTGATACATGGGGATTACAATTCAAGAAGAGATTTGGGTGGGGACACAAAGCCAAACTATATCAAATAGTAATCGTATATGTCACTTTTAAAAAACATAAACATATACATTAGGTTGTTATTGTACTAAAGGCATACCTTGAATAATATGAGACACACACACAAACACCCACAGAAAGAAAAATAGCATTAAATCATAGAACGTCAGGATTGGTTTTGTGGTTTTTCCCCTACACACTCTTTAACTTTGTCTGAAAAGCTCAGTATGACCTCCATACTATTTGGCTTCAATAGGGCTCCCTTTTCTCTCCCTTTGTAAAAAATTAACAACAACAAAAAATTTCCTTCTCTAAAGGCACTTCTCTTCCATTCTACCTCAGTTCCCAAGTCACATATTTCTTCCTCAGAGAGGCCTTTCCCAACCATTCAATCTATAGAAGCACTTCATTTATTATTTATTTGTTCTTATCTTGTTTTTGGCCTAAATAATTGATTTATTTTCTTAATCTCTGAGTCTGTGCTAAATTAAAAGTTCTTTATTTGTTTTGTTTGCCATTGTAAATTCAAGACCAAACCACAGAATTCTCAATAAATATTTGGAGAGAGAATGAACAAGTTCAAAAATATAAGGAGAAACTTGTTCCTGAGGTTGATTACAAAAAGTATCTTATTAAGCTTTTCAAAATGTATAATCAGCCAGGCACAGTGGCTCACGCCTGTAATCCCAGCACTTTGGGAGGCTGAGGCAGGTGGATCACCTGAGGTCAGGAGTTCAAGACCAGCCAACCTGACCAACATGGTGAAACCTCATCTCTACTAAAAATACAAAATTAGCCAGGCATGGTGGCACATGCCTGTAATCCCAGCTACTTGGGAGGCTAAAGCAGGAGAATTGCTCGAACCTGGGAGGCGGAGGTTGCAGTGAGCTGAGATCGCGCCATTGCACTTCAGCCTGGGCAACAATAGTGAAACGCCATCTCAAAAAAAAAAAATGTATAATCATTTATTTTCAAATTCTGTTTTTTTGTTTTTTTTTACTTTAGTTACCTTTGTTTTCATTTTTTTAATTGTAAATTAGTAAATTGAATAACTATTATGTGCTGATATCATACAGGGATTATGTGGAATATTAGTAAATGCATGAGATATATACTCAAAATCTTACATTCTATTTATATTTATAATATATACTCAGACATCCTTTATAAAATAAGGCAGTAAATGATATTCTAGAGATAGAAAACATGGCATTGTGGTACCATAGGGGAAGGATGAGAAATACCCAGTATGTTTCTAGGTCTTCAATTGTTTTAAACTTTGTGGTAGATAGATTAGATAGATAGATAGATAGATAGATAGATAGATAGATAGATAATCTTACTGCGAAATAAATTTATTTGACATATTTTGAAATGGCTGAAATAGAGCCAGCAGAATGAAGTGGGCCTGCAAAGCTATCTTTTGTAGGATAAATTTGCATCTGTATAGAATTTCCATTAACGCAGCAAGGCCTTCCCTTTCTAGGCTTTTCCCAGATCTAGAAGAGCTTAACAGAGTCTGACCCCTTTAAAGGTCTGAAAAGAAACATTTACCATCTATTCTCTCTGAGGGCTATTGCCTATGAGGCTTCATCTACCTAACAAGACCACCTTCGCTAGCCAAGACCCTTCCTTTCTCCCTCCCATTACCTGTCTTGCCACTATAACCTGGTTTTGGCCATGCTCTGAGCCTGAATTTTTTCTGTAACCTCAAGGTAGTATATGAGCTTTTGTACCCCATTAAGGGGTTAGTTCTTTATTCAGAAGCCTCCCATGTATACACATTAAATAAATTTGTATGCTTTTTCTCCTATTAATCAATCTCTCATGTAAGTGATTTTCAGCAAACCTCCAGGAGGCCAACAGCCTTGCCCCTCACAATATAAACATACATATGTAACTGCCCAATGGATTCACCATGCCCGCTGCCTAAACAGAGCCAATTTATCAAGACAGGGGAATTGCAGTGGAGAAAGAGTAAATCATGCAGACCCACTGTGCGGGAGACCAGAGTTTTATTATTACTGAAATCAGTCTCCCCGAGCATTCAAGGATTGAAGTTTTTAAAGATAATTTGGCAGGTAGGGGCTTGGGAAGTGGGAAGTGCTGATTCGTCAGGTTGGAGATGGAATCATAAGGGGTTGAAGTAAAGTTTTCTTGCTGTCTTCTGTTCCTGGGTGGGATGGCAGAACTGGTTGAGCCAGATTACCCGTCTGGGTAGTGTCAGCTGATCCATCCAGTGCAGGGTCTGCAAAATATCTCAAGCACTGAAATTAGGTTTTACAATAGTGATGTTATCCCCAGGAGCAATTTGGGGGGGTGGTTCAGACTCTTGGAATCAGAGGCTACATGGCCCCTAATCCATACTCTCTAATCTTATAACTAATTTGTTAGTCCTGCAAAGGCAGACTGGTTCCCAGGCAGGAAGGGGGTCTTTTCAGTAAAGGGCTATTATCAATTTTATTTCAAACTATGAACTGGATTCCTTCCCAAAGTTAGTTCAGCCTGTGCCTAAGAATGAACAAGGACAGCTTAAAGGTTAGAAGCAAGTTGGAGTCAATTAGGTCTGATCTCGTTTACTGTTATAATTTCCTCAGTTATCATTTTTGCAAAGGTGGTTTCACATACATTTATGTATGTATGTATATACATATGTGAGACAGGTATGTGAAAGACAAATACAAGGTAGTGCACAGTAAGTGTTACATGAATATTATAAAATAAGTTGATATTACACGTAACTTTCAATGGATCAGTAGTCTTCAGCTTATTAAATAAACTTACTAAAAGCAAATTTTCAAAAATGCTTATAAATACCAAAACATATGTTTTTGTTTCTTTACTAAGTGTTATCTACCATATTTATTATCCTCGCTGTTTTAGCCAGTATTTGACTTGGAAAAGAGAAAACATTCCGTTGGAGGAAGAACCTTAGGAAGTCACCTGACTTAGATGTCAGATGAAACTTTCAGAAGATATACTGACTAAGATCTCGATAGAAATTGCTCAGGAGGGGAGGCAAATGAGAAGACATTCCAGGCAGAGAGAATGTCCAGGCAGAGAGAGAAAGTGAGGAAGTGAGAAAGATGTGCCTTCCAGAAACTGAAAGAAATGCAATATGGTTGGAGTGTAGTATATTTGGGGTTGACAAGAAGCAGAGCTGGAAAATGATGAAAGTAGAGAGGTAATGCAGAACCAAATCATGAGAGCTCACTTAAGCCAATTTCAAAGTTTGGAGGAACTTAGCAATAAAAGGTTGCTTTTGAATATGTCATGAGCAGTAAGGAAGCTTGTTTCTTGCCAAGACAACTCTTTCTTATTATGTTTAATCAGCTTTTTTAAACCTGAAGCAAATATGGCAAAATGTTATGATTTACTTAAACAGAATAGCTTTTGTAAATAATATTCTTTATACTTTTATGCTATGTTTAAATTTGCATAACAAAACTTAAGAGAGGTACAGACTAATGCGTAGATCAATCCAATAAATAAGGACCTCCACTTTCCACTTTCATATCTCCAGTATTATTAATGGAAGGAAATTTTGTATAAAGTCCAAACAGTGGCCCTCATTTTAACTCTTAGAAAGCAGAGGCATTATATGTTAGGGAGTGCTTGTCAAAGCACAGCTGAAATAATGATAGGATTTCTTGCTTACAGCAATTCATAATGTCTATTAATGTATATCAATGGAAACATGTTATATGAAAATTGTAGGTGGGAAATTGGATACGCCCATAATATACCTAGAGGTGCATTTATGCCTATTGAGCATCTTTCTTACATAAGCCTCTACCTATTGATATTGCTGAATCATTTCTACCTGCTGACCTAAGTCCTGGCCTTCTGTGGCCAATAGAAGATGTCTCTAAAACTACTGTGCATCAGTCTTTCACTTCAAGTATTTCTGAACATGTATGTGTAGTAATGTATAGACAGCGTTTTCCCATTGTACTTTGTTTTTGAACTTCTAAGCATAACCCAGATGTCCAAAGGTGCATGCCTGGGGTGGGGGAGTTTGTTCTGTGAAGCATGAACCAGCCTCATTACTTAAGGTAGTTCTCTCCCTTTCCTTCTAACAAATTTAAGTCTCTGCTCCAGACTCCGAAGAGTAGATGTCATTCTTCAAAAGCAATTTATAATGTTTGTTAAGGACTTCTCAGCATTTAGTTATAAAATTACTCAAATGCTTAGCAGTCCTCAAATCATCCATGTCATTCCAAGATCATCTCTATCAACCAGAAATGATATAAAATTAAAGAATTATTATGGACAAGCATAGTAATTATTTGGTAATGGCGAAGTTGGTAATGGCTCTATGGAATCCTTTCCAGTGCCTTTAATTCCTCAGAAACGGTGGCCACGACATTGACAAATTGACTTCTGACACATGGTTAAAATACTGGCAATGACCTATGCCCAAAAGTTCAGCTTTGAACTGGAAACAACAGAATAGTTTTCTTCTTCCATGAAACTTCAAAAAATATATACAGAAGAAAGACTTAGAGGCATGTTGGGATGTTGTCTCCTTTGCATATCATAGAGCCAAGTTTCCCATCTCTAGAATATCATTTATTGCCTACTTTTATAGAGAGCTATTTGTGTTTCTACTTCTCTTACCAGACAATAAACTTCTTGAATGGAATAATTAACTAAGGTTTTTTCACCTTCCAACAGGTGAAATCCAGCAATTAACACACTGTCTGTAACAAAGTAGAAGCTCAGAAAATGTTAACCAACCAAAATTGGCTTGAAATCATGGTTTCCAGAAGAATTAGGCTTTGTGGAAAATCACTGCTGAGTCAGAAATTGGCAAGAATCATTTTATGCCCTATTGGCATGTGGTTCTCTCTCCATTTCTTTCTCTCTCTCTTTTTTTTTTTTTATGAAGGAGTCTTGCTCTGTAGCCCAGGCTGGGAGTGCAGTGGCGTGATCTCAGCTCACAGCAATCTCGTCTCCTGCATTCAAGTGATTCTCGTGCCCCAGCCTCCCGAGTAGCTGAGATTACAGAGATGTGACACCATGCCCGGCTGATTTTTTTTTTTTTTTTTTTTTGGTATTTTTAGTAGAGACAGCATTTCACCATGTTGACCAGGCTGGTCTCAAACTCCTAACCTCAGGCGATCCGCCCACCTCGGCCTCCCAAAGTGGTGGGATTACAGGCATGAGCCACTGAGCCTGCCCTCTCTCTCCATTTCAAAGTGGTTCTTTCAAAATGAATCTGCTGAGAGCAGAGCCCAGGTGTTGAGAGCATCTGTATGTATCTATTTTCATCGATTGTAGAAGTTCCAAGGTGGTTAGGCTGGCAAGTTAAAATTAATGTAAAAATTTTTTCCCAGTGTCTCTAGCACAAAGAGGGAAGAAATCTTAAAATTAAAGTTTTAATATCTGGTGAAGACATAATGAAATTTTAATATTACAAAAGAAATAAGGTTTGTATAAATATTACAATAAGAAATAAGGTTTGTCTAAATAGTTTTGCAATGTTCCATGGAAATGAATGCTATACCAAACTTATTTCAAACAGAAATTTAAAAGTTCCTTAAAAAGTGCAAGAATTGAGAGCCTGCACTTTCTGTTAATCTTGTAATCATCCAGCTATATACCCATGATGAATTTTCTTCATTAGTTTTGCCTTGACAGGAAAATATAGCTGGCTGAAGTGACTGAAGCATTTACCCTTTCAAAAGTAGTATGCTAAGTTTCCATGTATTCATTTTAATTCATTTTTATCCTTTTTGTTTCCATGGGATAGTAGAAATTGTGTTCTCCACCCATCACTACAAAAGTAGTCATCAAAAATACCTAAAAACATAATGGATCAGAAGTTCTATGACACCCAGTGCCAAGAGAATGTGAAGAATCTTATTTACAAATATGGTATGTAAGTTATTCTAGGAAATGAGGGTTCTAACTACCACATAGGTCAAATGTATTGCTGCTATTGGGAAAAGGAGAGAGTCTGACTGGTAATATTCATCATGGTTTTAATGAGAGTTGGAGAGGAAGGTGTGAAGGGAAAACAAAGTTGCATAAAAACCCTTAGAGTTTTTAGAGAGCCAGAAGAATAAAAATTAACCTGGAGCATAGAAGAACTGATGCAGAAAAACAACCTGCAAGACATGGAGAGAAGTGTAGGAAAATTCCAAAGATTTCCCTGAATATGTGTAACTGCAATTCCCTACCAAACCTAGAGCATGATTCATGATTTAGAAATAATTTGGGCTTGTTTTTTCCTCATTGTGAAAGTCATAATTCCCCTGTGTGAAAACTGTGGAAAACAATTTAAGGAGTAACTATTACCCATTATTTAAATCCCCAAAGATAACTTCCATGAACATTGTGCTGTATATCCTTCCAGATATAGATACATATTCATGTTTTATGTAATTGAGAACATATTAAATATACAAGTTTTATGTCCTACATTTGTTTTTCCATTGCCATTAAAAACTCTCTTAATACATCATGTTATGCGTGTAATATTGTGTTAAATAGCTCAATGTTAAATATTTTTGTTCTTTCCAATGATTCACAATGATTTTTTAAAAACCACTGGGAATTTATGATCACCAAACCTGGAAGCAACTAAGATGTCCTTCAATAAGTGAGTGGATAAACTATGGTACATCTATAGAATATAACACTACACAGCAATGAAAGGAATCAGATATCAAGGTCATTGAAAAGACATGGATGAATCTTAAATTCATAATGTATATTTGCTAATAGGTAGGGGGAAAGGTTCTGACCTAAATAATTAGAAATGACCTAAATACCTTGTAAGACTGAAGTCAAAAGAAAATACACAAAAGCATTCTACTCTCACTGATAAAACTGTCTCTGGGGATTGTGAATTGACAATTCTAAAACCACTATACATATGTAGGGGATCGGTCAGGGTGGTGGGAGAAATTATGAGGATAAAGTTACAGAAAATAGACACAAACCTTCTTGGAAGGCCAGGAGGTTTGCATAGCTTCAGTAAAAGATTTGGCTGAAGGCAGCCTAATCCTCTTTACCTTGAGTTGATAGCAGAAGAGCAAATAACAAGGGAATGTGGGGGAGTTTATCTAAATAGCTTGTTTACTCATGTGGTCCTAAGACTGACCTTTGATCATCTGTGGGCCCATGATTGCTCTCTACTCATGAGGTCGGCAATGTTAATTACCCTCTAGTGGTGTTTACCTGAGACCTTTGTCATTTAATCTGTACTAAATAAATGCAAACTTCGCCGGCTAATTGAGGCCAAAGCTGCGGATGCAGGCAGCAGAGACCCGTAGCCACACTGACAGGCAAAATATCTGTGTCAGTGCACGTCTTTCATCTGTCGCTGGTTCAGGGTCTGCAGGTCTGACCTGGCATATATATATATATTGGAATTGAAGAAATTAAATAAATACATAGTGAATGATGAGAATCAGGTTTCTCACTGTTAAAGTATAAGGTTACAAATAAACCAGAGGTGTAAACTAAAATGATCCATGAAGCAATAGATTAAAGACATCAGCATGAACTCAAATTTAGCTTAATGCAGATACAGATGGTTACATATTTATTATTTATAGTTATGCATATGATCAGGGGTTAGTATATACACATATATTTCCTTGCTCTGTCAACTGAAAGAACCTAGAAACACTGACATTTAGTAGCAATAAGCCCACTTAGTGCCCAAATCTTGGTTTCTAATACTATTCTTCAATAAAAGGACAAGGGCTCCTTGGATGAATTGCTGAATCTAGGACTGGGGCAAGAAATACACAAGATGACCCTGGAGCATACAGTCATACCACAAAGAAAGAGCTTTAAAAAATACAATGATAAGATATGTCAAAATGACACAGACATCAACTAAAAGAGCTTTCAGAAGTCAAAGCTGAAACAATTTAACTAACAAAATAAAGTAGTATTGGATTTTTAGCTCAAAACATAAAATAACTATCTATGCATCTATACTATTATAAATAAATGTTAAATAAATTTAATAGGAGAAAAATAGATATATCTTCCATAAAGAAATATTCCAAGTAATTTATGTAACTATTCTGCCCTTACATTTGACAATTAATTTTCTAATTCTTAAATGGGAACTACTTTCAGTGACTTTCTTCCAAAGAGTACACTGGGAGAAGGGGAAAGAAAAGAGTAACTTGACAGTAGAGAAACATGATAAACACTACCTCAACCAGGTGATCAAGGTCAAACTCAACAGTGATGCCATGTTAATAGTAAGTACCCTTGAAAAGATGTGATGATAATGGCACTTTATCTCTGTGGTCTTCCTTCCAAAACCCACAAGTTCAATCTAATCACATTTTTAAAACTCAGAAAAATTTCAATAAAGGGACATCCTATAAAACATGTGAGCAGTAGGCCGGATGCGGTGGATCACGCCTATAATCCCAGCACTTTGGGAGGCTGATGCAGGCAGATCACGAGGTCAGGAGTTTGAGACCATCCTGGCTAACATGGTGAAACTCTGTGTCTACTAAAAATACAAAAAATTAGCTGGGCTTGGTGGCGGGCGCCTGTAGTCCCAGCTATTTGGGAGGCTGAGGCAGGAGAACGGCGTGAACCTGGGAGGCAGAACTTGCAGTGAGCCAAGATCGCACCACTGCACTCCAGCCTGGGCAACAGAGTGAGACTCCATCTCAAAAAAAAAAAACAAAAAAAACCATGTGAGCAGTACTCCCCAAAACTGTCAAGGTCAGCAAAAACAAGGGAAGTCTGAAAAATTCACATCTTAGAAGAACCTAAAAAGACATGATGACTATATGTAATGATAATCTAGATAGGATCCTGGAGCAATAAAATGTCATTAGGTAATAACTAAGGAAATCTGAATACGGTATGCATTTTAGTTACCATCAATGTTGGTTCATTCACTGGGACAAATGGACCTTATCAATATTTATATTAGGGGAAAATGGATGTAGTACATATGGAAATTTTCTATACTATCTTTGTAATATTTCTGTAAATCTAAAACTATGCTAAAGTAAAATAGTTATGTTTTAAACGATTAAGAATAATATTTTGGCCCCAAAGAGTTGTCCATAGTTCTGATTATTTTCTGAGAACTGGAATTACCGATTAAAAGTAAATGAATACTTTAAGGGGCCCTATTGCCAATTACTTACCATTACTTTTGCACTAATTTAATATGTCAGTGACAGCATTTGAGTGAGTCTGTCCCTGTTAGGAACCCTGATTAAAAGTGACTTAGATGTTGAATCTTCCTTACAGAAGCCAACTAGTCAAAAAGGGCTAGCTTTATTCAACCTGAAGTGAAAGAAGTCAGTATAACCTAGAGGATAAGTGTTCAGGGTTGAATGATGCTGCGTGAATTTGTATATGGCTCCACTATTTTCTGACTGACTTTGGGCAGGTTATGTAGCTGCCTTAATCCTCAGTCGTTCTTACCTGTAACATGACGATAACCAAATAACTCTACCATATGGTTTTGAGGACAATTAAATAAGGTAATGCATACCACTTAATTAGTACCATAGCTGGCACAAAGTAAGCACTTGTTCTCAGTTATTGTTATTGGTTTTTACTTGTTCATTCATTTAGTCAACAAATACTTATTGAAGAACTACTATGTGTTAGGCACTCTGGAAGGTTCTGGAGAGACAGTGGTCAACAAGACACAATCCCTGCCTCTAAGGAGCTTACCATCTTGCAGTAAAGTCCAAGACATGCACAAGAAATCACAATCTCATGTGATGAGCGTGCAAACAGACTTCCTGATTCCAGGGAGCAATGGAAGCATATGGCATGATCATGATCAAGAAAGCCTCATCAGGGAAGTAGACAGATGAGCCAAAATCTAAAGGATTTATAGGATTTAACCCAGTGGTGTACTGAAGCCAGCACACACCCGCTCTCTAGGACCCATTGTGCAAATTTCTTCCCAATTTTGTGTGCAATGACATCACATGGGTAGCTTGATAAAAGTCATGGTGAGAATGTTTATGCCATGAAAACCATCAAATGCTGCAAATCTGGGGTCCTCTTCTTCCCCTCTCCCAAAGGCAGTTGTTAAATATTTACCAGCAAAACACTGCTTTAACCAATCAAATTCTGAAGGAGGAATGTGGAGGGAAGCAAGGAGC
The DNA here is from genome assembly GCF_000001405.40 of Homo sapiens. Lineage (NCBI taxonomy): Eukaryota > Metazoa > Chordata > Mammalia > Primates > Hominidae > Homo > Homo sapiens. The sequence continues at coordinate 81,779,037 of NC_000014.9, read as the reverse complement.
ATGGTGGATTTGAGAAACTGAGAGGCATTTGTCTGAGCTAGAGCAGGAAGGGGTTATGAGGATAAAGAACAAGTGGGAACCAAATCATGTAGCCCTTTGTAAGCCAAATTAAGACATTTAGAATTTTTTTCTGAGGGCAATGGGGAGCCACTGAAGGGTGTAGGGCAGGGGATCAGATATGGTTTGCACATTAGAAAGATTCCCTCTGGATTTGAAGAGCATAGTGTAATTGAGAATAGACAGGGTGTGCTTAAGATTTTATGGATACATAGATGACTTGGATTTGATAATTATCTTTGTCTTCACAGGGTGGTATAATTAAAGTGCCATTATCAGTTAATATATCAAAATGTCTGTATTTTTTTCTTTGTGTTTCCTACCTGGATTTTTTTTAAGTTACTTTCTTAACAAACTGTCACAAAACAGTAGACTGAGATTTAACACTTTTGACAGTTTTATTACATTTCCAACAGTTCCTAGAAAATTTTCTTCTTCCCAATCCTACATTTATGAAGAGAGCAAGACCTGAGACTGAAATAAATGAAAAGGTTGCTGAAGGGAACAAGGTAAAAGATAATAGTCTGAACATGGGGGGTAGTTGTTGTGGTTATGGCAAATGGCTTTGAAAAATATTTAGGAGGTAGTTCATGATGATGGCATGAATGAGGAGAGTGAGAGGCAAGGAAAAGTGCAGATAAATGCTCAGATACCTGGCTGGGCACTGGTTACTTACACCACAAAATAGGAACCAATAGAGAAATAGTAATTTAGGGCCAGAATAATATAGTCCAGAAAACAAGGGGGTATGGTGGTGAAAGGGGGGAAAAGAATGTGTTTGTTCAATTACTGAGTTTAAAATGTCTTTGCAAGTTCTAAGAGAAACTGTGCAGAACTCAGTTGTGTATGTGAATATGGAGCTCAAAGAAACAGGAAAGAAAAAGCACCTTAAAAAACAAGGCATGGCCAGGTACAGTGGCTCATGCCTATAATCCCGGCACTTTGGGAGGTTGAGGCAGCAGAATCACTTGAGGCCAGAAGTCCAAGACCAGCCCAGGAAACATAGCAAGACCCAATCTCTACAAAAAAAGAAAAAATAATAATAACCAAATGTAGTAGTGTGTACCTGTAGTTCCAGTTACTCAGGAGGTGGAGGTGGGAGGATTGCTTGAGCCCAGGAGTTGGAGGCTGCAGTGAGTTCTGATTGCGTCCCTGCTCTCCAGCCTGGGTGACAGAGTGAGACCCTGTCTCTAAGAATAGCATGAAAAGTCTTCTTCCAGCATCTGGACACAAAGAAAGAGAATGAACCCTTGTGAAGCCAAAAGACGCAAGCACGTCTTCAAAGAAGAGCGAGTCAGCAGTGTCAAATACAGTAGAGAGGTCAAAAAAGAATTAAGACATTCTGTCTTTGCTGCTTCTACATGAGAATGAAGACCATTCTCAGGAATCAGATTAAACATTCCAGAAAATGTCAATATCACTCTGAATGGACTCACAGTTACGAAGGGCCCCAGAGGAACTCTGCAGAGAGACTTCACTCATATTAATGTAGAACTCGGTCTACTTGGAAAGAAAACAGAGGCTTCAAGTTGGCACAGTGGAGAAATAAGACAGGAATTTGCTCTGGTTCACACTATCCATAGTCATGTACAGAACAGGATCCAGAACATTACACTAGGCTTCCATTACAAGATGAAGTCTGTGTATGCTACAGGATGAAGTCTGTGTATGCTTACTTCCTACTCAGCATTGTCATTCAGGAGAATGGGTCTCTTGTTGACATTAGAAATTTCTTAAGTGAAAAATACATCTGCAAGGTTCAGATGAGGCCAAGTGTGGCTTGTTCCATCAGTATGTCAAGCCCAGAAAGAGGAGTTCATTTTTGAAGCTAATAACAGTAAACTTGTACCAAATTCAGCTTCTTTGATTTAGCAAGTTACAGCAGTTAAAAACAAGGATACCAAAAAATTGTTGGATGGTATCTATGTCTCTAAGAAAGGAACAGTTCCGCTGTCTGATGAATAAGGTCTAAGAGTTATCCAGCTATGGAAACGAGAAGATGCTGGATGATTTCTAAGACCTATTTGTGATATTTTTTATATGCAATAAAAGCCCTCTATTGTTAGAAAAAAAAATGGAAGGAAGGGATGGAGGAAAGGAGAAAGGGAGAAAGGGAGGAAGGAAGGAAGGAAGGGAGGGAGGGAAGGAAGGACTGGATTTAGTAGTAAGGTTCTCTCCTTAGCAGCCACCTACAGAGCCATTTCTGAAGAATGGCTGCGGCAAAGGTCAGATTGTAAAAGAGTTAAAAATAGCAAAGATAGACTATTTTTACCTGTGGCTTAGGTTTCTGCCTAGCAAGGTCAAACCATGTAACAAAGGTATGACCTAGCCCAGTACTTCTGAGACTCTTCCACCAAAATATTGCTTATAGCAAAACGGGGTGGGAATCTATGCATGTCTAGGGGTATAGGATCCTACAAATACAAAATTTCTCTAGCTTTATCCTAGTAATTCTTTTAAATTTATGTTTGTTATAGTATGAAAATAGTAGTTTTCAGCCCCAAAAAAATCTTTTGGAAAAAAAACATACTCCCAGGAAAATGTAAGATGTTTAAACAGTGGCCTCAGGGAGTTCTGCAGGGTGCATATAAACACTAGTTTGAGAAGCAAGGACTCACTCCAAGTTTTGTGTGGGAAAATGTACCTTTATTTCAATTACTTCACAGAGATTGTGTCACAGTTTACCCCGGGAGCGGTAGCTCACGCCCGTAATCCCAGCATTTTGGGAGGCCGAGGCGGGCAGATCACGAGGTCAAGAGATCGAGACCATCCTGGCCAACATGGTGAAACCCCCAGCTCCACCAAAAATACAAAAAAAATTAGCTGGGCATGGTGGCACGTGCCTGTAGTCCCAGCTACTCGGGAGGCTGAGGCAGGAGAATCACTTGAACCCGGGAGGCGGAGGTTGCAGTGAGCGGAGATCACGCCACTGCATTCCAGCCTGGTGACAGAGCAAGACTCCGTCTCAAAAAAAAGAAAAAGAAAAAGAAAAAAGAAAGGATACAAAGAAAGGGAAGTCATCCAAGAAGGCAAGAAGGCAATGTTGACCTAGAGAACAGATGCCAGACCAAACTAGAACTCAGGTTCTACTCCTGGATCACTGTAAAATGATAGTACAAGTTTGGGCAATCGCTTAAAGGCTGTGAGCCTCAGTTTCTACTTCTGTGAAATAAAGGAGCTAATGTGCACACTTAATAAATTCCTTTCCCGTCATAACTTTCTTCTCTGTTTGCCAGTGTTAACGTTAAATGGGCTGAAAGGAAAGGAACAGAGAAGTTAAAATCCTTTCAGAGCCAGGGCTAAATGCAACTATGTTCAAGAATTTTGAACTATGTTCAAAGAGTAACCACTTTCCTACAAGCCTGCAGTTCCAACCCTGTTTTATTTAGCTATAAATTTTCATAAAAATGGGTCTCAATCCAGATGTTACTGCCTGGCAGAAAATATGAATCAAAACAAAGAAAATTGCATCGTCTCTGTTTTGGCTTTTTTACATGTATAACATTCCTCAAATGCACAACAGCCAACATGCTATTATTCAGTTAGCAAATGTTTGTTAAGTACCTACTATTCAATCACATATAGTTCACCTTATGGGAAATACAGAAATAAATGAAATTAAATCTCTATAAAGATTTCACTCAAAGAAGAAACAGAGGTACACAACTCTAAGAAAAGGCAGAATAAAATAAATGTCATGGATGGAGATACAAGCCACATGCTCAAGGAATGATCATCTTTGACCAGGATCTTCCGCTGGAGAAGATGGTATTCTTTTCTTAGTGCTATAGTCACTGGGAAAGTTATTTAAAGGATGTGAGTCCTACAGTCCAACTAGTCATTGAAAAATGAGTTTTACACAAAAATTCTGACTGCAAATCCAGCTTTCTCTGCTGCCTCTACAAAAAAAAAATTTATATTATGCTCTTCAATTTATGAAAACATATATATCTGTGTCTATTTACACAGAGATGTATAAAATTCTATTTAATCTTCACATCAATCCTAAGAAAGAGTTGTTTTTACTTATCCAAATGTTTCACAAATCTAAGACTCTCAGAGGTTTCAGGACTTGCCCAAGATCAATCAGAACAAATCATAAAGATAGGGCTCAAACCCAAAATTCATAACACCCACGTCTGGAGTTTCCCCTGAAATATTCCTAGCATGCAAGCTGCCGTGCTCTGGGGTAAACTGATAGACCTCCTATCTGATCACTGTTACTACCAGGAAGAAGATAAGGACTGGAATTCCAAAATTCTTCTATTTAAATGATTTTATATCTACTGTATTTATTAAAATAAAAACACACAGGGGATTATGAAGCTATATCCATCCCTTACAATGTAGTAGGGTAAGTGACTGTCCCTTGAGCAGAGCTTAGGAAAAGGTAGATAGTGCAGAGATGCCAAGAACACAAGGACGGCAAGGCACCACACCAGCAGAAGTAGAGAGCTGTAAGACAGAAGCATTGATAATCAGTTTTGCCTCCTTCACAATCCTGCCCAAGGAGAGACTCAGGAATGAAAGAGGAATTTCACCATGTCTGTCACTTTTGCATCTTTTCTGTGAAATGAAAAAAAGAAACCGAAAGGTAAACATGTCTCCAACAGCATTAATTTGTAAAGAGTCCAAATCCCCTTTTAATGTGTTACTTTTCTTAAAATAATTACCAGAAAAGAAGAAAGTCACTGAATAATTTTTCAGCATTTTAAGAGGAGCACTCCACAAATATGTGCATTTATGTGGGCTCTTCCTGTACGCATCTAGCTTATTGATGCTGCAAGTCATGTTTCCAAGCAGATTGCCATGATGGGTCATAATAGATTGCACTGGGGTAGGAATGTGGACTAAGTGGAAATGCAGGGCTAATCTGTCAGGTCCAACCAAGATAAATATCCCAGCAGTACTGCCATATTTCACAGTGCCTAGTGTTGACTATAGATCTCCTGACATGATAAATTTTATGGCCAAATGTGGTGGCATTTTGCAACCCTGGGTCTACTAAGGATGGTTGGTCCTTCTCTGATGGGGTCAGTTGTGATAAATGGCCCTGTTGAACTCCCCATGAAATATGACATTTCAGGATAGCCAAATTCTCTTTGATGCGCATGTCCCAGTTAGCCTCAAGACATTTACCAGAGGAGCTTTTCTAGTTGGAAGAATGAAATGGTACCAGATATGACCTTCTCATCTTCCTTACTATTTTGTCAGCAATGAAAAAGAAAGTGGTAGAATCTCTTTCCCAGGAAGATTGTGGACAGATTTCCCTCTCGAGTGACAGGAGGTGGAGGGCACTACCTGGGAGGAGAAGAAGGAAAGAGATAATTGGTTCAATCTCCTGCATCTTTTGTTAATTCCCCTGACATGGAGCCACCAATTCGTTTTGGAGGAAGTTGTCTTTCCCTATACAAGAGGCCTGAGTAGCCAATAAACTGATGCTACGTATTTCTCCAAGGAAACTGACATTTTATCCAGAGCAAGCCAAAATGATGTTTCCATACACAGAATTATGTATATGCTTCATAAGAAAAGAAAGCTTGAAAACTTCTGTAGACCACCCCATTTCCCATCTTTTCAAGACTAGTTTATGAATGACAGTGATGATAAAAGCGCATGGTACCTGCAGGCTTATGTCAGCATACCCTGTCTCCAGTTAATTCAGCCTTGCACACAAGAGCACAAACTGTCATAGTTTAACATCTGTCACAAAATAACTATGTGACCCCGGGCAAGTAACTAACCTCTGAGCCTTGGGTTTCTCAGATGTAATGAACCCAAATTTCCTTCTGTTGCAAACTTCTAGTAGGTAGTACAACAATGTGTTAAAGAGCACAGATTCTGGAATCAGGCTGCCTAAGTTCAAAAGCTGTATCCTTCACATAATACACAAGGACCTTCAGAAATTTCTTTAATCTCTCTGTGCTCCATTTTTCTCATCTGTGAAATGGAGTTGATAATCAAAGCACTCAATACATAGGGCTGTGGTGAGCATTAAATAATTTAATATATGCAAAGTGCTTCTAATCAAGGACAGAAGATAATGAGTTTTCAGTAAGTGATTGCAATTATTATACTAGGATTCTATGTACATGGTATTCAAGTAATGGTGATCAGTCCAGTACGTGAGCTGTTACATAGTAAAATAATTAACATTTTTTTACTATCTCACCGTCACCTGTAAATGGACTCCTACATGTGGACAAATTGTTATCAACAAACAACAGGAACAGAACTGCATAATATTAATCATTATACTTCTATTTTCTTTATCAGTTTATGTCACCATCATGTCCACAAATGGTAATATTTTAAACTCTTTCTTCCCCTGAATTAGTCCCACCCCCATCTTCTTACTCAATAAACCACACACACACACATACACACAAGTACTCAAACCACAGTCATTACACAAATCTTTTCTAACTTCAACTGCCCAATATTTCAACACCACATCCTCTCTTTTCCATTCCTATAACAATCACACATGGGATGCATTCAATAAAGTTTCCTTGATGATGACGATGCTAATATGACTGAATATGAACATAATGGTCTTAGATTAGTAAACTGTATTTATTATTTTCAAAGTATACAGGTAAATCATATGTGCTTTATTCATTCATTCATGCAGCTGTAAGCCTACCATATATTAAGCCCTGAAAAATCTCTTTTGGGCCCAAAACAATGATGTAACACATCAAAATCTCATCTAAATTTACATTCAGGCAAAATCTTAGTTATTATCTTATGGTCAAGCCATAGAGCATTCATTTTGTAAGCAATTACTTACAGAAAATAATTCATTAAATTCCTAATTGTTTTTCTTCTTAGGACTTTGCTTTGGTCTATAGATACATTTTTCTAGTTGTGACTTCCTCATCTGAATATTAAGGAAGTTTGACTAAATAGTCTCAGAGGTCACTTTCTGTTCTAATGTTCTATGGAACAAAGACAAAAATAGTTCCCCATGATTAGAACTTAAGGAAATAATATCAGCCAGGAAATATAATGGATTCTAAAATAATGACAAAAAGGATATGCACAAAATTGATTATTTCTGGGTGGTCAGCTTGTGGATGAATTTTATTACTACCTTAATGTTCTCTGTCTCTCCTCTTTATTCTTTTCCTGTTTGGTTGCACTATTATTATATGGGCTGCCAAAAGGAGTAAAGTGTGATCAGCTTTCCTGGAACATTAAGTCTGGAGAAATTCTGAGGGGATACTCCTGGCTCCCATTTGATTGATGGGTCAGTTGAGCAACAGCTGACATATAATGAAAAAATCATAGACTTCAGAGTCCAAAGACTATACTTTAAGTCCCAGTTTTTCTTTCAGCTTTATATTCCACTACAAACAATTCACGTTTCTTCTCTGAGGCTCAGGTTCAGCATCTATAAAATGCATATCCTCACAATTGAAGGCACAACCTTTGCCTGGCTGTCTAGCTATGTCATCAGTACAAGAAAGACATTGCTATTCCTTATCTTCCAAATGTGAGAGAAGAAACTCAGTGAGGTTAAAAGAGGTAGTACAAGTGAAAGTACCTTGTAAATCCCAAAGTTCTACATGCATTTTGTTGTAGTTGTTACTGTTAGATTACCCCAACAAAATATTAAGCTTTTACGCCTATGTGATTACAGTAATGCAGACAATAGTATAAACTTTGATTATAAGTAGACATGTTTGTTCTCCTTAATTTGAGATATACAGAAAAAAATTCAAGAGGAGAGTAGCACTTCCTTTTTCCACTAAACTTCAAGCATGGTAGGAGTGGCCTATGTCTATCTTGTACACCAATGGGCATTTGTAGCACGTAGTAAAGAGCCTGGAATATAGAAGGAGTTTAGTAAGTATAGTAAAACTCTTCCAGTGATGGATGTGATTCCATTTTATGATTTCCATAAAATGCCTGATTGCATTATTGCAAGATTAACGAAAAGGCTATGCAGTTTGCTAGCTCAAGGCTGTTGGGTGTGCAATCTAAATTCATCTAGTCCCATGGCTGTGACTTGGTCCCACTTCATTGTCATCTTCTCTGGCTTAAATATTGATTCCAGGTCTTCTGGCTGCCTGAGATTTCCAGGATGGGAAATACAATTATAGACATATCTTTGCACCTTTTCCCCTCCTTATCTGGGTAGGAATAAAGAACTTTGGAAATATGAGGACCCATTCTCTGGCTCCACACTTCCCAAGAAAAACTTTCTCTACTGTTTCTTTTTTTTTCCATAGGTTTTTGCGGAACAAATGGTGTTTGGTTACATGAGTAAGCTCTTTAGTGGTGATTTTTGAGATTTTGATGCACCCATCACCTAAGCAGTACACACTGTACCCAAAGTGTAGTTTTTTATCCCTCATACCCTCCCACCCTTTCACCCAAGTCCCCAAAGTCCACTGTATCATTCTTACGCCTTTGCATTCTCATAGGTTAGCTCCCACTTACGAGTGAGAACATATGATGTTTGGTTTTCCATTCCTGAGTTACTTCACTTACAATAATAGTATCCAGTTCCATCCAGGTTGCTGTAAATTTCATTATTTTGTTCCTTTTTATGGCTGAATAGTATTCCATGGCGTGTGTGTGTATATATATATATGTACATACATACATACATATATATACACCACAATTTCTTTGTCCACTCATTGATTGATGGCCATTTGGGCTGGTTCCATATTTTTGCAATTGCAAATTGTGCTGCTATAAACATGCATGTACAAGTATCTTTTTCGTATAATGACTTCTTTTCCTCTGGGTGGATACCCAGTAGTGGGACTGCTGGATCAAATGGTATTTCTACTTATAGTTCTTTAAGGAACCTCCACACGGTTTTCCATTGTGGTTGTACTAGTTAACATTCCCACCAGCAGTGTAAAAATGTTCCCTTTTTACTGCATCCCCACCAACATCTATTTTTTTTTAATTTTTTGATTATGGCCATTCTTGCAGGAGTAAGGTGGTACTGCATTGTAGTTTTGATTTGCATTTCCCTGATCATTAGTTATGTTGAGCATTTTATTACATGTTTGTTGGCCATTCGTATATCTCCTTTTGAGAATTGTCAATTCATGTCCTCAGCCCATTTTTTGATGGGTTTGTTTGGTTTTTTCTTGATAATTTGAGTTCCCTGTAGCTTCTGGATATCAGTCCTTTGTCGGATGTACAGACTGTGAAGATTTTCTCCCACTCTGTGGGTTGTTTGTTCACTCTGCTGATTGTTTCTTTTGCTGTGTGGAAACTTTAGTTTAATTAAGTCCCATCTATTTATCATTGTTTTGTTGCATTTGCTTTTGGGTTCTTGGTCATGAAGTCTTTGCCTGAGACAATGTCTAGAAGGGTTTTTCCAATGTTATCTTCTAGAATGTTTATGGTTTCAGGTCTTAGATTTAAGTTCTTGATCCATCTTGAGGTGATTTTCATATAAGGTGACAGATGAGGATCCAGTGTCATTCTTCTACATGTGGCTAGGCAATTATCCTAGCACCATTTGTTGAATAGGGTGTCCTTTCCCCACTTTATGTTTTCGTTTGCTTTGTCAAAGATCAGTTGGCTGTCAATATTTTACTTTATTTCTGGGTTCTCTATTCTGTTCCATTTGTCTATGTGCCTATTTTTATTGCAGTACCACGCTGTTGTGGTGACTATGGACTTATAGTATAAAAATGACCATACTGCCAAAAGCAATCTATAAATTCAATGCAATTCCAATCAAAATACCACCATCATTCTTCACAGAACTAGAAAAGACAATCCTAAAATTCATCTGGAACCAAAAAAGAGCCTACATTCCCTGCCATTTCTTCACCTGATCTCACCCTCCCCTTTCTAACGAGTCTCCTCTCTCTCCCTGAGAAGAAATCCAATCAGGGACTGAGCAGAAGACCAATATTTATTACCAATACTCACTGTGTTTTACTATTGGTAAATTAAATGAATATAGAGTTATAAGAATGACTTAGATAAATAAAAGTGGCATGTTTAATATTTAACATATTAAATGAAACTGGTATATATTGAGACAAACAATATTCCCAAAATGATTTGAATTTTTTTTCAGAGAAAAAGAAGTGAGAAAGGGATCAAAGAGAAAAAAAGAAAGCGACATTTGTACTAAGAAATGACCCAGTTGTGTCTTTAAAGATAGAACACATTTTGAGAAGCAGGCAGACCCACAGACAAAACTCTCCCAAACAGCAATTTTTTAATTCCTTGGCTTCCACTATGAAATCAATTACTTTTTCATGAATAGTAAACTTACTCTGTCCTATACTCTTCCAACTTGTCTAAGATAGAGTCTATCATTGGATCATTTAATTGGATCAGCTCACTCTTCATGATAAGCATGAGCATTACACAATATTTTATACTCCAAATTTGAAGGAACCTTACATATCTGCCCCATCAGTTGGTTACCATCTTAGCTTACCAAATTTATGATCTGTGAGCTTCCATGACCACTCACAGCTGTCTTGATTTTCCCTGGGGCTGCAGCAATGATGGTTGAGAAGAAATTCCTAAGTGTTTGGTTTTGAAGTACTGTGTTGGCCTCATGAGACTGGAGTAAGAAAAGAGAGGAAGTTTCTGTTTCTCTCAGATTTCATTTTAACAAGATTCCAGACTGACATGATTTTCCAACCAAGTGGGACCAATTTAAATACCAGGATATGGTGATTTTTTCTTACTATTTGATTTTAGTATTTCACTTTTTAACTAGGAACCATAAGGCATTATTCAATAAATATTTAATAGGCTCTTATAATATAGAAAGTACCCTGCTAAGTCTTGCTGAAGACGTAAAGGAAAATAAAACATGACTTGTTTCCAATCCAGTTATGCCATTTCATATACATGTAATGCAGTTAAATATACGTGAGAGCATAAATGAACTAGAAGCAAACTCTCTCTCTCTATATATATATGTCCCATTATCCTATTATTTAATATTTAAATATGCCACTTTTCTTCATATATATACACACTCATATATACACACACACACATTTTTGTGTACGTATATATGTATCTATATCTATTGTCTATATCTATTATCAACTGAAGAATAATAAGGTTCATAAATTTGGAAGGAAGAGCTTTATTTCTCTTAAATGGTTGCAGCCTGCAGGTGGCCATTCTGACAGGCCAGAAAGTGTAGCATCCAGTCACAAGCCAAAAACAGGAACTTTGAGGGAGACTTAAAGGGAACAGAAATTTATGCTGAGTGGAGTGGCCAAGTATACACATTTAATAAGCTATAGGAGGAGTCATTAATATTTATGAATGGAGAAAGATGCACATGTGCAATTGAGATTTACATCCCTTCATGGGTCACATGTACAAAAAGTGATGGCATCAGCATGATCTGAGGATGGAGTTTTCAGCCCTCTGAGGTCAAAAGATAAAGCAGAGGACACAAAAATCCTCATTGTATACCCTCTATAGACTGGCCAGAACCACTCCATGGTCCCTGGTCTCTTATCAGCAAGGAATGCCATTCAGCCATTGTATTAAAACCACAAAAAGGGAGAAGCAGCCTCAGGGGTTGGTTGAAATCAGCAGTAGAGTGAATCTTTCAAAAGAGCTGGTTTCTGTTTAACCCTCAAGGAAAAAAGTCTAATGGCAGTTAGCAAAGAAGGGTGTATAATGAGGTGAATCTGCCCTCTTATCACTTTACGGCTAGGAACTCTGTTTTCAAGGTTTCCCTAGGGTCCCCTTGGCCAAGAGGGGGTCAGTTCAATTGGTTGGATAGAACAGAATTTCATTTTTATTTCTCACTCTATAGAGAGAAAAATACATAGATAGATGATAGATAGATAGATAGATAGAGACAGATAGATAGATAGACATAGATAGATAGAGATAGACAGACAGACAGACAGACAGACAGATAGATAGATGCTATAATAACTCACAATATAAGACAGCATACAGGCTCCAATAGGTGAATGGCAATATGTAAAAAGGAAGAGTGGAAATATCAGAGAAGAATCAAAAGATATGAGCCCCAACTCACACACAAAAAAATAGATACTTTTTTTTTAATGGAGAGTGTGGAGTCCTGATAAGCAACAAGGATGGAGACTAGCTGTCGAGATAGAAGAAAGAAGAAAAGGGGGAGAGGAAAACCAGTTCTCGCAAGAAGGCTGACTAAACACCCTTGCACAAACACCCTGTCACAGGATGCCTGGGGTGGAAAGGCCTGCCAGTTAAAAATCACCCCAATGTATTTTTAGCAAAGCAGCATGACCCTAACCACATATAGCCCCTAGAGCGTGACCCTATAAAACTTCCCTCAAGCCCTTGACTCTTCTCAAACAACCCCTTCTCTGCTGTGCTGCCCATTGCTTCCTTGCAACATATTTTCTCTCTAATAAACCTGCTTTCTTTAACTCACTACTGTCTTGGTAAATTCTTTTGCCACCCACAATGCCAGCCCCAGTCAGTCACAACCCATGACAGGGAGGATTTCAACTGATGGAGAACAGGTTGGCAGATATGAGATAACCCAGTCAACTTGAGAAATATTGAGAAATATTAAGAAATCATGTTTAAATGACACTTTAGTGCTGAAATTTAAAAGCCATCAGAGTGAAGAATTTGGCCTTCACGCTACAAATAAGAAAAAGCCATTCAAGGGTTCTTAGTAAAGTAACATCAAAAAGTAATATTTAGGAGGATCCATCTATCAGCATTAGGTAGACTCATTTAAAGAAAAGTCGTTTGTAGGCAGAGAATCTAACACAATGAAACTTCATGGGAAGGCAGAATCAGTGGACTGATCTGGCTTCAAATTCCATTCACTAGCTCTATGGCCTCAAGCAATTTACTCAACTTCTCTTTGGTTTCACAGTTCCCCCAACTGTAAAAGAGAAATAAGAAAAGAAAATTTACAAGTTTGTGGTCAAGATTAAATCAGATGGTATATGTAAAGTGCCTAGCAAGGAACTGGCTCAGTTTTTGTTTACGGAAGAATGTCTTAATTTTGCCTTCACTTTGGATGGATGGTTTTGTTAATTATACAAACCATGATTGACAGGTCTTTTTCTTTTAGCACTTTGAATATGTTATTCCATTGCCTTCTGGCCTCTGTTGTTTCTGATGAACTATAAGGCATTTTTCATGTTATTGTTCACTTCTACATGTTGAGTCATTGTTCTCTTGCTGCTTTCAAGTTTCTCTTTTGGTTTTTGGCCTTCACCAGTTTGACTGTGATACGTATGATTCAGATCTTTTTTGTTTATCATTCTTGGGGTTCTCTGAACTTATTCTGCCACTTTGGAAATAATTGGCTGAACCCCTGTCTTTTAAGTAATGTATGCCAATACAAATGTATAAAGTTTCATTAAGTGTGAAGTTTAGCTTATTAATATTTAGCTTAGAATTTATCTTAGAACCATTTTCCTTCTTAGGTTGCAGTATTTTTCTTCTACATTTTGCTCCACTAGCCACCTTATAAGTTACTTCACCACTGACATACTTTACTTGCCCTCAGAAATCAGGCAGAATGGATATGGTACTAGTTTCTGTGATATAAAGAAATAATTTGTAAATTCATTGGTTGCATTTAGTAAAAATTAATATTTATTGGTCACTCCCTCTAATCTCCAATCCTCTTTCTAAGTATTTGCAAATATGATCTCATATAATCATCCTCACAAACCATATACTATATACTATATATTGTCTCATTTTACAGATGAGCAAACTAAGGCTTAGAGGGGTTAAATAACTTCTCTTGGTCGCACAGCTACTAGTAAGTGGCTGAACCAGATTCAGTTGACCAGTCTGACTCATAAGCACTATACATTACTGTCTGAATTGAGGCATGCTTCTTTAATTTTGTATTTCTTTTCCCAAAGGCAGAAATTTATTTCAAATCTCCAACCTTCATTTTAACTTGAACATAATGATAATGTGCTTTCTATCAGGGCCTTTATTTATACTCCGATACAAGAGGCAATATTGCAAAGTGTCTCTTGTACCCTGATTTTGGTAATAGATTATCTGAATTCAAATGTAAGTCCATCTCTTTGCTATCTGTATTGACAAGTAATTTAAAATCTGTGTGTCTTGGTTTTCTCATCTTAATTCAGTATAATAAGAGTAACTACCACTTAGTACCGCAAAATGCTAGGACAGTCTAACCCAAAGTAAGCGCTCAATAAACGTTAGATATTATTATTACCTTGTATCTTTTACATTGTACTTATCAGATTATACTACAATTTTCTGTTTGTCTGATTTTCCTATTAACTATTAACCCCAAAAGGCAGAGACTATATCATTTTCATCTTTGTAGCCCTGAAGCCTATCAGTATCTGAAACACAGTACTAATACATTATATTTTTAAGGGATAGATGGATGAAAGAGTTTTTTCACTGGGCAAGCTAACATTTTACATCAGATTTTCAGCCTAGAAAAAAATAGCCAGGTATTCTCTGTTAATTTTCAGAACATGGTAAGTTCACCATATACATAGCAGTAAACTGCAGATGGCAAAGGAAAACTCCCCGCAAACAGAGAGAACAGAGATGTCTGTGGCCCTAGCTCATCACACATCTTTGACAAATCTAGTTTATGTAACTCCACAGAAGCTAATGAGAAGCAATGAGGACTAATGGCCCAGAAGTTCTCTTGATTTCAGAATAATCCATGCCAATCTTACTTTGTTCAAGGCATACCTGCTTTTGGGTAGTAGTCCACTGGTAGGCGTTTCATTTTCCCTTGTAATTAATGATTTCCTTCTATCGTCCATCCCACCATTCCCTCTCCCTCATCTTCACATGGTCCACATACACACCAGAGGAAATGTCTGTGTTCATGTGCCATATTAGCCTCTTGAGAGGGCTTACATTTGAGATTTTTAGTCTCAAGAGAAAAAAAATGACCAGAAAATTTAATAGTACTGTTTTATATGTGTATATATATGTACATTTACATTCATGCACATATACATATAGGCACATGGATATATATATATGTGCATATACACATCCAACTAAAAAAAGTTAGCTTATTGGTATCATTAGGAATTCAATACAGAAAACATGGACTGACCAAGAGGCTGGGCGCGGTGGCTCACAAGGCTGAGGCGGGTGGATCACAAGGTCAGGAGATTGAGACCATATGGCTAACAAGGTGAAAAAAAATTAGCCAGGCGTGGTGGCGCGTGCCTGTAGTCCCAGCTACTCAGGAGGCTGAGGCAGAAGAACTGCGTGAACCCACGAGGCGGAGCTTGCAGTGAGCCAAGATTGCACCACTGCACTCCAGCCTGGGCGACAGAGAAAAAAAAAGTCTCAAAAAAACAAAACAAAACAAAAAAAACATGGCCTGACCTTAGCCCAACACCTAAAGACCTGATCTCTGGAGTGATACCATTTGGGTTTGAAGCTCAGCTCCATCATTTGCTACCTGTGTCTCTTTTTTCGTAAATCACTTTTCTGAGTATCTATTTCCTCATTTATACCTTTCTCACTGGCTGGTGGTCAGGATTAAATGAGATAATTAATTAGGTACAGTATTTTCACAATGTCAGATATGAAGGAAGATGGCAACGTTATCATCATTCTCATTTTACAGATACAAAAACCAATGGTTAGAGATGTTAGCAACCGGCAGCATGTTTTCCTGAAAATTAACTCCGCAAAACCAAACTTTCTAAACATCTAATTTGTTTTATTTACTAAGTTTCCTGGTTTGATGAAAATGCTTTTTATACCTTTAAGTGATGAGAAAACTAAAAATCAAACAGGAATATTTTAAGAACTTAAAAGGAAGGTTGAATTTTGGTGTCTCACGATAAACGATCTAGCAAAACAGAAATGTCAACATTTATAATGGGAATTTCTCAGTTTCTGTTGATCTCTAGATCCATTTTAACATTATTTCTGTTTTGTCAGATTTTAGCAGTTTCAGGAATTTTTCAGTCATTTTTTAAAATTCTTTGCATTTATTAATTTATAGTCAAGGAATATTAGAGGTACTAATCATGTAATCTACTATAATAAAATATTCTGAACAGCTCCACTTTCTTTACACACTTTGAAATTTTTAACCCTTTTATGTCCAGTATGTCAATTAACTTATAACTATCCCAATTGTCTCTTATTGGCAAATAGAATTTCTGTGTTTCCCATCTGATGAGATTTTTCTCCAATTTATGTTTATTTAAGATGCTTTTAGATTTAATTTTAAATTCTTAATTTAATTTAAACAGTTAATGTAATTCAATCTTTCCTTAATCAAAATAACTAAAAATTGAACTTAAATTAAAATAAAGATTTAATTCCACTTAAAATAGAAGCTCAATTTAAAATTAAAATTTAATTTAATTTGAAATTGTGATTATTTCACATGCTTTTGAATTAAATTTAAATTTTAAATTGTTACAGATACAAACTGAAACTTGATATGCCATTTGAGATATTGGCAGCAGAATATTAAAAGTGCTTGAAATTTGAAAAAATATAAAATGACATTCAAAAGCATCCAAATTCACATCCAAAAGAAGTAACTGAAACAATTCTAACATGTATAAAAGTCAAAATGTTGGCTGGAAAATAGCATTTTTAATTGAACTTCTTATGATTTTTTAAATTCTTGACCATTTTTCTCAGTTACAATATTAGACTTAGTTTAATTCATATTCCTGTTAAGCTGACTAACATTGTTGTTAAAAACTATCAGAACTGGTTATTTGGTTAACAGATCATCAGGAGAATGGATCTGCTTCCTAGGTAATTTTCCCACAGTTACATACTGGCAGCCAATTTTAGAGCCAAAATCTCCTGCAGACATAGTCAATTCTCCTTTCGGTGCACGATTTTAGAGAATATAGGCCAAAGAAACTCATATGGAAAGTCTGCCATGGTTAGTCTACTTGAGCAAGTTTTACATGACCATAGATTACCCAGTGCCAGGTTAAGTGAAATTTTGGTTTTGAGTACATAATCAGAACAATTAAGCAATATGTTATGGGTTGTTTCCACATTTTGTGTTAAAGGATAAAACTTCCATTTAGTGTTCTCCATATTTTCAGCTAAATATTATCTCCCAAACATCTTTTTGATCAAACAAGAAGGAAACTCCATTTTCTGATCCCCCATTATTTTATCAGAAACTACTTTAGTTACCTCTTCAAACAGTCAAACTTTGAGGCACGCCATAATATTTTTATATTGTTGTTTTTACTTCTTAAGGAAGTTGGTAAAATTCTCCTTTAGGAGAAAAGCAAGATGATACACTAAGGAGAAAAAAATCATATTTTGATGAGTACCCAAAAAAACTAGAAAACAAACAATAGTTGCCTCTTTCTTCCAACATCTAACAGTTTTGCTCATTATTTTGAATATATGGTTACTCTTTAGGAAACTACTGTCACCAATGTTTGTGAAAAAATGTTACTAAAATACATATTTATATTATCTCTTTTCAAGAGTTATATAAATCCCTATTTATTTAAAGAAATGTCATACATTTCAATGATTTTATTTCCTTTCTCTAATAGAAGACATTTTAGAAAAAGCCAATAAAATTAAGAAAGAGCAAGGAATGGTATGCCATGCACTGTGCGTAGGTGTTCAGTAAATGGTATTTTATGTTGATAAGGAGAAGTAAGAGAAAAATAAGGAGAAGTACAATTCTAAGTATATTATTTTTTAATTTATGCTGCAAAACAGAATTATTTAGTCACACCTCTAAATTTAGTATAAAATCAGTGATGCGGCAATCACTAAAATGTAAATCAGGCAGAAGAGAATAAAAACCTAAGATCTACTTTTTAACCATTTTCTTTGTGAGTAGGGAAGAAAACATGTTCCATGGTGGATGTGTTTTTGGAATTCAATCGATTGTTGTTGTTTTTTTAAAGCACCAGGATAGGTCAATATGATTGTCATTTTAGTTACCGATCATCAAGTGCCCATTATCTGTTCAGCAATATATTCATTTATTTAATCTTTCAGATAATACAAGGGAACTTCAAAAACTCCATGAAAAATTGAATTGAAAGATGTAAACATAAACTTTCTTAACATCGGCTCCATCAAGTTCAAGACACTTTCATAAATGATCATACCAGCCACTTAGTCCATCTCTAAAGAACTGAGGGTACTGGGAATTTAACCAATGAGGTCTTCTTTACATTATTAACATGGAAGTTTTTCACAGATTTTGTAAGATTAGGAAACAAAAAGAAGTCAGAAGCAGCCAAATCAGGATGGCAAGGTGAATGCCTAATGATTTTTCCATCAAAACTCTTGCAAAATTGCCCTTGCTTGATGAGAAGAATGAACAGGAGTATTGTCATAATGAAGGAGTCTCTGGTGAAGTTTTTCTGGGCATTCTTCTGCTAAAGATTTGGCTAACTTTCTCAAAACACCCTCATAATAAGCAGATGTTATCATTCTCTGGTCCTACAGAAAGTGAGCAAGCAAAATGCCTTGAGCATCCTAAAAAAAACTGTTGCCATAACCTTTCCTCATAGATCGTCTGCTTTTGCTTTGATTGGACCACTTCCACCTCTTGGTATTGCTTTGATTGTGCTTTGTTTTCAGAATTATCCTGGTAAAGCCATGTTTCAACTCCTATAACAATTCTTTGAAGAAAGGCATCAGAATCTTAACCCTACTTTTTAAAAATGTCAATTGAAAGCTCTGCTCTTGTCTGCAGTTGATCTGGACACAACAGTTTTGGCACCCATTGAGTGGAAAGTTTGCCCAACTTTAATTTTTCTGGCAGAATTGTGTAACCCGAACCAGTAGAGATGTCTATGGTGTTGGCTATTGTTAATGTTGTTAATCATTGGTCCTCGTCAATTTGGACATGAAAAAGATAAATTTTTTCCTCAAAAATTGATATGGATGGTATGCTGCTGTGAACATCTTAGAACAAATCATTCATTTGTAAACTTCTGATTCCTTTAGGGCATTGTCTGCATAAACTTTTCATATAGCATCAGTGATTTTGCCACTCTTCCACCCAAGCTTGACCATAAATTTGACATTCATTCTTGTTTCAATTTTAGCAGAATTTGGCCAGCTGTGGTAGCTCATGCCTGTAATTCCAGCATTTTGGGAGGCCGAGGCAGGAGGGTCACTGGAGCTCAGGAGTTTGAGATCAGCCTGGGCAAAATAGTGAGACCTCTTCTCTACAAAAAATAAAAAAAATAGCCAGGCATGGTAGCATGCATCTGTAGTCCCAGCTACTCAGGAGACTGAGGTGGGAGGATTACTTAAGCCTGGGAGTTTGAGGCTGCAGTGAGCCATAGTCACACCATTGCACTCCAGCCTGCATGACACAGCAAGAACTTGTCTTAAAAAATAAATAAATAAAAATATTTAGCAGAATTCACATTACACTTAGAGGGGCTCTTTTCAAACTGATGCCTTATCCTTCTGAGTGTTTCAAACTAGATTCTGCTCAGACGTGTTATAAGATGTTAGCATGAGTTTATTTGAATGAAAAAAATTTTTGAAATCCATTCATAATACACATTCCCATGATCTTTTTGAAGCCCGCTCGTATTATACCACTATTTTATAAAGAAACAAAATTATAAAGGTTAAGGACTTCATCCAATGTCTAATGGCTTATAAACAAAAGAATCAAGATGGACAGTTGTAATTCTAGATATTCAATTTTTCCTCTTTCCTATCAGCTGCCATGAAGTTGCATCCCTCTCTTCCTACATAGCATTTGATAAGTGAAAGCAAAACACTGGGCAGAGAGACTTACAGCCCAGGTGTAAGCACACACTTAGCATTTGGCTTTCATCTCTAAAATCTCTGACTCCACAGAAATGAAGCTTTTTGAAGCAGAATTTTAGGTGCCAATTCAAAATCCCACATGCTACTGAAGCAAACATTTATTTTCATTATTATTCCTTAGTATACTAGATATGAGAAAGATAAATGTGAACTCTCTGCTTCTTGGCCAGACTGCAAGTTTATGACATGACATGAAATTTTTGGTGAAATCACCCAACTCTCCTCTACCAGTGAAATTATTTGTTATACAATCCAATGATCATATTCAGATCCAGACCTTAAGAAAATTATCTTTTTTTCTCCATCTAAAAATACTTTACATAATTGATGGTGTCACGTACATACTAGGCACCACTATGAAAATAATTCTCTATTACTTCAAGCTGGTGCAACCAATACTGTTGAATTTTTTTTTTTTTTTTTTTTTTGAGACGGAGTCTCCCTCTGTCACCAGGCTGGAGTGCAGTGGTGCGATCTCAGCTCACTGCAACCTCCGCCTCCTGGGTTCAAGCGATTCTCCTGCCTCAGCCTCCCGAGTAGCTGGGACTACAAACACGCGCCACCATGCCCAGCTAATTTTTGTAATTTTAGTGGAGACGGAGTTTCACCATGTTGGCCAGGATGGTCTCAATCTCTTGACATTGTGATCCGCCCACCTCAGACTCCCAAAGTGCTGGGATTACAGGCGAGAGCCACCGTGCCCGGCCTTTTTTAATTTCTTAACATCCTCTGCATGCAACTGTCTCATAAGCCAAGTCAGTACCAGCAAAAAAGTTGCAAAAAAGCAGCAGAGAAAAGAAGGATGATACACTAAGAGGAATAAAAAGGTTATTAATAGTTGCAGAATTAGAGAGCCTTGCTAAATGAAAAGGATGGAGATGGCAGTTTCATAACTGCCTCTGATTGATTGATATAACAAATGTAACAATAGCAGATGATGTACAGCACAGCTCCGAACAGCAATACACAATAGCAGACACTCTTTTTTAAAACAAATTTGTTTAATCTCTGAAAGTTTATCTGGTTCACTGACTCCAGTATCTGACTTTTGTTCTCTGGAGATATTTGAGCCATGGGATTTGTGCATGGCCTAGGTTGGTGGAAACAGGGTCTCCTGCCCAGAGCATTGTGTGCTGTCACCGCCAAGAATCCCATGGAATCAATAGTCAAAATATAAGGTGGAGAGGGCCAAAGACAGTTTTCTGGGAAAATGAGACCTAATGAGGCAATAATTCAATAGAAAATCTAAACCAAAAATTGGGGCCTGAAGCATAGAATCAAGGAGAGAAGGAGCAGGAGAGGAGAGTAGGAAACCTTGAATAAAGTACAGGCAGGAGTCAGTGTAAGCAATTGTGAAACAGAACCCACTGGCCTCTGTCGGCCCAAAGGCCCAAGGCCATCATGGCAGGGCAGTTAACGTTGAAAAAGCCGAAGAGTTAGAGAATATGAATGGAAACTAATAATGTCCTATAATCCCCAAACTGAAATGCTAATGGAAGATCTTTCATAGAAGAGAAATTTTTAAATAATTACCAAAAATAATTTCTCAGTTATTTAACCCTAGAATGTAAAATAGTGGATGGGGAAGATGTTTTGGAATTCTGCAAGACTTGAGTTGAGGTCTAGACATTTTCTCTGACTTTGTGTGCTTTGGTTAGTAACTTTGCTTAGCCAAGACTCAGTTTATCAGTCTGTTTACACATTGCCATAAAAAAATACCCAAGACTGGGTGATTTATAAAGGGAAGAGGTTTAATTGACTCGCAGTTCCGCATGGCTGGGGAGGCCTCAGGAAGCTTACAATCATAGCGGAAGGCAAAGGGAAAGCAGGCATATCTTCACAAGTCAGCAGGAAAAAAAAACAAGTGAAGAAGGAACTTGCCAAACACTTACAAAACCATCAGATCTTGTGAGAACTCACTCACTATCATGAGAAGAGCATGGAGGAAACTGCCCCCATGATTCAATCACCTCCCACCAGGTTCCTCCCTCAATACCTAGGGATTACAATTCAAGATGAGATTTGAGTGGGGACACAAAGCCAAACAATATCATTAAGCTTCCTGAGAATAATAATAGTGTTTATCTCACAAGGTTTTATAAAGACAAAATGACACACTCCACATAAAGTGCTTAACATGTTAACCAACACATAGGAAGTACCATATACTTTTGCTTAAAGGAAATGCTTTATTCAGGTATAACTGACCTATAATAAACTACACATATTTAAGTTGCACAATTTTATGAGTTTCAACATATGCATAGGCTCATTAAACCATCTCCACAATTAGAAAAATGAACACACTCATCACCCCCAAAAAGTTACCTTGTGTCTTTTTCTCTACTTCTTTCCTTCTGTTCTCACCATCGCTCCCCTACATTGCATCTCAAGAAACAAATTATTTTATTTCTGTCATTATAGTTTTTATTCTTTAGAATGTTATACTTATGGAAACATATAGTATGTACTCTTTTAGTGGGGAGGGGTGGTCTAGCTTTTGTCACTCAGCATAGTATTTTTGAGATTTATTGTGTCAGGAGTCTCCAAACCACTTGTAGGTTCAATAATGTTCTAGGACTCCAGCGTCTGATTTTTCTTTTCTGGAAAATCATTAAATAATTAATTATGATGTATTTAGGGTTTCTTATACTTTGAACTTCCTGCATCTGTGGGTTTAAAGTTTTCCTCAAATTCTAAAAATTAACAGACATTATTGTTCTGTGCTGGAAATGTATGAGGGTAAACAGCCTTTATCCCAAGTATATGTCAATACAGATATAATAAGCAAATCACAGTGGGAAAGGGAGAAGAAAAAATACATATATATACATATTATATACATATATATATATATATATGTGTATATATATATATATATGTATATATATATATAATATATATATATATATGCACCAGACTATGGAGGAAGCATCACCAGACCAGGAAGCAACAGCTTGGGCTCCAGAGTCAGCTGCCCGTCCATGCACAGATGAGGAGAGGTCTCATGAAGCTTTGGTGTAGTCTGGGACCCTAGCTCTTTTGTAACTATTTGCTTGGTGTGAGGCCCAGTCACTAGGGCCCTTCATGACTGGGCTCAAAGAACACAAAAAGATCAGCTTGTTTTGCGACTGTCTGTTGTTTTTCAATAACTAACACACAGGAATAGATTGAAATAAAGATTTCTCCGAAACAGTGCCAGATAAATGCTTCAAGTGGCTACCTGTTCCAGGACTTGATGACCGTTGTTTGTGTCCACATTCAATTCCTCCACAATTATTTATTTAAAAATTGTCTGTCTCAATTCTTTCTTTCTTCTTTTGAGGATTTCAGTTACACATACATTAAACAACTTCAAGTTATCTTGAATTTTTCATTTTTTTTGCCTTTTATGTATTTCATTTTGGATAGTGTTTATTGCTAAATCTTTAAATTTACTTATGTTTTCTTCTACAATGCCTAATCTGATGTTAGTCACATCCAGGGCAGTTTTCTTTTTTTTTTTTTTTTTATCTCAGACATTATAGTTTGCATGACCAGAAGTTTAATTTGGATCTTTTTATATCTTCTATATTCCTACTTAACATCTACAATCTTACCTCTAAGTCCTTGAAAATATGAAATACTGTATGCTAAAGGATACAAAATGGCAGATATGTAGGATGAACAAGTTTAGAGATCAAGTGTACAACATGAGGACTAACGTTAATAAAATTATATTGCATTAGGGATTTCTGTTAAGTAAGTAGAATTTAGCTGCACTTGTCACAAGAAGAAAGGAATTATGTGAGATGATAGATGTATCAGTCAGCTTCACTTTAATAAGATTTTACTATCTATATGTATCCTATAACGTCATGTTTTAAGCCTCAAATATACACAATAAAATTTATTTTGAAAAAATAAATATATGTTTTAATATTCTTATCTACTAATTCAGTCTTCTGTGACATTTTGGGTTATGGATTGTATATCCTTACTTCTTCACATGCTTAATTATTTTCTATTGAATGCCAGACATTGTGAATTTTATTTCAATGAGTCCTGGAGACTTTGGTATTCCTGTACATATTCTTGAGCTTTGTTCTGGGACAAAGTTAGGTTACAGAGAATCAACTTTCTGGCCCACTTTTAAGCTTTGTTATGCAGTAACATTGCAGCATGTAGGGCTAGGTCTGATTTTAACCCACCATTGAAGCAAAACTCTTCTGAGTATTCTGTCCAATGTACCATGAATTATGAAGTTTTCTGCTTTGGCTAATGGGGCAGGAACTATTTCTGGTCCTGTGTCAGTTCTCAGCATGCTTCCTGCTAATCGTTTTGGATGGTTATTTTCCCAGTCTTGACTAGTTTCCTCATACATACACTGCTCAATATTCAGATGAAGACTCGATAGGGTCTTTTTTGGATCTCCAAAGCTCCTTTCTCTGCAGCTCTCCCCTTTCCATTGTTCCAGCTGCCTTAGTCTCCCCAGACTCCCAGCTCCATCTCAACTCTGGGAGGATATTGTGCTTAGTCAGTCTCCCCTTCCCTGAGCTACAGCCTGAAGCTTTCAACAGGTAGTAATCTTGGGCACTTTTAGGGCTCATCTTGTATCCTATGTCTCAGAGGTCACTGTTCTTTGTTGTCCAATGTCTAAAAAAACAGTCATTTCATAAATTTTCTGGGTTTTTTCTATTATAGGGAAGACAGTAAATGTGGTCTCTGTTTCTTTACCTTGGCTGGAAGCCCTACATACTTTTTGAAATATATGAATAAATTTATTTATATCAACATCTTTCATAATTGAATGACAAACATACTCATCTTTAATTTGCTATAAGATATTCCATAAACCGTTGAAAGCAATTTGTATGTTTATGTATGTACATGTTTATGTGTTTCAAAAGAGAGATCCTAGAGAATCTTCAGTCTAAAGGCTTCAAAATTTATTGTTTTTTAAACTGTAGGCTAGATGATCAGTAATCTTTGTGTACGTGGGCTACACTAAGCTTATTTTGTTGATAAGATTAATAAATAATCTCACCCCTAGCACACATAACAAAAATAGGACATAACATATGAGTTCGTGCATATAAAAGCTTTAGTCATGCTATTTTTTCTCTTTGTCAGTCATCTTTCATAGTGTCCCAGTTTCTTGAGGTAATTTTGGTGGAATTAAAACTGGACAGCTCAAAATTATATAATTAAATACATTCAGCTTCAATTAAAAATTATAATTGATTCAAAGCTGCTAACATGACCCCTGATAGCAATAACACATGAGCACAAATGACCTACTCATTGACGTATGTCAGAAAAGTTTTGAAAAATGGGGGAGATGGGTAGGTAAAACATTTACCATAGAATACCTTTGGTCAGGATGACACATGGTAAACAGCCTGCATGTAGTGCAATGTCTTCCTTTTATAGATGAGGAAACTGAAACCCAAACTTAAATAACATCTCAAGTCACACAGTTGGTGCATTACTAAATATGGATATGACCCAAATCTTTTTATCCTCTGTATTGATTATTAATTTACTTGTTTGTTTTCTCATAATGGAAATGCCCTTTTCAATGTGGAATCATTTCTCCATATCAGAATATGAGACCCAGAGAGAAGCCACTGTTGAGTCCCAATTCAACTATCTGTACTATCATGGAGCATCTAACTTGTGATTGATGTTGTTTGAGAAAGTGAAAACCCTCACAATTCATTTAGTAATTCAATTAATGTTTTTTGGCCATTTTCTCCACACCATTTATCATTCTATTTACTAGAGATACAGAGGTGAACAAGGCAGACAAGATCCTGCTCTGAAGGATTTTACGTTTTAGTTGGGACGAGAGGAAGGGAGGCACTGAAGACGAAAGACAATTGTAGAAATATAACTTTAATTCATGATGAGTGACCATATATAGTGAATACCATACAGTGATAGAAAGTGGTTATCATGAAGAATGATACAAATGGATGCATTTGCAATGTACGTTGCAGGTAGATATCATAAGACTTTTCAATAGATTGTATGAGAGGAGTGAAGGAAAGAAAGAAATGGGGCTGGGACAGCGGGAGATGGGGAAAAGGAAGGGAGGACACCCGGTGGGGAACTGGATGGAGAACAAAGTCAAAAATTCTGTCTAGGCTTCATTAATTGGAAGGTGCCCATTAGAACTGTTTTTTTCAAATTTTAAAATTCAGGTTCTGATTCAGTTAAGTCTTCGGTGGGCTCAGGGGTCAACGTTTCTAACAACATTTCTGGGATGATGTCAGTGATACCGCTACACAGACCACATTTTCAGTAGCAAGTTCTTAGTTAACCAAGTGGATTATAGTTAAAATAGTGATCTAGAGCTGTATAGAAAGGTAAGAAACTGAGTTATAAAATTTGGTAACATTTGATATATTCCTTTAAGCCCAAATTAATTGAGAAAATATAGAAGAATTAGCAAACCAGAGAGTTTAGAAGAAAATCCTATAAAATTTAGTAGACAATGTACAAGAAGCCAACATTTGTATAAGACAGAATGTGAATTTAAAATAAGAAGAGAGAAACAGGGATAAATGTAGAATTCAAGAATCAGAAATAGGTTGTGAGCTAGATATTGCACTATAGTTCTATAAGACAGGTAAGATGAAAAACAATCCCCTTTGATTCCCTTTTTGCTAGTCTTATCCTGACCCATTCTATAAGCATCATTTGAAATTTTAGGGTAATAAAAGCTTGGAGTCAAAGACAGAAGGCAATGCCAATAAGTCACTGAAGTTTTGGCTGATGAATTTTAAATAAGAAACTAACAGCTTAAACACTATTCCTTAGACCAATGGCTAACTGAACCTTTTCTGGGAATAGTGGAGAAATATGAGTACATTCAGGGAGTGAAAAAGGTAACATTATGGCTGAATTTTGATGGAATTGTAAGTTAAAAAAGAGAAGGAAGATCCCCTAAAGGGGCCATTCAAAGTATTTAAATTTGCACTTACCAAAGCACGTACTAATGTTTTAACAGCTGTAGTGGTTAAGCATTCTTCTGTTTTAGTAGTTTTAATAGCTGATGACAAGAAGGCAAGGTTAGACACCCAGAGAGCTCAGTAGACTTACGGCAACACCTGTAATGAGTGAAAGTCTATTTTGATGGAACGGAACAGTGTCTTCTGAAGAACAAAAATGTTTAATAGACTGTTCTATATATTTAAATTAAAGGAGATTTGCCCTTTACTTAAACTTGACCAGCAGACTCCACAAAAGCTCTAAACAATAGTACTGCAATTGCTAGAATACAAAAATGGAGCAGATTATCATCAACGAATGTATATCTAGTGCCTACAGTGTGAGAGCACATCTATTCTGTGTTCAGGCAGACACCACATAAAGCAAAATAGGGATTTGGCCATAAAGTTTAATAGGAATTTAATAATTATCCAGTCCATTCAGTCAAAGAAGAAGGCAATTTGGAAAATTGAGAAACTGGATTAGGATCCTGATCCCTTATCTCTTTCTTATGTAAGCCCTACAACCTATTATGCCCGCTCGTCTACAAACTTTCAGTTTGCAATGTCCTCTACATTTTACACGGGCCTAAAAAAGCAATAGGACATAAAGCTCCTCCCAGTAGCATGTTATCTACTATGGCAAATATAATACTTTCCCCATGTAAATATGAGGCAGAATGCTAACTTTTAGAGTTGGGGTACTTGGATTTTAGTGTGCATCAGAATCACCTGGAGGACTTGTTAAACCACAGATTGCCAAGCCCCACCGCCAGAGTTTCTGATTCAGTAGGTCTGGAGCAAGGCCCAAGAATTTGCAGCTCTAACAAGTACCCAGGTGTTACTGATGCTGCTGACACAGTGACCACAGTTTGTGAACAACTGTTTTAGAGGATGACAGACAGAAACAGTATTTTCAGCCCAGGCTATCAGAGATAGCTTCACTAAGACTGCCAAGCACAAATTGAATCTTGAAGGACTAAAGACTGCAGCGTGGGAAATAAGAGAAAGAGGGTATTAGAAACCAAAGAAGGTACTAGTTAATAAGCTAAAACTGCAAAATGTTTTCCCTGCCCCCATACTATTGTGGTTATTAAAGATCTAAGAATACAATACAGGAAATGAAGATATTCCCATTTTCACATTGCTTGAAAAACTCAAAAAAAGCAAACTTTCCAAGGAGTTCCCCCAGATCCTAATTTTGCAATATATTTATTGAATTTCCTACCTCTTTTGTTGCATCTGTCACAGTGGCAATCCACACTCAAAAATGAAAAACAGGCACTATTAGCCAAAATGCTACAGAAGATTTGGGGGGGATTTTCTTATCTAGGGCCTGATTTTGTTCTTAGACATTCATGGGCACTATCTCTATTTCAGTCTCCTCTGACAACACAATAATTTACGTCTTTTATGTATTTTGCTATTGTTCAGAATACTTACAATGAAAGAAAAAAGATATAAAAATATTTCTAAAAAGAAATATGAAAAAAATTAATTAGAGAGACATATAACAAATTAGGACAATGCGGTATATAACACAACAGTCTTTAATTTGCTGGAAGAGCAACAAAAGAACCAGAAAAAAATGACATTATTCAAATGCCAGTCAGGGTTATTGCATCTTGAAAAAAATTCTAACCCTTGGTACAATTTCAGAAATAAAAAAATAGAAGTTTTTAAAAATTCTATTCTTTAATTTGTGAAAGCACCCTAGTCTGACAACCTAGAGTCCTCAAAACAAAGCCATGGAAAAGGAAATATTCAGAGAATAATGACTGATCATGTTTGGCTGGAGCCTAGATATGACTCTAGGAATAAAAGAAAATAAAGGCAAAAAGGTAAGTTGAGGTCAGAGTCTATATAAGACTTTGGATTTCTAAAGAGAAGAACCAAAGCATATTCCTACCAAGAGAATGTCATCCTTCCCCAGAGTGAAAGCCATGTAAAAGAGAGACTACCAGGAGAGTAAAATAGTAGACATCTGCTATATTTGTCTTTTTAGTCTGCTCTTTCCTTTTGGGCACTGTCTCTTTCCTATTCCATTTGATTCCAGCAAGACTGTTCATCACAATGCCCACCTGTTCACTGGCTGTAAGAGTGGAATAAAGACCTGACCTATCACTGTCCTCCACTCCCTAAGCCACCGTGGGCACATTAGCCAGTCAGAGCATGTCAGTTTCCTTCCAAAAGAATACTACCTAAAACTCAGAAAAAGAACCCTTCTTTTTGACTCTTTACTGTGGGATATGAGCTTAACGCTGCCATCAGCCTATCATCATGAAGAACACAAACAGAAACAGAGTCTAGAGACGATGGCAGAGACAGCCCCAACAGTATACTTGGAGACCTTCCCTCTAGCAGAGGGAACCTCAGAGCTATCTTTGAACTTCCCATTTTTGTAAGCCAATAGTTCTCCCTTTGTCTTTCTTATGCAGTTTAACTTGGTTTCTTTCATTGAGAATTACAAGAATCATTAGGTAATAATAAGTTTATGCCTGTTTTGCAAATGATCAAAAAAGAAAAGCTATGCTACTTGTGAGTCTGCGGGTATCTCATTTTTCAGGAAGGTCACTTCTCAGCCTGAATTGTGGTATAGGCAAGGACTTTGGGGGTATACTTATAAAACATTATCCCTTCTGTATGGTTGGAAAGGGCAACTGAAGTTATAAGTAAATAAGAAAGAAACATAGACGTAGGAGAGAAAGAGGGAGGAAGTGAGGAAGAGAGGACGAAAGGAAGGAAATAAGTAAAAACAAAAGAAGAAACACTAAATTTAAATCAAAAT
The DNA here is from genome assembly GCF_000001405.40 of Homo sapiens. Classification (NCBI taxonomy): domain Eukaryota; kingdom Metazoa; phylum Chordata; class Mammalia; order Primates; family Hominidae; genus Homo; species Homo sapiens. Next base: position 81,749,448 of record NC_000014.9, on the reverse strand, counting down.
CCAAATACAATTATACAGAATTCCAGGCGGTGGCTGCTAAAGTGCCTTTTGTCTAGGAAGCCTAAATTTCTTCAGAGATTAACTTACATGCAAAGAATATTAGACATAAGATAGTGCCACCAAGTCTGTTTGCATATTTACCAATATATATTTCAGTTTGAAAGACTACATTCTCTATCATGAAACTAGACCCACAAATTGACTTCTCAAATTACACTTTTTACAACAAAGGGTCTTCATGCCAACTTTGGAGCAGTAATTTCCCACTCCATCCAAAAACCATCCCATAGCTCTATTCCCTCCCACCATCTTGTGACTGACCTTATATCAATTACAGTTCAATTTCCTTTACAATTCCCTTCTGTCCCAATTCCCTTGCAAGTCCAGTAAACATCATGACTCCTCAGTCACAAAATACTTCAGAAAGAGAGTATGGCTCTGTCAAGCCCTGATAACCTTTCTTGCAGCAAGAATAATAGAATGGTGGCCCTCTTGAATCACTTCCATCAATTTCTATTAAACTGATGCTTCAAAGCTGTCTAGCCATTTATTTCTCCTTCCTGCTATGGAGAGTGTCAGTGGATTGGGGGAAGCGGGGAAGAGGTGGAACTCATGGGGTAGAGGAGCCTGGAAGAGACCACAAGTACAGCTGACTCGGGTTGCGGGGAATGGGAGAAAGGCATCAAAACCTTTGTGACCTGTGTGCGATGACCACAGTTGCAGAAACTTCACTTAATCTCACCAAGGCTATTAGAAGCTACATTTCCAGGTAGCATCTAGCTGCTCAGAAAGATAACTGCCTTGCAAACTTCAATATACCTTGAGAGAATTAGATTTTTCTAAGCCAAAGATTGAATTCCTCCTTCTTCCTCTCTTCTTCACTGTAACCAGGGCCTCATACAAGCAATTTTATTTTCCTTGTGCGCTGGGCAGATGACATCTTGCTAAGTCCGCCAGAAGCAGGGAAGAATGAAATACTAGGATCTGTGATGTTGCATGCTAGCCCACTTGCTTTGTTTACCTATTTCCAGTAAAGGGACTGCTGGAGAAAACTTTAATCACAAAAACTATAAAATGGAGTGCTCTCTGCAGCTTCCAGGAGCCAACCTATGTTGACAAAGGGTAGCATTTACTTTTAACCCTACACAATTTACTTTGATTCATTTCAGCTAATTGTAATTGTTTGCTGAACAGAGAGAGCACAGAGAAGGAGAAAGATTCATTACTAAGCCCTTATGCAATCAAAGGTCATCTCAAGGTTAGAGAAATAATGTACAATTCCACTTTTGCAGCTTCACCATCTGCAGATAGCATGTCCTCCATGAAACTTCAGCTAATTTCCCAGAGCCTGCTCCACCCTCCTGCGTGTTCCCACAACACTCTATTGCCATCTCCTCTATATGATTTCTGACTTTGTATTACAATTACCTGTTTGCATATCTATCTCTTCTCCACTGTAGTAGGAGTTCCTTAAAACCAGAGGCTGTATTTTTTGTTTATCTTTATCTCTAACTCCTGCATAATATCTACACATGGCTGATGCTCCACATATCTGGGTTGAATGAATGAGGATACCTAAATCAATTTCTCATATATTCCTTGCTGAAGGACTATAAATTTGTAAGCAAACAGGTTTTTTTCCACTCTGGAAACTAAATCAAATCAAACACATACACACACACACACACACACACGGAATCAATGAGTGCATATGTGGCAAGGACTCTTTAATATATTAATCATTTACAAAATAAAATAGTAAAATAATGGTTGACATTCAGATCACCATTGTCAGCTCAGAAGTTTAAAAAAAAAGTCCTTTAGCAAATCTTGAAACATCCCTTTAGGCTAGGTGTACCTGTTCTCTTGTTTCCCCAGGAGGTGGAAACATACATACTGCAGTGCCTTTCAACATCTGAAAATCAGCTGGTGCAATGGGCATCATAGGGTGCTGAGACTGTTCGCCAGAATCAAGAGAACCACTGATGAGGGTAAAAGGCCAGGCCAGAGGAGAGACCACAGACCAAATCGAGCTGTACACAGCTAACTTGGCCCCAGGGAAGTTGTCTCCAGAATGCGTCTTGCTCCTTTACCAAAAACAAACAAACAAACACCTTCCCAAACAAAAGGAACTGAAAACACCCTAGCCCATTGCTTTTTAGATTAAGAAGTAATGCTCAGAGAGGTGTGATCCTTGTCTTCCTGTACCACATCCTTGGAAAGTGGCAGCTATAGAGTTGGGTACTCAGGGCTTTCCCGGCACTGCCCTGACTCCTGCCACCTTCTACCCTGTCAAAGCCAGCCCTGCACTTATCATCAGTCCTCATGGAATGACTCTGAAATGGTTCAGCCCTGGTTTCTCCTCATCCCCCATCCCTCTCAGGCCCTATGCATTCAGGGTCCCTATGTTTTTATTCCCTCCCCGGAGATTGGTTCTTGATCTTTTTACTGACACTAGAGTGCAAAGGTCTCAAAGCCTTAAAGCCTGATGCTCTAGCTGTAAAATTCCCAGGAGATGAAAGAGGATTCAGACTTCAGAGGGTTTTCTGAGAATCCCTAAAATAGTAGTTCAGGGATTCCAAGGAAGGATGTCACTAGATTTGGCCTTAGTCCCCCAGGCAGGCTACTTTCTACAATAGGAGAGTAAAACCTGAAAATTTAGTAGAACTACAGGGTATTGCAGTAACATATAGGTCAGAGGTAAGGAAAAGCAGAAAGGGGGTGGAAGGATTAGAGACAACAAGTGAACACAACCCCCAAATGGGAAACGTCTGTTCTGATGGACATCTCTTCTTTCTCCTGGTGTTATGAAGAGACCATGTGCTTTCTTCTCAGAGAGACTTGGGTCTTTCATTTATTCACACATTTATCTGACAAATATTGCTCAAGTAGCCACTAGGCACTCAGAACTGTGCTAAATTTGATGTCTAATTTTTACTTGGTAAGATAACTAAATTTTTTAGAGGCATAAATGTTGGAAAAAATTAAAAAATTAGAATTTTGGACTACAGAAGCAATAAATATTGTAGTTATTGTTCATACTCTGGACTAAGTTAAATCAAGGTTCGAGTCCAGGCTCTGACACATTGTAGCTGTCAGCTGATCTCTTCCAACCTCAGTCTTCTCTTATGTAAAATGGAGACTGTGATCATTATTACCTCATTAATTGTTGCATGGATTAAATGAGATAATGGGTACAATGTACTTAGCACACTTTTGAGAGAAGAACAAACATGCAATACTATTAACAATTATTTAAATAGGAGGAGGCAAAATCTGAACTGAAGATAACCCTTTCTACTAAAAGGCAAGGATGGAATGGAAGTGACAAATTTCAATATCATTTCATTTTGTAGTAGTTTAAAGTGCCTGTAAAATTTAGTGAAGGAGAGAAAAGATAGATGCAAAATCAACACATAAAATGAAAGTTTGGATTATTTGGGGGACTCTCAATAACTATACTTTATTAACATAAAAATCAGGAATTGTTAGAACAGTGCTTTTTAAATTTAATACATGTGGATCTCCTGGGGATCCTATTAGGATGCAGGTTCTGATTTAGTAGGTCTGGGGTACAGCCTGAGATTCTGCATTTCTAACAAGCTCCTGGTGGCAGCAATACTGCTGGTCCCCAGATCACATTTTGAGTAGTAAGGGAGGTTAGATTAAATTAGAATTTAAGCTATATTCACATATACGTGAACTCACATATATATGTACAGTTAGTTCATTCTGAACATGCGGGGATATATGTATCATATATTGTATGCATACATATGCATATATTACATGTATACATATATAGATATAGATATTCCCTCATGCTAGCAATAAATTTGTAGCTGGGATTCCTATTTTCCTGCTCTGGTTCTGCCACAAATTCATATCATGGCTTAGTTTCTTCTTCTGGCTTCATTTCTTCATTTTAGAAAATGAGGGCATTGAACAACATGTTTTCTAAGTTTCCTCCCAGCTTTAGCTTCCTATTTGAACTTTTTTCCACTGGGAAGAAACAGAAATTTACTTATAATTGCATGGGATTTGAGAGATATAGAGAAAGTGATTTTTGATCCTCAGGTATTTTGTTCACGCTAGCCCTCAGGAAAATCCTCGCGGAGCCCACTTCTCTGGAGTCATTTGAAATATAGAAAATGTAAAACATTTTTCCTTATATGAATGTCAATGAAGGAACAATACATAGATATTATTTAGAAAAACAGCATTAGACTTTCATTCAGAAAAATTTAGTGTGGCTCAATGTCATAAGCAAAGCCAAAAACATTCAGCTTCATATCTTTAACAATTCCGAAGAATTTGCTGGGCCAGTGGGAGGATGAGAGTGGGGCCGGTGGGGGGAACTACAGCAAGAACCTTTAAAAAAGCACCATAGAGAGAAGAGTCACCTTGGCAAATACTCCAGCTCAGAGCATCTCTTTAGCCAGCATAAACACTTAGACACACTTGTTCCTACAACACACTTATGCAAATTGTTCACATTTTCTTCTTACAAGTTCTGTCAAGTTTTTATCATTTATGAGCTAACCAGCTTCATGGCTAGGCTTTCACCTTGTCATATTTTTCTGCATTTTCAGAGCTAATCCAGTCTGCCTAACATCTTTCCTGGCTGCACTGTATAACATAAAAATGGAACCATTAAAAGCATTGTCTCTGATAGGAAGGGAATCCATAACTAGGCAAAGGGATAATGCTATTGGTGAGGGAATCAAGACCCTTCCCAAATCCATGGACCTTATGTTTTCTTTCTTTTAAAAAAAAAAAACTGTTCTTTTTCTGACACTGCAAAGTAGATGCAGCTACAAAATAATTTTTTAAATATTTTGACTAGCTTTTATCAGAAAAAAAAAAGACTTAAACGATACTTGAGGTACATGCCTGTAATCCCAGCACTTTGGGAGGCCGAGGCGGGCCTCCTGAGGTCAGGAGTTTGAGGCCAGCCTGGCCAACATGGTGAAACCCCAGCTCTACTAAAAATATAAAAATTAGCCGGGCATGGTGGTGCACGCCTGTATTCCCAGCTACTCGGGAGGCTGAGGCATGAGAATCGCTTGAGCTCGGGAGGCAGAGATTGCACTGAGCCGAGATCATGCCACTGCACTCCAGCCTGGATGACAGAGTGAGACCCTATCTCAAAAAAAAAAAAAAAAAAAAAAAAGGTATTTGAGTGACCTTGCCCAAGTTGTCTGGACAATTCTTAACTCTAAAATACCCTCCTTCGGGCATGCTGCTAGTACTGGCCCAGGCTATGAATGGCCAGCAAAGGTGCTGGGTGATTTTGCATACAGACAGTATATGTGTCCATTTCAGAGGTTATGTTAAGAATCAACATTCTCTTCACTGTGTTAAGAGTAATAATAAGTAAATAAGCAAAGGAATTGATATTTACTCCAAAATTTAAATGAGCTTTTATTTAAGCACCTGGAGCTATATCCACATCTGAGATTTAAGTCACTAAAAAGCCTAATGATAAACAAAACTAAATGAGAGATGTGGCTAAATTAGACATATCTATACATGTGCACATAATTACACAGAATATGTATGTATAATTTGCCTTTAACAGTATTTCCGTTTATACCTGAAATTCCCAAGTGTCTTCAAACAAGGACAGCTTTGTGATGTCATGCCTTTAATGGGGCCCTGTTACCATGGGGACATCAGAGCTCCTTCTCAGAATAGCATTTAGTTCTGACAATTGAAGAAGCTGGAGAATTTCCACTAAGCCAACATACTTAGTATCTTCCAGCACCTACAAATTTGAAAGTTATCCAGTTCTTAAGTATTGCCATTTGGCCTGAGAAGATATTGACTTCTGGCCATGTTTCAAAGAAGTGCACATATATAAATATCTATTCAATCCTTTATCTTCCAATATCCTATAACATGGAAATGTATATTGCTAGGTCCTCTTTATTCAACAGCAACTGAGTAGAACCCATTAATCCCTTCACTGGTGCATTCATTCAGGAAATACATTTTGAGTGCCTTGAAACTATCTCCAATGCCCAGCATAGCCCATAGCATCTAGACTAATATATGTGTGTGTACATATATATGAATATATATAGCAATATATATATATACTTCCTACCTTCAATGACCTCGAAGTACAGCAAATAATTATTATGTGCTAAATGATGGAAACACAAAGATATACTATGAAGAGAAGTAGGAGTTGGAGGACCAACTGTGTACAGAGACGAGATCATGGAAGATCAACTGAGCGCCTCTGGCAAAACATCAAGAGCAAAGAGAAGATGGCCCATCATAAGCCAAAGCAATTAAATTCCTCTCCCTCTGGCCACACCAAAGAGCATTTAACATGCATCATGGTCTCAGGTCAAGAGTATATTCAATAGTTGACAGTGATGTGGCCTCTAGCTTTCCAGAAGGTGAGTCATGTCTTACAAATCATACCATAAGCAACCAGAGAACCAAGGCCAGAGCCAACAGAAATCCAACCAAGTGGGCAGAGATAATGGTTTACCTGAGACAAAGATGGGAGGAATTTCCTAATTGTTCCCAGTATGCAGTACTTACCATAGAGACAAATAAGCTGCCAAAAGACCAACATCTCTCAATGTCTTACAAACCCATCTAGGTCTCACTGCCCAATGGAATGAAGTAAAATAAACTTAGTAGACTGAGGTTACCTCGGAATTCTCAGTGCCCACTGCATGGTTTTTATGTAGCATTTTCTATAGCTAAATTTCCTCATATACTTTAAGCACTTACCAGAGCGCTTAGCCTATATTTTGGACATTTCCTAGAACTGCTGAAACAAGAGAAAGCAAGTTGGGATTATGTTGGGGAGAAATAATAGATTTCTTCCTGCCTGACATTCAAAGCCCTGGTGATTTTAGCAAGGTAAAGTGGTTCAAAATGCCCCACTAGAGCTCTGGCTCTGCAATGCAAGCAGGCAAATTGCAAAATGTTTAGATTGTTAGTCTATTTAGAAAAAAATTTAACTGCATATCTCATTTGATTCTGCTTTGCCTGAAGGTCAACACAGTATAAAGATGAAGGCCTTGGTTTCTAAAAATAAGGAATCTGGCTCTAATAATGGTACTTCCCAGATTAATAGCTTAGTAGCTGAATAATCTTGATCTTGATCTTTAATCTCCCTAGGCCTCAGTTTCTCCATCTGAAAATGGGGCTAATAAAAATAGCTTATTCATATTGAGTGTTTTCTCTATGCCTGTCACTATCATACTAAACATTAATGCATTTAACCCTCTCCACACCCAATAAGAAAGATACTTCTTATTACTTTCATTTTGCAGATGAAAAAATCATGTGAATAGAGAGATTGAGAACTTTCCCAGACCACATGTGTAGAAAGTGGTAGGGCTGGGATTGGAGGTCAGGCAACTGGGATCTACAGCCTTACTGCTAGTCACTATATTGAATTTCTAAAATAATACCACATTTCCATTAAGAAGCTAAATTGAGCTAATTATATATTTGTCTACTGGGACTGCCATAACAAAACACCAGAGACTGGGTGATTTAAACAACAAAAATATACACTCTCACAGTTCTGGAAGGCAGAAGTCTAAGACCAAGGTGTCATCAGGGTTGGTTTCTAGTGGGGCCTCTTGTACTGGCTTACAGAGGACCTCTGTCTTGCAGTGTCCTTATGTGGCTCTTCTTCTGTGCTCATGCAAGGACAGACAGAGAGAGATCTCTGGAGTCTCTTTTTCTCTTACTATGACACCAGCCTTATCAGATTAGGGCCCTACCCCTATGACCTCATTCAATCTTTTTTTTTTTTTTTTTTTTTGGAGACAAAGTCTTGCTCTGTCGCCCAGGGTGGAGTGCAGTGGCACATCACAGCTCACTGCTACCTCTGTCTCCCAGGTTCAAGCAATTCTCCTGCCTCAGCCTCCCTAGTAGTTGGGATTACAGGCACTCACCACCACAGCCGGCTAATTTTTGTATTTTTAGTAGAGGTTGCACCATGTTGGCCAGGCTGGTCTTGAACTCCTGACCTCAGATGATCCACCCTCTTCAGCCTCCCAAAGTGCATGGGATTACAGGCATGAGCCACTGCACCCAGCCCTTCATTCAATCTTAGTTACCTGCCTAAAGTCCCTATCTCCAAAAACAGTCACATTGGAGGCTAGGGTTTCAACATATATATTTTACTGGGGACATAATTCAGTCCATCATACTATGTAAAGAATTTAGCATAGTAATTAATACACATAATAATTATTCACATAATGTCTTAGAATGTTCAGTATGCTATGACAATATACCATAAACTGAGTGGCTTATAAACAACAGAAAAATCTCACAGTCGTGGAGGCTGGGAAGTTCAAGGTCAAAGTACCAGCAGATTAAGATGTCTGGTGAGACTTATTTTCTGGTTCATGAACGGTGCCTTCTTGCTGTGTCCTCACATGGTGAAAGGAACTAGTTAGGTCTCTGGAATCTCTTTTATAAGGGCACTAATTCCATTCACCAGCACTCCTCCTTAATGACCTAATTGCCTCCCAAATGCTCCACCTATTAGTTCCAACACATTCATGATGAGGTTTTAACATATTAATTTGGAGGGGACACAAACCTTAGTATATTGTATCCACTTAACAAATAGTACCTATTGGTATTTCATGGATTTATTTGGCAAACTCTAGAAATTGTCAAGTTTATGGAAACATATGGAAATCAGAAATTGGAAATTTTGTTTGCTAATGCCATTTGAACAAATCAATTAATTTCTGCCCACCTCCTTTTCTTAAGCTGTGAATTATGATACACCCATCAAACATTTGCATGACCACATGTTTATAATAATATTCTTACAAGAATAATAGAGTCTAAAAAAGAGAGCAACTTTTGTAGGAACTAGGGTTTTTTTGTTCTGTTTTGTTTTGTTTATCACAACTACTTATATTTTGGAGGCGCTAGTCGTTCTTGATCTTCAGGCCTACATTTATCTAAAATCCTGATTCATGGAAAATTTAGGCCCTCTTCTTTTATTGGGCTGTCTGAAGTTTGTCCAGGTTACATATCTATATCCCAGCACTTCCCTCTGCTGTTCTTCACTTTCAACGGGGAGCACATTATAAACGCACCTCTTGTGAAGCTTCTTAAATATGCTGCAAATTCATAATCTATATAAAACTGATTGTTGCTGTCTTTTCAGAGAGGAAGTCACTGTCCATCATACAGTGCTTTAATTTGAGGTAAGTGGGATCAAAGAGATTGGCTGTGTCTACTTTTAATGTAGTTTATTTCTTTTAATCTCCTTTTTGTCCCATCTGTTTTATGATTGATCATACTAACTCAGGTCCCAAGTGAAAGCTGGTAATTTTAGATTTTCAGAAAAGTAGGACAAATTATCCCTTTACTTACAAGGATGCATGTATCAGATGGACCTACTACAACGTAAGTTTTCCCTCTCTCTGGCCTTCCAATGCTGAAAGTTGTGTCCTGCCTAAGGTTGACTTCCTAAGAAATTACATGTAAATGTCAGCTTCCTCTCAATATTGGACACTCATGATATCTTCCTTCATATAAAGATGAACCATACCCATATTTTTTTATTTAAGAGAAGGAATTTTCAGACAACTTAGGCAAGGTCACCTCAAGTATCTTTTAAGTCCTTTTTTTTTTTTCTGGTAAAAAGCTAGTTAAAATATTCAAACCATTTTTTATTTTATAGTTGCATCTATTTCTCCTCCTCCTCAACACATGCTAACATCAAGGAGTTCAAAGTATTATGAGAAGCAATATGATGCAGTTGTGAAAATATTTTTGCCAAGAGTTTTTAAAAAGTGAACTAATTTATATTGCGAGGTAGACATGATATTATATTACCTGAATGTGAGAAAGTGAGTTAGGCGACTTTGAAGGGTGTTTTTCTATCTTAGATGGCCACAAAGACCATCCATGTGAGGAGATGAATAAACAAAGCTGAATCCAGCCAAAGCTTTGCTCACTAACCTGTGTACCCTGGCTTAAGGTTGTGTCCACCTGGAAGAAAAGCACATTTTCTGATTCACATAAAGCTACCATTAGGGCTAAGGAGACTCTGCTCCAACCCTACATGTCCATGAATTTAGATTTTGTTCACCCCACTTTTTAATTGGTAATAACAAGTATTCTATTCTGCAACCATGTAATAAGAATCGTTATGTGTCATGGTCAATGTCCCCTATTCTTCCTGAAATCTGTGAAATCATTAGTGCTACTTAGCAACTCTGATTCTGGGGCATCATTCCAAACTAAATACAGAATGATGATCTCTGTACCTATGGCTTGATGGAGTAAGAACAGTTCACAGCACTGAATGTTGTCGACTCATCAAAAGCATTTTTTAATCTGCAGACTAAGAAACATTTCCAGATCTGAACCTTCATGTATCATGACATCATGTTTATTTATGATACATTTTTAGTTCTCCCAGCTAAATTTCTTTCCCAAATGGATTCATCTTAAAGCAGCTACTAGGGGAAGAGTCAGAACACCTGAATTCAAGTGTTGGCTTTACAACTTCTCACTTTTTGACCTTGAATGCAAGTCATTTGAGTTCTCAGGGCATTGCTTCCCTCTGAACAGCATGAACAGTGAAGAACAACTAGCCTCTGACTCCACAGGGATGTTGTGAAAATAAATGAGATGTAGGTCTAGAGTGTCACTTTAAGCTCTTAGGAATGAAAGAGCTTAAAGAGATATAAGGTTTCCGTAGTTATTCTTTATTTTTTCAGCCTTACAAGTGAGAAAGGTTCCACCTTGGTAAGTTTTGAAGAATACCGCCTCGCTTACAAGCCCCCCCAGATCTGTGGCTTTGCCTCTTCTACATTCACAAAGTCTATTGTAATTCTGACTACTGACTCAGTGAAATTTTAAAAACTCTGCCACATACTTGGAAAACAAAGAAGAGTGGTCACACTCTATGTGGGACAAATTATCTGCCACCAGTTGGACATCACACTATACAGGCTCCTACACTGGCTGTTAAAAAAAAAAAATTCTAACAAGATATTGTCACATTGCAGAAAAGAAGTTGCTAGGATAGACTTCCCACTCAGAATATTGATCTGATAGAGTCTAGAAGTTCATAGGGAATAAACTTCCAGCACTTTCTTTAGGAGAACTAAAACTATATTTTGCCAATGTCAGAGATACACAAGGTAGTTTCACAGGTAGTTGTGAAAGAGAATCACAAATAACCAGCTAAAACTCCTGATCTTCTCTCTGCCCCCAGATACAGAGTCTCTGACAGGTGATATAGATAAGTACTGTATAACCTGTCACTTTATCTTCCTTAAGAGGGCAGCATAATCCATGGAGCTCACATAAACTCTTCTGTGGCTTCGATCCCATTCTGACATTCAGGAGAAAAGTTGACAGTCATAGATTAAAGGAAAACACTATAGTGAAGAGATATTTACAATAGGTAGCTCTGACTAAAGATGTGTTTTGGCAAGAATTAGCTGGAAAGACACATTGGCATGCTGGCATAGATTTCTAAGCTAGCGGATCAAACTAACATCTTTGCCTTGATCTCATTGGGGCCCAGGTTGACTTACATGCTTTGATTGTCTTCATTCATTCATTCCATAAATATTCATTGAGCACTGTAATGGAAATTGCTGGTAGTATCCCCAAATCTATTCTCACCTCCTGTATTACTCAGGGGTCTCCAGAGAGAGAGAACCAATAGGATATATACAGATAAATATAAATATATGAGAGGGGATTTATTAGGGGAATTGGCTCACGTGATTACGGAGGCTGAGAAGTCCCATGACAGGCGATCTGCAAGCTGCAAACCCTGGGATGCTGACGGCGTGGCTCAGTCCAAGACCAAAAGCCTCAGAACCAGGAAAGCCAATGGTGTATTTCTCAGTCCAAAACCAAAGGTCTGAGAATCCTGAAGGGGCCTTCTTGTTAAGCACTGGAGTCCAAAGGCTGGGGAGCCCGGAGTTATTGTCCTAGAATAGGAGAGGAAGAAGTTATCCCAGCCCCAGCAGCAAAATTAACAGACTCACTTTTTCTCTATTTTTGTTTTCTCCCAGCCCCCAGTAGATTGGATGGTTCATGCCAACATTGAGGGCAGATCTTCTCCATCTAATCCTTCAGACTCATATCTAATCTCCTCTGATAACACCCCCACAAACACACCCCAAAATCATGCTTTACTAAGTTGCTAGGTATTCCTGAATTCAGTCAAGTTGACACCTAAAATGAACCATCGCACTTCCTTCCTGAGCAGGTAGCTGTCCAACTAGAACCTACATTTTCCAGTTGATCTTACAGGTGTGTGATCTAAGTATGCACTAATGGCAACTGAGTGGAAAGAGTGGGGGCAATTTCAGCATCACTTACCTTGAAGAAAATCCTTGACCTGGACTTCTCACTCTTGCCTACTTACTGAAAATGGCAAAGTCAAGCCTACCCATCAGCCATAAACTATTATGTGAGAGGAAAATAAATATCTGTGTTTTAGAGTCCCTTTGTTACATCAGCATAGCCTGCACCTTTACAAATAGGTGTGCCATCTTGGTACTAGATTCTGTGCAATATGATGACAATTCTGCTTAGCAAAACACACATAGTGCATGTCCCCATGGAAAGTATAATCCAATGTCTACCATAATCTTCTGTCTGGGAACAAAACATGTGAGACAAGTGTGGCCATATTCATCAATCAAAATAAACCAAGACAGGGAACAAGAGCAAAAGAGTGGGTAAGAACCTGGACTTCAGTGCCATGCAGGTGTAAATTCAAGCTCCTGCAATATCTTTTACTAACCACGTCTTTGGGCAAATCATTGAACTTTTGTAAACCTGATTTTCATTCTTGTTAACTGAAGATAATAGAAATAATAATATGTACCTAATAAGGTTGTGATGATGATCTAAAGAATTAGGTATGTAAATTGCTTAACCTGGGGCTTGAGTTTACCAAGTGTGATTATCAGAGTTCAATTTTTCCACTACTCTTGTTATTTCTAAATTCCATCAGGAGGGGCTTAAAGAAAAGATAGAAACATCATTATCTCATTCAAGCTAAATGAGGCAGGTGTCATCATTCCAATTTTGTAGATAAGAAAACTGAATCTTAGAGGGGCCACTACTTAGTAAGTAGTGTCTAATTCCAAAGCCCATACTACTACACCAGATGTATGACAATCAGGCCTAGAAATCACTGCTCAGCTATTAGTCCAATGAGGTTAATTCTTCAAGGTTACATTACAATTGTTAGTTTCTTTCCACCGCCTAACATACAAGTAAAACCCTTCTGAGAGTAAAGTTTCCAGGTCTGGACCTCAGTGCATAAGTTAGTACCCTCTTCTGTGTTCCTAGGGCACTTTATATCTCTGTTATCATTTAGTCACTATCTTATAATTGTCACTATCTTATAATTGTCACTATCTTATAATTCTTTTTACTCATCTGACATCCTCCACTGGAGTGTGAGCACCTGAAATTTGGATTTCTTAAATATCTCTGTCTCAGGACTTAGCATGATGCCTGGTATGTACTAAGCATTCTATGATTAACTGTTGTAAAGAATTGCCATATGAATAAATGAATAGACATTAAAAACTGGAGTGTTAGTAACCTACCTATTAAGGTGGTTATTTGTTTGATGCAAAGGAAGTGGAGGCATTCAGTTTTGAAAATAAACGATTGGCAATAAAATATTTAATAAAATTCATCAAGCATAAGAAATTAGTACACAGTAGTCCCTTGATGGAAATAAATGTTTTCAAAAAGTCATATGCTGATTGCTTTGACCTCAAAGACAAAATGAAACGTTATGCATCATCTGTAAGGGTCCACTTAGCAAAAGCATTTTTAACCTCAATGGGAACTGAAATATTGTACAATTGTGTTAGAACAATTGTAGCAAACAATATCCTTGAAACAGCAAAGAGAAACACAAAACAAAAATCAAGATTCTGTTCTGTGAGAGTAGATTTAATTAGAGAAAGATAAGGAAGCAAACGTTGACTTTCAAAGACCCTGAATGCATTTACTGTGTATTTTCATTGGGTTTAGAAGTTCAAGGCACTGGTTCTTTATTCTCCCTAATTCCACATCAAAGCTTCCAGGTTTCACTCTCTTTACTATAGAGATATTGCCAGCAATACTCTATATAGAATAGTCTGGATTAGCCCCCTTTTTCTCACAAGTGGAACAAAGACAGGGAGAAAAATATTTCTAAGATAACTGGAAAAGAATGGGAAACAAAAATAAATCTGTGATTTGTCTAAAGAAAGTTAAAGGAGGAGTGAGTAAACTGGCGAGAAAGATAGTGGCTGGTGTGAAGCTTACTGACCTACAATGAGGGAAATATTAAGGAAATGAAGAGATGAGCAAAAGCTTCATATATTTAAAAAGGATAGAAACAGATAGCAGGAAATACAATGACTCACAGTATTCTTCCATGCTGGCTGACAAATAATATCATCGGCCCAAGGAATTTTGTTTGTTATTGAGAACAAACAGGAGGAGCAGATACCTTGTTGTAGGGGAGGAAAGGAGATGTGATAGAGAATTTTTCATTTCCATAAATAGGTTAATTACACCTTGATTTATTTTTAAATTCACAGAGGCTGAACTGATGTCTGTGGAGAAAAGAACACGAAGGAATAATGTAATATGAAACTCCCTAACATGATACATATACAAAGACTATTGAGAAATCAATGTGGAAAATGCAAAACTAAGGGAGAAAGCATTTTGAACCACTCATCTAAGAATATGGTCAGTATTAAAAAGACAAGAATATCAGAAAAATCTCCCAAGTTATGTTCATAGGCTTAGCAGAATAAAGGTAAGGCTTACTAGTTAAATGAATGAGAGAGGAGAATTTTTTCTAAATCTTAGAAAATGTTCAGGCTCTCCCATCTTTCTCCACACCCCTCATGAGCATCTCTGTAAAAACTGCCATCAGGACCAAAGACAGCAGCTCTCAGTTTAACGTAGGTGCCAGTGACCAAACTACCGCTCAAGGAAATAAGAGAGGATACAAACAAATGGAAAAACATTCCATGCTCATGGATAGGAAGAATCAATATCGTGAAAATGGCCATACTGTCCAAAGTAATTTATAGATTCAATGCTATTCCCATAAAGCTACCATTGACTTTCTTGATAGAATTAGAAAAAACCACTTTAAATTTCATATGGAACCAAAAAAGAGCCTGTATACCAAAGACAATCCTAAGCAAAAAGAACAAAACATCACGCTACCTGACTTCAAACTATACTACAAGGCTACGGTAACCAAAACAGCACGGTACTGGTACCCAAACTGATATATAGACCAATGGGACAGAACAGAGGCCTCAGAAATAACACCACACATCTACAACCATCTGATCTTTGACAAACCTGACAAACACAAGCAATGGGAAAAGAATACCCTATTTGATAAATGCTGTTGGGAAAACTGGTTAACCGTATACAGAAAACTGAAACTGGACCCTTTCCTTACACCTTATACAAAAATTAACTCAAGATGGATTAAAGATTTAAATATAAGACCTAAAATCATAAAAATCCTTTGTATCCCAAGTGCTCAGCACACAGTCTCTGACACTAAACATTTGTTGAACTAATTAAATAGAGGAAAGAGAATTAAAATGCCATGGTGAAAAAGAAGCAGCATCTCTGCTGTCTACCCAACAGTGATCTGTATCTGTTTCTCACTTCTGCATCTTATGAAGTCATAAAATTAAAAGTTTTGGGAACCCTGTATGAGAGTAAGGTAGGAAGATAAATAAGAAAAGTGTGATCACAAAGTGTAATCACTTTATATTACTGGTGCTTAACAGTTAGAATTAACATTCTCTTTTATGCTAATTGTGATGTTTTCCATTTTATATGTGTACATAATTTGTTTAGCTGTTTCTCAGATTATTGTACCAGTCTCTTAGCCAAGGGTCTTGCTTCTGGTCTCACCACTTCATCATTACACCTCCTCCTAATTCATTCTTTGCCTTACAGTTTGTTATATTTCAAAAGTGCAAATTCTATTACGTTACTTGCATGAATAAAACTCTTTATTGGTTAACAATTGGTCTCAGGATACAGTGCTAGCTCCTTGGCAGAGCACCTGAGAGTCTCGTGAAATCATTTGTGAAATAAAAAATGCCAAAACAAAAAAGTTAAAGAAAAAGTGCCAAAACAAAAAAGCTAGAGAAAATCTAGCCCTTGATCATAACATGTTGCCATTTTTTAACAATAGCTTGACAATGTTATAACAGCTTATGAAACATTTTTTTCAAAAACATGACCAATAGCTTCATACTCCATCTATCACCTTTACCAAAATATAACTGAAGTTTATCCTTAATTTTTTTCATAAAGGGGATTATTTTACCTGAATTCCTACTAGATACAAATTTAGTGAAAATGTGTATCATAAGTTAGTGCATTCATATTCAATTCAGGCATTGTCTCTTCTACAAGACCAGGCAGTTGAAGTCTGGGCTATGTATCCCTCCTCTTCATATCATAGGGCCCTGCAACTATTTATAATAATACATTTATCTCATTATATCAAATTATTGTTTTAGGTGTCTGCCCTCTAGTCCTATGTGCAACTTAAGGAAAAGTGCAAAGAACTTTATTTTCAATCATTCTCTATGCTCTCAAAATGTGCTGCTTGATGGGAGACATAACTATGATTAAGACATTATTCCTTACCTCAAAAAGTTAAATCTTAAATTGTGAGAGAGAGAAGAAGAAACTTATAATACTGTATCATGAGAGAGTAGGCTCTGATGTTAGTGCTGCCGCTTCTATAACACTGGGAAAATTAATTAAATGTAGCTGAAAATGCAATGACAGTGATAATACCTACTTCAAAGAATTGTTTTAATGATTAAATGATGATGATGATGATGAAAAGTTGTTCTTGCCTATAGTAAGTGCTAAATAAATATGACAATCTGAACAAAGCTATAATAAAATACTGGTGGTGTGTGCACAAACACTGACAAAACAAATAAGGAGAGGTGCATAGATTTATTATATTTTAACCTAAAACTTAACTGAGAAAGATATAAAGGTATGATACATGTTCTAGTGAATTGTGAAATAAATCATTTTATTTACCAAGAGATGGTACTTGATTAAGCCAATGTGAACTGAAGCAATGTAGGAAGAAAGTAATGGAAGACTTCCCAAAGGAAATGGTATCTCGGTTGAGACAGGAAAGATGAGTAAGCATTAACTACACAAAGAGGGGCAGAAGGCAGCCCAGGTCGGGGCTGCCTTTTTCAAAGACCTAGAGATAAGAAACCATGTGATGCTTTCAGGTAATTGCAAGCAGTTCTGTTTAACTGTGACATCAAATCAGAGGTACGCTGAGTGTGGCCCAAGGTGAGGATAGAGGGCAAGCCAAAGCCCTCTCACGAGAATCTCAGGTGCTCCACCAAGGAGTTGGCACTGTATCCTGAGTCCAACGGATAACCACTAAAGAGTTTTATTCATGCAAGTAACATAATAGAATTTGCATTTTTTAAATATAACAAACTGTAATGCAAAGAACGAATTAGGAGGCGGTGTAATGATGAAGTGGTGAGACCAGAAGCAAGACCCTTGGCGAAGACAGTGGTACAATAATCTGATAAACAGCTAATAGTGGCCTGTATACTTTGTATCCCAAGTGCTCAGTGCACAGTCTCTGAACCTAAACATTTGTTTAACTAATTAAATAGCAGGAAAAAGAATTAATATACCATAGTGAAAAAGAAGCAGCATCTCTGCTGTCTACCCAACAGTTATCTATATCTGTTTCTCACTTCTGCATCTTATGGAGTCATAAAATTAAAAGTTTTGGGAACCCTGTATGACAGTAAGGTAGGGAGATAAAATGAGAAAAGTGTGATCACAATGTGTAATCACTTTATATTACTGGTGCTTAACAGAATTAACGTCCTCTTTTATGCTAATTGTGATGTTTTCCATTTTATATGTGTGCATAATTTATGTTTCTTGGGACATGATTTGACTTACAATCTGCCCAAATTCATGAGATGGCACAAGATACTAGTGGGTATAAATCTACTTATACTAATGGAAATACATATGCATATTTCAATCTCCATATTTGTACATCACACCTAATTTAAAAAGAAAAGGCTGCAATATTTTTAAAAACATATTGGTTACTTAAATCCTCTGTCTCTTTCATAGTATCTATTTCTGGCTCCATAAAAATCTTTTTTTTTTACAGTTCAGTTATTGATATAGGATTCTCAATGGTCATGACCACAGCCAAATACACCTACATAGGTCATCCCCTATTTGTCCAATCTATTACAATTCCAAAAGACTTTCAAAGGGCCCTCTGGCTTCTGGTGGCTTTTCTGTGTGTCTAATTTCCTCCTGACCCCCCATTTATTGGCATCCATGTTGGAACAGGTGTGAGCAGACATGGGCAGGTCCTTGGAGCCCACAGTTCAGTGCTGGCACAAGATAATGGTTATTTTCCTAGAGGAGATGACTCTGACAATGTTTTCCAGGATGCCAATTTCCAATTAGTGTCATCTTTTGCTCCACGTCCTAGGGCAAAAGTCCATTTTATATTGAGTAGACTCGGTGTTCTGAGAGATGTGCACGAATGCCAGAAATGAGATGCATTTCAGCTTTTTCCTTGTTGTCAAGGATGACTGGTCTGTCAACCAGAGACACAGTCCCCACTGTCCAGTCTCTTACTCATGAACAGGGATGCTAATTTATTTTCTAACAATGAAGCCAAATGTGCTTCCAGATGTTGAGCTAGGAAGCAATTGTGATTGTTGCAAGCACATGGTAAAAAAAAGAAAATTCCACAATTAAGACTCACAAATTGTCTTCAGGAGACTATTTGCGTTTCAGGAGTGTGCTGATGTTTTTAGCAAAGCAAAACATTTTGTCAACTGAACTCATAAGGGTTTTTAACAGACAACCTATTGTCACAAAAACAATTTTTTTTTTTTTTGAGACAGAGTCTCACTCTGTCGCCCAGGCTGGAGTGCGGTAGCGCGATCTCAGCTCACTGCAACCTTCGCCTCCCGGGTTCAAGTGACTCTCCTGCCTCAGGCTCCTGAGTACCTGGGACTACAAGCACGCGCCACCATGCCCGGCTAGTTTTTGTATTTTTTAGTAGAGATGGGGTTTCACCATATTGGCCAGGCTGGTCTCAAACTCCAGACCTTGTGATCCACCTGCCTTGGCCTCCCAAAGTGCTGGGATTACAGGCATGAGCCACCATGCCTGGACCAAAAATTCTTATAATAAATTTCCTAAAGACCGTAGATTTATCTATAGCTAATATGCAAGGAGAAAGAAACAGGGGAGGGTCAATTTCAGAAGACTATGTTCATATGATACCATAACACTGTTGGTGGGGTCAATTCAATGGCAAATAGATGAAAAAATTCTTGGATCAAGTAAGCCGGTTTTTGTTTTGTTATTGTTGTTGATGTTGGTTTTTGCTTTTCCTACATGAACTGGGTAAGCAATTGTCAACAGTGTTACCCTGTGTAGGCAGAGGGCCTTTGCAAAGTCCTCTGTTTAAAATTGCTGACAATCTTGGGCACGTGCCTGACACACGAGTTCAGTAGAAGAACCTAATCCAGGGACAAGCAATTCCTGCTCCATTCCCTTACATGGGCCTGGCCAATGTACACAAAAGACTCCCTTCTAGTCCAGGCCACTGGCCAGCTTTGGTCTACTCTTCAATGTCCTATATCTGACTCTGAAGACACTTTATGTACTTATTCATCATTAGCCCTTGTTGAACACTCATGTATAATTTTGTACTCACATTATGGTCCTATAAACCATCAGCTATGAATCAGAAACATATTTCACTATTCTCTCCAATCCTTACTGTACCAGTAAGCAGCCAGACCACTGTTCTGCTTTGCCTTCTCCAGTGAAAGAAAAAAAATGGATATTAACAGTCAATTCTTGTGCAAAATCAAATTTTAGATATAGAGTTGCTTCCGTTGTTGAAATATTTGGCAACTCTCCTCCTTCATAAGTCCCACCTAAAATCTCATCTGAATTCTATACTCTTTCGGCAAAAAAATAAAGCTGAGACATGAGAACAAGAGTTTTATGAGTGAGGCAGTGTGGGGTAGCAGAAGCAGCATAGGCTTTGAAACTAGGTGAGCTTGATTCTCAATGCCACCTTTCTATTATGCACTTGACTGCTATGAGGGCTTATGTAAGTTACTTGACCGCCTCCTGCTTCAGTTTCCTCATTTGTAAAAATGACGATTAAATGAGAGAAGGCATATTGGGACATTAAGTGGAGACTTTAGAATATAGAATCACTTTTTTTCTTTTTAAATTTTTGATGAGAAAGCAGCGACAGTAGTTTTATTCAAATACAGTCATATATAACTTAGTGACTGATGGGGATAAATTCTGAGAACTGTGTCATTAGGTGATTTCATCGTTGTACAAACATCATAGTGTGTACTTATACAAGCCTAAATTGGATAGCCTACTACACATCTAGGCTATATGGTCTAGCCTATTGCTCCTAGACTACAAACCTTTATAGCATGTTACTTTACTGAATGCTGTAGGCAATTGTAACAAAATGGTAAGTATTTGTGTATCTAAATCTATCTAAGCATAGAAAAGGTGCAGTAAAAATATGGCAAAAAAGATTAAAAATGGAATGCCTGTCTAGAGCATTTACCATGAAGGAAACTTATAAAACTAGAAGTTGCTCTGGGTGAGTCAGTGAGTCAGTGGTGAGTGAATGTGAAGGCCTAGGACATTACTGTACACTTTTGTATGACTGGCAGCACAGTAGGTTTGTGCACAGCAGTGTCACCACAAACACATGACTAATGTGTTGCACTACAACGTTAAGATGGGCTACAACACCACCAGGTGATGGGAATTTTTCAGCTCCATTATAATCACACAGGTCCACTATTGTATATGCAATCTGTCATTGACCCAAGCATTATTATATGGCTTATGACTGTATACGCAGAATGTAACAGATTATGTTTTTCAAACACGGCCATGGCAATATTTCCAGTCTCATTTGCTCTTCCAGCACCTTGCCAACCCCCATCAAGAGGGGAGTTTGTTTCCTTTTCTGCTGATCTGGGCAGACCTCTGTGAATTCCTGGACAAATAGTATGTGGTAGGAAGGACTCTGCATGACTTTCAAGACTAGCTCATAAAAAGCAATACAACTTTCTCCTAACTTTCTTTATCTAGATGCCTCTTCTGGGAACCCAGCCACCATGTTGTAAGGACGCTCAGAACACATAAAAACGTGACATTTAGATATACCAGCCAATAGGAACACTGGCTAAAACCCAGCTAAGGTTTCAGCTAAGCAGCGAGCATCAACCACCAAGTGTAAGAGTGAACAAGCCTTCAGATAATTCTAGCCTCCAGCCTTCAAGCTGTCTTAGGTAATGCTGACTGGAGTAGAGATGACTGTCCTCACAGGTTCCTGCCCAAATTGCAGATTTGCAGGCAAAGTATGTGCTGTTAATATTATAAGCCACAAAATTTTGGGGTGGTTTGTTACATAATAGATAACCAGAACACGGAATCTCAGAAATTAAATGCAATGCTACCAATTTTAGAATCAAAAAAGGTTTTCAAAGGATGTCATCTGAGATTTTCAAAATACAAAGCTGAAATGTGTCCTCAAAAACTTCACAATCCATCTTTTATATTTTGTAAAAACCTGAGGAACAGAGATGTTCTGTGACTCACTTGTGATCCTAGAAGTAGTTAGGGGTATGGTCTGAACCAAGTCCAGTTCAATACTGTACTTTCCACAATATGACTATGAATACCACACAAGTTTGCTGGGTTCAAAGTGTGAGGGGTCAATTTAGTGCAATTATTCTGCAAGTCTACCAGAGTTCAGTACAATGTTTCCATGCTCCTCTCTGCTTATTTCTTTCTTCCTGCTTAACAGAAAGCCTGATCTGAACTTTGTTGATTTAGTGTGTAAGGTTGGGAGGCTGGACGGGATCCAAGAAGCTCAACTGAGCTAACAAGAATTTCTTTTTAAAAAAAGTGTCAAACCATGAAATCAGCAGATGTGACTCAAAGCAAGGGAGAGAGAGGGCAAATATGCTGAGTGTAAAGCTTCTGTTTTTCTACAGTCACTTTTCAGAGTATAAATGCCTGAAAATTCTATAACATCGATCAGATGGTTTGGCAGAAGCCTGTTTTTGGCAGGCAGAGAGTTCCACATGATGGTTTTATCTTGTTAAGAGCTAATCTATTATGATGGACTAACATACACAGATAGCCCATCAATTAGAAAATGTTTTATCACATAATTGATTGCAGACTCTTCAGTAATTGAAGTGGCACTAGGAAAGAGTGTTGACATGAATATGTGTCTTTCTTCATTGCTGCTAGTCGTACAAACTACTTAAACTGGCCGACAAAAACTTTGCTTTTTGATGCAGAAGTCTTCTTCCAACCTCATTCTCAAAGAATTCATATGCATATGAATGAGAGATGAACACAAGTCTAAAAAGTTGTGGGAAATAATAAGGAGAAAATTGGAACAAGAAGGAAAAAGTAGAAAGGCAAAAAGGAAAAGAGAGCAAAAGAAAGAACTAGAGAATTAGGCCTACCACATTCATCACATTTGTGGTTCAGTGCTTTTCTCCCATTCCAAAAGGTACATCTCAATTAGAGAATGAGGCTCCAGGTTCTGTTAATCAAAGTGTTCACCACTTTTTCCTGGAGTTTTAACTCAATACCTCGCACTAGTTCAAAGATCTTTTCTCTCTATTCTCCCTAAACGCTTGATATTCGTGATTAAATCAAGGGTCAGCAACTTCTGAAAGCTTTATGAAATTTTTCATTCTCAGTGAGGTTCTTCTTTGTCTACCAGCTGGTGGGGACACCTGATTTTAAAGGCACAGCAGATAGGACCACGAATTCTATTATTTCAATGAAGTTGAGAGTTTGTTCCATGGAAATTTTCCACAAGGATGCACTTTAGAATGTGCTTACTGAGAACATAGTTAAGGTTTTTCACAATTTTACTTCCTTCATTTTGAAACATTTGTAGCATTTTGTAAGATTTTGTTGAACACGAAGTGGTGGGAATAACTTTTGTGAACCTCCTGTCTTTAGCCATTAACTGCGGACAACAAAACTGCTTCTTCTACTGGAGCAAATTCAGCTTCAATAAGAAAGTTGGACTTCTTTCTCATTTAGCCACAAGGCACTGATTTTCTTCTTCCAGCAAGGAAAAAATGAGAAAAGATAAAAGTCAAAACAGCATGTCTCTTATGTGGTTTTGTGCTGATCTTTTGAGCCACAAAAATCCTAGAGAGAAACTTGAAGGGGAAATAACAGAAAGAAAAGGGTAAAATAATGGGGTTTTAAAATCACAGAAGAGAGAGAAGCTGTTAAATCATTTTCATTATTGTTCAGCCTGTGTTCTGCTGAAGAGTAATTAAATGGTTATCTAATAACATGAATTATTTTCTATGTTTAAAACAGAATAAAATATGAATATTGGCTAATGTTATGGGGCATCTGAAATTGCCCTAAGGGTGATAAAATGCATCTGAGGAAAGACCCAGAAGTAGCAGCAATGTTGGTATTTGACACTCAAACACAAAAGAAAATGGATTGAGAATGAGCATGGCACCAGAAAGTGAAAATGGCAAGTTGAAACATGAAGGATAAGGAGTGAGGAAGCAAGAGAGGCTAGACTATATGTTTAGCTCTGTCTGAATTCATAGTGTGGCTTTATACATTGCTCTGAAAGAAAAACAAATTGGAAAAGCTTTGAAAACGTCGCCATACATACCTCAGTGTTCTGATGGCTTTCCAACTCAGGCAAGCTGGGTGCTAATGGCTCATTATAGCATGCAAGATGCATGTATGTTCTCACAATTCACAGCTAGTTACTCTGTACTTGTCTATGGATGGTGAACTTCCATTACATTTAATCACCAGTTTTGTCAACCCTGGGTGGTTAGATTCCCAGATGTTGACTAATTGTAAGGATTGATGTTCTTCCAGATGTGTTAGGTTTCCACACATCTCTGTCAACTCCAGGAGAGTATGTGAGTGCTTTTCTAATTCAATGACCACTGATGGATCTCTCATAGACGTCTCTGTGGCAGAAGTGCCCCCTCTTCTAGAGAAATAAAATTGAACAGTGGCTTCTATAAACAGTAGAACATGCTAACCACCAGTCCCTCGCCAATGTCACCAGTTGATTTTAGAAAATGAAAAACAGATGCAAATTAGCAAAGGGTAGTAACCTGGTCCCATCATTTTTGTATCTTGTATAAATAATAACTTGGTGAAACTGTAAAATTAAAAATGATAGGGCCCCAGGCTTAACTCAAAATGAATTAATGTTGCCATTGGAGATAGACATAGTGAACAGAATATAATAAGCATCTCAAACTGTGTGGAAGTAGGCTAGACCTAGACATTTCATAAAATACTGATCATGTTTTGTTTAATAATCAATTTTTATTTCTACGAACCTTTGAATTTCTTGATTCCAAGCAAAAGTGCCAAGTACCTTAATAGATGAGTCTTGCACAGTCCCAAACCAGACAAGAAGTTTGGACAACTTTCAGCTAAGCATCCAAGCTTCCAAGCATTTATTAAAACTTAGTTAAAACTCCAGGCTTTTGCAAACCCTTAATTTTTGATAAATATAACAATGTCTACACCAAGAGAACATAAATATTCTAATAAAGCCAAACTTGAAATTGTCCCAAAGCAAGCTATCAAGAGTTTGAGTTTTTTTCCCCAATGTAGAAATCTATCTTTTTTTCTCTGCAGTAGAGTCTTCATTTCAACCAATGATGAAAATGAAGACAGTGAAAGGTTATTTGGTGATTACAGTTACAGATCGTTAATATGGGCACAAAGGTTTATACTACAGCCAGTTCTCCACTTTAAAAAATGAACTACGTTTGCTCTGTGATGCAAAACGTCTGGTTGGACAATGAACACCTCAATTAATTATTAAACCTTTTCTAACATTCTGGATATCTGGATAATTAATCAATTTTTTCCATTTACATCAAGACTTTAGGCATCAAATAGACAGTGCCTTCCTGTGGACTAACTTTAAGTGGTCCTCAAAGAAAGAGTTTTCAAGCTGTGCTATGTGTTTTATCCAAAGCATTTTTCTCACGCTGGTATTTACTAATGCAGAGTTAAAGCAGTCTTCAGAAGATTATGATGGGGTGCTAGTATCTATAGATTACGTAAACAAATGCCACAACTTTTCTAAATAAAGGATCAAAAAGCAAAGTTTTGGAAGAAAATGTCCAAGAACATACACACTAATTTAAAAAAAAAAAAGCAGAAATCAAAACTGAAATCCACATATTCTTTGCCAAAACTTTTGCCTACTGATCTACAGGGCTCTTTAAAAATCACTCAAACAGCTTCTTTTTCAAACAACTTGATTCAACTCAGTGGGGGTGGGGGAGAGGAACTGGGAGAGGAAACAAGGAGAAAACTGCAAAATTGTAGAACTAGATTTTTCTCTAGATTTGTGATTTTCATAAAAATGGAATTCCATAAAGGAGTTTTAGGAGCCAGCACCATGGAAGAGCATAGGCCAGAGAGAGCCTGAGGGTTCCTTCCAGCCATCTCCATTTTCTCTATGTTATACTTGAATATTCCATATAAGACTTCACACAAAAAAAGGAAGTATCTGCAGCTAAAATCGTTTTGAAAGTGGTCCTCAAAGTATGGTCCCCAGACCAACAGTACAGCACCACCTGGAAACTTGTTAGAAAAGCAAATTTTCAGGCCTTATCTCAGATCTACAGAATCAGACACTCTAGGTACAGCCCAGCAGTGTGTTTTAACAAGCACTCCAGACATTTTGATGCATTCTACAGTTTGAGAACGTCTACACTGTAAGAGCCCCAGCCATCACCACCTACCAGAAGGCTTCTATAGCTAATCATTTGTCCCCTCTCCCACCTCCACCCACAACACACATACCATACATGCTCACACAGCTAGGTTGTTGGTGTCCTTCCAAACTTGCATCCACCAGAGTGTGCACCACATTTTTTGTGTTATTATTTCTTTATGTATGTACCTCTTCTATAACCGTATAAACTCATCCAAAACATCAATGATGGGGTACCCTTTTTTTCCATTTCTTGAATTTAGCATAGTGACAGGCAAAAACAGGTACTCAGTAAACACCAAATGAATTAGAGATACATTGACATTTGTGTATCTGATGTATTTATTTGTATCATACCTTCTTCAAATAAATGAAGTCTTACATAAGTATGCTCATTGTATTACGTTGTTTTTGCACTGGTATAAAGAAATACCTGAACTGGGTAATGCATACACAAAAGAGGTTTAATTGGCTTACAGTTCTGCAGGCTGTGTGGGAAGCATGGCACCAGCCATCTGCTTTGCTTCTGATAAGGTCTCAGGAAGCTCACAATCATGGTGGAAGGCAAAGAGGGAGTTGGCACGGCACATGGTGAAAGCGGGAACAAGGGGTAGCAGTTGGGGGGGTGGGATGCCACACACTTTTAAATGACCAGATCTCCTGAGAACTCACTGTTGCAAAGACCGCATCAAGCCATGAGGGATCAGCCCCTGTAATCCAAACACCTTCCGCCAGGCCCCACCTCCAACACTGAGGATTACAATTCAACATAAGATTTGGGTGGAGACAAATATCCAAACTATATCGCTCATATAAGTACAACGTAACCAAAATTAAACCAAATAACCAAGACAAAGATAATGAAAATCAAAAGGTTTCATCAATGAATCATCCTAGGAGCCAACCGTTTACATCTATTAACCCAATAGGCAGCTGCTCACGACTGTTTAGTCCTTTTCAAGCAATTCTCTGGCTGACTGTTTAGTCCTTTTCAAGCAATTCTCTGACCCTCAGGTTTCCTGTGAAAGTGGACCTTGCTTCAGACTACTGCACTACACCACATGCGGGGAGGGTTGTTTCATTGGCAATGGTTAACTTCAAAAAGCAAAGACTGGGATCTTTCCTTTTCTAAAAAATGGATAGATGAGGGTCAATATTATTAAGGAAATCCCTTATGTGTTTTTCATACTGTTTTCACCACAACTCAGAGTAAAATAATACATTTTCCCTTTTGCCCCAATAAACATATACACAGACATATACACTTATGTTTTCAGAAGCCACTCATCCTATGCCATATGTTACTCTCTGGTATTTGCTCTTCTATTTTATATTATCCTTTTTCCCTAAAATTAAAGTGTTTGTGATACACTAAGTAAATTTCATGATTTGCCATCTGGTTGCAAACTACAGTTTTAAAAGTACTGTTTATATAATATATCATTATTAATGTACTTAAGTGGAGTTTGGTTTTATTTTACTTTGTTTTTAACTAAATGAGTAGTTTTTCAAATTACTTGTTCCGAAATTTAATCTACCCTTTATCTTCCAAAAGTAGAGAGCATTAATGCAGTCCTCCACCACTAACAACTCTGCAGCCAAATTTTCCAGAAATCCCAGTTCTATAGCTTAGTATCATGTGACTTTGGACAAATTATTTAACCATCTTGAATGCTGCTTTCCTTAGCTGTAAGAGTCCTAATCCACCTCTTATAAAGCTTGGCGGAGGAGTAGAGAAAATGCATTAAAAGCACTTGGCCATAGATGCTCAACCAATTTTTTTGTTTGTTTTTTTGTGTGTGTTTTTGTTTTGTTTTGTTTTTTGTTTTTTGTTTTTTGAGACAGGGTCTCACTTTGTCGCCTAAGCTGGACTGCAGTGGCACAATCAGGGCTCACTGCAGCCTTAACATCCCCAGCCCAGGTAATCCTTCTGTCTCAGCCTCCCACGTAGCTGGGGCTACAGGCACATGCCACTATACTTGGCTAATCTTTTGTACTTTTTGTAGAGATGGGGTTTCACCAGGTTTCCCAGGCTGGTCTGGAACTCCTGGGATCAAGCAATCTGCCCACCTCAGCCTCCAAAAGTGCTGGCATTACAGGTATGAGCCACCACACCCAGCCCAATGATAACTTTTACTATCATCTTAGACCGCTAGGAGAACTATCAGTTAATATTTTTAAGGCATTCTCAGATATCCACGTAAAAGAGGGCATCAAAATTCTCTGCTACAGATAAAACTGTGCATCAATGAAAGTTCTGATGCAAACTCTGATTATACCCTTTAGGAAGGACCCCCTATGACTCCAAAGTAAGTCATACCTGTTGGGAGCTGGCAAGGTCTCTTCACTGTTGAATGGGATTTGGGATTCTTAGGCCTTTCCAACTAACACCTTGCACCATCAATAAATGTACCATCTCCTCTCCTCTGAGAGATTCTTTAGAGTTTAAAACCCCATGTGCTTCCCAGTCATTTGCTATAGCTACTGGTGCAAATTCCATGTCCTTATTGGGCTTATCAAACCTGGTGCCTGAAGATTACTGTAACATTTCATTTGCAGAAAGATAGCTCAAAAAAATAATAAAATTTTTGAAGTTATAGCTGCTTGTGTGATCCTGAGATATGGGATATTTAATAACTGAGCAGAATTTAAAACATCTCTAGTTAAAGCGGAGGAAAATAAACAAGAAGCAAACTGCAGAACAGGCAGGCCCTTTACTTAAAAACTCAGGATCTACAATATTCTTACAAAGAGACACCCACCATCACTCCAATCCCAGGTGCTAAATAACCCATTCCTCCCAGTTTTCACTCAGCTTTGGAACCACTTTGACAAAATTGAAATAGAGAAGATGTAGGTTCACAAAACTGGAGGAATGAAGAAGTTGAAAAAGCAAGAATAGTTCAGAGCAACCAACTGCCAGGGCTGCACCCTTAGGCAAAAACATACCTAATAACCAGGCAGATATATTGCCCAAATATGTTTTCCTCTACATTTCCAGATTATGTTTGTCTCCCTTTGTTATTCCTCTTAAAATCTCACCATTCAGAGATTTTATTAGTTTAATGACCAACATTTGTAAAAAGATAAAGGGTTGCTGAGCTATCAGATAGGCACATATTGGAGTGAATAAATTAACAAGACTGTTTTCCACATAATATCAGGCTAAAATCAGAAGATAAATGTAGGGATGCTTCCAAAGAGCATCTAGGATTAAAATTCCCATAACACTGAAAGCCTTAAAGAGACCCTTTCTTTTGTAGGTCCCCGAAGCTGGACTGGGAGTGCAGGGATGGGGTGATGACAACCTGAAGAAGTTGACTTTCTATACCTAGGATGATGAGGGAAGGAGTTAGTGCGAATTGGCTTTTATGAAACCAAACCAAGATAAAGCTGAGTTCTAAGTACAGTTTAGGTTTTGGGGAGACCTTCCTCTTCTCTGTCTATATCCTTTCCCTGCTTCCTAATAATTATAACAAAAATAATAACCAACATTAATTGAACACATTCTACATTGCAAGACTCCTGAACCAAAAAAATATATACTATATATGGCACCTCATTCGCTCCTCACCACAGTCCTATGAATAATCACCTTTATTATTTCTACCTTACAGATAAGGAAGCTGAGGCTCTGAAAGTTTCAGTTGTCCATTGTTGCACTAGCAGTTGAATCCAGAACCCACTGAGCTATGCTTCCATTCCACATTTTCTGTGGATAGATCCAGATAGTGTAATTGAGAAATTAGGGAGAGGAGAGCGGAAGCAGAAGCCAGCTCTCAGGAGAACACTTGGGTACTGTGGTAGCTGAAAAATGCACCCCCCCCCCGCCCCAAGATGTCCATGCCCTAATGCCCCAAACTGATGAATATATTACCTTATATGGCAAAAGAAACTTTGCAGATATGATTTCATTAAGAATCCTGAGATGGGGCAATTCTCATATATTATCAGGTGGACCCAATGTAATCCCAAGGGTCCTTATAAGAGGAAGGCGGGTGGGTCAGAGACACAGAAAGACTGGAAGATGCTACACCGCTGGCTTTGAAGATAGAGGAAGGAAACCACGAGTCAAGGAAAGCAGGCAGCCTTCAGAAGCCAGAAAAGGCAGGAAATGGATTCTCCCTAGAGCCGCCTGGAGGAGTACAGCCCTCTGATAACCTTGATTTGGGGACTTCTGACCTCCAGAACTACACAAGAATACATCTGTGTTGTTTTAAAACACTACATCTGTGGTAATTGGTTACAATAGCAAAATAGAAAACTAATAAGGTCCCTCTACAAAGAAAATGCATGGACTCTTTTTTACCCCATGCTAATGACAAGCAGTGTTTGTTTGCACACTGCAGAGGCATCTCAAAGCAGCGTGCCTCAGATTCCAGGTGGGGAGGCAGCAAACTCACCTCATGGCAACTGCATCTTTGCATTTGTTCACCACACTAAGCACAAGTTTGGCACTCACATATCTTTCCCAATTTGCGGAGGCCCTTCGTTCCCTGGAGCTCCCAGCTTTCTCAGCAGTTATTTATTTACATCTATTATGGCACCCACAGCATTGTTGCTTTTCTGATTTCATGTCTCCCTCCTCCATTGACCTAGTCTCTCCAGGAAAGATACCATATTTTTTTCTCATTTCGATGTCTCTAGCACCTGGCACCATGCTTGGCCTATAGGGATGTCCAAGCCCAGAGCAAAGGAGAGAGGAGATGAAGAAAAGGGGCATGAGAAGGTGACCCAAGTTCCACTGCTACTTAATGGAGAGACTCCTGGACCTAAGTGTATCCATCACTCTCACATAATCTGCCCTGAGAAATAAACCCGTCTGTACCTTGATATAGAAAACATTTGCTGCTTTCTGCCTACAGTCCCCAGACTTACATCTTCGAAGTCTCACGGCGATCCATTCTGTATAACAAAGTAAGGTTGCAAAGCCCTGAATACCTGTTGTGGTAAGAAAGTAGCCAAACAAGACTTGTGCCATCTGTCTGTCTAAACTTTGAAACTGATTTCTACCTCCAGGATCCACAAGGAATTTGATGCCTGGTTTTTAGCCATTTAGGATAAATCTCCCCTTCTCTATGGAAAATGTTCATACCCTTTCTCCCCAAAGACAGCCACCTTCTCAGCAGTTCTTTAACAGTTACACCGTGCTTTCTGATTTGGTACCAATTTTTTAAGTATTGCATTGTTGGGCATCTTTTCTTTATGTCTTATCTCTCTAATTAGATACAAAATAATATGTCTTCATCAACCAACAGACATCTCTGGAGTGAATTCTGCATGTCAGGCACTGTGCTAGGCTCTGGGGACACAGTGGCTTTAAAAAGTCACAGTTCTGTCTCACATATAAGAACTAGGTTTCTTTATTTCCTTACACAACCTTCCCACCACCAGTGCCTAGCACAGAGAAAGTGCATAAAGTATTTTCATTCTCTGATCAGACTCTTAACCAAAACAAATAATAAGTCTAATCATATAGATCTCTCTATCTTACAGTTAGCTAGAACCTCAGGGATTATTCATTATCTAGTCTAAATCTTTAGCTTTATGGATAAAGACACTGAGACACAAATATGCAAAGTTATACAACAAATGATACAACTAGGGACAGAATTAAGGTTACATCCCTGTCTTCTGCCTCCTAATCCAGTGTGCCCTCTAATTGGACCCAGAGGTGACACCTAACTGGATTCTAGGGACAGCTCAGTTTGAATCATTCTGAACTTGCTGCAAATGTTCAGGCTTACTAAGCCGTGCACTCATCTGATTCTGCTCCCAAGTCCTCACCTACATCATTTCTCCTCACTGTCATTTGCTCTCAGCAGTACAAAGCAGCTGGTACTAATGACCTTTAGGGTCACTGGGAAGCAATTTATTTCATTTTTTAAAAAATAAAGGAAATGTTAATATCACAAGATCTGTGTCTGAAATGCCCCTGGGCAAGTTTCTTCTCTGACTTTACTTTGTCTCATTTTCAACTTCCTTTTTATTTTTTTTCCTTTGTCCATGTCAAATTGTCAGGATGACTTTGATCTCAGAGACATACTTTTTCTCCCTTCCTGACTCCCACCTGCCACCATGAGACAGTTCTACTGAAACCTATTAATTCTTTCAAGTCTAAGATCAGTCCCTGCTCAATTTCCATAGGGGCAGGAAGGGTCCCCAGCACAGAAGATAGATGTAATTCGAAAGAAAAGGATAAGTGTGTATGCATATCAATGGGTCCATAAAAAGGAAAAGCAGTTTGTCTTCATTGAATCTGGAGATCACAGTTTCCCGGACATTCTATTTTAAGACAACCTCTGGAAACCAACTTTTATATCAAACGGAAAACAAACAGTCAAAAGAGCTCCATGTGATATTCAAAACAGTGGCTGCACATCTGAACTGTGGCCCAATTACCTCCAGTTGATAAGAACTGCGTTTCAAACAGAAGGGAGACGATTCTGCTTAGTGAAGCTCTTTGGTTACAGAAAAGTAGAACAACTCGCAGAGAAATTGTCTCTTTCCACCTTCCATTTTCATAAGCGTTATAGTTAATTCTGGGTAATAAAAATGTAAAGTTTAATCAATGAAACATTTTGGCAGGAAATTGAAAATGATTTATTGGTGAGAAATAAACAAGAGGGCATTATGTGTTTAACAGTCAAACTGGCGCCAATTTTTCCTTCCACCTTAGTTGTTACTTATCCTCCACCCAACATGTCTGTTCTACAAGGCAAGTAAGAACGGGAGAAGAAAGGAGAGACATGTAAATTTAGACAGAGAAATAAAAGAACTGGATGGCTGCCTTATGAATAATAAACCTCTATTTGTAAATTACCTATGTTTAGAGAAAATTCAGCTCATTTAAAATGTTTAATAGATGTGAAGAGCTCTGAGGTTTGTAGAATAAAGCAACTAAGTCAAAACATTTTTGAAAATAAACAAGAGAGACAAAACATCCAGCACATCCCCACCCTTTCTGTCTTCCAAGAAGTAGCAATCTTAGGCCCAGGGAGGGGAACCATAATTTTTATTTGAAAACCTCTCAGGGCGGTCCTTTTGTATTTCCCTTTCTTTCTTCTCAGATCACAGCAGCAATTTTCTTTTATTGTCAGCTATTTATAGTTTTCTTTTCTCAAAACCGTGGCCAGAAAGAAATTGGGCAAAAAGCATTTCTTTCAACAGCCACGTTATTTTGTAGCACTCTTCAAAACTATTAAATACAATCAAAAAAGACCAAAAAAAAAAAAATCCCCGAACTTGTTCAACAATTTCTTTTTTTTTTTTTTTTTTTTTTTGCCACTTAGGCTGTTTTACTTAAAGAAGTGAAAGCCAAACAGATACTCTCATCCTGCCCCCAGAATAGGGAGCTGTGGAGAGAAGAGTCACTCAAAAGCTATCTTCCTATTCACAAATGAACACATAACAGTAAAGGAAGGCACTTGGTATAATGGAGTTGGCATAAATCTCAGTCCTGTTTCCCATGTCTCAGACATTTCACAGAAGCTTCAAAATACTCTGGACAGATTAGGGTGTGGATGGTCTAGATTTAGAGACCTGTCATCCACCAACAACCCTCTGGCACTTAGTCATTTCTTTTGTACCCATAGCAGAGTGGATAAAGGTATGATTTGTAGTCAGACATATGTGACTCCAAATTCAGGCTCTATCTCTTGCTAATCTTGTGAGCTTGGGAAAAATACTTGGCTTCTCTCCACCTCGGGTGCCCCATTTATAAAACAGGACAACTTAGCACTCAGTGAATACACAGAGCTTAGCACATGGTTACCACTTAAGGCAAATACTATGCTTGTTTCCTGCTATATTGCCTTGTCCAGGGCACAGAGAAGATGGCACGTCACAGACTAATACAATTGGGACCATGTCACTGAGCTCTGGATGCAAGCAGAAGTAATTTAAGCCACTTCCAGACCCTGCTATAAAGGTTCTCTCTTCCTCCATATCTCTCCGGCAAGCCTTGAAGTCATGTATAGGCCTGGGCCCCTGTCAGCTTGGGCATCTATGAGAAGCAAGGCCTACCCACCCACCAACATCAAACACAGAGCATGAGAGGTATCAACCTTTTTGTATTAAGCTACTGAGATTTTGAAATTAACTTGTTACTGCAACATAGTCAGGCCTTTTCTGACAAACGTTCCCTGGGTCAGTTCAAGTCCTCCAAGAAGCAGACACCAAGACAGAGTTAGAAGCACAAGAGATTTATGGGAGGAAGCCCCTGCAATAGATAAAGAGGACAGGAAGCAGGAGTAAGGAGTGAGAGCCTGGAGGCCGTGATGCAGGTCCGACACACTCAGAAGGTAAGGGCAGAGGTGGAGGATTGGGTAGCAGGAGTCTCAGACTGTATGGTGCAGCTTTGTGGAGCTCTAGGCCAAGGGAACCCATAGCAAAGACGGCCCACAGGGTAGTCCTGTATTGCGCAGAAACAGCCCACCTCTAAGCTCCCCAAGGTCCTCAGTTGTTGGCTGGGAGCAAACTAGGGAGAATGTGGCCTTAAGGTGAGCAATGCCCTGGACCCCAAAGGTGGAGCTGGAGACTGTCAGCTAACTGTGCCTCTTACCTTGGGGTCTTTTTTGAAGGAAGGTCTAAGAAATGCATTTCCAAGGTTGCCTGAACCTCTCAATAAATAATAGCTATATTTTACCATCCCACAGTGTGTTTTCTCTCTCTCTCTCTCTCTCTCTAATGTGTCATTAATCAAGGGTGTCAGCCTCTCTAGAAAGTGAGCTCCTTGGGGGCACCATCAATGGCTTCATTGTGATTACAGTTTAGTGTTTGGTTGGTATGTAGTAAGAGCTTAATAAACGGCAACTGGAAGAGTAAGTAACTGAGTGACAGCGTGAAAGTCCTTAGAAGAGTGTAGCTAACTCCTAGGAGGTTACTGTTGAGAGGACCTATCTTGAGCATAGTGAGCTGTTTCATTCAGACTGAGGTATACCCGCTTCACACACCTAAAGTCATATGTCAGAGCGGGACCCAGTGCGGGAAGTTTGTATGCTCCAAAGTGCCTCAGGCTACAGAGGGAAAAAAAAAAAACTGTAATGTATCTCTTCCCCCTAAGAAGTCCTACACAGCTCTCCAGGAGCTTTAGGTTTGCTGCATTCAGTTAGGGAAAATGAGAAAAAGTCAGAGACACAAGCAGAAGGAAGATGAAAACACAGTGCAAAATGGCAAAGCAAAGACTACGAAAGTAAGGAAGCCTTCCGGGAGCTCTGAGGGCTTAGCAGCCCCATCAGAAGTGCACGGAATATTAGAAGCAGAGAGGTAGGTGTCTTTTAAGATGTGGCTTTTTTGAGACATCTCAGTTCAAACCCTGAATATCTGCCTGACCCCAGACAACTCACTTAACCTCTCTGGCACTGAGAATCACATTTCATGAAGGGAGGGATCCTGTCTGCCTTGTTTATGCTTTGTCCCCAGTGCCCAGCGTAGTTCTGGGAGCATGACTGACACTCAAGCTATGTCATAGTAAGGTCTTGGAATTGGAGTCAGACGGTCTGGATTTGAACTCTGGCTGACATTTACCATGGGAACTGAGGTGAGTTACTTAAACATTTTCTGCTTAGCTTCTTCAGCTGTAAAGTGGTTATACAAATGGTGACTATTTCATTGGGGTTGTTATGAAGATTGAAATGAAATAATTCATGTAAGTATTTCCAACAGTATCTGGCACATAGCATGTACCCAATAAATGTTAACTGTTATTATAATTATTATTTTTGTTGAATAAATGAATGAATCTCTCAGACCTTTAGTTTTCTCTCCTGTAGAAATGGACTAAAATAATCTACCCCCATATATTTGTTCTGAGGATTAAATGAGATAATGTAAGTAAAATGCTCATTTCAATGCCTGGCACAAACGTGGTCAGAGGAAATGGGGTTCTTGTTCAAAGCTGCCATATCCCTTCCTAGAGCCTGAGGTGAATACCTGGGTCTCTCTGTAGCACAGTAGCTGGGAAGATCTTAGCCCCAAGCCAGGAAGTCCTTAGGTTCTGGATCAGAGCCCCACCCCTTCACCGTATTTACCAGCCATCCAAACCCCACCCAGCCATTAGAATTTCCCTTTCTCCCTCTCTGCTCACTTAGGGACTGCTAACTGTCAATAATTTATTTTCCCAATGGGAAAAGAAAAAGTCTCAGGGAGCACATCTTTCTCCTTTGTTCAGGTCTCTCCATTGCTCTCTGCAGCTTCCACTTTTTATAAATGCTTCAATCAAGCTGCCTTCTATAACGCATTCTCCATTTGCTCTCTGCTTACAGCTGAAGCATTTTTGTGACACAGCTTCTATGAAGAACATTATGCAAACTCATGTTGCATTCTACTCTATTCTAAATCTCTAACCTGAGGACATTCCTCTAGAAGTTTAGACACCCCAAAGTCAATGAAGATCACAGCAATCAAAACTCCCATCATCTATTTTCCATTGCAGAGGATGCACACCCCACACAGTGCTTCCATTATAGACAAGTATAGGTTTAAGGCATTGGTGAATGCCAGAGAGAAAGAGCAAAGATTAGACAGAAGGTGTCTGCTTCAAATCACTGGCCCCAAAAGTAGCAGGGCATCAGGAGCATCCACTCAGCTTTTAAGAAGGGAAACTCCTGGCCAGGCACAGTGGCTCATGCCTGTAATCCCAGAACTTTGGGAGGCCAAGGCGGGCAGATCACCTGAGATCAGGAGTTCAAGACCAGCCTGGCCAACATGGTGAAACCCCATCTCCACTAAAAATACAAAAACTAGCCAGGCGTGGTGGTGTGCACCTGTAATCCCAGCTACCCAGGAGGCTGAGACAGGAGAATCGCTTGAACCCAGGAGGCAGAGGTTGCGGTGAGCCAAGATCATGCCACTGCGCTCCAGCATGAGCAACAGAGCAAGACTCCATCTCAAAAAAAAAAAAAAAAAAAAAAGAAGGGAAACTCCTTACTCTTCCCTTGTGGATTATATTATAATGACACCACCAGGACATACAGACTTACAGGGACAAAGTATCCCACAGGGACAATGGGCCAAAACCTGTGGAGTTTCGGTTCTATATTGATAAATCAGTGACACAAAAGCATCCCTACTTCAGGGTCTGTCTGGTAGGAAAGGACACAATGAGAACCAAGCAGTAGGTCTGAAAGACCTTTCCTTCTTTTTTATTGAGTAGCTACTTCGATTTTCCCAAACATATTGTGTCCGGAGTTAGTTCCTTCTGGTGGTTTCGTGGTCTCGCTGACTTCAAGAATGGAGCCATGGACTTTCACGGTGAGTGTTACAGCCCTTAAAGATGGCACAGACCCAAAATTGAACAACATCAAGATTTATTGTGAAGAGCAAAAGAACAAAGCTTCTGCTGCTGGCTGGGGTGGCCAGCATTTATTCCCTTATTTGTCTCCGCCCACGTCCTGCTGATTGGTCCATTTTACAGAGCACTGATTGGTGCATTTTTACAGAGCACTGATTGGCGCATTTTACAAACCTCTAGCTAGCCACAGAGTGCTGATTGGTGCATTTTACAATCCTAGCTACAGAGTGCTGATTGGTGCATTTTACAATCCTCTTGTAAGACCAAAAAGTTCTCCAAGTCTCCACCCAACCCAGAAGTCCAGCTGGCTTCACCTCTCAATATGACTTTGAAGAATTTGGAGGATGACAAGCAGAGATTTATTTAAGTCTAATGATGAGATGAATCATTTTTTTAAAAAGATAAAACCAAAAATGACAAAGAAAGACAGACTTGTAAATGAGCATTGCCTATATACACACACGGGGTGCGGACTGGGCAAACTAGGAGCAATCAACCCTCTACTTTATCTTTCAGTGTCTAAAACTGAAAGAGAGAGAAAGACAAAAGCCTTCAAGATGAAGCCACCCCAGTCAGGCACTTAGGGTAGCTTTTTTTTTTTTAATAGAAATGTGAAATGTGGTTCAAAGAAAGCAATCACTGTAGGTCGTAAACTCTCCCTCTTGCTTAAGTTCTTTTGAGTTGAGGTTCTTT
This sequence comes from Homo sapiens, assembly GCF_000001405.40. Classification (NCBI taxonomy): domain Eukaryota; kingdom Metazoa; phylum Chordata; class Mammalia; order Primates; family Hominidae; genus Homo; species Homo sapiens. The sequence goes on along the minus strand of NC_000014.9, from coordinate 81,711,562 downwards.
CATTGACTACTAAATGATGTGTTGCCCAAAGGCCTTAACCTACCTGTGGTGCCTCAGCCTTTGTAGTTTAACTGTTTCATTCCCACTTGTGTGTGTGCTATAGCACCTCTCAATAAACTTGGAAAAAGTTCTGCTTCTAGGTACCCTGAGGTTACCTTTACGAGTTCATGACACAGATCTTGGACTGGACTTTTACTCAAGAGGAGGAAAAAGTTCCTGGTTTGGACTCAAGACTCCAAAATCAAAGTGAGGAATGAAAACAGAAACTAAAGATAACTTTTTCTATTTCCAATTCCCTTAAGCCCAGACACCTGATACCCGGATATGGTTCAGACTTCATCCCACTCACAGACTGCAAAGTAAATGTGGGAGAAGTGTGGTTCTTATCCTTAGGGTGGCTTGTTGCCCTCTTATATGCATTGCTTCTTTCCTTCCATTATGCAAATCCATTGGCCAGTATAAGCATTGTACACTCCTACAACCCCCAGCCCCTGCAGTAGGCCACCAAATGTTATTTCAGGTGGACTGAAGGTCACACAGGAACTCCTACATGTCATAAATGACATGGAAGGAACAGACTCTGAAACTACAAATGTCTGGTATTCAGTAAACTAGGCAATCTGGCCTCAAAAAGTTCACAGATGTTGTTACCCTAAGACAACATTTTTCTTCCACTTTTTTAGGCATAGCAGATCTTTTTTTTAACCCTACACATTCATGCCTTCTTCTACTTTGTTCTTTTATCTAGACGGTGAAATATAATTGGCAAATTTAAATCCATGCAAAAGGATTAATGCCTTGTGGAAAGAAGTGCAGGTGAATAGAAATGCTGGAGGTGGATCCCAAGATCTAAAGTCAAGGACTGGATCAGGGAAGTCACTGGACAACTTTGAGCTTAATTAATCTCATCAAGAAATATATATAAAGATTAACTTCTCCATCTTCCATGTGTTGTGAGAATCATTGAGAAACAGCAATACATTGTATTAGAATAAAGACAGTGTATAAAAACCAAGAAGATATGCCTCACTCACTATCATCACCATCCTCACCATCACGATATGATCATCACCATTTTTACTCCATTAGTGCCTTAAATGTTTTCCATGTTGTACTGCTGCCACCTAATGGCAGAGCTGAATGAATGTGAAGCTTCCTTCAAGTCACATACTCTGGTTTTGCCTTTTCTTAAATCTGTATTCACCTGGACTGAAGTCAGAAAATGTACAGGCTGGAAAAAAATAAACAGAAATGACTGCACTTGTTATACTTGGCAAGTAGAATTCTGCCCCAACCTTGAATAAATGGGGCAGAAATGAGCCCCAGGTCTAGATTAAGGGAACGCCCACCAGGTGGTCTTATCCATTTTTCATTAGTCCAAATGTGTTTTGTATGTAACAAACCATGCTCCTATTAACTTCCAGACATAAAATGAAAACATTTAGAGCAAGCTGTGGACTGATTATCAGAATTGGAGGGAGTGTGGCATTTTGAAACTCTTGAGACAGAAGACTGGGTCTACTGGTGTAAGGAGCTGTAGCGGCAACTGGTTGCAGGAATTGTACATATGGCCTTGCAGAACATCTTTCCAAGGCGTCTCAGACTGTGTGGTCACTCTCAAAAGGACAACAGTTTTACTCCCAGAATTTATGAAGAGACAAAGGCTCTGACTCCTCTTTGGTTTCCTTCTTAAAACATTCTACTTAGACATTCCACAGGGCAATAAAAACTAATAACTAGCCGTTTGCACTTTTCATTTCCATGGTAACTTTCCTACGTAGGTATTCCAAAGTTCTTATAAAAATAGGGAATGCCGATTGACCTACATCCAGGAAATGAGGCGATAGTTTTATTTCAGGTCCTTAAGCAGAAACCTACCCATTTTCATATGAGTATCTGTCTGCAGAAAGTCAATGGGGCTCTAAGTGCAAGGACATTGTCCCACACACTTGGACAGAAATAAAGCAGCTGGAGAAGACTGCTGAATTCAGGCTTCTCTCCAACAGTGAAGAAAGCCCAACCTGGCATGGTGAAAGAACCCCTCTATCACAATATAACTTGGGATTCACGAAGATGGCAGAAGATTTTGGAGAATGACTGGATTTACTATCTTACAGAACAAGAACTAAATATATTTTAATGTACATGAAACTGCAAACAAATTTTCAATATGATAGAGAGTCTGAGTGAAAAATGAAAATCCATACTTAAAGTAGAGGAGGACAGAAATAGAAATTGTTACATTGAAAGAATCAATCTGAACTCATCATTTTAAACAGGAAATATATTTTCCATCCCTGTCAATGATCCAAAACCAGCAGCTTCACCTTTTCCCAACACTCACGTCTAATTCTGGTCTGTGCAACCAATTGGTCAGCAGCCCAGACTCTTCATCTTAGCTAGTCTGGGAGACTATTATTTTTCAGTTGAGAGTGCTAAGATTATCACAAGCCTAGGATGAAAATAGAATACTGTATGTGGTAAATTTACTGTAATTCTAGAAAGATAACTCTGAGAAGAAACCAAAATTAAGGTGTAAGAATAAGAATGGAAATAAGAATTACAATGAAAATAGAAATAAGAATAAAAATAACATGAGAATAAAGACGTGGAACATGACATTTCAATTCATGTTATTTGCATTATGGTAGTAAGTTTTATTGTAAGTGTGTTAATGTATTAATCACTGAAGTATTTTGTATGTCTTCTGTCTGCATCCTAGCATGTTTAAAGCATTTTGAAAAATTTCTGGAGATGTGTGCTTTTAATTAAATCATCAGAAGGGTTTTATGGGACAAATTTAACTTTGCAGCCAATGTCTAAGAATTTGGGAAAATTCATTGAATCAATATGTTTTTATTTATCATAATCTACCAATATGTGAATATTTAAAAGAATGTTTATTATTTATTGCTTAAAAATAATTGGTTGATAAATTCAAAATATCAAGAATTTAGACATTAGGCAACCATCGAAAGTTAATAAAAAGGCTTTACAGATAAAAGCCATTTGGGTATTAACAATTTTTTTATAGCTATATAATAGCTCTAGTATGCAGAAGGTTGTGTAAATGTTCAGCAACTCTTCTCAGTGGGATGGTAGGAACCTTACTTAGCCCATGTATCTGAGCAAGTAGTCCTGGGTTTCTACTTACCGTACGTGGGGAAATGTTTCCTTCTATTTCCAGGCCTTTGTTATTTTTGTAAAATGCCCATAGTTTTGTCTGTCTTTAACTTTGGGCTTGTGTTTCACTTTCTCTATCCTAATCAAAGTGTCAATGCTCTATGCTGATTTCATAGGCAGTATATGGCAACCTTGTTCCTACTGACTCTTTGGTGTGAATTGGCGTTTGTGTTAGCAAGACTCCTTGATTGCTTGTCAGAAGTCCCTACACAAATTACCTCAGACAAATACAAATTATGGGCTCATATGTCCTGCACAGACAAAGGTGTGGCTGGGATGACCAGACCAGACACTCAAAGCGCTGCCAGATCTCTTGTCTGTGCTTCTTTCTGAATACTAGCTTTGATTTTCTTTTACTGTAAACAGATTTCCTCCACACTGTGGTAAATATGGCTGCCTGGATCAATGGGCTCACATTCTAACAGTTACCTGACTCAAAGACAAAAGTGTTTCTCTCTCCAAGCTTGAGTTTAAGAAAATTCCATGGCAGAAAAGAACAAAGATGCAGGCATCACACTCCCTGACTTCAAACTATACTACAAGGCTACAGTAACCAAAACAGCATGGTACTGGTAACAAAACAGAGATATAGACCAATGGAACAGAATAGAGCCCTCAGAAATAATACCACACATCTACAACCATCTGATCTTTGACAAACCTGACAAAAACAAACAATGGGGAAAGGATTCCCTATTTAATAGATAGTGCTGGGAAAACTGGCTAGCCACATGTAGAAACCTGAAACTGGAACCCTTCCTTACACCTTATACAAAAATTAATTTGAGATGGATCAAAGACTTAAATGTTAGACCTAAAACCATAAAAACCCTAAAAGAAAACCTAGGCAATACCATTCAGGACATAGGCATGGGCAAGGACTTCATGACTAAAACACCAAAAGCAATGGCAACAAAAGCCAAAATTGACAAATGGGATCTAATTAAACTAAAGAGCTTCTGCACAGTAAAAGAAACTACCATCAGAGTGAACAGGCAACCTACAGAATGGGAAAAAATTTTTACCATCTACCCATCTGACAAAGAGCTAATATCCAGAATCTACAAAGAACTTAAACAAATTTACAAGAAAAAAAATCAAACAACCCCATCAAAAAGTGGGCAAAGGATATGAACAGACATTTCTCAAAAGAAGATATTTATGCAGCCAACAGACACATGAAAAAATGCTCATCATCACTGGCCATTAGAGAAATGCAAATCAAAACCACAATGAGATACCATCTCACACCAGTTAGAATGGTGATCATTAAAAAGTCAGGAAACAACAGGTGCTGGAGAGGATATAGAGAAATAGGAATACTTCTACATTGTCGGTGGGACTGTAAACTAGTTCAACCATTGTGGAAGACAGTGTGGCAATTCCTTAAGGATCTAGAACCAGAAATACCATTTGACCGAGCCATCCCATTACTGGGCATATACCCAAAAGATTATAAATCATGCTGCTATAAAGACACCTGCACACGTATGTTTACTGTGGCACTATTCACAATAGCAAAGACTTGGAACTAACCCAAATGTCCATCAATGAGAGACTGGATTAAGAAAATGTGGCACAAATACACCATGAAATACTACGCAGCCATAAAAAAGGATGAGTTCATGTCCTTTGAAGGGACATGGATGAAGCTAGAAACCATCATCCTGAGCAAACTATCGCAAGGACAGAAAACCAAACACTGCATGTTCCCCACTCATAGGTGGGAATTAATCAATGAGAACACTTGGACACAGGGTGGGGAACATCACACACTGGGGCCTGTCGTGGGGTGGGGGGAGGATGGAGGGATAGCATTAGGAGATATACCTAATGTAAATGACGAGTTAACGAGTACAACACGCCAACATGGCACATGTATACATATGTAACAAACCTGCACGTTGTGCACATGTACCCTAGAACTTAAAGTATAATAAAAGAAAGAAAAAAGAAAGAAAGAAAGAAAGAAAGAAAGAAAGAAAGAAAGAAAGAAAGAAAGAAAGAAAGAAAATCCCACGGCAGGACTACAGTTGACCACATAAAGCCAGCCAGACTATGATCAGCTTATGGCAGTGCCAAGGCCTAAAGATGAATTACAATGAATTAGATTAAGTTCTAGCCATATCTATCTATTTGCCCCATGTCATAATAAAACCTATACTTGGACTTAAATGTAATCATGCGAAGATAAAACTTAAGTTGCATTAAGTCTTCAGGCTCTTTTTTGGATTGAGACAGAGAGACAATTAACAAAAAGCATAAATATATTTGAATGCATGTTAAAATTGTGAGTGAGTGGGGAGAAGCTCCAGAAGCACCAATGAAGTAACCATAAAGACGTAGTTGAGCACTTACTGGAAGCTAAGTGGATGCCTTGCAGATATTTTTGCATAAAAGAGATGCAAACCTTGGTAGAACTAAAAAACTTTGTCCTCTTTATAGGAAAATGGTGTGACTGATCTTCTCAGTATATTGGAAGCTTTGATGTGTGCTTCTTACCTTTTAACTGTTTTTCCTACCAGTAGAATAGATTCCTACTGGGCCTTCTGTATCTTTTGTAGTCTCTGCTTTTGATCAAGGTCATGCACATTTTTAAATGTGTGGCTAGGACTCCTTGATGCCTTGACATTATAAGCCCAACTCAAACGCTAGGGGAGAAATATCAGCTGTTAAAGTTGCATTTGCTTCAAGAAGTCCATGCCTAGCGCTCATAAAGCTAAAAAGCTAAATACTCAGCCTCAAAGTCCCAAATTCCTACCTACCTTCCTCCTATAAACATCCTCATATTCCCCTTGGTAAGCCATAAAAAACGTGCCAATAAAAGATGGATTTCCATGAAAACTTATTTTGGGCCACCTTTTGGTTCCTAGATCAGATCCCTGTAGGCAATGTGATTTGAGTCCAATATCAACGACTCAGTCATGTAAAATCACTTTGCAGATGACCTGAGAAGGATGTTTATTTAAATCCAGTTTTCCAAAATTAGGTTGAGAGATGATACAAAGTCAGATACCACCTTGCAAACCTCCCACTGATACAGACAGAAGGCAGGAGGGCGGGGTCTCTGGTGAGGGTTCCACCCTCAAGCCTGGATCCATGGCCCTGAATGAGAATAGTTATCCCTGTTTCCCACCCAAATGTTGCTTTTACCGAAACCACTCTGGCCTGCCACACCCGCCATCCTGTACCCACGAAAACCTCAAATCCCAGGCTCCATGGGCAGAAGAGCAGCAGAGCAGTGTGGCAAAGAAGGAGAGAAGAGAAGGAGTGTCTGAACATCAAGAGGAGTTCCACTGGGGACAGTCAAAGAGGAGATCAGCTGCGGGACAGCTGCACTCCAGGGGAAGATCATCCTCCCAATCCATCCCCTTTCCAGCTCCCCATCTATCCTGCTGAGAGCCACCTCCGTCACTCAATAAAATCCCCACATTCACCAACCTTCAAGTCCGTGTGACCTGATTCTCCCTGGACACCAGACAAGGACCTAGGTACCAAGAAGGTGGGGTGTAAAAGGCTGTCACCCTGACTCTCCACTGAGCTAGTGAACATTTAGCCATCCTCAGACAGCAACTGCTAAAGGATCATTAATGGTAACACATCCCTAGACACTACTGTGGGGCTGGAGCCCAAAAGCACTCACCCTGTCTCCTGTACCTGCCAGTTTGCATGCTCCCTCTCTCGTAAGGGGCTGAACAAACAAGCCACACCCCTGCTGCAAGTCCCACAAGGAGGTCAGGGAATACTCCTGTTTCATCACTTTGACCTCTTGCCTTAGACGTAGGAGTCCATGATGGAGGATGTGTAGCGCAGTAGGTAGTTCTCAATATTGGCAGCCACAGCAAAATGCCGACAAACCACTACAGAATCCCTTTTGTTTGTCATCTCTGGCTTACATCTCCTCACCCCTATTTACCCCAAATATTTATTGAGCATGTGCTGTGCCACAGCCACTGTTCTAGTCACTGGAGATATAGCTATGGACAAAAACAAGGTTAGTCCCTGCCTTCATAGCATTTACATCCTGGTGGGGAGAGCCAGAAAATAAACATCTAGATCAACAACTTCGATCATTGCAGATAATTTCTATGATGTAAAAAAAAAAAATTGGTTTTAAAATATAAGGGTGAAGGGATGGGCCTACTTTAGATTGGATGGTGATAGAAAGGTTCTCTAGAGGGTGACATTTAAACTGAAATCTAAATAATGAGAAAGAGCCAGCCAGGTAAGGACCTGAAAAGGGGGCTTTCAGGTAAAGAAGCAGAGCAAATGCAAAGAGACGGGATGACGAGAGGTTAGGAGGCTGGAGTATGTTGGGGGTAGAGTAGTAGGAGACAGAGAAGTGGGTGGAAGAGAGCATGGAGAGCCTCTAGGGAGTCTATCCCATTAACTCCTACATACTTCCATTATTATACATATAACAATATATTCTAAAAGTTAATTTACTCTTCTCTCTCTTTGAGTAGACTTCCTTAAGTACACTATATCTTATTCATGATAATAATTATAGCTACCATTTATTGAGCTATACCAGGCACCAAGCTAGCTACTTTGCATACATTATCTCCAATCTTCACAACAACCCTGCAAGGTAAGTATTATTAACATAATTTTACAGATGACAAAACCAACTAAGTGATTTACCCAAGGCCAAAAAGCTAGCATGTGGCAAAGCAGGCATTTGAATCTATGTCTTGTCTGCCTCTGAAATCCAAACTCTTTTCACTATCCCACATCATCTTAACCTCTGTGCAGTTATTCGTCTTTGTAGTTCTGGCTCCCAGCACAATGCATGGCACATTACATAGGCTCAATAAATATTTGTAGTATTGAATTGGAGTGAGCTGAATGTGAGCCCACACAAGAGGAGACTGAACTCACAAGGCCACAGATTTGGGGAGACTTTACAGGACCATATGTGGTGGTGATGGTAGCCTTCTGTCTCAGGATGAATTCAAAGCATGGTGGAAATGGGTAGGGAGGAGGCTGTACTTAATAAAACTAAATGAAATCTATTGGGCTTCCTGAGAGCTAATATATGACACACTGACACAGCTGCATAACACGTTCTGAAAAAATTAATGGGATTTTAAAGACAGAGGCTGCTCAATGTGCTTACAAAATGGAGATACAGAAGAATGCACCCCAATGATGAGAAAAGCGCATTGAGAAAGGAGGATGGCACTGTTGTAATTGCCTGTAATCTTCCCCCCTCCTCCTCCTGACTTTAATTAGGACACTTGCGAGACACACACATTTGTAAGAGTGACAGAGCTAATTGAAGAAAACCACACGTCTCATCAACAACAAAATCAGGAATAATAATCAAAGCAGCAGAAGCAAAATTGGAAGCCATGGAGCTGTCAAAAGCAGGAGGAACTCAAATACAATAAGCCATGTAATTTAGAAAAAGCAAGATGGCTATATGGAAACATAAAAAATGGGACATGAAATAAAACAGTTAACTTGACTCAAACTGAAACTTTCACTCCCACAATCTGGTCACAATTAAATCTGGTCAAAATTCATCTAATCCTTTCAGCCTGTGTTCTGGGGATGCCTGCATTTTTCCATTTCATTGCTTAGAATGGCCCCGTTAAGTGAAAAGTCTCCCACTGCCTCCCTGAGCTCTTCATTAATTCACAATGCTCTCCTGTCACCACATTGGTTAGTGCTATCCTAAGTGGAGATGGAAAATGACAGGCCCTCATCCCCATAATATTGCTTACATTCAGAGATCATTATGAAGTTATTCCTCCATCCTTGACTTGCAAACGTACAAAAAGATGAACTATAAGTTCAATTGGGGAAGAATTCTCCTTACTCTTCCAGTTTCTTAACTGATTGGATCTTTGTTGCTTATCTCCCCCAGCACCCATTCCCCCTTCTCTCAATAGCTCTGCCCTATCCTCAGCCAACACAGTCGGGGTGGGCTCCATCCCCACATCTGATCCAGTGCATGAGGCTGTAGTTTGCCTCAGAGGTGGGCAACTGACCCAAGCTGTCTGGTCAGACTCTGAACACACATCTATGTCTGCTGGGACTAAGATACTCAATCTTTCTTATGACATGGGTCTTGGAACTGGCTGAACAATCTTGCCACCACACGGAGACTGAGAATGAAGCTATTATGGCTCAAGAAATAAAGAAGGAAGAAAGACATCCTTGTCACATTGTATCAGTGTGAATCAGTTATTCTTGAAGTCTGATCTATTCCTGAACTTTTCCATTATATAATCTAATAAATGTCTCCTTTTTTGCTTAACCCAAGTGGATGTGACTTTCCAGTGTTTGCAGATAAGTATTCTAAGCATAATTTATTAATGTAACAGTAAGATAAACAATAAAATTGAAAAAACAATAATAGCTGATACTACTGAGTGCCCTTATGTGCCAGTCAAAAGGTCCTCTGCATTATTTTAGCATATCCCATCTGTATTGTTATTTTCACTTTACCAACATAGAAATTGACTGAGTTTGTGAAACTTCCCCCAAGCTAATGAAGATGAAATTATAGCCAAGGATTATTTCTGGAAGCTCATGATCCCAAAATCTATTGTAATGGCAATTAAAAAACAGAGTTAGGTCATAATTTCAATTCTAAACTTCCTGTATTGATCAGTAAATAAGCAATGGGAAATGGTATGTTTTCCTTCTTCCTCTTTCTCGGGATACCTCTAAATGTTTCTGATAAATTCCTTAGGCGTTTTCATCATGCCTATTTCCAAACATATGATATCACAGATTTGCAGATTATGTCCTTAAGCACGACTCCACAACAAAAGCACATTGCAGAAACTGAAACACTTGTCATCACTCAGGGTCTCAACCACCCAAACCGATGTGCATGAGTAGAGGTCACAATCCCAGAAAGAAAGCTACAGAATATTAGAGGTTGCTCAACAGAAGCAGTGAATTGTTACCAGAGCATAAAAGTTACCAGAAAATAACCACACAAAGTCATAACAGAGGGCTACTTTCTGGATCAGGTATCATAACCCATGCTAAACTGCTGTTTTCTAACTCCATTTCTAGATTCAGAGGTTACCAGGTGACTCCAAAGCTTCCTTTACAGACATGTGGTAACCATCTGTAATTCTGTACCTATACCTACTTCCAAATCTTTATCACTTTCTTTCCATTTCAATCCTCAGTGCAGAATATGTCAGCCGTTTCCAAGTCCAATCTGCCACTTTTCAAATGTGAGACACCATTGAGGTAAGAGCATGAGACAGAACAGTGAGCATGGATTTTGTTTCTCTCTTTGAAGTTGTGACCATCGCTCATGGGCTTCCCATTAGTTTTACCCAAGCACACAAGCACTAAGTACTCATTAGTTTTACCCAAGCACTAAGAATAAGTAAAACCTAGGTAAAGGAAGTTAACAATGCACCCAAGAGAACCAACCCAGCAATCTAAGAGTGGACAAAAACATAGAAATTTGTGATTATGTACTTTGAAGAGAGAGAGGATTTCCAGAGGAGAAAGTTGAATTTTTAACAAAAATGCAATCAAATAGAATGAAAGTAAATCAGTGTTAGCACAATAAAAGTATTCCTTAACTGGAAAACATACATTTCAAACTTACAAAGTGAATATATTAATTGAAAGTGACTATTATTATTATTGAAAATTAAATTAGCGATCTAGAAGATTAATTGTAAGAAATACCTCACAACTTAGAAGAAATACACCTAGAGATGGAAATAAAGAAGAAAAAAGTCTTAAAAGATGGAGAAGTAATAGGTGTTTCAGAAAGAGAAAAAGAATAAGTTAGAGAACCAGCAAAAATAATTAAGGAAATGTTTCTGGCTGAACACTTGAGGCTGCAGATTAAAAGGGCCGAGTTCCAGAGTGATGCAGAAGAGGAGGGAGAGAGCAAGCAAGAGAGAGAGGGAAAGAGAGGTATATTTACAAAAAGAAAAGAATAAAATTGTTAAGGGCTGAATTTTGTTACCCCAAAATTCATATGTTGAACTCCTCCCAATACCTCAGAATGTCACTGTATTTAGAGACAGGACCTTAAAGAGACAATTTTGTTAAAAGGAGTCATTACGGTGGGCCCTAGTCCAATGTAATTATTGGTTCATTCTCACAGTGCTATAAAAAAACTTCCCGAAACTGAGTAATTTATAAAGGAAAGAGGTTTAATTGGCTCACAGTTCCCTATGGTTGGGGAGGCCTCAGGAAACTTACAATCATGGCGGAAGACAAAGGGGAAGGCAGGCACCTTCTTCACAGGGCAGCAGGAGAGAGAATGATGTAGAAGGAACTACCAAACACTTATAAAACCACCAGATCTTGTGAGAACTCACTATCATGAGAAGAGCATGGGGGAAACCAACCCCATGATCCAGTTACCTTCACCTGGTCTCTCTCCCTTGACACATGGGGATTGTGGGGATTGTAATTCAAGATAAGATTTGGGTGGGGACACAAAGCCTAACCGTATCAGTAACTAAGGACACAGACACACACAGAGGGAAAAGCATGTGAAGACCTCTCGCAGAAGAGGGCCATCTGCAAACCAAGGAGAGAGGACTCAGGAGAAACCAACCCTGCCTACACCTTGATCTCAGACTTCTACAGCCTCCAGGACTGTGAAAAGATAAATTTTCATTACATAAGCCACCCAGTCTGTGGTACTTTACTATGGCAGCCCTACAAAACTAATACAGAAACTAACACTAATTTTCCATCTGTAACTTTAGATACTAGAAAACAGAAGAATAAGTTTTATTGGTTAATGATGTAAAAAGATTATAAGAAAATCATCTTTTATCCAGACCGAAGTATATTTACAGACATATAAAAGATTCTGAGAGCACGTCACCCAGAGAACCCAACTGAGGAAATTACTTAGGAAAGAACTCTAACCAAATAAGGGAACAGAAGGTGAGATAACGGTGGTCAGCAGTAAACCAGAGTAGAAATGATAGACTCATTAGGAATTTGTAATATTACAAATACTTGAACCAGAATAGTCACAGAGCAAAGCTGAAACTAACAGTGGTGTGAGACTAAATGTAATCAACTAACTATGACTTTGGAGGGAACAGGGAATTATAGCCAATCATTTTGTAGCACATAATATGTGTAGCATTATTTAATTAAATTGTCACAACAACCCTATGAAGCAAATGATATTATCCCCTTTCTAAAGATGAGTAAATTGAGGCAGAGACAACTTGCTCAATATTGTAGAGCTTGCACACAGCTCTAGAGTCTACTTTTAACTACTGTACTATGCTGTAAACACAAGAAAATGAAAGGCATTCTTGCATGTATTCTTGCTTGTATGCATTCCTCTACATATATATTCCTGTGTATGTAGGAGAAGGGTGGGAAGACAAAAACAATCTAAGATGTTTATCATGCACATTTAACTGTATACATATAATTTCACATACAAACTGAAACACTTTTAGATTAAAAGAGGGTACAATTACTAATTATGACAGGGTAACAGAAATAAACTGGGATTTTCAAAAGTAAATCAAGACATATGACCATCCTGTATCTGTAGGTCTCAACTTAATAATTGGGAATGGTAGATAGCCTTGGTTGAGGAATATGCTTAATTTCTTTATTTCATATAATAGTAGAGAGAGATATATTCAATTATGTGTGTTGGGAATAAAAAGATTCCAAATGGCAGAAGAGAAAAATACCAAGAAACAACTAATTAACATGAATAAAAAGGAAATGATCAGTAACTTGATCAAACATACAAAAATAAAGGAGAAAAAGAGGAAACAACAAAGTAAAATGAAGGGAAAAAACTAAGTTTTCAATTCTTAAATTAAATATAAACAACCTAAACTTTTTTATTAAAAGAGGGACTATTGGCTGGGAGTGGTGGCTCATGCCAGTAATCCCAGCACTTTGGGAGGCTGAGGCGGGCAGATCACTTGAGGCCAGGAGTTTGAGACCAGCCCAGCCAACATGGCAAAACCCCATCTCTATTAAAAATACAAAAATTAGCCGGGTGTGGTAGCATGTGCCTATAATCCCAGCCACTCAGGAGGCTGAGGCAGGAGAATCACTTGAACCCTGGAGGCAGAGGTTGCAGTGAGCTGAGATCGTGCCAGTGCACTTCCAGCCTGGGCAACACAGCAAAACTCCATCTCAAAAAAAAAAAAAAAAAGAGAGACTAACAAATTAATTTAAAGAACAACAAATGAAAATATGATAAATGTTATTATAAGAAAAAAAGCAAAAAAGAAAATTTAAAATAACGGCATAGAACTAAGGAAGATAAACTATGTTTGTATAGATATATTTATATATATTTGTATACATGTGTATATATATTTGTGTGTATACATATATTTTTTTTTTACTTATACATGGAACACAATTTAGCCTTGAGACATAAGAAGATCTTGCCATTTGCAACAACATCAATGAACGTGGCGAGCATACACTAAGTGAAATAAGCCAAACACAGAAAGAAAAATATCGCATGATCTCACTTATATGTGGAATCAAAAAAAAAAGTTAAACACATAGAAACAATAGAATAGTGGTCACCAGAGGTGAGGAGGGAGAGAAAATTGGGAGATGTAGGTCAAAGGGTACAAACTTGCAGTTACATAGGATGACTAGGTCTAGAGATCTAATGTACAACATGAGGACTGTAGTCAATAGTACGTTGTAAATTGAAATTTGCTAGGAGAGCAGATTTTAGGTGTTCTTACTAAAATAAAGATATATGGAAGGTGATGGATATGTTCATTTGCTTACCTTTAGTAACCATTTCACTGTATCTGTATATCAAAACATCATGTTTTACATCTTAAATTTATACAGTAAGAAAATTATATAGGTTTTTTATATGAGGGGACTCAGCAAAGGGGAAGATAGATGATAAAATAGACAAACTCTTGGCCTGTCTAATTAATAATAAATGAGACAGAATAAACACAAAATTAGAAATAAGGAATTCTAAAGCCCAGAGGCAGATGTGAAAGAGGAAGACTACGGCCTGCACCAAGCATGACACAGAGCAGACAGCAGAAAATAGTGAAATGGCCCTGCCTACCAAATCAAGAGTATCTCTGGCCGGGCACAGTGGCTCATGCCTGTAATCCCAGCACTTTGGGAGGCCAAGGTGGGCGGATAACAAGGTCAGGAGATCGAGACCATCCTGGGTCACACAGTGAAACTCCATCTCTACCAAAAATACAAAAAATTAGCCGGGCGTGGTGGCACGTGCCTGTAGTCCCAACTACTCTGGAGGCTGAGGCAGGAGAACTGCTTGAACCCAGGAGGCAGAGGTTGCAGTGAGCCGCGATCATGCCACTGCACTCCAGCCTGGGCAACAGAGCGAGTCTCTGTCGCAAAAAAAAAAAAAAAAAAGGTATCTCTACAGCTGCTTGTACTGACCGGGGATTAAGGGCCAAACTAGACAATGGATGTCAGAGATCCTGTGTGGACACGTGACCGGGAAAGCTATAAGCCCCCCTCTCCTCCACCACACACACTGCCACAGCAACACATAAATCCTCCTAAACTTAGATCTGATGGGGAACTAAGCTAAATGAGAATCTTAAAAAAATTGTTGTATTACAGAAGAATGAACAAGTACAATTCCTTGCACACCTGACCTTGTGCTATGCAAGTCTTTCAGCTTCTTGTTAATGCATTCTATTTAACAAGTTTGTTTTGGACAATATTATTTCTGTTTAATCTAACTCCCTTGCTAGCAAGGAAGCTTAAAGGTCTGTGAAATCAAAATATTTAATACTGCATTTCTCGCTCCCAAAATGATTTCAATGTGAACGACGAGAGACAGAGAGAGAGAGAGAGGGAGAGGGGCTGTGCTTAGCTGATGACTAAGGGCTTCCTAAGGGACAATTTTATTCAGCCCTAGCATCTTATTAGCAGCAGAGAATAATTAAGAAGGGAGAGGTTTGAGGGAATAGAGAAGAGGCCTAGTAGCCTTGTAATCAGACATCCCAAAGTCAATTCTTAATTTTACTTGAAAAATTATAAATTTCCATTTAGAAGATGCACATTTTAAAATTAGGAAGTCTATACTTTTGTTTCAGTTATCTTCTACTTCTTAAAGCCACGAATAGACTGCCAGTCCTTGTTACTTTAAGTTCAAGTACCAAATTAATACTAAAGCCAAATCTGAATAATTTCTTAATTAATACACAATGTAATGTACATATCTGATTGATCAAATCCATGAAAAGCTCAGCAAAATGTTCACCCTTTATGTATAGATACAACTTTGTCTTATACTAAGGGTACATACTTTAAAAACAAAAAAAAGTGGACTTTAATGAAGCAAAATATTTTCCACCAACCACCAACTGTGAACCTAGTTCATAGATATAGCTAATAGCAATGCAGCCTATCAACTGATTTCCTGTTCAAATTTACCTTAAATGTTTTTTATAACTACATGTATAGCTAACAGTTCATCACAGGACTGATCTATCTTCTGCCCCAGTGTCTCTAACTGATGAAATGAATTTTTTAATGAAGCAAATTTATTTGAAACACAGTACTATAAAAAATAAATACAAATGTTTCCCTGAGAAAATTGAAAAAAAAAATACAGTTGGACTTAGTCACACCTCCAAGCCATTGTGGTAGGCCAAGATCCAGAACAGAACTTCATTCTTAAAATCATTTCTAAGATTTTAAATATTAAAATAATTAGTGGGGCAAAGTCATGGTCCCCAGGAACCAACCCCAGTCACCACCTGTGAAATGCAGATTAAAAAATGATGGGAGAAAAAGATTGAGAGGCTTAACTTACAAATGTAAAGGGGAACAGGAATGGTTAGGATAATTACTACTCTAGGCTGGTATTAAGAATGCAGAGAACAGCCAGGCGCGGTGGCTCATGCCTGTAATCCCAGCACTTTGGGAGGCTAAGGTGGGCGGATCACGAGGTCAGGAGATCGAGACCATCCTGACTAATACGGTGAAACCCCGTGTCTACTAAAAATACAAAAAATTAGCTGGGCATGGTGGCGGGCGCCTGTAGTCCCAGCTACTGGGGAGGCTGAGGCAGGAGAATGGCATGAACCCGGGAGGCAGAGCTTGCAGTGAGTCAAGATCGCACCACTGCACTCCAGCCTGGGCGACAGAGCAAGACTCTGAAAAAAGAATGCAGAGAACTGGCCAGGCACAGTGGCTCACGCCTGCAATCCCAGCACTTTGGGAGGCTGAGGTGGGCGGATCACCTGAGGTCAGGAGTTCAAGACCAGCCTAACCAACATGGTGAAACCCCTTCTCTACTAAAAAAAAAAAAAAGACAAAAAAATTATCCAGGCGTGGTGGTGCACACCTGTAATCCCAGCTACACGGGAGGCTGAGACAGGAGAATCGCTTGAACCCAGGAGGCAGTGGGTGCAGTGAGCTGAGATTGCACCATTGCACTCCAGCATGGGCAACAAGAGCAAAACTCCATCTCAAAAAAAAAAAAAAAAAGAATCCAGAGAACTGCCTAGAAAATAAAATTTGATTTAAAAGGAAGTTTTGCTAAAGGGGTGTTTGAAGAATATCTCTATTAGAATCCCAACAAATAGAAAATTAAAGAAGACTATGTGAAAAAGCAAAGGAAGTATCAAAGAAAACACTATCAACCTACTCTCCATAAATATACTTGTAAAGAATTATTTTAGTTGTTGTTCTGTGGAATGCCAAAAGAACCACAGTAAGCCACCAAGCAGAGATTCATCCTTGTCTGATCCAAGGCTCTCTGTAAATATTTTCCCTGGGTAGTCAAATAGTCCCATGGTGCCAAATACGTAAAGGGAGATAAACAAGCAAGAAATAACAGCTCCAACCCTGGCCATCCAGTAGCCCAAGGCACTCACTCCATGATGAAGTGAGGCTGACTTAGGACAAGAAGCAATGATGCCCCCATCCAATAAAAACTACAGGCAAAATTGAAACAAACTGAATGTAATTTTTGGTTTTGAGTTGTTTTTTTGGCAAGAACTTTCAAATTTAATATTCTTGCCCAGATGTGTAAGTGGAGAAGCCAGTTAAGGCACAGTTCCTTCCCTGTTTCATCCCAAATGGAAGTCCTGGTATCCTAGGACTTGCAACTGGTTTAATACCAACATAAAAGCTGGGAGACCTTTGTTAAGATTTACCACCAGCCGGCCGGGCGCAGTGGCTCACGCCTGTAATCCCAGCACTTTGCGAGGCTGAGGCGGGCGGATCACGAGGTCAAGAGATCGAGACCATCTTGGCTAACACGGTGAAACCCTGTCTCTACTAAAAATACAAAAAAAAAAAAATTAGCCGGGCATGGTGGCAGGCACCTGTAGTCCCAGCTACTTGGGAGGCTGAGGCAGGAGAATGGCGTGAACCCGGGAAGCGGAGCTTGTGGTGAGCCGAGATCGCGCCACTGCACTCCAGCCTGGGAGACAGACGAGACTCCATCTAAAAAAAAAAAAAAAAGATTTGCCACCAGACACATACCAAAATATTTTACCACTTCTCAACTGCTTGCAGTATCACAGCAAAAAGGAGAAAATAATAGAAAAGGAATTCCCTACTATCATCATCATCACATTCAAAGACAGACACATTCATTCTGGGGGTTTCCATAATGCATTCTTGCTGCTCAGCATTTTGAGGGTCCCTGGAATTCTGCATTAAAAAGTCAGGTGAATATGAATCTAGAAATTGCATAATCTTACTAGAATGTAAACTCTAAGAAGGCACGAAGCAGTTCTGTATTTTCCTACCAAATTTTCAAACCTAGACATATCAGGTGCTCAACAAATGTGTCCAACTTGTGAATGATCAACTAAGGAAAGTGTGAAGGCAAAATGTACCAAAGCAGAAAGTCTTCATGTTATCCCTTGGACCTCTATTTAGTGGATAAACCTGCAGTACGTCCAAGGGAGGGCTGTAACACTGCTCAATTCTGAAGCATAGGAAGGAAGAAATCTAATCAGGGCCACTAGAATTCTGAACTAATAATGCTCAGAAAGCTCCCTTGATTCTGATTAAAGTCACCCTGAACATATGGAAATTAATAGCCACAAAGCCCTGATACTGAATAGGAAACAAGATAACCTGGCCCCTACAACTTCTTTGGGCATTGTCAGTTAAGGATGCTTTGGGCTGTAAGCAGTGAACTACCAAACCAAGATTGGCTTAAACAATGGATTTTTTTTTTTCTCACATGACAAGAAATCTGGAGGTAGGTGGTCCAGGTTTGGGGACACTGTTTCAGTGCATTGTAAAAGACAGAGTCTTTTCTATCCTTCTGCAAGACTATTATTCACATATTGATTCTTCATCTCTAGGTTTTTAGCCTCATGCTTTCAAGATGAAAGCTTAGCTCCAATCATAAAATCCTTGTACAACACTGCATGGCCAAAAAAAAAAAAATAGGACCATCCTCATTACCATTTTTTGTCTTACCAGGGAGCAAAACCCTTCCCAAATTACCACAACAGATTTTCTTATATGCATCATTGCCTAGAAAGAGTTCTCATGTGCATTCCTAAAGCAATCATTAGCAAAAGGAATTGGATTATGCTGCCAGCCCTAGAAAAAACATAATTTATCCTCTGAGGTTGGGCAGTAGCTTATCTTCCATGGGAGAAGATAAAAGGTAAGGTTTTAAAAATAATAAAAGTTGGAGTGGGAATCGAGGTTAGATAGGCAACTAAGAGTGACTGTCTACATCCTGAATTACTTTTTAGAACCTTGTGTGTCCTGGAATCTTGGTTGATCTTCTCCCTGAAAGATTCCCATCTCCCTTATTCTCACATTTGTGCTTGAGATAGGCCGAGTGAGTCTCACGCTCTCAGTGTAACCAAGGAGCCTAATCTACACACTAAGGAATTAAAAAGTAGTCATATATTTAATGAATATAATTTTATGTATGTGTATGTATACATACATGTACATGTATGTGGAAATGTGTGTTTATATATATGCAAGTGTATAGATATTTACACACACACACACATGCACAGGTTTACATTAACATCTATTGCCATGGCTGAACTTTGAAAATTACACTGAACCCTCTAATAGAAGTGGCTTCCCTTGTTAGGTACTTACTCAACTATGTGATGGACCATGTGATGGCTTCGGTCTATTTACCCAGGGATTTCTCATCAATCAGCACCACTAAAAATAATTACAATTTTATTTAAATAAACCCAAAACTAACAAAGGATGGAATTAAATCCAATTCTGGCTTCCTCTCCTTTCATTTGCAAAGAGCTGTTTCCGCTGGTATCCAACACCCTGGAAGCTCTCATTTGGTCTGAAAGTCATTAGACTACAGCTATCAGCTAATGAGGCACTAAGTGTTTGGAAGCAGCCTGAACTACTTCAGCGTATCCAAATTAAAATAAGGCAAATTAGTAGTAAAACTCAAATTGGTTTAAACTATGAAGTGAGTGTGAAAACTATTCCCCTGAAAAGTGGTATTGGGTCAAATTGCTGCACTGGGACATTGCAGATGATTTCAACTTGCAGAAGAAAAATGTTACTTTTAACGAATTTTATTCTTTAGAAGGCAGTATATCTTAACTATTCTGGAAATCCAAAGGTTTTATTCATGGAAGAAAATATACCTAGAGAGGTAAGAATATATGGTTTCCTCATGAAGGAGACAAAATTTATTAACCAAACTGGACCAGAATTCTGGGGAGTGAAGGTAATTACACTAGAATAACAGGTGTAAACCAGGGTCATCCTTAGTATCTAATGCCTTTAGGAAGAGTGCCAAAAAATGATGGGTGAGAAGGCTCTCTATCCCCAATACTCATGAAAATCTAGAAGTCTGCTTTTTCAGCCCATTTTGAAGGGAAGAAAAGGAATTAAGTTTACTTAATTACTTACATGTGGCACTGAGATCAAAGAAAATTAAACCTCCTCCACTTTCCCCTCTCCAACCCTCATAAAGAAAGTCCAATTCTTAAGCAAATGATGAATATTAACAGAAATATGAAAGAAATAATATAAAATCCAACTTCACATGCAAGTGTTAGAGGACTCAAACTCATGGCTCATTAGCTGAATTTGGCCCACAGATGTGTTTTGTTTCACTTCAGAGATGTTCTCTTAGAGTTATTTTCCAATATAGAAGGATTAGAATATTTCACTTACATACTTGCATTTCTAGCTTCTCTTGAAAAACAAGATCTGACATCAATGGGTCTACATGATTGTGCATGGCAACAGTTGGTGGAGCTGAACAGTTGCTATCCCCTTGTCTTAAATTGACTTTGAGATGGGAGTTGCATGCAAAAGGTTGATTGGTGGTTGCTCCTGAGAGATACATTGTGAGAAATTGGGGAGAAAAAGAATTTAGCAGAGGGAAAAGCCGGCCTGAAATGCACTTGCCTTTTAGGCCTCAGGCAATCATATGGGGAGCCCTGGAATGGAGATGAGCTTTGGGGATTGTCCCACAATGAGACACAGGAGTCAGTTCTCTGTAATCCTTCATCTGTCAGTCTTTGGCCACAAGCCACCCCAGGGATGAGACATAACCTCGGGTGAGGTACTTCCCTGTGGCTTAAGGCAATGCTCAGTGAGGAATGAACCTGTGAACCACTAACAGCCAATATTTCCAGGAGCTGGAGACTGGGTATATTACCCCTGTGGAGGGAGATTTGAGGAGGGTACCACATTGTGAACTATATTCCCTAAAACTAAGCTTGACCTCTCCAATTCACCAAGCCCCTAACCCACCCACTTGACTCATTTCCTGGGACCATAGCTATTAGTGTTTGCAACCTCATCTGTACATGGATCTACCACTGTTTCTCATCCTGACAAATATTTCTACATTTCTACAAACTCTACTCACTCCATCTTTAGAAACGAGATGTCTCCAAGCCTCTCCCACTGTTGCTCACTCTTTGACCTTTTTATATTAGCGCTAAACCTCAACCTTCAATGTCACTTAGCCCCTTAAATGATCAACTTCATTTGGTTTTGTTATTCTTAAATTTCTCCATCCATTATTTAGGCCTCTGACTCCAGGCGCAGTGGCTCATGCCTGTAATCCTAGCACTCTGGGAGGCCAAGGCGGGTGGATCACGAGGTCAGGAGATCAAGACCATCCTGGCTAACATGGTGAAACCCCGTCTCTACTAAAAATACAAAAAAAAATTAGCCGGGCGTGGTGGTGGGCGCCTGTAGTCCCAGCTACTACTCGGGAGGCTGAGGCAGGAGAATGGCATGAACCCGGGAGGCGGAGCTTGCAGTGAGCCGAGATTGCACCACTGCACTCCAGCCTGGGCGACAGAGCAAGACTCTGTCTCAAAATAAAATAAAATAAAAGTAGGCCTCTGGCTCCATGCAACATGACCCCAATTAAAGGACAAAGACCTTTCAGACCAAATTAGAGATTCCACCTCTCACCCTCACCCACCTGAGAGGGAAGGAAACAGATGATTTCCAGGTACCTAAAAGCAGATTTCTTCAGCGTTCCAGGCATTTGTTTGCTCCAGCGCATAGGTATATGGAGTATGTTATCTATTGCTAAATAACAAATTACTCCAAATTTCAACAGCATGAAACAACAGTCATTTACTATCTCACAGTTTCTGTGTATTAGGAATCCAGGCACAGCTCACCTGAGTGCTTCTCCCTCAAGATCTCCTACAAGGCTGCATTCAAGGTGTCAGTCAGGGCTGCATTCTCATCTGAAGACTCAACAGATGGATAATCCATTTTTAAGATCACTTGTGTGATTACTGGCAAGATTCAGTTCCTCACAAGCTGTTAAATTGAGGGTCTCAATTTCTTGCAGGCTGTTGATCAGGGTCTTTCTTCAGTTTCTTGCCAGAGGGCAGCTAAAAACATGGCAACTGACTTCCATCTCATTGAGCAATAAGAGTGAGCCAGAGAGAGCTAGCAGGACAGGAATTATGGGTTTTCTCGTAGCCTAATCTCAAAAGTGGCATCCTTAAACTTTTACATTATTCCAGTCACTCGTATCAAGTGACCAGGTCCATCACACAGTTATAGGGAAAGGGGTTAGACAAGGTTATGAATTCCAGGATGCAGGGATCACTGGGAATTATCTCAGAGGCTGCCCACCACATGGATCCTAACCAGAAGTTTGTAGCCTAGTTAGAGAGAGAAAAACTGACACACACATATATTAAATGCTGAATAACCATGTGTATGTTAATAATAAAACTAGAATATATATGAATGCCCAGTGAGAGGTAATGGCAATTGGTTCTACTTCAGAAGTTCACATAAAGAACTCACTGTGAGCTGGAGTCATCAGGGAAGGCTGCATGGAGGTGATGTGCCCGGAGGTGAGCCTTTTGGATGGGTGATTATGGACATAGGGCCCCATAACTAGAAAGACATTAATCAGAGATCCTCCAATGGTACAGGGAAAATTTGCTATACAAATGTGACAGAGACACGCGGTATATGGCTGAATACCAAAAGTTGGTTTAGGTATGCTCTAATTGCAACCCTCTTCTTGATACATAGCCTGTTAAGATTCCTTTAGATTCTTCTCTATGCAAAGGATTAAAGAATAATGCAGAGAAAATATTAGGATGGGAACAGGATAGAGAAAATGGAAAGAGAATGATTTTCAAGGCTGTAGATTTTATGCATAAGCACTATAACTTCAGAGCAGAGAATCTCTAGGTTTATCTCCAAACTGACATGACCTGAACCTGTCAAAACTATAAATAAGAATGATTAACTTGTATTGAGAGCTTGCTATGAGCCAAACATTATGATAAGTACTTTCCATCTCACTTTGGAAGTGAGCAACAGCAAATGAACAATCGGTCTGCTCCCCATTCTTCTCATTCTGCCCCTTCTCCCCATTTCTTTTTTTTCTTTCCATCCAGGCCAGAGGCTCTTTCTTCCCTCAATCATTAAACTTACTCTCAAGAGAGTCCGGGCTCTAGTCGCTCGCACCTCAGTGTGTTCTTAAAGTCACACCTAAGGTGCTTTCATTATGAAACTTGTTACTGACTGCTAAGTGAAAGATATTTTTCCTATAAAAGACATTTCAGGCATCAGTGGGCACATAGGAGCTGTATTTGGCATGTAGAGGATCAAGGGAGTGGTATTTCAGTCCCTGAAATGAAACCATATGGGGAGTTGCTTACCCATCATGCTGGCCTTGGACTTGACCCATGTAATGGGTATTTGCTTAATAAATAGGGTCTTTCAGTCATATACCCATTGACCTCTTGATCTGGTCCAAAGGGGACACTGTTTTCCATTCACTAATGAGGTAGATTTTGGCTTCTTCCTGCCTGTTAGAAATGTGTGATATTTTGTTTCTCTTCAAACCCTTAAAACCTGTGAGAACAAAGTTGTTACAAACTCCTGCTGGTAAGTAGTGAAGACAATCTGAGCCATTAGAGAAAAAAATGTTTTTCCTCCTCCCAGGGAAGCTGGTGAGGATCATATAACAAGCCAACTGGAGGCCATGTTACGGCTGCAACCACTGCCACCCTCTCTGCCTGGTTTTAGCTGTGAGGTGTGCAGGCTTGATCCGGGGTTGACAGCAACTTTTCAAAACCAAACCCCCACTTTTCCTCATTAGGAAAGAGAAGCCTACTCATCTGTGTCCCTACCAGAGGAGTCTAGTATGTGGCTTTTCTTTTTGAAATGGGTTTTTTCTAGAAGCGGTTGAAAAAGACTCTACCGCCAGGTGTGGTGGCTCACACCTGTAATCCCAGCACTTTGGGAGGCCAAGGTGGGTGGATCACCTGAGGTCAGGAGTTTGAGACCAGACTGGCCAACATGGTGAAACCCCATCTGTACTAAAAATACAAAAATTATCTTGGTGTGGTGGCAGTTGCCTGTAATCCCAACTACTCGGGAGGCTGAGGCAGGAGAATCGCTTGAACTCGGGAAGGGGAGGTTGCAGTGAGCCAAGATGGCACCATTGCACTCCAGCCTGGGCAACAAGAACAAAACTCCATCTCAAAAAAAAAAAAAAAGACTCTACTAGAAGAGTCTAGTACGTAGTTCTTCTATTTAAAATAGGTTTTTTCTAGAAGGTGTTGAAAATGAAACAAAAATGTCTACTTTTATCTATAGTCATCTTCAGGGCTCTACTTTTGTCCATCTCACTACCTTCAACAATCTATGGTGAGCAAGGGAATTTATACATTAAACATTTGCTGTTGAAGCTTTTTATTTTATTGCATTCCTTTCTAAAGCTGTGTATGTAACTTATAGAAAATTGAGAGGCATTTTTAAAATAGGGAACCTGTCTAACCACAAAGCTGTTCCCTTATGGGCACTCCCGATCGCACTCAACTTCAGTGGATAAGAGTTGCTATTCTTATCCTAGGTCCTTAAAATTCTGCAAGACTCAAGTAATAAGTCTTGGTCTCTAGTTTGGCCGGAGAAACTACCATGGTCTGCTCAGCTCCCAAAACGTTATTTTAATTTGATTGTGCATTTCTAAGATAGGTAATTTAAAGATGTTTAACTCCAGCCTGTATAGAACGCTAAGCAGGGAAATCACATTGTTGCGTCTTGTGGGGTGAGTCAAACCATTTTGCAGTCTAGCACTTTGGATTAATTCCTCTCTGTTAGTCCTTAGTTCTCCTTGTCAAAATGGTTCCAAAAGCCTTGACATGCACATTCACACCCATACACACACACACACACGCATCCACGCTATCCTTTATCACGAATAGTCTTCACCTTGGCTTATCTAACATTTTCTGGGCTTCCACCCAAGAAAAAAAGTCTTACTCCACTTTTAACAGCAGGACTTCTTCACACCTCTGCAGAAACTAAACATCACACAGTTTATGGTATGAGCTTAAAAAAAAATCCTTCTGTTTTCCTTACTAACAGGAAAGAAAGGTCAATTTAAATATTGAGAGGGAAAATTACTTCTGGCAGCCAGGCAAAGTAAAAGGAGTTAGTACTTGCTTAGTACCTACTATGTGCTAGATACATTTTTTTTTCTCATTTCAAAGAAATCTCCATGGTTTGTGTGTGTGTGTGTGTTTGTGTGTGTGTCTGTGATGCCCTGCATGGGATCACACACCAGCACTTTTTTTCCTTAGAGCAACATTGATATACGCGCCCACTGCACCTCATTGCCTCATTAGGTGGGAAGAATAAGTTCAACATGTTATTGTGACAGAAACGGTGAAGAAACATTGTAGAATTTTCCAGAATAAAAGATTTGTAACCACATTTTAACCAGAAAAAAAGGAACTAACAGTACTCTAGTATTCTTTCTCATGTTAATAATAAAATAATGAAATCTTCTTTCAGAAGTTCTCATTTCTGTTTTCTATTTAGCATAAATCAGAGTTCTGCCATGGGAAACTAGACTGTGGACTAAGAAGGGTAAATTGGTGAGAGAATCGGGTGTCTATACTAGTTAGTCTCCTGCAATTATTGTAAGACACAACACAAAGCAATTATTTATAATCCAAGAAAAAAAACTAAGAGATATTATAATAAGGCATGATTCTTTTTCTAATTTCTATATTTATAAAGCATAATATACTGTCAGACATTGCTTTAAGCTTGTCAAAAATATTTGTGTTTACTCCTGAGATAGACACTAATATTTTATTCCCCATGTTATAAGGGAGGGAACTGGCCAGGCACGGTGGCTCACGCCTGTAATCCCAGCACTTTGGAAGGCTGAGGCGGGTGGATCACGAGGTCAGGAGTTCAAGACCAGGCTGGCCAAGATGGTGAAGCCCTGTCTCTACTAAAAATACAAAAATTAGCCAGGTTTGGTAGTGGGCATCTGTAATCTCAGCTACTCAGGAGGCTGAGGCAGAGAATTACTCAAACCCAGGAGGTGGAGATTGCAGTGAGCCAAGATCACGCCACTGCTCTCCAGCCTGGGCAACAGAGCAAGGCTCCGTCTCAAAAAATAAAAATAAAAAATAATAAGTGAGGAAACTGAGAACAAAGAGATCAAGTAAATTGTCCACTGTCTCACAGCTGCTAATTATCTGAACTGGGTTTAGAACTGGACACTGAAGCTGAGGAACTCATACCACCAACCACTGTGTAATCTATTTCACAGCTTCTATCCAGAGATCATTGTAAAATATGGAGCAGATCAATCAAAAGCCTTTTATATATTGAGTTCATAAGACTCTAGATGTATATGTTTGTATGACTGAATATGAGATCATGGACAGAAGCAGAGACCTGAAAACCAGGACCACTGGCCAGGTGCTTGAGCTATTAAGTCTGACAGTTCTGAAAACAAAGGTCCAGAGTGAGGACTCCTCCCTCCCACCATGAAATTAACAAAGCATCATGTCAAGCCACAGAGAGCCCAAATTGAGAACATGTTTGCTGTTCTGGTTTTCATGCTTCATGAAAATTATGAGCTTAAATAAAGCTTAGAAGGAAGTTAAGGGAATTAGTGACCTCATATCTGAAGATAATAAGCAAGGAAGATCCCCCAGCCTAGAGAGGTGGAGGCAGGAAAATCAAACTCAATACTATTTGGGTTAACACATCAGAACAAGTAAATCAAGATTCTACTTCCCCAGGACTACTAGTTTGCTTAGTGTGTTGACTCATGGAATGACATAATCTGAAAACACAGCCAAATTTTTTTTGAAAACAAGTCTTATAAGAAGAGTTAAATTCATAAGTGACACATTAATGGTGAGTTACAAGAAACTAGTGTGCATGAAAAATATTGTTTCTATCGCTCACTTTGTTCTATCCTTTGTGATTCTCGAGTAAAAGTGTCTGGGATTTTATGGCTCCGTTCACTATCTCATTCAGAATCTCTGTCACCCCATCAGATCCTGTACTAGACTATACGCATCTTGAGGACACAGACTACATCGCTGACATCTTGTAGTCCTCTTAGCATATTCTTTCATATATACACTGAGTGTGTAGACATATTCATTTAAAGATGGAATGAGAATCCAAACCCCATTGGATTCCACATACAGGAACGCTCCTTTTATTTTTGACTCACCTACTAATTTACATGCCCATAAGTCTACAATATAATATTTCTCCTAAAGTGAAGATTCTCTTACTTCCTACAAAATTTATCTAACTCTTGCTTTTCTAGAGCATTAAACACTTGGTAGATTATCCACAAGTACATGAACATGGAAGGTTTGAAATTTTTAAAGTCGTATAGAAATATGGAGCAGAATTTAAACCCAGGTCGGCCTAATTCTAAAACTACTGCTTTGTAAGTTTCGCCATACTGCCTCTCTTAGAGTCCTCACTATACTAGACCTACATCAAGGCCCAAGCTATGCCTTTTACTTTTCATCAACCTGTCTACTCCATTTCTACCACCTTCCTAGGAGCACCAAAAAAGTACTTCGTA
The DNA here is from genome assembly GCF_000001405.40 of Homo sapiens. Taxonomy (NCBI): domain Eukaryota; kingdom Metazoa; phylum Chordata; class Mammalia; order Primates; family Hominidae; genus Homo; species Homo sapiens. Next base: position 81,684,078 of record NC_000014.9, on the reverse strand, counting down.
CTTCTCTGCAGGAGGATGAAGAGGGGATGTAAAAAAGCTAGAACAATCAGTTTATAATGCTACTTGTGCAGAAGAGTTAACGTAGCCAACTGTATGTGTAGCGACTGCTATCGTGAGAAAAGATTTTTTGCAAGATTGGCTCTTGACTAGCAACTGGGAACTTGCATTTGGGGAGGGTTACCACTATTCCCAGAACTGGTAAGAATGGTTCGATGTGCCTAAACTATTCATGCATACAATATGGTTTGTACTGGATACATGTGTTTCTTCTGGAGGCTGGCATTCCAGTACATGCTAGCGTGAACCCAGAAAATCGGAGACAGGTCTCAACTAATTTAGAAAGCTTATTTTACCAAGGTTGAGGACACGCCCGTGACACAGCCTCAGGAAGGACATGTGCCCAAGGTGGTCAAGCACAGATTGGTTTTATACATTTTAGGGAGACATGAGACATCAATCAAGATATGTAAGAAGTACATTAGTTCCATCCAGAAAGGCAAGGAAAACTCAAAGCAATCCCTACCCCCACCCCACCCACCCCACCCCGCGGGGGGCTTCCAGGTCACAGGTAGGTGAGAGACAAATGGTTGCATTCTTGGCCAGGCACGGTGGTTCACGCCTGTAATCCCAGCACTTTGGGAGGCCGAGGCGGGTGGATCACCTGAGGTCAGGAGTTCGAGACCAGCCTGGCCAACGTGGTGAAACCCCATCTCTACTAAAAATACAAAAATTAGCCGGGCATGGCCTGTAATCTCAGCTATTCAGGAGGTTGAGGCAGGAGAATCACTTGAACCTGAGAAGCAGAGGTTGCAGTGAGCTGAGATCGCACCACTTCACTCCAGCCTGGACGAAAGAGCAAAACTCGGTCTCGAAAGAAAAAAAAAGGTTGCATTATTTTGAGTTACTGGTAAGTCTTTCCAAAGGAGGCAATCAGCATATGCATCTATCTCTGTGAGCAAAGGGATGACTTTGAATAGAACAGGAGGCAGATTTTGTCCTGAGCAGTTCCCAGTTTGAAGGGGCCCAAGATACTTTCCTTTCACACTAGGCAGAGGGTGCCTACATGACCAACCTTCCATAAAAAACCTTGAGCACTGAGTTTCTAATAAGCTTCACCATTAGACTATTACTTCACATGTGTTGTCACAACTCTCTGCTGGGGGGATTAAGCACAAGCTGTGTGACTCCCCTGGGAGAGGCTTGCACCTGCTTTCCTTCAGACTTCATTCCCTGTGCTTTTTCTCTTTGCTGACTCTGCTTTGTATGTTTTCACTATAATCGATCTCCATGACTGACATGATCCCCATGCTGAGTCCTGTGAGTCCTCCTAGGAAATTATGGAAACTGGGAGTGTTCTTAAGGGACCCCAACACACGCCATCATCGCAACTTTGCTGAAAACTTTCTTAGGGAAAGAGAGGACTGAGGAATAAATTGAAATTTGGAGTCCGGGGATTCCTAGGTATGAGCTGCCCCCTTTCCAAGGGCTATTCCGGAACGCTACTGCCCACACTATGCTCTTAAAGGTTTATTTACAGGAAAAAATATATTATCCTCAAAAACATTATATATTTTCTTATCTATAGAATACAGTTTTGCTGGCACTCCAAAATGGCCAGAAAGCATGATTATAGAGCAGCCTCCAGGACCTGTCCTTAAGGACACTGGCAATGTGAATGCTCTAAAAACAGCCTCAGAATGTTTACAAACCCTAGGATCCTTTGGGATGGAAAAGCTCTCTATGAACAAAAGGTGATTTGCCTGTGCTTTGTTCTCAAAATAAGCATGCCTTTGATGACAATAGACCTTTCTGGCAAAAAACAAAATCAGGAAAGTTTCCTTTTTCTCTACCTCCTATGATTAAAATAAGCACATATCTGGATCTGTGCTTCTAAGGACAACAGAAGACATATGGGGCCATCACCAAGATATCAATCACCGGAGTATCTCCTTACGAGCAAGGCAGGGCAATGAACGACTGCTTTCAAGAATGCTGGGGAGAATAAAACTATCTTTGCAAGAAATAGAAAATTCCAGGAACTTTTTCCATGCAAATATTAAGTCAGAAGAAGCAAACAGATTTTTTTAAGTTTATAATCTGAGTTCAATTTTCTTGATGAGTGCTGTTGAGTTCGTTGTTTTGTGGAGGCTTTTTCTTAATCGTTTTTCTGCAATGCAATAAGGTTTGCATGGATTTTATCCAAACCAGGCTAGGGAACTAGGGCTTTCTGCATCTATTGCCAGATTAGATCCTTGCCTAATAAATGAGTTTCGTGAATCTTGACTTAGGCAATTTACTCCAGAGAATTTCCTGCTGTCAGTTTCTCTGGAGTGGAGAGATTTGAGTTGGGGGAGAGGGAAGAGAGTGGGGGGCTGGGTTTATTACTCCCAATATGCTCTGTGCTGTTGTGCCTGGCTGTACATATGCCTGGGACTCACACCATATGGCCCAGAGGACGCCAGTGGCCTGCTTAGCAGCTGTCTCCAGCATATTTTGACATAAAAGCCATTATATTTTTGGCTGGCTAATTGCCTTTTATTAAACAATTGTTGGGAGTTGGATGATAACTTTTATGAATTTAAAATGAAAGCCTCGCTGAGAACTTCTGAAAGCAAACAGTGCTTAGTCCACCTGGGAAAATTTGAAAGGGCTGGCCTTCCATCTGCCAAACAGAACTCATACCAGGCTTAGCAACTGAGAAGCAGAGGGTGACAGTTTCCATTTTCATAGTACAAGGTTCTCCTAAAAGACTCTGGGAGAGGACAAACAAAATGTTACTCTCTGTAAGGTCTGTTGGGGGAAATGCAATAAACAAAATCTTGTCCCAACCCAGAAATTATCTCCACAAAGGTAGCAGAGAAAGAAACCAGTTTTATTAAGGAATAGGCATTAAACCACAATGTGATGCGTGTCACAGGCAATCCACGAAGAAATTACAAAAACAGAAAGAAATCCAACGCGACTCATCACATACATGTTTTCAAGATGAACAATAACTAGTCCTCAAGGAAGACGACTGCTGATCCCAAATACAGTCCATCCAAACTATACTTGGTAATTGGGGTAAATTTCTTGGTAATTGGGGTGCTGGACTCTGTTAGCTAATTGATTTCAACCAAAAGTCGGGGATAAGGAGGTCTTTATGACAGGAAGTAGTTTTACCATCTGGAGCAAGGTAGCCGTGAAGTTAGGCTCCAATAACTCCAGAGAAACAGGGAGATAAGGGCACTATCTCTCTTGATGTTACATTTCAAAGAGATGGCCCCCAGATCCTTGAGAAAAACATTCCCAGGTCCTAAAGCTGACAAAAGACTTTTTCTAAAAAGATGTATTTCAAAAAGATAGAGAAAGTACTTACATTTACCAGTTTTTTAAGGTAAATGTTCTTACAAAAGGAAGGGGCGGGAAATCTCTTGTTTTCAATAGGAGAAGTTAAGCCTTTTGTTTTTCATTCTGTTTTTTTGTTTGTTTTACTACAGGTCTTATTTTCAATGATCTGTGTTAGGGCTTCCCTAGGGACTTAGGCACTTCCTCAGATTCCCAAATCACTGAAGGTAAAATTAAGTGCAATGAACTATTTAGTTAATTGTTATATCTAAGTCCTTCTTAAGAAAAAAAAAAAAAGAAAGGAGACAAGGAGGGGTAAGATAAAAGAGAAAAATATATAAAGAAAATAAAAAGGAAATACCAGCAGTTCACAGATTTGTTTCAAGTTATTTAGCAGTTATTAAACGGATCTCTATTGTGGAAAAGAGATTTGATTTTAAAAAAGGAAAATTGAGGAAGTAAAGGTTTTGTCTCCATTAATTTTATCCTATTCCCAGGCTATTCACAGATCCTTCCTCTCACTCTGTCTGAAATCCCCCAAATGTTGGTCACAGGGGGAAGCAGGAAAGAGGGTGTAAAAAGACTTCGCAGCAATTTGTCACCAACCCAAGAAAAACTCTTCAAACTGTTGTAGGTCCTTTGGGCTCATCACTCCAGACATGCTGGACTCTCTACTCCCAGCAGACACCAAGTCATCTCTTTTTAGGACTTCCCACCTGGCCCCTTCTACACAAAACACTTTTGTCACTAGCTCCACTCCCATCTCCAACTCGTCCCCTAGTTAACTCCCTCTTGTCCTTCATGTCTTGGTTTCAAAGCCATTTCCTCTGAAGTCCCACAGGTAGGTGCCCCTCTCACATGCTTCCATGGTTCCTCATGCAGCCCCTCTGTAGCACATCACACCTGCATTCACAGGTAAGGCACATTCAAGTGCAACTAGGGGTCAGGCAGTAACACAAACGAGTGAGCCTGTGAGGGTCTGAGACCACAGCAGTACTTACCCCCATGTAAACGTGAAAGGTGACAACGTGCTGGCAGCCCTTGCAGCCCTCACTCGCTCTTGGCACCTCCTCAGCCTTGGCGCCCACTCTGGCCGCGCTTGAGGAGCCCTTCAGCCCGCCGCTGCACTGTGGAAGCCCCTTCCTGGGATGGCTGAGGCCAGAGCCGGCTCCCTCAGCCTGCAGGGAGGTGGGGAGGGAGAGGCACGGGCGGGAACCGGGGCTTCGTGGGGCGCTTGGAGGCCAGTTAGGGTTCTGCGTGGGCGTGGGCGTGGGCTTGGCAGGCCCCACACTCCGAGCGGCCGGGGGCTTAGCACCTGGGCCAGCAGCTGCGGAGGGTGCGCCGGGTCCCCCAGCAGTGCTGGCTCATGGGTGCTGTGCTGGATTTCTCCCCCGGCCTTAGCTGCCTCCCCGCAGGGCAGGGCTGGGGACCTGCAGCCCGCCATGCCTGAGCCTCCCCCTCTCCCCCACTGTGGGCTCCTGCACAGCCTGAGCCTCCCCAAGGAGCACCGCCCCCTGCTCCGCAGCGCCCAGTCCCAGTCTAGCTCAGGGTTTGTAAATGCACCAATCAGCACCCTGTGTCTAGCTCAAGGTTTGTAAATGCACCAATCAGCACTCTGTGCACCAATCAGCACTCTGTGTCTAGCTGAGCTGGTGGGGACTTGGAGAATCTTTATGTCTAGCTGAGGGATTGTAAATACACCTATCAGCACTGTGTATCTAGCTCAAGGTTTGTAAATGCACCAACCAGCACCCTGTGTCTAGCTCAAGGTTTGTAAATGCACCAATCAGTGCTCTGTGTCTAGCTAATCTAGTGGGGACTTGGAGAACTTTTGTGTCTGGCTCAGGGATTGTAAATGCACCAATCAGCACCCTGTCAAAACGGACCAATCAGCTCTCTATAAAACAGACCAATCAGCTCTCTGTAAAATGGACCAATCACCAGGATGTGGGTTGGGCCAGATAAGGGAATAAAAGCAGGCTGCCCAAACCAGCAGTGGCAACCTGCTCAGGTCCCCTTCCACACTGTGGAAGCTTTATTCTTTAGCTCTTTGCAATATATCTTGCTACTGCTCACTCTTTGGGTCCACACTGCCTTTGTGAGCTGTAACACTCACTGCAAAGGTCTGCAGCTTCACTCCTGAAGCCAGTGAGACCATGAAACCACCGAGAGGAACAAACAACTCCAGATGCGCTGCCTTAAGAGCTGTAACGCTCGCCGCGAAGGTCTGCGGCTTCACTCGTGAGCCAACAAGACCACGAACCCACCAGAAGGAATAAACTCCGAACACATCCGAACATCAGAAGGAACAAACTCCAGACACGCTGCCTTTAAGAACTGTAACACTCACCATGAGGGTCCGTGGCTTCATTCTTGAAGTCAGTGAGACCAAGAACCCACCAATTCTGGACACAAAGGCATTCAACTCACTTTCTTCTAAACATGCACTAGCTAACCACATTGATAAACATATCTGTTGGCCAAATTCGACTAAGTGGTTGTGGAGCTCTGGCAAAGGAGAGAGAAGGCAAATGCTAAATCATGTAGCAAGAGTTAAGGGGTGGACTTCGCTGGGGAAACTTGCAAGCGGAGGCTTATCGAGAAGAAGTCTATGATCTCATCATCCCTTAGAATGCATGCAGAGGAGGGTGTTTATGGACTCAAAAGGTGTCTATTTGGAAAGGGACACTGCCCTTCTGCTATTTTACCTTCCCATAGTGCAAGCCTGAGAACCACCTTATCAGGAGGAGAACAAAGGACATAGGTCCCAGGCAGTCTGAGAGGAGTACCAGGTCTGCAGAGAGTTGTCTGAGAGTGCCAGCTGCCAGCACCAGGCAACCTTGGGCAAAATTCCACAAACAGTTGTGATTGTGTGCTGTGCCTTCCACTGGGGAGAAAAAAGCTCTTCCAAGCACTATGAATTTCCAGGGTCATTCATGAGACAATCTTTTTCATCTCTCTTCCAGAGTGGGCCATCAGGCCACAGCCCCGATTGTTGGTTCTCTCTATCATTTCTGTCTTTACATAGTTATATTCTTGGAGCCTGAGTGCCTGGCATGTAGTAGGAGCTAAAAACATATTTGTTGAATAAATAATCATCTTTATAAGACAAACAAGTATCCTAGTTGCCTGGGATTGCAACCTAGATACCCTGAAAAATTGTCCTGTGAAAATCATAACAGGATACAGGGAGGAAATAATCTATTGTGAGCTGGCTGTTATGACTCTCTCCAGCCCTCCTCCTTTTAGTCAAGCCTCCTTTACTCTCCAGGGCTTTGCTCTACCTCATTAATGTTAATATCTTATCTAACCTTTCCTTGGCTCTCTGCAGTGATGGGACTTCTATTCCACTGTCTAATCTCTCTTACTCTTCATCTTTCAAAACGTCCACCCTAAACTTTTCCTCTTTTTAGCTTCAGGCCATTTCATGCCTCTTCTGAGACTTAATCATCTTTCCATTTGCGTGGTTTTGCTGAGAGAAGTGGACTGAAAAATGCAGAAGGATTTTAGGAAATAAGGGAGAAATCCTGTATCAGGCACATTCTTACAAGCAGTAAAAGATTCGTTCATCACTTATCCCCGCTTTCCACTGGGAGTTGAGGTCCTCCTGGTGGAGAATTTGATGTCAAGCCACGGGCAGGGGAATGAATAGATCTGCCTGCCAGCCTGAACGCAGAATAAAATGAGAGTGCAGCACCTGCGATTTCTTCTGAGTTCCCACACTGCTTCCAAGAGGCCCGTAGTTTTCTATCAAGGTCACTGTCTCTGCAGATCAATAAGCAAAGGAGATCTCAGATTTTAAGGGCCCTTTTTGGTAGCGCCAAGACCACAGGGAAGCATAAGGAGGTGAGAGAGTTAAGAGCTCAGTTCACAGGTATTTAGATCTCAAATGTTTCTAGACATAATACGACAGCCTTTAGCTTCCTCAGACAGCACCTGTATGCAGGCTATTTAAGTCTGAGAAAAAAACATAAAACAAACCATCAAAACAGGACCATGAGCATTACAGCAACCCAGGTGCCACCATTACCGAGCAGTTTGAGGCACCCAGAAGCATCAGACAGTGGGGCTGAGTAGGAAAAGCAATCAGATGTGAAGATTTCAGTCAGGGAACAACTTTGGATTGCTCACTCTCTGATTAAGTGCTCAAAAAATGGAGTTCTAACTTTATATTCCATCCCTCACTCTGAGTCATGATTGCACTGTAAAATATCCTTATCAAACATGAGGGGGGAAATTAATAAGCTCAAGGAATGACTGAGATTACTTCAGCAAAAGAAAGAAGGCAAGAAAATAATGTCTCCGATGTAACTATTCAGGTCAGGGCAAGAGTTGGAGAGCAGATAGTAACATCCTTAATGATACTCAAAATGTGTAGCCTCAAGTAGAGAGGACCAGGCTAGCAAGAAGCAATAGAAGCAACAGAGCAGAGAGAACCAATACAATCAAAAAATAAACAGTTGCTCTCATTTTTGTCTAAAAAGGCCATGTCAATAATCTTGATAAACTGTGAACAAATCATGGGCATGCACTTACGACTGTGTTTACTCTTATTTTTCTCTTTCCCAAAAGAACACTAAAGGTTGCACTTTGAGCTCACCTTCAAGAAATGCAACATGAAAAGGCAATTTCAGAACAGCAGGGCATGGCTTCTGACATCTGATAGACAGCCTAAACACATTTCATCTTATCAGCTCCTCTCACTCTCCCTCCCCTCCTTTTTCATTATTCCCCAGTGCAGCCATCTTTTGCTTTTCCTCAAATCCCTGACTCCCACCTCACTCATGGAAGATTTTAAAAGAAAAACATGTTTTTTATTAAAGTCATATACAAAGCATCCCTGGGTCCTTTGCCCTCTGGCAAGTGTACATATTGGTTTGCTTCGTTTAGGAAAAGAAATCAGTGTTGTATTTTCTTCCACATCTGGACGTCAAAATAGTTAAACTGGGTATCTTCCTCTCAGTTGATGGCACTTACACAAAGCCATTCCAATCAGCGTGGCCGGTTTTTATTCTTTGGGTTCTGTGAATTAAAAGAGTTTCAGGCCGGGGGCAGTGGCTCACACCTGTAATCCCAGCACTTTGGGAGGCCGAGTCGGGCGGATTACAAGGTCAGGAGTTCGAGACCAGCCTGGCCAATATGGTGAAACCCCATCTCTACTAAAAATACAAAAATTAGCCGGATGTGGTGGCACACGCCTGTAGTCCCAGCTACTCAGGAGGCAGAGACAGGAGAATCGCTTGAACCTGGAAGGCAGAGGTTGCTGTGAGCCAAGATCGCGCCACTGCACTCCAGCCTGGGTGACAAAGCGAGACTACAACTCAAAAAAAAAAAAAGTTTCAAAATTATATTGCCAGAATATGATCTAGATCTATAGAAACATATTTTGATATAAACAAAACTCAACTAGGTCGAGAAAAGAAAAAGAAATCTATGACCAAGAAGCTCCAAAGAGGAGTAACGAAGGGAAATAATGAAATTATCCAAGTAATTCAGTACAGCCAGCAAACTGGAGGGGATGAGATGGAAGGTAATGTTTCATGACTTACCTGATTTAGCTACACATATCAATCAAATTCAAGGGGGGCGGAAGAGAGCGATAAAGCCATTATTAAATTAATAAACAATGCCTAGAGATATATGTATTTTCCTATTCTCCCCTCCAGCTAAGGGTTACTTTATTTAATTGATCCCTGTCATCATGACCATATGACAGCAAAGTAGAGCAATATTTTATTGTGTGATAAAAATAGAAATTGTGCTATTGTTGACCACTTTGTTCCCAGAGATGACAGGTAGACAGAGGAAGCATATAGCACAAACGGTAAGAGCATAGGTTTTGGAGTCAGATCACTGAGACTCAAATCTCAGCTCTGCCATTTGCTGGGCTGATAAGTACACCTCTCCAAGCCTGAGTTCCCCATGTGTAAGACTGGGTGACAACAGTTCCTACCACATAAAGTGTGGTAAAAATTAAATAATAAGTTAAACCGTGACAGCTGTTTGCAGAGTTCCTGGTGTACAGACATGCAAATACAGATGTCCCCACTCAGGGTCTGCCAGCTGCTATTATTACCATTATTACCACTTCTAAGTCTAAAAGTCTTGATGGGAATAACGTATCAAGGGCAAATTGAATAAACAAATTATCAGCATGAGAGCAGATATGTCTACCTATATAGAGTTTACACATTTACTAAAGGTGAATAGCATTTTTCAGACTTGAGGCATGGGTATGTATAAACTTCTTTTCCTCCATAAATTGATTGAACAAAGAATTTCTAACATCTACTTTGTGTACAGAAACAGATCATTTTAGCCACATCATGAGGTAATGAGCTATTTGCTGCATAAATGAATTTTCTGAATGTGAAAAGGTGAAACTTTTAATAGAGAGCCAGAGATAGAGATTAGGAGAGAGGGATAGAAAGGGGGTTGGGGGAGTATTAATGGAAATCATTTTTTAAGGCAATAAGAACTCACTTGGGTTTTAAAATGTAACCTTTCCTGAAAGACATGTCACTGATATCAACATGAGCTATATTGCTCCACGCTGGCTCCTATTTTCCCTAAATAGAAATGTTCTCACTGCACAGTGGAGTGTAGTATGAAGAACTCTCTGCCTCTGCACAGAGCGGCCTCTAGCTGCTATCCTTTTCAAATTCCTCTTTCAACATGTGGTTCTGTGTCTCCCCAGCTTCTTACTCTCATTTGCTTGTTTGTTTGTTTGGGCAGTGTTTATCAAATATAGTGTGTCAGGGATTGTGCAGAGAACGCAAAGATAAATAGGACACTATTAACTGCCCTAAAGGAGACTGCAACATAAAAGAATATATAAATGTTGATTATTATCTCTTACTCTACATAATATGTGTGTTTCTTTTACATTTCTTTCCCCACCACCCAAACTTCTGTCTTTCTTCCTTCTGCTGAAAGCAAAGAAACCAATTAGCCAAGCTGGTTGAAATTATGTTTTTAATGGAAGCAAGTGGGTTCTGAGTCAGAGGTTCTCCTTTTAGTAAAACGCATGAAATTTATTTTTAATAACCTTGATGCATCTAGTTCAACTGTTTGGAAGCAATTTGTTTTACTTTATTATTTTCTGTAGTGTTCCAAACAGATGAGGTTGTCAGAGTAATTACCTCTGGATAAGTGAGGAATTGGTATATTATAGTAAATAAAAGCTTATGCGGTTAGTCCACACTTCCAAACGTGTCTGTATCATAAAGCCTGAATGTTAAGTGATATTTGTGGTATTTCTGCAATAGTTTTGGCAATGAAGGCTGTCCTTCAAATTCTCATTTTAAAAACTGGTATCTAACTTTAGAGCACTCATTTATCTCAGATCACACAGACATATTTTTAATATTAGGATTAGGGAGGAAATATTACTTTAAACAATAAATATGTCATATAATTCATCACCTCTAAGAGGTTGCATAGCCTGCACATATAAATAAGATTAAAAATGACCTAAGGAGAGACGGCAAGATGTCAGCCTGACTATGCTTTTGAGTCTTTCCAAAACAAACATGAGAAACAAAACAATCAAAAAATATATAGATGGTGTAACTAGAATGGCAAACAAACAAAAAACCCACAGATAATATTTTTAAAGGCCTTTTTTCTCTTCATTTTTAAACTCTTTAAAAGATAGGTGTTTAAAGCAAATATAGTGACAGTAAATTGTGGGGCTTATAATATATGTAGAAGTAAAATATATAATAACAATAGCACAAAGGACAAAAGGGAAAAACTAGAATGAAGTGGCATAATATTGTTTGAGGGCAGACTGTAGTAAGTCAAAGACATGTATTGTAAAGCCTAGGGCAATCACTAAAAACTAAAACAAAAAGGTATGCCAAAAAGCCAATAGTGGAAATAAAGTAGAGTCACAAAAAAATAAACAGTTAATCCATCAAAGACACTGTAGGGGTAAGGGGAAACTTCCCCATGATCCTCTAGAGGTTCACTGAAAATTCCTGACAAAAGGCAGATTAATAGGAGAAAAGGCATACGATTTTTTATTATAGTTTTACACGACATGGTAGCTTTCAAAATGAAGACCGAAAGATACAGGGGAAATAAATGTCCATTTTTATGCTTATGGTCAACAAAGTATGGACAGCCATGTAGAAATATGAGTGGACAAAAATGGTGTCTTTTTTTTTTTTTTTTTTTTGAGATGGAGCTTCACTCTTATTGCCCAGGCTGGAGTGCAATGGCACAATCTCGGCTCACCACAACCTCTGCTTCCTGGGTTCAAGTGATTCTCCTGCCTCAGCCTCCCGAGTAGCTGGGATTACAGGCATGCACCACCACGCCCAGCTAATTTTTGTATTTTTTAGTAGAGACAGGGTTTCTCCATATTGGTCAGGTCTCGAACTCCCAACCTCAGGTGATCCGCCCACCTCGGCTTCCCAAAGTGTTGGGATTACAGGCGTGGGCCACCATGCTCGGCTTATAATGGAATGTCTTAATGCTGACAAACAGTGGGGAAACCCAGCAAGGCCTGTCTGTTCAGATTCTTCTTGGCCTCTCTGTGCAGCATGTGGTAGGACCCTCTCTGGAATGGGGGCTCTTATGACCTACACTCAAACAAGGTAGGTCAGATAATTCCTTTATGGCCAGTTTTTACATAGAAAGGCAGGGAGAAAGTTATAGGGTAATATTTTTAGGTTGTACAGCTGTCTTTGGAAAAAGGGGTTTGGTTTCTATGACATGCCTTGGGGAACAGGGATTCTAGTTTCTATGACGTTAGCCTTTAAGGAGAATGAGAGGCCAGAGATAGAAGAGTAAAGGAAGGTCAGAGAAAAACTTTCACTTCTGAAGCTGCTTCTTTGGGCTTCATTTGGGGCTATTGTTTTCTGAGCTCCCACAACCAGAAAAGAGGTCAAAGGGAACAGAGAACAATGGGACAAATAGAATACAAACAGCAAGATATTAGATTTAAGCCAGACCATATTGATAAAAAGTCTAAGAAAATCAAGATCCAATTTTTTACTATATATAAGAAATTCACTTTAAATACACAGATATAGATAGTTTAAAGGTAAGCATATGAAAAGATATACCATGCAAGTACTCAATAAAAGCTGGTATGGCCATATTAATATCAGACAAAACAGACTCTAGAACAAACAATATATAGATTTAAAGAATGGCATTTCATGATGATGGAAAGAAAACATAAGAATCCTAAATGCATATTCACCAAATAACAGAGTTTTTAAATATATGGAAAAAAAACTTTACAGAATTGAAAAGAGATAGAGACAAATGATTATACTGGACAATGCTCTGCTCTCTAGAGATTGATGAAAGAAGAAAAAAAACCAAAACCACGCACATACATAGGCACACACACACACACACAGGCAGACACACACACACACAGGCAGACACACACACACACAAACACATACACACACACACGGTTATATAGAATACTATGAAAAAACTTAACCTAATTGCCATTTATAGAAACACAACCCCAAGATAGCAAGGTAGACTTTTGTTTCAAATTCATATAAGACAGTCATCATAAGAGACTCTAATTGGGCCATAAAACAAGTTCAAATAAATTACAAGATTAAAATCATACAGAGAAGGTTATCTGGCTCCAATAGAATGGAACAAAATTCAATAACAAGATATCTGGAAAATTTCCAAATATTTGGAACTTAAGCAATGTACTTCTAAATAACCCAAGAGTGAAAGAAGAAATCACAAGGGAAATTGCATTACCTATTTAGAACCAAATGAAAATAAAAATACATCAAAATTTGAAAGATGCAGCTAAAACAGTTCTTAGAGGAAAACTTAGGGTCTGAGATACTTATATTAGAAAAGATACATAATCTAAAACATGATCCAAACGGTAACCACAGGAAACTAGAAAAGCAAATTAAATCCAAAGTACACAAAGTAAGGAAATAATAAAGATAATAGAAGTCAATGAAATAGAAGTGGACAGAAAGTAGAAAAAAATAATAAATTCAAAAGCTGCTTCTTTGAAAATTCAATAAAATTGATAAATGTCTGGAAATATTGATCAAAGGGAAAAAGAGAGAAGACATAAGGAACGCTTCCTACCCCATGGTAAACATCCTCAACATGTTTCTTCAGCAATATTTAAAAATTGGTAGGAACTGGTGACTGCTATGTGCCATCCATTTTTTTCTCTTTCCAAATGAGAGTATTTATTGATGCTACCTTGTCACTCTTCCATCAAAATATGCTGGGGAGAGGTGGAGGTAAACAGGCAAATCATCTTTTTGAGTCAGAAAACAACAGATGTTGGCAGGAATGCAGAGAAAATGGAACACTTACACACTGCTGGTGGGAATGTAATTTACGTTTACAACCTCTAGGGAAAGCAGTATGGAGGTTTCTCAAAGAACTGAAACTAGAACTACCATTTGACCTAGCAATCACACTACTGGATATCTACCCAAAGGAATATAAATTATTCTAGCAAAAAGACACCTGCCTTGTATGTTTATTGCAGCACTATTCACAATAGCAAAGTCATGGAATCAACCTAAGTGCCTATCAGCAGTGGATTGGATAAAAAAAAAAAATTTGGCACATATATCACAGATAACAGCCATTAAAAAAAAAAGAATGAAATCATGTATTTTGTAGCAACATGGATAGAGCTGGAGGCCATTATCCTAAGTGACATGACTCAGAAACAGAAAATCAAATACTGCATGTTTTCACTTATAAGTGGGAGCTAAGCAGTGGGTACACACGGACAATACACAGAGGACTAATAGACACTGGGTACTCCACAAGAGGGCAGGGTGGGAGGGGAATGACAGTTGAAAAATTACTTACTGCATAAAATGTTCATTCTTCAAGGAAGGGTGCACTAAAAGCCCAGACTTCATCACTATGCAATATATCATCAAACAAAACTGTAGGAGATTGGTCAGAGTGGTGGGAGAAACTATAGGAAAAGGAGTAGGTCTTCTGAAAGGTCAGAAGGCTCTGCATAGCTTTGGGGGAGAATAGATGAAGGCAGCTGTTCTCTAGCCCTGAGGCAGAGGGCAAGGAGTAGGTACAAGGGAGTGTAGGGGAATTTATCTTAAACAGGTTTGTTTACTTATGTTGACCAGGAGCTAATGTTTTATCATCCAGGCTTCATGAGGTTCCCTGAAAGAGGAACAATAAATGTTAATTACCCACAGATTGTGTTTGCTCCAGGCTTTTGGCATTGTGCCCACACTGAATAAAGGCAAGCAGCTCCAGCTTCTCAGGGCTGCTGCACTTCGGCCACTAGAGCCCACCAGTCTCCTAGCTGCTCTTACACTGCATACCTGTGTCTGAGTACTCCTTTCATCTGTAGGCCGGCCAGGGTCCACAAGACAGACCCAGCACAAAATTGCACATATACCTTGTGAATCTACAAAAATTAAAATTAAAATTTTTTTATTAAATTATTTTAATTTAAAAAATTTAATCATATTTTTGTGATAGTGAGAGGTGACAACGTGTTAGCAGCCCTCACTCGCTCTCAGCGCCTCCTTGGCCTCAGCGTCCGCTCTGGCCACTCTTGAGGAGCCCTTCAGCCTGCTGCTGCACTGTGGGAACCCCTCTCTGGGCCAGTCGAGGCCGGAGCCAGCTCCCTTGGCTTGTGGGGAGGTGTGGAGGGAGAGGTGCAGGTGGGAAACCAGGCTGCGCGCGGCACTCACAGGCCAGCACGAGTTCCAAGTGGGGGCGGGCTCTGCAAGCCCCGCACTCCGAGCAGCCAGCTGGCACTGCCGGCCCCGGGCAGTGAGGGGCTTAGCACCCGGGCCAGCAGCTGCAGAGGGGGCACCAGGTCCCCCAGCACTGCCAGCCTGCCCACGCCACGCTCGAATTCTCACCGGGCCTCAGCCGCCTCCCCACAGGGCAGGGCTGGGGACCTGCAGCCCGCCATGCCCAAGCCCCCCACCATGGTGGGCTCCCACGCAGCCTGAGCCTCCCCAACGGGCGCTGCCCCTTGCTCTGTGGTGCCTGGTCCCATCGGCTGCCCAAGGGCTGAGGAGTGCAGGCACATGGCGCAGGACTGGCGGCAACTCCACCCGCAGCCCTGACACGGGATCCCCTAGGCGAAGCCAGCTGGGCTCCTGAGTCAGGTGGGGACTTGGAGAACTTTTATGTCTAGCGGGAGGATTGTATATGCACCAATCAGCATTCTGTGTCTTGCTCAGGGTTCATGGATGTACCAGTCAGCACTCTATATCTAGCTAATCTGGTGGGGACTTGGAGAACTTTTATGTCTAGCTAAAGCATTGTAAATACACCAATCAGCACTCTGTGTCTAGCTCAAGGTTTGTAAATGCACCAATCAGCACCCTGTGTCTAGCTCAAGGTTTGTAAACGCACCAATCAGGGCTCCGTGTCTAGTTAATCTAGTGGGGACTTGGAGAACTTTTCGGTCTAGCTAGAGGATTGTAAATACACCAATCAGCAATCTGTGTCTAGCTCAGGGATTGTAAACACACACCGATCAGCACCCTGTAAAAATGGACCAATCAGCTCTCTGTAAAACAGACCAATCAGCTCACTGTAAAATGGGCCAATCAGCAGGATGCAGGTGGGGTCAGATAAGGGAACAGAAGCAGGCTGCCCGAGCCAGCAGCAACAACCCGCTTGGGTCCCCTGCCACACTGTGGAAGCTTTGTTCTTTCGCTCTTTGCAATAAATCTTGCTGCTGCCCACTCTTTGGGTCTGCACCGCCTTTGTGAGCTGTAACACTCACCACAAAGGTCTGCAGCTTCACTCTTGAGGCCAGCGAGACCATGAACCCAGCGGGAGGAATTGACAACTCCAGATGGGAGGAACGAACAACTCCAGAGATACCGCCTTAAGAGCTCTAACACTCACAGCGAAGGTCTGCAGCTTCACTCCTGAAGCCAGCAAGACCACGAACCCACCAGAAGGAAGAAACTCTGAACACGTCCAAACATCAGAAGGAACAAACTCCGGACACACCATCTTTAAGAACTGTAACACTCACCGCGAGGATCCGCAGCTTCATTCTTGAAGTCAATGAGACCAAGAATCCACCAATTTCGGACACAATGGTACTAGTTTTGGGTAGTTTTGTTGGCTTATCGTTTAGTGTTTTTGTTCATTCTCTTCCCACTCAAGAATCACATCTGGAACTAATAAAATATGATCACAAAATACTAATCTTTGGGCCAACATCAAGATTGAATGGAACTTTGGAGAAATCTACTTTGGGAAAGGGCAAGGGAATTTCTATGTAGGAGCAAACAAGACAGCAACTATGTAGGTTGTATTATTTTGCTTAAGTATTTACTACTAGATGTGCTGGTGTGAACTCCTCTGCAGGAAAGGGGTATTCCTGCAGAGAATTACATATACTAACCCATTGCCATGACTTGCAGAGCCTCCTAAGAGAAGAGTGCGCTTCCCACTAGAACTCAGCCTGTAATTTTCTGCTCCATTATTGAAAGCCGCAGGATCTATCACTCCAACAAGCAAAGGCATAGCACAGCTATATGTGGCCTGAAACCAATGCAGTTTGGGTGACTGTATTTTTAAAAAAAGAACACAAAATTGTGACTATAAAGTTACAAGTGAAAATGATTATTTAAAATGAAAATAGTAAAAAAGTTACAAATTCTAAAAAGCTGACAAAGTTATCAATCACAAAGTCCAGAAAAATGCATAGTATTTAGACTGACACACATCTGTAATACTTTTTCCTATATATTTTTGGTTACATTGCTTTGTTTTTTTACATGACAATGATTTTGTAAAAAGAGAAACAATTCTTCCTAAAGAGAAAAAAAATAATTCTTCCCCTTAACCTGGTTGATCAAAATTTATATTTTCATGATGGATAGTTAAGAAAAGTTTATTTCAACCTCACAAACTCCTGATTAGTAATTTCTGTACAGTGACTAGTCATACATACTTTGAATTTATGGCACTTATTAACTAATTTATTGTTGATGTCCTTGTTGCAATGGCCTAGTGAGGGTTCTATGTTGGATCCTAAAACTCGGCATCCTGATGCAGGTCATCTGGCACAGTGAATGAGGAGAAATATTCCTGGAAGGCATTCCAACTATGAGACAGCTAGCAGTAATTCATGCACAAAATGATGGCAAACTACATAAATAGATCATCCTAAACTCACACTAAATGTATATTAAATTCAGTTTCCCCTTCACAAAGATGTTCTTAGTGATAGATGTTTTGAACCAGCAATTCCATTTCCAAAGATCTATCCCAAATATCCAGTGGCAAAATTATTAAATATTTTTTGCACAAGACAATTGTTTTTAATACAAAAAGGCTGGAAACAACTTAATTGTCATTAATAAGGAGCTGGTTTAATAACGTAAAATACATCCACAAATGGAGTACCCTGTAACTGCAATAAGAAATGAAGAAATCTCTATGTTCAGCTATGTAGCCATCTCCTAGATATGTTAAGAGAAAAATGGAAGTTGCAGAATAGTGTGAAGGGCATGCTACCTTTTAATCTAAGAAGGTGGGAAATAATATAAACATATACGTATTTGCTCATAAAATTTATTTATTCATTAATACTTATTTATTTATCTATTTATTTTTGAGACAGAGTTTCGCTCTTGTTGCCCAGGCTGGAGTGCAAAGGCATGATCTCAGCTCACCGCAACCTCTGCCTCCCAGGTTCAAGAGATTCTCCTGCCTCAGCCTCCCAAGTAGCTGGGATTATAGGCATGCGCCACCACAACTGGCTAATTTTGTAGAGACAGGGTTTCTCCATGTTGGTCAGGCTGGTCTCCAACTCCCCACCTCAGGTGATCAGCACACCTTGGCCTCCCAAAGTGCTGGGATTACAGGCGTGAGCCACTGCGACCCGCCTGCTCATAAATTTTAAATGGAAACATAAACCAAAAGTTTATAAGACTATACAAGAGAAAGAACAGGGTGAGGAGACAGGGACAAAATATACTGAATATACTTTGTTTTGAAAATGTGACTTTGAAGCCTGTAACTATTTATCATAAGTTTAAAACAAAATTAAACAGAAATGAAAGCCCCTTAAAATCAAAAGCAAAACTGAAACAAAAGAAACTGTGTACCATGCAAAGAATAATTATTTCAAATGACTTTAAAACACAACAATTTGGCTGGGCACGGTGGCTCACACCTGTAATCCCAGCACTTTGGGAGGCCAAGGCAGGTGGATCATGAGGTCAGGAGATTGAGACCATCCTGGCTAACATGGTGAAACCCCAAAATTAGCCGGTCGTGGTGGCAGGCACCTGTAGTCCCAGCTACTTGGGAGGCTGAGGCAGGAGAATGGCGTGAACTCGGGAGGTGGAGCTTGCAGTGAGCCGAGATCACGCCGCTGCACTCCAGCCTGGGTGACAGAGCAAGACTCCATCTCAGAAAAAAAAAAAAACGCAATAATTTGAGCCTATCTGCCTAATGTGATATATCGTAAAAAATAACTGCAAAGAAATTCTTAAATTTTTCCACTATCATATCGATAGTAATAATATTCTTTAGATAATTGTGATACTATTATGTGTGTAAAATTCACATATGCACAACACACACACAGCCGGATTGATCACGTAATAATTAAGTCAATGTAGTTAGGACGTAACCTAACTACATTGACTTTTAGCAAACGTGAAATCATAAAATATTATATTCAAAAAGGTAAAACCCTGTAACATTACATTTCAATTGGAAATACAGTACTTACTTTTCTTTTTAAAAATATGTTTTTTAGCTCCTTCCATTAAAATAATCTAAAAAAAAAATGACCAGTCACCACTTCTAATGCCTTAATAGCAATTTCTAAATTCTATTTCCCAAGAAAGGAACAGGGCTCTTCAAAAAATAGTCGATTTCAGGCAGAGGACAGAGAATGTACATGAAAGCCTAGAAAACCTTGTTGTACTAGAAAGTAAAAAAGCTATAAAAGATTACTGAAACTTTACCAATAGCACTCAGAAGGAAATTCAGTCTAAGCATCAAAAAGAATAAAAACTGCGATATATTGAAATACATAGAATCTGTTTAGAAAAATAACTTCATTATAATATGAAAAAATCCCACATCTGTCGTGGTTAGAGAATGTTAGCAGAACAACTCATTGGTCTGAAACTGATAAAAGGAAAAAATCATACATAATGTGCTAACATACTCATGAAACAATGCTGGCATGAATACAGAAAACTATTAAAGATGGTTACATCTGGCCCGGCACGGTGGCTCAAGCCTGTAATCCAAGCACTTTGGGAGGCCAAGGCGGGTGGATCACGAGGTCAGGAGATCGAGACCATCCTGGCTAACACGGTGAAACCCCGTCTCTACTAAACATACAAAAAAAAAAAAAATTAGCCAGGCATGGTGGCGGCGGGTGCCTGTAGTCCCAGCTACTCGGGAGGCTGAAGCAAGAGAATGGCGTGAACCTGGGAGGTGGAGCTGGCAGTGAGCCGAGATCGCGCCACTGCACTCTAGCCTGGGCAACAGAGCGAGACTCTGTCTCAAAAAAAAAAAAAAAAAAAAAAAAAAAAAAAAAAAGATGGTTACATCTGAGAGGTGGGCCCAGGAAAAAGGGGGGATGAAAAAGGAGATTTTTTTACTTTTCACCTATACCCATCTAACATTGTTTGACTTTTTCTCAATACCATGAATACTGCCTTTAATATTTTTAAACTTATTAATTTTTTAAAAGAAATGTTTGAAAAATTGATGGATAGTTGAATCCATGATAAATTACTTAGAGAAGTTGGAATATATCTGGTGAGAATTCCTAATATTTTAAGAAAACCAACCATCTTGTCATTACTCATCCTTTGAGTTGAGTTTTCTGTTACCTGGACGTGAAAGCTGCCTGAAGAACCCAGGCATGATTTCCTATTCTCCACCACCACAGTCACCTTTCTCTGAATTTGTTTCCATATGTGTATGTTCCTCATAAAGTATGACACCCACACCTGAACACAGACCTCGGATTGACGGGCTTAGATCACTATGTTTTGGACCTGATACACCAGACAGCCGAGACTCAAGGAGGCTAAAAGTGCATTCACTATTTTTTTTTTTTTTTTTGAGACGGAGTCTCACTTTGTCACCCACGCTGGAGGGCAGTGGCGCGATCTCAGCTCACTGCAACCTCCACCTCCCCAGTTCAAGCAATTCTCCTACCTCAGCCTCCTGAGTACCTGAGATTACAGATGCATGCCACCATGTCTGCCTAATTTTTGTATTTTTAGTAGAGACGGGGTTTTGCCATGTTGGCCAGGCTGGTCTTGAACTCTTGGCCTCAAGCGATCTGCCTGTCTCAGCCTCCCAAAGTGCTGGGATTATAGGCATCAGAAATTCAGTCCTCAACTCTGTGACCCCAGGATTGATCCACAGAAGCAATTTAGGCTCTTGAAATTTTCTTCGTATTCCTTTATCTCCCAAACTTTATTTTTCCTCATTAAGCTTTGTTTTAATGGGTCTCAAAATTCTGTGATAGATTCTTGGTCAAGTTGTTTCCATTAAAAAGTACTGATTTTAAAAACTAATAACTTAAAACTGCCACACACACACACACACAAATCCACAAAACACTCTCCTTTCCTTGTGAATTTTTTACAATGCACTGTTATCATTAACCAGCCTTTATTAACCTTAAATGGTCAATTGAAACAAATAATTCTGAGACTGTTCTTCCACCACTGATTAAAACCCATTTATGCCTACTGTTCCATTACTGGAATGCTAAGCATGTGGGAGTTATTTATATCCTACTGCTCAAGGTCATTGCCAAGGTCTGAATGCAAAAATTCAAAAAAAAAAATGCAACGTCAGGCATAAAGGGTGAAGACTGGCATGGCAGGTATTAGGGATAATATTCATGTAACCTTCCGAGCTTTCTGGGCAGGCTTGGTGACCTTGCCAGCTCCAGCAGGCTTCTTGTCCCCTGCTTTGATGACATCCATAGCAACTGTCTATCTTATATCACAAACAACAAAACAACCCAGAGGAGTATTGTGAGAGAAGCTCTCAACACACATAGGCTTGCCAGGAACTATACCAAAAATAGCAGCATCACCAGACTTCAAGAATTTAGGATCATCTTCCAGCTCCTTACCAAAATGGTGATCCATCTTTTCCTTCAGTTCAACAAAGTTGCAAGCAATGTGAGTTGTGTGTTAATCCATTACAGGGGCATAACCAACACTGATTTGGCCTGGATGGTTCAGGACAGTTACCTGGGCAGTGAAGCCAGCTTCTTCCACTGGTGGGTCATTTTTGCTGTTACCAGCAGTGTTGCCACAATGAACATCTTTGACAGGCACCTTTTTGACATTGAAGCTTACATTGTCCCTAGGAAGAGCTTCACTCAAAGCTTCATGGTACATTTCAACACATCTTTAGTTGCAATGTTGACTGGAGCAAAGGTGACCACCATGCCGGGTTTGAGAAACCCAGGCTTTGCTCGGCCCACAAAGATAGTATCAGTACCACCAACTCTGCCCACAAAGATAGTATCAGTACCACCAAGTCTGTAGACATCCTGGAGTGGCAGATGCAAGGGCCTGACAGTTGGACAAGTTAGTGATAGGACGCAGTCCAGAGCTTCAGGCAGTGTGGTCCCACTGGCATTGCCATCTTTACGGACGACTTTCCATCCCTTGAACCAAGGCCTGTGAGCACTTGGCTTCAGCATGCTGCCACCATTCCAACCAGAAATGGACACAAATGCTACTGTGTCAAGGTTGTAGCCAATTTTCTTAAGGAAAGTACTGATTTCCTTAACTATTTCCTTGTATCTCTTCTGACTGTAGAGTGGCTCAGTGGAATCTATTTTGCTAACACCAAGGATTTGTTGTTTCACACCCAGTGTGTAAGCCAGGAGAGCATGCTCCTGGATCTGCCCATTCTTAGAGATGCTGGCTTCAAATTCACCAATGCCAGCAGCAACAATCAGGACAGCACAGCCAGCCTAAGATATGCCTGTAACCATGTTTTTGATAAAGTCTCTGTGTCCTGGGGCATTAATGATAGTCACATAGCACTTGCTGGTTTCAAATTTCCATAGGGAGATATCAATGATGACATCAGGCTCAGGCTCAGCTTTTAGTTTATCCAAGACCCAGCCATATTTGAAAGAGCTTTTTCCCTCTCAGCAGCCTCCTCCTCAAATCTTTTGATGATTCTTTTGCCGATACCACCATACCACCACATCTGTAGATCAGATGGCCAGTAGTGGTGGACTTGCCTGAACCTAAGTGTCCAATGACATCAATGTTGGTTGGAGTCTTCTCTTTTCCCCTTTTGGCTTTTAGGCCATGTTTTTCATGACACTTGTGTTCTAGCAGCAAATCCATTGTGAAAACACCCAAACTTTATTGTAATGGATGCTTTCCAGCCTTCTCTTGACTACTGATATTGAAGGTGCATCCCATTTCTATGTTCTAGTCCACTTAACAAATTCTGAATCTCTTATCCTTGTAACTTTTAAATATCTATCTTCCAAGTCACTATCACCTGTGAATACCATAAGTATTTTTCTTTCAGAGACTTTATGACTTCTTGCAAAGCATCATTTACTCTAGTTTCCTCTTAGGACTCTAGGGCTGACTATCTAAATAGTATAATGTTGAGCTCTTGGCCATTTCCTACTTCTGCCCACATATATTCCATTCCACAGGATATAGTCCTTCCTAGAAGACAGAAAATACTTTGATACATATAATATATACAGTGCATCAAATTGAAAGAGCATTCCTGGGCTTCTGAGTCCCAGTCCTTGCTAAATGTCTTTGGGGAAATATTCCAAAAACCCTGAGCCTCGGTTTGTTGTTTTTCTGTTGTTGTTTTCTTGTTTTGTTTTGTTTTTGTTTTTGTTTTTTGATGGAGTCTCACTCTGTCACCCAAGCTGCAGTGCAATGGTGGGATCTCAGCTCACTGCAACCTCCACCTCCCAGGTTCAAGTGATTCTCTCACCTCAGTCTCCCATGTAGCTGAGATTACAGGTGTCTGCCACCATGCCCAGCTAATTTTTGTATTTTTAGTAGAGATAGGGTTTCACCATGTTGGCCAGGCTGGTCTCGAACTCTTGACCTCAGGCAATCTGCCCACCTTGGCCTCCCAAATTGCTGAGATTAAATTGGTGGTTCAGTGGTAGAATTCTCACCTGCCAAAGTGCTGGGATTACAGGCATGAGCCACCACATCCGGCCCTCAGTTTCTTTATACATAAAAATGGGTAAAAGATGACCTACCCATCTCGTGGATTTGTTGTAAAGATTTAAGGAAATAATATTTGTAAAACCTAATACAGAGAAGGCACTCAAATATTGTTTATTATCATCAATTATATTCTACCTAAAGCTAGGCAAATAACACAGCAGTCATTTTCACATTGCTATTCAAATTAACATTCTTCTACAAAGGCCAGCAGGCATGGGAGCTAGCCCTGGCCTTCTACCCTCTGGAATTCAGTAGTGGAATTCCATCTAAAGTCTAGAATAAAATTAAACTTGATGGGTTTCATCTTTATTCTCTTTCATATATGTCAACCACTGCCAACAGCCATCATGACCTCTGCTTCCAAAGCACTTCAGGACTGATCAAGCAAACTCCTGCTGCACTGGGGGTGAGATTTCCAGGGATTTGAGGTTCAAACACAGGACTGTGGCATGCTGGGGAGATCCCTAGATAGTATCACAGCAACTGCCATAGGTACAGAAAACAGTCACTAAGGAAGCAGGAGAGGTGTGTTTCTCTTTTCATGTGCCTGTCTCTTCACTTACAGAAATATTGACAAGGAGAAAAGAAGCGCTTTGCCAACCAAGCAGAGCTTGTGCTGAACACAACACTTGACCACACTGCTTTCAAGTCTCTCTCATGCTCTCTGCATAGCCAGGACAAAGACATTCAGATGGAGGGTCAGGGCAGGGAGAAAGGAAAAGAGGGGAGAGAAGGTGGGGGTGGGACGGAGATTTAATTCCTTAGCCTAATGTGTTTTATTCCTTTTCTGAAAATAAATAGAAGACTGAGCTCCTGTCAGACCTGTTGATCCAGGACCCCTTGACACTCCATTTTAAAATCAAAGTATTTTGAAACAAAACTTCCTTAATGAGCACCTGGAAGTAGGAATGAGGAAGACTGTTTGAGTGGTTTTCTTTTCAAGTGGAGTCCTTTCTTTTCTGAAAGCTACAGACTCAATGACAATAACTATCTGTGGAACAAATTGAATGAATTTGTGTCTCTCTTGTTTTTCTCTAAGAAACCTTCCAGAATCTGACACTCTAATTAACCAAGGTATCTCTTCTTTTGCTCTGTTCATCCTTAATACACAAACACAAGTGCAGCTCCACCTTGATTGTCAAAGGTGAATACAATCACACAGCATGCTTTTTGGCCAGAAACTTTGATGCCACGTGTAGAAATCACATAGAGGGCAAAGATTTAAGTTCCAGGGATTTTGGAGATGGTGCGGGTGGAGGAAGGGGAGGAAGGAGATGGTTATTGATAGCATAGTAACATCTAGAAAACAGGCTTTCCAACTGGAAAAGCATGTGTTCAGATCTCAGCTCTTCCAATTACTGCCTCTTCAACAGAAATAACATAAATAATGGCCAGGCACAGTGGCTCACACTTGTAATCCCAGCACTTTGGGAGGCCAAGGCAGGTGGATCACTTAAGGTAAGGAGTTCAAGACCAGCCTGGTCAACATAGTGGAACTATGTCTCTACCAAAAATATAAAAATTAGCTGAGTGTGGTGGTGGGCACCTGTAGTCCCAGCTACTTGGGAGGCTGAAGCAGGAGAATCACTTGAGCCCAGGAGGCAGGAGTTACAGTGAGCTAAGATCGCACCACTGTACTTCAGCCTGGGTGACACAGCAAGACTCTATCTCAAAAACAAAACAAAACAAAAAACTGTAAATCAGTTATTCAACTCCCTAACTTTCATTTCCTCATCTGTCAAATGGAGGAAAGAGCAGTGATCAGTAGTTCTGTGGTGGTGATTAAATATACAGAAAGCCCTTAGAAATATGGTCAATAAAAGGCAGCTGGTATTTACACTGTTGTTATGATTATGAATTTTTAAATTAAATACTATTTAAAATAAAATAAAAGAGGCCTATAAACCCGAAAACACGCGCCCAACAATCTTAGACATAAAAGAAAGGTGATTCAATGAAAGAAGGAAAGAAAGCAAAAACCAAGAGAGAAACACAAAGAGGGAGGAAGGAAAGGTAAAGGGAAGGGGACAAGACTGGTGACGCAAGGAGGGGACCTCCAGGAAAGCTCTATACTCGGGGACTGTATGCTCCAGGTCCTGGGGAAAACAGCAAAAGGGGGCACATGTTTTTGCAACAACACCTAAAATATGCAGACTTATCTGTGCCTATTAATGCTACCTCCTTCCCTTCTACCAATTTGAACACTCAACTTTAAATAACTTCCTCAATTTTGAAGGCTCAAGACTTCTCCCTTTAGGAAATAAATTAAGACTCAAATAATCAATATTTCCACAACTCCTCACTCCTGCCCCACCACCCTTATCCACAACAGCTGTTTTCCACCCTCTACCCTCTACTTTCCAAGGGAGTGGTGAGGGAAATGATTGAAATTGCTTTTCCCAGTCTTCTCTTGCTGTAAGAAAAGGTTGCAGTGATAAAGAAATATGGGAAAAAATTAAAAGGCCATGCAGAGCTGAGTGATGCAGGGGAAACTGGCAAAGAGAAAGTGATCAAACAACTCAAAGATATCTGCAAGATACTCTAGCCTATTTGAAGATTAGAGTTATTTAAATTCAGTGTTATTGTTACAGGAATAGGGCAAAGAGACTGTGCTGCTTTGTAAGAAATTTCCATCACCAAAACCATGTTTATAACCTGGAAGAAAAAAAGGATATGTTTTAAGTGTAAAAGCACTGAGCCCTTTCAAATCCCTCCTTCCTTTGTTAATGACATTGTGTTTCTTTGTTCTGGAGTCTCCCAGAATGATGCAGGAGAAAATTTTTCAGGTTAGCTTTGACAATCAAACTCTTTTCTTTACATTTGCATGCTTGGAACTCTCTTGTTAGATATATTTCTACCAAAAGCAAGAAGCTGGGAAACTGTTTTATTCTTGTACAGTTTTATTCTTTCCCCAAAGACCCCCCTTATTATCTCTACTGAGAATTTCAGCATTCTCTCTGTTAAAACTCAGTCTGCCACTTTAGAAGTTAAAGATTAATATGTCTGTGCCTTTAAGTGTAATCTAGATTCTGGAATTAAATTAGGTGTATGGGAAGAATAGAATTAGGACGGCTGGGCTCTAGTCCCAGTACTACCAATAACTAGTGGTGTGACCTTGGGAAAGCCTTCAGTTTCTTTGGAACTCCATCTATAAAGTAAGGTGGTTGGAAATGACAATCTCTAAATACCTTGTGGCTCTAAAATTCTATGTTCTTATGGACGAGGAACTCTCCAACTTAAAAGCTAACTGGTTGCTGATAGTCATTTTCTCAGCTAGTTAATTCAATTCTAAAGAACAAGAACCTGGTATGATATTTTTCTTCAACACACAACTGTCTTTTGAAATAATAACAGCAGAAAAGAGAGGAGCCCACTCTAGCTAGCAGTAAACAATCAGCCTTGGAAAAGACGGCCATGGGAGCCAAGGGAACAATGAGGAAAATTACTGAAATAATCCCTTTGTCCAGTCTCTTTTCTCTGGAAAAGTTGCTATGAAAAGGGAATATAAAAACAATAACAAGGCCATGCAAAGCTGAGCCAGGCAGGGAGGTCGTGTGGGGTGGACGTCATCAAATTCAATGGATCCATCCATTTCCTTTAACCTCATCTTTTCCTTCCTTAAAAGATATACTTTGCCTCCTCCTCATTCCTGCCGTATTGTGAAGCAAAAGAATACTGGCACTTTCTTTTTCTTCTTTATTAGTTCAGGCAAAGGATTCTTCTGCAAAAAGTAAAAAAGAAATCAAACCGAAAATAAGCTTCTGTTCGGGGAAAAGAAATGGTTGGGGTGGGTGAGTTGTCTAAAAATGACTGTGTGGATGGTGCACTTATTAAAAAGTAACAGACTGCAAATCTTCAAATTTAAAAAAGATTTGAAAAGATCTGGGCTCAGGAGGTAGCAGAAAGCTGGTGCAAAACTGAGACAAACAATGAGCCTTGGGGTTTTGCTTTTCTTTTGGTTTTTGAGTCCCCTAATTGAGCCTGTAGCAAAAAGTAAGAAAAAAACAGGAGCTGAACTCTCAAATTCAATGGTTCACAGCCTTTGGCAAAAGAAGTCTCTCCCTTTTCTTTGCCAGATATCTTAGTGAAAACAGAGGTGACACTAAAAGGCTGGATAGGAAATTGACTCATCCAAGGGCTTCAGTGAGTCTCGGAGAGCCAATCAGGTGATTTTTATCTGGGGAAAAGAAATGGCAGTATAAAATGAGATAGACTTGAGAACATGAATTGGTTTTCGACAAGCAGAACCAGAGAGAATAATTTTACTGGTCTCAAAGCTTACACGTAGTCCAGATGTAAACTATGGTCTCTCAGCCCTTAAAAAAGAAAAAGGATTGATCTGAATGCTCAGTCTGTGGATTTTGAAGGGTTAACTGTGCAAAACACACACACACAGTTTCTGCAAATAGAGGATTTTCAAGGTCACCTGGCTTCGGATTCCTACTTAATGAGCTCAGTGTTGTGTCATCTGAATTCACTCTGTGGCAACCTGATTTGCAACTCATACTTTCCCTTATTCTATTAGTAAATAAACAAATAAAATAAAAATCCTAATTCAAGGCAGTGCATGTGCATGCATGCCAGTGAACTTCCCCAGATTTCCTGAAGGTTAGAGGATGTGGGTGGCATTATTTAGCAAATACTGTTCTTAAATGTTCACTCTTCCCTCCTCCCCTCCTCTGAGGAAGGAATAGACTTCCGCTCCCTCCCACTTTGATACTGAACTTGGCCATGTGACTGGCTTTGCCCAATGGAATGGACGCAGACATGATGTAAGCCACCTCTGAGCAGAGGCTTTAAAAGTGCTTGCCCAGTCTGGCTTGGCTACTTCTGCTCCAGCCCTCCTAGAGAAGAGCTTGCCTCAGGGAGCTACTGCTCCTTCAGCCTGGGCCAAAAAATGAAAGCCATAGGAACAGACCTAAATTTGACCTGCAGCTGGGAGCACAGTTAACTGCAGTTAACCCCACAGACTGAAACAAAATAAATAAATGTTTGCTGTTGGAAGCTACTAAGATTGGGGTTGTTTATTGTGCAATATTGTTTCAGCAAAAGCTGATTTAGGCCAGGCATGGTGGCCCATGCCTGTAATCGCAGCAGTTTGAGAGGCCAAGGCAGGTAGATCACTTGAGGCCAAGAGTTTGAGACCAGCCTGGCCAACATGGTGAAACTCCATCTCTATTAAAAATATTTTAAAAAACCAATTAGCCTGGTGTGGTGGCTCGAGCCTGTAATCCCAGATACTCTAGAGACTGAGGCAGGAGAATTGCTTGAAACCAGGAGGCGGAGGCTGCAGTGAGCCAAGATAGTGCCACTATGCTCCAGTCTGGGCAACAGAGTGAGACCCTGTCTCAAAAAAAAAAAAAAAAATACATAAACAAACAAACAAAAAAAGCTGACTTAAAGAATTCTCCGGGGAAAGGGGTATATATCACAATAATATACACAAGTTCAAATTAAGCATTAGACATCCTTGTTCTTGAAAGATATTATCCAGCCTGGGTCATCCTAAGGAGTTGTACTATTTTCCTTCCAACTTTACACATTATTTCCCCGAGATCCCTACAGCCCTCCCAACTCTAAAATCTCCTTAATATATGATGAAGAACGAGTCAGAGTTCTGCCCTGTAGGCCACCTTTTCATATTCAAGTTCACCAAGGACTTCTCCTGTAACAGAAGCATCTCTATGGAAGAACAACAATGTTTTATTCACAATGATTTTCCTCCCTATTACATACTCATACATGGGAGAGATGAGTAGTGTTAAGTTCTAATTAGAACCAGAAAACATCTTGTAGGGTTCCAGATGAGAAGTCAATGCATACCTCTCTCTCCTGTCTCACCTTTCCCTTGTGTCTTTCCTCAGTCTCTGATCGCTCTTTTCTGCCAAGCCATTATCTTCTTCTATGGATGTAGAGGAGACAATGTGTGTCACCAATTAGCAAGAAAAGTTCCCTCTTGTTTCCCCTTGAAGTTCAAATTCCATTAAGTAATGAGAATTTAGCCATCAATAATTAAGACTATCCCTGGGAAACACTCTCACAGAAGAAGCTAACAGCAGTGCTTTTTGAATAATAAAGCAGAAAAAGATTTTTCTAACCACAATGATTTCTTTTTGTACTTTCACAATTCTCCAAGGAGGAGCAGGCAGCCATTTTAACAAGATCCTGCAGCGATTCTGGAGCCTCTGGTAGCCGATGATCACAAAATACTCCAGTAGGTTGGCCCAGTTTAAGCCAAGTACAAATAACACATCACTTTTGAAATAAATGGCATAACGGCCTTTGAAATGTAAAAGCCAGTTGATTTTGTTTCTAAAATTAGAAGATTGAGTTTGACCTTAATTTTCTCATTGGGGTTGGGGGGTGCCTCTGGTTCAGCCAAAAATCACTAGCCAATGGCTGTCACTAAACAAGGACATGGACAGCAGGTAGAAGAAGTGAGTTGTTGACTTCCACTATACAAAAAATATTACAGGAACATGGGGAGGGAGGAGCCTGTTCTTCTTTCTTCTGATAGGAAGAGGAAACCTGAGTCTATTTATTTGTAAGATTTCCAAATAGCACTTTACTCCTAAAAACACAAGAGAATTATTCAGATTTAAAAATCACAGTATGAACAATCATATCAAGCATCAAAATAGAGCCACAAACAAAGGCAGCTGGATCAAGCTAGGAAAAGATGTCTTAAGAAAGCTGAAACATTTCTGTCCTTATGCCAGCTGACATGAAAAAGGCAATTAACTATAGATTAAGTTGGGAGGGAAGGGGCAGCAGAAAGGGAAACTAAGCACGAATTATTTCAGGAACCTGAAAGAATGAGATTTCTTGGAATATATTTTACTGAGCTATAAGGGCAAATGACTATGCCTCTCTAAGTTCCAAAGTGCGTGAGTATACTGGATAAACCAGCTTAATGGTAAGCCAGATCTGGGGCTCTAAATTACTAGACAGTCTTTTTGGTTCTGAAGAGACATAGAAAAGTAAGGGATATGGAATAGATCCAGCTACTTCCTTTGCCTGCCAATCTAGAAGATTAGAGAGGGCAGAGAGATGCCATCATCATAGCTTCTATCCAAAGCTGCTAAAGTTGCATAGAGTTAGAGAGATGAGAAGGCATGGGCTTCTCCAAGGAGGGTATGAGAGATTGGAGCCATGGTTTGGGAGACTCTGTCATGCTGGGGGAGTGTATTAGTCCATTTTCACACAGCTATGAAGGCATATCTGAAACTGGGTAAGTTATAAAGGGAAGAGGTTTAATTGACTCACAGTTCCACATGTCTGGGGAGGCCTTAGGAAAGTTACAATCATGGCAGAAGGGGAAGCAAACACGTCCTTCTTCACATGGCAGCAGGAAGGAGATGTGCCAAGCAAAGGGAGAACTGTCCCTTATAAAACCATCAGATCTCGCAAGAACTCACTCACTATCACAAGAACAGCAGCATGGGGTTAACTGCCACCAGATTCAATTACCTCCCACTGGGTCTCTCCTGCAACATGTGGGGATTATGGGAACTAATATTCAAGATGAGATCTGGGTGGTAACATAGCCATACCATATCAGGGAGTAAGACCTCTGGGGATTTGAAAAATTAAAGCAGGTGACAAAAAAGCAAATGAACTTTTATAGCTGTAGGCAAGTGAAAAACTCTAACATAACAGCCAAGTAAAGATTCCAATATTCTAATATCCAAGGCAATATGAGCTTTACGTAGACATTGCCTATACTTTTGTCTCACCCTTCTCTTAATCTCTGGCCTTCTCATACACTAGGAATGGCTTGGATCTCTCTCCCTCTCTCCCTCTCTCTCTCTCTCTCTCTCTCTCTCTCTCTGTCTTTCTTTAGTATGACACTCTCATCCCCCCATTGATCAAGACAATATCCAATTACTTGTAAGCTCTCCAGTATGGACCCATTTTTATATTCAACAAGCATTCATTGAGGACCTGTCTCAGGTACATGGAATAAAGAGATAAATAAAGCAAGGGGCCTTCCCCTCTAAAAGAAGGGGTATCTAAATTTAGGGACGGGCTTTCTGGAGAAGGTGAAACCAACTCATGTTCTTATGAGGTGCCAAGCCTTGGATTATCACACAGGGTTCCTTGGGGAAAGCAATAGTGACTGACTCTGCCAAAAGAAGCAATATTCATAATTTTTAAAGTGGGCTGTCTTAAAGGAAGAACAAAAGTTAGCCAAGTACAGGCAGTGAACATTCAAAGGCACTGAAGTAGCAAGCAGTCCGTGGTGGTGGGAGGACCTTGGTATTGTTAGTTGACTCTGAGAGGGTTTTCTTACTGTCAATTTTCAATAAATTTTGCCCCAAAGAAAAAGTAACAAAAAGAAAATCAATAACTAAGGGCTGCACTTTTATGAACTTATATTGTAACTGATTCACTAAATCACTATTTAATCAACCTCAATTACTGCCTTAATGAACAATTAATTCTACCACTTATGTAACAAGCCCTATGCAAAGACAAGCTGGAGTCTCATTCTCAAAGCAACCATGATAACACTGAAAATTCAAAATTACCTTTAAATGTACCAGGAGAAGCCAGCCAAATGTAGAAGAGGTGACTGTGGCACCTGAAACAGGTAAAGTGAGCTTTTCCAATTCAAAAATATCTTTGCCACATATTTTACCAATTAGAGATTCAGCTGTGGCAACATACTTCTCATTTTAAAAGCAGGTAAAGAAGTAAACAGAGTAAGCCTAGACATCATTCACCCCTTAGTAAATGTTTTTCTTATTTCAATCAATAGAGGCACCATTCTCTAATTCTTTGCTTTTAGAATCATCATTAATTCCTGTCTCCTTTCATATTTGATCTTATTAGTTGTCAAGCCTTAGATTATCATACAGGATTCTTTGTGGGAAGCAGCAGACTGATTCTGGTTGATTGAAACAATATCCACAATATCTTTTTAAAAAGGTTATTTTAAGCGGCAGACATTGTAGATTAGCTTTCCTTTTCTCAACTTCTTCATCTCCAGTTGTATCATAGAGGTTGGACACTCCAAATGCTCATTAAATACTCATTTCTTACATTTCCATGCAGCTAGTTGACCATGTTACTCAGCTCTGGCCAACAACATGTACGCCTAAGTCTGCTGGAGTTTCAGGAACCTTTGGCTCCTCTGATTAAAATGAAATACACAACTGGTGCTAACCTGTCCCCTCTTCTGATCCTTGTCTTGACAAAGATGGCAGCCTAAGGGAAAGGCCAAGAGGCTGAAAGAGAACCTTGACACTGTCAACCTATTGACAAAATGTCAGTAGCACACTTTGGGAGGCTAAGGCAGGCAGATTGCTTGAGCCCAGGAGTTTGCTACCAGCCTGGTCAACATGGTGAGACCCCAACTCTACAAAAAATACAAAATCTAGCCAGGTATGGTGGCCCGTGCCTGTAGCCCTAGCTACTTTGGGGGCTGAAGCAGGAGGATCACTTGGGCCTGAGAGGCAGAGGTTGCAGTGAGCCTAGATTGCACTACTGCACTTCAGCCTGGGCAACAGAGTGAGACCCTGTCTCAAAAAAAAAAAATGTCAGTAGCTATTAACACCAAACTTATTTTAAAATCCTAATGGCTTAAGCCACTACTAATGATGTTTTCTGTTATTGCAGCTGCAAAAATGCCTGCCACATCTTCTGACTAATTGGAAGGGCTCAAGTCTAATCAGCTAGCACCAATGCCCAAAAGCACACTACAGAGCTAGTCAAATAAGGGCCATCAATCTACTAGACACTGCTGTTTGTACTGCTGCCACTTCTGCACCAGAAGCGTAATCTTACTGCAACCACTAACACCACAGTCAACACTGTCACTTCTGTGTAAGGCCCACAGTCTTGCAGCACCATATACTATTTCTGCTACTGTGACTCCAAATTCAAAGCCTACAGTGGCTACATCTAGTTGATGGCAGCTGGGTTCCACGCACGTTTTAACTGCAAGTACAGCTTAAAAGTTGAGTATCTGCCATTTTCAACTGTTAAGGATTTATAAGGTGGATAATTCTCCTATGTATAGGAAAGAGGTGTGCACCTCATTTTTTCAATGCTGTGATCTCTCTAGATCAGACCTTATCTTATAATTTCCAGCCACTACATAGAAGTAATTTTAATCAATTAGAATTGCTGCATCTCTGAAATCTTACACTCTATTACAGGACCCTGTCTTGGTAGCTCAGCACCTTACTTCTACTTCCTTTTCTTGTACATGAAGGTGGAAAATAATGGACAGACTAAATAGATATTAAAGATGTTAAACTGACAGAATTTGGGATAACTAGAGGTGAGTGACACAAGGAGATGATTTAAGAATAATTCCCCAAATTCTGGCATGAGCAATAACAAGGTAGGCGGTGGTGTCATTCACTGAGGGAATGAAGGTTGAGGAGGGGACTCAGAAAGCAAAAATAACCACATTGGTTTGGGGACATGGGTTCAAGCACCTGTGAACTGGTGAAGTGATCCAATAAAGAGCTAGGTGTGTGGATCTAGAACACAGGAAGAAGGCAGGGACTGGAAGTACAGATTTTGGCGTCATCAATTTGTAGATCATTGAAATCATGAAACTGCCTCATCCACCTGCATTTCTTTTTGTTTTTTGTTTTTTTTTTTTTTTTTTTTTTTTTGAGACGGAGTCTCGCTCTGTCGCCCAGGCTGGAGTGCAGTGGCGGGATCTCGGCTCACTGCAAGCTCCGCCTCCCGGGTTCACGCCATTCTCCTGCCTCAGCCTCCCAAGTAGCTGGGACTACAGGCGCCCGCCACTACGCCCGGCTAATTTTTTGTATTTTTAGTAGAGACGGGGTTTCACCGTTTTTTAGCCGGGATGGTCTCGATCTCCTGACCTCGTGATCCACCCGCCTCGGCCTCCCAAAGTGCTGGGATTACAGGCGTGAGCCACCGCGCCCGGCCTATAAGGAGTCTTTCTCCAAAGATCAGGAGCCAGCAATCAGCCTAAACCAACTCATCCTCTGGGAGACAATGGGAGGTAGAAAGCTGAGCGCTTGAACTGGAGGCTATGAGAAAAGAATGCAAAGGTTAAGCCTCTTGAATCAAAGACTTTGGTCTTCTATCAGCCAAGGCAGCTTGTTTTGATGATGCTATGGAGAAATACCAACCCCAGAGTTATTTTGTGCTCTGTGTTGAAACCTCTCACTGCTTTGTAAGATAAAACTAACGCAACAAATATCGATTGAACATTGCACTATCTAATATGAAACATGAGACTGTCCCTGTCCTCAAGAATCTGATTTATAATAATAATAGCTATTATTATTAAATTGCTAACGTGTATTAAGCACTTGCCATTGGACAAGTTAAAGTATTTATTTAATCTTTCCAATAATTCTATGATAGATTCTATCTTCATTCCCATTTGCAGAAAGGGAAATACTCTCTTAGTTATTTTTAAATGTACAATTAAGTTATTATTGACTGTAGTCAACTGGTTGTGCTATAAAATAGTATGTCTTATTTATTCTATTTTTCATGCCCATTAACCATTCCCACCTCCCCGCAGCATCCCACTACCCTTCCAAGCCTCTGGTAACCATTCTGCTATCTCCATGAGTTAAATTGTTTGATTTTTAGATCCCACAAATAAGTGAGAACATGTGACATCTGTCTTTCTGTGTCTGGCTTACTTCATTTAACATAACGATCTCCAGTTCCATCCATGTTGTTGCAAATGCCAGGATCTCATTAATTTTTATGGCTGAATAGTACTCCATTGTGTATATAAACCAAATTTTCTTTATTCATTCACCTGCTGATGGACACTTAGGTTGCTTCCAAATCTTAGCTATGGTGAACAATGCTGCAACAAATGTGGGAGTGCAGATATCTCTTTGATACACTGATTTCCTTTCTTTGGGGTATATACCCAGAAGAGGGATAGCTGAATCATACTTTTAGTTTTTTGAGAAACCTCCAGACATCTTCACAGTGGTTGTACTAACAAGGTGGAGATTCTAAACACACCTTTTATTTCCCAGGGAAGAAAAGCACTAAATAGAGAGCTTCCAAATAGCACCAAGAGTGTAGCAGTGAAGGTGAGAAACTAGAAACCAAAATCTTAAGTGATTTCTTTAAAAATAACTATTGTGGTAAACTATATCAAGTTGAATTGAGAAATTCATGCATTCATTTGGCAAATATGTATCCAGTTCCTACTATATGCCAGAGTCTGTGCTAGGCACTGTGAATTCATAGGAAAAATAATACAGGTTACTTAAAGAACCTATATGCATAAATATTTTCCTACATATACAACTATGACTTTTTACATTCATAAGTAATTATGAAACTTAACCAGGTTGTTAGCTCAAAGAATAGTACTGAAAATAACAGAGAGAAGTACCAGAAATAAAGGGCAAATGACTAGCAGGCAACTTTAAAAGAAATCTCCAGATGCCTTGAGAAATGCTACCAGTAGCAGAAAACCAGAAAATACTCTTCTTGCTGCGGCCATGCACAAGTTTCATTCTAGACATAACACATTGGTTGCCTCACCATTGTTCTTTTCTTCCTCAAATTAGAAACCTTTAGGAATCAGACAAAATGGACTCAATCCCTCTAGCTTGAATAATTTCTGGAAAGCTTAGATGTTCTCGGCATGTCTGTAAAAGCAGTTGCTGCATTTCTAATTAGCGTCTTTGAATTTGCCTGTTGTAATTCCAAGCCCTCCTAAGTCTTCAAGGACAAGACCTCTGTGAACCATGCAAGGGGCCATCTTTCATATTATATTCCTAATTATGCACCTGCTAAAGGTTAAGAAAAGTGTTTTGTTTTCCTATAAAGTATTATATTGGTTTTTCATAATGAAGAAAGACTCCAGGCAAAAATTGGTATCTACAACAAATTTGTATCTACAACAAAAAGCTGCTTGGTGTTGAGAGCTATTATTTTTTCTTAATTGTGGGTTTGTTTTGTATGTGTATGTATAACTGATTTTCTCTGCATTTTCATACTTTCCCTGTGTGAGGCATTTCTGGAAGATAATGATTGGATAAGGTTAGAGGTCCTCAACTTCTCCAGCTGTTAAGTATTTGCCAGAAGCAGCTCTTTGTATGCAATTCCTATTGTTATTATTGCTTACTGTTTAGGTCTGTTTCTTTGGAAAAATGTACCTCTCTCACCTCAGGAAAAGTGGAGTCCATTAGGATAGAGTAGAACTTGGTGTACAACTTCCTTTAGGAACAAAGATGGCCTGAAGAAGTCAACTTAAACAATGGATGTCGCTCAGAAACAAAGGCAAAACTTCAGGGGAGGATTTAACTCTGAAATGACATTTCAACCATTTTTTACAAACAAATACTAGCAAGTTTGGCAGCTTGTAAGAGACCATCTAATAACATTTAGCCCTCAGGTAATTTCCTACACAGACACCCTTATACATTCTCAAAGGGTAGGGCCAGACCACTGGCCACTCCTGCATGCCACTAGTCACACACAATGGTCTCTCCTAGTCACAGGGCCACTTTTCATATACATCAACTTGGGAGGATGCTATGATGCCTTTTACTGTGGCACTTCAGGAAAGTGGGCATCATTGGCTTTAGGCACATTTGTAGCAAAGTGCCCAGAACATTGGGGATGCACAGTAATTATCTAATGCAGAAGTTGAGGAATTTTTCTATAAAGGGCCAGGTAGTAAATATTTCAGGTTTTGCACACCATGTAGTCTTGGTTGCAACTTCTCAACTATACTCTGCTACTCTCTTATGGTAGCTCTAAAGCAGCCATAAACAATATATAAAGGAATGAATGTGGCCCAGTTTGGCCCAGAGGCCAGATTTTGCCCACCCATGATCTATTGAATGAATAAGTCATAAGAAAGTTCACTTTTCCATATAAATGACTATTCCAAATAAATGAAACTTTCTTCTTTAAATTCATAAAATTTTTATTTTATTTTTGCTTTAACTATCTTAATCAAAATATTTCATAATGTGTATTTACATACTGGCCTACCTTTTTATAAAACCATATTTTAAGCCTATTTTTACCCAGATGATTCAGAGTCATTATTAAAGAATTTTACAATGCTGCAACTCACTAATGTCCTCTGAGAGTTTTTGACTACATTGGGCTATTTATCTCAACTCTAAAAGCCCCAACCCTTTATTGTTTTTTGTTATTGCAACCACTTGTGATTTTTCTGTTTCCTTCCTTCTCAATACTTTCTTTTCCATTCCCCCAGTGTGCTCTTCGGGAGGATTACATTGACTTTTCAAATCATAAGTCCAAGGAATATTTAAGGCCAGAATCAAACTTCAATATTCTTCATTTCTGGCCAGGCATGGTGGCTCACGCCTGTAATCCCAGCACTTTGGGAGGTGAAGGTGGGCAGATCACTTGAGGTCAGGAGTTCAAGACCAGCCTGGCCAACCTGGTGAAACCCCATCTCTACTAAAAATGCAAGTAATCCCAGCTACTCAGGAGGCAGAGGCAGGGGAATTGCTTGAACCCAGGAGGCGGAGGTTGCAGTGAGTTGAGATCACACCACAGCACTCCAGCCTGGGCAACAGAGCGAGACTCCATCTCAAAAAAAAAAAAAAAAAAAAAAAATCCTATTTCTTCTTTCCACAGAGTGCTGGGACTCTATCTGCTCCTCTCCTTACCCTGCTATATTGACCTATTTACGTTTATTCCCTTTTTCTGATCTGGAGTTGTTCAAAGAGTAGGACGCAGCCTATTCAGTGCTCCTTCTCCTTTTTAAAGTGACGCAGGAACCCAGGCACTTCAAAGTTGTTATTGCGATTTAAAAGAGATATGGAACAGTAAAAATGATAAGATTCACAGAGATAATTCTTACAATCAAGCCCCTAATCTAATATTTCTGATTCCCTTGCTGAAATGCTACCTGGAAATGTTCATTATATTTTCAGGTTTTGCTTCTAATTTATTTAAATTAGAGATTACCAACCTTCACCACTTCTGTAGTTCAAAGGTAAAGAGCATGTCAGGCTCACCCTCCAAGGAGGTCTTTACTTCATTTATACTTTTCAGTTTCACTTAGTCAGAAGCTCAGTGCCTTTCTTTCATGATGATGATAATAATAATAGTCATGTTGATAATGACAGTAACTAACATTTATTCCTTTGTGCCAGATATCATGCTAAACACTTTATATGCATTTCCTAACTTAATGCACGCAATTCCATGAAATAGACACTATATCAAAATTTAAACCTAGAAAATTTAAGCAATTTTTTCAAGGCCACATAGTAAGAGCCAATGCTCAACTCCAAATCATCTAATTCTAACGGAGCATTTAGGAGCTTAGGGATCTTGTATTAGGGATAGTGGTTAAGTGTTATCCTGCAGTACCAAAAGCAACAAGATACCAATAGTTTAATATGAAGAACTCTACTTCTCACTCATACAAAGTCTACTATGAGCATCTGACCACCACACAGTGGTCAGCAACCCAGGCACCTCATCTTAACACATGCCTCCATAAGCACCAAGGTAGGAGAAGAAAGTTTCACTTTCATTTCACTTTCACTTCAGTTTCCAATCTATTGGCCAGAACAAGTCATACAGCTCCACATGTTTGCCATAGAGGTGGAGAAATTTAATCTTCTCATATGCCCAAAAGGAGAGGAAAATCAGACATGAATCAGCACAAAACATTACTATACTATCACAAGCTATCTTTCTGGTCATCGTATATTGGGTTCACTCTTCTACACCCTAAAAACACTAAATCCAATGCCAGATAGACAATCCAGAGTACCACACAATTGTAGCATTGAGCCCTAGGACACTGGACTTAGACTCAGTACTCTCTACACTGGCAGGGATGGAGAGACGAACATTAGTTTTGGCATTAGGTTCTGACCCATGGCTCTTGTTGAACCAGAGACCTGTGAACTTAAAAAGTTAAGTTAAAATAACTATGGCCTCCTCCTCCTAACCATCATCACTATAGACACACATTCAACACACAATGATAGAATGAGGACCAGATAACCTCAGTAGTCACTCCCACTCAGAAAGGGGAAGAATGACCAACCCAGATTTAAGGCATAAAGAAATAGCCTCCACCTCCTTTAAAAAAAAAAAAAAAA
This sequence comes from Homo sapiens, assembly GCF_000001405.40. Lineage (NCBI taxonomy): Eukaryota > Metazoa > Chordata > Mammalia > Primates > Hominidae > Homo > Homo sapiens. Next base: position 81,644,459 of record NC_000014.9, on the reverse strand, counting down.
GTTTGACAGGATCTCACTATGTTGCTCGGGGTGGTCTCAAACTCCTGGGCTCAAGCAATCATCCCTCTCACCCCGACCCCAACCTGGGCCTCCTAGAAAACCAGGATTACAGGTATGGGCCACCATGCCTGGCCAGCCTCCACCTCTTGATGGAAGAATCTGCAATGTTATCTAGTAAAAATACGAATGGCGAAAAGGAAAAATTTGTGACCATTTATACAATCTATCACACTCAAAGTATTAGTTTTCTACTGCTGCAGTAACAAATTACCACAAATTTGATGGCTTAAGAAAACATGAATTTATTATCTCATATTCCTGTATTTCGAAAGTCACTGAGCTAAAATCAAGGCATAAGCGAGGCCACATTCCTTTCTGGAGGAACTAAGGGAAAATCCATTTCCTTGCCTTTTTAAGCTTCTAGAGCTGCCTTCATTCCTTGGCTTATGGCTCCTTTCTTCCATCTTCAAAGCTTCTATTTAATCATTCATCTATCATCACATCTTTGTATGACTACAGCCAGAAAGTTCTCCACTTTTAAGAACTTGTGATTAGATTTGGCCCATTCAGATAATCCAGGATAATCTCTCCATTGCAAGGTCCATAACCTTAATTACAGCTGCAAAGTCCCTTTTGCCATATAAGGTATTGGCATATAACACGTTGCATAGGTTCCAGAGAATATGGCATGGACATCTTTGGGGGATTATTATTTAGTCAAATATATCCAGGAACTCAAATTATGAAAGTTTCATCATGTTATGATGCTGTTATATTCAACACAAGGCTTCAGAGTTTATCAAATCAAAAGGGAGCTGTATTAGTCTGCTCATACTGCCATAACAAAGTACACCATAGAATGAGTGGCTAAAGCAGAATTTTTTTCACAGTTCTGGAAGCTAGAAGTCTGAGATCAGGGTGCCAACACGGTCAGGTCCTGGAGAAGACCCTCTTGGTGGCTTGCATATGGCTGCCTTCTGTCTGCGTCCTCACATGGCAGGGAGAGAGAGAGAGAGAAAGAGAAGAGAAAAAAGAGGGAGAGAGAAAGAGAAGAGAAAAAAGAGAGGGAGAAAAAGAGAAGAGAAAAAAGAGAGAGAGAGAGAAAGATCTTCGGCCGGGCGTGGTAGCTCACGCCTGTAATGCCAACACTTTGGGAGGCTGAGGCAGGTGGATCATGAGGTCAGGAGTTCAAGACCAGCCTGGCCAACATGGTGAAACCTCATCTCTACTAAAAATACAAAAATTAGCTGGGGATGGTGGCAGGCACTGTAATCCCAGCTACTCTGGAGGCTGAGGCAGAAGAATCGTTCGAACCCGGAAGGCAGAGGTTCCAGTGAGCCAAGATCATGCCATTGCACTCCAGCCTAGGCAACAGGGCGAGACTCTGTCTCAAAAAAAAATTAAAAAAAAAAAAGAGAGAGAGAGAGATCTTCCTCTTCTTATAAGGCCACAGTCTTATTGGATGACAGCCTGACCTTTATGGCCTCATTCAACCTTAATTACCTCCTAAAGACCCTATCTCTAAATATAGTCATATAGGGGATTAGAGCTTCAGCATAGGAATTGGGGGTTGGAGTGGGGGGCAATTCAGTCTATAGCAGGAGCTTTTACTTGGAAGGGACCCATCATTACATTTCCTTGGACAAAGCAAATCACACGGCCATGCCTGAATTCAAGGAGAGACGGAAACATACTTCTTCCATATTCATGGAAGGAGAGAACTAGAAATATTTGCAAGCATCAGTAATACCTACCCAGAGCTATTGGCAGATTTTAATCAGGATTGTGACATAATCAGATACGTGTCATAGAAAGATCCCTCTGGCATCGTTGTAGAGAGTAGATTAGAGGGGATGCTTGTAATCAGGAAGACTGTCTCAGGGGCCCTTGATATAGTCAATGGGGAGAGAAGGGCTAAAACAGGGCTGTGGCAGAATGAATGGAACAAAGCAACACATAGGAACTTATATAGAAGATCCCAGTAATTACTTTCTTCTGCAAAATGAATATTTAAGAAATACAAGTAATACGTGGTTATCCAAAATAATCAGAGAATGTGCTTTCATTTACAAATGAGTTTCAGATAACCATAGCTTGATACTTTGAGTTGCAAATATATTTTAATTGTTTGAGGGTAAAAACTCTTTCTAAGATATTACACAGAGAGTATACTGAAATGGTTTGGGTTACTATCAAGCAATCGTTGTGAATATCAGTTTCTGTACAGAGCTTTAAACAGTAAGGCACTCAGTGATCTTTCAGGTGGATAGATGTGCTTTCACTTATACTTTCGTGCTTTTTCAATATTTTTCATATTCTCACTCTACCAAAAAAAAAAAAAAAGGTGGTTAAGGAAGGTAAGTTGTCATTAGCATGAGGAAATGATATGGGAGCAGGGCAGGGAAGTGCTGGGCAGAGAAGGGCAGAATCCCTGGCAAGGGCTCCACCCTCGGGCCTGTGCCCACAGACCTAAATGAGAACAGGCATTCTCGTTTTCACGCCCAAATGTTGCATTTTCCAAGACCACTCTGGCCTGCCACTCCCCTGATCCTATGCCCCTATAAACCCGAGACCTTAAGAGGACACAGACACAAGCAGGTGGACATCGAGAGGAGCAGAGGAACACACCAGCAGACAGCAGCAGAACAGCGACAGAGGAACGACGCGGATGCCAAGGGGAGTTCAATCGGGCACGGTCGGAGAAGAGTCCGGCCCCTGGGCCGCCCGACTCCAGGGGAAGACCGCCTTCCCACTCCATCCCCCGCTTCTGGCTCGCCATCCATCTCACTGAGAGCCATCTCCACCACTCAATAAAACCTTGCACTCAACCCTCCAGCCCACATGTGATCTGATTCTTCCTGTACACTGGGCAAGAACTCTGGCTGTCACACTGGCCCCATCCTTGCTATAAGGCAAAGGGTCCATTGAGCTGATTAACACAAGCCGTTTGCAGACAGCAAAGCCACAAGAGCACCCGGTAACACATGCCCACTTGGGCTTCAGGAGTCCTAGACGCTGCTGTGGGGCCGGAGCCCAAAAACACTCCCCATGGCCTCTGCAGCTGCCCGTCTGCACACTCCCCCTAGGGATTTGAGCAGCAGGGCACAGAAGATGTGAGCCAGACCCCTGTTGCACGCCCTGCCAGGGGATAAGGGAACTCTCTCATTTCGGAAGTGCAGTAAAGGTTGTCCCTGACCATTGTAAACTCCAGATGCAACCAAGCAGACTGATAAGCCTATGGAATGAGACCACCAGTTCTCCTGTTGTCCTTCCCAGCTTCTCCCCAACCTCCCCTTTTCCCTAGTTTATAAGACAGGAGAAAAGGGAGAAAGCAAAAAGTTGGAAAGAAACAGAAGTAAGATAAATTGCTAGACAACCTTGGGGCCATCACCTGGCCCTGGTGTTTAAAATAATATAATAATAATAATAATAATAATAATAATAACAATAACATTAACCCCGACCAAAACTACTGGTGTTATCTGTAAATTCCAGACATTGTATGAGAAAGCACTGTAAAACTTTTTGTTCTGTTAGCTGATGTATGTAGCCCCCAGTCACATTCCTCACGCTTTGATCTATTATGACCCTTTCACATGGACCCCTTAGAGTTGCAAGCCCTTAAAAGGGCTAGGAATTTCTTTTTCGGAGAGCTCGGCTCTTAAGACGAGAGTCTGCCAACGCTCCCAGCCGAATAAAAACCTCTTCCTTCTTTAATCCGGTGTCTGAGGAGTTTTGTCTTCAACTCATCCTGCTACAAGCCAATTTTGAAAATCAAATTGAAACTTACCTGCTTGTAAAAGAAAGTGGCAGCCTAAACACATCCAAGGAAAGAATGACTTAATGGAGTGCAAGTTATTTGCATGAAAGTTAGAAAAAGAGGAGTCAAAGAGCTGGAATGTCAGCCTATCACCAACTCTGTCCAGGATCAAAGAGTGTGCTCTGTCTGCAGATATGAGTGTTCTGGTCCACATGCTAGTATAATCATCTGCATAAATTAATATTTTTCATTGTGGTTTGATATGGTTTGGATTTGTGTCTCCATCCAAATCTCATGTTGAATTGTAATCCCCAATGTTGGAGGAGGGGCCAGGTGAGAAGTGATTGAATCATGGAGGCGAATTTCCCCTTTGCTGTTCTTGTGATAGTAAGTGAGTTCTCTGGAGATCTGAGTGTTTAAAAGTGTGTGGCACATTCCCCCTTTGCTTTCTTCCTCCTACTCTGGCCATGTAAGATGTGGCTGCATCCCCTTCACCTTCCGCCATCATTGTAAGTTTCCTGAGGCCTCCCCAGCCATGCTTCCCGTACAGCCTGTGGAACCGTGAGTCAGTTAAACCTCTTTTCTTTACAAGTTACCCAGTCTCAGGTAGTTCTTTATAGCAATACAAGAACGGACTAACATGTGTTTTATACATTAGTCTCATGTGAGTTTGGTCACAGTGAGTTCTAAGAGATTGATTCCCTCTTACTGTGCTGAAAATTCTACATAATAAGAATAATAAGTTTGGGTTCTTTCAAAAGCAAAGCCTGAGGCAAGAGCTTGGTATAAGTAACTTATTTTGAAGATAATCCCAGGAAATAGAAATGAAAGAATGGGGGAAATGAGATAAGAATGAGTAGCAGCCAATGTAAAGGGGCATTATTGAGGTCACTGCTCTGAAATTCACTGAGACCTTCTGAGAACCGGGGAGAAAGCCTCCTAGAATTGCCTGCCTAATGGACAGGAGGCTGGAGCATTTAGATATTGGATTGTATTGCCAACTGGTTGGTGGTTGCCCTCAAGAATGTTAAACACATGTGTGCGCATGCGTGCGCGCGCACACACACACACACACACACACACACACACACACTTCCTACTTATGCTTGGGTACACAGTGAGCTCTGGGTACCTTGGAGAAGTCCCTGGGATAGGAAGTGGAAACACATGGCTTATCCTTGAAGTGGAACACTGTCAGCACAAGGGAAGCTGAGTTCACATAGTACTGTCTGCTGCAACCACTGCTGAAAGTAAAGGTGGTCTAATGGGGCTATAGCCCAGGGCACCAGGGGTATCTGCTATGTCAGGCAGGGAGCAAACCCTGAACTTCAGCCAGCACAGCGCTGTCTTAGCAGCCAGCTGTTAATTTTTCTCTCATCACATACTAACTAAAGCATTAAATACCCTTTACTCCCCAATAACAACTTCAATGCATAGCCATAAAGTCACTGTCTTGGTTCACAAAGTACTATATTTAGTCTTAAATTTAGAAGTTTCCTTTCCTATCATTAAAAAATTGGCATGAGACTTATCAAGTTGTCAAGCCGACCTTAAGCTTCTTTTGTGCTACAAAAGCAAGCCTGCCAAAGAAGCTGAGCACCACCAAATAAGCCAAGCCTTGGATCTAATTAAGTAAAAACAATCCTTTAAACCACTTTCTCTTGGGGTGGAAAAAAAAACATAACAAGTTAGAGGCATGAAAGTAAAACATAAAATGCAATATAGATTATCAGGAAAGCACTGAGGATCTGAGAGCTTGTGTGAGAGGCAGGATTTGGTTCTCTGTTAGAGGCCAACACAGTTACAGGGCATTACTGAAGACATGTGGTTACAGAGGAATCTGGACAGCTGGGCTCTGCTTCCTTCTTCCATCCCTACAATGGGGACCGTTATGCGCTGTTATTACCATGGACTTGAATATAAAACAAATCAGAGTTCAAATTCCACCATCACCACTTGCTCCCTGTGTGACCTTGGACAAGTTATTTAACTTTTCTAAACCTCAGAGTCTTCATCAGTAAAATACAACTAATAATTTCTAATCTGCAGAACTATTATAAGAATTAAATGAATAGTATATAGGTAAAGCACTTTGGACAGTACCAGACAGATTGTAAGGGCTTAATAATTTTTTTTCGAGACAGAGTCTTGCTCTGTTGCCCAGGCTGGAGTGCAGTGGCATGATCTAGGCTCACTACAACCTCCGCCTCCCGGGTTCAAGCGATTCTCCTGTCTCAACCTCCCAAGTAGCTGGGATTACAGGTGTGCCCCACCACACCCAGCTAATTTTTGTATTTTCAGTAGAGACAAGGTTTCGCCATGTTGGCCAGGCTGGTCTTGAACTTCTGACCTCAGGTCATCTGCCCACCTTGGCCTCCAAAAGTGCTAGGATTACAGGCGTGAGCCACTGGGCCTGGCCAATAAATTAACAGATGATACTGAGTTTGTTTTGACATTGAACATGCTGAATCCTAAAGACACCCAGGAAATGCCTAGCCTGAGGTCTGGGTCACTGCTTTATAGATACTGGTTTTTCTTTCCAAAATTATGTTTCATCAGAGCTAAGAGCTTTACCAAAACTCCGATGTAAGACATGGCTCCTTATTCTGAAATAAGATGTAGAAGATGGGTAGCTCAAGAGGAGTTTTCTCTGGAAATTTTACAATGAATAAGACAAATTAAGGCTGTGTTGAAGACCAAGGATGAAATGCTGGAGCTCATACTGTTAGTTCTAACCGTGTGAGCCCAGCTGACCCTGCCACACATCAGCACAGCCCCTCCTTGACCTATGTAACCAAGCCTCCTTTCTCTGATTCTCCATTCCTCCTCATTTGCATTTGATCTGCTTGGCCTGAACTCTGTCCTTGGTTCTAAATTTCTCAAGCTGACTCCAGCTGCAGTTCCATTTCTGACCCCTTTGAATATGGCATTCATATTCAAAGTCTAAAGACTTCAGATATCCACTGATTTCATTTGTTCATTCATTCATTTACTTGACAAATATTTATGGAGGGCCTATATGTACCCCACAATGTTCTGGGCACTGGAACATAGTGAAAAACTAAATAGACAAGTCCCCTACCCTAGGGATTTTCCAGGCAAAAAAACAAGTGAACAAATTAATACCTAATTAATATCAGGGAGCCCCACATCTTCTCATCTGAGAAACTGATTCCTGCCTCCCATCCTGCAGAACATAAGAACAGGACTCTCCCTGAACCCCAAGAGGCAGACCCAGCTTTATGCTGTTCTTGCTGTTCACATTATGGACCACTTTTTTTTTTTGAGACGGAGTCTCGCTCTGTCACCCAGGCTGGAGTGCAGTGGCACAATCTCAGCTCACTGCAAGCTCCGCCTCCCGGGTTCACGCCATTCTCCTGCCTCAGCCTCCCGAGTAGCTGGGACTACAGGCGCCCGCCACCACACCCAGCTAATTTTTTGTATTTTTAGTAGAGATGGGGTTTCACTGTGTTAGCCAGGATGGTCTCAATCTCCTGACCTCATGATCCACCCGCCTCGGCCTCCCAAAGTGCTGGGATTACAGGCATGAGCCACCGCGCCCGGCCTATGGACCACTTTTAAGAAGATCTTTTACTTAAAACAGAAATACCATTCAACCAAGCAATTTCATTACTAGGTATATATCCAAAAGAATATAAACCATTCTACCAAAAAAAACATGCACTCACATGTTCACACAGCACTATTCACAATATCAAAGACATGAAATTAACCTAGTTGTTCATCAAAGGTGAACTGGATAAAGAATATGTGGTAGTACATCATGGAATACTACAGTCATAAAAAAATGAAACCATGTTCTTTACAGCAACTTAGAGGTAGCTGGAGGCTATTATCCTAAGCAAATTAACACAGGAACAGAAAACCAAATACCATATGTTCTCACTTTTAAGTGGAAACTAAATATTGGGTACTAATGGACATAAAGATAGCAACAATAGCTGGGTGTGGTGGCTCACCCCTGTAATCCCAGCACTTTGGGAGGCTGAGATGGGTGGATCATTTGAGGTCAGCCTGACCAACATGGTGAAACCCCATCTCTACTAAAAATATAAAAATTAGCCGGGCGTGGTGGCGTGCACCTGTAGTCCCAGCTACTGGAGAGGCTGAGACAGGAGAGTTGCTTGAACCCAGGAGGCAGAGGTTGCAGTAAGCCGAAATCATGCTACTGCACTGCAGCCTGGGCAACAGAGCAAGACTCCATCTCAAAAAAAAAAAAAAAAAGATAAAGATGGCAACAATAGACATTGGGGACTAGTTGGGGGAAGGGAGGGGAGCAAGGGTTGAAAAACTACATATTGGGTACTATGCTAAGTACCCAGATGAGAGAATCATTCATACCCCAAACCTCAGCATCATGCACTATATCCAGATAACAAACCTGCACACGTACCCCATGAATCTAAAATAAAAGTTGAAAGAAAAATAAAAATAAAAGGAGAGTAGAAATTTCTTAAAGAGGTGAGGAACAAAAGGTTGCTTTCTAAATCCTCTGAATGAGATATATGCAGACATAAAGACATGATGGGAAATACGGTTTTAGGCCATCAATAATAGAGGTCTGGGAACCAGTAGAAGCCAGTAGCAGAGGAAGGTCTTCTTTTCAGGTGAAGTATAGCATCTCCTAGAGTAGAGCTTTGGATACACATTGGTTGACTTTTCATGACAGTAGATAGCAGACATCATTGATTTCCTAGTCAGCATCTCTTCCTTTCTTCCACGCTAACCAGAATTTTTTCAGTTACCCAGGCTTCAGGGAGTGGTACCTTATCCCCAGGTCACGGATACATTCTTTTTAGTCAAAACCAATTACAGTAATTCCATTCCTTTTGTCAGTGATTTGTATGGGGGTGGACATGAAACTCACTACCTCACTTCTGGCCAGTGAAGTGAGAAAAATTTAGGAAAGACGGGAGCAGAGGCTCCTAGCAAAAGGTCTTCTCATACCCAAAGAGAGAGTCTCTTTATCCCTCTGTTGTATCTGGATGAGATTCCTGGAGTTGCTTCAGCCATCCTGCTATCAGCATGAAGATGAGACCAATAGAGGGAAAAGGACAGAGCCACAAGAATCAAAGAAGTGAAGAATATTCTGGCAATATAATGACAGAAGTTACCCTATCTCTGGACCTATTTTTTGAGCTAATAAATGTCTACACTATTTAAGACTTATTTTTTTTAAGAAAAATGGAAGATCTTTTTACACAAAAGTCAGGCTCAAGCATGCCAAAATTTTAACCCTCTAGTGGAGAAAATTTGAGAAAGAGGCTATGGATTTCTATTTTCAAGGCCTATTACAAGTGTGACAATTGCTTCGTTTTCCCTAAGGAAGAATTACCAGCAATTACAATAGTCCATCCAATATTTCACATATGGTTACATGCCCTGAAATGATGTCCCTAGGGTTTTTTTTATCTTTAACACTGGATGAGTTTCTATCCTTCGCATCACTTAGAGAGAAGCACCTGGGAAACAGAAAGACTTGCTGTGATAAATAAGGACATTTCCATTATATGAAATTGTGGCTCACAGAGTCCCTCATAACACATAGTCCAGTCAATAGAGACTTATTTTACATGTTATGCCCACATCTTTTAAGTTCTGTTACATTTTCCTGCTGCTTCCAGGGCCAAGGTTCTGCACCAGTCAACCACAGACTATCTACTATTCTGAAATCTGACTGTTAATCAACTTGACTACCCCTTCCCTGGTAAAGAAGTGACAACTTGTTCCTAGACTAGCAGACATTTTAAATGGTAGCCCCCAACTCAACAGATCTCAAAAGGTGATTTAAAAAATGTATCTGGCCTGGCTCAATAGGAGAACTATGTGGGCCCAGCAGAGAATGCCTGATTCCTACTCCCTTCTATCATGACATTTTAGGAGGATGGAAAAACCACACCTGTGGGGGGCAGCCATGATGTGGGCAGCCACATCATGAACTAGAGAAGAACTAGCCAGGAGCATTATTGCATCAACTACAGCTAATCATACATATTCCTCTTCTGTCAATTATTTCTGTAAGACAGAAAGGTTAGAATTTTTTCTTTAATTGTATGCAAATGCAAGGTAGAATCAGCCCACATGGACTAGAGCTAAGCTAGAAAACAGAACTTAACCTTCACTCCTTGGCAAATGTACCAGCTCTCAGACCATAAATCTGTAGGTCAACCTCAACTCTTTTCATGCTCTATTAACTTTAGTTAATAGAGTTCCCAAATCCTATTAACTTTATTTCTTAATGTCGTCCATATCTTCCCCTTCCCCTATGCCATCCCTACTTATGTCAGAGCCATTTTGCTTTCCAACTGGACCATTGCTATAGACTCCTAATTGTTCCTCTTACCACTAGACATGTTCTCAATCCATGACTCTCTAAACTTCCTTTCACGTTGTTATCAGGAGCGCCTTTCTAAAATGCAAAATTGGCCAGGCACAGTGGCTCACACCTGTAATCCCAGCACTTTGGGAGGCCAAGACAGGAGCATCACTTGAAGTCAGGAGTTTGAGACCAGCCTGGCCAACATAGTGAAACCCCGTCTCTACTCATAATACAAAAATTAGCTGGGTGTGGTGGCACATGCCTGTAATCCCAGCTACTCCAGAGGCCGAAACAGGAGAATCACTTGAACCTGGGAAGCGGAGGTTGCAGTGAGTGGAGATCACGCCACTGCACTCCAGCCTGAGCAACAGACCCAGACTCCATCTCAAAATAAATAAAATAAAATAAAATAAAATGCAAAATTTATCTTATTACTGCTCCTCTTAAAGGAGATTGGTAACTCTTCTTTCCCTATAGAATAAAGACTAAATTTAACCTGTCAAATCAGCCTGTGATCTCACACCTGGCCATCTATCTGACCCTCCTGGAAGACCATACCCATGCACTACTTGCAATTGTAAACACACTCCCATTTGTCTACTCCTCCAGCCTGAACTGGCCTTCTTCCCAAACTCCATCTCTTATCTACAGGGCAAACAGCTTAGTCATCACCTGCTAATAGACAATAATCTTTAGAGCAAGAGCATTAAATAATTCTTCTCTATCCCCAGCACTTTGCTTGGCATGTAGCAACCACTGAGTACAAGCAGTGTTTGTTGAAAGAATTAATGAGGAAGTGAAAAGAATAAATCAAATGTTTCATGGCACTAGAGAGCTGTGTTAGCTAAAATATCTTCCTTCTCATTACTACTATCACCTAATATTTAGATGTGACTGCAACTGAATCATTACCACGGCCATGTGTTCCCATAGCTTCAGATCCACATCTGGCACTAGTCCATCCTACACATCGTGTCCCGCTTACTAATCTTACAAAGGGAAGACTCTGACCATTACATTTCACTGTTCAAAACCCCTCTAGAGCTCCCCTCTGTCAACTCCCTCCATAATATCCAACTGCCTCCATGTTCTGCTGCCAACCTACCTGCTCAATCTGATTGCCCTCTACTCTTCTGCAAGCTTGTGATGATTAATTTTAGGTGTCAACTTGACAGGATTAAGTATTAGCTAGAGAACTTGTAAAGATAGCCAAGAACAGTGCTCACGTCTGTAATCCCAGCTACTGTGGAGGCTGAGGTGGGAGGATCCCTTGAGGCCAGGAGTTCGAGACCAGCCTGGGCAACCTAGTGAGACTCTGTCTCTATGAAGATAAGAAGAAGAGGAAGAACTGGTAAAGAATTGTTTCTGGGTGTGTCTGTGTATTAGTCTGTTCTCACACTGCCATAAAGAAGTACTTGAGACTGGGTAATTTATGAAGAAAAGAGGTTTAATTGACTCAGAATTATAGACTCTACAGGAAACACAGCTGGGAGGCCTCAGGAAAGTTACAATCATTGGAAAGGGCAAATGGGAAGCAAGCACATATTCACATGGCAGCAGGACAGAGAGAGAGAGTAAAGGGGGAAGTGCTACATACTTTTAAACAAGTATCATGAGAACCCACCATCACAAGAACAGCAAGAGGGAAATCGACCACCATGATGAAATCACCTCCCACCAGGTCCTTCCCCCAACATTGGGGATTACAATTCAACATAAGATTTGGGTGGGAACACAGAGCCAAATCATATCAGTTGGTGAGGGTGTTTCCAGGGAATATTGGTGTGTGAGTCAATGGACTGAGTGGGTAAGATCTGTCCTCAGTGTGAGAAGGCACTGTCTAATCAGCTGGGACCCCAAAAAGATTATTGAGTTTCTTTTTCCTGGAGCTGGGACACACTCTTCTTTTGCTGTCCTTGGACATCAGAACTTCAGGCTCTTTCTCTTTTATTACTCCAGGACTTACACCAGTGCTCCTCCCACCCTGGGTTCTCAGGCCCTCAACTTTGGACTGACAATTACACAATCAGCTTCTCTGGTTCTGAGGCCTTTAGATTTGGACTAAGCCATGTTAATAGCATCCCCAGTCTCCAGCTTGCAGACAGCCCATGTGGGACTTCTCAGCCTCCATAATCACATGAGCCAATTCCCCTAATAAATCCCCTATCACATATCTAGATAGGTAGGTAGGTAGATAGATAGATAGATAGATAGATAGATAGATAGATAGATAGACAGATAGATAGGTTGATTGATTCTGTTGGTTCTGTCTCTCTGTCGGATAAGCCTGACTAGTACAAATGCTTCTACTGAACACCAACCAAGGGCAATATAATTTTCTAACAAGTACATTTATTCATGCTGTGTATTTTCCTAAGAACTCCTTACCAACTAAATCAATCATTTCCCTACATCTACCTCAAAAACCATCTCTTTCTAAAACCTTCTGATATCATTCTGTCAAAAAAGATCCCCTTCTTCCGAATTCCATAGCATTTTTTTCTATAACTTTTTCATGGCACATTCAAAAAACTGTCTTCATTACAGTTATTAATGAATATGTTTCATCTCAAATACAAAATTACAAAGTCCTTGAAGGCCGTAACTCAACCTTATCTATTATATCATCAACAGGAGACTCCAACACATTTCTTGCACATGATAGACTTTCAATTTAAAAAAAGGTTAATTAGTTATTCAATTATGCAACCCACTAGGAGAGGCACTCATTCTGGATAATAATAATTCTTATTTGCATATATCAGTGTATCTGTGTGCAAAGTGCTTTTCCATGTTATCCTATTTGTACCTCACCACAGCTCTATGAAGAAAGAAAGGAGAATCTTCCTTATTTCAGAGATAAAGAAACTATAGTTCTGCTGCAGTAACTGAGCTCCTCAGGATTATTCAGTTAGTGAAAGGAGGAGGTAGAATTTGAATACAAATAAACTAGCTTGATACTGCATGAGTGTTTCCCACTATTGGTACTTTGTGCAAAAGTTTGGCACTGACCAAACGTGTATTCCTAATTTATGTGGATCCAATACAAGCAAAACCTTCTCCTTTTCTCCCTGCCAAACCTTCTCCAGGGCTTGGTACACTTTGAAGCAGGAAACAATACCAGCCCCAATGTTCCAGCTGGCCTTCTCCAGCCACCCTCTGCCTGAGTTCACTGGCCTGCTGCTCCAGGCTTATATTTTACCTAGTATTTGAACTGCCTCTTTAGAGATCTAGTCAGCTAGGTAGAATGATACCATAACAAAGAGCCAAGAGTCAGAGTATAACTATGTGCTGGGGAGTGGCAAGGGGCTACATATCCAAAGCTGCCAGGAGCCTGATGATGGGGACCATGGGAAGACATGGGCAGAGAGGATTTAAGCTGAATTCTCAACTCACAGGTCTAGAATCAGATTTCCAGGTTCAAGTCTTGGCTCTACCACTTCCTATCCACATAACCCTGGACATTTTACACAATTTCTGTGAGCCTCAGGTCCTTCATCTGTAAAAGGCTGATGATGATAATAGTTTCCTATTATAGGGTTACTGAGATTAAACAAACTCATCAGTGCAGATTCCAGTACAGGGCCTGGCATATAAGTAACAATCAAGAAGTTTGAGCTAAAGTAACAGAATGTTGAGTGGTAATATTCGTGTGTCCCCAACATGGCAACAAAGGCTCAAAGCTGTAGACAAAGAGGCTCCATAAACTCCACATTTGAAACAGAGCTGCCAACACCTGAGGCCAGGCACCTCCCTCAGAGACTAATAAGCCTGAACTGCCCTTCCACCGCCAGGGGTCCTGGGCCTTGTCAGGGATGCAGAGTCTGGGATGAGATGTAATGTCCCCATCGCCAATACAAGGAATAGGGATGTCTGAGTTCATTTTCTGCTGCTATTATATAACAGAATACCACAGACTGAATAATTCATAAACATTAGAAATTTACTTCTCACAGTTCTGAAGACTGGGAAGTACAATGTCAAAGTGTCAACATCTGATGAGGGCCTTCTTGCTCATCTCATGCCAGAGGTGAAAGAGCAAGGCAGCAAAAGGTGGCCGAACTCACTTTTGTAACAATCCCACTCTCACAATAACAAAACCACTCTTACAATAATGTTGTTAATCCATTCATAAGACCCAATCACCTCTCAAAGGTCCCACCTCTCAACACCATTGCATTGGGGATTAAGTTTCCAACACATACACTTTAGAAGACACATTTAAACCAGAGCAAGGGGTTTCAAAAGAATCCTTGGAGAGATTAGGAGTGCCTGCCAGATAGGAGCACTGGCATCTTGCTCCCAGAATGAAGCTTTCAGAGCTACAGAACCAGTCTTATGCAGCTTTCATAGAGAGTTATTGGAAGAAATTGGCCTACACCTCTTGAAGATAGATAATATTCTTGAACATGGAGACTAGTGCCCAATTAAAGATGTAAAGCTTACCAGAGAGGCCCATTGCATCAGGGTGAGAAGGGACTATGGTACAGGGTGCCTAAGAAGAAAACAATGAGAGCCTTTCACCCTACTCTCCTGCAGCAAAGATCTCTGCTTTTTCATACGAAACAGCAGGAGCTCTGGGGCCATCCTGGTGGTCACGGAGAGAGAGAAGCTGCCACCTTAGAAAGGAGATTGAAACATGGACCAACCTCAGAGGTCTCAGGGGACATGGCTTCCCTCTCTGGGGGAACCTCAGCAATGGAGCAGAACTGTGGAAGCTGATTGTTCAATTTACCAGCCATGAAGAGGTCACCAGAAGGAGGCAAAATCACACTGAGCCTTAAGATAGCCAAGACCACCTCCCCATCATGATATGCATCTCACTTTATCCTGATATGAACCTGCCTCTACCTTCTCCTCTCAGACTCCCAAAGCCCTCCAATCTAAACAAAGTTAATACCAAAAAGAAAGAAGGAAGAGATGGCAATTTAATGAAGGTCCTCCCCACACTCAATCCCATCGAAGTGCTGGGGTGAGAGAAGAGGAAGAACATCGGAAGAGCCTCAGACCTCAGGCAATGGGTCAAGCTTATGCCAGGTGAGGGAAGGGAGGTGTTCTGGGGATAAGATTTAAACCATATTAAAGACTAATGTTTCAAAGGGACTTGGCTTTTAACATCTAAAAATGGCCAGGAAATCACAGAATCTCTCATCAGAATTTGAAAAAGGCATTTGTCATAACATGATTGAGAGTTCATTAAAAAAAATTAAACCATTTCATGTTTATGCCCCAATAGAGCAATTACATTATCAGCATCAGCATCTTAGGGAGAACTGAGTGTTAAGAACAGAGAAACTAAATATGCCCAAGCCCAAGTCGGCACTTGAGATCAGCAAAGAAAGATGGAGCGTTGAATCTGAATGTGCATACAGCTGTGTGGGAGCAATTTAGGGAAGATCAAGGGTAGGAATTAACCTGGGAAATCCAAGCAGACTGCCAAGAATAGGGTTTGAGATCCCTATGGTTTTAATTAGCCAGGAGCAGTAAGGGACAGAGTGAGTGGACTGAGTTAAAAGACACGGTGTTAACGCCACACCTGGAGCCACTGGGGGCTCTGCTGGGGTTTTAAATTAATGAGAATAATGTGTCTTTGAAAATATTATTGCCTCCCAGTAGCTTCCTACTTTTCTGGTCACCTCTGCCTTTCATGAGAAAAATGCTAACCCACATCTTTGTTCCTTCACATTCCTTTGAAGGAGGTGGGTGGCCATGAGGGAGGAGAGGCGGACTCTTTCATCCCTGAATTGGCACCCCAAGTCCAAACCAAACTGGTAGTTACCAGAAGCCTCCACCACTTCCAGGAGGATGAGGTTGGGCAGGACCTACCAGTCTTGCAATTTCCATTCTATGCAAAGCCAATGCTATCATTCCCTCTAGCCAGCTCCATAAGTAATGAGGTTTCTAGGGAAAAAGAAAAAGAGTATGAGGCTTTTAAGCAGACCTCAGATAAGAATGCCATTCTCACCCCCAAGGAAGCTTCTCTCTAGAATCATCTGCAAGGAGAGATCTGTGTGGGTGTGTCTTCTGGGTGGTCCCACACTCTGGTCCAAACTCCCAAGGCCCACCGTAGAGAAGCCAGGAGAGGTCTCCACCCTGTCCATGGAGACAGAAGAAGGGTGGGAGCTATTGCAGCTGCGACTGTGACTTGGCCGCCAGGAAATCACACTTCTCTCACAAGCCATCCCACAGCTTGGCCAAAGCTTAGCCTCCTTTGGGATACAATGGCATCACGATGAGTGTACACCTGAACAAAGACTGACCCAAGGCTGTCCTTAGACAAAAATGGTCTTGCAATAGCAAGCTAGACTTTTTTAAAAAATATATATTTATTCAGAGAAATTCTAGAATCCCGCCAAGTTTGCAATGCCCTAGGGTAAGTTGTAATGTCATTTAATGTGAATTCAGCTAGAGAGTGGCTACTGGCACATCTATAAGGGGCATCAGCCCCCAGGTAGTCAACTTGTTCTCTCTGTCCCCAGAATCAGGAGGACTCAGCTTCTCAAATATCCATTTAGCTCACTGCCACTCTTCCTATCATCCTCCCCCAAACACATATATTTTTAATACTTCTATATAAGTTCTATTAAAAATAATCAACACTTAACACAGAAAACTTGAAAAATATAGAAAAGTTTAAAGGAGACCAAAAAACCTCACCCCTGATGCTACCACCCAGAGAGAAACTGACTGTTAATATTTTGGTATGTTTGCTTTCAGACTTTTATGTTATGTTACTTATGAACAAGTATGTGTCTGTATAATATAATAAAATTAAAATAAAATTTAGAAAACTGAGTCCACATGGTGTGGATACAGTGTAAGCTCTGGTATTGGCTGCTTGGGTATAAATCCTAATTCCACCTCTTGCTATCTTTGTCTAAGCTGCAACAAGTGACTGATATAGTACCCACATTAAAAAGTTACTATAAGGAATAAATGAAATTATTTGGATAAAGCTCTTATGACCTAGCACATGTGAGATAAATATACATGAGTTGTCAGTGTTGTTGCTATTATTGGTTGTGTTTGGCCTTTTTACACAATACACATATTTTTTTTTCTGTGCCTCTGAGGCAGTTTACAAGAATGAACACTGTGTCCCAATCAATGCAGCATTATCAAATCTAGGACACTATCTGGATTGATACCACTCTCAGCAAACACAATGACCTTGCTGGCATCTTCCTGCAAGAGGTTGATGGGACAGGATGGCTGGGGGCAGCTCAAATACCTGGAGGGGCAGGGAAAGGTTGTGGAGGGGTCAGCCAAGCCAGCATCACAGCTGTGCTCAATTACCACAAACAGATGTTGGCACCTCGACTCATTAGAAATGCAACCCAATCACACTGGCAGTCTAATCATCTTACTGGAAACTCTGGAGATAGGAAGACCCTGTGCTCCCAATTCCAGTGGTCAGATCAGTAAAGGTCACTCTCCCTGTCCCCAAGCAAAAGACTTCATGTGGCAAATCTCCACAGGGATTAGAGAAGCGGCTCGCAACTGAGGTCAATTTTATTCCCCACCAGATATTTGGCCATGACTGAAGACATTTTTGGTTGTTGCAACTTGAAGGGAGAGGAGGCTGCCACTGGCATCTAATGAGTAGAGACCAGGGATGCTGCTGAATATCCTAAACACAGGACCATCCCTGTGTTTGGGTTAGAACTACCTAACCCAAATTACTGATTGTGCTAAGATTGAGAAACCCTCCATTAACGATCTCAAACACATAAATAAGTTAAAAGAGGAAAATGCTTGGCCCCGGTGACATGGTCTTGAGGGTCTGTAACAGAGATTACAGAAGTGACCAGATAGATTATGAGCTAAAGCAACTATATTTTTATTCCTTTTCTCTAAAGTTCCCATATCTCAGTGAGACTTTATTTTGCTTCGTAATGTCCAGCAAGACATTATTTTTCAGTCTGTCAGTGAATCCAGCTATTAACGTATTGCTCCAAAAACTACTGCAGTCATTCCTTGGTATCTGAGGGGGATTAGTTTCAGGACCCCAGAAAATACAAAAATCCATGGATGCTCAAGTCACTGATATAAAATGGTGTCATATTTGCGTATAACCTACACATTTCCTGCTATATATTTTAAATCATTTCTAGATTACTTACAATACCTAATGCAATGTAAATGCTATGTAAACAGGCTGTATTGTTTTTCACTTGTATTATTTTTTGTTTTATTATTATTTTTGTTAGTTTTTTGCTGCTGTTGTTGTTGTTTAATATTTTCTTTTTCTTTCTTTCTTCTTTTTTTTCTTGAGACAGAGCTCTGTTGCTCAAGCTGGAGTGCAGCAGCGCAATAACAGCTCACTGCAACCTCTGCCTACCCGGTTCAAGCGATTCTCCTGCCTCAGCCTCTCAAGAAGCTGGGATTACAGGTGTCCACCACCATGCCCAGCTAATTTTTGTATTTTTACTAGAGACAGCGTTTTGCCATGTTGCTTAGGCTGGTCTCAAACTCCTGAGCTCAATCCTCCTGCCTCAGCCTTTCAAAGTGCTGGGATTACAAGCATGAGCCATCGTGCCCTACCGTTTAATAGTTTCCATTCCTGGCTGGTTGAATCCATGGATGCAGAACCCGCAAATACTGAGAGCCCACTGCATTTTACTACAGTCCTAAAATCTAAACTAGGACTTAGGACCCATACTAAAAAGATGTATACACAATATCTGCTTGTCCCCTACACTGTCCTTGTACCAACACCTGGAAAGTCTGGATAGTTGGACAACTACAGTATCACAGGAAATATACTCTTGAAGGTTTTAAACCAGAGCTAGGAAATAAGTAAAGTTAATACAACAGTGCCATCTAGTGAATGACAAGTATCTCAAAAGAGCCTAGATCTCGATTTCTCAAATCTAAGATTCATGCATTTTACTCAGACAAATTCAGTGCAGAATGGGAATGATATTAAACAAAATTGCATTATGTTATCCTCAGCCTTCAGAAGAACCCCTCCATGTGATCTAATGTCACATTTAAGAGGAAATCTTAATGTAGGCCAAGTAAGAAGAAGAAATTAGTAGAAATCCATGATTACCTCTATATTCAAATATTACATAACAAGAATCTAACACTAATTAGTGATAAGATCTGCAGCAGATTTCAATCTCCTGACACTGAGATCAATATCCTCTTGGTGACCCTAAACTGATGGAGCTGTGGCTCAGCCTCACATACCAGGTACACGTCCCAGCTCTGTGCTTAGTGCCTGGGTGACTGAAGACAAGTGAAACTTTTCTGGCCTTCTGTTTCTTCATCTGCCAAATGGTGTGATGATATAATAATACCCATTCATGGGACGTACCATAAACCCTAAAGGAGGCATTCTGGGAAAAGTGAATAACACGTGGTTTAGCATGGTAAAGCTTAGTTCCCTTTTCTAGCTGCTCCTCCTCCTTTATCTGCGTGTTTACCAAACGAGAATGAGACACCTAAGAGTCTGTTTCTTTTAAAAGCTGGCATTCAAATTTTTACTCAATAAATCTGAGTCCCTACTGTGTACCAAACACCATTATAGGTTCAGAGGATGGAAAAGTTTCCACCCTGGTGGAACAACCGTGTAATATGAAGGGATCTTGGAAGAAAATAATATAAAATCAGGGCAAAAAGACTTCAGTCTGAGATATCATGGAGAAGAAACACCTCTCAGAATGGATTTTGAAAAAGGAGGAGGGGGAGATAAACAAATACTGAAATTAAGGAACACACCTGGTATTCTCCTTGGAGACAGAACGGACAGCCACCAGGCTGTTGTCTAATTGAGTCACCTTGCAAAAGAGAGGAGATGAGAGCCTTACTGCAGGAAGAGGGATGTTCACATCCCAAAATGAGTATCCTCTGCCCTTGATTAAGCCCTCCACATCGTTTTCCCCAGCAACCTCTCCCTCACCATTCTAGGGCTGGGGTTCCACTTCAGAATTTCCTCCAAGTTAGCCACGCTGCCAGATGGAAGAACTAAAAATCAGGACCTACCTTTGGCTTTCCCCCTCCTCCTCTCCCATATCGCTCCTGTGAGAGGTGACAGCGTGATGGCGGCCCTCGCAGCCCTGGCTCGCTCTCGGTGCCCCCTTGGCCTCGGCGCCCATTCTGGCCGCACTTGAGGAGCCCTTCAGCCCGCCGCTGCACCGTGGGAGACCTTCTCTGGGCTGGCCGAGGCCGGAGCTGGCTCCCTCGGCTTGTGGGGAGGTGTGGAGGGAGAGGCACGGGCGGGAACCGGGGCTGCGCGTGGCGCTTGCGGGCCAGCTAGAGTTCCGGGTGGGCGTGGGCTTGGCGGCCCCGCACTCGGAGCGGCCGGCCAGCCCTGCCGCCCCGGGCAGTGAGGGGCTTAGCATCCAGGCCAGCAGCTGCGGAGGGTGCGCCCGGTCCCCCAGCAGTGCTGGCCCACCGGCGCTGCGCTCGATTTCTCGCCCGGCCTTAGCTGCCTCCCCGCTGGGCAGGGCTTGGGACCTGCAGCCCGCCATAACTGAGTCTCCCCCGCCCCGCCGTGGGCTCCTGCGCGGCCTGAGCCTCCCGGAGGAGCACCGCCGACCGCCTAAGGGCTGAGGAGTGCGGGCGCACGGCGGGAGACTAGCGGGCAGCTCCACCTGTGGCACTGTGCAAGATCCACTGGGTGAGGCCAGCTGGGCTCCTGAGTCTAGTGGGGACTTGGAAAACCTTTGTGTCTAGCTAAGGGATTGTGAGTGCACCAATCAGCACTCTGTGTCTAGCTCAAGGTTTGTAAACACCAATCAGCACCCTGTGTCTAGTTTGGGGTTTGTGGATGCACCAATGGGCACTCTGTATCTAGCTAATCTGGTGGGGACTTGGAGAATCTTTATGTCTAGCTAAGGGATTGTGAATGCACCAATGGGCACTCTGTGTCTAGCTCAAGGTTTGTAAATGCAACAATGAGCGCTTTGTGTCTAGCTAATCTGGTGGGGACTTGGAGAATCTTTATGTCTAGCTAAGGGGTTGTGAATGCACCAATTGGCACTCTGCATCTAGCTCAAGGTTTGTAAATGCACCAATCAGCACCCTGTGCCTAGCTCAGGGTTTGTAAATACACCAATGGACACTCTGTATCTAGCTAATCTAGTGGGGATGTGGATAACTTTTGTGTCTAGCTCAGGGATTGTGAACACACCAATCGGCACCCTGTCAAAATGGACCAATCAGCTCTCTGTAAAACAGACCAATCGGCTCTCTGTAAAATGGA
Source organism: Homo sapiens (assembly GCF_000001405.40). Taxonomy (NCBI): domain Eukaryota; kingdom Metazoa; phylum Chordata; class Mammalia; order Primates; family Hominidae; genus Homo; species Homo sapiens. Next base: position 81,623,147 of record NC_000014.9, on the reverse strand, counting down.
CCAATCAGCAGGATGTGGGTGGGGCCAGATAAGATAATAAAAGCAGGCTGCGTGAGCCAACAGTGGCAACTTGTTCGGGTATCCTTCCCCAGTGTGGAAGCTTTAGTTCTTTTGCTCTTTGCAATGAATCTTGCTGCTGCTCACTCTTTGGGTCCACGCTGCGTTTACACTGTGTTTATGAGCTGTAACACTCACCACAAAGGTCTGCAGCTTCACTCCTGAAGCCAGCAAAGACCACGAACCCACCAGGAAGAAGGAACAACTCCAGACACGCAGCCTTAAGAGCTGTAACACTCACTGCCAAGGTCTTCAGCTTCACTCCTGAGCCAGCCAGACCATGAACCCACCAGAAGGAAAAAACTCGGAACACATCCCAACATCAGAAGGAACAAACTCTGGACATGCCGCCTTTAAGAACTGTAACAACGCAAGGGTCCGCGGCTTTATTCTTGAAGTCAGTAAGACCAAGAACCCAATTCCGGACACGTTTGGACCGTGAGTCCCTTTCTTGGGTTGGCTCAATGTTTTATATGTAAGACAGCAACAGTGTCAGTGTTCTAGTTTATCTGGTTTAAGGTTTATTACCCATCTGAGTGGGCCTGGTCTCCACTGCACTTCACTTTTGCACTTTCCACAGGCAAATCTCAGCAGCCTGCTAAGATCTGCCTGCAAGTGGACGTAAGCTGTAAGCTAGTCCTTTCCAGAGTTACATAATACATTACGTTACTTAAAATCTTAGTTTTTCTCTAAAATTTTGTATTTAAAGCTCTATAATCCCACATGTTGGCTAGATCACAAAAGTTAAACATTTCTTTTTGAAGGGCTTCCTGGGGTACTCAAATCCCCAAAAAGAATTAGGAATTTCCGATATACCATAGTGCATGCTATTATTTGGCCATGTATCCCCTGCACAGTTTCTCATGGAAATGCACTTTGCAAAAAGGCTAATTCCAGGTCTGTCTGGTGGCTGTTCTTACTTTAAACTTTGCTGGAACTTTACTGTCTCATGAAGCTTTTCCTAATGCATCACTGTCCCACTTCCCTTAGTCCCATATGCAATTGATTAATACTCCCCTTGTCTTCTCACACTACTTTCTGTAAATATTTGTAACACAGTCTCTCTAACACTTTGGTGCCCTTAATTGATTTTGTGTTTACTCCTCTTTAGTTTACTATAGGTCCCTTCAGAGGAACTTTGCTTTATATGCAAGGTTCAAGGGAAGCTCATGGAAATTCCTGGTGCCTGCACACTGTATGGCACGTGGTAGAGGTTTAGTGCAGAAAGGGAGCAAGAGAGGAAGGAAGAAGAGGGCAGGGCTGGCTTATTTTGGAAAGATCATAGTCCCAGTTCCACAATTCGACTTTCGACCAATCACACTCTCTCTGAACCTCATTTCCTCTGCAGCCAAACAAGGCTAAAATATTAGCCCTGACTTCCTGCTAGGACTGATGGAAGGTTCTAATGAGATCATCGATGCAAACTCAACTTTAGATAACTAGAGAGTGCCAAGCCAATGTAAGATAGCGTCATTGTTAGCATCAGGCTGAAATATTCCCTTCCTGCCTTCGCCAAAAAGGCAAGGGCACCATGCCCACAAGTGAGATAGGCGAATACACCCTCCATAATCTTTTAGCTAGGAAGATTCTCCCAGTCCCCAAAATAATGCCTCTTTTTGAATGCAAAATGCTTCAATTTCTATAACACAAGATAGATTTTTAAATTCATGTTAGATATCATTTTAAATACTTTTAAAAGTGCAAATTATTGGTATCAATTTCCTCACTGAACGAAATTTCAAAAGGGGAGAATTCTGAGCCTTGAAGTGAAAAGGCTGGATCCAGTGGCTTACACCTGTAATCCCAGCACTTTGGGAGGCCAAGGCGGTCAGATCACTTGAGGTCAGGAGTTCGAGACCAGCCTGGCCAACATGGTGAAACCCTGTCTCTACTAAAAATACAAAAAAAATGAGCTGAGTGTGGTGGCATGCACCTGTAATCCCAGCTACTCAGGAGGCTGAGGCAGGAGAATCGCTCGAATATGGGATGCAGAAGTTAAAATGAGCCAAGATCACGCCACTGCACTCAAGCCTGGGCAACAGAATTTTATATATATATATATGTGTGTATGTGTGTGTGTGTGTATAGATATATAGCTTATATAGTTTTTTTATAACTATATATGTGGTAATGTTTATTTTTGAGACAGGGTTTTGCTATGTCACCCAGGCTGGAGAGGTGGAGTGCATTGGCACAGTCACGGCTCACTGCAGCCTCAATCTCCCAGATTTAAGCGATCCTCCTACCTCAGCCTCCCGGTAGTTGGGACCACAGGTGCATGCCATTATACCTGGATAATTTTTTTTTTTTTTTTTTTTTTGGGTAGAGACAAAGTCTTCCTATGTTGCCCAGGCTGATCTCAAACTTCTGGGTTCAAGGGATCCTGCCACCTCAGCTTCCCACACTGATGGGATTATAGGCATGAGCCACTGCACCCTGCCTAGGTAAACTTTTTTATTTAAGACATCAATGGTCGTTCATGACTGCTAATTTCCACTTAGTGTGTTCATAAACTACACCCCTACACACACACAACCTACACATTCATTGGTATTTGAATAAATAGTTAATTATCTTTGAACTTAAAAAAAAGAATTTTATTTAGGGAAATAAAATTCAGATTAAACTAACTTTTGTTGAATACCTACACAATGGAAAATATACCAAACATTCTCAAACAACCTGTAAAGATATTTGTTGCCACCCAAAAAATTCCAGCTGTGGGGTAAATCGAAGCTACCAAATTGGAAAAGCAGACACGAGAACTACCCCTGAATACAACTGGGAAAGAATAACAAATACATTTTTTAAAACTAAGAAATAAGGGGCTTTTGTATAGAAACAGGAATCGTATTCACTTTGTAACTCTAGAGGAGTGTTTTGAGGTTGTGGCTTGTCATTTGATTATTTAAATGCAAGTCCTTTTGTAATTATTTCTATTGTTAATAAATTCCATCCATCCAGCTTGGATGAGGTCATCAACACGTTAATGTGAATTTAGATTTTGAAAGAGAGAACTAGACAGCAGTCACAATCAGGCGCCCGGATTTCTCCCAATTACTGCCCCCAATTATTTCCACACCTATTGCTGACATGTTTAATCTCCTTCTCCTGGCCTAACCGACAGCTCGCATGGAGGAAGAATGCTAGCTAATGCACTGCTCAGCAGAGTGTAGGTCCAATTTAAATAATTAGAAGCCCATTTCATTTCCCCTCTCCTTGTAAGCGCACTTGAAAGGAAGGAAGGTGCATGCCCAGGCTTGATGCCTATAACTTCTTCGAGAATAACTTATCGACCTTCTTAAAGCCCCTTTCCTAACCAGCAATCTCTGTCTGTCCCCAAGGATACTGAGGATAAATTAAAGCTATTGGATGATAATCAATAAGCAAGGGTCATCTCTATTGCCTGGCTTAAAGGACTTTGATCTAGTAAATCATCAGTTACTGCCACCTATATTAGCCTTCCTATTAACCATGTGACCTGAATGAGTCCTCTTATTTTCTAAGTAGAATGAGACAGGAGATGCACAGCAGCTTCTGCTAATGAAGTGAGGCTGAGGTTCACTTGGGCTTGGGGCCTGTCTCCCATTTCTCCACAAAATGACTTCCCTCCGCTCCTCAAGTGTTTGGAAATCCTTTTCCACTTGGCAAAGACCTGAGTCGTAATTTTGTTGCTTGACATAAAGATGTTCATATATGTCCCTTTCATTGATTGTAGGCCCACAAGGGCAAGACTTCATGAGGTTCTGGTGACCAAGCATGCTCATCGCTGTCCTGGGACTGCTCCAAGTGCAATTCAAAGATGTTTGTTACAAATGAAGATCCTCTCCTCAGAGATCCTCATTCCCTGCATTTGAGATGGGCCCTGGGAACCTTCATTATTAACTCCTGAATTTCACTTGGACCAACACGGTGATGGTGACAAGCCCAGGTGGGGGCTGCATTTCAGGAATCTGCATTTTTGATAAGTTGTCTCGGTGATTCCTATGTACATTGAAGTATAAGAACCTCTATTCTAGAAAAGATATAAGCAAATAAACAGCTGCCTTGTATTAGTAAGTAAGGATAAAATAGAGGCTGGTTAAAGCAACAAGCAATTAGCTGCAGAACAGGAAAGAAGAGAAGGACATCAGGGATTCATTGAGGTACCCTTTAAGCTGCCTACGAAGGTGACCAGAAGGTGTCAGGCAAGAATGGGAGGGAAAATGTTCCAGACAAAAGAAACACATGAGCCAAGGCTTATGTAATAGGAGTTCAGAGTTTCTCCGGGAATTTGTAAACAATCCAATGAATTGGGACTTGAGGTGCACGCTAAGGTTCAAGGTGTGGTGGGAATTGAAGCTGAGTAGGAAGTGAGGATTAAGTCACAGGGGTATTTGAATATTGCTCTTCAGACAATAGTGAACATAGCTGTTCCAATATAATATATATAATATATTCCAATAATATATAATATAAGAATGAATTTATATTAACAGAAATTAGGAGGGATAGAACAGCCCTCTGTCCAGCAATATGCCCTCTGTTGCTCTGAACAAATAAAAAGGATACAAAAATGATTCAACATTCAAAAGACTTTTGCCTACTGGCTACTTACTATTTATTGAATCCCATATTGATTGAATGCCTACTATATGCCTGACACAAGAGTCAGCTCAGGAGAAATAATACTAAGTCACAAAGACATGGTCTGCCTTTCATTGCAGGTTCATGGTTTAACATTTACTATGTGGCAGGTGGTAGACTAACGGATAAGAAAAAAATGGTATCCCAAGGAATTTACAGTGTAAAAGAGGATTAAGTCAAATATACCTTCACACAGAAACACATACATGCATCTGTGCATGTCATCATAAACCACAGGAAAGGCAGGAATGAAAGATGATGGGATTTGGTGGAGAAAGACTGCATGAGAGGGGCCTTACAGCACAGATAAGGTTTTTGACAAAGGGAAGATGGAGCGATACAGTATTTTAATCCAAGGGAAAGAAAGAAAGCAGCTGAAGAGAATAGAGAATAAAAACTGAGGATAAGGATAACAATGACAATGAAGAGAATGAAGATTATGGCAATGACTAAGTGCCAGACACTGACGTAGGACAGACATTCCTATCACTTACCCTCGGAGTAACCCTTCAAAGCAGGTGATATTACCCTTGTTTCATATATAAGAAAAAAAAAACTCTTCAGTGGGTTAAACAACTTCTAAAGATGACAAAGCAAGTAAGTGAAAGAATCTAGACTCATTCATGTTCATTCATTCAATTTACTAAATATATATTTATTGTGCAGCTACTATATGACAGGCAGCTCTGTCTTAAACCAAGGTTCCTATAATTTTTCTCTGCAACACCTTAAAAATTAAGCAAAATTAGTTCTAGTAAATGATTGCATGAACAAGAAGATGAGGATTATAAGAAAGTGATATTTATAGCATGTTCTATGTCTTTCAAAGCATTTTTACATACATTATACCATTTAAGACAAACATCTTTACAACAAAGATGAAAAAAATGTCTAATGCCTGGTAAATATTGTGTATTAGATGTTGAATCTTTCATCTTTATTTTGATTCTTAAAACCTTCTATTCTTAATGGTATTTTTAATAGTTCTTTTTCATTTTTTTATTTTAATCAAAATATTCTACTGTTTTTAAGAGGAAAAAGAATAAAAGTGGTTCATACTCCAATATTTTAAAATAAAATTCTGTTTTAAAATAAAATATTCTTAGGGAGGCTGATTTGAGTAATAGACTCCCATCCTACTGCTTATTCTACTGATATCCAGGTATCCCATTAATATTTCTTAATATTTTATTGTAAAGTAATTTTAAATTTATAAAAATATTACAAAAATAATACAGAGTTCTAGTATTTTCTTTATTCAGCTTCCCCTAATTTGGACAACTGACAACTTGGGTGAGATCACAAGACAAGCTGAGCCAGTTTCTCCGTATAGGGTACCAGTCCAGGTGGTGCCAGTTCGTTCATCAGAATGAAGGGTCTGGAAAATATCTCAAACACCAATTTTAAGTTTTACAGTAGTGATGGTATCTATAGGAGCACTCGAGGAGTTTACAAATTTCATGTCTTCTGGCTACAATGGCTTGATATCTTCTAACTATGCTTGCATCTCAGCAGAGTTCATGCCCCTCCCATAATCCTAATCCTGCGGCCTTTTATTAGTGTTATAAAGGTGATTTCTTTTTTGAGATGGAGTCTCATTCTGTCGCCCAGCCTGTAGTGCAGTGGCACGATCTCAGTTCACTGAAACCTCCGCCCTCTGGGTTCAAGCGATTCTCCTGCCTCAGCCTCCCGAGTAGCTGGGATTACAGGCGCCTGCCGCCAGGCCCAGCTAATTTTTGTATTTTTAGTAGAGATGGGGTTTCACCCTGTGAGCCAGGCTGGTCTCGAACTCTTGACCTCTGGTGATCCACCCACCTCGGCCTCCCAAAGTGCTGGGATTACAGGCATGAGCCACTGTGCCCAGCCAATAAAGATGTTTTCAAACCCAAGAAATAAGGGGGTAGTTTTGGAAATTGCTATTATCCTTCTTGATTTAAGCTTAAACTATAAAGTTCTCCCAAAGTTAGCTTGGCCTATGCCCAGGAATGAACAAGAACAGCTTAGAGGTTAGAAGCAAGTTGGAGTCAGCTTTGTCAGATTTTTCTTACTGTCATAATTTTGCAAAAGCAGTTTGAATATTATTGTTACCTATTATGTTGCTCAAATTGTCCACTTTAGCTGTTGGGAGCTCTTTTAGGATGGCTTCTTTTTGACACTGCCTCATCTTTTTTATTATATTTTTAGAACTTCTTTACTTTCTGATACTGTAAGATGCTCCAGGCTCATTTTGTATTTTTGTGCCCCAGCCTTAGAATCAATCATTTCTCAAACAAGGAACCATAATTTTGAAACCACCTTTGGCAAAAAATTATAACTAAGAAAATTATGACAGTGAAAGAGATCTGACCTAACTGACTCCATCTTGCTTCTCACCTCCAAGTGGTCCTTTTTCATTCCTGGGCACAGACTGAATTAACTTTGGGAGGAACTTAACTTTGAAACAAAGATGGTAACAGTCCTTTCCCAAAGCAAACCCCCTTCCTGCCTGGGGACAAAACTGCCTTTGCAGAATTAACAAATTAGCCACAAGAGTAGAAATTGTGGTTTAGGAATCATGTGGCTAGAAGCTGCAAGATTCTGAACCTCCCCAAATTGCTCCTTGGGATAACATCACTATTGTAAAATCTAAGATCAGTGCTTGAGATATTTTGCAGACCCTGTGCTTGATGGATCAGCTGGTACCACCCAGATCAATAAACTGGCTTATCTAGTCTTGTGACTCCCACCCAAGAACTGGCTCAGTGCAGGAGAAGAGCTTCAACTCCCTATGATTTTATCTCCAACCCAACCAATCAGCACTCTCCACTTTCCAACTCCCTATCCACCTCCCTATCCACCAAATTGGCCTTAAAAACTCTGATCCCTAACCAGGCGTAGTGGCTCATGCCTATAATCCTAGCACTTTGGGAGGCTGGCGGGTGGGGGCAGGGGAGCGGGGGCGGATCATGAGGTCAGGAGTTCGAGACCAGCCTGGCCAACACAGTGAAACCTCGTCTCTACTAAAAATACAAAAATTAGCCTGGTGTGATGGCACATGCTTGTAGTCCCAGCTACTTGGAGGCTTAGGCGGGAGAATCTCTTGAACCCAGGAGGCAGAGGTTGCAGTGAGCTGAGACTGTGCCATTGCACTCCAGCCCTGGGTGACAGAGTGAGACTCCATCTCAAAAAAAAAATCTCCAATCCCTGAGTTTTCAGGGACACTGATTTGAGTAATAACAAACCTCTGGTCTCCTGTACAGCTGGCTCTGCATGAATTAAACTCTTTTTCTCTTGCAGTTCCCCCGTCTTGATAAATCAGCTCTTGTCTGTGCAACAGGCAAGAAGAACCTGTCTGGTGGTTACAATTTCTTTTGTCAAAGAATGAGATTTAGAAACCAAGATATGAGTCCTCATTGCTACAGAGTATCATTGTTCCCTGGACGTTTAAGCAGACATAGTAGGAAAATATATGTTATATACTAATTCATGCATATATACCCATTTATATTTATTTATCAACTTATATATGTACATATTAGAAACCATGAGTACATACTGATACTTCCAATTCCATTCCAGCACTACAAGGTCGATTCTGTCCCCTTTTCTTAGATATAATTTCTTTTTCCAACAGTGAGAAACTTGGCTTTTGTTATCTACAATATAGTCACTTTTTTGTTCAGTCCTAGAATAGTGTTTCACTACAAAATTGCTAAACAACACTGACAAAAAGATGTATTAACTAGAGTACAGTATGCATGTGCCTTTGAGAGGTGAAGCCAGCTGAGCTTCTGGGTCAGATGGGGACTTGGAGAACTTTTGTGTCTAGCTAAAGGATTGTAAATGCACCAATAAGCATTCTGTAAAATCGCACTAATCAGCACTCTGTGTCTAGCTAAAGGATTGTAAACACACCAATCAGCACTCTGTAAAATGGACCAATCAGCAGGATGTGGGTGGGGCCGAATAAGGGAATAAAAGCTGGCCACCCGAGCCAGCAGCGGCAACATGCTCGGGTCCCCTTCCACGTTGTGGCTTCGTTCTTTTGCTCCTCACAATAAATCTTGCTGCTGCTTACGCTTTGGGTCCACACTACCTTTATGAGCTGTAACATTCACTGTGAAAGTCTGCAGCTTCACTCCTGAAGTCAGTGAGACCACGAACCCACCAGAAGGAAGAAACTCTGGACACATCTGAGCATCTGAAGGAACAAACTCCAGACACACCATCTTTAAGAACTGTAACACCGCGAGGGTCCGTGGCTTCATTCTTAAAGTCAACAAGACCAAGAACCCACCGGAAGGAACCTATTCCGGACACACCTTCTTTCCATTTTAGCCTTATAGCATCCAGTCAAAATGCTGTTTCCCAAAGTTACCTAAGTTAGTTCATGTTTTCTGCATCCCCTTGAAAGAAATCAAAATATTTTATCCTAAAATGTATTTCTTTGACATCTTTTGAGATGACTGCCACAGGGCCAGCCAACTGAAGTTGTCCTGCAAAGCTGTCTTCTGTGGTGGAAATTTTCAACTGTAGAGAATTTCCATTAATCCAGTCAGCTCTTCTCCAATCCGGATCTAAGAAAGATTAACTAAGTCTGACACCTTTAAGGGTCTGAAAGAAACATTTACCATCTATTATCTCTAATGACTCCTACCTGTGAAGTTTCATCTGCATAACAAGACGACCTTTGCTAGCCAAGACTCTTCGTTTCTCTCTCCTATAACCTGTCTTATGGCTAAAATTTGATTTACTTTCATAACTTGTTCTTGGCCATGCCCTGAGTACACATTCTTTCTGTAAACTTAAAATGATGTATAAGCTTCTGTATCTCACTGGGGGGTGATATGGTTTGGCTCTGTGTTTGGCACCCAAATCTTATCTGGAATTGTAATCCCCAGGTGTTGAGGGAGGGACTTGGTGGAAGGTGATTAGATCATGGGGGCAGTTCCCCCATGCTGTTCTCGTGATAGGGAGTGTGTTCTCACAAGATCTGATTGTTTTATAAGGGCCTCTTTCCCACTTTGCACGCATGCATGCTGTTTCTCCTGCCACCTTGTGAAGATGGTGCTTGCTTGCCTTTCACCTCCCACCATGATTGTAAGTTTACTGAGGCCTCCCAGCCATACGAAACTGTGAGTCAATTAAACCGCTTTCCTTTGTAAATTACCCAGTCTCAGGGAAGTTTTTTATAGCAGTGTGAAAACGGACTAATACAAGGGGGTTAGGTCTTCAGTCTAAAGGCTCCCATGTATACATGCTAAATAAATTTGTATGCCTTTTCTCTTAATTTTTTTTTTTAAGACCCAGTCTTGCTCTGTCACTTGGGCTGGAGTGCAGTGGCATGACTACAGCTCACTACATCTTCAACCTCCTGGGCTCGAGCAATCCTCAGCCACCGGAGTAGCTGGGACGACAGGGGCATGCCACCATGCCCAACTTTATTATTGTTGTGTTTTTTTTTAGAGACAGGGTTTCACCATGTTTCCCAGGCTGGTCTTGAACTCATAAGCTCAAGCAATCCGCCCTCCTCAGCCTCCCGAAGTGATAGGACTACAGGCATGAGCCACCATGCCCTGCCCTTTTGTTACCGGCAGTGAACCTCAATTCTTGCCCCTCAGAAGAAAGAATTTGACCAAAGGGCATAAGACAGAGTGAGAGATGGTGGCAAGAGCAGAGGTGAAAGTTTATTATTAGAAAGCTTTAGACCAAGAATGAAAGGAAGTACACTTGGAAGAGGGCCGACCACTTGAGAGATCAAGTGCACACTTTGACTTTTGACTTGGGGTTTTACATGTTGGCATTTTCCAGGGTCTGCATTACTCTTCCCCTGATTCTTCTTTTGGGGTGGGCTGTTTGTTTGCATGGTGGCCTGCCAGCACTTGGGGCGGGGCATATGTTTACTGGAGTTGTATGCATGCTCACTTGAGGCATTCTTCCCTTACCAGTGTTATGTTCTTAGAAAGTCATATACCAGTTGAACTCTGCCATTTTCCCTCTTAATCTGCATCTGTGAGCCCACTCACCCAATTCCTGAGATCTTATTGGGAAGCTGCTGATCAGCAGTTTCAGGTGTTTCTATCAGTTGGGAGACTGCCTTTCCCAGTGCTGGCTGCAACCACTTATTATTTGAGAAATTAACAACTGCCTGAACATCACCTGATGGTTGCCTGTAGTTCCTGGGAAATGGGGGCCTCTCCTGCCCTGCTCATGTCTGCCTGACTACCTACTGTAATACTTTTCTCATATTAATCTGCCTTTTGCAAGTTGATTGTTTTTGGGGGGGCAAATCTTCAGAGGGTCAAGGGGAACCCTTCACCCTTCAGTGTGGTTATGTTGTTCATTTGTAATACTGAAACCACCCCCACAAGGTGGACAGAAATTGCACACTGGATTCTGGACAGAAATATAGTTATAACTAGAATAATTTGCATCCACGTTTTTCCTATAGACAGGATTTTTCCTACAGACATTAGAATCATAGGCTTTTGGTTAAAGATTGCTTAAGATGTTTCTCAGACCCTGAATTCCAGCAACCAGTTTGAAGACCCTCACAGAGGAGGAAGATCAGCATGAGAATACAGCTTCTTCATCTCCCTGTGCCATGACTTTACCCTGTACCCTTTTTTTTTTCCTTTCTTTTCTTTTTTTTTTTTTTTTTTTTTTGAGACAGAGTTTCGCTCTTGTTGCCCAGGCTGGGGTGCAATGGTGCAATCTCAGCTCACCGCAACCTCCACCTCCTGAGTTCAAGTGACTCTCCTGCCTCAGCCTCCTGAGTAACTGCGATTACATTCACGCGCCACCACGCCGGGCTATTTTTGTATTTTTAGTAGAGATGGGGTTTCTCCATGTTGGTCAGGCTGGTCTTGAACTCCCAACCTCAGGTGATCCTCCCACCTCAGCTTCCCAAAGTGCTGGGATTACAGGCATGAGCCACCGTGCCCAGCCTACCCTGTACTCTTTAACCAATCAACAATCTCCATACTTTGGCCCACTCCAAAGCCCTTAAAGACCCTAGCCCCAAACTCATCAGGGAGATGGATTTGAGGTCTTTTCCCATCTCTTTGTTCTGCGACCTCATGATCAAACATCTTTCTCTGCTGCAAATCCAGTGTCTCAGTATACTGACTTGCTGTGTGCAACAGGCAATGAAAATATTACAGTTACAATACAATTAGTTTTATTTGTTTCTGCTTGTATCTTTTTGGGGTCTGTCCCCCTAACTCCACATCCTGCTTGATGTATTTATTTTGGGAGTTATGTAAAGCATTATTCATTCCTAATTTCCTTTTAATCAATTTAGAGATACAGACCCCTGCTGAGCACCTACCATGTGCCAGGGACAGCCTGGGTATTTTTATTACCTATTATATGACTATAAAAACATAATATGACATTTTATATGTCAATACCTGGGTTATAAAGCTTTATGCCAAGATTTCAAAACTGATTTACTTTAATCCCTGAAAGGTGACGCCCCTTTTGTATTCTTTTATCCCCTTTCTTAATGGTTCTCCAACTCTGTGGATCTATAGATTCTTTGGCTCTACTTATATAAATAGCCTAAAAACATATCAGGAATGACGAGGCTTTCTCATGAAACTGTTCTTTCTCATGAAACACTAAAGGAATGTTACCTGTTTTAGTTTTTTAATTAACAATCATTTTTTATAATTCACACTCTAAAATGACAATGTTGACACAATATTTGTAAATACAAACAAAGACTGAGCACTCTTGAGGGCTCATTCATTTCAATTTGGGCTTTTAGAAGACACAGTTCTAAGTGTTTACAAGGACTTTTTGAAAGGCAGCCATGAGTTGGTCACTGGCCCTGCCTGGCATAGGCCCCTGTCCTCACATAGGACACAAGTGAGTTGGGAGAACTGTAAAGTATAGTGGATAATGTGCAATTTTTAGGTCAAAAGAGCTGTGCACCCTTAGGTAAATTTCTTCTTGTCTCTGAGTTGCAATTTCTTCATTTGTTAAGAAGGATACATTATATAAGTTACATATGTTATTTATATCATTTATATAAATATATATCATTTATGTATCTACTACACATTATATACATTATTTATCTCCCTTTACAATGAGGTAATAGAATCATTGTGATAATGAAATTATATGTGCCAAAATATTTTTAAGTTTTCAGCACATATAAAGTACTCAGAAAATGTCAGCTATTTAGTACCATTATAATTTCATTGCTATTTAAAACATAAATAACAGTAGCATATGTCATTCAATAATCTATAGTGTTTATTTGGTAAAAAAAAAAAAACAGATTCATCATCTGGGATGGAGAAGAGACAGAGAAAAAGAATGTTTATTAGACCTCATAACAATCTAATCCTGATAATAACCCATTAAGGTAGATATTAATAAACTCATCTGTAAAACAAGGATAAGTAACCTGCCCAAGGTCATGCAACTACTAAGTGACAAGGCTAAGTACTAATCTAGATCTCACTATTAAAAAGGGATACTGGGCAGTGAGTTAGCTCTTTTAGAAGTAGATATGCTTGGCTGGGCATGGTGGCTCATGCCTGTAATCCTAGCACTCTGGGAGGCTGAAGTAGGTGGATCACCTGAGGTCAGGGGTTTGAGACCAGCCTGGCCAACATGGCAAAACCCCATCTCTACTAAAAATACAAAAATTATCCAGGCGTGGTGGCGAGCGCCTATATTCCCAGCTATTTGGGAGGCTAAGGTGGGAGAATCACTTGAACCCTCGGGGGCAGAGGTTGCAGTGAGCTGAGATCATGCCACTGCACTCCAGACTGGACAAAAAAGCAAAACTCTGTCTCCAAAAAAAAAAAAAAAAAAAAAAAAAAAGGAGATGCTTCGGCTTTAGAAAAATGTCCTGAATTTTTGTATGGAGAACAGTGTCCAACAGGCGCCCAGAATAGAACCCGACAATATGGCAGAATCACTCCAGAGCATAGCGTATGTACAACTGGGCAAAAGAGACTTAGAACATGACCTAGTTCCTGAGTAGGAACATTCATTCATAGGGTCCTCTTAGGTAAGTCAATTCCACATTCTAGATTTTTCAGTTCAGAATTCATCCCACATATTCTGTGTCATTATCACCATGTGCATTTTTGGGCTAGGTTACCATTTTCACAGATCCAAGATATTACAGAAGAATTCCTACAAGTCTAGACTTGGCATCTCAAACTGGCAACTTGTCTTTCAAAGCCCGCAAACCCATTTTCTTCAGGAGACGTTACAAAATCAAATCTGAATGCTTCTTAATGTTGCATGTGGGTTTCCAGGCTCCTCCCGCCCCCTGAGTCACCATTCCTCCTTATTACCTTTTAGACCAACCCTCTTTATCCTTCATCCATATACCGTATGATGCTTGGCCCCTAAGAGTGTTTATGTTAATCAGGACCCACTCCAGACTGATTAAATGAGAATATCTGGATTTGGGGCCAGGATAGAGATTTTAAAGGCTGCCCTTGCCCAGGTGTTTCTAATGAACAACCAATGTTAGTCACAGCTCTAGCCCCTGCTCTCAATCCATACATCAATCTTTCTTTCTATTGTATTCTTCTCTTTGTAGTGAGCTGAATAGTGTCTGCCCCCCTCCAACAAATTAATGTTCATTTGGAACCTTAGACTGTGACCTTATTTAGAAATAGTCTTTTTTTTTTCTTTTGAGACAAGTCTTGCTCTGTTGCCCAGGCTGGAGTGCAGTGGGGTGATCTGGGCTCACTGCAACCTCTGCCTCACGGGTTCAAGTGATTCTCATGCCTTGGCCTCCTGAGTAGCTGGGATTACAGGTGTGTACCACCACGCCCGGCTAATTTTTGTATTTTTAGTAGAGACAGGGTTTCACCATGTTGCCCAGGCTGGTCTTGAACTCCTGACCTCAGGTGATCTGCCTGCCTTAGCCTCCCAAAGTGCTAGGATTACAGGTGTGAGCCACCGCACCTGGCCAGAAACAGTTTTGGGTTTTTTTAGATATTATTAGGCAAGAGTGTCAAAATGAAGTGTTCATGAATTTAAGGTGAGCCCTAAATCTATAGACTGGTGCATATGAGAAGAGAAGACACAAGAAAACACACATGGAAGAGAGTGATGAAGGCGAAGACCGGAGTGATGTAGCTCCAAGCCACAGAATGTCAGAGATCGCCAGGAGCCACCTCCGGGATAAGGCAAGGAAGGATTCTTTCCTAGAGCCTTCTGAGAGAGCACGACCCCACTGACACCTTAACTTTAGACTTCTAGCCTCCAGAATCGCAAGAGAATAAATTTCTGTTGTTTTAAGCCACCCAATTTGTGGTAATTTGTTAGGGCAGCCCTGGGAAACTAAGACGCCCTAAGACAAACTCACCTAATGTCTGCTGAGAATTGCTCAGATATTCTAAATGTCCGTGGATGTCTCATGCTTCCAGAATTAATTTGAAAATATTCTAACACTTAGGGGCACCAAAGGGGCTTTAGCAAGGAGGTAACTGTTCACTTGAGACACAGTCAGGGAGTCATGGACTCTAGGGTCTTCCAGGGGCCCATGGAGCCAGTGAGCTGGCCCAAATCCAGGGTTCCCTAATGCATCTTCTCATCACTTCATTTCCTTTCCATTAGTGGCGGTGGAGGACATGACTTTTATCTTTAGTGCCAAAGACACTAAGAGAATGAACTCTTCCTGGTAACTAATTAAGGTTTTATTGCCTTCTCTCCCATCATCTCCTCTCTTTTCTATTGTTTCTGTGCAGGTCCCACTTTCTGTAGTTGTTCTGGTTTTGACTTCTGTTTTCTCTTCCTTTCAGCAGATGGAAAGGCAGCTCAACATCTGAGAAGCCAGTCTTACTCCCTGCAGGCAACAGCTGCTTCCAGAAAACAGCCCTGTAATTGTCACCATCAAATCCATATATTTTCAAGGGAAGTTGGTCCCACACCAGAAGTCATAGCTGAATCACCAGCAGTAATGCAGGGACATACTGGTTGCTTCTTGGCTTTTCCAACCCTCTGCCATGCTTGAACATCTTTGTGAAAGTCCAGGAACAACAAATAAGCTTAAGGATAAAAGCCCCCCAGCCATACCACCACAACCCCCTGTTAAACTCATGCATGACTTGTAGAATCCTTTCCCCACTGTCACTAAAAGGCTTTTTACATTTTCCCTCCTTAAAACACCAGTTTACTGAATGGAACGCTATTTCCTAAATATTTGCTACACACACAGCTGTATATAGAGTTCCCAGGAGATGACTTTTTTCTTGTCATCTTTTAAAACTACAGTTATATGTTGATTTAATTATCTTCTCTCTAGATTACTTCACCAAAGTACAGTTCCTACAGGAAGATAATGATCTGACCTAACCTACTATTGGCTGAAGGTGAGAGAATTCTGGCATTGAGCTATATTTTAAATGTCTGTCTTCCTTATTAATAGAGTTGGTCCAGAATGAAAACAGCAAAAAGGATGAAGAACCCAGTGGGGAAGCGTAATTCTAACAGCTCGGCCATGTGAATGTTTCCTACTGCTAATACTTCACAGAAATGTCTCAGACCAAATGTCTTTACCTATGTGGTCCCCAGGCTTTTCTGTACGTTCGTATTACTTAAGGAGCTTTTACAAATCCTGATGCCCAGGTGATCCCCCACCCCCAACCCCAGAGCAATTAGATGAGAATGCCTAGGCATAGGAGCTGGGTATCCATATTTGTTACAGATGTGCAGTTGGTTTCAATATGCAGCAAAGTTTTGGACACAGAATAGTTACTAAAATGACCAAATATTTAGATTTTACCATGGCTCTAAAACTCTGCAAAACAGAAATGAGATTATCTCCCCCTCCCTAACAGAAATAGATTTTCAAAGACAAGGGACTTTGAGATTCTTAGAGAAAGATATTATGTAAATACAGGCTATTATTATTGCAAGTTGGCAGGTGTCTGGGACATATATTTCATTCTCTTTAATCATCCAAATGAGGCCAAATGTCCCAGGGATGTGGAATCAGCCCATCATTATGCCTAATGGGTACCAAGGATCCAAATGCAGGTGTTATGAGAGGCAGCAGGAGCAATCATTGAGCTCACTTCTACCACTGGGACAATCTTCAGCTGCACACTTTATTGGAGGCAAACTGCCCCCCTCCAAGATCCAGAATCTGCTGCTATTCACTTCTGGCTCAGCAATGTGCATTGCAGAGCAAGCGGCCTTTTCTTCACTGACTGATAATATGAAAAGGAATAGACCTTATCCTTTTCTCTGAGGCACATCTAGCCTCATCATGCAAAATGAGAGTTTAATATTAATCCACTCATCTGAGTCTAATTCAACATAAAACATACCCCAATCTAACGATAAAGCCTAGAACTGCTGATATACCATACAGTAACCTCCTGAGTCTTGTCTTTTCTGCAGCAGTAACTATAGCAATAAAAGGTTGGGGGAGAGTATAAATATTTAAGGACCAAAATAAATCTTTAAACGTTGAACAACCAGGTTATGTGATGGGTTAAACTGGCGACTGGTCCCGACATGGCAGCTCGTCGAATAATGATAGAAACAGCAAAACCTTGGCCATTCCTTTCCTATCAGTGCAGCATTAGTGCATGTCAGCTTTGTAATAACTTAACTAGCTAGAGCTAGCAGATGGTGTTTTTATGGCCCTATATAAACAGTATTAAGTCATTTTAACTCTTTCTCCATAACTCAGGTTTTCAATCTAGGCTGCAGTTGTCCACCTCTTATCCTCTGAGATGCTCATGAGGAAGAGTACTAACATTTATTGAGCACCCGTTATATACCAGCCACTTCTCATAGGGATTTATTAACTCCAATTTACAGAGAACAGCTACTAGGGGCAGAGCCAAGATTTGAACTGATTGTTTGATTCCATTGCTGTGGTTCCTCCCACTATTAGCATATCATTCTGAACCTCTGTTTTCATTGATTAAATGCACAGGAAGGAGAAAAGCAGCTGAAGATGTCTGTTGAGTGATTACCCTCATAATCCGTGACTAAGAACATCCAAATCAGCATGGCTTCTTCCTGTCTGAAATTATTACTACTTAGGGTTTTTCACGTGTTATTTCATTTATTGATTATTCTGTTTTAAACTTGCAAGACGTATTGTCTCTTCAGAAATAAAACTTTATCACTTGCTTCATCAATTCAATTAATTTCACAATGCATTGATTAAACTCCTACGTAAGCATTTCAGCATTTTAAAACATTTTTAAAAAGGTAAAATCAGGACTGTCATGTGAATGATATGCCAAAGGTTTTATTCAACTCATTAATTAATGAAGGAACAAGTGAGGTATATATAGCCATTTTAATAAACAAATGTTAGAATAAGATTGCTGGGTTACATATGAAATTGACTAATGTCTTACCATAACCTTTGGGGTTAGCACTTCCAAGAGACAGGTATTATTTGCATCTCTACTGGACAAAATTAACAAATTAACCTATGCCCCTACAGAATTGTAAAATAGTCCAGTCAATATAAAGTCAAGCCAAGACCAGGGCTTAACCATGCTGTAATCCCTTTTGTTTATTTCCAAGTTTCAATAATTTTCCTGACATTGTTTAGACACTGAAGTAGAAGATGTATGCATAGACAGTGACTGGAAAAACGTAGTCACTGTCTGAAAAGCCTTACCTCAAAGTTTCAGACTACACAACTTGGAAACATTCTTTTTTTTTTTTTTTTTTTGAGACAGAGTCTCACTCTGTCACCCAGGCTGGAGTGCAATGGCGTGATCTCTGCTCACTGCAACCTCCGCCTCCTGGGTTCAAGCGATCCTCCTGCCTCAGCCCCCCAGTAGCTGGGACTACAGGCACCCGCCACCATGCCCAGCTAATTTTTGTATTTTTAGTAGAGACATGGTTTCACCATGTTGGCCAGGCTGGTCTCGAACTCCTGAGCTCAGGTGATCCACCCACCTCAGCCTTTCAAAGTGCTGGGATTACAGGCATGAGCCACCACCCCCGGCCAGAAACATTTATATCTTAAAAGGCACCTATAAGTTATCAGGTAATGTAGTATAAATTGTATGCATTTATGCTAAAATAAATCAAAGGGGAGAGGTAGTATAAGCTGGGCTAAGGAAGGAAGTCATCTTGGAAAAGGAAGTCGTCTTCAGAGCTTGGTAGAACTTATAGGGTGTAGTTTAATGAAGATGAAAAAGAAGAAGTATCCAAATAGGAAGAACAGCATGACATTAAAAGTAGGCACAGAGATAGAGCTATACAACATTGGTTCTCAGCCATGGCAGCAAATTGCTTTCACCTGGGGAGCTTTTTAAACTCCTGATCCCCAAGCTGCACCCATACTAATTAAATTAGAATCTCCAGGGATGGCACAAAAGCCACAGTAGTTGCTGCAGCTCCCCAGGTGATTTCAATGGGCATTTGCAGCTACTCAAGTGTGGCACATGGACTGACAACCACTAGCAGTACCTAGAACTTTGTTAGATCTGCAGACAGCAGCACCCGCTCCCTGACCTACTCAGTCAGAATCCTGTACATCAACAAGATCTGCCGGTGATTAGTAGACACATCAAAATTTGATAAGCTGCAAGATACTTTGCAGACAGTTCCCACCATCCCTAAACATAAGAATCACCTGGGGCACTTGAGTGACCTGCAACTTCCCAGACCCATCCCTTAGAGAACTGGAGTTGTAAAACAGACCCGTGGATAGAAAGTCAAGCCAAGACCAGGGCTTAAATATGCTGTAATCTCTTTTGTTTATTTCTAAGTTTGGATAATTTTCCTGACATTGTTTAGACACTGAAGTAGAAGATGTATGTATAGACTGTGACTGGAAAAACCTAGCCACTGTCTGCAAAGCTGTACAGTAAAGGGCTTTGAGACATCCTGAGATAGAGCCAAGAGAAGATGAGATTTATCAAGCACTTACATGTTAGTCTTATCAAAGAAGTTTGAGAAACATTGAAAAGAGTTCTCCATTTATGGGACCAGTAAGTTGATAGCCTTGACTATCAGACTAACAGAAGTTTGGCTTGATCTGATGATGGTTCTCAGCTCTGGTTATATATAGAATCACCTGGGGAAGCTGTTCAAAAATAAACGTATCTGGATCCCACTCACAAAGACTGTTTGGTACGGTATGGAACTTCTGTTTGTTTGTTTTTGTTTGGTAGTTGTTTGTTTTGAGACGGCGTTTCACTCTGTCACCCAAACTGGAGTGCAATGGCGTGATCTCAGCTCACTGCAACCTCCACCTCCCGGGTTCAAGTGATTCTACTGCCTCACCCTCCCAAATAGCTGGGATTACAGGAATGCACCATCATGCTCGGCTAATTTTTGTAGTTTTAGTAGAGACGGGGTTTCACCATGTTGGCCAGGCTGGTCTCAAACTCCTGACCTCAGGTGATCCGCCCACCTTGGCCTTCCAAAGTGCTGGGATTACAGGTGTGAGCCACTGCGCCCAGCCTGTCTGTTCTTAATGTACAGTCAGGATTGAAAAAACCACTGTTTTAAGAAGCTACCTCCCCTTGAAGGAGGAAAAAAAAGTGATTAAATGTTATTTTATAACATGTTAACTGACAAAATATTGATTAGGTGTTAGAAAAATCTAAAGATACCTACCAGTTAGATGATGGCAATCAAGCAGTGGAGATGGTTGTTGGAATGGAGAGGAAAGGATGAGTCTGTGAGAACAAAGGTCAGAAGAAGTTAGTAACTAATTAGAACTATGAAATGGAGGAAATATGGAGGGTTATTGGAATATGTCTACAACTTTATGAGGAGAAAGAGGAGTTGGAATAGAATCAGCCCCACACTGGGAAATTGGGAAAAGGAATCAGTTTAACGGATAAATCTATTGAGTCAGTTTTAGACTGTACATTAAGAACAGACAGGCTGGGCGCGGTGGCTCACACCTGTAATCCCAGCACTTTGGAAGGCCGAGGTGGGCGGATCACCTGAGGTCAGGAATTCGAGACCAGCCTGGCCAACATGGTGAAAACTTCCCATTCACATGTTCTCACTCATAAGTGGGAGTTAAACAATGAGAACACATGGACACAGGGAGGGGAACATCACACACCGGGGCCTGTCGCGGGGTGGGGGGCAAGGGGAGGGAAAACATTAGGACAAATACCTAATGCACACAGGGCTAAAAACCTAGATGACGGGTTGATAAGTGCCACAAACCACCACAGCACACGTATACCTATGTAACAAACCTGCACGTTCTGCACAGGTATCCCAGAAGTTAAAGTAAAATTTAAAAAAATTAAAAATAAAACAAACACAGAAAGTATAAGGGTATGGTGTAAGCCATGAGTAAAGCATTGCTGTGGTAATATATTATCACTAAATATGAAGTAAAATAAAGTCATATAGCCTAGGCAACATGAAATAGGCTCCAGCAGAAAATCCAAAATAATGACCAGGGCTACAAGGGGTAGGAGAGGGTAGCTCTGCCTATATGAAGAGAGGCAAGGAGCTGAGGAAGATTGCTTTGGTACAGGGCAAATCAGGGCAGGACAGCATTAAAAACAAAAAAAAAAGAAATAGTGGTTGAAGCACTATTTCATGTTGAAGCATTAAAGCATGAGTGAAAATAAAGCCTAACAAGCTAAGAACAAACACAGAGGTTATTCAGAGCTTTTGATAGCAATGGAGACAGCCAACTTCACTTGTGTTTGGTAGAGACTCTAAATAAGAAGTAGGAAAACTTTATAGTGAAAGAAAGGGAAAGCTTAGGTATGCCTTCACTGGAGGTGCTGGCACAGAGAAGCTGAAGGCTGTTGACTAGAAGAGGGGTATTCTGTGTGACTGATTGTTTTGGGGAGCATATTTGGCTTTCTCTGGTTGGTTCCGAGTTGAAGGTAGGACTGAAAATTCGGGAAGCTGACAGTCAAGCTGACCAAGTCCTGATCATTCTGGGCCAATTGCAGAAGTTGTGGGTCAGAGTTCTATGGACATGTGGGGTCTGAACATTTTCCACTTGTATGTAATATCCTACACTATCAGGTTTTTAAAAAAATGATTTTAAAAATAAACCAGGTTGTTTAAATGACTTTTTCACCTAGCTCAATGCATTCAATCCTGTTTGGCCACATCCACATCCATACTTATCCCTTGAGATCTTTTCAGATATTGTCTCATTTGGATTCTACTTTAGAAAAGGGAAACTGTTTTAAAATATAGGTGTGATTATTATTTAGGTATAGCAAAACCAACAGATCAGGACACGACTGCCATTGAAGAGATAGTTTGTCATACTCACAGATCCCAAGACGAGAGGAGAACACACAGAGAAGCACAAGTTATTGTGGTTTCTGCTGCAAGGCACAGGTAAGACCGGGTAAACGATTTAGGATTGGCTAATTTGAATAATTTCAGTGGCTTCTGGCATAGGGGCTGTCCCTAGCTGTCTGGTATCTGGCCCCTGCAGTGATTAGGGCAGGGGATTGTGACACCGAGTGTTGAAGGCGCAACAGAGGAGGTGGTTGGAAGTGTGGGCTCTGGATTCGTCGGTTTGCATGTAAAAGGGTTGCTCCAGATGCTCAAGGTCAAATTGTTTACTATGTCTAGAAAGTGGCTAGTCCTGGAAGGGGCAGTCCCCCCAGGGTCAGCAAGGCCTCAGGGGTCAAAGCATCAAGAATACAAAAAATAAAAGGCATCATGAATGGTAGATGCACCTGAGAGCAGTAACTTAAGACGAAGAATGTGTGTTTGAAGTTCTAAGCTAAAAAAATCCAGAAGTGGCCAACCTGGAGACTCATTCCTTATCTATGAGGAACATCTGGACCCTGGCCCGTCCCATGGAATGTGGACTGCAGCAGGGATCGAGGCCCTTTATTGTGGGTTGAATGAGGGTTGCCACATGGAGGTTGCTAGGGGGAGGCTGCTAAGCGAACATGCTGTATAAACTGCATACTTTTTACAAGTCGTTACAGTTCTCCTGCCCAGCCCAACACCTCTGTACCATTCCCGTATGTAAGTTCCCAATAAGCCCTATGTCTCATTCTCTGGCTCCAGGTCTCTTCTTCAGCCTCTTGAACCTAATGCCAGTTCCCATTGAAGTTAATAGGGAACTATTGACACATCATTAATACACAACACATCATGTATTAATGCACAACACATCATTAATACAGAAAGTATAATAAGAAATGGAAATTCACAGCCCCCACTCTCTATAAACTGCTAACATCACAGTAGTTATGATAGCTACTAGAGTTACTTTATGTGACATTTCAAATGACAAGAGCATTTGACAAAACCGTGAATCATTCCATCATCCTGGCTTTGCTGCCTGGGGCATTAATAGAAATACTGAAGCATAAAGACCACCAGCCTCCACCCTATCAAGGCTTTAGCACAAGGTCTTTCATTTCTGAGCCTTCCCATTTTAGAATAAACTAAGGACAGATTTCTATTTTCCCTGGTAACTGGAACACTTGAGGGTCAATTAAATGACTGCCCATTCATCATACCCTCCCTTTTCATGGTGCCTGAGCTGCTGAAAACATTGTTTTGTCTTGTTTCTGCAACACCCCAAGGATTTCCCATTGAGGCAACACTTCCTTTGTTCTTTGTAAGTGAAAGTTGGGATTAGCACAGATCATTTACCTGAAGCTCACTTTTTTATACCTTTAATGCTTAGGAGATTAGCATTCCTCTTAGAAAAACTCCCTATTGGCCGGGTGCGGTGGCTCACGCCTGTAATCCCAGCACTTTGGGAGGCCGAGGCAGGCAGATCACAAGGTCAGGAGATCGAGACCATCCTGGCTAACACAGTGAAACCCCGTCTCTACTAAAAATACGAAAATTAGCCAGGCGTGGTGGCAGGCACCTGTAGTCCCAGCTACTCGGGAGGCTGAGGCAGGAGAATGGCGTGAACCCAGGAGGTGGAGCTTGAAGTGAGCCAAGATCGCGCCACTGCACTCCAGCCTGGGCAACAGAGCGAGACTCCATCTCAAAAAAAAAGAAAAAAAGAAAAAGAAAAAGAAAAACTCCCTATTAAAGGAGGGCAGTAAACTCTTTTCTGCAGTGGGATGGAAGGAGACAGAGCAGAGTCTTGTAGTCAGAAGGGCTTGGATTGGATGCTAATTCTGAGGAGCCACACCCTCACTGTTCTCCATGTGGCCAAGCATAAAAGCTCTGTTTTATTTTCTAAAATCACAAATTATTTTGTAGTAGGCTATATTGTACTTGTCTGACTCCCCCATCAGTAAGGAAGCTCCTTGGGGATAGAGATTAGATCTTAAATTCATCCTTTTTATTCCCTAGCCGGCCCTTAAAGAATATTCGTTAAATTGGATTGCCTTATGCAGCACAGCTACCTCTGTGACACTTAAAACTCTACCGCTCTTCTAAGGGACAATGCCAGAGAGCCTGGCTCCCAACAAATAGGAAATAAAAGAGAAATCCCAAACCTCAGAAAACAAGAAGGTCCAGAGTGGCAGCACCCTGTTATAGAGTGAAGGAAAGGAATCAGTAATAGCAGCAGCAGCAGCAGCAGCAGCCTTTATCAAGAGCCTGTTCTATGCCAGGCACCGTTATCAATGCTTTATTTGTGGTAACCACCATCACTGAACTTCCCTGGAAGCAAAGTCTCCCACTCACCTCTGTGAACCATAAGATTTGAATCAGAAATCTATTCTTGCTTACTTCTAGGTTTCTTTGTATATTGTCATTCCTTGTTTAGAAGTCCTTTTGAAAAAAAAAAATTCAGTCCTGCCTATACAAACAAAAAACTTTATTTGCTTCATTTTTGTTTTTCACCTAACATTGGTGAAGACACATAAATAATCCAAATGGAATGTGAGTTGGAGACAAGGGGAAGGGAGTAGTGGCAGGGGCAACAGAGCCTGGGGATACTGAGGAAGCCAGGCCAAGCGTGGAAGAGCTCCTCCACAGCAACACTTCCCTGCAGCTTCATCTTTGGCTCCCAGATGCAGGAAGTAATTACGATGCCTTTGCTCATAAAATGCCTGGCTTCTGCCTGTCTACACCAGTGTTTTTCTCATTCCTGAACTACACAATAGCAAGGTAAAGATGGGGAAAAAATCTTTTTAGAGTGCAGTGCAGCTCTGATCCAAAGCACTCAGCCTCTCGCTAATGCTTTCTCTAAGCAGGGAAGTACTTTGTAAGCAATGCCTGGTGCATCTTCACAGCAGCATCACAAGGCTAAATGTATGGTATTATTCTCTCCATTTACCAAGATGTAAAACAGATTGCTTATGGCAATCTGAATGATTCTGCCAAGGTCACAGGCAAAGTCTAAGTGCCTGAGATGGAACCAGGGTCTTGGGATTCTTATATCATGTTTGAATCTCCTAGACATGGGAACCCGGATTTAGTATTGAATATTGTACCTGCCAACTGAAGTTCTTTAAAATTAGTACAATGTAAATCCAAGGAAAGGAGCTTGTATTTGTCATTGCAAAAGCAGGTACAACTTTAATGTGGCCTTCCCACCTCAATATCTAGCTTCACGCCTTGATCAGTGTCATGGGGATGGGATTCTTTAAATATTCAGCACCTCTGCTACACATCCTATTCCACCGGTCTTTCTGTATCAGTAGGTTAATAGATGCAAAGTGGACATAGTGTGGAGTATTTAAGGTGATGGATATGTCCTTCCTGCCACTATAATGCTTTGGCTAACCCTGGCTGACACCCTATCTAAGACAAAATATTTCAGCAGCACAAGAAGTATCTAGGTTAATAGCTGAACATTTGCACCTGTCTTGCCCACACAGAAAGTACTCAATAGGCCTCAAATACAGAAATCCTTTAACCTACTGCAAAAACTCTCAGTCAATAGAAGCAAATGGTAGCCTTTAGACAGAGCCCAGCATGGAACAGGAAACTGTATTCCCAATGCCTAGAGATTTTGCTAGTGTGAAATATAGTATTCAGGAAGGGGGTGACAGATACTGGAAGACTGGTTTTGGACAGGTGACCAGGTATATGGTCTGCATTTCTCTGTGAGGCATTACAAGCTATTTAATTCTGATCAGTCTAGAGTTACAGGCTTTCTGTGTCTGCAGATCATCGTCACCATCTCTAATACTACCCTCACCAGAAGTCATTTGTCCTCCATGTTGGACACTGAATAAAGGGTCTGGGTCCTTATTTTGTGAGCTCTTATAATCTTAGCTATGTGACACTGACATCAATAGACTTAAAAAATACATCAATCAGAAACACCTGAACCAGCATAAGCAATTACACAAATACAAATTTAGGATCAAAAGAACTGAGTGGGCCGGGTGTGGTGGCTCATGCCTGTAATCCCAGCACTTTGGGAGGCCGAGGTGGGTGGATCATCTGGGGTCAGGAGTTCAAGACCAGTCTGGCCAACATGATGAAACCCCGTCTCTACTAAAAATATAAAAATTAGCCAGGTGTAGTGGCAGATGTCTGTAATCCCAGCTACTGGGATGGCTGAGGCAGGAGAATTGTTTGAACCCAGGAGGCAGAGGTTGCAGTGAGCTGAGATTGCACCATTGCACTCTAGCCTGGGTGACAAGAGTGAAACTCTGTCTCCAAAAAAAAAAAAAGAACTGCGTGGTGGACGATGAAAACAGAGTTAGGAAATTCCATTTTCAGACTGACAATAGTACAGAGCACCAAAGATACAAAATGAATGATCACTGAAACCCACTGTGGAGTTGATCAACCAGTGTTGACATATATTCAGAAGTGTGGCAGAGAAACATCTGTATGACTGACTGACGGGCCTGGACTTCATCTAAACACGTCACTTTGAAAATCAGTTTTTCAAAGATTATGTTTCAGGAGCTCTTCAAATATGGGAAAGAAGAAATGAATTAGACTAACATCCACAAAGCAGTAATGTAAAGCAACATCCTCAATTGTCTGATAGATAATATATATAGGCCATAGGAATTTAGAAGGAGTGACAGGTAGGCATTCTAGGCTCAGGAATGACAGGGTGGTGGAGTGCTTGCAAACTGAAGGGAAGTTTTCGGATTAATCAATGTTTATGCCAGTGCAAATAATAAAGCCGTATCTGTCCAGTTCTGTTCCCTGCCCAAGGGCCCTATTGTCCTTACCAAAAGAAAACAGAAGGGCATCTATATGCAATTTGCCCAGCTTGAGTGCCCTGCCAAGGTGGACATTTAGAAATAGCCAACGGAGGAAGGTGGAAGGCAGTGAAAAGCGCGGTGGCTCACGCCTGTAATCCCAGCACTTTGGGAGGCCGAGGTGGGTGGATCACCTGGGGTCAGGTGTTCAAGACCAACCTGGCCAATATGGCAAAATCCTGTCTCTACTAAAAAATACAAAAATTAGCCGGGCATGGTGGCAGGTGCCTGTAATCCCAGCTACTTGTGAGGCTAAGGCAGGAGAATTGCTTAAACCCGGGAGGCAGAGGTTGCAGTGAGCCAAGATCACACCACTGCACTCCAGCCTGGGCGACACAGTGGGACTCCATCTCAAAAAAAAAGGAGGATCTCACAAGTACAGACCTGTTTCATGATGCATTCCTGCCATCACCAGGACAAAATAGGCCAGTCACCCCTCAGCCAGAGCAATTTCCATGTGGAAACACACAAACACATCCATTACTCATCACACACTTCAAATTTCAGAACTTGGATTCCAAGTGAGAACAGTGAGTGGAGAGGGGCGATTCTTGTGATTTTTTTAATTTTTCTGGCTATGTACATTCCAGGTCCTTCACTTCCTAGCATACTTTGAGGAAAACTCCATTGTGTTATAGACACTACCACACTGAAAGCTGAAAGAGCCAGATCCTCTCTCCTTCCTGCTTGGGCACAACCTAAAGGTGGACAAATGACTTGGGCTAGGTCAGTTGGATGCTGTCTCCAAACTGTAGACTCATGAGTGAGTATCACAAAGATGTCAGAATAGTGGAGGCCATTCTTGATGGCAAAAGTAGCAGCAGGAAAAAAACTACACTGTTCTTTCTCTAGTCTTGTTTTTCAAATTACTTTCATTCCTGATTTTTGGAGCTTGTTTGGTTCTTCCCTGTTTTCCAAGACCAGTCCTTGAGTCTCCTCTTAAATCTAAGATTCTGATACCCCCACCAATAAGTTTCCATTTTGCTAGAATTGGTGTCTGCTACTAGCAACTAAGAATCCTGACAGTATTACAGATTCTAGAGTCTCCTCATACCTCTCTTGAACTTTGTCTAGCCTGTCCAATGACCCGGTTGCCAGTTATCCACCAGAAACTATATCACGTCAATAGCATGCTCTCTAAATTCTTCCTCTGTATGTCTTTGCCTTCCAATTCCTTTTCTGGTGTTCTTAAAGCCTAAGATATTTCTCTGAAACTCTACCACTCACTACAAATATTCTTGCAGCATAGAATTCTTAGTGGAATGATGGGAATGCTCTAGAAGACGCTCAGGAGTCTACAACCGCGTGAAATGCAAACCTTTCAATGCTTCAGATTCAGTGCATTCTCCTCATGTACCCAGAGCTATTTTATTTAGTTAGGTTTTCAGGGAATCCAGCTTCTATTTGTCAGGTTTATGGTGTTGATGCTTCTCTCTCTCACTGAGGTGTTCAGAGTCTTAATTAGATAGCGGGTATAAAGTGCTTTGACAGCATCAGTTGAAAAGTGCTAGAGAAATCTCTAGGGAATTTCTTCGTTTTTGGCTGGAAAAACACAAGAAAATTAGAAAGCTTCAACAATAGAGCTGAGGTTTACGAGTAAACTTTTAGGTTTTTCTCATGCATCTGTGTGTGGTATGGTACAAAGTGTGAATTTTTTTTAATTTTTATTCTCAACTGTAAGTGAAAGAACCATGTCGAAGTCCCCTGCAATATACATTAAATTTAAGTTCTCCATGATGGATTTGTGGTATGTAAATAATTATATTATTATCTGCAGACCTAGACTCTTTGGAGCAAAGGGGAGACCTTCCCAGAATTATGTATTTAGTTAACACTTCCAGGGGTAACTCTGGGATCCAAATTTCAGCACAGTTATGAAAGGAAACACCTCCTAAAACACATATCTTCTGAGTAGGGGGTCCCTTTCCTGAGAATGAGACATAGTATTCATTTGTTTCTTAGGATTTACACTTTGGGTTAATTTAATTACTTCTCAGTAAGCCAAATCCTCTGCTTCGAAGCAGACAAATGATGGTAGAGTAAACAGCAGCATACATGGATCAAAAGCCTTTTCATTTAGAATGAAAAGATCTGGATAGAAGGCAGCCCTCTGCACTGAGCCAAACTCCACAAGCAGTGACTCATGCACTACCCCCGGGAACGAGGCAGATGTTGACCCTGGAGTTGTGTGCAAGTAACAGACTGTTGTGTTTGACTGACTGAGGGTAAGACCGGATTAGAATGAAGAGAAACCCAGCAGGCCTGCAGCTCAGCCCGGGGATCTGGGCCTACACAGTAGCCATGCTTTCTCCAGGAATCTTTTCAAAATGCGAAACTCACCCAAATCTTTCTTTACTATCCAAATTGTTGTAGCATTAAGCATGGTCTTAGATCACAATGTTCCCTTTTTCCATTTCTTGTAGAAAAGGTTTTTTTTTTTAATTTAATCTTTGATTCTATATTTGGGAAAAATTGCAAAGGACTCACTTGGGGAGTAGGCGAAATATATGTACAGTGGTATTTGGAAAAGGACGTGCTGGTCTCTTTTAAATACTTCCATGTATCACCTCACAAGAAAAACAAAAATTTATTTGTTAATATATAATAAAGTGTCATTTCAGATCAGTGAGGGAAAAATGGAGCTGGAGCAAATGGCTAGTCTTTTGGACAAAATTAATCTTTGTCCCTTTATTACTTGTCGTACCAAAAAAATTATAGATGGATCAAATATTTAAATATAAATAGTGTCATAAATGCATTTGGAAAAAAAAATTAAGTGAACTCTGTCTATTATCTTGAATGACAAAATCCTTCCTAGACATGACACAAAACTTAGAAGTACAAAGGAAAAGATTGGTAAATCTAAGTATATAAAATGTTAAAATTATTGATCAAATATTTAAATATAGATAATAGTGTCACAAATATATTTGGGAAAAAAATAAGTGAACTCTGCCTATAACCTTGAATGACAAAATCCTTTCTAGACATGACATGAAATTTAGAAGTACAAAGAAAAAGATTGGTAAACCTAAGTCTATAAAATGTTGAAATTATTTACAGTAATGTCGTATTCAAAGTCAAATGGTAAATGATAAACTTTGACAAGTTTTTTAAGTATGACAAAGAAATAATGCCATAAACGCACTACAATGGCTTGCATATCAGGCCAGGTGCAGTGGCTCACACCTGCAATCACAGCAGTTTGGGAGGCTGAGGTGGGAGGATTGCTTGAGCCCAGGAGTTCAGGACCAGCCTGGGCAACATGGTGAGACCCCATCTCTACAAAAAAAAGGAAAAAAGAAAAAAGCTGGGTGTGTTGTGGTGACACACACCTGTGATCTCCCTGCACACCAGCCTGGGTGACAGAGTGAGACCCTGTCTCAAAAAAAAAAAAAAAAATAGAGAGAGAAGCAATTCAATAGGAAAATCAGCAAAGGATCTGAACAAGTGGTTCACAGAAAATAAAATAGAATAGTCCCCAAAGGGGGAATGATTGAAACTCACTCAAAATTAAAGAAGTATAAATGTGACCAAAATGAGTTACTGTTTCTCCTATTATATTGACAAAGATGAAAGCATTTGCTAATCCTCATCATTGCCAAGGATGTGAGGAAATGGTCGCTTGCATACACTATTGGTGAGAGTATGAATTGGTGCCATGTTTTGAAAGACAACTGGTAATATCCCATAAACTTACACTTAAAACAATTTATCCCACAGATACACAAATATAAACATGGATAGATATTTATTGCAGTGTCTTTTGTAATAATCAATAATCTAGGAACATCCTGCATATGTATTAATAGAGAATTGATTAAATAAATTGTAGAAAATTCATACAATGGACTGCAGCTATTATAAAGATTGGGGTAAATCTATATGCATTATTATAAAAAGGTGTTCAAGATATACAGTTAACTATACAAAAAGGCTAGTTGCAGAAATGTAACTATAGTATAATGCCACTTGTGAAAATAAAAATGTTCTTGAGATGTAGACTTATTGAACATTTCTGTAAAGAAACACAGAAAATTGCTCATTGCAATTATCTCTGCTTAGTGGAAACTTCATTTTTATCTTTTCATACTCTTAATTTTTACCATGAACTTTCTTTACTTTTACAATAACAATCTAGCTTTAAAAAGAAAAAAAGTCTTATCTAGCATTTTCTAGAGAGCACTTATCTACCACACATTTGTTTTTACTCAATAAACATTTACTGAAGGTAAACTATTTATCTGAATCCAAAGATATAAATAAAGATGTCCATAATGCAAGCCTTGCCCTCCAAAAGCTGACCTTATATCTACAGAGGTAGAGAGGGAGCCAGGTACCCCAAATAAATAACTGCCCACCTAGATGAGTGCAGTAAGAAAGACCCTCATCCTTTGAGATACCCAATACCTTTTCATATGCAAGATTCCAAAGAAGCCCACACCGGACTCACTCAGGCAAACTTCAGCCTCTATTGTGATCTCAGACACCAGAATAAAGACCCCACCAGGAGACAGGGTCTTCACAGCACCCCCTAAAATTGGACCATAGCTATCCTTTGAAAGGCTTTGTCAGCCACTCAATGAAATGTTAACCTTTGGAAGCGCATCTTTCAGACAACCTGGGTCAAGGGATCTGGCTCTCAAATATGAGCCCACTCTCCACAGGAACTGCAGGTCTATGAAGCCTTAGATACGGAGCAATTACAACGAGGAAGAGGGAAAGTGAATGCCTGAAGCTTTCATGATAAGCAGAGGGGTCTCAGCTACAGCTGTGTAACAAGTATTATTCTCCAAGCACTGTTGCCCCTTCCTCCAACCCCCTCTTTAATGTGAACACCCAGCTATTCCAAAAGAGCTTGTGTGCTAGTTCTGTGGAGAGCTCAGAGGTAGAGTAATTTCCCAGCTCCTCACACGTCCTGCTGGCAGGACTCCGGAGTCTGCATTCTTCCCCACATGGTGCCCTGCTGTGAGAGGGAAAAATTGAGGTCAAGGAACAATTCAGCATGTGGAAATAAACCTGGCCCTTCAGAGCTCTGGGCCCCAAGTGGTCCTTAACCACTGGCTTTTGGTGGGCACACGATTTGCTGTGAAGATCAGTGTATATGACTAATGAGGTGATGTGGTCTGATCCCTCTGGGAATACAGCCCTGCACAGAAATCCAAACCAAAAGGTCTCACAAACTCGGGTCAAAATTAAAGATGAGGAAAGTTCTGCTAGGTGAGACAGTAGAGAATGTTAGCACCCCTCCTCAGCAGCCCAAGTGAACACAGATTTCATGAAAAACTTTGACCTTTTTTTCTTCACACCATGTGTTACCTTAACAGGTTTCCAGAGGGGCCCTCTATAAGTGAACAGCATGGAGCAGCCCCACCATCTTCAACCACTACCCAGAGAGTTATGCAAAAATACTGTGAATATCATGAATCCAGTGGGGAGGGGGACAGGGAAGCTCTTACCATTTTCCACTGGCAGCCAAAGCCTCTTGATAGGTCAGAGTACAGGACTGGAGAGAGAGAGAGAGAGTCAGAAAGTTGATCTTCTGCACTAACACGGCCAGATCTTAAACAACTCACAGTCTCTCTAGAGAATACAGTCACCTATCTGCAAAATACTGCCTACCTCGCAAGTTATTAGGGTAAACTAAGGAAACATTAGTCAATGAGCTTTGTAAATGTCATGTTAACAGGTTCCCCTTACTCCAAGGTAGCTGACTTATGCTTCCCCTGCTCTTGAAAATAAAAGCAACCCTTGACCGGGCACAGTGGCTCGCGCCTGTAATCCCAGCACTTTGGGAGGCTGAGGCTGGTGGATCACCTGAGGTCAGGAGTTCGAGATCAGTCTGGCCAACATGAAATGGTGAAACCCCATCCATACTAAAAATACAAAAATTAGCCAGGCATGGTGGCAGGACCCTGTAATCCCAGCTACTCAGGAGACTGAGGCAGGAGAATCACTTGAGCCCAGGAGGTGGAGGTTGCAATGAGCCGAGATCGCGCCATTGCCCTCCAGCCTGGACAAGAGTGGAGCTCCATCTCAAAAAAAAAAAAAAGGAAAGAAAATAAGAGCAACTTCACCAGGGTATCATCACTTTATAGTCGAGAAGGGGGAAAATGCGGGATAGGGTAGTCGTGCTGAACATCTGTGCAATGAGTGCTCAAATTTTCTATTTCGAACTTTGGGGGAGGCTTAGAAGATAATAAAAGAAAAAAGAACTCATTTCACATTCGTCTTCCAAAATAAGTGAGATAAATTCACAAATATTATTTTATTTTTCCACGTAAAATACCAAGTAAGGAGGGAAGAGGAGCTTGAGCATGACAGGACACTGTAAGTGTGGTGGTAAGAGTCTTGGGAAAGTTACAGCTCCTGCCTCAGTTTCCCCATCTGTAACAACTTCTACCTAATAGGGCACAAGAAGCACTCGGAATATGCCTGGTACCGAGGGAGCCCTGGATACCTGCTTTATTGTTAATGGTCATATTCTGTGCTGGGGAAAATGAGGCAGAGATAACTTGCTGTTTCAGGCACAGGAAGTCGAGCAGTTTCCAGAGGACAGCCTGACCCGTGGTCTGTTGGTTCCCTCTCTCAAACCTGCCCCTTCCTTTTATTTTCCACAACATACAGGTAAAAGCTCCTTCCTGGTCTCTCTGCCTCCTTGTCTTACTCCAATCTTTCATTAACATTTTTTAAAATCATATTTACCTCCCAAAGGTCGGTTCAAACCTTACATTTTCTAAAATGTACTTTACTTAGCATTTATAAACTCAGTTTGGCTCCTCCCTCAGGCCCCACCCATTAGCAGGCCCCACCCACCAGCAGGCTCCACCCAGTGACAGGCGCCACCCACCTGCAGGCTCTATCCATGAGTAGGTTCCATCCATGAGCAGCCTCCTCCCACTCACTGGAGCAGCTACTCTTCTTTTACTATTCTGTACCAAAGTGACTTCAAATTTTACCTTAATTTTGTTGGAAACCAGGCTGTAATATTTGTATTAGTCCGTTTACATGCTGCTGATAAAGCCATACATGAGACTAGGCAATTTACAAAGGACAGAGGTTTAATGGAGAACTCACAGTTCCATATGGCTGGGGAAACCTCACAATCATGGCCAAAGGCAAGGAGGAGCAAGTCACATCTTATGTGAATGGCAGCAGGCAAAGAGAGCTTGTGCAGAAAAGCTCCCATTTTTAAAACCGTCAGATCTTGTGAGACTAATTCACTATCACAAGAACAGCTCCAGAAAGACTTCCCCCATGATTCAATTACCTCCCACTTGGTCCCTCCTACAACACATGGGAATTCAAGATGAGATTTGGGTGGGGTCACAGACAAACCATATCAATTTTAACATGATTTTATTGAAGGGCCAGAGATAACAAAATATCGGATGCAGAAAACAACTTGCAACTCCTAGATTCGGCTGTCTCAAGGATTCCAAGCCTGGCCCATTCTCAGAAACCCCCTGTGGGAGGTGCCTCTGTCCTCAGGCAGGCCATCTTCCCCCTATGCTTAGCATGTGGGCTTCGTGTTTAGACTCCTCCGTGACCAGACCTGTTGAACAAAGGTCAGAGGGGCCCCAGTTTAAGATATACCTTCTAAGTGTTCATTTCCTGCTGTTTCCCACAGAAAAAAATGGCAACAGAAATGTGAGAAGTGTCTACTCCCTCCAAAACAAA
The DNA here is from genome assembly GCF_000001405.40 of Homo sapiens. Classification (NCBI taxonomy): domain Eukaryota; kingdom Metazoa; phylum Chordata; class Mammalia; order Primates; family Hominidae; genus Homo; species Homo sapiens. The sequence continues at coordinate 81,588,735 of NC_000014.9, read as the reverse complement.
TGGATCATACCCAGTAGGATAAGACTTGACCCCCACTCACCAGCAGGGAGATTGCTCCATGTCTGTCTGAGCTGTTCGCACTTCTACAGAACAATGTGCAATGTCAGCTTCCCCCAGCCCTGCCCTGCTCCCTTCTTATTGCCTTGCTGTCCTTCCTGCCATCTGCCAGTCCTCACACCTGCACAAGAAGAAGTGACACATAGCCCATTCTAAATTAACACACAGAAAAGGAGCATCTCTCTAAATGAAATAGAGTCTTCAGACATGCAAGAAGCTGACAACATAAACATTCACGGTTTAGTTCCTTAGAGTCACAGCCTCTCAAACACATTTTCTGATTCTGGTGTGATTACATTTACCTAGTAAAACTGTATATTTGGATGGTATTTCCAGAACAAAGAAACAGTCTGCTTCAAAAGTGTTGCTTTTGAAGGAAAATTGCTTCGAGCTTTGAACTGCAGGTTTATCTGCTTCTGTCTCTCCTCTCTAGGGTTTGAGAATCTTAAGGCCAGATTTTAGCTAACAGTCAGACTTAGAGCATCCAGTGCTTCTCATCTTGTGGGATGTCTCTGCTAAAGAGAAAAAAAAAAAAGGCACAGAGCTCAGGAAAGGAAACTCAGACCTGACCCTGACCTTATTGCAACAGACTATTTTCCCACCACAACTTGCTACATAGATTGTTGCCTTTTCCCCCTGCAATTAATAACTGAACTTTCTGGGAAACCCATCCTCTTCAGCTCGGACTTCCTATTTTACCTACTTTGGAGCCCAAGAAGGGCCTGATGGCCTTTAAAATTTAGAGACATTTGGGAAATGCAGTCTCCCTGGCCCCAAACGCAAAATGCCTCATAGAAATGTCCAGTCTCTCTCTAAGTGAAGTTCTTATTTTGACACGAATTATGTAGAAGGAGGAGGGGAAGGCCCTGAAAAACAAATGCGCAACTTTTTAAAAAGCTTTCAAAATCAAATGTAAAATTCATTAACAAAAGTAATGGAAATTTTATGGCTGGTGCACAGATAAATTCGTTGCTGCCTCTAAATTCATCAAGCACACTTACGGGAGTGTATACCAAATTAATTGGAACTAACAGCCTCTTAGAAACTCTAACCAGCTGCAGACTCAGGGTAAACTAGTTGGAACAAAACAAAGAACCCCATTGCTTCCTCCTTCTTCCAAGCCCTGATTGAATTAAAGGCTAAGCTTTCTCAACTAAAAATGTTGAAAATTTTTGTTCTTCCATGACTGCAAAGCTATCACCTGCTGTTCAGGCCCAAGCAAAGTCAGAACTAGATAGAAATGAGGTTTCCCTGGATATTAGAAATCCCAGTTGCACTTCACCATAGCTGTAAAGACCCAGCCAAAGAATTCTTGAAAAGAAAGATGTTCTAACACTAATGATGTATGTTGTTCTGATCCAAGTGCATGGGTCAGGGAAAGGAAAGTTGAATTTGAATGATTCACTTCCCATTACCTTCAAGGACAATTCAGAAAGAAACTTCTGAACCTCTTTCTTCAAATTAATGCTCCAATTCTTGGATATGGTTTCCAAACAGACCATCCAGCAAATCAAACAAGAAAACCAAAGAAACTCTTTATAAGTCATTATAATAATTCCATTTTTAAAAAAAATGGGGATCATGTGCTCCTGAAGACAAGTCAGCACTTGCTAGATTAATCTACATTAATCTAGCATAAATTCTAATCAGACAGTTGTAAATAGTACTTTATTAATAATTATTAATTATTCATAATTTACAATTTTATATTAATTTTATTAATAACGACTAACGTTGATTAAGGACTGAGTCTATGCAAAGCACTGTGCTAAACATTATACATGTATTATCTCACTTAACTACCACAACAACCTAATGAAACCAGTATTATTACAGTTCCCATTTTAAAGATGAAGAAACTGATACTCAAGAAGTTTAGAAACTTATCCAAGGTCAGACAGCTAGCATATTTGTTCCCACTCAGAGTTAAGGTGCAAAAGCTCAACCATCATGCAAGAGGTAAAGATTGGCTGGGTGCGGTGGCTCATGTCTATAATCTAAGCACTTTGGGAGGCCAAGGCTGGGAGGATCACTTGAGCCCAGGAGTTCAATATCAGCCTGGGCAACATAGTGAGACTTTGTCTCTACAAAAAAAATCCAAAAATTAGCTGGGTGTGGTGGTACATGCATGTAGTCCCAGCTACTCTGGAAGCTGAGGCTGGAAGATAGCTTGAGCCCAGGAGGTCAGGGTTGTAGTGAGCAGTGACCATGTCACAGCACTCCAGCCTGGGCAACAAAGCAAGATCCTGTCTCAAGAAAAAAAAAAAATGTTAAAGGTAAAAGCCAGAATCCTGTAGATTCTTTTCCTCAGAGAAATCACAGAATATCAGTGAGCCAAAGAGAAGCTATTTTAACAACCACTTATAGAAGCTGGGTTTGGTCAGAAAATGTTAAGACTGGGTTTTGATCCTCCTGTATAGGTTATCAAATCTGAACTCTGAGGCTTTCATCCTTACATAGTAGTTGCCTTGAGTTTCACCCACATGGAAAAGGGACAGATTTCTACATGGTTTTAAAAAGTACTCATTTTGAGGTTTTTTTTTCTTTTTTTTATGTCCCAGAAAGTAAAGACAATTTGGAAACTTACAAGAACTCAGATAATCTGAGATAGGTCTCAGTTAATTTAGATAGTTTATTTTGCCAAGGTTGAGGACGCACCCGTGACACAGCTTCAGGAAGTCCTGATGACATGTGCGCAAGGTGGTCAGGGCACAGCTTGGTTTTATACATTTTAGGGAGACATGAGACATCAATCGATATATGTAAGAAGTACATTGGTTCAGTCTGGAAAGGCAGGACAACTTGAAGCAGAGGCAGGAAGACTTGGAAGCAGGGAGGGAGCTTCCAGGTCACACATAGGTGATGCACAAATGGTTACGTTCTTTTGAGTTTCTGATGAGCCTTTCCAAAGGAGGCACATCAGATATGCATCTATCTCATTGAGCAGAGAAGTGACTTTGAATAGAATGAGAGGCAGGTTTGCCCTAAGCAGTTTCCAGCTTGAGTTTTCCTTAGTGATTTTGGGGGCCAAAGATATTTTCCTTTCATACTTATAACTCCTCATTTACAGTTCTTAGAGGTGCTGGGCAGTTACCATGGGAGGGGAAATTCTGAGATAAACCAGTCATTCCATCTGTCTCTCTCTCTCTGGGAAGCTCTTAGACAACTTCCAGGAGACATCTCTGGGGTTGTTACAGTCTGCATTAATATTGTCCATAAAGTGGGGTAACCCATTAAAAGTCTGGGGAAGCTTTCTTAAGAAGGCTAAAAATGAACAAATCCTGCATAGGAAGTGATTTTTTACTTGCCCATATAAATAAATTATCATTACATTGCCCATATAAATAAATTATCATTGTATTTATATGATAAACATCTGCTGATTGCCTTCCATGTGCCAAACTCAAGGTAAGATCTGAGGACCCAAAGATAGATGAGTGCTCTTAAGTGATATTTATGTCCCCTGTAAATGAAAAGAGTGACAATTTGAAGAAATTGCAATCATTTTGAATACGCGACTTTGGGGCTGGAACACGAAGGTAGATGCTCTGATCAGTCTATATGTTTTCTAAAATAGAAGATATCTAATTAGCTCTCTGGATAATTATGAACTTCAGATTTACAGCGTTTTGTGTATTTGTTTTGTGTTTCTGGATGACTGCTTAATTAGCCACTTGTAGGGAAGAGCAAGAAATCAAATGCACACTGAGTTTTTATCAGTGGTGGTTTTGGCAGTGCCTCTATATCAGATACGAATTCATTTTTCTAAGAAAATCTAAGTAATAGTGGCTTAAATATATAAGGTATTATTTGTCTCACATAACAAGTCAGAAAGTACTTCTAGGGCTGGTAAAGAAGCCCAGTGTTGCTATTAGATACACAATTTTCTTCTATCTTTTTTTTTCTTTACCATCCTCAGCATGTTGGCTTTCATTTCCGTGCTGCTTGCCTCCTGGTTACCAGATGGCTGCCACAATGCCAACCATCATGTCTGAGTTCCAGGAAGGAATAAAGAAGACAAAGAAGAAGCACCGGAAGATTTTTGCTTATATCTCATTGGCCAACACTATCACATGGCCACTATTAACTTCAAGGAGGACTAGAAAATCAATGAATCCATGTTTTATTTTTTGTTGTAATAATAGGCTCTCTAATATAGACACAAAAGAAGAGAGCTTGGAAATGAAAGGCGTTTGCTATTCCTCTCAACTATAAAGAGAGGCACAGGCCTTTTAAGAATTCTTAGATTTTTTTAAAAGAAATTCGCAAAAATGGGGGAAATTGCAAAAATTGTAGCATACTTTAAATGTGTATATTATGCATCTATAACAAATGAACTTTTTTGTAAATGCAGTAACTATAGGTAGAACCTCATTAGTCAGTACCAACCTTTAAGAGTCCAGGCCAAATGGTGCTCCTGCCTTCCCATCGCTCCCCCAGGCCTCCATAGTTATGGGCCCCATAAACTAAATTGATAATGGCAAGATACCCTTCGGGTCTTCTCCCATCAATGTTCAGAGGAAAAATTAATTATGATAGTCCTTGCCACATAAACCAGAAGAAGAGAGTCTGAAATCAAAAGGGCAGAGAAAGTTTCTGAAAAAGTCCATAAATTATAAAAGGACATCGTTTAATGATGTTCTCAAAATAAGAAAGGATAATCCTAAAATATTTTGGAAGACTATGATTTGAGTGATATTTTGAAGAAAATCACAGAAAAACAAATCACAAACTTTTGTTGCATACCCCTTTCCCACATGAATGTCTTTCTTATATTTATCTAGAATGGTGTGGTTCAATGTAGTAGCCATGAGCCACATGAAGCACTTAAAATGTAACTGGCCTGAATTGAAATGTGCTGTAAGTGTAAAATGCATACCAAATCTCAAAGATAGGAAAGAAAAAAGAACATAAGAGATCTTATTAATAATTTTTTATATTAAATACATGTTGAAATGATAATGCATTGGGCATAATGAATGAAATAAACACAATATTAAAATTATTTTTACCTGTTCCTTTTTACTTTTTTAACATAGCTACTAGAAAATTTAAAATTGCCTGTGTGGCTTATATTTGTAGTTTACGTTATTTCTGTTAGACTGTGCTGGTCTGGAAAGATGACATCTTATAAAAGTCTATCTGTAACAGATGCTGTTGGTACACGGCCCCATGACCCCTTGGCCCATTTCTGAGTTTACCAGCAGCCTTCAAGGACAGTTACAGGCATTCTAAGAGCTTCCCAGTTTCCACCTTAAGGGAGCATTCTCTGTTTCTCTGCCTGAAAGCCATCTCTAGCACCATGGGAGATTGCACAGGACAGTTTGGAAGTGCCCAGGATTTAATGCTCCCAAGAGTAACCCTCAAGGGATGATAAATAAATGCCCCATCTTCAGCAGTGCCTCAGCAGGACAATTTTAAGGTATGTCCTACATTGTCTCTCGGAAGGTTCCAGTGCAATTGAACACCAGTTGCCTACAGCAACAGGTTGCTCATGGACAGACTTTATTCTGTCTTACCTCCCCAACTCCCTCCCTTGTGCTTCCCAGGATCACCTCCCAAATAAACTCCCTGTTGTAAGAATTAAAAAAAGAGAAAAGAAACATGAAACAAGGTTTAATAGGAAAAGACAGGTTTATTTTAGAGAAAAAACCTGAGAGGGGCTTCTGACCGATTTCGGTCAGGAGTGCTTTTTCTTACAAACTAAGAGTATATATTGGCTTTAGGGTGAGGGGGCTTATCACAACCTTGGAATGTTTCTGTGTTGGGGAGAAGTTTATGGCAGGGTTGGAATGTCTCTGACAGAGGGGAGGTTATCTTGGGACTGACATCTTTGGTCAGGGAAGAGTTTGGAATGTTTCTGGTCAGAGATGTTATTTGCAGTTTATGCTCATGCTGACCTTAGCCATTAGGCTGATGCCCTTTGGATTTAGGCGGTTTGGGATTAAGGTGAATTTTAAAATAACAGTGCTTATTCAAGATGGCGATACTTCTGCTCTGTCACCTGTGCAGTGTTTGTCTCAGCTCTGCTTTAAGGGGCCCAAATTAAGAGTGCAGTCCAAACATTTTCACAATCTCTCTTTATAGGATCCATGCCAAGTATCCTTTGGCTTCATGATTCATGCTGAATTTTTCTTCCTGTGCTATTATCAGAAAAGATGTCTTTAATTACTACTTTTTTTCTGTCAATCCATTTAGGATTCTGTTGTCAATGGCTAAAAAAAAAAGATTCTGCTCTAATTAAACAAATAGCGTATCATTTGAAAGAGTTTGAGCATTTTTTTTCCTTTCCAAGTAATTTGCTTACATTTAAACTGCTCTTGTGTAGTGTTGTTTTAATTACCAAGTCATTAAAGACATTGTTTTGGCCCTTTGAAACATGTTGTTCTGCTTTGGGGCAGTGGCAGGTTATTTTACCCAACAAAATCAAACTCTGTAAGACTATTATATATATATATATATATATATATATATATATATATATATATATATATATATATTTTTTTTTTTTTTTTTTTTTTTTTTTTTTTTTTTTTGAGATGGAGTCTTTCTCTGTCACCCAGGCCGGAGTGCAGTGGCGCGATCCCAGCTCACTGCAAGCTCCACCTCCCAGGTTCACGCCACTGTCTTGCCTCAGCCTCCCGAGTAGCTGGGACTACAGGCAGCCACCACCATGCCCGGCTAATTTTTTTGTAATTTTAGTAGAGATGGGGTTTCACCGTGTTAGCCAGCATGGTCTCAATCTCCTGACCTTGTGATCCACCCACCTCGGCCTCCCAAAGTGCTGGAATTACAGGCGTGAGCCACTGTGCCCAGCCTAAATATATTTTTTATTGGGTTTGCCAGAAAAGGCACAACCAGTAGCGTGTTGGTAGGGAACGGCCACCATTCTCTGGGCTCTATAAACGAGGGTCAGACCATAGGTAGACACAAAAGCAGTTGAGATGTAAGCAAATTACTTGGAAAGGAAAAACTCTTTCAAATGGTATGCTGTTTGTTTAATTAGAGCAGGATCTTTTTTTTTTTTTTTTTTTAAATCCATTGACAATAGAATCCCATAGTGTGTTCTGGATGCCCTGACCTACAACATGGCCTTTTTTTTTTTTTTTTGAAACAGTGTATTGCTTTGTCACCCAGGCTGGAGTGCAGTGGTGTGATCATGGCTCACTGCAACCTCCACCTCCCGGGTTCAAGCCATCCTCCCACCTTAGGCTCCCAAGTAGCTGGGACTACAGATATGCACCACCATGCATGACTAATTTTTTATTTTTTTGTGGAGATGGGGTTTCTCTGTGTTGCCTAGGCTGGTATCAAACTCCTGGGCTCAAGCCATCCTCTCTCCTTGTCTTCTCAGAGTGTTGGGATTACAGGTGTGAGCCATTGCTCGCAACCTGTCACATTCCTATCCCTATCAGATCCTATTCTTGCCTGGACAATGTAGTATAGTTTTTTAAAAAGGGAGGAGAGAGGTGATATGGTTTGGCTCTGTGTCTCCACCCAAATCTCACCTTGAACTGTAATAATCCCCACGTGTCAAGGGCGGGGCCAGGTGGAGATAATTGAATCATGGGGGTGTTTCACCCATGCTGTTCTCATGATACTGAGTGAGTTCTCACAAGATCTTATGGTTTTATAAGGGGCTTCCCCCTTCACTTGGCACTCATTCTCCTTCCTGCCCCCATGTGAAGAAGGACATGTTTGCTTCCCCTTCCACCACGATTGTAAGTTTCTTGAGGCCTCCTTCAGCCCCGCAGAACTATGAGTCAATAAAACCTCTTTCCTTTATAAATTACCCAGTCTCAGATATTTCTTCATAACAGTGTGAGAACAGAATAATACAGGGGGTTTAGAATCTAATAGCTCCAGGTTTAAATCCTGTCTCCACCCCTTACTAGTTCAACTTTCTTCAAATCATTTATTCTTCCTAAGCCTCAGTTTCCCAATCTGTACTAAGAGGATAGATACCATCACCAAGTGAACATGAGGGACATTTGGCCAGGGCCTCACATTTTAAAAAGCCTCATGTTTAGATTGTTTTCATTCTCTTTAAATAAAACGTGTGTGTGTTTAAAAAATCAGATTTTTAAAATTTAAACTTACATTTTTAATATACTTTTCTGGTATTTCTTCAGTCTTTCTATGCTAGCAATCTGAGAAGTATCCTGGGTTTATCTTGACTCCGACTCTGATGAGAATAATAATTCAGTTCTTTTCACTGGTTCACAGGGAGCATTAGAAAACATGGTGGTTTGTTTCAAACCACCTGTCCTTTCTTTATTCTCTTTATTTCTTTCTGGCAAGGTCCACATCCAGCTCTTCCTCGGGCCTTCCCATTGTAGCCTCTTTGTAGCCCTGGTGTCCCCAGTACTCCATCTTTTATCTATGTCTGGCTCTCAAATTGAGCATTCATGTCAATTTGGACTGTCATTCCAGGAATCAATATTTGGTGTGGTCCCAGAATGCTCTTACCCATGAGCTTTCTCCATGGGAGACACTAACAGTTCCTTTCAAAATCGCCAGAACTAGGCCCTGGGCCCTAGCTGGCAGAACTGTTGGATAATGTAGTTAGCAAAAGGCACTGTCATATAGTACTCGAAAACTGCTAGGTTTTCCCTCATCTACCCAATACTTGTCTTCTTGTCTGAGGTCTCAGGAAGCTGGGACTTTGTTCAGTGTTTCATTTAGTTAGAAATAATCACTGAGTGCCTACAAAGTACACAGTACTTTGCTAGATTCTAAAATAAAGAGAGAAAGGGGAGAGCTACAGAGAAGTTTAAAGATGTAGTCCCTTGCCTTTCCGGTAATGTACAATCTAGTTGAATCTAGTGTGGAAGAATGGATCGGGCCTTCAATAAATGTTTGTGAGATGAATAAAAGACGCACACACAATTAAGAGCTCAAGTGGCAGGGTTGATGAAGCTTAAGATGCTATTGACTAAAGACACCTAAAAATTCCCAAATCCTGCCTTAGCTGGCCTCCCTTCCACACTGTAAGGCTTCTCATAAAAGGGACAATGATAGATCAGAACTGAAGAACTGTGTTATTTTTAATTACCTGTAATTATGCTCTAAACTCCTGGGAAGAGTTGGCTGATAACCTGGTCAGTGGACATGTGTTCTGCTTGAACACCAAATGAGCCTTTTCCATCTTCCTAAACCCAAACCCAAAGCTTGGGATTGTCTCACCCTCTAACTGGAGGGACTGTATGGGACAGCACGAGGGACATCACACTGAGCAGCCACAGGAGAAGAGGAAGGAAGAGACTCAAGGTGACTGCACCTGTCACGGGCTACCTGTCCCAACAATGGTTAAGTTACTGAGGCCCCTGGAGGGAGGCAGTACCTGTGTGTGAGACTTTTTAACACACAGTTGCCCTCATCAAGAGTAAACAAAGCCTAACCAGCAGATGGGACTCTGACCTCTCCCTGTGATGACTGAAGCAGTGTATCATTAATTTGTAAGAAAAATGGCAGACAGAAAATGCTATAAAACTCAGAAGAGTGAACTTATTTGGGGCCAGAATAATAAAAAGAGATAATGGGATAGGGCTTTTTTTTTGTTTGGAGGGGGATTTTTTGTTTGTTTTTTTCTAAGACAGGGTCTCATTTTGTCACCCAAGCTGGAGTGCAGTGGTGTGATCTCAGCTCACTGCAACCTCTGCCTCCCGGGCTTAAGCAATCCTCCCACCTCACCCTCCCTAGTAGCTGGGACTACAGGCACATGCCACCACACCCAGGTAAATTTTTTTTGTATTTTTTAATAGAATTGGGGTCTTGACATATTGCCCAAGCTGGTCTTGAACCCCTGGACTCAAGTAATCCTCCCATTTCAGCTTCCCAAAGTGCTGGGATTACAGGCATGAGCCACCACGCCTGGCCCAGAGTTGCTCTTAAACATAGAAGAGTTCCTCAGTATCCAATAAGGCTAGAGATAAATTTCCTTCTCCCCTTCCTTCCCCCTGAACTTCCTAGAGATTTTTACAAGGGAACTTGCTATGTATTACTTCTCATCCTTTACAATCTCCATAAATGCTTGGTCAATGGACAACCTAATTCTGCAGTCAATTACCTGCAAGCTCACAAGCTGATCCCTCTCTAAAATATACATGAGAAGAGAGCTACCCGGTTGTTTAATGATATTCCTTTTGCAACTTCTTTCTGGGTCTTTTCTATAATTGAATTGTCTATGAACAAAACAAGGATTGCTACTTCTAATAGCATGTGGCATCTCGTGGACACCTTTGAATGAAATGTCACAAAGCACTTCAAACAAATGTTCATTAATTGTGTAGTTCTGTTTGAGGGCAGGACACTCTACGTTTCTCAAATGAAAGAGTTTGAGCAATATAAACATGTCTAAAAAGTAACGAGTAACTCTTGTTCACTAAGTATGATGGAAAATGACATCTTTTGGCCAAAATTAATAAAATGCTACCTCTTTATTTCACTTGATTAACATGATATTTTGGGAAATGTTTTATGTCAGTTATAGAAAATGACTTAAAAATTTTAGGACTTCAATTCTCATTACCTATTCTATCCCACGATATTATCTGCATATCTTTCTGCTCCTTAGCCCAGTCTATAGCCCAAATATGTTTTACTCCCTCTTCTCTGTCTTCATGGGCCCAGAAATTGTGATAAATATAATGCAAGTAGTGAACCCTACTTTCCCACAATCAATCAGCCTTTTCCTGGGTCATACAATCAAGGATCTTGTAAATGACGAGTTAATGAGTGCAGCGCACCAACATGGCACATGTATACATATGTAACAAACCTGCACATTGTACACATGTACCCTAGAACTTAAAGTATAATTTTAAAAAATAAAATAAAAATAAAATAAAATTTAAAGAAAGAAAATCTGGCGAAAATGGCAAAAAACGATTCATCAATTCAAAGATAAAATCATCTGCATTTAGCACGTATTCATACCTGTCAATATTTTTGCTATACCATTATGTTTGTCCCTTAGTTTCAAAAGAAAAATAGCACGTAAAGAAATGAGGAGAAAAGGCACTGAACTATTGAAAAACTTGGGTGCACCAGATGGCTTCAGCTTTCAGTTCCTACCTATGGAATGTGGAAAAATACTCCAAGCATATTTACTATTCCATGTATTTTTGATATTCAAAAAAAACTTGGAGAATTTTCAATTTGGATATCTAAAGCATCCCATTTTTATGTCACCCAAGGCTGGCAGAAATAGTATGCAAGTTTTTTCCAGGGATATTGTAAATAGGATTATGTACAGGGAAGCCTATTAGGCTAATAATTGACAAATATGGGAGCTGAGGACTTCCATATGCTTGCTGCAATATTTGACTAATTGGCTAGTACCCCTATAGTAGATACTTCTTAAGTGTGCAGCTTAAGAAGCTATCAGTGTGATTTCAGAAAAATAACACCGATTATAAGGGGCAAGGGAGACAAAATGTTTAACCTAAATAATCCAAACTGTCTAAGAGAGCAAATCCAGTAGCGATTACTCCACTCACTAATATTGCTATTGCCATGATATGCCAAACAGGCAGACAAAAGTAACACCAGGCTTGATGCTACATGCTAGGATTGAAAAATAAACGAGCTACAGCACCTGTTCTCCACAAGCCCAAAATCTAATAGGAACATCCATACAAGGAAGGGAGGAAAGAAGGAAGGAAGGGAGGGAGGGAAAAGGAAAAGAGAAAAGGGAAGGAATGATTAGATAGATTCAACCTGAGGGGTTAAGGAAAAAAGAGATCAGACTTAAACAGGCTCTAGAAGGATGTGTTAGCATTCACTCAAAAGACACGGCAATAAGGGCATCCCAGGCCATGGGAACACTTGGGCAAGATATTTGCATTCTCTGTTCTATAAAATAGAGATTGAGGTGTGACTCTACATTTTGAGAAATAAGAAGTCTGATAAGTTCTTATAATATTGCTTGAAAATGAAAAATACATTTTAGCAATTGCCTTTTTATTAACATGGAGCAGTGGTTCTCAAAAGGTGACCTCCAGGTCAGTAGCATCAGCATCACATGAGAACTTGTTAGAAATGCACATTCTTGACTGCCCCCTCCCCCTAATCCACTGACTCAAAAAACTCTGGGGTGGGATACCAATCTGTGTTTTAAGATGCTCTGTAAGGGATGCTGATGCTAACACGTGAGAAGAGCTGCCCCAGAGCAACCGACTTCAAATCATCCTGTGATATGCTTTCTGCATCTCTCTAGTGGAAATAATTAAAACTTTCTTAAATCTAATTTCTAGAAATGCATTACATTAGTGGGTCCTAAACTTCTGTTCATGTACAGCATCAATACCTATCTTGACAAAATTTTTTGTTGATCCCCAGAGGAATGAGATAAATGAGACAACCAAGAGTTTTTCATGAAGCTAATTTTTTAATTCACTGAATAAATTTAAAAGTTTTTATTGTGAGATTATATCTTTCATACTGTTTTACTTTTAAATCTTCATTCTTTTGAAGAACAAGAATGGTGGTAAAAGACCAGTGATTTTTTTTCCAAACAAACTTAATTGGCAAAATTAAGAATGAAACTCAATATTGGTCCCCAAAATGTTTTTTTTTCAAATGTATTGGTCCAAGGAATCCAGACATCTGCAAACCCTTGAAATTGATGGGATATATATAGCTTTGCCAGGAAAAAAAAGGCACGTGAATGTATTTTTCCGCCTGAGAGTCAATAATGTTAGTAAGATTTTTGTCTATTTGTATTTCGAAAATGTTCAAATTGAGTTTGAGATTAATAAAACCAAGTTTTGATAGTATATAAATTTAATAAATGTCCACCATCTCTAATGATTTTTATTCTAAAATTACCATTTTCTTTATGAACTGTCATTTGGAAGATTTCTTACTTGTGGTGAAATATACATATATAACTCTATCTCCTGTGTATATACGTGTGTATGGGTGTATTTGTTTGGTAGCTTTTTGAGATCCTTAAGCACTTTGTTGGGAGAAAAAAAAGGGTGAGTAGAGATGGTATCATAAATAAACTTATTAATAATGTGCATTCTTCATTCTCATGCACTAATGCACAATGTTATTTATTAGTTTAATCACTGTTGTGAGAATTGTTATTATTTCTTGAAATAAAACTGAAAATGGAAATTGGAAAAGAAAAATACATGCTATCTTGAGGACATGTAAGAGTTACTATACCTGCTGTCTACGTAGACAAGCTATATTTATTTATCTTACAATATCATATTCATCAAAGTATTAAATTGCCTCTTATCCCAGTAAGCACTGGAGCATTAGTGACCACTGGAACACAAACCTCATTTCTTCCCATCATCTCCCACATCACTCCCTTCACTTCTCAAGTCTTACTATAACCATCCTAGTTCAGACTTTTAACACTTCAAGCCTCAGATGACTGCATAGCAAAGTAGCCTCTTTCACAGCCCAGATGGTCCAGGGAATTCTGGGGATAAAAAAATTCTGAACGTACCAACTCAGATGTCCCCATTCGAGTCTCAGAGTCCTCTTTCCTCCCACTGGGGGCTTTGACTTGGTGAGGTGCACCTGCTGGGTTGTGAATTCAACCCTCTCTGGAGATCAGCAGTCCTTGTAATTAAATATGGAGACTGCTCTTCAGCTTTTCCTGCCCTCTGGCTGCAAGAGATGAAAGAATATTTGTATCTACCAAGGAGGACCTCTGCCTGTTATAAGTCAAGGGCCTTAAATGGGCCACTGTTCACCCTCAATCTTTTGCAAGTGCATCAATACCCCCTAACAAGAGCATTCATTTAGTAGTAATTCAATAATTACCACTTCCCCCAAGCCTCCGCTGAGGCTGAGCTATTGCATCCACCAGTGCATTCTCTTTCAGTGGTAGCCATCCCAGTTCACCACTGGGGAAAGTTGTAACGATTGCACCCTGTACTAATCTTATGACATGAGAACACCCTGAGCCCACTGGAATTTTACTAGTATTTTTAGATGCTTTTTCCTTGACTTCGACTAGACTATAAGCTCTGCCACTTGCCAGGATGCACCCTGGGACAGTGAGTAAGTAGGTCTCTGAGCCTCCATTTCTCCATTTGTGTTAAACTTGGAACTTATTCATTTCATTCTCTAACAAATATCTGAGTGCCAACTATGTGTCAGGCCTAACGATGGTTTATTTTGTCAAGAACTAGGGGTTGGAAGGTGCCTTGTTTATGGAAGACTGAGCTCAGCATATGAAAGCCAGAGGTGGCCAATGGACGTGCCACAGCCTCGTAGAAAGAGGACAAATGGAGAGCAAATTAAGGGAAAAGCAGATTCTGGGAAAAACAGACATGAAGGAAAGCAAAGTCCAAACCCCAAGCCCACATCCACTCCTGCTGGGACGGTCTCTTTCTAAGAGTCATTACTAATACCTGATGTCTGTAGCTACTTGTTTTAACCCAAGTCTGTCAAATCCCCAAGAACATTCTCCTCCCTGTCTCCAAATATAAAGAAAAGTTCATGAATAAATAGCAAAAGTAGAAAATTAGCCAGTGGAGGGGAAAAAGTAACTTGGAGAGTGGGTTTCTAAATCTGTGCTAGTGTCTTCAGATTTGGGGGCCCGAGGCAATGGCCATTCTTTATTCCTAATTTAGTTTATCCAGCTCCTTCCCAGGTATGTTTGTCCAATCGACTCTAAAATTATGCTCTCAGAATGAACTTCTCCCGGGCTGGGGCAAATAAACATCCCTCTTCTATGAGATCATGTCTCCTTTTTATAAAGTATTTTTGTTCCGTACTCCTGGAATTTCTAAATGTGTGCTTTCTCAATTCTGCAGATGGGAAGACCCTGGAGAAAGGAAAAGAAGGTGAGGATAGAAGGGGCCAGTAGGGATTGAAGATTAAAAATGTGGCAAAGCACACATCTCAACCCAGTGCTGTCAGAGAGTCTGCCCACAGCTCGTCTTGAAAGAAGCACACGCTTCCAGACACAGACTTTCAGTCCCCATGGAAGAGAAGCACAGTCAACCAAGGCCACAGACTTCAGGTGAGAGACCTGATGTCTAAGAAGTTAGGAGAGGCAGTAACTGCGACTCCTGCCTGATCCTAAGCATCTGTGGAGCTACATGTTTATTCTTGGCCTGACTTCATTGCCAATTTTCTCCTTCCCAGGGTCTTGTTAGAAACTACTCTAGGTCTGACCCACAAAATTCTACCTTCTCCGGAGATCAGCAGATCTTGTCATTAAATACAGAGCCTGCTCTTCAGCTTTTCCTGCCTTCTGGCTGCAAGAGATGAAAGAATATTTCTATCTTAGTTCCTGACTGTGCTGCTACCAACTCCCCTGTTGCCAGTCAGCATCTTTCCCTCAGCCCCTCCTTCTGTGTCCAGGAGGATGCCCAGTGCCAGCTCTGGCTTTGCTCCTTGTCATGGTTTTCTCTGGGACCCAGGAATGCTCACATTCAGGTCTCTTTCATGCCATCCCCATGCACACATCACAGAGAATAGATGTTGCCCAGTGATGCTTCTGGAAGTGGACAATGTGTTCATCAGCAGGTGAACCAAGAAGAGGAGAAAAGATGGCAAGTCTTTCTAGCAACAAGGAAGTGACAATTTCACCACATATAGAGAGGCAGCACAAGGACGTGTGCGCTACTGCAATCGTGGGCTATGGCAGGGGTTTTCAGGGCCAACTCTTTCTCCCCAGTCTGGTTTCTGAACTTCTGTGCTTCTCCATAAGCCAGTCCTCCCATTAAAACTTCCCTGCTTACCCAAAATAGAAGTACTTATTCTGAGTCAGGATGCTGATTGCTACTTACTAGTAATACGAGCCTAAGCAAGTCCACCTCTCTGGGTTTTGGTGTCGTGTTCTATAAAGTGAGGATGTTGGACCAAACGATCTCTGTGATCCCTCCAGCTCTCAGTACACACCGGACACACAGGCTTCACACACATGTTCTTCCCTTACAGATTCAGGGCCATCAGCTCAGAACATGGCTTCATGCACATGTACTTCCTACATAGATTTAGGGCCGTCAGCTCAGAACGTCCCCCCTCTGCCTCTGAATAAGGTTTAATCCATGTTTAATTTTGCAGATTCCCCAGGGAGCTGGCTGTGTGGGTTGGTTATTGGTCAAGTTGGACATAAAGACAGTAGTTAGGGCCGGGTGCTGTGGCTCATGCCTGTAATCCCAGCACTTTGGGAGGCCAAGGCGGGCAGATCACTTGAGGTCAGAAGTTCAAGACCAGCCTGGCCAACATGGCAAAACCCCGTCTCTACTAACAATACAAAAATTAGCCAGGTGTGTTGCGTGTCTATAATCCCAGCTACTCGGGACGCTGAGGCAGGAGAATCACTTGAACCTGGAGGAGGAGGTTGCAGTGAGCTGAGATCACACCACTGCATTTCCAGCCTGAGTGACAGAGCAAGACTCCGTCTTAAAAAAAAAAAAAAAAAAAAAAAAAAAAAAAAAAAGAGAGCAATTAGGAAGAAAAAACACACAATTTTAGGTAACAGCTAGTCTGTGGTCATTCTGGAGAAGAGGAGAGGTTTGCCCTCATTCATGCTCCAGTAGTAGTTACCTCCATTGAACTCTTGATAGTTTTTTAACGCACTTGTTATCCTAACCAAATCAGCAAAGTTAGCAGTAGGATCTTCATCTTATGGAGAAGGAAACTATAATTGGAGGGGGCAAGAATTTGACTTGAAACTCCACAGTCTTTCAGCTTTGCCATGCTTGCCTGTCTCAGCGCACCAAGAGAAGGATCAGGCCTGCATGGTTAGAGCATCACTATTGTACAACCACTTTTCAGCCATGCTAGTTTTATGTTTTACCTATTGTTTCTTGAGAATCATATCCATTTCCTATTAATTTAGCAAAATCTGCTGTCGTTTTTAGTTTTAAAATTGTTTCATTAGTTTTCATTAACATATTTCCATCTTTATCGAGTGCCTAATAAGTAGAATAAGATTCCATTAAAAGGTCGATGAAAAAACTAACACCTATGAGTGTTCAGACTTTACTAGGTGTTATGCTTCAAGGGAAAAAATGAGTCATGGCATATTTGAGTACATGCAATGATGAATAGATCTGACTGTTCTTTTGCGATTTCTGTGATTCTCTCAGTACTCAGACACTGTCACTTTTCTTCTCGACCACCCAAGAGTGGCCATGTGCCACCCTAGCCTGTCATTCTGAAGCTCATTATTACAGACCCTACAACCCATTCTGGCCAGCCAGTCATTCTATCAACCTGTCCTTGAATTTCTTAGGCAGCCCGTAAATGAGACCAGCATGATTTCGATTCAGTTGGTGTAAAGCAGATATTTTCAACTTATCCTTTTGGGTTTTTTCCTCTATTAATTTTTTGAAAATTTAAAAAATACAGAAAAGTACAAAGAAAAAAAAATCTAATTATCATCCAATTATCCCCTGCCCAAAGCTGACTACTATTCATATCTTGCATATTGATTTCTAGTCTTTTCTTTGGTTTTTACATTTAAAAATCACCTGTTTTGGTAAAAATGATACATGCCTATTCTAAAAAATATAAAGACTGCAGAAAATCACAAAGCCAAATGTAATTTTTTTTAAAATCCAAATTCTACATCCAGGAATAACTATTGTTCATATAAGGTTAAAATGATCACATATATCTTTCTATGCAAAAATACAGAAAAAAAGAACTGATAAGTAGAGAGAGGGAGGAGGGAAAATCCATTTATAAAAATGGGCTTATTTGTATATACATACTTTTCATTAAAAAGAATTAATTTTAAATTTACTTGATTTTACAGAAGTAAAAGAAACTGCGGTGAAATCGAAGTAATTTTTGAACTTCAAATAAAAGTTTTTTTCACTTTTTAAAGCTATATTTTTAAAAAGATATCTCTGAGGTTAAGAAATGAGTTTACTAAAAACATGAGAAGATTGGAGTTTAAAGCTACCTATTTTAGGGGGGACGATTTTTTCTTCACTCCTTGCAATTTGCTATGAGAGATGAAAACTTTCAGATCCTCCAATTTTTTTCCTATTCCCTCCTATTCTTCCTCATGTTTGTATTTATATTATTGTGTTTTCTTTATCCATTCATCTCTTGATGAACATTTAGCTTATTTCCACAACTTGGTTATTGCGAATAGTGCTGCAATGAATATGGGAACGCTAGTATCTCTTCAAGATCCTTATTTCAGTTCTTTTGAATAAATACCTGGAAGTGGGATTGCAGATTCATATGGTAATTCCATTTTTAACTTTTTGAGGAACCCCTTTACTATCTTTCCTCATAGCTGCACCACTGTGCATTTCCACCAACAGTGTCCAAGGGATGGATTTGCAGACTCAGTTTTGTTTTCAATTCAGAGAAAAGTTACTGTTATTTCCTTGAATACTTCTTTGGAGACATCCAATGTTTTTATGTAGAATTTTTTTGTCTTTTACACCCATTAGCTTCAATTTAATTGCTTTATCTTTTGTCTTTTCCATTTAATTTATTTAGAATGTCTCAAGCCTTTCGTTTTTCTTTTTTTCTTTTTTTTGAGATGGATTCTTACTCTGTCACCCAGGCTGGAGTGCAGTGGCACGGTCTTGGCTCACTGCAACCTCCGCCTCCTGGGTTCAAGTGATTCTCCTGCCTCAGCCTCCCGAGTAGCTGGGATTACAGGCATGAGCCACCACACCCGGCTAATTTTTGTATTTTTAGTACAGACGGGGTTTCACCATGTTGGTCAGGCTGGTCTCGAACTCCTGACCTCAGGTGATCCACCCGCCTTGACCTCCCAAAGTGCTGGGATTACAGGCGTGAGCCACCACGCTCGGCCTCAAGCCTTTCTTCTATGTTAATAATTCAAATTTCGGCAATGTTTAAATTGTGCTCTTTGCAGTTAGCAATTATGAGTTTGAGAGTGATAGTGTTTAATTCTTCTAATTCCATAGTGCTTCCATAACTCCTTGATTTTATTCTGTTGTTTTATTATCTTTGAGTTCTTGACTTATTATATTTGTTTTATTATAAAGCCAAGTTGCTCTAAAACATAAAGTGATTGCAAAGAACTTCTTCTGTCCCTTATGTTTTCTTCTAGACACAATCTGTGCAATATACATCTAGCCTGCTTGCTTTGACTTGGGGTTTTACTTGTTGTTTCTTTTACTGTAGTGGGTTTGCATTCCTGCTATGCTGTTTATTTGCATTTTGCTCATGTTCACCAGCCCTGTGCGGACTTTCTATGTGGTCTGACAGAGTGGGATGACTTCTTGGCTCTCCTCTCACCGTGTCTGAGACCAGTTTAAGTTTTCTGCGGACGACCCAACTGGGCCCTTACCCTTGAGATGGTAGGCAGGGCAGATTTGGTTGGAAAAGTTAATCCTGCTCTCTCTTCCATTATTTTGCTATCTGTGCTGTACAAAGGATCACCCTACCTAATGGCGATGGAGATGAAAGCGTCTCCTTCCCATTGCTCAGTGACCTTGGGCTTCGGTAGATTTCTCCAGTCCCATGTGTAGCTATAGAGCTATCCTCACTCATTCCTTTCTTCCAGTATCATTTCCATGATTCCTCAGTCAGAAGGAGAAAATAAGGTCACTTTGTTCCATCTGCTTCTCTTCAAATTTGGGGCTAGCAGTGAGAATTCTTGAATGTTATTGCCTCTCCAGTCTGGAGAATTCAGGCATTACTAGGGTTCTACTCTGTTCCAGCATCTTCTGAGTCTTTTCATAATGGCCAGGTTTTTTTTCTTTAAAGTTAATTGTACTATTTTATATTTCTTCGTTTGATTACTGCTTATGGTGTTTTTTGTGTTTCTTTTCCTATTTCCTTATTTCATTATATTTTGGGGAAGGCATGCCGTTTTAGTCATGTTAGCCTAAAGTCTCATACTTGTCTATATGCTGTTGAATTATACAACACACTTTCATGTACACCCAAGGTTTGAGCAATTTCTGACACAACAATTGTACCTCCTTCCTTTCTTTCCCACTCAAGAATGCATATATGAAAAGTAAGTGTTAGTGTCTGATGCAGTGCATACCACAGAGTGCCCGCTCAACCAGTGTTTTCTGAGTGTGACAGTAACATACAGTGAAGAACAAAACAGGACAGTCTAAGCCCTTATGGAACTTGTAGCCCATGGGAGCAGACAGATGTTAATCCAAAAAACCACACAAATTACATTAATTTAATTTCAGTTTTGTAAGATGAAGAGATTTCCGTGGATAGATGATGGTGACGGTATCACAACAATGTGAATGTACTTAATGCCACTGAACTGTACACTTAAAAATGGTTAAGATAGTACATTTTGTTATGTGTATTTCACGACAACTTTTACAAAACAAGATTAAGTATTGTAAGAGGGAGATAAATGGTGCTATGAAAGCATAGATGGGGTAGGTCTGGAGACCCTTCCTTCCCTGAGGAAGAAATGATTGAGCTGAAATTCAGAGCAACAATAGGATGGAAGTTATTATAGGGATAACCTTGAAACCACTTCAACTTATAAAAAAAGATAAATTATCCACAAATGCTGGTACTTTATTATTGGTATGGCAGGATAATATATTTGAAATATTAACCAATATTTTCCCCTATATTTGCTTTCACCTTTCTACCCTTCTCCTCTTGCCCAACCCCAAGCTGCTGGATTCGCCTGTACTTGCTTTGTAGGGAGAAAGGAGGCAGCGAGGAGAAAATCACACAACCTTTGAGATTCATTCTGGATTTTGTTTTTTCAAAAAGACAGGAAATGTAAGTGCCACAAAGAGAATTTGGCGTACAGGTTTTAGAGACAAATCACGAATACAAGAGCCAGGGTCCCTCCCGTTCCTAGATTTTAGAAGCTTGAGATAGGGAACCTAAGGGGAAGCAATGGCATGGTAGAAGTTGGGGACTGTGTGGGGAAGGGGCACCTTGGGCAAACCCCAGGGTGGTACTAAAGTCCCCAGGTGGGTGTGAGGCATCTGAGAGCAGGAAAATGTCCCCATTCTTGGGGAAGATCCCTGGGAGGCAGCAAGATGCAGAGAGGACATTGTTGCCTGCTGTTTCTGGGACCGCTGGACAGAGCCATGGGTGGCCTCAGAGAATTTGCTGAATTCCAGTGGGACAGAACAATTCCTGTGCCCCCAAAGCATCCAGGAGATAGAGTGAGCCAATGAATCTGAAACTTATCAGGGAGAGAAAGGATGTCTCCTAGGCAACCTGAATAAACTGATAACCAAGAACCAGATGAGTAACGGACATCTCAACAAATGCCCACGTGGCCCGGTGATGTCAAGGGCTTAACAGCTCCACACACTCACCGATGCCTTTACATCACCCCCTGCCCCTGCCACATGACCTGTTCCAGAACAAGAGAAATGAATTGACTAAGATGACGTCTCTGGCCTCCTAACAGATTGAGGGGACAAAATAAAATTAGAAGGACTCATTGGAGGATAAAGCAAGCTACAGGTTTTGCTCCCTGGTTTCTTGGCTGAGATTCACAGTAAAAGAGAATTACAGCCGGGCACGGTGGCTCAAGCCTGTAATCCCAGCACTCTGGGAGGCCAAGGCGGGCAGATCACTTGAGGTTAGGAGTTCGAGACCAGCCTGGCTGACATGGCAGAACCCCATCTCTACTAAAAATACAAAAATTAGCTGGGTGTGGTGGCATGTGCCACCCCAGCTACTCAGGAGGCTGAGGCAGGAGAATCGCTTAAACCGGGGAGGCGGAGGTTGCAGTGAGCTGAGATTGTGCCCCTGCACTCTAGCCTGGGTGACAGAGGGGTACTCTGTCTCAAAGAAAAGAAAAAAGAAAATTGCCTCTGACATCCTCATTATGGTTCTTAGCAATATACCTGTGTGTCGTGGCATGAATGTTTAGAAGCACTGATACAAATATTCCCCACTGGGACATCATATAGGCAGAGTCCAGTCCATCAGTCATGGGTGAGGCAGGGAGTTGCGCCTCTTCAACAAAGAGGCCTACAGATAGCTGCAAGCCAGCCCCTGGTGCAAGACCCAGCAGACCCTGCTCTATCGTCTCAGCCCATTGAGCTGCTCTCTTCTTGCTTGTTACTTTCCACTTAGGAGCTTGATAAATCTCACAGATTTCTTAATGACAGTGACCACATCTTAACTTTGGTCTCTTTTTTTTAACCCCTTGCTGAAACTATGGTACATCGTGGGTTCTCTGTAAATATCTGTTGAATCAAAGACTCCAGCTTTGTATCCTCTAGCTACTATAACGGCTTGTACAGAGTAAATTGAATTTAAACGAACTTCAAATTACTGCTGGGAGGCCTGAGTTTAACAGCTTGGCCAGCTCTGCATGAAATTCTGGATATACCCAAAGACAACCTAATGCTTTCAGATAACTTGGCCTAATTTTTAACACTCAAAATTTCAGATCCTGCTGAGTCCTAATTTGAAAAATATTTTCAACATCTGGAATGTAGAATACTTAATTAATCGTTCCATAGATACCCAGTTGAATAGAAGCCTAGAGGTTAAAACCTGACACTTTAAAAATATTAGACTAAGCTGTTCAGACCTCTAAATGTTGTGCTAAACTCAGAAAATGAGGCTAATGCTGTGTTCAATGCTGAGAGCCATCTGCATACGACAGACAAGTTTCAAATAGTGTGGTCATGCCACCCTCTCGTGGTGAAATGCTATAGCAGCTGCAACATTTCAACAGAAAAACTTCTGGAAGTAGACTACTACCACTAATGATAAATTAGACCATATTCTATGATTCTGTAAACTTCTCAGACATTACTAATTTCGTGTAATCCTCATAACAACCCTACTTTCAAAGATGATGCTATTATCCCCATGTTACAGATATGAAAACTGAAGCTCAGAGAAGTTAGCACAGCAAGTTCACACTAGAGCTAGTTAAGTAAGAGAGCTGGTGTGTCTGATGCCAAAGCCCATATGCTTTTCACTATATTGTATAAATAATTTGTTGATAGCTATATCTGCAGTGCCTTGCGCATGGTGGATACTGGATACTCACTAAATATTTACTGAATGGATGAATGACAATACCAGCATTTATGGTTTTACAGCAGCAGTTAAAAATGCAGCAAGTCTATATCAGTACCTATCATGTGTTGGGTGCCTGCCATGTACATGTATAATTTCATTATGCTTAACCAGGGAGAAGTTTAGACTTGTTCTTCTACCCAGCAATCCCATTACTGGGTATATAACCAAAGGAATATAAATCATTCTGTTATGAAGACACATGCAAGCATATGTTCATTGCAGCACCATTCGCAATAGCAAAGACGTGGAATCAACCTAAATTCCCACCAGTGATAGACTGGATAAAGAAAATACGGTAGATATACACCATGGAATACTACAGAGCCATGAAAAAATAACAAGATCACTTCCTTTGCAGGGACATGGATGGAGCTAGAGGCCCTTATCCTTAGCAAACTAACACAGGAACAGAAAACCAAATACCATTTGTTCTCACTTATAAGTGGGAGCTAATGATGAGAACACATAGACACATAGAGGCAAATGACACATACTGGGGTCTTGTGGCGGGTAGAGGGTGGGAGGAAGGAGGGGATCAAGAAAAACAACTAATGGATAATAGGCTTAATACCTAGGTGATGAAATAATCTGCACAATAAACCCCCATGTCACAAGTTTCCCTGTGTAACAAATCTGCACTTGTACCCCTGAACTTAAAAGTTAAAAACAAAACAACAAAAAAAAACACTTGTTCTGCTATATTCTTTTTTTTTTTTTTTTTTTTGAGACAGAGTCTCATTCTGTTGCCCAGGCCAGAGTGCAGTGGTGCAATCTCTGCTCACTGCAAGCCCCGCCTCCCAGGTTCACGCCATTCTCCTGCCTCAGCCTCCCAAGTAGCTGGGACTACAGGCGCCCGCCACCACGCCTGGCTAATTTTTTTGTATTTTTAGCAGAGACAGGGTTTCATCGTGTTAGCCAGGATGGTCTCGATCTCCTGACCTCGTGATCCGCCCTCCTCGGCTTCCCAAAGTGCTGGGATTACAGGTGTAAGCCACCACGCCTGGCCTTGTTCTGCTGTATTCTTTAGCTCATTCTTTATTTTTAATTTATATACAAACATGTGTGTATATATATATATCTGTTTTTATATATACATATATGTATGTATATTACACACACACACACACACACACACACACACACACACATATAAATTTTGGTAGCGACAGGGTTCTCACTGTGTGGCCCAGGCTGGTCTCAAACTCCTGGCCTCAAGCAATTTCCAACCCTCAGACTCCAAAGCACTGGGATTACAGGCATGAGCCACTGCACCCAGCCTTATTTTTTAAAAGAATTTAAGTACACTCTCTATTTACAGATACGTGCACTCATCATCCAATAAGAATGCATGAAAGACCTACTGTGTGCTGAACACTATTTAAGCTGTGGTGAGGCTTGAATAGTTTGAATGATGTGTCTAAAGCCTCATACCCACTGTACTGGTTTTTCCTTTGCTTCTCTAAGAGCTGGAACTGAACCACAAATCTGTAAGAATTTGCTGTATGGTGTTTTGGGGCATGGATCTTAATTATTAACATCCTAGATTATCTAAATTACTTAATAGTGGCATAAAATAGCTTTTTTTAAATGTCTGTGTTGTTTTTTAATTGTACTCATCAAAGCAGCTTTGGCAGGATTGTCCGTTATTTGTAAATCTGAACCTCAGGCAGTTTTGTAACTGTCAAGGGGCCCCACTTTGGACATCATGAGCCCACAGCAAGACCTAGGATTAAAGCATAAAGACCCCAAAGTCACCACCTGGTTCCCAGCTTAATGAGCTACTCCACAGGCAAGTATTTAGGAAGCATGAGCGAGGAATGGGAAATTTGAGGAAAGAGCAGTTTGGGTATCTTTCCAATAGGTATTCTATTCAAGTCAAAAATAAAAATACTTGAATATACATTATTAAACCAAAGTTCGGAGAATGAGAAATTCAGGTCATTAAATTCCTATTTGTAGAAAACAACAAGGAAACAGAATAATCACTAAGAATGCTGTCATCTCCAAAATATTCTAATTGAAATTAGAGGAAATTTGCCTCTCTGTTTCCTTTTCTCTGAAATCAGACAATCAATGTTAAACAGACCTCGCCATGTTCTGAAATCTCAGTCTTTGTGACTGCAAATTCATTCATTCAGTCAACAAAGATCTGTTGAATCGTGCCGTGTGCCCTACCTTAAGATAGCTTTGGGGTTGGATTTTACACGGAAGGAAAGCTGACATCTTGCTTTATATTCTTCCTGGGTAGTCTGAAGTTGCTGGCTGTTCGCAGCCCTTTGATGAGTTCCTGGAAGTCTCTTTCTCTCTTATCTGAGGGGGGTCACAGGAGGCAAGAGAGCTTTCCTGAGGCTGAAAATCCTCCAAAGTATAGTAGAGAGGGAACGAGGAGGTCTCTGGGGGTGAGTTAAACCATAAAGAGGACATTCCTGCCTGAAAAGAGGCGTGAGAAGGGGACTGGCAGGAAGATCAATCTCGCGGACCCAGCTGATCAATTGCAGAACATTTCAAATCTGACGTTCAGATCTCTAAAGGTGAATCCTCACTTTCCCCCAGTGTCACTGAGCTGTGTGTAAATTCTCTTCCTGAATCACTAAGGAAAGAAAATAGCACAAAACCCTCTGTGTTCTCCAAGACAACGGGCCACATCAGGAAGCCAGGACCCCAGCATGTGGGTGGTGGTGGCTGGAAGCACATTCCAGCAGGGCTCATCACTCCTCCAAAGTCTTCCCTGTGGGTGGCAGGGGAATGGGAGAGTCCCACAAGGTCTATGCATGAGGACAAACTTGTTGAAGGACTTGAGGGCAGCCTCAGGAGCCCCTACTGCCCAGATGTCACACATACCAGAAGATACTGATTCTTTTGGTCCTCAATATTCCAGTCTAATCAGAGGATGCCTTTGAGTTACGATTTTGGGAATACAGGGAATCCTGGTTGACTGCTAGTGGGGTGTTAGAATCTTTAACAAAGCATTGGCCCTTGATGGGTCTGTTACCCTTTCTGAAAGGAGAAGGTGAGATTAGATGATCTCAAAGGATGGATCCAAGGCTAAATTTTCACTTTGAAGAGTGAAAGTAAACAGCCAGCCTTGTTACCCCTTAGTCTTCAAAAATCAAATTCTTCAGAAGGTGCAGATTTGCAAGGACATTTCCACCTTCCAGCCTACTTTGCCCCCATAAAATTGCACAGGACATATAAGATTTGCTTGGCTGGCTGGGCACGGTGGCTCACACCTGTAATCCTAGCACTTTGGGAGGCCGAGGTGGGTAGATCACCTGAGGTCAGGAATTCGAGACCAGCCTGGCCAACACAGCAAAAGCCTGCCTCTACTAAAAATACAAAAATTAGCTGGGTATGGTGGTGGGCGACTGTAATCCCAGCTACTCAGGAGATCGTCCCTTGAACCTGGGAGACAGAGGTTGCAGTGAGTCAAGATCATGCCATTACATTGCAGCCTGGGTGACAAGAGCGAAACTCCGTCTCAAAAAAAAAAAAAAAAATTACTCGGCTGCTATCTACATATTTAAGGTCTCTCTGTTCCTATTGCTGGATTTATTAGATCTCCTACTATAATTGTAGTAAGATAAAAATCTAAAGTAAAGCTAGGTAAATAAATAAGACATGGCTGGGATACCAGTGCGGACAGAATGGTTTACTTGGCTGAGCCCCATAGTATCTGCCTTATTTGGGTCATTTAGTTTGTGGGTAGAAACGTCCCCTTTTAAAGAAAACGCTGCTAACCATTCACTCAAAACTCTACATAGTGTTAGATCTGAACCAATGTTTCTCAAAGTTCAAACAGGTGAAATGGTCTTCTGCAAGGCAGCCTCACCTTCAGGTGTACCTGGTAAGTTTCTGTGTACATTCCTCTTAGCGATGGCTTTTTACTCAGCTCACGTTTGAAGGCAACAAGTTCTTAGTCTGTTCCACTAGCAGCAACCCATCAGGCGTGCTGCAGGATATCCAGACTTCTGAATCAATTTATTTAGAAGACAGAGCATTTTTATTTTATTTTATTTTATTTATTTTATTTTATTTTTTGACTCTTATCTGTAAGCCCTATCACATCTTCCTACACCTCCTATCTGTAGCTTCCCCTGCACGACCACTGCAGGCAGGCTCACCTCTGGCTCATGGCCTCCTGGGAGGGACTAATCCTCCCCAATCCACAATCTCATTCTAAGCATTAATCTGGTTTTGTTTACTTACTTTTGATGAATATATGTTTCTACTCTGTCTGAACGTTCTTTCTGAGCTACTTCCATTTATTTATTCACTCGTTTCTTATCTCTCTCCCAGTATGAGGCCCCTGGCAACTTCACACGACCTAACTGAACTCTCTCAAGCCATCCTTTCAAAAGGAATGAAAATTGAGGTCTCTTGTTTTATGCTGAAGACTCTACGATGCCTGCAGAGTCAGGAACTCTGGAATCTTAGGTGTCCTCCTTACATATCCATCTCCATCACCCTTGGCTGAACATGCTGAGAAAGAATGACCCGGCATGCATGCAGAGAAGAGTCACTACTTTCTGTGTTCAAACATGTTCGGGCCCTGTGTACACACTCTATGCATCACCCAGCACGGTCCTGTTTTTGTGTAGCGTGGCTTCATTCTTTTGCAATTCTACTCCCAGCGAGCCATATGATAATTTTTTTTAATTAAAAGAAATTTTAAATAGTTTTTTTTTTAATCTCTGGAAATGTTTAAGATATCTCCTAAAAGAACTCGGGAATGGGTGATTGTGTTTTGTGTATCCAGCAAGGTTATAATTAAATTTGCAAAAACTCCATCCCCCTTTGAATGAGTTATAAAAACCAGCAGCAAGTGAAGTTATCAGTAATTAGGCTGATACTTTTATGTGTCTGATGTCTGTCTTATTTTCTTTTTTCTTTTCTTTTTTTTTTTTTTTTGAGACAGTCTTGCTCTGTCGCCCAGGCTGGAATGCAGGGGTGTGATCTCGGCTCATTGCAACCTCTGCCTCCTGGGTTCAAGTGATTCTCATGCCTCAGCCTCCCCAGTAGCTGGGATTACAGGCATGCACCACCATGCCTGGCTAATTTTTGTATTTTTAGTAGACACAGGGTTTCATCACGTTGCCCAGGCTGGTCTGGAACTCCTGGCCTCAAACAATCTGCCCGCCTCAGCCTCCCAAACTGTCTTATTTCTTAATGGATTCTGAACTCAAAGAAGGAAGAAAAAGGTAGGCTTCATTATCTTCCTCACATTCCAACAAGAAAAACAAACACTAAACATATGATACATAAATTTAAAATTAACTACAAGTTGGGATAAGCGCCATGAAGTACAACAGGGAGACCACACTTGTTGATAGTATGCACAAGCTCTTTTTCATTTTTGGATACACTTTTTTGGGCTACATGTGGATGTTGAGCTGTAAAAAACAACTGATCTGGCAAAAGAATACGCTTATCCTTCACTTGAGAAAACTTTACACAGTGTTTTGGGGGTTAGGGTTTTCTGCTAGTTTTTTTGGTATCTGGTTTGGTTTGTTGGGTGTTGGCTATTAATTTATAAGAGTTTCAGCCCATGTTTGTATTTAACAAGTCTTTTTTTAACACAAAAAAGAAATAACTTTTATAACCCTCAATATCTTCTTTGATCCACACTGCTGTGATGCAAGGTGTCAGTACTGATTGCCCTGACCTCAGCAAAAGGGGATCCACCCTAGACTCTATATTTTAGGGGACATGCACTTCTGCAAGTGCCACAAATGCACTCTGGCTCGGTGTGACCTGCAACCTAAACCTAACTCATAACCAACACCAGCCAGGGTTGGGAAAGGATTCTACATTTCTTTCCAAAGACCTTGAAACAGAAGGCAATTGTGTCTAGAAGTCTTGAAAGGCTTTGTATTGCTGATATGGTTTGGATCTGTGTCTCTACCCAAATCTCATGTTGAAATGTAATTCCCAGTGCTGGAGGTGGGGCCTGGTGGGAGGTTACCGGATCCTGGCAGCGGTTTCTCATGTTTAGCACCATCCCCCTAGTGCTGTTCTCATGATAGAGTTCTCTCGGGATCCAGCTGCTTAAAAGTGTGTAGCACTTCCCCTCACTCTCTTCCTCCTCCAGCCATGTAAGATGTGCATGCTTCCTCTTGGCCTTCTGCCATGATTGTAAGTTTCCTGAGGCCCCCCAGAAGCTGAGGAGAGGCCAGCATCATGCTTCCTGTACAGACTGTGGAACTGTAAGCCAATTAAATCTCTTTCCTCTATAAATTACCCAGCCTCACATATTTATAGCAGTGTGAGAATGGACTAATAGAATTGCTCTGATGCCAATGTCAGAGGTAGACACTGCTTCAGTAAGAGACAACACAAATTGATTTATTTCTCTTAGAGAACAGAAATGTAATGGATTTTCTCAAAATATACTATCATTTCCCAGTAGTGCCAAACATCCATTTTTTTATTCACTTAATACTCCAAGTTACAGTTCTAGAGATTCTCACAACTTCCATGATGTTCACAGCAGTTGCATAATGGCAATAAAATATTTTGCAATATTAAACAATTCATATTACTCTTAATAGAAATAGGTCTAGACACAACAAGTATAAAGCTTGACATTGACTCTTTACATTGGTAACTGGAGAGACAATGAATCTTGGAATTGTAAATCACTGTAGTTTTATAAAAATATTTAATGTGATTTAATTAAATTTTCAAAAAATTAAGTAGAAATATTTTAACTTCATTTTAATCTTTTTTATTTAAAATGTTTTTATTAATTAAAAGGTATACCCTCCTTTAATTTTAGCATATAATTTTTGATATTTCCAAAGAAATATAATTTTCTAAAATATATATATTTTATTACAATTTTTTATTTTCAAATTTACTTCCACTTACATTTTAAATAAAAGTGTGTCTAAATTACATACACTTTGAGTTTTATTGTTTAATGCTTTGGATCATTGAGATCATGTTAGAAATAAAATATACAAAAGTGGAACTCAGAAAGAAAATGAGCTAACCAGAAAATAAGTAGAAGTTCCTCAAAGAGGCAGATTGCATACGTATTTTAAAACTGGAAACAAGGGAAATGAGCAAATGTCTGGCAAGTATGCCCCACAGAAAAGTCCTGACCAAGATATTACGTATTCTCTATTTAATGAAGACTTAATTGCGATTAAAAAATTAAAATTAGCAAATTATTCTTATCAATTCACAGTCTGCACAGGTCATATGAAATGCCTACAACCTCATATTCTTCACCAAATGAAGATGTAATTACATGTCACAAAATGTTATTTGCACATAGAAAAAGTACAATGCAATTTCTGAAACAAAAGGATGAATAAAGAATAATTGATCATATTCAATAAAGATAAGGAAATGCCACCTCAGAACCTTACTCTGATGTTCTGAAAAGGATGACACTACGTACCCAAAATTTGCTATGCATAATGATGCTTTCTGTGTCAGTAAAAGCACAATATCTAGGTTTAGTAGAAATTGTTTCACATTTTGATGCTAAAATGAACAAAAATATAATGAAGCAAATGATCACTCTCAAGGTTAGAAAATTCAAAATGAAGCTCTTAATTTAATGAGTAATAAGGTGAGGAAAAAAACATATGTAATTTTTAAAAAGATACTATTGGCTGGGCACAATGGCGCATGCCTGTAATAACAGAACTTTGGGAGGCTGAGGCAGGTGATCTCTTGAGCCCAGGAGTTTGAGACCAGCCTGGGCAATATGGTGAAACCTTCTCTCTACAAAAAATACCAAAATTAGCCAGGTGTGGTGGTGCATGCCTGTGGTCCCAGCTACTCAGGAGGCTGAGATGGGAGAATCATCTGAGCCAGGGAGGTCCAGGCTGCAGTGAGCTGTGATCACAACACTGCGCTCCAGCCTGGCGGACAAAGGGAGTCCCTGTCTAAATAAATAAATAAATAAATAAATAAAATTAAAGATACTATTATTCAGTTCAACTAGGTTGTAACAGGGTCAAAATGTTGATGAAGTAATATTCACTATATGTGTTGTTGAACTACCAGAAAAGGAAACAAGTCAAAACGCAACAGTATTCCACTGGTTGACATCAGTTGTGAAAATAGGTTTAGACTTTACTGAAAAGCTGAGAAAATAATTTTCAATTTTAGGCATTGATTTAAGAGATTGATGAGGGCAAACTTCATGGCTTACCTAATCTCACTAACATGGTCGGCAAAGAATAAGGTGATTAAGCCAGAATGTTTACCAAAAATCCAGAAGCATTTCTTTGTGCTACATATGCACAGAGTTGGAATTTATTACTGGGAGAAATGAGCTCATCTGCACCCATGGCAACACTATTCTTTGGAACAATTCAGAGATAAAATTCAGTATCTCCTGGGTCAGCCCAAAAATGAACTAGCATGATGAAACACATATGAAATTGGACCCTACACCATCATTTGACACATAATGGGAATTTGGACCACATGTTAGAACAATTAGGATCCACTAGGAGAGTGTGGCAAAATAACATTCCCAAATGAGTGAATAATCACCAAAAATGAAATTAATTTTGAGTTTGTGCCATCCACATTTATTTAGTATAATCTATTGCTTAATTTTAACTTTTAAAAACTAACAAAACAAAACAGATCTAGTTTGATACTTTGTTAAAGGCATTAAACTATATATACACATATATAGTTTACTTTTAGAAATTGTTTTCTTAATTGAAAAAATTGGCATAAAATATGCAACAAAGGTTATGCTTAGATAAAGTATAAAGAGTTGTTTAAAAGAAGGCCAAGCATGGTTGCTCATACCTGTAATTCCAGTGCTTTGGGATACCAAGCCATAAGAACTCTTGAGAACAAGAGTTTGAGACCAGACTGGGCAATACGGTAAGACCTTGTCTCCACAAAAAAAAAAAAAAAAAAAGGTGGAGGGGGGTGTTGGGGAGAGAACTTTTGTTTTAAAGCTGATAGAATATATTCATTTTCAAAGTCCTTTAAAAAATTCCTTACATACATTAGTGAGTGGTAAGCATAGCATGTGGTTCAAGGTGAACTCCATCCAGCAGACAATCTAAGATCAAAGGCTCAGTCATTGGCTTACACAATTTAAGGCAGCTACGCATTTTACTTTTCCTCCTTCAGTGGGGAGAGAACTTTTAAAAAGGGAATTATAAAGTTTTTATGACAATGAAAAAAGATTCATGTATAAATAATTCTGAAATTTCAGAAAGGCAAATCACAAATCGAAGTATATTATTAATTGAAGAGAGATTTTAACAAATTGAGTATCAAACTGCTATTTTCAAGTTATCTTCATAATACCATAGTGTTGAATAATTTAAAAGAAGAAAATACTTATTGCAACAGGACTATTCAAAAAAACAAAAAAAGAAAAAATATTGAATGGATCTAGACATTAAGAGACAATTACAGTTGTGATATAAAAATAGTAATTTAGATGAGTTAAAATATGTAGTAGTATTTTCTATGATAAAAATAGTTTATCACACAAAATCCCATGACAATGTTTGAACATGTTAGTAATATTTGTGGTTCATTTTTTAATTTAAGTAATGTCTGAAGAACTTTATTGGCAGTTTTAATCATTACAGCCTCGGCAGAGAGGTTTCCCAGGTTGGAATTTTAAAACCATATAATAATTTCAATGACTCAAGAAAGATTATGTAATTTGGCATTACCATCAAGAGAACAGAAATTTTGTGGAAATCTTGATTAAACAGCATAATTGGAGATACTGCTGACGTTAGGCAAGAAAAATAAAAATTTTAGAATAAATGTACAATTTGCAAATTACATATGTCTTTAATTTATGACTCACCCAAACATGCCCAACACATCAAGGGAACACCCAGGCATGTGCAACAATAATTACAGTCAGTTGTCTTTGATATTTGCCGATTTTCAGTAATATAAGACTATATAACTTTGTACATTTTTTTGTGAAGGTGTATTGTTTTGGCAGGTAGATAGGACATAATTTAACAGTTTGTTTGCTTAATTTATAACTTTCAATTTGTAAGAGCCATGGTATATAGGCCTCCATTTGTACTCATGCCCTGGGCCCTGCCAGGTGTGTGCCAGGTGTGTCTCTTGGTGGAGGACACAATGCTCA
Source organism: Homo sapiens (assembly GCF_000001405.40). Classification (NCBI taxonomy): domain Eukaryota; kingdom Metazoa; phylum Chordata; class Mammalia; order Primates; family Hominidae; genus Homo; species Homo sapiens. The sequence goes on along the minus strand of NC_000014.9, from coordinate 81,555,599 downwards.
GCATCACTAATGAAAGCTTCTTTTTTGTTCCTTTTTTGCTATTTTGTATTTAGCTTGATGCAAGTGTGTAGTCTCTTTGCAAAGCAATAGGCTTCGAAGAATATTTGTACATGTTAATGGGTCCAAACATTATTTTTTCATGTGACTGTTACCACAATTAATAAATCAATTATGGAATGACTGTAAAACACAACAACAGCTGGAGACACAGACTCCACACTGAGATTCAAACGTGATAGAACAGGCTTCCATAAAGTGACTTCCTTCTAGATTTCAGAAAGGTGGAAAAAAGGTACTTGACAGTGGAGAAGCCTGCCAGACACTACCTCAGCCAGGTGCTCAAGGTCAACATCCACAGTGACAAGCCGTGTTGGCAGTATGTTTCCTTGATACGATGTGGTAGGAATGGCACTTCACCTCTGTGGTGTTCCACACAAAAACTATAACTCCAGTCTAATCATGAGAAAAACAGCAGACAAATCCCAATTGAGGGGCCAGGTGCAGTGGCTCATGCCTGTAATCCCAGCACTGTGGGAGGCCGAGGCAGGTGGATCACCTGAGGTCAGGAGTTCAAGACCAGCCTGGCCAACATAGTGAAACCCTGTCTCTACTAAAAATACAAAAATTAGCCAGGCGTGGTGGCAGGCACCTGTAGTCCCAGCTACTTGGGAGGCTGACGCAGGAGGATCACTTGAACCCAGGAGGTGCAGGTTGCAGTGAGCCAAGATCGCACCACTGCACTCCAACCTGGGCAACAGAGAGAAACTCCATCTCAAAAAAAAAAAAAAATCCCAATTGAGGGGACATTCTGCAAAATGCCCTGCCAGTACCTCTCAGGACTGTCAATGTCATAAAAAACAAGGACCATCTGAGAAACCGTCACAGCCAAGAGTTGCCTAAGGAGACATGATGAAAGGTAATGTGGTATCCCCGATGGGGTTCTGTAACAGAAAAGGCACTTTAGGTAAAAACAAGGGGAAGTGAGGATTTTAGTTAATCATAATGGATCCATTTGGTTCATTCATTGTAACAAATGCACCACACTAATATAAGATGCTAGCAATAAGAGGAAGCTGAATGTGGAATATACAGAAACCCCACACTGCTTTGCACCTTTTCTGTAAACCTAAAACAATTCTAACATTTTAAAAGGTATTTTGGTTTTGGTTTTTTCCCCCCCCTTTTTTTTTTAGACAGAGTCTCGCTCTATTGCCCAGGCTGGAGTCCAGTGGCGTGATCTCAGCTCACTGCAACCTCTGCCTCCTGGGTTCAAGCGATTCTCCTGCCTCAGCCTCCAGAGTAGCCGAGATTACAGTCATGCACCACCATGCCCAGCTAATTTTTGTATTTTTAGTAGAGAAGGGGGTATCACCATGTTGGCCAGGCTGGTCTCAAACCCCTGACCTAAAGTGATCGGCCTGCCTCAGCCTCCCAAAGTACTGGGATTACAGGCGTGAGCCACCGTGCCCGGCCTTGTTTTGTTTTTTCAACATAATGAAACATGACAGAAGGGCAAAATGGCCTCAGATGAGGCCTCCTAGCCGGAGAGGAGAACAGGGTTCCCTAAGACTCACCAGAGAGGGTAGAGGCTGGTCTTGGGGGACAGAACAATCATTGCAAACTCAGCCAGTCCTAAGAGAGGCCTGGTTTGGGCACAGCAGGGTAATGATTCTGGAACATTCCTGGCTCAGCCTTCTTGACACCATGAGCATGCTTTGTAGGAAGTGGCCATGTGTTTGTCACCAACAGCCACAGTCCTGGGAGCCTCAGGCCATTTTTCCCCAGGAGCTGCCTCTACCTGAAGCCGACCATGACAAGCGGTTCTTCCCTGGTGGTGCACACCTGTAATACTAGATACCCAAGAGGCGAGGCATAAGAATTGCTTGAACCTGGGATGTGGACTCCAGCCTGGGCAACAGAGTGAGCCTCTGTCAAAAAGAAAGAAAGAAGGAAGGAAAGGAAGAGGAAAAGGAAAAGAAAAAGGGAAAGGGAAAGGAAAAGGAAAAGGTAAAGGAAAAGGAAAGAAAGAAAGAAAGAGAAATTACCACAAACTTAGTGGCTTAAAACAACACAAATGTACTACGTTATAGTTCTGGATATCAGAAGTCCAAAAATGGTCAGGTGCAGTGGCTCATACCTGTAGTGTCAACTACTTGGAGGCTGAGGTAGGAAGATCACTTGAGCCCAGAAGTTCAAGACCAGCCTGGACAACATAGTGAGGGCTCATCTCTTTTAAAAAGTGAAAAAAGTTAGCCAGCTATGGTGGCATGCACCTAAAGTCCAGCTCCTCAGGAGGTGGAGGCAGGAGGATGGCTTGAGCCCAAGAGATCAAGGATGCATTGAGCCATGTGTGCACCATTGCACTCCAGCCTGGGCAACAGAGCAAGACCTCACCTCTTAAAAAATATTTAAAAAAATTTTTGTGACGTCCAAAAGTGAATCTTACAAAGGTAAAATCAGGAAGTTGTCAGGGCTGTGCTCCTTCTGAAGGCTCTAGAGGATAACCATTCCTTACCTTTTCCATATTCTAGAAACTGCCTGCATTCCTTGGTTCACGGCCTTCCAGCAACGGCACCACTCCAACCTCCGCTTGCATCATCACATCTTCTCCTTTTGACTTTGACCCTCCTGCTTCCCTCTTATAAGAACACTTGTGATTACATTTAGAACCCGTCTGGAGAATACAGGAGAATCTCCCCATCTCAAGAAGCTTAATGCAATCATATCAGCAAAGTCCCTTTGGCCACGTAAAGAAACATATTCACTAGTTTGAGATTAGAACATGAACCTCTTTGAGGAGGAGGCATTATTCTGCCTAGCACAAAGCATAATTCATATACAATAAAATGCTTGGATCTTGAAGATGCAATTCTATGAGTTTTGACAAATATGTATACTCGTGTTACCCACACATGAATGAGATTATAGAAGATTTTCATCACCCAAAAATTCCCTCCTGCCCCTTTCCAGTCAATTATTCCCCTGCCCACTCTTACCCCAAGCAACTGCTATTCTAATCTCTATTGCTGCAGATTAACTTCCGTATTTTTTTTTTTTTTTTTTGAGACAGAGTCTCGCTTTTGTCTCCCAGGCTGGAGTGCAGTGGCGCGATCTCAGCTCATTGCAACCTCTGCCTCCCAGGTTCAAGCAATTCTCCTGCCTCAGCCTCCTGAATAGCTGGGATTATAGGTGCCCGCCACCACGTCTGGCTAATTTTTGTACTTTTAGTAAAGACGGGGTTTCACCATGTTGGCCAGGCTGGTCTTGAACTCCTGACCTCAGGTGATCCACCCGTCTCGGCCTCCCAATGTGCTGGGATTACAGGTGTGAGCCACCGCGCCCAGCCAGCTTCACCTATTCTTGAGCTCCGTATGAGCGGAATCATAAAGTATGTGCTCTTTTCTGTCTGGTTTCTTTCACTTGGCATAATATTTCATGTTTCATTCAGCATAAGATTCATCCATGATGTTGCACATGTCATTAGTTCTTTCCTTTTTATTGCCAAGTAGTATTTCATTGTATGAATGTACCACAGTTTATCTCTTCACCAGAAGGTAGACATTGAGTTGTTCCAAGATCTTCATTATTATAAACTGATATTGCAAATATAGCTTCTGTCAACATTTTTGCATGAGATGTTTTGTGGGTAAATGATTTCATCTCTCTTGAACAAATAATAATAAAAAATGCTGGGCTATAGGATAGGAATACGTTAAAATTTATAAGATATACTGCCAAACAATTTTTCACAGTTGTACACTTTTACAGCTCTATCAGTTTTATCTAAGAGTTTCAATTGCTCCATATCCTCATCAACATTTCACATTGTGAAGCTTTTAAATTTTAGCCATTCTAGCTGAAGTAAGTGATATTTCATTATGATCTTAACTGGCTTTTCCTTAATGACTAATGAAGCTGAAAATCTTTTCATGTTTCTACCTGCATATTTTCTTGGCGAGGTGCCCGTTCAATCATTCCTGTTTTTTTGTGTGTGTTTTTATTATTGAGTTCTTATATTTATAATATGGGTTATATCATATTTATATTGCTTATATTATTTAATACATATTCAATTTGCATGTTTTATTCTACGTAGTATTTATAATATATTCATTATAATTTATTGAGTTTTTCATATATCTTAGAAACATGTTCTCTTTAAAATACATGTACTACAAGTATTTTTTCCTATTTTCTCTGTGGCTCATTTATTCATTTACACAGAGATTTGAATATAGAGAGATAGATATAGGAATGACTACAGATGTGTGTGACTGTGTATATGTGTGTGTATGTATGCATATGTACACACTCACACACATCTATACCCCCCCACACACACACAAGAGAAGCGCATACATATATATTTCTCAGTTATATCTGCTAAGAGATTTTAGAGGCAATAACACCTCAGTAGCAGTAAGCACTCCGCGGATATAGATACCATTTTCCACTGAAGGGAGAGCACGGCTCCTTGGAGAAGTGGTTGATGTCAGGGCTGGGTCAGGAAAAGTAGAAAAAATGTAAATAGTACAAAAATGTAAGGATGTGCTCAAAGAATGATGGGAATATGTCACAAAGATATAGGTGTCCCTTTGAAGGGGTACCCACTGGTCAAATCTGAAATAATCTGATGATAGTAAAGAATTATAACCTATTGAATAAATTAAGAATCTAACAGTCCACACCAATGTAAATTAGTTAATTAAATGAAAAAATAAATAAGAAGAGAAAGCTCTGCCTACAGGAGAAAGCCAATGATAAACATAAGAGGAATGATAGAAAAATCACCATTTGGCAGCCATCATAATAATTTTTCATTCAGGCAAGAATCATGACTATATATGGTAAATTGGTGGGTAAATGTTTGATAACTCATGAGATAGTTACATAGTCTTAAAGTATCCCCTACAAGATACCTATTAATTACAAAAGGTAAAATACAGTGAAAACACCTCTATACCTAATTGATCAAAATAATCATTGCCAGAATAAGGACTAACCAACAGCATTTGCCTCCTGATACGGTGCACTGAGAATTCAGAATCGTTTTTGTGGTGTTCTTACCAAAAGTGCATAACCTGAATCTAATCATGACACAAACTGAAATTGGCACATTTTACAAAATTACTGGCTTATGCACTTTCAAAATGCCGTGTCATGAGACTCAGGAAAACATACACAGACACACACTCTCTTTCTCACACACATACTCCCCTCAAGAACTGTTCCAGGTGAAAGAAAACTAATGAGATGTGACAAACTGGACACACTTCATGATCTTGGATTTTCTTTTATTAGGAAGGACATCATTATGGCAAGTTGGTGCAATCTGAATAAAGTCTGTAGATTAGACAACAGTATTGGATCAGCATTAAGTGCCTGACTTTGACAACAGTCCTGCAGTTGTGTACGAGAATTGCTTGTTTTCAGGAAATGTACACTAACATAATTGGGGGGAAAAGCATCATGTCTGCAACCTACTCTCAACTGTTAGGCTGTTTATTTTAATCACATATGTGTGTGCCTGTGAAAATATTTTTCATGTATTTACATAAAATATATCTTTATATATCACATATATTTTGCCAACTGCAGCCCTTTGGTTAACATTTATGTTATGTCAACATGGCATAGCTGGGAGAATAGGAAATGGTCCAAAAGCCTTGTTTTGCATCATGAATGTTTTCTAAACTTACTCTCAATTAATTTGCATTTACGGTAATATTATTTCCCTTGTTTGAAGATCTTTTTCTTAACAGCTATTTTGCACTTATCTATCTCCATTTCTTTTTTAATTTTTTAAGAAACTCCACTACATACATACATATATATATATGTGTATACATATATACACATATATATATATGTATGTAATTATACTTTAAGTTCTGGGATACATGTGCAGAACGTGCAGGTTTGTTACATAGCTATACACGTGCCATTGTGGTTTGCTGCACCCATCAACTTGTCATCTATATTAGATATTTCTCCTAATGCTATCCCTCCCCTAGCCCTGCACCCTACAACAGACCCCAGTGTGTGATGTTCCCCTCCTTGTGTCCAAGTGTTCTTATTGTTCAACTCCCACTTATGAGTGAGAACATGCGGTGTTTGGTTTTCTGTTCCTGTATTAGTTTGCTGAGAATGATGGTTTCCAGCTTCATCCATGTCCCTGCAAAGGACATGAACTCATGCTTTTTATGGTTGCATAGTATTCCATGATGTATATATGCCACATTTTCTTTATCCAGTCTATCATTGATGGGCATTTGGGTTGGTTCCAAGTCTTTGCTATTGTGAATGGTGCTACAATAAACATACGTGTGCATGTGTGTTTATAGTAGAATGATTTATAATCCTTTGGGTATATACCCAGTAATGGGATGGTTGGGTCAAATGGTATTTCTGGTTCTAGATCCTTGAGGAATCACCACACTGTCTTCCACAATGGTTGAACTGATTTACACTCCCACCAACAGTGTAAAAGCGTTCCTAATTCTCCACATCCTCTCCAGCATCTGTTGTTTCCTGACTTTTTAATGATCGTCATTCTAACTGGTGTGAGATGGTATCTCATTGTGGTTTTGATTTGCATTTCTCTGACGGCCAGTGATGATGAGCATTTTTTCATGTGTCTGTTGGCTGTATAAATGTCTTCTTTTAAGAAGTGTCTGTTCATATCCTTCACCCACTTTTTGATGGGGTTGTTTGTTTTTTTCTTGTAAATTTGTTTAAGTTCCTTGTAGATTCTGGATATTAGCCCTTTGCCAGATGGATAGATTGTAAAAATTTTCTCCCATTCTGTAGGTTGCCTGTTCACTCTGATGGTAGTTTCTTTTGCTGTGCAGAAGCTCTTTAGTTTAATTAGATCCCATTTGTCAATTTTGGCTTTTGTTGCCATTGCTTTCGGTGTTTTAGTCAGGAAGTCTTTGCCCATGCCTATGTCCTGAATGGTATTGCCTGGGTTTTCTTCTAGGGTTTTTATGGTTTTAGGTCATATGTTTAAGTCTTTAATCCATCTTGATTTACTTTTTGTATAAGGTGTAAGGAAGGGGTCCAGTTTCAGTTTTCTGCATATGGCTAGCCAGTTTTCCCAACACCATTTATTAAATAGGGAATCCGTTCCCCATTGTTTGTTTTTGTCAGGTTTGTCAAAGATCAGGTGGTTGTAGATGTGTGGCATTATTTCTGAGGCCTCTGTTCTGTTCCATTGGTCTATATATCTGTTTTGGTACCAGCACCATGCTTTTTGGTTACTGCAGCCTTGTAGTATAGTTTGAAGTCAGGTAGTGTGATGCCTCCAGCTTTGTTCCTTTTGCTTAGGATTGTCTTGGCCATTCAGGCTCTTTTTTGATTCCATATGAAATTTAAAGTAGTTTTTTCTAATTCTGTGAAGAAAGTCAATGGTAGGTATAAGTTATAAATTACTTTGGGCAGTATGGCCATTTTCACAATATTGATACTTCCTATCCATAAGCATGTAATGTTTTTCCATTTGTTGTGTCCTCTCTTATTTCCTTGAGCAATGGTTTGTAGTTCTCCTTGAAGAGGTCCTTTATATCCCTTGTAAGTTGTATTCCTGGGTATCTTATTCTCTTTATAGCAATTGTGATTGCTGTCTGTTTGTCTATTATTTGTGTATAGGAATGCTTGTGATTTTTGCACATTGATTTTTTTTTTTTTTTTTTTTTTTTGAGACAGAGTCTCACTCTGTCGCCCAGGTTGGAGTGCAGTGCTGTGATCTCGGCTCACTGCAAGCTCCGCCTCCTGGGTTCACGCCATTCTCCTGCCTCAGCCTCCCCGAGTAGCTGGGACTACAGGTGCCCACCATCAGGCCTGGCTAATTTTTTGTATTTTTAGTAGAGATGGGGTTTCACGGTGTTAGCCAGGGTGGTCTTGATCTCCTGACCTCGAGATCCACTGACCTTGGCCTCCCAAAGTGCTGGGATTACAGGCGTGAGCCACCACACCCGGCTGATTTTTGCACATTGATTTTGTATCCTGAGACTCTATTGAAGTTGCTTATCAGCTTAAGGATCTTTGGGGCTGAGACGGTGGAGTTTTCTAAATATACAATCATGTCATCTGTAAACAGAGACAATTTGACTTCCTCTCTTGCTATTTGAATACCCTTTATTTCTTTCTCTTGCCTGATTGCCCTGGCCAGAACTTTCAATACTGTGTTGAATAGGAGTGGTAAGAGAGGGCATTCTTGTCTTGTGCCAGTTTCAAAGGGAATGCTTCCAGCTTTTGCCCATTCAGTATGATATTGGCTGTGGGTTTATCATAAATACCTCTTATTATATTCCATCAATACCTAGTTTATTTAGAGTTTTCAGCATGAAGAAGTGTTGAATTTTATCGAAGGCCTTTTCTGCATCTATTGAGATAATCATGTGGATTTTGTCATTGGTTCTGTTTATGTGATGGATTATGTTTATTGATTTGCATATATTGAACCAGCCTTGCATCCCAGGGATGAAGCTGACTTGATCGTGGTGGATAAGCTTTTTGATGTGCTGCTGGATTTGGTTTGCCAGTATTTTATTGAGGATTTTCGCATGGATGTTCATCAGGGATATTGGACTGAAATTTTCTTTTTGTTGTTGTTGTGTCTTTGCCAGGTTTTGGTATCAGGATGACACTGTCCTCATAAAATGAGTTAGGAAGGAGTCCGTCTTTTTCTATTGTTTGGAATAGTTTCAGAAGGAATGGTGCCAGCTCCTCTTTGTACCTCTGGTAGAATTCGGCTGTGAATCCGTCTGGTCCTGGGCTTTTTTTGGTTGGTGGGCTATAAATTATTGCCTCAATTTCTTTTTTTTTTAAATTATACTTTAAGTTCTAGGGTGCATGTGCACAATGTGCAGGTTTGTTACATATGTATACATGTGCCATGTTGGTGTGCTGCACTCATTAACTTGTCATTTACATTAAGTATATCTCCTAATGCTATCCCTCCCCCCTCCCCCCTCCCCCTACCCCACGACAGGCCCCCGTGTGTGATGTTCCCCACCCTGTGTCCAAGTGTTCTCACTGTTCAATTCCCACCTATGAGTGAGAACATGCGGTGTTTGGTTTTCTGTCCTTGCAATAGTTTGCTCAGAATGATGGTTTCCAGCTTCATCCATGTCCCTACAAAGGACATGAACTCATCCTTTTTTATGGCTGCATAGTATTCCATGATGTATATGTGCCACATTTTCTTAATCCGGTCTCTCATTGATGGACATTTGGGTTGGTTCCAAGTCTTTGCTATTGTGAATAGTGCCACAATAAACATATGTGTGCATGTGTCTTTATAGCAGCATGATTTATATTCCTTTGGGTATATACCCAGTAATGGGATGGCTGGGTCAAATGGTATTTCTAGTTCTAGATCCCCGAGGAATCACCACACTGTCTTCCACAATGGTTGAACTAGTTTACAGTCCCACCAACAGTGTAAAAGTCTTCCTATTTCTCCACATCCTCTCCAGCACCTGTTGTTTCCTGACTTTTTAATGATTGCCATTCTAACTGGTGTGAGATGGTATCTCATTGTGGTTTTGATTTGCATTTCTCTGACAGCCAGTGATGATGAGCATTTTATCATGTGTCTGTTGGCTGTATAAATGTCTTCTTTTGAGAAGTATCTGTTCATATCCTTTGCCCACTTTTTGATGGGGTTGTTTGATTTTTTTCTTGTAAATTTGTTTGAGTTCTTTGTAGATTCCGGATATTAGCCCTTTGTCAGATGGATAGATTGTAAAAATTTTCTCCCATTCTGTAGGTTGCCTCTTCACTCTGATGGTAGTTTCTTTTGCTGTGCAGAAGCTCTTTAGTTTAATTAGATCCCATTTGTCAATTTTGGCTTTTGTTGCCATTGCTTTTGGTGTTTTAGTCATGAAATCCTTGCCCATGCCTATGTCCTGAATGGTATTGCCTAGGTTTTCTTCTAGGGTTTTAATGGTTTTAGGTCTAACATTTAAGTCTTTAATCCATCTTGAATTAATTTTTGTATAAAGTGTAAGGAAGGGATCCAGTTTCAGCTTTCTACACATGGCTAGCCAGTTTTCCCAGAACCATCTATTAAATAGGGAATCCTTTCCCCATTTCTTGTTTATGTCAGGTTTGTCAAAGATCAGATGGTTGTAGATGTGTGGTATTATTTCTGAGGGCTCTATTCTGTTCCATTGGTTTATATCTCTGCTTTGTACCAGTACAATGCTGTTTTGGTTACTGTAGGCTCATAGTATAGTTCCAAGTCAGGTAGCGTGATGCCTCCAGCTTTGTTCTTTTGGCTTAGGATTGTCTTGGCAATGCAGGCTCTTTTTTGATTCCATATGAACTTTAAAGTAGGTTTTCCAATTCTGTGAAGAAAGTCGTTGGTAGCTTGATGGAGATGGCATTGAATCTATAAATTACCTTGGGCAGTATGGCCATTTTCATGATATTGATTCTTCCTACCCATGAGCATGGAATGTTCTTCCATTTGTTTGTGTCCTCTTTTATTTCGTTGAGCAGTGGTTTGTAGTTCTCCTTGAAGAGGTCCTTCACATCCCTTGTAAGTTGGATTCTTAGGTATTTATTCTCTTTGAAGCAATTGTGAATGGGAGTTCACTCATGATTTGGCTCTCTGTTTGTCTGTTATTGGTGTATAGGAATGCTTGTGATTTTTGCACATTGATTTTGTATCCTGAAACTTTGCTGAAGTTGCTTATCAGCTTAAGGAGATTTGGGGCTGAGATGATGGGGTTTTCTAAATATACAATCATGTCGTCTGCAAACAGGGACAATTTGACTTCCTCTTTTCCTAATTGAATACCCTTTATTTCTTTCTCCTGCCTGATTGCCCTGGACAGAACTTCCAACACTATGTTGAATAGGAGTGGTGAGAGAGGGCATCCTTGTCTTGTGCCAGTTTTCAAAAGGAATGCTTCCAGTTTTTGCCCATTCAGTATGATATTGTCTGTGGGTTTGTCATAAATAGCTCCTATTATTTTGAGATATGTCCCATCAATACCTAGTTTATTGAGAGTTTTTAGCATGAAGGGCTGTTGAATTTTGTCGAAGGCCTTTTCTGCATCTATTGAGATAATCGTGTGGTTTTTTTCTTTGGTTCTGTTTGTATGATGGATTACGTTTATTGATTTGCATATGTTGAACCAGCCTTGCATCGAGGGATGAAGCCCACTTGATCGTGGTGGATAAGCTTTTTGATGTGCTGCTGGATTTGGTTTGCCAGTATTTTATCGAGGATTTTCTCATGGATGTTCATCAGGGATATTGGCCTAAAATTCTCTTTTTTTGTTGTGTCTCTGCCAGGCTTTGGTATCAGGATGATGTTGGCCTCATAAAATGAATTAGGGAGGATTCTCTCTTTTTCTATTGATTGGAATAGTTTCAGAAGGAATGGTACCAGCTCCTCTTTGTACCTCTGATAGAATTCGGTTATGAATCCGTCTGGTCCTGGACTTTTTTTGGTTGGTAAGCTATTAATTATTGCCTCAATTTCAGAACCTGTTATTGGTCTATTCAGGGATTCAATTTCTTCCTGTTTTAGTCTTGGGAGGGTGTATGTGTCCAGGAATTTATCCATTTCTTCTAGATTTTATAGTTTATTTGCATAGAGGTGTGTATAGTATTCTCTGATGGTAGTTTGTATTTCTGTGGGATTGGCAGTGATATCCCCTTTATCATTTTTTATTGCATCTATTTGATTCTTCTCTCTTTTCTTCTTTATTAGTCTTGCTAGAGGGCTATCAATTTTGTTGATCTTTTCAAAAAACCAGCTTCTGGATTCATTGATTTTTTGAAGGCTTTTTTGTGTCTCTATCTCCTTCAGTTCTGCTCTGATCTTAGTTATTTCTTGCCTTCTGCTAGTTTTTAAATGTGTTTGCTCTTGCTTTTCTAGTTCTTTTAATTGTGATGTTAGGGTGTCAATTTTAGATCTTTCCTGCTTTCTCTTGTGGGCATTTAGTGCTATAAATTTCCCTCTACACGCTGCTTTAAATGTGTCCCAGAGATTCCGGTATGTTGTGTCTTTGTTCTCATTGGTTTCAACGAACATCTTTATTTCTGCCTTCATTTCGTTATGTACCCAGTAGTCATCCAGGAACAGATTGTTCAATTTCCATGTAGTTGAGCAGTTTTGAGTCAGTGTCTTAATCCTGAGTTCTAGTTTGATTGCACTGTGGTCTGAGAGACAGTTTGTTATAATTTCTGTTCTTTTACATTTACTGAGGAGTGCTTTACTTCCAACTATGTGGTTAATTTTGGAATAAGTGTGATGTGGTGCTGAGAAGAATGTATATTCTGTTGATTCGGGTTGGAGAGTTCTGTAGATGTCTATTAGGTCTGCTTGGTGCAGAGCTGAGTTCAATTCCTGGATATCCTTGTTAACTTTCTGTCTTGTTGATCTGTCTAATGTTGACAGTGGGGTGTTAAAATCTCCCATTATTATTGTGTGGGAGTCTAAGTCTCTTTGTAGGTCTCTAAGGACTTGCTTTATGAATCTGGGTCCTCCTGTATTGGGTGCATACGTATTTAGGATAGTTAGCTCTTCTTGTTGAATTGATCCCTTTACCATTATGTGATGGCCTTCTTTGTCTGTTTTGATCTTTGTTGGTTTAAAGTCTGTTTTATCAGAGACTAGGATTGCACCCATTTGGTTTTTTTTCCACTTGCTTGGTAGATCTTCCTCCATCCTTTTATTTTGAGCCTATGTGTGTCTTTGAATGTGAGATGGGTCTCCTGAATACAGCACATGGATGGTTCTTGACCCTTTATCCAATTTGCCAATCTGTGTCTTTTAATTGAGGCATTTAGCCCATTTACATTTAATGCTAATATTGTTATGTTTGAATTTGATCCTGTCATTATGATGCTAGGTGGTTATTTTGCCTGTTAGTTGATGCAGTTTCTTCATAGTGTCAATGGCCTTTACAATTTGCTGTGCTTTTGCAGTGGCTGGTACCGGTTTTTCCTTTCCACATTTAGGCTTCTTTCAGGAGCTCTTGTAAGGCAGGCCTGGTGGTGACAAAATCTCTCAGCATTTGCTTGTCTGTAAAGGATTTTATTTCTCCTTCACTTATGAAACTCAATTTGGCTGGATATGAAATTCTGAGTTGAAAATTTTTTTCATTAAGTATGTTGAATATTGGCCCCTGCTCTCTTATGGCTTGCAGGGTTTCTGCAGAGAGATCCACTGTTAGTCTGATGGGCCTCCCTATGTGGGTAACCCGACCTTTTTCTCTGGCTGCCCTTAACATTTTTTTCCTTCATTTCAACCTTGGTGAAACTGACAATTATATGTCTTGGGGTTGCTCTTCTCAAGGAGTACTTTGTGGTCTTCTCTGTATTTCCTGAATTTGAATGTTGGCCTTTCTTGCTAGGTTGGGGAAGTTCTCCTGGATAATATCATGAAGAGTGTTTTCCAACTTGGTTCCATTCTTCCCATCACATAGTCCCATATTTCTTGGTGGCTTCATTAATTCCTTTTCATTCTTTTTTCTCTAATCTTGTCTTCACACTTTATTTCATTAAGTTGATCTTCAATCTCTGATATCCTTTCTTCCACTTGATCGATTTGGCTATTGACACTTGCGCATGCTTAACGAAATTCTCATGCTGTGTTTTTCAGTTCCATCAGGTCATTTATGTTTTTCTCTAAACTGGTCATTCTAGTTAGCAATTCCCCTAACCTTTTTTCAAGGTTCTTAGCTTCCTTGCATTGGGTTAGAACATGCTCCTTTAGCTCAGAGGATTTTGTTATTACCCACCTTCTGAAGCCTACCTGTCAATTCGTCAAACTCATTCTCCATCCAGTTTTGTTCCCTTGCTGGTGAGGAGTTGTGATCCTTTGGCGGAGAAGAGGCATTCTGGCTTTTGGAATTTTCAGCCTTTTTGTGCTGGTTTTTCTTCATCTTCATGGATTTATCTACCTTTGGTCTTTGATGTTGGTGACCTTCAGATGGGGTCTCTGAGTGGACGTCCTTTTTGTTGATGTTGATGCTATTCCTTTCTGTTTGTTAGTTTTCCTTCTAACAGTCAGACCCCTCTACTGCAGTTCTGCTGGAGTTGGCTGGAGGTCCACTCCGGACCTTGTTTTCCTGGGTATCACCAGTAGATGCTGCAGAACAGCAAAGATTGCTGCCTGTTCCTTCCTCTGGAAGCTTTGTCCCCGAGGGGCACTGGCCAGATGCCAGCCAGACCTCTCCTGTATGAGGTGTCTCCTAGTCAGGAGGCAAGGGAGTCAGGGACCCACTTGAGGAGTCAGTCTGTCCCTTAGCAGAGCTCGAGCACTGTGCTGGGAGATCTGCTGCTCTATACAGAGCCAGCAGGCAGGAACACTTAAGTCTGCTGAAGCTGCGCCCACAGCCGCCCCTTCCCCCAGGTGCTCTGTCCCAGGGAGATGAGAATTTTATCTATAAGCCAGTGACTGGGGCTGCTGCCTTCCCTTCAGAGATGCCCTGCCTGGAGAGTAGGAATCTAGAGAGGCAGTCTGGCCACAGTGGCTTTGCCGAGTTGCAGTGGGCTCCATCCAGTTCAAATTTCCCTGTGGCTTTGTTTACACTGTGAGGGGAAAACTGCCTACTCAAGGGTCAGTAATGGCGGATGCCCCTCCCCCTACCAAGCTCAAGCATCCCAGGTCAACTTCAGACTGCTGTGCTGGCAGCAAGAATTTAAAGCCAGTGGATCTTTGCTTGCTGGGCGCTGTGGGGGTGGGATCCACTGAGCTAGACCACTTGGTTCCTTGGCTTCAGCCCCCTCTCCAGGGATGTGAATGGTTCTGTCTTGTTGGTGTTCCAGGAGCCACTGGGGTATGAAAAAAAACTCCTGCAGGCTGAGGCATGAGAATTGCTTGAACCCGGGAAGCAGAGGTTTCCGTGAGCTGAGATGGCACCACTGCACTCCAGCCTGGGTGACAGAGTGAGACTCTGTCACGAAACAACAACAAAAAAAAACCCAGAAAAACAGAAATAAATCTTAAGGAGAGTAAGCAGCTAGCTCAGTATCTGCCCAAACGGCCACCCAGTTTAGTGCTTGAACTCCAGGGCCCTGGTGGTGTAGGCACCCAAGGGAATCTCCTGTTCTGCAGGTTGCAAAGACTGTGGGAAAAGCATAGTATCTGGGCCAGAGTGCACCGTTCCTCACAGCACAGTCCCTCGTGGCTTCCCTTGGTTAGGGGAAGGAGTTCCCCAACCCTTGCGCTTCCCAGGTGAGGTGACACCCCAGTCTGCTTTGGCTTACCCTCTCTAGGCTGCACCCACTCTCTAACCAGTCCCAGTGAGATGAGCCAGGTACCTCAATTGGAAATGCAGAAATCACCCATCTTCTGCATTGATCTCGCTGGGAGCTGCAGACCAGAGCTGTTCCTATTCAGCCATCTTGCCAGCCACACCCATCTATCTCCATTTCTAACCGGCATATGAATTTCCTCTGAATAAACCTTTGAGTACAATGGTTTTCATTGGTTATTTCAGCATTATATCCAAACAATGAATTTAAAAGTTTGTGTAATTAATTTGGTCATTCCCATGCAGGAGAGGATCTCCAGGCCATTACACAGGTCACACCTGGAGATAGCCTGTTTCAAAGTCATCAAAAGTAGCATTTCACCTTCCCCTTTATATCAGCCTAAAATCCTCAGACCATCTGGCTTCAATCACTGCTCAGACCTCACAGCTTCCTACCTCCTCCACCCCTCCCACCTTCTTCTGCAACCATAGAACCCCTTCGTGTTTTTAGAAAACAACAGACATGCTCTTGCCTTGGAAATTTTACACAGCATGCTCCCTATTCCTGGACAGCTCTTCTCTCCCATATCTTCATGGCTGGTTCTGTCATCTTCTTAAGTCTTTGCTCAAATGTAAACTTTACAGGAAATCCTGCCCCGACCTCCTCATTTTAAATTTTAATGCCCTTGCTCCAAGATTCTTATTCTTCTTCCCTGCATTATCTTTTTTTCCATAGCATTTATCACTTCCTAATTTTATAATTTACTTATTTATTTTTGTCTGTTTTTCACTCTATTTAGAAGGTAAACTCCATGGTTTTTTGTTTTTTATTCATTGCTCGAGCCCTCATCAAGAACCAGGTGTGTCACACAGCACGTGCTCAGAAAGAAAATAAAGGGCAGTCTCTAACAAGCAGAGTTGACCTGGCACTCAGAACTAGGGCATATTATTTTCTGATTAGACATAAGCAATCCCACAGAAAACCAACTCTAGACAGGTTACTTGAGACCAGGATACAATGAGACAAGTCAAAGTCATTTTATAACTTTAAGCACAGACCCAAACAAGGTCCCTGTGCCACCCACAAAACACCAAACACCTCCTGTCTTGGCCAAAATGAGTGAATGCTACTTCTTTTCTACTTACAGCTTTATCCTCATTCTTGTCTACTCTCCTTAAGATTTATTTCTGTTTTTCTGTTTTGTTGTTTTTGTTGTTTTGTGACAGAGTCTCACTCTGTCACCCAGCCTGGACTGTAGTGGTGCCATCTTGGCTCACAGCAACCTCTGCTTCCCGGGTTCAAGCGATTCTCATGCCTCAGCCTCCTGAGTAGCTGGGACTACAGGCGTGCACCACCATGCCTTGCTAATTATTGATTTATTTCTATCAAATCATGGTGTTGCAGGAAGCCAGGGACCCTGAACAGAGGGACAAGCTGGAGCCGAGGCAGAAGAACATAAATTGTGAAGATTTCATGGACATTTATCAGTTCCCAAAATTAATACTTTTATAATTTCTTATGCCTGTCTTTACTGCCATCTCTGAATATAAATTGTGAAGATTTCATGGACATTTATCACTTCCCTAATAATACTCTTACAATTTCTTATGTCTGTCTTTACTTTAATCTCTTAATCACGTTATCTTCGTAAGCTGAGAATGTCTGTAACCTCAGGACCATTATTGTACAAATTGATTGTAAAACATGTGTTTGAACAATATGAAATCAGTGCACCCTGAAAAAGAACAGAATAACAGTGATTTTCAGGGAACAAGGGAAGATAACCATAAGGTCTGACTGCCTGCGGGGTTGGGCAGAATAGAGCCATATTTTTCTTCTTGCAGAGAGCCTATAAACGGACATGTGAGTAGGAGAGATATCGCTGAATTCTTTTCCCAGCAAGGAATATTAATAATTGATACCCTGGGAAAGAATGCATTCCTGGGAGGAGGTCTATAAACGGCTGCTCTGGGAGTGTCTATCTTATGTGGTTGAGATAAGGACTGAAATACACCCTGGTCTCCTGCAGTACCCTCAGGCTTACTAGGAGTGGGAAATTCCAGCATGGTAAATTCTAGTCAGACTGGTTTTCTGCTCTCGAACCCTGTTTCCTGTTAAGATGTTTATCAAGACAATACGTGCACAGTGGGACATAGACCCTCATCAGTAATTCTAATTTTGCCTTCGCCTTGTGATCTTTATTGCCCTTTGAAGCATGTGATCCTTGTGACTTACTCCCTGTTCATACACCCCCTCCCCTTTTAAAATCCCTAATAAAAACTTGCTGGTTTTGCAGCTCGGGGTCATCATCATGGTCCTACCAATATGTGATGTCACCCCCAAGAGGCCCAGCTGTAAAATTCCTCTCTTTGTACTCTTTCTCTTTTTCAGACCAGCCAACACTTAGGGAAAATAAAAAAGAACCTATGTTGAAATATTGGGGGCTGGTTCCCCCGATAGAAGGCAGGGGCACTTCTAACAGCATCCAATCTAGAGCAAACCCAACTTCCTTAGTCTCTGACAAATCACCCAATCAAAGCCCAAATTCTAAGATAGGTTCTTTCTAATACCCTCCTACGGAGATACCTTATGGTGTATTTTTTTTCCACACTGCAATGAGTAATAAAGCCAATGTGCTCAACTACAGGAATGTTCCTGTATATTTGTGGAAGGAAGGAAGGACCTGTGAAAATAATGTTCCTAATGCAACATTCACTAATTAAATACATTGCTATCTACTCAAGGGTTAACTGAATTTAATGGGAGCTCTAAGCTGTTTATCTCTACCTTATAAAGTTCACTTCATCGAGTTCTTATTTAAATTTAGTTATAATCCAGTCTCTCCCTGGAACTAGCAGTTAACAAATTTATGAAAATATTGGACCCAAGGATGCCTGTCCAGTTATTTAGGGTAAAAACATATCCTGGCCTTTCCTTTATCTGGTATGAGTCAACACTGCTCAGAGAACACACATGTCCAGAGCAAATGTCACCTCACGATGAAACTTGGTAAACAGCCTGAGGCTCCCTCCCCCCTTTCATCTTCTATCAGCTTCAAACATTAGGTAGATCAAACATACTCCTCCACAATCTATGATCTGCAATCCAAACTTAATGCTCTTAATTATAATCATGGAAACTGGCATGAACACCCAAAACTTATTAATTTGATCACTTTGATCACCTGCCATATGCTGTCCTGAAGTTAGGAGGGATAAGATGAGGTATAAGTCCATTGTTCATTTACTCCAAGAGCTCAGAATATAAATAAGAAGATGCCAGGTTCTATCTCACTATATAATGCAAGAGTTTATATTTTCATTTATGCATGAAAACTTTAATTTACCTCATCTATAGGAAAGAAAGTACATTCTTTTCTAAGCCCTGAAGGGAAAAATATTCTGCTTCTTGCTTCTCCCTAATCCTGCCCTGGCAAATACCTTAATACAAATGCTGACAGTCTTGCCTATTACCAATTCAAATGGAACGCAAAGAAAAGCACAGGAAAGGATATATCCCACTAGAGTTGGTGACAATTGCCCCATTCTCAGGAAAAGTCTCTGGAGGTTGTCTCACCATCCTTAAGTGAAAAGCAAGTTGGATTTATGTCCTCAACACGTTCAGGTTCTCAGCATTTGTTAATTGCTTGATTCATTTCAATGGCATGAGGTTACATCAGTGTCATCTGCATTAAAAGGTGTTTATTACCTACCTCTGTTGAGTGCTATGCTGTGCTGCAATGCAGAGCAAACAGGTTTTCTGCAACTTGGAAATCTCTGACAATGACCCAGAATGCTGATATGGACAGATGGAATAAAGACAGCTGAGCAAATATTGAAGCAGTCTAAGAATTAATAAATAATATTAACATTTTGTACAAGTACATAACCTTAACTGGGAATGCTGGCAGGTAACCTTGAGGAGTGTATGCACAGACTGGATAGGCCATGGAGAATTCACAACCTTTTTTCTAATTAATCTCATGTAATATAGCAGGCTGATAAAATAAATCTGACTTTCCCACAGCATATTCTGAACCACTTTGGAGACTTGGAACTTCCCCAGGAAGTCAGGTCCTATGAGAATTCTCAGAGCACGTCAGCTACTCATTGCTGGCTAAAGGCAAAAGCTCTAGCAGCTCTAAGCCCTTTTCGCATTAAGGGTATAAAACTAATTTCCCTCCTTCGCCTCAACCAAGCAATCAATAAGAAACAATACTATATGTAAAACATCCTACAATGTAGAAAGTGCTTTTATCCTGTGTCTCCATTTTGAATCTCACAACAGACAGGCAAGACATATCTATCAACCAATAAATAATTAACTAGTGCTAGTGGTGGCAAGTCCAGCACTATATACCTATACACAGAATCACATGATCATCTCCAGCCTCAGCATGTTTACAATCTGTTTATAAGGCAAGATTGTGAGTGTTCAATAGATTCTTAGAGAAATGAAGATTAATGAGGACAGATCTGGTTGGAGAAGTGTGATCCAAGACGAAATGTGAATGAAATTGGGAAGGATGCCAGAGTTATGGCTAAGTGAAAGAAGCAAGGGCAGTTGGAGAAAGGGTAGAGGAACCCTTAGGAAGACATGATTGTGTTAATGTGAAATCTGGAAAGTAAAACGGAAGTGGCTATTTGGTCCATGCAGCAGCACCCAGAACAACCCTTAAATATAAGACGTACTCAGTAAAGACAAAACTGAAAAAAGAAGTTGGGGCTTAACTAAGCAGCAAACTTTCCCCAGTTTTAATCAAACAGATAATCACTGGCTCTTCTGTAGAAGGCAGAAGTTTCTTCCCTGGTACTTCCCCAACAGAGTAGAACTGTCAGCACAGTTCCTATTTTGTGAGTAGAATAAGTTCTAATTTTTTTTATTCTGTGAAAAGTGTAGCCATTGAAAATTTTCAATAGGCATATGAAAGCAGTGTTTAAGGAAAATTAATATGGCCATGATATGTGATTCAGGTTAAAGGGAGAATGATGTCAGTGAGTATGGCTGGAACTCAGGTGCATCATCCAGGTGAGAGAAAATGAAAGCCATTAGGGGAGTTTTCAGTGAGGAAGAGAACAGAGGTACATAATAAAATAAAACAATTTAAAAGTTACATAGTTTAAACTGATAGAACTTGATTATCAATAAGATGAAAAAGAAAGGAAAATATACCAGATTTTACTCTATGATTTATAATCAGAGGAACTCAGAGGGAACATTGTTAGTGACAGAAATGGTGATGTAGCTGAAAAGACAAGTTTTTGGAGGAGATAATTCTTTCCTTCATCTCCTCCGATGTGAATGAGAAACAGTGGTTGGTTTTTTACCATCTTCCTGAAAATAAAAGGCTGTATCTCAAAAAACAAAAAACAAAAAACAAAAAAAAAAAGGAAGGAAGACAAATGCCCAGAAGTGTTAAGACACATGGCCAGCAGAGACTTTTCCAAAGTCCTTCACTTGGCTGGACTAGGTTCTAGGCCTTAGAGCTGACTGTGGGTGGATGACAGGGAAAGCAGAATGACACGGTTTGAGAAAAGAAAGGGCAGGCACACCAAGTCACTGCTCTGCTACTCAGTTGGAACATGCCTGGATTTCGTGCTTATTACATAGAGTATTTCCGTGCCTGCGATGCAATCACTATCACCTCTACCTCCACACACGTGAACCTGGTCTCCTGACTTTAGTTAGGAAAGAAGAGAACAATGCAACTCACAAGAGGAGAAGGATGAGGACAAGTGTTTAAAATAATTTTTCAAAGCTGTTGGCACATTTTCTTTATGATTATTGTCTGGTGAACCTAGTGAAAATAAATACTGTATTGAGATAATCTGTGCCGAGCGGATTTATTTCCTTTTGTTTTGTCGGAGAAAGGAGGACAGGTACTGAGTTGCACCCTGGTTTCCGTACTTCACGGTACTGTTTTATCTAAGTTTTAAAAAACACCTCAAATTCAACTAGCTGTGGCATTTTTCTCAGTGCTCTTATCACTATGCCCAATTTAAATTTTTTAAATAAAACAGGAAAAGATGCTAAACACATTACAAGTTCTTAAAATTATTCCTTAATATTTATTTTGGGTCAATTTAAAAAGGCTTGTGAATCCATAGCCTTGAGTTAATATTTAGCCCAGGTGTTAGTTAAATTCTAACTTCAACAGTCACCCGCACTTGTAAATCTTGCCCTACGATGGACTACGTTTCCCAAGAGCACCCCCCGAGTTAATCACATGAAGCGCATTCTGGGAATTGTAGTCTCGGATGAGCCTCTTTCTCCCAGTCTTGGACTCACGCGCTGATTCCGGTTGAACCCAGGGGCTACCAATTAGCTGGGGCCATGTCCGTGAGTCGTGGTCCAACCGAGAAAGCTGGTGTGGGAGCTTCGTACAATGATTGGCCAATGAATGACCCCCGGGGCGGAGCAATGGGGGTGGGCGGGGAGACCATGGTGATTGGACCAGAAGCCCGCGACGGCGGGCGGGGATTGGCTGCGCGCTGGGTCAGGGAAGCCTGGGAAGGGGCGGAGGAAGGAGACTAGAGCAGGAAGAGCAGCGGCGAGGCGGCGGTGGTGGCTGAGTCCGTGGTGGCAGAGGCGAAGGCGACAGCTCTAGGGGTTGGCACCGGCCCCGAGAGGAGGATGCGGGTCCGGATAGGGCTGACGCTGCTGCTGTGTGCGGTGCTGCTGAGCTTGGCCTCGGCGTCCTCGGGTCAGTATCCGCCCCCTCGGGCTGAAGGCCCAGAGCCTCCGCCCCCCAGCCTCTACAGCCGGCGGGGCCGTGGGGACTCCAGGCTCGGGACCCCGTTCTCCCTGGGCACATCTCGCACTGGGCTGTCACTCGCTCTTTGGCTTTGCTTGGCCTGCGCCAAAGGGGCTATTTAGGAAGGTGGAGTGGGGTGGAAAAAGAAGGGGCGGTCACCCTGCCCACACCTCTCTCCCACGTAACAAACTTTGCGCGACTCTTCTCACGAACGCGGAATTGACTCCAAAGGAATGAATCCTGATACAGGAGCCCGAGTGGAGCTTCCTCGACCCTGGGGTAGAGGAAGGGTCTGGTCTAGAACTCTGGGCTTGGGAATTGTAAGTTAAATAATTGACAAACCTGGAGCTGTCACTTTGGGGCAGAGGAGGATCCATCCAGACCAGGATGTTGACAGTAGTTTGCTTAACACCTGAGATGGTCCCTGGTCTGTCTGTTTAAAAACGAAGACTTTTGATCTCATCGTAGCCACTTTTTACTTTTTTGAAACCTTCCTGAGAAAGCGGTGACCTGTCACAGTGTTTCTGAGTTGCCCCATGTTTGTTGACAGTCATTTTATGATGTTTGGGAAAATCTTGGTTCTTATAAGATGCGTTTTATATAGATACAGAAATTTGTGTGCTTTTGAATTGATTTTCCAGTTAGCTAATGTTTATTCTGGTTCTGCTTTTTTCCCCCTTTTTTAATGTTTTAATCTGCCTACATTTGAAAATTTCCATTTTGAGAGTGTTCATGAAAACTTCGTGTTTCTAAGTGTTGATAAATAAAAATTAGTACAGTAAAACTTTGGAATTTTAATCAGTTTCAGTTAACAGGACAGGTGTTCTGTGGCTTGACGTTTTGGGGGGACAACACGGAGTATAAATGTCAGCTTTTTCTTTTTTTAATAAATGTCAGCTTTTTTTTAACAGAAAATTTCCCAGATGGTTATCTGAATCCCCAAATTACCTGTCCTAGTTGTAAATCAATGCCATAACGTCATTCTGCTTCTAAAATAAGAGGCTTAAACCTAAATTCTATCCATGATGTGGTTTGAGATACCATTTCAAAAGCACCAACCCTATGCTAATTACTTTACTGCCAACATCATTCTTTCAGGTCCACTCCCCTCCCTCCAGTAGTAGTGATGGTTTGAGTTAATGACCAGATCTTTAGACTATACTTAACTCTCGAAGCACTTTTAGCAGTTATTTAATATTTGATCAAAAAGCATGAAATGAAGCTGTTGAGCTTAATGAGTAGAGTACCTGCTGGACCATGGACCTCCTGCATCAGAATTCCTCTTATGGGTTTGTTAAACATTGGGTTTTAGGTCTGGAACAGCTCAGGTATACATAGATTAACAATCTCCATGAGGGATTCTTCACACTAAAGAGAACTACAGTAATGAAAGAGCACGGTGTGTATCCCTCTGAATTTAATTGGCAGAGTTTAAAGAAAATTAAAGCATAGGAATTGTGCTGTCTGTCTTTGACTGCATTTTATATACTTAGAGCTCCATGCCAGTGGAAAAGATATTTGAAGATCAACAGTTGGGGCTTTCAGGATGTTGTAATAAAAGACTTAACACTGATATATTAAATCCTTGGGTTGTATTGATGTAGGTAGAGGACTGTATTCAAGAAATGTCTGCTCTGATTTCCATCATAGTTAAAGCTGTGCCACAACATTTCAATGGTAAAGGCAGAAGCCTTAGCCAGAACTAAAACAATGTAGATGTGCATGCTAAAAGGTAATAAAGGCAGTGCTGTGCTCACATGAAGTTCATATATCATAAAACACCTGTGCGGGCCCAGCTCATACCTGTAATCCCAGCACTTTGGGAGGCTGAAGTGGAAGGATCACTTGAGCCCAGGAGTTCAAGACCAACCTGGGCAACATGGCGAAACCCCATCTCTACGTAACTCCAGGTGTGATGGTGCACACGTGTAGTTCCAGCTACTCGGGAGGCTGAGGTGGCAGGATGGAGTGAGCCCCAGGAGGTTGAGGCTGCACTGAGCTGTGATTATGCCACTGCACTCCAGCCTGGACAATAGAGCGAGACCCTGTCTCAAAAAAAAAGAAAAAAAAACAACCCTGTGTTAAATAAAGTTGTGTAAATTAAGCTATGGATTTTCAATTGTGATTTTCATTCACAGGGTTTCGGCCTCAAAGTTTAAAGTTTTACTCCAGTATTAAAATCAAGTTTTTGGTTATAATTTTGTGTTTGAACATTAGTGGTTACCCAGGGCAGGTCGCATCTCTCCAGGTGGAGTATGGTCAGCCAACAAAGAGAATCTTGATTCTATTGCTGTTGATAGCTGTTAGCTAGTATCATGTTTTAGAAGCATGTAAAAATATGATATAGTCACATGCTACATAATGACATTTTGGTCAACAATGAACCCCATGTAAGATGGTGGCCCTGTAAGAATATAATGGAGCTGAAAAATTCCTGTCACCTAGTGACATTGTAGCCATTGGAACATGGTAGCACACTTTTTAAAAAATAAATTTAGTGTAGTTTAAGTGTACAGTGTTTACAATAGTGTATAGTAACATCCTAGGCTTCACATTCACTCACTCACTCACCCACAGCAACTCTTAATCCTGCAAGTTCCATTTATGGTAAGTGCCCTAGACAGGTATATGTTTTGTAATCTTTTACACCATATTTTCACTGTAGCTTTTCTATGTTTAGCTATGTTTATGTACACAAATACTTACTGTTATGTTACAGTTGCCTACAGTAGTCTGTATAGTCACATGCTGTACAGATTTGTAGCTTAGGAACAACAGGCTACACTATGTAGCCCAGGTATGTAGAAGGCTATCCCATTTAGGTTTAAGTATACAAAAAGGAAATCGCCCAGTGATACACTTTTCAGAACATATCCTCGTCATTGACACATGGCTAATATTAGAAACATTTTCTCTTTTCTATTAATAAATTTAAAGGAGGACACTAAAAAGATATTTCTTCATTTTCTCAGGATAATAGTGAAAAGGTTATAATTTTTCTCACAAATGCATGCTTTCTTATTTTTGGCAGAAGAGGCAAATGGCTTAACCTTTTTTTTTCTTTGTGCCAAGCAGTGTTAGTCATTTTAGTTAGGTCCACTGCCAGGTATTTCAGGTAATAATTATAAATTCAGAGAGTAGTTTTCAGACAGCAGAGGATGTTTAATTTCACTGTTTTGGTCGTTCCTTAAAATATTGTGAGTCAGCGGGACAGAGGTGTTACCCCTTTTGACAGATTGAGAAACAGAGGCTGAGCAAGCTTTTGTTACTGAACCATGTGTCAGAATTAACATGTGATGAAGCCAGGTTCCAGACCTAGCTCTCCAGGTCTCAGAATTGAAGAAATTTAGAATCGAGAGTATCTTAGGATCTGTACCAATTTAGAGCTAAAGCAGAGAACAGGATATCTGGTCTGTTTTCACCAAACTATTTAGACTTTCTGTGTTTAAAGGTTATCAGTCTGTTTAATTTACGTGATGAATGGAAAAATGATTTTGTAGTGATCACTTTTCCCTGAAAGCATATCTCTGGTACTTTGCAGTTTTGTTAGCTAATACAATAAAAATAAAAACTGGTCCTTTTCAAAGGAAGGTGTACAGTTAATAAAATAATATGAACCATTTGGATGTGATGCTGATGAGCGAGAAGCGCATAACTTAATCCTTTTGCATTTTTTTCTTGTTGCTTGATATCTGTGTTCTGATGAAAACATTACTGTTTGCTTTTTATTTATGCATAACTTCAGTCTCTTTAATCCTTACCTGAATACTACTTATCAGAAGTTCCTAGGTTATAAACAACTCTTTAAAAAGTGTTGTGTGAATGTTTATATCAGTTTGAAAAAGAAAATAGCTTATGCTTTGAGACTACCATCTGGAGTAGGCTTTCCCAGTTTAGTAACTGAGAATTATCTTATTCACCAGTAATATTAGCATATAGTCCAGGTTGCGAAGAGAGAGGGAGAGAAAGAGAAGCATGATGCAATTCACATGAAATAACTCTGATGTTACAAATCATGTTTCTTGGAGTTTGAAAACACGTTTTGCTACTCTAATGCCTAACAGCTTGTGCTGTGTGAAATGTACATGTCTTTAAGTGTATTTACAGATGTGTCCATATGATTCACCTGTTAGCTACCTATGTAACCTGTTGTGGTGAGGTACTAAATGTAGCAATGTAGTGATAGTGATTTAGAGTTCCAGCTAATCTAAAGTTTCATTCAGTATTTGGGGGTATTTCATATATGTTTAAACATTTAATATCTGTTTTGATATATTAACTAGTTGAAGTTTGTGATTAATTACATATACTTACAGTACAACTTTGATATATTATAGAGATGGGTTTTTTAAATTTATCTAAAGATTTGCTGAGAATGGAATTTGAACCACATGTTAGAAATTGGGCTTTGGGTAATACTTGTGAAGAAGTTAGCATGAAGGACAATTGTTAATTAACTGACATCATTGCCTAATGTTATGGGCGCTGTGGGACTAATATGTGGCATACCCTTCTCTCCACCTGCCAGAAGTAAAACATACTTTGAAGGTAATCTAAAAGTAGGTGAATATGAATAGTAGCTGTAATTTAAATTTTCTTTGACTTGACAGCACTTTCATATATGGCAAAACCTCACTAATGGACTAGTTTCCTCAAATATTCGAAAGAAATATTGTGAGGTAGTGTCTTGTATTTTGTGCATAATTGAGTTGGTTATACTTCTTAGTCTTAACTCAGTACTTTGATAACAAACTCTAACACAGGTTTTTTGTTATATTTTAGAGTTGCAAATTACAAATGATATTTAGGATATAGCCATATGAAGTAAAGTATAAATGACAACTATAGTAGCAAATTTTCTAGTAAAAAATGACATGGTCTTACAGGGTTTTGTCTACTGGTTAATTTCTCATACAGCTTATGGAGCAGGTAAAACTGAAACTCACTCCTGAATAAAATCAGGTAATTTTAAGAGCAAGAGGGAAACTTAAAGATGATCTGACAGATTCGCTGTTTTAAACTGGCAAGGAATACAAAAATCAAGCATTTCCATCTGAACATTGAGTTGTTGCATGTGTTTATGTAAGAGCAGGAAGAAGAGTAACAAGCAGCCAGAAAAGTAATAGTCAGAAAACATGGAAAAAGTAACAGAAGGAAAATTAATGTAATCAGACAACACCAAAGCAGGCTGTGTGAATGTGTAAGCAAGGTGTAACCGGTGGCTGTTTTTCATTGTTTAATGTAAGTTATTGATTTCTTACTACATAGCTCTCAATTGAGTGAATATATGATAGGACCATGCTGCTTTTTACCTGCATCTGGTTATCTCTGAGTAGAGTAGAACACAAATCCTAAATATAATTGTTTTGCAACTCTGCTATCAAATAATAATTCTTAGTTTCCATCCTTACTATAGTAGTAAACAATACAAATACTAATGAGCACTAAAATGGGCTACTCTAACTCAAGATCCTGAGCAGACAAACAGAATAGGTGGAAGCCCGGAGTATGAAATTAGAGATTTATTTTTATGAACTTAGTAACTCATTCTCAGAAATAGACTAAATAGACCCACAAGAATTGGATGGAATGTGAAGAAATACCTGTTTTTGTTGGTGGAGGCTGTTGGTCTTCCTACCTTTGTAACAGATGGAGCTAATGTCTTTTCTGGAGAAAGAGAGAAACTAAACCCCCAACCCATTTTTTTTTTCCTTTCACTTGATCTTTTCTGAACAATTGCTGAATATAGCTAACTTTAAAATAATTCTATGTTTATTTATCCAATGTTTGATTATTATTTGCTATACTTTTCACATGTTTTCTTTTAATAATAACTAATTTCCCAACAAGAAAGATTACTAAATTGTCTTAAAATTTCTTTGCAGATGAAGAAGGCAGCCAGGATGAATCCTTAGATTCCAAGGTATGTACTAAAATGTGTATTGGCCAGTATTTGCTGCCTGATTTAAAAGGATGAATTATGTATCTTAGAAAGGATATGAGGTCTGCAACTTTTGAGTAACAGTTGAATTAAAAAGGACAGAAAAAGACAGATGGTATTAGTATTAGTTCTAGTTTTTCTGGAGGAAGAAAAAATTACTGACCTACAAGAGGGAATAGTAAATATTTCATTTCAACTTGAATGTGCTCTGTGTGTGTGTGTGTGTGTGTGTGTGTGTGTGTGTAAGTTTGAAGATTTAACCTGTGTCATTTGTTTCCACTTTCCAGTTCTCAAAAATAAATCCAGTGAGCTAATGCACTTATTGGTTGATTGAGCTCTCCCTTCCAAGTACTAACCAAGCCCAACCCTGCAGTCAGTTATGAGCTCTGATCTTTAGATTTGAGGGAATGTAGATAAAAGCAGGAAGTAGAAGTATAAGGTATGTTGGGGGCATGTGGAGGAAAACCGAACCCAGACTTTGGGAATTAAGGAAGGCTTCTGGGGGAAGTAACATCTAAGTTGAAATTCAAAAAGGCTACAAGTTAGGTGATGAAGGAAGGCACGTGATGGACACATGCCAAAGCCTATAGAGATGAGTGAGTGTGGCACTTCAAGGAGCTGAAGGAGATGTGATATCTGGATTAGTAAAAATAACGGTCAAATAGGGTTGGGGAAAGTCTTGGCATTGTTGATAACTAAAAATACTTTATATTCTCAGACTACTTTGACATCAGATGAGTCAGTAAAGGACCATACTACTGCAGGCAGAGTAGTTGCTGGTCAAATATTTCTTGATTCAGAAGAATCTGAATTAGAATCCTCTATTCAAGAAGAGGAAGACAGCCTCAAGAGCCAAGAGGGGGAAAGTGTCACAGAAGATATCAGCTTTCTAGAGTCTCCAAATCCAGAAAACAAGGACTATGAAGAGCCAAAGAAAGTACGGAAACCAGGTAGTCTGGACATTTTCCTTGCTTTTTGATTTATTTAGGGGACAACTGAAAATTTTAAGCTAATGAATAAAGAGGCTGAAGAAGACTGGCTTCACTGATTATTACCCACAAATAATATATGGAGTGTAGTTTGGAGAGAATTTCTAGATTTTAATATACCAAAGTTATTCACTTAACAGATTTGACCCAAGTTACATAAGCTGAATTCAATAGATGAGATTGCATTTATCTTTTTATTAATATCCTGACGTTTCTTTTTGGAATCAAGTATGTAAATACATTTCTCACTGAGAAATTTAAAAAAATAATATGTCAGGGTAGCATACAAAACAGAAACTCAGGAAGAACTGTCTAACATGCCACTATGGTTATTTTCAGGATTGTGGTAGGATTATTACTACAATAACCTTGTCGATCATCCTAGGTAATTTGATTTAGGTGTTTATCCCTCAGCTGACGCTTGTGTGTACTTCCATCCTATTCTAACTTTCACAATCTTGAAACCTCTACTTTTCAATTTAAAACTTGACCTTTTTCACAATAGTCTTCTAAATATTAATCCTTTTAAAAATTATTAATGTATGCATTCTACCATGTCTTGTTGCCCTTCTGTCATTTATTATTTCAATGATCACTGCCTTATCTGTTTATTATTCCATTACTAACCACTCTCAGGAACTGATCCAAATTTGAACTTTTTAAAAAAATAGAATTTTTTTTTACTACAAATATACCATTCTCATGAATAGAAAACTATTTTTAAAAAATTAAAAGTACCTGAATCCCATCAACTAGAAATAACAGCTGCTCACATCATGGAGAATATTCTCTCAGGATTTTTTTAGGTGTATCAGTAGTTTTAAGAAAAGTAAATTGGGTCAAAATGTGTATTCTATGTTGCAGCCTGCATTTTGCACTTAACAGTTTACCATGAATGTTTTTCCATGTCATTTAGCTTATTTTCAATTTGATAGTTAATGGCTATAAAAAATTTTATTTGTAAATATATGGTACCATAAACCAAAACGTTTATGTTTTGCTGGGAGATCATTTTAGATGTATCTTTGTGCCTATCTGTGAAAATTTCCTTAGAATTCTTAAAGTAAATTTGCTGAATTGGATGTAAAAGTTTAAAAGACAGTAGATACACATTGTTAAATTGTTCTTCAGAAAAGTGATTCTGTTTACTTCCTCTGAAAATACCTCTTTCCCTGTACCTCACCCAAGTGTGTATTACCATTTTAAAATTTTTACTAAATATAATTTAATTCATTCTTCATTTTTTAATTAGGGATTTTTTTTTTTTTTTTTTAGTTTTTATATTTTTAGAGACATGGTCTCACTCTGTCACTCAGGCTGGAGTGCAGTGGCACGATCATAGTTCACTGCAGCCTTGAACTCAGGTGATCTCCCTCTTTGGCCTCCCAAAGTGCTGGGATTACAGGCATGAGACACTACATCAAGCCTGGGAAATTTTTAAACATGCATAAAAGTAGAGGGTAAAATGACACCCCTTACCAACCCTCACTCAGCTTCAATAAACATCAACATTCTGCTGGTCTTTTCATCTTTACTACCCTACACACATTTGCCCTTTTTTTCTTTCCTAGAATATTTTAAGGCAAATTCCGCATGTGCTTTTACATCTCTGTGTCTCTCTCTAGTAAGAATGTTCTTTTCAGCAAAATCACAGAATTAGCCATTACTCCTTTATTACCTAATACCCAGACTGTTTAATTTTTCTAGTTGCTTCAAGTGTCTGTTTACAATTTATTTGTTTGAATTCATTTCTAAGCTAAGACCTAGGTTTCTCTTAATCTGTTGCTGTTCTCCCTCTTTTGTTGTTGTTCTTTTTTTTTGAGACAGAGTCTTGCACTGTTGCCCAGTCTGGAGTGCAATGGCATGACCTTGGCTTACTGCAGCCTCCACCTCCCGGGTTCAAGAGATTCTCCTGCCCCAGCCTCCTGAGTAGCTGGGATACCAGGCGCGTACCACCATGCCTGGCTAATTTTCTTCTATTTTTAGTAGAGTTGGGGTTTCACCATGTTGGCCAGGCTGGTCTCGAACTCCTGACCTTAAGTGATCTGCCCACCTTGGCCTCCCACAGTGCTGGGATTACAGGCGTGAGCCACCGCACCCAGCCCCTCCTTTGTTTTTAAGTGTCATTTTATTTGCTAAAGAAATATGCAGTATCCTTTGTGCTATACAGTTTCCCACGTTTTGGATCTTGCTGGTCATGAACTTGTAATGTCATTGAGCTTGTTCCATTATCTGCTGTTTATTCTATAAACTGGGAGTTAGTTCTAGAGACATGGGTAGATTTGGTTCTGTCTTTTTATTGAGAGTATTTCATAGGTAGGTGGTGGTGTGTACTTTCTGTTGCTTTACATTGAGAGACATGTAGTGTCTGATTTTTCCACTTTTACTGATGTTAAGATTAATTAGCGAGGTCAGGTGGTATCACCCTGATCTCACCATTCTAAAGTTCCTCATTAATCTTTTGCCTAGGGGTTTTGGCAACCATTTATGTTTGTTGCCTGGATCTTTTAATTATTAGGGGTTGCAAAATGGTGACTTTCTAATTCTACCATTCCTCCTGCATTTGTTACCTGGGATTCTTTTATAAAGAATTTTCTCTCATCAAGTCTTTGATTACCCTGAAATATAGTCTCATCCAGAGAAAGCTAGATAAATTCTTATTTCCTTTGCACTGTTGTGAAATGAAAATTTGGTGCCCAAGCAATCTCTGAAAGAGACTAATGAGTATGTTTTTGTTTGTTTGTATTTGTTTTGTTTTGCTTTGTATTTGAGCATTGTAAGGATATAGTAAAAACCAAACCAAGGTGTGTTTTTCTTTCTCTTTCTCACTGAGTTAACACTTCTGACACCAGATATGTTGTGGGTATTTCCCCACATACCAAGTAAGCAATCAGTTCTGCAGAGGATTCTCCATCAGAGACCAGCAGGATGTCTGCTGATTTAATTCAATTCTGACACTACCTGGAGATAGCATTAGATCTCACAAGTTTAGGGCTCAGTCTCACAAGACCAGTCCCCGCTACTTGAGATGCCAATCATAAGCCCCGGGTTGTCTGTGCTTCTGACAGACTGGCTATAAATCAGGGTTCCCACAACCCCCTTCTTGGGTTCAATTAATTTGCTAGCACTTAGGACTCTGGGAAGCATGATAAATGGGTAAATGTAAATATAAATTTACATTTATTATAAAGGATATTACAAAGGATAGAGACGAAAAGCCAGATGGAAGAGAGGTGTAGGGCAAGGTATGGGAGAAGGACTGCAGAGCTTCCATGCCCACTCTGATCTGATCACGCCACCCACCTTCCAGGAATCTCCATGTGCTCAGCTTTCCAGAAACTCCCAGAACTCAGCTATTTTGGGTTTTTATGGAAGCTTTGTTATGCAGGCATAATTGATTAAATCATTGCGCGTTGATTTATTGGCTCAACTTTTAGCTCCTCTGCCCTTCTGAGGTTGGGGGATGGGACTGTAAATTCTAACCCTCTAATCTAATCTAATGGTTGGTTTCCCTGGCAACCAAGTCCTATCCCAAGGCTCTCTAGGAACCTCCAGCCACCAATTTTCTCATTATCATACAGAAGACATTCTTATCACTCAAGAGATTTCAGGGATTTTAAGAGCTATGTTTCTGGAAACGGATGAAGATCAAATATTTTTTTCACAATATCACAAGCATCATTATGAATTCATGGATTCTTACATACATGTCAGCCCTCTGTATCCATGGATTCAACCAAATATTTGAAAATATTTGGAAAAAATGGGTGGTTGCAACTGTACTGAACATGTCCACACTTTTTGTTCTTGTCATTATTCCCTGAACAATGTAGCGTAACTATTTACATAGCATTTCCATTATATTAGGTATTAGAAGTAGTCTAGGGATGATGTAAAACAGGAGGATTGCGTAGGTTATATGCAAGTACTACGTCATTTTATCTAAACAACTTGAGCACTCATGGATTTTGGTACCACCAGGCCAGGTCCTGGACCCAGTCCTCCAGTGATACTGAGGGACAGTCATGTGTCACTTAACAATGGGGATGCATTCTGAGAAATGCATCACTAGTTAATTTTATCGTTGTGCAAATATAGAGTGTACTTACACGAACCTAGCTAGTGTAGCCTATACCTCGGCTATATGTTATAGCCTATTGCTACTAGGCTACAAACTTCTACAGCTTGTTATTGTATTGAATACCGTACTCAGCTGTAACACAGTGGTAATTATGTGTATATCTAAACCTATCTAAACATAGAAAAAGCACATAAAAATATGGTATAAAAGATTTTTAAATGGTACGCTTGTCTAGGGCACTTCCCATGAATGGAACTTGCAGGACTGGAAGTTGCTGTGGGTGAGTCTGTGAGTGAGTGGTTAGTGCTGAGTGAATGTGAAGGCCTGGGACATTGCTGTACACCACTGTAAACTTTTATAAACAAGTACACTTAGGCTGCACTAAATTTATTTTCAAAATTTTTTTTCAATAGTAAATTAACCTTCGTTTATGGTAACTTTTTTAGTTTATAAACTTTTATGTTTTAGCTTTTCAACTATTTTGTAGTAACACTTAGCTTAAAATACAAACACATTGTAGAGCTATACAAAAATATTTTCTTTATATATTATCCTTATTCTATAAGCTGTTTTCTATTTTTAAATTTTTTTTTAACTTTTTAAACGTTTTTGTTAAAAACTAAGACAAACATACACATTAGCCTACGCCTACACAGGGTCAGGATCATCAATATCACTGTCTTCCACCTCCACATCTTGTCCCATTGGAAGGTCTTCAGGGCCATTAACAGGCATGGAACTGTCATCTCCTATGATAACGATGCCTGTACTTCCTGAAGGACACACCTAATGCTGTTTTACAGTTAACTTTTTTTTTTAATAAGTAGGAGTACATGCTAAAGTAAGGATGAAAAGTATAGTAAATATGTAGACCAGTAACATAGTTGTTTGTTATCACTATCAAGTGTTATGTACCGTACGTAATTGTATTACTATACTTTTATACAACTGGAAGTGCAGTAGGTTTATTCACACTAGTTTCACTACAAAAACATGAGTAATGGATTGTGCTACAGTGTTGTAATGACTAGGACATCACTAGGTGATAGGAATTTGTCAGCGATATAATCTTATGGGACCACCATGGTATACACAGTCTGTCATTGGCCAAGAAGTTATGATGTGTCACATGATCATATTTTTGTTCATTGCAATCATTCTTTTTTGTTGATTGCTCAGAATTTTCCTTTTTTGGCCATTGGTAATCATTCCTTTGTCTTTTTGACTAGATCCTGGTGATCTTTCGTAACTTTTTTTTTCCAGGCAGAACAAGGATGTCCTAAACTTATTTTGTACATTTCTTGACCCAGAAATGAAAGTCAGCTATTTCTCCAAGGAACCCAGATTGCTTTTGGTGGGTTAGATAATATAAGCACCAGTGATCTGCATTGCTAAATTTTCATTACTTATAGGCCTTTTTGGTGCATTGGGTTAGGAAATGTATCTTTCATACCGATAACTTCTAGTTCAAATTAAATATTACAGGCAAGATAACAAAAATCAGATTGACAAATTGAACTTACAAGAATCAGAGATCCTAACCTAGTATCAAGCTTGGCAAATATTTTCAAAGATAAAATTATCATAAGACGTGAGCGGGGTGTAGAGAAGTCTGTGACTGCCAGAGCTGCTCTCGGGTCGTTTCTTTCCTCAATTAGACTGTGCTCCAGCCCAGAGTTCAACACTCAAGGCCTCTAAGTAATGCCTGTAGAGTGTCAATTCCACGAAAGAAAGCTGTTTCCGACATGAGACATCACTGGTTTCTTCTTTGATAATTACATAGTGTATGTGATATTTTCTAGAGAGTCATGCCTACATACATCCCAGGTTTTTGTATAATGAGCAATGTAGACAGATCAAGTTCATCCTGCTGAAGCATTTCATAAGCAAGGACTCTTCCAATAGTAAATACCTTCAGTGTGTTTGCCAGAGGTCTCTCTTTACCATATTTCTAAGGTGATTTGATGATGCTTGGAGAGAGGTATCTGCTCACTCTGTTTTGGGCCAGTGAGAAGAAAGAACAGACTACAGGTCTGCTGCGAGCCCTTTCCACCTTATCAGAGTTTTTGCTTCTTTTGTGTTATCTCCTTTCACTGGTGCTGAAAATCTTAGTACCTAATGACATTAATGTTATTTTGTTTTATCATAATAAATATGCATATATAGTTTCAAAATAACAGTGGCCCTTACCACTAACTGTGGGACCACAGAATGCAGCCCAAGATTCCTTTATGGTCCTTCTTATTCTTGGTATATATTTTGCTAGGGACTTGTAATAATACAGTGTTTTAAAATCACTAATAATTCTCTGGTTATATCAACAACTTTATAAACATTTAGATTAATTTGTACCAGTTTTCACTTTTCAATAATGATTTAGATTTGTTTTTAATTTATTCTTAATATATGAAAATGCTTAAGTACTTATGCATATATATGACATAAATTGCATATATATGGCTCTGTGTACAGTTCCAGCTACACTAGAACTGGGTTATGTGACAGTTACTTTGAAACTTTTGCCCTTTGTCAGCCTCTCAATCATGTTGCTACCATATTAATCTTTCTCAAACTCAAATTTGACCCCATAACTCCCCTGTTTACAGGCCTCCATTACTTCCCTGTTTGCCTGAGAGATGAAGTATGCAGTCCTTAGCATGATTCACAGAGCCTTCAGTGTACCCCTTCCCTAAGCAGCCTTTTTCAGCAATACAAAACCCTTTTCTGTTCTCCAAACACAACATAACAGTTTATGCCCCTGGGCCTTTGTACAGATTCTCCTCACTGTTTAGGATGCCTTCCTCATTCCTTTGCCCAAATCCACTGTCACAAATTTCTGTTCATTCTTAAAAATAAATGTAGGTTTTCTCCTTTCTGAAGTGGTTCCTGAACCAAAGTGTTTACTATATGTAAGAGCTTCCTATCTGGCCTTCTTCCTTTTGCTCTTTCCCCCACTATCAGTTCCCTAACAGCAGCCAGACTGAGACTACTTCCTGCTCAGAAACCTCCTTTGGCTTCCGGTCCTACTCAAAGTAAAATCCAAACTTCTTCTATTTACAAGGCCTGACATCAGGCCCTTCCTGTCTCTTTAACTAACTCTTCTGCCACTCCCCTTTAGGTGACTCCCACCAAACTTGCCCTCTTGCTATTTCTTGAATATTTCACACTTATTCCCAGTTGTGTTGGGGAACCCCAAGACCACACCCTCAGGTGCAGTAATTTGGTAGGAAGTGTTCCTAGTAAATCTATGCTGACTCAAAGGACTCAGTGTAGAGTTGTGTTCACAGCTATAATTTGTCATAGTGGAAGACTAGAAGGCAAAATCAGCAAAGGAAAAGTATGGAATGAAGTGTAGGGGAAACCAGATGTAAGCTTTCAAGGGTCCTCTCCCGGAGGAGTCACACGGAGTGCTTAAATCCAGCAGCAACAAGTTAAGATAACACATGTGAAATGTTTTCCACCCAGGTAGCTTATTAGAGAACTAGAGTTTTTATTGGGGGCTGGTTAAGTTGGCAGTCTCTTCCTGGCATGTACCAAACTTGCAGAAGGAAAGCAGGTGTTCAACATTGTACAGTTTGGGTGAGCCACTCTTATCTGTAGGATGGTGAGAACTCTCCAGAAATCTAAATTTCCAGATGCTAACCAAGGGCCAACCTTGGAAGCCAGCCTTCTCAAAGAGAGAAGTTTATGTCTGTTTTTTTAACTCTTCTCTGCACAGTCTACTCCCTAGGTCATTGGCCAAGGCATCTTTATAGCAGAGTTACCAATAAGACCCAGATAGTAGTGAGACCAGCCTGCAATATTGATTTTAGGTATGCCTTTTAGGAGGCCTGGACTTAGCCAGTTAAAACAATTCCCATTTATCATAATGGTCTATCTTAGAAAAACAATAGGCTTCCTCCCTAAGTTTTAACCTTTCTAATCTTTTTACCTTTTTTTTTTTTTTTTTTTTTAGACGAAGTCTCGCTCTTGTCCCCCAGGTTGGAGTGCAGTGGCATGATCTCTGCTCACTGCAACCTTCGCCTCCTGGGTTCAAGCGATTCTCCTGCCTCAGTCTCCCAAGCAGCTGGGATTACAGGCACCTGCCACCACACCCAGCTAATTTTTATATTTTTAGTAGAGATGGGGTTTCACCAGGTTGGCCAGGCTGGTCTCGAACTCCTGACCTCAGGTGATCCACCCACCTCGGCCTCCCAAAGTGCTGGGATTACAGGAGTGAGCCACCGCACCCGGCCTACCTTTTTTAAAACACATTTTACCTATTATTTGTTTTTGTACGTGGTCTTAAGTTTCTGTATTAACTTTTTTTTTTTTTAATCAGCTGCAGCACAACTGTGGCCTAGTAAGTGGAAGCTGACCTAAAAGCTTTCCAGGGCTGAGTCAGTCTCATGAGAGTCAGAGTACAAGAAGTTCCGTCCCAAGCCGGGCGCAGTGGCTCATGCCTGTAATCCCAGCATTTTGGGAGGCCAAGGCAGGTGGATCACTTGAGGCCAGGAGTTCAAGACCAGCCTGGCCAATATTGCAAAACCCCATCTCTGGTAAGAATATAAAAAATTAGCTAGGTATGGTGGCATGAGAATCGCTTGAGCCTGGGAGACAGAGGCTGCAGTGAGCCAAGATCATGCCACAGCACTCCAGCCTAGGTGACAGAGTGAGACTGTCTCAAAAAAAAAGAAGAAGAAGTTCAGTCCCAGAGGGTACACATGGTAACCCTGGAAGCAAACCATCAATTACAGATACTCTGTTTCCAAAACTCAAAAGAGTTCAAATTCCAGTCCTCTCACTGGCAGCAAAAAGCAAGGAAGTTGTGTCCCACTAAACATTTTTTTGCAGCTTCCCCTGATCAGGATTATTCCTCTGGTATTTACAAAATTACAGGTGTTTAACATTTTATTTTAATTTTTACAATACATCTAGATGCAATAGCCACAAAATATAAAGCTATTTTAAAAATATTCTTCTTTTTCTTTTTTCTCCCTACTGCAGTTTACTCAGCCTCCTAGCAGTAAATTCAGTGTTTGCACTGTTAACATTACAGCTGCCAGGGAAGATCCTGGAATGCAGTGGAGGAAGGGAGGTGGGGGAGGATATTGTAGCAAGAGCAGCAGCCAGGCTGAAAAAAAACTGCTGGATTGTTACCTCCCCCAGTTTTTTTGTTTGTTTTCTGGTTTATCTAAAATTTTGTTCCAGACCAGATTTAACTTTTTAAAGAGAGCAGTTCAAACTTGTAACGTTTTTGGTTTGGCCCATCCTTGGGAATTTGGGGGTCCTTTCTCTTCCCATCTAGAAGAGAGAACAAAAACTACAGGCCTCACCTGCAATACACTGCCTTTTCCCTCATTTTAGCCAGCAGGACTAAAAGCAGTCAGGGGCATCCAGCAAGCCAGCTTTCCTGGAGCTGGATCTTTTACTTTCAGATTCTATGGCTCTCAACAAACAGCAGCTCAGCTACTGCTTCATACTGTGGATGACTCCATGACCACTCAGGCCCCAGAGATTCATCATATTCTGCCCTTTAGCCTTCCTCTTCTTAACGCTTTCACCATATATCAGTGAGTCAGGGTCATTCTAGCAAATCCCACTTCTAATGCATCTGTGTCAGGGAACCCCTAAACCATCCCCAGGTTTAATGATTTGGTAGGGGGATTTGACATATAGTTGCCTTCACAGCTATGATTTATTACAGCAAAAGGGGACAAAGCAAAATCAGCACAGGTGCAAGGTACATGGGGGGGAAGTCTGGAGGAAACAAGGTAGAAGCTTCCAAGGGTCCTCTCCCTCAGAACTGATGCAGGATCACTTAATTACCCCAGCGGCAAATTGTAACAACGCATGTGAAATGTTGTCTACCAGGGAGGCTTGTTAGAGACCCAGTGCCTGGAGTTTTTATTGAAAACTAGTTTGTAATCACCCTCTGCTAGCATGTACCAAAACTGTAGAATCCCAGAAGAAAAATGGGTAGTATTGCGTGTAAACCACATGTTTGTACGGTTTGGGCTCCGTACACTTTTATAAGTTAGAATGGTGGCGTGTCCGGAATTTGTTCCTTCTAATGCCCAGACTTCAGGGTTGATTCCCTCCTTAAGCAGGGGACAACAAATGGGTAACTTGTTCCCCATATTCATGTAGATAATAGCTCCAGCTTTGGCTAATATATCGCTCCCTAATAAGGGTCCTGGGACTTCCAGGCATAACAAAGGCATGTGAAAAGAGCAAAGTCTCCCAATTACAACTGAGGAGGTGGGAGAAATACCTGGTTACAGGCTGTCCCAGGATTCCTCGGTTGGTAACGGTCCTTGAGGACAGTTGTCTGGGACAGGAGGTTAACACTGAGAAGGCCACAGTGTCCAGGAGGAAGTCAATTTCCTGGCCCTCAATGGTTAAACGTACCCGGGGCTCGGTGAGGGTGATGACGTGAGCTGGCGCTTGGCCTGGGCACCCTCAGTCCTGTTGTTGGATCATCTGGTTGGGGGCTTCTGGTCCAGAGAACCTTTGTCCTCTGGGGCAGTGCACCTTCCAGTGATTGCCTCGGCATAGTGGACATGGGCGAGGGGGCAGCTTGTTTCTCACTGGACAATTTTTTAAAGTGTCCTTGCAAACCACACTGATAACAAGCCCCACCAGGTGATTGGCCTCCTCTATTTTCTGTCCTCTTTGAACCACCAAGGTTTGTTTGTCTGGAGGGCCATGACTAAGGCTGCAGCCTTTCTCTGATCTCACTTTTCCTTTTTGGCCTGTTCCTCTTGGTCCCTATTATAGAACACCAAGGTTGCCAGGTTTATTAATGCCTCCAGATTTTGTTCGGGGCCCAGGGCTCACTTTTGGAGCTTTCTTCTGATATCTGCGGCTGATTGGGTAATAAACTTACCCTTTAGAATCAATTGACCCTCAAGTGAGTCAGGTGACAGGGGAATATGTTCTCTTAAGGCCTCTTGAGGAAGGCAGAAGGATTTTCTTCCTTTCCCTGAGTTATGGTGGACATCATTGAATAATTCATGGGCTTTTTCCTAATTTTCCTTAGTCCTTCTAGAACACAGGTCAGCAGATGTTTATGACTCCAGTCCCCATGATCTGAGTCTAGATCCCAGTGGGGATCCATACTGGGGACGGCTTGCTGACTGGTAGGGAATTTGTCCCTTTCTTCAGCTGTCAGTCTGTCATTTACTTGACTAAGATACCAGGTGTCTCCAAACTCTCAGGCTGCAGCTAAAGCTGCATTCTTTTCATTAAAGGCCAGGGTTTGATCTAACAATAACATAACATCTCTCCAAGTGAGATCGAAGGTTTGCCCTAGACCCTGTAGGACATCTGTATACCTATCAGGATCATCTGAAAGCTTCCCCAGGTCTGCCTTGATCTGCTTTAAATCAGAGAGGGAGGAGGGGACATGTACCCAGGTTGGGCCAAATTCCCCTCCCCTACAGCTTGAAGGGGACATAACCAATAGCCTGTGGGGGTTTGTGGTCCTTTGGAGATTTCTTTGCTTGTTTCCTTCTGGGCAGGGGAGATTAGAGGAGGCTTATCATTAATAGGAAGGGGAGCTATAGGGAGGCTAGGATATGGAGGTAAGCTAAGAGGTCCTCCTGTGGGATGTAAATTGTAAGCTTTGCATAGTTGTGGATTCTCCTTCAATGAAAAGAAAGCTTGGACATAAGGTATTTCACTCCATTTGCCTTCCCTCTTACAGAAAAGGTCAAGCTGCAAGATAGTATTGTAATTGATACTTCCCTCAGGTGACCATTTTTCCCCATCAGAGAGAATATTGGGGCCAGGCCATAGTGCAGAAAAAAATGAGCTGCCTCTTTTTCAGGGTTTATGGGTCAAATTGGTCCCAATGGCTTAGGATGCATTTCAAGGGTGAGCCTATTGATGCCTGTTTCCCATCTGAAAGACAGAACCGCCCGCGGTTTTGGTTTGTTTCTCTCCCTGCCCAAGAACCCACAAGGGTCCCTGGACCCTCCGGATCAGAATAGTTGCGCTCACTGACAAAGCAGCAGAAACACTAGTTTTCCTCCTAGACCACAAAGAGGACCAAGGAAGATTGGATTTAGTGGCCCTTACCAACGCATTCTCAAAATCCTGCACTCTTGTCTGTCCTCCTAGACCCCAAAGAGGACTGAGAAAAATCGGATTTAGTGACCCTTAACAACGCATTCTTGAAAAGCTGTTAGAGTCCTAAGCATTCTCCTGTTAGTAGTGGGATTTTACCCATGTCCTATAAAGATGTTATGCCCTGAAAATGAAGTGGAGGGCCATACCCTAAGGGAGGGGAGGGATCTCCAGAGTTGGAAGAGTGATGCCTTTTGTCCTCACTTGAATAGGAAGGATATCATTTCTGAGGCTCCCCATATCCTAGCTTCAGGAATAGCTTTTGTTAGGCCTGCTACCCTGAGGAGGGATCCTAAAATTACAGATAAGTTAGTCCCCCGCCCCGATGGGGCTTTGGGCAAAAATTGTGTCTTTCTGGTTAGTGAGCCCAGGTGCCTAAAGAAGGGAATAGAGTCCTGGAGTATATACTAGAAATCATTCTCATAGGAGAAACTAGAAAAGCACCAGAGACAGGGAGTTGTTTTAGAAGCAGGACTAGCCTCAGAGAAGAGAGGCGAGAGGAAGTTTGTCTGACAAGCATTAGGACCCAGGAAGCAAGGGTCAGGATAGATAGGATAGATGGGCGAGTCTCACTTGGGCGACGTGACTTCGAGAGTTCCGCTCATGGCCACAGGGTCAACAAACTTGTCGGGACCCCGGAGCTGAATGGCTTTCCTCTCTGTCCACCCTTGGCTCAGCCGAGAAGTACAGGGAAAGCGGAAGCTGGTTCCAGGCAAACCAACGCTCCCAATTCCGAAGAGTTGGGGGTGGTTAGAGAGCTCTTTCCCAGAAAGCCTGACATCCGTGTCTTTAGTCCGGCGGCCGCGCTAGTCGCTTTTAACTGGCTGACAGGTGCCAGTATTTAGCCCCCGAATTCTAAGGAAAAGTAGGACAGAATAGCAAACGAAAGGGGTCTGATGGTACTCACTGCTTGCTGATTGTCCCTTCGTGGGTGCCAAAATGTGTCCAGAATTTATTCCTTCTGGTGGGTTCTTGGTCTCGCTGACTTCAAGAATGAAGCCACGGACTCTCGCGGTGAGTGTTACAGTTCTTAAGGTGGCGCGTCTGGAGTTGTTTGTTCCTCCTGTGGGTTCGTGGTCTCACTGACTTCAGGAGTGAAGCCGCAGACCTTCGCAGTGAGTGTTAGAGCTCATAAAGGTAGTGCGGACCCAAAGAGTGAGCAGCAACAAGATTTATTGTGAAGAGCGAAAGAACAAAGCTTTCACAGTGTGGAAGGGGACCCGAGGGGGTTGCCACTGCTGGCTCAGGTGGCCAGCTTTTATTCCCTTATTTGGCCCTGCCCATGTCCTGCTAATTGGTCCATTTTACGGAGCGCTGATTGGTCCATTTTACAGAGAGCTGATTGGTGCGTTTACAAACCTTTAGCTAGACACAGAGCACTGATTGGTGCGTTCTTACAGAGTGCTGATTGGTGCATGTACAAACTTTCAGCTAGACACAGAGTGCTGATTGGTGTGTTTACAATCCTTTAGCTAGACAGAAAAGTTCTCCAAGTCCCCACCTGACCCAGAAGCCCAGCTGGCTTCACCTCTCAGTGGGAACCCTTCCAAAATCTAAGTTTGTAGATAGCAGCCGAGGGCCACATGATAAGCGGTCTTTCAAAAGATAACTAGTCAGGCTTGCTGTGTTAACTGTTTTCTGCATATCATCTCAATAAACATTTGTTGATCATGAATGAATAATTAAAACGCCATCATAAGGAGAATGATTACATTGTGGTATTCCCTATTATAGAATACCCATAGCCATTTTAAAAGGAACAGGTTTTGTTGTAAATAAAAAAATCCATCAGACAATGGCAGAACCAGAAGTTTATTTGGCTCATGTAACTAGAACTCACAGATAGGCAGTTCAGGACTTGTGCCATCAGAGACTCCAGCTCTCCCTTTCTTCCTGTTCAGCTCCTCAGTAGACTGGCTTCATCCTCATGTTTGTTCCATGTGGTCAAATCTGATAGTGGCTGCACCTTCAGGGCCTGGGTCCTCAGGAAGAAGTGTTGCCTGCATCAGAAGAGCAGAAGCATTTTCAGAAGACACTAGGAGAATTCTGAAACTATTTCTCCTGGGGAAGTGGTTCAGAATCAGTAATGAGGCAGTCTGCCCTGTCTGCCACCTACAAGAATGTCAATGATATGTTAAGCAAAAAAATGTCCTATTGAAAAGTAGTTCAGTTAGTATGATCCTGTATTAGTCACAGTTCTCCAGAGAAACAGAACCAAAGGCCATTTGCTTGGAGAATTTCTTCCTCATAGGGTTCAGTCTTCATTCTGCTCAGTCCTTCAACTGATTGGGTGAGGTCTGTCCACATCATGGAGGATAATCTGCTTTACTCAAAGTCCACCAATTTAAATAATTTCATCCAAAAATCACCTTCATAGAAACTTCCAGAACAATGATATACTCAATATCTGGGCACTATGGCCCAGCCAGGTTGACACACAAAATTAAACCATCACAAATCCTTTATGTGAAAAGAAGCCATTTGTAAAAATAAGTTTGCAAATGAAAAAGGTCCAGAACTTCTTTTTTCAGTAACTGTCATTACCTCTTGACAGAAATAACTTGAAGTGATAGGTAAAGATAACTGTCATTTTTCTTTAATTTTGTATACTTTCTTACTGTTTGTCTCTGCAGTAAACACATCCTTATAGCCTTAAAAAAGAAAAATAGAGTAATTGGCATCTTGATCTATTTCAAATGGCACAAAAGGAACTGAGTTTAAACTGACTACATCTTGCTTAAAATTGGGTTCTGAAGCAAGTTTGTTGAGCAACAGAATGGCATTTCTACTTCATTGTTGCTTAAATGGGGATGGCAGGGAAGGAACGACCTTTAACCTAGCAATCATATTAAACAGAAGATAGAAGAATAGGC
Source organism: Homo sapiens (assembly GCF_000001405.40). NCBI lineage: Eukaryota > Metazoa > Chordata > Mammalia > Primates > Hominidae > Homo > Homo sapiens. The sequence goes on along the minus strand of NC_000014.9, from coordinate 81,511,630 downwards.
AGTTGCCTGCAACAGGTCCTGACTTTCATGAAAAGGCTTTTTTTGTTATTGTTTCTTTGGTTTGATTTGGTTTTACAAGCAAATTATTTGTGCAAGGAAACTCCTTTAGGAGACCATCCTTGTAGATCCCAGCCACACCACAGCTTTGAAAACTCACGTGTCTTTAAAGCCGTTGTTTAGAGAAACCCACTGTTCTTAAACAGCAGCTTTCCTGAGCAAGTTTTACTCTGGATGGTTTTTGACAGTGCCTGTCACCTGATTAATATGAAGTTTGCCACTTTATTCTGGTCACATGGGCCAGTGATTGTGCTGCTTTCTCTTTGTATTTTAAAATGATTAGTTGCTTCTCACAGAAAGAGCTGAGCTTTGTATGAACCCTGATCTTAACGTTTTGTTCATTCTGCATATGAATACATCTTCTGAAAAATACATTTTAATCTGTAAAGTGGTGGCTTTCTTCGTATAGCGTGTGTTTATTTACAAAGATAGTTTCTAGACCTTATTTAGCAGTTTTCAACTTTTGGTGAAAGCAGTCTGTAGCAAATTACATACCATTGGTATTTTCCCCAAAATATTACTATAGCATATTCCCAGACAACAGTAAAATATTGCCTGTATCATTTGGCCTATATCACTTACTTTAAGTCAGGTACTTTGTTTCCTTTAAACCATATGTACTGGTGCTTTGTTCATAGTCCTTGGGAGATTTTTTTTGGTGACAATCGTTTGCTTGGTTGAGCTTTTATGTTGGTGTTTACTAAAATTGATGAACACTATGACAGTTGTCTTGAGGTTGGTAGCTTTTTAACATTAAATAATTGTTTCTCAGCTATCTTTGACTACAGGTATATTTGATTCATATGCTACTTAGTACTCTATGTTTGGAAGTACCAGATTGTTTCAGAGAGACAGCCTAATAGATAATTTTCTTATTTAAATATCACCTATGTAAACTGTAAAAGTTCTTAAAATGAGAAATTTGCAAAGCTAAATTATGTTTATCTGTATAGATCAAGAAATTAACTTTTAGTTTTCTGTTTTGATTTTACAATTTAAAGTGAGAAAAAGATGTGCTTATATTCCCCTAGCCTTTAATTGTCTATATATATATATATAGAGAGAGAGAGAGAGAGAGAGAGAGAGAGAGAGAGAGAGAGATCAGCATTCTAGCTATGTTTACCTTTTTTGTCTTGGATTCTTTCCTTCAATGTTCAAGCATACTGTAATATCTTATCTGTTAAAAACAAAAATCTTGTATCCCTTAGTCCCCCTCCAGCTACCATCCCACTCCTCTACTCCCCTTTATAGCATAATTCTTTGAAATCGTTCTCTATAATCACTGATTTCCCTTTCTCTCTTCCTGTTCTGTAATCCAGCTCCAGCAAGGCTTGAGCCTCCTCCAGACTGCTAAATCTACTCTTCTCCACTAGTCACATTCTAATTGCTGAATACCTGGTCGGTTCCTGATCCTCATCTTAACCCCTCACTAGTGTTCTTTTCCCTGAAGATACTTTCTTCAGTTGGCTGCTGGTTCCTTAGAATTTGTCTGATCTTGAAACATGAGCTTGCCTCAGGACTCAGCCTTTGATCCTCTTCCCTGGCTTCACTACTCTCTAGGGACCTTTAATTCCTTCCGTGTTGACGATGCCCCGGTTTTCGTTTAATGGCTGCCCCATAGTGTATTTACCCAGTTTCCTATCAGTAGATCTTTGAGTTCATTTGGTTTTATGTTTTTAAAATTAGGATACTGTACAAGTATTCTCTTGTACATAATCTCTTTGTGTGTTTATGGGAGCATTTTTTTAAGTAAACATCCTGGAAGTGGAAAAGCTGGATCTGAAGATATGGACCTTTACATTTTAACAGATATTACCAAATGCCCCCTCTTGAAGAGATTGTATTAATCCATACACTTGCTAAGAGTATGAAAGGGCCTATTTACCCATCTTCTGGCCGACGCTGCATATTTTCCGTTTTATTTTGCTTTTTACTTTTTCTTACTTTCTTGACTGATTTTAATTGACTTTGCAAGAGCAGATTTCTACTAGTTGAAGTGTAAAGCATTCTGTTCATTATTACAATAAGTTCTGTACTATAAATATCTTCCTCTTGAGGTCTAAATAGATTGGGATACTGTGTCATTAATTGTAGAGCCAAAATATGATTCATTACCTAGAAAATGTGAATTTTTACATGAAGCTGCAGAACTGAGAACCCATTTTTCCCTTTCACGGTGTCAGATTTGATACTGGTTATCGCTAATTTAAATTGCATAACCTGTCAGCTTCATTATACCAGAGCAGTGATTACCTTGTTTTTAAAATTGATACTCTTCTGGTGGAGGTTTTTAAAAGGATGGCTTTGAAATTATTGCAGGATTTCTCCATAGAAAGAAAATTAACTGAAATTAAGACTATTGTGAGGAGTTTCTGTTTGAGATAATCGATTTGAAACTAGAGAGTTCCAATCAGTAACTTTTGGAAGATTTTAGAACAAGTTTAAAAGGTAGTAACACTTTCCATATTGTGATTTCCCTTGGAGAAGGTAGCTGAGAGAAACAAATTTTCTTCACTAATGAATTATTTTGACAGGTTGCAGTTTTGACTAAATTGATGAAGCAAGTGCCTCCTGAGGATTCTTCCTCCTTATGTCAGTGCTGAATCAGCAGTAGATGAAAACCTTTTGTTGTCAAATTTTTTTTACTCTCTCCAGTTTCTTTTCTGTGGTATAGTTCATCACATGAAAGGGAATTATTTCATATATTTGAAACATTTAGAAAATACAAGTTTTGGCAAACTGGAATTCCTATGATAAGTTATTTGTTTTTAAGACAAAGATTTCTATTATCATAGAAGTGTTAATTCTTTTAAACCATCATTTGCTATTTAATTTGAAATTCAGGTTTACAAACTGCAGTTCTACAGACGCTTTCTCGGCTCACTGCAACCTCCGCCTCCCAGGTTCAAGTGATCCTCCTGCCTTAGCCTCCCCAGTAGCTGAGACTACAGGCATCCACTGCCACACCCAGCTAATTTTTTGAATTTTTAGTAGAGACAGAGTTTCACCATGTTGCCCAGGCTGGTCTCAAACTCCTGGGTTCAAGTGATCTGCCCACCTCAGCCTCCCAAAGTGCTGGGAATTACAGGCGTGAGCCACCGTGCCTGGCTCTCAGACACTGTCTTTCTAAAGCAGCGGCAGATTTGGATCTAGTAGCAGTGTATAGGGATGTCCTTTCCAAATTCTGTAGTCAGAATGACTCCTCTGAAGTTGTTGCTAAAGGATTCCTTGCCTATACATTGCATTAGAGATCCTTTCTTTAAAACATAGACAAAGCAAAGGTAAAAAAAGTTATTTGCCTCTTATTACCAGGATGATGAGTGACATTTACCTGGTGTAAACCATTTGAAATTCATTTTGTCTTTCATAGCTTATTGAAAGTATGTTTTAATTTAGTATTGTAGGATATGTCTTTTTTCACACTGGAAAGATAGAAGGGATACTTTCTAGCCTTCAGAGCAGGGATGCCCATAATAATAGCAGCTGTCATCTCTTGAACTCTTATTACCTAAAGTGATAGGCACCATAATGAGTCCTTTACATGTATTATCTCAGTCAGTCTTTGCAAACAATAAGGACTGTTATTCCTATTTGGAGATAAGGATGTTATCTCTAAGTAATCTTAAGAGATTAAATAATTTGCTCAAAGTGCACAGCTAATAAGTGGTAGGATTTGCATCAAATGTTCTGACCCCGGAATCTATACCCTTCATGACCGAGCTCTGCTACCCAATTAAATTCTCCATGTAAAAGCAACCAGTGGAAGTTGACATGGGCTCATACCTACTGTGTACAGTTTTAGGCTTAGTCCTGGACCTCTGGTCTTCTCATATACCTCTCATGCAGCATTCTTAGGCATACCCTTGAATTCAAGTGTTATCTGTGTACTGGAGAATTTTTTTTTTTTTTTTTAGCTGTAACTGAAACATGTTTAAGACATTTTCACTTATTTTTTGTTTTTGCTGTTTTTTTTGTGTGGGTTTTTTCTTTGTTTTTTGTTTGTTTGTTTTTTTAATAGCCACCTTGAATGTAGCAGTACCTACCCAGTAACCTACTCCTCCTTTAGAATTCTGTATCTTAGTAAGGGCAGCCATCTATGTACCCCTAACGCACCTGGGTATCTTCCTTGACTCAACTTTCCTCTTATCCACACATCTAGAAAGTGGTACCATATCTACCTCCTTAGAATCACTTGAGTACATCCACATCTTCCATTCCATTCCCCTCTCTGGGCTACCATTGCTTCTCAGATGACTGTTAACAACCTTTAAACTGGTCACCTTGCATCCAGCCTTACTTTTTACATACTTTCCACTCTTTTAATAAAATGTGAGCATGTCACTCCTATGCAAAACTTTTCAGTGAGTTTCCATTGTTCTCAGGATAAAAGTTCAAACTCCTTAAGACATGTAAGGTCTTCCCCAGTCTGTCTTCCTCATGCTGCTTTAGCCTCTTCTGTTGTCCACTTTGCCATTCATTTGATTCTTGTCACCTTAGCACCAATCTGTTTGAGTACTCCTACCCACCCCACCCATGAGCCTTTCATTCACTGCTACTCCTGCACGCCCTTCAGGTTCAATTGAAACCTCAGTTCCTGAGAGGGGAGGCTTTCCTTTCCATAGCATCCATCACACATTTGCTTAGTATCTCTCTTCCTGGCTAGGCAGTAAGTTGTGTGTAGCAAAGATCTCTGATGCACCTCATTTCTAGCACCTACCATAATTTTCAACACCTAAGAGATACTCATAAATAATTTATAGAATAAATTACAGATGCAGTCTCTACCCTTAACAAGCTCAAAGTCCAATGGGAACTAGAGTATGGTAAAGAAGTAACTTCCATACATGTGATAAGTACTCTAATAAAATGCCACAGGATTGCAGAGGAGTGTGTGAGTGGTTAGCTTTGCCTTGGGGGGAGCATTTGCCCTTTGTAACTCTGTATTACTGAAGAAATTGACTTACAGCATTCAGAAACAAGGAGAGCTGTGCTGAGCAGTAGAATTGATTCACTTGCATTTTGCCTTATTTTTTGCTTACTTTTTGGGCAGGAGTTTTACAGTAGACCTTTAATATTCTAAGGTTATATATCAGGAACTTCAGAAAGTCTAACCTAGACACAGATGCTATGTAGTCAGCTAGCCATGCTCACTAAATTGACTAAACCAAGTCCTCCCTAATCAAAATCATTGCTAGCCCTTTTATGTTCCCAGTTACAAATCAGGCATCATGAATCTTTGCTTCAAATTCCAACAGCCAAAATTGATGGCATTGAATCCATGAATACCAGAGGTGTTGTTTCATGTTTAGATTTTTATTTCTTGTCATTCCAGCTTTGACCGCCATTGAAGGCACAGCACATGGGGAGCCCTGCCACTTCCCTTTTCTTTTCCTAGATAAGGAGTATGATGAATGTACATCAGATGGGAGGGAAGATGGCAGACTGTGGTGTGCTACAACCTATGACTACAAAGCAGATGAAAAGTGGGGCTTTTGTGAAAGTAAGTATTGCTCAGTAGGAGGCAGATCTGCATTGCTTTATGTCTAGGGCAATGTTTTTAAGGCCTTTTTCTAGCCATCCTTTTTCCACATTGGTCAGAAATGGCCAGCATTGCTGATGTCATTACAGCCTTAAAGAGTGGACTTAAGAGTGGGAAACTTGGTGTATTTATTTTCAGGCTGTCACTCAAGTCACACTCACGTTTTATTTAGAGATGGTTTTCCATTGGTATACACAGGTTGTTTTGTTAAACCCTTCAGGCAGCCTGATAAATTATTAAACATAAAACATTTTGGGGGCAGTAAAGGAAACTGGGCCATTATGGAGAAGGTTAATAGTGATTAGAAGAAAAATAAATAACTTTTTAAAAATACTTAAGGTGAAATATGCTATACCAAGGTAACATTTGACAAATACAGTGTATTTAACCATCTTTAGTATAAATGTCATTATAGAGATGCTGACTCTAAGGAAAGCTATTTTCAGGAAAAACTTCCTAACTATGAAAAAACAACAGAAAATCTTGAACATAATCCCTTAAATACCAATTTTTAAAAAAATAATGGCTGTTATAGAATATTTGGGCAATCCTAAAAGAGCACATCAAATATAGTCCATCTTTAGATGTAGGCCAGCGTGACTGGGTACTCCAGTTAATGCACCAGAATTTTTTTATATTATAAGAAGAATTTGCTTCTGTTTCTATAAATACTGGTTCTAATGAAATGTTTGTTTTGATGAGTTCTTACAGTAGCAAAATAACTTTTGAAAAATCTATAACAGTTCTATGATTTTCAGTGTTATATCAGTTTGAAAAATTGGTGAACTTGAACATTAAATCAGTTTCTATATTTAATAAAAATTTTTTACTAACTTGTATTATATAGTTAATCAAATATTTTCACCTTGTAAAGATATACAGTATTTCCAATAGAGCTAAAGTGTCCTTTGATCCCAACAGTATTTTTCTGACTACTGTGTTCGTATGTCTTGACCTTATTTTAGCTGACCTTGGCATATTGTGTTAGTCCATTCTCACACTGCTGTAAGGAAATACCTGAGACTGGGAAATTTATTAATAAAGGAGGCTTAATTGGCTCACAGTTCTGCAAGCTGTACAGGAAGCATGATGCTGGCATCTGCTTGGCTTCTTGGGAGGCCTCAGGAAACTTACCATATGAGATGCAGCCGTCTCATATGGTGGGAGCAGGAACGAGAGAGATGATGAGGAGCAAGGTGCCACATACTTTCAAATGACCAGATCTCGTGAGAACTTACTATCACAAGAACAGCACCAAGGGGATGGTGCTAAGCCATTCATGAAAAACCACCCCTATGATCTAGTCGCCTCTCACCAGGCCTTACAGGTGAGAGAGATTGTAATCACCAGGGATTACAATTCAGTGTGAGATTTGGTGGGGACACTGATCCAAACCATATCACATATAATCTGAAATTTTAGTTGAATTATATTTAAAAAGTTAGCATTACCAACAGAAAAGTACCCTCTAAGAGTGGCTTGGTATTGGTATTTCTATAAAAAAGTGATTTCAGTGAATTTTATATATGTGTGTATATATATATATATTTTTTTTAAGTTTTATCTTGTGTCATGTAAAGGCCACACTTAAGTGTTTTTAGAATCATGTTTGGGAATAGTGAAAGATCATTCATTTTGTTTGTATGACTGCCCAAAAGAAAGAATACTAATGGTTGATAATTGATAGAATTAAAATCCATTTAAATGCATCTGACGTTTTGTTTTTAGCTGAAGAAGAGGCTGCTAAGAGACGGCAGATGCAGGAAGCAGAAATGATGTATCAAACTGGAATGAAAATCCTTAATGGAAGCAATAAGAAAAGCCAAAAAAGAGAGTAGGTAGCACTGCTAAGTCCACTTTTCCCCCATGACAGGCCATTACTGAGACAAATAGCAACTACATTCTTTAAAAAGTGCACTGCCAGAGACGCAGAAGATTTTTTTAAGTTCCATTACAAAAAAATGTAATATAACTTACGGGCATTAGTAGCATTGCTTTTACCACACTTTAGTTAAGGTAAAATTGTTATACTGATTACAGTAACAAACAATGAGTAAAATGGCAATGATTGACTCAAGTTGTAGTAGTTTCTAAGAACCAAGCATGCATATACTATTTAGAATTCAAAATGACATAAAACAAAAAGAATTGTTGTCAAGTACGTTTTTTGTTTTTGCTTTGTAATTTTTGACTGGAATTTAGGAATTTGTGCTTGGAAAAAACAGAACAAGTGATTATCTCGTAACATCTTATGTCCTTTTAATTTCAGCTGACATTTTTATAGTCTGCAAAGATTTAAAAAGAAAATTGCAACAGTTATTATTAGATCGTATACTGGACACCATCATATTCTCTTATTGCAAATCGGTTAACTTTTTTTAATAGAAGTTTTTAAAATTACTGTTAGTATAATTAGACTATTTCAAGATATTAGGATAACAGGGAGAACTGGTACCTTATATGAAAAACAAAATAGCTAGCCAATCTGGGCAGCATAGTGCAACCCTGTCTCTAAAAAAAATTTAAAAATTAGCCAGGCATGATGGTGCACACTGTGGTCCCTGCTACTTGGGAGGCTGAGGTAGGAGGATCACTTGAACTTGGAAGGTAGAGAGGCTGCAGTGAGCTGTGATCACACCACTGCACTCCAGCCTGGGCAACAGAGGAAGACCTTGTCTCAAAAAAAAATTAAAAAAAGGGATGTTTTTTACATGTATAAGTAATATGACTGAATAGAAATAAGATTATCAGAGGGGGTGGCTAGGCGTGGTGGCTCACGCCTGTAATCCCAACACTTTGGGAGGCTGAGGTGACCAGGAGTTCGAGATCAGCCTGACCAACATGGTGAAACCCCGTCTCTACTAAAAATACAAAATTAGCCAGGCACGGTGGCGCACGCCTGTAATCTCAGCTACTTGGGAGGCTGAGGGAGGAGAATTGCTTGAACCTGGGAGGTGGAGGTTGCAATGAACCGAGATTATGCCATTGCACTCCAGCCGGGACAACAAGAGTGAAACTCCATCTCAAAAAGATTATCAAAGGGGTTTTGTAACATAAGGAAATTATTTATGTTGCGTTTTAGTAGATCAAAAAAACTTAATGGCAGTTTCAAAACATTACTAATTTGGTTTTTAATTGTTTACATTTGAAGAGCATATCGGTATCTCCAAAAGGCAGCAAGCATGAACCATACCAAAGCCCTGGAGAGAGTGTCATATGCTCTTTTATTTGGTGATTACTTGCCACAGAATATCCAGGCAGCGAGAGAGATGTTTGAGAAGCTGACTGAGGAAGGCTCTCCCAAGGGACAGACTGTAAGTACATTCTCAGTGAAGAATCTCTCTGCATGTAACACTTGTTAGTTTTAAAAGCAGTTTACTCTCTATGTCCTGACTTCTTTTAAAAAGTCAGACTGGAAGATAAATACCAATTTTGTGGCTGACCATTTTATCAGTCTTCTTGGATAGTCTTTTTCCTTAGTCTGGGAACATTTATGGTCATGGAAGACATTTTTGCAGTTGTGCCTTGCTACAATTACATTTGTACTCTTCCAAATTAGATCTGTAGAGAATGAAATATGAAGATAATTACTTTTTATCTGAAATTACTCACCATTGCATTTTTCCAAAGTTCAGATGTTGCAGCTCATGTTAATCTTGGTGTTTTTTTAAAAAAGTATTTTATTACAGAAGCAGTACATGTCCATTATAGGAAACTAGAAATACAAACTAACAAAACTAAGAAGTACACATCACATATGTACCACCCAAATATGAGTAATAATATATTAGTGTGCATGCATATCTTTCTGTAATAGATCTTTCTCTTTGTGTATATATACACGATATTTTTATTAAAATGAGATATCACTGTCTATTGTTCTGGAACTTCACCTTTTCATCCCAGCACATTTTAAGTCATATAATACCCACACTATGTTCATATGATGTTGAACCCAAAAATTTTCTTTATACCTGTTTTGTCCAAACCAGTATTCAATCCAGGACTCTACCTTACATTTGGTTGTTATCTAGTATACCCCAATGCCTTTTTTGTCTATATTAGAGATAGGGCCAGTTTTTCTGCAGAATATCCTACCTCAGTTTGTTTTCATGGTGGCTTTTAGTTTGTTTCTTCATCACCTGTATTTCCTGTCAATAGGATGTCACAGCTAAAGGCTGATGAATACAAGTAAAATATTTTTGGCTAGACTACATTACAAGGGATGTTCTGTATTCTACATTGTATCACATCAGTTGCTAACATATCTGGTTGTTTCCCCATTAATAATGCTAAGATTGACACCTGGATTTAGGGGGCCATCATATTTATTTAAAATTCCTTCAATAATTCAAGCTTATTCAAGCTGCGAGACTTGCTTAAAGATAAGTGAAATATCTAATCACAAGGGAAGTCTGTTTTCAAACTATATAAACAATAACAGGAGTCATAACAGTTGTTTTCTTAGAACTGAATACCTAACAATTCTGCAGCTCTTTCCTCGGTATTTTATTATAAGCAGATTATATCTTAATTGTTCCCCTTTGTTTTCAAAGGTTTTTCTCTTCTTTGCGTGAATCAGTTTATATAAAAACATATATATTCTTATTTTCAGAGGTATTCTGCTCTGAAGAACGGTTTTACTTTATAAGGCATCAGTTCCCTCTAATATTAGAACCTTACAAAGCCACAGCACTTTATATGTTGCAAAGCACCCTCTCCATGAAAATTAGTTCTAGTTGATGCAACAGACAAAACCCGCAAATCACAGTGGCTTAACACTACAGAGAGTTATTTCTTGCTCATGCTAGATTTGATGTAGCTCTCCTGTTGGCATCACTCTTTTCTGAGTAGTGACTCCTGGTCATGGGCTGTTTCTATTATGTAGCTACACTGATTGCTACACGGGGCTTCCATGCCATGATGAAGTGAGAAAAGAGAGCCTCAGGATTCATTAGGGTGTTTTCAGGCTTACATCCCTGACAGCCATACCCCAGGCATGTGATTCTACGGAGAGGCTGGAAAACGTAGAGGAGCTCATGATTTCAGTGAGCACTCCAGTCTCTGCCACACCTGCCTTTGTCATGTTAGCTTATACTTTCCTATCATCAAGGATGATCCATAGAAGGCAAAGGGTTGAAAAGGTTGAACTTCACCAATGCATTATTTCTTCCATTTTTGTGTTTTTATTTTTAGAAAATCATGTGTGCTCTAACATTGTAGAGCAGCCTTTTTCCCTTGACCTCTTCAGCTTGACCCCTTGCTCCTCCTTTTTATATCTGAGATAGTTTATCTTGGTAATTCATATCTTGTCTGTTTTCATAGTGTATTCCTTTCTGCATATATAGAGAAATATGCTGATGTACCTATAGCGGGAGTTGTCTTCATAATGGCTGTTCATAAAGATAAAGTCATGTTTACATGTATTCAGCTTTGTCTTTCTAGTTAGTATTAAATTGTCCTCAAGCTAAACTTTTTGTCTTGTTTAAAGTTACATTTGGCTGGGCGTGGTGGCTCATGCCTGTAATCCCAGTACTTTGGGAGGCCAAGGCAGGCAGATCACAAGGTCAAGAGTTCACAACCAGCCTGGCCAACATGGTGAAACCCCGTCTCTACTAAAAATACAAAAAGGAAATTAGCTGGGCATGGTGGCGGCACCTGTAATCCCAACTACTCGGGAGGCTGAGGCAGGAGAATTGCTTGAATCTGGGAGGCAGAGGCTGCAGTGAGCCGAGATTGTACCACTGGTCTCCAGCCTAGGCGACAGAGCAAGACTCTGTCTCGGAAAAAATAAATTAATAAAAATAAAGTTACATTTAATTGTGGCCGGGTACAGTGGCTTACCCCTGTAATCTCAGCAGTTTGGGAGGCTGAGGCGGGTGGATCACTTGAGGTCAATAGTTCAAGACCAGCCTGGCTGACATGGTGAAACCCTGTCTCTACCAAAAAGTACAAAAACTAGCTGGGCGTGGTGGCATACGCCTCTACATAGTCCCAGCTACTTGGGAGGCTGAGGTGGGAGAACCACTTGAACCCAGTGGGCGAAGGTTGCAGTGAGCCAGGATCGTGCCATTGCACTCCAGCCTGGATGACAGAGTGATACCCTGTCTCAAAAAAAAAAAAAAAAAAAAGCCACAAATAAATAAAATTTTTTTTAAAATAATGCTACATTTAATTTAATTGTGTAATGTGTAAAACTCTGAATGCTTTTCCAAGGCTCTTTAATCCATGTTTGTACATACTTGAATTCAAATCTTTTAGCATTTAAAGACTCTTGCATTTTTTCATAGTATATAAAACTGTGTCTGTCTGTGTCTGTCTTGGATAAACCTTCACCAAAGCAAGATTTCTTACTTTTATCATCTATTTCAGGCTCTTGGCTTTCTGTATGCCTCTGGACTTGGTGTTAATTCAAGTCAGGCAAAGGTAATACTATTAAAACTTTATTGCATATTACAATTTGAATTGAATAAATGCGTGCCTATGTTCAGTTAAACATGTTTTGTTCTTTCACAGGCTCTTGTATATTATACATTTGGAGCTCTTGGGGGCAATCTAATAGCCCACATGGTTTTGGTAAGTAGACTTTAGTGGAAGGCTAATAATATTAACATCAGAAGAATTTGTGGTTTATAGCGGCCACAACTTTTTCAGCTTTCATGATCCAGATTTGCTTGTATTAAGACCAAATATTCAGTTGAACTTCCTTCAAATTCTTGTTAATGGATATAACACATGGAATCTACATGTAAATGAAAGTTGGTGGAGTCCACAATTTTTCTTTAAAATGATTAGTTTGGCTGATTGCCCCTAAAAAGAGAGATCTGATAAATGGCTCTTTTTAAATTTTCTCTGAGTTGGAATTGTCAGAATCATTTTTTACATTAGATTATCATAATTTTAAAAATTTTTCTTTAGTTTTTCAAAATTTTGTAAATGGTGGCTATAGAAAAACAACATGAAATATTATACAATATTTTGCAACAATGCCCTAAGAATTGTTAAAATTCATGGAGTTATTTGTGCAGAATGACTCCAGAGAGCTCTACTTTCTGTTTTTTACTTTTCATGATTGGCTGTCTTCCCATTTATTCTGGTCATTTATTGCTAGTGACACTGTGCCTGCTTCCAGTAGTCTCATTTTCCCTATTTTGCTAATTTGTTACTTTTTCTTTGCTAATTTGGAAGATTAACTCATTTTTAATAAAATTATGTCTAAGATTAAAACTGGTTCTAAGCAAAAGCCCTTATAATTTTTCTCTTATGAGTAAAATGCACACACTTCAAAAATAAAGTTTATGACATCTATTTTGATTGCTCTAGGAACTATATTATTTATTTCCTTGCTCTTAGCTATGGCCTTCTTGTTGAAGTTGCTGAATCCATTACCTCAAAACCTAACACTTAGCATAAATAAGGTGTTAGTGTACTTGGATCAAATGACAGCAAAATTCTGGGTATGCTTAGCTTTATTTGTTCCACGAAGAATGACACTGAAGTACATGAAACTGCTGCCTCCTCACGTGAAGTTGTTTTACAGGGTTACAGATACTGGGCTGGCATCGGCGTCCTCCAGAGTTGTGAATCTGCCCTGACTCACTATCGTCTTGTTGCCAATCATGGTATCTATGTTTCCCCTTTTACCTTTTAGGAAAAAAAAATAAATGGAATTAACTTTAAACATTTCTATTTTTATTGTTCTATTTGAAGTATTATAAATGGCTCTTTTATGTGGACTCATCTTTAAACTAGTTGAGGTTCAGAAGTACTTTTTTCTTTATATAATTTTGCTTTAGGTTCTATTTACGTTGTGAAAAAAGTTCAATTTATTAATAGATTACTGATTTGCGATCTATATAGACTACTGTAAAAACAGCTTCCTTTAACAATGTGTTCGTCAACGTTTGGCAGCTGGAATTGTACTTCTCTCTCTCTGGAACAATTCTTCTGATTTTCCTCCACCTTATTGTTTTATCCCTCTATTTCAGTTGCTAGTGATATCTCGCTAACAGGAGGCTCAGTAGTACAGAGAATACGGCTGCCTGATGAAGTGGAAAATCCAGGAATGAACAGTGGAATGCTAGAAGAAGATTTGATTCAATATTACCAGTTCCTAGCTGAAAAAGGTGATGTACAAGCACAGGTACGTGTTTGAACATCTCACCAAATATCTTTACTGCATTGTATATTTTAATCTGTGGGGGACGGGAGCAAGCACTTATATCTGTAAGTTACATTTTCATTGCCCTGAGCAATTATGAACTACATATTAGAATCACCTGAGCCCCTTAAAAAAAAAAACCAAGAGTCTCACACTCTCAGGAGATTCCATTTGGGTTAGTGTGGGATGGGGCCTAGGCATTGAGGGTTCCTAAAACTGTCCAGGTGACTCTCCCGTGTACTGCCCCTAAAAAAATCACTGCTTGAACAGAGCAGCATTAACACCGATGATGAAGGCTGTTACTGGAGTCACCAATGATGAAAACTGTCACTTTCTCTAAACAAGAAGTCCCTGGAATATTTGCAATATCAGATGCTCTTCAGAGCTATTTACCATTCGTGTTTCTTTGGCTCATCTAAAATCATAATTTCTTCAAGGTCAAGAACAGAAGTAAGCTCGTTTAATGGAAGTTGTATAATGTCCGTCAAAGTACCATGTGTGCACACACAGGTTTCGTGGCTTCTTTTGATATTAAAATAAAAAGAACTTTAACATTTATATTTTTTTCCACTAAGTTTGCAATTATTTCTAATTTAGGACATGTACAGATGAGCATTAGATACTTATTAAGAACAGTTGGTTTTAAGACTAGCAGTGGAGTCTTAAGGAAAAAAAAACGTAGTGAAACGTAGATCTAAATGTTAGCTGATAGAAATTATAATAAACTTGTTCAATTAAACATCTTATTTTTACATTATTGTAAAATTTAGTTTACTTAAAATTTTCTGTTTTACTTGCTTTCTGTGTATCTTGCTTGTTGTGTTTACTCTTCTCTCCTTTCTTGCCCTTTTTTGGTTGAGTGCTTTTTCCTGTTGCATCTCTTCCCCTCTGCCAGCATGATGCTACTCTTGTAGTGGTTATCTAGCGATCACAACATGCATCCTTGACTTACCAAAGTCTGGTACGATGAGCACTTTTACCATTTCCAGGACAGCACAGAGATCTCAGAGTATTCTGTGTGTGTTTGATTTTATATATTTTGGTACCATGAGATACTGTTGTTTTGTACAGTCCATATTAATTTACATTTATTTTCAAATTTACCTTTTCATTGCTTTTTATTTATTTTTTTATTTTTTATTTTTTGAGACAGATCCTTGCTCTGTTGCCCAGTGCCACTATCTCAGCTCGCTGCAACCTCCGCTTCCCGGGTTCAAGCGATTCTTGTGCCTTAACCTCCCCAAGTAGCTGGGAATGCAGGCATGCACCACCACACCCAGCTAATTTTTGTATTTTTAGTGGAGATGGAGTTTCACCATGTTGGCCAGGCTGATCTTGAACTCCTGGTCTAAGTGATCCCACCCACCTCAGCCTCCCAAAGGCTGGGATTACAGGCATTAGCCACCACACCTAGCCAGCTCTTTATTTCTTACTGTATCTCCCAGCTTCTAGTAAGTTTCCTTTTTTCTGAAGAGCACCCATTTGTGTTTCCTTTAGAGCAGGTTCACTGGGGACAAATTCAGTTTTTTTTTTGTTTTTGTTTTTGTTTTTTGAGACGGAGTCTCGCTCTCGCCCAGGCTGGAGTGCAGTGGTGCAATCTCGGCTCACTGCAAGCCCCGCCTCCCAGGTTCATGCCATTCTCCTGCCTCAGCCTCCCGAGTAGCTGGGACTACAGGCACCCGCTACCATGCCCGGCTAATTTTTTTGTATTTTTAGTAGAGACAGGGTTTCACCATGTTATCCAGGATGGTCTCAATCTCCTGACCTCGTGATCTGCCCGCCTCGGCCTCCCAAAGTGCTGGGATTACAGGCGTGAGGCACCGCGCCCGGCCCAAATTCAGTTTTAATTTATGTGAAAATGCCTTTATTTCACTTCCACTTTAGCAGGATACTTTGTGTTTTTGTTTTTTGTTTTGTTTATTCATTTGTTTGTTTTTTAAGACAAAGTCTTGCTCTGTCACCCAGGATGGAGTGCAGTGGCACGATCTCGGCACACCTTAACCTCTGCCTCCCAGGTTCAAGCAATTCTCCTGCCTCACCTACCAAGTATTTGGGATTACAGATGTCCATCACCACACCCAGCTAATTTTTGTATTTTTAGTAGAGATGGGATTTCACCATGTTAGCCAGGCTGGTCTTGAACTCCTGACCTTAGATGATCCACCCACCTCAGCTTCCAAAAGTGCTGGGATTACAGGCATGAGCCCATCGTGCCTAGCCCGTTTTTTGTTTTTTTGAGAAAACATCTCTCTCTGTCGCCCAGGCTGGAGTGCAGCAGCACAATCACAGCTCACTGCAGCCTCGACCTCTCCAGGCTCAGGTGATCCTCCCACCTCAGCCTCTCAAGTAGCAGGGACTACAGGCGTATGCTACCACGCCCGGCTAATTTTTCTATTTTTTTGTGGAGACAGGATTTTGCGATGTTGCCCAAGTTGTTCTTCAACTCCTGGGCTCAAGTGATTCACCCATGACCTCCCAAAGTGTTGAGGTTACAGGCGTGAGCCACCGCACCTGGCCGCAAATGGTACTTTGCAATTACAAGTACACGTTTTTACTTTTCAAAATTTTTAGGTTAATTAAAGTAGAATAGCATTTTCAGGAGTTAAGACTAAATCTTTTTGTTTTTTGAGTCATGAACAGAAGCCATTTTACGACCAAATCATTTCTTGTTGGTCTGATTTTAATTGTGTGCCAGATGGTACCACTTACTTTTGCCTTGTTTGTGATCATTTTCAGGTTGGTCTTGGACAACTGCACCTGCACGGAGGGCGTGGAGTAGAACAGAATCATCAGGTAACTACCCTGTTCCTAGGGCTTTGCATCTCAGTTTTAGCAGGAAATGATGTTCCCAATGTATTTCTTGCTAAGTCAATACCAGTATCAAACTTCTGTCATTTAAACACCCATCACAAATGAGCTTTCAAGATGTAACCAACCCCTAAGAAAGCTGAAGAATACAAATATTAGTACCTACTATGTGCCATTCACTGCTAGGCATTCACCATGCAATATTGGACAAAATAGTTTTGGTCTTTGACCTTTTGGAGCTTTAACTTTAATAGGAGTATTAGATATTTTTTAAATGATCACACCAAATATAAATTGTGGTTATTCTTACAAAGGAGATTTAAAAGATACAATAATTGGTTAATGGGTAGGAGGTACCGCTTGCCAGGGAAGACTTCTGTAAAGAGAAGTAGAAAACATTTAAGTTGACCCTGGAGATAAGGTCCTTCCAGGCCAAAAAGAACGGTATGTGCATAGGCCCAGAGACAGGAAGGAATATGGCTAGTCTGCCCATACTACAGGAATATGACTGGTCTGCCCATAGTACATGAAACAGAACTGAGATTAAGCAGTGCCTGATCACATCAGCATATCCCTGCAGCACTTCAAGGAGCTACAAAGATCAGCATGTTCAGATTTGAAAACAATGGCTTTGGCTGCAGTATAGAAAGTGAATTAGAAGACCCCAAGAATAAAATCAGGCAGATCAGGGAGGGGAATATTCGAGAAGTTCAGGTGAGAGAGAATGTGGCTTGGACTAGAACTACGGTAAAGGAAGATAGTAGTGGATTCAAGATGTATTTGGTGGTAAATGTAACAGGCCTTAGGGATGGATGGGATATAAGTGAAGGGGAGCTGATATCTTAAGCAACCAGTAAGATGGTATTGCCATTTGCTTAAATTGAGTTGCTGGAGGAGAAGCAAGTTGAGGTCAAGAAGAGAAGATTTTAGGGATATGTTCAGGCATTGGATAGTGTGTTCAGAGGTAGTCGAATAGACTGGATTGAAGCTGAAAATATAAATTTAGGAGTTGCCATCATCTCGATGGTGTGTGAATCTATGGGAATAGATGAGATTGCTTAGAGAATGCAAAGTGAGAATGGAGTCCAAAACTGAGCCCTGAAGAACTTTAATGTTCAGAAGTCAACTGATAGAAAAATAACCAGCAAAGGAGACTTAGGTGGTACAGGTAGACTTAGGATGGAAACCAGGAGAGTGTGACATCTTGTTAGCCAAGCTAAGAGTCTGTCGAGAAGGAAGCCATGATGGACTCTGCCAAATGTTGCAGAGAAAGGTGGAGTGAGGTGAGCTGAAATTTAGATTGGCAGTATGAAGATCATCACTGGCCTTGATGAGCTGTCTTTTTGATGTAGTGTATGGAAGCCAATTAAGACTAGATTGCAGAGTGAATTGAAGTGCATGTCACCAATTTATTCGAGAAGCTTGGCTGTGAAGGAAAGTAGCTAACAGAACAGTCATCATTGGAGAGAAATTGGGGGTCTAAAGGAGATACATATCTTGTGTGTTTTGGTTTGAGTTTTATTTTTTATTTATTTTATTTATTTATTTATTTATTTTGAGACAGGGTTCACTCTGTTACCCAAGCTGGAGTGCAGTGGCGCAGTCTCGGCTCACTGCAACCTCCACCTCCTGGGTTCAAGCAATTGTCCTGCGTCAGCCTCCTGAGTAGCTGGGAATACAGGTGCATGCCACCATGTCAGGCTAATTTTTGTATTTTTAGTAGAGACGGAGTTTCACTATATTGGCCAGGCTGGTCTCGAACTCCTGACCTCAAGTGATTCGCCCGTCTTGGCCTCCCAAAGTGCAGGGATTACAGGTGAGAGCCACCGTGCCCTGCTGAGTTTTATTTTTTGATGATGAGATTATAGAATGTGATTGAGGGGGAACTGGTTCCAAAAGAGGGAGAAGTTAAGTCAGCAAGGAAAATAAGAGGAATAACCAATGGTACAAGGTCCTTAACAAAAATGGGCTGCAATACAGTTGAGAGTGGTGATGATGAATTTCTGCTGATGCTAGTGTGTTTACTTAAGTGATTTTTAAGTAGGGTCAAGAATTTTTCTCTAAACAGTACAAGAGGAATGTATTCCTTTAGACAACAATGAAAATATGCTCCATGTCTTGGAAAGACTTCTAGTTTTTCCTTTCTCCCAGGTTATCATTAGAGAAATAGACCAAAGAAGTCAAGCTGCTCTTAAATGTCTTTTAAGCAGGCTGATGTTCGCTTTGCCTGTAAGTAACAGGAGGCTTGTTGTACCTTACGTTTAGGCAGCACAAGAAATTTCTTTGCATCTATAATTATGCAGATGACTTAATGATAAATGGTACTGTTATTTGGTAAAATAAAACTTCTAGATGTACTGATTTCTCTTTCAAAATATTGGCAACTGGGTATTCTTGTTTTTAAAGCACTGTAATATAACAAGATTTTTTAAATGTTCCTGAAATAATTATTTTGGCTGAAAGTCAAAAGCAGATTCTGTTAAAAACTAATTATTTTAATAAATTCTTTTCTCATAGAGAGCATTTGACTACTTCAATTTAGCAGCAAATGCTGGCAATTCACATGCCATGGCCTTTTTGGGAAAGGTACTGTACATCCTGTGAATGTTTTATGTAATAGCAAGAGGTGTTTGCATAATTAGCATGTATTGTGTTCAGGATCTACAATTTACCAAAAATAAATTGGAAATAAGATTTCTAGTGCAAGACTATTATATCTTAAAGTGCTGTTCTGAGGCATTTTCTTAGGCAACTTAAATATAACATAGTGTTTGCAGCCAGGCGCGGTGGCTCACGCCTGTAATCCCAGCACTTTGGGAGGCTGAGGCAGGTGGATCAGGAGGTCAGGAGATGGAGACCATCCTGGCTAACACGGTGAAACCCCATCTGTACTAAAAATACAAAAAATTAGCCGGGTGTGGTGGTGGGCGCCTGTAGTCCCAGCTACGTGGGAGGCTGAGGCTTACAGTAAGTCGAGACCACGCCACTGCACTCCAGCCTGGGCGACAGAGCAAGACTCCATCTAAAAAAAAAAAAATAGTGTTTGCTCATCAGTATGTTAATTCTTCATTGAAATTAGCTCTCACTGAGCTCTTACTTTTTGTGTATTGTATGCAATAATGAGGAATGTATTCTTGATGCTGTGCGGTTTTTTGCTAAGACTCTCACAGTTGTCTGTTTCCTTCCATGCTGAATAGAGGCAATTAGAGTTTGTTGAAATTTATCTGCAGAGTTTTTAATTGTCTTAAATGTGATAGCCATGACCCACCTCTTCTCATTGTAGCTGTGTTCTCAATCAAGGGAACAGAACATTTAAGTCTAGAAACTTTATAAATAAATTCCATATGTCATGGAAGAATCTCAAAACTTTTTCATTATTTTGAAACATAGTATAAATCAATGGGTATTTTCACTTATAACTAAATCCTAAAGTAAGGAAGTTTAGATGGAATATATCACAAAGGTTTTTACAATAGGGAAATTTCATCATGATTTGCCTCATGATCATACTAGTAATTGGGGTGTGGTAACTACATTTAAATATTCCAGCTGTTCCATAGCATAGAACTTGGTATTTCCCTCTGTTTTTGTTAAGCATTTAAGAACGTTTCATTCCTCCTCTTTTGGTTCTTGCTCTGAATTACTGTCATTGTCTTTAAAAACTATTTTTTACATTTATTGTTTCTTTAACATATATGTGAATAAAGACAGTCTTGACCATTCTGTTTTTCTTTCTCTTGGCCCTTTATCATTCTCCATACCTGATGCTCTAATTGTTTAGTGTTTAAACCCTCTTCAAGTAAACCTTTTAGTTACTTCGTTTCCTGAACTTAAGACCCACTTGTGATCTTATCCTGGGGAAAGTAGTGGTAGAGGAGAAAGAAGAATGAATGCCGCAAGCAGCTTCCCCTTTCCTTGTTGAATCACTGATCTGATCCTAAGCAACTTACTAACCATTTGACTTCCCTGGAATAGAGTGAGAAAAATGATTCATGTTGGGCTTAAAGATTTCTTCTGAGACTAATATATGAGCTGATTTTATGTATTCATGTTTATAAATAAGTCATAAATTTGAGATGGCAACAGAGTATATAATTACTAAAATGTTTGCTTTTAAGAGTTTGCTTTTAATTCTTTTGTTTTTTTTGTTTGTTTGTTTTGTTTTGATATGAGGTCTTGCTTTGTGGCCCAGTCTGGAGTGAAGTAGCAAGCTGTCAGTTCACTGCAGCTGCAGCCTCCTGGGCCCAAGCAATTCTGCTGCCTCAGCCTCCTGAGTAGCTGGGATTACAGGCACACGCCACCACGCCTGGCTAATTTTTGTATTTTTAGTAGAGACAGGGTTTTGCCATATTGGCCAGGCTGGTCTTGAACTCCTGACATCGGGTGATCCACCCACCTTGGCCTCCCAAAGTGCTGGGATTACAGGCATGAGCCACTGTACCCGGCCTTTGCTTTTAATTCTAAAATATCCTGTGGGGAATTCTAAATTTTTTGGAAAGATTTAATGAGATCTGACAAAACTCAAAGGAGATGAGAAAGGAGAAAAATGTAATTGGAGAGAGGGTTACAGCTCTTACTGAAATTGGGATCTGTTTTCCAGATGTATTCGGAAGGAAGTGACATTGTACCTCAGAGTAATGAGACAGCTCTCCACTACTTTAAGAAAGCTGCTGACATGGTAAGGCTTTGTCTCAGTGTACTGAAATGTGTACCATATTACTAATATTTTAATAAATGAATTTGTTATATTAAAGGGTTAATCATAACCAACTCATGCTATACATTATTGAAACTGCATATTAAGTATGATTCATGTGAATGTATTAATTAAACAAAGCCCTCCCGATAAAAGGCAATTTTTTTAGGGACCAAGTTGTTGATTTTTAATTGTGAAGTTTCACTGAGAAGTTTCCTAATCGGGGAAATACTGATTTTTAGTAATGGAACTTGAACTTATATAATCTACCCTATTTGTATCACAACATGAAATTTAAAAGCTTACATAATAGGGTACTTTTGATAATCATAGTACATAATTTAGGCTTTCTTTGGCTCAGAAAACTGCATATGAGTACCTGAAATCTTGTATGTCTTCAGTATGTACACTTACCTCTCTGTCAACTATTATACATGTTACTGTAGTTCCAGATGTCACTTGAATGCTTCCCAAAGGAATGCTATGACAATCTTTTTAAAGATGTCTTCTGTCCCTCTGAGTTTAGGCAAATTCTAGATTTTTTTCTTTCTAGTCCCAAAACAGTGATTTTCTTTGTTCCATGACACTCCAATAATCCTAAGTATATCTTTGTCACCTGATAGCAGCATTGCTATTATTACATGATTATGCTATTATTACAAGGTGTTCCATGATATCCTCCCTCTTTATTGGAGTGGGATGTTACCAGTGAAAAACTGCAAAAATGTGACCTGCCTTTCATTTTGATGAAATACATTAGTCATGCTTTATGTCATAAATTCATGGTACAGATGGTCATAAAGTAAGTCAACAAAATGTAATTCTAAATGAATTTACTATTTACTCTTTTTCAGCAAATTACCCAAAGCCCCCAGATGTCTAAAAGTCAATATTATGTTTAGTCTGATGAGAAGAAGAAAGTTTTGTTTTGAATTGAAAAGTACTAAGACATGTTTTTGAATATGCTTATAAATGATTTATTTTGCAGTTATTTATTCTTGCCTATTTTTGAATGAATTCTTTTCACTCTTTTGTCTGATTTCTCTGCTTTGCAGGGCAACCCAGTTGGACAGAGTGGGCTTGGAATGGCCTACCTCTATGGGAGAGGAGTTCAAGTTGTAAGTGTTCAGTCT
Organism: Homo sapiens; assembly: GCF_000001405.40. Taxonomy (NCBI): domain Eukaryota; kingdom Metazoa; phylum Chordata; class Mammalia; order Primates; family Hominidae; genus Homo; species Homo sapiens. The sequence continues at coordinate 81,489,236 of NC_000014.9, read as the reverse complement.
GACATTCTCTCTTTAATGAGCAGTCAGCTGGAGAGGTAGGGACATGTTCCTTAATTAGCTTCCAGTCAGCCCAGGTGGGGCTGTTCCATTGTAAGCAAAGCTGAACCTCTTTCTGTTGTCTGAGTTTGTCTCACTACCACCCCATACCCGACAGACACCATCTCAACTGTCTTAGAACAGCTCTGTGTCTGGCACTTTCTCCCAGAGGTATGGAGTTGTTTCTTGTTCTTCCATCTCTGCTCTCTACCCCACGTCCTCTAACCATCTCTCAGGACTTAAACATCTCCTTGCCTGCTTTTTTACTCAATCCTGACAAAATGCATAACTGCCTTCCATTGAGGAGGAGGAAAGCTTTCTGTTCTGCCCTTTACCCCTTCTAGCTACCACCTGTCTTCTCCCAGCCCTTCACTCAGAGTCAAACTAAGCTGCTGTCATTCACTCTTGAGTTCTTAGCAATCGAACTTCTGCTTCATGGAACTATACTCTCTGTACAGATCACCAGTAACCTCCTAAATGTCGGTCCAATTGACATTTTTTGGTTCTACCTCACTTGACCTCTCGCTTCCCTGGTGTTCTGTCTGTGTCTGGGTTTCCTTGGCCATTGCATCTCATCCTTCTGTGCAGCCTCCTCATGTTGGATGTCCCTGGATTCACGTTGCAGTTTCCTTCTCTATTTGATCTTTCCAAGTAATATGTGCTTTTAATTTGAGGCTGAAACTAAGAGCTAGGTTTAAGAGCTAGGTTTTTAATATCTATAGGTATTCTCTAACACAAAAGACAGTAATGTGTTCTCATTTTGCGGCCTTCTAGTCATTCTAGGACACTAAAATTCAGTAGTAACCTTTATTTTAACTTTTCTTCTTGGATACATATGACCTTTGAAGTATAATAGTCATAGTGTTTGGTAAGGTACACGGAATAAATGAATAAGGAGATAATTTTCTTTCTTTAATTTTAGGAAAATTGAGGTTTAAAAAGGGTTGATTGGTTAGCAGAGAAGATTGACTGTTTCTTAATTCCTGGTCTGATGTTCTACTAGTTTTTATGCTTTCTGAGAGCAGCATACAAATTGTTTCACAAAAACTCTATTTACTTTTCTTCACCACCTTAAATATTAATCCCCCTATGACTTAATGTATATTATTATCTATTATAAGAATTAGAAAGTGGTCTTTTTAATGGCTCTTTGGGAATATTTTTTTATATGCTTTGTTCATTTTTTTAAATAAATCTCTTAACTTTTGAGTATGTCTGCCTTTTGAGCTTTCTCATCATATGACATCTTTTTCTACAGAATTATGATCTAGCCCTTAAGTATTTCCAGAAAGCTGCTGAACAAGGCTGGGTGGATGGGCAGCTACAGCTTGGTTCCATGTACTATAGTAAGTAACACTGGAATTAATGATGGATACACCAAGATCTAAATTAAGCTGTTTTCTACTAGATGGCATTATGATGTGGAAATGGGTGCTATCAAATTCTGGCTGGTTAAATGTTCTCCCAGTTCAATGATTTGTACATCTTGTTTTTCATTGTAAATTATATTAATCTGTATCAGTGTGTTAGCTTGTATTAGATTCACATATTTACTCAGTAAGAATTCTTTCATTAGAGTTTTATTCTTCATATATAAGCCTTCTCTGATACTTAGCTAAATCTTAAGTCTATTATCTCGTGTGATTTTTTTTTTTCTTACAGATGGCATTGGAGTCAAGAGAGATTATAAACAGGCCTTGAAGTATTTTAATTTAGCTTCTCAGGGAGGCCATATCTTGGCTTTCTATAACCTAGCTCAGATGCATGCCAGTGGCACCGGCGTGATGCGATCATGTCACACTGCAGTGGAGGTAAGGTCTTTCCTACCAGCTTGTGTGTAGGGAGTTGATTTGCCCAGCAGGAAAGTCTGCGCTTTCAATTCTGGTTTTTTTGTATGTTTTCTTCTGTAGTTCTAGACTCAGCCTACCTAGCTTTGATATACTGAGGGAAGACCGAGGGGTCTGTGTGTAATTACCATACTTATTTATTCAGTGTCTCCCTATTACAATCAACTGTATAAGGGGAGATACTGGTGTCTGCAGTATCTCTAGCACCTAAGACAGTATCTGATAATAATCAGCATCAAAAAAATATATAAGCTGAGCACAATGGCACGTGCCTATAGTCCCAGCTACTTAGGAGGTTGAGGTGGATGAAGGCTTGAGCCCAGGAGTTTGAGACCAACCTGGACAACATAGAAAGAACCTATCTCTTAAAAAAAAAAAAAAAAGAAAGAAAGAAAAAGAAGTTGAATGAATGTTCCAAAAAGGAATGCTAATATCTCCTAATTGGAAATTGTCTCTTAGCTCTCTCTTAGACTTGGCACTTTAGAGTGACATTGATAAATGCTTAGCAAAGTTTCTAAATCTCTGTGCTTTAGTTTACTCACTTGTCAAATGGGGCTTTTAACAGGACTTACCTCCTAGGGTGGTTCCTCATGAATCTCATGGGAAGATTAAGAATGGTAATATACATAAATCATTACAACAGTGCCCGGGCAGAGTAAATGGTCATTTTTGTAGTACAATAATTGTGTACTGTTTTTTTTTTTTATAAACCTGTTGACTTCTAAAGAGTAAGTGAAAACTTTAAATAAGTATCTCAAACTTTTATGTCTGTTCAAGAAAGCTGCCAGAAATTGAAGGAGCAAGCTTAATAGTCATGTGTAACCAAAGTGCATAAGTGATTTTCTGGTATATCTTTCTTATTTTCTTCTACTGATATTTTTTTTCCCCACCTCACACAGTTGTTTAAGAATGTATGTGAACGAGGCCGTTGGTCTGAAAGGCTTATGACTGCCTATAACAGCTATAAAGATGGCGATTACAATGCTGCAGTGATCCAGTACCTCCTCCTGGCTGAACAGGGCTATGAAGTGGCACAAAGCAATGCAGCCTTTATTCTTGATCAGAGTAAGGTTCATTTTAGTCCTGCCTTAGGTTTAGAATGTACGAGTTCACACCAGTAAACTGTTTAATGTATTCAAAAAGAAAAGCTACTAGGAAACATTCTTTATTATTGTAACTGGAACTGAACACACAGGCTTAAGTTATTAATATTTTACTTTAGCCATCAAAGTTAGTTTTATAACGAGTTGACTGTAGAAATGGATTTGACATTCATTTTAAAATTAAGCACTTTGCATAAATGTATTTTTCAAAATACAGTGGATACAAAAATGCCATTTTCCCAACACTGTAGAAGAGTGACTCAGTAGTCTCATGACTGGTTCTATAGATACAACATGTTTCACAAAGTAGTGCCCTCTTGCATCCAGTGATTGCTTTGAACTCACTATTTTAGTTCAGTAATTAATTTCAGTATTTGTTTTAATTTTTATATCCTAATTCTTGTTTAACTTATGCTTCACCTATCCTTCCTACTTTGCAAATGAAAATTAAGTCTAGTGCCTTTTCTTAAATGCCTGATTTGTATTTCATTTCTTTTCCTGTAGGAGAAGCAAGCATTGTAGGTGAGAATGAAACTTATCCCAGAGCTTTGCTACATTGGAACAGGGCCGCCTCTCAAGGTAAGTGATTAATTCTAAGATAAGAGTTTCACCCAGGGACCTCCCTATGTTGTTTATCTCCCATGAACATTAAATCATGAAGCCGAGTACTGTGGCTCACGCCTGTAACCCTAGCACTTTCGGAAGCCAAGGCAGGAGGATCACTTGAGGTCAGGAGTTCGAAACCGAAACCAGCCTGGCCAGCATAGTAAAACCCTGTCTCTACTAAAAAAAAAAAAAACAAAAAAAATTAGCTGGGCATGGTGGCAGGCTCCTGTAATCCCAGCTACTCAGGAGGCTGAGGCAGGAGAATCGCTTGAACCTGGGAGGCAGAGGTTACAGTGAGCCAAGATTATGCCACTGCACTCCAGCCTGGGCGACAGAGCGAGACTCCTTCTCAAAACAATAAAATAATTAATTAAGCAGAGATACTGTGACTTAATTTGTTTGCATATTATTGGTATTTATTCTTAACAGAAGTTTCTAGAGCCAGAGTTTCTAAATTGGGTTGTAAAGTCTTTGTACTACACATTTCCATCAAGCTATGATTCACTCTTTGTTTTCCAGTTTGAGGCCAGTATACTGTGTGAAATGGGAATTAAATAGAATGTATGATAGAACATTAGTCTGAAACCTAAGAGACTTTTCTTTTTCTTTTGAATATTTATTTTTTATACATGTTCCTTTCAACATTCTCTGCCTGTTCCCTTCTCCAAACCTAAATGGTCAAGCTGGACTATTTTAAAATGTAAATGACATTATAAAGTAGAGCCTGATCATTTACATAGGAGTGTTTGTGAAAGAAGGGAGTACAGGTTGAGTATCCCTTATCTGAAATGCTTAGGACCAGAGTGTTTCAGATTTCAGATGTTTTTGTTTTTTTTGTTTGTGTTTGGCATATTTGCACATACGTATTGTTTGAGCATCCTTAATCTGAAATCTGAAATGCTCCTGTGAGCGTTTCCTTTGAGCATGACCTTTGAATGTCATTTCAGGTTTTGGAGCATTTCAGATTTCAGCTTTTTGAATTAGGGATATTAAACCTGTCCCCCTACACACACACCAACTTGGTTTTACCTCTCTGTATTCCAAAGCCTTCTGCAGAAGAGCTACACTTCTAGTTTAAATTTTTACTGGACTTTATAACTTGGCTGAAAGGATTTGTTACAAAGTTTGTGTACTATGAATTAAAATTCTTTGTTTTATGTAAGCATGTCAATGGGAGGAGAAAAAAGTTTGATCTGTTTTAAACATACTTTATTTATTGGCAGTTCTGCATTTAACTTTTGTTTAAGGCTATACTGTGGCTAGAATTAAGCTCGGAGACTACCATTTCTATGGGTTTGGCACCGATGTAGATTATGAAACTGCATTTATTCATTACCGTCTGGCTTCTGAGCAGCAACACAGTGCACAAGCTATGTTTAATCTGGGATATATGCATGAGAAAGGACTGGGCATTAAACAGGTGAGTGTGGCTTCCAAACACGTTTGAATCACATAATTGTGATTGGGGAAAATACTTGCATTTGTATAGAAAATAGACTTTCCTTGACATTCAGTTGGATTTCAGGCCACTAAATTATGGGACTGATTTGTAATATTTCAGAAGACTGCCCTTCCATCTCTCATCTTCCAGCACGCACAGATACTGCTATCCACGCTGTTTTATTTAGGGATTAAGCTGAAGACAGACTCATGAAAATGGAAGTGCAGTGCTTCCTCTGCTGATAACTACTTGTTTGAGAAACTATCTGTCCATCGTCAGCCAAATTCTATTTTTTTCAAATTATTTTGAAATGAATTAAATGTATTCTACTGATAAATTTATTTCTGATTCTTACACTTGCCTAATGAAGTCTGTCATTCTCTGGACTCATGACTTAAGGTTTTTCCTGTGTGCCCTCAAAAGAATTTGGAAAAACTACAGACCCCCTTGTACATTTTTAAGTTGGCATTTAAATTTTTTCTTAAGTTTCAAAGGGTCTAAGTTCCAGCTATTTTAAGCATTAACATTTTTAAATAAAATTAATTACCCTTAAAATATCCAATAGAATCTAAATAACAATAATTTAATACCCACTTACCATTATTAATTTTTTAGAAATATACAAGCAAGTTTTTTAATTGAAAGCTAGGTCTTTTCCTGTTTCCCTAAATTTATGTTTTCTACCACGACTTCTGTAGAATGTAATACTAATGTATTGTTTTTAATGCTTAGGTCTTTTATTGATTACTGTATCATACTTACCTGAAACAAACAAGTGTATAAATTCATTTTGAATTTTATTACCAGTGATCTAAGTGTTAAGAAAAATTCATGAGATATTACTAGTCACAGTTGGTCAGTTAATGCATTGTTGATCAAATCTACAAAATACATTTTGATAAAACTTTGCTTTTTGTATTATTAATTGAAAATGCATCTTTTAATGAGATAAATGGAGTATTTGTTAAAAATTGAGATTTCACATTAATTCTGTTTTTCATTTTTTTAAATGTATGACTAGAATGTCATGTATGTGAAAATGGGAAGAATTTCACTATAGCATGGTCACTTAATTCTTCAAACTACCTTAAGAGTTAGATGCCAAAAATCAGAGTGACTTGTCATTAGAAATTATTTTTAATGATCAATCTCCTGACTACTTGATAGGTCCCTCTTCAGTTGTGTTGAAAGCAAAGAATTGGAAACCAGAGACTTGTGAAAGCATGCATTCCCTGACACTGGGACCTTTCACTTTTCTTATTTTCTAGGAAGAGTACAAAAGGCTTTACCAAGACTTATGAAATAGGCTGTTAATTATACTCCTTCCTGTGTCACTTAGAGGCCCTTTGTTGACCTAAGGATTGAGGGAAAGTTGTTCATTTTTGCTAATGCGGTATTTTCTTGACAAAATGCTGCTGCTTTGTTCACATTTGGACATTTTCTTTTAATTTCAGTATGTAAATATTTATATTTTAAACTTACCTTAATACTTAGAATATTACTAATATTAGATACTTAAATATAGTTCAGTCAAGGCTCAGGAGCAGCAAACTCAGTACATTCAACTTCTGGAAGATCTCTGCCACTTAATGTAGTAACTGAAGCTTCTCTTTATTGTCAAACCAGTCATCCAGTGTCCCAAATTAGACTTAGCTTCTATCAGAAAGGCTGACGGATTTTTGTCGTTTTTTTTAAATGGAGATGGGGTACCACTATGTTGCTTAGGCTTGTCTCAAACCCCTGGGGACTTAAGCGCCTTGGCCTCCAAAAGTGCTGGGATTGCAGGTATGAGCCCCTGCACCCAGCTGACTTTATTTTTAATTCAAGTGAAGTTTAACATGACTAATATAAAGATCACATGTAAGTTATGGCTTTCATGGAGTACATCTAGTAATAATTTACTGACTGTAGTCAAAATTAAAATGATATAACTAATCTGTTTTTATAATAGCTTATAAAACAAGAAAATGTGTTCTAATTTAATTTGTAATACACTGTATAGCTAATAATAGAAATTCTTGTGAATAAAGAATATGATAAAAGGCATAGTACTCCTTTGATAAGAGTAGGGGGAGGGAACTTTTGTTTAGCTTTTGAGAATAAATAATCATTTATGAAAATAAATAATCATGTATGAAAATCAGTAACTCCATTACTTTTTTTTTTTTTCGGTGAGATGGAGTCTCACTCTGTTGCCCAGGCTGGAGTGCAGTGGCACAATCTTGGCTCTCTGCAACCTCCGCCCTCTGGGTTCAAGCGATTCTCCTGCCTCAGCCTCCCGAGTAGCTGGGATTACAGGCGCCTGCCACCACGCCCGGCTAATTTTTGTATTTTTAGTAGAGACGGGGTTTCACCATCTTGGCCAGGCTGGTCTTGAACTCCTGACCTCATGAGCCACCTGCCTCGGTCTCCCAAAGTGCTGGGATTACAGGCGTGAGCCACTGCACGCGGTCCCATTACTTTTTTTATAAGACATCGTGATCACCTTTTCTACTTTTTTTCTTTTGAGGTTTAAAATATTCATGCTACTAAAAACAATCCCCCATTTAATATAGTTAGGAAAATATTAAATATGAGGATTGACTATAATTGGAAAAAATCATCATATTATTTGATAAGTTTTAATTACATACTAGTGAATCTATTTAATTACCCTAGTGAATCATCCAATGTATGAATCACATGAAGTTTGATCCATGATCTTGAAAAATATAGCAGTCGAAAAAACCATTTGAGTTATATTTTTCTAAAAACTCAGACACTAACCATACTGTTAGCATTATTTGAAGATGCTCTTCTTTTTAAATAATGACACACCCTAAGGACAAGAATAAGGAATAGCTGAAAATAACTGCTTGTATTTAAATATGTTTGGAGGGGGAGTCATTTTTGGTCTTTAACCTTTCTTCCTCATATCTCATGGAATTCTTTCTTAAGAGTTTGGTATTCTTTGATAATAGGGAGTAGAAGTGAGATTTTTAAGTGAAAATTCCCACCATCCCATTCTATTACATATCTGAATTCAGAACACTCCAGCCTGGGCCAAAATTAAGAATGCCTGGTTTCACCCTTTACAGAAATATATCTAACACAGGGAAACACAAGATGCCCTAATAAGGGTTTATAATTAGTCAATAAAGGAGCCTTCTCCAGAACCAGTATTTCAAGGTATCTCTTCCGGTGGTAGCCCCTGAGGTTTCTACACCCCAGGGCAATGCACTTGAGGAAAGAGTGGGGTAGATCTCTTCCGGTGGTAGCCCCTGAGGTTTTTACACCCCAAGACAATGCACTGGAGGAAAGAGTGGGGTAGATAAGGGCTGTGCCTTCCTTTAGCAAAGCGAAGCAGAGAAACGTTGCTGTGCATACAGGCCTATTCTCAGCAGATCCCTTTCAGGAAAAAGCACATATGGAAGCTGCAGAACTGCAGAATCGAGTCCCTTAACATGTCCATGCAAGTACCTCTTGTAAAATCTGTTTCTTTTTTTGGAAACAGGGTCTCACTCTGTCACCCAGGCTAGAGTTCAGTGGCACCATCTCAGCTCACTGCAACCTCTGCCTCCTGGGTTCAAGCAGTCCTCCCACTCAGCCTCCCAAGTAGCTGGGACTACAGGCAGGCGCCACCACACCCAGCTAATTTGGCTTATTTTTTGTAGAGACAGTTTATGTTGCCCAGGTTGGTCTTGAACTCCTGGCCTCAAGTGATCCTCCTGCCTCGCTCTCCCAAAGTGTTGGGATTATAAGAATGAGCCCACTTTGGGAGGCTGAGGCGGGCGGATTACGAGGTCAGGAGATCGAGACCATCCTGGCGAACACGGTGAAACCCCGTCTCTACTAAAAATACAAAAAATTAGCCGGGCGAGGTGGCAGGCACCTGTAGTCCCAGCTACTCGGGAAGCTGAGGCAGGAGAATGGCGTGAACCCTGGGGGGCGGAGCCTGCAGTGAGCCGAGATCGCGCCACTGCACTCCAGCCTGGGTGACAGCAAGACTCTGTCTCAAAAAAAAAATAAAAAAGAATGAGCCACCGTGCCTGTCATCTGTTGTAAAATCTTGAGTGTTTCTACCCCACTTTGAAGATCACTGTCCAGAACTGAAACCAGACGTTGCTAATACTGATTGAAGTTTTAAGTAGCAAAAAATTAGTGTGAGTTTCAGAAGTCGCCCTTGGAAATCTCTAGGTTAACAGTGTTAATGCATAGATATATGGCTGTATGCAGCATATCTACACAGCAAATTAGATGTTATGTTGGGGGAAAATGAGTTTTTTAATTAAGTTTTTCAATATTAAGCAGTTAGATAATTAAACGAATTTTACCCAAGTAAAGCTTGGCATTTTTGTTTAGGTGAGGGAAACTCATTTTAAAATGAAAACCTCAAAGGTAAAATAAATTCGTCTAATATGTTCACTAAATATTTTTACTTATTTTGACAAGAAATGCATTTTTGTTTCTTACCTGTATTATAGGATATTCACCTTGCGAAACGTTTTTATGACATGGCAGCTGAAGCCAGCCCAGATGCACAAGTTCCAGTCTTCCTAGCCCTCTGCAAATTGGGCGTCGTCTATTTCTTGCAGTACATACGGGAAACAAACGTAAGTGGTCCGTACCTCTTTTCATTAAAATATAAATGATGGAAGGTCTGTCCTGGAGGTTTGTTTTTCAAAAGTTGAGAAGCACAGGGAAGAGTGGTCCTGCAGGTATCGGGTGTGTTCCCTTCTCCTCAGCTCAGGTACCCGAGGACCTTATCAGGGGAGGGATAAATGCAGGCATAAAGCAGCTACTGCAGTTTTTAGGTAGCGTTTGACACTTCCTGACGCTAAAGCATTTTTCATGGAGGCAGATGTTTTCTGGTTTAGGGAAAACTGAGACTAACTCATGGCAGTTTGAAACAGTATTTAATTCAGTAAACATTAAATCAGATGACTCAAACCAGTCCCTTAAAAAGAAAAGGAAAAAAAAAAGAAGAATCTGAGAACCTCCCCAGGTTGTTGTACTTCAGATTCTTCCGATAGTGAAGCATTAAGTTGAAAACACCACCCAAATTTTCTTCTCTAAAAATAGCGTGAATTATTTAAATAGGCTAATGGAAGAACCTATATAGGAAGTGGGTTACCCATTTTCTTCAAAATTACCAACTTTAGTTGGCAATACTGGTATGTAGGTACTCTTGGGTTCTGCCAGCTTTATATTTTGTTTCCAGTACTATAGTTCCTAGAATGGATTAACTGGTAGAGCATTTCACTCTGAAAGCCCTAAGATGTTCAGAGCCCTTGTTTCTAACATAGGCTTATTCAGGACAAGGAAAGTTTCTTCAGGACCAGAAAAGGATGATGTTTCACCCTTTTGTTAATGTCTTTCAGTTTTAGATTCAAGAATGGGCTTTCCCTCATGTGTGTCACAGGTATAAATGTAGTCCATGCTGCTCCAGCATCAGTGAAAAGAAATGGACTTGTCTAGTCCATGCAGCTGAAGTCCTCCACAGATAGGGTTCCAGAGCACTGGTCTTGTGGGACTCTGGCCTCCCAGTCGCTTCCACATGTGTAATGTCAGTTGCTATAATTGCATGGTAGCATGAGTCAGGTGTGCTGTAACCGCTGCCAATTGAAACAATCTTTGTTCCTTTAATTAAAAGCTGATCGTGTGGCAGCCTCCTCTTTCTCTTTCAGTACCATTTCAGACCTTTATCTCTCACAATTTTTATTACTAACTGTTGGTTATAGTCTAGGACTTCATCTTATAATATGCTGTACTGGGTATATTGTATCTTTGCTGTTTTTTTTAATACAGAAGTATAAAGAAGACAGTAAAAACGCCCCATAATCCTACCACCTAGTTATTCCAACTAAAAAGAAAAAGAGAGTATAAGACTAATAAGTATCGATCATAAGAAAGTCAAACAGTACAGAAGAACACAAATCTCCCATCCCAGATTCTTCCCCAGAGAACACAATTAGTGGTTTCTTGTCATTTTTTTTCCAGAAAAATTTAGCACCTGTACCTACAAACGTGTTATAGAGATCTTTCAAATGTAATTTTATATAAAATTATACCCCATGTTTACTTTCTTAATGGGTAAGTATAATAAAAGTCAGAAAGTATCAGTGATACTAAAACAATTAAAATATTATAGGCTAAGAACATAACTTTCAGGTTTCAATTCAGATGTTAAATATTTTGTGTTTTAGTTAAATCCTAATTGAGAAGCATTATTCATTCAGCTATTAAATGTTTGAATTCCTGCTATTTTCAATTACATGGGAATTGTGAAATGGCCCCACTGTCATGGAACAGAGCTTTCCAGCTGGTGTGCTGTCACTGCCAGTAGGTTCGCTGTGCCAAGATACTAATTTCTCCCCTTGGCTCACCACTGTTTTTTTCTTTTTTCTTTCCTGAGACAGAGTCTTGCTCTGTCGCCCAGGCTGGAGTGCAGTGGCACAGTCTCGGCTCACCGCAACCTCCACCTCCTGGGTTCAGGCAATTCTTGTGCCTCAGCCTCCAGAATAGCTGGGATTACATGCACCCGCCACCATGCCTGGTTAATTTTTGTATTTTTAGTAGAGATGGGATTTCACCGTGTTGGCCAGGCTGGTCTTGAACTCCTGGCCTCAAGTGATACACTCACCTCGGCCTCCCAAAGTGCTGGGATTACAAGGCCTGAGCCCCCGCGCCTGGCCCCAGTGTTGTTTTGTTTTGTTTTGTTTTCCAAATATTTTCTGTGAAAAATGATTAAAATTAGCGTATTGGATTACTGGTGGAAAGAACACTGTCAGACATTTTATATTAAGTGTCAGCTATTATAAATTAGTAGCTTAATTCCTCAGACACATTATTTTGAGCTTCAGTTGAAGGCTTTTAAAACCGCTTTAAACACACACACACACACACACACACACACACACATTGCAAAACGTTTTTAAAACAAATTATTTTAATTTCTGTACTTACTTCTGGTGATGTAACTTTCCCAGTTCCTTGCCTGACATTTTAGTGATAATAATGGTTTCTATATTATTTTCATTAAGATTCGAGATATGTTCACCCAACTTGATATGGACCAGCTTTTGGGACCTGAGTGGGACCTTTACCTCATGACCATCATTGCGCTGCTGTTGGGAACAGTCATAGCTTACAGGCAAAGGCAGCACCAAGACATGCCTGCACCCAGGCCTCCAGGGCCACGGCCAGCTCCACCCCAGCAGGAGGGGCCACCAGAGCAGCAGCCACCACAGTAATAGGCACTGGGTCCAGCCTTGATCAGTGACAGCGAAGGAAGTTATCTGCTGGGAACACTTGCATTTGATTTAGGACCTTGGATCAGTGGTCACCTCCCAGAAGAGGCACGGCACAAGGAAGCATTGAATTCCTAAAGCTGCTTAGAATCTGATGCCTTTATTTTCAGGGATAAGTAACTCTTACCTAAACTGAGCTGAATGTTTGTTTCAGTGCCATATGGAATAACAACTTTCAGTGGCTTTTTTTTTTCTTTTCTGGAAACATATGTGAGACACTCAGAGTAATGTCTACTGTATCCAGCTATCTTTCTTGGATCCTTTTGGTCATTATTTCAGTGTGCATAAGTTCTTAATGTCAACCATCTTTAAGGTATTGTGCATCGACACTAAAAACTGATCAGTGTAAAAAGGAAAACCCAGTTGCAAGTTTAAACGTGTTCGAAAGTCTGAAAATAGAACTTGCCTTTTAAGTTAAAAAAAAAAAAAGCTATCTTGAAAATGTTTTGGAACTGCGATAACTGAGAAACTCTTACCAGTCCACATGCAATTAGACATATTCAGCATATTTGTTATTTTAAAAGGGAGGGTTGGGAGGTTTCTTATTGGTGATTGTCACACGGTATACCATACTCCTCTCCTTCAAAGAATGAAAGGCCTTGTTAAGGAGTTTTTTGTGAGCTTTACTTCTTTGGAATGGAATATACTTATGCAAAACCTTGTGAACTGACTCCTTGCACTAACGCGAGTTTGCCCCACCTACTCTGTAATTTGCTTGTTTGTTTTGAATATACAGAGCCTTGATCCAGAAGCCAGAGGATGGACTAAGTGGGAGAAATTAGAAAACAAAACGAACTCTGGTTGGGGTACTACGATCACAGACACAGACATACTTTTCCTAAAGTTGAAGCATTTGTTCCCAGGATTTATTTTACTTTGCATTTCTTTTTGCACAAAGAACACATCACCTTCCTGAATTCTTTAAATATGAAATATCATTGCCAGGGTATGGCTTACAGTGACTACTATTATAATACTAAAACTCAGAGAATCAAAGATGGATTAAACTCAGTGGTTGATGAAAGCCAAAACCTGTTTGTACTGTTCTATACTATTCAGGTATCTTTTTATTTCTGATAGTTTTATATTATAATAGAAAGCCAGCCACTGCTTAGCTATCATAGTCACCATTTTCTCACTGTTAACATTAGGAAAATCAAGGCTACTATGCTTCAGGATTGTCTGGTTAAATAGTATGGGAAAAAAACTGAAGAGTTTCACATAATTACACACGTGAAATAATTAAAGCTTAAACTGAATTTGTATTTCATTTTATTGTCAGATGGTGGTGTTCACCAGCCTGTATCTTGTCTGAGACTGCATTCGTATCTGAGCAGGTTTTCTATGCCTACTGATGTCAGTATGTTTATACTAACCTTCATGCTTTTTTCCCAGAATCCCTCATCTGCCAGAAAACTTGAAAAGTTTATTGCTTGTAGAGTTGTACTGCTTTGATTTTTGAAGTTGGGGTAGTAGTTAGAACTAGATTTAACTAGTCTATAATGAACATGAAGGCTTTTATATATGAAGTTGTATACCTTTTTGTGTTTAGAGAATTATGGGAAACCTGGTAAGCAAAACTTTCCTCCCAGATAATTGCTTCCAAATTCGAAGAGTTAGTCACCAAGAGAGCCATATGTATGAAAGCGTATCTGTGAAAGGTAGGAAACTTACCCCCCCTAAGTGTAATGTTGCTTTAGGCAACTCTTGTAAATAGTGAGACTTGTTTGGTCTCTTACATGTAGAGATTTGAGTGCAGTTGGTACAGTACTTTGGTGTCTCCACCACTGTCCCTTCTCCCCGCTTCAAAATAAGTGTAATCCACGGTAGCAGCCACACTTCCTTTAGAAGGAACTGTTATAATTTATTTAAAAGTTGAAAAACCACCCAAGATGACTACCAACTTTCACTTTTTTCTTCTGCCATCCACCCTCATTTTTCCTTTAGCAAGATTTTTATATCTAACTTTCCTTCCCTCCATTGAGTACGTGCTTTGAGAAAACATTTCTTAAAACAGTGTGTGCCACCTAAGGCTGGATGGGAAAGTGCAGTCTTGTTGTTCATATAAAAACACACTTCTTATTAGTTTACCACTTGCCTTTTTCTATTGTTAATGTTCTGAATTTCCTTTTCTTGGCTTGTTTCTACTTCATTTTACCCTGGGTCACTTGCTGCCAGCAGTTTGTGAATGGTGTCTTTCAAATAACTTAGTTCTTATGGCTTCACTTAAAGACTGTCTCAAAAATACTTTGCTCTCTTCTTCTTTTTTGTTCATGGGACATGGTACCTAAGCAAATAGGAGTTGGGTTTGGTTTTTCTCCTAAAATAATGCTCAATACTTACCTAATCAAATGGCATCCATTTGAATAAAATGACAATAACTAAAGCTAGTTAATGTCAGTGACATTAAACTAACTCCAGGATTCAGGAGTTTTAATGTTAGAATTTAGATTTAACAGATAGAGTGTGGCTTCATTTGTCCATGGTAGCCCATCTCTCCTAAGACCTTTTCTAGTCTGTCTTCCTGCCTTCGAACTTGATGACAGTAAAACCCTGTTTAGTATTCTCTTGTGCATTTGGTTTGTTGGTTAGCCGACTGTCTTGAAACTATTCATTTTGCTTCTAGTTTTATTTTACAGAGGTAGCATTGGTGGGTTTTTTTTTTTTTTTCTGTCTCTGTGTTTGAAGTTTCAGTTTCTGTTTTCTAGGTAAGGCTTATTTTTGATTAGCAGTCAATGGCAAAGAAAAAGTAAATCAAAGATGACTTCTTTTCAAAATGTATTGTTTAGCACTTAACTCAGATGAATTTATAAATTATTAATCTTGATACTAAGGATTTGTTACTTTTTTGCATATTAGGTTAATTTTTACCTTACATGTGAGAGTCTTACCACTAAGCCATTCTGTCTCTGTACTGTTGGGAAGTTTTGGAAACCCCTGCCAGTGATCTGGTGATGATCTGATGATTTATTTAAAGAGCCGTTGATGCCTCCAGGAAACTTAAGTATTTTATTAATATATATATAGGAATTTTTTTTTATTTTGCTTTGTCTTTCTCTCCCTTCTTTTATCCTCATGTTCATTCTTCAAACCAGTGTTTTGGAAGTATGCATGCAGGCCTATAAATGAAAAACACAATTCTTTATGTGTATAGCATGTGTATTAATGTCTAACTACATACGCAAAAACTTCCTTTACAGAGGTTCGGACTAACATTTCACATGCACATTTCAAAACAAGATGTGTCATGAAAACAGCCCCTTTACCTGCCAAGACAAGCAGGGCTATATTTCAGTGACAGCTGATATTTGTTTTGAAAGTGAATCTCATAATATATATATGTATTACACATTATTATGACTAGAAGTATGTAAGAAATGATCAGAACAAAAGAAAATTTCTATTTTCATGCAAATATTTTTCATCAGTCATCACTCTCAAATATAAATTAAAATATAACACTCCTGAATGCCTGAGGCACGATCTGGATTTTAAATGTGTGGTATTCATTGAAAAGAAGCTCTCCACCCACTTGGTATTTCAAGAAAATTTAAAACGATCCCAAGGAAAGATGATTTGTATGTTAAAGTGACTGCACAAGTAAAAGTCCAATGTTGTGTGCATGAAAAGGATTCCTTGGTTATGTGCAGGGAATCATCTCACATGCTGTTTTTCCTATTTGGTTTGAGAAACAGGCTGACACTATTCTCTTTGATTAGAAAATAAACTCATAAAACTCATAATGTTGATATAATCAAGATGTAACCACTATAAATATGTAGAAGAGGAAGTTTTAAAAGACCTTAAGCTGGCATTGTGAAGGAACACCATGGTAGACTCTTTTTGTAAATGTATTTTGTATTTAATGAAATGCAGTATAAAGGTTGGTGAAGTGTAATATAATTGTGTAAACAAATCCTGTTAATAGAGAGATGTACAGAATCGTTTTGTACTGTATCTTGAAACTTGTGAAATAAAGATTCCACCTCTGGTTATCCTGTATGCTGTAATATACCACAACCAAGCACCTTTCCAGACAGACTTTTTTTAAGCTGAATGATTCAATTTTTTAATGTTTTTTGGAAATTCAGAAGCTTCTGAAAACATTCACTTGTGGCAATTTGAATTTATCTTTCATTTTAAACTCCTGAAATTCAGATTTTTACAAGTCCAATATTGCCCTAGGGAGAACATGAATTTGCTAAGAAATGTTATCTTTTAAATCTCTGATATCTTTGTCTTGAAGCAGCCTTGATATGTAGTAAGCGTGATTCACTTTAGCCTGATTATAATATTATTTATCTAAAGTTTGTTTATGCATTGCCTTGTCCCAGGAATTTTTTAAGAGGACTTGCAGAGACACGTACCACACAGTAACATTTAGACTAAATATGCTCTGAGTAAAGGAGAAATGAAAAAATATTAAATCAAGAGTGAACATGTACACAAAGTGCAATTGGAAGTGGGCTACAAATTTGGCCCCCAGCTTCCCAGCAGGCAACTCAAAGAGGTAACTGAGGTAAAATGTTCCAGCTCAGAAGCATTGGATCTTGGATAAAAAGCCTACATGATGCAAACTGTGGCAACTGAGATGTCAGATCTCAAGATCTCAAATTGTACTTGTGGGAGCACAGTCAGTGACCCCAGATGACCTTGACTGACCTAAAAGTTGTGGGGGAAGTCGGATGTCAGAGCCTTAACACCAGCAGGTGACCATCCAACCTGGGGCAATGCCTGCCTGTTCACCACTTAGCCTCTTTCTGGCAAGTCATTAGAATGTCCTCCATCTTCATTGGCTGCAACTTGATGAGCTACAGCCTCTTTCCTAACTTCCTTTATGATGCTAGTTTAGGTTGGTTATACCAGCTTGGAAGTATGCTTAGATTAAGTTACAGCAGATACACAAATTAGATGCAAGTAAAAAAAATCAGAATTTCTGTAGTAGAAACTACGAAAAATAAAAAGGAAAGTTTTTACTTTTTGGGTATTTTTTTACGAATAAGAAAAAGTGAGCGTTAATCAGTTCAAAAGGAGGTACTGCTGTGTAATGGGCTTTGTACGTTCCTTCTCATGTCACTTACGTCACTACTTCGCCATCAAATTGAACAAGCTTTTAATTAGATCCTGAAAATTCACTATGCTAGTAGTTTATTGGTAGTATTATATTTTGAGTAGAACTCTGATTTTCCCTAGAGGCCAAATTCTTTTTATCTGGGTTAATTTCTTTTAAACATAACAATGTTAATGCTGAATTGTATATTAAATCCCATTTCTAAAAACCACACAATTTTTTCTCATGTAAGTTGAGTGGAATGTGGTTAGTTAACTGAATTTGGAATGTTCATATAAATAATTTGTTGCTGCTCAATCCGGTTTCCCACTGCCTCCTCTCTACCGCCCAGTATAACCTCGTTAATTCACCTCTCGGACTTGGAAAGAATGTCTCATAAGTCTTGGGAGATAAGAGATTCAGGTATCCCAAGTAAGGATTCTAACTTCGAAAATGAATATGTCATTGAGTTTTACACGATTCAAGATTCAAACGTGGGCAACAGAAATCTCTGTTCTTGGAAACAGATTTATTTCAGGATGTGAAAGCCCAGCTGTGGGTTTCAGAGTTTGCACACCTGCATTTCCTCACCCTTCATCTGTGGCCATGCTCGTAGATGCTTTTCTTAGGAAAATTTGATTAATTGAACTTTTTTTGTTCTAAATGCAATCTGAAATGAGTAGAGACTAACGCTGGCTGTGCGTGCGTGTGTGAGTGCATGGTAGTGAGGGGTTGGGGAGCCTTCCAGCTGATTTTGTTTCCCTTAAGTACTAATGAAGAATTTACTTGAATTGTTCTAACCTGTACATGTATTTTCTTTGACCTATCATTTGGACAATGTTCTGTGGTTAACATCTTAAATTTTTTTTTTTTTTTTTTGAGACAGGGTCTCACTCTGTTGTCCAGGCTGAGTGCAGTGGCTTAGTTAGAGCCCACTGCAGCCTCAAAACTCCTGGGCTCAAGAAATTCTCCCACCCCAGCCTCCTGCATAGCTGGGAGTACTAGTGTGTGCCACCACGGACAGCTATTTTTTTATTTTTTGTAGAAACAGGGTCTCCCTATGTTTCCCAGGCTGGTCTCAAACTCCTGGTCTCAAGCGATCCTCCCACCTCAACCTCCCAAAGTGCTGGGATTACAGGTGTGAGCCACTGTACCCAGCCCATCTTACTTCTTTCAGTGCATGGAAATTTACTTCCAGGACCGCGAGAGCTGAGAAGAGCACGGTATTTTCCCTTTAGCCTTCTTTGGACCGTAGCTGAAGTATGTGCTGTAGGTGAAAGCACCCACACTGGGCCTGTAAAGAACTGCCTTTATTTCAAAAGGAGGAAAAAGTAATTGAAGCCTTAAGTTTGTGTAATTGGTATCTGTATTTCATCACTCATTTGAGACTTAAAAGTAATTAAAGCCTCATAACTAGACTGATGTTTTGTGTTCTCACATTAGCTAAACCAAAGAATCTATTGAGTCTCAACACAGTACATTAAGTTAAGAGAGCACATTTGTGCCTTCGAGCAGTTAAATAGAGGAGAAACCCATGAACAGAGATGAAACCCCAATTTACAGAGAAATGAAACTCCATGTCATCTGACCTATTGCCACTACTTAAAGGGGCTTTGTAATTGTGAGTCACCATTTCAGGGCAGGCCATTATGACAAATCAGACAGATGCATAAGGGAAAGGTCCATGGCTGGGTGCAGTGGCTCACGCCTGTAATCCCAGCAGTTTGGGAGGCCGAGGCGGGCGGATCACGAGGTCAGGAGTTCGAGACTAGCCTCGCCAACATGGTGAAACCCCTTCTCTACTAAAAATACAAAAATTAGCTGGGCATGGTGGTGCGCGCCTGTAATCTGAGCTACTTCGGAGGCTGAGGCAGGAGAATGGCTTGAACCCAGGAGGTGGAGGTTGCAGTGAGCTGAGATCGTGCCACTGCACTCCAGCCTGGGTAACACAGCAAGACTCCGTCTCAAAAAAAAAAAAAAAAGATCCAGACACAACCAACCGTTTGATCCTCGCATGAGTTCTTCTGAGTTGCCCAATCCCCTCCCAAACAGATTAGTGATAGTCAGTCCTAGCCCCACTGAATGGCCCTATGCGAAGGAAAACGGGAAGGACGCCATAGCGAGAAAGTTCTGGACTGCAGTCGAGTCTTCACAGTGGTTGGGTGACCCCAGACAAGTCATTCGCTGTACAGGGTTCTCATAGGCATCAAGAGACTGGGTACTGGGGATGGTCCTTAAGGTCCTGTCCAGCTGTGGGAGGTCTTAAGTGCCAAAAGAAACCAAATTGACTTTTTATTCCACTGACACCAGACCCTTTACAAGGCTTCCTGGTGGAAATGACAACATTCCACTGTCCTAAAATGGTTGACTCCAAACAATTTATAAGTAAAGTTTATGTTAAAGAGGTCAATATTAAAGTTTATACATAAGGGGTCGGGCGCAGTGGCTCATGCCTGTAATCCCAACACATTGGGAGGCCGAGGCAGGCAGATCGCTTGAGGTCAGGAGTTTGAGACCAGCCTAGGCAACATGGTGAAACCCCGTCTCTACAAAAAAAAAAAAAAAAAAAAAAAAAAAAATTAGCTGGGCATGGTGGCGTACGCCTGTGGTCTCAGCTACCTGGAAGGTTGGGAGGCTGGGGTGGGAAGATCACTTGGGCCTGGGAGGTGGAAATTGCAGTGAGCCAAGATCATACTACTGCATTCCAAACTGGGTGACAGAGTGAGACCCTGTCTCAAAATTTAAAATAAAGTTTATAACATAAGGTTTCATGTGGGCATTCATTCAACAGCCTTTATTAATCACCTACTATCTTCCAGACCCTGAAGTGTAAAATGAATTTAAAGATGAGTATGAATGAAAGACTGAAATGAAAGAGGCTGTTTTCCTCTGCGGGTCATCTTCACCATTGACTGAACACAATATGTGACAGATGCTAAGTGTTTTACATCCATTATTGAATTTAATCTTCAGTACTCCAGGATGTCAGTACTAGTCATGTCATTCTCATTTAACAGATGAGGCAACAGGCTTGGACAAGCTAAGCAACTTGCTCAAGGTCACTCAGCTAGTGTTAGTCATAAAACTCGAATTCAAATAAAGAACTGGGCAGGGCATGGCGACTCACACCTGTAATCCCAGCACTTTGGGAGGCCAAGGCAGGTGGATCACCTGAGGTCAGGAGTTTGAGACCAGCCTGGCCAACATGGTGAAACCCCGTCTCTATTAATAATACAAAAATTAGTTGGGTGTGGTGGTGCATGCCTGTAATCCCAGATACTCGGGAGGCTGAGGCAGGAGAATTGCTTGAACCTGGAAGACGGAGGTTTCAGTGAGCCGAGATTATGCCACTGCACCCCAGCCTGGGGGACAGAGTGAGACTCTGTCTCAAAATTTAAAAAAAATTGTCTTGGCTAAAAGCACCCAAGTTGTAAACTGTTATGTTATGCTGTCCCCTTAATACAGCTTGGTAAGGTTTACAGTGGAGTTATAAACGCAGTGCCCATGAAGGAACAGGAAAGAGTAACAACAAAATGAGCAACGTTTCTCCCAAGTGTGCGTCATCCTAGTCCATGCTCACAAGTGCTGTTCTATGCTTAGCATGTGCTGCTAAAGCAGTGTTTGCAGACATCTGCTGCTTTACAGTTGTAAAGACATAAAAAAACAGCTAGAGCACATCGGGATTGGCTTGTCTCTGCTCCACCATGTCTAGTGTGAGGTGAGATGGCTTGACTGGTTTGAGGAGCCATGTGGCTGGGACCGCAGCCTTTTTTCGTTTGACATACACCTGGAGCTGAACATCCAACATGGCTCCTTCACACACATGCCTGGTGCCCAGGCTGGGCTGGCCAGCATCACCCTCTCCACGTGTGGGGATCTCGGGGCAGACAAAACTGCCTCAGAGTGAGCACTCCAAGAGCCAAGATGGTGCTCAGGGGCTTCTTAGGACTAGACTTAGAAATCTCAACCATTGGCCAGGTGTGGTGGGTCATGCCTGTAATCCCAGCACTTTGGGAGGCCGAGGCAGGCAGATCATGAGGTCAGGAGATCGAGACCATCCAGGCTAACATGGTGAAACCCCACCTCAACTAAAAATACAAAAAATTAGCCAGGCGTGGTGGTGGACACCTGTAGTCCCAGCTACTCGGGAGGATGAGGCAGGAGAATGGCATGAACCCAGGAGGCAGAGCTTGCAGTGAGCCCAGCTTGCACCACTGCACTCCAGCCTGGGCAACAGAGCAAGACTCTATCTCAAAAAACAACAACAACAACAACAACAACAACAACAACAAAAACACTCAACCATCATTCCACTGCATCCTATTGGTCCACAGGTCACTTGGGCCAGCCCAGATTCAAGGGTTGCTGGTTGGAGAAACAGGATCCACCTCCCAGTGGAGGAGTGACTTGGGCATCCAAGGAGGGAAGGAGTGGATGGTGGCCCTCTTCAGATGAGGCTGCCACAATCACAAATTCATTCTTCTCCATGGTATCAGCAAACTTTATAGTTAGTAAATAGTTACGGAAAACATCAGCGTTTGACTTGCTTCTAGATCACATCTCTGTGTATAACTTATGCTATCAATTGCTATCAAGTGTAATACAGGGTGACACAGTGAATCGGGTATCAGCACTACCTTCAAGGACTCCCTAAACAGTGGCCTTCAGGCGCTTGGCAAGACTAACGCTACTTCCCTGGTTGGAATTTGTAAGAGCTTCTCATTTAACTGCTACCAACTCAGTTTGTCTACAAATTTAGAATGAGACCTCCCACATCCATTTACCTGAAATAGCTGAGCTAATGGAGATTAATGGAACTAACGGGGGAGTGTGTGCGTGAGCAGTATTCATCATACCTATTTCAATTCTCCTCACTGCTGGGGCCTCAACACTATGCTGTGCCTTTTTTCCCTCCCTCTGCCCTCTGCCCAAGCTCACTCTCCTCCAAGTCTCTGCTCAGACTTGCCTGACTGCCCCCCCATTAAATCAAGACCATCTGTTATACATCCCCCGTGTTTTCCCTTTATAGCACTTATTGATTATGGTATTTAATTAATCTTCATATCCCTATTGTTAAATCTCAAAAGGACAGGCACCAGTCCATCTCACCCACCAGTGTGGTGTGTGCCCAGAGCTTGGCACAATGTCCAACACTTAGGACTGATTAATAGTTGAATTACAAATTAGCCAGACATGATGGTGCATACCTGTAATCCCAGCCACTAGGGAGACTGAGGCATGAGAATCGCTTGAAGCCGGGATGCGGAGGTTGCAGTGAGCCAAGATGATGCCGCTGCACTCCAGCCTGGGCGACGGCCACGGAGGGAGACTCCATCTATATATATATTTGTTTGTTTATTTATTTATTTATATTTATATAAAATGGAGTCTCACTCTGTCACCCAGGCTGGAGTGCAGCAGTGGGATCTCAGCTCACTGCAACCTCCACCTCCCAGGTTCAAGCGATTCTCCTACCTCAGCCTCTTGAGTGACTGGGATTACAGGCACCCACCACCATGCCCAGCTAATTTTTGTATTTTTAGTAGAGACGGGGTTTCTCCATGTTGGCCAGGCTGGTCTCAAACTCCTGACCTCAGGTGATCCGCCCACCTTGGCCTCCCAAAGTGCTGGGATTACAGGCATGAGCCACCACGGCTGGCTATATATATATATATATATATATATATATATTTGAATTTGAATGAGCAGATGGACTTTCCAGTAGAAATAACATTCTGAAAGATAGTGAAGACCCAGAGTCATCTCTTGTGAAAACCTGCCTAAATACAAATGTACTTGAACGACTTATGTGGCACTGTGTACTTAACTAGCTACTTCATGTAAGATTTCTCTGAACTAGTTACCCAATCAATTCTCCCTGTTCCCAAGAAAGCAGGAGAAATCCCTCCTAGAAAAACAGCTTCAAGGAGGGAAAAGAAAGTGAGTATGTCTGGCAGGTGCTTTCATGGCCCATGGGGGACCCAGGGATGACAACTTCTACCCCGCAGTGGGGTGGCGGTGCTCCAGAAATTGGGTCAGGAGGGCTCTACATTGAAGGCAATCCACTGAAGTGACAAAGCCCTTTGCCAACCAAAAAGCAGGAAACACTGAGTACTTAAGCCACCGCTGAAAAGAAACCAAGGCAGCCCCCGCCCTCCTTGATACAGTGTGGCAATTCCACTCAACACCGCCTGAATGCTTATTAAGGCGAAGGCCTTGTGCCAGGAAGGAGGGGCACTGTGACGGAGCTGGGGGCTAACTCTTCCACGAATGCTACCTGGAGATGCTGTTGGGCGTGAATATTCTTACACGGGGCATGGCCTTTCCACGCATGTCTTTCTTCCTCCAGTAGGTTGACACTGTCATGAGATCATAATGATGAGAAATTGCAAGAAATATAGTTGGAGGATTTGCTTAGATTTTCTTAAAAGTGTTACCGGCTGGGCAAGGTGGCTCATGCCTGTAATCCCAACACTTTGGGAGGCCAAGGCGGGTGAATCATGAGGTCAAGAGTTCAAGACCAGCCTGGCCAACATGGTGAAACCCCATCTCTACTAAAAATAAAAATAAAAATAAAAATAAAAATAAATAGCCGGGTGTAATGGCGTGCACCTGTAATCCCAGCTACTCGGGAGGCTGAGGCAGAGAACTGCTTGCAGGAGGCGGAGGTTGTGGTGAAACAAGATCGCGCCACTGCACTCCAGCCTGGGTGAGAGAGCGAGACTCTGTCTCAAAAAAAAAATAATAATAAATAAATGAAAGTGTTACCAAGTAGTGATACTCTGGCCAAAGTACGATTAAAAACTGAAAACCAAGACGTTTTAATATCTCTTTAAGGAAAGCGCTGCACCCCCTTCTTAGGATTTTATGGCTGGAGGAGATACACAGCTGTCATCATTCTGTCTTCCTCCCCCAAGCAGCCTCCACTTCTTTTGTTTCTGTAAAAAGGAAGTGCAGGGCAGAGAAGAACCGAATTCACAACTCAGGCAGTTTCCTTTTGCTCTGTTTAGCATTGCTTCTCTCAAAGATGCACAGTACATTGGATTGGATCATAGTATAGACGGTCCAAGCTCCTTTTTTGGGTTGAAACGCAACTTATGTCTCACTAATCTTTTTAAATCTGCGACTACCGGTTCCTCGGAAAAGTATGACTGCAGTTACCGTAATTTCCACTAGAGGGCACAAAAGGGCTACATCTGAGGCAAAGTTTAGGCGATAAAACTTTCTGGGTTTTTCGAAGTTTTTCAGACGTCTTTTCTGGGGTAGGCAAAATCTGAGGGACAGGTGCTCCCCAGATTTCCTGGAATAAAATCACTGTAACTACTAGAAACATCACAAAATGTTAAAAAGTACACTAGGCCAGCAGTGTGAGTTGTGACGTGTACACAGCTTTCTGGCTGATGTCGCTGAAGAATGAATGTGACGTTCCTCTGTAGGCAAGTGATGCACCCCCTGCCTCTAGAAATATTTTCGTCATCATCGTGACTAAATGATGGCTTCCATAAAGAGATGTCTTAGGCACTGGCACCTGTGTGTGTAGCCTTATTTGGAAAAAGTTAAAGATCACCAGCTGAGATATTCTAGATTATCAGTGTGGGCCCAAAATCCAGTGACAGGTGTCCTTATTTTTTAAATTTTATTATTTATTTATTTATTTATTTATTTATTTATTTATTTTGAGAGGGAGTCTCACTCTGTCGCCCAGGCTGGAGTGCGGTGGTGCGATCTCGGCTCACTGCAACCTCCACCTCCTGGGTTCAAGCAATTCTCTGCCTCAGCCTCTGGAGTAGCTGGGATTACAAGCACCTGCCACCACGCCAGTCTAATTTTTGTATTTTTTGTAGAGACAGGGTTTCACCATCTTGGCCAGGCTGGTCTTGAACTCCTGACCTCGTGATCCACCCGCCTCGGCCTCCCAAAATGCTGGGATTACAGGTGTGAGCCACCATGCCCGGCCAACAGGTGTCCTTATATGGGAAAGGTGGAGGGAGATTTGACACACAGAAAAGGAGAAGACACAGAGCAGAGGAAAATGCTTTGTGAAGATGGAGGCAGAGATCAGAGTTCAGCTGCCACAAGCCATGCCAGGAGCCACTAGGAGCCGGAAGAGGTCAGGAAGGGTTCCCTTTTAGGGCCTCCGGAGGTAGCACAGCCCTGCAGACACCTTAATTTTGACCTTCTGGACTCCAGAACTATGAGAGAATAAGTTTCTGTTGTTTTAAGCCACCAAGTTTGTGGTGTAATTGGTTACAATAAGCCTAGGAAACTAGCACAGTCATCCTATACCGTGAGTGGTCAATGGGAGCGATGTGACTCCAAGGAGGAGAGAATGGGCTCCCGGTAGGGTGTGAAAAAGTCCTAGATATTACAATGGTTTGTCATCCTCCAAGAGGTCCTATAAACAGCTTTATGTATAAACATAAACAGATAGACAGTATATTTGTGGTATTAAAGTTTTATACATAGTGGGGAGGAGAAGGACAATTAGGAGGGGAAAATGTCTAAAAGGGCTCCTTAGAAGAATTCTTTTTTAGGATCTCCCTCGTCTCCCTCTGCCTCGTCTCCCTCTCCCTCTCCCTCCCCCGTCTCCCTCTCCCTCCCCCGTCTCCCTCTCCCTCCCCCGTCTCCCTCTCCCTCCCCCGTCTCCCTCTCCCTCCCCCGTCTCCCTCTCCCTCTCCCATCTCCCTCTCCCTCTCCCTCTCCCTCGTCTCCCTCTCCCTGTCCCCGGTCTTCCTCTGATGCCACCAAAGTTGTGAAAGCGGAGGCTGGACTGTACTGCCGCCATCTCGGCTCACTGCAACCTCCCTGCCTGATTCTCCTGCCTCAGCCTGCAGAGTGCCTGGGATTGCAGGCGCGCGCCGCCACACCTGACTGGTTTTTGCATTTTTTGGTGGAGACGGGGTTTCGCCGTGTTGGCCGGGCTGGTCTCCAGCTCCTGACCGCGAGTGATCTGCCTGCCTCGGCCTCCCGAGGTGCCAGGATTGCAGACGGAGTCTCGCTCACTCGGTGCTCAATGTTGCCCCTGCTGCAGTGCAGTGGCGTGATCTCGGCTCGCTACAACCTCCACTTCCCAGCCGCCTGCCTTGGCCTCCCAAAGTGCCGAGACTGCAGCCTCTGCCCGGCCGCCACCCCGTCTGGGAAGTGAGGAGCGTCTCTGCCTGGCCGCCCATCGTCTGAGATGTGGGAAGCGCCTCTGCCCTGCCGCCCCCTCTGGGATGTGAGGAGCGCCTCTGCCCGGCCGCGACCCCGTCTGGGAACTGAGGAGTGTCTCTGCCCCACCGCCACCCCATCTGGGAGGTGAGGAGCGTCTCTGCCCGGCCGCCCCGTCTGGGAAGTGAGGAGCCCCTCCGCCCACCAGCCGCCCTGTCCGGGAGGGAGGTGGGGGGCGCCTCTGCCAGGCCGCCCCGTCTGGGAAGTGAGGAGCCCCTCTGCCCGGCCGCCACCCCGTCTGGGAGGTGTACCCAACAGCTCATTGAGAACGGGCCATGATGACGATGACAGTTTTGTCGAATAGAAAAGGGGGAAATGTGGGGAAAAGAAAGAGAGATCAGATTGTTACTGTGTCTGTGTAGAAAGAAGTAGACATGGGAGACTCCATTTTGTTCTGTACTAAGAAAAATTCTTCTGCCTAGGGATGCTGTTAATCTATAACCTTACCCCCAACCCGGTGCTCTCTGAAACATGTGCTGTGTCCACTCAGGGTTAAATGGATTAAGGGCGGTGCAAGATGTGCTTTGTTAAACAGATGCTTGAAGGCAGCATGCTCGTTAAGAGTCATCACCACTCCCTAATCTCAAGTACCCAGGGACACAAACACTGCCGAAGGCCGCAGGGTCCTCTGTCTAGGAAAACCAGAGACCCTTGTTCACATGTTTATCTGCTGACCTTCCCTCCACTATTGTCCTATGACCCTGCCAAATCCCCCTCTCCGAGAAACACCCAAGAATGATCAATAAATACTAAAAAAAATAAAAATTTAAAAAAAAAAAAAAATTCTTTTTTAAAAGTTGAGAGGCCAGGCGCGGTGGCTCACGCCTGTAATCCCAGCACTTTGGCAGGCCAAGACAGAGTGAGACTCCTTCTCAAAAAAAAAAAAAAAGTTAAGAAATGCAGTTCAAGGCGAGGAGCAGTGGCTCACGCCTATAATCCCAGCACTTTGGGAGGCCGAGGCGGGCAGATCACTTGAGGTCAGGGGTTTGAGGCCACTGCACCCAGCCTAAATAAATTTAAATAAATTTAAATAAATATTTGAAGAATATTAATTTGCAACTTTTCTCTTATTAGCCTACCCAGGGCACCGTGTTCAGCCCTAATCAGTTGTCTTATTTTCTAAGATATTCTTTCTTTCTTTCTTTGTTGGAAACATACATTTAAAAAGACAAAAGTTACCTAATTATCACTCAAGTTCCAGAAGCCATAAAGGAAAAGATGGATACGTTTCACCATAAAATGAAAACAGTATGCTTGACAAACCTGCTGTGATCAAAGTCAAAAAGCAAATGTCAAAGTGCGAAAATACTTGCACTTCATTTTCCAGCAAGAGATTCATTTCCTGAAGACATAATATCTCATAGAAATCCATAAGGATCAATAAACTAATATGACAGGAAAAGTGAACAAACATGATTAACAGTTCACAGAAAATGAAATGCATATGACTTTTAGTACATGAAAGATAGTCAGCCTCACTAGTAAAAGAAATGCAAACAAAAACTACACCGAGAGCTCTTTGGAGATTCTTATTGGGAAAGTGGGACCACCTTATATAGCAGACGTCCTCCTGGGGGACCACCGCTGAGCGACCTGCAGCTGCAGACGCTTTCAGCACACACTGTGCTTCCCACATCTGAGGTCTGCTTCTCTCTGCTTCTCAGCTTCTCACGGATGTGGAAAGAACAATGTTGGAAGGTGGGAGCTGAAGAGGTCTGGGAAGTTGTGTATGGAGGGCCTATGGAGTGGATACAAAGCTCAAGGGTCGAGCCAGGTGCGGGGGGGTCACACCTGTAATCCCAGCACTTGGGGAGGCTGAGGTAGGTGGATTGCCTGAGGTCAGGAGTTTGAGACCAGCCTGGCCAACATAGTGAAACCCCGTCTTTACTAAAAATACAAAAAATTAGCTGGGCGTAGTGGCGGGTGCCTGTAGTCCCACCCACTAGGGAGGCTGAGGCAGGAGAATCACTTGAACCTGGGAGGCGGAGGTTGCAGTGAGCCAAGATCGCACCATTGCACTTCAGCCTGGGCAACAAGAGCAAAACTCTGTCTCAAAAAAAAAAAAAAAAAAAGCTCGAGGATCTTTTGCTTCTCATGTCATTGCACTCAACAACTGAGTAGACAAGATGACTCCTCAGGTTGCTGACAGCTTTCCTCTGTTATCCCAGTGCTTTGAAAAAACAAGTCACGTGCAGTGGCTTACACTCATAATCCCAGCACTTTGGGAGGCTGAGGTGGGAGGAGTGCTTGAGCCCAGGAGTTTGAGACCAGTCTGGGCAACAAAGGGAGACCCTGTCTCTACAAAAAGTAAAAAATTAGCTGGGTGTGTTGGTGCATGCCTCTAGTCTCAGCTACTCAGGAGGCTAAGGCAGGAAGATTGCTTGAGCCCAGGAGTTCAAGACCAGCCAGGCAACATAGGGAGACCCCCGTCTCTCTAAGAAACAAACAACAAAAAAATTTAGCTGGACATAGTGGCCTGTGCCTGTGGTACCAGCTACTTGGGAGGCTGAGGTGGGAGGATCCCTCGGGCCTAGGAGGTCGAGGCTGCAGTGAGCCGTGATCTCACCACTGAACTCCAGCCTGGGCAACAGAGCAAGACCCTGTCTGAGAAAGGGAGAGAGAGAGGTAGGGGGAGAGAGAGAGGTGGGGGGAAAGACAGAGAGAGAGAGAAAGAAATTTAGAAAACAGGGTGGATGGTGGAGGAGGAAGGCACAGGGTCCACCTTCCTTAGAAAGCAGCTGGCAGCCAGCAAGAGCTCCTGGAACTGGCACCTTGCACAGCTGAGGGGTCCCCCTCATCTGCCTCAGGCACACCCTCCAGTCAGAGCTGGAATTCTTTTAAGTGCAGCTTGGTTCCTCTGGCTGTATTTCAAGGGCTGTCTTGGCATTTTGGTGACATTGTTTGCCTCTCCTGTCCTGAGACTGTCTGTGTCTGCGACCTGACTGGTTCCTGATGAACAGTAGGAACAGAAACTGTCTTCCCCATTCGGACACAGGAAGCCAGCTTGTCCCCTAGAAGGCTGGACAAGGAATGGCAATGGTTTTGGAAGCAGAAAACAAACCTGCTGGACTGTGAAAGGAAGCGGTAGGGTGTGGGGAGAGCAATGACTTCCGTGCGAGCAGCAGAGAGAGGTTTTGAAAGAGACTCAGAGATATGTGTGACCCCCAACAAATCTTCAGTGGATAAAATGCTTGGTGTGTGTTAACTGGCTTTTAACTAGAGAAGGACTCACAGTAATTTGTAAACGACTATGTTTTGGTCGTGACTCCTTTATTCCTCTTTTTTTGTCAAAGAAAGAATGCCAACTGTAATTACACACAAGGGAAAGTACAAGTTATTCTAAACCCTGACTGGTGCCAAATGCATTCATGAGTGGAGAGGACGTTTCCCAAGTGACCTTTGGGAGAATTTTTTTAAATCCAGAAACTCTAAAATTAAGAGGAAACGGGGCCGGGTGTGGTGGCTCACACCTGTAATCCCAGCACTTTGGGAGGCCAAGGCAGGCGGATCACCTGAGGTCAGGAGGTCGAGACCAGCCTGGCCAACATGGTGAAACCCCGTCTCTACAAAAAATACAAAAATTAGCCAGGTGTGGTGGTGGGCTCCTGTAATCCCAGCTACTCGGGAGGGTAAGGCGGGAGAATGGCTTGAACCACGGAGGCGGAGGTTGCAGTGAGCCAAGATTGTGCCACTGCACTCCAGCTTGGGCAACAGAGTGAGACTCTGTCTCAAAAAAAAAAAAAAAAAAAAAAAGAAGAAAAATAAGAAACTACGATAACGGTTCAAATGTTTCTAAGTTAAGAGGTGAGATTGTCATTGGAGACGTTCCCTCATTCATTCCATGTCCTGCCCCACACACCAAACCAGAGTCCAAGGCTCCCAGGGTTCCCAAGCTCCTGGTAGGATGGCCCTCCTTGGCCCAGATGCCAGTAGACTCAAGACTACCAATCTTCTGGGAGATTTCTGACAGTCACCTCCATTCCGCTTTGCTCTCAGCATCCCAACTTTCTCCAACATCAATGAGCACGGTTCCTACAGAGTGTCATGCCAGCATGATTGAGTCTCAGCTGTTCATAGCTAGCAGTCCTGTACCCCCTTGACAGTGGTGACTGGGCTAGGGTAGTGTTTCTCAATTTTTTTTTTTTAAGACAGAGTTTTGCCCTGTCGCCCAGGCTGGAGTGTGCAGTGGCGTGATTTCCGCCCACAGCAACCTCTACCTCCCGAGTTCAACCAAGTCTTCTGCCCCGTTCAGCCTCCTGAGTAGCTGAGACTACAGGCATGCACCATCACGCCTGGCTAATTTATATTTACATATATATATTATAAAATATATAATTATATAATATATATTATTAAATTATATATAATTTATATAATATATATTATATAATTATATATAATATTATCTATTATATAAATTATATATAATATTATATAAATTATATATAATATAATTATATATATTATATTATAATATAACATATATTTTTATATATGTTATATATAAATATTATATAACATATAATATAACATATATAATTATAATATAACATATATTATATATAAATTATATATAATATAACATATATTATATATAAATTATATATAATATAACATATATTATATATAAATTATATATAATATAACATATATTATATATAAATTATATATAATATAACATATATTATATATAAATTATATATAATATAACATATATTATATATAAATTATATATAATATAACATATATTATATATAAATTATATATAATATAACATATATTATATATAAATTATATATAATATAACATATATTATATATAAATTATATATAATATATAATTGTTGTTGTTGTTGTTTTGAGACAGAGTCTAGCTCTCTCGCCCAGGCTGCAGTGCAATGGCGCAATCTCAGGTCACTGCAACCTCCGCCTCCTGGGTTCAAGCGATTCCCCTGCCTCAGCCTCCTGAGTAGCTGGGATTATAGGCATGCGCCACCATGCCCAGCTAATTTTTGTATTTTTAGTAGAGACGGGGTTTCACATGTTGATCAGGCTAGTTTCGATCTCCTGACCTCGTGATCCACCCCCCTCGGCCTCCCAAAGAGCTGGGAGTACAGGCGTGAGCCAGCACGCCCGACCTAATTTTTTTATATTTTTAGTAGATACGGGTTTTTGCCATGTTCGCCAGGCTGGTCTTGAACTCCTGACCTTGAGTGATCCACCCACCTCGGCCTCCCAAAGTGCTGGGATTACAGGTGTGAGCCACCGTGCCCGGCCATCAACAGTGTTTTTATTGTTGGCAACCCAAGGAACCATTTTAGATATTTTTTTCTTTGCTCTCTACCCCCTCAAGAAATTATAATGCCATAGATACATCTATTTGTGTGCTCTATGTATATTTGTGTGCTGTATGCGTATCTGTGCATTATAAAGGAAAACAGAAATTTCTTTGCCCCTGCCAAGAACCCATTTTCACTCCTTTGCAGGTGATACGGCCCCTGTTTGGCATGCGCAGTGTGAGGGTATTGTGGCACTGTTTGTAATAGCAAAAGATTAGCAATAACTTAAATGTCCATCAAAAGGACTGGTTAAATAAATTATGCTATAATACATCCAAGGAATATGACACTATGTAGCCACAAAAAGGAATGAAGAGTCTTTCTGCGTAGTGATATGATAAAAGCTCCAAAATATAGTTAGTGAAATATAGTCTGTCTGTGTAGTGATATGATAAAAGCTCCAAAATATAGTTAGTGAAAAATGCAAGGAGCACAATGCTTATAATGGTACCCTTTTTGTAAAAATGAAAAGAAAGAATAGCTACGTGTATTTGCATATGCCTAAATTATCACAGAAAAAAATACATGTAAAACATATATTTTTTGACATTGGTGTGCTTAGAGGGAAGAAAACTGGATGCCAATAGGACCATATACCCTGAACCATGTAATTGTGTTACCTATTCCGACTTTAAATTAAAAGTGGGAAATCTAATTTTAAAGTTACACTTATGCCTTTGCTTTTTTTTTTTTTTTTTTAAGATAGCGTTTCACTCTTGTTGCTCAGGCTGGAGTGCAGTGACGTGATCTTGACTCACTGCAATTTCTGCCTCCCGGGTTCAAGCGATTCTCCTGCCTCAGCCTCCTGAGTAGCTGGAATTACAGGCACCTGCCACCACGCCCGGCTAATTTTTTGTATTTTTAATAGAGACGGGGTTTCACCACGTTGGCCAGGCTGGTCTCGAACTCCTGACCTCAGGTGATCTGCCCACCTCGACCTCCCAAAGTGCTGGGATTACAGGTGTGAACCACCACACCCAGCCAGTGCATCTTCTTAAAACGTTAGTAGCTGGCTGCAGTGGCTCATGCCTGAATCCCAGCACTTGGGGAAGCTGAGGTGGGTGGGTCATTTGAGCCCAGGAGATCAAGACCAGCCTGGGCAACATGGCAAAACCCCATCTCTACAAAAAGTACAAAAATTAGCCGGCTGTGGTGGTGCACACCTATAGTCCCAGCTACTCAGTAGGCTGAGGCAGGAGGATTACTTTAACCCAGGAGGCGGAAGTTATAGTGAACCACAATGGCGTACTGCACTTCAGCCTGGGCAACAGAGCAAGACCCTGTCTCAAAAAAAAAAAAAAATAGTGATAACAAAATTACTGTGTTCCCCCTTGATATCACCAATTGAAGGATTCTCTCATTAGTTGAATTTAGAAACCTGATAGAATATATTATTTTGCCTACAGTTGTAAAATCTTGGAGTAAGGTTTTATCACCTTGGGGTTTTTCATAATACCTGCCCAACTGGAAGAAAACTACACTGAGCTCAAAAATGGAACTTCCTGGACTCCTCATTTTCATTTCTCTGCTCAAACACACACTTAATTCCCATATAGCCACGTGTCGATTATCCACCCTGTGGTTTATTTCATTTTTCACAACTGTCACAGTAACTTTGTCCTTGAGCAAAGAGTCACTGCCTGATGTGGTGAATATTTTGAGGCCAAAAATTTCCCCCAAATATTCCTGCCATTAATGACTCATTTTCTAGGCATAGAGAATCATAAGCCAACAAGGAGCTCTTTACACATTCAATTTCCTGAATCCTTCCCCTTTTTGTCATTAAGGTTGTCACTCAATTAGATGACACACTACAGTCCACTGAAGCTTCAGTTAAGCTCTCATCTGGACTCAGTCATCGGTTGCCATCAACAAGTATGAAGTGAGTGCTGATTACAAATTCATGGACTCCACGCGGGCATTAATCTTCATAGTAGTGCATGATTTAGTCCAAAGCCCCTGCGAGAGCTTTTTGGTGATGATTAACTCCTATATAATCATGGGGTAGAAAAAAAAAACCATGAGGGATCCCTGACATTCTTTTCACAGAGTCTAGAAACACTGTAAATACAGCAGCATGTCCACAGCTGTTAGCCATCAGCAATGGTGACATTGTTGTGTTGGGATTGTTGTTCTATCACCTTGAATTCATCAATATTTGAATTTTTAATATTTGAAAATAGGATTCTCAAGAATAACTCAGTGCTACCACCCTGACTCGGGTGGATGAACTCAGACCTCCCTCTAGGCTGTGTGGTCCAGCCAAGAGCGGAGAGACACTCTGGGGATCTGTGGGTAAAGAAGAGGATGTGGCCCTTCCTGTTTAGGTATGGAGGTTAGTGGGGGTTGTGGTGGGTCAGGAGCCCAGGGCTGATTAAAAGGGAGGCCACAGTGTAGGGGTCATGGGGGTCAGAGCAGCAGCAGCAGACCCTCTAAGAGGCTCTCTGGAGTGGAGAAACCAGTTCCCCAAGTGGGTCTTCTACAACCACCGTTAATGGCCAAAGGTCTACAGTGCAACACCAGGCTCCAGCAACAGAAGGCTGGAATTCTAGTCTTCCGGCTTGAACAGGTGCCAGCGTAAAGCTGTTTCACTTGCTTCATAAAGCTCTCTCTTCATAGCTCTTGCTGGTACCCAAACCCTTAGAGATGATCAAATTGTTGCATAAGATTTATAAAAGACAATTTTTATTGAATTAATTGGTTGTCATTTTGCCCCCTAGAGAAAAATAGCTAGTTGTACACTTAGCAAATGGAAGTCTTCCATTTCTCTGATGCTTGTGAAAACGTGTGTAAATTTCCAAACTGAAGCAGAATTAAGTAAAAATGTGAAATGCCATCTGTCAGATTGATTCTAGATGCAATGATAAAGAAATTTATCATTAAGGTATGGGGTAGGTCCCAGAATCACACAAAGAAAAGCTGAATATGCAGACAGGGCTGATTATTTAATTGAAATTATTATCCCCGCTGATGGAGAAGAGGCAGCACTTCTTGTAAGAGGCAGCAGTTCTATTCAAGATTCAAATCTCTAGGCCCACCCCTTAGCCAGGAAGGGCAGGGCACTTGATTGGCAGCCTCACAAAAGCTGTGTGGATTGTGGGAGGAAAAGAGAATCCAGGTGCTACAGCCCAAAGAAAAAGAAAGAGACTGTCCGGGCGTGGTGGCTCACACCTGTATTCCCAGCACTTTGGGAGGCCAAGGCGGGTGGATCACTTGAGGTCAGGAATTCCAGACCAACCTGACCAACATGGTGAAACCCCGTCTCCACTAAAAATACAAAAATTAGCTGTGTGTGGTGGCGGGCGCCTGTAGAACCAGCTGTTCGGGAACCTGAGGCTGGAGAATCCCTTGAACCCGGGAGCCGGAGGTTGCAGAGAGCAGAGATCACGCCGTTGCACTCCAGGCTGGGCGACAGCAAGACTCCATCTCAAAAAAAGGTGAGGGGGGGACCCTGAGCAGGCAAAAGCCATAGATATCCATTATTAATACCAAATTCATTTTGTGCTCGTATATCATTTTACTCAGGCAATCAACAACATTTATTTAATGTCGTTGATCATCATTTAAGAACCCAGAATGTGCAGGGCCTTAAACTAGGGGTTCGAGTCTTTCCTTTGATCAGCTGACAATCTAGCTGGAGAACAGGCACATTAACACACGTAGTAGAAACTGAGCTATAACCATGTACAGCTGAACATACTTACCCAAAAAATGATATAACTGAAGCAGAACCTGCAGCTAGGATCTCTTTGTGACTGTCCCTCTGACAGTCTGAGATGGGAGAATGTATTGCAGTGGTTCCAGTATTTGCCATATATTAGGTCCTTTTTGAAAAAAAAAATTGAAGGACATTCATGTAATGTCCTATTTTTATGTATTCAGGTAATGAACTAGGAAAGCCACAAACCCATTTGCCTGCCCCTTGTAATAATTCTGACTTCCACCAGGGGACCTCAGCGCGTGTGTTTTTAACCACAAGTCTGCGGAATGGGACACCGTTCAGAATAGTTTGACAATGTGACTTGTAATCATTCACTTAATTTGTTTACAGCTCTCCGTGCATCACTAATGTAAGGATAGACTTTGAATGACTGTCTTGGAGACATCTATGGGATAAAAGAGAAGCATGGGCTCTGGAATCTGAAGATTCTATTCCATTTCTGCCTCTGTGTTGTGGCTGTGTGATGCTGGCAAATTACAGACCTCAAGTTGAAATAATGAGCATCATAATTACCCATGCCCTGCCTTCCTTAAACTGCCCCCATCCCCAAACTTCTACGAGGGCTCACAAAGAAGCTGCTTCACTCACCCAGTCGCTGCCCTGCATCCCTGTCCAGAACTCTGCCTGCACCCTGCCCCACCCTCCCAACTCTCTCCTGCCACGTCTGCAGCTCTGCAGGCAGAGAGGGATAATTCCAAACCGCAGCAATGGACAGGGACTCCGGGCAGCAACTCAAGGGCACAGTAACAATAATGGATGTTAAGTGCTTATTCGGGGACAAGTAGATCGTAGCTGCTCCATGATTTATTCCTGTCCCCTATGAATATTCTCCAAGTAAAATAAAAGGTTTAGATCTGCGCTACCGCATACAACAGTTACTTGTCCCATGTGGCTGGTGCCAGTGAGGCATGCTCTAAGTGTAAAACCCACACAGTCTCCAAAGACTTCACAGGAAAAGCAGATGGACAATATTGTTTTAGTCCACGCAGGCTGCTATAACAAAGTACCACAAACTGGGTAGCTTATAAACAACAGAAATTTATTTCTCACAGTTCTAGAGGCTGGAAAGTCCAAGATCAGGGCCCCTAGCAGATTCTGTGCCTGACAAGGGCCCACTTTCTGTTTCACAGATGGCACCTTTTCTTTCTATCCTTACATGGTAGAAGGGGTGAGGGAGTCTCTCTCAGTCCTCTTTTTTTTTTTTTTTGAATCAGAGTCTCGCTCTGTTATCCAGGCAGGAGTGCAGTGGTGAGTGGTGTGATCATGGCTCATTGCAATCTCCGCCTCCCTGATTCAAGCAGCCATTCTCCCACCTCGGCCTCCTGAGCTCAAGTGATTCTCCTGCCTCAGACTCTTGAGTAGCTGGGATTACAGGTACACACCACTAGGCCCGGCTAATTTTTGTATTTTTAGTAGAGATGGGGTTTCACCATGTTGGCCAGGCTGGTCTCAAACTCCTGACCTCAGGTGATCCGCCCACCTCGGCCTCCCAAAGTGCTGCTATTACAGGTGTGAGCCACCACACCTGGCCTCAGGCCTCTTTTTAAAAAAAATTATTTATGTATTTATTTATTTTCATAGAGATGTAGTTTTGCTATGTTGCCCCGGCTGATCTCCAACTGCTGGCCTCAAGTGATCCTCCTGCCTTAGCCTCCTGAGTGCTAGGATTACAGGCCTTTCCTATAAGGGCTCTAACCCCATTCTGAGGGCCCCACCCTCATGACCTAATCACCTCCCAAAGGCCCCACTTTCTAACACCATCACTTTGGAGGTTAGGATTTCAACATATAAATTTTGAGGAGAAACAAACATTCAGACCATAGCAAGTACTTTCATTAATACTTTTTGTTTGATTATATGTTCAGATCATAATAGATTTGATATATTAGGTTAAGTAAAAATATATTATTAAAATTAATGTAGCTACTGAAAGTTTCAAATTATATGTATAACGTACATTATATTTCTATAGGAGGACAGTATTGGTCTTTACACAGATTTTAAGGTTCTGTCCTGCTATGAGGTTCCATGATTCAAATACGAGCAGTCTTAGAGGGGAAAAGAAGTTCCAGGCAAGCCTTGCACTTAGCCATCCAATCCTAGGGAATTATCCTACAGAAACACACATGGGGATCTGCACGATGCGTGTATGTTTGTAGTATTGTTTGTAGCATGAAGAAAAAGGCTGAAAACAAACTAAATGTTCAACAGAAAGGAACTGGTTAATAAATGATAGTACATCCATGGGACATGTACAGGCATTAAAAAGGCAAGATATTTCCCGTAAGAATCACCTGAGACACTTATTAAAAATATCAATATAGGCCAGGTATGGTGGCTCATGCTTGTAATCCCAGCACTTTGGGAGGCCAAGCTCAGAGGATCACTTAAAGCCAGGAGTCTGAAACCAGCCTGGGCAACATAGCAAGACCCTGTCTCTACAAAAAAATTAAAAACAGCCAGGTGTGGTGGCACATGCCTGTAGTTTCAGCTACATGGGAAGCTGAGGTGGGAGAATCACTTGAGCCCGGGAGATTGAGGCTGCAGTGAGCTACGATTGTGCCCTTGAACTCCAGCCTTGGGAACAGAACAAGACCCTGTTTCTCTCTCTCTCTCTCTCTCTCTGTCTCTCTCTCTCTCTCCACACACACACACAAAGACTTCCCCAGGTGCCTCCCTGAGAAATTCTCATTCAGCAGGTTTGAAGTGAGACCTGTCAATCTCAATGTTTAAAAAGCACCCCTGAGAGATTCTGATTTCCAGACAAGTTTCCAGACACTAAAACAATTGGTAAGTATATATAACTGCATGGAAAAAATATGCAAGATAGTGTTTGGACTTATATTCTATGATGCATTTTTGTTTATAAAACAGGATTGCATATGTATGTTTGTGTGTAGAAATACACACACTGATGTATAGAAAAGATTTGGAAGGACATAAGCCCAGCTGCTATAGGTGATTACCTCTTGGAAACGGGAAAAAAGAAATGGGCTTTGCATTTTTACTTGCATACTTCAATGTTTGTTTGTTTATGCATCACTTACAGGAGGGGGACAAGAACCCCCTCGTGATTTCATCAGTTCCCAAGTGTTTGGGGAGGGTGAGCAATGGAGGAAGCCAGGGGTGAGGCAGTCAGCTGCGCTCACAGCCATGGCGTCACACCCCAGGGACTGCCCATTGTGAAGTCCCTTGGGGTGCCCCCTCCCTGCACTCTCATTCTTCCCACTAGCCCCAGACGGGCTCTGCCATCAACCTGCAGCTCCTCCTGAGCTGCGGCTCTTCCCGCTCTGCCCCCAACACAAGGAGAGCCCCGACTTGGGAGGAGGGCTTTTCAGATCGCAGCTTGGCCTGAGGCAGAGCCAGAGCGATGAGGTCACCCAGCACAGCTGCTAACTATTTCAAGGAAACAGGTGGTGGCTCTGGCCTTTTCATGGGCTTGGAGTTTTCTGGGAGAGGCCTCTTCAAGGGCGTCCTTGAAGCCCAGCCATGGATGTCCCTGTGGTTGGGAAAGGGGAGCTCAGGGTAATGGAGTATCCTCAAGAACCTGCAGATATTACCTCCCTCCAGAACCGTGGTCTCAGCCCTGGCTGCATATTCCTTCAACGGGAGGGCTTTAGAAATGCTGTGCCAGAGCTGCACCCCAGACCAACAAAATCAGACTCTCCAGGATGCGGCCAAGGCATCAGTATGTGGAAAGCTTTCAGGTGAGTCCAATGTGCAACCAAGGTTGAGACCACCGGTCCAACCCTTGCAACTAAAGGCCCTGGACCAGCAGCATTCCCTGGAAGCTCGTTAGAAATGCAGAATCTCAGAATCTGCATTCCAAGATCTCCAGGAGATTTGTGTGCAAAGAGCTTGGAAACGCTGCTGCTACAGGTAGACGTGGAGCTAGAGGATAAACACGTAGGCTCTGGGGAGTGCAAAAGGGGTGAAATGCCATCTAAGCCCTTGACTTCTCCCCCTTGATGTAATGAAGATAACAAAATCTTCATCTTGGATTGTGGTGATGATTCAGCTTGACGATGTCTGTACCTGGTACTTAGCACTCAGTATATATGAGCTTCTATTTTGTTAGGATCGTTACTGTTTTTAATCCTGAAATGCAACCTGCTCAGTTGGCCAGCCTGCTATGAGCATGTGCTGGCTGTGTTTTTTGTCCAGCTCAGCCCTCGTCCTGCCAGCATCAAATGTCTTTTCTCTCTGGGAACTCAGACACAGGGACCAGAAAGTTCATGGCTCAATCCAGACTGTCTCCGATCCCAGAGTTGTTTTTCCTGTGAAAATCATGTGATTGCTCCATCGCTAGGGAAAGTCAAACAATAAAAGGGTGTAGGTTCTCGTAATTGCTGTGGAAGCTGCAAATGTGGAGTGTTTCTGTGCCAGCTGGAGAGGAGAAGGATTTGGGAAGGAGGGTTCCAAATCCTGCCTCCCAGACTTATTGGTTGTGGTTCAACTCTGGACTGAGAGTCTGAGGAGGTGGCCCCGTGAAGATTGGAGAATCAATCACTGATCTGCGACAAACAGTGCATAGCATCAAGCAATTCTGTGCTTTCAAGGATAGCAGTCTCCCTCAACAATAGCACTTTCTTTAAAAGCCCTCTTCATTCATTTAAAAAAACATTAATTAAGCATTCCCTAAGTGCCAGGCATTGCACTATTATCTCATTTCATCATCAAAGTTACACTTTGGGGCCGGTATTACTCTCATTTTACAGGCAAGAAAACAGGCTCAGAGATGTTTGGTTCTAGGGTTAAACAGCCATTGGATAACAGAATTGGAATCATACAGAGGTTGCCCTGAGTCCACAGTCCCCCTCTGGGTCACCCTATGCTACTACTTCTCCCCAATCCAGGAAAACATGGTGTTGGAGGATGGAGCCCCTTTTAGTGAAAGACTGGGCTGTTTGTTATTCTTTGTGTTTTTCCCTCCTACTGTTGAGACTGGCACCATCTCCTCAAGTCACTCTGCCAATCCCTTCATTCTCTGAGAGGGAGGACATTAGTCCACTATGAACTACAGTGTTGCATTCGCAAACTGCAAGAATTGAAAATAATGTCTCTTACTTTCTTTCACGTTTCCATTCGAGAAACATTTATTGAACATGTCAAGAATTACACAGAGAAGTAAAAAGGAGCCATGGGTCTTGCTTGGGGGACAAGAGTGTGATAGAATGAGTCCTGGCCTCTGGGAGAGTGGACAATATGTGATAGTTTTATGGGTCTAAAAGGAGGGATTTCAGGCAAAGGGAACAACGCAAGCAAAGGTACAAAGACAGAGAGTATATCTTTGTGCCTACCTTTTTTTTCTTTTTTTTTTTAATCACTAAAATGCAGGTTTCCTGAAATAAAAGCCAATTGGAATTATTTTTATTTTTATTTTATTTCATTTCATTGCATTGCATTCCATTTTATTTTTTTTTTTGAGACAGAATTTTGCTCTTGTTGCCCAGGCTGGAGGGCTATGGCATGATTTTGGCTCACTGCAATCTCTGCCTCCCAGGTTCAAGCAATTCTCCTGCCTCAGCCTCCCAAGTAGCTGGGATTACAGGCATGCGCTACCATGCCCGGCTCATTTTGTATTTTTAGTAGAGATGGGGTTTTACCATGTTGGTCATGCTGGTCTGGAACTCCTGACCTCAGGTGATCCACCTGCCTCAGCCTCTCAAAGTGCTGGGATTACAGGTGTGAGCCACCACGCCCAGCCCACCGATTGGAATTTTTAAGAGCAAAGTTTGTTTTGAATTTTAAATGAATTCAAAATAATAAAATTCATAGCATCCAATAATTCCTAACACTATGACCCAGGCACTGTCCTAAACACTTGATGTACATTAACTCATTCAATCCTCATAAGAACCTATAAGGTGGGTGCTAATATCCCCATTTCAGAAATGAAGAAACCGAGGCACAGAGAGGCTAAGTAACTTGCCAAAGACCTGTTAAATGATTTAATGATTAAGTGAATGAGTCAGGATCCAAATCCAGGCCTCCTGGCTCCTGAGTCTGTAATGTTTCCCATCTGCTGTATTGCCTCTCCAATGCCAAGCAATCTAACATACCGCTGCAGCCTCTGGCAATCTCATTTTGGAAGTACTTTTTCATAACTCATTTCTAGTGCACAGCAGGGCTGTGGCCCAGGAGACCTGTGGCTGTCCTACAAATATCTGTGTAATAAAATAATAATAGCAGTTAATATTTGTTGAGTACCTGCTAATATTTATCAAGTTCCAGGCATACTTAATGCTCACCAAAACCCTCAGACATAGGTGGATTGTTCTCCCCACTTAGTAACTATGGAACTAGGGCTCAGAAACTGACCCAGGATGGCCCAGCTAGAAGCTGGCAGAGCTGAGTGAGCCATCCCAGGTCATCTGAAACCAGAGCTTCCCTTCCCAGCAGCACTCCCATGGGGCCTTTCTGTCACGGGAGGAGTTTAACTTTCCTCTTTTCTGGTTTTCTTGTCTGTCAAATGGGAATAAAATAACTAATATCTGTGTGTAACACTGTAGATTACAGAGGATTCTCTGGTGCACAATCTCATTTGAATCTCCCAGCAACCCTATCAAGAACAACACCCCTTCCAACGAGCTCGAGAGATCTTTAGAGATCTTTAGGTTCTAACCACTGCATTCCCAGAGGATGTTCTCTGGTTGTTGGCTAAACCCCTGCCTTCCATACACTGCCACTGGTGGAGACAATAGAACAAACAGGAAGAGCAGTCTCGGGCCATCCACAATGGCTCACACCTGTAATCCCAGTGCTCTGGGAGGCTGACACAGGAGGATCACTGAAGGCCAGGACTTGGAGACCAGCCTGGGCAACATAGTGAGACCCTGTCTCTACAAATAAATTAAAAAGTAGCCAGATGTGGTGACACACACTTATAATCCCAGCTACTCAAAGGGGTTGAGGCGGGAGGATCGCTTGAGCCCAGCATTCGAGATTGCAGTGAGCTATGACGGCACTACTGCACTCTAGCCCAGGAAACAGAATGAGACCCTGTCTCTTTAAAAAAAAAAAAAAAAAAGAGTAATTTCATTCATGCAAGGAATGTGTATCCCTTTCCACAAAGATTAAGACTGACCAACAAGAGAATTATCTCACCCCATTGATCAGAAGTGAGAGGGTACATGGACCAGAAGGGCTTATTGGCATTGTGGGGTGATGGCCTGGAAAGCCCTGGACGGAAATAGGTATGACTGTCCCTAGGGAACTGGTGGGGCGCCCACGGGGTAGAGGGTAACTGCCCTGGGTCCCAGCACAGGGTAAAGGATGTCTCCCCCAACCCAGCTGCCCTCAGGTCCAGAGGTGGCCTTGCATTTGAAATATAGCCAGTTAAAACAAGGGCATGGGCCCACACATGCAGCTCACACGGAAGGTTAGCAGGGAACAGAGAACTATCAATAGTTCAGAGCCTCGAACTCATCCTGTGTGTGATGTGAGTGAGAATCACTCCAAATCAGCACCCCAGCACGATTCTGGCAGCTCAATCTTGTGCGATCTAACAAAAGAAATAATTCACAGGCCAGTGAGGCAATCCACACTCCAGGCAGTCCTCCTGGATGAAGAATCCATCCACAAGATACCAAAAAGATCCCATAGATATGAATCCAAGAGCTTCTCGGGGTCTCTGGTCAACTCCACGAGTGATAGTGGGTGAAGAGTGCTCCGAGGTGAAAAAATGGGAACAGAAGTGAGGACGTTGCATTTGGGTCTTGATCCAGGCTCAGGGTCACCCACCCAGATAGCACTGTCAGCCCCAGCTGGTGTCACAAAGCGTAGAACCCCTGAGGCCTGGATCCTGGGCCAGGCCTCCATTTGTTTGGTTTAAGGGCAGCATTGCCAGTAATACACCTACTTTTTATTCCTGAGGCTGGAAAAGTCAGATACTAAACTAGTTTTCCCGTCTCTCTTGCAACTAGGCATGGCCATGTGATTCAGTCCTAGCCACTGAGATATAAGTGAGAATTTACCAGGTTGGGAGGAGGTGTTTTAGAAAGATTTTCCTCCCTGATATTAAAAAAAAAGCCTCTTTTCCAGCCCAGATCACTTTCTTCTTTCCTTAAATAAGCTTTCTAAAGATGAGATACCTGGAGCTGTGGCAGCCATTTTGCAATCACAAGGCAACAAGCCAAAGATAAAGAGACAAAAAGCCTAGGATGAGAGAGTAGAAAGAGCCAGGGTCCTTTTGCCATTATTATTATTTTATTTTATTTTTATTTATTTGAGACGGGCTCTCGCTCTGTCACCCAGACTGGAGTGCAGTGGCATGATGTCTGCTCACTGCAACCTCCATCTTCCAGGTTCAAGTGATTCTCCCAAGTAGCTGGGATTACAGGTGCTTGTCACCATGCCCGGCTAATTTTTGTATTTTTAGTAGAGACAGGTTTCACCATGGTGGCCAGGCTGGTCTCAAACTCCTGACCTCGAGTGATCCACCTGCCTCAGCCTCCCAAAGTTTTGGGATTACAGGCGTGAGCCACCACACCTGGCCCCTTTTGCCATTATTAAACAAGATACTCTGGGACTTCTAATGTCCAGACTGTTCAGGTCAGGTAATGAAATTTCTTTACTCTGTGAGTTACTATAGCTGGTTATTCTGATACTTGCAGCTGGAAAGCATTCCTACAAAATATAGGCTAAAATCATCAAAGTCCAGCTCAAGGGTGGGCTAAGTGCTGGGTCCTATGGGAGATGCTCAACAACATCTCAAAAATTGGAAGAATCTCTTCTCTAAAAAAGTTTCCAGTCTAGACATGAGACAAATGTGCAAACAGATGTGACTTCTGTGTCATGCTAGT
Source organism: Homo sapiens (assembly GCF_000001405.40). NCBI lineage: Eukaryota > Metazoa > Chordata > Mammalia > Primates > Hominidae > Homo > Homo sapiens. Next base: position 81,444,791 of record NC_000014.9, on the reverse strand, counting down.
AACACCTGAGAGGGTACAAAGGTTCAATCAATTTCCTAAAAGAATTCAATCTTATTTAGCTAACTATGATCACAGATGTAAATTCATGGGTGGTGGAAGACATTATTTATTTTTTATGAAGCTGTCTTTTAATTCAGAGAGATTCGGTGACAGGTGGAACTCCCAGGGTTTCTTTTCTCTCAGATCTCCCTTTTTCTCTGACCCTCCCTTCCATGTGCTCGTCAGTTTCTGCCCTCATCTCCAGGTGCTGCCTCTGTCCTGGTGGTTGCTATTTGTGGGATCATGGTCATGAGCCTCTACATTTCTAATTCCGTCCTGGAAGGGCAGGAGAGAAGAACTCCTTGTGGTTGGTAGATCCTTGAGGTCCTTTTAAAGATTAAGCTTAGTTTAAAAAAAATATTCACAGTGGAGCAGCTAATAATAGTTAAACAAAACTTTTTCTTGGTACATATTGACTTCTTTGAAAGCGTAATGTTAATGGGTTGTTAACCTGCTTCCCATCAGTGTGTTTAATGAAATACTCAAATCCTGCTTCCCATCAGTGTGTTTAATGAAATACTCAAAATAGGTGACAGGGACAGCACACACTATTCCCCACACAAAAATGTCAAGATCGCGAAGACAGTTGCTAAAAAGGGGGTCTGGTGTAACAAAATGCAGGATGGCATAAGAGAAGGGGCACCTTTGTGAGACTGGGGGAGTCAGGGAAGCCTTCACAAAGGAGTAGCATTTGTTGGGACCTCAAGGACAATTAGGAATGTATTAGGACACTTGGGTGCAAGTGACAGAAACTCAACTCAAACTAGTTTAAGAAAAAGAGACTTAATTGTAAGGAAAATGGAATTGCTTTCACAAAATAAAAGGAAAAGCTGAATGACCTAAAGGAAGGAAGGGCAAGGAAATAGCGGGTCTTCAGCACAAGTGTATTAGAGCAGTGGTCCCCAACCTTTTTGGCACCAGGGACTGGTTTCTTGGAAAACAATTTTTTCCATGGTAGCAGGGGTGGGGGAAAGGGGGGTGGTTTCAGGATGAAACTGTTCATCTCAGATCATCAGGCATTAGACTCTCATAAGGAACACACAACCTAGATCCCTCGCATGCACAGTTCACAATAGGGGTAGCCCTCCTATGAGAATCTAAACCACTGATCTGACAGGAGGTGGAGCTCAGGCAATAATTCTCACTCACCTGCTGCTCACCTCCTGCTGAGTGGCCCAGTTCCTAACAGGCCATGGACCAGTACTTGTCTGTGGCCTGGGGGTTAGAGACCCCTGGAGTAGACAATGTCTACTTTACTTGCCTCAGTTTCTCTCTGCATCTTAAAACAGAGAAAGAATAACTCCAATGTGCTGTTCTTGGTATGAAATTCTCAGGAAATCTGATCGGTTCACCTTGGTTGGGTTGCCCACATGTAGGACAATCAGCTGTGGTCAGGAATATGAAGTCACATGAGAACTTATCAGTTCCTGCTAAAATCATGTGCTTGGAGACAGTGGAGGAGGATCCCCCAGAAGAAAGGGGCAGGTGTTTCCATAGGAATGCTGTTATACTGTAGTTATTGTTGGTGGTGTGCATATGGTATTGGGCAGATAAATACAAATAAGCAGAGAAGAGAAATGGAAGATGATAAGGATGACTAGTTGATGAATAGCACACTGGGTAAAGGGAAGAGTATGTTCAAAGGCACAGAAACGTGATGGTATTGGTACGTTCTGGGAACTAGAAATAGATCATCATTGGTGGAATGGGAAGTTAAAGAGGAGGATGACAGAAGTTAAAGATGGAGAAGTAGGCTAAGGCTAATTAAGGAGGATCTTGTATCTCATCATAAGGAACTAAGATTTTTCCCATAAGTAATAAAGAGCCATTGAAGGAATTTTAATAGGAGAGAGAAATGATGATATTTATGTATTAGATCATTCCAATCGCTATGAGAGGGGGGGGATCAGAGCAATGTTTACAAGTGTGGTACCCACGACAAACTGATTTTACTTGGTGCAAGAGCTGGTTCTAAGTGGTATGCAAAAGGGAAATTGAATTTCATTGGCTCATATAGTGAGAGAGTTATTCTCTTTAAAATTCTCTTTTAGTCTGTTTGATTAACTTGAGGAGAAATGATCCATTTGGTGCCTGTATGTGTTTCATGTCTCTCCAAGGCTTGGTAACCTCCCTTTTCATCAAAGAAAGAGCAGGGCCTCAAACTCAGAACCTTCAGCAACCAACAATATCCAGCCAAGATTAAATAGTGTAGTTTTGTTTTTATTGTATGATTTTTATGGTTAATGATCTCTTTATGGCAAATGACACTGGTTTTTCATTGATGATAATGATATCAAAAATCCTTTCTAGGAAAACTGAGCAAAATGAAAGCCAATTCAAAGAAGAAGGAATTAAGTACATAATTGTGCAGATGATACATGGAAATGGTAAGAATGGTGACAATGGGACGTAAGTGACTGAAATTTGGGATACATTGGATTAGAAGAAAATAAGCCCCCAAGAAACCGGTAAGAAGGATATTGCAACAGCACGAGAGATTTTAAACTCCTTGATATCAGAAAGACTTATCTTCTATTAATTTTGTTTTCCTCTCAGGAATAAGTCTGGAGGGCAGCAAGAGTGACTGTCCAGCTAAGAACCTCATCAGCAATACAAAACATTGTCACAGATGTTGAAACAGACCCTGAGGTTAATGCATTCTTTCCAACATTAGGTCCTAAAACTTCTCCTGAAAAGCTACCTTAAATCTAACTTTTGAAAGTGCACAATAAAGGTGAATTAAATAAAAGCAACTTGAAATTTTTACTTATCCTTCAAATTCCTCAAATATCACTTCCTCTGAGAAGCCTTCCCTGATTTTTCTGTGTCTCCTTGGCAGCTCCTTGCCCTGCGCTTTCAGCGAAGCTTCCTACACATCTAAGCAGAGCTGTGGTAGAATGGTTTCTTTGTGTGCCTCCTCATCAGGCTCTAAGTTGTCCAGTGACTCTGTCTTTCATCCTTTATATCCACACCCGTTGAGACTGTTCTGGCACAAAATACGTATGAGTCCAATAAATATTTGTGCAACAAATGAATCTTGCAGTGAGGACACCACATTATAGAAGAACAATTGGAAAGTCATTACATTCCATCTGGGCGGGGTGGCTCATGCCTGTAATCCCAGCACTTTGGGAGGCCCAGGCAGGCGGATCACGAGGTCAGGAGATCGAGACCATCCTGGCTAACACAGTCAAACCCCTTCTCTACTAAAAATACAAAAAATTAGCCTGGTGTGGTGGCGGGCGCCTGTAGTCCCAGCTACTTGGGGGGCTGATGCAGGAGAATGGTGTGAACCTGGGAGGTAGAGGTTGCAGTGAGCTGAGATTGCGCCATTGCACTCCAGCCTGGGCAACAGAGCGAGACTCCGTCTCAAAGAAAAAACAAAACAAAAAAACAAAAAAATTACATTCCATGTTATTGATTTCAAGTACAGTAAAAGTTCAAAGATGGAAAAGATCAATATGAATAGAGGATGTATTGGAGGAGTTAGGATGTTACGGAGCTTGAGCTGGAAACAGGAAATCTAAATAAAGATTCTTCAATACCACTTCAGCATCTTACTAGCAAGATTTCCTACTTGGAAGTGTGTGTGTGTGTGTGTCTGAGTGTTGGAGTGTGTGTCTGTGTGTGTCTGAGAGTGGGGTGTTGGAGGGAAGGAGGGAAAGGGCCGGGTCTTTGTAATGAATTTCTCTTGTACCTTTTTCCTCTCACCTTTCTCAAGACCAACCCTTTAGAATTTGGCTGTCATTGTCTACAATCCTTCCTGTTCCTAGCATGTTCCAAAAAATGCCTGGCCCACAAACATGTGTGGGGTGGAAGAAGTACTTTGCCATAAAGACAAAACTAAACCCTCTCTTATGGACTGAAGTTTATTAAGAGTTTATAGAGAGGAGAAGAGTGGGAGCTGTGAGATCTTATGAAGGGTTTCTAGTGGATACAGGGTTGATCTGGGTGTGAGACATAAAGACACAGATTTACCCACACCCATGACCACCAGTATTCTTCCAAACTGCCGACTAAAATGGCGCTAGTCCTCCAAGCCAGCAAGAGCTGCACTGCTGTATTGGTAGCCTCTAACCACATGTGGCTATTTAAATTTCAACACAATTTAAAATTCAGTTCTTCAAATTGCACTAATCACATTTCAAGTGTCCAATAGCCACACATGCCTAGTGGCTTCCATATTAAATAGCTCAGATAAAGAACATTTCCATCATCTCAGAACATTCAGTTGAAAAACGCAGATCTAAAGAGTACATCTTCTCTGGGATGCTGAAGGTGGGAGCCACATTTAACTGCTTTTCACAGGCTTGGAAAAGTTCCTTTTCACTTTTAGCTACTATACCGTAGGATTTAACCAACACGTCCATTACTGATGGTTTCCACACTTTCAGAATGTATGTATTCTCAGAGAGCATGCAGTGAATTTTCTTTAACAATTCAGTGGTTTTTAGCACATTCACAAAGTTGTATAACCATAACCACTAATTACAGAACATTTTCATCACCCCAAAAAGAAAGTTCATAGCCATTAAGCAGTCACTCCTCATTTCCCCTTGGCAACCACTAATCTGCTTTCTGTCTCTGTGGATTTGCCTATTCTGAATATTTCATGTAAATAGAATCATACAGTGTGTGGCCTTTTGTTTCGGGCTTCTTTCACATAGCATGATGTTTTCTAGAGTTATCCATATTTTGGCTTTTATCAGTACTTCATTTATTTTATGCCTGAATAATATTCCATTATGTGGATATACAGTAAGTTCTCACTTATTGTCATTGATAGGTTCTTGAAACGGCAACCTTTAAGCAAAACAATGTATAAAAACCCCCAATTTTCCCATAAGGGAATTGACATAAACAAGAATAAAGTTCCTCCAGCACATTTCTGGTCACAAAAACATCACCAAACTGCTAAATAAAGAGCAAAAATCCTTCTAATATTAAATTTGGAAATAAATGTGAGCTATATGTACACTTTTAAAAGATTAATAAAAACAAGTAAGATAATTATTTGCCCCATTACTCCAGTTCAAGGTCTCAGGTGATTGGAGCCCATCTGGCTGCTCAGCACGCCAACAGGGAACCAGTCCCAAACAGGACATCATTCCATCGCAAGCCTCTCTCTCTCTCTCTCTCTCAGACACACACACACACACACACACACACACACACACACACACACACATCACTCTCATTCTGGGACAATTTAGACATGCCAATGAACCTAATGTGCACATCTTTGGAATGCAAAAGGAAACTGGAGTACCTGGAGAAAACCCATGCAGATGTGGGGAGAACATGCAAACTTTCAGCTGGGAGTTGATCTTTTTTTTCTCATCAACATCCTAATGAAACAACGTTATTGGAGGACCTTCTGTGCTATTTAATACATTTTGTTTATCTATCATTAATCGACGGGCGTTTGGGTGGTTTCTACCTTCAGCTATTATGAATAATGATGCTACGAACATTTGTGCACAAGTTTTTGTGTAGGCATATGCTTTCAGTTCTCTTGGGTGTATATCAAGGAATGGAATTACTGGGTCATATGGTAACTCTATGTTTAACTTTTTGAGAAATAGCAAAACTGTCTTGTAAATTAACTGCACCACTTCACCTTGTGTTCATTTAAAGAAGAGCTTATTCTTCTCTTGGCCTGACAGTGCTTGACACACAGAAACTACCTATTATTGTTGGATTGGATGGATGATCGCTTTGCTCCACACCAAATATCCTTCCAGTCTGGAACTGAAGAATGCCCTGTTGAAGACCACGATAGGGTGTGGCCCTAGTCTCCTTAATACCACCCTATTAGCCTGTCAGGGGTTTTCATCAGTCACTTCATGTTTATTAAGTACCTACTTAATTGGGGATACACTGATTGAGGATACATCGCTAAGTAATGCACAGTGTGCTAGTTAGAAAGATGGCCATTTGAGCAGATCACTAGAATGCTGTTGCTTATTGATGTTATGGGAATATAAGACCGGCAAGAGGTTCACAGCTTAGCCTGGGAGAATGAGTGAAGGCTTCACAGAGGAAAGAATATTTGAGTTTTGAGCACTAAGCAGTAGTCACCAGGGAAGAAATGCGATACAGGGGGCGAACTAAATAAAGCATTTTGCTAGAGACAGAGAACAGACCAAGACATAAGCAGTTCCTGGCCTCAGTAAGATTCCAAGGTAATGGAAGTAGAATTCAGGTTCTTCTTTCACTTGTCACTCTTCCTTCATTTGCCATCCTTTCACTTGTCATCCCTGGGCTGAGTTTAATGTGATGTGATGAGGGTTGAGCAGTTTGACAAACCATCTTGGGTCAGCTTGGTTCTCTGGCTGAAACAGTCCTTCTTCTTTGGAGTGATAGTTTGACCAATCCAAATGGAACTTCTGCTTTGGCAGAAGCCACAGCTATGGAAAGCCAGCAACCTGAATTATGGGCTGATGTCTCCATGTGCTTCCGATGCTTGGAGAGGGATGCCCATGAAAGAACTCTCCTCACACAGTCCACACCACCCCGTGCTCTGTCTGGTGTTCCTCCCAGGTGAGGTTCAACCCATGCGTGTCCACCTATTCAATATAAAGTGAATCAACTGAGGCCCGGCGCGGTGGCTTACGCCTGTAATCCCAGCACTTTGGGAGGCCGGGGCGGGCCGATCACTTGAGGCCAGGAGTTTGAGACAGCCTGGCCAACATGGTGAAACCCCGTCTCTACTAAAAATACAAAAATTAGCCGGGCGTGGTGGCACGTGCCTGTAATCCCAGCTACTCAGGAGGCTGAGGCATGAGAATAGCTTGAACCCGGGAGGCAGAGGTTGCAGAGAGCCAAGATCGTGCCACTGCACTCCAGCCTGGGCGACAGAGCGAGACTCCGGCTAAAAAAAAAAAAAAAAAAAAAAAATTGAAGTGAATCAAGTGTTTGTCCATTGATATAAACTGGAGAAAACAGAGGTAATTTCCTCTTGGGGTCTTGGGCTCCTCAAAGTAAATGACTGTAAGCTCACCCTAAGGTAAGGGTCAACACTGTTCAGAGTGGGTGAAACTGTTAAAGCCTTGAGTCTTTACTTCTCTCCTAAGCCAAATTTCTTGCTCAAGGCGTTCTGTCAACATAGGAGAATAAACAAGGGGGAAATGTCTGTAGAAAAATGTCTACATACTTGCTTTCAAGGTAGTGCCACCAAGCCAAAGGTCCTACAATGTAAGTTGTGTTACTTACTTCTACTCATTTCCTATCTGGGTGTTTAGAGAGGGTGTTTTATGAGTAGCAGAACAAAGGTCTGGTGGCACCCAGATTTATGTTTTGTTTTCATTCCTTAGAAAGATTCAGGGCAGGTGGGAGAAGAGACGGAGGACAGAGCAATTTCAATTCCCTATACGCCCTCGGTTCTAACCAGTGCCTCTCCTCCACAGTGTGGAGTGACTGCTGGTGTGTCTTTCAATGAAAATCTCTCCAGACTAAAAACTGGTGTCACTTGTCCACATGTTCACGGGGCATATGGATGTTCTTATGACAGCCTCTGTATTTCTGAATTAATAAATGTAAAGCGTTTGGAATAGTGCCTAGTAAATAATATGCACCATAAAAACGTTAGGGTCATTATCATTATCCAGCCTCATCTCTCTAGCTAGGTATGAACTTCCCTGTAATTGAAGATCTCACCATTTTTATCTTTTTTCCCCCTAAACACCTAGCACGGTGTTTTTAATAATTTGTTGGCGTGATTAAGACCTTAAACAAGTTGCTCTCCCTTTGAGAGCTCAGGTAGGACCACTGAGAGGTTGTGTGTAGAGTCCGATATGAGTCCACAGAACTATTTGGCGCCCGCTGTTTACAAGCCACTGTCCTGAGCCTACGCCCTTTGTAGAGTCAAAAGTATCAATAAATGAACGTACAGGAGTGAGGCTGGTTGAGCAATGATTCCCGCTCCTAGGAGGTCTCAACTACCAGCCCGCAGGCGGAGCGGGTGGGACTCCCATGCGCTCCCCATTCCACGCCATTTCCATGTCGCTCGAATCGATGCTTTCCGTGTTGCCTCGTGCCTGGACGGCCGGCCCCACTAGGCGCAGAGGGGAAGAATCCCAGCTTCGGGGTCTGGTTGGGGCCCCGGGAGCCGCGGGAAAGCGAGTCTGCGGCGCGGGAAGCTTGGCCAGCAGATCCCGGCGGCGCCCGGCCAGTCCCCCCGCCCCGGCTCCCCGGCTGCCCAATCATGGCGCGGCTCGGGAGCGCGCCGCGGCCAATCAGGAGCGGCGGGAGCGGCGCCGGGAGCCGGCGGGCGCAGAGCGAGCTCGAGTCTGGAGCCGGCGTCGGCGCTGCGGCCGGGAGGGATCGTGGCGAGAGCAGTGCGGCCGGGTGGGTATCCCGCGGCCAGAGAAGCCGGCTTTGCCGCGGCGACCTTTCGGCGGACGCCGGGGACCCTGCGGACCGCGGCGCAGGTAACTGCACCCACGCCCCGCAGCAGGAGGCGAGCGCGCCCCCCAAGAGGGGCCCCGCAGGTGGAGCGGGCGGGGGGCGGGGGCGGGGGCGGGGGCGGGCCGGCCGCGAGGTCCTAGCGCCGCTGTGCCCCCTGGCGCCCCCGAGCCTGCCTGGTCGAGCCACGCGGAGGCGCGGCGTTTCCACCAGCCGCGGGCGTCCCGGGGTGGGGGAGGACGAGGGGACTCTGCTTAAGGCAGGTAGGGGTGGAGGAGGACTCCTGCGACACCTGGCCCCATACACAGACACTTCTGGCCGACGGGTGTCTTCGAGATTGGGACGCCCAGGATGTCTTCATCGGCCCGAGTGGGGAGGCGACAACAGGTGTCCCTGGGGACGGTGCTTCCCCTACACTCCCCTCGCCTGAAACCCCGGGTTGGCGCCGCGCCCCGCCTTCGGGGTGTCGGGAGGCAGGACCCCAGCTTGGCCTCAGGCGCTCTGCCCGCTGGACAGCGCCCAGAGGCGGCCTGGACGTGGGGCTTGGATGGAGTTTTCTCTGCGCGTTGCCAAGCAATTTGCCTGACACCCGCCTCTCGCTGGGATGAAGAGTTGAAGATGAGAGTGCGTGTGTGCGCGCGCGTGTGCGTGTGTGTGCATTCGTGCGTGTGTGTGCGCGTCCGTGTGTTCTGGTGCAACCCCTACTGGAAGGAGCTGCCTGAGGGCTGTGAGTGAATCATTAACTGTGCTTTTGTGCAGCTCCTGGTCTCTGCCTGCCTCCCCGCCTCTCCCGACGCTCCCCGTTTCCCCCTTGAGCAGGTCCTTCTTACTCTCTGTGCCTCCCTCTCCTGATCTGTAAGGTGGCGATAATGATTGCACCGGTCTGATAGCGTTGTTTTGAGGATTATATGAGCCAATGCCTGAAAAACACCCAGCACAGCGCTAAGCACTCAATAAATACCGGCTCTTATTATTTATTATACGGAGTGGATGGGCTTTTAAAGAGTAAATCAGACGTGTCCAAACTGGCCTAGCAACCATTTGCAGCTCTGAACAGCTTTCTACACTTGAAAGGAAAAAAATGCTATTATTAATGAGACCGATGGTATCTTTAAAGGTAGCATGTCCTTTTGGGGGGCGGTAAAAAACCGATCCATTGGAATGGTGAGAGAGATAAATGCATTCCAACTAGTAACTGAGAAAAGCTTTGTGACCTTTGAAAAAATTGGTATGAATATTGTGTGAAAATAATATCATGGTACTTTGTTAAGTGTTCACCTTTCAGTAGCATGGCTGATTTGGGGGAAGTATTTGAAAGTTTTATACTTTTTACTCCTCCCTTAAACGAAAAGGTAAAATTAAAAAGAGAGGGAGGGAGAAAGAGAGAGAGAGAAAAAAAACTCAACCACACAGCAAAAATGCCAGTGGCTCATAGAAACCTAAAATTGCAGTTGCTACTTTTAGGTGTTTTTTTTCCTATGCCTGACCTGGGTGGTCTGGTTTAATTCTTTGTCACTGTGTCACTTTCTTTTCTTGGTTAATCTGAAAAGTCAATAATTGGCCCGTTTTATTTTTCTTTTTAAAACTTAAAATATCGACATGTAGCGGACCTGCTTGGAGTTCTGAACCCCCTGCTCAATTGCCTCCTACTGTGTGACGAATCCAAAAAACCTTCTCAAAGCTTCTCTAGGGTGATGTCAGTGGGAATCTGTCTTACCACACCATACTACCCCCTATCCCCCAACCCATAGGCTAGGAACTGGGGAAAGGATGCAAACAAAATGCCCCAGTTCTTCTAGGGTCTCTTGTGCTTTTGCCAGGAGCCTTAGAATGAATACATTGACTTAGAGGAAATGCTTATCTTCTCAGGGGGTAAGAAGCCCACTTCCAGATGCAATCTTTCAAGTCTCAGATTAGCATGGCAGCCCTTTCAGTTGTTGATAAGAGGACTTTTACTCTCTCCAGTGGCGTGGGAGGATCTGAACGCTTGCTGCTGGGGGTAGTAAGAGAGATGTGTTGGGCGGGGCAAAGACTTCTGAGTTCAGAGCCAGACTCCCACCTCGTGAGATCTCAGACTGTGACTGATTCTGGGAAACTTCAACAAATTGCTTTGTTTTTCTGAGCCAGGCTTCTGCTTTATAAAATGAGTTGTTGAATTTTTAATTTTATTATTATTTTTTCTTAGAAGTTGTTCTAAGGATAGTACTAATGAATGGAGGCGCCGTGGCACAGTTCCAGGGATGTGGTTACAGGTCTGTAGCATCCAGAGAAGATCTTAAAAGTTATACCTGGGAAAGACACAAAAAGCTTGACCGAGGGGTAACACTTGAGCTGAGTGTAGAATGATGAGCAAGTCTCTTGTGCAGGCAGGGGTGAGGTGGGATTGGAAACAAGGTAGAGCAGAGAAGAGAAGACATTCCAGACTGAGAGAAGTGATCAAAAGGACTGTTACAGTCAGTTTAACGGTAAATAACAAGTAACCCCCAAATCTCAGTGATTTATAACAGCCAAGATTTAGTTCCCTCTCATGCTGCATGTCCAGTGTAAGTCAGGCATAGTTCTACCCCTCACTTGTCATCATTCTGGGACCCACTGAGGCTTAAGAAACAGCTTCTCTCTGGGACAATGTGGATCTTATTTATGACAAAGGGAAAAAGGACATGATAGAACAAAACTGTAGCATCTAAAGTCTGCTCAGAAGTAGCAGCCATCACTTCAGCTCTCATGCTGTTGGTCAAGGTAACTCACATGGCAAAGTCTGCTGTCCGTGGTATGGGGAAGTCTAAACCAGCTGCAGACAGCAAGGTATGGCTGAGCAGGAGGAAAAGTGCTGAAGGAAACAAGATCAGGAGGTGGCCCAGTGGCAGATGATGAAGGACCCTGGGTCGGGTGCCAGGGGATTGGGACTTTATCCATTGGCAGGGAGCAGCCACTGAAGAGTTTTGAGTTGGGCTTTGACAGGGTCAGATTTTCCTGCTGAACACACATTTCTAGTGGCCAGGTGGAGAGAAGATTGAAATAGGTGAGCTAAAAAGCAAGAGGCGATGAGGGCCAGGGCAAATACGGTGGCCTGCAGTCTCTCTCTCACCATCTGTTACATGACTTCAAATTCCACTGCTAGAAACTGATTTAGTTGGCGCTTGAGCAGCTTGCCTTCTTCACAAGTTCTCTCCTAAAATGCACGTGCTCTCTCATCTTGAAGTCGTTATTTTATATCACCTGAAGCAGTGGATCTCAAACTTTAGTGTGCATCCGAATCACTTGGAGGGATTGAGAAAATGCAGATTGCTGGGCCTGGCCCCCTGAGTTCCTGAATCAGTCAGTCTGGTCTGGGGCCTGGAAATGAGTATTTCTGACAAGTGCTCAGGGGATACTGATGCCGCTGGTCCCACCCTTTGAAAACCACTAAACTAAGGGGAGACATTAAGATGTGATTGAGATAAATATCTGAATAGAAGAGTCCAATGGAAGGAGGAAAAGGGCTGGAAGGTCTCAGCATTCTCCATGCAGAAGTTTTGCTGAAGGCTGGCTCTGGCCATGAGCAGTAGGCTCTGTAAGAGTAGCTGAGTCTCTAGGTGTATATTAAATTGCAGATGCAATGCTCATAGTGAGAAAATGAAAAAAGCTTGGGTCCAGAGAAGAAGCATACAAGTGCTGCTTTGTCCCATCCCTTTGTAATTTTGCCCAGACTTCCCATCCTGTCATCTAGCACACACCCTTTTGTCTGGCTCCAGACCTCTCACTCAGGCCTGTCCACATATTCCAATCCTGATCCATCACACTTCTTGTCATTCCAGCTATAATTTCTTCTGGAGCTGAGCTTTCCCACTGGGTGGACATTTGGCTGAATTTTCATATAGTCAGACCAAGAAATTGCTTGCTTTACTTGAGGTCACCATCATAATTAAACATCTGTGCCATGTGGTCATACAGATTGTGATCAGCACCTACCCCCAAGATAAATAACCCCCTGAGAACCCAAGATTGTCCATGGTTTGGCTTATACTACGAGATGGAGCAAGTTACTACAATTCCCCCCAACTGTGACTCATCACTCCTGTAACAACAGGGCATGCCAGAAATGGACGTAAAGGAGCAAATATGTTGGGGTGTCTAATGTGACACGGGAAATAAAACACAGTGAGAGTGTCTTTTTTTTTGCTATGGTTTTTCTCATTCGTAAGCATGGCACAAATTTGAACTCTACCTAGGGTCCCAATAAACCAGTGGTTTACCAGCATGTGACAGAGAGCATGTAAATGCATGAAATACTTCTAGGATCACCATTCTAAGTGCTGGCTACCAGATTAGAATATTTGTTTGAAGGTAGGATGAGTGCAGAATTATCCATCGGGGTATGAATAGAAAATTCTAGAAATTCTATATGCATTTTATTTTTTTGAGATAGAGTTTTGCTCTTGTCCCCCAGGCTTTAGTGCGGTGGTGTGATCTAAGCTTGCCGCAACCTCTACCTCCCAGGTTCAAGGGATTCTCCTGCCTCAGTCTCCCAAGTAGCTGGGATTACAGGTACCCACCACCACGCCCAGCTAATTTTTTTTTTTTTTTTTTGAGACAGAGTTTCGCTGTTGTTGCCTAGCCTAGAGTGCAGTGCGCAATATCGGCTTACTGCAACCTCCGGCTCCCGGGTTCAAGCAATTCTCTTGCCTCAGCCTCCCTAGTAGCTGGGATTACAGGAATGCGCCACTATGCCTGGCTAATTTTGTATTTTTAGTAGAGACAGAGTTTTGCCATGTTGGTCAGGGTGGTCTTGAACTCCTGATCTCAGGTAATGTGTCCACCTTGGCCTCCCAAAGTGCTGGGATCACAGGCGTGAGCCACCGTGCCTGGCCACAGGTAATTTTTCTATTTTTAGTAGAGATGAGGTTTTACTATGTTGGCCAGGCTGGTCTCGAACTCCTGACCGCAAGTGATCCGCCTGCTTCAGCCTCTCAAAGTGCTAGGATTACAGGTGTGAGCCACTGCATCCGGCCTTCTATATGCATATTAAATGTGTATAAAATAAGAAATATAATGAGCTCATATTATAAAATGAAGTGAGTGAGATTTGAAAAGATCCTTGTTCCAGTTGAGATTTGAGAGACAAGTCATACCTTGAAGGTGTGCTTTCTGAAACAGGAGAAACTCCCCCAGGATTCTGTGTACCTTCCCAGAGGTGGATGAGAAAGCTTAGAACTATAACCTCTGTCCTGGAGGCCTGAAGCCAACTGTTTCCCTCTCCAGGTCATTTTGGAGAGCCAGCAGTTTTTCCCCCTCGTGCAGCTGTGGCCTCGGTACTGCCTTCACTTGATCTATTCTATGGTGAACTACCACAGTTCCCTCCAGCTCAGGTTTCCAGGAAACCTGGCCTGAAATTTCAAAAGGTGCAGCAAACAAAACTGTGGATGTAACTCTGAGAGCCAGTGAGAGAAGGGACACTTAAACCAGCCAGGGGGATTTGAAATGCTGAACAATTCATTAGAAGGTGCTGCCATCCCCACTGGATAACATTTACCCAGCACTTTGATATTTAAGAAATGTTAAGTATCACAGCATAGAAAAATATTATCTTCTATTATCTAGTTATATTAAATAAATGCTTATATCTCATATATATATGTTTTTTCACATCTCTAGCACTTTCAGGAGGTAGACTTTAGTGTTACTGCTCTCTTTCTGAAATGCAGTAACAAAGATAGAAACAGTTGACCAAAATTCTATAGATACATAATAGTAGGGCAGGATTGAAACTTGGATTTTTCATTCATAGTGTACAACCTTTGTCACCCCAGCTGGCTGCCTACTAACTTGGACTGGTGCCCTGAAGTGGCCTCTCTAACTGGCAAGGGGTGGTCAGTGTTCCTTGTGATGTTTCATCACAGCGAAGAGTGTGAAGCCGCTTTGCAGATTGCTAATGGCTCAGTGAAACCTTTGGGAGTTATGTTCATCTGAATGGTATTGACCATCTGCTGAGTGCAAGGCTTTGAGGAGAACGTTACGAGGAATTCAGAGAAGTATTATGCTCAGTCTCTGACACAGCCTCTATGCTGAGAGAGAAAAGACATAATATTTATATAAAATCAATGATAGTTAAACCACAGCGAGACCAACAGTAGGCAAATAATCCAGTGGGCTGTCAAGTGCTGTGAATTCAGACAGCGAGTCTTTCCCAGATTGTGCTGGGCTGGGAAGGTTCAGGGAGGAGCAGCTACTCCGGGCTGGATGGAGAAGGAGGATTTAGCTAGGTGGGAACCATAGTCTTTAGGGAAGGAATGGGTCTAAGTGAACTGTGCCCCTGCACTGGTCCACAAGTCTTTTCAGGTCCATTCACTGGACTACTGTATCTGAAGTAAAGGGGTCAAGTGGGAGAGAAGGGAAGTCGGAGCTAGATGACTTTTTTCTTTTTTTTTTTTTTGAGACAGAGTCTTGCTGTGTCACCCAGGCCGGAGTGCAGTGGCGCGATCTCAGCTCACTGCAACCTCCGCCTCCCGGGTTCAAGCAATTCTCCTGCCTCAGCCTGCCGAGTAGCGGGGATTACAGGCGCCCACCATCACGCCCAGCTGATTTTTTGTATTTTTAGTAGAGATGGGGTTTCACCATGTTGGCCAGGCTGGTCTCGAACTTCTGACCTCAGGTGGTCCACCTGCCTCGGCCTCCCAAAGTGCTGGGATTACAGGCGTGAGCCATCATGCCCGACCTAGATGACTTCTTAAAGCTGTCCTTTCTTGACTGCCATCGGACTATTTAATCTTTGCCTAAATTATCAAAAGCACTGTTTAATCTGAATGGCTGCATAACCTCCTACAAATGAAGCCATTCAGTGATTTATTAGTAGGTGAATAACACTGGACTCTGATTTGGCCCTCTTAACATGTTCATTGTATTAATAGGAAAGCACTTTGGAGCTAAGGATGTCAAACGTCTATATAAATAAAATCTAATCCTATTATAAACTCTGTCAAACTTGCAGGCAGTTGGTCCTACTCCACTTGCAGTCTAACCTGGAAAGGTCAAATGACTTGTTGAAAGTCATGCAGAAATCCCCTGGTGCTTCTATAATAACTGACCCTGCTTCCCCTGACATTTGGTGGTGTCTAGCTTAAGTCACTTCATATCTCCGTAAGGATGGTGACACTAAGAATGACATTAAGATGACACTAGGGCTCCTGTCATTTAGATAGGATTTCTCCTACTCATATTATGCCCCATGGGGGCTCTCAGCTGTGACCCCAAAGGGTCCTTGTTAATTTTAAGCTTGGGGTGAGATCATTGTACACTTCTCTTTCAGGCTTCTCCCTGGCTTTCATTGAAAGAAGGTACCATTTTAGTGCTGTGTGTCCATGCAAACACACCATCTGAATGAAAGGGCATTCTCAAGCATATTTCATGCCAAATGCCGAGAAGTAGAGTGGGACCATCAGTGGCTTTCTATCTACCTGAACTTTGAAGTTAGACACTAGACCATTGCCAGCTTGATAGTCCTTCCATTGGCTGCCCTTTGAAGTTAGCTAACTGGTTTAAAAAAACCAAATGGGATACTTTAAATGAAAACAGATTTTATTTGTTTGCCTTAGAAACGGAAAACATTTATCTTAAGTTTTTTTGGTTTTTGTTTCTGTTTTTTTTTGAGACAGAGTATCATTGTGTCACCCAGGCTGGAGTGCAGTGGCAGGATCTCAGTTCACTGCAGCCTCTGCCTCCTGGGTTCAAGCGATTCTCATGTCTCTCCTTCCCCAGTAGCTGGGACTACAGGTGTGTGCCACCATGCCTGGCTAATTTTTGTGTTTTCAGTAGAGACGGGGTTTCGCCATGTTGGCCTGGCTAGTCTCGAACTTCTGGCCTCAAGCAGCCCACCTGCCTCAGCCTCCCAAAGTTCTGGGATTACAGGCGTGAGCCACCATGCCTGGCCCATTTGTCTTAAGCTTTTAAAAGAGAATAATGATAATGCCATGGTTAAGTGGATAAGGCTGGGGTGATCCATATTTGGTAGACGTATCCAGTTATACGTTGTTTAAATGTCGTCTATTATGTGAACTCAGAGCTGTCAAAAATAATACTTTGTGTTTTTCCCCATCCTTGCCAAACATAAAATATTCATTTTTTTCTAAATCATTCCGTGTCCCTACATTTCCCTCTACTTCAGACTTTGAACAGTTGAAGGGTGGAAAACTTTTATCATTGCTGAAATTATCAAAAACACTATCAATAGCTATCATGCGTTGAGTTTTACGTCCACTGCTGAGTGGTTATACCATGTTATTTTACTTAATTTGCACCTCAACGCTGTAAGGTCAGGAGGAGTAGCATCTCATCTAAGGAGTAGCATTACATGAGGAGTAGCATTTCATGAGACAGAGGCTGGAGCTAAGTACTTTGTCAAAGGTTGTAATGGAGCTGGGCTTTAAACCTACCTCTCTTAATCGCTTAGATCTAGAAGCTATGCCCTGAGTCACTGTGGTATCTGGAAGCAAAAGGAAATGTGCTCTAAAGAGTTAACAGGGGCTATCTGTGCACTCTGGCCACACCCTGGGAGATGCCTGGTAGGAGGAAAACTGCTTTTGTTTTTGCACGGTCAGTTCACAGTATCAGCAGGGCAGTCAAAGCACACTTTTTTCTCTCTCTCTTTTTTTTTTTCCCATCTCATCCTTATTCTTTTTGTTATGATCTCTAAAAAGTTGGTGAGTTAGGGAGTGAGGATCTATTTGAGTAAATCCAGCATGTTTCTCAGTCACCACCCATCAACCTAATTGGCATAGGCGGGGCTGTGCTGTCTGCAACACAGCCAGCTCCTCCAGCTGTGCCATCCATCATACTCAGGCACCCTGGAGCGCACATGCTCTGCTTCCGGTTGATTTTAAGTTCCCGATTCCTGAGCAGGCCTTGGGGAGGCAGTCCCAAGGAGTCAGAGTTGTTTGCTGTCGCATATCAGACTCCGGTCTGGGTGACTTGGCTGGTCACAGCACAGTGCTCCTGGGCCCAGGGGCTGTGATCTCCTGTCATTTGGTTGCCATTTTCCTGTGAAGAGGGTAGAGAATATGCACCCAGTCAGGTCAGGCACTTTGCAGAGGTGGGTCCTGGCTATAAGAAAGCCAGATAAGAGTGCAGGTTCATTTATGCATGTATGTTTCTACTCATAGGAAAACAACTCACGAGGCAAAAAAGTACATCTCGTGGATGGAGCAGGGCGAAGTGGTTACAAGTACAGACTCTGGAGCCAGACTGCCTGGGTTTGAATTGTGCGGTTTCAGGTAAGCTATTTAATCTCCCTGAGCCTCAGTTTCCTTATCTCTGTAAAGGGAACCTACTTCATAGGGTTATGAGGATTATATGATAATTTAATTAAATGAACAGTAAAGCACTTTGACATCAATGTCTGAGAGATGAGAAGTGTTACGTAAGTGTTTATCAAATAGCACATAAAAATAAAGCGGTAGGTGAACATCATGATTTGTAGGTTACACAGTGCTGTGTTAGACGAAGCTTACGTGACTACCTCAGTTAAGGTACTCACGGTGAGTTATGCTCAAACGAAATCTTATAAAATGTCCTAGGGAAACTAGCCATTTTAAAGAATCATGTGAGAAATATGTATGTAAACTGCCTTTTTGTAAAATGAACATGAGAGAAACTGTGTCAGAGGAAGCGAGAAGACAAGGTTGGATGACTCGATGTTTCGGGCGAGGGGGACTGGAGGGGTAGAGTGCCATCATCTTGGATGGGAAGGGTTCTTGCCGCAGTCATTTCAGGGAAGGGAGAGTCGCTGGTCAAATCTGGATGCGTTAAGTGTGAGAGTCTTGTTAGATGTTGAAGTGAAGATGCTCAGTGGGCACCAGGAGAAGTCAGGTGAGAAGTCAAGGCTGGAAGCATCTGTGTGGGGGGTCCCTAGCTTATAGATGGAATCTAAAGCTGTGAAGGAATGAAGGTATTTAACAGCTGGAGAAGGGGTCCTAGGGTTGAATCAGGGGACATGCCAGCTTCACTGGGAAATTCAAGCTGGCTCGAGGTTTCTAGTTTGTGCTTTTCTTCACTTTGCCAGTGTAAAATGAGGTATGGACCCATTGGCATTTTCTTTGGGTGGTTTTATCATTTGAGCTCTATAATCCCATGGTTAGGTGCCTGAGTTAAGACTAGGGTCGGATACCATTTGACCTCTTACTATCTTTGTGCCCTTGGGCAAGTTACTTAGTCTCTGAGACTCAGTTTCTTTGCCTGTGAGATGAGAACTGGTGGTTAAAAATGCCCATCTCATAGGTGTGAGGGCTCAGTAAGTGCGACATTCGTGCTGTGAAGCTGTTCACCACTTTATGTCTTGAAAGATTCTCACCGTTCATGTAAATTTGTTAAAAGTGAGGAGTGGTGACAGTCACATGTGTTTAAATCCCTTTGAATTTTCCCTAAGCTGAAATCCGAATTTTAATTCCACTTATATTGCTACTGTTTTTCTTCTTTAAAAAAAATAATAAAAGAGAGAGGTCAGGGAAATACTATAGTAACTATACACATATGCCAGAGACTTACGTTTTCTCTGTAATTGAAACATTACATCCAGCGATCAGATCTGGCCTCTATATGTGGTAATTGCTACAAGAATCGCAGATGCTCAAGCATTCAGAGATATGAAAACTGAAACACAGAACAAAAGAGATACCACTGGATGACAGTGTTTTAGTATTACGTATAATAACCTCATGTTTGCTCTTTGCCACCATGAGCCAGGTAAGAAGGTTCTCTCACTCTTCCCTAAGATACTAACCAATCTTCCCTACTTTTTTTTTTTTGATGGCAGAGTTCACTCTGTCGTCCAGGCTGGAGTACAGTGGCATGATCTTGGCTCACTGCAATCTCTGCCTCCTGAATTCAAGTGATTCTCCTGCCTAAGCCTCCCAAGTAGCTGGGATTACAGGTGTGAGCCACCGTGCCCAGCTAATTTTGTGTTGGTAGTGGAGATGGAGTTTCACTTTGTTGGCTAAGCTGGTCTCGAACTCCTGACCTCAAATGATCCTCCCTCCTCCTCAGCCTCTTAAAGTGGTGGGATTCCAGGCATGAGCCACCAAGCTCAGTCTTCTCTACTATTTTAAATCCAAGTTTTACACTTGGTTGGAAAATTCCTCTAATCCATTTTATTTCACTTAGCAAATAATAATATTCTGAATCTGTTTCTAAAAAACTCTCACTCTCAAAGCTAAATAAGAACCCAGAGATGTGGAGAATCACATTCTGAAGTCTTGTCACTCCATTCTCTAATTATTATGTCTGCTGTATTTGCATTTATGGTTTATATGCTTTGAATTTGTAGCTTTTCTGTTTTGCAAGAGTTACTGTCAGTGAGACATCTACCAAAAGAAATACTGCTATTAGTGGTGTCAGGACCAAATGTATGTAACAGTGTGGTGTGTTTCTAAATCCCTACTGTGGTTTTTGAGAAACTGTCTCTAAATGGGAGAGGGTGATGTGAAGACTGAAAGAAAAAATCTTTAGAAACAACAAAGCAGAAACATTAATAGGAAAGAGCTTCCAGTGATTAAATTTTTCTTTTGGTCTTTCAGATTGAGAAAGTAAGGAGAATAGGCATACATGGTGGGAAATTTCTATCAACTTGGAAAAAACAATAGAATACATAATTCTTAGCCACTGAGATGAGAGCCCAGGAAGTCACAAGGTCAAAGGATCCTGTCCCATTGTCTGTGGTGACAGCCTGTCCTCCCACTATAAGGAATGCCTTACCCTTAAACAATGGAAGTGTCCCTGAGAAGTTGAAGAAATGCATGCTGATGGAATTTTAAAAATCATATCATTGTAGAAGTACTCCAGTGATTATACTTTTCTGTATTTTCCATTTTTTTTTTTTTTAGTGAGAGTGTATTCTGTTTATAATAAAAACAGAAATCAGAAAAATATTTTTTTTTGATATGGTGTCTTGCTTTGTCATCCAGGCTGGAGTACAGTGGCGCGATCTTGGCTCACTGCAACCTCAGCTTCCCGTGTTCAAGCGATTCTCTTGCCTCAGCCTCCCAAGTAGCTGGGGTTTTAGGTGTGCGCCACCACTCCCAGCTAATTTTTATCTTTTTAGTAGAGATGGGGTTTCACCATGTTGGCCAGGCTGGTCTCAAACTCCTGACATCAAGTGATCTGCCTGCCTTGGCCTCCCAAAGTGCTGGGATTATAGGCATGAGCCACCGTGCCTGATTAGGAAAAATAAAAGAAGGAAATAAACTAGGAGTGTGGGGATGAGTGAGTTGTCACCATTGAAAGGTGCTCATTTGCTCACATTTTATACTGTGAGAATTCTTTTGTCCTGCAAGCTGTGGCATTTCATAACATACCTGCTCTCCACATTTAGAATTTACTTTAAACATAGGGGATGTCAGTAGTGCATTTCATGTATCAAAACCTCAGACTCCACTCTACCAAAGCAGCCAGGCCTCAGTCAACAGACATCGACTCTCGCACTGTGCCAAGCCCACCCAGTGTGTCCTGGTTCCTTGTGGCTGTCCCTGGCAGTTGGAGACACCCACATGCCCCAGCCTTCAGTCAGCAGACACAAACTTGGGATGCGTCGGTTTCTTGTTTGTGAGAGGCCTGGTTCACAAGGATAACATCATGATCAGCCAGGGGCCCCTGTGCAGCTGCCCCATGAGGCCACTGCAGCAGCCTGTGTTTTAGCCTTTGGCCAGGCTGTTTTGGTTTTATGCCCATGCGTCTGTTTTGTTGGGGGAAGAGGGAGGGGAAGGATTCTCAGAAAAGGGAAGGACGTATCCTCCGCTTTGCTGAAAACGGAAATAAGGAATTATCAGTTCAGGGTCAGTAGAAGCCACAGTGCCTGGCTTCCTTCTGCTGGGCTCCTCTGGAATAATTTTGTTTTGTTTTGAAAGGCCCGAAAGCAACTTGAGCCAGATAAGTTGTTCTAGGGTGACAGTTTTTAACAGGGAGTCCACAGATCCCTAGGACTTTGAGAAGTGTGTCTGTGAAGTGCCTTAAATTATAATTAATGTTGCATGTATGTGTATTTTTCCAGAGATGAGAGTCTCTGGCTTAAATTATAACTCAAAGAGATTCAGAGAGCTATAATTTTTTGTTTAAAGGCTAAGAACCAGTTTCAAGGAGAGGCCTTCAAGTCTGAGTTGTACATCTTGGTCTTGGCCCTAACTTGAGAACTCTTCCTGGTTGGTGACTTGTGTACGTAGTGATAACATCAAGAAAAGTGTGCAGCGCACCTTAGGTATACCTATAGAAGGTCATGTTGCAGGAAGATGAAGATAGTTTCACTTTTTCAAGTGCTGGAAAGCTGGAAATCTAGAAATCTTTTTTTTTTTTTGAGACAGAGTCTTGCCCTGTCTCCCAGGCTGGAGTGCGGTGGTGCCATCTTGGCTCACTGCAACCTCCGCCTCCAGGGTTCAAGCGATTTTCCTACCTCAGCCTCTTGAGTAGCTGGGATTACAGGTGCATACCTCCACACCCAGCTAATTTTTTTTGTATCTTTAGTAGAGACGGGGTTTCACCATGTTGGCCAGGCTAGTCTTGAACTCCTGACCTCGTGATCTGCCCGCCTCAGCCTCCCAAAGTGCTGCGATTACAGGCGTGAGCCACCGTGCCTGGCCTGGAAGTCTAGAAATACTAGGTGGACCCACAGAAACCCGTGCACTTACTGAAGCCCATGCTGCAGAAAGATGGTTTCACTTCTTCAAATGCTGGAAAACTGGGCATCCAGAAATCTGTGACCTCTGTCCTAATGCCTCCTATTCTCTCCTTTCTCAAGCACACTCAGAGCTCCCTTAATATTCTGTATTATCATAGTATTGACTAGTTGGAATGAACACAAATATCTCTTTTACCTGGTGTCTCAGTGTGTTTGTGTTGCTGTTAAGGAACACCCAAGACTGGGTAATTTATAAAGAAAAGAGGTTTATTTGGCTCATAGTTCTGCGGGTTGTACAAGAAGCATGGCGCCAACATCTGCTTCTGGTGAGGGCTTCAGGTTGGTTCCACTCAGGATGGAAGGTAAAGGGGACCCAGGTGTGCAGAGATCACATAGCAAGACAGCAGAAACAAGAGAAAAAGGAGGAGGTGCCAGGCTCTTTTCAACTTCAGTTCTCGCAGGAACTGAGTGAGAACTCACTCACTCCTGTGAGAATGGTACCAAGCCATTCATAGGGATCTGGCCTCACCATCCAAACACCTCTTACTGAGCCCCACCACCAACACTGGGGATCAAACTACAACAGGAGACTTGGCAGGGCCAAACAAAGCATGTCCAAATCATAGCACCTGATCTTCTGCTGAGTTCTAAGATAATCCAGGCCCTCATGATGGTGACAAGATAACACATTTATGAGGAACTTCTTCCAAGTGGCTGTTTATCCTGTGCTAAACACAAATGACCTTCCCCAGGGTTCCAGCCTTGGTTCTTGTTTTTCCTCTTATTATTCTGAGTTACCCAGTCCAAATCCCCAGCTTCCAGTGGCCTCTCAGTCTGTGTTTTTAGCACTCATCTCTCTTCTTCTGAGCTCTAAATCTGCCTATTTAACAGGTCCTAAAGACAACATCTCAATGTGGTTGTCCCACGGGCCCATCAAATCACTGGGCCTAATGCTAAGCTCATCACCTCCCTTTTATGTCCCAACCATTCTTCCTCTTGAAGTCCTTATCTTGGCAAATGGTACAAAAATTGATCCAGTTTTCCAAAGGTTTTTTTCATCCACCTACTGCATCTTTACTTCCACAATCTCAATGAGTCCAAAAAAGATTCTATCCCCATATCTTGATAACATTACATCCTAAATGGCTGTAAAAACACCTTTCCTCTCTATCCCCCATCTTGCGATGCCTAATCACTCTAATTACTAGCTGGTCTTTTCACTCTCTGGTTGATCTCTCTCATTGCTTCCAGAATAACCTTTTTCTAAAAAACAAATTGGGTCATGTTATTTCCCTGCTTAAATTGTTTAATCGATCTCCATTGCCTTTATGACAAAACCCAGCCTTCTTGGCATGGCCTACTGGGCCCTGTCTGACCTGACTCCTAGCTCTCCAGCCTCCTGTCTTACTTTTCTCCTTCTGGCTCATTGCTTCGTCAAAGTAAATCACCTATAGTTCAGAAAACATATCTTTTTATTCATCTTCTGGACTCAGTAGGGGCATAATACATTTTTAATGCAGCTGTTTTGAGTGGAGGCCTTGAAAAAACTATTGCTCTTCACATTCCAAGTCGGGTAACAAAAAGACATCCTCATACCGTCTCAGTGCTTCATCCCATCCCTGCCCCCTGACCTATTTCTAACATTAATGCTGAATCTCAGGCCATCCTTGAACATGAACCTCATTTCTGAGCCTCTCGTCCTCCCTTCACATCATGCCTTATTCATGTCCAGATCCCACCCTGTCTGTGACACACACTGCAGGGGTTGGGGTCAGTGATGGGTGATGTTCAGGTGTGAGGTTAGGGAGGGGCAGGTTTGGGGGTGGACGTAGGAATCAGGGAGGTTGCATACACCCTTTGATAGCAAACAACAGTTTTGCATGTTAACGTGAGTGGTTAAGCATGGCTGAGTGCAATGGTACCCTCTTATTGACCATTTTGTATTGTCATGCTTTGTTCTTATAGATACCATCCTGCCAGCTTGGAATGTCCATTTTCTCCACCAGTGACCCCTGCCTCACAGAACTAATTTCTATTCATCTTTCAACCACTTGTTACCTTCCCTGTTATTCTTCACTGACCCCAAATTGGGCTAGGTGTCACTCCTATGCACCCATCGCACTGCTACATTCTCCTCATTGCCCTGGTCACACCATACTGTGATTATTTATTTGCCTGTCTCTCTCTCCAAGGCAGGTGCTGGATCTTAGTCCTCTCTCTGTTCTTAGAATTTCACAAGAACATCCCTAGCAATAGGAGATGCTGAATGCTTATTGAATGAATGAATGAATGAATGGGCGATGTTCTGTGACAGACTTCTAAAAACCTGCAGATGCTCCATGAGCATAAATAACCCAGAGTCCAATAAGACCTATTAGATCATCTCTTTATATTCTACGCATGTGACATTGCATACCAGCATTGATTCTTATCCAGATTTTAACTTTCCGTATTGGCCATCTCTTAGGCACATCTCAAACCCTCTTAGCCCTACCTGTCTCTGGGCCACTGGACTGAATCATTCGGCCATCCGAGGCTACTACTGCAGGTCCTTTCACTACTTCAGGACCCAGATGAAGTACCACGTTGAAGGGTGTGGAATCTGGATTTCTCATCTGCTGCTAAAGGATCTAGCAGATGCACCCCCAAAATGTGGGGAGTTGGGCCAACATGGTGTGAACTCTGACCAAAGGGGAATAAGAGACAGGTGGGAGCTGGCAGGTACATATCCTGTCCAAGCACCAGCCCCTCCAGTGGAAGGTTTTGAGGTACCTTAGTTCCCAGCAGCCTCTCTGACCCAGCAACAAGCCGATTCTTGTGAAGCCATGGCCAGTTTAGGCCCACTCCGTCTTATGTTTGCTTTCCCTACTTCACTTCTCTTCTCTTACTTGGGCTTCCTTGGGATTGCTGTAAAACACTAGTGTAGAAGCTTGGCCTCAGGCTCTGCCTCCTAAGGAATCTGGCCTAAGATATGTTCACACCTGCCATTATTTCCCTAGAGGATCATGGGCCAGTGGAGGTGGAAGAGGGAAGAACACTATGCATCAGGTGGTCTCTAGAGCGTGGATGCAGCAGGGCTTGCCTGGAAGTTCAAGGCTTCAGCCATGCATCCCCTGTCCTTGTCTATGCAAGTGAGTGGTGTTGGCCACCCTCATTTAGGGGAATTGGGCAGATGGATGCATTAGTAGAAAAAGATCCATCATTTAGAACCTGTGAACTAGTTCCTATGGAGGCTGACCATCTGTTCCATAATTTCCTGTTTTTAAAAATCCCAATGTAAGAAATTAAATATATATATAAACTTTTATGTCAGTGATACAGCTGTGAAAATGGATCCTTAAGAATATCTGTGATATATTCTGGGTTTAAATCCTAGCTTTGCCACTTACTACTTGTGTGACCTTGAGAAAGTTGGCCAGTCCAAGCCTTAGTTTCCTCATCTGGAAAAGAGTCATTAGTAATAGCAGCTTATATCAGGATGCTGTTGTAAAGATGGGACAAGATAATGCATTTGTAGGCCTCAACATAGTACTGTATAGAGTAAGCACTCACAAGATATTAGTTATAGTTATTAATATTCCCTCTTTAAAATACAATATGAGAATGATAAAGAGTGTTAATCCTAGTATAGTAAACAAATTTAAGTTGAGAGTTTTTTTTTTTAATTTGTAGAGCTTAGAAAGGTTTTATTGAGATTTTAAGAGGTATTTTCTTGGTCTGAAACTTTTTTCTAGGGAATCAAAATCTCAGACCCAGTTTTAATCTTGCTAAAAAGGGTGGGAAGGCATGATAAAAAGCTTCTATGGAAGTGGTGTTTACTTGCCAGGTATTTTGTTTTATTGGAAATGTGTGAGAACCACACGGGGCTTGAGACTACCTAAGTGTATTTCCTATCTTCCAAATATTTTTAAGGTCTTTGCAAATAACTTTATATCAATCCCAAATTAATAAATTTGTGGAAACAAAAGCAGAGAGGTTTTACAGTTGTGCTGTGGTCATTCAGAGAATTTGTGGCAGAAAAGATCCCAGGAACTAGCCTCTTGCCCCTTACCTGAGGCAAGCTTCAATCTGTGCCAGGTAAACAGAAAAGTACTTCCTCCAGGGAAGCACATAATCAGGATTAACAATGTGTATGCTGGTAACTTTTTGCCTTTTTTTTACAAAGCTGTATTAAGAGTCGTTAAGCTTTAAACTGTAATCTGGGTTTATTATTAACTCCTTGCAATCAAGCTTCCAGTTCAGCTGTTCTACTTTATTCTACAAATGCTTGTCGCTTTCTGATACAGTTTGGCTGTGTCCCCACCCAAATCTCATCTTGAATTCCCACGTATTATAGGAGGGACTTGGTGGGAGGTCATTGAATCATGGGGACAGGTCTTTCCTGTGCTGTTCTCATGACAGTGAATAAGTCTCACAAGATCTGATGGTTTTATTAAGAGGAGTTCCCATGCACAGGCTCTCTCTCTTTGCCTGCTGCCATCCATGTAAGATGTGACTTGCTCCTCCTTCCCTTCTGCCATGATTGTGAGGCTTCCCCAGCCATGTGGAACTGTAAGTCCAGTTAAACCTTTTTCTTTTGTAAATTGCCCAGTCTTGGGTATGTCTTTATATGAAAATGGACTAATACACTTTCCTTCTGTGTAATGGCTCTGAACACTAGAAATGCTGCCAGGAAGGGTCCATCCCTCCAGAAGCTAAACTCTGCAAGCTTTCTCAAGTCACCAGCGACCACTCAAGGCCCTTTATGTCTCTCCTCAGCATTTGACACTAGAGAAAACTTCTTTTTCAAAATTCCCTCTTGCCATCATAGCCTGGAGCCCTCTGGTTTTTCTATCTCTCTCTCTGCCTGGCTCTGTCACCCGAGGGTCTAACTTCCCCCGTCCCAGCCCCACTCCCTTATGTAGGCATGCTCCAAGAGTCAGTCATCTTCTTCTATCTTTTTACTTCCCCTGTTGATAACCTATTCATTCCCTTGGCTGCATACTTTGTTTTTTCTTGGATGACTCTAAAATCTAACTTTTCACCCGTAATTTTTCTCTAGGCACCAAATCTACATTTTCACAGTCTTTGCATCTCAACATATCCCAAAAACGTATTTCCTATCCTGTCTCCAATTAATTGCACAGTTTAAGGGACCACTCCTAGTTTCCTTAGGGTATGTATTGAGGTCTTCTCTGCCCTTACCTCAGATACTATGGCACTACTATTCTCCTATCACCCAAGCTTAATTGTTATTTCCTATCACTGTTGTTTCTTCTATTCTGTTGAGTAAAGAACAAGACCAAGGATTCCTGTGGCTATAAGGTGTTTTCTCTACTTTCATCTTTTTGCCCAGTTAAGGTTTTCTCCTGAACATTCAACATTTCTTTGCTTTTCTACAGTGTGGATGGTGATGTGGGAGGGCCTGTGCTGTTGCAGAGCTGGGGGCCGGGGGCGGGGCGGTGAATAGCTCTAGGGGCAGCGTCAGATAAGAGAACGTGGTTTTTGTCGCATTGTGTGAATGGCACCTCCTGGAGTTGTGCAACACAGTGCTGTGGGAGTGTAAGCATGCAAGGGATGGAGTGTCAGTGAGTCCTTTTGGGATGCTAAAGACTTGAGTGGCAGGAACAAGTTGAGGGGAGTTGGCAGTTCAACCCACAAGGAAAGTTTGATTTTTACAAAAGAGGAAGGGGGAAATAGTTTTTCCTCTGCGTCATCTACCTGGGAAATAAAACCCTATGTTTTTCTAGACAGATCTGCATTGAGCTGACTTCATTGTAGAGCTACCCACCAAGCTTGAGATTTGTGGCCTGGAGCTCTGTTTTCCTCTAATCCTTGTTATTCTTGGTATAGAGAGTGTTGGCAGGAGCTTTAAACATAAAGGTTTTGTGTGCCTGCAGCTCTACTGATAAATTAGATAAAACCAGACCCTTATGTCACAACTGGACTCCCTTCGATATGGTTTTCCTATGGTCCAAAGAGGTTGGTCATAGCTTTGGTCACAGTGCTGCCTCCTGTTGACTGAAATGGCCCAGATGACTTGGCCACACCAGCAGTAGGACACCTTGGCTGACGATTATAGCAGCGGTGTCCTCTGTTCAGGGGCCTGTGGAGCACCCAGACAGGCAGGTTGCCACCTTCCACTGCACAGACTGTGTGGTACACACTCTTCGTGGGCATGGCTCACATAGATGACCATGGGAATGGGCCCTGAAGTTGTCCACTGTGTTGACCCTGCCTCCGGTACCTTCTCTCACTACTCATTTCTAGGCCAACTGATGCCTCGCATTGAGCCAGCTAGGCTCTTTCCTGTCTCAGGCTGAAGCTCACACCACTACTTCCTTTTTTTCCCGAAATTTCTAAGGTCTCCTCCTTCTTTGCACTTTCACTTCCTGAATGCCATGACCACAGGAATGAAATCAGCAAGTTCTTGTTCTCTCTCTTGACTAGGCTAACTCCTCCCAATCTTTATGGGTAGAAATAATAATGGTAATAGATAGCATTGACTGAGCGCTTATTATTCATGAAAAGGTTTACCTGCAGCATCTTACAGAATCTCTGAGGTAGATACTACTAGATGAAACTCAGGCGTAGAGCATTTCAGAGACAGAGATGTTCCATGGCTAGAGTTAACAACGGGGGACTTGGCCTGCTGCCCGAAGAGCTTGTGCTCTGAAGGGTATGCTAGGCATCCTCCTAAGACTCAGGTTAGATACAGCCTCTTCCAGGAAGCCTCCCCGGGCTCCCCACACCCTGCTTCTGACCTTTGGTCATGCTCCTTAGTAACCTGTGCTGTCATGCAAGCTCAGGGCCTCTCAGAGGTGGTGGAGAGAGACCTATGTTCCTTGCTTTTTCTGAGTTCTCAGAATATTAAAAACTGAAGAAGCTCCAAGACAGGATTAGAAAAATATTATGATTTTTTTGGATATATTTTCTTCTCTGATTGGACCAAATTAAAACCTTAAGTGTATAATCATATACATAGAAACCCACAATGTAATATAATTTTGCTATGTGCAAGGCAGCTATAGGAATTACAATAGATTTTTTTTTTTTTTTTTTTTTTGCGATGGAGTCTCACTCTGTTGCCAGGCTGGAGTGCAGTGGTGCGATCTTGGCTCACTGCCACCTCTGCCTCCTGGGTTCAAGTGATTCTCCTGCCTCAGCCTCCCGAGTAGCTGGGACTACAGGTGTGCACCACCACACCCATCTAATTTTTGTATTTTTAGTGTTATATCCCTAACATCTAGCAGAGGGTCAGGGCTCAGCACATTGGGGGCTCTTAATTTGTCTTGGTTGATTGAATGAATGAGTCAATGAATTGTCTGTGAACAGTCTCAGACGTCAGAAAGATTTTAGTTAGAATCCCAGACTACTCTTTACTACTCTCTGACCTTGAGCACGTTACTTAACCTCTCTGGCCTCAGCTGAGGCCTCTCTGGCCTCAGCATTTCTCTGAAATGCTGGTGTTATTAATAATAGTACCTACCTCATAAGGTTGATAAGAGGAACAAAGGAGGTAATGTACCTCATCTATAGGATGGCAAAAGTGAACTGTCATGAACAGTGCTTGGGTCCAGGGCAGGGGTGGTAGGAGGCAGGTCATGGGCATCATTGTCAGCAAAGTGAGAGCCACTCCAGCTGCTTGCCTTCTCTGTGCCTTTGTGTCCCCAACCAGCCATGGAGAAGAAGGATTGGGGATCATAAGAGAGTCTCCAAAGCACCTGACTTTGTTCCCAGAGCCCTTAGCCCCTTTCCACATTCTGCCATTTGATGGACGACCATGGGCAGATCTTACCTTTTAAATAACACTCTGCAGCCCAGCAAGCATCCTCACCCACATCAGGCCACCAAGCATTCTCACTCACATTCTTAAATGAAGTAATAATCTAATTATCTCAATAATTTACATTATCTAATTTATAATTATTATTTCATTTAATAATTACTCTTTTAATCAATATTAAATGGGCTGCGGTGTCAGGAAATTCCTGCTCTTGTTGTGTCATTCCTGGTACCTTCTCCTCCCCGAGTGGCAGAGTTATCGTAGAGGACATTTGTTCTTGTATTTACTGAGTTCTTTGGCAACATCTTCATTTTTTTTTTCACATCTAGTATTCAAGGAATCTTGAGAAAAGCCTCATTTCAAACTTTTGTGTTTCCAAGTGGCCAGATAGAGAGTGGGCTGCTTGGTCCAGGACCTCTAACTCATGCATGCCCTTGTATTGAAGAGCAGGGCACAGCAGCACTCCCTATCTGGGACTCTACCATCTTCTCTGTCCATTTGGCGTCACAGGGTTCTAAAGGTTGGATGGAGCTTTCTAAGTGTGAGCATCCACATTGCCCTGGCGTGTGAGAGCACTGGCCACTTCTTTTCTTTTGCTACGGCTTCTCCCTAGGTAACTGGATCCCTTCTGTCTGATGATCATGTCCTAACTTGTATCTCTGGCCTCAAGCTTCAAACTCAAAAGTCCAAGTGCCTAGTTGACATCTCTCTTGGATGTCTAATGAGCATCCCAAATGTATCATATTTAAAAAGAAATGCTTACTTTACTCCCAAATCCTAACTCTTTCTCTGTATCCCGGTCAGTGGGACTATCACCCACCATGTCCTCCACCAGAATTCCTTGTCCTCCCTCCTGTGAGACATCCATCAGTAAGTCCTGATGACCCTGCCTCTAAAATATATCTCAGATGACATCTCTTTCTCTTCATCTCCATTGTTTCATCCAGACTCTGGCCATCATTATCTTTTTTTTTCTTTATAAAGAAATAAAACACTTTATTCTCAATGTTGCTAATATTTTAAATTAAAACAGTAAGAAAGCTTTTAATGTTTGATTAAATGTTGCTAATATTTTAAATTACAACAGTGAGAAAGCTTTGTTTTCTTCACATGTGCAACAGATTTGTTTGTTTATTTATTTATTTATTTTTTGAGATGGAGTCTTTCTCTTGTTGCCCAGGCTGGAGTGCAATGGCGTGATCTCTGCCCACTGCAACCTCCACCTCCCGGGTTCAAGCAGTTCTCCTGCCTCAGCCTCCCCAGTAGCTGGGATCACAGACAAACGCCACCATGCCAGGCTAATTTTTTTGTATTTTTAATAGAGACGGGGTTTCACCATGTTGGTCAGGCTGGTCTCGAACACCTGACCACTTGATCTGCCTGCCTCAGCCTCCCAAAGTGCTGAGATTACAGGCATGAGCCACTGCGCCCGGCCAACAGATTTATTTTTTAAAGGAATGGATTTTGAGAGAAAACAACGTGAGGCAGAAGTATGGAATAGAAAATAAATACAGATGTAGGCTATTTTGCTAATTGTTTTGTAACCACAACAAACTAGTACAGAGAATGCCCTGTATAAAACACAATAAAGGTTCGAACATCGAGGTGTTCCCTTAGCAAGGCTGAAAATTTCAGTCTCTGGTATTTGGAATTTAGGCTGCAGTCCTTGTTTTTGGATGGACCACTGGTGGGTGGCACAGTCCATGCTTTTAACCAGATTTGAACAGAAGAATGGCCACTTGGCCCAGGTAGAAGTAGATGAAGTGTTTGGTTTCATGTGTCACGTAACTACTGAAGTTCCTCCCCACGATGCAGTGTCAGGTGGGATTGTACTTCTTGTCACATTCCTTCTTGATATGAGCCACAGTGTTCCTCTCTTTGTTGTATTTCTCCAGCGCCTGAGGAGCGCACTCCACCGAGTTCTGCTGCGTCTCTTCCGACATGTCCGCATTTTTGATCACGGCCTTTTGGTCGCACATGGTTACCCATGGAGAAGGGGGCTGGCTGACTGCAACGGTCTCCTGGGGAGGTGCTAAGCATCGCCCGGCTGGAGCTGCCATCGCTATGGAAGCCGTGGCGCCTCTAAGAAGAAAGCTTTTAATGTTTGACAGAAAGTTTTAAAGGTCACAAAGCAATCATATTTTCCCCTTTGCGAAGACTGCTTTGCGCGTGGTCATTTTTTTTTAATTTAAAAAATTCTGTTAAATTACAACTATAAAATGGACCACCTTAACCATTTTTAAGAGTAGAGTTCAGCAGCATTATGTCCTTTCACATCGTTGTGCAACTATTGCCACATCCATCTCCAGAACTCTTTTTATCTTGCAAAACTGAATCTTCATACCTGGTAAACACTTCTCTGCCTCCCTGGCCCCTGGCAACCACCATTCTACTTTCTATTCTGTTAATGTGACTACTCTAAGTACTTCATGTAAGTGGAATCATATAGTATTTGTCGTTTTGTAACTGGCTTATTTCACTTAGCATGATGTCCTCACGGGTCATTCATGTTGTAGCATGTATCAGAATTTGCTTTCTTTTTAAGGCTGAATAATGTTCCATTGCATGTATATACTACATTTTGCTTATCCATCCCATTCATCATCGGACGCCTAGGTTGTTTCAGGCCACCATCATCTCTTTTCTCAACTGTTTTGACAGCTTCCTAATTGTTTGCTTTAATTCCAGTCTTTCCCTTTCCATTCTCTTCTTTGCTGAGTTTCGAAAAAGGCAAATCAAATTTTGTTGCTCCTCTTTAAACTTCTTCAGTGACTTCTCATCGTGCTTGGAGTAAAAGTTAAACATCTTAATCTGAATCACAAGACCTTGTAGTTCTAAAAACTCATGACCTTTACAACCTCTCATGCCTCTTGCCTACTCTATTCCCAGGTCAAGTTTTTTCTGGATTTGTTTATTTGTTTTTCTCATCTCAGACTCTGTGTCTTTGGTTCCCTTTACCTTGAATCCTCTTCACTTTTCATCCCATCGTGGTTGGCTTCTTCTTGTCTTTGAGATGATAGTTAAATGTCACCTCTTCAGAGACATCTTCTGTCACTCTATGTATAAGATTCCTTGTTATTCCTTGTCTTAACTCTGCTTATTTGTAGGTCTTTTGTTTTTGGTTGACTTGTTTCATACTTCCTTTTCCCTCATGATGTAAGCCCCTTGAAGGCAGGGTCTATATCTGTGTCATTTACTTTTTAAAATTTATTTTATTTACTTATTTATTTTTTAGGCGGAGTTTCACTCCTGTTGCAAAGCCTTGCCAGGCTAGAGTGCAATAGCGTGATCTTGGCTCACTGCAACCTCTGCCTCCCGGGTTCAAGCGATTCTCCTGCCTCACCCTCTGGAGTGACCAGGATTACAGGCATGCGCCACCACACCTGGCTAATTTTTGTATTTTTAGTAGAGGCAGGGTTTCACCATGTTGGTCAGGCTGGTCTCAAACTCCTGACCTCAGGTGATCCACCTGCCTTGGCCTCCCAAAGTGCTGGGATTACAGGCGTGAGCCAGTGCGCCCAGCCCTCATTTACTTTTGTACCCTGAACATCTAGCTGGTATTTAATAACCACTTGTTGGATGAATGAATAAATATCCTATTTAAGGAAAGAGTGTGAGAGAAGATACCACAATCGAGTTTACTTTTCCTTTCCTTCCTTTTTTCCTCACTCTCCCCTCATCCCACCTTCAAAACATTCTAAAATGTTAACATCCCTCACTGTTAAGAAGAATCACTGGCGTGTAATGATCACTGCTGCTCCAGAAAACTGGTTGAATTGCCATTGGCCTCCTGATGTTGAAAGGGAACATACCCCAAAATTTTCCTTAACCTTCTCCACTAAAAATGATCACTTTACCAGCCTTGCCCCATGTCTCTGAAAAGGCAACCTAATTTTACAGTGGCCTAAATGAGCAAGGAAGAAAAACAGAAATTAAACCTGGCGAGAGAATACCCATGTAGTATGTTTCAAAGTGCGACATGTGTAATTTTGTATTTTCTGCTGTTTTGCATTGTCTTTGTTTATTCCCTGCTATGGATAACGGTTGATTTTAGTTGAAGTTCAGTCCCTTATCCATATTGGGAAATTATTTAAAGAAGGCTTTGCCTAGACTCCGAAGATTTTAAGCTCTGGAGTAAATTCTCCTCCCATTTTTTACTGTTATACTCCCTTTTTCTTTCCCAATTTCCTTGACAATCAGAGATTTTCTTGGTTTATGTATTGGTTTTCTGTAAGTGTGTATCACAGGACCACAAAATGTGTGTTGAAACCTCACTCTTTGTTAGGTCAGAAGTCTGGTACAGTCTGAATGGGTTCCCTGCTCAGGGTACCATGGGCAGAAATCAAGGGTTGGCCAGTGGTGTTCTCACTGGAGCTCAGGGTCCCCTTCAGGCTATGGCCTATTGTTGGCAGAGTTCAGCTCCTTGTGGTTGCAGGACTGAAGCCCCCATTTAAAGAGCTCATTAATTAGATTTGGCTCACCTGGATCATCTCCCTGTCTTAAGGTCAATTGAGTAGTAACCTTAATTGCATCTGTAAAATCTGTTTTGCCATGCAGTATAACATAACTACAAGAGTAATACCAGGGCTCAGATATAATGGGGTCATTTTAGGATTCTGCCTACCACATTGATCTCTTCTGTTTTTTTTTTTTTTTTTTTTTTTTTTTTTGGTTAGAGTTACATTCATCTGCATGCATCAGAAAGTCTAATTCTAATAGCTTAAGCAAAAATATATTTTTTCACATAAAAAATAGAGAAACAAATGATTGTTGATATCAGTTCAGTGGCTCAGTGACATCAGGGCCAATGACTGTTATTCTCTTAGCCTGTCCTTCCTATGATTATTGTAGCTCCAGCTGTTAAGACCATATTCAAGTTGGGAAAAAAGAGAAAATAAGAAGGATCAGAGCTGTATGAACTAATCTGTCTCCTTCATTGGGATAGCAAAACAAAACAAAGATAAAAAATACTTTTTAGAACTATATTTTAGAACTATATTTCAGAACTATATTTCTCACTGTATCTCCATTTTTGTTTAACTAGCTAGAAGTTGGTGAAGTTATCACCTCTAGGTGAAGATAGGAAAGCAGGAATAGGAATTATTGTGATTGGCTTAAACCAGGATGATGAGAAGAAATGGATGCTGGTGATGCAGTGAACACTGTCAGTTATACCTCATTTCTAGAAGGCAGAATGTGCTGTTGTGGAAAGAGTGCAGAATTTATAGAGTCAGGAGGTCTGTAATTCTGTCCCAATTCTGGGAGATGGTTAGCTCTGTGACCTTGATCTAGTCACAGAACCTCTCTGAGCCAGTTACTTTATCAAGTGGGAGAAATATTTGCTTTACTTATCTCAGGGTTACTGTAAAAGTGAATTGAAATAACCCATGAAGTTCTTTGCATTCTGGAACTATATACTAATTGTAATTTTTGGTAACTGGTAAAAAATAAGACAATTTCATTGATTCTAAGAAATATGTGTGTGTGTGTATAAATAAGTAAATATATATATATATATTTTTATATTTATTTTTATTTTTTTTTGAGATGGAGTCTCACTCTGTCACGCAGGCTAGAGTGCAGTAGTGCAGTCTCGGCTCACTGCAGCCTCCACCTCCTGGGTTCAAGCGATTCTCCTGCCTCAGCCTCCCGAGTAGCTGGAATTATGGGCGCACACCACTACGCCTGGCTAATTTTCGTATTTTTAGTAGAGACGAGGTTTCACCATGTTGGCCAGTCTGGTCAGAAAATCCTGATCTCAAGTGATCCTCCCTCCTCGGCCTTCCAAATTGTTAGGATTACAGGCGTGAGCCACTGTGCCCAGCCTTAAAAAATATTTTATCTTCTCTGAAATTAGATGAATTGTAAAATGCATCTAATTTATATATGGCTCTAAAATATAGATAAGAAATTATCCACATCAACTCCCTACTGTCACATAGACAAAATATTAGTATTCTCATTTCAAAAAAAATATGAAGTGGAGTTAAACCAAGATGAATGTACCAAGATGGAGTAAGTCAATGTCTTCTAAGAGTTCAAGGAACTGGAAAATGTTTTGCAAACTTTAAAGCCTGACCTCCTACCAGAGCCATTCACTAATGTGATACACTGCTCAGGTACGTGGGGATGTCAGTCAAGGTCACTGCCTCAGGAATGCACCAAAGATCAGAGGCAATGCCTAACCAGTTTTTCAAGCCAAGTGTAACTTAGATTCTTGACTCTGAATGTGGGGCCATGGAATTGTTAGATAGCAGAGCCATAGGGATTGTTGATTTTGAAGGAAAATCACACAGTAGAGTATTTTGTAATTATAACCTTGGGATATACATATATGTATGCATGTACATAAATGTGTATATTTATAAGTGTGTATACACACATATACACACACTCATACACACAAGTAATATGACTTTAGAGAAGGAAGCCACCTAGGGTTAGGAGATTATGCTGTGTGTGCTTGTAAGAGAAAAAGAAGAGGGAGTTCACTTATGGAGAATCATAGATAGATGCTAACTGTGGTCAAAGTATGACATTTGTTTCTTTTGGACTTCTTTCTCATACATGTTTGACTTGAGGCTGAGGTGTTCATTCTGTTCCCCAGTTTTCAATGGAAATTGGAAGAAGATTGGGTGGTCTCCTTTTGTTTTTTAAAATAAAATATTTAAATGAAAGAATGAAATTTTTAAACGTCGAAATAATAAGAGCAAACAACCAGGATTACTCAACTCATTTTCTCTTTTAGGAGCATCAAGGTACCTATTAATTAATGTGTGTGTGTGTGCGCGTGTGTGTGTGTGTGTGTGTGTTCTTCAGTGAACTCTGTTCAGGTTTTATTAATGAGAATTCAGGTCTCTCATCAAGGAAAAGAATGTGGAAGAGGAAAGGGAAGAGAAGCAGTATTCAAGTCCTTAATCTAATTTAGTCTTCCTCACAGGGTAATGGGGCCTTCCAGTCTTCTCTTTGTTCTAGCAACTTATGAAACAAGCAGCATGGTTATTTCAACTTCTGATTCAGCTTCTATGGCTCCTGTAGCCCACTGTGACACAGATATCAGTGTATGAAAGCTTGTTATTATCTTGTGTCGCTGTGCTATGCACAATTCTGAGTGCATAATAGATGCTCAATAAGGTAGCTGAATATCTTGCTTTAGAAGAACACTGTAAAGAAATATGTAGAATTTATGTAGTCTGTTTTTCCCATTCTTCCTTTCTTTGTAGCTTTTGATTTGACCTTTAGATGCTTGTCCTTATTCAAGAGAAAACTGAGGCCTTACTTGTGGGTTTGGAATGGACACCAGGATCTAGTTGAAGATGTTTCTGCATAAACTCCAAACAGATGACTGGACAGTGGTTGCCAATAGTCTCAAACCCAAAAAGTGGATGTGGCGATTTTCATAGACGCTACCTAGCTTAATACCTATGAAAAAGAGGTAGACAGGGAAGATGGCCAAAGATTTAACAACCTCTTTTGGATCACTAACCAGGCACAAGTAATGTTTTTGTATTATATAGCATAGCTAAC
Source organism: Homo sapiens (assembly GCF_000001405.40). Taxonomy (NCBI): domain Eukaryota; kingdom Metazoa; phylum Chordata; class Mammalia; order Primates; family Hominidae; genus Homo; species Homo sapiens. The sequence continues at coordinate 81,407,421 of NC_000014.9, read as the reverse complement.
CTAACAAAATAAATCATTTTCCCAGCTCTGGAGCAATGGAATTAATCTATATGGCTGAGTGAAACCTTCCTTTTATTCTCATATAATTTATAAAATTTCTGTAAAATTTCCAATTAATTTTCAGTACATTACTGTGAAATGACCTGTATTTAGATGTCTGAACTAGTCTCTTTTTAAAAGTGAACACAAGTCAGAAAGTAATGTTCCAGGGGAGGACTTCCAGTTCTGGTTATACTTGGTAACTAGCCCTTCTTCTGCAGCGAACAACCACAAAACAGCAACATCTATGAGGCAACTGTTTTCAGGCTTCGGTCAACAGGCAGCACAAGATTTTCTATCCTGAGGTGAGCCTGACACTCGCCTTGGCTCTTTTCCAGGGAAGAGTTTCGTGACTGCAGTGTGGTCAGCTGGAGTCTAAGCCAAGCACAGCAGTCATACTGAGCTAAGAAAACAGAGATCAGAGTTTGGGGCAATTGAAGCAGCTGGAATCTGCAGGACAGGGCACCAGAGAGCAGAGAGTTGGGGAGCAGAGAGCATGGGGATGGGGAGAGAGGAGCAGAAGTATGTCTGGGTGTACCCAGAGAACCGTTGGCCAGTTTAGAGTGCACAGGTGCACACTGAAACCATGCAGAGCTTAATAGAGTGGCTGCTGGAGGATTGAGAATGGGACAAAGATACTGGACATCAGGCAATAGTGGGGGACATTGGTGGTCCAGCCCAGCCACAGTGGAAAGAGCTCGTTAACGTCTTATTAACATCTCAAGCATCCAACCAAGTATGGAAAGCCTGTGTCTTAGGGGTAAGGATCATGTTCTCAAGGAGGGTCTGTAAATTTTTTTCTGTAAAGGGCCAGTAGTTATTATTATTGAGCAGTAATTATTTCAGTCCCTGTGAGCCATACAGTATCTGTCACAGCTACTCAACTCTGCTATTGTAGACCAAAAGCAGCCATAGACAATATGTAAACTAATGAGTGTGGCTGGTAAATATACTAATAATACAACTTTATTTACCAAAAAAGGCAGAGGGTCAGACTTAGGCTGTGGCTGTAGTTTGCCAGCCCATGCTCTAGAGTAAGATTTACTTTAAGCTACCCTAGCAAAGCCTAGAACCAAGCCCTGTGTGTTAGGGTTCTCTAAAGGGACAGAATTAATAGGATAGATGTATATATGAAGGGTAGTTTATTAAGGAGTATTGATCACAAGGTGAAGTCCCACAGTAGGCTGTCTTCAAGCTGAGGAGCAAGGAATCCAATCCGAGCCCCAAAACCTCAAAAGTAGGGAAGCCGACAGTGTGGCCTTCAGTCTGTGGTCAAAGGCCCAGGAGCCCCTGGCAAATCACTGGTGTAAGTCCAAGAGTCCAAAAGCTGAAGAAATTGGAGTCTGATGTTTGAGGGCAGGAAGCATCCAGCATGGGAGAAAGATGAAGGCCAGAAGACTCAGCAAGTCTGGTCATTCCACTTTCTTCTGCCTGCTTTATTCTAGCCACACTAGCTACTGATTAGATGGTACCCACCCAGATTGAGAGTGAGTCTGCCTCTCCCAGTCCACTGACTCAAATGTTAATCTCCTTTGGCAACACCCTTAAAGACATACCTGGGAACAATACTTTGCATCCTTCAGTCCAATCAAGTTGACGCTCAATATTAACCATCATACCCTGTCAAGATCTACAGGGGAGACAGAGTTTAGAAATTGAGTCCTATGGCAATTAGAGGGCCATGGGAAACAAATTAATCCAATGAAGTAAAAGACCAAGCTTTATACAAGCTCTAGGCGAGCAGCACTTGGTCAGACTGCCTGCTGGAACAAACATCAGCACTCTGCAGAGGAAAGTCAAATCCAGAAGGTCTTCAGTGTATCACCAACAATTATTAGGTATGCAAAAAAAAAAAAAAAACCTTAGGAAAGTAAAAACCTTAGGAAAATAAAAACCATAGTCAAGCAAAAAAAAAAAAAAAACAATAGTAACTAATCCCAAATGGTCTAGAGGTTGGATTTAGCAGGCAAAGTCTTTAAAGCAGCCGTTATAAATATGTTCAAAGAACTAAAGGAAAATATTGTCACAATGAGTGAATATATAAGGCATCACAGCAAAGAAATAGAAACTGTAAAATAACATTATAAAATGGAAAAGCTGAATAAGATACAAAATTCATGGGATAAGCTTATGGGAGAATGGAGATGAGAAGAGAAAGAGTCAGTGAACGCAAGGACAGATTAGCAGAAGAGATGGAAAAGGGGCAGAAAAACACATTTGAAGAAATACTGACTTAGTTTTTCCAAATTTAATGAAAAAATGGACATACAGATTCAAGAAACTCCACTAACTTCGAGTAAAATGAGTTCTAAGAAAACTACATCCAAATGCACTATAGTCAGTTGCTGAAAATGAAAGATAAAGAGAAAATATTGAAAGCCATTAGAGGAAAGAAGACACATTATATAAGCATGAGTAATTACATATAATCAACTGCTCATTAGAAACATTCAGACCAAAAGGCAAAATACTGAAGGAAAAATTCTCTGTCTTGTGAAAAGTAGCCTTCAAAATCAAGGATGAAATAAAAAATGGACTGCTTTAGAGCATTGCTGTCCAATAGGAATATACCATGAGGCCAGGTGCAGTAACTTGTGCCTGTAATCCCAGCACTTTGGGAGACTGAGGTGGGAGGATTGCTTGAGCCCAGGAGTTTGAGACCAGCCTGGGCAACAGAGTGAGACCCTGTCTCTACGGAAACATTTTTTAAAATTAGGTGGGTGTGATGGTGTGCACTTATAGACCCAGCTACTCAGGAGGCTGAGGTGGGAGGATCACATGGGCCTGCAGAGGTCAAGGCTGTAGTGAGCTGTGATAGTGCCCTGTACTCCAGCATGAGCAAGAGTGAGATCCTGTCTCAGTTAAAAAAGGAAGAAATATAGTGTGGGCTACTTATATATGATTTTAAATATTTTAGTAGTTTCATTTAAAAAAGTTGAAAGGAACTGGTGAAATTAATTTTAACAGTATGTTTTACTTAAGCTAATACATCCAGGATACCATTTTAACATGAAAGCAGTATAAAATTATTAGATATTTTACACCTTTTTATACTCTTTAAAGTCTGGTGTATATTTTACACTTAAGGAACAACTCATTCAGATTAACCACATATCAGTAGTCCCTATGTCTAGTGTCTGCTGTATTGGAATTGGATGATATAATTTTAGATCAAAGAGAAAGGGGAATGAACATATTTCCCTATATCTAGATTTTCTCCGAAGCTGTTTTACACATAGTGTTTAAATTAACCTTCCTAAAACATTTATTAACGTCTCAAAAGAGCTGAAGAGGCTACCTACTGTATGTTAAGGCAAATTCATTCATTCAGCTGGTTACCCAACAAGCATTTACTAAAAGCCATACCCTATTCTAAGAGTTAAAGACATCAATAAGCAAAAGATCAAGTCCCTTTCCTCATATAGCGACATTAGCAAATAATTTCATTATAATTTGGTAAATGAGTGTAAGTTAAGATAGTATCAGCATTCAGAAGATATGGGGGATAAAGGGCAAGTGGGAAGTGTGGTACTTTACTTATTGGAAGTTGAGGAGTACCACCATAGATCAGAGTTTTTGGTTGCAAGCAACAGAAATTAATTTTGGCTAATACAAGCAGGAAAGAAGTCTATTCAAGGGTATGAAAGAGCTCATTGGATTGCCAGATGACTCTCAAACGTGGCTTGGAAAATAGGTAGGAGCCATAGGACCTAGCCGGCAGTAAACAGAGACAGAGTCACACCATGGGTCTGGTTAGGATGCTGCACTTGTCACCATTGCCACGGAATTGAGTTGTGCCTGCTTCTGGGCTTGGGTCAAGTTTCCATTGTTCGCATGCCACTCTTGCATGTATTCAAGGCCCTTGTACCTTTTAGCATTCCCTCAATATTCTAGCAGCCGTTGACAAAGCCTGGATTAATTGCCAGGAGGGATGTAAAGATAATATTTTTTTTCTCGAAAAAGAAAGGAGTTTTGGGTGTTGAGTAGGCAAAAGACAATGAGCATGCATATTATAAAGGTTTTATGGCAAAATAATTTGTGTTCTTTATCTTTGCATTCAGTGATTGCCACTTGGCATAAATGCTTGTTGAGCCAAGCCTGAGATAATGATTGAGCTAAGACTTGAAGGTGAGCAGGAGCTCATGAAATAAAAATGTAGGGAAAATGTATCCCAAATATAGTATTTAATAATGTATTAATATATGAACAAGTGATCGAATAGGACAAAGTATATTAAAAAACACAGTCTTTCAAATAACTCAGTTCATCAGGAATATAGGATTCACAAGGGGAGAGAATGACACATGGGATTAGAGAGGTGGATCAGGGCCAGATTCACAAAGTGCCTGCATTTATACGACAATTTTTATTGAGCTGCTAACCTGTGCCAGGCACTATGCTCAATGCTGAGGGTATAGCATGCAACCCCTGCTCTCAGGAATCCTTTGTTCATTTCTCATACCTCATTTTATCCTGTGAGGAGACTTTGAGGAGCTGTAAGCAGAGCTGTAGCATAGCCATTTTCAGGTTTTAGGAAGATAACTCTACCATAATAGGCTGGATAGTAGGTTTGAGCAGGTGATACTGAAGGCAGGGAGACAGGTAGGAGACTTGCAACTGTCTGCGTGAGAGATCATGAGGGGCTGAGCCAAGGCATTGGCAGTGGGATTGGAGAGGGTAAGCTCCAGAGCTCAAACTCGTTCTGAAACTTAGAGCTCCTTTTCCAGGATGCTTGACACCCTCTTCAGATGAACAGAGTGTAACTCACTGTGGGCTAGACATACCATTCCTGCTCCCCCTTCCTGAGTGCCTGTGCCCCTCAGCTCTTTTGCTCAGACCCCTCCTTTCCGGCTTAGGGTACAGTTCAAGACCACCTATAGCTCAAGCTCTCAGAAGTCTCTTAACACTCTTACTTGCTGCTGTCCTACTTTTGGTGACTAACCACCAGAATAGGTTAGAGAGCAGAGGTTATTGTTTTAGGTTGCTGTGGTATCTCCCTGCAGTTGACAGCTGCTTGAGGGCAGAGATGCTGTTTTGTTCTCCCTTGACCCTCAGGCCCTAGAATGGGCAGAAACAGTACATGTTCCTGATGACTGTGCCCCCCAACTTTGTGAGACACACCGGAGGTACTGATGGCTGAAAAATTCCATCACCACGCTTCTGTCCAGCACTGTCTGAGGAAGGCTTATCTCCCTTAAGCACACTTCTTGAGTCACTCTCTGCTTTTAAACCTCCCACAGCTTCTCATTTCCCCTTGAACTCTCCTTAGCTTTTATGGTCAATCAATCCCTTCACTCCATATTCCCCCAGTAGATACCTCTGCTCTCATCAGACAGAGGCTTGTTCAGACAGAAACACACCTTGTTAAGGTCTGCTTCTGATTTTTACTGTCACTTGCGGTGATCCCCTGTCCAGAGGCTTCCCTCACTTGTCCCTCTGTTGGTCCAGAATCAAGGACATCCTTCACATCTCAGAAACCCACCCAGTCCCATATGGTTCCAACTCTCAGAGATCTCCCTACGGCTAAACTGTGGCAATTAGAGGACTGTCATAAGACAAAACTACTTCTATGACCCCCATCTTATCAGACAATTGCATTCTCCCTTCTACAAATTTTTGTATAATGCTGAGAAAGAAGTAGCTCTCTGAAATGGCAACTCCAAGACTTCAATGAAACTTTTAGCATCTGTTGGTCAATCCTCCTGCTGATACTGAGTCACCACTCATTTGTGGTGATTCTAAACCTCATTTTATGATTCACATTCTAAAAATGGGGTGAGGTTTTTACCAAGCAACTAATTCCAGTATGAACTTAACCTCACAATTATTGGGTTCTTCTGTGGGTTTCCAGCTGCTTAGCACAGCACTTTTCAAGGTCTGATTTCTTATGGCTTATTGGTGTGGCTCTTCCATGGCAAATACCTAAAATCCATTTTATGGATTTATGGTATGGAATATGATGGGGGGTTCCATGTGATCAATTTGTTCCACCAGTCTTCATTGGGACCACTCATTGTCTGTCACCAGCCCATGTCTGGTCTGGGACAAGTGAAGGAAGGATAGATAAAGTTTTGGGGCTCTTTTTTCGTTCATACGTTCTGAGGAATGGTCTTGGTACTTTGGCCAGAATGCACCTATATCTATAATGAAGAGGATTTAGAATCTGCCTTCTGGGCACTGTAGCTGAGCACATGACTCTACTTAGCATTTTGAACAATGACTGAAACCAGATTCTGCAAATGACAGAAATGCAGTGGTTTCATGAAATCTGCATTCCAGTCCCAAGACTTCTACGAACAAGTTACGCAACGTTGGGCGAGTCATTTAACAATAGCAGCAGTGCTGGCGATGGCTAACATTGGTTTGGAATGGAGCCTGGGGCACAGTAAGCCCTCTGTAAGGTCACCTGCTGTTTTCATTGTCATCGTTACAGAGGGTTTATTACATCCAGTCCTTAGTACTTGGCGTACATTATCTTGTTTAATCCTCGGAATTATGGAGTGAGTTTTATTATTCTTTCTGTACAAGGTTGAACTGAAGCTTAAAGAGGTTGAGTTATGAGTCCACGACTGTATAGGACTCCAAGACTGTATAGGACTCAAATCCGAACAACCTAACTCCTGGGCCTGTGATCACAATCTCTATTCGTGTGCCTGATTTCCTTGGGCCTCAGTTTTCTCATAACACCTGAAGTTGTTGATCTTTAAAACCTTTCAGTTTAAAATTTTTAAATATTTTCCTCTTACCTTCACCTTCGTCCCCTGTTCTCTTCCCTACCCCACTTATCCATGACTTTTGCTGGGTTCATCATTGCAGGATTGGCAGGATGTTTTCCCCATTGAGTGATGACACTGCATGTGTCAGCATAGGGACTTGTATTGTGGGTTTTTTTTTTTTTTTTTTTGACGGGTGCTGTGGGGCTGGTTTACATGCTGCTGTCGTTGAAAGAGGAGGAATCTGACTCTTCAATTTTACTGCCTTATCTTGGCCCGCAGCCATTACCACATTGAGTGACACACATTTGACAGGGCTTGAGAAAGTCGTCAAAGGCAGAAGCCAGTGGGAATCAGCTCTTTGTGCTTGTGGACCCTGCACTGCTCTCTGGTAAGATCTGGTTTGGGAGACCTGCTCTCTCCAGGCTGTTTGCCTATGTCTGGCCTTGTGGTTGGCAAGGATCCTAGGAGAGGGACTTGGAGAAGAGGCTTCTGGGCTTCCCATCCTTTATACAGCTTGGGGTGTGCTGGCAAACTTTCACATGGGGAGTTTCCCGGACATTTCATTACAGTTCCATTGTAATTGATATTTGTAAAGTACTTAAGTTGGGTGATAGTCTATATGTACTGTATTCTGTTGTACTTCTTTGCGGCTGTGACACCAGGGTTAGAGTGTTTTGGCTGCAGAAGACCTGGGCTCAAGGGTTGGATCTATCACTTAGTGTGGTGCTTCAAACACACCTGCTTGTTATGGCTTTTACTTGATTATTCTTTGGGTGAGATCTTATTATGAAGAAAAGTCAGCCACTGTGCTGAGATTTGTAAACTCTTCCACTTAGCCTGGAGGAAGCATTTTACCAAAAGGGCCTGGAAGCACTAAAAGTATTAGGTAAGTCACTTAATTTTTCTCAGCCCAAATTTCTTTATCCATAGAAGAATTAGAGTACTATGAGTCCTACTCATCAAAATGGCTACTGAATCAAGTGAAGTATGGTATGAAAATGTGTTTCTGAAAATTATAAATTCTATATAAACATTAGTTGTTTTTAGGAAGCATCATATGCCAAAACTGTTTTAAACACCAAAAAAGCAAAAGCTGTTCATGTTTTTACCGATTTTCCCACCTAGAGATTATTTACTGCAGATGATAACCTGTAGTAAAATTTCCTAAACTTTTCATTGTGCAGCAATTGGAAGACTGTGAGTTAAGTTGTTCTAGAAACTATCTGAATATTGTGTATATTTAGTTAATAAGAACTGATATTGTTCAAGGTATATAGTAGCTCTTCTATGGAAGCACATTAATTTTAGATAAATTCAGATTTTATTAATTCATTATAAATCATTATTAGATCAAGAGCTAGGTTCAGGTTGTAAAAAGATATTAATACCATGAACAAAATTATGTCAATTAAGAATCTTTCTGTATTCCTAGAACATAATTGCAGTGTGAGCAAAGGCTAGACCATTGTAACTAATTTAAATAGGCCTAGATTGAAAATGTTACTCTAACTCACATTTTTCACTACCACAGATGTTCCCTATCCTCTTACTCCAAATGAACAAGATCACTTCATTTCTATTTTTCTTGATTGATAAACCATGCTTGGAGATACCATCTGGAGATTGTTGGGTTTCTGCCAGAGATTTAAATCAGGTTTATAAAGAGTTACCTGCCTAAGGCAAGAAACTGGACTAATTTAATAGAAAAGAACATGCTTTTATTTTGCCAGCTAGTAAGAGAAAGTGAAAGCATTTTGAAAAGTTTTAATATTTGTTTAGCAATGATAGTATTATAGATGACAATATTTCTAAAATACAATAATTAGGGAAATTAGAGAATCTAATTGCTGAAATTTGTGTAATTATTTGCAAGTGTGATATGAAGGCTTATCTAGAAACCTTGATGCTAAAGACAGACATTTCAGTATAAAAGGTGAGGGCATGACAGGAACAGAGTGAAGTAAGGCAAGTTGGAAACCACCCCAAGCCTTCTTGTGGGCAGCGCTAAAAGCCCTAGACCTATGTGGATTCAGTGTAATGTGATGGTTATCCTTTTTAATTTTTTGTTTGTTTGTTTGTTAAACAGATTTCTGCCTGGCAGATTAACCAACGGCAAGAGAGGCTGATCTGTCTACATTCTGAGTACTGCCCTTGGCAAGACACCTAGAACAGACCCTGGACCCAAGTCTACCGTACTACCATACCCCTACTCCAGCCCACCCCAGACAGTATTCTGGGGTTCACCTGAGGTCAGCAGTGTGAAGATGACCAGTGCCTTTTTAGCATGACGACTTTGGACCATGTGATTGCCACCCACCAGTCAGAATGGGTCTCCTTCAATGAAGAGCCACCCTTTCCTGCCCACTCGCAGGGTAAGGAGTGCCTTCGTTTCCTAAAGTGAAGAGATTGTCAAAGAACCATGTCTATTTGTTATGGCTTCTACTTGATTATTCTTTGGGTGGGATCTTAATATAGAAAAAAGGGTCAGTTTCTCACTTTCTTTCTTGAGATCTTAGAATCCTAAGTGGAAGAATTTACACACTGAAAAAGCATCTTGGGAACCTTAGGGCCCTAAAAAGAGGCTTGGAAACACCAAAGGTAGTGGCTCTTTTCTCCCAAGAAACAAAAACTTAATATTTACCAAATACTTTACTCTCAGCCTTTTTAAAATGTAGTTATTAAAAGTAGTTGTTAAAAGTGACAGGCTCTGGAGCCAGAGTGCTTGGGTTCAAATCCCTGTTGCACCAGGGATGAGTGATATGCTTTTGGGTAGATTATTTATTTAACCTCTCCATGCATAGCTTCATTATCTGTACAGTAGGGATAATCAGTACCTATCTCACAGGTTGCTGTGAGGCTTAAGTGAATTCATACATAAAAGTGCTTAGAGCAGTGCCTGGCACGTGGAAAGAGCTCAGTACGGTCATCCTTGATCATAAGGAGGATGACTATATTGACTTTGGAGAACTTGTGCTCAGGGATGAAGGTCAAGGTAGGATCCAGGAGATATTTGCAGAGACATGTGAGTTGGTTCTGTTCTACTACAGCTACCAGTGCCAACTGAAGTCATCCCACCGTCATTTATAACACCTAGAAAGTGTGAGTCGACAGGTATGCTCTCCAATATGGTGGCCATGTGGTTACTGAGCCCCTGAAATGTGACAAGTCTGAATTGGGATGTGCTGTAAGCATCAGATACCTATGCTAAATTTCAAAGACCTAGTTTAAAAAAATTAAATAGCTAATAATTTTATATTTCTTACATGTTGAAATTATAAATTTTCAGCATTGGGTTGAAATGTGTATTATTAAAATACTTTCTCCTGTTGTGTTTAATTTTTTTCATGTGGCTACTAGAAAATTTAAAATTACATATGTAGCTCACATTTTATTTCTGTTTGACGTGCTGTAGAGGCTTTGAATACTTGCAGATGGACCGGTTGGCTAGTGATGGGAGAAAAGATTTTATATTAATTATTTGATTAAAAACCTTTATACAGAAAAATTGACTTCTTTTGTTGTACAGCTGATGAATTTCAGCACATGTATACATTTGTGTATCTACCACCATAATCAGGATATAGTTTTTTTGTTGTTGTTGTTGTTTTGAGACGGAGTTTCGCTCTTGTTGCCCAGGCTGGAGTGCAGTGGTGCAGTCTCAGCTCACTGCAACCTCCGCCTCCTGGATTCAAGCGATTCTCCTGCCTCAGCTTCCCAAGTAGCTGGGATTACAGGCATGTGCCACCATGCCCGGCTAATTTTGTATTTTTAGTAGAGATGGGGTTTTGCCATGTTGGTCAGGCTGGTCTCGAACCGCTGACCTCAGGTGATCCACTCACCTCGGCCTCCCAAAGTGTTGGGATTATAGGCATGAGCCACTGCGCCCGGCCAGGTTTTTTAATTTCCAAAAAAAAAATTTTTGAAGGCTGTTTAATTTTCTGGGGCCAATCAAGTGATACAGTGCTGCAGAAATAACCTCTAGGTTACATTCAGCTGGTCATTAGTGCACATGGGTTTGCACCTGGTGTCCTGTGGCTGTGTATAGCTTAGACTGCAAAGAATTTGAAATTTGAATTTGAATGTCTTCAGACAGAAGTGCTCTTGTTCAGCCACAGTCCCCACCAGTCCCTTTTGCCTTTCACTTGTCTCACTTGACTCAGGTATATTTCCTACTTGACCTCTGTAAGCACTTTCCTTTGTGACCCCCAAGCACTGGAGTAGATGCTGGCATAAGAATAGTGAAGAAGGCTCCTAGTCTCTGCCTGCCAGGATACTGACTGGAGACATGCTGAGCTTACAGCATTTACACATGATTAGGGAAACAGTCATTTAACATGCAGTCAGATGGGTGTGGCTCTTTCTTCTCCCCACTCACTGCAGTGGCGAGTCATGCGGGCACCCCATGGTCATCCTTAGTTTTTGCCTCCATGAGATGGCTCTGAAGAGCGGCCTTCCTCACATGATGGTGGCGTCTGGTATCTGTTTCAGGGGGCACGGAAGAGCACCTCCCAGGACTGTCATCTTCCCCAGACCAGTCCGAGAGCTCCTCCGGGGAGAACCATGTGGTGGATGGAGGCTCTCAAGACCATTCCCACTCGGAGCAGGATGACTCCTCTGAAAAGATGGGCCTCATCTCTGAAGCAGCTTCCCCACCTGGGAGCCCTGAGCAGCCCCCACCTGACCTGGCCTCGGCCATCAGCAACTGGGTTCAGTTTGAAGATGACACACCCTGGGCCAGCACATCTCCACCTCATCAGGAAACAGCTGAGACAGGTGAGGAGGTAGGAAGGGCCCGGCTTGGGTTTGTGGTCAGCAGGGATGCTTTTCAGTGAGAGGTCTATAGGGCTGCCAGGATTCCATTTCATCTGCCCCCTAACCCTGAAGCACTGGTCGCATAGGGGAGAGCAGACGGAGTTCTCATCTGGTTTAATTCTGTAACTTGTTTTTGTTGACATAAGCATACAAAAGAATGTATGTGTTCTAGGACATTTCTAGTCCTTTACTCTTGTCCCTGGCTGTTGACTTGTCTTTAAAATAATGCATATATATTTTTCTATTAGGGATTGGAATTATATTTACTCAGCCCCTAAACTGTAAGCACCTTACATACAGAAATGAATGTTTCTGCTGGGTGCGGTGGCTCATGCCTATAATTTCATCACTTTGAGAGGCCGAGAAGGGTGGCTCACTTGAGGTCAGGAGTTTGAGACCCACCTGGCTAACACGGAGAAACCCCGTCTCTGCCAAAAATACAAAAATTAGCTGGGCGTGGTCGTGCACTTCTGTAATCCCAGCCACTCAGGAGGCTGAGGCATGTGAATTGCTGAACCTGGGAGCGGAGGTTGCAGTAAGCTGAGGTCGCGCCACTGCACTCCAGGCTGGGTGACAGAGCTAGACTCTGTCTCCAAAAAATAAAAACAGAAATGAATGTGTGTTAAAGTGTGGACCACTGACCATGTCTAACCAAGTCACCAATAGGATTTGTTAAACATGGATATTCTCACACTTCAGAACTCTTGAATCCAAATCCTCATGGGTAGGGATGGTTGTTCATGAGAAATCTCTTATTTTGTGGCATTTCAATGGCCAGAAGCTGCACTGGGGAGCTTAGTAAAGCTGTAGGACTTGTTAGTCCCCATCCTGGTGACCTGGCTACTTCTTTATTGTGCACTGAAGTATGCCACAGGTGATTGGATAAGCTTTGGGACTGTATTAGTTTTCTATTTGCTGCTGTAACAAGTCACCACAAGTGTAGTGGCTTGAACAACATAAGTTTATCATCTTATGATTCTGTATTTCAGAAGTCCATCATGGGTGTCACCGGGTCAAAATCAAGGTGTTGGCAGGGCTGTGTTCCTTTCTGGAAGCTCTAGGGGAGAGTCTGTTTCCTGGCCCTTCCCAGCTTTCAGAGGCTGTCAACATTCCTTGGCATATGGCCCCTTCCTCTATCTCCAAAGCCAGGAATGTGGCATCTCTTTGTGCCTTTCTTCTGAAGTCACATCTTTCCCTGACATCTGCCTTTGTCTTCCATTAAGGACCTCTGTGGTTATGTTGGGCTCACCAGGCATTAAGGACCTCTGTGGTTACACTGGGCTCACCGGGATAATGTCCCCATCTCAAGGTCCTTAACATAATCACATCAGTAAAGTTCTTTTGCCATATAAAGTAACATATTCACAGGTTCTGGAAATCAAGATGTGGACATCTTGGGGTAGAATGGGAGGCATTCTGTCTACCACAGAGACCTACTAGCAAAAAGCAGGGTTGATATATTTTTCTGTTGGTGTGTTAAATGTTTTGCTAGTGTCACTTTTTAAGGCTGATTCCTTTGTTTTTCAGTGTGTTTTCAATACTAAAATGATTTTAAGAAAATATAAAACAATTCTGTAACAAACATTTATATTTTTACATAATAATTTGCACATTTATGTCTATTTTTTCATATTTGAACATCAGATTTCCTTTTTTTTTTGTTTGAGATGGAGTCTTGCTCTGTTGCCCAGGCTGGAGTGCAGTGGTGCAATCTCAGCTCACTGCAACCTCTGCCCCTGAGGTTCAAGCAATTCTCAGGTCTCAGCCTCCTGAGTAGCTGGGATTACAAGCACCCATCACCATGCCTGGCTAATTTTTGTATTTTTAGTAGAGACAGGATTTTGCCATGTTGGCCAGGCTGGTTTCGAACTCCTTGACCTCAGGTGATCCACCTGCCTTAGCCTCCCAAAGTGCTGGGATTACAGGCGTGAGCCACTATGCCCAGCCTAAACATCAGATTTCTGCATGAATTGTCATTGAGTCATGACTCTCAGTGCAGCGTGGAAGAAGTGACAGGTCCAGACAGGCTTCCCTTACTGAACACCTAACACTGAGAAGGCTCTGGGCTAAGTGTTGATGCATGTAGGGAAAAGTTACGGAACACTGGGCAGTGAATGAGCACAGAAATAATGTTCCTTCTGCTTAATATGATACATTTACTGCATACTTATTGTCTCAGTTTCTGTGCTCAGTGCCTTAGCTACTTCATATCATGTACTCCTTACAACAATTGTATGAGGAAGGTATTAATATTAATCCATATTACACATGGTGGAGGAGACTCAGCCAGAAGTGGGCTTTGGGAATTCAACCAAGATTGTGTGCTAGGAAATGGCAGGAGAGCTTCCGCACCAGGCTGACCGGCCCCAAGGTCTTGGAGCAGCCTTCGGATGCCCTGTGCTCTCCTTCCGTTTGCCTCACTCTTCCTGCTGCTGCTGCTGCTGCTGCTCTAGTATCCTCTGCTCCCTCATTACCCAGGAGGCAGTGGGGGCAAGGAATGGAAGGTAAGTGATGGGTGGGGTGCTCTTTCTCCACTTTGCTGCCCTAAAATGGCCGTGCCTTCAGGTCATGGATTATATTCATGCCATTCAGATTCTTTCACATTTTATCTTTAGCCTCAAAGATTTCCTGATTGCTCAAAACTATTTATATGACAGTCAATTTGCTCAACTCTTCACTGATTTTTCCAAAACTAATTTTGAGATTAGTCATAATTATGTTGCCCCCATCTGACTGAGGATCTTATCTTGTGACTGACAATGCTTTTGATATATTGTGAAAGCTTTACCCTTTAAGGCAGCAATTCACAGTCTGGCCCATAGACCTTGCTGTCTCCTGAGACCCTTTCAAGGCGTCTTTGGGGTTAAAATCATTTTCATTCTAATTCTAAGATGTTATTTGCCTTTTCACTGCATTGACATTTGCATTGATGGTTAAAAAATAACAGCAGATGAAACTTTTGGCCATTGTCTACTCACAGTAAAACAAAATGTATATTTCACCCAATAATATCCTTGATGAGGCAGTAAAAATTATTAATTTCTTAAAATTGTGATTCTTGAGTATGTCTTTTTAACATTCTCTGTGACAGATTGGGAAAAAATACATGAAGCACTTTTGCTCCATATCAAATTGTAATAATTGTCTTGAAAAAAAAGTTTTTAAAAAAATATTTAAGAATTCAGTTTAAAAATTAAAGTTATTTTAAAATTATTTTTTAAAATCACATAATGCAAAAAATTCTTAATGAACAAAATATCAGTACTTTAAAGACAAGATTCAATTAACACTTTCATGACTATGCTACACTTGGCCCACCTGGACCTGGTGTTGCAGGAATTTTCCTAAAGTTCAGCTAAAGATGGGGTCCTTGTCCATCCCACAGCCATGAAAATTCAGGCTCACAGATGGTTTGAAGGGTAAGTAAAGCAGGGCTTTATTGGGTGAAAAGGAAAAAAGAGGGGAAACAGGGACTCTCAGCGAGGCCAGAGTTCATCTAGAGCACTTCCGGACCGCGCCCAAATCCCAGGTTCCACACAGGAAGAGGAGGGGCCAGGCTCTTCCCTGCTGCAAGTGGCACAAACTTCCGCAGCTCCACCCCAGTGCACAGGCCAGTTGGAGTTTTTCTGGGAACCCCCTCCCCTCTGGCTGTCTCACTGGTTCTAATAAAGCTTTATTTACAGAGATAGTCAACCTGTGAGCTGTAGTTTGCTGCTTTGATTTTGAGTTGATATTTTTAACATATTGCCTTAAAATGTTACTTTGATTACTGAGTTTTTTGGCACCCTCTTAAATTTTACCTCCAAGGCAAGTGTGTCACTTGCCTTAGCCTAATCTCAGCCCTGCATTGTCCTAAGAATTTTAGATGTATTAATATTACTAGAGAATAAATCAAGAAATGACAGTGTTCAAATGCATGAAAGCATAATTTTGAAAACTGCTCAAGTATGAATAATTCCATCTGTTCATATGTGTGAAAATTTAACTCAACCCTGTGGAGATGGAGTTTTCTACCTTAGGAGGGTCCTGTAGGATGGGTTCCCAGCAGACTTGATGCCCAGTCTGTAGGCAAGAAGCAGAAATAAACCATGTGGAGGGCCAGCCCCACCTCAAGAAGTGTTTCTAACCTGGAAACCCAAGGAGCATAGGGGACGGTGCACAGCATTAGAGTGGTAAAGAAAATGGTTCAATTCCAAATTTTCTGCCAATACCCAACTTGACCCATCAATGAACCTAAACTGAATCAAAAGCTGCAGAGTACATTCCTATTACCCAAACTAACCTCTCCCACATAAGCTAATTCCCTCTTGGGTTTCCTCCCATGGATTGTGTTTAACAATAAGGATAGAGTAATTGGCAGAGCTAAGGCCAATTACACAGGAGAGACTAGGCGTTAGCCCCCCACTCCTGCCCCCACATAATGGATAATGTAGACATTCCCCAAGTTACACAGTCATTCCATTCAGGAGGCTGTTGTGCAGCTCAGATTTTAATTTGAATCCAAAATGTTTGAATGCATGTGCTGTATATTGCAATAATACCACATATGTAACTGCAGGCATTATGCAGAAATAACACAGATGTTTGCAGCAAGTAGAGACAGTGTGAGACTTGCTGCAATCACTGCTACCTGCTCTGTTCTTCCAGTAATACTAAGCTGAGTAATGGCTCCCAAAGACATTAGGTTGTCCTCCCTGGAACCTATAAATATTATCATATTTGGGAAAAGGGTCTTTGTAGATGAGAGTAAGGATTTTGAGATGGGGAGATAATTCTGGATTATCTGTGGGCCTTAACTGCAATCACATGCATCCTTATGAAAGTGGCAGAGGGCGATTTTGCTTACACAGAAGAGAAGGCACTGTGAAGATGAAACAGAAAGAAATTTGAAAATGCTGATCTTAAAGATTTTAGTGATGAAGCCACAGCCAAGGAATGCCGGCAGCCACCAGAAGCTGCAAGATACAAGAAACAGATGCTTCCTTAAAGCCTCTGCGGGGAGTGCAGTTCTGCTGACATCTTGATTTTAGCACAGTGATTCTCATCTCAGACTCTGGCTTCCAGAACTGTGAGAGAATAAATTACTGTTGTTTTGAGATACCAAGTTTGTGGTAATTTGTTACAGCAGCCATAGGAAACTAATGTACTAAGTCTGTAAAATCTTAAAATGGAACCCTTTGCATAAGGCTGAGAATGAGTCAGTCTGAATTAGGGGAGCATCTGTAAATCTGTAATGATGCAGGACTTTTTGTTTGTTTGTTTGTTTGTTTGTTTTTTGTTTTGTTTTTTGAGACGGAGTCTCGCTCTGTTGCCCAGGCTCTGGAGTGCAGTGGCGCGATCCCAGCTCACGATGCAGGGTATTTCTTAAGGAGATGTGTGCATGTCAGTGTGCTTTGTCCCTAAACCTTACAGCTCCTTATAATTTACTCATTGAGTCACCAGATATTTACTAAGCACTTCCTCTGTATAGTTCTGCTAGGTGTGGATATTCAAAGACATAGCGCAGTGCTCAGAATTGAGCAGAAATCCACTGGGCTTCTTCCTGGATCCTCTAGTAGCAAACCAGAGCCAACCTGTGCTGCTGTGATTACCATCTCTTGCGGTTGTCTTTCAACCACTACTTGTCTTTCTGTTTTTAAGTTTTTCTTTTTTTTTTTTTTTGAAATGGAGTCTCACTCTGTCACTCAGGCTGGAGTCCAGTGGCGCAATCTCAGCTCACTGGGTTCAAGTGATTCTCCTGCTTCAGCCCCCAAATAGCTGGGATTACGGCGTGTGCCATCACATCCAGCTAATTTTTGTATTTTTAGTAGAGATGGGTTTCATTATGTTGGCCAGGCTGGTCACAAACTCCTGACCTCAAATGATCGGCCCACCTCGGCCTCCCAAAGTGCTGGGATTACAGGCATGAGCCACCATGCCTGGCCTACGTTTTTCATTTCATACAGCTGAGAATTTGAAACTGGCTCTGAGGAAGCAAAGGAATAAGTGGATGCTGGGAGAATTACTTGTCTGAGAAGTTCATTTTATGACAGGTGCATCTATTGTCTCTTCCTGTGAAGGATGAAAATCAGAATTTAAAGCAACTTCCCTTGTTAATTATCGTTTACTTCTGGGGCTTCCCCACAGCTCTTACTCAGTTTTATCCAGTTTTCCTCACTTGGAGAAAGTAGGCACTACTGACCTAGGAGAAACTTTTGTCTAAATTGGCCACCTAGCTGTGGGCCAAGTAGTGGCCAGTTTGCTGGCGGCTAGGTGACCAGCTTAGACAAAATGGCCCTCTCGTGCTTTTTGTCTAAACTGACCACATAGAAATGATTTGCCCATCAATTTCTCATTTATCCACTCTAAAATGCTTTTCTTAGTTCATTAATTTCCATCAGTCAGATGTTAGATCTATTTTGGGCTATAGCTTCACTCATGTAGACTGAGCAAACTCTTTTTAGCATGGATAACGCAAGAATGAAATGGAATTAGGGCAAGAGAGGTGTTTGGTGTGCTGTATTTAAATGCAAAAATTTGGAATCTTTGGTGAAGTTTGGAGTATGTAGGTGTGTCTCTGTGCGTGCAAGAAAAAAATTTCAGCCAGGAAAAAAAGGAACAGTGGAAACTAATTTTTGGCTTTAGCCCTTTTCCCAATCACATCAGCATCACTGGAGCAAACTGACTCTTTCCTATATATAATGTATAGTTGCAGTGTTTAATTTCTTCCCATTTTACTCTTCATATTCCATTTACTTCTATTAAGAGCCCATACTTTCTGATCGGATGTCTTCATGTTGGGAGAGATGTAAAAATGTTTATCTTGGTACCTGTCTTGTGCAACCCCTCTGTGGATGTTGTTTTGTGAGAAGGTCGTAAGAGAAAAAGGTGGTGGGAGGAGAAGGAGGAGGAGAAGTAGAACTGATCAGTGTTCTTCCTAGTTTTAATTTCTGGAAGAAAAAGTGAAACCTTACTTAGCCAGCTGTTTTATACCTGAACATCCTGGCTTGTAGAGAGAAGTTGGGAAAGAGACTAGCACACACACATAACACACACAGAGGAAGTAGCGAGGTTATCCGGGATATTCCTTTTCCATCCCCCAATTCCCTTTCTTCCACTCTTTGAAGTTTTTCTGGCAGATGAAGAGTAAAAATCAAAAGAATACATCTTTTAAACTGTGCCACCTAAGAATAAAGCCAAGCGAGCATTGGACTTCAGCCTGGAATTGGAATGTACTATTTGCCCTAATTAAAATGCAACAAGGCTGTAGGCACAGTGGAGTTAGGGACAAAGAGACTGTCATTAATGGTACGTCTCTTATTTTTGATGGTATTTAAATGGCTAGAAGCTGCACTGAGAACCTTAGAGAAGCCAGGGAGTTGTTAGTCCCCACCCTAGTGACCTGGCTGCTACTTATTTTATTGTGCACTGAAGCATACCAAGGTTGATTGGAAAACCAGGAGCAACAGCTGGTAGGAAAAACAACTCCAGAAATGCTTAAATCATCAAGGCAACAACTTTCTCTTGGACTTTAATTAGGGCAGGGTTTGAAGTGAATAAGTGCCATCACGGTTGGCCAGGGAAAAAAGGAGATATACAGTCTCCCTTAGAAACATATGATTAAAATTGGTCAGGTGCGGTGGCTCACGCCTGTAATCCCAGCACTTTGGGAGGCCAAGGCAGGCGGATCACAAGGTCAGGAGTTTGAGACCAGCCTGGCCAACATGGTGAAACGCCATCTCTACTAAAAATACAAAAATTAGCTGGGTGTGGTGGTGGGTGCCTGTAGTCTCAGCTACTTGGGAGGCTGAGGCAGGAGAATCGCTTGAACCTGGGAGGCGGAGGTTGCAGTGAGCCAAGATTGTGCCACTGCACTCCAGCCTGGGTGACAGAGTGAGACTCCATCTCAAAAAAAAAAAAAAAAAAGAAAAGAAATAAAAATATGATTAAAATAAAATGAGAGTGACAAAAGCCTTTTTTTTTTGAGACTGAGTCTCACTCTTGTCACCCAGGCTGGAGTGCAGTGGTGTGATCTCAGCTCACTGCAACCTCCGCTTCTGGGTTGAAGTGATTCTCCTGCCTCAGCGTCCTGAGTTACTGGGACTACAGGCACCCGCCACCATGCCTGGCTAATTTTTGTATTTTTAGTAGAGATGGGTTTTACCATGTTGGCCAGACTGGTCTTGAACTCCTGACCTCTGGTGGGTGATCCACCCACCTCAGCCTCCCAAAATGCTGGGATTACAGGCGTGAGCCACCACGCCTGGCCTGACAAAAGCCTTTGTATAACCATATATATGGAAAAAGAGCATCAGTTCTTCAGACCTGAGTTTACTAGGAATGAAGAAGCATATGGAATCATACCCCTTGAATCTTTTATGAAAATTATGTTCAACATTAAAACCCTTGAAATTTGAGGGAGGCCAAATGAGGGATTCATACCTCTTTGACTTCATAAGACCCATTTGAGTCGGGCCATGTTGATAAGTGAGCTCTTTAGAAGATTTTTATTAGAACCTTTAATGTCAAATACTTAAATTAGCCACAAGAACACTGTTCACATCTCCCATTTGAGGTTGCCATATGATTTAAGGTTGTATGGTGAAAAATGTCAACAAATTTAACTGAAAACTCATTTATTGAACTCTGAACTAGATGCATAGATATTCTACAAAACCATGAGCAGAACCAGCATGTTTTAAAAAAAAAAAACAACCTTCTGGTGTTAAATCAAAATGAAATTTTGTATAGTTCTCTAAAGAAATTTTTTTGAAAATGAACCTAAACCCATCTCATGTCTTATTCACGTTGAGTCCTTTAGCCAATAGTGTTCCTGACTATCTCTAGTTACAAAAAGTTTGATTAACATATAAGGCTTCCTCTGGCTTTAAAATTCCACCAGGTACCGGGAAGAATATAGCAGTCAGCCCATCTATCATCCAAAATCTTTATACTGTTCTCTCAAAGCCAAGGCTGATTTTAAGTACGTACATTTTACAAGTGTGGGTGTGTTTAGAACATGTCTGCAAATGCCTGCAGACAAATGGACTAAAAGAGCAAAGTTCATCCTTAAAATTTAAAAAGAAAAAAAAATTAAGGCACTATTGTCAGCATGAAGCTTCCTGTTCACTCATATGCTGACCTTCCTCCAGGGACATGGTAATTTTTCTGCAAGGCCAGGGCTGAATTGGACCCATTATGCAGATACTGCAGGATGTGCATAATTACAAACAACAACAAAAAAACCCTTTCATTTCCGGAACTTTTGTCCCATAGCCCAAGCAAAACACTAGTATTCCCTTATGCTTCAAACGTCTTCCCTAAAAGCTTGGGCTAAGGCCTTCCCATTGTGTCTGGGGAAACTAATTATTTGGGACCAGAGAAAGAGCCACTTGTTTGGGGGAGGATCAGAGATGATGTCAGCCATTTAAGAGGGAGGCAGGGGTGACAGCTGAGAGGCTTCATCCTGAAGAAGACTAGCCCCGCCGTTAATTTCTATTATGTTGTTCATTCTGGCTAATGGGGGTAGTGAGTGGTGGGTGGGGGTGGAATAAGATATCCCAACCCTTTTGGTGAATATGTGGACAAGGCCCTACTGCATTTTGCATGCATATGTAATTCCCCCTGCAACAGAAGAGGCTTTATTTTTTTTAATACCTTCAATTGTTCTTCTGTGCTTCTAAATGTAGTTAATGACCTTTGTGGAGTCCGTCTCAGAGGATGCTGTACCCAGGAATAAATTTCAGCAGAGCCTTTCCTTCTCAGGGCTGATGCCGTCTCTGATCCTCTCCCCTGGGCTCCGTCTGCTGTAATTGCACTGCCTCTCTCGCCGTTCCAGGCCAGTTCACTGCTGCCCTGGCTGTTCCCTCTGCCCTGAGAGCTTTTCCTCCACATTTTCACTCCAAACTCTGCTCAAGCATCGCCTCTGCAGCGGGGGGCCAGAACCCTCCACCTCCACTCTCTAGCTTTTTTCTGCTTCAAATGTCTTCACAGCCCATGCCTCTACCTGCAATTGGGTCAAATATGCATTAGTTTACTTGTTATTATCTCTCTTCTCCATAAAGGGAAAGACTTTGTCTATCTAATTTATTCTTTATTCCAGAATATGGTTTGAGGAACTTAGTAGGTGCCCACCTAGGATTTGCTGGACTAGTGAAAGGAGAGAGAAAAGATGGACATGAAACCTTCTGCAGAATGACTAAGTGACTGACTCCCATTTGTGGGGCTAATGAGCTGTTAGGTAGAACTTGAAGGATGGCGCCCTCAGTGAAGTCAGCTTGTTGTTTTTTAAACAAGATAGGCAAGGAAACTGGCCTCTTACCCATCCTGTCCCCTTCTTTTCAGCTATTTTCATAGGGTTATGATTTCCCATTGTTCCACACACATATGTATGTGCATACATGAGTGTATACACACCATGGACATATACATAGATACATACACACATACATACATACACATACACAACTACACCTATATTTTTTTCCTGAGGCCTGCTTTAAAAAGCACATTTAAAAGCAATAGTTTTGTTGTATTTAAAAGTGTCATCATGCCACGGAGGATGGTGAAGTGTTCTTAAAAATAACTCTTTCCAGTATCTAAAAGGAAACAGAATATTTTATTAAAACTCCAATATTCTCCTCTTGCAGAGAATGTGCAAGCTCACCCAGAGAGGCCATGTGGCCTAGCTCACCCTTGGTGTGGGATACAAAACACAATAAACCACCCAAGCATGCATCAATTAACTAGTTCATTCATGCAGAAAAAAATGTAGGTGCTGGGAATACAGTTATGGGAGAGCTGGACACAGTCCCTGCTCTCCCCACGTTGAAGTTGCCTAACAGTTGGGCAATCTGTTACTAATGGAGCTTTTGGGGAGTGAACAAGAGCTCCTCTGAGCTAGTCCTGGGAGCAGTAGCTGCTTCATACTGCCAGCTATGAAAAAGCAGAGGAGCCACAGATAAAAGAATGGAGTTAGATCTATTTTCTGTGCATGGATGGGCACATTTACACATCAAAAAAATCCTATAACTCTGGTGATTAAACATCAAAATATAAAGGACATGACATCAAAATATATGTATTTAAAATTTTAATCTACCCAGGATCCCGAAGGACAAGAAGAAAGAAAAATACTGTATTAGCTGACAACTTGCAGATTTATTATTCACATAATCCATGTTATTTTGATTTCCCGCTTTATGCTCACGTTCAAGTCATGTTCAAACACTGTGGATACAGCCAAATACTCGTGCCCCATGGAGCCCACATTCTGCGGGGGGACAGGGAGGGGGGTTCATACCAGAAACACACTAAAGAAGTAAATATAAGTGTGTTAGGGGCTGGGCGCGATGGCTTACGCCTGTAATCCCACCACTTTGGTAGGCTGAGGCGGGCAGATCACTTGAGGTCAGGAGTTTGAGACCAGCCTGGCCAACATAGTGAAACCCTGTCTCTACTAAAAATACAAAAATTAGCCGGGCGCCTGTAATCCCAGTTACTCGAGAGGCTGAGGAAGGAGAATTGCTTCAACTGGGGAAGCAGAGGTTGCAGTGAGTTGAGATTGTGCCACTACACTCCAGCCTAGGCAACAGAACAAGACTGTGTCTCCAAAAAATAAAATAAATAAATAAATAAATAAAAATAATACAGTAAGTGTGTTAGGTAACAAACTGGGAAGGAGAGAAAAATGAGGCAAAACAAGGGACTATGGTGAGGGGGATGTGAAATTTTCCATAAGGCCAGGGAGTGACTGTTTGAGAGGTAAATGTGAGTGAAGACCTGGGGGAAATGGGGCAGCAAGCCTTGCAGAAAGTAGGGAGGAGTCTTCCATGTGGAAGGAACAGCAAGTGAATAGCCCTTGAGGGGCACCTGTGCTCTTGGTGTGTGACCGGAGTAGAGTGAATGTGGAGAGAAGACAAGGAGGTGAGGCAGAAACGTTACAGAGACTCAGACACACAGGTCCTTGGCAGACATGTTGAGGACTTTGATTTTTTATTGTGGGTGAGATGGAAAGCTAATGGAGGGTTTTGAACTGAGGTGTGGCCTGATCCAGCTTGAGTTTCAACAGTAATTCTGTTAAAACTGTGTGGCAGCTATGGTGTAGCGGTTGAGAGTGGTGTATCTGAGAATAGACTGGGAGGAGAGGACAGAGGTGGAGGCAAGGAGACCAGGTAGGAGGCCACTGTATCCATCCAGGCAAGAGAGGATTGTGGCTTGCAGCAGGGTGGTAGCTTGGAGAAGGCAGGAAGTGATTGGATTCCAGATGTATTTTGAAGGTAGGACTAGCAAAAATTGTGATGGAGCAACTGTGAGAAGAATCAAGGATGACTTGATGGTTTTGTTCTGAGCAGTTGAAAGGATGCAGGGGCTGGTTTGGAGGGAATAACAGGAGCTTAGTTTTGGACATGTAAAGTTAGAGACCCAGATGGAGATGTCAAGTCGATTTGGACAAAAATATATGTTTGAGAATAATAACCATCACCACCTAACCCATGTTGAGTACTCTTTTTGTGCCAAGCACTTTTGCTAGTGCCTCATCAGTATTAACCTAATCCCCTTAGGAGGTTTGTACTCTCTTCAGCTCCATTTTACAGGTGAGAAAAAGGAGGAACAAATGGATTTGAGCAACTTGCTCCAGGCTACAGGGCTGGATTTGGTATGCAAACCAGGCAGTCTGGATCCAGGGTCCCTGATCTTAACCTCATAGGAAAGGAGAAGAAGCAGATATTGATCTTTCCTTCACTTTATTCCTTCAAGCTGGATGGATGTGGCTTGAAATATGATGGCAGCATCCTGTTTTTACCTGGCTCAGACATCAAAGGTCTGGCCCCTGGGAGCAGAGTCAGCTCCAAGCCCAGTACTTTCTTTCAGCTAAGCTTGTGGCCTGAGGACATTCAACTAAGAACCTGAATAAAATAACTTATCGGAGATTTCTAAGCCGAAAAATAAACAAAGTGTATTAGAGCGAATGAGAACAGTTTGTGAGAGGCAGAAGCTTTGCTTCTCCCAAATGCACTCTTCCTAGTTTCTCTTTCAAGAGAAACGTTGGCATTTTATCTCACAAATGTAAGGAGCCGATGTGCAAATACCATTAAGTGAAATAGCTTTCTTACTGAGTAATCTGTCTTTTTTTGATATGTGGTTTTAATAAGTTTTATTACCTATTGAATAAATACAAAAGAACATTTAAGATTGTGTATTAGATTATAAAGAACAGCAGTACAACCCATCACCCAGTTTAATAAATGGAATATTGTCATCGCCGGAGGCCCTGCGTGTTTCCCTACTGATCACACCCTCCTCCCTCATCACATCCCCTTCCCTCCCCTCTGTATCACCACCTTCTGAGTTTCATGATGATAACTACCTTACTTTTCTTGACAGTTTTACTACCTACACATGCATCAAGAATGATAATTTAGCCTGGTTTTGAACTTTATATATATGGAATAATACTGTATTACTCTGTGGCTTACTCCTTTAATACATTTTTTGTGGGAATTGTCCATGTCAAAAACGAAAAGAACTTGTAGCTATGGTTCTTTTAGTTTTTATTACTCTGTGTTCCATTATAGTAATATGCTACAATCCATTTATCCATTCTGTTTTTGATGGACATTTGGATTGTTTCTTTTCTTTTCTTTTCTTTTTTTTTGAGACAGAGTCTTGCTCTGTCGCCCTGGCTGGAATGCAGTGGCACGATCTCAGCTCACTACAACGTCCGCCTCCCGGATTCAAGCGATTCTCCTGCCTCAGCCTTCTGAGTAGCTGGGATTACAGGTGCCTGCCACCACACCTGGCTAATTTTTTGTGTTTTTAGTAGAGATGGGGTTTCACTGTGTTGGCCAGGCTGGTCGCAAACTCCTGACCTCGTAATCCGCCTGTGTCAGCCTCCCAAAGTGCTGGGATTACAGGTGTGAGCCACCGTGCCCGGCCCATTTGGGTTGTTTCTAAGATGATAATGCACTTCCATGAGCATTATTTTTGTCTTTCTATGAACATTTTTAACGTGTATCCTGGTGAACATGTGCAGGTGGTTCTCTTGTATAAAAAAGTAGGATGGGAATTGCTGTGCTTTAGGATGTGTTCATATTCAGCTTAATCAGATAACAACAAGCCATTTTCTAAAGTGGTTTCTAGTTACTATCCTACCAGCTGTACATGAAAGACACTGTGGCTCCATTTCCTCAGCTGCACTTAGGATTGTCATATTTTTCTATTTTTGTGATCAGGGAAGTGGAGAAAGAAAGGGGGAAGGGTAACAGGATCTTAATATATCATGTGATTTAAATTGCATTTCCTAGATTACTAACAAGGTTGAGAGCATCCTTTTTTGGTGCCATTTGGATTTTTCTTTCATGAAATCCCTGTTCAGCTATATTCCTGTTGGTGTCTCTGCCTTTTTCTTGCTGATTTCTGGGAGTTCCTGGTGCATTCAATGTGTGGCACATATTATCTCCTATCCTGTGAATGGTCTTTTCATTCTCCTTATGTCTTTTGGCAAAAATAAGTTATTTATTTTAATGATACAGTTTTTTTCAATTTCTCTTTTATTATTAGTGCTTTCTGTGTCTTGGTAAAGAAAATATTTCTCTACTCCAAAGTCATGAATGCATTTGGCTATATTGTCTTCTAAAATGTTTCTTATATAGCCTTCACACTTTGACATTCAATCTAGCTAGAATTGATTTTTCTGTACAGTTTGAAGTACAAGTCTAGTTTCACTTTTTCATGTAGATATCCAGTTTTTCTAATACAATGTTTTATTGTTGTTTATTTTAACATGAATACTTATAAATATATTACTCAAAACTCAGCTTCATTCATTCTAAATAGTATGATTCTGCTTGTTAATATGGGTGAAAGCCATGCTATAATTTTTTTTTCTTTCCAACATTTATTTTAGATTCAAGGGGTACATGTGCAGGTTTGTTACCTGAGTAAATTGCCTGTCATGGGGGTTTGGTCTACAGATAATTTTTCACCCAGGTAATCAGCATAATACCCAATAGGTAGTTTTTCAATCCTCACTCTCCTCCCACCCTCCACCCTCAAGTGGGCCCCAGGGTCTGTTGTTTTCTTCTTTATTTCTGTGTGTACTTAGTGTTTAGCTCCCATTTACAAGTGAGAACATGTGGTATTTGGTTTTCTGTTCCTGGGTTAATTTGTTTAGGATAATGACCTCCAGCTCCATCCATGTTGCTGCAAAGGACATGATCTCATTTTTTTTATGGCTGCGTAGTATTCCATCGTGTATATGTTCCACATTTTCTTTATCCAGTCCGCCATTGATGAGCATCTGGGTTGATTCTACATCTTTGGTATTGTGAATAGTGCTGCAAGGAACATATGTGTGCATGTGTTGTTATTCCTTTGGGTATATACACAGTAATGGGATTGCTAGGTCAAATGGTGGTTCTGTTTTAAGTTCTTTGAGAAATCTTCAGACTGCTTTCCACAGTGGCTGAGTTAATTTACATTCCCACCAGCAGTGTGTAAGCATTCTCTTTTCTCTGCAACCTCAACAGCATCTATTATTTTTTGACTTTTTGATAATAGCCATTCTGACTGGGGTGAGATGGTATCTCATTGTGGTTTTGATTTGCATTCCCCTAATGATTAGTGATATTGAGCATTTTTTCATATGCTTGTTTGCCGTATGTTTATCTTCTTTTGAGAAGTGTCTGTTCATGGCCTTTGCCCATTTTAATGGGGTTGTTTGTTTTTTGCTTGTTGATTTAAGTTTCTTATAGATTCTTGACATTAGACCTTTGTCAGATGCATAGTTTGCAAATATTTTTCCCACTTTGTAGATTGTCTGTTTACTCCGTTGATAGTTTCTTTTGTTGTGCAGAAGCTCTTTAGTTTAATTAGGTCCCACTTCTCAATTTTTGTTTTTACTGAAATTGCTTTTGGAATCTTTGTCATGAAGTTTTTGCTAGGGCCAATGTCCAGAATGGTATTCCCTACATTTTCTTCTAGGGTTTTTATAGTTTCATGTTTTACATTTAAGCCTTTAATCCATCTTGAGTTATTTTTTATACATAGTGAGAGGTAGGAGTCCACTTTCAATCTTCTGCAAATGGCTAGGCAGTTTTCTCAACACCATTTATTGAATAGAAAGTCTTTTCCCCATTGCTTGTTATTGTTGGCTTTGTAGAAGATCAGATGGTTGTAGGTGTGCAGCTTTATTCTGGGTTCTCTAACCTATTTCATTGGTCTGTGTATCTGTTTTTATACCATACCATGCAGTTTTAATTATTGTAGCCTGTGGTGTAGTTTGAAAAGGGTAGTGTGATGTCTCTAGCTGTGTTCTTCTTGCTTAGGATTGTTTTGCCATGCTAGAATTTTAATTGACACTGAAGTAAATTTATAAACCAGTTTGGGGAGAATTAACATCTTTACAACGTTAAATCTTTCAATCTCTAAATGTTTATCTATTTATCTCTATCTCCATATATATATCTCCATATATATCTTTCTCCATTTATTTAATCTTCTTTATTGTCTGTTAATAAACTTTAGAAATACTTCCTCTAAGGCTTAGCACATTTTTTGTTAGGTTTGATACTACATATGCTTCATACTTATTGTTGCTATTACAAATACTGTCTTGCTTTAAATTTCATTTTCTAAATATTTCTTGCTGGCTTTCAGAAACACAATTCACTTTTATATGTTGATTTTTTAATTAACAAGCATACCTTGCTAACATTATTAATTTGCTAACTTATTGGTAAAGTCTTTTGGTTATTTTACATATACAAAAATATCATCTGCAAATAATGACAGTTATGTTTCTTTTACTTCTTTTCACTTCCTGCCTTACTGTGCAGGCTCTGATCATAAATATGATGTTGAACAGAAGAGAGGATAATGAACATCACCATCTTGATCAGAATCTCCAAGGGTTAATTAAGCTTTGGGGGGTATTTCTGTTAGGTTTAGGGAGTCCTTCTGTTTCTAATTTGCTAAAAATTACTACCATGAATAAAGACTAAAATTTATTTTTAGTGCTTTTTCTATACTATGATGGTAAGATTTTTCTCTTTTAATATGTTATTGCAGTGAATTACATTAATTGATTTTCTAATGTTAACCCATGTATTCTCAACAGGGTGATATTATCCCCAAGGGGGCTAAAAATAGTTCTTGAGTAGGGCAAATAAATTGTAATTTTTGTTGTATACAGAATAGCTATAATATATATATACAGTACAAAAGTAAACAAAATATATGTGTAGCATTAAAATTTCAAAAACTTTTACTTTGCAAAAACTCTGTGAAAAGGATGAAAAGACAAGCTACAGACTGGGAGAAAATATTTTCAAACCACAGCCAACAAAGGACTAGTATCAGGCCAGGCACAGTGGCTCATGCTTGTAATCCCAGCACTTTGGGAGGCCAAGGCAGGTGGATCACTTGAGCCCAGGAGTTTGAGACCAGCCCGGGAAACATAGTGAAACCCCATCTCTATGAAAATATGAAAAACTAACTAGGCATAGTGGTGTGCACCTGTAGTTCCAGCTACTCTGGAGGTTGAGGTGGGTGGATCGCTTGAACCTGGGAGGTGGAAGTTACAGTGAGCTGAGATGGCATCACTCCACTCCAACCTGGACAACAGAGTGAAACACTGTCTCAGAATAAAAACAAAAGGACTAGTATCTAGAATATATAGAAAAATCTCAAAACCCAACAGTAAAAAGTTCCCATTAAAAAAATGGGCTAGGCTGGGTGTGGTGGCTCATGCCTGTAATCCCAGCACTTTGGGAGGCCAAGGTGGGCTGTCACTTGAGGTCGAGAGTTTGAGACCAGCCTGACCAACATGGTGAAACTCCGTCTCTACTAAAAATACAAAATTAGCCAGGCGTGGTGGTACATGCTTGTAATCCCAGCTACTTGGGAGGCTGAGGCAGGAGAATTGCTTGAACCCAGGAAGTGGAGGTTGTGGTGAGCTGAGATCATGCCATTGCACTCCAGCCTGGGCAACAAGAGCAAAACTCCATCTTCCAAAAAAAAAAACAAAAAAATGAGCTAAAGAAATAAACATATGTTTCACCAAAGAGAATGTATCGAGATAGTAAGTAATCACATGAAAAGATATTCAATATCATTATCCATTAGGGAAATACAAATTAAAATGATCCTTTCACTGCACATCTATTAGAATAACTGAAATAAGAAGTAATGGTAAGACTAAATGCTAGTGAGGATGCCGAGAGATTGGATCATTCATGCATTGCTGGTGGGAATATAAAATGGTACAACCACTTTGGAAAACAGTTTGGTGGTTTCTTATAAAACTAAACGTGCAATTACCGTATGACCCAGCAATTGCACTCTTGGACTTTATCCCAGAGAAATGGAAACTTACGTTCATACAAAAACCTGTACACAAATGTTTATAGCAGCTTTATCCATAATAGCTAAGAACCAAAAACAGCCTAGATGTCCTTTGATGGAGAAAGAAGGAAACTAACTGATATATGTATATCATGGAATACTACTCAGCAATAAAAAGGAATGAACTACTGGTACATGCAACAACTCAGATGAAGCTCAAAGGCATTATGCTGAGTAATAAAAGCCAGTCCTAAAAAGTTGTATAATGCATGATTCCATTTATATTGCATTCTTGGAATGACAAAATTATAGAAATGAAAAACAGATTAGTGGTTGTCAAAGGTTAGGAACAGAGTATGGAGATGGAGGCAAGGTAGGAGGGAAATGGGCATGCTTATGAAAGTGCAGCAGGAAAGATCCTTGCAGTGATGGAACTGTTCTGTATCTTGACTGTGGTGGATACATGTACCTACACATTGATAACATTGCATAGAACTAGATACACACACACCCCCACGTACATGTAAAACTGGGGAAATATGAATAAGATTGGTGGATTGTATTAATGTCAATTTTCTGATTGTAATATTCTATTAGAGGACGGGAATTCAAGAGAGAGTGATTAGGGGAAAAAATGTACAAGAAGTTTCCTTAGGGGGACAATAATGAGAAAAAGGTTGAGAAACACTGTGTTAAACCAACCTTGTATAAATTGGATAACTCAATTTAGTCATTATATAATTCTCCTTTCCATAGATCACTAAATTCTCTTTGATAATTTGTTTGGGATCCTTTTACCTATGTCCATGATTGAGATTATTTTGTAATTCTCCTTTTAGAGACTTTACATATAAATTGGGTATATATTGTCAGGTTTTGGTGTCTAACCTTACAAATGCTAACCTTATAAAATGAGTAGATGAGTGGCCTTTCTTCTTGTGTACTCTGGAGTAGTTAGTGGAAGATTAAAATTTTTTCTTTTTCCTTTAACGTTTGATAGAACTTTTCAGTAAAAGCACCTGGCCTGACATTTTTCTGGTGGGAAGGTTTTAAGTCTTGGTTCACTTTATTTCAAGGTTATTGGACAAGTCAGGTTTTTAACCTTCTTCTTGAATCAGTTTTGAAAAGTTATATTTTGCTAGGACTTCTATAGTTTTATCCGTATTTATGTATTGGTATAAAGACATTTATTATTTCCCTTCATTGCCTTCTGAATATAGTATTTGTAATTGTGTACACTTTTCATTCCTACTGTTATTTGCACTCTTTTTAATTCTATTAGTCTTCTCTAAGAACATTTTATCTGTGTATTTTAAAATTTTTTAAATAATTTATGATTTTATATTTATTATTTCCTTTTTCTAACATTCTGTGATTTATTTTGCTCTACTTTTGTATCTTAATAAATTGGGAGCTTACTGTATGAAGTTTCATTTGTCTTCTAATATAAGCTGACAATACTGCTTACATATATTCTTAAAATTTTCACATATAGTATTTTCATTATTGCTTGATTCAAAATATTTCCTAATATTTATTGATATTTCTTCTTTGGCCAGTGAATTATTTAGAAGTATGTTTCTTAATTTTTAAATTTTTCAAATTGTTTTTTATCTAGTATAGACAACTAGATACTAGTTAACCAGACAACTAGTTAGATAACTAGATACTTAATTGTATCATAACCAGTATTTGTGGTCTGTATACCAATTTTTTGAAATTTGTTCCAGCTTGCTTCATGTCAAGTGATGGCATGTTATCACTTATCATAAAAATTCTTGGTGTTATTATAAAAAATATGCATTCTTCACCGGTTGAGTGTAATGTTCTATGATCATTAGATCAGCGTGGTCATTTTGTTGTTTAAAGCTTCTGTTTGCTTGCTGATATTTTTGCTTGCTTGATATATCAATAACTGAGAGGTGTATTTTAACATCTTCCATTATGATGATGGACATTTCTTACTTTCTTACAGTTCTGTCAATTTTTGCATTAATAATTTTGAGGCTATGTTATTAAATATATCCAAGTTTAGGATTATATATTTCTGATGAATTGTACTTTTTATCATTTTGTTGTAAAGTCTATCCATAATCTATAACTATATCAACTTTCTTTTCATTAATAT
This sequence comes from Homo sapiens, assembly GCF_000001405.40. Lineage (NCBI taxonomy): Eukaryota > Metazoa > Chordata > Mammalia > Primates > Hominidae > Homo > Homo sapiens. The sequence continues at coordinate 81,375,402 of NC_000014.9, read as the reverse complement.
TTTATCTTATATGGCTTTCCCATCCCTTTACTTTCATCATTGATAATCCTTTGTATTTTAGATATATTTTTTGTGCATACCATGTTAAATTTCATTTGTTAATTCAACCTGTCAGTCTTTTTGTCTTGAATGCTTAGTCCATTTATGTTTATTTTTAAGTACTGATATAGTTTTATTTCTAACCTCTTACATTCCTTTTATTTCACCTTTCTTTCCTCCTTTAAGGATATTTATAGTTTTTGTTTGTCTGAATTGTCTTTATTTTTTCCCTGTTCTGTGAAGATATTTCACTGGGTATGTAATTCTAACTTCATAGTTATTTTTCTGTCTATACTTTGAAGTGCACATTGGCTTCTCCTGCTCTGGAAAGAGGTGGTAGTCAGTCTAAACATTCTTCGTTTGAAGGTAATGTGTATTTTCTCTTTGATGGCTGTTAAGATCTTCTCTTTGTTTTTGGTCTTATGTATTTTTGGTGTCTATTTGTAGATTTATTTTTAGTTACCCTGCTTGAGATATCTTGGAATTTCTAATCTGACAAGTAAAATCTTTCATAAATTCTAGGGAATTTTCAACCAGTATTTTTTCAAATATTGCCCCTCTACCATTTTCTTTCTCCTCTCCTTAGGAACTCATATTAGATATCTATGAGACTGTCTCACGCTGCCCTCCGTGTGTCTTCATCTCTCTTTCATATTTTCATCTTTTTGTCTATGTTATCCATTCAATTTTGTATTTACAGTAGCATATTTTTCTTCTCTGGAAGTTTATTTAGTTCTTTTTCAATTGTACATGCTCCTTTTTCATATTTTTAATTTCTTTTCTTATTTCCTTAAACAGATTAAACAGTTGTATTTTTTGCTCAACAATTCTAGTGTCTGAAAGTTCTTTGCAGATCTCATTCTGCCTGTTCACCCCACCCACCCACACACTTTGCTGGTTCTTGTTCATGGTAACTTGATTTCTTATGCATTTTGTGATTTATTTATTTATTATTTATTATTTTTTCTGCCATGTGCACATCAACTTAGGAACATTCTGTCTGAGGAGGCTGGTTTGAAGGTATCTTCCTTCAGAAGGGATTATTGGCCGGGCGTGGTGGCTCACGCCTGTAATCCTAACACTTTGGGAGGCAGAGGTGGGCAGATGGATCACTTGAGGTCAGGAATTCAAGACCAGCCTGGCCAACATGGTGAAACCCATCTCTACTAAAAATAAAAAAAAAAAATCGGCCGGGCATGGTGGCGGGAGCCTGCAGTCCCAGCTACTTGGGAGGCTAAAGCATGAGAATCACTTGAGCCCGGGAGGTGGAGATTGCAGTGAGCTGGGATTGCACCACTACACTCCAGCCTGGGCAGCAAAGCGAGAGTCTGTCTCAAAAAAAAAAAAAAAAAAAAAAAAAAAAAGGCATTATTATAGTATTTGCTTTTCCTAGATACATGAGGCTACTAACCTGGAAGTACTTAAACTAGTCTCAACTTGGAGGTTTTTCAGACCACACAAGTAGTTTTAGCTGTACACCCCTATGTGAAAAAATTTGTGGTTATTAATTCTCAGGAGATATTTTTTCCTCTACTCTTCATGCAATCCTAAGGCAGACAATTTTCTTTCCTATCTTCAGCTAAGGGTGGAGGTTATTTCTAACTTACCCTTTAAGACTTTTAGGAATTCTCACTTTATGCGTCAGCTCTTCTGTTCCCCATCTTCGGTTGGCCCTAGGTTCTTTATTGTTTGCCTTCTTCATAAGAGATTTGGAAAACTCAAGAGTCTGGTTTGTTCAAAATCTTGAGAGTGAAAATCAGCTTGTGTCCTCTGTTTACTCTTTTGGGGTTGCAGCTTTCACTCGGCCTCTGATGATTCTTTACTTTGTTGCTCACCGTGTGATGCATTTTAAATAATGTTATTACATTTTACAAATATTTTAATTGTATTTCCATAGTAGTTTAAAGTATCTTAACCACCATACTATAGGAAATGGCATCATATAGCAAGCTTTTATAAATTTGGCTTTGCTTTTTACTTTTGGTTGGTTTATAAAAAATTTTTATCTTTTCTTCTTTTTTAGTATTTTAATTTTTTTCTATGTTTGGGGTGGGGGTTATAGATACCAGTCCAATTTTAATATTCTGTATTTAGTATAGACTGTTATGGAATGATTTGTGGTGCTTCTGTTGATATAACCAACAAATATTTGTTGAATGCCTGCCTTATACCAGGCACTATTCCAGGAATGGGGGTATAGAAGTGAACATAATAGACAAAAATCCCTGCCCCCTCAAGGAGCTTGGATTCTAGTATGGAAGACATGGGCGTGTAGTACATTAGACAGTGATAACACTAAGGACAAATAAAGCAGGGAAGGGGACCTCGCATTTTTGGAGAGAATACTCAGGAATATGCAGAAAGGGTGACATTTTTAAAGAAAAGAGGATATGAACAATGAGAACTCCAGAAAAAGGACCTAAATGCTTTACAAATGCCTAAGGGAATAAGGAATGAAAAATTTTATATTTATACTATTGCAAGCATTGATGTTTATTCTTTCTTCTCTCTTAAATCTCAATTTTTCTTTTTCTATTTGTTTTGGTTTTCCCGGCAGGAGAACTGACATTATCATCTTGGGCAAGTTTCTTAATGTCTTTGAGTTAAAATAAGACTACTGCCTATCTCTCAGGATAGATGGATGAAACAAGACATTTGTAAAATACCTGACATTTGATGGGTACTCAATACATGGTAGTTTCTCTTGTTTTCATTCTTCCTGTCTTATCTAGGTTATTTTCAGCACTTGTTTCAGTACCTGTTGGTAAATTTGCAATGATATGATTCTTCTTCTTCTTTTTTTTTTTTTTTTTGAGATAGGGTTTATCTCTTGTTGTCTAGGCTGGAGTGCAATGGCGCGATCTCACTGCGACACCCGCCTCCTGGGTTCAAGCGGTTCTTGTGTGTCAGCCTCCCAAGTAGCTGGGATTACAGGCGCCCGCCACCATGCCCAGCTAATTTTTGTATTTTTTTAGCAGAGACGGGGTTTTGCCATATTGGCAGGCTGGTCTTGAGCTCCTGACCTCAGGTGATCCACCCGCCTTGGCTTTCCAAAGTCCTGGGATTACAGGCGTGAGCCACCGTGCCCGGCCGTAATGATATGATTCTTATGCAGCACCGTGGAGGCAGCATGTGATAGGAAATTAACTAAAGACAAATTAGGAGAATTCGAAAGTTTCAAATTTGAAAGACTTTAAAAAACCTTTCTAAAGTAGTTTTTAAAGTCTGATTTGGTTCTCAAGACTAAGGAGATAAAGCCAAGTTTTGTACATTTTCCCCTTAAAGGTATTTTTCATTGTATTGCAGCAGGTTGGCAGCCTCAGTAAATCTCCATTTGTAAATGTGACAGTCAGCAGAATCTCCAGTTACAGTCAACTCAAAGCAAGCAGGGGCATGCCACATACATGTTCATATATAGTTACATATCTACTCTTTATCCTTTAACCTAAACTGGCTCTAATGTTTCAGTGTAAATTGGTGAGTTTTTTTGTGCCACTAAAAATGGAGGAAATGTAACAGTAAGGGTGAAACTGCAAGATTCCTGTAGTTTGGGTTTGAAAAAAGCTGAAATCTAAGTTAAGAAGTGAAATTAGACCCTGAAGTAACTTGTGTTCCTTTAGTGAGATTTTCTTTGATTGGAGAGTCCTGGGACCTTACTTTTCTTTTCTTTTCTTTTTTTTTTTTTTTAGACTCAGTCTCATTCATTCTGTTGTCCAGGCTGGAGTGCTGCAAGCTCCGCCTCCTGGGTTCACGCCATTCTCCTATCTCAGCCTCCCGAGTAGCTGGGACTACGGGCTCCAGCCACCATGCTTGGCTAAATTTTTGTATTTTTAGCAGAGACGGGGTTTCACCGTGTTAGCCAGGATGGTCTCGATCTCCTGACCTCGTGATCCGCCCACCTCAGCCTCCCAAAGTGCTGAGATTACAGGCGTGAGCCACCGCACCCAGCCAGGACCTTACTTTTCGTACTGGTTTTGATACTGACTCACCATGGGGTCTCAGTCAGTCAGTTTTTCCTGTCTGTGTCATGAGTGATACTCTCCATACAAGACTTCCTTGCCTCATATGACTGTTGAGATTTCATATGATGTGAGCAACATCAAAGTAAGATAAGCACTAAAGATAAACAAAGTACAACTATTTATATTGTATGCTTTTGGTTTTTGGTCTCTCCCCAGCCCTACCATTGACCATGCCCTGCTGGACATGCCCTTCCTTTGACTCCCTGGGGAGATGCCCTCTGACTTCTGAGAGCAGCTGGACCACCCATTCTGAAGACACCAGCAGTCCTAGCTTTGGATGTTCGTATACAGATCTGCAGCTCATCAATGCTGAGGAGCAGACGAGTGGCCAGGCTTCTGGGGCTGACTCAACTGGTAAGATGGAGCTCTAAGCCAGAGGGCTTTGCAAATCACTTTTGGTGTACCCAGGTCCACTTTAAAGTCCTTTTAAAAATTGCTGCAGCTGGCTTCCTTTGCAGAATGAGTTCAGGTGTTGTTATCCAGTCAAAAAGCTAGAACCCAAAGTGGCTGGAAATTGCATTGGGGAAGATGTATACACAAATTGGATCCTTGGTTGGCAGATTATTCATACTCGGCAACCATTTGACAGTGTATCTTAATATGTTGTTTTCTGACTGTTTGGTATAAATACCATTCTCTGTCAATTTATTTTCTCCTGGAATTACTGAACGTGTGTAAATATGCACAAGGCTGAATCTTTCATCCTACTACCCATGCATCTTGCCTTTTCAATAAGAGGGAGGTAGATTTAAGCAGAGAAAACGAATGTTATATAAAACAGAATGAGAATCAACACTCAGCCACTGTGTCCAGACTACAAATCATTTGGCAGTTAAGTGTTTATTCTGTTGTGCCTTGGTTGAGTGATACATCAATCGGCAATGCACTATGCCTCCTTTATTAAACTTTCCAGTAGGTGTAAGATGGAATGCTGGCTTTCTTTGCAGGTGGAATATGGGTCTGTTAACAAGTGCTGAATTACAGGCAAGGTTTGGGAATGGCACTGGAAAGATACTTGGCATTGGAAAGATGTTCTTGGTGTTTTGGTTATTTGACCCGAGAGATTGGTTTCTTCTGAAAGTGATGAAGTTACTGCTCGTTTCTCTGTGGATGAAATTACCCAGTGTGTTGACAAGATTTGTTTTTCCTCTTCAATGTTGTTCAGAGTTTCTAGATCATTTTTAAGCTTCGGATGTTTGCCCTCATGCTATGTGCCATTCAATTCTACAAGTATAGAGAGCGATCTGTCTTGTAGACTGAAGGCTTCAGGCAGGATTTGGTTTGGTATTTGATAATGTTGCAGAGAATCCTAGTTTATCATGGACTCCCTTTGTCTTCAGAAGCTGTGGTTCTTTATAGCATTTTGTTTTCACAGACACTCCTTCAGTTCTGGTTTGTCTCTGTGACTGATGATCCTGGTTGGTGGCTGAAATATGCCCCCACAGCCCCATTTCCACAGTGGGGGCATCTCATGGATGCGAGCACACCTTCAGCAGCTGAGGCTGTTAGGAAGAGAGGCTGAGCTTGCCTCCCTGCTTCACTTTTCATTGCTCTGGGCCCCCTTTCCAGGCCTTTCCAGGGAGGAGGCCCATATGCATACCCAGACTCCAGAGCCAGACTGCTCAGGTTCAAACCCTGATTCTGCACTGACCAGCTTACTATCTTTATGACTCCATTTCCTCATCTGAAAAATGGGTATACCTCACCAAGTTATCATCTCCAAATGAGACAGTTTATGTAGAATAACTTATGTGATGCTTGACACAGAATAAGTGGCCATCAGGGTTGAAACAAGTTCTCTTTCCTGCTGCAAGGTTCTTGTTGCTTTGGAGAGTTGCAAAATGGGCCCCTCACTGAAGGAAAAGCCAAGATTTCTATGCTGAGGCTGTTTTTTCATTGCCTAATCTACTTTCTTATTAGATGAAAGTTGCTTTAATTCTTGGAGGTTCAAGTGATGAAAATCAGAGCCCTAGCCTGAACTAGACATTATTAGTCTGCCTCCACAGCTTATAATTATTTTTAACATCTCCTTGTTCTAAAGTCATTCTAACAGTGTCATAGTTTGCATCAAGAAAACCTCCTCCCCTGTTTTGGTTGGGGTCCTGGCGGGAAGCAGATGGTGCCCTAAAAAGGTTTATCTGGAGAGAGCTTAATGAAGGGACCACCTACAGAGAAAGCAAGCGCTGGAATCATAGAAAAGGGACTGCCCAACAGGAGCTATGGCGACAGAAAGGACAGAGCCACTGCAGAGATTTGACCAAGCAGGGAGATAGGGAGGAATAAATTCCCAAATCTGGTGCTGGTGTTTCCAACTAGTAGATCCTAGCCTGAGGCCAAAGGACATGAAGCCCTGGGGAAGCAGCCCACAGAGGTCAGTCGCCAGAGCAGATAGAGTGGATCTGAGGTTGGAAGCGGCAAACAGGTGTGTTGGAATAGCCAGCACACTTGATCCTCACCAGAAACTAACTGGCCCCTACGCCAGAGTTTACACCAGAGACTCAAAGGCAAATCTGGGACTAGAGAATGAGGAGGGATGCTCTTATTCAACAAGAGGCAGTTTCTATGGCTACAAGGAGGGTAGAGGTATGGCCTTTTGGCAACCATCCTCTTTTTTGTTTGTTTTTGAGATGGAGTCTCGCTCTGTCACCCAGGCTGGATGGAGTGCGATGGTGCAATCTCGGCTCACTGCAACCTCTGTCTCCCAGGCTCAAGTAGTTTTCCTGCCTCAGCCTCCCAAGTAGCTGGGATTACAGGTGTGTGCCACCGCGCCTGGCTAATTTTTGTTATTTTAGTAGAGACAGAGTTTCGCCATGTTGGTCAGGCTGATCTCAAACTCCTGACCTCAGGTGATCCACCTGCCTTGGCCTCTCAAAGTGCTAGGATTACAAGCGTGAGCCACCATGCCTGGCCCCATCCTCTTTTACAGTAGTAATAGTTATAGCTAGCACTTACTGAGTGTCTGCTGTGTGCCAGCATATGAGGTGTATGATCTGTGGCTTTTACAGCAATCCTGCAAGGCAGGTGTCATTCTCCCCATTTCCTAGTTGACACTGAGTCTGAGAAAGGTGAAGCAACTTGTTAAGAGAACACCACTGAGAAATGGATGACCTGAATTTCAGTGAAACTTCCAAATCCTTTTCCAGCCAGTTCCCAAACAGTCACCATAGTTATTTATTTGCTATGTTACCCCCCAGACCTTCCATACAGATATGTATAGAGGATGCATACAAGCATATATACATATTTTGCCTTGGCTTATTTTTAATATAAATAGGACCAAGGGATTTAAAACAAGATGTGTAGCAGGCAGAGCTTGAGGATAAAGTCCATATGTCCTTGACAGATATGAATGCTTACAGATAACTGCTGTGTGCCCACAGTATTATGTTCTATAAACAAATGTCTGGACATTTTACTTTGAAATCTCCCTATTCTTTAGTAATTAAGCTAGGACCCAGGATGGCCCAGGTGCTAGGGAATGCTTCCATCTGCTTTGACGGACGCAGTCTTCCTTTGCATCTTACCTCCATCTGCCCTCCAGGCCCAGAGGTGACAGGTAGTATATCTCCATGAGCCTGGGAAATGAGGGGCAGTGAAGTGAGTCCTCAGAGAGCAGCTCCGCAGGCCATGGAGACAGTGTCTGGATGCATCCTGAGCTGTAATAACCCATGAGGCTCTTCCTGAACATCCTGACGTGTGCTATCAGGGTAGAGCTCTGGCTTTGAAAAGTCTTCACCTCATCCTGGGTCCCAGAATAGAAGGAGGAGAAGGAAAGACAAAGTTTAGGAGAATGAACAAGTATTTTTCAACCTGTGACATTTAACCATTTACTCCAGTAGCAGGGAATTTAAAAATGCTTTCATTTGTCCAGGCATGGTGGCTCGTGCCTGTATTCCCAGCACTTTGGGAGGCTGAGGTGGGTGGATCACTTGAAGCTAGGAGTTTGAGACCACCCTGGCCAACATGGTGAAACCCCGTCTCTACTAAAAATACAAAAATTAGCTGGGCATAGTGGCGCGCCTGTAATTCCAGCTACTTGAGAAGCTGAGGCAGGAGAATTGCTTGAACCCAGGAGGCGGAGGCTGCAGTGAGCCAAGATCGTGCCACCGCACTCCAGCCTGGCTGACAGAGTGAGACTTGGTCTCACAAAAAAAAAAAGGAAGAAAAAAATGCTTTCAGATGAGCTATCGAGAGCTTCAAGGATATCTGTACACATTGGAAAGCCCTCCAGCCAGGTGATGCCCTGCCCTCTGCCTGGCACCAGGCTTGTGGCAGTGCCAACCTCTGGGAGAGCCCTGCTTTGAGGCTGGATGGTTCCAGTTGGGTAAACCGAAACCCCCTGGGGTTATGGGGCAGATTCCCATCAGTCTGTCCTCCGGGTAAGTCATTTCTTCAGAGCTTTACTTTCTTATCTGTAAAATGGAACTGAGCGATCCTGCTCAGTCAGGGTGACAGGGTATATATGAAGGTGTTTCGTACAGTGCCAAGTGCTGTAGGAATAAAAAAAATCTTAATTTAATATCTCTCTGCCTCATTTCCATTTGATATGGGGCATAAGGATAATTACTGTCGACTCCTCTGTTACCCCCAAAGAAAGCTGTTACTCAAACTATAGCATGTGGAATGAGATCTGAGAAGTGCTTTGCATTTCTCAGCAGCAAGCAGTAAATACAGAGATGCAGTGGGGAGTTCGGTATGATTGGTTTCTGTGCCTGGGGAACCTTGGGAGGAACTGCCTTGGGGAGATGTTTGTCATTGCCCCCCCACCCCCTGCCGTGCCCTTTAGCATTGCAGAGGGTGGTAGAGGTTGAAGAGTTCCTTGGAACTGCAGTCTCATCCGGAGCTCCCTCAGCTGAGCTGGGCTCTCCCTGGCAGCACAGTGTGTCAGGGTAACCACTGGGCACCTCATGTTCTGTGATTCATCTCTTGTTTGGAGAGGGATTACGGTGCTCTGGGCCCAGCCTATTTGCCTTGGCCCCCTTGCTTGGTAGTGGGCTGCCGAGAGCAGAGCCACAGCCTCTTCCCTGTCATCTGCGGCAGAGTTCTGCAGGGATTTGGCAGCCCTGCAGGGCAATCCAGTTCCCAGCATAATCGTGGAGGGAAAGACTCTGTGATCAGCCTACACTTTATTCTCATTTTCTCACCAAGGGGATAATTAGTAGGAAGGCAAACAAATCCCCTTACCTTGGTTAAATCACAGGGTGCGGGGGGGCAGAGCTGGAGAGCAGTGTTGATGTTAGCTCTGAGGTCTGCTCTCAAGAGCGAATGGCAGGAGAATTGTTAATAGGCAAAATCCCAAACAACATTTCACTCCTCTCTTACCCCTCATCTCCACAGGAGTCTCCTTTGTCTAGACAAGGTGGGCACACCCTGCTATTTTCACCAGTCAGGGTAGCTCTGTAATGCCACTAGGTTCACATGGGTTGGTGAACAGTAAGAGGGTCGAGGGAATAAAAGCAAACCTTCTGCCTTTGAAGTTCATTCCAACCAGGGAAGAGAAAATATGTAAATGCTTGCACACAAGCTGCTCTTAAGTAGTAGTCTTTGGTTTGGGTTCTTTTTTTTATTTTTTAATTTTTTTATTTTGAGACAGAGTCTTGTTCTGTCACCCAGGCTAGAGTGCAGTGGCATGGTCTCGGCTCACTGCAACCTCCACCTTCCGGGTTCAAGTGATCCTCCCATCTCAGCCTCCTGAGTAGCTGGGACCACAGGCACGTACCACCATGTCTGGCTAATTTTTGTATTTTTAGTAGAGACGGGGTTTCACTGTGTTGGACAGTTTGGTCTCGAACTCCTAACCTCAAGTGATCTGCCCACCTCGGCCTCCCAAAGTGCTGAGATTAAAGGCATGAGCCACTGCACCTGTCCAGGCTCTCTTTTATGCATAAGAAAAGTGTAGATTTAAGTGTAGGATTAGAATGCTCAGATATATGTAAGCTGAGGATGTCAAGACTGGATGAAGCACATAGCAGGTATTTAATAATTGTTTAATGTACCCTTGAATGTATAGCTTGAGATTGCAGGTGGTGGTCTGCCAAACCCCTGTCAACTCTAGTGGGGATGGCACCAGGTTCACGAGACTGAAGAAGAGACCCAAAGCCAGCAAACAAGACGTGGGCCTTTCCTGGTGGCTTACATACAGGGAAGAGAGTCCAGTGGCGGGAGACTGGACAGGACAACAGCAACCACTTGCAAAAAGCATGCAGTTTGTATAGCATTTTCAGTTAGCACCATTTTGCTAGCAACCTCCATCTGGCAACCTTTATTCAACCCAGAACTTGGGGCCTTGATCCACTGTATAGCCTGTGTTCCATGGGATGGGCTGGGGGCTCAGATGTTCCTCATAGACAAGGAACAAATCCCCAAGTTGGCTACACCAGGATTCATTAGCTCAGCACACACATTCATGTGAATCTGCCATACAGGGTCCTTCTCAGGCTGTGTTTATGTTATTGCTATCAGGTGGATTTACCATACGGGTGGCTAAAATCGTCTGCATCCCTGATGTTTGTATCCCACTTGAACTTAAGAGTCCAGCATTTTCCAAAGTGTGTCCCATGCAAGAGGCCAAAAAGATCCAGATGCTGGGGCCAGTGTATTAGGTCACGCTGTGCCCCCTTTGTTGGAGATTTATAACATGTATTCGCTTATTAAAGACTTTGAAAATTCCCGAAATTATATGTATGTATATGTATAATTTATATTCGTATACATGTATATGTATATGTATACACACACATACATATACAAATGTAGCTTTTCATTAATCTCTACTGCCTACTTGGTCAGATCGTGGTGTACAGAAACCCAAACATACATAAATTGGCAAAGCTGACTTGGAAGTACATGCCATTTTAGCAGTGTTTTCTAACACTGCTAAAGTGTTAGAAAGCTAGAGAAACCAGAAAGAAATATTTTGACAAACTACCTGTATTAGTTAACTTTATAAAGTTAGCCTTACTTTGTCTCTTGCTCTGCTGAACCTCTTGGCCTTTTTAAAAAATATAAAATTCTAGATTCAGCAGACTCAAAACTATATTTTGCCAGACTTTCTTTGTATTTAAACCCTCATAGGCTTTAAAACAAATTTAGACCAGATGTTCTTGATTCATTTGCATTTAACGGATCACAGTGGACTCCTGCCAGAGCAGTAGGATATCCCTAGAGATTTTGAACTCAGTTTCTTTTTCTCAGAAACAAGTGTTTGTATTCTATTTGGATTTTAGAGTCCAGCATTTCCCAAAGGGTGTCTCAAAGTGATTTCCCAAAGTGAGTAGAGAGTTGTAGCCTGGGGAACCTCAATTTTTGTGACAACAACTTTAGATGCTCAGAAAGGTTCTCGTCATTATTTAATAAGATCATCGCCTGGGCTGCATGTCTCTGTACAAGATATAACATGTTTCTCTGTTGCCTGTTTTGCTGTAATCCTGCTGCAGCTCATAGAGCTCCAAACCAGAGTGGAGGGCCCAGATTTGCAGGTAAACAGTGATTACCGTTGTGCTTGATGGGATTACAGGAAATTTTTGTGTTCTTAAGGCACATCTCTATTTTATGATATTTTTAAACCTTGAATATATTTTGCTTGGATAACAGAAACAAGTTAACTAATTTTTAAAATTCTTTCTCCTAGTTACAAACGTCAGAGATACTCATCTTTTTCCTGAACAATATTTTCCTTCCTCAAAATGGAAGAATAGCAGAGCAGTTTTTTTTTTGAAAACAAATCACATCTTTTCACTCTTTCATTAACAAATTTGACCTCATTTCTGTTCTTATGTATTTTTGTCTTCATTTGTTGTGCATTTTAGATTTTAATCCTTATTAAAACCAAAAAACTCTAATGATTGCTTTGTTTGAAGCTTTTTCCAGGAGGTTCAAAAGTTTCTCAGAAACACATATATTGAGTTCCTACCATTTGGCAGTTACTGAGAATACAAAGAAAAGTAAGCTATGTGATATTTTCCCATGAGGAAGTGATAATCTGCAAACAGCTTTTTTTGCCATTAAAATGATTTTTATATATAATTTTTAAAATTGTTTCTATGTGTAATTGTTTCTACTGTGTGCCAGGAATGTCCTATATACTTTATACATATATTATCTCATTTAATCTTCACAATTTAAAAGTACATATTATCCCATTTTATGAATGCAGAAACAACAGCTAAAGAGGTTAAATGATTTGGCAAAAGTCACACAAATAAAAAGGGTAGTTGGGATTCAACCCAAGTCTCTTTCCTGGGCTCACCCTGCCCTGTGCCTGGTATACTGTGGGAGGCTGGTGTTTGTGAACACAGTCGCTTGCTGGAAGGAGCAATTATAGAGAGCCTTCCCCAGATGCAGTGCTGCCTCCGCCACATTTCTCAGGAGCAATATACAAACCCCCATCATGTGCTTATTTCACTGGACCACAATTCTTTGTTTAGGAGTCCTCCGCTGGACCGAGACCTTTGTGTAAGCAGGAGCCACTTCTATTGTATATCCCCAGCATGTTGCCTGGCACATTGAAATTATACAGTGGATTTTTGTGGAATAAATTAATCCTTTTTTAAATTTAAAATTTTTAAATTATAAGTAGACAAATTATATGTATTTATGGGGTACAAAGTTATGTTATGATTTTTTAATACAATGTGGAACAATTAAATCAATTAACGTATCTATCACCTTAAATACTTATTATTTTTGTGGTGAGAAGATTTGAAATGTATTCTCTTAGCAATTTTCCAATCTAAAATACAATATTAGTCACTGTATTCATCACACCATGTAATATATTTTCAAGAAATAAAAACCTTATTACTACTGTCTAATTGAGGCTTTGTACCCTTTAACCAACATCTACCCATTCCCTGCATCTCCCTAGGCTCTGGTAACCACCATTCTACTTTTTACTTCTTTGAGTTTGATTGTTCTACATTCCACATATAAGGGAGAATATTTGGTACTTGTTTTTCTGTGCCTGGCTTATTTCACTTACCATAGTGTTATCCAAGTCCATCCATGTTGTTGCAAATTACCAAATATTTTTCTTTTTAAAGGCTAAATAGTATTTCATTGTGTATGTATGCCACATTTTCTTCATCCATTCATCCACTGATGGACACTTAGGTTGATTCCATAACTTGTGTATTGTTTAATAGTGCTGTAGTGAACATGGGCATGCAGACATCTCTTTGGCATACTGATTTCAAATCTTTTGAGTAAGTACCCAGAACTGGGATTGCTGGATCATATCATAATTCTATTTTTAGTTTTCTGAGGAACCTTTTTCATAATGGCTGTACTAAATTGCATTCCCACCAACATTATACAAGGGTTCCCTTTTCTCCACATCCTCACCAACGCTAGTTATATTTAATCTTTTTGATAATGCCATTCTGACAGGTGTGAGGTGATATCTCATGGTGGTTTTAATTTGCATTCCCCTAATGGTTAATGATGTTGAGTATTATATATATATTTGTTAGTCTTTTGTATGTCTTCTTTTGAGAAATGTCATTCAGGTCCTTTGCTTATTTTTAAATCCAATTATTTGTTTTCTTTCTATAGAGTTGTTTGAGTTTTGTATATATCTTGGATATTAATCCTTTATCAGATATGTGGCTTACAAATATTTTCTCCAAATTCATAATTTGTCTCTTCACTCTGTTGTTTCCTTTGTTGTACAAAAACTTTTTATTTTGATTTAATCCCATTTGTCTTTTTTATTTCGTTTCCTGTGCCTTTGGGGTCAAATGTAAAAAATCATTGCCTAGACCAATATTGTCTAGTTTTTCCCTTATATTTTCTTCCAATAGTTTTACAGTTTCAGGTCTTATGTTTAAACCTTTAATCCATTTTGAGTTGATTTTGTATATGGTGTGAGATAAGGGTCTAATTTTATTCTTCTGCATGTGGATATCCAGTTTCCCCAACACCATTTATTGAAGAGATGATCCTTTTCCTAATGTGTTGGCACCTTTGTCAAAAATCAAATGACTGTACATGTGTGGTTTCATTTCTGGGCTTTCTGTTCTGTTCCATTGGTTAATGGGTCTCTTTTTATGCTAGTATCATGCTCTTTTAGTTTCTATATCCTTGTAGTATTGTTTCAAGTAATATGGTGTGATACCTCCAACTTTGTTGTTTTTGCTTATGATAGCTTTGGCTATTTGGTATTTGTTTTGTTTTGTTTTTAATTCAGTGTGGAATTTTAGGATTGTTTTCTATTTTAATGAAAAATGACATTGGAATTTTGATAGGGATTGCATTGATTCTATAGATTGCTTTGGGTGGTATGGTCATTTTAACAGTATGAATTATTCTAATCCATGAGCACAAGATATCTTTCCATTTATTTGTATCTTCTTAAATTTATTTCATCAATATTTTATAGTTTTCACCTCTTTGGTTAAATGTATTCTTTTGTTTTTGTAGGTATTGTAAATGGAATTGTTCTCTTGATTTCTTTTTCAGAACATTTGTTGGTGTATAGAAACAGTACTGATTTTTGTGTGTTGATTTTGTGTCCTGCAACTTTACTGTGTATGTTTATTAGTTATAACAGTTTATTGGTGGAATCTTAAGTGTTTTCTATATGGAAGATTATGTTATCAACAAACAGTGGCAATTTCATTTCCTCCTTTTCTAATTGGATGCCTTTTATTTCTTTCTCTTGCCTAATTTCTCTAAGGATTTTCAATACTATGTTGAATAGAAGTGGCAAGAGTGGGCATCCTTGTCTTGTTCTAGGACTCAGGGAAAAGAGTTTCAGTTTTTCACTGTTAAATATAATGTTAGCTGTGTGTTTAATCACATATGGCCTTTACTGTGTTAAGGTACATTCCTTTTATACCTAATTTGTTATTTTTTTTATCATTAAAGAATGTTGAATTTTGTCAAATGTTTTTGCTGTATCTAATTAGATGATCTTTTTTTATCTTTTATTTTGTTAATGTGATTATCACATATATTGATTTGCATATATTGAAACATCTTTGCATCCCAGGGATAAATGCCACTTAATTATAGGTGAATGATTATTTTAATGTGCTATTAAATTTAGTTTGCCAGTATTTTGTTGAGGATTTTGGCATTTATGTTCATGAAGGATCCTTTCCTGTAGTTTCCTTTTCTTGTAATGTCCTTGTTTGGCTCATAAGAAGAGCTATGCTGGCCTCATTAAAAGAGTTTGGAAATGTTTTGTCTTTAATTTTTTTCAAGAGTTTGTGAGGATTGGAATTCTTCTTTATTTAAAAACATTTCTTTTAAGACAAGGTGTTGCTCTGTTGCCAAGGCTGGAGTATAGTGGCATGAAGACAGCTCACTGCAGCCTCAACCTCCCAGGAATGAGCGATCCTCTGCCCTCAGCCCCTTATGTGGCTGGGACCACAGGTGTGTACAACCACACCTGGCTAATGGCAGACTTCAGCAGTAAAGCCATTGGGACTTTTCTTTGATGGAAGTTTTTTGTTTGTTTGTTTGTTTTTAAATCACTGGTTCAGTCTCCTTACTGGTTATTGGTTTGCTCAGATTTTCTATTTCCTTGTGATTCAGTCTTGGTAGATTACATTTGTTAGGGAATTTATCCGTTTCTTCCAGGTTATCCTACTTTTTGGCATGTAATCGTAATATTCTTTTAATATCCTTTGTATTTCTGTGATTAGTTGTAATGTCTCCCCTTTCATTTCTCATTTTATTTACTTGTGTCTTCCATTTTTTCTTAGTCTAGCTAAAAGTTCATCCATGTTATCTTTTCAAAAAACCAACTCTTCGTTTCATTGATTTTTTTGTATTTTTCTAGTCTCTACTTCAGGTATTTCTGCTTTGATCTTTATTATTTCTTTTTTCTATTGACATTGGGCTTAGTTTGTTCAGCTTTCTCTGTTTTCTTGAGGTGTACATTAAATTACTACTTGCAATATTCCTTATTTTTTGATGTAGGTGTTCATTGCGATAAACTTTTCTCTTAGAACTGTCTTTGCCACATTCCATAAGTTGTGGTACATTGTGTTTCTGTTTTTGTTTGTCTCAAGATATGTTTAAATCCTTTTAATTTCTTCTTTGACCCATTGGCTGAGAGTCATGTTGTTTAATTTCTATATATTTGTGAATTTTCTGAAATTCTCCATGTGATTGATTTCCATTTGTTTACACTGTGGTCAGAAAACACACTTGATATGATTTCAGTCTTCTCTAATTTAATAAGACTTGTCTTGTGACCCAACATATGATCTATACTGGATAATGTTCTGGATGCACTTGAGAAGAATGTATATTCTGTTGCTGTTGGATGGAATGTTCTGTATATGTTTGCTAGGTCCATTTGGTCTAAAGTGTTGTTCAAGTCCAATGTTTCCTTATTACTTTTCTGTCTGGTTAATCTGGCCATTATTGAACATAGAGTATTCAAGTCCGATATGATTATTGTATTGCAATATGTCTTTCCCTTCAATCTTTTAATGTTTGTTTTATGTATTTAGGTGCTTCGATATTGGGGGCTTATGTATTTATAATCATTGTATTCTCTTGATGAATTGACCCCTTAATCATTATATAATGTCCTTATTTGTCTCTTCTTACTGTTTTTGACTGAAGGTCTATTTTGCCTGATATAAGTATAGCTATCCCAGCTCTCTTTTGGTTGCCATTTGTGTGGAGTATCTTTTTCCATTCCTTCACTTTCAGTCTATGTGTGTCTTTAAAAGGGAGGTGACCCAGCATATAGTTGGGTCTTGTTTTTTTATCCATGCAGTCACTCTTTGTCTTTTTATTGAGTAATTTAATCAATTTACATTCAAGGTAAGTATTAATAGGTAAAAACTTACCACTGCCATTTTATTAATTGCCTTCTGGTTGTTTTGTAGATACATTTTCCTTCCTTTCTTCTGACTTCATTTGTGATTTTATGGTTTTCTGTAGTGGTATGCTTTGATCCTTTGTACTTTTGCTCTTCTACTAAAGATTTTTGCTTTGTGATCACCAAGAGGCTTACGTAGAACATCTTATACATCAGATCGCCTATTTCAAGTTGATGATAATTTTGATTGTATATAACAACTCTACACATTTACTCCTCCCTCCCCCCACACCTTATGGTTTTAATGTCAGAATTTATATTATTTTGTAATGGGTATCCTTTGACAATTTATTTTAGCTATAGTTGTTATTAATAGTTTTGTTTTTTAACCCTTAATGCTAGGGATAAAATTGCCTTACACATCATCATTATAGTACATTTAGAGTATTCTGAATATGGCTCTGCTTTACTTATACCATTGGGTTTTGT
Source organism: Homo sapiens (assembly GCF_000001405.40). Classification (NCBI taxonomy): domain Eukaryota; kingdom Metazoa; phylum Chordata; class Mammalia; order Primates; family Hominidae; genus Homo; species Homo sapiens. The sequence goes on along the minus strand of NC_000014.9, from coordinate 81,358,071 downwards.
GCTTTCTTTTTTTTTAATTTTTTTAATTTTATTTTTATACTTTAAGTTTTAGGGTACATGTGCACAATGTGCAGGTTAGTTACATAGGTATACATGTGACATGCTGGTGCGCTGCACCCACTAACTCGTCATCTAGCAGTAGGTATATCTCCCAATGCTATCCCTCCCCCCTCCCCCCACCCCACAACAGTTCCCAGAGTGTGATGTTCCCCTTCCTGTGTCCACGTGTTCTCATTGTTCAATTCCCACCTATAAGTGAGAATATGCGGTGTTTGGTTTTTTGTTCTTGCGATAGTTTACTGAGAATGATGACTTCCAATTTCATCCATGTCCCTACAAAGGACAAGAACTCATCATTTTTTATGGCTGCGTAGTATTCCATGGTGTATATGTGCCACATTTTCTTAATCCAGTCTATCACTGTTGGACATTTGGGTTGGTTCCAAGTGAATAGTGCCACAATAAACATACGTGTGCATGTGTCTTTATAGCAGCATGATTTATAGTCCTTTGGGTATATACCCAGTAATGGGATGGCTGGGTCAAATGGTATTTCTAGTTCTAGATCCCTGAGGAATCGCCACACTGACTTCCACAATGGTTGAACTAGTTTACAGTCCCACCAACAGTGTAAAAGTGTTCCTATTTCTCCACATCCTCTCCAGCACCTGTTGTTTCCTGACTTTTTAATGATTGCCATTCTAATTGGTGTGAGATGATTTCTCATTGTGGTTTTGATTTGCATTTCTCTGATGGCCAGTGATGGTGAGCATTTTTTCATGTGTTTTTTGGCTGCATAAATGTCTTCTTTTGAGAAGTGTCTGTTCATGTCCTTCACCCACTTTTTGATGAGGTTGTTTGTTTTTTTCTTGTAAATTTGTTTGAGTTCATTGTAGATTCTGGATATTAGCCCTTTGTCAGATGAGTAGGTTGTGAAAATTTTCTCCCATTTTGTGGGTTGCCTGTTCACTCTGATGGTAGTTTCTTTTGCTATGCAGAAGCTCTTTAGTTTAATTAGATCCATTTGTCAATTTTAGCTTTTGTTGCCATTGCTTTTGGTGTTTTAGACATGAAGTCCTTGCCCGTGCCTATGTCCTGAAATGGTAATGGAGCTGGTTTTTTGAAAGGATCAACAAAATTGATAGACAGCTAGCAAGACTAATAAAGAAAAAAAGAGAGAAGAATCAAATAGATGCAATAAAAAATGATAAAGGGGATATCACTACCGATCCCATAGAAATACAAACTACCATCAGAGAATACTACAAACACCTCTACGCAAATAAACTAGAAAATCTAGAAGAAATGGATAAATTCCTCAACACATACACTCTCCCAAGACTAAACCAGGAAGAAGTTGAATCTCTGAATAGACCAATAACAGGAGCTGAAATTGTGGCAATAATCAATAGCTTACCAACCAAAAAGAGACCAGGACCAGATGGATTCACAGCCGAATTCTACCAGAGGTACAAGGAAGAACTGGTACCATTTCTTCTGAAACTATTCCAATCAATAGAAAAAGAGGGAATCCTCCCTAACTCATTTTATGAGGCCAGCATCCTCCTGATACCAAAGCCTGGCAGAGACACAACAAAAAAAGAGAATTTTAGACCAATATCCTTGATGAACATTGATGCAAAAATCCTCAATAAAATACTGGCAAACCGAATCCAGCAACACATCAAAAAGCTTATCCACCACGATCAAGTGGGCTTCATCCCTGGGATGCAAGGCTAGTTCAATATACGCAAATCAATAAATGTAATCCAGCATATAAACAGAACCAAAGACAAAAACCACATGATTATCTCAATAGATGCAGAAAAGGCCTTTGACAAAATTCAACAACGCTTCATGCTAAAAACTCTCAATAAATTAGGTATTGATAGGACGTATCTCAAAATAATAAGAGCTATCTATGACAAACCCACAGGCAATATCATACTGAATGGGCAAGAACTGGAAGCATTCCCTTTGAAAACTGGCACAAGACAGGAATGCCCTCTCTCACCACTCCTATTCAACATAGTGTTGGAAGTTCTGGCCAGGGCAATTAGGCAGGAGAAGGAAATAAAGGGTATTCAATTAGAAAAAGAGGAAGTCAAATTGTCCCTGTTTGCAGACGACATGATTGTATATCTAGAAAACCCCATTGTCTCAGCCCAAAATCTCCTTAAGCTGATAAGCAACTTCAGCAAAGTCTCAGGATACAAAATCAATGTACAAAAATCACAAGCATTCTTATACACCAATAACAGACAAACAGAGAGCCAAATCATGAGTGAACTCCCATTCACAATTGCTTCAAAGACAATAAAATACCTAGGAATCCACCTTACAAGGGACGTGAAGGGTTTTGTGCTTTCATAATTTTTACGTTATTTATGATTTAATAGCAGCATTTTGCTTCAACTTTTAAAAACTTCACTTATCAGTACCTATAAGGTAGGCATACTGGCAATGAACTCCCTTAGCTTTTGTTTGTCTGGAAAATTTTTTATTTTTCCCTCATTTCAGAGGCAGCTTTGTTGAACGAAGTATTCTTGGTTGGCAGGTTTCTTTTTTCCTTCTGCACTTTGAATATATCATCTCATTCTCTCCAGACCTACAGTTTCTGCTGAGAAATTGATTATAGTTGTATTGGGACCCCTTTGTATGTGATGTATTTCTTATCTCTTGGTGCGCTCATAATTTTTTATTTGTCTTTGATTTTTGATAATTTAATTATGTGTCTTTGTGAACGCCTCTTTGGGTTGAATTTTATTGGAGACTTCTGCACTTCCTGTACCTGGATGTTGTCATCTTTCCTCAGGTTAGAGAAATTTTCAACTATTATTTTTTAAAATATGCTTTCTGGCTCCCTTTCTCTTTCTTCTCCTTCTTGAATTTCTGTTGTGTGAAGGTTAGGTCTCTTGATGGTGCCTTATCCATAAGTCCTGTAGGCTTTCTTCATTCTTTTGCATTCTTTTTTTTCTCTTCTGAATGGATAATTTCAAATGTTCTGTCTTTGAGCTCACTCATTCTTTCTTCCATTTAGTCAAGCCTGCTGTTGAAGTGTTCTATTTCATTTTTTTTTTTTCTTCTGAGACGGAGTGATCTCTGCTCACTGCAACTTCCGCCTCCCAGGTCCTGGTTCAAGCAATTCTGCTTCAGCCTTCCGAGTAGCTGGGATTACAGGAACGTGCCACCATGCCCAGCTAATTTTTGTATTTTTAGTAGAGACAGGGCTTCACCATGTTGCCCAGGCTGGTCTTGAACTCCTGACCTCATGATCCGCCCTCCTTGGCCTCCCAAAGTGCTGGGATTACAGGCGTGAGCCACCGTGCCCAGCCTCTGTTGCATTTTTCACTTCAGTAATTGTGTTCTTTATCTCTAGGATTTCTATTTTTTGTTGTTGTTTCTATTTTTTTGTCAAAATTCTCGTTCATGTATAATTTTCCAAATTTTATTGCATATTTATCCATATATTCTTGTCATTTACTGAACTTTTTCGAGAGAATTATTCTGAATTTTTTTGTCTGTCATTTCATAGATCCCCCTTTCTTTTGGGCCCATCGTTGGAGCTTTGTTTGTTTCTTTTGGAGGTGTCATGATTTCCTAAGTCTTTGTAATCCTTGTGTTCTTGCATCGATATCTGCGTATTTGAGGATGCAGCCATCTTTTCTGGCTGTTACAGGTGTTCTTTTGTAGAGGTAGGCCTTCACTGTTTAGTGATTCCGATAGGACAGCTGGTAAGGACCCTGGAAAGACAGAACTTGCTTTCAGATTCTCTAGATGGCTGGGCTGCTTCCTTTGCCTTGCATTTGGATGGGGCAGCTGGCTGGGCTCCAGTATCTGGTAAGACCACTGGCTGACCTCTGCAGTCAGGCTGAGCTGTTGGATGGACCCTGTCGTCACTTCAGATTGGGCCAGGCCACAGGGTGCATTCCCTGGCCAGGTGATACCACTCTTTGAGTTTAGCAGCTAGACAGGGTTGCAGGAGAAGCCCAGAGGTCAGGTGGAGTTTCTGATCAGGAAAGATAGGACAAGCTGCTTTGTTTTCCTCTGCTTTTCTCAGTGTAAATACATAGTTGAGGTTTGCCTCCTTACCATGTGGCGCCTTGGGGTGGGCTCTGAGGCTGGACTGAGAACTGTTGAAACTCCTAGGTATGGCAGATCAGCTTTGTCCGTGGGCTATGCTGTTAGCTAGTAACTCTGATAGGGCGCCACCACTGTCAAGTACACAGAGCTACCACCAAGGTCTACATCCTGTTTGCTGTGGGCTCTGCCTTGCTTTGTTGCTACCTGACCCCAGGTGTTTTAGATCTATGGTTTCCTTCTGGACACAGGTCTTGGTGGAGGTGTGAAATGACCGTGGGCTTACTGGGAAGTGTTTGAGAATCCTAAGGAAGCTGGGTGTCTGCCTCTGATTTTCTTTTTCCTCTGTAGAAAATGTGGTCCCAAGCGGAAATCCTCTCTGTTGGGCCTGTGCCGACTTGTGGGGGAAGGGGAGGAGTAAAGTGGTTAAAGTGAGTCTATTTCTCTTACCCTTTCCATGAGGTTTTCATTTCATCCTGTGGACCATGTAGGTGACTGAGATTTTTTCCAATTTGTGGGGTTTCACTTAGGTGTTCCTGTCTATGGATAGTTGCTAGTTGAACTCTTTGTTGGGGGTGGTGAAGCTGGGACCTTCCATTCTGTCATCTTGTTAATGTCCTAAATTAAATTTTCTGATACAGAGCTAGAAGACCTTCATTTCCAAACCTTTTCTCCAATTACCTAGGCTTAAGTGTATTTGCTCACTGAAATGTATTTTCATGATTGGTAAGAATTAAAAGAGAACACATGGATGTGACTAGTGTGGAAATAAAACTTTTCCCCATGTTTTCAAATGTAAGACTATTATCCAATAATCTCCATTTTTTTCCTGTTCTTATTTGAATTTTACTGTCATCTTTTAAATTTTTTTTGAATTAATTCATGTAGATGTGTGGAGGTGCAGTGGAAGAATGCTCTCTAAGTTTACATATTTGAGAATATTACTGTCCTATACATTCTTTGACCAAAATAGCCATATTTTTCTTCCCTATTTATTCACCTCAGAGACTGCAAATATGGTGACTTAGGGAAAGCTTTTCCATGATATTGAAATATATTCTTGTGGTTACTGAACCATCTGTGTGGAGCAAAATCTAAGAAAGAGCAACAGTTTAAGATGCTGTGTTCCAAAAGGGTGGTGTAAACGAGGTATTTTGGAAGCTCTTAATAAAAAACTTGTGGTCTCCAACCAGAGATTTTTGCAAGTCCCTTTCAGAATGGCTAATGTGGTAATACTGAAGAGGAGGTGACAACTGTAATGCTTTTTATTGATATCCTCTGTGATGTTCTTTTAGTGTTATGATCCTTCTTTAACAGATGAGGACACCAATGCCAGAGTCACACGTTAGTTAAGTGCTAAAATTAAGAATGACATCCAGGCTTGTCAACGTTATGCAGCTCTGTCCCTCCTGTGGCTGGGCCCTCAGGAAGGGTCACTCCTCTGTTCCCAATCCTGTAGGGGAGAGTATAAGATGCTGTGTTTTTTCAGTTCCAGTCAGGTGATTCAAACTAGATATGGAACCACCTGGAATCCAGAGGGTCCATCAACTTGGATGATTTACATCTTTATTGTCTCCAGTCCCTAAGGAGGTTAATGAGATGAGCATGTCCCTCAATTATGGATGTAGGCAACAAACCACAGTAACATTAGCAGTACCTTCCACTTAGTCACCAACAGAAAGCATAGATGTTTCCGTAGCACATTATAGTTGTGACAGATATCTTAAGATATCCTTTATCTTTTATCATTGCTACTTGGAAATAATGGTAGTTCTTGGCTGTATTAATGGTTGTATTAGTAGTAGTATTAACCATAATAATGATAGCATTATTATAGTTATTATGGTAATACTACCATTAATTATGATAGTATTAATGTGTTAATAAAGAAGTGCTGATATTGTTATATCAGAAACTCATGAAGTTAGTTTTTAATATTAGATAAGTATTTTAATATATACTTTTCTTTTTAAGTCTTATGTATTTGTTCATGTATTTAACACATTATCTTGAGAAGGCGTCCTAGGCTTTAGGAGACTGACAAACAGTTGATAGCACAAGCTAAGAATCCCTGCTTTGCTTATACGCCTCTGGTGCTTATACAATGAAGCACAGACTCTGTGGATCTAATGCCTAATGCCAGCTGATTCATTTATTCAACAGATGAGGAACTACTATGTGCCAGCCACTGGGCTAGAACCTCATACCAGCTAGAGGTCAGGGCAGTATCCAGACAAGATAGATGGTGGCCTGGACTGGGGAACTGGACTAGGTTAGAAAAAAACTGAACAGATTTAAAAGGGATTTCACATTTTGAATGGACAGAATCTCTATCAAACTCTTTGCCCCATTATGCTTCAAAATTTTGCACCTTTGTGCCTCTACTGCTGCTTTCACCTTAATAACTCCATTTTTATCCACATGACAAAGTCCTACTGATGATATAAGATCAAATTAAAATAATGTTTTCTCTCACACAGTTCTTACTTTGTGCCAAGTATGGTCCTAAAGAAAAAATTCAAAGTAAGCTATCCCAAGCAGGTTCTCTAGGGAGTTTTGCTCCATGTCACAGTTCCTGTCACCTCTTATTATAGGAGAGCTCTTGGCATGGATGTTATCTCCCTACCAAACTCTTCAGTCCTCCAGGGCAATAGTGATGTTTTCATTTCTGGATTGTCCTCACACTCTAGTTTTCAGCATAATTCTTGGAATTAGGGAGGTGTCCAATGAATTTTGTAAAGCTACATTTCCCATTTTTGCCACATTGAATCAGCATTATCCCTTGCCTCCCACCAGAAAAAAAAAAAAAAAAAGAAGAGCTTACCTCAAAATACCTTAGTCTCAAGCACTTGAGTCTAGAAAGAGAATTGAGAAAAATGGAAAGTAGTTCCTCCGGTCATAATTCTGAACTGTTTTACTGAATATTTTAAATGTAGATAGCATTTCAAATAATCATCAAATTCACCTATGAAAGATGGTGTCTCCAGCTTTAAGTAGTTTCCCAGATGAGTAATTTAACACCACTGATTTAAATGACATTAGAAATTGCTCACTGAATCTCTTGTGCAAAGTCAGGGCTTCAGAAAGATTTATGAGCTATGCTTTTTAAAGATAAAATGTTAACATGCACTCAACAAAGTATCAGTGGACATCAAGTGCTCAAGCCATGGTGGCTGGTACAGAGTACCCCCGCGAGTGTTTATTATTACTTTATTAACCCCAAAGCCTCTGGAAATAAGTCTTCTTATTTGGTTTTAGAATCATAATGAGTTTTGGTTTCTTTAAGCATCTCAGACCTTTAAAGTTAGAAGAAACTTAAGAGATTATTTAGTCGAATTTCCACATTTTACGGGTAAGAAAGCCAAGGCCTAGAAGTATTAGGAGCAGAGCCAGGCCTTGTCATTCCTTGCCTCCCACCCATTCTGTGAATTGTTTAAAAACCTAAGAGATTGGCTGGGCACAACTGATTATTTTTCATTTCATTCCTCTCTGAAAGTTTTTTTTTTTTTCTTCTTCTGAATTAAACAATGGACTGCCTTTCTTAAGGTTTCAATTCAGTCATGCAGAAAGTTAAAAGCAGTGGAGCCAATGGAGATGGAAGCCCTCAGAGCCTAGAAAACATTTTTTCTTTCTCTTACATTTTTTAATTGGTGCATAGTATTTGTACATATTTATGGGGTATATGTGGTGTTTTAATACATGCATACAGTGTATAATAATCAAGTTAGGGTATTTAGGGTATCCATGACCTCAAACTTTTATCATTTCTTTGTGTTGGGAACATTTCACATATTCTCTCTAGCTATTTTCAAATATACAGTGTAGTATTGTTAACTATAGTCATCTTACCAAACAGAATTTGTTCCTTCTATCTAACTGTATGTTTGTACCCATTAACCAACCTCTCTGCATACCCTTTCGACTCTCTGATAACTGTGATTCTACTCACTACCTCCATGAGATCAACTTTTTCAGCTCCCACAAATGAGTGAGAACTTGCCCGTTTGTCTTTCTGTGCCTATCTTATTTCACTTAACATAATGACCTCCAGTTCCATCCATGTTGCTGCAAATGACAGGATTTCCTTCTTTTTTTTGGCTGAATAATATTCCATTGTGTATGTATGCCACATTTCCTTTATCTGTTCATCCATTGGTGGACACTTAGGTTGATTTCATATCTTGACTATTGTAAATAGTGATACAATAAACATGGGGGTGCTGATACACCTTTGATAAACAGATACCCTTTCCTTTGGATAAATACCCAGTAATGGTATTGCTGGATCATATAGTAGTTTTATTTTTAGTTTTTTGAGAAATCTCCACACTGTTTTCTATAATGGCTGTACTAATTTACATTCCCACCAGCAGTATTGCCCCTTTCTCACTATGCTGGCTAGCATTTGTTATCTTTTGTATTCCTGATAGTATCATACTGATAGGGGTAAGATGTCTCATTGTGGCTTTGATTTGCATTTCTCTGATGATTTGTGATATTTAGCATTTTTTTCATATGCCTGTTGGCCATTTGTATGTCTTCTTTTGACAAGTGTCTGTTTGATCCTTTGCCCACTTTTTAATGGGAAATTTGGTTTTCTGCATTTAAGCTGTTTGATATCCTAATATATGCGAGTATTAGTCCCTTCTCAGATGAATAGTTTGAAAATGTTTTTTCCCATTCAATAGGTTGACTCTTTGCACTATTATTATTTCCTTTACTGTGCACAAGCTTTTTAGTTTGACATAGTCCCATTTGTCTATTTTTGCTTCTGTTGCCTATGCTTTTGAGGTCTTAGCCATAAAATCTTTGCCTAGACCAATGCCGTGGGGTGTTTCTGCTACTTTTTTCTAGTCATTTTGTAGTTTCGGGTGTTAGGTTTAAGTCTTTAATTCATTTTGAGTTGATTTTTGTATATGGATAGAGATAGGGGTCTAGTTTCATTGTTCTGCATGTAGATATCCACTTTTCACAGCACAATTTATTGAAGAAGGTGTCCTTTCCCCAATATATGTTCTTAACACCTTTGTTGAAAGTCAGCTGGCTGTAAATATATGGATTTATTTCTTGGCTCTTTCCATTGGCCTTATGGGTCTGTTTTTATACCATTACCATGCTGTTTAGTCACTATAACTTTGAATAATATTTTGAAGCTAAGGTAGTATGATACCTTCAGATGGTTCTTTTTGCTCAGTATCACTTTGGATATTTGAGCTCCTTTGTGGATTCGTATGAATTTTAGGATCGTTTTTTCTATTTTTGAGAAGAATGTCATTGGCGTTTTGATAGGGATTACATTGACTCTATAGATTGCTTTGGGTAGTGTGGTCATTTTAACAATATTAATTATTGTGATCCATAGGCATGAGATGTCTTTCCATTTTTTTGATGTCCTCTTCAATTTCTTTAATCAATGGTTTGTAGTTTTCCTTGTAGAAGTCTTTCACCTCTTTGTTTACATTTATTCCCAGGATTGTTTTTGTAGTTATTGTAAATAGGATTGCTTTATTTCTTTCTCAGCTAGTTCATTATTGGTGTGTAGAACTGCTACTGATTTTTGTGTGTTGATTTTGTATCCTGCCAATTTACCGAATTTATTAGTTCTCAGAGTTTTTCAGTGGTATTTTCAGGTTTTTCTATATAAGATCATATCATCTGTAAAGAGGAACAATTTTACTTCCTCTTTTCAAATTGGGATGCTTTTTATGTCTTTCTCTTGCCTGATTGCTCTGGCTAGGACTTCCAGTACTATGATGAATAGGAGTGGTGAAAGTGGGCATCTTTGCTTGTTCCAGTTCTGAGAGGAAAGGCTTTCTGCTTTTCTTCATTCTTAGCTGTGGGTTTGTCACATAAGGCCTTTATTATGTTGAGAGCTGTTCTTACTACGCCTTATTTGTTGAGAGTTTTTAACATAAAGGAATGTTGAATTTTACCAAATGCTCTTTTTTTGCCTATTGAGATGATTTTAGTTTTTTTTTCTTCATTTTGTGGATGTGATGTATATATTTCTTGATTTGCACGTGTTGAACTGTCCTTGAATCCCTGGGATTACTCCTACTTTATTATCTTTTTTTTTTTTTTTTTTTTTTGGTAAGAGACAGGGTCCTACTCTGTTGCTGCAATGGCACGATCATAGCTTACTACAGTTTCAAACTCCTGGGCTCAAGCAATCCTCCTGCCTCAGCCTCCAAAGTAGCTGGAACTACAAGCATGTGTCACCATGCCCAGGATGTTTTTATATTTTATAGAGAAGGGGGAGGGGGTCTCACATTTTTAGTGTTTTTGGATTCAGTTTGCTAGTTTTTTGTTGAGGATCTTTGCATCTATGTTCATCAGGGATACTGGCCTGTAGGGTTTTTTTTTTTTTTTTTTTTTTACTGTCTTCTTGTCCAGTTTGATATCAGGGTAATGCTGGCCTTATAAAATGAGTTAGGAAGAATTCTCTACTCTTCAATTTTTTGGAATAGTTTGAGAAGAATTGATGTTAATTCTTCTTTATAAGTTTGGTAGAATTCAATGTAAAGCCATCTGACCCTGGGCTTTTCTTTGTTAAGAGACTTGTTGCTGATTCAATTTCATTACTTGTTATTGGTCTATTCAGATTTTCTATTTCTTCCTTGTTCACTATTGGTAGGTTTTATGTGTGTCCAGGAATTTATGTATTTCCTCTAGATTTTCTGATTTGTTCACATATAGATGTTCATAATAATCTCTGATGATCCTTTTTATTTGTGTATTTTTGGTTTTAATGTATCCTTTTTTTGTTTCAGATTTTGTTTATTGGGAACTTCTCTCCTTTCCCTTGGTTAGTCTAGCTAAAGGTTTATCAATTTTCTTTATCTTTTCAAAAAGCCAGTTTTGTTTTGTTGATTCTTCGGGGTTTTTTTTTATTTTGTTTTGTTTTGGTTCTATTTTGTTTAGCTATGCTCTAATCTTTTCTTATTTCTTTCCTTCACCCAATTTTGAGTTTGGTTTGTCCTTGTTTTCGTAGTTCCTTGAGATGCATTGTTAATTATTTATTTGAAATCTTCTAATTTTTTGATGTATACGTTTATTGTTTCCCTCTTAGCCCTGCTTTTAGCCCATAGAGTTTAGTGTGTTGTGTTTCCATTTCAATGTGTTTCAACAAATGTTTTCGTTTCGTTCTTAAATTTCTTATTGACCCCATGGTTGTTTAGGAACATGTCTAATTTCCATGTATTTGCTTTGTTTCCAATGTTTCTCTAATTATTTATTTCTAGTTTCATTCCACTGTAGTTGAGAAGATACTTGATATTATTTTAGTTTTTAAAAATGTGTTGAGACTTGTTTTGTGGTCTAACATAGGGTCTATCCTGGAGAATGTTACATGTGCTCATGAGAATAATTTGTATGCTGCAGCTGTTAGATAAATGTTCGATAAATATATGTTAGGTTCATTTGGTCTGAAGTGCAGTTTAAATCCACTTCTTTTTTTTCTTAACAACAAATTTGACACTGTAATGAAATGTGGCTATAGAAAGTCTCTTGACTTCCTTGTGGTGCCTGTGTCCTAATGTCCAAGCTAATGAGTTTTAGATCATACATCCTTTTCTCTGGTCCCAAAGTCCTTTGGGGGAAGGCCTGGGTCTTTGTAATTCCTTGAGGTCTCTTTTTATAGTGACCTGTAGTCCGTCTTCTCATTGAAGTTGTGCTGACATTCTTCTTTACATTACAGATCCATTTGCACCCACCTCACTACCTCAGGGGCACCTCTTCCTTCTATTCTCAAATTACTCAGGTCCTGGAAAAAAAGCTCCTTTTTGATGTGATACTAAGATAAGTTTTCCCAAAAAATGAGAGTTAATGTTTCATATTTGCTTCAAAGGAGAGAATGACTTCACAACTTTCATTGGGTCAAAGGGACGAAACATCATAAAAAGTTCAGGAGACCGAGCTACTGGAAAAGAGCAGCTTTCTCTGATAGAATTTACTGCTGCTGAGCACATCTGCCATGAGACTCAAGAACAAATCACATCACCACTTTGTGATGCATCTGGAAACTCAGACAAGTGTTGCAAACAGGGCTGTCAACAAGATGTCAGCCCTTCCAGTGGCAGTACCAAGGATGCTCATTGGACTTTTCTTCTGTGAAATTGATAGCTGACTTTTCCTCAGGCTTATATGGAGTCTTATATGTATTAGTCTCCTAAGGCTGCCATAACAAAGTACCACAGACTAAGTGGCTTAAACAACAGAATTTTTTTTTTTTTGAGACAAAGTCTGGCTCTGTCGCCCAGGCTAGAGTGCAGCAGCATGATCTTGGTTCACTGCAACCTCTGCCTCCTGGGCTCAAACCATCCTCCCATCTCAGCCTCCCACATAGCTGGGACTACAAGAATGTGCCACCATGCTCGGCTAATTTTTGTTTTTTTGTAGAGACAAGGTTTCACCATGTTACCCAGGCTGGTCTCGAACTCCTGGGCCCCAGCCATCCTTCTACCTCAGGCTCCCAAAGTGCTAGGATTACAGAAATTTATTTTCTCACAATTCTGTGTCCGGAAGTCCAAGACCAAGGTGTCAGTAGAGTTGGTTTCTTCTGAGGCCGCTCCTTGGCTGGGAGATGGCCAGTTTTCTCCCTGTATCTTCACATGATCTCCCCTTTGTGGTGCCTGTATCCTAACATCCTCTTCTTATAAAGACAACATATTGGATTAGGGCCCACTGCAATGACTTCATTTCATCTTAAATACCTCTGTATGATACAGTCACAATTCTGAGGTACCAGGGTCAGGAATTTAACATGTATTGTGTGGGACACAATTCAGCCCATAATACTATGTAACTACAATTCAGAAGTTTCCTCCCAACCCTGCCCAAGATAACCAGTTTGACACTGTAAGCCCAACCTATATAGTATTTCTGGACCCATTATATGCATTGTCACAAGCTATAGGAGCTGGGTTTTGGATCCAACATTTATAGCTTACTTCCCACAGATGTAATAAGGAGGAAAGAGTTGTTTATGTTTAATAAGTCTCTCAATCAGCCTTTTCATCTGCTTACCTACAGAATGACTTGGTGGTTCGCCAAGGGATTAGTTTATCCCACTGCTCTCATTGGCTTACATGCCAATTCAAAAGTCAATACTACATTAGTTCATAAAAGAAAAACTGCAAAGAAAGGATATGAAAAACATCATTTAATCCCAATAATCAGCTGTGTGGATTAAACGGTAATGTCTATTGACTTGGTAAAGTTAAAATGCTTGAAAATATCTAGTGTTGAGAGTGGAGAATTGGGAATTTGCATGCGAGAACTGTGGGAAGATCTTTCTGGAAGGCATTCTTGGCAGTCAGTGTCAGTCTAAATGTCATACTCTTTAGCTATTAGTTTATCCCAAGGAAGTAATTAGACATGTGGCTGTGTGTACAGTACTGCAGTGTTTATATTAGCAAAAGCAAAGCCCAGCTATCTAAGCAAATGTCAAATAACATATGATACATACATACAGTGGAATACTATGCAGTCATGGAAATTATCCCAATTACATTGTTAATTGAAAAGGTAGGTTACAGAATAGAATGTGTAATCATTTTGCTGTATTGGCCTCTATTTAATTTTGCTATATTAGTGTGTGTGTTTATATGTATATTTCTAAATATCTAGGAAAAAGTTTGATAGGATATATCCCAAACTGCTAATAGTGGTTATCTAGAGGACATAGGACTTTTATTCCTTACTGCATTTATTTCTGTATAATTTGAGTTATTTATAATAAGTATACGTTAATCTAAAAATCAGAAAAAATTAGAATGAAAATATTTCTATTTTGAAATAAAATGAAATATCTTACGGGGACTATTTTTAAATTTCTTTTATGATAGATGTGTTTAGGGGCTGACCTGTTTGCTCAGGGGCTAGGGGCTGGCTTGTTTGCTTTGGGGAGGGCTAGTCTTTCAAATATTTCTGTCTTTTCCGTATGAAAGAGCCATGAGCTAGTGGTTAATTTCTCACCAGCATAATGCTAGTTCCGTATTCTTTACAGGACATAGGTATAGTATAATGGAAAGTCATAGTGTTCAGAGTTTGACAGAACAGGGTTAAACACCAGCTCTAACACTTCCCTGCTCTGTGATATTGGGCAAATCATGTAACCTCACTGACCTTTAGTTTCCTCAGCTGTAGAATGGAAATAATAATAATAATGATGACAATACTGAGCTGCAGGTTTGTTCTGAAGTTTAAGTGAGACCAGGTACATAAAATGCCTGGAATATGATAAGGAGTAGCTTTTATGAGTATGACAATATAATGTACTTTTCAGAATGCCTTATATTTTAAAACTAAGACTTAGTGAATGGGAAGAAAATTTTTTAAGGTTGTAGAAAAACAGCTGCATCTAACTAGAAAAAGTTTCATTTGATATCCTTGGCTAGTTTTCATAAAGGCGGTTTCTTTTATTCTTTCAGTTCTCATTGACTGAAGGGTGGGCTCACCCGATATGCTTTGTGAAATGCTTGTGTCTGTGGCATTTTGCTGCAGAATTGGAATCAGGAAGAAAAGCTTTCTTGAGAAGAGGTGGGAGGGAGGGTAGGGTGGGAGAAGGGAGATGCTGCCAGGTTTACTTGTATGAGTTGCCTCCCCTCTCCCCCTCCCCAGGACTGATTTGTTTGTACAAATTGGTTGCCGCAAGCAACACATTGTTAGTTTGAGCCAGAATGTATCCCAGGAGACTTACTGCTTTCTCTTTTGCCAAATTATTGTCCTTTTCCCACAGAGGATGCTGGGATTGGGGGGCATTTTTCACTTTGGCATATATCAATCCAATTCTCCCCCTTTCCCTCAGTGTCTGCTATTTGCAAGGCACTGTGTCATTTCACCACATTTAGAATGCTACCAGTTGTGAGCTGTTAACTTTTATTTTCAACTTATGTGTTTTCTCCTAAACCCTCGGTACTGGTATCTAAGGAAAGAAGATGATATTCCTGGAGGAAGCATGCCCTACCCTCCCTGAGATGTGGTCTCCACTTATAACAGGATGGCTCTCCTGCCTCACTGACATAGGCATTGCCGCTTGACTTGTGTTGGGGCCAGTGGAAAGCAGGTGGAAGTGACATTTCCAGTGCGGATTTCTCTGTGCTTCCACCACCACTCTTTTTCCTCTGTCAAAACCACCCATTACTGCCTCACAGGTTGCCCCTCAGACCCTGGCTTGGACTCTGTTCTGGCGCTCTCTGGCTTCACTTGTCCCCATGCCCCCCCTTCTAGACCATGGTTCATGTACCCGGGACTCCAGGATCCTCTACCTAGGCAGACCCTGGCTCTCTTCTGTGGCCTCTTCCAAGATCTGTGCACCTAAGCGTGGACCATGCTGCTCTTGTGTGCCCCTAGACTTATGGGGACCGGGAATAGAGCTCAGATGTGTGGATCAGGAGGGCCCCACACAGCACACAGGGCCTTCACAGTGCAGGCTGGAGCAGTGCAGTGAACGGGGAAAGGGAAGGGAGCAGGCCTCAGGCCAGGGGCTACCTTGCCCTGCACTGTGACATTTCTGTGTGGAGCTCCAAGGATTCCGAGAAATCAAAAGTCCATTATGGGCTGGGCGCAGTGGCTCACTCCTGTAATCCCAGCACTTTGGGAGGCTGAGATGGGCGGATCACCTGAAGTCAGGAGCTCAAGACCAGCCTGGCCAATGTGGCGAAACCCCATCTCTACTAAAAATACAAAAATTAGCTGGGCGTGGTTGTGGGTGCCTGCAATCCCAGCTACTCAGGAGGCTAAGGCAGGAGAATCACTTGAACCTGGGAGGCAGAGGTTGCAATGAGCCGAGATCTCACCATGGCACCCGGGCAACAAGAGTGAAACTCCATCTCAAAAAAAAAACAAAAAAACTCCATTATGGCTTTCTGCGTTGTTATGAACATAATATTGGTCAAGGAGTATAACACATAATTTAACAGTCTAGCGTGGTTTATACTTTTAAATGCTTAAACATGTATTATGTGAGCCAGCATCTGAACTCCTAGATCAGTGCCTGTGAATGCCAGGGATGAGTCAGATGCTGTAGACAGGATCTGTTCTTTCAACCTGAGCCCTGAAATGAAAATGAGGAATGGAGCTGCAGGTGACCCTTGTTGGGTATAAATGGGAAAAATAAATCTTTGTGATTTTACGACATGAAGATTCTGAGATTATCTGTTACTGTGGCATAATTTAGATTAGGGTTATGGATTCCAAAAGGAAAAAGTGACATTTGTTGAAAGCTTTCTTACTTCACCTGTTTAAAATATAGTATTGGCAGAACTTTTGTTACAGTAGGTGGACTAGCACTATCTAGAAGAGTCTGAAAGGAATCCCAGGAGTTAATTGGAGCTCTGTGGGTGAGTGGGTATGTGCCCCATACACGCCCACTTGCTCCCATTGTGCCTTCTCAATTGCTAGTGTTCAAGTGCACTTTGAGGCCCTTTTTCCAGCAGTGATGATTTAGGTTAGTAATACATCAGTCTTGGCTTGCTTCCCTTGTGACCTCCCGGAAATAGGATTCAGGGCCAGACTTTTGGGAAAAAAAAAAAACAAAAAAAAAACACTTATAAAATGAGGAAATATAAAGCAAGAAGCATAGCTGATCTTATTTTTATTTTGCAAAATGTGTCCCTTATCTGTGAATTTACAATTAAACATATCCACCCAACCCTCTCCCTTCTTGTATCAACAAGCACCGTCCTGATGAATGCTTTTCAGGCCTATCAAATAGAAGGGAGTTGCTGGAGCTAAGAGTGAGGTCTTTCTGACTTGGAACAAAAGTCACCTGGTGCTCACTGGAAGTGAAACTGTGAACTTGGCCTAAGAAAATCAGATACAGACATTTGTAATAGTAGTTATGATCATTATCTTGTATGTGAAAAGTAACGTCTGTTTTCAAAAAGCTGTCACATACATGATTTTATTCATCCTTAATTACAGCCTGTGAGGTAAGCAGAAAAATGTCCTTCCTTTTTACAGAGGAGGACACTAGGACTTACTAAGTTTCAGTGATTTACCTACTGTTCTACTAGTATTAATATTGGTATTAAGAATATTAATATACCAATTATTAATATATTAACATGTATTATATAACATATTCCACTAGTGATTAGATGTTATGTAATAATCTATATAGTATATATTGATATATATTAATAGTATTTAGATAATTTATATAATGTCCTTGTCCAGGAGGCTAACTGCTATAAAAACCCAAGATTTCAGTGACTCAGCCTAGTTCATTTTCCATTCAAGCCACCGTTAGTGCGAGTTGGTGTCTGTGTGCAGTGCTCCAGAGTTCAGGAACCCAGGCTACTCTATGTCCTCAGAGTCATCTAGGTGGTGGGTGGGCTGTGGAAGTGTGCATCCTACTGGCCAGAACTCAGGGCCTGGCCACAGCTTACTGCCAGCGGGGCTGGAAAATGTGGTCCAGCTCTGTGCCCTGAAAGGACACAAATACTCACAAGACATCTGTGTGCCAAAAGCTATGGAAATCCGTAGTGCTCATCTCCCCTGATTTTAAGGGCCCTATTTAAGATCTATAGAGCCATTGTGTTTCTCTCCAGCTTTCAGGAGTGGAGTTTCATGAGTTTTGACACATGTACCCACCTGTGAAGTCATCACCATAATCAAGATAATGAACGTATCCACTAACCCCAATAGTTCCTCGTGTGCATTTATAATCACTTCCTCTCTCTCTGTCCCCCACCCCACCCCTAAGCACCCACTGCTCTGCTTTCTGTCGCTAGAAATTAGTTTGCATTTTCAAGAATTTTGTATACATGGACTCATTGAGTGGGTTCTTTAATTTGCCTGGCTTCTTTTACTCAGCTTATTTATTTATTTATTTTGAGACGGAGTCTCGCTCTGTCGCCCAGGCTGGAGTGCGGTGGCGCGATCTGGGCTTACTGCAGGCTCCATCCCCCGGGTTTATGCCATTCTCCTGCCTCAGCCTCCCGAGTAGCTAGGACTACAGGCGCCCGCCACCACGCCCGGCTAATTTTTTGTATTTTTAGTAGAGATGGGGTTTCATCGTGTTAGCCAGGATGGTCTTGATCTCCTGACCTCGTGATCTACCTGCCTTGGCCTCCCAAAGTGTTGGGATTACAGGCGTGAGCCACCACGCCCAGCGTTACTCAGCTTATTTTGAGAGTCATCTATATTGTTATGTGTACCAATAATCCATTATTTTCTATTGATGGGTAGTATTCCATCATATTATAGCATAATGCTTTGTTTTATTTTTTAAAAAATCAAATGCAACTTTTTAGTGTTTGAGGAGCAGGTAAGCCACTCCTTCTTGATACTTTGCCTTACAGTCTGAAAAAGCTAAAACTTTAGCCTGGCCTTCTTTGGCTCATACATGACATCCCTGTCACAAGAAAAGGAAGATTAGATTGAACAGGGGCTATGCTGTTCTTGGCTCTGAACTTCAAATTGGGTAGTCTGGTAATCAAGTGCTGGCTACCTGATATTGACCTACTACTCAGGGCCTTGGGAATGTGAAAGAAACAAGATGGTTCTTTCCCACAGTGATGGTTGGAGATCTGCACTGTCTTTGCTGGTTGCCTGCCCCTGAGCTGCCATCCACCTTGCGTGCCAGGTTAATCCCAGAGCAGCACAGCTCTGCCTGTGTCCCTCCCGCATTTACAAACCTTCTGTGATTTCCCCTGCCTAAACCCTGACTTCTTTAGCCTGACATCCATAACTCACTCTGGGGTTTAACCTTTCCTAGCCTCAGTTTGCCGTCTATTACAATGGGGATGTTTTAGGGTAGCTGTGTTTATTAAATGAAATAAGACAAAGAACCTACCTAGGTGCCTAGTAGATAATGCATTTTCAAAAATTAAGGTTTCCTTTCCTTCTGCCCTTTCTTTTCTCCTGCCCTTTCTTTCCTCCTGCCCTTTCTTGCTTGCCTCCACCTTTCCTGCCTAATTGGCCACCACTTCCCTCTATCGAATGTCCTCTTCATCCAAACCAAACTCTTCTTTGCTCCCTACACACACTCTTTGCTTTACTCCTTTGGGTCTTGGTTTATGGCGTTTCTTTGCTGTGGAACCAAATGCTGCTTTTCTGTCCAGGTTCAGCTCAATTGCCAGCACCTCCAGGAAGTTTTCCTTGATTCCTTATTATGCCTCCCATTGAGGATCGAAAAGACCAAAGTGTTTCTCTCGCTCTTACTCTCAATACAGAATGTTTCACCTCTGGTCACTGAAATATGTGAGGATTGCTTCCCACTAACAACCAGTTATCCAGCAGACACCAATGAAATGTTCTATAATTTAACTCAATTCTGACACTATCTACCTGGACATAGTGTCAGACCCCTGCAGGCTGAGGACTCAGTCCACAGACTATCCCCCACTTAAGATACCAGTTGCTTGTAGTAGGTTGTCACCTATACTTCTGATCGACCAGATATAAATCTGGGATTCTCATGACTCCCTCCTTAAGTTTAATTTGCTAGAGAGGTTCACAGAACTCAGAGAAACACTGTACTTATATTTACTGGTTTCTCATTTAAAGGATAACAGCCAGACAGAAGAGACACACAGAGCAAGACATGTGGAAAGGGGCCCAGAGCTTCCACACCCTCTCTGACACTCACATGTGTCCACCTACCTGGAAGCTCCCTGAACCCTGTCCTTTTGGTTTTCTATGGAGGCTTTATTACATAGGCATGATTGATTACATGATTGGCCATTGATTGGTGATCAACACAACCTTCAGCTCCTCTCCCCTTCCTAGGTTGGGGAGGAGGCTGCAAGTTCCAATCCTTTCATCACATGGTTGGTTCCCCTGGCAACCAGCTCCTATCCTGATGTTCAGAAGTCCGCCAAGAGTTGCCTCATTAGGACAAAAGATGCTCCTTTCACCCAAGAAATTCCAAGGGACTTAAGATGTCTGTGTCAAGAATCAGGGTCAACAACCAAGTATTAGAACAGAAGATTCTCCTATGACCTCTATCTACAAGAGCTTTAGGAGTTCTGTCTTAGGAACCTGGGGTAGAAACCAAACATGTTTTTCTTTTTCTTTTTATCTTTTTTAAAATCTTGTTTTCTTTTTTTATTTATGGTGGAGTCTCACCATGTTGCCCAGACTGTTCTTGAACTCCTAGGTTCAAGTGATCCTCTCACCTCAGTCTTCCTAGTAGCTGGATTGCAGGCACATGCTACTGTACCTAATTTATATTTCATATTATATCATAATGTGACACCCCCATACATACAGTGACTCCCCAAGGTAGGACTGACCTCCTTGCTATCTCAGCAGCTGTGCTATGTCAGTCACCACTTTCTCCATTCTCATGTTCATACTTGCTGACGTCTTAGGCTTTTTCTCTTGCTGTTCCCTCTTTCTGGAAGGTCGTTCTTCAAGATCTTCATACGGTTCACTCCCTCACTCCATTCATGTCTCTGCTCAATTGTCACCTCCTCATACAGGCCTTCCCCAACCACCTCATGAGTAAAATAGGGTCTCCTGTGCCCTCTTTCTTCTCTACCTCTTTACTCTCCTTTGTCTTTCTCCATTGCATTTAACCCTACTTGAAATGATTTGTCTGATTTGGATTGTCCTTTGTGCCCACATGAACTCCACATGCACAGGGACTTTCTGTTGTCATTGGCGTATCACCGGTGCCTGGCACATAGTAGATGCTCAATAATTATCTGCTAACAGGTGAATTTACTACCACATTACACTGTAATCTGTATCAGATGTGCCTGGAGGGTAAAAGCAATATCAATGTCTGATTCATTATTAGATCACTTCCAACATGTTACCCATAGTAGTATACAGTAAATATTTGATTGAAACACAAAGGTCAATAGTGAAGAGCACATTTCCCAGGGTCCATGTGACTTGACTTCTGTTTTAATCAGAGGTTGTTGAGCACCGCCATTTGCCAGGCACTGCCAGACACTTTCGTATACATTATCTTCTCTAAAGCTCACAGTGATTTTCACATCCTCGAATTTATTACTGCAGTTAGAACCTTGGGACTAAGACTAAGAACCTTGGGAAAGTTCTGCAACTTCCCCAACAGCTACCTCCTTTCCTGTCACTGCTGTAGCTCCCACCTTCTTCTCTACCCATGGTCATCCTCATCCCTCCTCCTGCTGATCACTCATCTGAGGTTAAAGCCTCTCTGCCCAGCGTCTTTGGCTTTCATTCATTCACCCACTAATTCATTCACTCACTCCAACCTGAGCCATCTTGTATCCTTCAAATCCTTGTTGATGGTGAGGAGATAGTCCTA
Organism: Homo sapiens; assembly: GCF_000001405.40. NCBI lineage: Eukaryota > Metazoa > Chordata > Mammalia > Primates > Hominidae > Homo > Homo sapiens. Next base: position 81,336,746 of record NC_000014.9, on the reverse strand, counting down.
CCTTTTCTACCTCTACATTGTGCTCCCTTTAATTCCTTAAAGTCACCAGACTTCCCTTCTTCTGCTTGTGGTCCTGATTCCCTCAACCTTGGGAGGACTGGCATAGTCTCCTTTCCCCATGGTGACTTTCATGTCCTGTTGAGCTGCCATCATTCCACATTTTCCCACAAACCAGCAGGGTCCACTTCTACCACCCTCCATGCAGGTCATGTACTTTACATTGCTGACTTTGGCCCTTCACTTAAGTATTTTCCAAATCCACCTTCCCCTTAGTGATATTTCTGGTACTCCTGTGTTATGGTATGGTGGAGTAAGCACTGGAGTAGAAGTCAGAAGAGGTCACTAGGAGCCCTCACTCTCCCACTTAGCAGCCATAAGACCTGGGGAAATCACTCAACCCCACTAAGCCTTAGTTTCTTCCTGGAATGTGGTAACAAGGATACCCACCCTACCTAACCGCTTCACAGAGTTTATTGAGGAATGAAATGAGGTATGCAGTGGTAAGTTAACTTGTAAATTATGACTGTTACATAGATGGCAGGTATAATTGGAATTACCTGTTCTCAGCTATTGTACGGCGTGCCAAACTTTGAATCTCATTTTCACCTGAAATGAATCCCCTGGCTTCACTTGCCTTCTGACTCAGCCTCAACCTCAAGGGCAGTTTTTTCTTTAGTCCTTGTAAGAATAGCCTTGGAATTCTGATTGCTTGACCTTCTGCCATACCCCTACTCAGTCCTGAGTAGCCCCTACCAGACACTCATAACCTTTGTGCTGCTGAGCTCTACAAAAACCATTTGAAAGTCTGGAATTGTTTTTGTTACCTTTTCAGGTACCTCCTCTTAATATTGTGTGTATATCTGTCTGTCTCTCTCTCCCATTCCTAAATTCTCTCTCCCCTAAATATGCTCCATGAATTCCTACTCAACAAAATAATTTTTTTTTGTGGTCGTACTTTCACTCATTTTGGTATTTTTGAATGACTTTCTTCAATTAGGTTTCAAGTCCAAGTGTAGATTTTGGCAGGACTGACTCCATAGTAAATCCAAGAGTATTATTTATGAAACTTATGGAACCCATTGCGATACTCTGAAATCTAGGTCTTCTTCCAACTTACGTCTTTGTTTCTCCCTTCAGCTCTTTCCTCTGTCTCCCTTGTAGGTGTGTGACTTTTCCTGCAGCAGGGTATCTGACAGTCCAGCTATGTCTCCAGAACCAAAAGAAAAACAATAACTCTTGAGAGGTGACACCCTGGATATTCTTACCCAGCAGCTTCCTTTCCTGTTGAATGCATCTCTTCAGACCATCCCTGCACATTTCATTAGATGGAAATGACAGGAAGTGTTTGGAGTGGGGAAAGATATACTTGGTCACTTTTGAGAGGGTCATGATTAAGATACATTGAGACTTCTTCTCTCTACCTTTTCTTCTTTCTTCTAGTTCTTTCTCATCTTTTTAAATTTTCTTCCCATTACCACAGAGTGAGTTCTTGAATAGTGTTTTTGAGACTATCACTGGTCAGTCTTTATATAAAGAATGGGTCATCATTTTTAGTGCCAACTCTTAGATTTAAAATTGGTAGGCCAGGTGTGATGGTTCACACCTGAAATTCCAGCAGTTTGGGAGGCCGAAGCAGGTGGATCACTTGAGTCCAGGAGTTTGAGACCAGCCTGGGCAACATGGCAAAACCCTGTCTATACACACACACACACACACACACACACACAAATACAAAAAAAAAATTAGCCAGGCGTGGTGGTGTGTGGCTGTAGCCTCAGCTACTTGGGAGGCTGAGCTGGGAGGATTGCTTGAGCCTGGGAGATACAGGTTGCAGTGAGCTGAGATCACACCACTGCATTCCAGCCTGGGTGACAGAATGAGACTCTGTCTCTAAATAAATAAATAAATAAAATTGGTAAAAATCATTGGTCCAAAGAGCAGCCAGCTCCCTGTTATAGCTCACCAGACTACGATAGGACATTTCTCTTTCCCTGTCTTGCTCTTTCCCAGTCACCCTTCTGCCCTATTTCTGCCTTGGGATTGCCAGTAGTTTTCTGCTCAGCTTCACTTGGAGAAGTAACAACAGCCAATGTGCTTCATACCCTACAAAAGGACATGTCCCTCTTTCTTTCTAGGTGCCCAGAAAGGGCATTTTGGAGACAGTTGGCTAAGAGGAACTGGAAGTAGAAAGAGAGAAAGATATGAAGAGCTTGCCTGGGCCTAAAATTCTAGTTCTTCACCTTCAGAATAATAAAAGGGGGTTGCTGTTACTGTTTTAGAGGTTCTAGAAGATTGGTCAAGTTTTTCTCTTAATGATTCAAGGCTGGATGATGAACCGAATACATTACCCACTTCCTCTGTGTTGCAAGCTCCATTGTATGTGATGGAACGTGAATTGTATCTTAATACTTAAGTAAATGAAGTAAAGGGAAAAAGTAGTCGAGGGAGACAAAATGAGCAGTCTTTCAACAAATCTAATATTTTACCTCTTTTAGATGCTTCTTGCACTCAGCACTTCTGGCAGAGAGGAGGTGGGTATTGGATCTGGGCAATTACTGGTGCCCTGGAGGTGGCACAGTGACTTAGAGAAGGCTGGTTTAATGAAATCTTACCTGGCCTTTCAGCATCAGTATCACTTCTGGCCTTATTGCCATGCTTGAACCTGACATGCATTCTCACTGGGTTTGCTTAAGAGTAGTGCAAGCTGCAGGTGCTGTGTGGCATCTGTCTCAGGGTTGAGCCTCTTGGCTTTAGAGCAGAAACCTTGGTAAAGGTATGTATTTAACCACCTGCCTCTAAGAAGAAATGGAGGCGGTTTCAGAACAGGTGTACAAATGTAAATGTTTTCATTAGAAATCTGAATGCCACCTGCCATGACAAGCTGATCTCCCTTCTGCTTCTTAAATGGCACACTAACTTCCTGACAAAAATGAAAAATATAACTATAGCTGTTCAAAACTAGAAAATCATGTTGATACCAAGTAGCTTAATACAGTGGAATATGAATTCAGCATCACCAGGGGGACATGATGGGGTAACTTGCCAGTATCCCAAGTGAAGCTCAAGTTCTTGTACCATAGTGGCTGCCTCTCATCTCGAAGGATTTGCTGTCTAGAGAGGAAGTTCATTCCATGTTCATGCAGTGTTACGGTTAACAGCTAGTCCTGTGGCAACAAACTGCCTGGTTGGAATACTGGCTTCCCTACTTACTAGCCGTTTGAGTCAGTACAAAACACTTAACTTTTCTGAGCTTTGTTTTCTTCGTCAGCAAAATTAGAGCCATAACAGTAACGATTTCATAGGGTTGTTGAGAAGACTGAATGAAAAAAACGTATTTAAAGCTCTTAGAATAGCCTCCCTGGCTGTCTGAGGATAGACCGCCATCATGAATGACATGGTAACTATCTGAACTAGAAAGTTCATGACCAACCAACGACTTCAGAGGAAACAAATGGTCATTGACGTCCTTCACCCCGGGAAGGCAACAGTACCGTACCTAAGACAGAAATTCGGGAAAAACTAGCAAAAATGTACAAGACCACACTGGATGTCATCTTTGTACTTGGATTCAGAACTCATTTTGGTGGTGGCAAGACAACTGGCTTTGGCATGATTTATGATTTCTTGGATTATGCAAAGAAATATGAATCCAAACATAGACTTGTAAGACATGGTCTGTATGAGAAGAAAAAGAACTCAAGAAAGCAACAAGAGGGACACAAGAACAGAATGAGGAAAGTCAGGGGGACTGCAAAGGCCAAAGTTGGTGTCGCTAAAAAGAAATGAGGTGTCTAGCAGTGAGCTGTGGAGATTGGATCACAGCTGAAGGGGTAAAGGTGTTGCAATGATGTTATCTGTGGCCATTGTGGATTTTTCACAGGAAGATCAATAAACTAAAAACTTTCATGTGAAAAAAAAGCTCTTAAAATAATGACTGATATAATAAATATGCTTAATGGATAGATGTCAGCTCTTCCAATAATTTATTATTATTTTATTATAGTTATTATGACAATGTCTTGAATCCATAAAGAGCAAATCTAATCTTTTTTTCATATGACAGCTTCTTCCCTGTTTGAAAAGTGCTAAAATCCTCAGTCCCAGAAAGTCTGCTTGTCAATTTAGTTCTACAGAAATGGCAAAAAGTTGTAGATGACAGTAAGTTCAAGGCACTGAGGTAGGTTTAGTATACTCAAGCCCATGTGGGGAACATATGGTAAGATATTTTTAATATCTGAGTAATAATGCCTTCTTCCCAGGAATTTCTATCCCCAAAAGAGAGGTTTTTAAAGAGTAGAAGTAAAATAAATCTAAAAAGAAAATGGTTGGGTTTCTTTGCCGGTTCAAAGGTAATCCTTGCTTTATGATGCATATAAAATTTTGCTTTCTTGTGTGTCATTTATGTGATAAAATCTTAGACATTTTAAAATGCGAATGTGACTTCTTTCAGAATCATCCCAAACATACAAAGCAAGCTGGATATCCTCATTTGCTAATAGATGGTGTTGGGTGAATATTCTCATAACTTTCAGAGACCATGGAAGATCTGGCCCGAAAAGTGCCCATCTGTGGCAGCGGCTCAGGGAGGCCCACAGCCTCTGCAGACCTTCCCACCGCTCCCCAGCCATGATGCTGAGGAACTTCTCCAGAAATTTGGTTTTGGCAGGCTCAGAGGCTGGGAGAGAAGTCCAAGTGCCTATTCTAAGGGGGTTGTAACCCCATAAATATGTTTATGACCCATTTTATTGCCGACTTCTGGCTTTAAAGGAGGATCCACTGTTTTGTTTGAGAATAAAAATCAGTTTCTCTCAGACAGTCATGCAGGAGTGTCTTCCCTGGGAAGATGACAGACCAAATCTTCATTAAACTGTTGAGGAATGAGGGCAAGCAGGGCTTCCTCTGGCCCTTCCCACAGTAGTTGGCAGCAGTTAGGCTAGGATGTGTGGGCTCCTCAGAGCCTTTTGTTTGGTTTCTATGGCTCTAACCTCAATTAGCTGCTCTGCATGGAGAGGAGGGACAATGCAGCTTTTAACCCAAGTCCAACGGCTTCAACATAGGTCTCTTTTTCCTCTCCCTCTATCCATGGCTGGATTTAGGCCTGGAGGCCTTCTTTATGAAGTGATCTGAGGGTCTGCAGTGAAAGTTCATTCGTTGTATTGGTGGGCAGTGGATGAGGGTATGGGAGGAAAATGTCTAGGGTCTAACAACTTTGCCTGATACTAGTTTGTGGCTCTGTACCCCCCCTCCCAGTAGTATTGAACTGTGGTCCTGCAGAAGTCTATGCTGGAGTCACTGACACGTCAGATCCAGTCCTGGCTCTGCCTTTTCTAGGCAGTTTTCCAGCCAGTGAAATGGGGTTGGTCCAACCCCCTAGAACCTCTGAGTGGAATAATTAAAAGAGCAAATGTAAAGAAATTAGCACAGTGTCTGGTGCATAATTCTCCTATCCACATTTCCAAAGACACATGGGGCTAAAGTCTCTTTCTTGCTTCCAGCAAGTACCCAAAGCATCTGTGGCAGTCGTAAAGAAATAATACATTCTAGCAGTCACTGAGAAAGGCTGGTTTTTTATCTTAGAAAGAGAAAAGCTTGAATTGCTTTAGCCTTGAGGTATGTACACATGCCACTGCACGTGCACACACAAGCCTGCACACATACACACCGGTTTCTCAGGTGCTTTTGACCCATAGCTGGATCTCTGAGTACCACCTCCATGTTTTGCCCCGTGGCTTTGGTGGTGCCATTTCAGAGTGAACCAATAGGAAATTATTAAGCAGACCCCAAATGTGAGCACAGCTCTTAGTCATAGTCTCTTCTGCTTCCTTCCTTGCACTAACTTAATCACTAAGCAGCTTGTTATGGCTTGTTCTCCAGAAAGGTAGAGAGAAGTCTATTGCATAGTCCTGTCTGTAAGGCCAGCTAATCCTTGGGCATGCAGGACTTTTGAGTAGGTGCTAATAGATGGTGTGAAAGGAGGTAATTTTTGCCCTGAGGGAGCTAAGCTAGGAAAATAAAACTAGCACACCTGCAATAATTAGCCACCAATTAAGTGCTAAATCATGTGCTCCTGACAGTGTTGGAATGCAGTGTGGGTGAGGGGAAATTTGAGGTGGACACTGGCTCTCTTGGAGCTTTGGCAAGATTCAGCTGTGCCTTGCTGAACAATTGAGCAATGTTGTAAAAAATACATTTTTAATAAATATGTGTGACAGCTTTTCCCACTTCTTTTTAAAAATATTAGATCAGAATTTTAAGACATTTTATTATAAAACACTACTATAACATAAATAACATTTTAAGAAAAAAAAAAAGACACCATCTCTAAATCCCAAAGCCCTAACACAGTTCATTTATCAAAGATCGTAACTCAGTCTCTACAGTGTCCAGCTCAGTGCCTGGCACACAAAGGGAGGGCTTGTGAGTGGCCACCATGACTGTTTACCATCACAAGTATCCAGATACGGCTTTGTAAAGGGTGCCAGACCAGCACCTCTCACATGCCAGGTTCTCCACTGCATTATTGCATTTGAATTCTTCTCACGGTGCCGAGAGGGGGTGATGGTATGCTGAGGCTTGGCATGGTTGAATAACCAGGGGAGTGCTAAGGAGCATCCCACGTCAGAGAGTGTAGATGTTTTTATTAGGCCATGGAGCCTCCCTGAGATACAACAGGATAGAGAGGTGGATACCTAGGATAAAGTACTTCTCCCCCAACGTGGGATGGTGTTAATATTCCCCCTTTCCCTCCTGTGGAGGAAGACGGAAGCTGCCTTACCCTACAAAGGGCATTTTCATTCCTAACATATCAGTGCCAACAAGTCCTGTGGCTTCTGCCCACCTGCTTTTCAGGTAAAGCAGGCTTACCTGTTGGTACTTGTGCAGCTTTGAAGAGTCAGCTGTGGGCCCAGCTGGTCTAATACAAATTAAAGCTGACTCAGGTTCTCCTGTCTAGGATTTCCCCCACCCCCTTCTCTCTCTTTCCCACTAAACGGTTTAAGCCATAGGTAGGCTGACTGATCCATACTTTTGGTCTGAGTTCACTGTATGTTTTAGTTTCCTAGGGCTGCTGTCACAAATTACCGCAAACTGGGTGGCTGAAAACAACGGAAATGTATTCTCTCACAGTCTTGGAGGCTAGAAATCCAAAGTCAACATGTCAGTGGGGTTTCTTCTAGTTGCTGGCAGTCCTTGGCTTTCCTTGGCTTGTGGCAGCATAACTCCAGTCTCTGCCTCCATCTTCTCATGACGTTTTCCCCTGTATCTTTGTCTCTCTCTTTTTTTTTTTTTTTTTTGAGACAGAGTCTAGCTCTGTTGCCCAGGCTGGAATGCAGTGGCACGATCTCGGCTCACTGCAAGCTTCACCTCCTGGGTTCATGCCATTCTCCTGCCTCAGCCTCCCCAGTAGCTGGGACTACAGGCGCCTGCCACCACGCCTGGCTAATTTCTTTTGTGTTTTTAGTAGAGACGGGGTTTCACTGTGTCAGCCAGGATGGTCTATCTCCCGACCTCGTGATCTGCCCGCCTCGGCCTCCCAAAGTGCTGGGATTACAAGCGTGAGCCACCGCGCCCGGCCATGTCTCTTCTTATAACGACACCAGTGACTGGATTTAGGGTTCACCCTAATCCAATATGACCTCGTCTTAACTTGATTACATCTGTAAACACCCTATTTCCAAATAAAGTCACATTCGTACGTTCTGGGGATTAGGACTTCAACATCGTAGTCTATTTTGTGTTGCTATAGAGGGATACCTGAGACTGTAATTTATAAAGAAAAAGATATTTGGCTCATGGTTCTTCAGGTTGTACAAGAAGCATGGCGCTGGCATCTGCATCTGTTGAAGGCCTCAGGCTGCTTCCACTCATGGTGGGAAGCACAAGGGAAGCTGGCATGCACAGAAGTCACATGGTGAGAGAGGCTGTGAGAGAGTGAGAGGGGAGGTGCCGGGCTTTTTTTGACAGCCAGCTCTCTTGGGAGCTAAAAGAATGAAAACTCACTTGCCCCCTTGCCTCCCCAGGGAGGGCATTGATCTGTTCATGAGGCATCCACCCCATTACCCATACATCCCCCATTAGGCACCCCCCTTCAACACTGGGGGTCCAATTTCAGTATGAGATTTGGAGAGGACAAACATCCAAACTGTAGCAGACATCAGCCTATCTTTTGAGGGACACAGTTTAACTCAGTACACTGAGTGAGCCCTCAGAGCACCTCAGGCCAAGTCAAGGTGATAGCAATGCTGGTACATCTTTCTTTTGGAGAAAATTGATGTCTTCGTACCTCTCTGTAGATATAGTTGAGTTGATTCTGCTCCTCAACCCTGGGTTACCAGTAGTACTTACTTTCAAAATAGCTGACTGGGATAATTGAACCTGGGAGCAAATCATGCCCTTTTCCATTCCTACAGCCAATTAAATGTAAGCCCATGAATGGACTTACATTTAATTAATAGACTTCTATTTACATTTAATTAATAGACTTCTATATTCCCAGGATCTTGAACTATTAAAGCCACCATCAGCTTGAGACAAAGTAAAGCCAATCATCCCTGAAGTTACTCACTTGATATTGATTGAGCAGCTGCGGTTTGCCAGGCACTGTGCTTGGTATGGGGGAGACAGCGATGAAACTAGTCATGACTACAACTTATTGAGTATCTACTATTTGTCAGACACTGAAACATACTCTTTGCATACTTTATCATGAATTCTCATAAAAGCTGTAAGGTAGGCTTTATTATCTCCATGTTATAGATGAAAAAACTGAGGGTAAGAAGATGAAAAGCCTTGACCAAAGTCATAGCGCTCACAAGTGGCAAAATTAGGTTTGAACTTGAGTGGTGTACTGTGGACCAGTCCTTCACCACTCTTTGACTGAAGGTTTCTGAATGGTGTTTTCCACTTGTTGTTATGTTACAGAAATCTGAGTAATTATTTATAATACTACTAATAATCTCAGTAAAATAGATTTTAATGAAATACGTAGGTGGAAAAAATATATATTGTCTAACATAACATGTCGTGGCCAAAAACAGAAACGGGAAATGTATGCTTTCATTTTGGAAAGTATAAGCCTTTAATATTAATAGCATCCCAGTTAATGAATGAGGAAGAAATGGAAGAAAATCATTTTTCAATCCCTAGGAAATAATACCAAGGCATTGATTCTCAGTGGTTGCTAAGTGCACAAATACCAGAACTTATCAAACGCCAGTTGCCTCTTGATGGAAGTACGTAAGACTGCCTTTTAACTAGCTAGTCTGTCCGAAAATCAAATCTAAATGCGATCAAACTTCTAAATCTAACTATAAATTCCAAAGGGAGAGGAACATGTTAAATCATACCATGATCAAAATGTAGATTGTGGGACATTTTCTGGCAAAGAACCAGGTTCTTCAAGAAGTAAATTGCAAGGAAGAAAAATAAAGATGGAAAAAGAATGTTTAGATAAAACGACAACACCTATGAACCAACTGCAGTATTGACTTGAACAAAGTATAAAAAAAAATTTGATATATTTAGAGGAATTTAACACTGTCTAGAGACTGGATAATATTAAATAATTATAATTCACATTTTATTTTATTTTGAGATGGAGTCTTGCGCTGTTGCTCAGGCTGGAGTGTAGTGGCACAATCTTGGCTGACTGCAGCCTCTGCCTCTCAGGTTCAAGCAATTCTCGTGCCTCAGCCTCCCAAATAGCTGGGATTACAGGCGCGTGCCACCACGCCTGGCTAATTTTTGTATTTTTAGTAGAGACGGGGTTTTGCCATGTTGGCTTCCTTACTTAGGACAATGGGTGGGGAGGAATAAAAAAGAAAGAATTGTCAGGAGTGCAGGAGGATTAGGTCAAACTGTACACCCCAAATCAATCTAAGGTCCCAAGTAATGTCTCAAACTATGAAGACACTTCTGCAACTGTGTTAGCAGGGATAAAACCCATGGAATGATGTTGAAAGCCTCTGGTTTATACAGAAAAACATATTGAGAAAATAGGAAAGTATTGATTCACATTATCCCTAGACAGTTTTTCTAAGAAATGAGTCAGTCAAATCATTCCTCAAATGACCTTTTAATTCTAAGGAGGCAGGCAGGGGAAGCTATTTCTAGTTAAACGAGTAATGCCTGTTCTAACTTGTATATTAATATTGTGTCAAATTTGTGATACAATATGTTTGTATGTACACCGTAGAGTATGTTGGAGTTCCTTGTGTAATGCAGGTTTCAAATGTGGGCACATTTTAAAATTGTTTCATTACTGAGACAGTATAACAAGGTATATACTTTTAGAGAAGATCCACACAATCTTCTGGATATTCTTTCCATCATCAGTAAAAAGGAGGGGTTGTATGAGCCAATCTCGCAAAATCTGAGTCATGGAACATCATTTTACTATTTTACATGATTATTAGATTTACTGTTGTGTCTCTGTTTTTACAAGATTTTATTGATTATGTCTTGAATTTATAGGAAACCAACATGAGGTCTTGGAACAGAACCCGTAATTACAACATTGTTCCTAAGGGAAAATAGGATCCACTTTATAGTGTGGCTTTTAGGAACACAGCGTGGCAAAAATCAGGGTGGCCAATGCCATGTTTGCTTCATTAATAAAACTTCAAGCATTTATTTTGCCGTTCTTGTGTGCTGGGTGCATACTCTGAGGTTGCTCTCTCGATCTGTAAAATGAGGATAATAATAGCAACTGATTGCTGGGGTTGTTTAGGGTAAGGCTTTATTCAATTAATACATTGGGGTGAGAGAGCTGGAAGAGGGAAGAAATTCGTTTCTCTGTCACTTTTTTTTTTTTAACCCGTAGAGTAAAACGTGTAGTATCTATTCAATTGTAATCATGTTTACAGGGGTGTGAGTCCCTCTTCTTTATCCCTTCTCAGTCTGCCCCTCTGTGCATACTGTGGCCCCTATTGCAGACCCTTCTATAAAGTGGTAATCCAGTATTTTAGACCTAACTTTTACTTTTCTTGACTCTAACTTGCCCAAGCAATTCTATATGCTGATATGGAAAATCTCAAATGTATCATTAAGTTTTTTTTAAGTGCCAAATAACACATCACGGGTATCCTTTAATCCAAGTTATGTTGTTTTTAAGAGGGTAGTCATATATGCTTTATATACATAAACATTTCTGAACCAGATACATAAGAAATTGCTAACAGTGGTTACCTCTGGGGAATGGGACAGATTGTTAAGAATAATAGAGAATTTTTTACTTTTTATTTTATGCCCTTATATACTGTTTGAAGTTTTTTATAATGAATTTTTTATAAGTTCAAAAAAAAGAGGAGGAGAAAAAAACAACACATCTCTTTAATACTGTTTCCCAAATTCAGAAGATCCCTTCCCCTCTTTGGGAAGGGAAACGTGGCACACTGTAGGTCCTGAACTTGGAGAGTCACAATGTATATTAGCATACAAAAGGCTATGAGAAGCTACGGTAGAGAAACCTATATAGTACATTTTCCCCCTTTTATTGCACTTACTAGAAACCCACAGAATTACATTTCATGGCATATCAGTTTTGGAAAAGTTATAAAACTTTAAGGAAAGGTATCTAGCCTTAGGTCAGCTGCAGGTGGAGGAAAGGTGAGTGTTGGAGTGGTGAAAGGCATTCCTGGCTGTATGGTGGGAGGATACCAGGTCTTGGGTTCAGGCAAACCTGGGTCCAAATCCGGGGTCTCCCATTCACTAGCTGGCCCAGCATGAGCCAAGTTCCCTAACCTCTGGGTCTCAGTGTGCTCACATGTGAAAGAGGAACAGTTATCCTCCCTCATAAGCACATTTTTAGGGTTAATTGAGGCAAGTACCTGTTCCGTCGCCCTCCGCTCCATCTCCCTCAGCTGTATTACTGCCATGCCTTTGTTTATGAACACCCATGCTTCCTCCAAACCAACAAGTTATTATCCATTTGTGAAAGGCTTCATTTCAGGATTAATCAGAGGTCAGGCTATCAAATAAGTTCTTGAACTTTCAATGTGAATCCATTTCTAAAATCTTGATTTCTAGATGCCTACTTCAAGAATGTGCCCCTTGGACAAGGCAAAGTCCATAGGCACTGGGAGACTGTTGAGAATCCTGTTTCTCTAAAATTCAGCCTAAAAGTGACTCCAGAAACTCATTGTTTAAATCACATCCAGGTTTGCTTGCTCCAGGCTCTTCCAGACCCCTGCCCCAGAGTAACCCTTCACTCTCATTTCCTATGCTAGTGTTAACACTCTAACTCGGAGGAAACAAATTTCAGAGTGAAATGCAAAAGGATGTGTGCTAAAGCACTGCCTTTTGAAGTAACCTTTGCATTAAGCCCTTAGAATCTAATTACCCAAGTGTTATTTGCCTCCCTAAGTACCCATGCCCATGCAGACTGAGCTTAAAGTTCAGGAAGTAATCACAAAAGGAAATCAGAAGGGAGATCTCAGGCTCAGCCTCTGAAGACTCTCCTGTCTGCGCCTGGCCTCTCCCTCCTCCTGGGTGTGTCTGCCCGCCAGAGAAGGCCAGTGAGTAACCTGCACATTTTTTTTTCATCTTGGCCCTTCCCACCCAGACAAGAGGACGGAGTGGCAGACAGGCAGGCAGACGGCAGTGAGTCCTGTTCAAGCATGCTCGGAGCATACCTCCACCCGCACCCACCGCCTGGACCCCTCGCCACCCTCACCCCAGCCCAAGAGGAGCCAGAACCCCGGCGAGGGTCCGGAGGGGGCCTCTGCTCCCAATGGTAAGGGCTGCCCGCAGCAGGAACGCTTCATTCATTTTATTTGCTTTGGTGTTGGCTTTTCTTTTTGATTGTGTTTAGATGGCAGAATTTCTGAGACAATTGAAGGTGTTTTGTTTGGTTAGTTCTCGGTGGTCCCCAGACAAAGAAATGTCTTTTCGCAGGAGGGTTTATTAGAAGTTGTAACCCGATAGCCTGGCCTGGGAAGAAAACTTAACATGCTAATTACCTCTAGTTAGTACAATGTACCCTTTTGGCACTGTAGAAAAACAAAACAAAACAAAAAACTACATTGCTTACCAAATAGGTTTTGAGGAAGAAAAAGTGTGAAGGATTGTGGACATTTTAATAGATAGGCACCTCTGACTAATTGAAATGTAGCTTAAGTGTCAAGATAGCTTTGTAATAGACCAAGGTGATGTTTTGTCTCAAAACAAACAAAAAGAGACCCTTTATTTAAAGGAGTTCAGTGTGGAACGGAAGATGCAAGGTGGGGTTTGAGGAAAAGAGTTACAAGGTAAGTCCAATTAAATATTTGTGAACATGAAGGTATTGAATTAAATCTGTGGTGCTAATGGGAAGAAAAAAGTCTGTGTTCAATGTGGAATTTGTGTGGCATTTAAGGGAGAAAACTGAGATCTTTGTATAGTGTGTTGAGAATTCTTTGAGAGAATGGTCGGGAGGCAAATGGTGGAGGCTGGGAAGCAGGTTTTGTGCAGGGAGCTGGTGCCAAGGCCCTCTCCCTCAGTTGCTGTGGGTGAGAGAGTAATTCAGAGTAATCAAGCACTGCATTGTTAACAGGCTTGTGTGTCTCAAATATTTATTCTAAACACAAGCCGTTGATTGCACTGACATGTGAAGGAATAAAGTTGCTGCCTCTGTTCTTGGCCTAGTCCAAACTTTAATACCTGGGAAGATATTCATAAACATGTAGGAAAGACAAGGCTACATGTAAAGTTAATTTGAGGAATTACATCAGAGTGTGAGGATGCTAAGCTAAGGGGTTTTATAGGAGGGCGGTATGGGAAATGCAATAGAAATTGCCCAAACTGAGGCACTGCCATGACACCTGTGAAGGTTTGACCTATGCCAGATGACTCTGAATATGCAGCACAGGTTTGTTTTAGGCAACTCTGTGCAGGCAACTTAAGGATTCCCTGTACGGAGCAGCCTATGCTTAACATATCCAGGTTTCTAGAGCTGCAGCAAATTGCCCTAAAACACAGTGTACCAAGATGGCACATCTGAACTTTCTGGCATATAGGAAGTCTATGAAGTTGGCTGTGAGTGAGGGTATGAGTTGGGAGGGTCACAGGTAGGGTGAAAATTTCTCTCTTAGGGTGAATGCCCCTCTTCCAAGTTTCAGGAAAGTGCAGTAGTATGTCTTTTGCTGGAGGTAAATCAGCACTACGTCATCATTGTCATGCCCAGTGTTCCTGTGGTGATAATGCCAGTAGTTTGTTTTTTTGCGGCTCTAGTTTCCCCTTGGCTGATTAATCGAAAGCATAGATTGCTTGCAGCCCCATCAGCCAGCTCATTAGAAGACAATCCAAGAATGCCACTTATTTGGAGGCCAAGTGAGCAAGAAGTGGGGGTAGGAACCATGATGATGATTTTGCCTAGAGATTGCTGGTTCAAATTTGTGACTTTTCAGTTATGATTAAAAAACAAATAGAAGCCACTGTAAGTCGCCCATGCAGTTAACGGCACTGATAGCCATCCTGACTCTCATAGGCATTTGTACATTGGATGCTACACGTTACGGTACAAAACCATCACCACTCCAAACGTGCTTCTCTCCCAGAATCAGTGCTCAGGAATAGAATACAGTTTAGAAGAGTGTTGGCAAATTTCCTCCATGTAGTGCCAGCCCCTTGTTAACTTCAGTAGGGATGGCACCAATTCAAGAGGTGGAAGAAGAGACCCAGGGCCAGCAAACACGACAGGTTTTTATTAGGGGGTACTTATGTAGACGGACGGTCCAGTCGCAGCAGGCTGAACAGGAAAACCACAACCACTTACAAAAAGCAAAAACATGCAGTTTATATAGCATTTTCACTCAACACCCACCCCCTAACCTCCACCTGGCAACTTTCATTTGACCAAATCAAAGGGCCTTGATCGCCTGTATGGTCCAGTTTCCATGGGATGGGATGGGGGCTTCAGATGTTCCTCATGGATAAGAAATGGATCTCTGGGTTGGTTGCTCCCAGAATCCTTAGCTCAGAACTCTGAACACATTCAAGTACATCTTTTATACACTCCCATTCATGGCCTGTTTGGTATGTTTTTAGAACTTCCTGGGGTTTCTTCATGAAGCAAATTGAATGCAACATCTGCTTGAATTTGGCTTTCCTAAGGCAACTGTATGGTGAATTTAGCATTTCTTTTTATTTCATTGTGTTTTGCATCTACTTCTGTTGCTTAGTCCTTTAAGCAGTGATCCTACCAAGCTGATTGAAAACTGTATATTTAAAGAGGCATCTAACTGTGGACTTGAGATAGCCTTGCCTTTGAGCAGCATGTACTTTCTCCTTACCAGTTGCTGCATCACCTCCAAAAAGCCTTCAGAACAATACCCAGCTGTGGCCACCACTCTACCATCCTGTGTTTTCTGGTTTCTGGAATTCTTTTTTTTTTTTTTTTTTTAAAGTAGAAACAGGCTCTCACTTTGTTGCCTCGGCTGGTCTTGATCTCCTGGGCTCAAGTGATCCTTTTGCCTTGGCCTCCCAAAGTGCTGGAGTTACAGGCATGAGCCACCACGCCTGGCCCACATGTAAACATTTAAAGAATTTGAGCGGAGCCATCCAAAAGGTCATGGTGATTTTTCTGAAAAACAGAAAGCAGCACCTTAGCTGTAGAGATGCTAGAATAACTGCTGTGACATCCCAGACACGCTGCATGCATCTTGGAGCTTGGATCAGGGAAAATAGTTGTGGATTCAGGCCCTGCAGTATTAGTGCGTTTTCTAAGTGGTCACAGTCTGGCAAGGGTGGGTAAAGAAGGGAGGTAGAGTGAAGAGGGCCTAGAAAACAGCTGGTGCCTAAAATCTAATTAGCATCAGCCTGTAGTCTTTAAGGAGCTCCAGTTTCCTGCTCCTTGGGGTTATTTGCTGGTCTTGTGTGTTATCTTTTCCTGTAATGTTTCTTCTTATGCTTTGGTGCTCCTCATGCTAATGCTCTGGGGTCCTTTAGAGGGTGTGGCTCTGATGATCACTGTCACATTTCATCTGTAGGCACATCCTAAGCCAGGAAGAGACATCGCAGAGACCTGTCCTGAACACATCCTCATAAGAGGGGAGTGTCATCCAGTCTTCTTAACCCCAAAGGATAATACAAAATAGTGCTGAGAGTAAATAGATTGCTTTCGCTTTAGTTTCAGACTGAGATCTTGAGGATTAAGTAAGATGTGTGCATGTGCAGGCAGGAGTAGAAATAATGAATGTAAGATGTAGCTTTAACGTGTGGACTTTGTAATTTTTGAGATGAGAGTGAAAACTTCAGCCCTCACTTAGAAAGAAATCACATTTGGCTGGAAGTGCTGTTTCTCCCCCATGTTATGCTATGTAATGGATTAATTATAAAAATGGTCACAATTACTCTCCTCTTTAAATCTATTTCCTTGAGATAGGACTTTGCAGCTCCTCTTATCAAGGGTTGGAGTCTCTTTCCCTAGCCTGTGAATGTGGGCTTGGCCTTTTTACTTACTTTAGCCAACAGAATTCATAGAAGTGAAGGTGTGTGGGTATGTCAGTTCCAAGCCCAGGTCCCAAGCCAAGGTCTTAAGAGGCTCACTTACACAATTCTGCTTGCTCTCCTAGAATCTGGCGTCTCTTGGAATGTAGACAGAATGGGCTTGCTTGCTGTGGCCCAGAGACCCCATCACCCCAGGTGACAGTGACCTTACACTGGCCACGTGAGTGAGGCAATTCTAGACCAGCCAGCTAACCTCAGACACTTGAGTGGGCCTAGCAGAGATCGGACAAATCCATCCAGATCCATAGACTCATAAGCAATAATAAATGCTTATTGTTTCAAGCTACTGAGTTTTGGAATAGTTTGTTATACTAACATAGCCAACTGATACGTAGTTCCCTGGACATGGTCCCCTTATGGGGTCTATTAATGTCATTATAAACCCTTAGTTCAACTCAGTAGAAGAGATTCAGTCACTGGATGGAGGGGTTCTATTAAATGGGGGTGGTGGGTCCTCAATTCTTGTGATTGTCAGCATTACTCTGAGACATTTTTAACACAGATGCCTAGGCCTTGTACTAGAGTATTCAATCAAATATCTGTAGATGAAGGTTCGGAACCTGTAATTTTTAAAGCTCTGGTAATTGACCAGGATTAAAACCCAATAATTCAATGGTCTTGTCAATCCCTTCCATTACTGAAAGATGCAGTGATTCCAGTTCATCTATACTTAAACAAATAACACTCAGGTGGTTCAGAGTTCATTACTGACTTGATAGACTTCTAGCTGCAAAAGTAAACTTTATGATCACCTTTGGCCAAAAGCAAACTAACCCAGATGCTAGATGGGAAAAATCCACAGTTGCATATTGATGGCTAGAATGTATATTGTTTACCATTGTATCTGCCTGGGGTTTAGACATGATGCGGACTCATGAATAAATCCTGGACACTGGGAATGTAATAGGACCTTGCTTTGAGGATCTTAGAGTCAATTGAAAAAAAAAATCAGGTATAAATTACTTATAATGTAGTAAGAAAACAAAGCAAGCAGTATTTTAACCATTAAATTTCAGGTGAAATTTTACTATGGCATATGTACCAGTTGTTGCTTACAATAATGCTGCTTTACAAACAACCACAAAATCTGTTTTATACAACAATGTGCATTTCCTAACCACTGTGTCTGTGGTTTGAGGGGGGCAATTGGTTGATTTTAGGCTGGACTCTAGAGGCGGGTAGCTTTATACCATGTCTCTCATCCTTCCCTTGGCACCAGCCGCTACCTTTAGCATGTTATTCTCGTGGAGATGGCAGAGATGGGGCTACAAGCCACAGTGTGCAAGCTCATTTTAAGCTTCTGATAATGTCACTAATCTGTTAGCATCCTGTTGGTCAAGGAAAGTCACATGACCAAGCACAGCGCCAGGGCAGGGAAATGTATTTCACTTTTTTATTTGTTTTAATTTTTTATTATATTTTTTGAGATAGAGTCTCACTCTGTCATCCAGGCTGGAGTGCAGTGGCGTGATCACAGGTTCCGTCTCCCAGGTTCAAGTGAGTATTGTGTCTCAGACCCCGGAGTAGCCGGGATTACAGGCACCGGCCACCACACCTGACTAATTTTTGTATTTTCACTAGAGATGGGGTTTTACCATGTTGACCAGGCTGGTCTCAAACTCCTGACCTCAAGTGATCTGCCCGCCTCAGCCTTTCAAAGTGCTGGAATTACAAACGTGAGCTACCAGGACCAGCCTATTTCACTTTTTTAGTGTGAGAAACTGCAAATACTTGTGGCAAAGGGCATGGATATGGAGAAGAGTGAAGAAATAGAGCCATTAAAATACTCTTCCCCAGTGGGAGAAGGGTGTATGAAGAGGGAGTTGCATTTTTTCCTGCTTTGGAAGGCTCCTAAAGTCCTAGCTGGACCCTAGAATAACCCAGAAGCAGAGAAGTGTGCATCCTCTGGAGCCGTCTTCTGCTCCTCGTGATGTGGAAGTAAGCAGGGGACTCATAGCTGCTGTGGTCTGTCTAATGGAATTTTGAAGGGAAAGAAACTCCTGCCTTGTGCAGTGGCTCACACCTATAATCCCAGCACTTTGAGTGGCCGAGGCTGGCAGATCACTTGAGGTCAGGAGTTCGAGATTAGCCTGGCCAACATGGTGAAACCCCGTCTCTACTAAAAATACAAATTAGCCGGGCATGGTGGTGCACGCCTGTAATCCTAGCTACTCGGGAGGCTGAGGCAGGAGACTCGCTTGAACCCAGGAGGTGAAGGTTGCAGTGAGCCAAGATTGCACCACTACACTCCAGCCTGGGCAACAGAGTGAGACTCCGCCTAAAAAACACACCCCCAAAATAAAAAAATAAATAAAAAACAAAAGAGAAAGTCCTGAAGATATCTCAAACTTGATAGCTGCAGAGATGGCATTGGAATTCCTGTAGAATGCCTCTGTTTCCATTCCCACTGTATCCTCTAAAATGTAAAGATTATGGGTTACTGGGCTTGGTTATCCACTTCCCAGTTCCAGGAGGGGTATTATGTGTGTGGTGTCTTTACTTTAGATCACATGATATCCCCTTATTGTCATCCCGTTTTTCTCAGGTGAAAAGATATGAGTTTCCATCTACTCTGAACACTGGGACCTTTTCCCATAGCCGAGCCCAACATTGCAGTGGTTAAAAGAGATTTGGGTGAGACTGTCCCTTCCCGATGGCACATCTTTCCCTGATTTATTTTGTGAAAGGCTTGTGCCTAAGCCTCTCTCATTGAGACAGGAAACCAGTGTTGTCACATATGATTGAGATTCTCAGATATTCTCCAGGGCAGAAATTATGTTTTATGGTGACACTAAGAAGAAGAATAAAGCACTTTATTTTAGGCCACTAATTTATAGGCTTTGCTATTGATCATTCTGTGCCTTTCAATATATGTGGCTAGTTTGGTTTGTATATTTGTCCCCTCCAATTCTCATGTTGAAATGTGATCCCCTATTTTGGAGGTGGGGCCTGGTGGGAGGTTTGGGTCCTGGGGGCAGATCCCTCATGAATGGCTTGGTGCCCTCTCTGTGTTAATGAGCGTGTGCTCCCTCTATTTGTTCACTCAACAGCTGGTTGTTTAAAAGAGCCTAGCATCTCTCTTGCTCTTTCTCTTGCCACGTGACATGCCTTCTCCCCCTTCACCTTCCCACCCTGAGTAAAAGCCTCCTGAGGCCTCACCAAAAGCAGATGCTGCTGCCATGCTTCTTGTACAGTCTGCACAACCATGAGCCCAAATAAACCTCTTTTCTTTTTTCTTTTTTTTTGAGACAGAGTCTCACTCTATCACCCAGGCTGGAGTGCAGTGGTGCGATCTCGGCTCACTGCAACCTCTGCCTCGCGGGTTCACGCCATTCTCCTGCCTCAGCCTCCCATGTAGCTGGGACTACAGGTGCCTGCCACAATGCCCGGCTAATTTTTTGTATTTTTGGTAGAGACGGGGTTTCACCATGTTAGCCAGGATGGTCTTAATCTCTTGACCTCGTGATCCACCCGCCTTGGCCTCCCAAAGTGCTGGTATTACAGGCGTGAGCCACCACGCCCGGCCAAACCTCCTTTCTTTATAAATTACCCAGTCTCAGGTCTTCCTTTGTAGCAATGCAAAATGAACTAACACTGTGGTGTATCAAATTTACCTGTGAGGAAACTGAAGTACAAAGGATTATGTAACCTTCCTGAGATCACATCTAATGGCCAACTGAGATTAGCCACCTATCTTCTTGTTTTTTCAGCTTTTTCTTGGCAATCTGCTGATAGTACCTTGTTTCCCAAAACAAGCATTACTTACTGAGTATAGCATTACTTACTGAGTTGATCTTCCTAAGAAACCCCGCCTCCCTACTATTTGTGCTCCATGGGAAAAAAGGAAATCTAGCAGGAAGGTGTTTAACAATGTGAGATTTCCATACCACAATGTTAGAGAAAGTAAGCTGGATTATAGGTCATTCCTAAACTGCATTTCCTGAAGTTTCTTCATTACTGCCCTGACCACTGAAATAGACGGCGAGGAGACTATTTAGAAGTTCTCACAAAGTCTTTGTGACTGTGCTGCTTTTACATGTTTTCTGAGCCCTCACCTGCCATTTCTGTTGCTTGGTGACTGTAAATGAGGGATCATAACCTCATGTTCAACAGTGGTTCCCTGACAGATTATACTATTTCTGTTTTATGTGAAAAAATTTGTGTAGTTAAACAACGTGTTTTAACTAATGTTTTGTAGGAGGCATGATATGATTGGAGCAGGCATTTTTATTGGTATTTTTCTCCAATTAACACATTGCAAACAATCAAATAATTATAATGGCCCAGAAAATATAGGGTCTGCTCCAACTGATAGATAAGCTGGTTATCTTGGATAGGTTGTTACCTTTCTGGTGACGTTTTTGCTGTAAATATCATATTGTCTCCCGTATACATGGATGCTACATAATATATTGTTGTTTGAGCAATAATTTCATATCCTCCTCCTCTTCTTGCTCAATGCCAAGGGCCATGTCTGCTCTGTTTACCACTTAAAACCTGGGAGCCAGCATAATAGAGCCTAAGTAGGTATTGAATGAGTGAATGAGCAAATGCTAAGACTACAGCACCCAGCTCATAAGAAAAATTTGGGATTCTTCCCAGGTGTTTCTGCCCCTGAGAAAGGACAGTGAAGGGTTAATGTTCTCTGCGGGAGCAGGAGGGATTTGGATATGGATCTCAGCAGAGCTGCTGGAATCACATTCTTTCTGCTACTATAGCAACAGGTTGAGAATTCTGCCAGTATCGTCACCTGCCTACGTTGGAAATGCCTGCGTGCAGGCGACTTCATTGTCTGGGGGGACCACTGTTTTTTTTATGATGTTTCAATAAAGCAGCTTCTTTTTGGAGACAAAGAGACAGCACAAAGCAGGGGCTAAGAATCATGGAAAGGCAGAGAGAGATCTTGTTTTTATCTGAGGGACATTTCCAGTCTTTTGTCCCTTGAAGAGGTGTTGAGTGAGGAAGGAATTGAGGTTTTATCTGTAGTTGGTAGCATCTTTTTCTGTCTTCTAAACGAGGCCTCTCTTCTGAGATGTAACCCCTGGCAACATTTCAAAAACTTTCTCTTACTATTATTGCTTAGCAAATAGAGTGATAGTAAAAACTCTTGCCTGTGTTCACTTCTAAATTTGGAGGTGCCAGAATGGACCAGAATGTAGGTTTTCCTCTGCATTTACCATTCTTCTAACCAACTCTGTATCTTCGTTGTTTACTGAGAAGGAAAAGCTAACCAAGAATGCAAAATGGAGGTGTTAGGCCAGGCATGGTGGCTCACGCCTGTAATCCCAACACTTTGGGAGGTTGAGGTGGGAGGACTCCTAAAGCCCAAGAGTTCAAGGCTGCAGTGAGCCATGCCACTTCACTCCACCTTGGGCAACAGAGTAATACCCCCGTCTCTAAAAACAAAACAAAAAAAAACAAAGAGGTATTATTTTTATTTGGTGTAGCAGTGTTGTAAAGAGAAGAACATGAGGAAGCTACAGAGGAAAGTTGCTTAAATGGTATTATGTTCCCAGGGGGCTTCACAGCATGTAATAAAATGCCTAGCTTATTACTCAGGCCTGTTTCTTGTGATCTCTGTAAGTGGCAGGGAAGGCTCAGGTGTGGTGATAATCAGAGCTTAGGGCTAATTGTGGATCTTGCTGGGTTAATGCATGGAATCAATAGGCCTTAACTGTCACTTTGGATTGATGGATCACTTTGCCACAGTACCATGATGACATCTACATCTTGTTTTCACTTTGCGTGCTGGCAGGAAAATCTGCCTGGTTCACTCTTTGTTGCTGGTTTACAAATACATCTTGTCAAAAATAACCTGGACATATTGAGCCTTTCTTCACAAACAGCACAGAATTCAATTTTTCAAAGCTTTTATCTTTATCCCACTATAGACCATTTGAATATAGGATAAACCCTTTCATCTTGTATAAATTTCAAGGGCCCCCATCACTGCCTTGAAGTTTGTGTGGCCACTGAAACTGCCGTTCTTGTGCCAGTGTAGTCAAAAGGGCACTGGGTTGGGCACCAGAAGCCTGGACATCTGGTCCTACCAGGAAGTGGCCTTGGCCAGCTCATATGGGGATTTTAATTTCACTATATGTAAAATGAAAGACTTGGATGAGATTTCCAGGATTTGTCTTACATCTCTTCCTACATGTGAAAAAGCAGTTGTTTTAAAAGTAGCACAGGCTTTGCTTCACTGAAGTCTTACAATTTGCAAGGCACTGGAAGGCTCTGTCGCTTACTTCTTCCCTAACTCTTAGTCACACACCACATCACCTCTCTGCTTCAGTATTGCTTCATCAGGGAAGCCTTCCTTGAACCTCAGGCTAGATCAGGACTCCCACAGTATGTTCCCTAATAAATCTGTTATTTTCTTTCATCATACTTAACCACACTTTGTAATGAATGATCTGTTTCATTAGTGTGTGTGTGTGTGTGTGTGTGTGTGTGTATTTTTTTTTTTTTTTGAGACGGAGTCTCTCTTTGTCATTGAGGCTGGAGCGCAGTGGCACGATCTTGGCTCACTGCAACATCTGCCTCCCGGGTTCAAGCGATTCTCCTGCCTCAACCCCCTGAGTAGCTGGGATTATAGGCACCCGTCACCATACCTGGCTAATTTTTGTATTTTTAGTAGAGATGGGGCTTCACTATGTTGGCCAGGCTGGTCTCAAACTCCTGACCTCAAGTGATCTACCTGCCTCGGCCTCCCGAAGTGTTGGGATTACAGGCATGAGCCACCACGCCTGCCTGGCCTGGCTTTTTTTTTTTAATCAATTTTCTTTCTCACTGTGAGACTGAAGAGTTGTGAAGCAAGCACCCAATCTGTTTTGTTCACCATCGTATCTGCACGTAGGAGTCATGCAGTAAACATTCACTAAACGACAGAAGGTGCTGCGTCAGGCTTTATGGAGAGTCTAAAGATGATTATATTGCAGTCTCTGTCCTCAAGGATCTTAAGATTTACTTTCTCTGTTTTTCTTCTCTTCCTTTATTATCTACCTCTAAGACCCAAAATATGCTACTGGAAATTAAAACAAAACAAAACTCCCTGGGTTCTTGTCTTTGATCTAATCACTAGATAGGTTTTGATTTTCCTTGCCTGGACTGGTAAGTCTTTTGTGACAGAAACCACGGAATGAGGCCAGGCCCTGGAAGGAGATTATAGTAGATAGTATGTAGAATGGAAATTGTAGACAGAAAGAGAAAGAAAGAGGTAGGAAGGGAGGAGTACAAGGAGGACAATGACAAGAAGAGCAATGAAAACACGGGGCTTTGCCCTTTTAATTAGTTTGCCTGTAAGGGTCCTTCTTTTTTGACTGCCGAGCCTTACAAGCAAGGACGTGTTTCTTAAATAGAATTCTTACCGGCATCGTTGTGTAATAGCACAAAGAATTTGCTACCAAAATATGATTACGTGCATACAAAAAGTGGTCTGAATTGCATAAAATATTTTGCTTTCAAAAAATTACCAGTTTTCAAAAGGATTGGCAGGTTCCTGCAAACCAGTAGTTATGGTCAATACAAGCAAATGCATCATGAAACCAGAGCTAGCCATTACATCAGTTATGTTTAAACAATGAAGGGCAATTTGATTTTAAGCAGCTAGGCTAAGTCTAGATGCTGGGAGGCAAGAGGGAGAATTCCTTAGGTTGGAGGTGTGATGGACGTTCATCTGCTAGGTACAGAAGACTTAGGGGGAAGTTGATTGAATTAGAAGGTACAACTTCTTTTCTTCTTTCTGAGTTTGCAATTTATAGAGGAAGTAGTTCAGGGGAGTTTTACTATGTAAATTAAGTTTCAGTAGAAAGCATAAGCTCTCCACCTTCAAGAAGTGAAGTAGCCTCTTTGCGTTACCTTGAAGACAGGTGTAGATAAGAGAGTATGGGCAGGTAAGACCAGTAAAAGTTTTTCTGACTCCTCTCCCTAAGTGTTTAGCTTTAATGGCCAAAGTCAGGCTTTCTCTGCATAGTTATCTGAGGTTCCCTTCTTGCCAGCACCCACAGACACAGTGGGTGTTAGTAGCCTGCCTTTTTATGCTTGCCTGGTCCAGTTGGGAGCTTAGATCCCAGCAGACTCTATCCATCCCAGAACCATTTCACGAAAAGAAAATGACTAAGACAATCATGTAATCTCTCTTCTTATGAGGGAGAAGGAATTTTAGTCAAGAATGCAAGGTGTGCCTGCAGGCTTTACACCTATGCTGCACACATGCTACGTACACAAGCGTGGGCATGTGCACACACACACAGGTCCATTCTGCTTATTCACTTACTGATGAAGAGACATGCCGTGTTGGCTAAAGATCAGGAAATAATTGTGTTGGGTTGACAAGCAGCCAAACCATAAGGCTCACATGTCTCATTGGGCAATATTAATTGGCCAACCTTCATTTAAAAAATATGCAAAACAGAAGTAATATGTATGAATGTAGTGCTTTCCTATCTCATATCCCCTGACTCGTTTCCAGAGAAAGTCTCCTATAAGCATTCTCTTTGTTTTCTAGGGATCTGCTTCTTTCTAGACCTGTGGGAAATAAATAACATTTTAACAGAATTATTTCTAAAGCAAATCCCTTTCTTTTCAGTGGCAAAGCCTCTGTTAAATCTCAGCTCTGCCACTTCCTAACTGTACAACTAGCAGCGATGTTATTTAACCCTTGTGCCTCATTTTCGTCAATTTTATGTGGAGTTAATAGAATGTCTCTGTCATAGGATTCTTGTGAGAAGGAAATAAGATCATCTAAGAAATCTTCTTTTGTACAGTACCTGGCTCATCGTATGATTTTTAAAATTGTTACTGTATTTAATAATATCTTGAAGAGATATTCAGCCTTTTCTTTTCTCCTTTACCCTTCTCAAATTAGAAACACCCCTTGTGACATCTGGTGCTTCTCAACATCAGGGGTTCTGCTGGGGTAGGAGGAGCCTCGGTGAGGAAGAGAGGCGAGCAGAGCAGAGCAGAGCAAAGCAGAGATGATTAGGCAGGAATGAGGGTGATAGAGACCTATTCCCATACTCTTCTCCTGCCTCCTATTCCATTGCTCTTTCTGGTATATTATACTGCTTCTTAACCTGTTGGTGGCTGGGTATAATACTAGGTGCAATACAAAAAAGAATATAAATTCAGCTCTATTGTCCAAGAAGTGGTCATCTAAGTCCCAGGCTTACTTTCCCGTCTTCTCCAAGTCCATATACTTGCCTTTTAGCTCAAATCCTAGCTCAAACCTACCCTGTGCACTGATGCCTAATAGGGAACAAGTACTCGAGGGATATCAGTGGCACCCGTTGACTCACCATAGAAGACAGAGACATAGTCCTCAAATCCTTTGCATTTAGAGAAAAACACCTATGAAAAGTCAAAGGCCTTTGCATTTAGAGGAAAACACCTATGAAAAGTCAAAGGTCAAATATCAAACTTCCTAAAAGCTCCATTCCCTCTGGACTTTCAGGCTTGAGGGGAAGGAATGTGAATCATTGGACCTGGAAAGAGGGCATGGGGAGAGGAAACAGGAGGTTTCCTGTCCATCTCTGCCGTGAAAGAGATGTCAGTGCAATGCAGCAGCGTATCCTGATACACAAAATAGGAGAGATAATTGAATATTAAATGAGATGTGTATATAAAACATGATTTTAGGGCCTGGAATATAGTAAGTCCTCAATAAATGTTAGCCATAATTAGTTCATGAATAACATCTGGATACTCAGCTATTTGGAGGGCAATTAGACTTCTCAGTCTTACGTAAACCTTACTGCCTATTCCTAATGCTGCCAGCCACTCACATGTTGACCACATTGAATGGGGAGGAGATGCTGCTCACACTGGTCCATCTATCTGCACCTCTAGTTTGTCTTAATTGTTCATAGGTTGAAATTAAATGACCCATTTTGAGGGTTCACAGTTACTGTTCTGTGCAAGAGAAGAAGTGTATGACAAGCAGGCACATCACAAAACAAGCAGGCAGCTCTCCTGGCAATGACTGCAGGATGGTACTATATTTACATACATTTTATCTTTAATGTGAATTTTTATTTTACTATGTCTTTTATTTGTGTCTTATCAAAAGCAGTGTAATATTCTTAACTCATTCTGGCCAAAGTTGGGTGACTTACACCGTTGTCTTTCATAATATAAAGTAGAAGAAGAATATATATGAATTTTAGGGTTTTAAAGACAAGATGAATTCAGGATCATCTAATCCAGCCCCCTCACTTTAAAGTGTGGAAATTGATTCCTGGGGTATTAAATAATGAATTTTCTGAGTGGCAGAAGGGGAGGTCTCCCAGCTCTAATTCAGAGTCCTGCATATATGATCTCTTGACCTGCTACTCTTCCAAAGTGACCATGAACATAAAACTGTTTGAAAGCTGCTGTTTTGAAATGTAAGAGTGGTCATCTGTGCAGAGGATTCTCAAATAAGATACCACCACCTTTGGCCCAGTCTCTTCCTGTCTTTGGTACGTTATCCCTAACTCTCCACAGGAAATACATGCCTGCCTATTATTTGGAAGAGGCAATGATGACAGAAAGAATGGTTCCTGTTTTTTCCCTCTTTAGGATAGCTCCTCCCCAAACCCTGTCCCTTAGATACATAATCATGATCAAAACAAAATAAGATTCCTGAGCTACATACATGGCTCTAGGGATTGCCTAGAGTGTTTCGTAGTGAAACCTCATGCTCTAGCTCTGCAATTCCAAGGAAGGATCAGATTTGCAGAGCACTAGACCTAGGGATTTATTAATAGATTTTCTCAAGGATAATTAAGTGATTTAAAAAATTATCATAACTAAGTAAAATTTTAAAGTACATGTAAATAAATGAGAAGGCATAGAGAAAGTATTTGGAGACAATAAATATACATTCAAGATATAATAGATATTGTTCAAACCAAGATTTAGCAAATTCTAGAATTATACAGACTAGACTAAATTTTTTTCTTTATAGATTATCTTTTTTTTAATAGTTCAGATCTAATATTTGGTACCTCCTTGTTTGTTTAAAGCCAATAATAACAATAACTGTTACCTGTCAAGTAGCTGCCATGTGCCAGTGTAATTAATGCTTGTCATGAGATCTCATTTAATTTGCACAGTACTGTGAGTTAAGTATGATTTCCCTCATTTATTGATAAGGATACTGAGGCTCATGGGTCAAAATAACGAGTTTTTTTTTTTTTATAGAATTTTGACAACCTATTTCCATTCTCATAGAAGCAGGGCAAAGCAAGATTTTAGGCAAACACCAGGGAAAGGTTAATCTAGTTGCTGAACCAAATAAAGCACTCCTATCAGAAGCCCAGCCTATTCTCCCTGCCCTTGAGAATATTGAAGACATAGCCTTTTAAAGCAGCCTTTCTGTCTCAAATCCTGCCACAACCCTTTAGTGTATGTATGTATGTATGTATGTATGTGTATATATATATATATACACACACACACATATATATATATATATATATATATATATATATATATATATATATGGGTAAAACCATGTCCTCTGGGTGAATTTGGTTGTCTCTTGAGAATTTCTGTTTCCTCCCTCAGTTCTTTTATTCTCCCTTGCACCAAAAGCTGCCCTCTCTTCTTTGCTCCCTCCCCTGCCCATGGGTTATTAGGGATGGACGTAGAGTTGTAGCATGAGTGGCCAGGCCTTATTAGACGCCAAGAGGGATACCCTTGAATAAATGCCCCACCTTCAGCATGTAGAATTCTGGGGTTAGGTTTTGTCTGCTCAGTGTTCTTTTAAAAATAATTTCTAGGCTGGGCACGGTGGCTCATGCCTGTAATCCCAGCACTTTGGGAAGCTGAGGTGGGCAGATCACCTGAGGTCAGGAGTTTAAGACAAGCCTGGCCAACATGGCAAAACTCCGTCTCTACTAAAAATACAAAAATTAGCCAGGCATGGTGGTGGGTGTCTGTAATCCCAGCTACTTGGGAGGCTGAGGCATGAGAATTGCTTGAACCCAGGAGACAGAGGTTGCAGTGAACTGAGATCGCGTCTGCACTCCAGCCTGGGTGACAGAGCAAAACTCTGTCTCAAAAAAATAAATAATAATAATTTCTGAGTCTGAGCTAGATTGCATAAATCCAGAGCAGGTAAGCGTAATGACAGTGTTTCAAACATACATTTCTGTTTGGGAAGTCCTTTCAGAACCCATTTATATTCAATAGACAAAAGCCATTTTCCTTTAGCTTCTGTGTCCTAATAAAAGATAAAGATATAACAGCTTCAGATATATTATCTGATTATCAACCATGCCCATCAGATACAGTTGACCCTTGAACAACATGGGAGTTAGGAATGCCACCCCCAAGCAGTAGAAAATCCACATATAACTTGACTCCCCAAAAACATAACTACTAAAATAGCCAACTGTTGACTGGAAGTCTTACCAATAACATAAAATGATTAACACATATTTTTTGTGTTATATATACACTACAGACTGCATTCCTACAATAAAGTAAGCTAGAGAAAAGAAAATGTTATTAAGAAAAGCATAAGAAAGAGAAAATATATTTACTGTTCCTTAAGTGTAAGTGGATTATCATCCTCGTCTCCTTCACATTGAGTAGGCTGAGGAAGAGGAGGGGTTGTCTGGGGTGGCAGAGGCAGAAGAAAATTTGCATATAAGCAGACCAGTGCAGTTCAAACCCCTGTGGTTCAAGTGTCAACAGTAGACTATTAATTCTTTCTCATTTACAAGAAGATTGAGGCTCAACTAGGCTTTTCTATTCAAAATCACACACCAGCCAGTGACATTTGGATTCCAGATTTCTCTAACTCTGAAGCCCAGGCTCTTACATACTGTTTTGTATTGTCCCTTTTTTAAAAAGAAAATAAATTTATAGAAATTTACTCACTAGCTTTGAGTCCAAGTGAGTTTTGACTGTTTTGAAAAATTACACTCAATCAGCCTCAAGGAATGAAGATTTTCTACTGCTTAGTTCATGCTGAAGACAACACTGACCGTTCTGAAATGCTTCCAAAAGATGCAATCCAGAAATGCCTAATGTTATAATTGCATCAGTGCAATCTGTGCACGGCTCACCAGCTTAGACTCACTTGAAGGTGTAATTTCTTTCTGTGTGTTTTTTAAATTTCTCTTGTTAATTCTGGCCTGTGCTCATATCTTGTGAAATGTAGAGGATCTAAGGGAGTGATCACTGAGATGATTCCCCAAACATCCTTCCAGTTATAACAGTCAGAGTTTCTATAGGTGTGCACCTCCCCATGCTTGCTATTCATGATCAACTTGACTTTTAGAAGTGCTCATTATTTAAATGATATTCCACCCAAATTATTGTTTGCTCCCCATTTAAATAATCAGTGCTTGTTGCTATAGTGCCAACTAAAAAAGATAGTAATTATCCTGCTTGGGCACAGCTGCAGAGCTGACTTTGCTTGCTAATTTGTTAAAGGGTTAATGTCCTATTGCATTTTTTTAATTGTCTGCTTTATTGGAGGATGCTCAGTTTTAACTGGATTTCCTCTTCTTTATTTCCCTAAGAGCCAATGAGATGAAAATGCCATTGTTTTTCCTAATGTGGTGTCAAGGCAGAACCATCTCTGGGGATGTCAGGAAGTCATCCTGCAGTCGTGAAAGGATGAGGACTGAAATCCGTGAAGGTGAAATTTCTTGTTTGAACAGTGTGACTGATCAGACTTTAACTCTGTGCTTAGTGCCATATATTAAAATAGAGAACATCAGCCAGGCACAGTGGCATAGACCTATAGTCCCAGCTACTTGAGAGGCTGAGGCAGGAAAATCACTTAAGCCCAGGAGTTCCAGGCTGTAGTATGCCATGATCACACCTGTGAATTGCCACTGCACTCCATCCTGGACAACATAAACTCCATCTCTTAAAAAAAAATAGAGCATATGGCGCCTGTAGTCCCATCTGCTCAGAGGCTGAGACACGAGAATCACTTGAACCCGGGAGGTGAAGGTTGCAGGGAGCCACAATCACACCACCGCACTCCAGCCTGGGCGACTGAGTGAAACTCCATCTCAAAAAAAAAAAAAAAAAAAAAAAAAAAGAGTATGTATGTGTGTGTATATATAAAATAGAGTGTATATATATATATATATAGAGAGAGAGAGAGATTTAAAAGAATCAATAGGATTCTTTGGTTGCAATTAAAAAAAATTAAAAAGGAGAGTGTATTGCAAGTTGAGGGTGGGGGCTGCTCACAGAGTTGAAGGGGAAGTTAAATAATCAAGCAGAAAGGCCAAGCTCAGAAAAGGCCAGAGCTAGATCAGCTCTTGGGTCGCTGGCAAGGAGTTATAGCTGGTTTTTGCTGAGTACCACTATCTTCATGAATGAGCAACAACCATTTTCAGATTCATTTTCATTTTCCAAAAGAACCAAATACCAGGCGAAAAGTTTTGCATTGATTTGGGTTAGCATGTGACTACATCAGGGTGAGGAACCTTAACTGACAATCCCACCAGTCAATCTCTAATAAGGTAAGTCCCTTAAAAATATATCTTAAACGAGACTTAAAAAGGACTAACCATAAAGGAAAAAATTGATAAATTAAACCACATGTAAATTAAGAATGTCTATTAAGCAAAAGCCACCATTAAGAAAGTTAAAGGCAAGCTGCAGCATAAGAGGAGGAGATATTTGCAATAAATACATAATAACAAAGAAATCAAATCCTGAATATATAAAAAAAACTTCTATAGATCAACAAGAAGACAGCAGACCACCCAATGGACAAAAGCCTTGAAAAGGTACTTCACAAAGGAGGCTATCCAAATGGCCAATAAACATATGAAAAGGTATACACCTTCAGTGTTCATCAGTGAAAGTTCAGTAAAATCCACAATATAACACACCACACACCCACCGTCATAGCTCAAATGAAAATAACAGGCAGTATCCAGTGTTGGTAAAAATGTAGAACAACCAGAACACATATACACAGTGGGTGGGAGTGTAAATTGGCATAGTCGCTTTGCATATCCAGTGAGAGAGCAGTTCTGCTCCTGAGTACCCAAGACAGAAGCAAGCATGTGTGCATCAAAGGCATGTGCAAGAATATTCATAGAAGCCTGGCTCTCAAATGTCCATCGACACTAACATGGATAAATTGTGTCACATTCACACAATTGAATACGATGCAGAAATGCAAACTAACACATCACATGTAATGAAATGAATGAATCTCATGAACATAAAGAGAACATACTATATGAATTCATTTATCTAAGTTCAAAAACAAGCACGTTACAGTATGGTGTTAGGAGTCAGAATAATTGTTACCCTGGGGGAAGAGGTAGTTAGTGATAGGAAGGGGGTACAAAGGGGTCTTCTGGGGATCTGTCTTTTGAGATAGTGAATTACCTACATGTCTTCACTTTGTAAAAAGCTATTGAACTTTAAACTTATGATTTATGTTATTTTCTGTGTATTTTATACTTTTTAAAAAGTTTGCCAAAAAAACAGAATAACAAGAAAGGCTAAAGTAACAATGCCTGGGTTTGAATCCTGATTCCATCCCTCCCTCCCTTCCTTCCTTTTTTCCTGTGACAGTCTCACTCTGTCACCCAGGCTGGAGTGCAGTGGCGCGATCTTGGCTCACTGCAACCCCCGCCTCCCAGGCTCAAGCAATTCTCATGCCTCAGCCTCCTGAGTAGCTGAGATTCATCACAGGCCTGTTTCATCACACCCAGCTAATTTTTGATATTTTTTGTGGAGACAGGGTTTCACCATGTTGGCCAGGCTGGTCTTGAACTCCTGACCTCAAGCAATCCACCTGCCTCGGCCTCCCAAAGTGCTAGGATTACAAGCATGAGCCACCATGCCCGGCCCTGATTCCATCTCTAACAGCGTGAGCTTGGGCAAGTTACTTAACTTTTTTGTGCTTTAGTTTTGTCATCTGTAAGAGGGAGATAAGAGCAGTACCTACCTCACAGGGTTGTTGAAAGGATCAAAGGAGATAATCCACGTAAAGTGCTTGAAACAGTGTCAGATACACAGTAACCAGAAAATAACTCTTAAGTAGATACACTTTACAGTGGCTCCTCCATAATAGGTGTGTGGGGGAATCTAAAAATGTACAAAACCCTGGTCTCAAGGAGGTTTTAATCATAATTAGAAAGATGAGATACGTAAAAGAACAACTATTTGACTCTACAAGAGAGTATTGGGAAATTCCAAATGAGCGATGCCGATAAGAAAATCAGAGGAATTTGGTGGAAGGAGTGATTACTGTAGTTTAGAGTGTTCTGGGCAAAACTCATGCCGTTGTTAAAAGTCAGGATAGTCATTATTCACGGTCGGGGAAGAGGTTGGTCAGGAGCACAAAGGCAATTGTTTCTTGATCTGGGTGCTGGTTACATGCATGTGCTCAACTGTGAAAATATATGGAGCTACGATATGTGCACTTTTCTGTATATGCGTTCTACTTCAAGGAGGTTAAAAGGGCATTGGTTTCGAAACCTGGTTGATATTTGACCATAGGCATGTTATGTAAGCTCTATGAGTTTCATTTTCCTCACATATAAACTGTAAATATACCTCCCCTTGGGTTGTCATAGGGTTAATGAAGGCAAAATCCAGTCCAGGATGGGACAGTAAAATATTTCATGTACCTGATCTGCTCACTGAGGAAGAGGGTGACAAACGGAAGCAGACCCTTCCTGTGTTAAGATTTGGAGCCTCTCTCTGGGGTTCATTGCTTTGTTGGAAGAATGACCTCATGTCATTATTGATGTTGTGAATGGAACCTGTTTCAGTGTGTCACTGTGGTGGCGCAATGACTCAGCCACTGGGGCAAAGGGCACTTCTGCCTGTCAGGGCCACTGCTTGACACTTGTCCCACACCACCACTGTTGGTTTCCTTTTTCTGTGCTTAGTCATAGCCACACCTGCAAGTGTGCACAATGCTTGATCCAGGTGTGCACTTAGTAAATATTTACTGAGTGCCTGCTGTGTGTCAGGCTCTGATGGAGCATATAATAATGACTAAAAGCAGAGTAAAAGTAAAACAACATAACACATTGAAGGCTTGCCCTTCAAATATTTTGGTCTACTAACAAGGTAGACATGTTTCTTCTGAAAGCTACTTTTCCCCGTCTCTTCCCTTCTTTCTCTCTGCTTATCCTCTGCTCACCCAATACACATTTTCTTATTCTCATTCTCATTTGTATTCATTATCTCTTTTACACACACACACACACACACACACACCCCCCACACATGTACACCCTCACTGAACTCCATTCCATATAATCAGTCTAACAGCCATTTAACAAAAGCAATCAACTCAGCAAATATTTTTCTACTTGTTCCTGCCCCTCCAAACTATAGATGGCAGTGCCTTACATTAATTATAGCAGAAACAATCATTAAGTGTTCATTCTGTGTACGGCACCATGTCAGGTACTTGCCCACATCATCTGTAATTCTCACAACATCCTGCAGGGCATCGTTATCCCATTTGATAGGTGAGGGACCTGAGGCTTACAGATCTTATATAATTTTCCCACTGTCCCCTACAGCCTGTTTGTGGCACAGCACAAGTCCGCTGTCTCTTGACATGCTGTATTCCTTGTGGAGACATTTGCAGTGTCCTCTCTGATGATTAAATGATGTAAACACCCTCTGTATCAGTTTGTCATGCAATCAACTTTATATGCAAAGCTGTGTATTAGCAGAAGTTGCCACTATGGATTCTGACACCATGGTCATTCTCTTACTTTAATGAGTGTAGTTTGACTAGAAATGTCAGTATAGAACCAGTCAGCCTTGCAAACACTTTCTGAGTTGTTGCATAAATGCTTTAACATTCAGAAGCACTAACCTGCTGCACCATCCGAAGGGATACTGAGCCTATTTCGTTATCTATATTAAAATCTTGGATCCAAGTGAGACTTTCCATCACTACAGGAAGAGCCTGTGTGTATTGAGAAAGTTCTGCCATTTTGGGCCTTCTTTATTAGACTGTCTCTCTTAGACTACTTTAACACTTATTGTTAGCCTCTGTTCCAGAAATTTGTAGACAGATAGGGGTATCTGATGCTGATTAAAGTGAGTATTGCTGTAAGCTGGGCACAGAGGGGCAGCTGATATGGTGCATGCTTACAAATGCTGTTCTAAATGGTTTTCCACAGACAGGCACAGTCCAGAGTGGCTACTACTCCCATTAGTCCTGATGTTTTTGTGTCCTCGCCTCCAGCCTTCTAATAAACCACTCTGATTGGGACAGCCAACTGCCCTCAGTGCACAGTGTCATGTTATGCATTGGGGCTTGAGTCATATTCAAGTGAGGAGGGAGGTCAAAGCTAGCAAATCACCATGGGCTTAAGATCTAGGCTTAAGCTGTTTAGCCTCAGAAACTTAATATTATTGTATTGAGAAGCAAGCATTTCTGGAGATTGACAAATCTACAATAGGAGATGTATATTGGGCAATATGACTAATAACAGTTATTTGTTCAAAAACTAAAAGCTACTAAAAATGGAGTTTCCTCTGCATGGGCTCAGTTCTTTACATGTATTTTTTCCAGTTCTCACAACAACCCTTCAAGTTTTTGAGTAATTATTCACATTTCACAAATGTGAATACTGAGCTGGCATCCCAACCAGATGTATTTACTTCCAAATCTTGAGCACGTTCCACTCTGTCTCAATGTCTTCAGACATTCTCTCTGCTAGTATATCACCCAACTGAAATGTCAGCTCCTTTGCCAGTTTGGCTTCAACTATCCCAGGCAGAATTACTGGTCATTTCCTCTTTTGGGTTCACACAGCACTTTTTATATACCCATAAGAACACTTTGTGTTGTATTGTAATTGCTTTTGCTGTATTGTGGTTGTTGGTTTATTTGCCTGTTGCCTCTGCTAGTCTCTGAACTTCTTAAAGGTAGTGACAAAGTCTTATTCCTTCTTTTACATTTAGCTTGTCATAGGACCTGGCAGTGTTGTGTAGTGTGGAAGGACTGAGTTTAAATCTTGTGTCTTTTTTGGCTGACATTATGTTTTTCGGACATGGTTTACTGCCTAGTAACAAATAGAGTATGTTCAATAAATATTGAATGAGAGAATATAATCTTAGATATTATTTTTTCTCTATTAATTATTTCTATTATTAAAGCTGAAGGATAAAAATATCTTCCTTATGGGGTTGGTGTGAGATTAAATGAATGAATCAAACCTGGAGAAATGATGGTGCAATAGTAACTTCTGAGATTCAGAGAATGGTTATGAGATTCGTCATGTTGTTGCATATATAAATGGTCATTTTATTTTTATTGCTATAGTGGTATTCTATGATATGAATATGATACTCTTTGCTTATTCATTCTCCTATTGATAGGCATTTGGGGTGTTTCCAGGTTTTCACTATTATTAATAAAGCTGCTGTGAACATTCTTGAACAAGTCTATTTGTAGACATATTTTTCATTTCTCTTGAGAACAAACATAGGAGTAGAATTGTTGGGTCATAAAGTAGGTGAATGTTTAAATTTATCATTTAAACCATTTTTAACTGCCAAACCATTTTTAAATGTGATTTTACCATTTTATACTCTCACCAATGACGCACGAGAGTCCTAGTTGCTCCACATCTTTGTTCACATTTGATATTATCATGGGAGTATTTAGGATCTCATTATAGCTTAATTTGTACTTGCCTGGTGTCTGATGATGCTGAGCACCTTTTCATGTGCTATCTAGCCATTTATATAGTTTCGTTGTGGCCTACTGAGGTGTTTGTATTTTTATTATTGATTTCTGGGAGTTATGTATTCTTTTATCAGTGGCTTGCCTTTTAACTTTTTTACTGATGTCTTGATAAATTGATGAAGTACAATTTATTTATATTTTTTCTTTTATGGTTAGCGCCTCTTGTGTCCTAAGAAATTTTTGCCTACCCTAAGGTCATGGAGATATTTTTCTATGTTTTCCTCTAGAAGCTTTATAGTTTTGGCTTTCTTGTAGATCTGTGATCCCTTTCAGATTAATTTTTAGACAGAGAGAGAGAAGGAAGGGTAAAGGTCTACTTTTTCTGTATGGATATCTAGTTGCTCCAGGATGTTTTATTGAGAACTTTTTTTCTTGAATTCCATGGCATCTTTGCCCAAACTCAAGTGACTTTACATGCGTGGGTCCACTTCTACACTCTTCATTTTGTTCCATTAACTTATTTATCTTTCCTATGAGATTGTCTTAATTACTGAAACTTTATAGTCAATCTTGAAATTTGGTAGTTTTGAGTCCTACAACATTTTTCTTCTTTGAGATTGTCTTGGTGATTGATAGGCTTTGATAGAAATTGACCAACTATCAAAAAAATTTTTTTAAGCCTGGGAGTTTTTATTGGAATCATATTGATTCTATAGATCAATTTAAAAAAAAAAAAAATTTTTTTTCCATCTTAACAATTTTGAGTTTTCAAATCCATGAACATGAAATCTCTCCATTTATTTAGGCCTTCTTTAACTTCTCTCAACAGTGAAGAGGCCTTACACATCTTTTATTAAGTTTACTTCTATGTAGTTGATATTTTTATGCTATAGTAAACAATATTTTTAGAGGTCTTATTTCCAGTTGACTTGTTACTAGTATTTTAATATATAATTGAGTTTTTAAAGAATGACTTTGTATCCTGAGGACTTGCTGTATTCAGTTTTACAATTATTTTTACTTTTGTTAAGAAGGTTGATAAAGGAAAAACTGAAAACAGCAACAGCCCAAAATGCTCATAAGTTAGCCACAGGGCTCAACCTCTTTCTTTTACTTTTTATTCCTTTTTCTTGCCTTGTTGCAATGCCTAAGGACTCCATTACAACGCTGAATAGGTGAGACTGGGAGGAACACTTTCAATATTTCACCATTGTGATGTTAGCTGAGGGTTTTCTTTTTGTATATGCCCTTTATCAGGTTGAGGAAGTTCCCTTCCATTCTTAGTATGGTGATAATAGTATTACTATTACAGTTAATGTAAGTTAAATTTTACCATACTTTTTCTACCTTTATTGAGATAGTCTCACATATATGTTTGTATAACACGTTAATTCTGTGCATGTATGGGTAACTTCTGCAATATTCCTGGTGGATGCAGAAGAGTTGCCTAAGACAAGCCCAGGCATGTGGTTTAAAGTGACCACCATGATTCTAGTACCAAATACAGTTTGGTGTCACTTGATCTGAGCCATGTGGCTAGAACTTATGAGTGTTTTGGGCTGTTGCTATTTTCAGTTTTTCCTTTATCAACCTTCTTAACAAAACAGATGTCTCTTATTTTGGTGGTAGAGGTGGGACTTTGGGTACTTTTTATGTCGTTCTCTTGTCTGTATTTTCTAAATTTCTTTAGTGACATGGATGAATTGTGTTTTAAAAAGTTTTAAAATTCTATATAATTAATTAGATTACAGATTAATACACTTCAAACACATTTCTACCAAGTCTTTCTAAAATTATATCCAACTCACCTTGCTTGGATATGGGTGTTTCTTAAATCTCTGAGAGCAACATATTCACAAACCATTTCGTGGTGGGTGACTAAGGATTTCTCTGTTGATCCTTTAATCATTTAATTTTAGAAGGTGCTCATTTTTTCATCTGTCCCAACTTCAGTTTCCTGGATGAAACTCCTAGCATGGTTCTGTTCAACATGCTTTTCTGTAGTTTCTCTTCCTTGGGAACTTACCAGAGCAGGAAAATAAACACCAACAGATTGTGTGTGTCATGACAGAGGTATATAGATCAGGGATTTCAGCCGCGCTTGGGAATTTAATGACTTGCAACAGATGGAGTCTGAGTCCAGGGTGACTTTGCTCAGGGGTAATTCTTAGTAAGTTTGGCTTTTAAATTCTGTGATTCCCCCCCCCCATCTGAAGCAGTTGAGGCTTTAGAGGCCTGGAGCTAGAGGAAGCCTCCCTCAGACTAGTCTGTGGATGACAGCCCTAGGATGTGGAATAGGGATTGGAGATAGACTGTTATTTCCAGCTGCTGTGCTTTGTTTTTGTGGAACAGGAAGTCATTATCTGGAGATTCACAATTTCTTGATAGCTCATTTCTCCTTCCTGGAAGGGCACCCGCATCTAGAATAGGCTTCATCGCTGGAATTATAGAGCCCCCACAAGGAGCTCTATTTGACTCCTTTTTTTCTTTCTAATTACAGATTCCTGATAGAAGGAATGTTTTCTCCTCTTTCTCAGTACTTAATGTGCATGGCAATAAATATCAGTTATTATTATTTTTCTTTTGAGACAGAGTTTTGCTCTTGTTGCCCAGGCTGGAGTGCAATGGCGCCATCTTGGCTCACCACAACCTCTGCCTCCCAGGTTCAAGCGATTCTCCTGCCTCAGCCTCCCGAGTAGCTGGGAGTACAGGCATGCGCCCCAAACCCATCTAATTTTGTATTTTTAGTAGAAATGGGGTTTCTCCATGTTGGTCAGGCTGGTCTCAAACTCCTGACCTCAGGTGATCTGCCCGTCTCGGCCTCCCGAAGTGCTGGGATTACAGGCGTGAGCCACTGTGCCCAGCTGGCCAGTTATTTTTATTACTTTCTATTGATTATTAAAGTTAGAAAGTTTTATACTATACGAAGCAAAACAAACCTCAAACCTCAAAATGAATGAATAAGTGCTCCTTGTCATTTTTTACCAGTAATAATGAAAATAATTTAAATCATATAGCATGCCATATTTTACAGTAGCATTCACATGTCTTATTTGGTCCTCACAACCATATTGTGGGGCATAGGAAATATCATTATCCTCCTTAAAAGTGAGGAAACAGACTCAGAAATTGAGAAATTTGCTCAAGATTGGACAGTTCTAACAATGTAGAGCTACAGTCCAAATGCTGCAGTATACCAGAGTGGTTAAGACTAAGGGTTGCCAACTCAGACCTCTTGGGTTCAGATCCTAGCTCTTCCTCTTACTAGCTTTGTAACTTTGGCCATGTCACCTAACCTCTGTGCCTTAGTGTCCCCCCTTACTAAAATAGAGGTAATGGAGACTTACCTCATACAGATGTCTCCTAGATCAAATGAGATCATTTTGGTATAGCTCTAGACAGACCAGCTGGCATACAGTACCTGGTTGGTGAGGGTCAGCCAGGCCACTACTTGTCTTGGAGGCAGCGGTGGTAGATTTTTATCTTTCCGTCCTTCCAGCTACCTCTCCTGCCTTGAAACCTGAAGTCAACTCCAGGAGTCACCAAAGTGCCTGACACACTCCGGAAGTCCCCAAGGGCCCTGTAGGGTTAGAGAATCCAACCCCAAATTAAATACTTTAAAGAAAAACTCATACCATAAAGATCTTTTTCCTTGGTTCAGTTTTGCCAGGTGGCTGAAGATGGTATGTGCTTATTTCCTCTTACACAAGCTTAATCAGAAATCTTAAGAAAGTTTTAGATAGGATTGTTACATTCTTCCTCTCTAAATATTTTAGGGAGTATTTGTTCTTTATTTGCCATCAACATTTATCAAATGCATGCTGACTTGTGTATTTGCCACAGTCTGCTCTTGAAGTAGCATAGAAATTCCTATGCTATACAGTACATGTTCTTAAAAAGTCTTTGAGGAAGCAACCCTCTGTGTTTTATATTGTGCAACCTGCCCTACAGTTAAGTAAGGTTTTTGCTTATGAGTGGGGAGACAGTTCATCTTTATGTCTTTTGCTTGACTTCTCTCATATATGCAGAGAAAAAGAGACAAAGAGAAAAAGAGACATATGCCAGTCTGCTGTGTGTCTAGCTGCAAAGGGGGTTCGAGCCTATCCCTAGGAAATGCCCTCAATGAAGGATACAAAGGTTACTATTTTTAGAGTGGAGGGCAGCATGTTTGTCAACATTTCATGGTGTGTCACAGCCAGGCAGGAAACTTTAGATTTGAAAATAGAAGTCTTGATCCCATTACCTCATTTTTGTCTACTGAAGTCCCTGACTTTAAATGTCAACAGGAATCAAATTTACTTCATAAAACAAATCATCAGCATTGATCGTTCTCTATCTAGCACCACATTTTCTCATTACTTTTCACATATCCTGTATTCCCCACTCTGAGGCAGCCAGACGTTGCATATATGTACTAAAATTAAATACATTTAATGTCCTGCCCTCCAAACTGTTTTAGCATACACAATGCTCATACTAACAGCTTGGTTAGATGTTGCCAACAACTACTGTACTTACTGTCTTCCACACTGCCTGTTTTGAATATTGTCCTATGAGAATTCTCATCCCAAAATACTACGGAAAAAATGTAGGCTCTATAACTGGATATGCAGAATAATCCTTATGTTTTAGAACTGTTTATGTTTATGAATGTGTACATAGAGTAAGACTGCTTGAAGGAAACACACATTATGATGGTGACATTGATTATCTGGGGTAGCAGCAGGATTTAGGTGCTTTTTATGTGCTTCTGCACCTTCCAAATTTTCTAACATATAACTAGTTTCTTAAAGTTATTAAGAAATTTAATTTCTTGATATTTATAGAAACAAACTTATTTATTTTAGAACTTGGTGACTTGAACATCTGTAAAACCAATGTGCTTTGAAATGAATTCATATGTGAATGCCTTAGATTCAATGTGCCTTAAATCTTGAGTCGTTTTCATTGGAGGCAAAGAATACTTAACTCTATGGCCCTAAGGACAGTGGGGGACAAGTCACTTGAGTGGCATCTGCCACTTCAGGACATATAAAGGTGCAAGAATGTTCTAGCCTTTCCACTTTCCCCTATTCTGTGGTTACTTGATTTAATTTCCTTTCTCAGAAGTTCTTTTGGTATTTAGGAGATCGTTGAAAAAGCCATGACCTCTTTCATCTGATACATAACCAAGACTCTCAACGCAGATCCATAGTTGGTATAGACAAGTTTTGGTTTAATAGAGCTGTAAATAAATGTTCCAAGAATGCTTTCTCCATATTTATAATCTTCTATTTCTTTTCTTTTCTTTTCTTTTTTGAGATGGAGTCTTGCTGTGTAGCCCAGGCTGGAGTGCAATGGCACAATCTCGGCTCACTGCAACCTCTGCCTCCCGGGTTCAAGCCATTCTCCTGCCTCAGCCTCCAGAGTAGCTGGGACTACAGGTGCCCGCCACCACAGCCGGCTAATTTTTTCGTATTTTTAGTAGAGATGGGGTTTCACTGTGTTAGCCAGGATGGTCTCAATCTCCTGACCTCGTGATCCGCCCACCTCGGCCTCCTAAAGTGTTGGGATTACAGGCATGAGCCACCGTGCCCGGCCCTATGATCTTCTATTTCTAAAATGCAATAACTGCCCACCCGGCACCCACTTAAACAGCATGAGGAATGCAGGATTGATTTGGAACCTTGAATTACCTCAATGTCTGAATAGCAATTGTAGGCCTTACCATACAGTGGTTGAGCACTTTTGAATGTTTAGAAGCATGTTCACATGTGTTATTTCATATTTGCTTCCAAACGACCCTGTGAACTAGGGCAGGGATTAGGATTATTTCATGTTCCCATGAGGAAATGGCACAAAGAGGCTTGCCTTAGACCTCAGTGAGTTTGTGGTAGAGCCAGGACTAGAAATAAAACCTTTCATCCCATGACTTTATCAAAGGCCCCACAATTCCAGATGTCTCTTTCCAGGATCTTCCCCAGGGATACATGGACTCTAAGGAATAATCATGATAATAATAATATCAAAAATAAAATGTTTGCTATATATACTTCATATACATTAACTCAGTTCTCACAACAATGTAAGAGGTAAGTACTATTATTATCTCAATAGGCCTTAGTTGAGGGAATGGAGGCCTAGTACATTTAAGTAACTTACACAAGGTCACAGAGCTAGTAGGTGGAGTAGAGTAGCCAAGAGATGAACCAGCATGGAGCCATAGTCCGTGCTCTTAACCACTTGACAATGCGGTTAAGTCCTGTCTGCTTCCCACCTGTTTATGCCTAGGTTGACCTAGGCCAAAGATGGAAATTCTTCTGGTAAGGGTCCTAAAACTCCTTTTCTCCAAACTTACAGAAGTATGTGTCTTATATTACTTAAGCAATAAGAATACTGTCCTATCTCCTTGTGGAAAGAATCAGGGAGAGTAAAGAGGCATAACAAAACTGAAATATTTTTGCTCAATAGTTAGACAAGATTGGAAGGTTCTAGGAATTTATATCTGCCATGGTTGCTGCAAGGATCTTTTCATCTATCTCTTGTCTGGCTGCTAAGGAGCTTGAATTGCAAGTAACAGAAGCCAATTTTACTGTGAGCGAAAATAACTTATTCTGAAGACATAGTAGCTTACAGAAGCAAAAGAAAAACTGAATACCCAGGCTTCAGGAAGTTGGTGTATCAGCTTTTACTGTGTTACAACCACCTCAAAATTTAGTAGCTGAAGAAAAAAACCCACCATTTGTTTAGCTTATGATTCTGCAAATCAGCAATCTGGTCAGTGCTTGAGCATTCCCCTACCTGTGCTAGGCTCAGCTGACCTCCTCAGCAGCCCACTCATGGGTCTGCAGTCCCATGAGTAGCCTAGTTGGCTACTATGTCTTGATTCTCCCTATGGTCATTCATCCCCTGGAAGGGTCACTCACATTATGGTCTTGGAGTTCCAAGTATAGCAAAAGAAGGCAAGCCCCAGTGCACAAGCACTCTTCTAGTCTCTGCTTAAGATATATGTATTTAATCTCGACTAAAGCAAATCACATAGCCAAGCTCAGAGTCGGAGTGGGAGGCAGCTGCCCAAGAGTACAGATAGAGAAGGAGGAAGAATCTGTGGCCATTTTTGTTATCTCCCACAGATGGCCAGGAACCTTGGCACCTTTAAGACTCAAGTCACCAGTCGAGTGTGGTGACTCACGCCTGTAATCCCAGCACTTTGGGAGGCCGAGGCAGGTAGATCACAAGGTCAAGAGATCGAGACCATCCTGGCCAACATAGTGAAACCCCATCTCTACTGAAAATACAAAAATCAGTTGGGCGTGGTGGCACGCTCCTGCAGTCCCAGCTACTCGGGAGGCTGAGGCAGGAGAATGGCTTAAACCCAGGAGGCAGAGGTTGCAGTGAGCCAAGATCGCACCACTGCACTCCAGCCTGATGACGGAGCGAGACTCCATCTCAAAAAAAAAAAAAAAAGACACAAGTCAGCAAGAACTAAGGTGAAGGCTTCCTAGGGTGCCACCGTCTGAATAACTTAGCCCCCACTATCTTCCTGCCCTTGAGTCAGTCCATTTAAGATTTCCAAAAAGAACCTCACTGTGCTTGAATTACATGCATCATGGATGGTGCACCTTGGTTGACAGTCAATGAAGACTTGAGCAAGACGGGGGAGTCCCCAAAAGGACAATTGTGAAGTTGTAACCCAGATCAGTGCGGAGGGATGCAGAGAAGGCAATACAATATTCCTTCTCTCTGTATTGTTCACTATGTTGACTTTGTCCTTTCCCTCTGAACCATGTTGGTTTAAGAATTTATTAAGGGCAAAAGTAGTAATCTCAGCCTGTTACTTGAACAACAGAAGATTTCAAATATTCAACTCAGAAGACACTTATTATAAAGGTAGTGGTGCTATTAGTCCACTGTCACACTGCTATAAAGAACTGCCCAAGACTGGGTAATT
The DNA here is from genome assembly GCF_000001405.40 of Homo sapiens. NCBI lineage: Eukaryota > Metazoa > Chordata > Mammalia > Primates > Hominidae > Homo > Homo sapiens. The sequence goes on along the minus strand of NC_000014.9, from coordinate 81,292,692 downwards.
TATAAAGGAAAGAGGTTTAATTGACTTACAGTTCTGCGGGGTTGGGGAGGCCTCAGGAAACTTACAAACATGATGGAAGGGGAACCAAACACATCCTTCTTCACATGGTGGCAGGAAGGAGAAGTGCCAAGCAAAGTGGGCAAAACCCCTTATAAAACCATCAGACCTCATGAGAACTCACAATCATGAGAACAGCACAGGGGTAACTTGCCCCCATCATTCAGTTAACTGCCACCAGGTCCCTCCAATGACAAGAGGGGATTATGGGAACCATAAGTCAAGATGAGATTTGGATGGGGACACAGCCAAACCATATCACCTGGCATGGGTCAAGATCTCACTGACCTCTCCTCTTTTTGTCATTGCTGCATATTTATTGGATACCAAGTGTATAGCCAAGAAAGGGACTGGACTGGTGTTCTGATGTGAGATAACATGATCCTTGGCCCTGGCAGCAACTCCAGCAGTTGTTTGTTTAAATCAGTTTTAGAATTTGTGCAGAATTGGAATGCTGGTTTTAAGACTTTCTAGAAATAAAGAAGGGATGGCAGTAAAGTCGACATTTAGCTGAAGTCCAAGCAACAGGCAAAGCCTAAGATAGGCTGTTACCATTGTCACCAGGGAGCTAGAGCACTTAAGATTGAATTATTGCCCAAATAATAGAAAGGTTTAAAGGAATAACAGATCCTTCATATTTGCCAAAATACCTTTCCCTTTGGACTGACAACCAGGGCCATTTTTCTGGCTATAATAGCCTACTCTTACAAAGGATAGGGAAGAGGTGATATCCGTGTGTGTGTGTGTGTGTGTGTGTGTGTGTGTGTGTGTGTGTGTACCCATGCTAAGTATTTGAAACATGCCTAGTATACTAAGCATTTTCTCCACATGTTTGATCAAGTTTCTACAAAGGTTTAATCATGATCCTCTAATATATTTAGAATAAATGTGTTAGTTTATTCTAATAAACTAATTTATTAGAATAATAAATTAAACTAAAACTAATAAATTTATTAGTTTATTCTAATAAACTAATAAACATACAAACATACTAGGTGTTTTAGTTAATGTTTTGTAACATAATAAATAAAAAGTAGAAACATTGAAAAGATGGGTTAAAAAGTGAACAAAAATAGAAGTTGTAAAATATTTTCTTTCCATACCCCAGTGGATCAATTGAGTATCTCCTTAAGTCTACTGTTCCACTTTGGGGACTGCTTGTCTAGACTGCTAAAACGTTTTATACCTGCCCAACAATTACAAAGACATTTCTCAGTACCAGAGGGATAATAGAAAGTTGAACATTCTGCCTTGATCAAAGTGTATTCATGACTTAATACTTCCTTTATGTGGTGAATTCCTGTACTTCTTTGGTATATCCATACTGGCTTTGTGAATGTATATGTCTTCATATACATTCTGTCTTCATAATTGTACTTCATACCTGAAGTACGGACTTTCATATCCCTTGTAGTTCTCAAGTCTTTGAAGTTTATCTCTGCAATAATTACGGAAAGGTTTGGATTCATGGAAATCATAACCTGTTCTTTCTTTCTCCAATTCCTTTCTTCATTCTTCCTGTCTCCTTTCCTTTTTTCTCTGTTGGATTGATAACTAATATAACTTCAAAGGCATTTTCCCTCCCTACTTCCTCCTATCCTGTTTTTTGCTGCTTTAAGAATTTTGAAATGAGACATATATATATTCTTCCTGTGAGAGCTAACATTTATTGAGCTATGTGCCAGGTGTATGCTGGGAATTAGTTGTTTTCCTGTTTTTCTAAGAGATTATCTTAACTTGATGTGTTTACACTTTTATAAACTGCATCTACCATCAGTCTGTGAGGATGTCCCCTTTGATCTTGGTAACTAAAAGAGAGTTGGACAAGTACTGAAATGAAATCAAATTACCAACTCCAAATCCAATTGAAAAGACAGGCCTACTGCATACATGAGCTATTTGGTTATTTTGTTGTCAGTGTCATTGCTGGAAAGTCCACATAAAGAACATGAGTTTTGGGTAATACAGATGAAAGGGGCCATCTGTAGGGATCCTTTCAGCTTGCAGTACTTGCCCCTAACCTTCCTGTGGGTGATGCTGGTCAGCTGACTGTATGCACCCTTACCCCCAACAGACTTCTTGAGTTTCTCCTGGAAATGATATAGCACAACAAAGGTAACAAACAGAAGATCGATGTGATACAGACTCAGAACGCATCTTCTTCTCCTAATTCCCAGGACACATGTACACAAGCACATATAATAACATGCAAGAGATCTCAGCTCTCTTTCTTTGCCCATATCACCAGCCCCCTGACCAACGTTACAGAATCCCCAACTTGATTGAAGCAGAAATTCTCATCACTAAGGTTCAAAATGATCAGACTTTGAATCTGGTAGAATGGCACTATTATAACTGTTTCAGGACTGTGAAGGCGAAGACTTTGCTGTGTGTGCTTAAAGTATGTTTGCCTATGAGGCTAAGAGACTTCTGAGAAGGTGAGACTAGTGAGACTACCAAGCTCCACTCTCAGAATAAGTAGGCATAGGTCTGTGCCCATACAATGGAATATAAAAGTATTATATATAAAGAGGCTGATGAGGACCAGCTCTGCAGCAGTGTTACTGATCTGTAGGACTTTAGTGCTGGTGAAAAGTAGACCCATATATTGAAGGAAGCAGTGAGGGAGATAATAGACAGAGCTATTGGTGAGACTGAAACCTCTAGGTTTATTTCATTTGGCCACTTGACATTCTCTTTAAGGCATAGCTTGGCTTTCTGTTATTCACCAACATAACCAGGAGGATAATCAAGCCCTTGCCCTTGTATAATTCCTGCTGAGTCTGTCCCACAAACCCTGGCCAACGGACGGATGGATGAAATGAGTACTCAGACACAGGTATGCAGTGTAAGAGCAGCTAGGGGACTGGCCGGCTCTGGTGGCCAAAGTGCAGCCCCGAGGAGCTGGAGCTGCTTGCTTTTTATTCAGTGCAGGCACAATGCCAAAAACCTGGAGCCAACACAACCAGCAGGTAATTAACATTTATTGTTCCCCTTTCAAGGAATGTCACACGCGCAGATGATAAAGGTCAGTTCCTGGTCAACATAAGTAAATAAGCCTGTTTAAGATAAATTCCCCCATACTCCCTTGTACCCACTCCTTGCCCTCTGCCTCAGGGTTATAGAACAGCTGTCTTCAGCTATTCTCCCCTGGGGCTCTGCAGAACCTTCCGACCTTTCAGAAGGTTTGCGTCCTTTCCCTATAGTTTTTCCCACCACTGACCAGTCCCCCACTTATTCCCTAATCTTTTATAAATCTGGTCCTTTTTTCTGTCTTCTAACTATTGCAACGGTGAGCCTTTACCTTCCGTGGCAATTCCAGGACCTGAGAATCATCTTACAAAGCCTGAAACTGATCTTACTTGCTCACCCAAGGGTGATGTGGCTGTTAGAAATGGGTATCTCTGACCAAATGTAACATCAGGGTTCAGTCCCATCTAATTCCACTTTAGGTTCTACTGATACAGCCTAGCCCTTCACTAACATCCAGGAACCTAATTGTTCCTGACCCCTTCAAAGGTCCAGAAGCTTCTTGGATCTTGCAAGCATCCTGCGTTGTTGCTGGGGTGTGTTCACCTGGTGGGCAGGTGAATAGTGAGGATGTGGAGGTGCACATGAGTGAGACTTCTGTGGCAGAGGGCAGTCCTAATGAGTCACCTGTCCTGGTCACAGTAAGAGTGTGGGCATTATAGTCCTGCCACTGCTTCTGGGGACTTACCCAGTGCTCCTCCAGGAAGTACTTTTTCTGGCTCCCCAGCCCTGGCATGGGTATAAGAAGTGTGCTAAAATCAGTAAGAATGGAGACCCCCCCACCCTTTTTCCCTTGCTCCTATGATACATTCTCCCTTATGGTACCTGTAGATATAGGACACCTTCTCTTTTAACCTCCGAAACAAAAAGAGCCCCCTTTTCACTTCTTTTCATACCATATAGGTGTTTGATGGTCCATTGAGCAGAGCTTCACATCCAAAAGGCTGAGCTCCTGCAAACTCCTTGGTTTAGTTCTCTTTGATCGGCTCATAAGTACAGCCATGCCCCACATAACATTTCAGTCAACAACAGAACACGTGTATGTCAGTGGTCCTGTATGACTCTACAACCATATTTTTACTGTACCTTTTCTATGTTTAGATATCTTTGGGTATACAAACGCTTATAATTGCCTGCAGTATTCAGTACAGTAACATGCTGTACACGTTTGTAGCTTAGGAGCAATAGGCTATACCATGCAGCCTCGGAGTATAGTAGGTTATACTATCTAGGTTTGTGTAACTACAGTCTATGATGATATACTACCTAGGTGTGTGTAACTACACTCTATCTATGATGTTCCCACAATGAGGAAATCACCATTGTTGATGCATTTCTCAGGATACATTCCTGTCATTAACCAACAATGGCGATACACTCTACAGTTGAAAATGACTATATTTGAGAATAGGAAGGAAACAGGTGCTTTTTGCTATGGCAATATAAAATAAAACACAGCTTAGGGTCTCTGCAGGTTTCACTATCACTAGTTAACTCTTTTCAAGATACCTTGTTATATAAAATGTTAAGGAACTAATTTATAAAGCAGAATACTGATTTTTCAGTTTACCATAGATGCCAGAATCTATCCCTGCCCTCGGCGTGAGACCTCTGCTGGGGAACTGGTGTTTGCCGTATCAGACCACAGCAAGGTGTCGTAATGGAGTCTCTGCCCAGGCTGAGTTGGAGAATGGAGCCCTCATCTAAGACAGCCCAAGAAACGGATATCAGAAAGGCACATTGAGGCAGGGAACCAATAAGCCAGTTCAGTCATAGTTGGTTGTCAGAGGAAGAGGCCAGAAGTAGGGATCCAAAGGTAGAGTATTGGGGAGAGCATGGGGAAGTGGGCAATGGTAAAACAGAGGCAGAAGTTTAGAACCAGAGAGAAAAGATATTCTTGGTCACCACGTGAGGCTGTACCCCACCAACATGGAATAAACTGGGGATAGTCCTGGACCAGTCAACAAACTTAAAGTCTGATGCTTGCTTTTCTGAGCAAAAAAAATGAAAGCTGGGATGTGTCAGGTCAGGCTGTCCTAATGGCAGGGAGGGAGTTGGCAGGGCAGGCTGAACCAGTCATTTGAAGAAGGTGCGCAGTACTGCTTCATAGGTCACCTTAGTAAGTAAAAATGAGAATGTGGTGTCTTGATAAAGATTCTGTTAAGTAATGTTAAGTGGTAGTTTGATGAACTGGCTTCTTCACTTTGGGAATATCTCTGACCAGGTACTTTATTTACCAGCATCGAAGCATCCTCCGTCCTGGACAATGCTGAGACAGATGAATACACTTATCCTCTGGCGTCCTCTTTATCATTAGTACGTATCATTTGTAATGACTAAGTAGGTCCCAGCGTAGACTTATCCTCCGGCTCCTCTTTTTATCATAGTATTTTGTTATGACTAAGTAGATTCCAGCATATTTTACGCACGTTAGAAGCTCCCTTGATAAGCTTGATATGACTAACTCCTCCCTTCTCTCACCCTATACATTTACACATTAGTGCATGACATCACTTGACCTTTTGCCCAAAGACTTCTCTATGTAAATAGATGTTAATCCTTAATTAATTAACTTATTTTCCCTGTTGAAAAATGTTCCTAAGAAGTTGTGTCAAGATAACTCTTGCCAATCTCAAAAGGTAATGGGAAAAATTCACCAGATTTTAGCTTAATGAACAAGCATTAAGGAAATACTAGAGTTACTAAAAATTAAAAGCAGGACTTGACTTCTGATCTCAACTTGGACAGTTTACTTAAAATTGCTGACCTCAGGCTTCTCTGTAAAATGAAGAGGTCAAGTTTTACTATTTCTGAAATCTCTCCAAGCCCCAAAATTCTGTGTTCCTCTTTTCACTTAACAAATTACTGCATAAATATGAAATACCTACTGTGTATCTGTGGCTGGTTGTACAGTTTTAAGTACAGGCATACATCAGATATACTGTAGGTTTGGTTTCAGACCACTGCAATAAAGCAAGGATTGCAGTAGAGCAAGTCACACATATTTTTTTGTTTCTTAGTACAGATAAAACTTATGCTTACACTATACTATAGTCTATTAGTTGTGCAATAGCATTATGTGTAAACAATGTACATGCTTTAATTAAAACCACTTTATTACTAAAAGTGCTAATGATCACCTGAGCCTTCAGCAAGACATAATCTTTTTCTGGTGAACAGCCTTGCCTCAGGGTGGTGGCTGCTGAGGGTTGGAATGGCCGTGACGATTTCTTAATGTAAAACAACAATGATGTTTGCTGCATCAATTGACCCTTCCTTTCATGAAAGATTTGTCTGTAGTATGTGATGCTATTTGATAACATTTAACACACTGTAGAACATCTTTCAGAATTGGAGTCAATCCTCTCAAATCCTGCTGCTGCTTTATCAACTAAGTTTATGTAATATTATTTTTAAACATATTTTCAATGTTTACTTATTTTATTTTTTTGAGACAAATAAATGGAAATGGCTCTGTCACCCAGGCTGGAGTGCAGTGGCGCAGTCTCGGCTCACTGCAACCTTCACCTCCTGGGTTCAAGTGATTCTCCTCCCTCAGCCTCATGAGTGGCTGGGACTACAGGTGCCCGCCACCATGCCCAGCTAATTTTTGTATTTTTAGTAGAGATGGGGTTTTGCCATGTTGGCCAGGCTGGTCTCGGACTCCTGACCTCAAGTGATCCACCCGCCTTGGCCTCCCAAAATGCTGGGATTACAGGCATGAGCCACCGCACCCGGCCTCAACTTTTATTTTAGATTCAGCAGGTACATGTGCAGGTTTGTTACATGGGCATATTACATGACATGGAAGTTTGGGGTATAAATGATCCTGTCACCCAGGTAGTAAGCATAGTACCCAATCTGTAGTTTTTCAGCCCTAGTTTATGTAATATTCTAAACTCTTTGCTGTCATTTCAACAGTGTTCACAGCATCTTCACCAGGAGTAGATTCTATCTCAAGAAAATACTTTATTTTCTCATCCATAAGATGCAACTCCTCATCCATTAAAGTTTTATCATGAGGCCGAGTGCAGTGGATCATGCTTATAATCTGAGCACTTAGGCAAAGGCGGAAGGATAGCTTGAGCCCAGGAGTTTGAGACCCTGTTCTCCATAAAAAGGAAAAAGAAAAGTTTTATCATGAGATTACAGCAATTCAGTCATATCTTCAGGTTTCACTTCTTGTTCTCTCACTGTTTCTACCACATCTGCAGTTATTTCCTCCACTGAAGTCTTGAACTCCTCAAAGTCATCCACAAGGCTTGGAATCAACTTTTACAAACTCCTGTGAATGTTAACTTCTCTCATGAATCACAGATGTTTGTAATGGCATCTAGAATGATGAATCCTTTCCAGGAGGTTGTCAGTTTACTTTGCCCCAATCCATCAGAGGAATTACTATCTATGGCAGCCTTACAAAATGTATTTCTTAAATAAGAAGACTTGAAAATCACAATTACTCCTTGATCCATGGGATAGAGAATGGATGTTGTGTTCCACGGCTGCAGGCATGAAAACAACATTAATCTCCTTGTACATCTCTATCAGTGCTCTTGGGTGGCCAGGTGCATTGTCAGTGCGTAGTAATATTTTTGGAAGGAACCTCTTTTTTCTGAGCGGTAGGTCTCAACCTGGGCTTACAATATTCAGTAATTCCTGCTGTAAACAGATGCGTTGTCATCCGGGCTTTGTTCTTCCATTGACAGAGCACAGGCAAGGTAGATTTGCATAATTCTTAAGGGTGCTAAGATTTTTTGAATGGTTAATGAGCAATGGCTTCAACTTAAAGTCACCAGCCACATTGGCCACTAGCAAGAGAGTCAGCCTGTCCTTTGAAGTTTTGAAGCCAGGCATTGACTTTTCTCTAGCTATTAACATCCTAGATGGCATCTTCTTCCAGTAAAAGGCTGTTTTATCTTCAGTGAAAATCTGTTGCTTAGTGTAGCCACCTTCCTCAATTATATTAGGTAAATATTTTGGATAACTTGTTGCAGCTTCTACATTAGCACTTGCTGTTTGACCTTCTACTTTTATGCTATGGAAATGGCTTCTTTCCTTAAACCTCATGAACCAACCTCTGCTAGCTTTATTTATTTATTTATTTTTTCTGCAATTTCCTCACCTCTTTCCACTTTCATAGAATTGATGAGAGGTAGGGCCTTCCTCTGAATTAGGCTCTGGCTTAAGAGAATGTTGTCACTACTTTCTTATCATTCATGTGTTCACTGAAGTGGCACTTTTAATTTCCTTTGAGAAGTTTTCCTTTGCATTCACAACTGGGTTAACTGGCATGGAAGGCCTAGCTTTTGGCCTGTCTCCGCTTTTGACATGCCTTGTTCACTAAGCTTACTCATCTCTCACTCTTGATTGAAAGTAAGAGACATATAACTCTTCATCTGAATACTTAGAGGCCATAGTGGGATTCTTAATTGGCCTAATTTCAATATTGCTTTGTCTCAGGGAATAAGGAGGCCTGAAGAAGAGAGAGAGAGAGATAGGGGAATGGCCAGACTGTGGAGCAGCCCAGAACACACACATTTTATTGATTAAGTTTACCATCTTATATGGGCACAGTTTATGGTGCCCCAAAACAGTTACAATAGTATCATCAAAGATCACAGATCACTGTAACAGATATAATTATAGTGAAAATGTTTGAATGTTGCGAGAATTACCAAAACGTGACCCAGAGACAGAGTGAGCACGTGCTGTTGTAAAGATGGTGCTGACAGACTTTGGGTTGCCACAGATCTTCTAGTCATAAAAAATGCAGTATCTGCTGGGTACAGTGGCTCACGCCTGTAATCCCAGCACTCTGGGAGGCCGAGGCGGGCGGATCATGAGGTCAGGAGATCGAGACCATCCTGGCTAACACAGTGAAACCCCGTCTCTACTAAAAATACAAAAATTAGCCGGGCGTGGTGGCAGGCACCTGTAGTCCCAGCTACTCAGGAGGCTGAGGCAGGAGAATGGCTTGAACCCGGGAGGCGGAACTTGCAGTGAGCCGAGATAGCGCCACTGCATTCCAGCTTGGGCAACACAGCGAGACTCCATCTCAAAAAAAAAAAAAAAAAATGCAGTATCTGTAAAGTGCAGTACAAAAAGACGAGGTATGCCTTTATATGCTGTTATGTAACAGTCACTGCTCTTGCATGTTTAGAAGCCTGCAGTGATGTTAGAACATTTGTTCTTGCCACTCCTAATAAATTCCAGTGAACATTTGTCAATATGGTTTTTTTACAAATTAGGTTAACAAATAAGGGAAAGAAGATAGTAGAGTCTCTATGTTCAAAATGTAGACAATTTTCCTGCCATAGTTCTTACTTTTTATTCAGTTTTAGTGGCTTTGACTACTACTGAAATCACTTTATTTAATTTAATCTTTTAGGAGCTTGAAATAGATTGCGGCCTAACATTAAAAGAATCCACCACTTCTCTTTAGTTTGCATCAGTAAAGACACTAGGAACCTCTTAGGTACTGGAAATTTTCCCTGTGGTGTAGACTGAGAACCTAATCCTTACACATGGCTTTTGTTTGGCAGCAGCCCGACTCATAATAAAAACAATTTGGAGGTAGCCAGTGGAAGGGATAGTAATTAAAATAATGCTGGAGTTTGGGTTTTGGTTTTATTTTAATAAATTAGTAAATTGAATTGTGGAGAAGAATTAGCTTTGTGATCAAGATACTTGGTTTTTGCCTATTTCTTACTGGAGAAATTTGCCAGCTTTTCCCCCTCTCATTGTTTCCAGTCCCAGCCACACCAGTCATAATTGTCTTGGGAAAGATCTAACTGCTGCTTTCTCAATACAGACTATAGCTAAGCACTTTGTTTCCTTTCTCTAAGGCTAATTAGTAGTAATAATAAAGAGATGTTTTGAACTTTTATTATAATGCTATGTTGCTTTATTTTGTAAGGAACATTGCAGTTTTTGAAAGAAAGAATACAGATTTCGAATTTTTTAAATCACCTCTTATCCCATGAGAGATTTGTTTTCACATCAAAATATTACGAGATTATTATATTCCAAAGCTTTCTAATACATACGTACTTTCTATAATGACACATTATCATTCTAGTAGTAGTAGTAGTAGTAGCAGTAGTACTAAGAACAGCCTACATCTACTGAGCATTTATTATTTGTCTGGTAGGATTTAATATTTCCCTAATTTAATATATAGGAAAACTGAGATAGAGGGAAATTTAAGACTTGCCTAGAATCACATATCTAAAAAGCCGTAGGTATGGAATTGAAACGCAGGCAATTTGACTGCAGATTTTAGGTGTTTCTTGTTATTCACTCAACAATATGTCCTAGTCAACTTCCGTGTGAATTAACATGCATCAAGAGCATCATCTTGACAGCTACATGGAATTTCATTTTAAGGGTATGACCACTGATGTAACTAGTCTCCCATTGTTGGGCATTCAGGTTTTTTCATGTTTTTCTGTGATAGAAGCATTGCTGTAATAAACATCACTGTGTACATCGTTGCATGCTTGTCCTGTTATTTCCTTAGGATAAACTCTTAGAATTTATTTCTTACAATTCTCAGATTTCTTTAAATAAATTATTTCATAGAAAAACAAAATCTCAATTTCAGAAATTTTACCTATGCCCTGCTACCATCCCAGAGAATAAGTTTTAAAAATACATGCAATTATGGGACATGAAACTGCCAAAGGGAAGATAATTTTGTAACAAAGTCTTTTGATATTTTTTAATGACTGTCAGAAAGAAAATAGAATCCCTAGAAATTAATTGAATTCAAACATTTCCCTTCAAATTTAAAGACACTTGTTTAATTTGTATTATAACTCTAATGCTTCAAAACTGTTTAGGACTTGGCGTGATTTAAACTAACTTGGTTTGAAAAGGAATTTATTGTAAGAAAATGATCTTCAGTAGGGACAAAGGCCTTTTTTTCTCTTTTCATTTTTGGCTTAGAAGATGAGAAGGGCTGTTTTGAGGACAAGATTCCCAACAGAAGGGAATCCTTTGGTGGCAAGTGTAAACAGCTTTGGCAGAAAGCCGCCCTCCAAAGAAAAAGGACTTCAGCTTGTTTTAAACTACAGGGTGAGCTCCAAGACAAAAAGGATAACCCTGATGCCAGGGGTGGGCCAATAGAGATTGTTTGGGTGGAAACACTACATCACAAAGGCTCTCTAGAGCTGCCTCATTAGAAGTTGATGAGTTTTGAGATGTACCCCTTTCCCAGTTCTCTAGACAGGATCAATTACCATTCCAAGGAAGTGATTATATTTCACTCAGGACCACAATGTTCCTTTTAGACTTTGTTACCAAAATGATAAATAAAATATAAATACTGTAAGTGTAGGTTGTTTCCTGACCGTTTTCCCTTCGATTTTCAGAAAATTAATCACTTATACAAAACTGGATTCATGCTTAATTTGAAGGAGATTCTCATCTTTAATTTAAAAATGCTTTAGAATCCTTTTTAGTCACTGTAGATATAGAAAATGCTTTTCGCTCATTTTGTTTCTGGGGTGGGTATGGATATGTGTATATGTATATGCATACTCGTGTTTAGCCTACAGCCTACATTTTCTTTTCTTTTCTTTTTTTTTTTTTTTTGAGACGGAGTTTCGCTCTATCGCTCAGACTGGAGTGCAGTAGCGCCATCTCGGCTCACTGCAACCTCTGTCTCCCAGGTTCAAGCACTTCTCCTGCCTCCGCCTCCCGAATATCTAGGATTACAGGCTTGTGCCACCACGCCCAGCTAATTTTTGTATTTTTAGTAGAGACAGGGTTTCACCATTTTTGCCAGGCTGGTCTTGAACTCCTGACCTCAAGTGATCTGCCCGTCCCGGCCTCCCAAAGTGCTGCGATTACAGGCATGAGCCACCGTGCCCGGCCTAGCCTACATTTTCAAACTTACGTTTTCATTTGAGAGAATTGCTATCTGTTTGAATAAATTACTTGGAAAGATGGGTGACAAGCCAGCATCCCATCCTTGTATAATTATGTGCAATTATGTGCGGCATTGCTGATGGGTGTGGTTGGATGTGATATGCATGAAGATGTAGTGAGGTGGTCAGAAAACTCAGTCATTTGAGTATCCATTTCCCTTTGATTCCAAACAACTGGCCATAGAAACAGTGGGTAGGATGGTAGCAGAGATCCCCTATACCCATTCCTGCAGAGACGTAGAGAATGGAAGAGCTACTCTAAAGCAAAGTTTCTTTTCTCACTTATTTAATCAAAAAACCTTATTGAGTACCTACTATATGCACACATTTGTTGTCTGTGCTGTTCCTTCATCAGAATTCATTCCTCCTTGCTAAAAGCCTCATTTCCCCTCCCTTCCCACAGCCCCAGCAGATACCCACGGTCCTTAGGTTACTGAAAAAGTTTAGATCTTGCCCTCATCAAACCCAAGTCCTGTATCTCTTTCCTTGAAGGCCCTGCTAAAGTGGAGTTTTATTTGTAATAACCTTTTTATCATAAAAAATAAACTTCGAGATGGAAAAATATTTTAGAGAAAAAAAGGAGATTATATCATGAGCATTTTCTCCTGATATACTGCCTACTTGTAAACATTTTAGTGGGTGGGTATTATTTTATTGTAGGCTTCAATTTCTTAACACTCACCCAATTGTTGAATATTTAAAATATTTTTCCCTATTATAAATAATGCCAAAATGGACATCTCTGTTCTTCAAACTTGGTTCATAATTTAGATTTATTTTCTTAGGGTAGAATTACTAAGTCATTGTTTATTAACATGTGTTAAGATCCTTAATATAAATTGCCCAATCTCTTTTCAGAGCATCTGTTGCAACTTAGTTTCACTAAGCATCCACTTAGTGCTCCTATTATGGCACCTTTACCCTCATTGAGCACTAAAATCTTTCAAAATCTTCACTGATTTTTTTTTTTTCATTTTTCATTTTTGAGACAGAGTCTCGCTCTGTTGCCCAGGCTGGAGTGCAGTGGCACAATCTCCGCTGACTTCTATCTCTGCCTCCTGGGTTCAAGTGATTCTCCTGCCTCAGCCTCCCAAGCCGCTGGGATAACAGGTGCCTGCCACTACGCCCAGCTAATTTTTTTGTATTTTTAGTAGACATTGGGTTTCACCACGTTGGCCAGGCTGGTGCCGAATTCCTGACCTCGTGATTTGCCCACCTCGGCCTCCCAAAGTGCTGGGATTACAGGCATGAGCCACTGTGCCCGGCCATTTTTCTTATTACTAGTGAGATTCGATATTTTTCACATACTTACTAGACATTTTTTAGTTTCTCTTTCATGAGTTGTCTATGTTCTTTACTCAGACTTCTTTTGGGGTTTTTGTGTTTTTCTTATTCACATGTATGAACCTACTGAATATTAAGAAGGTTAACTGTTTGTCTTTAATATTTATTCATTATGTTTAGGCTAAAATCCCTCCAAGAATATTATTTATAATCATATTATCACTTACAGACGATAACTTGGTTTTTTTCAGTGAGATGAGCTTATATCATTTTATATAGGAGATGGCTTTCAATGTTTAAAAATTAAGAACACATTCCTCAAAGCTAAGTACAGAACACATCTATTCCAGAAGCTTTTATAAAATAAGGAAGAGTATATAAATTGCAAGAGACCTTGGTACTACCAGTCAATACTTCTGTATTGATATAGCCATTGGGTTCTTATTGCACTTAATGCGATAGCTCCTCTGGGGTGCTCATTACAGAATTGTGAGATCTATGCCCAGACTAAGCACTTGAAACAGATAATGAGCTGCTTTGGAATGTACTGGATTCCAGTTAAAATTCTAGTAATCCCTCATTCCTATACTTCAGTTTTCCTTACCTCTAGAGCCCCTGAACAGTAGCTCATATGTTCTCCTTTTCCTTTTAGACAATTCCTCCTCGCTTCAAGAAGATGAAGAAGTAGAGATGGAGGCCATCAGCTGGCAGGCCAGCAGTCCAGCCATGAATGGGCACCCTGCCCCTCCAGTGACCTCTGCTCGTTTTCCCAGCTGGGTCACCTTTGATGACAATGAAGTCAGCTGCCCTTTACCACCAGTCACCTCTCCTCTGAAGCCAAATACACCACCAAGTGCATCTGTGATCCCAGATGTACCTTATAATTCAATGGGATCATTTAAGAAGAGGGACCGTCCCAAGAGCACTTTGATGAACTTCTCCAAAGTTCAGAAGCTGGATATTTCCTCTTTAAACCGCACGCCTTCTGTAACTGAGGCTTCACCTTGGAGGGCAACCAACCCTTTCCTGAATGAGACTCTGCAGGATGTACAGCCCTCCCCTATCAACCCTTTCAGTGCTTTCTTTGAGGAGCAGGAGAGGCGCTCCCAAAACAGTTCCATTTCCAGTACCACGGGCAAAAGCCAAAGAGATTCCCTCATTGTCATCTACCAGGATGCCATCAGTTTTGATGATTCAAGCAAAACCCAGTCACACTCTGATGCTGTTGAAAAACTCAAACAACTCCAAATTGATGACCCTGATCACTTTGGCAGTGCAACTCTACCTGATGATGACCCAGTAGCCTGGATTGAACTAGATGCTCACCCGCCTGGATCAGCACGGTCCCAGCCTCGTGACGGGTGGCCAATGATGTTGAGGATCCCTGAGAAGAAAAACATCATGTCCTCCAGGCACTGGGGACCGATCTTCGTCAAACTGACAGACACTGGTTACCTGCAGCTGTATTATGAGCAGGGCCTAGAAAAACCATTCCGTGAGTTCAAGCTGGAGATCTGTCATGAGATTTCAGAACCCCGGCTTCAAAACTATGATGAGAATGGCAGAATCCACAGCTTGCGGATAGACCGTGTCACCTATAAAGAGAAGAAGAAATACCAGCCCAAACCTGCTGTGGCCCACACAGCAGAGAGGGAACAGGTGATTAAGCTGGGCACCACCAATTACGATGACTTCCTGAGTTTCATCCATGCAGTTCAGGACCGTCTCATGGATCTGCCAGTGTTGTCAATGGACTTGAGCACAGTTGGCCTCAACTACCTTGAAGAGGAGATTACAGTGGATGTCAGAGATGAATTCTCTGGCATTGTGAGCAAAGGAGACAACCAGATTCTCCAGCACCATGTCTTGACACGGATCCACATCCTGAGTTTCCTGTCTGGGCTCGCAGAGTGCCGCCTGGGCCTCAATGACATCCTCGTCAAAGGGAATGAAATAGTTTTGAGGCAGGACATCATGCCCACCACCACCACAAAGTGGATCAAGCTCCATGAGTGCCGTTTCCATGGGTGTGTGGATGAGGATGTTTTCCACAACTCACGGGTCATTCTGTTCAACCCTTTGGATGCGTGCCGGTTTGAGCTAATGCGGTTCAGGACAGTGTTTGCTGAGAAGACCTTGCCTTTCACACTCAGGACGGCCACAAGTGTCAATGGGGCAGAGGTGGAGGTGCAGAGCTGGCTGAGGATGTCAACTGGCTTCTCCGCCAATCGTGACCCCCTCACTCAGGTTCCCTGTGAGAATGTGATGATCCGTTACCCTGTGCCCAGTGAGTGGGTGAAAAACTTCCGCAGGGAAAGTGTCCTGGGGGAAAAGTCTTTGAAAGCCAAAGTGAACCGGGGGGCAAGTTTTGGCTCCACTAGTGTTTCTGGCTCTGAGCCTGTCATGAGAGTAACTCTGGGAACTGCCAAGTACGAGCATGCCTTCAACTCCATTGTGTGGAGGATAAACCGACTGCCGGACAAAAACTCAGGTGGGTGGTGGTTCCTCTTCTGTGAAAACAAACATACAGTTGTGAAAAAGCTGAGATCAAAGTTCCACATCCTGTATGAAGTGCTTGTTTTTGCTGTGTGATGGGAGTGGTGATGGAGGGGGAGTGGGACCAGAAAAGTAAAAATAATTGAGCAAGGTAAGTAATGCGTATAGTGACCCAGTTCACTCTGTCTTTTCACCCTCTCATTATCACACATCTTCCATAAAACTAGGGA
The DNA here is from genome assembly GCF_000001405.40 of Homo sapiens. Lineage (NCBI taxonomy): Eukaryota > Metazoa > Chordata > Mammalia > Primates > Hominidae > Homo > Homo sapiens. Next base: position 81,276,665 of record NC_000014.9, on the reverse strand, counting down.
TTATTCTTCTCAGCTGAGCTGCTAAGCAGCTTTTCAGGGCAGCTTCTGAATTTATATTCTTTGGGGACTCATTAACGTATTAGCTGTGGTGCTGGAAGTGATTCATTTCTAGATGGCTTCTGAAGAGACATCTTTCTCACACTGCCCTCGATGTAGGTAAAAGGGCCAGTTTATGGCCAATCATGGACAATACACTGAGAGGTTAATTTTACGACTCCAGCTACCCTGTGCAGGGTCTGTTAGTCATAATATCTCACATTCAGACTTTGGCTCTGGGACTGGGGGATGGGAAAGAAAAGTGGCCTTCAATCAGACTGAAGATCCAGCTAGGACATGAATTTCTAAAAGGGCCAGAAGTCTAGCAGACAAAATATAAAGAAAAGAATGTTTTATTTAGACAAACAAAAAAATGCTTACCAGCCCTAGCTGGGCTGCTCGCAGCTATCAGGGATGCTTTTGTGCTTGAGTGAGTCCAGAAGGCAATTACTTCCCCCGTGGGTCCCGTGAGATTTAGTGAAATGACAAAATGAGGGAGCAGTCAAACCAGCACTAATACACATATTTCTTAGAGTATGTCTGGGTGACCCCAATGGTAGGCAGCAAGCCCATGATCTTGTAAGCCATTAAACCCCTTCTTTTCTTGTTTAGAATACATTTTGCCCATCTGTTAACGAAAGTGGATACGCTAGCTGAGCAAAAAGGATAAGGTTTGGAAAAACTCTTGAGTGAAATGGCTTTCTCTTATGTGGCTATCCTTTCTTAGATTCTCACTATAAATCGTAGCAGTGTGTTAAGAGTCTTCCTCTCCCGCTCTGAGTGTGGAGTGTCTGTATTATTATATCCTAAGTGTAATGCAATGTGACGGCCGACGGCAGTATAATCGGGCCAGCTCCCCAGGCAGTCCAGGGAGTGGACACACACCAGGGCATTCTGTATCAGACACTGGGTGTAGCTATGCAAACTGAAGAGACAATTGGATCTCTGTGTTTGAGGCTGGATTTGCTACTCCCTACTTCTAAACTGACAGAATTTTTAAAACCAAGTGTTCCTCTCTGTGCCTGCTTATTCATTTCCCCTGAAATCAGCACTGTCTTCTGCTGGTGGTAGCACTGTAACTTCTACCTTATCCACGGGGCCCCTCTGAATTGACAGAGGAAGAGAGAAAACCCTGAACTCTCCTTTGACACGGAAGCCCTTGGAAAGAGACAACCATGGAATTACCGGATTTTCAAGCTGGAAGGGACCTTGAATAACTTAGTCAAGTTATTTATAGATGAGAAAATTAAGGTCGGGAAGGTGATGTGACGTATCTAGAGAGTCATGCAGTCACATCCAGGGTCCTTTTCTTAATATATCACTGGTGCCTCCTGGTAGATGAAGCCAAATAGACACAAATATTGAAATAATTTCCACCAGAAGAACAGATATTTGCAGTTTTTCCAGTATGTACAAACGTATCTATTTGTTTCAAAGTGATTTCTCCCAAACATTTAAAAGTACTGCATGAAGGTTTATTATTATTATTATTATAAGCAACAAAGACTTATCGGCTACCCTAAGCAACAAAACAAATTATTGGATAGGATAGCTCAGAGACCTGAGGAAAAGACTGATCAAGAGAAGACTTTAGACAGACAGCACTAGAGTAGCTCTGGTCATAGAGACTAATGGATGTCTCCTCAGCATGTAGCCTTAGGACAAATCATCACAGACTATTTTTTGTTTTTGTTTTTTTGTGTTTGTTTGTTTGTTTGTTTTTTTGAAATGAAGTCTCGCTGTGTTGCCCAGGCTGAAGTGCAGTGGTGCGATCTTGGCTCACTGCAACTTCCACCTCCTGGATTCAAGCGATTCTCCTGCATCAGTCTTCTGAGTAGCTAAATTTTTGTATTTTTAGTAGAGACAGGTTTTCACCATGTTGGCCAGACTGGTCTCAAACTCCTGACCTCAGGTGATCCGCCTGCCTCGTACTCCCGAAGTGCTGGGATTACAGGTCTGAGGCACCGCACCTGGCCCTATTTTTTGTACTTTTGCAACTTGGCTCAAGAGACTAGGGGAGAGGAGTGCATTTTGACTGACGTGACCACCAAGACAACATGTAGCACCGGGGAAGATTATTTCCCAAAAGGAGAGAAAGAAAAAGACTGCTACCAGAAGAGAGGGAGGATGGATACAGGACAGGGAAAAAGCAAAACCAGGCCTTCAGCAAACACTCTCCTTAATGATTCCCAGTGGAGAGTGTTCTGTTGCCTCAAGGGCAAGTAAATGCAGCTTATATGCTGTTTTACATATCTGTTTCCAGATTGCTGGAACCTCGTTTGTGGAAGATTTTTGAAATACAGCACAGCATAAGGATATCTGTTGATGTTTCTTACTTAAATCCTCACAGCCTTGCCCCATTACTGATTTTGCTGTCATGGTTATATAACAATATTTTCAATAGTGAAACCCCATAAAGAGGCTTCTTATACTTCTCTAGCCAGTGGTATGTTTCCATACCAGTTCAGGAAATGGACAGCACCCTTTTTTGGAAACTTGAGGTGTATAGGATCTGAATTCCAGGCAGAATGTAAGTTCTCACTCATTGCTGGTATTCACTGTGCCCAGCTCCTGCCCTCCCTTGCAGTGTTCCATCCGGGAACCCAGAGAATTGATGGTTATCTTTCAGTAATAGCCCTTTCCTGGGCTCTGCTGTCTAGGTGTTCAGACAGCCCTGGGAAGGTGCTTTGTACAGGTTATTTTTTGTAATCCTTAACCTTCTTTAAGGAAGCTAGGGCTCAGCTGAGGTCAAAGGCCCCGCTGACTGGAAGCCTACTTCTCCTCACACGTTCCTGCCTACGGTGGCCCTGCATTTCCAGGCCCCAGTGGGCAGGGCAGTCAAACCCCAGGCAGCAGAGGCCAGCAGGTCAGCAGGTCAGCACCCTTGTGTTGCTGGCATCCCTAGCCTATAGCAGGCTTGTCCCAGTCCCAGCCACCAAGAGATCAAGCAGCTACCTTTGAATTCCAACGTGACTCCCGCCGGCGGGGCCCAGCCCAGCCTGGCCCAGCCCAGCCACATACGTGGGCAGCTCCCCTCTCTGAGCTCTCCAAGGACCCCTCCTACCTTCATCCCAAGAGTTTTTCTTAATCTTAGAAGGCACCGAAACAAGTCCTGCTGCTTCCACAGATCATCTGCCAGGAAATAAAACATTCTGTCCTGCATAAGTGGCTTTCTTTGCAGGAATCCCCCTTCTCATTAGACCAGGTGAAGGGAAAACAGTCCCAATATGTTCATCCTTGTATGGGAAATTTTAAAAATCTGAATTTTTTGTTGTTGAATTTTCTCAACCTCATCAAGGGAAATGACAGAATGTGTGGACTTATTTAATGCATTACTATGAATTAAACCATAATAGCTTTCAAAATTGAACTTCCTTAACTGTCCACCACCCTTACCCATCTGAGAGTCGATGCTAGAATTCTAGTAAAGAATGCTGCTTTCAGAATTTGCTGTGAGTACACTTTGGTGGAGTAAAAGGAGGGAATCAGTTGTGTAGAAAGGAAAGATTTCTCCATATTCCAACAATGTGCAAAATAAGTGTAATTAGATTAAAAGAGTTGTCCAAGTTGCTATTAAATTAAGAGATGCATCTGTATACTTTGTTGTGATCTAATTTCACAGCAATATATTGAGAAGAATTTAGGACATAGTTTGAAGGCAGAGTCATCTCTGAATCTTATTTCCAGCTCTACCACTTAACGGCTGTGTGACCTCGGGCAATTTACTTAACCCTCTCAGAGAAACCTAATTTTTTTCATCTATAAAATAGGGTTATTAATATCTAGTTCATTCAGAATGAAATGAGATAATGCTTTTAAGGGCTTAGTGCAGTATCTGGCCTGTAATAAATGTCCCATAAATGATAGCTGTATAATTACATCTGTGGCACACAATTTAAAAACATTGAGTGGATTCATTTTCAATTACTTTAATTTTTACTGTTATATGTATCTTAAATTCTTTTCTGAAAATCAGTGCAAATTTTTCAATATTCCAAAGCATTACTCTTTAGAAATAACCACTGAAATATGTTACGTTTGTGAAACAGAGCAAAACAAATACTTCACTATCTAATGTTTTCCTTGGAGAGCGGGTGTGTATGTCCTTACTCTCTGAGATTGAAAAGTCCTAGCCAGACCAATAAAGAACATTGGAATTGTTTGTTTGTGGAAACTGGGATAACTAAGGGGCTGTTTCAGTTACATAATTAAGGCAAGGTCATTTCATGTTGTTTATCTATAGCTAGTTGCTATATGGGGGTTCTTACAGCTCAATCCCTCTCTACCCCTGTCACCCTGCAAACTTGGTCTTCTGTTTTGGGGACCATGAGGTTATAACTCAGACAAAGTGGTTAAGAACACTCTGGAGTCAGACTGCTAGGTTCAGTTGTTTTTTGTTTTTTGTTTTGAGACGGAGTCTCACACTGTCACCCGTGCTGGAGTGCAGCGGCGCAATCTTGGCTCACTGCAAGCTCTGCCTCCCAGGTTCACACCATTCTCCTGCCTCAGCCTCCCGAGTAGCTGGGACTACAGGCGCCCGCCACCACGCCCGGCTAATTTTTTGTATTTTTAGTAGAGACGGGGTTTCACCATTTTAGCAGGATGGTCTCGATCTCCTGACCTCGTGATCCACCTGCCTCGGCCTCCCGCTAGGTTCAGTTTTTAGCTCTGCCACTTTCTAGCTGTGACTGTGGGTAGCTCATTTTACCTCCCTAAGCCTTAGCTTCCTCGACTATAAAATGAAGGTAACATTCTGACCTGAAAGATCATACTGAAGACTCAAAGAGAGAATCTGTATAAAAGATTTAACATAGAAGAAGGCATAGGGTACTTCAATGTTTCCTGTATGGCAGGTGAATGACAATGATGTTTCAGTGGTTATAGTCACAGCAGTAAGCTCTCTTTTTCCTCAAAAATCTCAATAACAATTCTCAAGTAAAAATCAAACCCAAAGTTTGCCATCACGAGTATAGTGGAGTTACCCATAGATGTATAGAATTAAGGAGCAGCAAGGGACTGTGCCTGGCATTGCCCAGCCCACCCTGTTGTACTTCTCCCTCTTTATCCCTTGTACCCTAATCTCCCCACTTTACAGAGGAGGAATTGAGGCCTGGAGAGTATAAAGGACTTGAGGGCAGGAGCTCTGCTGCTTAGCAGGGGAGCTGGAAGTCCAACCCAGGTGTTCTGCTGGTTGGTGTTTTGTCCAGTGTTCCATATGCTTCCCTAATATCTATGTGCTATTTATAAAGTCCTTGTCATTTACATATATCATTTACCCGCAAAAGCATGCCAAAAGCATTTTGAAAGTATGAAATACTATTAAGAAAATCAATTCATTCTTCAAAGGAAAGCAATGATTTGCTCCAGGAAGCTGTCATTGGTATTTTATTAGGTGCTAAGTGCTGATCCCTTCCATTCCATTCTTCACATCCTTACCCCTTATTTCTTAGTGTTGGGGCTGTGTTCACATATCACTCTCACTTGAGCAGGCAGGATGGCCCCTGTTTCTCAGGCCTTGGGTTTTATTGCTAGGATACCAGGCTGCTAGAATCCGATGGAGTTATATCGAGGGGCTGAGGCATACAGGAGCGTGAATTCTGCTGAGCCGGGCGGATCCTCGTGCTCAACACTGGACCCTCTGAAAGGCTGCCGGGTGCCGAGCCCACAGGCCTCCTTTATTACCAAAGTGGCTCCTTTGGCTGCTCCTTCCACTTTCTCCCCAAATAATCTGATCTCTCGATTGTCTTTCTTTCATAGCTTCCGGTCACCCACACTGTTTCTTTTGCCACCTTGAACTCGGCTCTGACCGGGAAGTGCCTTCCAGATTTGCCAATCACGTGAATGTCGAGTTCAGCATGCCCACAACTTCTGCCTCCAAAGCCAGCGTGAGATCTATCTCTGTAGAAGACAAGACTGACGTCAGGAAGTGGGTCAATTATTCTGCACACTACAGCTACCAGGTAGCCTTGGGAAGCATCTGGCTAATGCTTCCAACTCCATTTGTTCACCCCACTACCCTCCCCCTCTTATTCCTTTTAGCCATGCTTACTATGTTCGCCTGGTAACCTCTTACTGCCTTAGAGGAAGTTCACCATACATAGCTGTGGGTGCGTCTGCTCTGATTTAAATGCATAATCTGGCTAGTGGATGAGAGAAAGGTTGGAAAAAAATAAAGAGGCTCATCAAAGAGGAGAATATAATGTCTTTCTGTCATTATGAGCAATGACAACAAAAAGAATAATGGGGGCCAGGCACAGTGGCTCACACCTGTAATCCCAGCACTTTGGGAGGTGGAGGTGGGCTGATTACTTGAGTTCAGGAGTTCAAGACCAGCCTGGCCAACATGGCGAAACCCCATCTCTATAAAAAGTACAAAATTAGCCGGGCATGGTGGCCTGTGCATGTAGTCCAGCTACTCAGGAGACTGAGGTGGGAGGATCACTTGACTCTGGGAGGTTGAGCTGCAGTGAGCCATGATTGCACCACTGTACTCCAGCCTGAGTGACAGAGCGAGACTGTGTCTCAAAAAAAGAAAAAGAGTAATGGGGTAAAGGAATTGTTATTATTCATTTGCAATATAATTTATGTCACAGAGTAGTGAGCTTGGAAATGGAGGGGAGAAAATGCTATCCCAAAGCATATGCTTCAGTTAGAGTTGATGAAGTGGACCTGAACAAAGTTAGGACACACATGACCTGGGTACTGGGCTATAACAGGACAAAACTCAAAAGCCAAGCAAATGTTTATAATAGTAACAGGGTCAGGGCTGTGGAAGGAATCATAAAAGTTGGAGTTTTCTGACATAAATAGAAAGTGATACTTTCCTGGGGAGTTAGAAATTCAATAGGAGATTAAATGCCAACGATTGGAAAAGGAGTTTGTTAAAGAAGGATTTTGCAAAGTGGTTTTCTATTTATAATAATATCCTTGGATTTATATGGTGATTTATTGTTCCTCTAAATGTTTCCTTAGCTGTGTGGGCTAAAATATTTAACTACCAAAAGGAACAAACACTCCATCTTGTGGCTAGGAAAAAAATAGCACCTCCCTCAAACCTGACTGTTGTGTGTTGAATCATTACCCTGTAGGTCAAGCGTCATAAATATCCAGAGTGGTGCTGAGAGGAGCAACCTGAACCCTGAGCTCAAAGAATTCCTTGCCTGAGCTATCAAAGATTTCGGTTGAGATGTATTACTTTCAAAGATTAATCTGTTAATTTCTTGATAATTACAGTGACAGTATTTTGCAGAAGATATTGCAGAACTGTAAACATTCCAGTATTTATCAGTTCGGAGGTTTTCTAAAGAGAGAAAGTACTGGAGGTGGCCGGGTGCTGTGGCTCATGGCTGTAATCCCAGACCTTTGGGAGGCCAAGGCAGGTGGATCATTTGAGGTCAGGAATTCAAGAACAGCCTGGCCAATATGGTGAAACCCTGTCCCTACTAAAAATTCAAAAATTAGCCAGGCGCAGTGGTGCGTGCCTGTAATCTTAGCTACTCTGGAGGATGAGGCAGGAGAATCACTTGAGCCCGGGAAGTGGAGGTTGCGGTGAGCTGTGAGCCAAGATTGTGCCAGTGCACTCCGGTCTGAGTAACAGAATGAGACCCTGTCTCAAAAAAAGAAAAAAACAAGTATTGAGGGGGTACAAACAGTCAATTACAAAGAAATTCATTCATTTGATAAATCTTTGTCGATTGCCCACTGTATTCCTACATTATTGCATAAAATATTGAACAAGATCCTGCCCATGTCTTGTGGAGCCCATGGTATAGTGGAGCCAGACAGGTGTGCAAGATACGGTGGAAATATTCACAGAGAGAAGTACCTAAGTCTACTTAATAAGTCAAAAATAGCTTCACAGAAGGGGTGATCTTTGACCAAATGTACAAGGCAAAGAATAAGAATTTTCCTGGTGGACCATGAGGGAAAGGGAATTACAGACCAGTTAAAGAACATGTGCAAAGAGAGAGACATGATATACTCAGGGCCAGTAGCTCCAATGTGGCTAACGCCCAAAATGTTAGCAAAATTATAAGAAATTTCAAAGTACCTATGGAGTTTTGGTTTACTTATTTATTTGCATGCTTTTTCTCTTCTTTTTGATCTTTATCTCCAACTTCTATTCTTGGCAGGTGGAAATTGAGCAAAAAAAGAGTTTGAAGCCGGACTTTGAAGGAGATGAAATGGAAAATCCCAAGGAGTGTGGAGTGCAGTGACAAAGCCTTGCGGCAAGGAATCCTGATCCCAGAGTCATGATAGGGTGTCTTCCTGAGTCATGATAGGGTGTCTTCCTGAGTAGCTGAAGTTGCAGTCAATACCTGCTGTGGCCACTGCATGTTGGGAACAGTATACCAGATCTTCCTGTTTGCAGTTACTTGTATTTTACCAGGAAACCCTGAGAATGGTGGCTTTTGGAGAGGCTCTTTGATTCTGGTCATGCCTAAAGCACGAGGTTCACCTGACTGTTGGAGCTTACTGTATAATTAAGCCTCCTTGTCTTGTCTCTGCTTATCTCACAGCACTGGTATGTGGTTTGTTGTGACTGTTACAGTCAGGAAAAGAACCTCCCACATCAGTGTTAGCACGATTGCCTTCTGATGTTCATCTGTCACTCGCATAACTTTCTGGCAAAGGCAGTCTTGAGAAGTTAATTAAGAATCCATCTCTTTCACTCTGTCTAGAAAAGGTTCAGAAAAGGTGCAAAACAAATTTCCTCTTTGGGTCTTACTAGACCTTTTTGAGGTGTCTCCATTCTTTAACTGTTAAGCTTTCAAGACATTTCCCTCCTGGCTCTAGATCGTTTAGATTGGAACACTTTTTCCATCTCTCTAAGGTTTCAGTCACAGGATTTGCTATCCTGAGTCACAATAGACAATGGAAAAAGGCACAATAGGAGACTTTTTAATTTTGTGAATGGACCCACATTCTGCAAAATGGGTGTTGAGGGGAAGGCAAAATTAATCTTAGTTTTCTTCATTTTGGAGAAAAGAGACATTAAATATAAGATGATGTTCAGTTCAAGAGGTAGATTCAATCTCAGTGAATTCCCAAATTCACACTGAAAAATACAGTCCACTTCTGATTCCTGAAACAAATATACATAATACCTGAGGCATTTGTAAGGGGCATTTGGGAGTTCTTTTTATACCTCATGACCAATAGACAGTTGCATGTCCCTTTAACCCAACTTTATAGGAAATTTAAGCTGCAAAGATAATTTTTAAAGCTGTTTTAAAATTAAGCTTGAATGAGCTTTCCCCCAAAATTCAGAGTTTGATAATCACAGTATTGGATTGGATTGAAAAGGCATCTCTAGGGTAGAGACGTGGAAAAGCCATATTTTTCTAATGTTGGGAACATTATATTCTGATTCCAAGAGTCAGAACGCTCACTCCATCTTCTTTTTCTTCATCTGTTTCTGGGACAATTAATCTTCTTTTCCTTCATCCGTTCCTACTCACCTCTGCTTCTTATTTGTATCTTAGTGTTTTCTCCCATGAAGAATACAAGTCGGGGGACAGAAAGCACACTTCATTGGATTTGTAGATGATGCAGAAATGAAAAATATCTCCAGTTTTTGGCTGATGGATTCAAGATTAATGTATTCAATGAACAATCATTGGAGTCTAAATGTGTATTGACACTGGGATATAGAAATAGTTACAGTATTTTGAAATATCTGAACTAAGACTGAAAGTAAAATGATGATTGAATAGGCATTAATGAGAAACCCTATATTCTGGGTTTTTAAAATGCAACCCTCTAAGTACAGAGTGGAGTGTGTGTTTGTGGATGTGTGTGTTTGTGTGTGTTTATGTGTGTGGTGTTGATGGGAACGGTGTTAGGAAGACCTGGTTTCACGGTAGTTTATAGAGAAATATTTCCTTACAGAAATGGAGGTTCAATGTTGAATCAGAAATATATCATGGCTATTCACAAAGCTAATGTAGTCAGCTGGTGTTAATAAAAGCCTTACATGCTTTTATTAACCCTCCATCTAGTCCATATCTAAATGGAGGGTTGAGTTCAATTATGGGTATCATATTTTAAGAGAGACATTAATAAGTTGATTGTGTCCATAGGGAGGTGACCAGGGTTGTAAAGGGTCTGATGATGCAAGAACAAGGGAGTAGCTTCCCTGAAGGAACAGAAGGTATAGCTGGAAAGGGAGTGCAGACAAGGAGGGAATGATACAATAGCTGCCTAGAAATTTCTATTGAGCTATGAAAAGGAAGAGGAATTAGATTTATTCTGTGTAGCTTCAAAGGGCAAAAATAAGAACAAAGAGGAACTTTACAGGTGACAAATGTTTGCTTCAATATAAGGAAGAATTGTCTAATAAGAGTTGTTCTAAAGAGGAATAGACTCAAGTTAGTAAGATTTCCTGTTCCTGTGAATGCCCAACAGTTAAAATAACCACCTATCCCACGTGCTGTGAAAGGGAATCTTACATTGGATTTGGTCTATATGTCTACCAAGATTCCTTCTAAATATAGGTTTAGTCTCAATAGTAATAAGACTCTCTAACTTCATTTGTCTTTTTCTTCATAAGTGGTTTTTCATGCTCTTTGAAATACAGTGGAGTTCCTTTGAGGTTTTTGTCAAGGAATTTCAACGCATATCTCTTCCCCTGTTGTACTGAAGGCTTTTGAGATTAATTCCTCATAGAACATCTAAATGGATTGGAGAGTTGGCAAGGGAAATGAAGCTCATCCCAGCACCTTCCTTAGTCACTCACGCTTAGCACTCTGTCAAGATCTCTGCCTCATCTGCTAGCATAACATGTGGATTGCTTGTTGGAGCTTATTTCCCCGCCCCCCATGGTAAATTCTCATTTCCTGTGTACATGCACCTGGACTTTTTTGTTTTTTTTACCAAGAGTTGGGAAAAATCCCTTCTATGCTATCTATATTCTGCAAACAAATTATTATTATTATTATTATTGAGACAGAGTATTATTATTATTATTATTATTATTATTACTGAGACAAAGTTTCGCTCTTGTCGCCCAGGCTGGAGTGCAATGGCGTGATCTCGGCTCATTGCAACCTCTGCCTCCCAAATCTCCTGCCTCAGCCTCCTGAGTAGCTGGGATTACAGGCGCCTGCCACCATGCACCACTAATTTATGTATTTTTAGTAGAGATGGGGTTTCACCATGTTGGCCAGGCTGGTCTCGAATGTCTGACCTCAGGTGATAAGCCTGCCTCAGTCTCCCAAAGCTCTGGGATTACAGGCGTGAGCCACCATGCTGGACCCACAAATTATTATTAATTTTTAAAAACCTAACATCTTAATTTCATCAAATTTGTTTTCCCTCTACTGTTTTTAGGAAACTGATTATGGGTAGCATTTAGGGGTTTGGGGATAATAATACTATATATTTTTAGACGTAATGAGTGTTTTACTAGGTTTAAATAACTTCTAAAGAAAATACAAGTGGGCAAATTAGCTATGTAATAACCTACATAGAAAACAGTTGGGCAAATTACCTGTGGATATGCAGATTCTACTTTTGCAACCCTGGACCTGGACTTTTTATTTTTTTTTTTTGTGGTCACAAATAATCTTTGTTATCAATAATGTGAAAATATTAAAAATGAATTCATTTTACCAGTACATAGTATTACTCTTAGAACATAAATTAGATATCACGTGGTATCAAGAGCTGTGCTTTCTTTTGAGTCTAGGGCCTGCTTTTTGACTTTACAGCAAAAAGATAAGAAATGTACTCATGACATGTCAGACAAGACAATGTGAGGCACTTTGTGGGGAGACCATTAGATGATCCCCCTTGCCTGCTCTTGCAGACATAGTACTAGTTATTCCTTATCAAAAGTTTGCATTTCATTCATATTAAATATTATCTGGACAGTTTCATTTTTTCTATTTGGCTCTTCCCTTACTGTGCCTTCCTGCATTATTGGCAGGGTTCATAATCCTTGAGAACATTGTTTGATTTAAAATATTTTTTATTTGAAATGAGACTGATTTCTATTCAAATCCAGTGGCTGGGAGTAAGAGTTTATTTCCCTAGAAACTTATGTTTCTGATAAATGGGATCCATGAAGGCAAGGACTATATATAATTTTTTGTGTTTCCAACACCTAGCACAAAGCTTGGAATATAATAGGGTTCAGCCACCTTAAATGCTTGCCAGGAGGGCAAACGTATACTCATGAAATAAAGGAAAATGAGTATGTATTCAATAAATGTTTGCTGAAAGAATACTGACCCTGAGACTCGAAGGCTACTTAACCCTTACTTATCATCAAATACTCATAATAAAGCCAGCAAGCATGCTTTTATTTCCTGAAGGACTTAAATAATTTTGCTTTCCTTTTACTCCTGCCTCCAGAGTCAAGTAATAAAACCTGTCAGCATTTAGGCACTTAATATGCTGCTGAATTTGAACTACAATGTACCTCATTCACATTGAAAAACATTTTTGTGCCCCAAAGCATAGTAGCATAGATGCTGTCCATAGTCACGGTGATTGATTGCTTTGTTCCTGCAAGTCAAACAGATCCATGAGCCTGAGCCTTGCCCATTTCAATGGTCAGTAGGAAAAGAAAGCATTTGATAGAGTGCACAACCAGTCTTCATGCAGTAGGTCTTTGTTCTTCCAGCACTAACCGCTGACCGTTACTTTGCATTTATTTTGTCACCACAGTAAGATGGAGGTCTGAGATAGTAAGGTCAAAATTTGTGAGATAAAGTCATGATTTCAGAGGTGATATATATTTCACCATAAGTTTAGTGGTGGGAAAACAGAATGAGCTGAAGTTTTTTCTTAAAAGCCTTGGGAATATTAAATTGGTTTAAGTAGGAAGCACTACCATCCAGCCTGCTTATAGAAATGCTCCCAGTTCGAGTGGTAACTTTAACTCTTCTAAAAATGAGGATTATATGTTAATTCCAGCATATCTAGACCTTAGTCAGGGAGGTCCAATCTTTTGGCTTCCCTGGGCCACATAGGAAGAAGAATTGTCTTGGGTCACACATAAAATACAGTAACAACAGCTGATGAGCTTTAAAAACATGGCCAAAAAATAGCATTTTCTTTTTTGTTTTTTTTTTTTTTTTTTTTTTTGAGACGGAGTCTCAGTCTGTCACCCAGGCTAGAGTGCAGTGGCACGACATCGGCTCACTGCAACCTCCGCCTCCCGGGTTCAAGTGATTCTCCTGCCTCAACCTCCCGAGTAGCTGGGACTACAGGCATGTGCCACCACGCCTGACTAATTTTTGTATTTTTAGTAGAGATGGGATTTCATTATGTTGGCCAGCTGGTCTTGAACTTCTGAGCTCAGGTGATCCACCCGCCTTAGCCTCCCAGAGTGCTAGGATAACAGGCATGAGCCGCCGCGCCTGGCCAAAATAGCATAATGTTTTAAGAAAGTTTACGAATTTGTCTTGGGCCACATTCAAAACCATCATGGGCCAAGGGTTGGACAAGCTAGCCTTAGGTCATGTCCAGAATGCAATTTAACAGGAATTTCAAGCAAAACTAACAAAAAATTAAATCCACAAAAAAATATCATTTGGTAAATGCACTGTCTCACACACTTTACTACTAAGTCCCATTCAAACCATGACGACCCTTTACATAAAATTAGGGCATTCTCACCAAGTTTCTAAAGATGATTTCTAAACATTACCAAGGTCTAAGTGCTAATTCCCCACAAACCATTTCTTATCTTGTTTAAATGAGACTGGCTTTAGATATCATGACTCATATTTATGTGTTTAAGGAATTAAACGTGAAGGAGATGTATAAGGCAACCACAAATGTAGAAAACAAATGTATGTATTAGTAATATTCTCCCATGTATTAACTAGAACAAGAATGTGAGATTTTTACATTTCTTCTAGTGTGCCTTAGCAAATCTGCTGGAAAGAGTCTAGTTGTTTTGAGAATTGAAAAAAAAATGTGTCTCTCAATTTGTCAATTCTAAGCCTGTAAAGGCAGAAACTATCCACAGTAATGAGTTTGGTAGTGCCTGGAGAGAGGCAAATGATCATTGGATGTAACAAAAGCTACAAGAGAATAGACTAAAAAAAGAATTTCAATATGAAAAAGTAAAATCTAGAGAGATGACAAATCAGCATTGGGTACCAAGCCTCAAAATACTTGAACTAGAAGCCATCTCTTAAAGTTAAAAGTAAGAAGCTCCAGGAAAAATAAAGATTGCATAGTAAAAAGGGATAGATGGCAGGATTAATTCAACTCAACAAATATTTATCAAATGTCTACTCTGGTCAGGTGCTGTGTTAGCAGCCAGCTTCCCTAAAGGGAGGAAAGGCTAGACACGAGGACATTGAGGATTGTTTATTTAAAGTCACTCATAGGCATGCCATAATGGATTTATTAAGGGGAAATTGGGGTTTCTGTGAATCTTTACAGGACATAGCCATGGAGACAATCACTATGTTAAGTAAGTTGCTGTTTTCCCAATTGGGCTTCAGTTTCCTGAGACAAAAAAGTGAGGAAGTTGGATTAATTGTTTCTTCAAGTCCTTTCCAGCTCTAAAGTTGTGGGTTATTTTACAAAATATCCATTGGTGCCACCTTTCAGTGACTCTTCCTATGTTTATAAGAACCAAGAAATTTAAATTTTGAAGATTGGAAAAATCACCTGGTCCATCTTTTTCCTTTTCACATCTCTCTCTTTTTTTTTTTTTTTTTTATCATTTCCCCAGACAACAGAAACAGACAACCTTCCAAATCCTCTATATTGCAGTTGCCTTCCACACACAGATTTAAAAAGAGGATCAAAGAGGGTGGTGAAGATCAGGTGGAATGCTTCTTTGGAAGTTCCACTGGCATCATCTATCAGAACAATGGTGTGAGCATGAAGAGGCACAGACAGGTCTCCAAAATAGATGTTAGGATTTGGGTGCTACCTGACACAGAAGTAGGTCTAACCCTCCAAGTACTGGGGATGATAGGATAATCAATGAGGTATATATATATTTGTCATTTTGTATAAAATATTGTGAAAATTGAAGGAGGACACTCAGTAAACATCCTGGGACTATTTGTAAGTTATGGCAAAACCAGATGAGAGAAAAGGGACAGTCCCCTCTGTATCCTCGTTGTCTCTTAGTAACATCAAATTGTAGTTAAAAAAATTTTAAACTATGTACAAGCTACAAAATAGCATCTCTTTCATGGTATGTTTGAGTGTGTAATTTTAGTTTCTTTTCTGGTTGTATTTGTGGTAGTCAGATGTGTTGGATTGATTCCAACTGGACAGAGTAAGGAATTCCAGCATCCTCTTCCTGCTTGCTCGTGTTACCCCACAGATCAAACCCTCAATTCTAGTTGGGGATGCTGTCTAGCCCCACACCATGACTGAAGCCTTAAGCACTGTTGCGCCTCCATGTGCTTTGGATCAGCAACCCCAGTGGTATTCTACCAGAGCATTGTGGGAAAGCAGATGTATAGTCAGGTCCCAACAGCAAATTGTTGGGTGTGAGAGTTCTAAAGTATAGGGGTGAGGGAAGAGAAGGATATGAACTCCTCTGACCTTAAGCCAGCATTCATTTAACTTTTATGTCTACTTAACAAGAGAACCTGGAGAAAACTACCGTATTCAAGAGATTAATCAAAATCAGTGTTTTAGCCAGGCGATGACAGAGAAGCACCATTCCTCACCCTCCATTCTTGTAATGTCTGTAATAAATTTCAGTGCGTCAGGATGGATGAACCCAAGATCCAGTGAATGATTCAGCTGTTCCAAGCCTTACATTTTCCATCATTCATCATCCATTCTCATTCAGTGTAACCTCTTGCACTATTGTGGTTAATTTTATGTAAAACCAGTTTATGTTTTTTTTTTTTTAATATGTGCCTATGTAATAAAGTCTACACACTGGCTATCTCTGTAGAGGTGAGGTTTTGTTTTTAGTTGTTCTACTGATTATATCCTTTTCTGAGCTATGAAAATGAATTATTAATAAAAAATTTTTGAACAAAATATCACTATGCCAAATTTAATGAAGTCAGACATATGAAGAGTAATGCTTATTAATATAAGGCCAGTCACCCAGCTTGTATGGTTAGTGATCATAAGCTGACAAATTAACAAATGACCTGTTTAATTATCCTAGTTAAATTTGTCATAGATATAATTTAGTCAATTCAAGATAGGTTGGCTGGACCCAGTGGCTCATGCCTGTAATCCCAGCACTTTGGGAGGCTGAAGTGGGTGGATCACGAGGTCAAGAGATCGAGATAATCCTGGCCAACATGGTGAAACCCCATCTCTACTAAAAATACAAAATTAGCCGAGTGTGGTGGTGCATACCTGTAATCCCAGCTACTCAGGAGGTCGAGGCAGGAGAATCGCTTGAACCTGGGAGGCGGAGGTTGCAGTGAGCCGATGTCGTGCCCACAGCGTACCTGTGGTGTTTGGTGAGAGTTGGAAGAAACACCTCAATGGAGAGTTCGGAAAACTGTATTCTATAAAACGAACGGGATTTGTTGCAGAAGAAAGAAAACATTACACTGTTTATCCTCCCCAACACCAAGTCTTCACCTGGACCCAGATGTGTGACATAGGAGGTGTGGAGGTTGTCATCCTGGGACAGGATCCATATCACAGACCCTATCAAGCTCACGAAGCTGCTTTAGTGTCCAAAGGCCTGTGCGATCTCTGCCTAGTTTGGAAAACATGTATGAAGAGCTGCCTACAGACAGATGGTTTTGATCATCCTGGCCATGGAGATTTATCTGGGTGGGCCAAACAAGGTGTTCTATTCACCGTCTTCACTGTGCAGAGCCATCAAGCCAATTCTCCTGAGAGAGGCTGGGAGCATTTGCCAATGCAGTTGTGTCCTGGCTAAATCCGAACTGAATGGCCTTGTCTTCTTGCTCTGGGCTCTTAGAAGGAGGGCATTGCCACTGATAGGAGGTGGCAGTGTGTACTGCAGGTGGCTCATCTCTTCTGATTGTTGGTGTATAGAGTGTTCTTTGGATGTAGACACTTATTCCAAGACCAATGAGCTGCTGCAGAAGTCCAGCCAGAAGCTCACAGAGTAGAAGGAGCTGTGATCCTCAACTGAGGGGTGGTCTGTCTCCATTGGTGTTTTTGAGAAGCTTCTGTTAAAGTATTTGTCATTTATGAAGTCGAATTGAAAATTTCTGAATTAATTCTTAAGTACTTTGCGTAAGGGGGCAAAGCTTTCATTAAAACAGCCACGAAGCAGGCTGCCCAGGAATGGCAGCTTTATCCAGCCAGATACAGCAAAGGCTACTCTGTGACCAAATGTCTTTCTCTGCAACATGGCTTCAGCCCAAAATATGCAAACTTCTCAGAAGACAGGTGAGGTCAAATATTCACTTGGCTCTCTTCACCACCTTTACTTTTATGTTTAAGGGGGGAGATTGCACTTTTTGGTACAGCCCTAGTATTGTACCTGCTGCTACTAGGTTTTGCCTGGTTAGACTTCCAGTTACAAGGTGTTCGGGTGTTTTTGCTTAGAAAGGAACCCTTTTCAATGCCGGGCGTGGTGGCGCATGCCTGTAATCCCAGCACTTTGGGAGGCCGAGGCAGGCAGATCACGAGGTCAGGAGATCGAGATCATCCTGGCTAACATGGTGAAAACCCGTCTCTACTAAAAAAAAAAAAAAATACAAAACATTAGCCCGTCGTGGTGGTGGGCGCCTGTAGTCCCACCTACTCGGGAGGCTGAGGCAGGAGAATGGCGTGAACCTGAGAGGCAGAGCTTGCAGTGAGCCAAGATTGTGCCACTGCACTCCAGCCTGGGGGACAGAGCGAGACTCCGTCTCAAAAAAAAAGAAAGAACCCTTTTCCCAGCCTGGCTGGCATTCCAGTCCCAGCCAGGCACACTGCCCCCTTGATCATTTAAGGAGCCCTCAGGCCCCTCCATAAAGGAAGCATGAGGATGTTCTGCAGGTTTCCAGAAATCTAGCCCAGAAATCAGGGCTCAATTTCCTGATTGTAGGGGAGGTGAAGTTTCCTAAGAAATACTCCGTGGTATGAGCCTTAACGGATAGACAGGGGCTGAGAAAAGTGACCTGGGTCTTGTTATTCTTCGGTTGTTTTATGGAATAAGCAGTGGAATTTGAACAAGGAAGAAGAGAAAAGGCATTTTTCTTAAATGCGGGGATGAGCTTCTCCTAGAGTTATCTTGAGTTGGGGTTTTTAAGGCAGCACGAACTGCCAAATGCTGTTTTTTTGTGGACTGCAATCACTTTGCGGTATTTTTTCGGCAACACTGAAAAGTTTTAGTTTTTTAAAAAAATACTTATGCAAATATGTATATATTTTCACAATTCGTTTTCTATCTTATTTTATTTTTTTTGAGACAGAGTCTCTTTCTGTTGCCCAGGCTGGAGTGCAGTAGCGCGATCTCGGCTCACTGCAACCTCTGCCTCCCAGGTTCAAGCGATTCTCCTGCCTCAGCCTCCCAGGTAGCTGGGATTACAGGTGTGCACTACCATGCCCGGCTAATTTTTGTATTTTTAGTAGAGACAGCGTTTCACCATGTTGGCCAGGCTGGTCTCGAACTCCTGACCTCAGGTGATCCACCCACCTCGGCCTCCCAAAATGCTGGGATTACAGGCGTGAGCCACTGCCCCTGGCCTCCAATTCGTTTTTTAGGAGACAGTCTTTATTGTTACTGCACCTCCATCCTTGATCTTGCTAGTGATGCTGTTTTGCTGTTAGCTGGGTTAGAGTTAATCCTGTGCTAGTTTGGTAATAAAAGACTGTTGAAGTTGTTTTGTTTTGTTTTTTAACTGAATATCAGACATTATTCTTTCTTCTACTTCTAAAAATTTTTTCAAGACAGAGTCTCGCTCTATCACCCAGGATGCAGTGAAGTGGCATGATCACAGCTCACTTCAGCCTTGACCTCCTGGGCTCAAGTAACCCTGCCACCTCAGGCTCCCAAGTAGACGGGACTACAGGTGACACCTGGCTAATTTTAATTTTTATTATGGTAGAGATGGGGATCTTACTATATGGCCCAGGCTGGTCTCAAACTCCTGGGCTCAAGCAATCCTCCTACCTTGGCCTCCCAAAGTACTGGGACTACAGACGCGAGCCACCATGCCCAGCCCCATTCCTCCTCCTAAAGTTCATTGACCATACCTTAAAGAGAAAATCCCTTTCAAACGTCTTTCTCCTTTGGCCCTAGCCTGAGTAAATGGGCTGACTCCTCAAGTTCCAGACCATTGTCTCTTTAACTGCTAGAGGAAAACTGAAAACTCTTCTGAAAATCTCATCTTTAATGGGGATTAAATTCTAAAGTCAACACTATTGAAAATAACATAAATTGCCCATAAAGTAGACTAATGGAGTCTTCCTTAATGAAAGTTGCTCTATTTTTTAGTACGTTCTCACAAGGCTATAAAGAACTACCTGAGGTCAGGCACAGTGGCTCATGCCTATAATCCCAGTACTTTGGGAGGCGGGGGTGGGCATATTGCTTGAGGCCAGGAGTTCAAGACCAGCCTGGCCAACGCATGTCTACTAAAAATATAAAAACTAGCTGGGTGTGGTGGCACGTGCCTGTAATCCCAGCTACTCAGGAGGCTGAGGCACAAGAATCACTTGAACCCAGGAGGCAGAGATTGCAGTGAGCCAAGACCATGCCACTGCACTCCAGCCTGGGTGAGAGTGAGACTCCGTCTCAAAAAACAGAACCACCTGAGACTGGGTAATTCATAAAGAAAAAAGGTTTAATTGACTCACAGTTCAGCAGACTGTATGGAAGCATGGCTGGGAGGCCTCAGGAAATGTACAATCTTACAGTCATGGATGGCAGAAGGCAAAGAGGAAGCAAGCCTGTCTTAGCATGGTAGAGCAGGAGAGAGCACTAAGCAGGAAGTGCTACACACTTTTAAACAAGCAGATCTTGTGAGACCTCACTCATTATCATGAGAATAGCAAGGGGAAAATCCCCCTGCCATAATCCAATCACCTCCCACCAGGCCCCTCCTCCAACACTGAAGATTATAATTCAACATGAGATTTGAGTGGGGACACAAGAGCCAAACCTTATTGTTCTATGGCCCTCAATTAATTTTTCAGTTTCTTCCTTGATATTGACAGAGTGATCACCAAGTAAATCCCAGCCACCTGAACGATGTGTTCCAGTTCTTGGTTAGTGTGGGGAAGTGAGTAAAATGAGTCACACAATTATTCTGAGTTTTACCAACGTGAATTGACTGCTTCTGACTTGACATCATCCTTCACAGACCCACTGAGTGGAATGGCAGACAAAATAACTTGATGGGAGGTAAAATGAGTCTCCATTATATGCCACCTTTATTAGGCAAAGTAATTTTTAGTTCATTCTATCTTGTCCTGTCATGGACCCATTGAAGAATTTTTACAGACAGAAGAGAAATCTGCCTTAAATCTCCAAAAAAGAGCTAACAAAAACTCACAATTTTCTTAGCGGTCTCAAAAGTTACAGATAAAATTTTCAGAAAGCATTAAGGTCCAAATACCTATAGTTTCCTGCCCTGCCACAGTCTAGGTCAATGGACAGGAACAGGATACAACCTATTCTCCACCTATAGAGAGCAAACCCAATGGGTCATGACCTTCTCTTCCCTCTTTTCCTCCCCCTTCCTTTACCCTCTCTCTTGTCTCTTCTCTTCTTCACTAACAGGCATGAAGTCCTGAGAGCCTAGACTAACCTGGTGGCAGCGGCAGAGAAAGGGACATATCTTAGAGATCTGAAACAGTCCTCAATTCTATCTGCCCAGGTCGATTGCTTTTTGCCCACACTCCTATTGCATATCTCATTGGTTGCCTTTAATACTTGTGTGCTGCTTTTTAATGTTTTGTATTTATTAGATTTGTCCTCCTGATTAAAAAAGCAATAGTTAATTAAGAGAATTGGCTTTCTCCGTGTGTGGCAAAGTACACCAAAAATAATATGAATCAGCAAACACAAATCAATGTGCAATTAAAAATGACAAATTTAATTTTGCATTCTAATAAAACTTTCTTGTAATCGCTTGAAGTCAATCCCCTGCTTCCATTACTGGGGATCTGCAGTCTGGAAAGTCTTCTCCCTACTGTTGCTTTTCTTTCTCTTTGCAGCTCCAAGGTTAGTGCTGTCAGGAGTGCTGCAAGCATGTTTCCTTCTAATTTGCTGGCAGTAAAAAATCTATCCCCTCTTACTCAGTACACTTCTGTGAGGAGAAATAGGAAAAACACCAAAGTACTTTTCCCCATTCTTACTCGGTTCCTCAATGCAACAGTTCTGACACCAACTCTAGAAATAGAAAAAAAACAACACAAGACGTATTTTTCTTGTTCTCTACTCTCACACAGTCACTCAGCACTTCTGGCACCAGGTGTGTGGGAGTTTTTCGCCAGAAATCAAGCAATTCTGCAGTGGATTCTGCAACAGATTCTCCAGCGGACAGCAGCCAGGTGTCCTCCAGTTCACGATCCACCTGGAGTGAACAGGCAATTCTGACACTATCTACCTGGAGATAGCATCAGATCTCACGGGTTGAAGGGCTTAGTTCCCAACATTGCCCTCCACTTCAGATGCCATGGATTGTGGCCCGTACTTGTTTCTGACCAACTGGTTATAAATAGGGGTTTTTAGTACTCCTTGCTGGGTTTCAGTTAATTTCCTAGAGCAGCTCACAGAACCCAGAAAAACACTGTTTTCTCATGTTTTATAAAGAATATTACAAAGGATACAGATAAATAACCAGATGGAAGAGATGTATGGGGCAAAGTGTGGGAGAAGGAGGGCAGAGCGTCCATGCCCCTACAGAAACCTCCATATGTTCAGCTACCTAGAAGCTCTCTGACTCCAGTCCTTTTAGGTTTTTATGGGAGTTTCATGATGCAGGCATGATTGATTAAATCGTTGGCCTTTGGTGATCAACTCAACCTTCAGCCCCTCTTCCCTCCCTCTGAGATCGGGGTATGAGGCTGAGAGTCTCAACCCTCTAATCCTGCCTCAGTCTTTCCAGTAACCAGACCCCACCCTGAAGCTATCTAGGGGCCCCCAGCCACCAGTCGTATCATTAGCACCTAAAAGATACCCTTATCAGTCCATAGATTCTAAGGGTTTTAGAAGCTGTACGTCAGGAAACAGGAAGAAGGCCCAATATTTATTTTACAATATCACAACTTCTAATAAGGGAATGACAACTGCAATGAAAAAGAAAGGTTCTGCGCAAAGGAAGAATGCAAGCACTTAGCGACCAGACTGAATGGTGGAACAAAGGAAAAATAATGATTTAGAAATGTGGAACCTGGTCATGTTTATCCTATAAGTAGCCTATCAAAAACCCTAATGTTTTTCTTAAAAAGTTGCTATTTTGCTACCAAAATACCAAATAAAAAGTTCTATACCAATATATCCTTTCCTAAGATTTTTAAATTATGAACTTGATGAGTACCCAAGACATCAGTCTGCTGCTCAGTTTAGGAAAAGCTAACAAGAAAGTCTATGATCTGTCAATAAAAACATTAAAAAAATTAAAAGCTGCATAACCAAAGAAAAATAAGAG
Organism: Homo sapiens; assembly: GCF_000001405.40. Classification (NCBI taxonomy): domain Eukaryota; kingdom Metazoa; phylum Chordata; class Mammalia; order Primates; family Hominidae; genus Homo; species Homo sapiens. The sequence continues at coordinate 81,254,109 of NC_000014.9, read as the reverse complement.
CAAAACCCCAAGACACCCCACAAAGGTGAACACTTACTTCTTCTTCTTTTATTTTTTTGAGACGGAGTCTCATTCTGCCGCCCAGGCTGCAGTGCAGTGGCGTGATCTCGGCTCACTGCAACTCCCGCCTCCTGGGTTCAAGTGATTCTCCTGCCTCAGCCTCCCAAGTAGCTGGGATTACAAGTGCACGCCGCCATGCCCAGCTAATTTTTGTATTTTTAGTAGAGACAGGGTTTCACCATGTTGGCCAGGATGGTCTCAATCTCTTGACCTTGTGATCTGCCCGACCTGGCCTCCCAAAATGCTGAGATTACAGGCGTGAGCCACCACGCTCGGCCAACACTTACTTCTAAGTGAATGAAAGGACCTCATTTCTACTCAAGGTCCTTGACCCTTTTCCACAAATATTCAAGTAATGGGATTTCTCCTTTCAGGTAGACGATGCATCCATTGAGGAATGTTCTCTGTGGCAAGGCAGCATGGTCAAATGGGGGATCGAATTTTGAAGGCAATGTTTTTCTCATCTCTGCAACCCAGAATTGAGTTCGGAAAAGCTAACAAGAAAGTCTATGACTTGTCAATAAAAGCATTTTTAAAAAATTGAAAGCTGCATAACCAAAGAAAAATAAGAGCAAAACCCCAGGACACGCCACAAAGGTGAAGACTTACTTCTAAATGAATGAAAGGACCTCATTTCTACTCAAGATCCTTGGCCCCTTTCCAAAAATATTCAAGTAATGGGATTTCTACTTGCAGGCAGACAGTGCTTCCATCGGGGAATGTTCTCTGAGGCAAGGCAACATGGTCAACTAGGGATGGAATTTTGAAGGCAATGCTTTTCTCATCTCTGCAACCCAGAATTGAGTTATCTGTGCTCTGAGACTTTTTCTTTATAAACCATTTAATGCTTCAATGATGGCAAAGCTAATTCAGCTTCCCAACAGTGTTACCTCTGGAATCCCACCTCAGGGATTTTGTATCCTCTAGATCTTGGCAGTAAATTTTTGGAAGTACTTGTTTCTGGTTAGAAGTATTTTTAATGTGCCCTGATAGATATGGAGACAGTATCTCCAAAAGTTGACCTTCGGAACAATAAGCATCATCCTCATCATCACAGTAGCTTGTTGTAGTGGGCCAAGATCATGCCACTGCACAGCCTGGGTGACAGAGCAAGACAGAGCAAGAGCCTTCCTTTTAACTAGTCTCTCCTCTTAACATATTTTATTGCTTCTAATTAAACATAAGGCACAAAATACATACATTCCACTACAAAACCTCTTATCAAATAAATTTTACATATTTAACATTTAGCCTGTGAGTTCCTTTGCTAGCTCAATGTGCTTTCCTCTACATTACTCAACAGTGACAGCAGCAATGGCCAGCACTCTGCTTTGTGTTTTATGTGCATTACTTCATTTAATCCTTGTAATAACCCTACAAAGGAGGGTTACTAAACATTTTATACCTGTAAATATCCTCATTTTGCAGGTATATAAAAAAACAAAACTGAAGCACAGAAGGTCAGTTAATTTGCCCAACAGTCATAAAGATAATGGTGGAACTTACTGTCTTTATCTCTGCTTCTAATCTTTGTTTAAGCTCTCATCTCTGGTTTTCTGCCACCTACAGGAAGGTTGTGAGTGAGTCCATTCCATTTCAGGTGACAGTTATAACTAGTATCTTCGGAGCACTCTGTCATCTTTAGGAATAATTGCAGAGCAATATAGTAGTAATTCAATAAATGTCTCTAAGCCCCCCATGAGGTTGAAAGGGCATAGAGATAAATGAGATATGGTCCCAACCCTCTAGAAGCACCCATTCAGAAGACAGTTTTGATAGCAAATCTACCGTCAGAGCCAAGAGCAACACACTTGACCTCTTTGTTTGAGTTACAAAAGGGCACCCCACTTTCTGGCTGACAAAGCTCCACACCAGAACATAGAGAATACTGCAGGTAGATCAAGAGCTGGATTTTGCTGGGCCAAGTGGCTCATGCCTGTAATCTCAGCACTTCGGGAGGCCAAGGTTAACAGATTGCTTGAGCCTAGGAGTTCGAGACTAGCCTAAGCAACGTAGTGAAACCCCATCTCTACAAAACATACAAAAATTAGCCGGGCATGGTGGCACATGCCTGTAGTCCTAGCTACTCAGGAGGCTGAGGTGGGAGTATCCCTTTAGCCTGGGAAGTGGAGGCTGTAGTGGGCCGAGATCATGCCACTGCACTCCAGCCTGGGTGACAGAGCAAGACCCTGTCTAAAAAAAAAAAAAAAAAAAGAAAAGCTGGATTTCATCTCTGCCTTTATAAAACAGTCCTTTTATGCAGTGTGAAAACTACACAACAGTATGTGGTATCTTCAGTTCTATAGTTGGTACCCAAATTATGAGCTTGTGGAGATCTATTCTTTAAAGACGTGCATGAAAATATTAGATGCATAGAATTTATGGAAACATGAATCCATATGTTAGAAAATATGGGGCAGTGATGGAATGTTCTACTATTTCATTTTAATCCCAGTATCAATAAAGGGTAGGAAAACAGATAAGCCTGTGGGAAACAATAAAGTATTTGAGAGGAAAAAAAGAGGAGCAACAAACGGAAAACCAAAACCAGTGAAGAGGGAATGACTGAAGGCCCTATGGAGAATGAGCACTTCCTTAATCTTGAAACTTTAGGAAAACGTAATATGTCTATTGTAAGCAAGTACATACAGAAATGTTCCCAGGAATGACTTTGGGAGGCTGGGCCACATTTGCGTATTCCAGCAATGACTATTTCACCTTTGCTTATAAGGCTGCATTTGTCATGAGACCACAGTATTCTTGACCACTCTATAATATTACCCTCATCAACAAAAACAAAAATCGTTTAGGGAATTCTTTTTTTTTGAGACGGAGTCTCGCTGTGTCACCCAGGCTGGAGTGCAGTGGCGCGATCTCAGCTCACTGCAATCTCCGCCTCCTGGGTTCAAGCGATTCTTCTGCCTCAGCCTCCCAGGTAGCTGGGACTACAGGCACGTGCCACCACGCTTGGCTAATTTTTAGTAGAGATGTGGTTTCACTATGTTGGCCAGGCTGGTCTCGAACTCCTGACACTGTGATCTGCCCACCTCGGCCTCCCAAAGTGCTGCGATTACAGGCGTGAGGCATGGCGCCCGGCCTAGGGAATTCTTAAGATTAGCAAAATAATGAGTCTAACTACTAAGCGGTACACATTAAAACTTGAAAATATTGTCTTTCTTGCCCTCAAAATGAATTACATTTAAGAAGATAATGTAGGCTGGGCGTGGTGGCTCACGCCTGTAATCCCAGAATTTTGGGAGACCGAGGCAGGTGGCTCACTTGAAGTCAGGAGTTCAAGACCAGCCTGGCCAACATGGCAAAACCCCATCTCTACTAAAAATACAAAAATTAGCCAGGCGTAGTGGCGGGCGCCTGTAATCCCAGCTACTCGGGTGGTTGAGGCAGGGAGAATTGCTTGAACCTGGGAGGCGGAGGTTGCAGTGAGCCGAGATCGCACCAGTGCACTCCCGCCTGAGCAACAGAGCGAAATTCCATCTCAAAAAAAAAAAAAAAAAAAAGAGAAGAAGATAATGTATAATACAGGGTATAGATAACAAGTGCTATAAATGGTGCTAAAATTATGGATTTTGGAAATGCAGGGAGAAATCAAATTACCTCTTACAACCAGGGGAAAGACAGAGAAAGGCTGTGCTTTCAGCTAGCTCTTAAAGGAAAGGGTACCACTTCAAAAGGCAGAGCAAGGCAGGGTGAAGAAAGGAAGTACATTCCAAGTAGAGAGAACACTATGATGTAAGTAAAGGAGGCAGAATTAAGTGTAAGTGGTGGATTTAGAGAAAATCAGTATATCTGTTTGACAAGGATAGTAGAAATAATAAAAGTGCCTAACTATGGCAGACTGTGTTCTCCCAAAATGAATGCAGTGAACAGCAATATTTTCAGTTTCACATGTTATTTATTCTATCCGCCATCAAATGGTGGGGTCTCTTTCCCATCTCTTTAATCTGGGTTATGACTGGTTTATGTCTGTTTCAACTGAGAAAGTATAGTGGAAGTGATGCTATGTGACTTCCAAGTCTAGGTCATAAAGGATATAGCTTCTGCCTGGCTCTCTCTTAGGACATTCACCTTTGGAACTCAGCCACCATGTGTGAGGGAGCCCAGGCCACAAGGAGAGGCTACATGTAGGTGTTCCAGTTGACAGTCCCAGCGAAAGTCTCAGCCAACAGCCAGAATCAACCAAAACACGTAAGTACATGAACCTGCAGATGATTCGGCCCTCAGACTCAATGTCTTCCAGCTGAGGCACCAGATACCAAAGAACCGAGACAAGCCATTCCCTCTGTGCCCTGTCCAAATTGCCAATCCACATAATCTGTGAGCTTAATAACTGGTTGTTTCAGGCCAATAATTTTGGGGGTAACTTGTGACATAACCATAATAACTGGAACACTAATATCAATTGGGTAATGACCATATGCCATGTTCTATGTTTGATGCCTTATATTTTATATCAGTTAGCTATTTCTGTGTAACAAACCACCCCAAATCTCAGTAGCTTACAAAACAGTTATTTCTCTACTATAGCTCACACATCCGTGAGTCTATTAGAGGTTGGCTGACCTAGGCTGGGCTCACTCTGGTGTCTAAGTGTTGGCAGGCAGCTCTGCTCCAGGCCATGTGTGGCTGGGGCATCTAAGCTAGGACAGATCTGCTTTATGGGTCTCTCATCCTCCTCTAGGAACCAGCAGGCTTGCCTGAATATGTCACTTTCATGGGGAAGAATGACAGTGGAAACACATAAAGCTTTTGAGGCCTAGGCTTAAAAATGGCACACTATCTGGCCAGGTGTGGTGGCTCACACCTGTAATCTCAGCACTTTGGGAGGCTGAGGCAGGTGGATCACCAGAGGACTGGAGTTTGAGACCAGCTGACCAACATGGTGAAACCCCATCTCTACTAAAAATACAAAAAATTAGCCAGGCATGGTGGCACATGCCTGAATCCCAGCTACTTGGGAGGCTTAGGTGGGAGAATTGCTTGAACCCGGGAGGCGGAGGTTGCAATGAGTTGAGATTGTGCCACTGCACTCCAGTCTGGGCAAAAAGAGCAAAACTCCATCTCAAAAAAAAAAAAGGCGCACTATCACTTCTCCCACATTCTATTGGCCAAATCAAGTTACATGGCCAGACCCAGATTAAAGAGTTAGGAAAACATACACCACCTATTTAGTGTACTATGAAGTCACAAGGAAAGAGTATGCACTTTGGGAGGGGTAAAGAATTGGAGCCAGGGCCGAGTGTGGTGGCTCACGCTTGTAATCCCAGCACTTTGGGAGGCCGAGGCAGGTGGATCACCTGAGGTCAGGAGTTCAAGACCAGCCTGGCCAACATGGTGAAACCCCATCTCTACTAAAAAAATACAAAAAATTAGCCGAGCATGGTGGCAGACACCTGTAATCCCAGCTACTCGGGAGGCTGAGGTAGGAGAATCACTTGAACCCGGGAGGCAGAAGTTGCAGTGAGCTGAGATTGCGCCACTGCACTCCAGCCTGGGCAACAAGGCGAGACTCCGTCTCAAAAAAAAAAAAAAAAAAAAAGAATTGGAGCCAGGAGTAATGTCAGCAAGATGGCTGACTAGAGACACCTGCTGCTTGTCCCGCCCAACAAGAAAGGCCCAAGGCAATGAATAAACAGCTCACTTTGACTGGAGTGTCGAAGGGAGAGCACTGGAGTACAGTGGGGGAGTGGGATGAATCTGCAGTGACAGAAGTCCGGAAGAGCAGCATGGAGGCACCCGGCCTCTACAGCCCCATCTGCTTTTCCCAAATCGGATTGGCCTGAAGACAGGAGGGACTTCCTGTTGTGGAGAAAAGGTAAGCAGATCCCCACCAGCCTTCATTATCTTGACAAACACCTATAGTCCTTTCTACAGGAGAACCCCACAGTTCTCACAAGCCCTGAGCCCCGTTTGCAGAGCTGCCTGGAATTCATGCAGCTGCACTGCCTTGGATTAGGAGTGTAAGGTGTGCACTCCCCACCCCCACCCACTCCCTGTGAGCGAAGCTGCTGCAGAATAGCCCCATCTTGACAGCAGAGCCACCTGTGGAGTGCACCCTCCTCCCAGGGTCAGCAGCCACCCCAGCACTGGGGCTCCATTTTCATTACGCCAAGCCCACAAGGGTAGCTGGATGCCACAGCCCTAGCTGTGCAGAGCTTGGGCCCAGGATCAGCTGTAACTCTGGTCCTGCAAAGCAGAGAAACCAATTCCCACCACCATACATCCAGCTAGAGAAAGAGTCTGCCGGTCTCGCCCAGGGCAAACTGTCCATGAGCTAGCCAAACCACTGTGTGTCCTCCCACATATGGGAGCTGAGATGCCCCAGGCCAGCAGAGTGGCTACACTAGAACTAGCCCTGCAGCACCCCTGCCCCCAACAGTCATGCTCCTGACCTGCCCAGTGGGCCTGTGTCTCCGATAAGAGCTTAAGAAAGAGTCCTGTAGGTCACTACTGGTGGCACGTCTCCAGGGCAGCCAAGCAGCCAAGAGCCCATATGCCGGACTTAAAAAGCAGTCCCGCAGGCTGCCCCTTGTGGGCGTGCCCCTGAGCCAGCTGAGCAGCCATGCACTTGAATCCCAGACCTGAGAAACAGCCCTGTGGGCTGCCCCTGACAGTCATCCCCCAGGACAACTGACCGGCTGTGTGTCCGTGTCCTAGATTGAAAAACAGCCCTGCAGGCTGCCTGTAGTGGACACAACCACAAGCTGACTAAGCAGTCCTGTGCTCCTTGCCCAGGCCTACGAAATAATCTCATGGGCCACCACCCACAGAAATGCCCCTAGGCCATTTGAGCAGCAATGCAGATATGTCATAGGTCTGAGAAATAGCCTTGTGCCCAACCCAGGCAGCAGAGCAGTCATGCACCCATGCACTGGATCTGAGAAATAACTTGCGGGCCACCCCCAGCAGACGTGCCCCTGGGCCAGCCAAGCAGACTTGTGCCCACATCCTGGGCGTGAAAAGCAGCCCCATGGGCCGCCAATGGCAGACATGTCCGCAGGCCAATCAAACAGTTGTGTACCAGCATCCTGAGCCAGAGGAACAGCCCCCTGGACCATCCTCAGCAGATGTGCACTCACACCAGCCAAGAAGCCATGTGATCACGTCTTGAGCCTGAGAAACCTCAGGGACCACCCCCAACAAACATGCCCCAGGCCAACTGAGAAACTGGGCAGCTGTGTCCTGGGCCTAAGAAACTCTGTGAATCACCCAGAGCAGACACACCCTAGACCCAAGCAGCTTTATGCCTGCATCCTAAACCAAAGAAAGCATGTTGTGGGTCACCCCTGGCAGACACATCACCAGGCCAGCCAAGCAGCTGTGTGCCCACATCCTGGGTTGAAGAAAGTCCCACAAACCGAGATGCGCCACGGCTTTGGTAGCAACGGCAGCTCCAGCCGGGCCTGAGCTGTGCTGGCACCTCCCAGGGGACCGTTGGAGTTGGCCAGCCCCTTTCTCCATGGTAACCATGTGCGACCGAAAGGCCGTGATCAAAAATGCGGACATGTCGGAGGAGATGCAACAGAACTCAGTGGAGTGCGCTCCTCAGGCGCTGGAGAAATACAACATAGAGAAGAACACTGCGGCTCATATCAAGAAGGAATGTGACAAGAAGTACAATGCCACCTGGCACTGCATCCTGGGGAGGAACTTCAGTAGTTACGTGACACATGAAACCAAACACTTCATCTACTTCTACCTGGGCCAAGTGGCCATTCTTCTGTTCAAATCTGGTTAAAAGCATGGACTGTGCCACACACCCAGTGGTCCATCCAAAAACAAGGACTGCAGCCTAAATTCCAAATACCAGAGACTGAAATTTTCAACCTTGCTAAGGGAACTCCTCGATGTTTGAACCTTTGTTGTGTTTTGTACAGGGCATTCTCTGTACTAGCTTGTTGTGGTTACAAAACAATTAGCACAATAGCCTACATCTGTATTTATTTTCTATTCCATACTTTTGCCCCACGTTGTTTTCTCTCAAAATCCATTCCTTTAAAAAATAAATCTGTTGCAGATGTGAAAAGAAAAAAAAAAAAGTCCCACAAACCATTCCTGGCAGGCACACCCCAAGGCCAACTGAGCAACCATGTGTGCATGCCCCCAGCCAGAGTAACAACCCTGTGACCTAAACCACAGTGAGCCAAACCCCAAGTTGGCTGACCCACTGTGTGCATACACACACACACACCAGGCCTGAGAAACAGTCTGGGAAGCCCAACTCCAGCAAAGCCACATCATTATCACAAATTCTCTCAGCCTAGACCACTGAGAAACACACAAATGCCACTAGTATGGATTACAGCTGAAGAGACTAAATGGAGAGTACACTACTGTACATACCTAGAATCAAGGTCAATGCACCCCACTGAACTGACACCCAAAGGTTTATTGGTACAAATAAGTGTTTCCCTATGAAGCCTTCTTCATAAAACTGGAAAACATAACTTTTCCACCAGATGTGTAGAAATCAATGTATGAACACATCAACCATGAAAAGGGGAAAGAAACATGTCACTTTCAAGGAAAACAATACTTCTCTAGTAACAGACTCTAATAAAACAATATGAAATGACAGAAAAAGAATTCAAAATAATAATCTTAAAGAACCGCAGTAAGATGCAAGAGAATACAGATAGACTAATGAAATCACAAAAATCAGTTTATTATTTGAATGAGAAATTCAACAAAAAGATAGATATCATAAAAAGAAGCAAACAGTCTCTCCCTCCCCCTCCCCTTCCCCCTCCCCTTCCCCCTCCCCTTCCCCCTCCCCCTCCCTCTCCCTCTCGGCACGGTCTCCCTCTGATACCCATACGAGGCTGGACTGTGCTGCCGCCATCTCGGCTCACTGCAACCTCCCTGCCTGATTCTCCTGCCTCAGCCTGCAGAGTGCCTGGGATTGCAGGCACGCACCGCCACGCCTGACTGGTTTCTTTATTTTTTGGTGGAGACGGGGTTTCGCCGTGTTGGCCTGGCTGGTCTCCAGCTCCTGACTGCGAGTGATCTGCCAGCCTCGGCCTCCCGAGGTGCCGGGATTGCAGACGGAGTCTCGCTCACTCAGTGCTCAATGTTGCCCAGGCTGGAGTGCAGTGTCGTGATCTCAGCTCGCTGCAACCTCCACCTCCCAGCCGCCTGCCTTGGCCTCCCAAAGTGCCAGATTGCAGCCTCTGCCCGGCCGCCACCCTGTCTAGGAAGTGAGGAGCGTCTCTGCCCGGCTGCCCATCATCTGGGATGTGAGGAGCCCCTCTGCCCGGCTGTCCGGTCTGGGAAGTGAGGAGCACCTCTTCCCAGCCGTCATCCCGTCTAGGAAGTGAGGAGCGTCTCTGCCCAGCCGCCCATCGTCTGGGATGTGGGGAGCGCCTCTGCCCCGCCACCCCGTCTGGGAGGTGAGGAGCATCTCTGACCGGCCGCCCCGTCTGAGAAGTGAGGAGCCCCTCCGCCCGGCAGCCGCCCCGTCTGGGAAGTGAGGAGCCCCTCCGCCTGGCAGCCACCCCGTCCGGGAGGTGGGGGGCAGCCCCTGCCCGGCCGCCACCCCGTCTGGGAGGTGGGGGGCGCCTCTGCCTGGCCGCCCCGTCTGGGAAGTGAGGAGCCCCTCTGCCCGGCTGCCACCCCGTCTGGGAGGTGTACCCAACAGCTCATTGAGAACGGGCCATGATGACGATGGCAGTTTTGTCGAATAGAAAAGAGGGAAATGTGGGGAAAAGAAAGAGATCAGATTGTTACTGTGTCTGTGTAGAAAGAAGTAGACATAGGAGACTCCATTTTGTTCTGTACTAAGAAAAATTCTTCTGCCTTGGGATGCTGTTAATCTATAACCTTACCCCCAATCCCGTGCTCTCTGAAACATGTGCTGTGTCCACTAAGAGTTAAATGGATTAAGGGCGGTGCAAGATGTGCTTTGTTAAACAGATGCTTGAAGGCAGCATGCTCGTTAAGAGTCATCACCACTCCCTAATCTCAAGTACCCAGGGACACAAACACTGCGGAAGGCGTCAGGGCCCTCTGCCTAGGAAAACCAGAGACCTTTGTTCACATGTTTATCTGCTGACCTTCCCTCCACTATTGTCCTATGACCCTGCCAAATCCCCCTCTCTGAGAAACACCCAAGAATGATCAATAAATGCTAAGAAAAAAAAAATTGATAAACATAATGACTGCAAAAGTCTATCTTTTCTTTTTAGTATTCTTTCTTAAATGTATTTTCTACCCTAATATTTCATGAGAACTTTGATTCCTACTAAAATATGAATGTTCACATAAAAAAAAAGAAGCAAACAGAAACCCAAGAGCTGAAGAATTCAGTGAATGAAATACAAAATATGCTTAAGAGCTTCAGCAACAGACTAGACCAAGCAGAGAAAGGAATTTCTAAACTTGAAGACAGGTATTTTGAAATAACATACACAGACCATAAAAAAAACGGATAAAGGATAAAGAATAAAAACGAATGAAGAAAGTATACAGAATTTGTGGGTATCATGGGCATTCCAGAAGGAAAAGAAGAGAAAAGGTGAGCAAAACATAGTTGATAAAATAATCAGCAGAAACATTCTTGGGAGAGAGACAGAGATCTAGGTTCAGGAAGATCAAAGAACCCCAAACAGATCCTCTCCAAGGCACATTAAAGGAAAAACATCAAGTCACATATAAAGGCATCTCAATTAAACTAACAAAGCATTTCTCAGCGAAACCTTACGGGCCAGAAGAGAATAGGATAATATATTCAAAGTACTAAAAGAAAAAGAAACTGCCAGTCAAAAATATACCTAGCATAGCTATCCTTCTAAAATAAAGGAGAAGTAAAATCTTTGATAGATAAGAAAAAAACTAAGGAAATTTATCACCACCAGACCAGCCTTACAAGAGATACTCAAGGGTATCTTATATCTGGAAGTGAAAACACAACTACCACCATTATTTACCTACATGCAGGAGAAAGAAAGGAATCAAAGCTTATTGCTACAGAAAACCACCCAACTGCAAAAATAAACAAAAAGAGAGTAAGGAACAAAGAACATATAAAACAACCAGAAAACAGGGCTGGGAGCACTGGTTCACACCTGTAATCCCAGCAATTTGGGAGGTCAAGGCGGGCGGATCACGAGGTCAGGAGATCGAGACCATACTGGCTAACAATGAAACCCCATCTCTACTAAAAATACAAAAAATTAGCCAAAATTAGCTGGGTGTAGCAGCGGGCACCTGTAGTCCCAGCTACTCGGGAGACTGAGGCAGGAGATTGGCCTGAACCCGGGAGGCGGAGCTTTCAGTGAGCCAAGATTGTGCCACTGCACTCCAGCCTGGGCGACAGAGTGAGACTGTCTCAAAAAACAAACAAAAAAACAAAAAACAAACAAAAAAACCAGAAAACAATCAATAAAATGACAGAAGTAAGTCCTCACCTACCAATAATAACTTTGAATGGAAATGGATTAAATTCCCCATTTAAAACATATAGACTGGAGGAATTGATTAAAACAATTGATAACAAGACCCAACTTTATGCTGCTTACAAAAAAACTCACCTCACCAGTGAAGACACACAAAAATTGAAAGTGAAGGGCTAGAAAAAGACACCCCATGTAACTGGAAATCAAAAGTGAGCAGGAGTAGCTATACTTACATTAGATAAAACATACTCCAAGTCAAAAGCTGTAAAAAGAAAAAAAGAATGACATTAATTATATCTTAATAAGGGAACCAGTTCTGTAAGAGAATATAACAATTGTAAATATATATGCACCCAACAGATATATAAGGCAAATATTAGATTTAAAGGGAGTGATAGACTCCACTATAGATAATTGGGGACTTTAAAACCCCACTCTCAACATTAGACAGATCATCTAGACAGGAAATTATTAAAGAAACATCCAATTTAAACTGTACCATAGGCCAAATGGACCTAACAGACATTTACAGAATACTTCACCAACAGCTGTAGAATATACATTATTTGGGGCATGGTGGCTCACGCCTGTAATCCCAGCACTTTGGGAGGCTGAGGCAGGTGGATCACTTGAGGTCAGGAGTTCAAGACCAGCCTGACCAACATGGTAAAACCCCAACTCTACTAAAAAAATACAAAAATTAGCCATGTGCAGCGGCACGTACCTGTAGTCCCAGCTACTTTGGAGGCTGAAGCAGGAGAATCGCTTGAACTCAGGAGGTGGAGGCTACAGTGAGCCAAGATTTTACTACTGCACTCTAGCCTGGGCAACAGAGCAAGATTCCATCTTTAAAAAAAAAAAAAAATATATATATATATATATATATGTATATATATATATATACGTATATATATATATATATGTATATATATATATATATACATATATATATACACATTCTTTTCATCTGCACATGGAACATTTTCCAGGACTGACCATATGTTAGGACATAAAACAGGTCTTAAACTTTTTTTAATTCTTAAAAATTGAAATCATATCAAGTATCTTATCTGGTCATGATGGAATAAAACCAGACATCAATGACAAGAGGAACATTTGAAACTATAAAAAAGATATGGAAATTAAATAACATACTGCTGAACAACCAATGGGTGAAGGAATTAAGAATGAAATTTTAAAATTCCTTGAAACAAATAAAAATAGAAACACAACATACCAAAACTTATGGGTCACAGGAAAAGCAGTATTAAGAGGCAAATTTATAACAATAAATGCCTACATCAAAAAAGTAGAAAGATTTCAAATAAAGAGCTGAAAAATGCACCTCAAGGAATTAGAATAGCAAGAACCAAACCCAAAATTCATAGAATGAAATAATAAAAATAGCAGAAATAAACAAAATGGAGACTAAAAATTCAACAAAACCAAAAGCTGTTTTTTTAAAGATAAACAAAATCAACAAAGCATTAGCGAGAATAACTAAGAAAAAAGATAGAAGACCTAAATAAATATAATCAGAAAAGAAAAAGGAGATGTCACAACGAATACTACAGAAATACAAAGCATCATACAGACTACAATGAACAACTGTATACCAATAAATTCAAAAACCTAGAGGTTACAGATAAATTTCTAGACACAAACAACCTAAAAAGATTGAACCAAGAAGAGATAGAAAACCTGAACATCCTCTATAATAGAAGCATGTCAAAAAAAAAAAAAAAGAAAAAAAAGAAAGAAAAGAAAACCTGAGCAGACCAATAATAAGAAACAAGATTTAATCAGTAATAAAAAGTTTTCCAACAAAAAGTAGTCTAGGACCAGATGGTGTTAACATTCTGAATTCTACTGAACATCTAAAGAAGAAGTAATATAATTTCTTCTCAAACTACCTCAACAAATTGGCCATAGGGAATTCTTCCTAACTCATTCTATAAGGCCAGCATTACCCTGATACCAAAACCAGACAAGAACACACAATAAAAGAATACTTCAGTCAGGCCAATACCCCAATGAGCATAGACACAGAAATCCTCAACAAAATACCAGCAAACCAAATCCAATAACATATCAAAAAGATAATACACCATGATCAAATGGGATTTATTCTAGGAATAGAAGGATGGTTTAACATATGCAAATTAATAAATGTCATACATCACAGCAATAGAATGAAGAACAAAACCATATGATCATCTGAATAGCTGCAGAAAAAGCTTTTGATAAAATTCAATATCCCTCTATGATGGAAAAATCTTAATAAATTAGGTATAGAAGGAAAGTACCTCAACGCAATAAAGGCCATATATGACAAAACTACAGCTAAGGTCTTTATGGAACAGGGAAAAGCTAAAAGCTTTTCTTTAAGAACTGCAACAAGGTAAGATACCCACTCTCACCAGACTTAATACGGTACTGGAAGTCTTAGCCAGAGCAATTAGGCAAGAGACAGAAATAAAGGGCATCCAAATTAGAAAGGAGAAATTGAAAATGACATGATCTTATATGGAGAAGAAACTAAAGACTCTACCAAAACTCTTAGAATTAATCAATTAATGAATTCAGTAAAGTTGCAGAATACAAAATTAATATCAAAAATCAGTAGTGTTTCTATACACAATGAACTAGCTGAGTAAGAAAGCAAAACCATTTAAAATAGCTACAAAAAATAAAATACCTAGGAATAAATTTCAGTGAATGGATAAAGAAAATGTGGTATATATACACAATAAAATACTATTCAGTGATTAAAAAAAAAATGAAACCCTGTCATGTGCAGCAACGTGGATGGAACTGGAGGACAATATGTTAAGTGAAATAAGCCAGGAAGGGAAAGTTAAACACCACATGTTCTCCCTCATGTGTGGAAACTAAAAAAAGTGGATCTCATAGAGGTAAAAAGTAGAACAGAGGATACTAGAGGCTGGGAAGGGTAGGAGGAAGGAAGAGGAAGGGAGAGATTTGCTCAAGGATACAAAATTACAGCTAGATAAAAGGATTAAGTCCTAGTGTCCTATACCCTGTAGGATGACTATAGTTAACAATAATATTGTATATAGGTTGAAATAGCTAGAAGAAGGATATTGAAACACATTCCCAACACAAAGAAATAATACGTGTTTGGGGCCAGGCGTGGTGTCATGCCTGTAATCCCAGCACTTTGGGAGGCTGAGGCAGGCGGATCACAAGGTCAGGAGATCGAGACCATCCTGGCTAACACGGTGAAACCCCACCTCTACTAAAAACACAGAAAATTAGCCTGGCGTGGTGGCGGGCGCCTGTAGTCCCAGCTGCTTGGGAGCCTGAGGCAGGATAATCGCTTGAACCCGGGAGGCAGTAAGCTGAGATCGTGCCACTGCACTCCAGCCTGGGTGACAGAGCGAGACTCTGTCTCCAAAAAAAAAAGAAATAATACATGTTTGGGATGTTTAATATGTTAATATGCTAATTATCCTAATCTGATTAGGCTAATTTGATATATACATTATGTATATCAAAACTTCACTATGTACCCCATGACTATATAAAGTTATTTGTCAATTAAAATTTAAATTAAAAAAGAATTGGAGCCATTACTTTATCACATATTTAATCTTCATAATTATCAGTTATCATTATTATATCCATTTCATTCATTTCCTTGATAAGTAAACTGAGGCTTTAAATAATATGAGTTTACAGAGTTCTTAGAGCTTTTGGTGAAACTGTTTTTGGAGCTTGCCATGGCTGCCTTACCATTGACAGATCAACATCTCAGATATCTTT
Source organism: Homo sapiens (assembly GCF_000001405.40). Classification (NCBI taxonomy): domain Eukaryota; kingdom Metazoa; phylum Chordata; class Mammalia; order Primates; family Hominidae; genus Homo; species Homo sapiens. The sequence continues at coordinate 81,238,852 of NC_000014.9, read as the reverse complement.
ACTCATCCCTGTATCTGCCAGACCACTACTGACTGCAAGAGTGATGGGGCATCTAGTCTTTTTATCTTAAGCCAATTTCCAACCCTCCTCTGATTGCCCCTTAGGATCACTATATCAACATGTCTCACATGTCCATTTGCCTTTTGCACCAGTAGAGGTTCAAACACTTCTCACCATTCTACCTCAATTGATCCATTCATATGGCCCCCTCTCCCACTTGTTCCTAATTGCCTGAAAACTTCCTGTGCCCTCAGAGACTCATGATCTCTTAACAACATCTATAATATTTTCTCTGAGCTTTCCCTTAATTTCATGCCCTGACTGAAAGCCAATTGTTCCCTAAGGGCACTGGTTGCCCTGCAGTACTCTGCAAGGGATGCGTTTTTGTTTTTGTTTTTTCCCACTCTTATACCATGCACCTCTGGGTTTGAAGATGAGACGTAAGACCAGTATCCTTCTTGATTCCTATTGCAGCTTTATAAGTTGTTCTCTTTCCTCTTAAAAAATTTAAATCCTTTGAAGTTTATGCTATCAGATGCTACAACCCCAAATATTGCTATACTGCTGACATTTAAGCCTCTCCTTATTCACTCAGGATTTTAGCACCTGGCTCTCTTTCTTTCTATTCATCCCTACTCCTGTCACTGTGAAAGGAAAATAAACCTTTGGGCCCCCAAGTCACTAAACTAAAGGGAAAACCCAAGCTGGGAACTGCTTAGGGCAAATCTGCCTCCCATTCTGTTCAAAGTCACCCCTCTGCTCACTGAGATAAATACTTACCTGATTGCCTCCTTTGGAGAGGCTAATCAGAAACTCAAAATAATGCAACCATTTGTCTCTTACCTACCTATGACATGGAAACTCCCTCCCTGTTGTCCTGCCTTTCCAGATGAACCAATGTTCATTTTACATCTTATGTTGATTGATGTCTCATGTCTCCCTAAAATGTATAAAACCAAACTGCTCTGACCACCTTGGCCACATGTCATCAGGACCTCTTGAGGCTGTGTCATGGGCACACATACTCAACGTTGGCAAAATACACTTTCTAAATTAACTGAGACCTGTCTCAGATAGTCAGGGTTCACATCGCCAATCTTGATATATGATCAAATCAACAATGAGGCCTCTTAGTTCCTTGACCTCCTCAACTCTAATTTTTTTTAAATCTCACATCAGCTGCCCACTTCTACAGGCATAAATTTGCCCAATAATTATACTCTTTGATCCAAGCACTTCACTCTCTGACCACTATCCCTATCTTTCAAGTGATTTTGTGTCCGAAATTGGTGGGTTCTTGGTCTCACTGACTTCAAGAATGAAGCCACGGACCCTCACGGTGAGTGTTACAGTTCTTAAAGATGGTGTGTCTGGAGTTTGTTCCTGCTGACATTTGGACACGTTCAGAGTTTCTTCCTTCTGGTGGGTTCGTGGTCTTGCTGGCTTCAGGAGTGAAGCTGCAGACCTTCCAGGTGAGTGTTACAGCTGTTAAGGCGGTGCGTCTGAAGTTCTTTGCTCCTCCCGTCTGGAGTTGTTCATTCCTCCTGGTGGGTTCATGGTCTCGCTGGCCTCAGGAGTGAAGCTGCAGACCTTCCCGGTGAGTGTTACAACTCATAAAGGCAGTGTGCACCCAAAGAGTGAGCAGCAGCAAGATTTATTGCAAAGAGCAAAACAACAAAGCTTCCACAGCATGGAAGGAGACCCAAGCAGCTTGCCACTGCTGGCTGGGGCAGCCTGCTTTCGTTCCCTTATCTGACCCCACCCACATCCTGCTGATTGGCCCATTTTACAGAGAGCTGATTGGTCCATTGTACAGAGAGCTGATTGGTCCATTTTACAGAGAGCTGATTGGTCTGTTTTGACAGGGTGCTGATTGGTGCGTTTATAATCCCTGAGCTAGACACAGAGTGCTGATTGGTGTATTTACCATCCTCTACTTAGATATAAAAGTTCTCCAAGTCCCCCTAGATTAACTAGACACAGAGCACTGATTGGTACATTTACAAACCTTGAGCTAGACACAGGGTGCTGATTGGTGTGTTTACAAACCTTGAGCTAGACACAGAGTGCTGTTTGGTGCATTTACAAACCTTGAGCTAGACACAGAGTGCTGACTGGTGTATTTACCATCCTTTAGCTAGACATAAAAGTTCTCCAAGTCCCCACCAGATTAGCTAGATACACAGTGCTGATTGGTGTATCCACAAACCCCAAGCTAAATACACAGTGCTGATTGGTGCATATACAATCCTCCAGCTAGACATAAAAGTTCTGGAACTTCCCACCCAACTCAGGAGCCCAGCTGGCTTCCCCTAGCGGATCCTGCGCCTAGTGGATCCTGCACCTGGGACGCTGGTGGAGCTGCCCGCCAGTCCCGCACCAGGCACCCACACTCCTCAGCCCTTGGGTGGTCAATGGGACCGGGTGCCACAGAGCAGGGGGTGGCGGGGGGCTCAGGCCACGTGGGAGCCCACAGGGGGTGGTGCATGGGCATAGCGGGCTGCAGGTCCCGAGCCCTGCCCCATCAGGAGGTGGCTGAGGCCCGGTGAGAATTCAAGGGCGGCACGGGCTGGCCGGCAGTGCTGGGGAAACCGGCGCACCCTCCACAGCTGCTGGCCCAGGTGCTAAGCCCCTCACTGCCCGGTGCCCCCAGCCGGCTGCTCTGAGTGTGGGGCCTGCTGAGCCCGTGCCCGGCCAGAACTGGCACTGGCCCATGAGCACCATGCGCAGCCCCGGTTCCCGCCTGCGCCTCTCCCTTCACATCTCCCTGCAAGCAGAGGGAGCCGGCTCCAGCCTCGGCTAGTCCAGAGAGGGGCCCCCACAGCGCAGTGGCGGGCTGAAGGGCTCCTCGAGCATGGCCAGAGTGGACGCTGAGGCCGAGGAGGCACGGAGAGCGAGGGCTGCTAGCACGTTGTCACCTCTCAATTTATCTAATATCTCACTTCAAAATTTTATTTCATTACAACTTCCAATTCACTGAGTCTATTATTTTTTCATTATCTATTGCCCTTTCAAAGACACACATCTCATTGAACCCCTTAGATTCAATGGACTATCATCATAGTCACTCACTGAGATCAGGGCAAGTGGTCTCCTCTTTATGAAGATGACTCAGGAGTTGCACACATCACATTTCGCACCCTATTGGATCAGCTGGGAAGTGGGGCCTTTGGGGAGTTATTTAGATAATGAGGGCTCTGCCCTTATAAATGGATAAATGCCTTTATAAAAGACTTGAAGGGGGAAAGTTCACTCTTTTCCAACCCTTTCATTCCTTCCATCATGTGAAGACATGGCATTCTTCCCTTCCAGAAGACGCTATCTTGGAAGCTGAGTCCAGGTTCTCACCAGACACTGAACCTATCAGCTCCTTAATCTTGGACTCCCAGCCCTCAGTACTGTGAAAAGTAAGTTTCTGTTCTTTATAAGTCACCCAGTCTCAGGTATCTTGTTGTAGCAGCACAAATGAAATAAGACAACTGGCTAAAACTCAGGGCATTCTATTATTAAAAGAAAAGAGGATGTGACTATTTGGGGACAGTTAGTGATGTCTGCACATTACTTAAGCCTAAACGCCCACCTAGTCTGTGCTTTCCCACAAGTAACTAACAGATCAAAGTATGCAGCCATGATGATTCTCACTCCAAATCTCAAGTGAGCAATCAATTCTACATAACAAACTTATACCCGTATTTAATACATTTGATCTTCTGCTCTCAAGAAATGGCTATTTTGGGTGTTCTCCTCTTTTCTCAAACTTCTCACAATCCCTTAGTATCTTTTACACCTCACTCTCAGCTGGTAACTTTCTCTTGTATTCTATAGAAAAAGTGAAAGCAATCCCAGGGAGTTACTTTTCTTTCCCCACTAAATCTACTAGCTCATTCTAACATTCTTTTCTCTCATTTCAATTCTGACTTTCTTTGCCCACATTTTTTTCTCCTTTTACAGTACACAAAAGCAAAAGATGTTCCTAGCAAAGATGAACACCTCTAAAGCCTATCTTCAGCCTTTCTCAAGGACAGATGTCTGTAATAAGCACTTTCTCTTGTACTATTATGTTTTGATTTTCTGTTGGATTTTTCCAACAGTTAGGAAATAGTCTCTAATAAATACCACCTTCAAAAAATTATTAGAAGAGAGGACTCTGGGAAGATAGCAGAGTAGAGAGCACCTGAAATCTGTCTCCCCAACTTGACAACAATTGCACTGAGGGAATCTGTCTTACCTATTTTGAAACTCTAGTGTCTGTTGAAGGCTTGCAGCTTCCAGGGAAGGCTTGGATGGTAAATTGCAGTTAATTCTGGTCAATTTTAGCTTAGCACAGTAGCAGCTACCCATCCCCCACCCCCCAGCCCTTTGGCAAGCAGCCATGCACACATTCCAGGAGCAGCTTTCATATAGCTTGCAGATGCCAGGGTGAGTAAAAAGGACCCTTTCCTCCAAATATCAGGGATCTGGACTTTAATCACTGATTGCTGTTTCTGATTCACAAAGGTGCAGACAGAGGCAGGTAGCCATTGTTGACCTCTCCCAACTGTTGTATGCCCCTCCCCCTCCAGCTGAAGCAACTTCCAGGGGATTAAAAGGGCTGGCACCCCCTACTCCATTTATTTTTCTTTTTTTCCCCCTTTTCAGAGCCATATATTAATGACTAGGATGTTCAAAAGTAACAGGAGTTCGAGATCAGCCTGACCAACATGATGATGGAGTGCTGCTGTGTACACTAAACTTTATGGCTTGGCAGGTCAAATAATGCCCAGTTCATGAAGGGCAGCTCAGGTCACACAGTAATTGGTAGCCCATGGTCAAGCACTCAGGTTCTACTAAGGCCCAGTAACAGGCCAAGAGCTGTCTCTCAAAAGAAGAATAGTTATCTGCAGAAAATGGCAGGGTCCTGATCTAAAATCCTAAAGGGCTGCACTGCAGTTCACCTACAGGAGCCTTCCAAAGACTCCATCAGCATTCCTGTCTGCCACTGAGACTTCAGGCAATACTGGATCGGCTGGATCATATGGCCCCAGTGGCAAAGCAGCTTGCACAGCAGTATGGATCTCTTGCAGAGCCTTTTCCTGTTCTGGGCCCTACTCAAAACTAGCAGCTTTTTGGGTCACTTGGTAAATGGGCTAGAGTAACAAATCCAAATAAGGAATAGGTTGCACCTAAAATCTAAATAGGCCCACTAGAGGTTACAATTCTTTCTTGGCTGTAGGGGGGGCCAAAGGCAACAACTTATCCTTCACTTTGGAAGGGCTATCTCAGTATGCCTCACACAACTGAACCCCTAGAAATTTAATTGAGATAGAAGGCCTCTGAATTTTAGTCAGGTTTATCTCCCATTCTTGGACACACAACTGTTTTACAAGTCTAAGAGTAGTTGCCACTTCTCACTCACTAGGTCCAATCAGTATAATGTTGTTAAATCAAGTTTAGCCTAAACCTTCTTCCTTACATATTTTAACTTCAGCCTAAAGGTGTCTGTGTACATCATGAACTATAACCTAAATGGAGTTGTATATAGACCGTAGCCTACTCTTATATCAGTCAGCAAGTTTTGGCCAATCAAATATGGCCAACTGTTCAAACTGTGTTCAAATACGGGTAACACTGAGCTGTAACCAATTCATCTGTTTCTGTACCTCACTTTGATTTTCTGTGCACCACTTTCCTTTGTCCATAAACCTTCTGCTACAGGGGTGCACTAGGGTCTGAGCCTACTCTGGCTCATGGCACTGCCCAATTCACGAATCATTCTTTACTCAATTAAACTCTTTTAAATTTAATTTGGCTAAAGTTTTCCTTTTAACAATGTCATTAATGTAAAGGGCCAGTGTGATATTTTGTGGAAGGAAACAGTAGACAAGATCTCTGCTAACTAAATTATGACATAGGGCTAGAGACTTGATGTATCACTGAGGTAACATGATGAAGGTGTATTGCCGACCTTGCCAACTGAAATCAGACTGCTTCTGATGGGCCTTGTGTATAGGGATGGAGAAAAATGCATTTGCCATATCAATAGCTGCCCACCAGGTACCAGGAGATGTGTCAATTTGCTCAAGCCATGAAACCATATCTACAGCAGCTCCAAGTGAAGTCACCATTTGGTTAAGCTTATAATCCACTTGTTCTCTAAAATCCATCCATCTTTTGCATAGGCCAAATAGGAGAGTTGAATGGAGATGTGATGGGAATCACCACCCCTGCATCTTTCAAGTCCTTGATGGTGGCACTAATCTCTACAACCCTTCCAAGGATGTGGTATTATGTTTGATTTACACTTTTCCAAGATAGAAGTAGTTTTAATGGCGTCCACTTGGCTTTTATCACCATTATAGTCCCCACTCCACACACAGGTCAGGGAACCAAAGTAAGGATTATGCCAGTTGTTAAGTATGTCTACTTCCATTGTGCATTCTGGAACTGAAGAAAAAACTGCAGGATAGGTCTGAGGACTCACTGGATGTACTGTGCTAAACCTCCTAAAGCTAAAACTTTAGGACCTGAGCTAAAAATCCATTGATCACTTGACCTCCATATATTCCTATTGTGACTGGAGGGCCACAGTGATGTTTGGGGTCTCCTGGAGTCACTGTCAGTTCAGAGCCAGTGTCCAGTAGTCCCTTAAAGTTCTGATTCCTCCACCCGCTCCCTGCCCCCCACCCACCCCCCTGCCGGAAACCCATGCACGGTTACTCTGGTAAAATTGTGTAAGTCCCTTTGGAGAAGGCTGGGCTAAGCATTAACAGTATCAATTTTCAGTAGTGCACCAGGGTCTTCTCTTGATGGGACCTGACTGCTCTTTGTCCAAAGGGCTCTGGGTCTATAAACTGGCTAAACTCTGGGAATTGAATGGGGGTTTATGACTCTCTGTTTTATAATTCAACTTAGACTTTTTTTTCACTTAACCTGGAACTTTTCTGCTCATACAGACCAAGTAAGAATTTAGTAGGCTTCCTATCTATTTCACATCTAGGAACACCATGGATAACTAGCTAACACCATAGGTCCCTGTGTGTCAGACTACGGTGATTGCTGCTTTGACTCTGCTGGGCATTACAATAACTACATCCACTTTGCCTTTGTTACCTGAGTGCTGACCCTTGGCCCCTGTCACCCTGAGATCCAATTACTCTCACTCTGTTTACATTTTCCAACTGAATGGCTGTGGTTCCCTCTGTAAGGTCTATCCTATAGAGAAGAGTAATCATGGAGCTCTTCCAGGATGCTAGGGCTCCCCTTATGAATTTATTTCTCAAAGTATTGGTGAAAAGTATGTCTTCTGGACCCACCCAGTGTGGTAAATAGGTCTTAAATGACAAATCCACTCTAACATTTTAATCTCCCTAACCCTTTGAATCCATTCCTCTATATTAAATTAAGAGACATCAGTCATCTCCAACTCACTCTTGGTGGGCCACTTTTTGACCCATGTTTCAGCAACCAACCAAACTGTTAGAGCCCTTTCTAACTCTCTGATTTAGAAATAATGTAATATTTCTGTAATATTAAATGCAGAATCTCAACTTAGTGAGCCCATATCTATACATTCAGCCTGATTCAACTTTGTTTCTTCTACTATTCTCCTACACTCTTAATATTCATTCCCATATATGTTCCCCAGATTTCTCCTTATATAAATCAGAAAACTCAAGTAGTTCTTTTGGAATGTAGTGCACCTTCTCATGGGTCACACTTTTTAACTCAAAGTAGGCCCTTCAGGGATGGCAGGGGTAGATTAGATCCTGAGAAGAACCAGCACTGTCTTGCATAGCAACTGCCTCAGAGGAAGCCATTACTGCTTCCTCAGGGTTAAATACCTCAGACTGAGGTAGAAATACGGAAACCACTGTGGGTGGGAAGGCTGCTACCACCAGAGGTGGGGAGACCTATGCCATTTAGGGTGGGGAGGCCACTTTCACTGGGATTGGGAAGGTTACTTTTGCTGGGGATGGAGAAACCTCTTCCACTGGCAAAGAAGATGCATCAGAATTTAGGGTCTCAATGTCTGTAGCTTCATCAGGCTCTTCCTACATATCCCCATCCCATCTTACAGGATCCCACTTTTTCTCAACCAATGCCATCACTTTAACAGTAGATATCACGTGAGGCTGGGAGTTCAACTTGCTTTGTAATTCAGCCAATTGCACAATGAGATCCTGGGTTTGATTTTCAGCAATTTTAGCCCTGTGGCTACAGGAGTTAATGATTTCTTAGGGCACAACTACAAGTTTTTAAGTCATTTATACAGTGAGTGAGCTGGAAATTTGAATCCTGAGCCCCTCCTTTTCTTTTACCACTTGGTCCTACATTAGAAGCAACAAACCAATGTCATTATATTCCTTATTTTCCATTGTCCAAAAATGTTCAAAAGTATCATATACAGAGTTACTTAGCTCTTTGCTTCTTATTAGTTAGGAGTATCCAATGCAGATATTTTATATATCTCTAGAAACAGTTCACTCCCTGGACTATCAGTACTTTCTGTTCCTCTAGAACCACTCTCAGTACCAAAATATTTTATTGGTCAGAGTTCTCCAGGGAAAGAGAACCACTGGAGATTACACACACAAACACACACACACACATGCACACATACACACACCCACACACACATTGGGAATTGGCTCACATGATGATGGAGGCCAAGAAGTCCCATGATCTGCCTTTTACATCCAGAGAACCAGAAAAGCCAATAGTGTATAGTAGTCCCCACTTACCTATGGGTTTTCCAAGACCCCCAGTGGCTGCCTGAAACTACAGAGTACCAAACCCTATATACGCTATTTTTTCCTGTATATACATATTATAAAGCTTAATTTATAAATTAGGCACAGCAAGAGATTAACCACAATAACATAAAACAGAACAATGATAACAATATACCATAATAAAAGTTATGTGCTGTCTCTTACTTGCTCTAACGTTCTCAAATTATCATAGCGTACTATACACTCACCTATCTTCTTCATGTTATGATGTGAGATTATAAAATTTCTGATGAAATTTCCAGAAATAATTCATACATTTTAAATTACACACTGTTCTGAATATCATGAATGACACGGACATTGTGATATAAATGAAATTACCAGAAATAAGCAATTCGTAAGTTTTAAATTACATGCTGTTCTGAATATCATGATAAACTCTCACACTGTCCTGCTCTGTCCAACCCAATTACAATTAGTCACTTAGCCGTACAGGTTATCAGATCAACTGGCCCAGTATCACAATACTTGTATTTAAGTAATCCTTATTTTACTTAATAATGGCTCCAAAGCGCAAGAGTGATGATGTAATATTTTTGGACCTCTGTTGACTGCAGATAGCTGAAACTTCAGAAAGCAAAACCATGTATAAGGGGGGACTACTGAAATTTAGTCCATATGTAAAGGCCTGAGAACAAGAAGAGCTGATGTCCAAGAATAGAAAAAGATGGCTGTTTCAGCTCAAACAGAGAGAATGAATTCACTCTTTCAATGTGTGGTTCTATTCATGCCCTCAGCAGACTGGATGATGCCTGCCTACACTGGTGAGGGCAATCTTCTTTACTCAGTCTACTGATTTAATTGCTAATATTATCCAGTAACACCCTCACAGACACACCCAGAAGTAATGTTTTCACCAGCTATCTAGGCATCCCTTAGCTCAGTCAAGTTAATACATAACATTAACTATCACATAAGGATTCTACCCAGTGTTAGGGAAAGCATGGACCTACTGACACCTTGGTTTTTTTGTTTTTGTTTTTGTTTTTTGAGACGGAGTCTCACTCTGTCGCCCAGGCTGGAGTGCAGTGGCGTGATCTTGGCTCACTGTAACCTCCACCTCCTGGGTTCATGCCATTCTCCTGCCTCAGCCTCCCGAGTAGCTGGGACTACAGGCATGTGCCACCACGCCTGGCTATTTTTTTTGTATTTTTTTTTAATAGAGACAGGGTTTCACTGTGCTAGCCAGGATGGTCTCGATCTCCTGACCTCGTGATCCGCCTGCCTCAGCCTCCCAAAGTGCTGGGATTACAGGCATGAGCCACCGCGCCCCCCCGCCCGACACCTTGGTTTTAAACTGCTAGCTTCCAAAACTGTCAGACAATAAATTCTTGTTTTTTTGTTTGTTTTTGTTGTTTTTTGTTTGTTTGTTTTTTGAGACAGAATCTCACTCTGTCGCCCAGGCTGGAGTGCAGTGGTGCATCTCGGCTCACTGCAAGCTCTGCCTCCCGGGTTCACGCCATTCTCCTGCCTCAGCCTCCCGAGCAGCTGGGACTACAGGCCTCTGCCACCACGGCCAGCTATTTTTTTGTATTTTCAGTACAGACGGGGTTTCACCGTATTAGCCAGGATGGTCTCGATCTCCTGACCTCGTGATCCACTTGCCTCGACCTCCCAAAGTGCTGGGATTACAGGTGTTAGCCACCGTGCCCGGCCAAATTCTTGTTGTTTTAAGCTACCTAGTTTGTGGCACTTTGATACAACAGCCCTGGGAAACAAATACACCTTACTTGTTATCCACATGAAAAGATATTCTAGAGTCACTTTGTCTTATTTTGGGCAATAATTGGTAATTTCATTTGGTTTAAACATTTTTTTAATCCCAGTCCTAGAGTCAGTAATATCTCTGAAGAGCCATTATTCCTTGGAAAATAGTATTTCAAGATAATGATCTGGGAGCAAGAGGTGCTCCCAAATTCTGGAGCACTGGACTGGTCATGGTTTGTTTTAGCTTTTATGGGGACAAATATATTTTATAAGATGAAACATTGAGTTTGGGTTTTTTTTGTTGTTAAGAAAAGACATTTCCTGCTCTTGACTTGGAATCAGAATCAGACATTTCTCCACAGAGCACTGGTCTTGAAATCTTATAATTTAGGTACCAAATATACTCATTACTACTGTGTTGGTAATTGTTTCTAGGCCTCTTCAGAGCCAGCAGGGAATTTTGACAAAATTCACCATGATACTTCTAATTCAAATTCAGGACTACAGAATTTGTACTTATCCTCCTGTACCTTACATCTGCATCGTCTTTCTCCCATATGATAAGAGATTAGCATTGTGAATGAGTAAATAAGATTGCCCTCAATAATGCAGGTAGGCCTTATCCAATCTATTGAGAGCCTGGTTCTCAAGAACAATTGGGATTAGATAATTAGAACATAATATAATTACTCGTATTCTTTAATCCACATTTCACATAAAATTATCAAAATACATTTCCAAACATTATCACCAACAATACAAATGCAAACACTTAAATGTTTTTGGACATTTCTTTTTCTCCTTAAAAATATCCCACTATGGATATCTAGTCAAATTATTGTGTTTGAAAGTCACTTGAAAAAGTTCTTTGTGTGTTATGTAATATCCGGTTAGGTTAAGTAACTTAATTTTTAGTTTGGGGAATTGCTTTTCAAAAGTTGATTTTTAAAAAACTAAGTAAAATGTGTGTTTTCAGTCAAATCTAAAAAACAAAGTACATTTAAATAACGCTTTTTTTTCTGTCTTCTCCATACTCTTCTCTCCCAGTCCTTATAGGTAACCTTTAAAGATACATACATATGGTTTATATTTCCTTTTTTTTTTTTTGAGAGGGAGTCATGCTCTGTCACCCAGGCTGGAGTGCAGTGGTGTGATCTCAGATCACTGTAACTTCCACCTCCCTGGTTCAAATGATTCTCCTGCCTCAGCCTCCCGAGTAGCTGGGATTTCAGATGCCCGCCATTGTGCCCAGTTAATTTTTGTATTTTTAGTAGAGACAGGGTTTTGCCATGTTGACCAGGCTGGTCTTGAACTTCTGACCTCAGGTGATCTGCCCTCCTCAGCCTCCCAAAGTTCTAGGATTACAGGTGTGAGCCACCGTGTCTGGCCATATTTCCTTTAAAAAAAAAATAGTAAGCAAGTATATTACACACATTTTTGTATTTTCTCTTTTCTTAAATGGAGGCAAAGAATACTTTTCCACATCTTGCTTTTTTCATTCAGCATTATATTCCAAAGATCAATCCATAGTGGGCATATATATATATATATATATATATATATTCCTTATTTCTTCTTCCAGCTGCATAGTCCTCACCTGTGTGCATGTACTATAGTTTATTCAACCAACCTCCTTATATGGACATGTGGGACATGGACGTATTATATAATCTTCTTATATAAAATATTTACTTTTTATATAAAGTAAATATAGTTTATATGGTAGGATGGGTGTTAATGCAGTCCTACAACAAATAGTCTGAGGCATACATCTTTTCTTATTTTTGCTACAGTATCTGTGGGACAGAGTCCTAGATTTGGCATTGCTAGGTCAATGGGCAAATTCATACATAACTTTTACTACATATAGTTGGGCACATGTGTAACTAAGCAATCTGATATATTTAATCAATAAATCAGCTTTCAGCTTAAGGAATCATCTCATTATATTAACATACAAAAATTATGCTGTGGGCTGGGCGCGGTGGCTCACACCTGTAATCCCAGCACTTTGGGAGGCCAAGGCGGGTGGATCACAAGGTCAGGAGTTCAAGACCAGCCTGGCCAAGATGGTGAAACCCTGTCTCTACCAAAAATACAAAAATTAGCAGGGCACGGTGGCAGGCGCCTGTAATCCCAGCTACTTGGGAGGCTGACGCAGGAGAACTGCTTGAACCTGTTGGGGCAGAGGTTTCAGTGAGCCAAGATCGAGCCACTGCACTCTAGCCTAGGAAACAGAGTGAGACTCAATCTCCAAAAAAAAAAAAAAAAAAAAAAAATATATATATATATATATATGCTCCGTACTTATAACCAGCTCAAGTCTGACTGCTCATTGCTCAGAGGCTGAAAGCATGAGAAGCGACGTGTAGTGAAAGGAAAGCAACTTTATTCCAATGTTAGCAGTTGGGGGATGGACAGGCTCATGCCTTTAACAGATCACTCCAACTTTTTGGAGTGAGTGAAGGGGTTTAAGAAGCAAAAAGGTGTGGGAAATATGCAGGAGTAGCGCAGGAAGGTGTAGGTCTGTGTGTCTTCTTCTGACGGTCATCTTCAGTAACTGCCTGCCTGAAGGCCCAGTTCATGTCATCCTGACCTCAGCTGGTAGTGCTGGGCTAATGGTTCCTAATCCCCCTTGAGCAGGAGGATTCTGCAGTTGGGGTCTCTCTGTCTAGTTTGTTTCAAAATTGGCCCCTGGAATTTTTAAGCAAGCACATCATTAAGATAAGTGAGCCCTGTTCTCAGAAAAGGCTGGTGGGAAAGGGACAAACAGTTTCAAAGTATGTTTCAAGGCTGAAGGCAAGCAAGAAAGAAAAAACAAGTTTTAAAATGCATTGTGAGGCTGGGATGCTGTTAGATATTCACCACTTGAGTTATCAAAATTTGGCTGAGTTTCTTGTAAAGTAAGCATTGGCCACTGACATCATTATTTAAAAAAAAATTTTTTTTTTGAGACAGGGTCTCGCTCTGTCACCCAGGCTGGAGTACAGTGGTGCAATCTTGGCTCACTGCAGCCTCTGGGTTCAAGTGATTCTCGTGCCTCAGCCTCCTGAGTAGTTGGGATTACAAGTAGGCACCAGCATACCCAGCTAATTTTTGTATTTTTAGTAGAGATGGGTTTTCACCATGCTGGCCAGGCTGGTCTCAAACTTCTGACCTCAAGTGATCCACCCACCTCAGCCTCCCAAAGTGCTGGGATTACAGACCTGAGCCACCACTCCCAGCTGTTGTTGTTTTTTTGAGACAGAGTGTGTCTCCAGCTCTGGTGCCCAGGCACGATCTTGGCTCACTGCAACCTTTGCCTCTCATGCCTCAGCCTCCCAAGTAGCTGGGATTACAGGCACATGCCACCATACCTGGCTAATTTTTAGCAGTTTTAGTAGACACAGGGTTTCGCCATGTTGGCCAGGCTGGTCTTGAACTCCTGGCCTCAAGTGATCTGCCTGTCTCAGCCTCCCAAAGTGCTAGGATTACAGGCATGAACCACAACATGCAGCCATCATGATTAAAATGTAATGGTAGTGTTCTACAAAGTGATTTAAGAACATCTTTCCCCAGCTTTGATGATATTGGTGTAGCTGTTACAGTTACCATTAATAATAAAACACCCACCAAATACTTGTCAAAGCACTTCCTACTACCTTTGATTTTCCAACAACGATAGGTGGTGGTGATTATTTCACCTTATTGACACAGAATCATGGCACAATGTCACACAGGAATTTAGTGGCAAGAGTCAAACCTGATTCCACCAAAACTCCACACTAAGTTAATTTACTTTTGCTAAAAACTACAAACTGGTCTACACTTTGTTCTACAGAAAATAACTTAGAGCTGGTTGGTGTTTTAAGACATGAAGTAGCAATTTCAAACTAAGTTACAACAGACAAAGATAATTTAAAAAGATTTTAAAAAATCTCTTCATCACATGTATAGAACTAATTTGTATGGTCAGCAATTTCTTATAGCCACCATCAAAAATTTGTGCATGTGAAAATCGGCAGTTTCTTTGAAAATGACAAAAACATAGGTGAAATCTGAATGCAGTATAATTTTTTTTGGTAGGACTGAAATATGTATGCTTTCAACAGCTTAAATGAATGCTATGACTATGCACTACACTTTAAAACAGGGACTTTCATTAAGATTGGTAAACTTGCTTGGCACGGCGGCTTACGCCTGTAATCCCAGCACTTTGGGAGGCCGAGGCAGGTGGATCATCTGAGGTCAGGAGTTTGAAACCAGCCTGGCCAACAATGGTGAAACCCCGTCTCTACCAAAATTACAAAAATTAGCTGGGCGTGGTGGTGTGAGTCTGTAATCCCAGCTACTTGGAAAGCTGAGGCAGGAGAATAGCTTGAACCCACGAGGCAGAGGCTGCGGTAAGCCGAGATCGCACCACTGCATGCCAGTCTGGATGACAGAGCAAGAGTCTGTCTCAAAAAAAAAAAAAAAAAAAAAGAAGGAAAGAAAAAAAATGATTAGTAAGCTCAAGGCATCTTTCTTCTTCAATTCTGTATCCTCCCAAAGTGCCCAATACATACTGAGCATACATACATACATACATACAAAGTGCCCAATACACACTGAGCATACATACATACAAAGTGCCCAATACATACTGAGCATACATACATACATACATACAAAGTGCCCAATACATACTGAGCACTAGGGCCTAAATATGCCTCAAAACTAGTTTTGTTTTTTTTCTTTCTTCACTATTTAAGAAAATGGAGTTTGCTGGGAAGTCACAAGATTTTAGTTTAAGCCAATTTCCACAATCTTTTTAGACTCTTCTCTTTCTTGGCATTGTTGCTAAAATAGTCATTTGGACAGTAAAATATTTAAATGTTTGGACACAGAAGGTTTGCTGTCATTTTGTTGATGGTGTAGCAAAATTTATACATCGATTTTTTTTCCCTTTTCTTCTCTTGTTTTACAGTTATCTAGTGTTTAGGCTGCATATTAAAAGAAAGACGCAACATTTTAACTCCCAGTATAAATCATTTTGAAGTTAAAAAAAACACATAAACATTCATCACAAGGAGAGTACTATTATGTATCTATCTAAGTACATAGCTGCTACAAAGTGTAAGATCACAAACAGCAAATCCTGTATAAATGTTTTATATAGTAGAAAGAGCTGTTAAAGTTAGAAACGTCATTCAAGCTGTAGGAGACCAAGAATAAAAAGTTCAGATAGAAACAATTTAAATATGATGCTAAATGTAATCTTACTTGGGAGAAGTTTTCTCTCACAAATTTTGTTTTGTGAATTAAAGGGCTGCAGCTTCCAAGTATTCAGTCCTACAATTTTGGTATAACAGAAAATATTTCTTTCCGAAACTAAACTGGATGGCACACATATGTTGCAATGAAGGCATATAACAGCTATTGAGGGACTGGAAAACCAATATATTGGAATGGAATCCATGATGGCTAGATGCCAGACACACAAGCAATCTAAGTTCCTGGGTAAATATTAACCAAGTGCTTAGGTCTTGTTGCAATCTAGGTGTAAAGAGAGAAGCCAACTCAGAGCCTCCAGGGAGTCTGATGGTCTTAAGGAGGCCAAGACTAGGTTTTCTGCCATTTTAATCCAGTAACTACAATCCATTATTTCACAGATTAATTCTGTGAAGAGCAAACCTCGTAGCTTTTCTTCCCTGTCCTGTCTGCAGTGGTTTTAACTTTAATTGATGGCGAAACTACTCAACCTTTTAGTCAAGAATATCAATAGTAGGGGGGAAAACTAGGTGGAAGGTGAGGGATTCCATGTGCAAAGCGTTTGGGAGTATGTAATAGGGAGGTAACAAGAAGTCCTCTCAATATGTAGTAAAACTTAACAGGAATGGTATTGTTTAGTGTAAATTTTCGGGCTGTCACCTGAATATTAAATGAATTACAAATGTTGATAGAATCATAACTTTATATAATATACCAAGAACACTGATTTCCTGTGATTTTTTTCTTTAAGTGTCCCAGACCATGCAGCTGTGCAGGAAACTGGGAAGCAACTGTTAACAGGGGAATGGACTTGGCGTGAAAAGAAATGTCAAGGTTCATAGATATCCTCTACACCCATTCACAATCTCCCATTTTCTGAGTATTCAAGGCCTCTGGTTTCTCTAATCCCTTTCTTCAAGTCTTGGCAAGATGCATTTTTTTTCCTCTTTGGTAAGACGCCTTTGATATTCTTCAAATCTGGTTTCACCAGCACAGAACTTTGACGTTTCGTTTTGCTTTGTCTCTGGAAGACAAACTCCCTCACTCATCCACGCGACATTTCAAGTCCCTCAAAATTCCCAGGGACAAGAAAACTAGGTACTATGAATTCTGCCTTCCAAACAGCATTCTCTGTTCTGCTTGCAAGGTCGATATAAAGGCAGGATTTGCTTGGGCAGAACAAGTCAAAAGCTTATTGAATTGCACTTATTGAATTGAACATGGAACACAGCCGGCTTGCTCTCTTATAGCGAGAGGCCATGCGAGTTGGTGGGTCAAGGGCATGCATTTCAAAGTGATCAGTCACTATACGTTGGCCACATGGAGTCGCAGTATTTTGGCAATATTTTTAAAAACCAGGGAAAGTTACTGTGCTGTTACAATCCAAAGGCTGGTGGGGTTTTCTTCCACCCCGCATTTCCACTAGCGTGATAAATTATTTAAAGTACGTGGCCTAGTAGAGGACTAACCTCTGGGTAACATAAGCCTAGTCTTCGCAGCGTACCCACTGTGGAAACAAACGAATCAGACGTTACTAATTGTGGAATGTTAAAAGTAGGCCCCGATCGGCTTTTACTCCCTTTGGAAAATCCTACACAATTCTGCGCGCGAAAGACCCACCCTCGGTGAGGCGGTGAGGCGCGAACGCCGCGAAGCTCACAGTCAAAGCCTCGCTGACAAATCAAGAGATGACTCCGCATTTAAAACCTTCCCGAATAGGAACGCGCCAGAGGCCGGAAGCCACGCCACGTGACCAGTCCTCCTCCGCGGCCATTCCTAGCGAGGCAGTAGGCACCGCCTCTGTCACATTTCCTAGCTCCTAAAGCGCGGGACCAGGCGGAAACGTGCGACAGGAGGCGGTCCCACCTAGCTTTGGACTGGAGTGTCAGTAGAACTCCCGTCTTTTCCAGCAACGCTTTGCAAGTTCTTCACCGCAAAGAACTGCCGCAGACTTCCGCCTGGGTGCCAACCACGTGATCACGCGAGCGTTGGAGAGGCGTAGGTCCGATTTCACTACTTCACTCCCCGGGCTCCGCCAGTCCAGTACCCGCCACGGCGCGTGACAACGCGGCTCGCCGGCGGCCTCCGCCCCGGCGCGCCTGCGCACGCGGCTCTCGCGGTGTCTCGCGCTCAGCCCCGCCCACCTCTGCCCCCGCCCTTTCCGCCCCTCCCTCCCCCTTCACCCTGTCTCTCGGCGGCGGCGGCGGCGGCGGTGGTGGCTCGCGCAGCTTGTTGGCTCGCTATATAAAGGAGAGAAGCGGGCGGACCGGACGGCTGGAGCTGCAGCCGGTGGCGGCAGCGGCGGCGCAGGGAGCGGTGACCGGTGGTGGTTTCCCTCCTTGGCGCGGGGTGGGGAGCGGGCAACGCCCCCCGGACCCCTGAAGGGTCGTGGCTTTTTTTTTTTTTTTAAGGCGATTCTCGAGGTTTTCAGCTGCGGGAGGAGTGCCCCCCTCCTCCTCCTCTCTCCGCTCTCCCCTACTCCTTCAGGATTGATTTTGTTTAAAATTTTTTCCCCAATCTTGCGGTGATTTGGGTCACCCTCCGGGTGTTATAGTTTTTTTTTTTTTGGTTTTGTTTTTATCTTGTTTTCTTGGGGTTGCCCCCTCTTGTTTGTGTTGTGTGTGGAAATGGCGAACTCGGCAAATACAAACACCGTGGTAAGGACGTGGTTCGGTGGCCGGCGGGGGCTTCGTTCAGGCTGCAGCAACGGCCGGACCGGGCGGGGGCGGGGACGGCGGCGACTCCCGGCCTCGACTCTTCAGCCGCCCGCGCGGCCGCCGCCGCCGCCGCTTCCCGCCTCGGGCGGATCGGGCCGGAGCGCCGGGCGGCGGGCGCGGGGGGGCGCCGAGGGCTCGCGGCGCGGGGAGGGCGGGGGCGCCGGTGGGGCCTGGGGCCGCCGCGGGCCGGGCCGGGCCGCGGAGGCGGTTGGGCCCGGTCGGGCGCGCAGCCCCGGCCCCAGAACCCGGCCGCCGGGAGGGAGGGCGGGAGGGGAGCCGCCGCTTCCCCCCGAGGGGCCCGTCCGCGCTGGCTTGACGAGGGCTCCCCGAGTGGCTACAGAACAAAAACTGTGTGTGGGGAATCGGGCGAACCCCCGAGACCCATCGTGATCCACTTTAATGCAGTGGAAGATTAATGGTTACTTTGGGGGTTTCTTAGGTTGTTTTTGGCGGCTGTGCTTTGGGAACCTTCTCTGAGGCCATTTTATGTTTAAAAAAAGGACGAAGGTTGGTTGAAAAGCACTTATCTCAGTTCCTTCCGAATGGGTAAAATGGCGAAGGGGAAGACCCCCATCGTATCTTCGCCTAGCAGAAGCACCAAAACAAACAAAAAAAGCCTGCAGTGGTCCAAGTGTCCCCGCTTTCGCCTTGAAATTTACCTACTTCTTCCCGTTGGTCCCTTTTTGTTACTTGCGATCACGTAGGTTTGCAAAAAGCAGTCACATAAATAACCTTTTCAGTCACCAACGCAGTGTGATCACTAGTCCACCCAACTCTTATTTTTATGATGACAATAAAACACGTTTTTTGCCCGGTCCCAAATGCCGCAGACCAGCCCGCGGCCGCCCGACACCGTACCGTTGGCGACTCGGGTCTAACCATCATGGCTGCGGCCGCTTACCCTGCTTTTCAGTCCCTGAGCCTTGTGGTCCTCCTCCCTTTGGCTGCCCTGTTTATATAGAGCCATTGCCGCTCTCTAATATAGACTCTGCCAGGATGGGAAGGTGCTTTTCAGGCCTACGTCACCGCCTCTCCATTTAAACACCAGATCCGGCTTTAAATAGTGAGAGCTGCTGAGAGCGGGGCTGGGAGGTGCGTGCTCCCGAGGCAAGAGCCAGGCGTGTGCAGAGCTCAGTTTATTTCTAGGTCCTTTTTTCACCCTGTGATTTCGCACCCGTCGCGGGCTGCTTTCAGAGCCCCAAGTTTTGGTTTTGTTCCCAGCAGCAGCTAGGATTTGCCTTCTTTGTTTGCTAGGGGGAATATATCCGAATCGCTGTCCCTTTTTGTTTACAATTTTCAAAATTAATTATTTAAAACAAAGAGTTTTAGATCAGATGGTCTAGCCATTTTTCTTATGTGCATTATTTTCGGGAATTTAAAAAACTGCTTTCTACATGGAAAATGTTAGCTGCAGAGGACTTGGTTTTGGTAGTGTTTTGTTCAAGTATTCAGGAAATAATGTTAGAAATATAGCTCCTAATATTTCATTATGTTTTCCTATAGTAAATATAAAAGACACGAGGCTTTTCAGAGAAATAGATAAGTACCTAAAGCTTCAGTATAGGACCATTTATGTGTAGGAGAATCGTGAGTAGAGGGAAGAGACAGACTGCAAACTAGATTAAAAAAAAATCTAAGTAGAACTTTATTGCCTTGGATATTAACATGGGTATCCGGTATAAAAATTATTCCAATTTATTTTCCAGCATTGCATCAGGGAATTAACATTTTTGAAGGAAACCTAACAAATGACTTAATAATGCCACTAGTGGCCCTCTGATTTACCAGTTCTTAAGTTTGAAATAACCTGTTTTTTAAAAATTAGGACAAACTTAAATTGTATTTCGTGAAAGAAACTTTGCCTCAAGTATTAGTGTAGAATTTTAAGCAATAATTTAGAAATTGCTTATTTCAAATACTCCTATGTGCCCACATACTTTTCAAAAATTAGTATCTTGAAGGCTTTTCAAATTGTGAACAATTCTGCTAAATTACTCGTTAGGCATATATTTTGTGAAGAATACACATTTCCCTTCCTTCACCTATAGGGCTTATGAAGCTGTTAAGTGGTCAAGTTGTGAGTTCATTAAGGCACAAAAATAAAATCTTAATGATTTATTAAGTTGAGAGTACTAGAAGAAAGCAGATTTATACCTACACATGTCTGGATCTCCAAGCAAAAGGTTTTTAGAGGTAACTGACTTCAGAAACGCCAAAACACCATCTAGTTTACTGAAAAGCATACATATTGTCAATTTGAGATTTATACTCCCAATTTAAAATACATTGCCCTCCTAACGCCTCGAGGAGTAATTATTGGTTAAAAAAAAAAAAGCACTTTATAGAGATACTTTTGTAATTCAGTTAAGTCACTTTAGGCAAGATGATGTCCATAGTCAGATATACTTTCCTTATATATAGAATTAGAATGTTAAAGTAGGGACTATAGAAATGTGCATTTTACAGATGAATAAACTTCAAGAGGCGGATTTGGCAAAATAAAGCAGGTTAGTGAGTGAACAGTAAAGCAAGAACCCAGATATTTGAATTGGTTTTCTTGTAATGAGAAGGATTAAATAGTATTTAATGGTTGAGGTAAATTGTATTGACAAACTCATTTGTATTTGTTTGTTTTCTGAGACAGGGTCTGGGCCTGTCACCCAGGCTGGAGGGCAGTGGTGCAATCTTGGCTCACTGCACCCTCTCCCTCCTGGGCTCAAGCCATCCTCCCACCTCAGCCTCCCAAGCAGCTGGGACTACAGGCACGTGCCACCACTCCTGGCTAATTTTTTGTGGAGATTGGGTTTCACTATGTTACCCAGGCTGGTCTTGAACTCTTGAGCTCAAGCGATCCTCCCAAAATTGGTTTTATTTGATAGCGATTAACCTTAAGCAAGGTATGAAACAGAAGTAATGAGAAAACATCTAAAAAGCTTGTTAACCATAACCCTCTGATAATGGGGAGGATTTATAACCAGGCAACTCTAGTTTTGTCAAGGCAGCTCTAGTTTTGTCATCTGACATGACTTCCTTTTGTCTAACAGGTTAAAAATAGGATGTGGGGGAAAAAATAGGATGTGGATTGGGCTAATTGTTCTATCTCCCACTTTGTAGTTTTTAAAAAATATTTTATACTTTTTGAAAGTTCTTTCACATCTATTCTCATTTTACTCATTTTACCATTCAACCTTCTAGAAGCCAGCTTCTTTACTTCCCGCTCCTCCAAGTAGTATCAACGGTGCTAATTGTAATAATAATAGTAAACATTTAGAGGGTTCATGTTCATTATAATGTTTCATAGCATTACCTGGGCAGTAGTAGAGGAGAAATCCTGGGAAGGAAATCAGTATACCTTGTTCCTTGGGACCTTAAGACCTGCCATTGTGAGTGTATGAGTAGTTTAATGGTACAGCTTGAAAGTACAGACTGGGTCACACAACAGAAGTTAGGTGATTTTTAAACCTGAATGTTCATTAGGTTGCAGATTATTACCAGGCAGATGACTCCCGGACATAAGATTCTCCAAAGTCTAAGATACAGTGGTGAGGTAGTAAGACATACAACAGAGTTCAAACCAAGCATGGAATAGTAGAAGCCAGACATAAGCAACCCGTAAAGCTATTATTGAACATTACATTAGGTATTTTGACTACAACATAGGAAATTATAATTGGAAATTGTATGGACCTTGTAGTCTTAGGGGCCTTCTGTTTATGAACTGCATTAATCTTAAAATTTTTATTAAAGTGTGCAGTCATCAAATCCAGTTTATGGCAAATGATGGTGGTCGTATCTTTAAAGTCATATATAGATAGTTGGCAAAATGACTATTCGTTTTGAATTTGTGAAAACCTGTTATACATTATAAGCTGTGAAAAACTGTCTTTTTCAAGTCTTTTATTTTTCCTTTAAAGCCTAAATTATACAGATCTGTGATTGAAGATGTCATTAATGATGTGAGAGACATCTTTCTGGATGATGGAGTGGATGAACAAGTACTGATGGAACTAAAAACTGTGAGTTTGTCTTTTTTTTAAAATATTCCTACTTTTCCCCCACAAAACATTTTCTTTAGCCGGAGATGAATCTGTAATTTTTCTATAGGATGAACGTATAGTTGAGTGAAGTGTGCTGGTTTTAAATCCCAACTCTGCCATGCATTCTTCCTCTGACCTTAGGCAAGCTACATTTATATTTCAGTTTTCTTATACGTAAGATGGAAATTGGTAGTACTTACCTTATAGGTTTGTTTTGAGGATTAAATGGAATAACCATATAAAATCTTAGCACAATGCTTGATAGTAGCATTAGCAGTTATTATTGGATAGTTAACATTCTACATTTTATGGTCTAATTACTTGACATGTCTGGAAGAATTTTGTTGCTTTCTTTTTTCGTTTTTTATTTTTGAGACAGGGTCGGGCTCTGTCGCCCAGGCTGGAGTGCAGTGGCACAATCTGGACTTACTGCAACCTCTGCCTCCCAGACTCAAACCATCCTCCCACCCCTGGGACTACAGGCACATGCCAGCATGCCTGGCTAATTTTTGTATTTTTGGTAGAGATGGTTTTCACCATGTTGTCAAGGCTGCTTTCGAACTCCTGGCTGCAAGTGATCCTCCCGCCTCGGCCTCCCAAAGTGATAGGATTATGGGTGTGAGCCACAGCGCCCAGCCTTAATCTTATCTTTTTTTAATGGTCTTAATGTACCTGTATTCTAAAGTGTGTTTTAAGTTGTAGGGATTAAGTGCTTGATAAAAGAATTTTAGGTTCTTGAAGTAGACCCTTTATGTAGGCCGAATGTTTTGAATATATTTTACATTGAGAGCTGGTTTTCTGTATCTTGGATTCAAGTGGAAATATTTAGATTTTTTTTATTAGCAGTTGTGTTTTCCTTGCATTGTAATGACTCATGAAATTGTGGAATATTTTTGCCCTGTTGATTAGAATAGTGGTTCTCAAGGTATAGTTCATGGAGCCCTGGATTCTCCCCAAGGGTTCTTTCAGGGGGTCCACAAGGTTGACTAAATGCTTAAGTCTGGAAAATCATAGTTTGCCCGTCATTCTTTCAAGTAAAAGTTGTATTCTGTGAGAAAAGTGACCAGTTAAATTCACAATTCAAGTGCACAGGTGCTTTTCCTTGAGATAACTGTAAATAAGCAGCAGAAATGCTTTATGTATACTTCTCATTTCTGACAAACTGAATATTAAAAAGATGAGGACTCAATGTTGATATTAAGAAATTTGATTGTTTGATATTCCGTAATGAAGTGTGTTTACAGTTGAAAGATCCATATAATTCACTGAACTTGTATTTTCTGAATATCCAATGCATAATGTTGGAAAATTCATTCAAAATGCAAGATAAATTAATGGACTTTAAAAGTATGAAAAGTTCACAGTTATATGGTTTCATATTCTGCATTGTAACTAACTATTAAGAAACTGTCACTTAAAAGTACCTTTTCTTTTCCCAACTACTTAATTGTAGGAAGGCAGATTTTCTTTGTACACCTCCACCAAAACAAAGCAAAAACAGGGTCAGATACGAGAATCTAGCTATTTTCCTTTAAGTCATTTGTCATTCTCACTCAATTTTATTTACTAAAATATGGCTATTTTCAGAAAAATGTTATTTATGTTAACATATAATGGATCCATTATTTCTAAACAAATTAGTGAAAATTAAAAATTTGTTATAATTTCTATTAGTATAAATATAGGTGGATGTAATTCACATACAGAAAAGCTCTTTGAGGGTCTCAGTAATTTTTTTTTTTTTTTGAGACGGAGTTTCGCTCTGTCACCCAGGCTGGAGTGCAGTGGTGCTATCTTGGCTCACTGCAAGCTTTGCCTCCCTGGTTCATGCCATTCTCCTGCCTCAGCCTCCCAAGTAGCTGGGACTACAGGCGCCCGCCACGACGCCTGGCTAATTTTTTTGTATTTTTAGTAGAGATGGGGTTTCACCGTGTTAGCCAGGATGGTCTCGATCTCCTGACCTTGTGATCCCCCCACCTCGGCCTCCCAAAGTGCTGGGATTACAGACATGAGCCACCGCTCCCGGCCGGGTCTCAGTAATTTGATAAATCGTCCTGAGATGAAAGAGTTTTAGAACTGCTGGTTTAGAAGTTGATTATTAGGCTCCTTTAAATCTATGTACAAATAAATAATCACAGTTAATAAATGTTAAGGAACATTTGTTGTGGTCTCATCCATTCAGCATAGGTGTCGAGGCTGCAACTTGGCAACCAGTTGCAAATCTTACCTTGATTGCGGTGATGAGGTAGGTCTTGGCGTATTTATTAATAGGTATCTACAGGAAACTTCTCTAGAATTTTCAATAAGAATATTCCTGTGTGAGGAGTTTGAGACCAGCCTGGCCAACATGGTGAAACCCTATGTCTACTAAAAATACAAAAATTAGCTGGGCATGGTGGTGCGTGCCTGTAATCCCAGCTACTGGGGAGGCTGAGGCAGGAGAATGGCTTGAACCCAGGAGGCGGGGGTTGCAGTGAGCCGAGATCATGCCACTACACTGCAGCCTGGGTGACAGATCAAGACTCTGTCTCAAAAAAAAAAAAAACAGAAAAACCCAAAAATATTTCCTGTGTGAGGTAGGAAAAATATATAGGTGTGAAACAGATGAGCAAATATTTATTTACCTTGAGAAAAATTACAGGTTACTAATAGTGAAGAGTAGGTATCTAAAAATACAAGTGTAAGAGTGCTAATTCCGAGACATGAGTTGGAAGAAGAACAATATAAATTGTTCAAGTAGCATGAAGTAACTGAGGGATGTGAATAATAAGAAAACAAGCTTCTTTTGATTCCTTAGTGTAACGTGGAATGAGTTTTTTGCAATTTATGTTATACTTTTATAATGGTTGTCCTTGTAGTTTTGTGACCTTGTATAGAAGATGCAGCATTTTTAGGTGTAGAAAATCAGTTCTAAAGATGTTAGGTAATTTTCTCTAGGTCAAACTAGTGGTCAGTCTAGATTGTTATCTACTCTCGCTTTTCACAATGAAAATCTGGAGAATTTTCCCTATCGTTAATAGTAGAATCAAGACATTCTCTCGAAGAGAATGAGCATCTTTGAGACCAAATGTTTCCACCTCCATTTTTGTTATATATGACTTTTTTAGTACATATTTTATAGGTAACACACTGATTTTTAGTTTAATGGTTAGTTTTTAAATGACAAAAAATGTGACCTACTCAATTTTGAATCCCCAGCTTCTACCACGATGTCTGGGCATATGTGGTTGGCATTCAGTAAGTATTTGATTGAAGTGTTTGATAATAGATACGGCACCTGAATCTAACTGAACAAAATAGTGTAATATTCTTGTTGTTTTTAAATGGGCCATACTCTTCTATCTGGGTTGTATTGGAGTTAAAAATAAAACGGTTAGACTAAAATGAGTTTGTTATTTTAATTCTCTGCACTGAATTTCTTCAGGATCTCATTAGAATTTCTAGAATATGCCCTAGATTTAACAGCTGGACAGCCAGCATTGTCCAATAGAACTTTCTGCAGTGATGAAAGTGTTCTGTACCTGTGCTCTTCAGTATGGTAGCCACTAGCCACATGTGCTTATTAAGCACTCAAAATGTGGTTGGTGGAACTGAGGAACTGAATTTTTATTAATCTAAACTTAAATCACTACATATGGCTAGTTGCTGCCATATTGGACTGCTCAGGTTTAGACATTCTTGCTTAATAAAACGAACTTTAATTTCATATTTTATGGTTTAGAAAGCCTGTCATTAGCTCTAGCCCCTCTCCCTACTTTCTGGGGCCATTTTACAAACTTATCAAAAGCTTGTATAAGGCTGTAAAGGAGGCAGTGGTGAATTAGATTGAGAACAAAGATGAATGATGAGAATGCATGTAATTTGAGGGTTAATGAGGTAAGCAGAAAGGGAGATGATAAGAATATTTCAACCCAATCTTTGAGGTTATCTTTTGAAACACTGCAGGCCTACTTTAATGTGTAAACTGTGAGAGGTAGAAAAAACACAATAAAATACAGCCCTGGTTTTCAGTAAATCTATATTCGAATGTAAATGTGTTTTGGATTGGTGAGTGTCTGTGGGTGGGAATGACACTGTAGAAATTCTCTTCAAAGTGAATGATAAAATCAACCTGATTTCTAGATTTTCCAACCTACCTATGTCCAAATGTCAAGTACTGTGGGAGATATAAAACATTTTCTCTCTTTTTAATAAAACAAATGAGAAGAGTTGCCTCAATTGGAAGTATATCTGAAATTCAGTTTATCTGCCTCTGGTTCAGATTTCTCAACACTGGCATTATTGACATTTTGCACTGGTTAATTCTTTGTTGCAGGGGCTGTCCTATTGATTGTAGAATGTTAGCAGCACAACTGGCCTCTGCCCACTAGATGCCAGTAGCACTCTTCAGTTGTAACCAAAAATGTCTCTAGACATTGCCAGATGTCGCCGGGGGCCAAAATCACCTCTGGCTGAGAACCACTATTCTAAATATACTCTAGTTATATATATATATATATATATATATATATATATAAAGTACTTGATACACTCTAATTATGTGTAAATATTTGGACCATAAGTTGAATAATAATCTACTATTTCATTTCATTTATTCTTAGGGAAAGCTCTGTTTCTACAGCATTATTTCTTGGGAACCTAGAAGTGTAATATATTTTATCCAGGAGCTAGATGTTTTGTGAAAGTAGGAGAATCCTTCAGAATTTCTAGCCCACCATGTTGCCAGGTTTAGCCACCTAACCTCTGGGCTTGTGATGTGACGGGCTGCAGTGAAGGTCTCTGATGTGGCCTGGAGACATTTTCTCCATGGTCTTGGGGATTAACAGTAGGGGAGTGATAAGGGGATTAACTTGGGGAGCAGTAGGTCTCATCACATTTTATAGGTGAGAAAGTAGACTTGGAATGTGCTTTGACAAGGTCGTTTAGCTAATAAATGGTAGAGCCATGAACCTAGCCCTTTTGCCTCTATGTGACATATACAGTACTTAGCAGTAAGCAGGAAGGTAACAGAGTTTTGACTAGATCTTGGGTTGTTGGTGAATGGCACCTGAGATGGTTTTGATGGTCGGTGACCTGCTCTGATAGCAGCAGTCTAGTTTAGAGACTAGGAATTTGGACTAGTACTGGGATTAAAGGGAGGCAAGTGAGGGTCCTGGGGTACAGAATGCAGAGACATTCACTCTCTAGCCCTGACTGGGACATTGAAGTCAGACCACCTGGGTTATATCCCTATTCTGTCTGCCATTAGAGTGATCTTGAATAAGCTACCTAACTTCTTTCTTGTCAGATTCTTTTTCTGTAAAAGGGAGATAATAATGTCTATCTTATAGGATTTTTGTGAAAAAACTAGTTTGTACATGTATTTATAAAGTACACAGAATTTAGTAAGTTTTAGTTATTAGTCAACACAATATACAAATGTATACCTGAATCATTTTGGGAACAGAAGATGAATTTTCTCCATGTAATTTCAGATACCTGGCAAAGATTAGTATTCCTGATTGTTTTCAATACTATGTTAGTGGCTGGGTGCGGTGTCTTGGGTGCGGTGTCTCATGCCTGTAATTCCAGCACTTTGGGAGGCCGAGGTGGGCGAATCACTTGGGATCAGGAGTTTGAGAACAGCCTGGCCAACACGGTGAAACCCCGTATCTACTAAAAATACAAAAATTAGCTGGGCATGGTGGTGCATGCTTATAATCCCAGCTACTGGGGAGGCTGAGGCAGGAGAATTGCTTGAACCCAGGAGGTGGAGGTTGCAGTGAGCCGAGATCGCACCATTGCACTCCAGCCCGGACAACAAAGTGACACTCCATATCCAAAAAAAACAAAAACAAAAACGTATGTTAGTATGATTACTATTGCCAAAATAGTGTTTCATTGTTTATTTTATTTATTTTATTTTCATCATGTTGGTCAGGCTGGTGTTGAACTCCTGCCCTCGTGATCTGCCCACCTCAGCCTCCCAAAGTGCTGGGTTTACAGGCATGAGCCACCGTGCCCGGCCTCATTGTTTAAACAGTTGATGTCTAATATTTTGATAAATAAAATTAAGATTGTGTGAAAATGGAATTGTGGAGAAACTGTAAACATTCAATTAATTTGAACTTTTTGGTAATTGGCATTATAAGCTTAATACAAAGTATTTGTATGATACTCTTTTTGTATGTCTTACATTACCTAGAACCAGTATTATAGTACTTGGTAAATAATGATTTTCAATAGATTACCCGCCTCTCCCAAAGCTGTTGGAAATGTGTGGGGCCATGTTCAACATTTCATGAGGATTTTTCGCATTTATTAGGCAGGAGCCAGGAATGTTGCAATTCCTGCATATTTCTTGTGGGACCATTCTGTATGATAAAGAATTGTCCTGCCGAAAATGTCAGTAGCATCCTTATATAGGAACAGTATTCTAGAAGACAATAGTTTTGTTTTCCCTTCTTTGAAATTAGATCCTGAATAAGACAGTTGCTGCCCAGAAGATGTTCATACTTTGGTAGAAATGGTAGACTTTGTGTGGTAAGTACAAAATAGAAATGTCTTTTATGCATGGAGGCAGTGAGTGATGGCTTTTCTTTGAGGCTGTTGAGACTTTGACATTTGTCTTGTATAGGGAATTGTGGGAGAAAACTGCTGATCGTAAGGAATAGTCTATTAAGGTTACGTATGCTATATTCAGGGACCTCCAAGTAATTTGGTACTGTGAGAAAATAGAGTACAAGTTATAGTAGCAGTTGGTGTATGGTAACATGCTATACTAAGGAGCTTGGTCTTTAGTGTGAGGATTATCTGGGGTACTAGTTAAAATGCAGATTTTTGGATTTTCCAGAGAGTCTGGCTCGATAGGGTAGTAAAATGAGACCTAGGAATCTTTTGCAAATAAGTATTCCAGGTTGTTAGATGGTGTATTAGTTCATTTTCACACTGCTAATAAAGACGTATACATACTGCTGATAAAGACGTAACCCGAAACTGGAAACAAAAAAAGGTTTAATTGGACTTACAGTTCCACATGGCTGGGGAGGCCTCAGAATCATAGTGGGAAGTGAAAGGCTCTTCTTACTTGGCAGTGGCAAGAGAAAATGAGGAAGAAGCAAAAGCGGAAACCCCTGATAAACCCATCAGATCTCGTGAGACTTATTCACTATCACAAGAATAGTATGGGAAAGACTGGGCCCTATGATTCAGTTACCTCCTGCTGTGTCCCTCCCACAACATGTGGGAATTCTGGGAGATACAATTCAAGTTGAGATTTTGGTGGGGACACAGCCAAACAATATCATTCTGTCTCTGGCCCTCCAAATCTCATGTCGTCATATTTCAAAACCAATCGTACCTTCCCAGCAGTCCCCCAAAGTCTTAACTCATCTCAGCATTAACACAAATGTCCACAGTCCAGAGTCTCATCTGAGACAAGGCAAGTCCCTTCTGCCTATGAGCCTGTAAAATCAAAAGCAAGCTAGTTACTTCCTAGATACAATGGGGGTACAGTTATTGGGTAAATAAAGCTGTTCCAAATGGGAGAAATTGGCCAAAACAAAGGGGTTACAGGGCCCATATAAGTCCGAAATCCAGTGGGGCAGTCTTACGTTAAAACTCCAAAGTGATCTCCTTTGACTCCAGGTCTCACATCTAGTTCATGCTGATGCAAGAGGTGGGTTCCCACGGTCTTGGGCAACTCTGCCCCGTGGCTTTGCAGGGTACAGTCTTGCTTCCAGCTGCTTTCGTGGGTTGCTTCCAGCTGCACTCACTGGCATTGAGTGCGGCTTTTCCAGGAGCACGGTGCAAGCTGTTGGTGGGTCTGCCATTCTGAGATCTAGAGGACTGTGGCCCTCTTCTCACAGCTCCACTGGGCACTGCCCCAGTAGGGACTCTGTGTAAGGGCTCCGACCCCACATTTCTCTTCTGCACTGCCCTAGCAGAGGTTCTCCATGAGGGCTCTGCCTCTGCAGTAGCAGACTTTTGCTTGGGCATCCAGGCGTTTCCATACATCTTCTGAAATCTAGGTAGAAGTTCCCAAACCTCAATTCTTGACTTCTGTGCACCTGCAGGCTCAACACCACAGGAACGCTGCCAAGGTTTGGGGCTTCCACCTTCTGAAGCCACAGTCTGAGCTCTATGTTGGCCCCTTTCAGCTGGAGTGGCTGGGACACAGGGCACCAAATCCCTAGGCTGCACACAGCATGGGGACCCTGGGCCTGGCCCCTGAAACCACTTTTTCCTCCTGGGTCTCTGGGCTTCTGATGGGAGGGGCTGCAGTGAAGGTCTCTGATATGGCCTGGAGACATTTTCCCCATGGTCTTGGAGATTAACATTAGGCTTCTTGCTACTTATGCAAATTTCTCCAGCCAGCTTGAATTTCTCCTCAAAAAATGGCTTTTTCTTTTCCACAGCATTGTCAGGCTGCAAATTTTCTGAACTTCTATGCTTTGTTTCCCTTTTAAAACGGAATGCTTCTAACAGCACCCAAGTCACCTTTTGAATGCTTTTCTGCTTAGAAATTTCTTCTGCCAGTTAACCTAAATCATCTCTCAAGTTCAAAGTTCCACAAATCTCTCGGGCAGCGGCAAAATGCCGCCAGTCTCTTTGCTAACACATAACAAGGGTCACCTTTGCTTCAGTTCCTAACAAGTTCCTCATCGCCATCTGAGACCACCTCAGCCTGGACCTTATTGTTCATATCACTATCAGCATTTTCGTCAAAGCCATTCAACAAGTCTCTAGGAAGTTCCAAACTTTCCCACATTTTCCTGTTTTCTTCTGAGCTCCCCAAACCGTTCCAGCCTCTGCCTGTTACACAGTTCCACAGTCGCTTCCATATTTTCAGGTATTTTTTCAGCAATGCCCTGACTCTACTGGTACCAGTTTACTATATTAGTTTGTTTTCACGCTGCTGATGAAGACATACCCAAAACTGGGAACAAAAAGAGGTTTAATTGGACTTACAGTTCCACATGGCTGGGGAGGCCTCAAAATCATGGCGGTAGGTGAAAGGCTCTTCTTACGTGTTGGCAGCAAGAGAAAATGAGGAACAAGCAAAAGCGAAAACACCTGATAAACCCATCAGATCTCCTGAGAATAGCGTGGGAAAGACCGGCCCCCATGGTTCAATTACATGTCCCTTCCACAGCACATGGGAATTCTGGGAGATACAACTCAAGTTGAGATTTTGTTGGGAATACAGCCAAACCATATCAGGTAGGTAGGTAGGTAGGTAGGTAGGTAGGTAGGTAGGTAGGTAGGTAGGTACGTAGGTAGGTAGATAGATAGATATATTAATTACTTTGCTGTGGTTCCAGTTTTTAAGCAGAGGATATCATATTTATAAATTTAAAAAAATTCGCCTTGATAACAGTGTAGAACAGTGTTTCTCAAACTTCTTGACTAGGACCCTCCTTAAGAATTAATAGTATTTAACATTTTGAATAAATACATGCGCCAGTGTATGTGTGTATAACAAAAATCTGCAAAAGTTTTTTCTCAGTGTAGTACAGTCTGATTTTTTCTCAGTTCTATTTTGTTTACAAAAAACATTCTTAGTGGAGAGAGGGAGGGAGAAGGGGAAAGAGAGGGACGGAGAAGGGGAGGGAAGGAGAGAGAAAGAAAGGAAAGGGAGAGAAGGAGAGAGGGCTACAAAGAAAATTCTAAATTGACTATGAATCACTAGTGGGTTGCAGTCCTCAGTTTGAAAAACATCGGTCTAGATTTTAAAGCGGTTCTCACTTTAGCATACATCAGAATAACCTGAATAACCCCCAGAGCTGCTGATTCAGTATTTTTAACAAGTACCCAGGTGATGCTGATGTTGGGTCTAGAACCGCATTTTGAGGATCACTGATTTATAGAGGATAGATTGGAAGGGCAAGTGTCCGCTGGAATGTCTGCTCTGTAAGGTCGAGCATTTTTCTCAGGTTTGTTCACTGTATCTTCTCAATGCCTGTAACAGTGTTTGGCATATAGGACATAATTATTTGTGGACTGTATGACTTGATGCAGGAAACTCAAGAGTTGAGTCACTACATTACTACTGTTTGCAGTACTGCTGGGCAGAAAGGACCAGGGCCATGTCATAGAGATGCATTGGAACACTGAATCAGAATAGACAATAATGGTGGGCTGTTGGGGTAGATTCTGACTCCTAGGTCGTTTACATGGGAGTCTAGGTGAGTCATGGTGCCCAGTACTTAGCCACACATGATGTGTATTCATTAATGTTTACCATTATCATAGGAGCTTCGTAGAAGTGATGGGTCGAGATTGCTGTGGGTAAACCAGTTGGAGGTGGTAAAAGTGAAGCATAAAATTTAGAAAATTATGATTTCAAAAACTTTTTAAACAAAACATTAATAAGACTTTTTTTCACCTTGATTTTTGGCTCACAAGAAACAGGCTTTGTTTTGTTTTGGAAGAGAGGAGAAGATGTAGAAGGTTTGGGTGATAACAGAGTGTTTGGAAGCCTTACTATATATAATACATTAGTCATAATGTGTTTTATTTAGCATGTGAGTGTCTATTTTGATGGTGCGCTATTCTAGATGCCTACTTTACAGAGATGAATCAGACACAACATGGGATCTCAGAAAGTAGTGCTTGTTACTACGGGAAGAAGCGCTGTCTTTCGCCTGGGATTAGCAGAGACTTAAATTTATTCACTGGAAGTGAGTTTAGAAGTAATCTTATTCAGTTGGTTCCCCTTTTGGGTGAAGAAGATGCCTAAGAAAGATAAATGATCAGGTTACATAAATGGCCAAACCAGGACTAACTGGGTTCCTGACTTCTGGTGTAAGGCTCTGTTAAACAGTTAATGCCACCACCACTGCCACCAATAATAATATATTTTGATCACCAACTTTATGTAACACTGATAATTGTTTTACATAGATATGTCATTTAATCCTCTCAACAACCAGTGAGATAGATCTTGTTACCATCTCTCTAAGAATAGACTTCAGGTAAGTCTAAATACTGGGCCTGCCAGTAAGATTCCCTAGGAAATTGACCTTAACATTTGCTTTCTCAGTAAGCCATTAGAGATTTAGTGGAACTGTTACTAGCATCATGACAACAAATCTAGAATGTCTGGAATGATTGGAAGGGTCAGAAGATTATAAAAAATCTCTGTGAGTATGACCAGGCATGGTGGCTCACGCCTATAATCTCAGCTCTTTGGGAGGCCAAGGCGAGCAGATTGCTTGAGCCCAGGAGTTCGAGACCAGCCTGGGCAACATAGTGAGATCTTGTCACTATTTCTTAAATTAAAAAAAAAAATAAAAAAATAAAGAAACTCTCTGTGAGTATGGCAAAGGGAAGTTCTTGAAGGATCTGATAGAAGCTTCAGGTCAATTAGGCAATATGCCAAGAGCAAATCCTGGAGGAGAAGACAAAGTATGTGTAGATCCTTGTGTACAGAATGACCAAATGAAGTTTTATCTGTATTTTCAGGGAATAGTTTGTGACTTTTTGGCCAGTTTCTTAAAAGGTAAAGGCTCTAGATTGAACACTAAACCTGGTAGAGAGGAAATGTGTTAGGTAGAAGAATGAAATCGTTGCACATGTTTTCTTTTCTTTTCTTTCTTTTTGTCCATTATGATTTTTCCCATCATAGAACCTAAGGTGAAATGAGAAAATAGAAATGGCTAAACAGAAAAGGATTGTCAATTGGCGTAATGGAAGAAGGAAGGACATTTCAAGAAGTGTGGAGAGTTGGGATAACTACTAAGACCTTCGGGCGTTGCCGGTTCTTTTTCTTTATGTAGGATTGGACAGATGGAAAGTTAGGCTTTTCTTCTTTGGGGGATTGCATCTATGTATCTCACTGTTGTAAATGAATTTATGTTTTGTATGTTATTTAAGAATTTATGTTTTATATGTTGCAGAAAATTTTGTATTTTCTATTTTTATAAGGAAAAAGTTCCATATAAAAATAGTTTAGTAATGGTTTTGCTATTATAAAGGATAATCTTTGATTACTAAAGAAGTTGCTTGTATGAAACTCATCGCTTAATAATAACTGCTGATTAAGGAATTACTATAGAAAGTTCATTGGAAGATAAAAAAAAGAAACAAAATCTTCAGTACTCTGATGTGGCAAAAATGAGGTTTGATACTTTAAAATTTTGTTTTTGTTATTGTTTCACTTGGGTTAGAATTACAGATTTGTTGTATTTCTGTGTCTGTATCAGTTTTTAAAATGGAATAACTTTATAAAGAGATTAATAAAACTGTTGTATTCATCTGTCCAGAGTTATTTTTCACTTAGAAATCTTTAATGTTCTTTGCCTTAGTTATGGGAAAACAAACTAATGCAGTCCAGGGCAGTAGATGGATTTCATTCAGAAGAGCAGCAGCTTCTACTGCAAGTTCAACAGCAGCATCAACCCCAGCAGCAGCAGCATCACCACCATCACCATCATCAGCAAGCTCAGCCTCAGCAGACAGTACCTCAGCAAGCGCAGACCCAGCAGGTTCTTATTCCTGCATCACAGCAAGGTGAGACTGGACTTGTTTTCCTACTTATGACTTGGAAATTAAGTTTGTCATTATGAAAGAAGAGAAATATTCTGCATTTTTTGGATCTTGTCTTTTAAGGGGCACATGGAGAACCTAAAAATAAACAAAAACCCCTCTGTTGATTTCGGGCTTTTTCCCCCCTTTCTCTTGGCTGAGGGATGTGTATGTAAATGTATATAAATTTGTATACAATGTAGGTTGTATCTGTAGAGTAATGGTAGACAAGTAATTTACTAATTGAAAGCCTAAGATATTCAGAGAAGTTATATTAATATTTTGTTTTGAAAAGGCTATATAGTGATGGATTTCCTAAGTTAAATCTAAAAGGTTTATTTACTAAGGGATTTATTATTTTATATGGTACAATAGTTATTTGCTTTCTCTATAAAACATGTTCTTTCAAAGACATGTTTCAGATTAGTTTTTAAAATATATCTTACATTCTGGAGTTTTTTGTATACTTTGGCAATCTGAAAATTCAGCTCCATAGGAATTTATGTAAGCCTAAATGGACTGAATTAGATTTATTTTAAGTTAAGAGTGGATATATAACATATCTTAATTTATATTACTTGGATTAAAGCTAAGAAAAAGCAAATATTCATAGACTGTGTCCATAGTGCCTTGTACTCTGCAAGTCATTTTATAGATACTGTTTCACTGGCATCTTATAAGGGCTTTGTAAAATAGCCCTTGGCTCAGTTTTACAGCTGAGGAAAATCTGAGCCCAGAAAAGGCTAAGAAACTTGATCTGTATTTTCTCTCATGACAAACATCTATTCAGTTATAAAACTTCCTGAGCATTCTAATTCAGTGCATCTGCTTTTATGGGAGAGGACACTAGAAGTAAATGAAAAGTTCATTTTAATATCATTTAGTTACTCATTTGCCTCATTTGACAGTATATATATGTGTCTTAAAATTGGTAATGACACACAGTAGAAGAGTATTTGGGTTATTTTACTGTTGATATCTAGTGGTACTTTTCATACCTAATTTTAATGTGTACTTTGTATCAAATAATTTTATCCTTTTATTCTTTTTTGATGACTGTTCTTCCTGTTGCCTTCAGACCTGGCATTAGGATTTTAGGTCATCATAAATTAAAATTTGATTTTCTTCACTCAGAGAATATTAGGATAATGGAGTTATCTGTTCTCTGAAATTTGCGGAATCAAACATGTAATTCCTTTTACGCTTAAGTAACATTGCCATTATTTCTGATTTGTATTTTTTCCGACTTTTGCCGGTTTACCACTCTTCAGGCAACCTGGTGGTCCCCTGCTTTCAGGAGGCCACCATATTGATGCCGAACTTATTTGGACACCTGATCAGCATAGCACATACAGCCCAGAACTCCTGGGCTCAAGTGATCCTCCCACCTTAGCCTCCTGAGTTGCTGGGACTACAGGCATGCATCCCTGCACCCGGCTGATTTGTATTTTTTAAACAGCTGATGAAAGTGGCATGAGTCTGTCAGCTGTCATATTTGGAAGAAAAGGACTATGTAGATTTCAAAAACTAGTCACAACTTTTTGAGCTTACTTTTATTGGATTAGTAACTCATTGTAACAGTGGTATCATTGTATCAGTAAAACAGTTAACCTTGAGTTAAGACAAAATTATGTTTGAAAATGTCCAGTTTACTTAAGAATGCATAGAACTATTTATGTTTAGATGTTAAGGTAACTCACTACTTCATGTTCCTAAATTCCCTTGCATCCTTAGGAATTGCCACTTAATTTTTTTTTTTTGATATGGAACCTTGTCACCCATGTTAGAGTGCAGTGGCGTGATCTCAGCTTACTGCAACCTCCAGTTCCGGAGTTCAAGTGATTCTCATGCCTCAGCCTGACACCCAACTAATTTTTTTGTATTTTTAGTAGAGATGGGGTTTCACCATATTGGCCAGTCTGGTCTTGAACTCCTGACCTCAAGTGATCCACCCGCCTTGGCCTCCCAAAGTGCTGTAATTACAGGTGTGAGCCACCACGCCTGGGCTTAAATATTTTTTAATGTTTTCTAGTATAGGGTGGGTATATCACAGCTGTTATTTGCCATATACATTTATAATGTCCTGAGATGAAATGATTGAAAGCATTTGAGTGCAGAAAACATGAAAAACATGAAAAAAGTTTTCATCATTGTATGTAAAGTGTTCTTGTGATTATAAAATAGCCTCATGGTTCCTTGTTTGCATGTTCGCTTGTTTTTTTGTAGCCACAGCACCACAAGTTATTGTTCCAGATTCTAAGTTGATACAGCATATGAATGCATCAAACATGGTAAGACTCAGAATGTAGCAGTTTGATTGGCTGTACTTAATTCTAACCCACATTGTAATTATGCCTATATATGTCCTATATTAACTACTTGAAGTTTATTGAAGACTCAAGCAAAACAGCTGTTTTAGTTTCCTGAATATTGGATCTGAAGTTTAGCTTGGTACCTAGACATTAAGGTTCATAAAATTACGGAATTGTTTAAGAATACCAAAAGAATGGTGCTTTGTGAGAGTTATTCCATTCCCTACTATTTCCGAAAAAGTTTTAGGGTACCTACCAAGCTTATAATGCCAAGTATGGTTCTGTTTCAGGAGACCTAGTAATTGCAAGAGGGTGGGAAGGCTAAGAATTGTGAACTTTTAAAAAATGAAGATAGACTGGATAGTTCAGTATAACTATTTTTAAAATCAAGCATTTAAAAATATTACTCTGACTTAACCATAGTATAGTCTAATAAGTCATTATAGTGTGTAAATTACCACAGAATACATTTTAACCAGCTGAGTTATATTAGAATTTTTATATTTCTGAGGACTATCCACTAAACTTTACAAGTCCTCACTCATATTTTCAAATTACATTTCAGACATATAATATTTCTCAACAAATGTAGTATAGGTTAACTGTAAACTTGAAAGAACCTCTTCAGATCCTTAGAAAATCTTTACCTATATCCTTGAAGTTGTTTTTTGTTTTTTTTTTTTTTTTGGATAAAACATTAAAATATAGTCAGATTAGAGTAGTTCAATACTTCCTTATAAATGGTTTTTCTTTATTCTGTTTAAAATATACAGACTGTTGATTTCATTGAGTGGTGACTCAGCTCTTACATTTCATTCTTCAGCCAAAACTTTTATTTAAAGGTGAAAGAATCAATATTTGTAAAAAGATCTTTTAACCTATGTAACTAGTTAGTACTAGAAATGAGATTTTTTTTTCCCTCCGTTCAAGTTTTTTTTTTTTTTTGAAGATGGAGTCTTACCCTGTCACCCAGGCTGGAGTGCAGTGGTGTGATCTTGGCTAACTGCAACCTCCGCCTCCTAGGTTCAAGTGATCCTCCCACCTCAGCCTCCTGAGTAGCTGGGAGTACAGGTGTATGTCACCACACCTGGCTAATTTTTTTGTACTTTTAGTAGAGACAGGGTTTCACCATGTTGGCCAGGCTGGTCGCCCAACTCCTCACCTCAAGCGATCTGCCCACCTCGGCCTCCTGAAGTGTTAGGATTACAGGTGTGAGCCACCACGCCCAGCCTCAAGTTTTTTTTTAAACCAAAAAGCAGTGTATGAAAAGATGAGTTCTACTTTGTGAGTGATACTGAATCACAAAGTTCATTTGTGGTTTATAAGCCAGATAAGAAGGGCTTACCCACTAGACAGATGACTTCCTCCTACACATTACCAGCCTCACAAATTCATACTGTGGCAGAATTGAAAGTTTCTACATGATAGTAGAAATTGCAGTTTTTAAATTCACAAATATCGAGGATCTCTGTTTGTACTTGTAGTTGCAGTTTCTAGAATCTTTTCGTTTACATGAAAATAAAAAATTTCATGCCTGTTATTTCTCACAAGATTTTTTATTGGAAAAAACTCCATTTTAAGTCTAAGGCCCCAATTTTTTTTAACCTCCACCCTTAAAAAAAAAAAAGTCTCACTATATGTTGCTTATTGTAGTTGATGTTATTAAGACTATATCCTAGGGAATAACTCACATTATTTTAAAACAAATTTTGGCAGAGTCTCTTGTGGTAGGCCCCTCTAAAAGAATTTTAAATGTTGTGGAAGAGAATTTTGAATTAGTAAGTTATTTCTGGGATAAAAATTAGTGGTCCATCTCTTACTTACTGGTTAAGTCTCCTTTATTCTAAAGAGCATATGTATTTAAACAAATCATAGGTCAGTTACTCAGGAAAATTGATTTAACATTTCTGTATATTTTACATTTTACTTTGTTGTTTTTAGTCAGTGTTTCCTTCATGTATTTCTGAACATAATCAGTATAGGCTCTGTACCAATAAAAGTGTTTTAGGTTTTTGTGGGTTTGCATTATTCTGATTTAGAAATAGCAAAAATATATTTGTTCTTTCTAATGGCTCTGTTTGCATTAGAAATGAACTAATCATAAAAACGTGAGATAATATAGTAGAAGGCTATTTCAGGGAACTTCTAGAAAACCATTGTTTTCGGTTCTTTTTTATGAAATGATTGGTCTAATGCATTATTTGTGTTTGGGCTGTTTTGTGGAATACAAGAAGAAATTTTAATAGTTATTAAGTATAAGGTGGTTAGTGTATGGTACATGACTCAGCAAATATATGTTATGCAGCTTGAATTTGTGGAGGGTGTGCAGGTAGTTATTGGGTCGTGTATTCTATATGGAAACTACTATGTCAGTTTGCTGGTAGAGGGAGAATTGCTGTCTTTCAAAATATGAATTATAGGCACTTAATATTTCTAAATATTTTTGTTTTTTTCTTTTTAAATATTTCTTAATAGTATGTGGTGGTTAATATTTTCCTTAAACTTAGATAACCTTTAATTTGCTTATATAGCCAAGTTTTATTTTAAATTGGGTAATTGAGTATCCAACTTAAATACGAATCACCCGGGTGGGCTATAGTTAAATTCTGGAGACACAGTGGGAATTTCAGGCCCAAGATGTAGAAATTACTTAGGTTTGTCAAGTGGCAACAAGTGTATTTTCTTGGAAAGCTATGTACCTAGAGCCCAGACTAGACAGTAGTTGAACTATTAACTCAGTTTAATAATTTTCTAAGTTTGTTGACTTCTCTGACACTAGCATTTCCAAAGCAGTTATATTTATTTTTTTAAGCTTTTTCAGATATGGGTAGTTCTAAAACTGTATAGGTTAGATTGAATGTATGAATGGTTGGTAGCTAAAGAAGATTGAAAAGAGAGGGAAAAAACTACCAAAATGTGTAGCTATAGCGGGATACAGGAAAATACTTAAAGTGCAGAATAAAAAACCAGAGAATGGCATAATTCTTTGCGGGAGGACAGGAGGAGAAAACTCTCCAGAACTCTCCAGGAAGTCAAGAATTTGTCCTGGATTTAAAGAAATTCATAATATAATCCCGTCTATATCTTTATAACTTAAGTGTCACATACTAACTTGATTTCAAAATGTTGAAACTAAAGTTTGTGACTATTGCCCAGGCTGGAGTGCAGTGGCACAATCTCGGCTCACTGCAACCTCCACCTTCAGGTTCAAGCCATCCTCCCACCTCACCCTCCCAAGTAGCTGGGACTACAGGTGTGCACCACCCTGCTCAGCTAATTTTTGTATTTTTTGTAGAAATGGGATTTCACCATATTGCCCAGGCTGGTCTCAAACTCCTGAGCTCAAGCGATCTGCCCACGTGGGCCTCCTAAAGTGCTGGGATTACAGGCGTGAGCCAGTCTGCCTGGTGTGACTTTTCTTAAGATTTACAGATTTTTTGTATTAATCTGTTATTAATGCATGTTTCACCTAGAATATAATGCCAGTATGTCCCTTTTTTCTTTGCTAATATGACATCTTAGAAGAATTGTCAGCTGTACTCCCAGTGAAGTCTTCTGATACAGTGTTCTTTATAGATATCTGTTGATTTTAGTAGAAATTTTAAAAGTTAAGAATTCTAAAAAGTAGATAATTATACTTTTATCTCAAGGAAATGGGGATAAGGAAACAGTGGGAAAGGAAGCAATAATGAAATAGCCATTTCATATATTGTACAGCATTGTTAATGTGGGTATTGTCTAAAAATGTGTAGGTTAGATTGAGTATAGGAAGGCTTGGTACCTTAAAGAAGATTGATGGGACAAGAAGGAAAAAAAAACTGCAGTACCTGTGAGATTTACTTAGAGCACCTTCTCTAGGGGAAAAAACCCAATTATATTGTTGTATTTAACTGCTTAAAATAATTTAGTAGGTTGGAGGCTAGGTTGGTCAGTCTTGTACCATTTTATAAAATGGGATTTAGCCTTACTAGATTTTTTAAATTTTGGTATATTCTAAACAAAAAGTTTCATACACTATTAAAATATGCTAGAGAGAAACAGTATTATACATGTATGTGGTTTTGATATTTTTTCTTTGTTTTTTTCAGAGTGCTGCTGCTACAGCTGCTACCTTAGCACTCCCTGCAGGTGTGACTCCTGTTCAGCAGATATTAACAAATTCAGGTAATTAGGAATGATGGAACCATTTTAAAATGTAATTCAGAAAATTGTACTATCTAGCCCTTAGGTTTTGTCTTCTTTGAAAGACAGAAAATACTAATATTTCTTTTACCATTTGGTTTAGGTTATTAAAATAACTTTATTTGAGGGCTGTAACACATATAACTGTAATCGTTGTTGAGGATACAGTAAAGAAGATGAAAATTGTACTTGAACCTTTGATCTGTGCATGATAACCCTATTATTGAAGTATGATTATATAAAAATGCTTACTTAGTTTTTTACTGAACACATTTAACATGCCAAGTGAGTATTAAACTTCTTTGAACTTGTGATATCAAAGTAATTCCTAGAGCATATTAAGAGCAAATTTATTGTATGCTATTATTATACATAGTATCTCTTCATTGACAAAAGACCAATGTCTAGCTCATGTGTTTTGGCATATTGGTGCTTGAAAAATTTATTTACATGGATTTTAAGTGTTCCCTATAATCTTGATTATATAGTTATTATTTATTTTCTATTCTGTGTATGTTATTTTTGTTAATTTGTAAATTTGTGAAATTAGGGGCTTGTCTTGCTACATATTTTAATAAGATGTAATTTGCTTTTTAATCAATTCAAGATTCTGGGTTGTCTAAAGGAACATATTGGGGGAATTTGATTCTGTGTGAATTGTATGACAATGATGATAACTGGTTCTGTGAACTTTTATTGCTTTTACCAATTTTGAAGCAAAGTTCTTTGGTGCTTTGTTTGGTTCAAGATATTAAATGAGCTATTAAGCTTTTGTTCCTTTAAAGCTTTAAAAATGAACAGCTCCCGAAGTGTCTGATCTTACTGCTCTTTCTTCACTCCTAAGGTTAGCAAAGATAATGTAAGCTTTAGTCAAGTCTCATAATCTGTTGTTAAAACCTTGTTGGAAATAGCTGAATGAGGATGTAAATATGAAAAATAAAACATTTTAAGGAATGTATTTGAACATGGCGAGAAGTCAGAGAAGGGGAGGATTATGCATACTGTGTATGAATGACAACCTTTAATAAAATTGTTAGTTTTCTTGATAATTTCTTGTGCCTTTGGTGGTATGAAATTAAATATGAATTCATTTCTTTTGAGATGGTCACTGCTAAAATGATAACTCGGAATGCATGCTTTTTGCTTTAGGCCAGCTTCTTCAGGTGGTCAGAGCAGCCAATGGTGCCCAATATATCTTTCAGCCTCAGCAGTCAGTGGTTCTACAACAACAGGTTATACCACAAATGCAGCCTGGTGGAGTACAAGCTCCTGTTATACAGCAGGTAAAATAATCTTCTATTATGATCAGTATGGGGTTCTGTTTTATTCTGTATGTATTCCCTGGGTAGTTTCCCTCTCCTTATATGCACAAAAGACTCTTTTTCAGTGCTACAGACCCAGTTGTTTCAAATTTCTCCTGTATACAGCTTAACTTAGATTCAGCATGTATTAAACATGTATTAAACAATTACTGTTGTCTCTGCCCATCCTTCATCATCCCCTCGAAGGTGGCAGCACTCTCCTTCCAGCTTCCTAAGCTGGTCATTCAGCCTTTATTCAATAAGCAGTTACTGAGTCTCGGGGTATTCACAAGGGTCAGGGGATTTAGGAGTGAATGACACAGACATGACTCTAGTTTTATGATGCTTACTGGAAGTGGGTGTGTAGAATCCTCCCTTTTCCTTACCTCTAATACCCAAGGTATCAAGCCCTACCAATTCTTGTTAATAGTTTTTCTTTTCTTTTTTTTTTTTTTTTCGAGACAGAGTCTTGCTCTTTCACCCAGGCTGGAGTGCAGTGGCGCGATCTCAGCTCACTGCAACCTCTGCTTGCTGGGTTCATGCCATTCTCCTGCCTCAGCCTCCCAAGTAGCTGGGACTACAGGCGCCCACCACCACACTTGGCTAACTTTTGTATTTTTAGTAGAGATGGGGTTTCACCGTGTTAGCTAGGATGGTTTCTATCTCCTTACCTTGTGATCCACCCGCCTCGGCCTCCCAAAGTGCTGGGATTACAGGTGTGAGCCACTGCGCCCGGCCTTTTTTTTTTCTTTAACTGCAGTTTTGCCATGGTTGCAGTCCCTTAATATGTTTGACACTGTTTTTTTCTCAGCCTCTTTTTTCATTTCCTTAGTTCATACTGTCCATGATTTGTCACTAAAATGCTGCATTGTCTTCTTAATGGTTTCTCTGCCTCTCATCTTTTGCCCTCCTAACCTGGCTGATTTATAGTCATCTTTTTTTTTTTTTTTTTTTGAGACAGAGTCTCTGTCACCTAGGGTGGAGTGCAATGGCGCAATCTCAGCTCACTGCAACTCCCGCCTCCTGGGTTCAAGTGATTCTCCTGCCTCAGCCTCCTGAGTAGCTGGGATTAGTGGCACGCACCACTGTGCCCAGCTAATTTTTGTATTTTTAATAGAGACAGAGTTTCACCATGTCTAGGTTGGACTTGAACTCCTGACTTCAGGTGATCTGCCCGCTTTTGCCTCCCAAAGTGCTGGGATTATGGGCGTGAGCCACTGTGCCTGGCCTATCTTTCTAAAAATCCTAAAACTTTTAACAGCTTTTCATTGCCTACTGAGAAGAGCCTAAACAACTCAACATGGTTTATAAAATCTTTTTGTGGATCTTGTTTCTTTGAACTCTCCAGGTTTATTTCTTGCCATGCTCCCAGTTATTTTCTTTAGCTGCATTTACATCAAAATAAACACTTGGATCTACTTGTGTTATATTCTTGTGCTGTGGCACTAAAATGAAAGAGGAATGGTTATTTTCTTGAGGAACTTATGTACTTTATATGTTTATGTGTCTGTCTCTTTTTTAAATGTCAGTAAAATAGTATTATGATAGAGACAAGATCAGAGCAGTACTATTAATCCAGTTTATTTACATCTTTCCAAAATTATGTACTGCTGTCACTTCTGGGTTTCACTTGATGTTACACTTCTCTTAAGAATGCCGTCTGGCAACTCCCTGCACTTCCCCCAAACAAATAGAAAAACCTGGCTAATCTCCTTAAAGCAGCAGTCTCTTAGCTTTTTGACACCAGGGACTGGTTTTTGCAGAAGACAATTTTTCCATGTACTGGGCAGCAGGGATGGTTTCGGGGTGAAACTTTTAATTCAGGTCATCAGGCATAAGGAGTGCACAACCTCCATCCTTGCATGTGCAGTTCACAGTAGGGTTCCTGCTCCTATGAGAATCTCATGCTGCTGCTGATCTGACAGGAAGCAGAGTTCAGG
The DNA here is from genome assembly GCF_000001405.40 of Homo sapiens. Taxonomy (NCBI): domain Eukaryota; kingdom Metazoa; phylum Chordata; class Mammalia; order Primates; family Hominidae; genus Homo; species Homo sapiens. Next base: position 81,194,149 of record NC_000014.9, on the reverse strand, counting down.
TGGTGATGCTGGCTCATCCACCACTCACCTCCTGCTGTGCAGCCCAGTTTCTAACAGGGGTTGGGGACCGCTGCCTTTAAGCACAAACAGAAACTACTTACTAATAATATAAGTAATATTTGATCATGCTTTGTCCCCTAAGTTGAATTTGGTACACTCTCTTGTGTTCCCATAACACTGTGTCATATTTGTACTACATCTGCTGTGTTTTTGAGTTGTTAGTGCTTTGTCTATTATACCATTTTTTTGTCTTTTGTGTTGTTACACCACGTGTAAGCATTTTAAAGGAAATACTGTGTCTTATTTTTGCATTCCTTGAACCTAATGGCAAGTAACAAGCATCTAGTCCTCCTCCTTTATTATAATACATATAGTTAATATTTGTTAGTATATATTTTTTCAAGTTGTGGCTTACTTTAGAATCCTAGATGCAGAACCTGGAAAGGAACTTCAGAAATCTGATCTGGTGGTTTTTAGAAAAATAATTAGCTTTTATCTCACACTGAGTCAGAATATTAGGGGTATGGCCAAGGTATCAGTACTTTTTAAGTTGCCAGGTGGTTCATATTTGCAGCCAGGATTGAGAACCATTAAGCCTAGTTTGACAGTGAAACGACAGAGGCCAAGAGGAGTTAAATGACTTGCGTCTGCTGTATTTATGTCTGACTTTAGACAAAAGTAGACCCAGGTTGGCCAGGCGTTGTGGCTCACGCCTGTAATCCCAGCACTTTGGGAGGCGGGCGGATCATGAGGTCGTGAGTTCGAGACCAGCCTGACCAACATGGCAAAACCCCGTCTCTGCTAAAAATAACAAAATTAGCCGGGCATGGTGGCGCGCACCTGTAGTCCCAGCTACTCAGGAGGCTGAGGTGGGAGAATTGCTTGAACCCAGGAGGCAGGGGTTGCAGTGAGCCGAGATCACACCATTGCACTCCAGCCTGGGTGACAGAACGAGACTCCATCTATAAAAAAAAAAAAAAAAGGTAGACCCAGGTTTTCAGATTCTCAGTCCAGTGTTCTTCATGTGAAGGCAGTGTATAACTTTTGTCCTGGTAGCTGGCATATACATAGTATGTGCTCAATAAATGAAGCAGTTATCTTTAGAAAATCCTTATTTTCTAGAAATTTGATAAAATAGAAATTTAATGGGTCACTACACTAGTTAAACTAATTGCTTTTGTACTTTGGTAGTTTTTAACTGTGTATGAAATATGGCCATTCTGGTGAATCTTAAGCATTTGTTTCTATTTCTGTGTACCATACTTGATCCTCTTAACTAGTTACTGTTATGTGGTTTTCTTTTGCTTTAGGTGCTGGCTCCTCTTCCTGGAGGGATTTCACCACAGACAGGTGTCATCATCCAGCCTCAGCAAATCTTATTTACAGGAAATAAGACTCAAGTTATACCTACGACAGTGGCAGCACCTACACCAGCCCAAGCACAGATAACTGCAACTGGCCAGCAGCAACCGCAGGCCCAGCCTGCTCAAACACAAGCTCCATTGGTCTTACAAGTTGATGGAACTGGGGATACATCATCTGAAGAAGATGAAGATGAAGAAGAAGACTATGATGATGATGAGGAGGAAGACAAAGAGAAAGATGGAGCTGAAGATGGGCAGGTGGAAGAAGTAAGTTTCTAGTAACATACTTAAAATAATCTACTTGATTATTTCCTTTTTTAGTTGGTACAACACTGATAAATTATATCCTGTTTTTTTCAGAGACTGTTAGGTGCTGTACAACATAAGATTTTAAAGATAAAGTTAGATTGTTTTAACTTTAGTAAGGTTTTTATATTCTGGCTATATTTATCTTCATAAAATATAACTTTCATATAGCTGGTAATAAAAAATGTATAACAAATTAAATTGTATTAATATGTGTAGTAAAGAGTACAGGTAATTCTAACTCTGGCTTACGCATTTATAATGTGGCTTAAACATAAGACATTGGTAGATAAATAGATGTGGTTAATCTTTTGCTTCAGTAATTTAAAAAGCGTGGCAACATTTGGGGAGAGAGCAAACTCAAGAACCAAATGTCACAAATTTATTAAATATTTAAAACCTTTTGGTCCATGTTCTATACCACTTCCTTAAAAACCTATGTACCCTTAATGTCTGTGTTCTTCTAGAAGCATATAAATATGCCTTTGTTTTCCTCACTATTTCAGCTTAGTTACTAGGCTCCAAAAACTATTTGTCCCACCACAATTTTCACTGTTAATTGCCTTCGTTAGCCTAAAATGCAGTCTTTTTGTTTCTTAGTACAAAGTTCTTCTAAATTATCTAAGTAATTTTTTTTCTGAAGAAAACATAGTTTATTATTGAATATTGAATAGACACAAATGAATAGAAATGTTTCAAGATAAAAATCATCCTGGTGCCCACCATCTAGTTAAAATAAAATTCCATTATTTAAAGTGCCTTAGATGCCTCTCCCTAATCCCATCATTCCTAGGCCATCAAAGTACCTTTGCTCATACATTTGTGTTGATTATTAATTGCTTTTATATTTTACCATATATATTTATATTCCTAAATAGCATATTGTTTAGTTTTGCATGTTTACAACGTAAATGAAGTAATTACGTATTCTTCTGCAAGTTGGTTTTTTCCCCTTAAAATGATATTCCTGAGGTTTATCCAAGTTGTTGCATATAGCTATAATTATTTTCATTGCTGAATATACCATAATTTTATTTGTCAATTTTTCTAATCCAGTGGACATAAGGATTGTTTCTTGTTGTTTACTGTTACAAACAGTTATAAAATATTGTAGTGTATGTCTTCTGGGGACACAAATGCAAGAGGTTCTCTAAATTTTATACCGAACATTGAACTTCTGGCTCCTAAGTCATGCACATCTGCAACTTTATAATAAAATGCCAAATCACTTCTGCCATTCAATACATAATTGTGCAGATGTCCATACCCCCTTATCAATACCTGATAGTGTCAGGCTTCCTGATTTTTGCTGGTCTGGTAGGTAGAAAATAGTATTATTTCATTTTGGTTTTAGTTTGCATTTCCTCACTTAGGAGTTTTAGCCTCTTTTTGTATATTTATTTGATATTTGTGTTTTGTATAGAAGTGCTTATTGAGGTCTCTTGCCCGTTTCCTCCCCCTAAATTCTTCATAGTTTCAGTGCTTCTTGAAGTAACATGTTTTTATTACCTTTTCCAGTTTATTGGTAGGATGGAAATATGTAGCGCTTTTAATATTCATCCTTGAACCAGCCACCGTCCTAATGTCTTTTGTTAGTCCTCATAATGTATCTGTAGATTCTTTTGTATCTTCTGTGTAGACTTTCACATCTTATATGAAGAACGGCAGTTTTTTGTGGCTCATTGGCTAAGCCTTCGGGAACAGTATTGATTAGAAGTGGTGATAGCAGGCACTCTTCTCTTCTTCTTAAACTGAAAAGTAATCTTTTCCATGCTTCACTGTTAAGTTTAATGTTTGTTGTGGGTTTTCTTTTTTTTTAATGGATATCTTCATCAGGTTAAGTAAATTCCCTTCTTTGCATTGCTTTGTTTTTTAAACTGTAAGTGAATGTTGCATTTAATTAAACACCTTTTCTGCAATGATTTGTATAATTTCTCACGTAATGTTATTTATAATGGATTTCATTAATTGATTTTCTATTTGTAAACCAATCTTGTACTCCTGGGATAGCACAACTTGATCATTTTATATTTCTCTTTTTATAAATTGCTGAATTCATTTTGTTGAGGACTTTTTTGTAGATATTTATGATTGATAGATACTGTGTGATTTTCTGTTCTCATACTCTTCTTACAAGGTTTTCAGTTATGGTAGCTTTGTTAAATGAATTTGGGGACATGTTTCCTGTATTTTGAACTCTTTTTTTTTTTTCAAAGATTGTATTTAATTCTTCTGTTGATATTTGTTAAAACATGACACTACAGATACCTGGGTCTAGTAATCTCATGCCCTTCAAGTATTTTGTTTCTGTTTGAGACCGTTTTGATAAGTTATATTTTTCTAGGACTCTCTATATATTTATCTAAATTTTCAAGTTGATTAACATGAAGTTAATCATGATATTGTCTTTTTGATGCCAGAATCCTTTGTCATCTTCATTCCTAATATAATTATTGTGCCATCTTTTTTTTTCCCTGTTCAGTCTTACCAGGGATGTGTTGATTTTATTAATGTTTTCAAAGAGTAAACTTTTAGCTTTATTCTCTCTAGTGTGTTTTTCCCATTCTATTCTTTTCTGACTTAACTGTTTTGTTTGTAGAGAATATGATCTGTGTGATGTGTGAATCTTTTGAAATTGCTTGAGACTTGCTTGATTTGGTCAGTTTTTGTATATGCTTTGAAAAGAATGTGTTTTCTGCACTTGTTTGGTATTTGTATGTGTCTGTTAGATTTATATTGTCAGTAGGTTTGCTCAGATGCTCTTTATGTATCCTTGATATTTTTTGTGTGCTTGATCCATTTTTTTTTTGAGATGGAGTCTCGCTCTGTCACCCAAGCTGGAGTGCAGTGGCACTATCTCTGCTCACTGCATGCTCCATCCCCCGGGTTTACGCCATTCTCCTGCCTCAGCCTCCTGAGTAGCTGGGACTAGAGGTGCCCGCCACCTCGCCCGGCTAATTTTTTGTATTTTTAGTAGAGATGGGGTTTCGCTGTGTTAGCCAGGATGGTCTTGATCTCCTGACCTCGTGATCCGCCCACCTTGGCCTCCCAAAGTGCTGGGATTATAGGCATGAGCCACCGCGCCTGGCCACTTGATCCATTTTTTACTACTGAGTGAGATATGTTCATGTTTCCTGCTATGGTAGTTGATATATTTCTTCTTGTTTTTCTGCCATTTTTCCTTTTTGTATTTTGAGCCTCAAAACAGGTGCATGTAAGTTTAACATTCATTGTTTTTTCTCAGTGAGTTGAACCATTTATGATCATACAATGTCTTAAGTTATTGCTAGTAAATTTTTTTTAACCATGAAGTCTGTTTGTATGATACTGTTAGAGCTGTACCAGCTTTGTTGTGGTTAGAATTTGCCTGGTACAGCTTTTTTCATTCTTTCACTTTTCAAACATTTTGGATCTGTAAACTTAATCTTTTTAAAATAGAATATTGCTATTTATGCTATTTGTTGCAAAACTTTAACATCAACCAAGACTATTCAGTAGGGACAGAATAGTCTTCAACAAATTATGCTTGGACAATTAGATATCCGCATGCAAAAGAGTTAAGTTGGACCCCTACGGCATACCACATACAAAAATTAAAGTGGATTAGGGACCTACATCTAAGAGCTGAAATTATAAAACTCTTAGAAGAAAACATAGGGGTAAATCTCCATAGCTTTGGCAACAGTTTCTTTTTTTTTTTTTCGAGACAGAGTCTCACGCTATCGCCCAGGCTGGAGTGCAGTGGCGCGATGTCGGCTCACTGCAAGCTCAGCCTCCCGGGTTCACACCATTCTCCTGCCTCAGCCTCCCAAGTAGCTGGGACTACAGGTGCCCGCCACCATGCCCGGCTAATTTTTTGTATTTTTTTTTTTAGTAGAGACGGGGTTTCACTGTGTTAGCCAGGATAGTCTCGATCTCCTGACCTCGTGATCTGCCCACCTCGGCCTCGCAAAGTACTGGGATTACAGGCGTGAGCCATTGTGCCCAGCCGCTTGCAACAGTTTTCTTAGACATGACACCCAGAGTACAAGCAATCAAAGAAAAAGTGGACTTTGTAGATTAAAAAGGTGGTTTTTGTTTTTGTTTTTGTTTGAGACAGAATCTCACTCTGTTGCCCAGACTGGAGTGCAGTGGCATGATCGTGGCTCACTGCAGCCTCAGCATCTTGACCTCCCGGGCTGGAGTGATCTTTCTGCCTCAGCCTCCTGAGTAGCTGGGAGAAAATATTTGCAAATCATGTATTTGATAAGGATCTACTATCCAGAATATATAAAGAACTCTTAAACAGCGTAACAACAAAAAGATAATGCAATTTAAAAACTGGCAAAGAACTTGAATAGACATTTCTCCAAAGAAGATACACAAATAGCTAACAAGCATATGAAAAGATGCTCAGCATCATTAGTCATTAGAGAAATGCAAATGAAAACCACACTGAGATAACCACTTTACACCTTCTAGAATAGCTATACTCAAAAAAGAAAGAGAAAATAAATGCTGGTGAGGATTTGGAGAAATTGGAGCCCTTGTGCATTGTTGGTGGAAATGTAAAATGGTACAGCTGCTGTGGGAAACAGTTTGATAGTCCTCAAAAATTCAGTATAGAATTATCCATATGACCCAGCAGTTCCACTCTTAAATATATACACAAGAGAACTGAAAACATGTTTTTCAACAAAAACTTGTATGTGACTGTTCATAGCAGCCCTATTTATGATATCCAAGTGGTATAAACCCAAATGTTCATCAGCTGATAACAGTGGAATATTATTTAGCCATAAGAAGAATGAAGTATTCGTATATGCTACAACATGGATGAACCTTGAAAACATGCTATGTGAAAGACATCAGCCACACAACGCCACATATTATATGATTCCATTTATATGAAATATCCAGAATAGGCAAATCCATACAGACAGCAGATTATAGATTGCCAGGGGACAGGGAGAATGGGGAGTGACAGCTTAATAGGTAAGAGTGATGAAATGTTCTGGAACTAGGTAGTGGTGAGTGTTATATACACTGTAAATGTTCATTGCACCTGAATTGTACATGTACAAATGCTAAAATAGTGAATGTTGTTAACTTGAATTTTACCTCAGAGATTTTTTTTTTTTTTTTTGAGACGGAGTTTCACTCTGCTGCCCAGGCTGGAGTGCAGTGGTGCAATCTTGGCTTACTGCAGGCTCCGCCTTCTGGGTTCCCGCCATTCTCCTGCCTCAGCCTCCCGAGTAGCTGGGACTACAGGCACCTGCCACCATGCCCGGCTAATTTTTTTGTATTTTTAGTAGAGACGGGGTTTCACCGTGTTAGCCAGGATGGTCTCGATCTCCTGACCTCGTGATCTGCCTGCCTCAGCCTCCCAAAGTGCTGGAATTACAGGTGTGAGCCACCACGCCTGGTGTAGAAAATTTTTTTCATTTTACATTGATGATACCTATTTTAAATTAAAGAATATCTATACATACACACCTGTGTAAGTAGGTATAGGCCTAGACATAATAATTTTTTTTTTTTGTTCTTATTGTTGATATAGAGTCTCAGGTTGTTGTCCAGGCTGGAGTGCAATGGTGTGATCAAGGCTCATAGCTTCAACCACCTGGGTTCAAGTAATCCTCCCACCCTCATCCTCCTGAGTAGGTGGGACTATAGGCATATGCCACCATACCTCGCTAATTTTTTTTATTTTTTGTAGAGGTGGCATCTCACTGTATTTCCCTGGCTGGTCTCAAACTCCTGGCCTGAAGTGATTGTCCCGCCTAGGCCACCCAAAGTGCTAGAATTAACAGGCATGAGCCACTGTGCCTGTCCATAATATAGTCTTGATTATTGTCTTCTCTACTTTGGTTTTGTCTTCTCTTTCTGCATTTATTAGAAATCTCAGTTACATCTTCTATCTTCTGTCACAATTGAAGCGAAATTTAACATGGTTGTTTATTTTATGCTCTAGTTAGGTTTTATCTTGGCCCCTAACTCTCTTTAATGCTGAGATTTCCTACTTTCTGCCTTTAAGAAAAAAAAAAAGTCTGAATCTTAATTCTGCTTCATACCTCTACCATAACCATCATCATGCTAAACATGCTGATTTGTATTTAGAGTCCAAGTTCTTTAATGTAAAGACAGCAAGGCAGACTGCTAGCCTATTGCATTGCTCTTCTTTTCTCCTCTAATTTCTCCACTGTTTTCTGTTTTATATGATTTGTAGTACATAGTGCCATTAGCTCTTTTGAACCTTCATATTAGGTCCTTTTCTAGGCATCTTAAACAGTTATTGTAGAGAATTATCTTCTTGTACTGTTTTTAAAAAATAAAGAAAATAAAGATAGGCCGGGTGTGGTGGCTCACGCCTGTAATCCCAGCACTTTGGGAGGCCTAGGCGGGGTGGATCACGAGGTCAAGAGATCAAGACCATCTTGGCCAACATTGTGAAACACCGTCTGTACTAAAAACACAAAAATTAGCTGGGTGTGGTGGCGCGTGCCAGTAGTGCCAGCTACTGGGGAGGCTGAGGCAGGAGAATTGCTCGAAGCCGGGAGGCAGAGGTTGCAGTGAGCCGAGATTGCACCAGCCTGGCTACAGAGCGAGACTGTGTCTCAAAAAAAGAAAGAAGAAAATAAAGATAAACATCTTTTCAGACTTAAAAATTACATAGCTTAGCTAATTTAATTATATTTAATTTCTTACATTTCAGTAATATTGGCAAACTGTTAACAGCTGATTTGACAATATTAAATTCATGGCGTACATATATGCATTTGGCATTTGGTTCTCAAAGAACATCAAGGTCATTATATTTTTTTTTTCAGTGAATATTAAGGCCTTCTTATAGTAATAAGAACTCTCCTTTTATTTGTAGGAGCCCCTCAATAGTGAAGATGATGTGAGTGATGAGGAAGGACAGGAACTCTTTGACACAGAAAATGTTGTTGTATGCCAATATGATAAGGTAAGGATGTCATCTTCAGATTACTGACGTTATTTGTGTTGTAATTTCTTCCCTACATTATTCTTTCTGCCTTATTGAAACATTTGGGCAGCTGATTCATGCCTCTTAAATTCATTATGAATAGTACGAAAACCCTGTTAGAGTTTTGTGGATTATTTTAATAGAATGAAAGATTAATTTCTTAGCTTTATGTTTGAAAAATAAGTTATGAATGAAATGAAAAGAGCTACGATCTTCTTTTTCTATTTAGACAGTCTTTGAACTTGTAAGCAGAGTAAACAGCCACTTTGAGGTTGTCCTTTGTGGTAATAGCTAACTCAATGAGATAATTCTGTTTTCTATTTAGCCTCAACTATCTCAAAACTAGAAGGGTTCAATTGAATCTCTGTAACTGTTTTTATTATTAAGGAAAAGACTAAGGCAATGAACAGTGCTAAAAACAAACATAAGTTTTTACTGAAAATTATTTAAAATATTATTTAACTTTGCTGTAGTTTGCTAACATTAAGGAATTTTTAAACCAGATACTGTGAAAACTAGCCATTGATTCCTTATTTTCTTAATTCCTAGACAGGGTGCTTCTTTCCAAGTATTTTTGTTACATTTATTTGTATTATTTCTGAGATTTTTGTTTTCAAGACATTTAAATTGTAATACAGTTTTTTTATTGCAATCATTAAATTTATAATGCATGCAAATATTACGTTGCATTTATAATTTTAGTAGAGATCTTTACCAAATGCTAAAAATTCTAACAAAAGCTTATTTATTCAACATTTATAGAGTGCGGAAATTTACCAGACACTATTCTAGGCCCTGGCGATGTAGTTATGAACATGTAAAATTCATGCCTTGCATGAAGTTTCCTTTATAGATGAAGAAAATCTTAATTCTGTTGCTTTTATGGAAATGAATGTGATAAGTAGCCGTGCTTACTTCAAACAGATCTATAGGGAGAATGCCAACACTATGGATCTTATTTACTAATAAAAAGGTGGAGTTAGGCTAGTTTTACCAGTGAAGTTATAGAATGAAGACAGTAAGGTCATTGAGAGTTTCACAGCATTCATTTTTGTGCATAATGACTTCTGAGAGACTGTTCTTAAAACCATATACCATGTGCAGTATAATAAATGTAATTTCCTGTTAGATACACATAGAGCAAGACTATGAGGTTAAAACAAAAGATACCATTAAATCTTTATTGTTAGGAAGTCTCAGAGGATCTCCTTGCAACCAAATTATCCAGAACACAATTTCATGATGAGATGTCAGATTTATCAGGCAAGCGAGGACCTTTGTTTTAGCCTGACTGAAGAATATACTTTTAAGTGTCTTCCTACTTTAAGACAATGGTTGTATTCTCCTTTGGCACAAACTGTACTCATAATATTTTAAATGTTAAAATTGGTTTGTTTTGCTCCCAGAGACATTACTTTACTGTTTTAAATTAGTAAGTGGGAGATAGCTCTAAATGGTGTGCTGAATGATAAATAATTTTAAAATTTGCAGAGGTCTAATTTTGAGAATCAAATGAATTGCTCTGAAGATTGGAGGAGGGTGGTGGCTTGATGTCTTTAGCCAATAGTAAAGAACAGCAGTTTTCTTTGACTGCGCAAAATGAGGTTGGATATTGTTTGAGCCAACTTGAATTTCAGGAATGTAGTTTTGAAGCCTTAACTTTAGAATGTCAACAATGAGTCAATTTTAGAAGAGATCATAGAACGACTAATAAAGCTTGTATTGCCAATCAAATCAGAATCTTAGTTAAATGCTAATAATATGGTAGAGTTCTTGCTTACGTGTGGGTGGATAAGGGCTGATACAGCATTTAGCGAAAATAGCATCAGATGTAGGTAAACTTGCTTTAACACATTTTTAATTAGGAAATTTAAGAGGGCTTTCTCCTGGCTTTAAGAATATTCCTTCATGAAGGGCTTAGGGCCGGTAAATAGATTGCTTTTTAAGTTGTGACTTTGTACTTCTATTAATATAAAAATATTTACCATTTATTACCCAACATGACTTCAGTGTTGACTGTGTGGATTAGTTGGCCCATGAAACTTTGGTACATTTATTTTTTGCAAATTGTCCTGTCCTATGACAGAATGCAGGCAGTTTCTTTACTTGTCTATAGAATCTCTTATTTCCTGGCTACTCATCACTTTCTTGTTTTTGTCTAGCTAAGCCCACGGTCTTTCTGGTTGCAGTCACTTGGTTCATGCTGGAAATACATTTGTATACACGTTTGTAGAATAAATAATACTTTATAGGAATTCAAAGATAAGGGGAGACAGCTCTTTTCATGTGCAACAGATACTGTTTATGATGTCCCTTGGCACTATTCTTGGAGCTTGAGATACACTAATGATCAAAACAGAACAGTCCCTGCCATTGGGAAGCTTACTCCAATCAGGGGAGATAGATGCTAAAACATAATAAATTAGGATTTATTTACTTATTTAAAACATAATAAAATATTTATATGTTAGAAGCTGATAGTCGGTATGGAAAAATAAAGAGCAGGGAAAGAGGACAGGTTTGGTTTCAGTTTTAAATAGGATAGTCATAGTAGGTCTTTGGAGAAAATGACATTTTAGCAAAGACTTGGAAAGAGTTAGCCCTGTCATCTGGTGGCAGAGTCTGTTGTATGTGAGGAACAGCAAGGAGGCCTGTGTGGCTAGACTGGAGTGAGGGAAGAGGAGAGTACAGTAGTAGGTAGAGAGGTAAGGGAAGGCAGATAGTAAGGATTTTGTAAGGACATGGCTCTTACTCTTAAGTGAATCAGAAAGTTATTGGAAGGTTTCAGTGAGACAAATGGTATGAACTGATTTAAATTTTGAAAGGATTACTTTGCTTTCTTTGTAGAGAGCATAATATGAGGAGGAAGCAGAGGTTGCTGAAACGAGACTATTTAGGGGGATATTATAATAATTCACATGGGAGATAATGATGACTCGGCCTATGGTGATGGTATTAAAGTTGGTGAGAAGTAGTTGGATTTTGGATTTGTTTTGAAGGAAGAATGTTAACAGCATTTCCTGACTCTGAGATTTGTGGTAGAAAAGAAAAAGGAATCAAGAATGACTCTTGAGATTTTTTGATGAGGATTCTGAAAGAAGGATGGTGATACCATCAGTTCAGATGAGGAAAAGCTGCATGTGGAGCTGGTTGGACATGCCAAGTCTGGTATGTCCGTTAGACATTCAAGTCATCAATCTTAAGATGCTACATTTAGCATTTATGTAGTGTATTTAGACCAGAGATATAATTAGTTCTTAATCCAACAGTCTTTACCCTACCTGCTGTTTTACCTTTATTGTGCTTTGTTTTGCTTTAATAAGTAAGCAAAGTTTGAATCCAGAAGAAGAACATGAGAGTAGTTTCCAAATAAGATGAAGGTTGTTTGATTGAGTGATTTTTTTTTTTTAAGTCTCAAAAAGCAGAGCTAGGATCAATAAATGGAAGTTGGAGAAGCAGATTTCCGTAAGGGTAAACTCTGAAAGATTTTACAAGAGAGCTGTTCCAAAAAGGAATAACTTAATTTGAAATTCTTTGCTCACTGTTTCTAATCGTATTTAAGCAGACACTGCACAACCATTTGCCAGGAATATGTCATGAAGAATGTTTGCACTGGGAGGTTAGGCCATGGAATTTTAGGAATGAGATCTCAGAAAATATCTGTACCTGGCCGGGTGCAGTGGCTCACGCCTGTAATCCCAGCACTTTGGGAGGCCGAGGTGGGGGATCACCTGAGGTCAAGAGTTCAAGACCAGCCTGGCCAGCCTGGTGAAACCCATCTCTACAAAAATACAAAAATTAGCTGGGCGTGATGGTGAGTGCCTGTAATCCCAGCTACTCAGGAGGCTGAGGCAGGAGAATCACTTGAACCTGGGAGGGGGAGGTTGCAGTGAGCCAAGATCGTGCCATTGCACTCCAGCCTGGATAACAGAGTGAGACTCTGTCTCAAAGAAAAAAAAGAAAAAGAAAATATCTATACCTGTTGAGCATTTCTGCATTATTATATGAAACAGACTGATTTAGTAAAAGCGTACTGGACCAAGACTTGAAAATCATGATTGTCACTTAGTAGCAGTATACACTTGGTCAAACCATTGAACCCTATCCAATCTGTCATTTCTTCTTCTGAAAATGAAAGCCTGAACTAGTTGATTTTTTTTTTTTTTTAGGTACCTTTAGATCATAGAATAGGGAGAACCAGGGGGCCTTCTTTGCAGAAGATGTGGAACTTGAACATTAAATAATTAGTGTGACTTACTGGGAAAAGGAAGAAAGGTCACTTCAGTTCATTAAGTTTTACAACTCCTCTCCCCCACCAAATCCATGGAATTACAAACAACTACGGACTATAAGTGAAGGCAAAGATGGGAGTGCCCAGAGCCTGCCCTTCAGCTCTTTTTGTTTAACTGTGGATGTACATAGTTTTTGAAATCTGGTGTAAGTGACTGGATGATTAGCATCCTTTAGATGTATTTTTAAAATACTGCTATGTATAAGGTTCCATGGTAGTTAGGTCTTGAGAACTCTATAAGGAGTTTTATTTTGGTAGAAGAAATGAGTCCATAATTGTATTACTTACAAATAATGTAAGAAATGTCAATGAAAATACCATTGGGAATTTAACAGTGGAAAAGAATAGTTTTAGCTGGTAAGATTTGGGAAAGCTTTGTGGAGGATAGTCTTTTTGAGGTAGACCTTGAAAATATATATGCAAACCTGGTAGAGAGATAAGACATTTTGTAAAGAAATATTTTTTAACTACTTTAATGAACACAAGTACTAAAAGCTATAAAATAGTACTAATTACAGATAAATTTGTTTTTAGACCCACCTAGTGAGTTTTGTGTGTGGTTTTTTTGTTGTTGTTGTTCTTTTTGGTGAAATTAAACTTTATTAAGAAACCAATTTTTAGGCCAGGTGCTGTGACTCACGCTTGTAATCCCAACACTTTGGGAGGCTGAGATAGAAGGATCACGTGAGGCCAGGAGCTCGAGCCCAGCCTGCACAACATAGGAGACCCTTCTTCTACAAAAACAAACCAATTTGCAAATACAATACTGTAAATACTGTTTTGTGGGGGGGTGTGTGTGTACGTGTGTGTGTGTATGGGTTTTTTGTTACTTGTTTTCTCTGTTTTCTGATTGTATCTCTCAATTTTTAAAATGTTGTTTTTGTTTAGATACACAGAAGTAAAAACAAATGGAAATTTCATCTCAAGGATGGCATTATGAATCTTAATGGAAGAGATTATATATTTTCCAAAGCCATTGGAGATGCAGAATGGTGAAGAGTTGCTTTTTTTCTTTTATAAATAAAAGAAACTTAAAAAAAATGTAAAGCGGACAGTTTGAAACTTGGGGCATATGCCAACCAAAACTTCGTTTCTGCATGTCAGAAAAGTGCAGTAGAAGCAAAGCTACTGGAACAAAGATAGACCTTGACAACATAGACACTACTTACTGGCAAGCCATGGAACTGTAGCACCTAGGGTTTTTGGGTGGGAGGGTTGGGGTTTTGTGTAGGAAAACCATAATTGTTGATTTTAAATACAGGTACCTGCCACCGGTAATTAGCATGTAAAGCTTTGTCTATATTCCTTCCTCCAACTTGGGTTCAATCAGAAGATACTTGTTGGAATGAACTGAAGAAACTTCCCTTTTGATAGATTGAACTGAAACTGCTTATTGTATGTGGTTATATTTGGTAAAAGTTGCGTGTGAGCTTTTTACAAAAGGGTAAGAATTGTGTTGAATTTTAATTCACTTGTATAAGAAAACAATTTAAAACTCTCATAATAGGTCTTAAATATTTTTACTTGCTATTCTCCCTCAGTGATATATACCTCTTCCTTTCCAGCTTTATGAAACATCTATTTAAGATTTAAAGTTATCAGTGATCATAGTTTGGAGATAAAATTTGACCCAGGAATGAATATTTATTTTAATTAGGTTTTCATACTTATTAAATGTAATTAAAGACTTGGGTCTTGTCTGAGTTCAGTGGAATTGAAACCACAACTTTAATTTCCTTACAGAAAAACTTAATTTGTTTCTTTTAGTGCCACACCTTAAAAAGAAACCCCAAACTAGCTCCTCAGGAATATAGTTTTATTTTGCAAGCATACCATCTAGCTGAAATTGTATACACATGAATATATGTAGACTTTTCCTGTTGGGCTGAAGTGTGTGCTTATAAATGTGTTTAGTTTTTAAGCTAAACATTCAGTTAACAGTCTGTGCATTGATTAGCATAGGGCAGGTGGTGAGGACCTGGATTTTTATTAAACAGTTTAGTAATTATAAAAGTTTCTTGTGTTTACTAGTAAAGAATTTTAAAAATCTATTCTAATTCAACAAGTTTTTAAAATCAACTTTGTAATTTGAGGGGAAAATTTGGGGGGAAGAGGTGGGTGGGCCACTAAGTTACCTCTCTTTCATTTGGTGGCCCTTCCAGGCCATTGAAAATAAAGACGTTGGCTCCAGTTTGCACATTGGGAAGAAAGCATAGAAATTTGACTTGTATATTAAAAATAATAGAAATGTAATATGTATATTAAGAATGCATAGGTCTGTATTCTGTAAGGGGCTCTGAAGAACAATATGGCACTGCTGTGTTCAGTGTGAATTCACTGCCTGGGAGAACTGCAGGAATGCTTGTCTTCACCATTGTGTTCTTACAACGAATTCAACTTTCCATGGTTTATCTTGACAAAATTTACATGTGTTTAGGTTACTTGTATATTGATATATTTTTTTAATCTTCAGTTTTTGTCTTCCTTTTGCCTTTGTGTTTTCAGAAGTAACACATGAACACTTTTTAAAGTACATTACAGAGAAGAAAACTGTGAGCTATTATATAGTGTTTCTTTTTTAACACAAATCTTTTAACTTTAAAAAAAGGCAAAAATTTTTTTTTTCTACTTCCCACCCAGCTTACCACCTTGATCTCTTTAACTTATGTTCTAAACTTTGGTGTTAATGGTGGTGTCTAGCATGCTAGTAGTTAGATTTTATTTAGATGCCATAACTGGTAATACAGCTTTTATTTTGACTATATTAATTTAGTTTTTTGAGGGGAAGTTTGTTTATTCTGTGACTCTCAAAGCACACAGAGGTTTTAAAATATATATTATTAAGACTGAGAGAAGAGGAAATGGGAGGGAGTAACATCACAGAAGTGCTGTTGTTCAACTGTTCTTCAATATAGTTGCTAGTAGGTTTGTATTTACTCAGTAAGGAAGTCAGTGACCTGAACTACCTATAAAAATTCAGCAGTGCTGCAGTGTTGCTTAAGTGAAACCCTTTGGCTATCTAGTAGTTTTTATGCTACTGAAACTTGGATTACTGTATGATATTCAGCTTGTCTTGGGCCCTCTATGTAGACAAACATTCATATTCATAGTAGTGTTGTATACTGGCCTGTTTTTATAACTTTATTTTTCAAATATTAACAACCACTGCTTTCAGAGTGGTTATTTTGTTATTTTTGAAGCAGGAAATAACCATTTGTATTTGCACCTGCGTATTGCATATGAATTATGGTATACTTGGCAAATGCTTTTCTTTTACCTGTGAAAATTCTGAAAGCTGGTCCAAGCTACATTGCATACCAAATTGTGCTCTTATATATTATTTGCATCGTGTCCTTTTTAATCAAATAGCATGTTTTAGTTTTATTATAGTAGCTTTTGCTGTAAGAATGTCACTTGCTTATCTTTTATTGTACTTGAATTCTTAATCATGCTTTTAACATTGTATTTAACAAATCATTTCGTATTAGGTTCCATTAAAATGTCATTCCTTTGAAAAGGCAAGGGATTTCCACTTTCAGAATTTGAAAATGAAAGTAGCATGTTTATCTAAAGGCAGAAAATAGTTCGGACTTGGTATTATGAAAATAAGTAATGGTTTCTGGAGAGGATTTGTTTAGATTTGCACAGATGGCGATGGCACCTTTTACTTAAATTAACATTAATCAACAGTGCTAAGGAAAATTTACACAAAATTACAAGATAAAACATGGAAATGTGTGCCTTTCAGTATACAAACTCTTGCTTGGTGGCCATTTGGGTAATCAGACCATTTGAATGCCTGAGAGCATGTTTAATTTCTGTGGAGTGCCACATATGGCTAAAACAACTCTTTAATGTGCAATTAATTTCTAGAGTAAAATGTCTGTTATGTGAGGGGGATCTTTATGTTGGGCTTTTCTATTTTTTAAATGTTCACATTTCTTTCTGTTAATTAAAATGCCATCATAATGTCACATTTACACTGTTGCCTCTTTTAAAAGCAAAGCCACTTTCTTGTTCTAAGATTACATCAAGACTTGAGCAGTGTGTAGTAATTAAAATGTGTGCTTAATGAGCATAATAGATTCTGGTTTTAGGAAATAACATATAGCTTTTATATGAATATTTTCTTTTGCTATAATGAAAGTCACAGATTTTTTTTTTCCTGGCTTTTATGGAGGAATGAAAAGAGTTGTCTCCCTCTAAGAGTATACTATTTTTGATTCTCATAGCAATAATGTCACCATTCTTATCAGAGGGTAAATACCCCTTGTATAGGAAAACAGACATAATTTCCTCTTGGGAGTTCTCTTTATGACTTAGCATTTTCTTCTACTTGAGAAAATTCCTGTTTTTCCGATTATTTCATCTTGAACTTTCTTTTTTTTAAGCTTTTGTGCAATGTAATAGTTTGTTGATCCATCTTTGTACATTTTCATTTTATTTCATGTCTTTCTCTCACCTACCTGTCAGAATCAGCTATAGCAGATTTTGAATTCTTTAGTTAAAAAATAGTTGCTTTACTTGTTTCCTCATGAGTTTGTTAAATAGCTTTGCATTTTAGTCCTCTATTATGCTATGAAAATTATTACGAAGTTTATATTGTTCCCTTTTTAAGCCTGCCTTACTCTTGTCTTTTGTCATTGTCTATGGTTTAATGAAGAACACACCAAACTAACATTTTTGTTTATTTTGAGGAACAAAAAAACTTTTCTCTTTTAAGGGAAGTTACTACACATTGAGTTAGTAACTACTCTTTCAGTCAAGGTTCCTTAATCAGTCCAGTCTACATCAGGACTATGACTTGGGGGGCGGGGCTAATCCTTTTTGCTGTTCTGAGCTACTATTGTCAACTGCTGTTGTACATACTGTTATGTGTAATGGCGTAAATATATTTATTATGTTTGTAAAATTCATTGCAGATCAAGGTTGCTCTTCTGTGATATATGGGATATTATGTTTTAAAGACCATCTTGGAATACAATTAGAGAACTTAGTATTTTGATGTACTAAGACCTATTTTAAGTTTAATATTCTACTTTGCAAAAACTTTAATTAAAGATGTTATTTAAAAAAAAATGTTGCTTGCTTTGCTTACTAGTATATGGCATTGTTATAGATAATTGAATAAAATACAATTTAGAAAGGAAAATGCTTTACATTGTTAATGAGAATTCCATTTAACAACAACAAAAAGATGCTAAATTCTGTACCTTAAAGATAAGTAGATTGAGATGTCAATTTGAATTAGTAAACTGTGTTACAAATGATTAATACTAGCTTTTAAAAAGTTGTATTTTCCAGGCACACAGGAATTTAGGTTGGGCGAATTCACACTAACAAATTATAACTAAAAATTGGTATAATTAACATTGTTTTTCAAAATAAAGATTACTCCTTGTGAAATATTAATAATTAACATATTGTATTAAATAAGTATTTCTACTCCAAAGTATAGATTACTTAGGATAAAAACATTGTTATTTCTCTGTTTAGTCAAACCACTTCCTCTTAGTTCAGAGGTTATAAATAATTGCATATTAGGAGAATTGGATTACTGAGGTTTGTATTGCGTATTGAATATATTTTGTGTTATTTTAGAAGATAATAATTAGCAGGTATTTTAATTTTATAGTTAATTCAGCTGAATCATTAAGAAGCTCGCCTTTTTGTATTTTTTTATCCTGTTAACAGACTATCTAGAAAACATGCAAATTTTAACTATTAACATAATCATAATAAAGATATCTTATTTATTGCCAGCAAATCTTGTATTTTGCAGTTTAATTCAAGCCCCTACTTTGATTAAGCTTAAGCTTTTGGCTTTTGTTTCTCCAGCTGTAAAATGACAAGATTTTGAGGATGAAATGAGGTGTGATGCATGTAAAGCTCTTAGGCTGGTGCCTGGTACACAGTCAGCACTCAGATGTCACAATTATATGCTTAATTTCATACTTATTTGCATAGTTTAAAATTATTCTTGAACCGGAAAAAATTAATGGTCAAAAATAGCAAAAACAAATTGAGAACCAGTGAAAGAGTTCATTATAACCAAACAATCCTGGGAGGGTAAGTTGGTGAAACAATGCATCTGGCTACAGCAGAAAGTGTCAGAGGGAAGAAAATTGAGTGCTGGGTATGGGAGAGGGATAATCAAACAGTGGGAGGGCCTTTAAGCTCCCTCTCTCCCCCCGCCAAAAAAATCCTAAATTATATGTCTAAATAAGTTGAATTTTCTCAAAGCTAAAACTATGATAGAACTATCATTTTAAAAATGGACTTTTCCAAATATGAATGGAGTCTGTCCAGTTCATTTAAGGAGCAAAACAGAGTTGTCAAACATTGAAGATACGGATACATCACTCTGATTCTCACAATGTCTCCTCCACTTTGAAAAAGAGTACATTGACTTCTCTGTGTTGACAGGACCTCCATGCTAATGATGCATAGGTTAGGGTGGCATTGCTGAGTGGGGCAAATAGGGCCAGGAAAACTAAAGTTCACCCAGGTTAGTTGCAAGAGATGAAGAGAGTAAAGCTTTTTTTGTTTTTAGAGACAAGAGTCTCGCTCTGTTGCCCAGGCTGGAGTGCAGCGGCACCATCTCAGCTCACTGCAAGCTCCGCCTCCCGGGTTCACACCATTCTTCCGGCTCAGCCTCCCAAGTTAACTGGGACTACAGGTTCCCGCCACCACGCCTTCCTAATTTTGTTTTTGTATTTTTAGTAGAGACGGGGTTTCATCATGTTAGGATGGTCTCGATCTCCTGACCTCATGATCCACCCGCGTTGGCCTCCCAAAGTGCTAGGATTACAGGCTTGAGCCACTGCGCCCGGCTGAGAGTAAAGCTCTTTAGAGCTGTTCACTTTCAGCAGGGATGTACAAGGGACATTTGTTGTTTTGGCTTCTCAGTGTCAGAATACCCTTCCTATTTTGCTTCATGCCAAGAAGAATGGAGGGTAATATATACCTCTTTATGGAAGTAGAATAGCAAGTAAGAAGTCACCTGTCACTGGATCCAGAAACAGGGACCAAAATCTGAGGTGGTCAGACTGATGCTTACACTCAGGACTTTGAGTCTTAAGAGCATGAAACAAAGTTGCAGGATCAGTCAGAGGTCCTATATATGTTCAGGTCTGGTGGTGTGATATTGACTGGGGCAAGAGTGCTATTGGCAACCTCCTAAGCAGACTTTGGCTGCAAACTACTGTACCCTTCCAATCCCTTTTCTGCTTAAAATAAGTCTGTTTCTGTTGTTTGCAACCAAGAAAGAAAAGCATTATTCATGCAAAGTGTGTCTTAAGATATCACCTTTCCCTTGTAGGAGTCTTTTGCCTTCCCAATTAGCCCCTTCTTCCCATTAGACATTCAATATCCTATTCAAAAATCTTCAGTGAATTACCAAAATAGCAATACTTGTAATACCAGCATCACAATTGTGGTTGGCTGATTATCTTCGAACATAAAGGAGTTTGTTACATTTAAGCCCATTATATTTTGTGTCATTCATGTATTCCGCAAATACTTGAATACCTACTATGTGTACCATGACAACCCATATTCAAACTCCCTACAGTCTTGGTGAAGTGACTGATTGGTAGAATTGGCAGAGTCCCTTCAAGATTCTTCATCCCTTGCATAGCATCTCTCTCTGGGGGCCAATCGGCCTCAGTGGATGAGGCCACTGGAGGTCCATTTGTAGGAGTTGAAAGAGCACAGAGACTCCAAAGTCCTTGACATCTTCCTGAACTTGTTCTAGCACAAATCTGCTCTGATCAACTTTCCAAGACTTCCTCTCCTTCTTGGTGTGAAATGTATAAGGACCCTGTGCTCTATCTTGAGATGGCACTCAGCTTTTAAGTTCTATGTTATAAAGAGGGTGTGTGATATATATACTTAGTGTTATTTTCATGTTCTTAAAGCCTCCTTTTTGACATGCTCCATGTGTTCTGGAGCCTTTCCATAGAATTCGTCTCCCACAACCAAGAGTTCCTGTTCTCAGGGAGGGTATTAAAGGTAGAAGAAGGACACTGAAAGATTTTACAGACACAGCTTTTGTGGAGCAGAGAGAAGTGTTTGGAAATACTGGTTTTGAAGTATGCAGCAAGTATGAAGAAAACAGGGATGGGGACTCGGAACAAATACTTCTTGAGTGACAAATGCATTGCCTGTTTTTTCAAATACAGTAGTCTTGAGGGTGGTTATTTTTATCTTCATTTTACAGATGAGTTGATGGAGCTTTGTGGAGGCCAAGTAATTTGCCTAAGGCCACACAGCGAGACCATAGTTTGAAGCTAGGGCAGATTGGCAGAGTGAGGTCAAGATACTCCATCCCTAGCTTAGGATGGGATGGGTCTTTTCGTCACCTCAGTTTCCAGGAACAAATGTTTCCATCTTAGCTACACCTGTTAATAAGAGGCTGTGGCCTTGCAGCCAACCTGGTCTCTTGTTTCTGTTCAGAGGAGATATTCTGGGGACAGTTCTTCACTCTCCACTGTCTGTACTCACCACTCTGAAAAGACAGAGAGACAAATAAAAACACTGGCTGGGACCATGACAGCAAAGTCCTTCTGAAGAGTCATTCAGTGAAGACTTGGGGGTTGGCAAAGTAGTCAGTTCTGTTTTTGCCCTCTCCTAATAGTTCAATGAGTTAAAGGAAAAGAATGTTTTCACAGAAAAAAAAAAAAGTATGTTTGTTTGCTTGAAGGAGATCTGTCTAGCCTTACCTCA
Source organism: Homo sapiens (assembly GCF_000001405.40). Taxonomy (NCBI): domain Eukaryota; kingdom Metazoa; phylum Chordata; class Mammalia; order Primates; family Hominidae; genus Homo; species Homo sapiens. The sequence goes on along the minus strand of NC_000014.9, from coordinate 81,172,491 downwards.
TATCACTTCCCTTCTGGTGAATCTGATGGTGAAATAAGTTTATTCCTAAGAGAGCTCCCTAATGCAATTAAAGTGGGCGTGGCTTCTGCGGGTTTCATGGCAGGATGCATCAGGAATATAGAAACTTGGAGACAAATGTCCTGTGGTTATTGTTATGGTCTGAATGTTTCTACACCCCCAAATTCATATGCTGCCATTCTAACCCAAGGTGATGGTATTAGACGGGGTGTCTTTCGGCAGTGAGGGCATAATGCACTTAGGAAGAGACTCAGAGAACTAGCTAGCCCTTTCCACCATGTGAGAGTGCAACAAGGAACAGACTCTCACCAGACACCAAATCTGCTGGCCCCTTGATCTGGGACTTCTCAGTCTCCAGAACTCTGAGAAATAAATGCCAATTGTTTAGAAACTACCAATTTCATGGTATTTTGTTACAGCAACCTGAACAGACTAAGACAGTTACTGAAAAACCCCACTTTAAATATGTGAGCATGGGAGCCCACATTGCTGGACAGCCTCATGGTAAAGCTATCAAATCCTGCTCTTGGCATATTTTGCAGTAGTGTTGTGCCCAGGGAGGGGGGCAGTCAGTCCTGGGGGACGGGCAATAAGGAGGTGAACTGCTGGCCGAGAACATAAACACAATCATTATTAAATTGATTACATGTAGTGTGCTTTTTATTATTACCATGTGCCAGCAATCCTAAACTATGTCAATGATAGAACACCTTCCCATAAGAAATAATTTTTTGTTCTAACTGGTCTAATTGTTACAGTTAGTGTTACAGTTAGCGTTGAGAGTGTTTTTCCATTTTTTTTTACTGTGATAAAATATGATTACCATTTTAGCCATGGTTAAGTGTACAGTTCAGTGGCATGAAACACATTAATGTTTAGTTTTAATAAAATATTTGTTAGCTTCATTTTTTTTTTACATTTCACATACATGAAATAAGCCAATCACAAAAAGATAAATACTACACAATTCCACTTAAATGAGGTTATCTACAGTGATCAAATTCTTAGAAACAAAAAGTAGAATGGTGGTTACTCCGGACTGGAGGAAGCAGGAAATGAGAAATTGTTCAGTGGATACAGATTGAGTATCCTCTCTGAAGATTTGTATATTTAAAATTTTTTTCTTTATCTGATTGAGTTGATTTGAAGAATCAGTTTTTGAGCTCTGAGATTCCACAGCTTGATCTATTCCTCTGTTAATGCTTCCAACACTATTATGAAAATTTTGTAGTGAATTTTTAAATTCCAGTTCAGTTTGGTTCTTTTTAAAAATGGCTATTTTGTCTTTCAATTTTTGGGTCATTTTTACTGGATTCCTTGGATTGGGTTTCTACTTCCTCTTGAATCTTGATGAGCTTCTTTGGTATCCAGATTCTGAATTCTATGTCTGTCATTCCGGACATTTCAGTCCTTGCTGAGGGGCTAGTATGCTTATTTGACGTTTTGAATTGCCAGAGTTCTTGTGCTGACTCTTTTGAGAGGGCTGGTGTTCCTTTGTCGTCTTGTTTTTATATTATTCATTTACCTTGAGGGCTTAACTGTGGTATATGTTGAGTATAGTCAATTGGCTTCATTTCTGGATACTTTCAGAGGGCCAAGGCTCTGTATGGGATCTTTGTGGCTAGATTCTTGCTCTGGGTTTTACAGGTGCTCTATACTGGCAGAATATTTTGAAATTGTAATTTCGGCGGCAAACCAGTAGATGGCGCTTAAGAGTAATTGCCGGCAGGCTCTGACTCAGCGCTGGCTCTTTGGTATTTTGTATTCGCAGTCATGCTCCATAGTTCAGGGGAGAGAGATGATCCTTTTGCCAAGTCCTCTCCTGGCCCTTAGAGGAGCCCCCTCCAATCACTGGAGCTGCACTTACGTTTCCTTTGTTAGGTGTTCGGAGCTGTGGGGGCTCTCTCCGGCAGAGGCTAAGGCTTGCAGACAGGCCGCAACCCTTCCCTGAAAGGCCCTGAGAGAGACAAGTCTCATCCCGCGCTGGCCCACGAACTGCTTCTCACTCCTCCCAGTGTTCTGAGTGGAGGCTCCTCCCCCGCGCTTGCGCACCAGCCACAGGTCTCAGCTGGGCACTCCTGAGCTCTGTGCTGCAACCTTGGGGCATTGGGCTCTGTCTTTCGGCCCCTCGGGGTCAGACCCCTGCTGTGTTGGGGGATCCGAAGTGCTCCCAAGCTGCCTGGAAAGCATTCAGGCGGGGTCGCTAGCAAGAACTCAGGCTGGGCAGCGGAGGCGGCACAGTGCACACACTCCTGCAGGAACAACCAGACAGGGGCTTTGGGAGGGGCTGCGTGCAGGGGGTCCCGCAGAACATATGCGCCCCAGTCCCGCAGGAAGGACCGCCCTGCTCTCTCTTGGCTCACTGGTAAGTTGAGGTCAGATGGGGAGCCTTGGGGGATAGGCGCCTATAGCCACCTTCCTCTGCAGCTGCCATGCACACAAAACCCCCTGGGCTCCCTGCAACCTGGAGCTCTGTCTCTGCCTACTCCCTGGGCAGATCCCCCTGCCAATTCAACTGTCTGTGGGGGTCATAGGATCTCTTATAGCTGGGATCCCAGAAATACGTGAGGAGAGTGGGCTGCCCCACTGTCACTTTACTCAACCCTTCCCTAGGAAACGTTCTGGGCCTGGAACTAGTCCTGGCACTCACCCCGCGCAGGGTTCCCAGCTTCCTTCCTCTTCAGCCTCGTGTCTGTGTGGCCGCTCTGTGGACTCAGCGTTTCACTGCGAAGATCTGCTCAGAGTGTGTTGGTTTACGGGATATTTTGGTGTCTCGGTGGGAGCAGCACTTATTGACTGCATCTGTTATTTTTCTGGGAAAAATCATCTAATCAAGATGTTTCTGGGAGCAATGTAACACAACAATTCAAACGCAAGAAGGCATCTCATCTTGAGCAAATAAATAGGAATAATGCCAAATGCTTTTTATGTCTCAGACACTACACATGTATGAATCTTTAAATAACCCAATGCACTACGCTTTAGATTTCTCCCCATTTTACAGATAGGAAAAGTGAGGTACAGAGAGATTGTAGACTTTGCCCAAAGTCACACAGCAAGTGAGTGGTGGAGTCAAGTTGGACCCAGTCTGACTTCGGAGATGACTACTTACCCATTAAGAGCAGGTTCCTCATTAAAAACGAGGATAAAGACCTTGTTAGTGTATTCAGAGTACTAAGGGGAAATAATTCAATCTAGGAACCTAGACCCAGCTAAAAATATTATTTCAGTCAGGATGAAATAAAGATATTTTAAAATAAAAACTGAAAGTGTTTATTATTTACAAGTTCTATCCAGGCAGAAAGACCTAGTAAACAATAAACTTTAGAAAAAAGATTATGGAAATTCAAAAGAGGATGAAAGAAGAAATGGAAAACAAAGAAATTGGTAAGCATGAATAGGTCAAAATATTGACTGTGAGAGAAAAATTAGAATGTTAAGTTTTAAAGGAAAGTGGAAGAAATATAATGCATAACAACATTAAATTGCTTCATGAATTGTAGACAATAAAGACTTCTGTGGGAAAAAACCACACTCAAACTCAAAGTGCTTTTTCTATTCTCTCTCTTAACAACAATCAACACAGAAGATGTCTGTGACCAAACTGGGGTGGAGGTGTTCTTCCTGCTACTAAGCAAGCAACAAATTCTACAATTCTGTTGTGGCTTACCTGGAGATAGCATCAGATCCCACATGTTGAGGATTCATTCCCACAAGACTGCCCCTACTTCACATGTCAGTTGCAACTCCAGGCCTCCAGAATTTCTGACCAATCAGCTTCAAGTTGGGGTTTTCATAACTCCCTCTTTGGGTTCAATTAATTTGCTGGAGTGGGTCAAATAACCCAGGGAAACATTTATGTTTACTGGTTTGTTATAAAAGATGTTAGAAATGATACAGATGAAGAGAGGCAAAGGCAAGGTAGGGGAGAAGGGGCATGGAGCTTCCGTGACCTCCCTGGATATGCCACCCTTTAGGAACCTCCATGTGTTCAGCTATCCAGAAACTCTTTGAACCTTGGTCTCTTGCTTGAGCCTTTCATGGGAACATCATTGAATAGGCATGACTGACAACTGTGTAGAAATGTGATTGGACAAAAAGAGTATGGTCTAATACTCATAGACTGAGAGGGGAAACCCTGTAAGGCCTGTCTGTTCAGATTCCTTTTGGCCCCTCTGTGTAGGACTCCTTCTTTTAGGGTATGGGGCAAGATCACTTCTGAAATGAGGGTCTTACGTCCCACAGTCAGACAAGGTAGGTCAGAGAATTCCTTTATGGCCAGCGCCAATATAGAAAAACAAGGAAGATTCCTCACTTGGAGAGAAAAAGGAGCAGGTGCAAGGAGGGCAGGAGAGGAGCAGAGAGACATTCTGTTTTCTCAGGCCTGCTTCTGAGCCCTAAAGTGCTCCACCATTATACCAAGAGCTATTGGAGTTATGAGCCAGGAACATGGATGGAAACCTATATGTAAAACCACAAACACACAGTAATAACAATATACCAGGATCCTTTAAAGAAACGAAGACATCTTTAAGCTTTTATTTCAGTTTAGTCGTCTCTCTTCAGAGGGATGGCCCAATAAAACTTCCTTACATATAAAGATAAAGCAAAAACTCAAAGAATAAAATAATGATGCCAAAAATGTTTTTTGTTGATGCCACCATTATTACCCTCCTAACCCGAGTTGATTCTACTTGGAAAATGCACACTTTGCTTATTTCATTTTTGTTTTTTTACCTTGCACTGGTGGAAATCTAAGATGACAAAGACAGTGTTCCTATCTCTTTATGCATTTTCACTTATATTCATTGATTTAGTCCAGGTAATTCTTTTTTTTTTTTTTTTCTTGAGAAGGAGTCTCACTCTATCTTGCCTAGGTTGGAGTGAGTGCAGTAATGCAACCTCGGCTCACGGCAACCTCCGCCTCCTGGGTTTAAGTGATTCTTCTGTCAGCCTCCTGAGTAGCTGGGACTACAGGCGTGTGCCACCACACCCTGCTAATTTTATATTTTTGTATTTTTAGTAGAGACGGGGTTTCACCCTGTTGGCCAGGCTGGTCTCCTGACCTCAGGTGATCCACCAGCTTTGGCCTCCCAAAGTGCTGGTATTATAGGTGTGGGCCACCGTTCCTGAACTAGTCCAGGTAATTCTCATAATTTTATTAGTTAGATAGCATTAATACAGGTGTCAAAAATGTCAGAATTATTTCTTTTAAGAAAAAAGTGTTGTGAAGGTTTCTTTATTTTCTTTTCTTATACATTAGGCATTAACAGTGATTTCCTGTGTAATTTGGGAATGTTTATTGACAGTAATGTGTATTACGGGAAGATAAATTCTATTTTTTCATGAAATGGCTGTCGTAGAATTATAATTATTATTATTTTGTTGTTGTTGTTGTTTTGAGACAGAGTCTTGCTCTGTCGTCCAGGCTGGAGTGCAGTGGCACAACCTCGACTCACTGCAGCCTCCGCCTCCTGGGTTCAAGCAATTCTCCCACCTCAGCCTCCCTGAGTAGCTGGGGTTACAGCCTCGCATGAGCACGCCTGGTTAATTTTTGCATCTTTAGTAGAGACGGGGTTTCGGCAAGTTGGCCATGCTGATCTCTAACTCCTGGCCTCAAGTGAGCCACCCGCCTTGGCGTCCTAAAGTGCTGGGATTACAGGTGTGTGCCACCTCACCCACCCATCAAGGAATCATTAAAAAGAAGGAATCTAAGACTATTTTAAAAATTTCTCTCAATGATTTAATATTTGGGTTTTATGTATTTTATTCCATTTTAGCACTGTGAGATAGCATGATTGCCTAAAGGACTGTATTAAAGATGAGTGCACAGTTCTGTCTTATTTATCTGCTGTCACATTGTTTTGACACAGAAGAAAGTCAAGTAACATTGATGAAGAGCTAAAATATGCTCTAACTGTGGAAAAAATAAATATAAATTGTCCATAGTTGCTCAATTTCTAAAGTAAAAGGAAAAAATACAGTGTAAGACTGTGAATTAGTTCAGGAAGGTAAACTTAAGTAATGTTTATTTAACTTCAAGATTTCAGTGGCTTAACTCAACAAAGGTCTGCTTCTTCTGCATGTCACGGGACAATGCTGGTTGGTATGGATGGCTCTTCTCCATGCAGTAATTCAGAGACACAGGCTTCTTTCATCTAGTGATTTATTTTTCCCTGCAGCTTCAGATACTCTTTTTCCCTCTCTCTGGGATCCTTTGCATCTGTCTGGCAGATATGGAGACGGAAAGCACAAGAGGATTGTGTTAGGAGTCTTAAGGGCTGGATGTGACACTCCTTGAAAGGGAAGCTGGGGAATGAGTATGTAGGTGTGTGTCCAGGATGTAGGGAAAATGGGTTTGGTGAGTATACATGCTGGTGTTTGCTATAAGAGAGCTAATCATGACTTTGTTTTGCAAGTATGAAAAGTGTGAAAAAGATAACATGAATGATAAAATCAGGCATGGTCACATTTATAATTGATCATTGATGTTTTTTCCAAGTTAATTACTTCTGTGATTTCTTGATAGCTATCAGCATGAGCCCCATTGCCTAAACATGATCTCATTTATTTATGTGTTTGAACAATTCATATTTTTTTATGTTTTGTAGAGATGGGATCACCCTATGTTATCCAGGCTGGTCTCGAACTCCTGGCCTCAAGTGATCCTTCCACCTTGGCCTCCCAAAGCACTGAGATGACAGGCCTCTGTGAACCACTGTGCCTGGTCTCATATATATGTATTTTTAATATGCAGCTTGCTTCTTATTTATGTGATGAGAAGAGAATAAATGTCACATTATTTTAGTTGAAGAAGTTCGTCAACATTTTGTCTTTTAAATTTAATTCACCTATAAGTTTGTATCGTCTTCAACCCTGTGTTTAAACACATAACATTCTTTAATAGACACCTAACAATTTACAAACACCTCATGCTCCTCCATGTGGCCTGGGGAGTGCACGATGATGCTGGCCAGCACTAAGTTCTTCCACCTATGAACTTTGAATTCTGCCTTTGAGCTTTCATAAATGAAGAAAGCTATCCAGCAAAGCAGATGTTGAGCAACTCTTCATGTCTGCCTACTCTCACAGGTGGGGACAGCACTTCCTGGAATAACGTTGCTTTGGATTTAACAACAGTTGGGCAAAGGAGGTCGGTATACAGATACAGGACAAGAAGAGTGGTGTCAAAGGGAGGCTAAATCATTGGTTCTGGCTTCATCTAAGGAATTCTTATGAGAAATCGAGGGAGAGACTGTCCTGGGAAGTCTGATGAAACATGTAAGTTAATAGGCTGCAAGAATCATTTCTATCTGGTGTCTTTCTTTCCTTACATTTATTTCTGCTCCTTGACTGTTCACAGGTGACTTGAAATCAGATTGCCCTATCCTTTTTGAAAAGGGAAGCTTGTTTTCAATCCTCTGAGTAGTTTGTAATGGTGTGAGGGCAGGGAGGTAGTACAATCTATCACTTTCCAACTTTTTACTTTTTTAATTTTTAAAATAAAAAAATTGTTTTTGAGACAGAATCTCACTCTGTCACCCAGGCTGGAGTGCAGTGGCACAATCTCAGGTCACTGCAACCTCTGCCTCCTGGGTCCAAGTGATCCTCCTGCCTCAGCCTTCCGAGTAGCTGGGACTACAGGCGTCCGCCACCATGCCCAGCTAACTTTTAAATTTTCAGTAGAGACGAGGTTTCACCATATTGGCCAGGCTGGTTTCAAAATCCTGACCTCAGGTGATCCACCCACCTTAGCCCCCCAAAGTGCTGGGATTACAGGTGTGAGCCACTGCACTTGGCCTACCACTTTCCAATTTAATGATCATCAGATGGGATAAGCAATATTGGAGAGTTTTAACTAAAACAAGAAGGTACTGCTGGGTCCCATAGAATGTGGAAAATTCCATTAGTTGGTGTTTTCTGGTTGTGCTGGGGGCCACACTAACATGGATGGGTATGACATGTTACTTATGTTAGAGATAAATGCAGAAAGGTAAAGAAGCATGACCAGTTCCAGGCCCACACATTGCCTGGCAGTGGTCTGTGAATCGGCAGTGGAGCAATGAGTCATTATCACAATGTGCTGGCTGAGAGGTACAGGGACATGTCAGTTACAGAGGCACTGCTGTGGAGAGAGGTCTTCCTTGTGTTTCAGCTGTGCTGCCTGTAGAGGGAGACACTGCTCCTCAGGTAAGGATTTAGAGTGTGGCATCAGCCAACTGTGAATATGTCAAGTGGGCCCTAAGTCTCTGGCAAAAGGAAAAGGGAGAAAGATAGGTTTTCAAGCAGCTCTAGCAAGGAGTCTGTGCCGCATGTCCCAGATCAAAACTACTTATCTTTCCTCCTCCTTCTTGTCCATTTGTTTTGTTCCATTGGTTGACAATGACCCTTCAGTTTGGCAGGTTCTTGGCCTCACTCACTGACCTAACAGACTTACTAAGTGTCTGTAATAAGCACCTAATGACGCAGGTGTATTTCATTAAGATTCTTCTTCTTCTTCTTTTTTTTTTTTTTTTAAATTCTTCACAGAAAGGTCATTTCTATCTGGCAAAGAACAGAAGAGCTTTGTTTTTAGGTCATGTTAACCTTCCTCATATTTGAAAGAAAGGTTCATCCCTTTGCCGTGTTTTGATTTTGAGGATGAGTCTGCTCTGTCCATTTTGGGCCATTACTGCAGAGCTCAGCTGCCCAACAACTGGACTTATCTAGGTCACAGGGGAGAACATAGATGTATGTAAATAAAACACGTAACTGGTCAATATTCATGTTAATAGCTTCAATCCTAGTGTGAAGACATGTGTATTTGACTCATGGGAGAGAACCTTTTATGCTTACTTTACACAAAGTAAAAACTAAAATGATCTGTTGATTTACTAATAAAATCAGGCCCAGATTCAGGTTGGCCAAGAAGCTAGACACTCCATAAAGAGAAAGGTGCCTAAACTTTAAAACTTGAACTTCTAGTCTTCTCCTAGTCTTCTCTATTGCCAGCCTTTGAAGGCAAGGGATTGACATTGATAAGGGCGCTGATACTATACATTATGGTTAGTGGGTTAGGCTGTTGGATTAATGGGATTAACCTGGCTACTGGCTGATGGTGGCCCAGATGCAGAAGTAAGAGTAGAAATTTCAAGAGAGAAATCACAAAACTTGTCAAACTTCCATAAGATATTGGGTATCACCAAGACAGATGTTAAGTCTCCCAGTACAACATTGGAGGTTGGAAACATATCACAATAGGACAGGACAATCACTTTCCCAGCTAAAGAGTCACGAGGGCAGAGTGACTCGCAGGAGAGCTAGAAAGGTTCCCAGCAAGATAAGGAGGCAGCCTTGATGTGGGCCCCAATGCCCCAAGCATGACTAAGGGCATTTTGTAAGACCAAATATTGAGTGGTGTCACTTCCTCTTTATTCTATAATCCCATGAGTTTTTGAATATTCTTAATCATGGCCGGTGGCTGTTGTACCCTGGTGCTTGGCAATGTCCATCCAGGGCAAGGGTACCTTTTTCTAATTTGTGCAAAGGTTCAATATGGGCTAGCTGTGACCCTACCTATGACTTCAGAGAATCAGAGAGGAGTTATATGCCCGTAATGGGGTCATATGATTGTTAAATTTTTTTAAAGATATGGGGGTCTCCCTCTGTGGCCCAGGCTGGAGTGTAGCGGCACAATCATGGCTCACTGCAGCCTCAAACTCTTGGGCTCAAGTGATCCTCCTGCCTTAGCCTCCTGAATAGCTGGGATATAGGGGCATGCCACCACACCTGGCTAATTCTTAAATTAATTTTTTTTTTAATAGAGATAGGGTGTTACCGTTTTGTTCAGGCTGGTCCTTGAACTCCTGGCCTCAAGTGGTCCTCCAGTCTCAGCCTTCCAAAGCATTAGGATTATAGGCATGAGCCACCATGATGGCTTTGGGTCAAATGTTAAAGGGGGACCAGGGCTTGCCTGAGGTCATTGATAGTTCATGAGAGAGTCCCACGAGGATGAGACTCTTGTGCTGATGGAGTTGGAGCTCTAAGGCAGACCTTCACACCTTGAACTCTAAGTCTCAAGTGTGTTGCAAGTGTGCCTTGAGGAAGCTGGTCAAGGTCTGGGGAAGCCAGAGCCTCTGTACTGGTCACCTCTGGCTGGGAGTACCCTTGTTCATTTACCTAGTGTGTGTGCAATATGATTATATTCTCAGAATGCCATGATGTGAACAAATTTGGGGAGCACTGCTATAAGATATTACTTTACAAAGGACTTGGGTTTGATATCTTGAAGGAAATGTGTGGTCTTCCTTATACTTGGTTATCTGGTTTCCAGAACCAGCACACTAATATTAGAAAATGATGAAGTGGGAAAATGTTTGCTGAAGAACTTTGAGCTACAACTGGATTCTAAGCCAGAAGTCATGGAGGACCCTGCAGTGAATGGGCACTGGTTGCTGCAAAGAGTGGCTCTGGAACATAGGACAGAATATGATCTGTTTAACTCAGAGCTAAGTAGCTGTGATAGTCTCCAAAACGGACCAGACCACTCTTACTCCTCCCAGTGCTGGCACTGTGTGCCTATGACATACTCTCAGCTACTGATGACATGGTTATGCTGATTCTCTCCTTGAGCTGCCTCCCAAGCCCTCCTCCTTTTTATTTTCTTTAATCATCTCTCTCTCTCCCTCTGTCTCTCTCTTTATTAAGAGCCAGGGCTTCCATACATAGTTGTGCAGTGCACAACCCACACAACTCTGTGCTAAGAGCCTTGATGCTCTGTGCTGTCTACTGAACACAGGTCAAACTTGATAGCCTGTCATGTAAGATCCTGGATGATGCAGCTTCAGTCTATCTGAGTCAGTGAAGAGGCTGGCAGAAAACAAATGGTCTCCTCAAAGAGTTTGACTGAGGAGAATTTACAGACTATTTACAAAGAGGTGAGTGGGGTGAGAGGAACCAATCAGGGATGGTGAAACACTTAGGAATTAGCCATAGCAAAGCGGTTACCACTCCTAAGGCTGAAAGGACAGAAAAAACAGGGGATGATACTGAACCCCGGAGCGAACTTGGAGTCACAGAAGACAGGAGCTATAACTATGGAGCTAACACTGGCTTAGTAGTTAAGAAGCAGGGAGGGAACCGGGGATAAATGCCCATGTATCTCTGCCCTTGTACTCTGATCTCAAGCCAGAGCCCCGGTGGCCAAACCCATTGGAACACAGAGGACAAAAGGGCATGCACGATGCAGTCTATAGTGGTCAGTCCCTGCAGGGCAGAAAAGTTGGGGAATGCCTGTAATTGGGTCAATTACAGGGAGAGTAACTAGCATATTGCCTTCCCTCCTTCCAGCCCTCTCATCCTGTATGCTGATTCCTTTTCCGAGCAGTACCACAGCCTTCGCACCTCTGTCATTTTGTTCATGCTTAGGCCTCTGTATGGAATGCTCTTTCCTGCACCCTCCTATATTTATACATTTGAAATCCTACTCATCTTTAAAATCCCAGCTTAGAGGTGACCTTCTTAAAGATTTCTTTGATCCCTCAAGTGGAATCCTCTAGGGCAGGGACATCTATGGCTTGCAAAGCCTAAAATATTTACTTTTTTTTTTTTTTTTTTTGAGACGGAGTCTCGCTCTGTCACCCGGGCTGGAGTGCAGTGGCACAGGCTCACTGCAACCTCTGCCTCCCAGTTTCAAGCAATTCTCCTACCTCAGCCTCCCAAGTAGCTGGGACTACAGACACATGCCACCACGCCCAGCTAATTTTGTTTGTATCTTTTAGTAGAGACAAGGTTTCACCATGTTGCCCAGGCTGGTGGCAAACTCCTGAACTCAGGCAATCCACCCCGCTAGGCCTCCCAAAGTCCTGGGATTACAGGTGTGAGCCACCGTGCCAGGCCAAAATATTTACTCTTTAGCCCTTTACAGAAAATATTTGACAGTCCCTGCTCTAAACTTGTGCTATTCACTATGGTTGCCATGAGCTATGTGTGGCTATGGCACATTTGAAATGTGGGTAGTGAGACTGAGAAACTGAGTTTTCAATTTTACTTCATTTTTATGAATTGAATTTCAAGTTTAAAAAAACAACACTCAATTCAGTTATGAAAAACTTTTAAGTCTGTTTAGAGCAATTTGGGTTTGCAAGTCTTTTTTTTTTCAAGTGTACATTTTACAAACTTTGAATGTGGCTACGGTATTTCTGAAGAAAATTTAGTTTCCAAATTGCCATGTGTTTTAAGTGTATACTGAATTTTCAAGACTGAGCTAGAAGAAAAGAGAATGTAAAATATCTCATTAATAATTTTCATATTGATTTTGGGTCAAAATGATATTATAATAGTGGGTTAAAGTATATTATTAAAATGACTTTCACTTTTTTCTTTTAACCTTAATTTTTTTAAATTCTTATAGATTCAGGAGGTACATGTGCAGTTTTGTTACATGGCTATATTGTATAATGGTGAGGTTTGCACTTCTAGTCTACCCGTCACCTGAATACTGAACATTGTACCCAATAGGTAATTTTTGACCTTTGCCCCCTCCGACTCTCCCCAGTATCTATTATTTCCCACTATATGTCCATGTGTACCCCTTGTTTAGCTCCCACTTATAAGTGAGAACATGTAATATTTGACTTTCTGTTTCTGAGTTATTTCACTTAGGATGGTGGCCTCCGGCTCCATCCATATTGCTGCAAAAGACCTGCTTTTATTCTTTTTTAGGGCAGCATAGTATTCCATGATGCATGTATACCATATTTTCTTTCTCCAATCATTTGTTGATGGACAGTTAGGGTGATTCCATGCCTTTGCTATTGTGAACAGTGCTGTGATAAACACAGAGTGCAGGCATCTTTTTGATAGAATGATTTCTATTCCTTTGAGTAGGTACTCAGTGGGATTGGTGGGTCAAATGGTAGTTCTACTTTTAGTTCTTTGAGACATCTCCATACTTTTTCTGTATTCCCACCAACAATGTATAAGCGTTTGTTTTTCTCCACATCCTTGGCAACATCAGCTGTTTTTTGATTTTTTAATTAATAGCCATTATGACTGGTGTGAGATGGTATCTCATTGTGGCTTTAATTTGCATTTCTCTGATGATTAGTGATGTTGAACATTTTTCATGTTTGTTGGTTGCTTGTATGTCTGAAGAAATGTCTGTTCATTGTTTATGTCCTTTGCCCACTTTTCTTTTCTTTTCTTTTTTTTTTTTTTGAGACAGCGTCTTCCTTTGTTGCCCAGGTTGGAGTGCAGTGGTGTGATCTTGGCTCACTGCAATCTCCACCTCCTAGGTTCTAAGAGATTCTCCTGCCTCAGCCTCCGGAGCAGCTGGGATTACAGATGTGCACCATCACGCCCGGCTAATTTTGTATTTTTAGTAGAGACGGGGTTTCACCATATTGGCGAGGCTGGTCTTGAACTCCCGACCTCAGGTGATCCACCTGCCTCGGTCTCCCAAAGTGCTGGGATTACAGGCGTGAGCCACCGTCTCTGGCCATCCTTTGCCCACTTTTAAATGGAGTTATTTGTTTTTTTCTTGTTGAACTGAGCCAAACAAAAGCTCAGTTCAGGCAGGCCATGGTTGCTTATGCTGGTAATTCCAGCACTTTGAGAGGCTGCTGCGGACGGATCGCTTGAGTCGAGGAGTTCTGAGACCAGCCTGGGCAACATGGCGAAACCCCATTCTACAAAAAAGTACAAAAAATTAGCTGGGCATGATGGTGCTCTCCTGTAGTCCCAGCTACTCAGGAGGTTGAGGTGGGAGGATTGCTTAAACTTGGGAGGTGGAGGTTGCGGTGGGTGACAGAATGAGTCCTTGTCTCAAAAAAAAAAAAAACAAAAACAAAAAACAAAAAGAAAAAAAAATGAAAAAGCTTAATTTAACAGTTTTTCTTGCATGTGAATGACCTCTGAGCTTTTAAATGGAAAGTTGACACTGAGTTTTGGTGAATGGCAGGGGTTTTTGGTTTGTAATACAAGTGCTTTTTTTCTTATTAAGTTTTTCCTTGTAGGTTCTGGGTATCAGTCCTTTGTTGGATGCATAGTTTGCAAATATTTTCTCCCTTTCTGTAGACTGTTTACTCTGTTGATTATTTCTTTTGTTGTGCAGAAGCTTTTTAGTTTAATTAAGTTTCATTTTTCTGTTTTTGTTACGTCTTAGTCATGAATTCTTTGCGTAGGCCAATATCTAGAAGAGTTTTTCTTAGGTGTTCTTCTAGGATTTTTATGGTTTCAGGTTTTATGTTTAAGTCTTTAATCCTTCTTGAGTTAATTTTTTTTTATAGGGTGAGAGATAGGGGCCAAGTTTCATTCTTCCACATGTGGTTATCCAATTTTTCCTGCACCATTTATTGAAAAGAGAGTCCTCTGCCCAGTGTAACTTCTTGTTAGCATTATTGAAGATAAGTTGGATTGTTGGTATGTGGCTTCATTTCTGGATTCTCTATTTTGTTCCATTGATCTATGTGTCTATGTATGTACCAGTACTATGCTGTTTTGGTTATAATAGCCTTGCAGTGTAATTTGAAGTCAGGTAGTGTGATGCCTCCAGCTTTGTTCTTTTTGCTTAGGATAGATTTCTATGGAGTAACACTGCTCTGTAGTAACATTCAGAAACTGTAATAATTTTTATACTGTGGTGACACATATATCTTCCTCTCTAGATTCAAAGTTTTTTTAAAGTCTGGGACACAGTTAAAAAAATTCTGATGTATATGCTCTGCTTGCAGAAGGTACTCAATAAATGAATACAAGTCAAACAAATGCTCAATTCAAACACTTTCTTGCATGTAGATGACTAGTTCTCTGGGCTTTTAAATGGGAAGTTGAGACTGAGTTTTACTGAATTGCAGGAGTTTTTAGCTTGTAACCACAAGTGCTTCCTTACTGTAAGATAGATGACTCAATGAATAGGCTTCTTACAGAGAAAATGATGGACAGTGGACTCTTTTTTAATGATCGGTAAGAATTTATATAAGGCCATGTCTAATTTTTAACTACAGAGGATGACTATATCATAAAACAGAAAATTGTCAAATGTTCATGCTCTACCAGGGGTAAGCTATTATATTTGAGAGGACACATTTTTTTTAAAATTTCAATAGTTTTTGGGGAACAGGTAGTGTTTGGTTGCATGGAAAAGTTGTTTAGTGGTGATTTCATGGGAAAGTTGTTTAGTGATGATTTCTGAGATCTTTGTGTACCCGTCACTCAAGCAGTGTACACTGTACCTGGTGTGTACTCTTTAATCCCTCACCCACCTCCCAACCCTTCCCCCTGAGTCCCCAAAGTTCATTATATCATTATTATGCCTTTCATCCTCATAGCTTAGCTCCCACTTATAAGTGAGAACATATGATGTTTGGTTTGGGGGAGGATACATTTTTAAGGGCTCAGCATCAATTAAACATTTCATAGACATGAAAAATAATATATCAGAAATTCAATTCAAATCCAGCACGTATTTATTGAGCACATACTATGTGCCAGGGATTGTTCTAGGCTCTTGGGATGCACCAGTGAATATAACTGACAAAAATGTCTGCCTTTGTGGAGCTTATGTCCCATTATGTTTATTATAACATGATAAATAAACTAGTATATTAGGAAGTGGTAAGTACAGTAGAAAAAAAGAGGAAAATAGAGCAGGGTGAGAGGACCAGGAATACAGCATGGAACAAGTAACACATTTAAGTTAGGGTGGTCAGGACAGGCCTCACTAAAAGGTGCCATTTGAATAAAGCCCTGATGGGTGTGAGGGATTTCTCCATACAGCTATCCAGGAGAAAAGCATTCCAGACAGTGATGAGCCAATGTCATGGGTCTGGTTGGGGAGTTCATAGGTATGACCAAAGAAGAGCAGGAAGGCAGAGCAGCAAGAAGAAGTCAGCAGGGAGAAGACGTGTAGGAGATTAAAAAAAAAAAAGAGAGGCAATTTGGACCAGATCATACGGGTCTTGTTTAAAGACTTTGGCTCTTTTTTTTGAGACAGAGTCTTGCTTTGTCACTCAGGCTGGAGTGCAGTCGCATGATCTCGGCTCACTGCAACCTTCACCTCCCGTGTTCAAGAGATTCCCCTGCCTCAGCCTCCTGAGTAGCTGGGACTACAGGTGCCCACCACCGTGCCCAGTTAATTTTTGTATTTTTAGTAGAGATGGGGTTTTGCCATGTTGGCCAGGCTGGTGTCGATCTCCTGACCTCAAGTGATCTGCCTGCCTTGACCTCCCAAAGTGCTGGGATAACAGGCGTGAGCCACCATGCCCAGCCAACTTTGACTTTTGATATGAGAGAACTGGAGAGCAGAGGAATGACCTGATCTGACTTAAGTTTTAAGAGAACCACTGTAACTGATATGTTGAGAATACACTAGAGGTTGGCAAACTATTCTGTAAAGGGCCAGAGCATTTATGATCTGTGAGCTATACAGTTTCTGTCACAACTATTCAATGATTATAGCACAAAAGTAGCCATGCATAATATGTAAATGAATGAGCGTGGTTGTGTTCCATTAAAACTTTATTTATGAGCACTGAAATTTTATATAATTGTCATGTCCCTCAAAAGATTTTTTATTTTGATTTTTTCCAACTGGTTTAAAAATATAAAATCATTCTTAGCTTTTAGGATGTACAAAAGCAAGCAGTGAACCCAATTTGGCCACTGGGGAGTAGTTTGTCAACCCCTTGAATAGATTGTAGGGGGACAGGAGAACAATGGAGACTATTTAGTAATCCAAAGGAAAGAGATGGTGGTAATCCAGACGAGGATAATGGCAGTGCTTGTGTAAGAAGGGGCCATATTCTAAATATATATTGAAGGTTAAGCCAAAAAGATTTGTTGGTGGTTTGGATGTGGAGTGTGAGAGAAAGAGAAGAAACAAGGAAGACTTCAAGATTTTTTGTCTGAGCACTTTGAAGGATGTATTGCCATTGACCAAGATGGAGAAGGCAGTAGACGAAGTGGGTTTTGGAGTAGAAGATTAGGAGTTTGGTTTTGGACATGTTAATTTTGAGATTGCTATTAGATATTAAAGTGGAGCTGGTGAGGAGGCAGATGGATATATAAGCCTAGAGTTTGGAGAAAGGTCTGGTCTGGAGATAAGACATTTGGGAAGCATTGCATGTAGATAGCATTCAAAGTCTTGTGGTTGCATGAGATCACCTAGGGAATAAGTGTTGACAGAAAAGGCAAAAGAGAGCCAAGGACTCAATCCCAGAGTATTTTAGGTTGATGCAAAGAGAAGAAAGCAGCAAGGGCCGTTGAGGAGTGGTCAGTGAGGTAACTAGAAAGCCAGGATACTGTGGTGTCCTCAAAGCCAAGGGATGAAAGGATGTCAATGAGGAGGGAGTGAACAATTGGATCAAGTATTGCTGATAAGTAAGATAAGACCTGAAAACTGACCATTAGATTTAGCCATATGGATTCACAGATGCCCTTAACGAGATCACTTTCCATGAGCTGTGGGATTGAAAAACTAGTTAGAGTTGGTTTAACAGAGAACGGGAAAAGTGAGTAAAGATAACCCCATTTTTTTTTCTAGTTTTGTTGCAAAGGTGCCAAAGAAATAATGGGGGAAGAGTGAAATCAAGCAAGATTATTTTTTTCTAAACATGAGAAAAACGTTTGTATGCTGATTAGGGGTACCAATAAAAAAGAAGAATCCAAATACAGGAACTTTATTATTTTATAATAACTCAAAGAGGAAAATCTATACTCCATTTACTAGGAAATGGGCATCAATGTCTACAATAATCACACCAGGTATATTATATACACATAACATAAAAATACTCCAATCCGTTAGACTGACTAGCTATAAAAAGTTTTTAATGTTTAATTTACAGTTTTACTTGCCACCTTAGAATTTACAAGACCTTTTTGATGATGGATTGTATGACCCATTTCTGTTAAAGAAGCTGACCTGATAACTTGATTTTCCTTTTCATTAAACTTCCCCCTAACAGAGGCATTCAGTATCATTTTACTGACCATAGAACTATCATCATTAGTCTTACTTATCAATAATTTTATTAGCAACAAAAGCTGACAATGATTCTTGCCTTAAAAAATATTTCTGTATGTATCGCTAATACCAGTTTCTCCATTTCATCCTCCTTCCTTCTTAGTTTATTTAGAGCAAGCACAATCAGAGGAAATATAGGTTACAAGGAAACAAATCAATGGTGGTTTATTTATTTATTTTTTTAGAGACAGGGTCTTGCTTTGTTGCCCAGGCTGGAGTGCAGTGGCGCCATCTTGGCTCACTGCAATCTCTGCCTCCCCTTCTGCCTCAGCCTCCTTAGTGGTTGGGACTACAGGTAAGTGCCACTACACCTGGCTTTTTATTTTTATTTTTTGTAGAAATGGGGTTTTGCCATGTCGCTTAGGCTGGTTTCAAACTCCTGGACTCAAGCGATCTGCCCGCCGCAGCCTTCTAAAGTGCTGGGATTACAGGTAGGAGCCACCACACCCAGTCAAATCAGTGGCTGATAAGTCATTCAACTTACAACTTTCAATTTAACCTTTTGTTGGCAGCTCTCAGAGGACTTTGTAATTGAAAAGACAGAATCATAGAAACAGTAATCAGGTTCTCAGCAGACTTTTCAAAATACGTTTCCAAACATCCCTGTGGAATTAAGACCAACATTAGACAATCTACTGATTTTCCAGCCTGCTGGTGTCTCTCTGTGCTCAGATTTTGAATAAATGAATGACTTCAGCTTTGTTTTTCAATTAATTGTTATTTAATTTAAGACATCTTAAGAGATGTACATAAAAGTACTTTGTATAAGACAAAGGTGAAGATTGCCTTAGGCATATTTGAGAAGGTTTGTTCAATAAAAACTTAAGAAAATAAGTGAATTAGATGTTTCTGGACATTTCTTTCAACCGCTGATTTTGTTGTGGTTGTTGTTAACTTACCAAAAAGTTATAGAACCTTTCTCTAGAACTCGTGGATAATACTAAGCAATTGCTCTAAGAGTTAGCTATGTAAGTATGAAATTCTTAGCCCCTACATTTCCTTTTCAGCTGACTGGGACAGATGAAAAGCAGCACCAGCCACAGGTTTCTTTCTCATTCTGTGTAATTACCATCTCTAATCCTGAATCACTCAAACTTTCCTACCACTATACTCTGCACCTATTCTCTGTTTCATATCCTATCTATGATGATGATTGTTAAAAAGTTTCTCAATATATCCTAGATGCAGCATCAACCACCACTGGCCCTTTTCCCCCTTTTGATGTTGGCAATGGGGGCATAGAAACTACAGTACACTTTTTAGGAGTTGGACAGGGACAGAATGGAATAGGTTGGACAAAGTATATTGGGATTGGGATAAGATGGAGGGGTTGGTGTAGGTTGAAGTTCTTCCAGATGTAATACAGGGTGTGGCTGCAGGGTGAGTGGGTTTGAAGAGAATTTATGGGTACCAAAGAGGCTGGATGGGCAAATAGTTAAAGAAGCAAGAGAAAATACTTTAACTTTCTCCAAGTATTGCTCCCATGAGTGGCTCAACTGTACTAATTAAAATGAAATCAAGTAGCAACTTGGATGTCTGGAAAGACCTCTGAGTGCCAAAGGTGTGTGCTCACTCTTTCCTTTTCACAGAGTTGGCCTGCAGATGATGAAAACAGGTATGAGGTCAGGCATCTCCTCTTTCATCCAGACCATGGCATTGATTGCTCAGGGAATCTCATTTCTCCAACATTTGCTGAAGCTATTAATACTTCCCCTAGTTTCCTTCCTGTCAGAGTGTTTGAAGAACACTTTGAGAAATCAGAAAAATATTTGAGAGCAAATAGTGTGAAATGGTTCTCTTTGTTGTTAATAACAAATCATAGGAGTCCCATATTCCCACAGATCTACAAATCATGTGTCAATATCTAGTTTGTAAGTGTCTCCATTTGTCCTCTATCATTCCAGAAGTCTTTTTCATATGATGTCAGGGGAACTGAAATGGAATGTAATAAAATTTAAACCTGGGATTTGCTGAAAAGAAACAGAGGTGGTATTAGTCTTGTTTTTCTCAAACTTTTACCTCATTTCTTTAATATAGCTCTTGCTGAGCAACTTGAAAATTCTCCTAGAGAATTGAGGCTTGGATTTTTTGCAGCTGCCCTTGAGGTCAATCTTTAAATTGCAGTGTCTATGGTGAAAGAGAAAATTGAGTCACAGGAAGGAATAAGTTATGAAGAGATTTTTGTCAAAATATTTCCCTTCCAATAGGCAGATAGATAGTGCTACTCTTGACAGCAAATTTCTTTTTGTTTTTTATTATTTTTATTTTTATTCTGATGGAGTCTCACTCTGTCACCCAGGCTAGAGTGCAGTTGCATGATCTTGGCTCACTGGAACTTCTGCCTCCCAGGTTCAAGCTATTCTTGTGCCTCAGCCTCCTGAGTAGGTGGAATTATAGGCATGTGCTACCATGCTTGGTTAATTTTTTGTATTTTTAGTAGAGACGGGGGTTTTACCATGTTGGCCAGGCTGGTCTCGAACTCCTGACCTCAAGTGATCTGTCTGCCTCAGCCTCCCAAAGTACTGGGATTACAGGCGTGAGCCACTGCGCCCAGCCTTGACAGCAAATTTCCTAATGACTAGAATTCTGTGTTTAAACCTCATTATTGTAAATAATGCTGCAATGAACATAGGAGTGCAGATACACCTTTGACATGCTGATATCAAGTCCTTCCAATATATTCCAGAAATGGGATTACTGGATCATATGGTAGTTTTGTTTTTAGTTTTTTGAGGAAACTCCATACTATTTTCCATAATGACTGTACTGATTTAGATTCCTACCAACAGTGTACTAGGGTTCCTTTTTCTCTGTATCCTCACCAACACTTGCTATCTTTAATCTTTACACAATGAAATACTGTTCAGGCTTAAAAAAGAGCAAAATCCTGTCATTTGAGACAACAGGGTACATCTAGAAGACATTATGCTAAGTGAAATAAGCCAGGAACAGAAAGACAAATAGTACATGATCTCACTTACATGTGGAATCTGAAAAAACTTGAATTGATACAGGTAGAGACTAGAATGATGGTTACCAGAGGCTAGGGGGAAAAGGGCGGAGGGAGCGGGAATGGGGAGTTACTAGTCAAAGGGTACAAAGTTTCAGCTAGGCAGGAGAAATAAGTTTTGCTATCTCTTGCACAGCAGGGTAACTATAGTCAATGATAAAGCATTGTATATTTCAAAATAAGTAAGAGAGTAAATTTCAAATGTATCAACACAAAAAATGTCAAATAAGTGAAGTGATGAATATGTTTATTAGCTTGATTTAACCACTTCCCATGTATACATACATCAAAACATCACATTGTACTGTGTAAATTGAATATGATTTTTCCAATTAAAATAATATAAAATTTAAAAAATCCCATTACAGGCTGGGCGGGGTGGCTCATGCCTGTAATCCAGCATTTTGGTAGGCTGAGGCAGGCAGATCATTTGAACCCGGGGCAACATGGTGAAACCCTGTCTCTACAAAAATAAGCCAGGAGTGGTGCTGTGCACCTGTATTCCCAGACACTTGGGAGGCTGAGGTGAGGGGATCGCTTGAGCCAGGAAAGTTGAGGCTGCAGTGAGCAGAGATGGCACCACTGCACTCCAGCCTGGGCCACAGAGTGAGACTCTGTCTCAAAAAATAAATAAATAAAATAGAGAATAAAAATCCCATTATGATGAATTATTAATACATCATTACATGGTTTCCATACCATGGAGCTATTTCTATAGTGCTTCATGACTGAAATCCCCTCAGAATTCATTACAAAAAACCATGTTATTGTTTTTTAAGACTAACAGGCATAGGACTGATATATATATATATATATAGACTTTTAATTGTATGTTGTTAAATAATGATGGCTATTACCTTCTTAAGCCCTCTCCATCTAAAATACTTCAACAAATGAAACAGAATACTTCAAAATATTTCTAAATTTCCAGGAGAAATTTCAAAATTATACTAAATGATTGAGGGTGACAGATTTGAAGTTGCTTATACAAATAACTTTTTCTCTATTCTGTTTAAAGATTTTTACTTACTAAATTCATATGAAGAACAACAATTAGTTGCTTAATTTTCCTTATGCAACTTATAGCTATGCATTTATGGGAAACAAGTATTTTGACAAAATATGATTATGCTGACCAATGGAATAAATTATACAGGGGTTTCACCTTCTTAGTGTTCAGCTTACCAGATGTTGCTACAAGATAAGCACTTTAAAACTCACTGGCTTAAGCGCAATTCAAAATTGCAAAATTGTGGAACCAAACCAAAAGCCCATCAATCAACTAGTGAATAAAGAAACTGGTACATATATATGATGGAATACTACACAGCCATAAAAAGGAATGAATTAACAGCACTTGCAGTAAGCTGGATGAAATTGGAGGCTATTATTCTAAATGATGTGACTCAGGAATGGAAAATCAAACATCATATGTTCTCACTGATACGTGGGAGCCGAGCTGTGAGGACGCAGAGGCATAAGAGTGATACAATGGACTTTGGGGACTTGGAGAAGAAGAGTAGGAGGGGGGCGAGGGAAAAAAGACTACAAATATGGTGCAGTGTATACTGCTTGGGTGGTGGCTGCACCAAAATTTCACAAATCACCACTAAAGAACTTATTCATGTAACCAGATACCACCTGTACTCCAATAACTTACAGGGAAAAAACCCCAACTCACTGGCTTAGATTTATCACATCCTAAAAAAATCTAAATTTCATAATAGCTAGATTATTATTCATGTCACATCACTGATATCTGACTCCCCTAGTATAGCTCTAAATACACAATAACTCAATTAGCCATTCTGCGAATTTCTTTAAATGCCACATCTTTTATTGTTAATTATTTAAAGCATAATATTATTACGATAATTTCCAATCCAATATTTTTAAAAAGTATGTACATATTTAAAAATCAGCAGTACAGAAGAGTACCAGTTGAAAAGTTTCTACTTGTATTAGTCTGCTTGGGCTGCCATAACAAAATACCACAGACTGGGTGACTTAAACAACAGAAATATATTTTCTTACAGTTCTGGAAGTTAGAAGTTCAAGATCAATGTCCTATGAGGGTTGATTTCTGGGGAGCCTTCTCTTCTTGACTTGTAGACATCTGCCTTCTTGCTGTGTGCATGGGAGTGGGGAGGAGGGACAGCTCTTCTTTCTTTTTTTAAAAAATTTTTATTTTCAATTATTATGGGTACATAACATATATATATATTTATGGGGTACATGCGATGTTTTGATACAGGCATGCAATGTGTAATAATCACATCAGGGTAATTGGGGTATTCATCCTCTTAAGGACGATAGCCCTACTGGTTTAAAGCCCCACCCTTGTGATACCATTTAACCTTAATTGCTTCCTTAAAGGCCCTACCTCCAAATATAGTCACATTGGGAGTTAGGGCTTCAGCATATAAATTTAGGGGAGACATAACTCAGTCCTGATATCACTCAATCCCTAAGTCCAAATTCCAGAGAAAACCACTTCAAGCTATTTTCTGATTTTAGTCACTGTAATTGTATAATATACTTATGTACTTGTTTTCTGAACGATAAATATTTAGACATCATATCTTTTGGCTGCATATAATGAAGATTAGGAAATTACAAGTGACCTTTGAACAATACGGGTTTGAACTGCGTGGGTCTACTTACAGGCAGATTTTTTTCTACCTCTGCTACCCCTGAGACAGCAAGACCAACCCCTCCTCTTCCTCCTCCTCCTCAGCCTGCTCAGTGTGAAGACGATGAAGACCTTTATGGTGATCCACTTCCACTTAATTAATAGTAAATATATTTTCTGTCCTTATGATTTTCTTAATAACATTTTCTTTTCTCTAACTCGCTTTATTGTAAGAACATAGTATGTTATACATATACAAAATATGTGTTAATCAACTGTTTACGTTATTGGTAAGGCTTCTAGCGATCAGTAGGCTATTAGTGGCTAAGTTTCTGGGGGATGAAAGGTTATATTCAGATCTTCAACTCCAGTATTTTTTTTTTTTATTCTGGAGGCATTGATGATGTCGCTCTGTTGTCTTCTAGTTTATACTGTTATTAATATCTTTTCCAATGTCTACTTTTCTTTCTTGATTCTCCCTCAAGCATTTAAGGTTTGCCTTTTACTTTTGGTGTTCTGACATTTTATAAGTGCTGTTCTGCCCATGTGCCTTTTCATTCATCACCTTTTGCACTAAGTGGACACTATCAATCTTTACCAGCTTTGGAAAATTTTCTCCTTCTGTTTCCTTGATGATTATGCCTTCTACGTTTTCCTTAGGACTCCTCTTGGACAGATGTTTGGCCTGGAGACGGATCCTCTGCATCTTTTAACTTTTGTCTTATATTTCACACCTTTGTTTACTTGTTCAACATCCCAAGAAATTTCCTCACTTTAACTTCCACTCCTTCTGGTAAAGCTCTTGCTTTGGCAATCTCATTTAAAATTTTCCAAAACTCTTTCTAATTTTTGATTACTACTATTGTTTTAATAGTAATTTTGATTGTTTTTGGGTCTGACATTCTCTCCAATTTCTCTGAAGTTATTAAGTGAAATTAAACAACAATATTCTGTTTATGAATGATCTATTTTCTCTGGAGAAATGTTCTTTTGTACATTCTGGCCTTGTGTGTGTGTGTGTGTCTCTGTGTCTGTGTGCTATTGATGTGCAGTTTATTTCTCTCAAATGTCTGGCAATTATTGTGTCTTCTTTATATTTTTGAGTGAAGAATGAGAATAGCTAATGTCAGCAGATTGTATAGATCATTTTCCCCAAGATGTTTCTCCCTGACTTCAGGTGGGGGTGGTGGGGGGTGCTGATGGTAACGCCTCAATGATCAGGCTTCACTTATGTGTGAGGGCAGGAAGTGGGCCAGTGGGAGGAGTTCCCTGTTTACAGGAATCATTCACTTTCTTTGAGATATTAATTGCAGCAAACACTGCATATGTCAGTTATTCTATGAATGGAGTGATGGCAGATTGGAGGGTCCAAGTGACACAGACTTTCAATTAATTGCCCTAATTAACCCTCAGTCCTGTAACCTTCAGGCTTGGCAGGCTCACTGGGACTCTGCAGGGAAGTATATTCTTCTGTAGCTGCAGCCTTATCCTGTCAGTGTTCTAGGCTGTAACCTCCTGTACAGTTAGTTACCATCAACTCAAGGCCATACACCTTCCATCTTTCAGAAAGCTATCAACACGTTTGCTTTGCTGGTGGTTCTATTTCTCCTGTTCACCATGCAGTTTTGGCTTGGTCTCATTTTAAATTTCTTCCCTGTCATGTCAGTGGGATTTGAAAGAAAGTCAGTCTACCACTTGGAGCTGGAACTTTTATAGCTTTTAAAACAGAATGCAGTGATGCCAACAAGTTTCTCTGGCACCCTTTAGGTACTCAGAATGAATGAGAATCACTCAATTATGTTATGAAACAGTTTTCTCCTAAAGTAGGAGCATTTGTTCTCAAACTTCTATTGTTTTAAAAAAGTATTGTGGTTATAGTTTTCTTCTTTTTGCCCTGACTTTTACTTTATTGCCACTCTCATGGTGCTGCCCTGTAAGACCCTCTCCTCATTGGCTGCTTCTTTGATGCAGTAGATTATCCTTAAAGCAAGAGTCAATAAACTTTGGGGGTGTTTTAAGAGACAGCCTTTTGAGAAACATGCATGAGCTTTAGAGAATGAATTGTGTGACCTCCACTGCGACTAGTCTGTGGCCATTTATCCTCAATGATTTGGGTTTATCTTCAGATAATTGAAAGGTGCTAGATAACATGAGCTCTGAATAATAATAAGGCCTCTGAGGCCTTAGAGGTTTATTGTCTTCATTAGCACACTATTTAAATTTCTAGTGTCAATACCAATCATTTGCTTGATATATTTGGTTTTATTGTTTTTTCTCTTAGTGATCCCTGTCAATTAATCATAATTCAGTTCACCAGGAGTAAGTTTTTCCACATAAAGACCACTTTTGATCAAGACACAATGTTATATTTAAGTTATTAATTGACAGTCAACAACTTATTTATTAATATGGATTCATTAGCAAATGTGCCAATTAGTTTTCTTGTCTTCAGTTTTAACACATACAATAGTAACCCCGAAAGAAACTCACAGATTAACAAAAAAGAACAACACTCTAGGACTTGGCACGATTATTCCATAGGAAGAAAATTTATTTCATGTTGTGAGTGCAAATTTTAGTAACAATTCTGTTGAAGTCACTTTTCTAGGACTCTGTTTCCAAAGCAATTAGTTCAGCTATTCAAGATGAAACACATTATTTATCAAGATGTGATATTTTGAAATGTCACAGGAGAGAAACACATGACAAAAGGCAACACATTTGTTTAATTTCATTAGTTACAAGCGAACTTCTAGGTAAGTCATGATTTTCGATGTTTATAATATTTCTATTAAGATGTGCAGGTCTCAATGATAGTGATGAGTGGGTATGGCTGTGGAGAGATTCCAGGTGAGTCCAGCAGGGACCATCTGTGGGGACCCATTAACGACACTTCACAATCTTAAAACAACAAAGAGCTTTTATTTCATGGTGTGGTTTATGAGCATTCAGAAGTAATGTCATCTCTGCTTGGAGACTTTTCTAGCAGGACATTAGGGGGCTATCATCACAGGTAACCTGGAGAGTACATCTGTAGATAAAGATCCTGACTATTTTAAGTAAAGAAGAATTATTGGGGAAAAGAAGCTTTATGTCCAGTGATCAACAGGGCTGGAAAGAGCTGGCAGTTTCAGAAAAGAAGAAACCTCTCTTGACAGCTTTAGTATCATACCGTGGACTGGAAATGGCAAAAATCATCCCTAAAGACAAGCGAAGTGTTTTGAAGTGACTCTTCATAGTGAAGTAGCAACTCTAAATAGCCAAAATTTGCAACCATCGTTTACTCTTTTATATAAACACGAATCTGTTTTTGGCCTGATATAACAGCTGGGTAGATCTAGTAATTAAATGAATGATTCAGATCCAGGCGAGTATGTTTACTTAATTGAATTTTTGGCTCAGACATCATAATCAAAAGTGAAACAAAGGAAAAATTTCCTGGGTCATGTGTCTAGGCTTCAAGGACTAGGAGTCAGCAGCCCTACAAAATAGGAAAAACAGATTCTACTTACTTAGTGCTCTTCTTTCTCTTTATCTTAGAAATATATATTTGAGGGAAAGGGATGTACTAGAGTTTTAAAATTGGAAGAAGCTATTGGACTCCTTCATTTCTACAGATTTAAGTCCCATAGTTAATTAGTGTCCAGCCTGTTTTATTAATCAACAGGGGATTGAGTGTGCTCTGCCCATAATTCCCACTTATTGCTACTCAGAAAGACTTCCTAGAGTTCACATCTTTTATGCTATGAGGCTGGCCAAGAAGAGCAATTCTTAGTTTGCTAGGCCACATAAGCTGAAATCTTGCCAGTTTTTCCAGGCAACACATAATAGCTTGGTCACATCAGGTGGATTCTTGTGAAGAGATGATTAATAGGTTGAGTTAAAAAACAAAACAAAGCAAAACAAAACTTAAAGCTAATTCTTACCCTCCTTCATGTCTCATAATAGCTGTTTCTTGTATGACAGCTAGCTGTGTTTGGCTTTTCAGTTTTAAGGAAATCAAGTTCTCTTTGTATCAGGGAACATCTAGTTGAACTGAGCCAACGTGGGACTGATTTTATCTTGTGGTCACCAACCAAATTAATAGCATTTTCCATTTGCTGAATCTTTAGTATGAAATGTTATACAAAACTGAGAAGCTCTATATTGACATAGCTCAGTTAATATTTACTGAACATCCTACACAATGACATCTCTGGACTTGGCATCAAGAAAGTCTTCTAGATAGTGTAGATTATTTTGATTTCACCTGGCATTCAAATATGCTGGTAGCCTAACTTCCTTCTTGGGGGCAATGATTAGGTTAATACTAATCACTCTCCAGAGATAAACTCTTGCCCCATGAAACATTGAAACATCGCCTGCACAAGAGTGAGGGCAGCTATGTGTTGGGGGTGTCATGGGATTGGAATGCATATTCAAGAAACTATTATTTTGTAAGTTCCCCTACCATTGTGAGTAGTGTAGTGTTAACTTACAAAACCGTTTGCATATACTCTTCTGAGATTTGGCCTTGCTTCTTTGGGGTTAGATGGGAGTTTTCAATCAGTTCATAGACATCTTCCATGTTGTGGAGACCCTGCCTCATCTCGTGGGTAACCTTTTGAACCTGAATATCAGTGCTGTTCTTTGGAGGAACCCTCTGCCCCCGGTATGCCTGAGCCTGGCGTTTACAGATGCCAAACTTGCTGAGTAGGATGAACACATCCCTCTGGAAGGCCTTGGTGAAAATAGCATAGAGGAATGGATTGGCACAGGAGTTAAGTGGATAGAAGAGTACCAGCAAGATTTTGGAGTTGCTAACAGTGATGAGAGGCTTGTTCAGAATTGCTGACAGAGCATAGAATGAGATTGGGGCCATGCATATGAAGTCGGTGAAGATCAACACAGCCATCCTCTTGGCAATTTTGGTATCTTTGTCCCCTGGGTTGTACTGCGGATTTCGGACTGTGATGTAGATCTTCACATAACAGCAGCAGACGATGACGAAGGCAACTATGTTGAGCGTCAGAACAAAAACAATATATGCCAGAGCAAGAGGGGTCTCGGTGTCCATGGGCAGGCAGATACTGACTTTGGCATAGCTACTTATTCCCACCAAAGGAAGCAGGGCGAGAAGGAAGCAGCAAACCCAGCCCCCAACCATGATGGCACATGCGTGCCTGAGGCGGATCTTCCGGTCCAGGCGCATGGCGAAGGTGATGGCATACCAGCGCTCCAGGGTGATGACCGTCAGCGTATACACCGATAACTCGCTTGCAAAGACAGTGAAGAAACCAGCCGTGTTGCACCCAGGGCCTGTCTGCCAGTCGATGGCATGGTTGTAGTACTCAGAGTGAGTGTAGAGGTCTACAGAGGCGATGAGGAGCAGGTACATCCCCATGCAGAAATCCGCAAAGGCCAGGTTGCACATGAGAAAGCGGGGGACGTTCAGTTTGTAGTGGCTGGTGAGGAGAATAAGCAGGACAAAGACATTGCCCAGGAGAGCCAGCAGACTAACGAACCACACCACAATTCTCAGGAACTTGTAGCCCATTATGTCTTCACACGGGTTGAACTCATCGGACTTGGGGGTACACACCATGTCTTCACTGTCCCCACATATGGTGTAGTCATAATGGCTGTCAAAAGCTTGTAGAGTCTCTTCCTGGGGGTTTTTGAGCTCCTGGCCAAAACCAATGATCTCATCCTCTTGTTCTTCAAAGAAGACGTAATAATGAGCGTTGTTATGAGTATCCTGGAACTTGGACTTTTCCTTGTACCCAACAATGCTGTCACCCAGATTCTCTTCATATTCCTGGTGGAGGGGGCTATTCAAGGCATTCACAGATTTTCTCTGGCGCAAGCTCTGCATACTGCTCTCATTACACATCAAGGACTCAAGGATTCTGCAAGGCAACAGAAAAGAGTCAGTGCCAGGCTGGGCGCAGTGGCTCATGACTGTAATCCCAGCACTTTGGGAGGCCAAGGCAGGTGGATTGCTTGAGCCTAGGAGTTTGAGACCAGCCTGGGCAACATGGTGAAATCCCATCTCTATAAAAAATGCAAACATTGGCTGGGCATGGTGGTATGTGCCTATGGTCGTAGCTACTCGGGAGGCTGAGGTGGGAAAATCACCTGAGCCTGGGGAGGTCAAAGCTGCAGTGAGGCGAGATCAGGCCACTATACTCTAGCCTGGATGACAGAGTGAGACCCTGTCTCAAAAAAAAAAAAAAAAAAAAGAATGCTTGTTTAAAACCCACGAATGGTTCCCACATTTATGAAAATGTGCAAACTACTTACTATGATGTACATAATTCTATAAGGTTCTACAGGATCCAGGCAGGCCTGTTTCTGTGACATCATTCCTATGACCTCCCCTCCCCTACTGTGCTCCAGTGGCATTGGTCTTATTTCTCTTCTGCAACCACTTCAAGAACAGTGATTAAAAAAAAAAAAGTGGCCAAGTGTGCTGGCTCACACCTGTAGTGACTCAATCCCAGCACTTTGGGAGGCCAAGGCAGGCACATCACTTGAGGTCAGGAGCTTGAACCAGCCTGGCCAACATGGTGAAACCCCATCTCTACTGAAAATCCAAAAATTAGCCAGGCGTAGTGGCACGTGCCTGTAATTCCAGCTACTTGGGAGGCTGAGGCAGGAGAATCGCTTAAACCTGGGAGGTGGAGGTTGCAGTGAGTCAAGATTGCGCCACTGCATTCCAGGCTGAGTGGCGACAGAGTGAGACTCTGTTTAAAAAAAAAATGTGGATGCTGGAGCCAGTCGCCTTGGTGGGAACCTGGCTCAATTATTGACTAGCTTGGGTAGGCCCATGAAGTTTGGTTAACTCATTTGTAACATGGGACAATGGGAGTGACTATTTCATATAGGGTTATTAAAGGATTCAATGAATTTATCTTTTTAAGGCTCTTACAATAGCACCTGCAGCTTTGTGAGTGCCATATGGTGGTTATTGTTATTATTATTCCTATTCAAAGCTCTAAAACCCTATGTTCCCATTGCCTGAAAAACCCATGGCTGCCTCTACTCATCATTATTTAGTTTCAAACTGAATATTTTAAAAATAAAACATTTATGTATTTTTAGTAGATACAGGGTTTCACCATGTTGGCCAGGCTGGGCTTGAACTCTTGACCTCAAGTGATCCGCCCACCTCTGCCTCCCAAAGTGCTAGGATTACAGAAGTGAGCCACTGCCCCCGGCCAGCCTGTTTATTTTCTGACTTCCTCCATTAGACAGTAAGCAAAATACAAGAGGGAATTCTTGTCTGTTCTATTTACAACAGCCAGGCACATAGAAGGTGCTCAGTAAATATCTGTTTAACAAATGAACAAATGGACACTACCATACAGGCATGCTTGTGGAAATAAGATTTAGTTTTTTCCTTGCTCACCAGACTCACAACAAAAGGGATTCTTTAACTTGCCTCAGCTGCTGAGCAGAGTTTGAGTGATCTCTTGGGTTCTGCTTAAAATGTCCAATGGACTTGCTCTTCTCAACTGGAGGCTAGGGAAAAATCTAGACCCTGCCCCTGAGGTCCACTTAAGCCTCCCACCCAGCCCTTGTCCAGTCCTTCTCAATGCCGCATGGCATCAGTGTAGAGTCCACTATCACCATCCTCTACCCCACTCCTGGCTTTTTGCAGCTATGATGCCCATATTGGCCTTCTTTGTGTGTGTGTGTGCATGTGCCTGTGTGTGATGGAATCTCAGAATCTTGCTTTGTTGCCCAGGCTGGAGTGCACTGGCACGATCTCGGCTCACTGCAACCTCCGCCTACCGGGTTCAAGCAATTCTTCTGCCTCAGCCTCTCCAGTAGCTGGGATTACAGGAACCCACCACCACATCTGGCTAATTTTGTTTTTTGTATTTTTAGTACAGACGGGGTTTCACCATGTTGGCCTGGCCGGTCTCGAACTCCTGACCTCAGATGATCTGGCCATCTCAGCCTCCCAAAGTGCTGGGATTACAGGCGTGAGCCACTGTGCCCGGCCACCATATTGGCCTTCTTTGTATGGCTGTTTTAGCTTCTGCCCTCACACCTAGATCTGATATTTTCCTGACTGCAATTATGTGTGTAGTAAGTC
Source organism: Homo sapiens (assembly GCF_000001405.40). Taxonomy (NCBI): domain Eukaryota; kingdom Metazoa; phylum Chordata; class Mammalia; order Primates; family Hominidae; genus Homo; species Homo sapiens. The sequence goes on along the minus strand of NC_000014.9, from coordinate 81,140,744 downwards.
AATCACTAAATACATAGAAGCTGAGGAGGACTGAATAGAGATGATGAAGGTGGATTAGGAGAACAGGAGATTGTACAAGACACAATGGGGGAAATAATGCAGAGTAAAAGCAAAAAAGTAAAAGAATCAGAGAAAGCCTGGAGAGAAAATGAAGGCAATTCCTCCTTCGCAGGCTCATAAGCAGCCTGATGTGCACATACTGTATATCATAGTTAATATTAATGAAGATCTTATAATATTCCAGGCCATTCCATTCCAGTGTTTTCCATTCAGTTTCTCATTTAATCTTCTCAAAACTGCTATGAATGTTAGTATTAGGATCTCCATTCCCAAAGACTCAGAGTGGTTAAGTAACTAGGCTGGGATAACACAGCTTGAAAAATGGCAGAGCTGCGGTATAAACCCAGCTGACTCCAAAGCCTGCAGGCATGTAACCAGGGAGCTATGACATTTGCAAGGCCCAAACCAATCAGGTAACCCAACTGTTTGTGTTGTTTATAAGTCTGTTCTCATGGTTGTGGTGTCTGGGGTCTAATATGTGTTGCAGTATCTAATTCTGAATTGTACCTGGAAACCGGACATCATATCTACATAACCTCTACAAGATTCTATGAGATCTGGTTGTGTTTCTCTCTCCTGTGCCATCTGTCACCTCCTCTGCTCTACCGCTATCCAGCAGCAATTGCCTTATTTCTCAGCTGCACCCACTTTGGGTCCGCAGGGTCACTGTGTCCCATGGATTTCCTGTTTCATATGGATGCTTCCAATTTCCTCTCCACCTGGTTTTCAAACCAGGAAGCATCTTCCCCAAAACCAAGAAATGAATTCCACTTCCACCAAGGTCTTTTGTCACTTATGCCGGGTCCCTGCCACTTACCCTCTGATTTTCTTCTGATTCTTAAAAGCACAGCAGTGGCTTGGGTAAGAAAGGTCAGCCCGTGTGAGGTGAAGGAAACTCAAGGAAAGTGGAAGTTTCTTAAGAGTCCAGGTGTTTCTTGCTATCAGTTCCTTCAGGTGCTCCAGGCCTTTGGATGGAAGGGCAGTGACACTGGTTTGAGACACGTCCCTGGGAGGCAGAGAACAGAAAAATGCAGAGAGGCAGTGAGCAGCCAGGGCCTTCTCAGCCTTGGCCAGAAACTCAAACAGGCCTGAGGTTAATTGGGAGATGATATGCTCCTTTCTTCTACTGAGTACATAAGCTGAGCTTCTGGTCTAAGGAGGGATGGATATTAGGCTTCTAAGCCTGTGTTATAGGAACTCCTTGGAATTCCAGTATCCAGTAGTACAAATGCTATTTCCACAGTCATTTTATTCTATCCATCACAATACATGCAAACTCTTGGAATCAGAGAGAGATGTCAATTTTACTCTGCAACATGCCACCATGTGACTATGAAAGGGTCTCAAGAGGCAAGAGAAATGAAGTAGAACAGAGACGAAGGGGACTACTTTGCTATCAGCTGCTGTGGGGACTAGAGTTTGGGGACTGATAAACTGCTCACTGATATGAATCAACATCAGTATCATGAAAATCTGATAATGATGCAGACCTCAGAGTCATAACCAGTTACATTGGGAATTCATGACTGACAACATTTCCCCCCATCCCCCGCCACTCCAGTGTCTTTAGAAGACTGTAAATTGATTCTTGGAAAGAAAACTCAAGTGTTGATATTAACAATGTGAAATCAGATTCAAATCACTTCTGAGAACAATGGGGTGAGGGGGGTGGTGGTCAGGCTGGGAACATGTAGACATCAGTGTTAGTTACTAAAATAGAATGAATTCGTGGCATTAGTGTGGCATTCTCTGCTCTTTTCTGAATCCCAGAGAGTCCAGGTTCCATGTCTTGCTCCATCATTTTTATTGGCACCATTAATAGCTTGAATAAGGCCATGAATATTTAACCTAATATCCCTCCTATTTTATATTTTGTCAATTAAAATATTCCTCATAGAAGATAATTCCATTTAAAATATTTAATATAATTAATAGTATCCAATTAGCTAGTGAATTCCATTATTTTCCATTTCCTCCCCCCACATCGTTGTAATTGGACTTAGCTGGGGTTTACATTCTCAAGGTTCAAGGCCGTCAGAACTTAAAGCTCATGTATTAACCCCATTCTCACCACAGGACTGTTACTCTTGTGAGGAAAGGGTTGGTGCAGTTGCTATTTTGTTTTGTATTTAATTAAAAAAATATATAATCTAGCATTTTCCAAACTGGTCTGCTGGTAAGAATTACCCTTGGTGCTGCTGGGTGCGGTAGCTCACGCCTGTAATCCCAGCACTTTGGTAGGCTGAGGCGGGCGGATCACGAGGTCAGGAGTTCAAGACCAGCATGGCCAACATAGTGAAACCCCATCTCTACTAAAAACACAAAAATTAGCCGGGTATGGTGGCACGTGCCTGTAGTCCCAGCTACTCAGGAGGCTGAGGCGGGAGAATCACTTCAACCTGGGAGGCGGAAGTTGCAGTGAGCTGAGACCACGCCATTGTACTCCAGCCTGGGTGACAAAGTGAGACTCTGTCTCAAAAAAAAAAAAAAAAAAAAATTACCCTTGGCGCTTGTTCCTGTATTATTCCCAGGTGATTTTTAACATTAGACATTTATAAACTGGCATAAATAAACACCTTTGCGGTTAGTGAGAGAGTGGAGGGACTTTTGAGCCAGACTTAAGCACAGTTGTGAAGAAAATGAATCTGGGTTTGCTCTCTGGCCTCATCCGTCCTTTTTGAGGCATGTCTTTCTCTTTTAGCCATGCTGTCTTCAAGGTGTGGCCATCTTTCAATTCCAGCTTTCTGGAAGCATCTTAGGTTGCCTTTCCCAGTGATGCTTTCACGTCAGTGAAACGGGAGAGCATCTCATGGCTCATTTCCCTGCTTTGTTGTCTGCTAGATACACTGATTGTGTGTGTTCATCTGAAAGAGTTCATCCAAGTAATGTGTTTGCATTTTAATACATATTTCTTGAGAAAACATGTTAGTAATTATTTCAGTTACTGCGTGACAAAACACCCCAAAACTAAGTGGCATAAAGCAACAATCTTTTTATTATGAGCATAGGTTTTATGGATCATTAATTTGAACAGGGAATGGTGGGGATAGGTTGTCTCTGTTCTGTGATGTCTGGGGCGTCAGCTGGGAAGATCTGGAGTCTGGGATGACTCAATGCCTGGGGGTTGGGATTATCTGCAATTTCCTTCACTGGCATGTCTGGTGCCAGGGCTGAGGTGACTCAAAGACTGAGCTCAGCTGGGACTGTTGCTGTGGCTACTCCATGTGGCTTGACCTTCCCACATTATGTCAGCCAGATTCTAAGAGAACTATCAAATTCAAGGGCAGAGGACATACAGTCCACCTCTTAATGGGAAGAGTGTCAAAGAATTCGGTGCCTTCTTTTAAAACTGCCCTAATGTTCTAAGTGATGGAGACAGCATTGAGGCAGATAATTTGGGGAAAAACTGGCAGTTTATCACTCTGCAAATCAGCATTTCTAGTCCAGGGATCACTCTGGACCAGCATCAGAATCACCTGTAATACAGATTGAGACACATTCCAGACCAAATGAATTATAATCTCTGTTTGTGGAGGCTGGGAATCTGCATTATTTAAGATGCTCTCCAGGTGATTCAGAAGCTGGTTTCAATTCTCAAAGCATTTTTATGAAGCGGGCAGATACTAAAATTCAGACAAAGAAATAAGGGATGTTGTGTCCAAAAAGATACAGTGAACCAAGGGTGGAGTCATAAGTATCATTTGGGTCTGGAGTTCTCAGCTTCAGTGTCCCAGGAGCTAGTCTTCACTTTCAGGTCTTTGGAGTCTTTGAACACAGATCCAGGTGCAGTAAGTCTCCATGGACTCATTAGGAATCTGGGAGGGAAGATTCCAAAGTTTGTCTGAGTATATGTAATGACATATCCCAGGTGGCCTCTAAGTTAGGTCCCACTCGGGCTGAACTGGGAGGGTGCTTGGGCAGGCAAGGAGAAAGTAGATGTTGGGAAATGTGGGTGCTTGGCATATGGTAGGTGCTCAATAATTGTTAATTTCCTCCTTGTCCCAATTTGAAGTTTATCTGAGCTGAAGCCAAAAGCAATGAAGTTGGCAAATACAGCTCCAGTCCAGACCTCAACTTGTATATCCAACTGCTTATTTGATATCTCCACCTGGATGCCTCACAGGCGTCTCCAACTTAATAGGGCCTTTCAAAACTTATCTTTTCATCCTTTGCCCTTAGCTCAACCTGCTCCTCCTCTATTTCCCCCCAACATGGTAATTGACACTCTCATCCACTTGATTGCTCAAATTAGTAACCTTGAGGAATGTTGGATTTCCTCAAGACCATTGTCCCATCCACATTTAATCTTGCAAAACACCTATGATTCTGAACTCCAAAGGAATCTCAAATCCACGTATTTGCATCTCCAGTGTAAGCTTTCTAGTCCAAGCTAACATTATCTCTTACTGAAATATCTTTCCTGTCCACTTTTATTCTTTTTCAATCCATTCCTCACATAGTAGCCAGAGTAATCATAACATATGAATTGAGTAATGTCACTTTCCTGCCTAAAGGCCTACAGTGACTTCTCAACGTACCATGAATAACATCCACGCTTCCTACCATGCCCTTTAAGGTCTTGCAGATCTAGCACTGGACTACCTCTGTAGTCTCATCTCAGAGCTCTAAGGCCACTTACAGACAAAATTAGAATCTATTATACTTGAAGACATCTTAATCCTCACTTGTCATCGTTCTAAGTATCCATTAGGCATGCTGCACCTTAAGTGTTCCTGTGCAGTCCACCCACACTATCTCTGCACTTTCAGGGTCAAGCAGGGGGAACAACTGCCTTTTTTCTTTTTTGATTTAACCACCCTTGCAGTGATCTGCAGTTTTAATCAGACAGTCTGGTTGCTATCAGACAGAAAGGTAGGAGCTCCTCTGTACTTCTCTATGGATCTAGCACTGCCTCTCCACTCAAAATATCTCAAATAGAATGATTCTTGCCTTGAAGCTTACTGGAATGTCTTTATTTCTTGTCTTCCATCTACCACTTTCCAGGGCTTGAAGCTTCGATGTCCTTGTGGAGTCTCTCTTGCCCTTGCCCTACGTTCATGCCGTGAATATTTACAACAACATGAAATTGTGCTAAGAACCCCCCACCCCAATCAGATGTGAGCCCAGCTGTTGCACATCTACAATTTCATGGTTCTCATTGCTACCACCTTAGTTTAGGTCTGAACTACATTTCACCTGAGTTTTGCAAAAACTTTGTGACTGGTCTCAGAAATCTTCCACTATTCTGATTTTAGGAACTTAGGAAAGAATGTTTTTTCTAAAGGACATTAGGAAAGACTTAGGAAAGAATGTCCTTTCTAAAACACAGATCTTATATTGCTTTCCAGCTTGAAATCCATGCCTCCTTTAATATCTACAGAATGAAGTTCAAGCTTCTTAGGAGACTATTTCCCCTCTCCCCAGTGGGAGTCTCTTTCTGAATCTTGTGTCATCTTTTTTCTTGATTTTCTCTCCTAGAGCACATTTTCAAGTAATTTCTTAGGCTGTGTGAAGGAGATATTTTCTGAGTCTTTGCATGTCTGAAAATGACCTTATTTTTTTCTACCCTTATATTCAATTGGTACTTTAGCTGGCTATAAAATTTAAGGTTGCAAATCGCCTTTCTTCAGAATTTTAAAGGCTTTATCATATTCTAGCACCCATTGATGCTTTTGGTAAGTATGACCCCATTCAAATTCTTATTCTTTGGTCATTGACTTGTTATTACTTCTGGAAGCTTCTCAGACCTTCTCTTTATCCCTGGTGTGACATTTCATGAAGGTGTACCTTGATAGGAATCTTTTTCCATTTATTATAATGGGCACTGGGGGAAGACAGGCCCCTTCAATCTGAAGACCTTTGTTCTTCACTGCTAGGAAATTTTCTTGTATTGTTTATGGGATAACTTATTCTCATTTTATCTGTTTTGTCTCTGGAATTCTTAATAAGAGGAAAAGGCACCTCCTGGTCCATCAGACATATCTCCATTTTTTCTTGGAATTTTCTCCTATTACTTTTATTAAATTGCCTGGTAAAATTCCTTGAGTGCATCTTCCATCTCTTCTACTAAATTTTTAATTTTAGCTTCATGAGAGCTGAAATACTGCCTGTTCTGTTTATTGCCGTATTTTTGGTACCTAGACTGGTGTTTAGCCAACAGAAGACTCTAAACACATACTTGTTAAATACCTGAATAGATTTTTTAAGAGCACTTTCTTGTGTTCTGTTCCTTTTAAAAACAGCGTATTTGGTTGGGTGCGGTGGCTCACATCTGTAATCGCAGCACTTTGGGAGGCTGAGGCGGGTGGATCACCTGAGGTTGGGAGTTTGAGACCAGCCTGACCAACATGGAGAAACCAGTATCTACTAAAAATTCAAAATTAGCCGGGCATGGTGGCACATGCCTGTAATCCTAGCTACTCGGGAGGCTGAGGCAGGAGAAAATCGCTTGAACCCGGGAAGTGGAGGTCGTGGTGAGCCGAGATTGCACCATTGCACTCCAGCCTGGGCAACAAGAGCGAAACTCCTTCTAAAAATAAAAAATAAAAAAGAATAAAAAATAAAATGAAATAAAACCAGCATATTTGAGAAAGCATACCCCTTTGTTTAGGAACATGGGTTTTAAATTCACACTATCTGGACTTAAACCCTGGCTTCTGTGCTTACTATCAGTCACTGAAACTTTGTGTGCTGCAGTTTCCTTGTCTTGAGTTTGTTGAACAGTAGCTCTTAGTGTGTTCTCAATAAATATTAGCTATTATTTTTATTATTATTATCATGATTGTTATAGTGATAGGGATGAAATGTGTTCTCAGATTTATCTCAGGTCCTTAATTATTGCTTTGTTAAAGGTTCCTTTCTCTTTTCTGTGATTTCTTTGATTTCTCCAGGCTCATTTCCCCGCCATTTGTGTATCTTGGTTTTGATCTTCCATGTTAGGAGCATTCTTTGACTGGAGATCTCTGGTTGCACACATTCGTATTTAAGAGGGTGCTTTTCTGTTGGCAGACTTTGCTTTAGGGTAATTGTTTAGGGAGCTGGCCATTATGTTGGTAGACCCTAAAGTGCCAGAATGTGAATGTCTTTTTTGTTTTAGGATTTCTCAACCTCTTCAGCTTAGTGGGGAGGTACTTGGCTGTTGGAATTTTGCATAAATAGAGTACAGGATTAATGCTTCCAGATATAAACTTTCAGTTAACCCTTCTGTTTTCAGTCCCATGTCTTACTCTTACCACATGCCATACCCATCACCTCTAAGTCCTATTCCTCCCAGAGATTTTACAGAGCAAGGCAGCAGTCTCTGACTACGCTCCCTCTGAGTACTGTGAGTTTTGCCTTCCTTCTTTTCTATTTTTCTTCATTCTGAATTCTGTAGCTCTTCAGACCATGGATGGGCTCTCACCTGTCTTCTGTGAATGTATGCATAGTAAAAATTCTTGTGGATGTATAAATAGGAAAAACTCCTTTCTCATCTTTTTAAGGGGATCTCAGGAGGGAGAGAAAATAAAATCTTAGGTGTAATGCTTCATCTTTAACTTTTAATCACTACTGTATTTAGCACACAGAACTGTGCAAGAGCTTGGAACAAATACTTGTTGAGTACTGAGCCACATTTGATAGTCTCCCAATTCTGGAGTTGTCGGAGAATAAATCTCAGTCTGAAGAGATCCTCAAACTCAACAAGTCAGGAATCATTTTAAGTTATTTGAGGCTGTATTTTTTCCCACTCACCCAAAGTTTTATTTGGTTACTTCAAATCCAGGATTTTTAAATAGTGTGTACCTTCTTTCCTAAAATAAACCTGTCAACATGTAGTATTTTTTTTTTTTTCTGAGTAAGAAGAATATAAAGAGTTGTTATGGGTGATGAAGGGGTCTGAAATCACTTGTGGATGTAGCCATATGGATAGAAAGCTACAAGCTGGAGGGCTTCCCTCTGTTTTGTTGACTCTGGCACTCTCTTCAAAGAGCTCATCAAGCAATGGGCATTGAACTCCATGAGAATTTGTCTCTAGCAAGTATTTACTCGCAAATCAGAATGCAGCTGAGCTGAGTCTGGCAGATGGTTTGAAGTCTAATTGCCTAGGTCGTGGGAATAATCTCGAGTTAAGTGTCTAATGAAAGTAACAGGACCTGAATTTGGAGAGAGTGAGTCCTGCAGTATTATATACAGAGAAGAATATCATGAGATTTTAATGATGCCAGGAAAAAAAAGAGCTAACTACGTTTAATGTCATAGGAAGAGCAAATTGAACCTCAAAAGCAATTATGCCCTCTAGTATCCCCAAACATTGGAACTATTTTTATTTTTTGAGAGATATTTTGTCATTGATTATTATTTAAGATTAATTTATGATAAATTCAATTGCAAATTAAAGAAGCACTAATTGGCTTGCCAGTGTTCCAACAGCAATTGCAAGTGTCTTTTCTGTTTGCTTGTCATGAAAGTAGGTTTTCCCAAAGGTCAATATGTGGAAGCTGCTCCATTATAAATGCGCAGTTACATCTGTAAATTGGTAAATGAAATGCATCTAAGAGCAGAAAGATTAATTTACTGTTTAAAATACAATGTAATTAATTTATTAATATTGAATTGAAAAATAAGTTAAAGGTTTAAAAGGTATAAATTCAAGACAGTGAGCTTGTCTATTAATATGTTTAAATAATTTAGAAATGCAATATGCATTTATTTAGCAAGTACAGAATGTATTGATTGCTGTCTATGTCTCAAGTATAGTTCTAGAAGCTAGGGCTATAATAGTAAACTAAACAGGCAGAAATTCCTGCTCTCCTCATGCTTACATTCTAGTGGAGAAAAAGGTAATTTTTTCTTAAAAAAGTGAAGACATACAGTATGTTAGATGATAATGATAAGTACTATGGGGAAAAGGGGAACAGGGAAGAGAAAAGGCAGAGACCAGGAGTGGGTCACAATGAGAGATGAGGGGACAGTGTCAGGGAAGGCCTCATTGAGGAGATAGTTGAGGAGGTGTCTGAAGGAGGTGAGGGAGACAGCCAAGCTGATATCTGGAGCAAAAGCATTGCAGGCCAAAGGACCAGCAGTGTAAAGACTGTGAGGAGTGCACCTGGTATATTTGAGGAAGCAAGGAGGCCAGTGTTGCTGGTGCTGAGACGGTGAGGGCATAGAACATGTGGGAGAAGTCAGCGGACGTATTGGGAGCCAGATCATGTGTGGCCTTGTAGGCTGTCGAAAGAACATTACATTTTCATGGAAGTGAGATCAAAAGGCTGCAGAGGAATGGTATAATCTGACTTATTTAAAAAGGATCATGCTGGCTGCTGCTTTGAAAGTTACCAAAGTGAGTAAGGCGTGGAAACAGGGAGATCAAAAATAGAAAGGATGGTGCTTTGGACTAGGGTGGTAGCAGTGGAGATACTGAAAATGGTTGGAGTTTGTAGATATTTGAAAAGTAGAGCCATTGGGACTTTCTGATGGATGGGATATGGGGTATGTGAGAAAGAGAAGGGTTGAGAATGACTCCAAGATTTCTAGTCTGCAGCTGGGAGAATGAAGTTGCCATTTCCTGAGATGGGGAAGGCTGCAGGTGAGGCAGGTTTGGAGGGAATGATCAGAAATTCACTTTTGGGCATGTCAAGTTTGAGATGCCTATTAGACATCCAGATGGTGACGGCAGTCAAGCAGTGTTTTTTTTTTTTTTTTTTTTTGGAGACGGAGTCTCGCTCTGTCGCCCAGGCCGGACTGCGGACTGCAGTGGCGCAATCTCGGCTCACTGCAAGCTCCGCTTCCCGGGTTCACGCCATTCTCCTGCCTCAGCCTCCCGAGTAGCTGGGACTACAGGCACCCGCCACCGCGCCCGGCTAATTTTTTGTATTTTTAGTAGAGACGGGGTTTCACCTTGTTAGCCAGGATGGTCTCGATCTCCTGACCTCATGATCCACCCGCCTCGGCCTCCCAAAGTGCTGGGATTACAGGCGTGAGCCACCGCGCCCGGCCCAAGCAGTGTTTTATAAGCGTGGAATTTGGGAGAATTGTCTGGACTGGAGATTTCTATTTGGGTATCATAGGCATTAGGTAAATCCATACAAGTGGATAAGATCACCAAGGAAGTGAATGAAGATATAGATAAAAAGAATATCAAAGATGGAGGCCTGGGGCACTCCAACATTAAGAGATCAGGAAGAAGAAGAAGAAGAGCTAGAAAAACAGAGTAGGAAGGAACAATCAGAGGTATGGAGAAAAACCAAGAGAGAGTAGTGATTTGGAAGCCAAAAGAAGAATACATTCCAAGGAGGATGGAGTCAGCAACTGAGTCAAATGCCTCTGAAATAAGTACTAATTGGCCACTTGATTTAGCAATTGTGGAAGTCACTGTTGACCTGGTAAACGGAGTTTTAGTGGCATGGTGGGAAGTGAAAACCTGATTGGAGTGAGCATAACAGAAATTGGGATAGTTGCTGCAAAAAGACACAGATAAATAGGGCAGTAGGTGGAAGTAGATTTGAAGGAAGGGATATTTTAAAATTATAAATATTTCAATATTTTCTAAGAATTAAGGAATCTTTTAAAAATAAATAACATCTAAAACAATAACTCTTTAAGGCCGTGTAATATTCAATCATCAGTTTTCCAAGAAAGGCAAGGTAGTTCTTACCTTGTTTAAGTCAGATCCAAATAGACCCAGACATGGCATTCAACTGATGTCTTTTAGGTGTCTTTTAATCCATATTCACGAAACATTGTTTTAAGATGGAAGAAACTACAGCATGTTTATACACTGATGGGAAATAACTTAGTAGGGAGGGGAATACAGATGATTAGGGAAGAAGGGAGAGGATTGCTGAAGCAATGTCCTTGAGTTTTTGAGAGGCGATGGGATCTAGGGCCCCGGTGAAGGGGCCAGCCTTAAAAAGTGACTTAAAATACGGAAGAGAGGAGAAAGGATGTGGGCATAGACACAGGAAGATGGGTAGATGTGGTAGTGGGACATGAGGAGTTCTCTTTGGATTGATTTTATGCTCAGTGAAATGGAAATCAAGGTGATCAAGTGGACATGAGAATGAGGGAGAGGACTAGAGAACTGAAGAGAGGGGAGGCCATAGGACATGGTCATCCAACAGACTGGGAGAGGGAATGGGGAAGTGGGATGTGATTGCTGTGCAGCAGGTAGAGCCTGCTTGGGGTGAATGATTTAAGGTGAAATCACTTGCTATGTTCAGCTGCAAAAGCCCAGGCCTGCAGCAGGTGGGTGGTTAGACCTAACCAAGGTTGGGCTTGGCCAGAAGAGGCTGATGAGACAGAGAGGCAAGGTAGTTAGTTGGCTGCGTATACAAGTCAGTGTTTATAATGACAGAACATGGCATTTAAGCTGCATAAGGAAAGAGTGAGGATATGAGGGAGGTGAGAGACAGTGAAATGTTAGTAACAGACTGTAGATCCTGGCAGAACCAAAAAATTGAAGGATTAATGTATTCTAAGGAAAGAGATAGAAAGAGAGCAGGATGTTTAAGATTAAGGTTATGGAGGCTTTGTAGTCATTGGTCATGACAGGTCTAGTGAAGCCTGGAAGTACAATGAAGGGCAGGCTTATTGGGGGAGTGGAGCTCGGAGGTCAAGGTATAGGAAAGATAATCCATGTGGATATTGAAATAACCAAAGTTAGGACAGGAGCAGTGTTGGAGGAAAAAAATATTATATATAGGGTTAGGGAGTATCCTCTGTTTCAGTCATCCCCTGTGGGTCTCGGAGCATATCCTCCATGAGTAAAGGGGGTACCACTGTAGGCAAATGTCTAGAATGTCAGATGGTAATAAGCATCATGGGGAAAAATAAAACAGGGAAGTGGGATGAAGAGTGGTGGGCAGTTTGCAAACTTAAATAGGGCATTCAGGGAAGATCTCAATGAGAAACTTACCCTTAAGCAAAGACTTGTATCAGACGAAGGAGACAGCTATGGATATCTGGGGAGAGGGCTCTCTGGCAGAGAAAACAACTAGTGCCCAACCCCTAAGGTGGGAACATGCCATGTGTCCTATTCAGTGTGGCTGGGGTAGAACCATGAGGAGGAAAGAAATAGGAGGTAGGATGAGAGAATACGTGGCATGGGTGGGAGACAAACAGCACAGGTCTTTGAAGGCTATTTGTGAGGACTTTGTCTCTTTAAAAATGAAGATGGTAAAGCACCACTGGAGGCTTTTAAGCAGAAATTTAAGAAGATGATCAAGTAAAGTTGCAGAATTACAACAGGTGCAAGAATAATCTTACATAAAAGGGGTTGACCTGATGTACCAGGAAGAGATCGTGTTTTGGAGTTAGTTAATACTGAATTTCTATCCTAGTATTTCCCTTATGGCCAGGTGACCTCGGGGGACTTACCTGATATCTCTGCACCAGTTTCCTTATTTGTTAAATAGGAATAAGAATACTTTCTATTGAATAGTTAGGCCCAAAGTGATAGACTATCTGTAAAGAACCCAGCACAAAGCTAATGCTCAAAAATGACTTATTATTAACAAGAAAATTCGTGTCTGACTATTCAGAAAATTGATCAGAAATTATGAATCTTTTCTTAAAGTCTATGTGTACAAATAAAATTGCTTTATAACTCAGATATTACTACAATCATTTCTTATAAGCCTATACTTTCCATGATCTATGAAATCTTTCAGCGTTTACTATTGCAACATAATGGATTCTGCAATGGAAAATTGCCGTATCCTGTAAGTTGGTGAGTCAGCATTCTACCACACAGTGACAAAAGGAAACCAGGGCAATTTTTAGTCCATTTTCACACTGCTGATAAAGACATACCAGAGACTGGGTAATTTATAAAGAAAAAGGTTTAATGGACTCACAGTTCCACGTGGCTGGGGAACACAGTTGCCCAATGTGGACTCACAGTTCCACGTTGCCTCCCACCTCACAATCATGGTGGACGGCAAAAGGCAAAAGGCACGTCTTACATGGCGGCAGGCAAGAGAGGGAATGAGAGCCAAGTGAAAGGGGGAACCCCTTATAAAACGATCAGATTTTGTGAGACTTATTCACTACCATGAGAACAGTATAGAAGAACCACCTCCATGATTCAATTATCTCCCACTGGGTCCCTCCCACAACATGTGGGAATTGTGGGAGCAAAAATTCAAGATGAGATTTGGGTGGGGACACAGCCAAACCGTATCAACTGCCAATAGTCTGAAGCTGAAACACAAGCATAGCCTCCTCCTCAATGTTGAATCCCCTCCCTTCTCAACCTCACAACCCCTACACACACCCAAAATGATCATCATCATACTGGCAAAAGGGTCAGGCTCAATGCTGCTTGTGGGAGATAAAAGGTCCACTTTTTTTTAAGTGTTTATTTCTTTTAGACTCAGAGGCAGAATGTAATTAACAAAATAGATTTCCATGTCCTGGCAGAGATAGTGTGTCAGATGACAATGCTTGATTATTTCCTCCCACCTGATCTAGGAGTAAACTCCCAGAAAAGTGAAAACATTTAGTACCCATCCACATTTACTTGGGAAGAACTGTGTGCCTAATTCTACATGCTAAAAACTGCTTTTTGTGTTTCTGTTATTTATTCAAAAATTTAATCCAAGGTTGATTTATACCTGTCATTATTTAGCCTGTTGCCAGCATCCTCCAATTAATTGTAAAATCACAAGTAAAACCTGCTACAGAACATAGTATACATGGCTTTTGCCTTTACTATTTGGTCCTATGCAGTCTTGTTTCTCTTCTTTCATTATACAGATAATTGAGACTTGAAATGGGCAAAATCACCCAAAATTGAGAAGAGTGTGTGGAGAAGTCAGAATCTTTTGGGGTTGGAAGGCTGAAATCAAATTTATGTAAAAATAGCACAGAGCCTAGCGGGCACTCACTAAAAGGTAGAGTTATTTATACATAAAATTGCAAAGAAGGAACAGTGAAGAAGTAATTATCGTCCTACTTGCTCAACAAAGAACAAACTTCAGATTCTTTACTGTTACGAGCTCCTGGCTAAAGAGGGATAATTAGTTAATAAAATGGTTCAGAATTTACAAGGTTTAGAACATTTTGGCAGTGTTGTTTTCCTAGTATTCATTCTCAGCAAAAATTCTTTTATGTTCTACCAGTTTTTGTCAAGGTAAAAAGCCCTTACTTAAATAAGTAACTTTAGCAAAACCATGCTAAAGAAATATTTTATGAATTTGCAAATTATTTTTAGAGAAGAAAAGCTATCTAGTTTACTTTTTGGCCTGGCATAGATAGGAAACATTTACTCAGACTGAATCCCCTAATATAAAATGCATGACCATTTGAGGCCATTGCTCTAGACAGTGGCTCCTGGTGTTTTGGAGAACTTTTATTTAAAGTAAAAATCTTTCGGGGATGATAGTAGTTGCACTGTTAGTCAGTTGAAGAGCTACAAAGGTTTGTATGATTTTGAGGATCTTTGCACTAACTGCTTTATCCCTCTCCCACCAGCAGGCAACCCACTAGTTGGGGACTGCTCTGCAAATAATTTCTCAATAGTTATGAAAGTAACCTTGCCAATATAGATTGCTGTGATTTAATGTATTAATTCTTTTTTCTCATAATAGTGGCTGTGGTAGTAGGAGATGCTACCAATCAATAAATTAGGATTTTGGGGGAAACCAAGTATCCTGAGTTGTCAATGTGACTCTTCTGTTCTGAAAATTCCTAGGGCTGAAGCAGACCATTCCCTGTTCTTGTCAAGAAGTCAGCATGCACACCATTCTGGAAAGATCATTGCCTACTCTCTCTCTCTTCAAATTCTTTCATGATCTTCCTTGCAGACCCTTTGCTGTGCCTCTGGAGATGTGAGCGTGTGACTTAGGAGGGATGACCTACTTCAGTTGCTTCCCCAACAACTCGGCTCCTTTGGCATGGGTCTGGCTTGGTGCCCAAGCTAGGTGTGCAAGACGGCAGTTTGTCTTGTGTTTGCAACTCATTTCACAGTCGGTGAGCAGGGCAGCCTAGCATGCAAGCCTCCCCTGGCTTTGCATCTGCAGGAGGTTCCCTTCTCCAAGGGAGCTGCACCAAGAGCTTCACTTGGTAAGCACAGAAAGAAAGTCAAGGAGCTCCAGGCTGATGAGGTATTTGGGGCTCAATTTCCCTCCCCTCAGAGGGAGATCCAGTCCCTGTCAAATTGCCAGGAGGTGCAGATTAGCAGTCCCAGCTCAGTGGCTGTGACAGAGGTATCAGCAATAATATAGTCAGGGCTGAGGCGAGTTGAGGGCCACAAACTTTAATCTGTTATGCAACTATTACTACTACTTCCACAGGGACCATCTTTACCTGCTGCGTCAGATTAGGTTGTCCATAATATGATTTCAACACAA
Source organism: Homo sapiens (assembly GCF_000001405.40). Lineage (NCBI taxonomy): Eukaryota > Metazoa > Chordata > Mammalia > Primates > Hominidae > Homo > Homo sapiens. Next base: position 81,125,355 of record NC_000014.9, on the reverse strand, counting down.
CATCCCAACACTATCCTTTTGCCTGAATTATGTAATTTTTTTTCCTCTGAACACATCCCATGTTTTCCTATAGACATGCCTTTGTTTTCTCTCATAACTCTATCACTGTCTGTTGCAATTCTGCTCCTCACCTGAAGCCCATCTCAAATACTATCTCCTTTAATAAAGCTTTTGCTGATCACCCTAACTAGAAATGGCATGTTCAGTCTCTAAATATCTCCTATGGCTTTTTACATTAAACTTATGTTACAGTTACTTATTCACATTTCTCCTAAATTTGACTGTAACCTTTTTAAAGCAGAGGCTGTGTCTTATCCTTATAACTACTGGAGCTCAGTAGGTGCTTAGTAAAATGGCTGTGGAATAAGTGAGTAAATGGACCATTTGCACTAGGGTTGGCAGAGAGCTGGTGGCCAGGACCAAAATTTTATTTAGGTCAAAAATTTTATCCTGGAACACAATTGAATAATAAAAAAACAAAAATCCAATGAAAATGGGCAAAAAATTTGAACAGAAACTGGGTAAAAGAAAATATACAAATAGCTGACAAGTGCATAAAAAGATGCTCAACATCATTAATAATCAGGGAAACACAAATTAAAACCACAATGAGAGACCCATTAGAATGGCTAGAATAAAAAAAAATGACAATTAAAAGCATTGGCCAGTATAAAATGCTCATACCTTGCTGGTGAGAATAGAAAATGAGACAACCCTTTTGGAAAACAGTATAGCAGTATTTCCTATAAAGTATACATAAAGACATATATATAGAGATATAAATCTATCCTATTACCTGTTAATTTTACTACTAAATTTTTATATTAGAAAAATAGCATGTCTATGGGAGGTGGGGTGAGGCATGAGGGAACTTTCTGGATAATGAAAATGTTCCAAGTCTTAATCAGGCTAGAGTAATATAGTTTTGTCGAATTGCATCAACCTGTACACTTAAAAAATTGTGTACGTTATTGTATGCAAATTATATTTAAAATATATGTTTGCTCAGGATCATCCTAGAAAATCGTGTATTCACCTGTGTCTTTCAGGCATGCCGGTAAGGACTCTGCCACAAATTTTCAGCCACCTAATAGTATTATCTTGTGAAGATCATGAAGAGTTTAAAAAAAAAAGAAAAAAAAGAAACCAAAGAAATATGACAGTGCCATGACCCTTGTATTAATTTGATCAGCTAAAAACAAGAAAAGTGTGTTTTTGAAGTTTATTTATGCTGATACCTGTAATGAAAACTCAAGGATATTATTACAGAGATTTCCTCTTCTTAGGAGGTACTTACTCAACAATATGCTAAATGCTATATTAAAGTGGGTTACATAATTTAGAATTTAGAGAACTCTGATTATTATGAAAGGCATTGCATTTCAGTGTGTTCTTTCCTCTGAGATTTAAAACACCAAGCACTTCTCTTTCAAAATAAGATAAAAAGAAAACAAGGTAATCAAAAATGGAAAGTATAAAAATGGAAAATGAGATTGCATATCTTGATTAAAAATCAATCAATAAAAAACCTTATTATACTTCCAAACTAAATTTATAAGTCTTTTTGAAAAACAGCAAATATTGGATAATAGATCCTCTGACTCTAGATATTGCACCTGCTTTAAATTAGATTATCTTTTGAGAAGTGACCTTGAAAAACAATGATTAAGTGGGTAAGTTTGACTTTTTAGACTATTAGACGTGACTGTATTCTCCCTCAAAAACCTTTATAAGGCAGAAATATATATGGCATCTGATTCTCTTTTCTTTAGATGGAGTTTACGATTTTTGAAGTTTGGCTTTGACAACAAATGACAATGAAATCATGGCTATTTGATATTTAGTTACAATTCATCCAATATTTATTGAGCACTTTCTGTCTTCTGTTTTGATACAGGAAGGTTATAAAAAGTATAAGACACCACTTATTTCCTCTGGGATCTTAAAATCTAATTATGGAAAGAAGCTATGTGGGAAAAAATAATGGAGATTTTGACAAAAGATCAAGACAAGAATTAAAGAGACATCACATGTCTATGTATGATTAGTTAACAAATTCATTTTCAGACAACAACTATGCTTGGAAGTTCAGGAATGAGACTGGACTCTTCTTTGTTCATTTCTTACTTTTCTCCTATTGACCTCTCACATGCTGACATCTCCATTGTCTTCTCTTCCTATGCTTTGTGGCTTTGTTATTAAATTAAGTGTTAATTTTTTTTTTTTTCTTAGACGGAGTCTTGCTCTGTCTCCCAGGCTACAGTACAATGGTGCAATCTCGGCTCACTGCAACCTCTGCTTCCCAGGTTCAAGCGATTCTCGTGCCTCAACCTCCCGAGTAGCTGGGATTACAGGCGCCTGCCACCGCGCCTAGCTAATTTTTGTATTTTTCAGTAGAGACGGCGTTTCACCATGTAGGCCAGGCTGGTCTTGAACTCCTGACCTCAAGTGATCCACACCGCCTCAGCCTCCCAAAGTGCTGGGATTACAGGCCTGAGCCACCACGCCCAGCCTAATTTTTATTAAAATAATGCATGGACCTATTTTTAAAAAGCAAATTATACTGGAAGCTTGTTAATACAAGAGGCAGCCCTTCCCTGCAGTCTGGTGTCTGATGTCCCAGAAGTAACCCCTTTTAACTTCTGGTATTTCCTTCCATAAGTGTAAGTATTTCTTGATGTATTGTTTTTAGGTTTTATCCGCTAACTCTCTACTATAGAAGATGAGGATTTGGCTTTCTTTTATCATCCCTCACCCCTACACATTTCCTCTCCTGACACACTCTTCTACTCTCCTGAAATAGTTTTGTGACATATTTGGTTAAACCCATATTCAGTACTGTGGTTATTGCAACTTTGCATATTGCGCTTTCATTTCCTTTGTCATGTAACTGTTTGTTTTTTTTTTCATAAGATGTCCATCTGTCTCTCTCTTTTTATTTGGGTGTCTTTGTTTGAACAAACCTCTTGCTAAGTTTTCTACATGCTCCAATGTTCTTTAAAACACCTCTCAAGGCCAGGAGCGGTGGCTCACACCTATAATCCCAGAACTTTGGTAGGCCTAGGCAGGTGGATCGCCTGAGGTCAAGAGTTCGAGACCAGCCTGGCCAACATGGTGAAACCCCATCTCTACTAAAAATACAAAAATTAGCCAGGTATGGTGTTGGCACCTGTAATCCCAGCTACTTGGGAGGCTGAGGCAGGAGAATTGCTTGAACCCGGGAGGTGGAGATTGCAGTGAGCTGAGATCGCACCATTGCACTCCAGCCTGGGTGACAGAGCAAGACTTCGTCTCAAAAAAAAAAAAAAAAAAAAAAAAAAAAAAAAAAAAAAAAAGGAAAAGAAAACACATCTCAAACCAGTTTTTCACACAATGAATTCCATCAAATAATCTATCAATCCTTTTATTTTTTTGAGACAGAGTCTTGCTCTGTCTCCCAGGCTGGAGTGCAGTGGTGCAATCTCGGCTCACTTGCAGCCTCCGCCTCCTGGGTTCAAACGATTCTCCTACCTCAGCCTCCCAAGTAGCTGGGACTACAATTATGCACCAACATGCCTGGCTAATTTTTGTATTTTTAGTAGAGATGGAGTTTCACCATGTTGGCTAAGCCGACCTCAAACTCCCGACCTCAAGTGATCCGCCTGCTTCTGTCTTCCAGAGTGCTGGGATTACAGGCATGATACACCGTGCCCAGCCAACCCTCTTTTATTTCTAGAAGACCTTCCTCTTGGAGTCTTCATTCTTCAGCTCTGATGTAGACATCATGTTCCCAAGATTCCTCAGACCTCCCTTTGTGGTCATCCTGGGGATTCTATTTGCTTCTTTCCTGTGTTGATCACTGTTTTAACAAAGTCCTCATTTTTCTTTTTCCTGGTTTATTCTCCAAGAAAAGGTGAACAGGAAATCAAGGTTTTGAGATTTTGCATGTGAGAAAATATCTTTATTTTATCAATCATACTTGATTGGTAGTTTGGAAATGACTTTCCCTTCAGAATTCAACAGGTGTATTCTATCTATGGTCTTCTTCAATGTCGCCATTGAGAAGGCTGAGGGCATTCCGATTCTCCCACCTGCACAGGCCACATGATTTCTCTGTCTAGACGCCTTTAATTTATTATTTTTATCCCATTGATTTCATGTTTTATGATGTACCTTCATGCCTCCCCACCCTTTTTTTTTGCCATATGGGTTCTCCGTGGGTCTTTTTATTCTGAAAATTCATTTTCTTTATTAATGGGAAATCTGCTACACTATTTTTCAGTTTTTGTTTTCTCTTCCTAAAACTTTTGTTAGTTGGGTTGTGGACCTCGTGGCTTGAATTTCTAATGTTCATGTTTTTTCTTTCCTCTATTTCATATTTTTTTGCTGTCTCTACTGAGTGCCATTTTTCCCTTTATCTTTAACAACTTCTGCTTACTTTTTTGGTTTTGGCTTTCATGTTTTTAATTTTCAAAAGCTCTTTTATTGTTTTCTGAATATTCCTGTATAAGGAATTGTTTTGCACATGTAAAACATTGTCTCTCTGAGGATATTTGTTATAACTTTCATGAAAGTTTTCTTCTGGTTCTTGCATTGTTTCTGTTCCTTCCAAGTTCCTTTTTCTGTTTATTTTAGTCCTTGTTTTTCATGTCACCACATCTATTCAACATAGTACTGGAAGTCCTAGTTAGAACAATTAGGCAATACAAATAAACGGCATCCAAATCCTAAAGAAAGAAGAGAAACTGTTTCTGAGTGCGGATGACATTATCTTATACAGAAAATCAGAAAGCCTCCACCAAAAACCTGTTAGAACTAAGAAATGAATTCAGTAAAGTTACAGGATACAAAGTCAACCTACAAAAATCAGTTGTGTTTCTATAAACAAACAATAAGCTATCAGAAAAAGAAACAAAGAAAACAATCCCATTTATAATGGCATCAAAACAAAACAAAAACTAGGAATAAATTTAAACCAAGGAGGTGAAAGATCTGTACACTGAAAACTCTAAGACATTGACGTTTTTCATGTCAATGGATTTCCTCGAAGGTCTGCTGGTTCTTGGATGTCTGTTCTTGTTTGTAAGGGAGGCCTATGGGAAGCTCTGTGTGTGGAAGCTTATTGGCTGGTGGGCATTACCATGGTGACTTTGGGAGACTATCAGTGATTCTTTTTTATTTTTTTATTTTTTTTATTATTATACTTTAAGTTTTAGGGTACATGTGCACATTGTGCAGGTTAGTTACATATGTATACATGTGCCATGCTGGTGCGCTGCACCCACTAACTCGTCATCTAGCATTAGGTATATCTCCCAATGCTATCCCTCCCCCCTCCCCCCACCCCACAACAGTCCCCAGAGTGTGATGTTCCCCTTCCTGTGTCCATGTGATCTCATTGTTCAATTCCCACCTATGAGTGAGAATATGCGGTGTTTGGTTTTTTGTTCTTGCGATAGTTTACTGAGAATGATGATTTCCAATTTCATCCATGTCCCTACAAGGGACATGAACTCATCATTTTTTATGGCTGCATAGAATTCCATGGCGTATATGTACCACATTTTCTTAATCCAGTCTATCCTTGCTGGACATTTGGGTTGGTTCCAAGTCTTTGCTATTGTGAATAGTGCCGCAATAAACATACGTGTGCACGTGTCTTTATAGCAGCATGATTTATAGTCCTTTGGGTATATACCCAGTAATGGGATGGCTGGGTCAAATGGTATTTCTAGTTCTAGATCCCTGAGGAATTGCCACACTGACTTCCACAATGGTTGAACTAGTTTACAGTCCCACCAACAATGTAAAAGTGTTCCTATTTCTCCACATCCTCTCCAGCACCTGTTGTTTCCTGACTTTTTAATGATTGCCATTCTAACTGGTGTGAGATGGTATCTCAATGTGGTTTTGATTTGCATTTCTCTGATGGCCAGTGATGATGAACATTTTTTCATGTGTTTTTTGGCTGCATAAATGTCTTCTTTTGAGAAGTGTCTGTTCATGTCCTTTGCCCACTTTTTGATGGGGTTGTTTGTTTTTTTCTTGTAAATTTGTTTGAGTTCATTGTAGATTCTGGATATTAGCCCTTTGTCAGATGAGTGGGTTGCAAAAATTTTCTCCCATTTTGTAGGTTGCCTGTTCACTCTGATGGTAGTTTCTTTTGCTGTGCAGAAGCTCTTTAGTTTAATTAGATCCCATTTGTCAATTTTGGCTTTTGTTGCCATTGCTTTTGGTGTTTTAGACATGAAGTCCTTGCCCATGCCTATGTCCTGAATGGTAATGCCTAGGTTTTCTTCTAGGGTTTTTATGGTTTTAGGTCTAACGTTTAAGTCTTTAATCCATCTTGAATTGATTTTTGTATAAGGTGTAAGGAAGGGATCCAGTTTCAGCTTTCTACATATGGCTAGCCAGTTTTCCCAGCACCATTTATTAAATAGGGAATCCTTTCCCCATTGCTTGTTTTTCTCAGGTTTGTCAAAGATCAGATAGTTGTAGACATGCGGCATTATTTCTGAGGGCTCTGTTCTGTTCCATTGATCTATATCTCTGTTTTGGTACCAGTACCATGCTGTTTTGCTTACTGTAGCCTTGTAGTATAGTTTGAAATCAGGTAGTGTGATGCCTCCAGCTTTGTTCTTTTGGCTTAGGATTCACTTGGCGATGCGGGCTCTTTTTTGGTTCCATATGAACTTTTAAGTAGTTTTTTTCCAATTCTGTGACGAAAGTCATTGGTAGCTTGATGGGGATGGCATTGAATCTATAAATTACCTTGGGCAGTATGACCATTTTCACAATATTGATTCTTCCTACCCATGAGCATGGAATGTTCTTCCATTTGTTTGTATCCTCTTTTATTTCCTTGAGCAGTGGATTGTAGTTCTCCTTGAAGAGGTCCTTCACATCCCTTGTAAGTTGGATTCCTAGGTATTTTATTCTCTTTGAAGCAATTGTGAATGGGAGTTCACTCATGATTTGGCTCTCTGTTTGTCTGTTGTTGGTGTATAAGAATGCTTGTGATTTTTGTACATTGATTTTGTATCCTGAGACTTTGCTGAAGTTGCTTATCAGCTTAAGGAGATTTTGGGCTGAGACAATGGGGTTTTCTAGATATACAATCATGTCGTCTGCAAACAGGGACAATTTGACTTCCTCTTTTCCTAATTGAATACCCTTTATTTCCTTCTCCTGTCTAATTGCCCTGGCCAGAACTTCCAACACTATGTTGAATAGGAGTGGTGAGAGAGGGCATCCCTGTCTTGTGCCAGTTTTCAAAGGGAATGCTTCCAGTTTTTGCCCATTCAGTATGATATTGGCTGTGGGTTTGTCATAGATAGCTCTTATTATTTTGAAATATGTCCCATCAATACCTAATTTATTGAGAGTTTTTAGCATGAAGGGTTGTTGAATTTTGTCAAAGGCCTTTTCTGCATCTATTGAGATAATCATGTGGTTTTTGTCTTTGGCTCTGTTTATATGCTGGATTACATTTATTGATTTGCGTATATTGAACCAGCCTTGCATCCCAGGGATGAAGCCCACTTGATCATGGTGGATAAGCTTTTTGATGTGCTGCTGGATTCATTTTGCCAGTATTTTATTGAGGATTTTTGCATCAATGTTCATCAAGGATATTGGTCTAAAATTCTCTTTTTTGGTTGTGTCTCTGCCCGGCTTTGGTATCAGAATGATGCTGGCCTCATAAAATGAGTTAGGGAGGATTCCCTCTTTTTCTATTGATTGGAATAGTTTCAGAAGGAATGGTACCATTTCCTCCTTGTACCTCTGGTAGAATTCGGCTGTGAATCCATCTGGACTCTTTGGTTGGTAAGCTATTGATTATTGCCACAATTTCAGCTCCTGTTATTGGTCTATTCAGAGATTCAACTTCTTCCTGGTTTAGTCTTGGGAGAGTGTATGTGTCGAGGAATTTATCCATTTCTTCTAGATTTTCTAGTTTATTTGCGTAGAGGTGTTTGTAGTATTCTCTGATGGTAGTTTGTATTTCTGTGGGATCGGTGGTGATATCCCCTTTATCATTTTTTATTGCGTCTATTTGATTCTTCTCTCTTTTTTTCTTTAGTAGTCTTGCTAGTGGTCTATCTATTTTGTTGATCCTTTCAAAAAACCAGCTCCTGGATTCATTAATTTTTTGAAGGGTTTTTTGTGTCTCTATTTCCTTCAGTTCTGCTCTGATTTTAGTTATTTCTTGCCTTCTGCTAGCTTTTGAATGTGTTTGCTCTTGCTTTTCTAGTTCTTTTAATTGTGATGTTAGGGTGTCAATTTTGGATCTTTCCTGCTTTCTCTTGTGGGCATTTAGTGCTATAAATTTCCCTCTACACACTGCTTTGAATGCGTCCCAGAGATTCTGGTATGTTGTGTCTTTGTTCTTGTTGGTTTCAAAGAACATCTTTATTTCTGCCTTCATTTCGTTATGTACCCAGTAGTCATTCAGGAGCAGGTTGTTCAGTTTCCATGTAGTTGAGTGGTTTTGAGTGAGATTCTTAATCCTGAGTTCTAGTTTGATTGCACTGTGGTCTGAGAGATAGTTTGTTATAATTTGTGTTCTTTTACATTTGCTGAGGAGAACTTTACTTCCAAGTATGTGGTCAATTTTGGAATAGGTGTGGTGTGGTGCTGAAAAAAAATGTATATTCTGTTGATTTGGGGTGGAGAGTTCTGTAGATGTCTATTAGGTCCGCTTGGTGCAGAGCTGAGTTCAATTCCTGGGTATCCTTGTTAACTTTCTGTCTCGTTGATCTGTCTAATGTTGACATTGGGGTGTTAAAGTCTCCCATTATTAATGTGTGGGAGTCTAAGTCTCTTTGTAGGTCACTCAGGACTTGCTTTATGAATCTGGGTGCTCCTGTATTGGGTGCATATATATTTAGGATAGTTAGCTCTTCTTGTTGAATTGATCCCTTTACCATTATGTAATGGCCTTCTTTGTCTCTTTTGATCTTTGTTGGTTTAAAGTCTGTTTTATCAGAGACTAGGATTGCAACCCCTGCCTTTTTTTGTTTTCCATTTGCTTGGTAGATCTTCCTCCATCCTTTTATTTTGAGCCTATGTGTGTCTCTGCACATGAGATGGGTTTCCTGAATACAGCACACTGATGGGTCTTGACTCTTTATCCAATTTGCCAGTCTGTGTCTTTTAATTGGAGCATTTAGTCCATTTACATTTAAAGTTAATATTGTTATGTGTGAATTTGATCCTGTCATTCTGATGTTAGCTGGTTATTTTGCTCGTCAGTTGATGCAGTTTCTTCCTAGTCTCGATGGTCTTTACATTTTGGCATGATTTTGCAGCGGCTGGTACCGGTTGTTCCTTTCCATGTTTAGCGCTTCCTTCAGGAGCTCCTTTAGGGCAGGCCTGGTGGTGAGAAAATCTCTCAGCATTTGCTTGTCTGTAAAGCATTTTATTTCTCCTTCACTTATGAAGCTTAGTTTGGCTGGATATGAAATTCTGGGTTGAAAATTCTTTTCTTGAAGAATGTTGAATATTGGCCCCCACTCTCTTCTGGCTTGTAGGGTTTCTGCCGAGAGATCCACTGTTAGTCTGATGGGCTTCCCTTTGAGGGTAACCCGACCTTTCTCTCTGGCTGCCCTTCACATTTTTTCCTTCATTTCAACTTTGGTGAATCTGACAATTATGTGTCTTGGAGTTGCTCTTCTCGAGGAGTATCTTTGTGGCATTCTCTGTATTTCCTGAATCTGAACGTTGGCCTGCCTTGCTATATTGGGGAATTTCTCCTGGATAATATCCTGCAGAGTGTTTTCCAACTTGGTTCCATTCTCCACATCACTTTCAGGTACACCAATCAGATGTAGATTTGGTCTTTTCACATAGTCCCATATTTCTTGGAGGCTTTGCTCATTTCTTTTCATTCTTTTTTCTCTAAACTTCCCTTCTCGCTTCATTTCATTCATTTCATCTTCCATCGCTGATACCCTTTCTTCCAGTTGATCACATCGGCTCCTGAGGCTTCTGCATTCTTCATGTAGTTCTCGAGCCTTGGTCTTCAGCTCCATCAGCTCCTTTAAGCACTTCTCTGTATTGGTTATTCTCGTTATACATTCTTCTAAATTTTTTTCAAAGTTTTCAACTTCTTTGCCTTTGGTTTGAATGTCCTCCTGTAGCTCAGAGTAATTTGATCGTCTGAAGCCTTCTTCTCTCAGCTCGTCAAAGTCATTCTCCGTCCAGCTTTGTTCCGTTGCTGGTGAGGAACTGCGTTCCTTTGGAGGAGGAGAGGCACTCTGCTTTTTAGAGTTTCCAGTTTTTCTGTTCTGTTTTTTCCCCATCTTTGTGGTTTTATCTACTTTTGGTCTTTGATGATGGTGATGTACAGACGGGTTTTTGGTGTGGATGTCCTTTCTGTTTGTTAGTTTTCCTTCTAACAGACAGGACCCTCAGCTGCAGGTCTGTTGGAGTACCCTGCCATGTGAGGTGTCAGTGTGCCCCTGCTGGGGGGTGCCTCCCAGTTAGGCTGCTCGGGGGTCAGGGGTCAGGGACCCACTTGAGGAGGCAGTCTGCCTGTTCTCAGATCTCCAGCTGCGTGCTGGTAGAACCACGGCTCTCTTCAAAGCTGTCAGACAGGGACATTTAAGTCTGCGGAGGTTACTGCTGTCTTTTTGTTTGTCTGTGCCCTGCCCCCAGAGGTGGAGCCTACAGAGGCAGGCAGGCCTCCTTGAGCTGTGGTGGGCTCCACCCAGTTCGAGCTTCCCTGCTGCTTTGTTTACCTAAGCACGCCTGTGCAATGGTGGGCGCCCCTCCCCCAGCCTCGCTGCCGCCTTGCAGTTTGATCTCAGACTGCTGTGCTAGCAATCAGGGAGACTCCGTGGGCGTAGGACCCTCCGAGCCAGGTGCGGGATATAATCTCGTGGTGCGCCGTTTTTTAAGCCCGTCGGAAAAGCGCAGTATTCGGGTGGGAGCGACCCGATTTTCCAGTTGCCGTCTGTCACCCCTTTCTTTGACTAGGAAAGGGAACTCCCTGACCGCTTGCGCTTCTGGAGTGAGGCAATGCCTCGCCCTGCTTTGGCTCGCGCACAGTGCACGCACCCACTGACCTGTGCCCACTGTCTGGCACTCCCTAGTGAGATGAACCTGGTACCTCAGATGGAAATGCAGAAATCACCCGTCTTCTGCGTCGCTGACGCTGGGAGCTGTAGACCGGAGCTGTTCCTATTCGGCCATCTTGGCTCCTCCCCCCCAGTGATACTTTTTGTAGGTTTTTTTTTTTTTTCTTTTCCTTGGGCCTGTCAGCTTCCTCAGTACTCTCATCTCTTACTTGGAAGGTATACATTTTGCCAATATTCTATGAGTTGAGTGAGTGGATAAGAGGATTGTTATTCTTACATTTTAGAATGTAAATTTTCATATAATCCTGTTTTCAGAACAGTACCTGCCTTCTAACCCCAACTGTGCTTATTCTCCTTGAGTCTTGGTGATGACATTTTAACAGAAAGAAAATTCTAGTCTTTTTTCTGGGATGAGTAAGAAGTAGTGCTTGACTGTGCAGAATGAGACTGACCAGCTTCAGTGTCACCTATATTCTCATTTGCAGAACACTTAAGATTTAATTGATAAAATATTTCCTAGATTTTGTGATTTGAATTAGCTTGCATTTTATTGATTTCACCCATGCAAGTACTTAGCGTGCAGCTCTCTCTTGGTTTTTGAAGACATTCATCATTTACTCACATGATCACCTTTCCTACTCTTTGTCATTAAAAATACATGCTTTTTAATGTATTTATATTTTCTCAGAAGTACTGTCATTTTAATGTTGTTTAAAAAAAGATCAGGGAAATCACATTGGTGGGGAAAGTTCAGAAGTCTCAATTCTATTCATTTTTTGAGATTTCTTCTATACCTGTATCCCCTCATCACCAGCTACATTCCAAAGAGTCTCAAATATATCTCTAGCCCTGACCCCTATTGTGACTTTTGAACCCACATATATCACTGCCTGCCTGCATGCATCATGGGACCTCAAACTAACTTCCCCTATCTCAGGAAATAGTGATCTCATTCTCCTAACTGCTCAGTCAAAAATAATTACAGTTCTCCTTGATTCCTTCGTTTCTCTCATCATCTGCTATATCCGATCCATCAGCATGTCCTGTTGGCTTTACCTTAAAAAATATAGTCAGGATCAGATTATTTCTCATCATCTCTACTGCTGCTGTCTTAGTGCAAACTACTTTCATCTCATGCCTATATTATTTTGGCATATTCCTAAGTGGTCTTCTTGCTTCCATACTTGGTTCCCTACAGTTTATTTTCAACACAACAGCCGGCATGTTCCTGTGAAACTTTGAGTCAGACTGTGACACACCTATGCTCAAAATGCTCCTATGGCTTCCCCTCTATCTAAAGAGCAAATCAAAAGACCTGATGATGGCCTCTAAGACCATCTGCAAGTTGCTCCTCAACCCTATCATCTTTTTGATCACAGCTTTTACTTTTTCCCCCGTTTACTTTACTCTGTTTGAGCGGCAATGGCCTCCTTGCTATTCCTCAAACGTGCCAGGTATATTCTCACCTGGGGGTCTTTGCACTTGTCTAAAATGCTCTTTCTTCAGATTGTCCCCAGGCTTGTCCCTTTGTTTCTTTCAGATATTTTCTGAATTGCCACCTTCTTGATGAGGCTTTTCACTCACTGTTCTTTAATGTAGTGACCCTCCCCTACTGGTAGTTCCCAGTGAAGAATCCCAAGCTTAGCAAGTTCTCATCAGTAAATGCTTATTGTACATTTTCAAAGGCTGGCTAGGGAGAGTTTAACCAGATTGTTGGGATTGGATAGGAATGAGAGGGAGCAAGAAAAGAATTTCAGCTGGGTGAATGGCCAAATAAGAGCTAAGGTATGAGGCCCTAAACTTAGAAATCATTCACATTCTCATGATACTTGTGAGCAGATGATTTAACCAAAGGAGAAGATATAGAGGAAAAAGAGCCAGGACCCAGGATGGAACCCCATTTTGAGGAATGATGCAGTGAGCTAAGGAGAGAAATGGGGAAGGAGTGATCAGAGAGGTTACAACAGATCAGAATAATGAAGTGTCAAAGTTCAGGAAGAAGTGAAAATAATCATAATAATGTCTAACATTATTGAGGATATATTTAGTTCCTTTATTATCTTATTTAAACTTTATTAGCTTACTTTATCCTGTTTCGACAGATGAGAAAACTGAGACTTGGGTCTTACAGTTAGTAAGTGATGGGGCTGGGAGTCAACTCCAGGTATAACTCCTCATCTTTGTCACTTTCCACAACCTGGAATGCCACCAAGAGGCAGGGAAAGCATTTTCAGGCAGTTTCACAAATCCTCTTAACTTGGTGGGAGAGTCTTGTAGAAAATCTTGCCATAAATATAAAAAACAACTTCGAGGCAGTACAAGCAGGTAGTTTAATTGACCACTTCCAAAGAAGTAGAAATGGACACATTCCCTTGAGGACAACAGACTAAAATATCTTTAAAATATGATTGCTCTTTAAGTGCTATAATGTTTACAGAAGAGTGCTTTAATTATTTATTGGGTACCATATTAATTTCACAAATATTTATTAAGCTCATACTGTGTTTTGGGCATTATAATATGAACCAGAATTGTGGAAATACAATTCTGCCCTCTAAGGCAGAATTAAAATGCCAGCAGGTGCTCATCAGAAAGACAAGATTATAGCAGGGTTTTCCAGACAGTAGGAAGAGTAAGAGTTTAGCATAACAGTGTAAGTAGGTTGGAGAATTAAGGGAGCTAAGAGGTTCGATATGGATGGACCATTGATCAGAGGCGTAAAGTAGTGTAAAAGACAAAGCTGAAGATTATGGCAATGCCTTGCAAGCCACACCAAGACCTCTATCCTGAGGGGAATGGGAGGCCAGTATTGGGTTTAAGATTCTATTTGCATGTGAACCCAAAGAGGTTTGGGGAGGGTGGATTTGAGAGGAACCAAGACTAAATAAAGGCAGGAGCCAGATTTGGAGACGCTAATCATCTAGACTACTGCTACTCAACGTATGGTGCCCATTGGCCAATAGCTTCTTACCATTCCAAGGATAAGAAGCGTATGCTGGATGTAAGCCAGCTACTTCAACTAAACACACTGTTGAGTTTGGTTGACTTTATTTTCATGACAAGATTTTCTCCAAAAAAGAAGCTGTGCTTTGCTGTATATCCTGGACAGCCACTTACCTTGTAATGAACTCACTTTGAGTGGTTCTGGTCTACACTATTGGTCTTCAAATTCTTTCAATCTCACATATTAATAAGTAAAAAATATCTGAGTATGTACCACTAACATATGAACAGTCATGAACCCTATACATGTATTTTTGTAATACTATATAATATATACCATAACACACTAAACATACATTTTAAAATAATGCAATGAAGATAAGTAATATATATTTTTTAAAGTTTCATAAAAGCAAAAGCAATGTTATCAAATATGCTTAATTAGTTTTGAAAATTATTTTTAACCCTTTTGGCTATGGCTGTTCAAAGTCTGCTTTTGGTTCAGTTTATTTTGATTTTGGTTTAAATGGCCGTCCTAGTTGAAAAAATTACCAAAGATGGGTGTTTCACCAAGAATAGAGCAGGCTTAACTGCATTTATTAAACTAAGATTCTCATTTTTCAATCTAATTCAGTAATTAAATACATGTTTTTAATGAAATTTTATATTTTCTGATGTCAATCAGTTGTTTTTGCAAGGTGATCTGGAGGTGTTTCATTTTCACATTTTATACACATGGATTTTAAACCTGCTACAACTCTGTATTACTTTGCTAGAGCTATGGTAACAAAATACCACAGATTGGCTGATTTAAACAACAGAAATGTATTTTCTTACAGTTCTGGAGGCTGCAAGTCCAAGATCAAAGTGTCAGCAAGTTTGGCTTCTCCTGAGGCCTCTCTCCCTGGCTTGCAGATGGCCACCTTCTTGCTGTGGCCTCACGTGGCCTTTCCTCTGTGAGCGCCCATCCCTGGTGTCTCTCTGTGTATCCCAATCTCCTTGTCTTATGAGGCCACCTGTCAGATTGGATTAGGGCTCACCTAACAGCCTTATTTTAATTTAATTACCTCTTTACAGACCCTATCTTCAAATACAGTCACATACTAAGATGCTAGAGGTTAAGGCTTCAGCATTTGAATTTAGGAAGACAGATACAATTTAGTTCATAACAAACTTAATTTGAAAGATTTAAAAACAAGTTAAAATTCTATTTCTGATTTGAACCAAACAGAATTTTTATGGCATTGACAATTTTTTATCAGGAAAATCGCATAATATGTGAATATTTCCAAATACCTGTTTCTAAAGCCTTTCTCTAAAGCATACATTTCTTTGAAAAAGCAATGACTTTTCTTATTACTTGGCGAAGTAGTACCTTAATCTTGAAGAAGCAGATATAAAAGTGTTATTGAAAAATATCTTCCAGGTTAAAAATTACTGACAGGGACTTTATCACAGAAAAGGTTAATACATTTTTTCCCCACTTGTCTTCTTGTAAAAAGAAAAATGCATAATAATTTTAAGTACTTTGCCATGAATTAACAGTAACCCCCACGTGGCACAGCAGATTTTCAAGATCACTCTGACCTCTTATTTGGATGGAGCGTATGTGTTAAGAGAACAGGACCTTAAATGCACTGGGTGCATTCAGTCTGAAAGTGAAATAACATTGTTAAAGGTGAAAGAGTGAAGGTATCCAGTGCTCAGGACTGTGGATCACTCACCCTTCTCTAGGAGGCATCCACCCCTACCTGACACCTGAGGGACAGTGGCTATCTATAAATAAAAGATTAATAAAACTTAATTTGTTCTTATTTAAAAATAAGTATAAATAGAACCTCTAATATTTCCTCTCGCCCCTAACAGATTATCTTGTGTATCTCTACGGTGCTGTGTTCCACTTTGTTTTTTTGTTTTGTTTTGTTTTTGTTTTTGTTGTTTTTTGAGACAGACTCTCGCTCTGTCGTCCAGGCTGGAGTGCAGTGGCACGATCTGGGCTCGCTGCAAGCTCCTCCTCCTGGGTTCATGCCATTCTCCTGCCTCGGCCTCCCAAGTAGCTGGGACTACAGGCACCCGCCACTACGCCCAGCTAATTTTTTGTATTTTTAGTGGAGACAGGGTTTCACCATGTTAGCCAGGATGGTCTCGATCGCCTGACCTCGTGATCTGCCCGCCTCGGCCTCCCAAAGTGCTGGGATTACAGGTGTGAGACACTGTGCCCGGCCTGTGATCCACTTTGGCAAGGACTAGAGTGGATGCTCAATGATGAGATTCTAAACTGAGGCAAAACCAAGGGAATGAGGAAGGTGGCAATGATACAGAGGCTTCAGGGAAGCAGAATCAATAGAACCTGATCACTGATTGGATGTGGGGGTGTAAATCAAAGGAAATGCACAAATAGGTATGTTTTCATGCTGTTTAAAAAATGTTTTTATTCCATCTTTCCCCATGATTGTAAGTTCTTCCACAGACGAGTCGAACTATCATTTATATTCTTCCTTCTTTGTGCCAGGCATTGTGCAATGTACATTCAGGTACATTTTTTTCTGCAAAGACTAGAGTGCCTTCCATCTAGTTGTGGATCTTGCATTTCAAAATTTTTCAAACAGCAGCTGCTCCATGAACAGAGCCTCTGTGAGCATGTACACCAAGGTGGCTGCCTTAGCAGGCATCATGATGGCATACTGGAGCGTGGGGCCTTCTGAGTCTCAAAGGACAAGGACTTTCTTCCAAGAGGTAGCCTATACAGCCAGGAAAAGAGGGACTTGCAGAAGCCTTTACCCGAGACAGCAACATTTTCTACCCTTGAACATAAGATTCTCCCCTTAATGTCTCCATTTATTCCAAAAAAAAAAAAAGAAAAAAAAAGACTAAAATATTCTTTTGTATGTCTTACTCACAGCAAGCTTGGTCCACTGTATACTCCTCCAAATGCATCTTTGTCAATAACTGTCAGGTATTTATTCTTGTTTAGGTAACTAGAGGGAGAGAGAGAAAGAGAGAGAGAGAATGAATTAGGTGATTTTAAGAAATCACATCAAATTAGTACAAATATCAGAATAAAATGTGACCATAGTATTGACTGATTTCAAGAATTTAGAAGATACTTTATCTTCTTCTGGCTTGAGCACTTAAAACATTCTAGGTTTCAATTGTATAAAGTTTTACACATTAATTATGGCAGAAGTTTTTGAAAATGAGCATGTTTATGATCTAGTTTGCATACCTAAATTTCTTAAAAGTTGTTTTAATTCCCTATTTTTCAGGCCAGTGGCAACTGTATTTTTTAATTCTCTTTAATGCCAATCCTCTGTAATACCAAATTTTGTTTGTTAGTATTAATTTATATTCCAATTTAACTTTGAAGACTAGGCTTAAATTAGGAATGGAATGAAGATGGTGAGGGTGGTGAGAGATGCTGAGGACTGTCAGAGATTCAGATGTTTTCTTTGGGTAAAGTTGTCAGATTTAGCAAATAAAAATACAAGATGCCAGTTAAATTTGAGTTTCAGATAAACAATGAATAATTTTTTAGTAAAAATATTTGCCATGCAATTTAAAAAATATTTATATTAAAAGTTGTCTGTTGTTGATCTGAAATTCAAATTGTATTGGGTGGCCTGTATTTGATCTGACAACCCAATAGTGTGTGTGTGAGCAGTGTTTAGCCAGATGAGATTACAGAGTAATCTCATCAACCTTCCATGGAAGAGGTTTGGTGGGCACATTGGCCATTCCATTTTAAAAACACACTGGGCATTAGAGGGTAAAATGTTTTTGGAGCAATTTAAGTTACAAAGTGATTTTGAAATAAAATTCCCTCCAAATGGATAAAAGCTTCCAAGGATTTTGAAACTGGCTGTTTCCCCATAACTTTATTACACAACAAAATTATCTAAAAAGAAGCATAGCACATATATATATCCTTGTTACAAATGCTCCCAATTTACACATTTAGAATAACTCACAACATAACCTGGTCCACTTAAACATTAGTGAGTGGCCACCTGTTGATGCAAAAGAATATAGCAGAGACCCTCAGAAGGTCTGCTTAGATATGGCTAATGCTTCCATTATTCTACTTACGGGGTTTGCTCTTCATGGTGGAACATTTTTAAGGGTAATGGTTAATAATAATATTAAGCCTTCAGTCGGAAGGATTTCTTCTCCAGAGCCCTCACAGAGAAACTTCCCTCCTGGTTAACTGGACCCAGGCATGAGTCTTCGTTGAAACCGTGGGAGGAAGAAGAGTTTTACCAATCACCAGTGCTGAAGAAATCTCTCCTTTCTGGGCAGGATGAGGGAATCACTAAATGACGAGTAAGTGCTGAGACTCCACAAAATGACATGTCATAAATTGGTATATATTTTTGGGTCTTTCAATTTTCTTCTTCTTCTTTTTTTTTTTTTTTTTGAGATGGAGTCTCACTCTGTCGCCCAGTATGGAATGCAGTGGCACGATCTCTGCTCACTGCAACCTCCTGGGTTCAAGCGATTGTCCTGCCTCAGCCTCCTGAGTAACTGGGACTACAGGCGATCGCCATCATGCCTGACTAATTTTTGTATTTTTAGTAGAGACAGGGTTTCACCATGTTGGCCAGGCTGGTTTCGAGCTCCTGACCTCAACTGATCTGCCCAACTCGGCCTCCCAAAGTGCTGGGATTACAGGCATGAGCCACCGTGCCGGCCCAATTTTCTTCTTAAATAGAGATTGAGAACTAGCTAATCTAAAGTAGCCATTACCATTTTGCCTCCATACACTCTCTATTTCTTTCACAGCATTATCACAATCCATAATTATTACCTTGTTTATTTATTTGTTTACTTTATTTTTTGTCTCCCCAGCCAGAATGAAAGTTCTATGTCTACCCAGTGCCAAGTTCACCATCTCTGTAACTATTTGTTGGATGAATATGTGAATGAGTAGAAAATAAATCAACATACTTTTTCATCAAGACAGTAAAGTGGGCAGTGTTAAACTCTTAGGGTGACACAGACGATTGCTTTAAAGAAAAAATCATAAAGAGTGAAAAAATAGAAGACTTGGCTTATGGTGTGGTGGCATTTGACCAACTGTTCTTGTTGAGGTAGTGATTTTTGAGGCATCTGGTTTACAAACACCTCAAGGGTATAGCCCAAACTTGGCATCTTCTGGTAGTGGCAGAACACCCAGTATTCAGGGCATTGTTAAGTATGACAAAGGGAGAGTCAATAAATCTCAAATGCATTCAGAGACCTGGCTAAGATGCTAAAGCAGCCAATCTGTGCCTTCCCAGTGGCTTCAATCACAATCCCCACTTGATCATTGTTTGACTCTCCTTTAACCCACTATGTCCATGGAATTCCTTTGGTCAGTGACACCCAGAGTGGGCAAAATCCACCTTGAAAAAAAAAAACAACTGCAGAGAAGATATTGAACAGCATGATTTTGTAAAAAGACAACTAAGTTCAGTACAAGGGCTGCACTGGCTTGCATCTCTTTTTGTATTCTCTGGACAATGCAGCTTGCAGATCACATTCTGTTCCCAGGCTGTTGAAAATCAAGTAAGAGCCGGTGAACTCATCTCAGTTTTTCCTCTTCATCTCTAACTGCTGCAAGTGAAATTCAGCTTGTTCTTTCTAATCATTAGAAATTATTGTAAAACTAAATTATTGCTTGTCCAATTCTGCAGTGTTTTCATCTGATATTTAATATACTCCTGAGGATAAGGAGCCTGGTTGATAAGCATTGCAGTTTACCAGAAACTCTGCAGAAGACTTCAGACTGGAAAAGCCAGCCAGAGTCCAGGAGGGGAGGAGGAGGATGCAGAGGAGCCCTGGCCAAGATGAACGGAGATGAACTGACACTTCAGGAGACTGTGTTCTCTAAAACCAGCACTGCTGTTGGGGTACTTTACCTCTTAGAGTTAATTAGATGCTTAAAAGTGAAACCATCACTCTGCCTTCAGCAGATTTGAGGGCTGCCTCATTTAGCTTTTCAACCTTGCATCAGCTTGCTGCTCTTGCCTTCCATCTGAAGTCAAGACAGTGGGGAGGGGAAATACATATACAGAAGCCTTGATATCCAGGAAAGTGCTTCCATCAACCTCATTTATCACATGACATTTCCTGGGATTATCAGTCTAGTTAAACTGATTCCTTGACCATGACTTACCTTGATTCTTCTGAAATCCACATTTGTAACCAGCTTGGATAAATCAGTCACAAATCTTGGTAGGCTATCTGGTTAACCTACTCTAGAAAATGATTATTTTAGAGAGGAGTGATAAAAACTATCCCTTGCAAGGAGAAGATGAACATAAAGTAGCTTAAAAGAGACTCAAAAGGCTTGTAGTAAGAGACGAAAGGAAATACTTTTTGAAAGTCAGGGTTTCTAAATATCTATGCTGGAAAGGGCTTATGAGAAAAGAACTGGTATTTCCTTTAAAAATAAGATAGACATGGCTACATCTCTATGTGTTCAACAGCTTTTCACCGCTTGGGGTCTTATTCCTCTTTGAGAACCTGTTGGAAGAAATGAAGTTCTTCTGAGAAAAGAGATGTCAGATTTCCATACATGGAGTTAAGAAGCCCTGCCCTGATTTAAGATTGTGAATAGTTCACAGTTAGGGAAGACCAATGCAGTCAGGAAAATGAAGGTGGTGAGGAATGAGCTGAGGAAAATATTCGATTGACAAACTCAGTATTATGTGTACTATATGTGTGTTTATGTACGCCCTTTTCTGTTGGACTCACTCGTGGCACATAGCGGCCATTCAGTAAAGACTTGCTGGAGGAAGGAATGAAAGCCTGATTGTTGGGTGACTCCTAGAAAGAGGCACCCTCTATACCAGGTTTAGAAAG
Organism: Homo sapiens; assembly: GCF_000001405.40. Lineage (NCBI taxonomy): Eukaryota > Metazoa > Chordata > Mammalia > Primates > Hominidae > Homo > Homo sapiens. Next base: position 81,104,509 of record NC_000014.9, on the reverse strand, counting down.
ACGTGATCTATGCCAGAGAGAGGAGTGTGATGTCGTGGCAAGAGAATTTGCTATTGCTGCTGAACTTGGCTCTCTGGGGAGTTTTAGGATACATTGCAGCTCCAAGATGGAATTTCAGCCTGTGCCTCCACAGTCCCTTTATGGGGAACTTGGGCTGGGCCTTGATTATGTTGTGAGACTCTCATGGGAACACTTCTGTGGGGAACCATGTTTTCCTCCCACAGCGTTGCTAATTCAGAAAATTAAAGGGACCCCCTGCCTACCTCTCATGTTAGTTTAAAGAGAAGCTGGATTGCTCTATGGAAATCCTTTTGTAGCAGAAATCAGGACAGCTGTTTGTAAATAGTAACCTGTGAGAAAATACTCAAGCTCTCAATAGGCAGAGGGAAAAGTCAGCCTTAGAGTATATCCTACAAGCTGTTCAAATACTTACCCCATGATAAATAATAGCCTTCTTAATCCTATAATATTCTCTATCATTGTCTTTTCCCAGTGTGCCAAGATGTGGTGTTTTACTTCGAATCAGCTAATGCATGATGCTAATTAGCACATTAATTCTGTTGACTCTGTTCATAATAATTAGTGTATTGGTGGGCTCTTAGCATATCAAAATGGTATTTTTATTCCTGCCTAAATGTTTACTGTCAGATAGTAGCTAGTTACTAGAGTTTGACAATAGGAAATGTGATACAGAGAATCAGACATTCTGTGAGAAGCAACATATCCCCACGCAGATTGCGTGGAAAGAGGATGGAAAAGAAATTCCAAACAATGAATGTGTGACTTAACTTGTGACCAAGTACAGTTCAACTTCTGTTGAGCAAGGGATGCTTGTATTATTATTAATTTCACCTCTGAGTGATGACAACATTCTTGGCGCCATAGGAAGTCATAGGACAATGTGCTTTTACACATCTGCCATCATTTTCATGAAATCCTAACTAATTGCTTGACTGCTGCTGAGGCATCAGCACTTGCACTCGATGTGGAATTTGTCCAGCTTGGCTGTAATTGTATTATTCAGTTACATTTTAAAAAATGAGTGTAAATGAGGTCGATCTGCTAATTTCAGTAAATTGTCATGAAGTGGAATGATAGGGGATGATTGCTCTTTTGGATGACACATTGTTTAAATGAGAACCTAATGATACCTGGACAAACTTCTGGAGAAATTACCAAATTGCTAACATGCCATGTGAAATCCTTGAACACTATTAAGATAATTACAGGAGATTGATGTGTTTGCCTTAGTTTAAAATCTTAATTAGCATTGACACCAAAAGCAACATCCCTATGTTAAAAACACAATGTGAATACTATTTTATTATTACCATGGAACCTTGACCTTTCTTTCCTTCACCTATAGCTCAATCCTTGTCTTCCTCCAGTCCCAGGGCTCCTTATCACAACCATCATTTTGATTTTACACTGGATTTACATGATACCTTTTACTGAAGTGCTTAAATCTAGGAAAGAATAAATTTCTATTGACTAGGAGTCAGAAACTTAGGGTAGAATGATGGAGCATTGTTTTATAACAGGAGCAGTTTCCAGCTTGGATTCAAAATACTGATTAAAAAAATTTGTTTTCTATTATGATTGGATCTGTACTTTCTAACGCCAAATATTTTAATCCAGATACTTTTTATCTTGATCCCACGCTTGCCCTTTAACCTTTACCAGAAATTCAGAGAAACAGAGTACATATTTCGCCACACAATGGTCATCCTCACTGAATACTTTTATCCAGAGGTCTACAAACTATGACCCTCCAGTCAAATCCTACCTTGCCCTTGTTTTTGTAAATAAAGTTTTATTGGAACATAACCATGCTCATTTGTTTATATATTGTCTATGGCTGCTTTCACACTACAAAGGCAGACTTAAGTAGTGCAACTAAGACCATATGTCCCATAAGGCCCCAAATATTTGCTATCTGGGCTTTTCCCAGAAAAAGTTTGCTGACCCCTGATCTAGACTTTTAGAAACCAAGACACAAAAGATTCTTAACAAAGAAATAGTTTCCACATTTGTTAAACTCTTCCAAATAACTTTAATACTTAACATAAAAATGTCAAGAAAGTATTGTGAAATAGTACACTGATTTCTTTCCTATGTTTCAAGGGATAGTTAGACAGTAAGTCATGGCACCAGTGAATTGAAAATCCATTGTCACTGACAGAATATCTCTGCCGTCAGCTAAGCCTCCCACAGAATCCATGATATGGTCTGAGGAGAAAGCTGGTGTGAACGTACGGAGAGTCTCTATATATACAGCAGATCCTCTAATAATATTGTCTCATTCACTATTGTTTAGTTTTTTTTTTTTTTTTTCCCTGAGATGGAGTCTCTCTCAGTCTCCCAGGCTGGAGTGCAGTGGTGCGATCTCGGCTCACTGCAAGCTCCGCCTCCCGGGTTCACACCATTCTCCTGCCTCAGCCTCCCGAGTAGCTGGGACTACAGGCGCCCGCCACCACGCCCAGCTAATTTTTTTGTATTTTTAGTAGAGACGGGGTTTCACCGTGTTAGCCAGGATGGTCTCGATCTCCTGACTTTGTGATCCACCTGCCTCAGCCTCCCAAAGTGCTGGGATTACAGACATGAGCCACCACACCCGGCCTGCTTAGTTTTAATGAGAATAAAATCCTTTCCAGGCCAGGGCTACTGTTTATGTGAAGTGTGCACACACTCCCCATGTCTGTGTGGGTTTTCTCCAGGTATTCCAATTTCCTCCCACACCCCAAAGATGTGCAGATCAGGTTTCTTGGTGTGTCTAGATGGTGCCAGTTCAAGTGAGTGTGGTGGTATGTGTGATTGTGTCCCATGTTGGGGTGACGTCCTGTTCAGGGTTGGCTCCCACCTTGTGCCCTGAGCTTCTGGAATAGGCTGTGGCCACCTGTGACCTTGAACTGGAATAATTGGGCAAATAATTCTCTTGTTTTTATTAACCTACCTTAAATGTATGTATAGCTCATATTTGTTTCCATATTTAACATTAGAAGCATTTTGGTCCTTATGCAAAAGTTTGGTTGTTTTTGTGACCAGAAATATGCTATAGAAACTCAACTCCTATTTATATCAACTAGCCTATGGTAAAATTGGTTTCATTATACATTGTTTGTATTTCAAGTTGTAGTTTTCAAGACCCTATCTGGGATGCTAAGTGAGGACTTTGCGTACTTTTTCCATAGGGTTAATTTCAGAAGGCCATCTGATCATTTGAAATCTTTACTAGTTCTTAGAATCTCCACAGCTATCTCTTGAATAAACCTTCTTAAATTTACCTGCTTCCCAAGCAGATGGTATATCGAAAGATTCTTCTTCAGTAGTGTAATATTGTGAAATATGTATTTGGTCTTATCTGTTTCCTGGCACACAGCTCCTAAAACTCTTGGAATTTCCAGAGTGACAAGTGTCTTTTGTATGCTGATGAGATGACTGGTGACTGTCAATCCCTAGATAGCTTCAGGATGAGGGCTGGTCACCAGAAAGATCAATAAATAATTAGAGGGTTGGACTTTCAGCTCCACCTTCTCACCTTCAGGTAGGAGACAGGGGCTGAAAAGATTGAGATGATCACCAATGGCCAGTGATGTAATAAATCAAGCCTATGTAATGAAACCTCCATACAAAGCCAGAGAGGAGAGGGTTTGGATGAGCTTCCAGGTAGCTGGAAGGTGGTCAAGGCACATGTGGAGCTGAGGGGAGGGTGTGTGCCCAGAGAGGGCATGGAAGCTCTGCACTCCTTCCTACCTCTCACCCTATGCATCTTTGCCACACAGCTGCTCCTTTGTAATATCCTTTAAAGTGTCTCCCTGAGTTCTGTGAGCTGCTTTAGCAAATTAACTGAACTGAGGAGGGGACTGGGGGAACCCTGATTTATAATTGGTCAGTCAGAAGCATAGGACACAACCTGGGAGCTGTGACTGGCATCTGAAGTAGCAGGCAGTCTTGTGGGACTGAGCCCTTAACCTGTGGATCTGATGCTATCTCCAGGTAGAGTATCAGAACTGAGTTAAATTGTAGGACATCCAGCTGGTGTGCATTGGAGAATTGATTACTTGTTGTGTGGGGGAAAAGCCTCCAAACATTTGGTGTCAAAACTGTTGTATTGAGTGTGTGATGGTAGAAAAACACCTTGATTTTTTTCCTACCTATCAGAGGCGGTATTCCCCTCAAAAGTCTGTAGAACACCAGACCAGAGAGATGCTCCTGTAACTGAGAACTGCTTGAGAAGCTCTGCAAACTAAGGCCCCCTCTTTGATATGAATAATTCAGATGATTTTATTAGAAGATCTGAAAAGTCCACTTATATATCTTGTTTAACTTTATAAGATCATAAATTTCTTTTAAAAAGTAACACCCATTAATTTACTATGGAAAGAGAGTTGAAGAAATATAGTTTAAAGGAACATAGCTCCCCCTCTCCCATCCCTTCTCTTATCACAAAGGCTGAGGAGAAGCTCAAAGAGAAATTATTGTTCACTTGTTCGTTTTTCCATCCTTTCAATAGAAAATGTCTCTAAACTCCTTTGATACTCTGTGTCTAATTTTATGGCTGGTCATAAGATAATAAGCTGCTAGACCTACACTGAGATCCACTTAGCACACTAACACTTCCTGATTGAAGAAGACCTCTTTTGAAAATCTCTTGAAGTCTTTGCAGAGTTCTCTAAACATGACCAGGAGGCCAATCATGAGGAGGAGTGAGATGTTTTGAGGGAAAATAGTCAATATACGTAAACTAAGTTCAATACCAATTCTTTGACTTGAATAACGTTTTATCATCCCAGCATTTTTGTCAGGTTATCGCCGACCAGACTTCATCTGGAAGCTCACGAATGGCTTTGCAGCATTGGTAAAGTCAGGTTCTCGTGGACTAACAACACTGTTTCTTGATGTGATTGTCCTCTGAAACTTCTCCTGATTATGCCTCGAGTTTTGAGTTGCCTTCTTTCTCTCACATGATCTCATTCTTTTCAGGATCAAGATATTTTAACTTCTGTGTTTAGCGCCTTTAATAGATTGAGCTAAGAAGTCTAAGCAATCTTCAGGGCTAAGAAACAAGCTGCACTTGCCAGAGTTGGATGTTCACACCTTGGTGATGGCTGGTAAGTCAGCCATGATGAATCCCAGCAGAGGGCAGGGAAAGAGTTCTGAACCAGGGGACCCAGGTCTCAGCTTTGACTTGGCCACTAGGAAGCTCTATCAAATTAAAACAGCCACGTTAAAAAAAAAAAGCCATGTGTTCTTGTTGGGCTTCATTCCCTTCATATGTAAAACGTGACAATTGGACAAGAAGACTGATAATGTATTTTACAGCAGTAGTTCTTGACTTTTGCTCTGTATTGGACTCACTTGGAGAGAGTTTTAAATCCCCATGATCCTGCTACATCCAGAATGTCTGACGGCAAAACCTAGGCATTAGTGCTTTGAAAACTCCCTAATGTTGAGAATTATTGCTCTGTAGACCTTAAGGTCTGAATTTTATACTCTATCTTGAATAAATGATAATTGATAGTGTCTGAGGGTCATATCTTCCAATGACTAAATACGGCAGGAAAAACAGGCAGTTAATTTGAAGCATAGATTCTTATCTTGGGCTCCAAAATCTTTTGCTTGTGGAAAAATTAATGTTTTAGAAATCAATTACCCTATATCCCAGGTTTCAGGTTCTTTCTCTAATCCACCATTCTGGAAAGGCAGTTCTAGTTCAGGCAAGAGTCAGGTGAACACACTGAATTCAGGAGCCATATTAACAGCTTTGGTTTCCCTGGTTGAAGATTTCCTTACTACCTCCTATCCCTGCCCCTGCTAATGTGAGTCTTTGTTGCCTTTATGCTAACTAAACTTTTGGTGCACTCTATGTCTAGAACTGTGTGATAGTCATCTGAAATCTTTATACCCTAAGTACCTACAAACTATCTTCATTATTTTAAGAACTCTCCATACTCCATTCATAGAAAATTTGAATTTGAAGATCATTACCCTAAGAGTCATAGCTTTCTAGGAATAGTTGAATCAAAGAGGAAAATATTTGGTGAAATTCATACAATATTAAAATCAAATGCCACCTTTCCAGAATGCTAGATTAGAAAAAGAACTTGAAACCTGGAATATAGGATAATTCATTTCTAAAACATTAATTTTAATAATGATTTAAAAAACAATGGGATAAACCTAGAAAAAATCTAGCTTGTATCTCCAAAGAAGGAAAGCAATGTTATTCGATATTTAGGCTTCAGTTATTTTCTATCTGAGATGCATATTTTGGATTGGGTACACTTCTCCCTAATGTACTTTGCCCTTTGATGTTGCTGCCCTTGAGCTGACCCCCACCAGAATGTACGCTCAGTGTGGGCAGGGAGCACATGGCTCCTGTTCATCTGTGTTTTCCCAGTGAATGGCACAGGGCCTGGTACATTGCAAGTGTCTAATAAATATGTTGAAAAGTAGATGAAAGATTGTAAGAAGTTAGTATCATAAAGTTAAGATGGAAGGAGGGTCTCTCCAATTCTGTAAATAAATTTGAGGGGGTAAGTATCACCTTACTCGATAGAGTCTTTTTAGACTTTGCCTATAATTATGTAGTAAAAAAATAATGGAAATGAACCATTATGACTCCACAACCAGACAATCGAGAGAATGGTACTGTAACTCTTCATTTCATAAAGACTGGTATGAAGCACAAAAGCCAGCAAAGAGTGAGACTTCACTTCAAACAGAACTCAGGGAGCCTTGCCTCAGTGTAATGAGTTCAAACACCTTTTTACCATTTACCATTTAAAAATGGAATTGTTCCAGAACCTACCACCTAACCCCTAAACCAGAACATCAACCAAAATCACATAATCTACATGAGTGTTCTTCTCCATCCAGAGCCACTGCATAGGGTTAGACAGCTTATTGACCTCACCCTTGCTACTTAAAGTGTGGTCTATGAACAGCAGTGTCGGCATCACCTGGGAGTTTGTTAGAAATATGGAATCCCGAGGCCAAATCCAGAGCTACAGAATCAGACTGTGTATTTTGATAAGACCTCTCAGAGGGTCTGATGCCCAGGAAGGTTTGAGAAGCCCCATACGCAACAGATTTTGTGTCATAAGGCCTTCAGATTTTGCAGGGATCATTTCTGGAACATAAAATTACTATGTATGAAATGTTTAAAGTGAAACAAATAATATAATTACAAAAATGAATACATAACAAGACACTAGCAAAAATGAGCAGGTAAATTTGAAAAAAACAACAAATAGAAAAAGGTGAAATAGAAAAAATATATCATTTGTAAAGAAATACTCAAAAAGTGTTATAAAACACATCAAACACAAAGTCTATTGTTTGCTGTTTCAGCTGTTCCCAGCACTATTTATTTTTTGAAAAGGCAAAAGTTGGATATGATTTTTTAGCTATTTCTGAGTGAATCAAATATAAACTGACATCTTTCCCAAAAACATGTCAGAAAGGACTAAAAGAGAAACCACCTTATTTTCTGAACAGCTTTGGGCTTCATTAAAGATATCCTTTTACTTCATGTACATAATAGATGAACATTTACACACACACACACACACACACACACACACCAGGGAGAAAAGCTTTGGAACTTACCATTGGAGCTAACGTAAGCGCCCACTAAAGTGGGCCCCTGCCAAGTTCCTTGACCTCATTTCCATGTTGGTCACACTAACTCTGGCGTGGAAGATGCTCTGGTAGAACCTATCTCTCAACAGCATTCTGCCCCATTGGATGGTTCTTAGGGTAAGGGAAAGTGACAGTTTTCATGGCTACCCTTGACTTACACAGCATCCAGCTTTGTCCCATTGAAAGCATATCCTTGGACTGAAGTAAAGCCATTGTTGTACAGCTTCCTACAACCAACAGAGAGAAGAGAAATCAGTGACTGGTGAGAAGTGGTGCTGGCCTGTTTCTGGAGAGTTGGACTATATTTCTTCAGTGTCATAAATGTACATAAAGGTTTTTCAGGTCCCACATATGTATCCCACAAGAAAACTTTCCAGTACAAGTTGTTGGAAACAAGATAATATTTCTCAGTTTGAATGCCCATTCTCCTGACTTAGCTCCTAGTAAATTTAAGGTGTTTCTCAGAATCATATTTACTTTGAGTAACAAACTTGTTACCATTGAAGATTTTAAAAGAATATTCCACATACATTCAGAAAAAGGGATTTGAGGTAATAGTTAACCCAATGTCAATAGTGGAGGAGCAGCTGCAGTCTCTTAAGATAAACATTTTGAAAGACATTCATCTGAATGCGTATGTTTTTATTTTTCTATTAATATTTAAATGTTATTTCACCTTTGTATTTTATCCATCTTTTTATCCTCAGAGCTTATCACAGATTAAATGTTTAAGGGTTATGGGCTGAATTAAATTAAACCTCATAGATGAATCTAAGAAAGTAGATAGACCATGTCCTCTTATGGATTTTTTTTTTTTTTTTTTTGAGACAGGGTCTCTCACTCTGTCACCCAGGCTGGAGTACACTGGCTCAATCACGGCTCACTGCAGCCTTGAGTCCCTGGGCTTAAGCGATCCTCCCACCTCAGCCTCTCAAACAGTTGGGACTATAGGCATGTGCCACCATGCCTGGCTAATTTTTGTATTTGTTGTAGAGATGAGGTTTCACCATGTTGCCCAGGCTAGTCTGGGCTCAAGTGATCCGCCTGCCTCAGCCTCCCGAAACACTGGGGATTACAGGTGTGAACCACTGGGCTGGAAATGTTAATGTTTTAACTTGTTGCTGTGTTTCTATGACTAATTAATTCATTTAATGATTCAGGGAGCCAGTCTGAAATGTTATTACTTCTATTTCCTATTGAAGTTACTGAGACATGAGGGTGACTTGCCAAAAACACATTGGTCTAGGACTGTTGAGACTTAGGATCCCTGACTTCAAATATGATTTTTTTTTTTGACAGGGAGTCTGGCACTGTTGCCCAGGCTGAAGTGCAGTGGCGTGATCTCTGCTTACTGCAACCTCTGCTCCCGGGTTCAAGCAATTCTCCTGCCTCAGCCTCCTGAGTAGCTGGGATTACAGGCGCCTGCCACCAGGTCTGGCTAATTTTTGTATTTTTCAGTAGAGATGGGGGTTTCACCATGTTGGCCAGGCTGGTCTCAAACTCTTGACTTCAGGTGATCTGCCTGCCTCGGTCTCCCAAAGTGCTGGGATTACAGACGTGAGCCACTGTGCCTGGCCAACCTCAAATATAATTATTTCCACCTACCAAAAGCAGCCCCCCTTTCTGCAGGAGAAGGAGCCCCAGCCTTGGGACCTCTGGGCTATATGGGAATGCAAGAGGTTATTGGTGGTTATTGGCATGAAGATAAGAGAAGACAGCTATAACCACACTCAGGCACTGCTAGTGAGAACTCCTAGTGGCAGTTGTAAGGGAACCTTGAAAACCACAGTAATCTACCACATGTGAACCTTGGGAACACAATAAGAAGCACACAGGAAAGTTCAAATTTGGAATTAGACCTGGCTCTGCCACTTAATAGCTGGATGATCCTGAGAATTTCTCAACCTGTCTTATCCTCAGTTTATCTCTAAAAATGTGATAAATTAGTACATAAATGTAATGCCCAATCAAAAGGTTGCAGAGAGGATCAAATAACTATATATTTAACAAAGTGAGGAACACTTATTAGGTGACCATGTTAAAAGGAGCTATTCGGGAGGCTGAGGCAGGAGAATTGCTTGAACCTGGGAGGCGGAGGTTGCAGTAAGCCGAGATCGCACCATTGCACTCCAGCTCTGGGTGACAGAGTGAGACTCTGTCTCAAAAAAAAAAAAAAAAAAAAAAAATTAAAAAAATAAATAAATAAAAGGAGAATTCTAAAACTTGGATTTATCCTATATAGTTGTGGGAAACTGAGCAAGATTCTCGTGGCTTTGTTGTCATTGTTGATGTGTTTGTTTTTGTTTCATCTTAAATAATTACATAGCGAGTTTAATTCCAGCTACTAACATGTCCTGGGTGAGGATTGCAATATCCCAGGAATATAAGCACAATGGCTGAGAAAACTCTGTGGATAAGTAAATTTTTTCTAAACTAGAACTCTTTTATGAAGATGTGAGAACTGTGCATATGGCATTTTAATTTTCCTAAATTTGTTGAGAGTCCTGGACATTAAAAATACTTGTTTGAATTGCATTTCAGATATTAAACAGAATTCTTAATGAACAAATCGGCCTTGAAAAGGGAACATGGTGAAGCAAGACAAAAGAATTACAAACTTTGACTGAAACTTTCTCCTACCAGGAATACAGGTACAAAGTCGGTTGTTGGAACATGTGTCTTTTCAAGTTGATAGTTTTTTGAGCCTGAGCTTCGAAGAAGCAAGGACTTTTGCCAAAATGTAGAAATAATCATCTGAAAAGATCATGAATAATCCATGCCATCCTCTCCTCTATATTTTAGGAAATATGGGCTTCCCTCACTCAGATGTTTCTAGAAACACATGCTGGGCTCTATGCTAGGTGTGGGACAATGAGCTTTCACTTGAGGGGGGTGCTTGAGATATGGGGGTTTTAGAGAAATGGTGTCAAGGGGTAGAGGTAATATTCTATAAAGAAGTTTAGCATGTAGGAGTTTCCTTATGATGAGCACTATATGGCGCAATGGAAAGCTTTACTGAGGAAGTAAATGGCTTTGAAGTTTGGAGCTGAGCAGGCTAAGAGCCTGGGCCTTTTCTGCATGGTAAGAAGAAATTATGACTGAGAAGGAGCCTCCTTTGTCTTTTCAAGGGACCGCTCACCAGGTTGTGATGAGAAGGATCATCTGAAATGCTCCATTGCTCTCAGAAGTTGAGGTAACTTCATTGGGCCCAAACTGATAAACTAGGAATGGCTCAGAAAATAGCCCCTTAGAAGAACTGTATGAAGCTTGGATCCATTTTTCTGGTGAGTAATTTGATCAGGTTTGTATCTGATAAAGACCTCCACCCCAACTTTAGTGTGAGCAGAGAAATGAAACTGGGGTGACAATCCAGACAAAAACTTCACCAGGCTTGAACTTGGGCAGTGGTCCTGAAAATAGAGAGGAGACCCTGCAGAGGTAGCTCCAACTCTACTTTGTGACTTACACAATGAGAGAGGAACTTTCTACCAGCTTGGAGAATTAACTTATCCTTTATACCTCTATTAGATCTTCTCCTTTAGAACATTTTGTGAATATCCCTAATTAAGCATCTACTTTTGACCATCTAAAGGGCTTTGCCCCCATTCAGGCTCTGGAAAAATGCTGACCTATAGCAGCACTATGCTTTCTATGTAATATCCCCTTACAGGAGCTTAATAACAGTTTGTGATTACTGAGTAAAAGTGTGAGTGCAGAATTTATAAAGTTCTTAGTGGCACCACTTTTTTTTAACTCAGTGATCTTGGGTAAGTCACTTCAATTTGCTTAAACCCCAGTTCTTCTTCTGTAGAATGGGGACACTTGGATACAGATGATTATTCCATAAGGCCTGCAGGCCAAATCTAGTCCACTGCCTCTTTCTATAAATAAAGTTTTATTGGAACACAGACATGCTCATTAGTGTATATATTGAGTACTGCGGTTTTTGCCACACAATGCCAGAGTTGACCAGTTCCTACAGAGGTTGCATGGTCTGTAATGCCTAACTGGTTCTTCACGTGAAAAATGTACCAACCACTGCCGTAATGGAATCCTCTTGTCTTGTTACCTAAACTGTTTTGTAGTCTACAGAGTACCATCCCATAAGACAATACTATTATTTAATTGTGTAAAACACTTTGTACTCTATAGAGTATATATGATAAGGCAGTATGGCTCTTGGATGGTCTGTAAACATATGAAAATGGCTCAAAATAGAATTTAGTTGATGGAGGGAGTAGAACTGGTAATACTCACAGTGTCAAGGTTTCATTGCATAGTCCCTGAAAAGCATTCACAGGGATTGACGTCATGTAAGGGTTGTCTGTAATTTCACTGCAAGAGAGAGGGACAAAAACACTTAATGAAAAAATGCTTTCCTTCTGCAGCAGGGGTCTTGCTGCGCATATGCACTTAAATAACAGGACACAATATAGCTTAATCTTATTTCTTTTTAAGTTTCACTGACCCTTCTTAACCGCTAGTGGCTCAGAGGTCTGGTGAGGTGGTGAGAGCTGTCCTAGATGACATGCACCTGGAGCCCAAATGTGGGGTAAGTGAGAGCTTTAGGTGTGGGTGGAGGTCCCTGACTTAATCCTCATCTTGGGGTAGGCAGATGGATTTGAGAGGCTTCTCCCGAATCTGCAACACTTTGTCCACAACAACTAGAGTTTTCTACATGCATGGACCTTTAAGAAGGTCAGGATAAAAGGATTAAAGGATTTCATTTAATGAGTATTTCTAAAATGTCCTTCACTTGCCAAACTTCGCCAGGCTCCTGGAGAACCTTTCTACGCCATTCTAGTTTCTGGAAGATTGCTTACATTTTGAACTGAGCTCTTTTGCAACAAAGAAGTATGATCAATTTTTTTTTCTAGCAAAACCCCAAGAGTTTGAAGCTTATCATTCTACATTTTGCTGACTCTTTAATGCAAACTCAACTTGTAATTCTCTCTGCCTTACGTCCTTTCATTCCTATACAATTAGTAAGACAACTGACCCATGTCACCAGCTTTGAAAAAGGGCACATGGGTGCCAATCAAAGGTCACAGGCAGTAATTTGAGTACCACTTCTGACTGTTCCTTGAGACACTGCTCAGACAAAATCACTTGAGGTTTCTATTCCTCAGTTTCCTCATTCATAAATGGAAAAGCAGTAACTTTGTTTTACACCTTATAAGGTGGCTGAGAGGAGCAAATGTCATGTGTGGGAAAGTGTTTAAAAAACTATTAAAACTCTATGAAAAATAAGGTATCATAGTTATCATCAAATATTCCTTCTATTCAACCATTCCCATTGGCAAAGAAACATTGCATAATTTCTTCCATTTAAAAACAAAAACACACAAACAAAATCTTTTCTCCTGACTCAATATCTTGCAATTACTGAGCTATTTTCTGCTCCTTTTAATAGTAAAACCTCTCAAAAGAGTTAATTATGGTAACTCTTTCTAATTCTGTCTACCCAAGTCTCTCTTGAGCCCACTCCAACCAGCACTCCACTGGAACTGTTCTTGGCAGAGTCACCAACAAACCACATTGCTAAAGCCAGTGGTTATTTCTCAGTCCTTGCCTTACTTCATGCCAGTGTAGTCACACCTGATCATTGCTTACTCCTTGAAACAATTGCTTTACTTATCTTCAACCTACCCTCATGACTGTATTCTAGTTCTTGTCAGTGACAAACAAAATATTGTCAAACATGGCATGTGTGCATACTTACAGTATAAAGAATATATCAGTGGAATAAACTTTGGTCAGGTCAGGGAACATTTTAAGTCCAGTGTTGAAAATGCCACTAAATTAATGAAAAAAAGAGAAAAAAAAGCATAGAATTTAGGTAAAAAAATCAACACATAGGAAGGAGAATAATGTAATAGCTGAAAGCATGGGTTCTGAAGACAACCTGTAGTCAAACTCCCAACACCTTCCCTAAATATCTGAGTAACTATGGGCAAGTTCTGATGGTTGGATGAGATGATATTCCCTCAAGGCATAATAATTTAATCCAGTCCACTGGTGTCAATACATCTGCTCGGCTTAGAATGCTCTGGAGATTGTTTTAACCAAGTGGGTTTACTAGAAATATAAATTCAGTTTTCGTGTGTGTGTGTGTGTGATTTTCTCGTTTAATTGGAAAAAATTATGTGTTTGTTAGTGAAGGGCTAAGAAGAAGATGGGACAGGAAGATATGATGACTTTAAGCCAGCTTCCTCTTTCAAGCTCTACATGATATTATGCTGTTATTTTGCCAAGAATATCTTTCCTACAGCAGTGACCTGAGAGTACCATTATAACAGTACCATTTAAAAAAATATGTCCAGAGAGCCGGGCACAGGGGCTCACGCCTATAATCCTAACACTTTGGGAGGCCAAGGCAGGTGGATCACTTGAGTCCAGGAATTCAAGACTAGCCTAACATGGCGAAACCCTGTCTCTACTAAAAATACAAAAATTAGCTGCATGTGTTGGCATGCGCCTGTAATCCCAGCTACTTGGGAGGCTGAGGCATGAGAATCACTTGAACCTGGGAGGTGGAGGTTGCAGTGAGCCGAGATCATGCCACTGCACTCCAGCCTGGGTGACAGAGGGCGACTCTGTCTCAAAAAAAGACAGTGTCCAGAAAAGGAAGGAAACCAATCAAAGACAAAGTCTTTACCTTCTGTAGTTTATATCATCTACAGAAAAATGTTAAGATTAAAAGACATGCATAAAACACCATGAATACAAGAATTCTCAGGCTCCTGATGCCTCCCAGATTTAGTTGTTTTAACATTTGTTGCAGCTACTTGAATGTAATTAGAATTTTTTTTTTTTTGAGAATTTGGCATAGCATAGAGTGAGATCTAGACACTACTCAGTAAAGCTCTAGAGAAGGTCTTCTGGTAGAAAAACTATATCCATTGATACTCCTTCTGAGGCAAATTCAGACTTGACTCCTTCTAGAGAAGAAGGCATAGGATTTGAAGAGGCAGCAGGAGCCAGAGGTCTCAAAATCAGCAAATGGGAGGGACATTCCAGATAACAAAGGAGAGAGGTGAGATTCCATAAGGTATATTTGAAATACAGTAAACGAACTAGTTCAATTGCAATAGGTGCTCATGAAGAACAGTAGGAGGGAAAAAGGTCCAAGAGTCAAGTGGGGTCCATATACTTGGATCAAGATCTTTCTATTCTTCAAAAATCTCAAACAAGTCCCTTAAAACCATGCTGTGGGTCTTCTTTCTGATGTCTTCTCTAATTACCTGAACCCCCAAACACTGTATATGTCTCTCCTTCGTCACTTTCCATTATTCTTCTGTAGGAGAGGCACTTTTCAATTTCATACACATCTCCTCAACTAGATTACAGGCAAGGACAATGTCTTAGAAACCTGTATGTTCCCCACAGAGCATATAGTGGGGGATCATCACATCAAAGGGTTATTGTATTATTTGAAACTCAGAGTCCATAAGAAGAGTGATTGTCTTGTCCCATAAGCTTTCATGGCTTTCCAGACATCCTTTCATCTTCATATCCCATCAGTGTCTTCCATTCCCCTGGCATCTCTCACACCCACCTCTTCAATATACAACTATTGGCCAGGCACAGTGGCTCATGCCTGTAGTCCCAGCACTTTGGGAGGCTGAGGCGGGTGGATCACCTGAGGTCAGGAGTTCGACACCAGCCTGGCCAACATGGTGAAACCCCATCTCTACTAAAAATACAAAAATTAGCTGGGCATGGTGGTGCACACCTGTAATCCCAGCTACTCGGGAGGCTGAGGCAGGAGAATCGCTTGAATGCAGGAAGTGGCGGTTGCAGTGAGCCAAGATCACACCACTGCACTCCAGCCTGGGGCAACAGAGCAAGACTCTATCTCAAAAAAAAAAAAAAAAAAGCAACTATTTTTAGTTCCCCAAAGAAGCTGCGTGGTTCCCTACATTTGTGTCTTTATCATGCTATTCCATCCAGCTAAATTTCTTTTCTATCTCCCCATTCTTGTTCAAGATACCCTCTATTCATCCTTAAGGGCTTATCTCATAAAATATCTATGATAACATAAGTTTGTTTTGAAGGTCTGGATGAAGATGAACTGAAATGTTAATAGTGCTTATTTTGGGGTTTGGGATTAAGTTTTTTTTAACAATTTTCTTCTTCATACTCTTTGTTTTCTAATCTTTATAATGCATGCAAGTAGGAAAAAGGACTCTTCCACCTGGTATCCAGGGGGCCTGAGGTCATACAGACACATCCACTGAACACATTTGTACTGAGCGCCTACTCTGTACTAGGCAGTAAAGATTCAACAGAGAAAAAAAATGTTGTGGTCCCTGGATTCATGGAGCTTATGGTTAGCTCATAAGGTGTTTTCAAAGCAAAGCAGTGAGTGCTGGACATTTGAGTGCTGGAGTGGGAGGTTGAAACTGTTGTCCCTTCTGTTTTCCCTCCACTCCCCATGGAAGTGTATTTTACTCTTTGTGGGTTTTTTTTCCTGTGTAACAGCCACTCTAATAATATTGTTGTGATACCCATTTTCAAACAAAATTGACCAACTGGCTCTCAGAATTTTGTTTTGTTTTGTTCTGAAATACTACATTTAAGGACCACATATACATGATAGCATTTTCTCCCTCCTGTTTCTTGGAGCAGGTCTCTGGTTCCAGCATTATGTGCTGACTTTTGAATAGGTTTTAAAAATGTGGATCATTTCACCCGATACCTTGCCCCCGACCCAGGCTATACACCATTAAAATGAACCTGGACCACATCATCTAGGGAGATTCCTGGGAGACAACAGCATTAAATCTGACCCCCTCCCCCCAGAAAAGTAGGATGGGAGAGGATTTAATACTTACAGGAACTTTAGGAGGGGGAGCTCTTTGAGGGCATCAGGGTCTATGTAAGTTAAGTTCCTGGTATTCCGAATTTCTCTGTATAAGTTACAAGGAACACAGTCACTATAATGCATCCGTATCTGTTCTTATCAAAGACAAAACAACATAAATCAGTTTTAACAAACGTTCATGAGAAAAATATGCATTTACGCCACAGGGTACCCCAGGGGCTGTAGCTGCCAGGGGTCCCATCAATGACAAACTACTCCTGTCTCCTCACGGGGACCCAATGGCTGCTCAGCTCTTTTGCATTGTTGGCTTGGTTTCTGTCCACTTTAATTTATGGGCTACATTGTTCTTAATTGTAGTATCAGAATTTTTTTTCTTTTACATTTAGAGAAAAAAGAAAAATCCCTCCAATGATTTGGTGAGGAGTTGAAGACAAATATCTTTATTATTTATAAGTATTCTGGCCAAGACAATGAGTGTTGGAGTGGGAGGATGAGGGAATTTTATGATGAACGACAGCACAGCAAGATGGACAGTAAGGCTCTGTCATTGCCATACCAGATGTACAGAAGTGGTAAGTCTTCACAGTTCACTTGGGTTTATTTTGTCATGTCAGCAATCGAAGACACTTCTGCATGTATAGTGCAATATCGTGTGTCAGTAACTTACATACTTAGGTTTATATAAATGCTGATCAAGAATGCACAGTTAGCATTAGAGAAATAAGTAACTGCTAGAAATGAACTCTCACTGGTTAAATTAAACATATTCAACATAGGTTGATTGGCTAAAAGAGTTTAAGGCATTCCCTATGCTTACATGAAAAGTATATAAGAACCCAGTAAACCTTTAGCATTTCTCCTTAGGAGTGGCACCTAAAAGAACCAGCATCTAGTCATTGGTGGTACCAGTCAGAAAGCTTAGAATGTGACCTCTGTAATTTTTAAAGTTTTATTGAAAAAGAATTTACATTCCATAAACTTCAAACATTGTATGTAGGCATACAGTTCAATGATTTTTAGTAACATTACATGATTTTGAAACCATCATCACAGGTTAGAACATTTCTGTCAATGACAAAAGTAACCATAGGCCCATCTGCAGTTAGTCTCCACTTGCTCCTTTATGCCTAGAAACCACTGATCAGTTTTCTTTCTTTATAAATTTGCCTTATCTGGACATTTCATATAAATGGAATCATATAACAGGCAGTCTTTTGTGTCTGCCTTCTTTCATTTAGCATAATGTCTGTGAGGTTCATCCATGTTGTAACATGAATTAGTAGTTCACTCCTTTTTATTTCTGAATAGCCCAGATGGACTCGAAATAGAGTCTTGGCTCTGCCACTTCTGATTATATGACCTTGGACAAGTTTCTTGGCCTCTTTGAGCCATAGTTTTCCTGTCTGTAAAATAGGAACAATTAACAACACCTCTTTTGTGGGGCTTTTGTGAGGATTAAATAATATTCATGAGGGATTTTATGTTTGGCCTCCACATAGTTAGGGCTCTAAAATAATGCTTTTATTATTGTTATTTTCATAAGTGCAATGAAAGCTAGAAGAGACATCAGGGACTTGGGACTGGAGATGTTGTGACATTCTTGCAAAATTAGAAAAAACTCTCTGGTTTTTTCAACTAGGCATTTCAACTAAGGACACTGAATATGAAACAGACCTTGGAAAAGAGAGGATGGAGTTAACTCTGAGAACAGAAATCACCTACCTCTCTCCTCCCTAAACACACAGCTTACTGTCTATAATAATATACCCTTACTGGTCCATTGTCCTCATTAACATAACTACAATTCCAGGAGACTCTTGCCCAGGCAAATTGCTTTATTGTTCATTACAGAGAGTTTTTGAAACAAAGAACCATCAATGCTTCAACAGAAAGCATCAACAGTTTATACCCCAAGATCTTAGAACTCCTCACTTCCAAATCCTCACTATGCTAATCCTAAACTATTATGTCATGATTTTTACCTAAACAAGACCCTGCATGGAAAGATCCTCTTTATACAATCTTTCATTTTTTTGTCCTGGCTTTAAAATGCAAAGCCCATATCCTTGGAATTCCCTCTGTCTTGGGCAAAGTGTGACAGTTGGCCACCCTACTCCAAAATCTCATAATTTTCCCACCTTGCCCCTCTAGAGACTATCAATCTCTGTTGAGGTGGTTCTCTCTTTCCAGGGTGAGCAATAAACTCCTTGCCAGAGCTTTCCATTGGGGGAGGAGGGTTTGAACTACTGCCAGAGACAAACAGATGTAAACTAGATGCAGGAGTTTGGAAATTGAGCAGGGTTTGCAGTCTGGAAAATTGCTCCACAAGAGACTGTCGTTGAACGAGTAGTCCTGAGTGAGTGGTCTAAGAGAACGTCAGAGTGAAAGAAAATGCAGCCCACCTGGGTCAGCTGAAAAGGTAGAGAATAAAAGGGAAATGAAATGCAGCTGCTAGTAACAGTTGATTAAATGAGGCTGGCAACTTACATGGAGGCTGGAAGAGGAGAAATGTGGGAGAGGCAGCAAGGAGAGAGAAGGAAACATGAAGGAGGAGAAGATTTCTAGAAGGAAATGTAAGAGCTACAAAGGAGAAAGATGAATGAGAGACCCCACAAGAAAACAGCAGGGAAAAGAAGCTGCTTTCTGAGGTAAGGCAACAGCTTACCACTTGCTCACAAGTGACTTTTGAAAAGTATCTCCTGAAGCAGAGAAGGGGTGGAGTGGTCGTAGACTGCCAGTAGTTTAGCTAAATGGTGAGAGATAACAGCTGGGTGTGGTGGCGCATGCCTGTAAGCACTTTGGGAGGCCGAGACAGGTGGGAGGCCGAGGCAGGTGGATCAGTTGAGGTCAGGAGTTCAAGACCAGCCTGGGCAACGTGGTGAAACCCTGTTTTTACTAAAAATGCAAAAATTAGCCGGGTGTGGTGGCTTATGTCTGTAATTCCAGCTATTTGGGAGGCCAAGACATGAGAATCGCTTGAACGCAGGAGGCAGAGGTTGCAGTGAGCTGAGATTGTGCCACTGCACTCCATCCTGGGCGAAAAAGCAAGACTCTGTCTCAATCAATCAATCAATCATTAAATAGAGAGGTAACATAAGAAGCAAATGCAACTAGTAAAACCTATTCAAAGATAGGAAGAAAGGAAGGGCAGAAGTGAGTACAAAAGAACATCTAATCAGAGAAGGGTGAAAGAGGCGTTCAAATTTGAATGCCTTCAAGCATGCCTCTGAGGGTGAATTTGAATCACACCATTTTGAGTTAAGCAATTATGGCCTGAGTGTGCAGGAGGCTAGCTATGCTGCCAGAAAGCTGGAGACATTGGAAGAAAGAAAAGCTGTTTGTAATACAGCACACTAGGAATGGAGATGCCCTCCAGAGCTGAAGATGGCTGTGCCTCCAGCAACCTGAGGCCCTGAGTGACTGCCTGAAGGTGGCTGCTCTGTGCTCCCACTCATCCATCCAGTACTCTCCCATGAGCAAGCAGTAAACCTCACTCACTAAGGGCTGTTACATGTCTGTATTTTTGTCTATTTCTTATAGTAATTCACCTACCCAAACTAATAAGCATAAATAAAATTCCAAAAATATAGAGTACTCTGTTCATAGTGGTCACATCTAGCAGATAGGTTTAAAAAGAAGGAATGTGGAATTTTCACTTTTTATTTTATCTAAATAAAAAAAAGTAATAAAGAGGATGCAAAAAATCTCAAACTTTAAAAACAAAAAAGTAAAGCTTTATATATTCTCTATAAAAAATAACATTAAAATATGTGCCAGATATGCTGCTTAAGTATGCTGTTTTATGGAGCGAGGCTCTTTTTCTTTGTTGGGGAAATATGCAAGGCTCTTAAAGCGTATTGATTAGAAAAATTCAGCTTTGGAAGATGATATGGTCTGGCTCTGTGTCCCCACCCAAATCTCATCTTGAATTGTAACCCCAGTTGTAATCTCCATGTGTTGGGAGAGGGACCTAAATCTCATCTTGAATTGTAATCCAAATTGTAATCCCCACGTGTTGGGGGAGGGACCTCGCGGGAGGTGATTAGATCACAGGGTGCTTCCCCCATGCTGTTCTCGTGATAGTGAGTGAGTTCTCATGAGATCTGCTGGTTTTATAAGGGGATCTACCCCACTTTGCTCTGCATGTCTCTTTCCTGCTGCCATGTGAGAAAGAACCTGTTTGCTTCCCCTTCTGTCATTATTGTAAGTTTCCTGAGGCCTCCCCAGCCATGCAGAACCGTGAGTCAATGAAACCTCTTTCCTTTATAAATTACCCAGTCTCAGGTATTTCTTCACAGAAGCATGAATACAAATTAATACAGAAGATTAAAGGGTAAAAAGAAACAGTGTACTTTTTTTTCACCTGAGGGAGGGTGTGAATTTCCTCCTAGTGAGGGAGCAACATAACTGACTCGTGTGATGCAGGTAAGGATCATCCTGATTTTGCAGACAAAACTATGGAGACATGTTTTGAAAGGGCAAGTGAATAATCTCCTGTTATACACTTAGCAGCAACACTGGGCCTTTATCTAGGACTTATGACTTCAAATACAGCCTTTTTTTTTTTTTTAAATGAGGTTTCAAGGAAATCATCCAGCAGAACTAAAAATATATGTAAATATTCATTGTCTAATTCTCCTTCATTAGATTTCAAATGAAATAAACATTTAGATGAAAAGTGTAACATTGCTGTCCAATGGCAGTTTTCACAAATCAACAGATCAATAATTCAGCATGCAGTTAGGTTCACTTAATCACATGTCTACATTCTGGGTTTTTTTTCTTCCCCTAAGAAACATTGATTAATTCTCAATAAAAGCGTAGCACAGGACATCTGGCTTTCCCGTTACGACTAGCATTGCAGCAGGCACTCAGTCCCTGAGTCCACACCTCAAAGAGTATATGGGAAATCAGCAGGATGAGAGAAGGGAGTTCTCAGGCGAGGGAATGAGGAACAGAAGAAGGGGAAAACACTTAAAATCTTCTGTTAAGGAAGACTTTTTTTTTTTCCAACCACTAATTTCCTTCCATTTTCCTAGTGTCCCCCTTCCTACCTCAATTATTCAACGGGCATTGGATCGTGGCATTTGACTGTGCTTCTCACCCTTGGAGATATTTCCCCACACCCTAAACTGCCCCAGTTAATGAGTGAGAAGCATGCCAAGCCAGGAAACAATTTGAGGGCAATCAAAAAGCCGACTTTGCATTTCATCTGCAAAATTAGATGGGGATGAGAACACTTCAGACCAGCATAAACCAAGAAGACTCAGTTAGATGATGTCAGAAGAGAAGCTGCCACAGCCAATTTATTGTTACCCAAAACAATAAATTGAACAAGAATATTAGCCAAAAGCCTAGCTCTCCACCAGTCCCCAGCTTCTTTTTAACTCTTGTTTCAATTTGATTTTCAATTTTTTTCCCGTTTACTTTTAAATGCCCGTGTTGTGGGATCAGGAGGACCAGAGAGAGACCTTGGGGTGTATACAGGACGATATCTTTATTATTGAGTGCACTCGGACTTAGCAGACTCAATGTCCAAAGACTGGGCCTAGAACAAAGACAGCACTTGACTTTTATACACATTTCACAAAAGGGGGTGGGCTAGCTTGAAGCAAGTTTACAGTGGTGTGAAAGCAGGGATACAGAGGCAGGACAAACTCAGGATTGCACATGACCGTTGCCAAGCAACCTAGATGTTCATTATCTAGGTTTTGCTCTAAAGAGCCTTGCACTGGTTTATCTCATAACCTTCACTATGGTGCCCAGGCAGCTGTAGTTCAGGCCTACTCAGGCTTCTTATGACTTTCTTTGTACTTCTTAGATAAAACAGAATACTTGAAGTCACTAGTGACAGAGAACAAGTATCTATAAACTTATTCCATAAAACAAAGGAAAATTTGTTTTTCTTCTCCCTATGTTGAGGGAGTGCTGGGAGAGTCTCCAGAGCACATTAAATAGTATTATCAAGACTTTTCCTGGGTCTGGGCTGTGCCTGTTGCTGCCTCTGGGACAAGTCAGCTTAATATAGGAAAGCTTATTTCTCTTTCTTTTTAATTTTATTTTTCTTTAATTTCCCACCTCACCTATAGTTCAAAAAAATGGAAGGCAGTCACCTTGATTTTGACTAGGTTTGCTCACTCAAGTGGTTAGAGTGGGAAGAGATTAATTAGAATATAAGTGAATAATTACTGGACATCTATTAGGTGCACTTTGCTGCATACTCTGGGTGGTATAAGGAAATAGTTACTATTTATTTTAAAAATAAGATGTGTATATATTGCCCAAGCCATCATTTTGTTACTATAAATTTTTTAAGTGCTATACAATCCCTAGGTGAAACCTGAGACTAATAAATAGGTAAATTAATTTTAAGGTAACATTTTAGGACAGGGTTCTATCACATAATACATTACTGATGTATCTTGACATCAAGTATTAATTTCAAGTTTAATGCACAGTGATCTTTAAAAAGTTAATTTCATCTGACTATAGAGGTAATACATATTTATTGTAAAAAACTTTGAAACACATTCATACAAAAAGGAAATGAACTTTCTGACAGCTGACCATCCTCCTGGAGGGTGGTGTGCCAAGGGAGGGGGCGGAAGCTCTGCGCCCCTCCCCCATACTTCACTCTATGCAATCTTCATCTCTATCTTTTGTAATATCCTTTATAATAAGCTGGTAAATGTAAAAAAAAACTCTCATCATTTGATAATACAGAGAAAAACTATTTTGTTCTGTTAAGTATATATATATACATACATACATACATATATATTTTAAATAACATAATGACAAAAGCTTTTCTTATGTGATTAAATTGTCTATAGCAACAGATTTTCTCTTTATAAGTCAGGGTCATGCTATGCTGCCCAGGCTGGAGTGCAGTGGCTATTCACAGGCAGGGTCATAGTGCACTACAGCCTCAAATCCCTGACCTCAACCAATCCTCCCACCTCAGTCTCCAAGTAGCTGTGACTAAAGGTTCGTGCCTCTGCGCCTGGCTTAGTATTTCATATTTGACCATTCTCTTAGCTAAGCATTTAAGTCCTTTCCAAATTCTCTCTAATATAAATAATTAACTCCGAAACAAATGGCTTTTTACATTAACTTTTTTTCACTACTCTATTTTCTTAGGGAAAATTTATAGAAGTGGAATTACTGGGTCAAAAGTTAAAAGTCTGTCAAAGCTCTTGGTATAGATTAGACCTTAGTTTCTAAAGCCTTGACTGTTAGACTAGCACTTACTTTTCATATTAATCTATAATATGAAAGTTCACAGAATAAATTATTTCCTACATTATCGAGGATTTTCAATGAGAGAAGTCTTAATTCTTTGATAATTATTAATGAATTATTATTAACATTCCATATGTAACTGGAGGAAAGAAATAATCTATAACCAAAAGGCAATATTCATGATTTGATGTATCTTTTAATGTATTGAGAAATTAAAAATAAGAGATATTGAGGAGAGTTTATAAGTATTCAGATTTTTAAAGCACATTGAAGAAAATTTAAATTTATCAGCAGATTTTCCACTAAAAATAGAACATTATAGAAGTGATTCTCTAAATTGCCTGGCAGGTGCATACAGCTACTTTCATGATTATTTAAGGATTGGTGCTAAAGCTGGTGATTTTGAAACCTCTGATGCATCCACTTGATTCAACTTAGTGGATCAGCAAAATATAGTCTTATTGTACTATAAGGCATAAGTCACACATTTCACCTATCCCAGTTGTAAAATTTTTCACTTATTTTTGATTTAAAAAACTCACATAGGCCAGGTGCGGTGGCTCACACCTGTAATCCCAGGACTTTGGGAGGCTGAGGCAGGAGGATCACGAGGTCAAGAGATTGAGACCATCCTGGCTAACATGGTGAAACCCCTTCTCTACTAAAAATACAAAAAATTAGCTGGGCATGGTGGCACACGCCTGTAGTCCTAGCTACTTGGGAGTCTGAGGCAGGAGAATCCCTTGAACCCAGGAGGCGGAGGTTGCAGTGAGCTGAGATTGCACCACTGCACTCCAGCCTGGGCGACAGAGCAAGACTCCGTCTCAAAAACAAACAAACAAACAAACAAACAAACAAAACCCAAAAACTCACATAAAAGTAAAAACATTCTTCTGAGGGCAGCACTTCTTTTTCTTTGCTTTTTTTTTTTTTTTTCTTTTGAGCTAGGGGTCTCATTCTGTTGCCCAGGCTGGAGTGTGTAGCACGATCATGACTCACTACAGCCTCAACCTTGTAGGCTCAAGTGATCCTCCCGCCTCAACTTCCTGAGAAGCTGGGACTATAGGCAAGTGCCATTGTGCCCAGCTAATTTTAAAAAATATTTTTCATAGAGATGATGTCTCACTCTGCCGCCCAGGCTGGTCTCAAACTCCTGGGCTCAAGCCATCCTTCTGCCTCAGTCTCCCAAAATGCTGGGATTATAGGTGTGGGCCACCACGCCTGGCCAGCATTTTCTTTAATTATTGCAGATATTTTAATTAAAGAGATTTTATGGCATTGCAGTGGTTTTGGAGGCAGACACTTTTGGGTTCAAATTCTCACTTTGAAATGTCTTAGCTAAGAAAACTTTGGCAAGAGCTCTGCAAGGTATGTATTACCATCTTCATTTGACATAGCAGAAACTAACGCTTGGTAAAAACTAGTGAGATAGTGTATGTGAAGTACTTTTAGTGGAGTGCTGGCCCACAAAAGGCATTCAGAACTTGGTCACTATTATTATTAGGAGTAACAACAGCAGCAATCTGTATGTTATTGACTTTCTTATAGAGAAAGTACAATAGAAAATGGAAGTGTCCAGTGTTTCATCATTTTGCAGATATAAATCTTTATTACATGCATACTTTTCGGTCCAAACAGTATCCTCGCTGAAGTTACTACCCAGGGGAAATGATTTGTATCCACTTAGGATCCTGAATAACTCACAGAGAACCTACCATTCTTGTATTTTTTTCTTACAAATCCT
Source organism: Homo sapiens (assembly GCF_000001405.40). Lineage (NCBI taxonomy): Eukaryota > Metazoa > Chordata > Mammalia > Primates > Hominidae > Homo > Homo sapiens. The sequence goes on along the minus strand of NC_000014.9, from coordinate 81,079,052 downwards.
CAATGCCTTTACCCATTGTTAACTGACATATAATTGCTACTTCCTCTGGCTACCTATTGTTGCATAACAAATTACCCCAGATTAAGTGGTTAAAATAACATTTTATTATAGCTCACAATTTTGTGGATCAGGATGCCAGACAGTGCTGAGCTGGGTGATTTTCTGCTCTCTGTAGCCTCCACCAGGATCACTGGGTGTTATTCAGCTGGTGTCTGGAACAATTTGGAGGGTCCAAAAGGGTGTGCTTACATGCCTGGCTTTTTGATGGGAATTGCTAGAAGGTTAGGCTCAGCTAGGCTTTTCTCCATCCCAGGATCTCAGGATCTTCCCACACGGTCTCTCCATCAGTGCAGTTGGACGTCTTACATGGTTGTTCAGGGTTCCAAGGATATAAAGTAAAAGCTGCCAGTTCTTTTAAAGACTGGGACTAGAACTGGCATTGTATCACTTCTAACATACTCTATTGAAATAGTAGACAAAAATGTCCAAATTTAACAAAACCAGCAACCCATAAATCCACGAAGTTCGGCAAACCTTAAGCAGATTAAATATAAAAAAACTCACCTAGGCATATTATGATTAAACAGTTGAAAAGCAAAGATATAGAAAAAGTTTTACAAGTAACCAGAGGGGAAAAAACACATTACTTACAGGAGAATAATAACACGGATACGACTACTCCTCAGAAAAAAAGAAGGCCAGAAGACATTGAAGGATATTTTCAAAAGGCTGAAACAAAAATGGCTTTGCTACAATTCTATACTCAGCAAAAGTGTTTTTCAAATATTAAGGTAAAATATATTTTCAGTAAATAAAACCTCAGAAAATTTGCTGCCAGTAGAACCACAGTGAAATACTAAAAGTTTTTTGGGCTAAAGGGAAATAATTGGACCTACAGAAGGGCATGGACACTGGAAATATTAAATATGTTGAACGTATATAAATGACTATTTTTTTCTTTACTCAAATTATGTAAAAGTTAATTGAATCTTTAAAGTTAACATAATAATGTATTATGAGGTTTATAACATATATAGGAATAAAATATATGACAACAATAGCATGAAAGATGGAAGAAGGTAAATGGAATTTTAATTTCAAAAGGTTCTTACATGATATGTGGAGTAACATAATATTATTTCTAAGTAGACTGTGATAAGTTAAGGATGCATGTCATAATTTCTTGAGTAATCACAAAAAATTTGCAAAGGACTAAAAAGCCAATGGAATAGAACACTAATAAACAAAAGCAAAAACAACTAGATTAATCCAAAAGAAGACAAGGAGAAATAAAGGAACAAAGAACAGAGAAGACAAAGCAAATAGGAAAATGGTAGACTGAAATCCAACCATATCAATAATTACAATAAATGTCATGGATTAAACACTCCAACTAAAAGGCTGAGATTTTCAGGCTGGATATAAAAGCAAGATCCAATTCTGTGATGTTTACATGAAATGCATTTTAAATATAAAGATGTAGTTATTGAATCTCAGTTGCTTTGGCTGTAAAATGATAGTAACTACTTTAGAGAATTGTCGTGAGGATTAAATGAGTATATATGTGTTGAGCAATTAGTGTAGTGCTTGGGATATGGTAAATGCTCAATTAAGGTTGGCTAAACATATATGTATGAATATGTGTGTGTACACACATATACTAAACATTCTGTCAATCAGATTTTTCATGAATTCAGACTAGCCTACTCTTCCAATCCATTATTTTTAAAATGCATGTTCAGAATACATTGTTTCATTTTTTGTTTTAGTTTGATTTCCTCACAGCTTGGTGTAAGTGAATGGCACACAAAGCATCCTGCCTTCCAGAGACCTATTATTATCAAACATCTGCATTGTCATACTAAATTTTAGTAAGTTCTAAACCAAAAAGCATTCAAGGATAGATTCAAATGGGGATCTAACTTAGATGCAGAAGTGGGCTGAATGGTATGTGTCTCTGTGTAGGTCATAATTAGGCTGAAAAAATAATCAGTAGAGTTAACTAGGCAAAGAGAGAGAGAGAGAGAAATAAATGTCTAGGCAGAGGCAAAAGCATGTGAATACCCTGAGGTGAGAAAGATATTGGACTGTTCAAAAAACCAAAGAACACAGGTGTGCAGGAGTGAAGCATGATGAGAACGCAGAGGTGGGCAGGAACCAGCTGAACTTGTGGGCCTGGCTGTTTATGTTAAGATACTTGGATTTTATTCAAGAAAAATCATTCTGGCTGCTGTGAAGATACTGAATTAGAGGAAATCAATTGGGAATACCAGTTAAGATATAAAATTATCATAGTTCAAACAAGAGATGATGGTGGCTTAAATAAGGGTGGTGGCAGTGGAGAGGAAGAGGATACATTTTCTGTATATTAGGGTAGTAGAATCAACAGGACATGGTGAAGGAGTAGAAGTGGGTGATGAGGAAAGAAGGTATAGTGATACATCTCAGGTATTTGGGATTTGCATCAGGATGAAGGAAGTTGGCATTTATTGGCTCAACATACACAGGAGTAGTAGATTTCAGGACGACAATCAAGATGTCAGTTTTGGATATAAAACGTGAGATATGTGTAAGATGTCTGGGAAGAGAGGTCAAGTAGACCAATAGGTATATACCAACACTAAGAATGAGGGCCTGAACTAGATATATAAATTTGGGAATTGTTAGATAAGATCACATAGCAGGAGAAGTTAGAGTGAAAAGAGAAGACTACACAGGATTGGGCCATATGAAAGCCCAATAATTATAGCTGGGGAAGGGGAAGCAGCCAGCAAAAGATGATAGGAAAGACTGACCAGCATGATAGGAGTCCAACCAGGATTGTGATATCACAGAGGCCAAGGGAAGAGGTATGAATAAGAACAGAATGATCTACTATTTTGAATCTTGCATATAGCCTTTTAAGATGCAATGGTCTTCAGAGTGTGATGTTCCCCTTCCTGTGTCCATGTGATCTCCTTGTTCAATTCCCACCTATGAGTGAGAATATGCGGTGTTTGGTTTTTTGTTCTTGCGATAGTTTACTGAGAATGATGATTTCCAATTTCATCCATGTCCCTACAAAGGACATGAACTCATCATTTTTTATGGCTGCATAGTATCCCATGGTGTATATGTGCCACATTTTCTTAATCCAGTCTATCATTGTTGGACATTTGGGTTGGTTCCAAGTCTTTGCTATTGTGAATAATGTCACAATAAACATACGTGTGCATGTGTCTTTATAGCAGCATGATTTATAGTCCTTTGGGTATATACTCAGTAATGGGATGGCTGGGTCAAATGGTATTTCTAGTTCTAGATCCCTGAGGAATCGCCACACTGACTTCCACAATGGTTGAACTAGTTTACAGTCCCACCAACAGTGTAAAAGTGTTCCTATTTCTCCACATTGTGGGGTGGGGGGAGGGGGGAGGGATAGCATTGGGAGATATACCTAATGCTAGATGACGAGTTAGTGGGTGCAGCACACCAGCATGGCACATGTATACATATGTAACTAACCTGCACAATGTGCACATGTACCCTAAAACTTAAAGTATAATAATAAAAGAAAAAAAAAGATGCCATGGTCACAGGTTTAACTGTGTTAAACATACTGTATTTATTGAATGAATAGCTTTTTGTTTTGGGAATGACAATTCTAGGTCACAGACCCAATGTCAGTACTGTTAAGATGAAAATGTTACATAAATTTAACAGTTTAATTGAGCAAAGAATAATTCATTAATTGGGCAGCCCCCTAACCAGAATAGGTTCAGAGAGACTTTGGTGCTGCTGTGTGATAGAGAATTTCTGGAGCTGGGAGGGATGCAAACAAGGTGATATACAGAAAACAGAAGTGAGGTATAGAAGCAGCTAGATTGGTTATAGCTTAGCTTTTGCCTTATTTGAACACTGTTTGAACAATTGGTCGCCTGTGACTGGCTGAAACTCGGTGATTGGTAAAAAAGTAAATTATGGTCTGTGGTCTGTTCACATATCCAGTTAGGTTATAGTTCACTGCATACAGAGAGGCCTTTAGGCCAAATTTACAAGGAGGCAGCTTTAGGCTAAAGAGTGCTTATGTTCTAATACTCTAATTCATATCACAGAACAAAATCTAAACATGAATTGGGAAGCCATCTCAGAGAATGTATATAGAGCTCTGTAAGACTGGACAGGTACTGGCAGGGATAATTAGAAGTGGCAATGGTAAACTAACTGCTCATCTTTCTATTTACCAAATCACAGGACCAAAAAAAGTCAGTTTTGAAGGGCAGCTTAGAAAGAAAACACACTTATGAAATGGAATAACATTATGTTATTTTACTGCTGTAGTCCTCATTGGAGCTTTTCAATAAATGCTGGCAATATGCATTGGCATTTGAAATGTGTATTCATAAGTTTAGTATCTACATATCTATCCTTGCAGCAAATCCAACACAATAAAGAGCTCTCTTTCCTAAACAAATCAGAGGGCTTTAATTCTATACTGAGGAATCCCAGGAACGTTTGGTTGATGGTACTTATATGGTATATAAATTAAACAAATCATTCTATATCGATACTCAGTTTCATGCCTTATACCCACAAAACCATTCTCAATTCCTTGAGCAAAGATGAGTGATCTTTCAGCTCTATATTTCTCATGCAAGTTATAATGCTTTGATTATAGTCGCTGCTTAATAAATGATTATAAAACAAATGTATTAAACATTTGGGTGGCATGCATGCAAAAATCTTCACTAATCTTTTCTGCTGACCAAAACCATTTGCAGACAATAATGTCAGATACATATTAGAAACATTTGAAGAATACAAGGTGCATTATCCTTTAAATCTTTAAGATATTAGACTCTCAATATCTCAAGTATATAAGCAAATTATCTTTTAATAATTTATTTTTAAACTCATTCTCTTTTTAATTACTGTATTTAATAGTTTCCTTCGGTTTAGGAAGTTAACACTTTTGCTCAGAGTAGAGAATTGAATGTTTACTTAAAAAAACTTATAAATAACAACTGGAATCTTTGTGAGGAAAAAGATCATAATACAAACAAAATGACTGCTTTTAAGATCAATGGGGTTTATATAGGACTTCACTACAAATTAATTGCTTTTATTTTTGGTGAAGGGGCAAAGAAGCAAAATGGTTTGATAAATGGATATGAGATTTGGAGTCAGAAGATTTGGTTTTCAATTTTGAAGACTGTTGTTGTCTTTACTGTACTGGATCCTCAGCCTTCCTGGGCCTCAGTGTTATTTTACTTTCTTTGGTTTTAATGTACTGCTCTATTATATAAACTTCTTATGAAGGATACATAAATGATTTATTTTTAACCTTCTTTTCTAATATATGTTGTCTTAAGGCTATATGTTTTCTTCTAAGTATGACTTTGACTACATCCCACAGGTTTTGATATGTCATATTTTTATTATCATTTAGTTAAAATTATTTTCTAATGTTTATTATGATTTCTTCCTTAATCCTATGGTTAATTAGAAATCAGAGTTATTTAGAAGTTAGGTTATTTACTAGTTAGAGAACATGGTGATTTTAATTTTTTTGGTAATCTATTGAGACTTGCTTTTATGGCCCCACATGTGGTCAATTTTAGTAAATGTTCCATGTGTCTTTGAAAAGAATATATACTCTGCAGTTGTTGGATACAATATTTTTTATAAGCCAATATGATCAAGTTTGTAAATTATGTTCAAATCTTTTTATTAACTTTTTATCAGTATATTTACTATTTTGGTATGCTTGTTCTATCAATTATTGATAAAACTATATTAAAATAAGCTCTCAGTATGATTGCCAATTATTGTTTATCTTTTTAGTTCTACCAATTTCTGCTTTATATGGTTTGAAGCTATGCTCTTATAGACATTAAATTTAGAATCACTATATCTTATATAGTAATTCCTTTAATCTTTATGAAGTGTCCCTTAGAGTAAGACTTTATGCTTTATATGTATGCATATTTACATCAGTTTTCTTTTAGTTACTGTGTGCATTTTATATATATATATATATATATATATATATTTATTTTTTATTTTTTTTTTTTTTTGAGACGGAGTCTCGCTCTGTCGCCCAGGCTGGAGTGCAGTGGCGGGATCTCGGCTCACTGCAAGCTCCGCCTCCCGGGTTCACGCCATTCTCCTGCCTCAGCCTCCCGAGTAGCTGGGACTACAGGCGCCCGCCACTACGCCCGGCTAATTTTTTGTATTTTTAGTAGAGACGGGGTTTCACCGTTTTAGCCGGGATGGTCTCGATCTCCTGACCTCGTGATCCGCCCGCCTCGGCCTCCCAAAGCTTTTCACTTTCAACCTTTCTGTATAATGTTTAAAATGTCTCTTGTAAGCAGCATACAGCGAGTATTAAAAATTCAGCAATCAATCTTTGTATTTTACTTAGAGTATTTAGTCCTTTTACATTTAATGCAGTTAATGTAAATGCTGATTATTTGGAGTTAAATCTACTATTTATTCCAGAAACTCTCTATTTCTTCCAATTTCTCGCTTTTTTGTATTAATTAATTAATTTCATTCCATTCCCCACTACTATTAGCCTGTTAGTTATCCAGTCTTCTACAAGCATTTTAGTAGCTGCCCTGTGAGTTAAAACATTTATTTATGATTTATTAAAGTTTAATTTCAGTTAGTACTTTTACCACTTCTCAGATAATTCAAAGACCTTTAGAACACTTTCACATTATTTATAATGTCCTATACTTTTTTTAAAAAGCTACTGCATATTTTAATTCTATGCATACAAGCAGTTCTACTTTGAATGGCTCCAATACACATGAAGTTCAGTTACCATGATTTAATCAAATGTAAATAATAACTGTCCTCAACACATCCCTCAAGTTTCAGTTACCATAGTATATTAACTATTAATCATTGAATAAAGTACAAACTTTGTTGCTAGCTCTTCAGTCCACAAATCACTATGTAAATAACAGATGCACATTATAATAGGTGACCAACTACATCACTCTTCAAAGTCATTGATGGTTGCTCACTGGGCATCTCTTGCTCAGTTCATTCACAAACAATAAAGCATGTCATTGTGTTTCCTATGTGTTTCCCAGTAATCACCTCATATGACATTTCCTAAAAATGGCTAATTGAAAGAGTGAATTTACCAATAAAGATGAAAATGAAGCCAAGAAATGAAATGTAATATTACTGAAAGGGAAATTCAAACAAAATGTAAATGGAGTTATAGAATAAATCACTGGCATGAAAATGTTGATACCACCACCATCTGAGACTATTTATTTATTTATTTATTTATTTTAGAGACCAGCTCTTTCTCTGTCATCCAAGCTGGAATGCAGTGGTGTGATCATAGCTCACTGCAGCCTGGAATGCCTGGGCTTAATTAATCCTCTCACCTCAGCCTCCCATGTAGCTGGGACCACTGGTTTGCACTACCATGCTCAGCTAATTTTTTTTTTGGTAGAGACAAGATCTCACTATGTTGTCCAGGCTGGCTGAGAAACTCTAGATATTAATCAGAGGAACTTAGTGATGGGAGAAAAATGGATGCAAAGGATGAAGATGTCCCAAAAGAAACAATGACGGTAAAAAAATTTTACATTAAAGAAACACTTGAAAATATTTTATAATATTTAAAAAGCAAAGGATAAAATGATGGAAGCTAATCTAGACTTAGAAAGAAGTATGACAATTTGCCAGGGTATTGAAAAGATATTCTATTGTAACTTATATAATAAAGATAAAAGGTCAAGCACTGTCTAAGCTACTCTTGCTAAGCTTTTACAAAGCAATAAAGCATTTTACTTCTAAGTATTTCTAATGTTGACAATTACAGTATGTGAAATATTAGTTTTATTATTTTTTCTTTCCATTTATAACTGACTGAGAAATTTTAATGTTTTCATAAAAGCTTTTAGAAATCACAACACAATTTTTCTTATTGATTATTAAGACTGCTTAATACAGTTTCAGTCTGCACAATTTTATGATCCCACACTATCATGCAGAGCAAAGAACAGTATTTTAAATCCCCTAAGACATTATTTCATTTTGTGCAGTCAAGGTTCATTTATATTTACCCATATATTGACCTTTTCTGTTGCTTTTCATTTCTTCCTGCACAGAAATGTCTTAGCATGTGGGATGGCTTTCCTTTTGTCTTAGTAATTCCCATTAGTAGTTCCTTTAATATGAGCCTAATGGTAATAAATTCTCTCAATTTTTGTTTGCTTGAAGTATCTATCTTTTTCTAATTTTAAATAATCTTTTGGTTGGGTTGGCAGATATTTGCTGTTTTGCTGTTCACAAATATCTTTCTGTTGTTTTATAAGTTCCATGATTTCTGTTGAAAAGTCAGCTGTCAGTCTTGTTACATCCTTGAAAGTATTATTTATTATTTCCTTGCTGCTTTTTTTTTTTTTTTTTTTTTTTTTTGAGATGGAATCTTACTCTGTTGCCCAGGCTGGAGTGTAGTGGCACAATCTCAGCTCACTGCAACCTCTCCCGCCCAGGTTCAAGTGATTCCCTGCCTCAGCCTCCCGAGTAGCTGGGATTACAGGGACACACCACCATGCCCGGCAAATTTTTGTGTTTTTAGTAGAGACAAGGTTTCACCATGTTGGCCTGGATGGTCTCAATCTCCTAACCTCGTGATCCGCCTGCCTTGGCCCCCTAAAATGCTGGGATTACAGGCATGAGCCAGCGCGCCCAGCCTTGCTGGCTTTTATAATTTTCTTTTCGTCTTTGGTTTTTAGCAATTTTACTATGATGTGCCTCGATGTAGCTTTCTTCGTATTTATCCTTTCGGGGTTTGCAGTACTTCTAACATACGTGACTTGATGTCTCTTAAGAGTTTTGGAAAGTTGCTTTCAAATATTGCTTTTCTCATTCTTTCTCTCTTTTCTTGGGATCTAGTCATAGGTATGCTAGATTTTTTATTGTGCTATATATTTCTTATTTTCTCTTTCTCTCCATGCTTCAGACTGATTATAGTCTTCTGACCTATCTTCCAGATTACTAATTCTCCTTTGAGCTATGCCTAATCTCTTGTGAAACTCATGTATTTAGATGTTTTATTGACTTTTTAGATTCTAGAGTTTACAACTGATCCTTCTTATCATTTTCAGTTTTATTCTGAAATTTTCTCTTGCCATTTAAATTTTTGAACATGTTAGTTATTTTAAAGTCTGTGTCTGATAACCAATATTTGAACTTCCTATGGATCATTTTCTATTGTCTATTTTCTTCTCTTGATTTTTTTGCCCCACAAACTCGAGTTATTTTTTATTGATTCAAAGCTAGGCTTTAGTCTTTGCAAGGGCTGATCTAGTCACAGTTTTCCCATACTTCTAGGATGAAGCTCTTTAGTGATCTCAACCAAAATCCTGGATTGTTTACTAGGAACAATCCTTCTTAGCAAGCCCGGAACTCAGAGTTTTATTTTCCTAGCCCTAATAGATGCCTAAACCTCTGGTCAGTTTCTTAGCCCTTAAGCTTTTGCTTACAATTCAGGAAATACCTCAAGGGAAAATAACCAAATGATGTTTTTGGGATTTGCTTATTGCCCATTGAGTTCTTACTGTCTTCATAACACTCTAATACTTTCAAACATTTTTTTAAAAATTCAGCTCCTTAAGTTATTCTCAGACCAATAGTTGATCTGATGTAAGGTAGCCTACCATACTTGTAAGCAATATCTTGGACCTCAGTATTCTTGAAAGCATCTTAATGTAGTGGATAGGGAAGAATTTTTAAGTCATACATTTATGGTATAAAGATTGTGGCCCTGTCCCTTGGTAACTGTGCGACCAAGGAAAACATATTTAGTCTCTCTGCATTTATGTTTTTCTTATATAAATAATGGAAATAATTGTATTTACTTCACAGGGTTGTTTTAAGAGGTAAATAATAACCAAACAAATAATGTTCATACAATGTTTAATGTAATGTTAGGATATACTAAGTATTTGTAGATAAGTATTTTTGTTTCTTCATCAAGAAAATAGAGTTCATGATTAGTAATACATAGCTACTTAAAATAATGCAATGTGATTATTTATGTAACACTTTTTATAGATTGTAATCTACTAGCGAAATAGAAAAATTATTCTATTTTTGAATGGTATATTGACTGGTTTTCAGGTGCTAGATATTATATAATTCCATATTTATGATAAACATGAAGTTGCAGCTCTTATTACACTTATTTTGCAAATGAGACTAGGAAAGATTATGTGACTTGTCCAAGGGTAGATAATGAGTAGGCAGAGATGCCGGTGTTCAAATCCAACTCTGACCAACTCCAGAACTAGGGTTATTAAATTCCCTACTATTCTAATCTCACCAAGCAACTCTTCTCTTTCCGAATTAAGGAAAATATGCCAGCTTTGTAGAATCTTGCACAGACCATAGAATCAAGTAGTTACTCAGTAAATACCTATTGTCTCACTGACATTCACATCAATAAAATATGCTGACACAGTAGTAATAGAACAGATAGTGGTTCAAGAACAGAACTTTTAATGTTGTCTTTAACTTCCAACCATGGAATTGAGGTGTAATGAAGATGAATTAACATGAACTGAGAATGAGAACAGGTTAATAATTTAATCATAAACAGAAGTTTTGACTCACAATCAAGAAACCAGCTCCCATTGCCATCTGGAGCCCCAAGATTATCAGTCAAGAGTGGTTGTGGCTTAGGTCTATGCTGCACTTTTCCTTGTACTTACATGTGAGTCACTTTACTCAAATTGTAGAAGGAGTGTGATTCCAGCTGCTGCAGAGTCACATCTATAGATACGTAGCTGAATGTCAGAAAAATATAAGACAAAGTAGAAAGTTAGTAAGGTTGTAAACTTCAAACATACTATTTTTGACATAACTTTTTGTTATGCGCTTCCCAGATCATGCAACATGTACAACCCTCATGGATTCTGCCAAATTATGTTAAAATTACTTACTACTTTTTTTTTCAGATCTTGTGATACCTGAATTCCTCCTGTATATTAACTCCTATTTATCTGAAATTATCATTTAACTGTCACTTCCTTCAGAAACTTTCCCCAAACTCCCTGATTAAAATTTCCCATATGCATATTTAGCGATATATATATATATATATATATATATAGTGTCACCCTGTGGAATGTTCCACTACAGAATTGAGGTTTTCTCTTCATCTTCTTTGAAACTACGTGTCTAATTCCGTGTTACTAGACATTCCATTAAAAATGCTTCTTATTCACTCTAGTGTTCTTTTCTGATGCTTGCTTTTATTTTATTTTATTTTATTTTTGCTATTTTGAGGAACTCTTCCATTTTAAAGGAACTCTTCTATTTCCTTTAAAATACACAGATGTCCAAGACCTGGTCTAGGATAATTAAATCAGAGTTTATGAAGGATGAGTCAAATACTTTTATTTTTCAAAAGCTTCTTAGCTGATTCTAATGTGTAGGCAATGTTGAGAACCACTGACCTATAGTTTGAATTGAACCTGCCATACATATGTATATATGGTGTATATATAGGGATTATATATAGTGATATATCACTATATATATATATATATATATAAAACTATAAACTCCTTTCACTAATTATCAGAGTGCAAATTTCCAGTTCTTTGGGTGATATTTCTGTTGTCTCACTAGACTGTAAGTTCTCTGAAATGCAGAACTGTGCCTGTTTTTGGCCACTGAATCTTGAGTGCCTTTCAGAGTGCTTGGCATGTTGTCGACTCTTATTAAACAACTGAATGAATAGAAGAGTTCCTCAAAATAGCAAAAAAACATGAGCATCAGAAAAGAACACTAGAGTCAATAAGAAGCATTTTTAATGGAATGTCTAATAACATGGAATTAGACATGTAGTTTCAAAGATGAAGAGAAAATCGCAATTCTCTAGTGGAACATTCCACAGGTTGACGACATACTCCCTTAAGACTTCTCTTCATGATTTTAAATGAAGCTGAAAATTCAAGCTCCGTCTTAAACTTTGTAAGCAAAAAGTAATTCAAATAAAAGCTTCAAGTACTGAAAAAGGAAAACAGAGAAATTCCTAAATACAACTTGTCAAGAACATATAAGGAATATTTCAAATAGTTTCCTCAAATTCCATCTTGTAATGAGAATGACTAATGCAGCCAAATTCAATGACCACTTTCTATTGTGAGGTATTTCTATGACATTTGGGAAAATGAACAATTGACAGATGGTTTCCAGCCATAGCCATAGCAGAGATTCTCAACCCTGGACATGCAATTAAACTACCTGAAGGGCTTTAAAGTACACAGATGTCCAAGACCCGGTCTAGGATAATTAAATCAGAGTTTATGAGGGATGAGTCAAGTACTTTTATTTTTCAAAAGCTTCTTAGCCAATTCTAATGTGTAGGCAATGTTGAGAACCACTGACCTATAGTTTGAATTGAATCTGCCAGTAAAGTATCCTCATCGATGCAATGTTTACAAGAGGAGTGCTGATTGTTCCATTCTAAGTTTTTATCTTGGTTATTATGAGTATTATAATGGCTCTGTGCTTTCTATTTTGAATTACCTGTTCTCTAAATAATTATCCTTTGATTTACCCAGTCTCTTAACCCTTTGCCTCTTGCAGATAATAACGTTATATAAATTGTTTTGATACAAATATATTTCTAACATAAAGGAAACAATGGAACAGATTGAAAGGAATTAATTTACCGTGTAGAGACTGTGGGGATTTACCATGGATGAAGCTGAGCAAGCTAGCAGAGCAAGATTCATTTTTCAAGGCTGCCAACTTGTTTCCCTAAGCATCTTTTCCATTGCTCCAAATCTTCTACTGAATTTCTCAGTTAAGAAGTATGAGTCTTTCTCAAGGTTCCAGAAGGATAGTCACTCGGCCCATATTATCAAATGGAAGTTCCAGTTTCTCCAACCTAATGACATCTTTTTGTATGGCTGTGATTGCTTGGTTGTGAAGACAACTGGCAGGAATCGTTTATTCAGGGGGATAAAAATTGTGATTCCCTGCTTACTTACCCCATTTTTACAACTAGGAAAAATCAGATCCTACTTCTTCTTCGCATTTAAACATCATATAATCATTACAGTCACCATATGACTTATCATTCAAACTGGGATAGTTTTGTGAGTTAAAGCAAGGTGCCATTAACAATTATGCCAGAATCCCAAGTGGGAATTTGAACCATCTCAGACAAACCTAGCATCATCCTACTGATCTCTTTCTTCTCCCCAAGATATATCAAATCTTTAATCATTATTCAGGTATGTGTATGTGCTTTTATTCCACAAATATGTATTGAACATTCATTGTATGACAGACATCCTTCTGGACAATGACAAAACAGGCCTGTTCCCTACCTTCAAGGAACTCACAGTACTCACAGATACAGATTAATGTACAAGGTAAATGGGATTAACACAAGGTGTTAAATGCTTGATAGGGTTCAGGGACCCCTATCACTTAACCCAGACTGGAGAATCCAGCAGTCTCCCTGGGGGAAGCCTCAGTGGAGCCTTCAGATCTGCCTGGGTGTCTCCTATATCTCAGTCAACCAACCCTCTTCTTATTGCTCACCACTTTTATTTCAAATCTTCTCATCAAATTTCTAACTCTGCCACCTCCATCTTCCATCTTCTTAGATATCCTTTAATAATTTGATAAGTCATAGAAATGTTTGAAACTTTAACACGAGAATGCCTTGAATTCCCCACCAATAAGCCTATTAGTTTACCTGCATCTGTCCCATCTTTTCCTACAACTGAGACAGCTAAGTAAAAAAGGGCTCCCTAGCAGAACCTTCAACTGCCTGTGCCCTGGGAGAAGTGTGTACTGGGGTGGAGCTTCGGGAAGTTCATTTATAGTGGGGAGGAGCCTGGCCTCTCCTGTTGTGGGGTGGTACCTGGGATTCAATCTGTGAGGCGGGAAGTGGACTAGGAGGACTCTCGCTTTGCTGAGAGTCCCTGTTTCCCTCTTTTCCTCTTTCACCCAATAAATTCTATTTTTGTCACCCTTCAAAGTGTCTGTGAGCCTAATCTTTTATGGCCATGTGACAAGAACCTGGCTTTTAGCTGAACTAAGGAGAAAGTCCTACAACATGACTTCCTCGTTATGATGTAAAAAGTGACCATCTTCCTCTAGAAGGCCAATCCCTCTATTTGGATCTCATCCCCTCCTGCCTCTTCAGGGACCACATGCTCTTAAAATTGTTCTTTCTTCACTCTCTTTAGCTTCTCCCTCTCTGCGGATGCCTCCTCCTGGTCCCAGTTACACCCAGTTGTTTGTGACTCTCAATCTCTACCTGAATCTCTCCCCTGAGTGCCCCCATATACCCAGAACTCCCAATCCTCTTTACTCTAATTTACTTTTTTTCCCATGTACTTATTTCCTTCTAAATTAGTATCTAATTTACTTATTTATTGTGTTTTTGGTTCATTGTCTATTTCCTCCCATTCAAATGGAAACTCCATGGGGACATGGATCTTTGTCTGTTTGTTCCCTGATGTATCCCCAGCTCTCAGAGCAGTGATTGGCACATAGTAGGGGCTGAACAAATATTTATCAAATGAATGAAAAAATTCTGTCTGTGTCCTGATGTGTACTCAATATAACTGCACCTCAAATGCCATATGCCCCAAATTGAATTCCTAACATACCCCCTGACCCTCCACAGCAAATATACAAAACACTTCTCTGCCTAAATGAATGTGCCGATCAACCACACAGATGTCCTAATCAGAAACTTGATCAGCCCTCCCTTATTTATGTCTCAAATCTCTATCCTTTTTCATTATTCCCACTCAATGATCATCCTTCAATTTGCCATCCCCTGTACTTTGGGCACTGCATCAGCCTCTTCACTAGCTTCCTGCCTACAGCCTTGCTCCACTTCCACCCCTCACTCCACTACATAGCCAAGGGAATGTTTCTCAAATGAAAATCTGACCATTTCTCTTGCCTGCTTAAAACCATTGAATGGCTCAGCCCTTAGGGAAGATTTTAAACTCCTTCACATGATTTACAAGACCCTGTACTAACTTAGACCTAAGTTTTATTTTTTTCTACTGCCCACCTCCCTGCCTAAGCTCTACCCCCAAGAAACTTATTATATTTCAATTCTTCAGAAAGCCCAGGCTTTTCCCTTCTGCTCTTTGCTATATAATGCAGATCACAGGTCAGGTGCTATTTTTTTTTTCAGGAAGTCTTCCCCAACTCCTCTCCCTGCTCCTGTGTAGGTAATAGACCTCTTATGTGAGTTTCCATATCACCCAATAACTGACCCCATCATGATACTCATCACTCTCTTAGGAATAAAACTGAACTGCTGTGAGTTTTGTCTACTGCTGTGTACGGAACACCTAGCAAAGTGCCAGGCACAAAGTAGGGCTCAATAAATATCTGTTGAATGAATGAAGTAATGGCCAAGCTGTTGGGACATGCAAACAGAGACACCAAATAGGCAGTTGTATAAGGTAGATGAGGGAAAAGGAAGAGCTAAAGGAGAATTCAAGGTTTTTAGCTTATAGGATGCTACAGTGGTGCTGTTAAAAGAGAAGGAACAGCTTGGGAGGAAGATGATGTGTTTATTTTGGATATGCTGGTTTTGAAGAGCCTGTGGGACATCCAAGTGGTAATATTTGGAAATTAGCTGTATTAGGAAATAGTGCAGCCCAAGGAATGGGAGTGTTTACTCAAGGAGAGTGGGGTATAGAGGAATTAGAACAAAATATACAAAGAAAGAGCTGGTAATTAAGTAGCTGGCAAAAATAAAATAGGAAGTCAGAAAAGGAGACTAAGGAAGAGTAGCCAGGTGAGACAAGAAGAGGAATGAGAGAGCAATATCAAGGAAAACAAAGAGGCAAGAATTTGAAAGAGGAAGGACTTGTTAGCAACATAAAAAACTGCAGAGATGTTCAGTAGGATGGTCTGTCAGCCTCAGCACTGCTGACATTTTGGACTAGATAATTCTGTTGTGGGGACTGTCCTATGAACTGTAGAATGTTCGGCAGCAACCTTCACTTTTACCCACTAGGTGCCAGTAGCAGCCCCCTCTCTAGTGGGCATTTAGCAACCAAAAATGCTAAATGCTTCTAGGGGTAGAGTCGTCTGTGGTTGAGAACTACTGAAATGACAGAAACACTAACAAAATGGCCACGGAGTGAGTACATTTGGCCAAAAACTGTACAGGTTGCTTCTGGTTATATTATTTCGCATGCCTGAACTATCTGGATTGCCTGTCAAAATCAATTAAATGAAATAAAGACCTGCTTCATTTCATTCACTCTTTGTCAACCCAATATGGAAAATCCCTTTTCTCCTTACTGTAAGTGGATAGCAATTCAATTTTTAAGGTTTAGAATTATTTTTAATTCTCTTTTAACGTGAGAGATCTGAAACCACTGGCTACGTTTATAACAAAATGTAAATATTTGTATTAGTAGTGAAAGGTGATTCAAGACTTGGTGACTAGGACAGATGGATGTTTGTCTATCTGTATATATGTTTACTTTATAAACTACGGGATGTTTATAGGAGAGATTTACAGCTAAGGTTTTGCCATATCCCAAGATATATTAAAATACATCGAGAATTATGAACTGCTCAAAATCAAATGAATTTAAATTTGATTTAGGTTTTAAAAAATCATGTAGGAATTAGGGAGTAGAGATATAGCAAAATGAAATAAAAATCATGTACATAAAATTGTCATATACATTGACAATATAACTGCCATTGATTTATGCAAGTATAATACCAAGTATTTTTCTTGATAGAACACGTTTAGAGAATAACATATCACAAATGCAAACTTTTCTTTATATTAAAAAAACTTACATTCTGGAAATATTGGGCAGATTAGAAAATGCATGACTTGGAATAGTTCTCAGGTGAGTCTCAATAAGCTTCCTGTGAAAATAACAGTTACATAATTAGAGTTTTAATCATTGGGCTTTTCTAATAATTCACCTTAATTATAAAAACACATAATTAAAAAGCATGACAGTTTTCACAATATGTTGGCTGATACATAATCAACAAAAATAATACTCAACAAACATACCAAAGAACCATATGTACACATTTTTTTCTCCCAATAAGAATTGTTAGATTCAGATGCAGAAAGTAAATCATCAGACTTCATCTATGAATTAGCAGTAAACTAATATGTCTTGCCTCGCATCACACTTTATTTGTTAACTGAAGGGCAATATTTTTTGGGGGGTCTTTTTATTAAATTGAAAAAACATGATTATTTTACCTTTTAATTTAGGTTTGGGGGTACATGTGCAGATTTGTTATATAGGTAAACTGGTGTCAGGGTTTTTTTTGTACTGATTATTTCATCACTCAGGTACTAAGCCTAGTACCCAATAGTTATTTTTTTCTGCTCCTTTCCCTCCTCCCACCCTCTGCCTTCAAGCAGGCCCCAGTGTCTGTTCTCTTTGTGTCCATGAGTTCTCATCATTTAGCTCTCACTTATAAGTGAGAACATGTGGTATTTTGTTTTCTGTTCCTCTGTTAGTTTGCGGAGGATAATGGCCTCCAGCTCCATCCAAGTCCCTGAAAAGGACATAATCTTGTTCTTTTTTACGACTGCATAATATTCCATGGTATATATGTACCACATTTTCTTTATCCAATCTGTCACTGATGGACATTTAGGTTGATTCCATGTTTTTGCTATTGTGAAAAGTGCTACAATGAACATTCGTGCGAACAACATAATATATTGTATTATGTATGTTAAGACTACTGAATTTATAGCATGTACTTTTCAATGGAAATGCCTTGGAATGCTATCAGAATATACATTAAGTACATCTTTAAAAGAATTAAATGCATGTTTTAAATCTTAAGGATTAAAAATAGTAGCATGGTTACTACCTTCTTGCACAAGTAAAAGTCTCTTCGATCATATCTTGATCTTATCATCTACATGCTGCAGTCTGGAAATAACTGACTGGCAAGGAGCAAATTCTTCCTCAGAATCTTAAGACATCTTTGTTGGATTTGCACCTTAAAGGTGTGACTTTTCCTCCAGTTTGCTTTTTTGAAGACTCTTCAGAAGGTGGAGACTGTTCTCATCATACATAATGAAACACCTTCATGCATTCCAGTATGCCTCTCCACCTAGGCACTCCATTTTTTGAGTTACGCTCTTTACTATAGTTACTACTTGAGAATCTTGTATGGAAAACAGTGTGCATAGTGTATTAACTTGGCAAAAAGACAATGCCTCAGCATACTACTTAGCTTCTCCATGTGTCTGTTTTTGCCATTTAATCACACTGGTAATCACACATCATCCAGTTAGTACCTCATTTATAGATAGTAGAATAACATTGTGTATTTTTTCTTCTCTAAGCTGAGGGGTTACTTTTCAACAATATATTTCCTTGGTCTATGCTTTCTTTGAAGTATTCATTTTTGCAACTATTAAAATATATCTGTAACTTGCCTAATCAAAGCATCAGAAAGACCAAATTAGTTGGTAAAAGCATCTATTAAAATGGAGGGAGGGAGGTGATGTGAATGTCAAAAGAGTAAATCTGCAACTCTTCCCAACCTCTGGTGTTTTGCCATGAAGCCCAATGTTGCCTTAATATTATTTCAGAAATTCAGGTCCCATAAATTACTTGTTCTCCTTTGAAGGTCTCCCACTTTTATTTCCTTAATTGAGTTATCCGGATTCTGAAGCTAAAAAGATATGAGAAGAACAAGTCATTCTACCAAAATCTCTGTGTAAAATTGGGCCATGCCAAAGGAAAACAAAAGATACACACCTGTTGAGTATCACCCAAGGCGATTGAGTTTAAGCTCAAAGATAGTCTTACTCATAGAGCTGTCGTAAGGCAAACATTTTGTGGGCATACTTACGGTAAGATTGTAGGTAATATGGGACTAAACTGTAACCTTCACTGACTAAAATTTTTTGAGTTTAGCCCATGTTCAAAAGTAAATAACATATATAAAATTAAATAGGAAACTAGAATAAGATTGCAATGGTTTCTAAGAAATTAACCTGGAACAGAAATAGCATCTAAGTGCAATTGGATAGTCTTTGGGCTAAAGGTTCAAATAATGTTTCTATTCTTTCCCGAAGTATGAGTTTCTGAAATATATAACACCTGTTTCTTGAATTCTCTCTCTCTTTTACACACATACAGTTCTGAACAAAGATCTTTTTCCCACTATTGAGTTAGTTGTGGCACAAGGTGTTTTAAAAGACAAAAATATTTGAAATGCTAATGTTTTGCTTAATTCCACAAACAAGATATTTTTCCCAGCCAGATTTTTTTTACCAAAGAAAGCTCACCAATATATATAGACCAATAAGGATTATGTGTCTCAGAGCATCTGTCTTAGTAATAATACAATATGCACAGTAAATCAAACAAAATTGAAGTTGAGGGTGCTAGCAATCAGCCTGAGATAAAAATAATGTCTCCTTTTTGAATAAATTCAGTTAATATCATGATAACACGCTGGGACAAAATACTGATTTCAATAATGTTAAATGAATTATTAGAATGACAACTAGTTGTATAGATTGCCAAATTCAATTGCAATTTAACAGTTCATACATTTTGCCTGGATATTTTCATAGTAATGTGCGCATAATCTAAAAAAATACACAATTGAGTTTGTGTAAATTTTGTTGACTTTTGGTATAAATTGCCTTGGTTGCCTCTCTAAAATTCATCATATTAGCTTAAGCTCTCCTTTAATTTCTTTTCTGGCTTTTAACATGTGATTAGTTTGATTGAGCTTATGAAAACATTTAAAAGGAGTTTTCTTCTAAGGTATCTATTTCCCTTCAAATAAAGAACAAAAATAATTAGTGAGGGCATGGCATCTAGGAAATTAAATAAAGACATCATATTTATTTAGAGAGCATCTGCTCCATTTTTCCCTAATAGTTCAACCTTACAATAAGGGTTGTGGGGAAAATTTATTGTAATATGTGGATGCCTCATGACCCCCAGACACATGTGCTCCGGCATGCACATAACCTTTGTGGAGGTTTTGTGGTTGTTTTGATTTGCAGTAGTTTTGTGGCTAGAGTTAATTTATAGAATGTTTGTCATCTATCTGTTTTTATCCCTCCATCTAGGGGCAAGGGGCTGGATGTTCTTTCTATTATCTACCTTTTCAAGAGAAGGCCTTTTACTCAAAGAATCTTGTGATATTGTGATTACTGCTTTAAATGCAAATGAAAGAAAAAACACCAAGTGAATGTGTTTATTTTATAGAAATATTTTATTTTAATTTCAGAATACATTTTGAATATTTATGGAAAAGGCAAAGTACACATCTACATGTGTATTCTTTTGACAAAAATATTAGAAAATCTTCAAAGTGCTTCACTTTTGTCCAAAGAATTTGCATCGCAATAGAATTTGTTTCTAATGAAAATATGCTAGGTACTGAAGAGGCTGTTTTTTATTTGCCTTTGATAATTCACAATAAGAAGACAATGATGATTCTTTCTAAAATATGAGAAAAAAACCTCACCTCATACAAATAGTACATCTATTTACTATTAACGATTAAGGCATCATATGTAACTCATTGGGAAAATAGTTCACAGCTATAGTCTTGTATCCTATGTGGAGAATGCACATTTTATGGTTAAAGAAGTTGGCTTCAAGATATAGAAATTATGTGAGAGAAAAGATATAAGCTGAGTTTGCAATTCCAATTTGTTTTGCTGTGATTTCTTTAATCAAGAATGACCATTGGAGGTATGACAAATGTTTCCTTTGGGCCTTGCTGAGGCAAGATTTATATCTGTCAAATGTCTGCCTTAGGAAAATATAATGTAGAAATTGACATGCATGTAAACCATGACTGACTGACTTGCAGATTTTGCAGGTAGAACCCAGTTTTAAGTACTCTCTTTTTGGTTCTTGCAGTAGCAATGGGGGAGAGAAATATGGTTAATGTAAAGAGAGCTGACAGTTCTTTGTTCCAAACAAGAGCAGTTGGTACAATTAAACTTTTCACAGTAATCTTGCATGATACTAGGCTTAGTTGACTGAAATTTCATCAACATGTAAATCCAATCAACATTCCAACATCTTGTTTCTTACACAGTTTCTGGAATCTTAAACACATAGCTTGTGTTGCATATGTGCATATATAGGTGTGGGTTCTAACACATTTCTCACTATAGCCCCTACCTCATGACCATGTCTGAATTGTACTGAGTTGAGGAGGCTGGCTGATCTTCTTTGCCGTGGCAGAGACTGTGTGGTCCAGAAACACCAAACTTCCCACTTGTGTGTCCTATTTGCCTCCTGGCAAACAGGCTGAGAGTATTTTGTGATTCTGCGTGTTTGTATAATATCAATGTCATCTTCATCTTAAGGGCCTCTTGTATTAACCACCTGTGTCAATCAATCAGCCAGTATTTCACTGAGGTGTACCAAGTATATTTCACTGAACTATTCTATGTGAGTATAGAAAGTATTCATAGTAGAAAAAGAGGGAATTGGTAAAAATAATCCATATTTTTTATATTGTGAAGTTGTGGATTACAAATTAGGCAATATTAATACAATTTAATGTGACATTTATCACTTGCCTTGTGTTCTTATTTTGGTGAGAATAAATCCTTTTTTCTTTTCTTTTTTCTTTTTGAGATGGAGTTTCACTCTTGTCACCCAGGCTGGAGCACAGTGGTGCAATCTTGGCTCACTGCAACCTCTGCCTCTGGGGTTCAAGCGATTCTCCTGCCTCAGCCTCCTGAGTAGCTGGTATTACAGGCACCCACCACCACACCCAGCTAATTTTTGTTTTTTCAGTAGAGACGGGGTTTCACCATGTTGACCAGGCTGGTCTCAAACTCCTGACCTCAAGTAATCCACCTGCCTTGGCCTCCCAAAGTGCTGGGATTACAGGTGTGAGCCACTGCACCCAGCCAAGAATAAATTTTCATTGGTGAATTTGTTTTACTGTTGTGCATTAAGAAAATACTCTGTGGCAAACTGTGAAAGAATACAGCAAGCATAGGATTTAAAATCAGGGGTGTAGACCCACAAGGATCATGCAGTTAAACACTTGGGACTATTTGCATATAGACTATTTTTTAAAATAAAATAATTTTAACTTGTCATTCTCTTGTGTTTTGTATTTTGGGTGGTATAGTAAATTTTAGTCAGTGTTGCTGCTAAATTATTTACAAATGATACAAAAATATCAGGTGATATGATGTCTACAATGCAAGGTGTGACACTGCAGCTGAAATAGAATGGCATACTGGCCAGAATCCAAGTGGATTTGTGAGTTATTATGTAGGGTCAAACAGAGTTTTGATTTGGGCTTTTTTTGTGTGTGATCTGAACCCCAGAAACTCAAGCAATAGCTTGATAAGTTTGACTTATGGAAATTGCTCAGCTTAGGCCATCTGGGAGAGAGTTGTCTATTCACAAGTATTGGTTTAGGTCTCCAAATTGTTGAAAATATTAAATTTGGTTTCATTTCATTATTTAGCATAATTTTTTGTATTGAAGCTATTTTTCACAGTTCTTTATTAAGGCATACTTTACGCCCAGTGAGATGCACAAGTCTACAATGCATATTTATATACTTCGGTGTATATAAGTATACTTATACTTTACATATATGTATGCATATATGTACACATAAACCCATGAGACCAGGGCCTGGATCAAAATATAAAATATTTCCATCATCCCGAAAGTTTCCTGTGTAGTTTTCCAATCAGGAATTGTATTAGTTCATTTTCACGCTACTGATAAAGACATACCCGAGACTGCGAAGAAAAAGAGGTTTAATGGACTTACAGTACCATGTGGCTAAGGAAGCCTCATAATCATGGCAGAAGTCAAGGAGGAGCAAGTCATGTCTTACATGGATGGCAGCAGGTAATGAGAGAGAGCTTGTGCAGGGAAACTCCCATCTTTAAAATCATCGGATTTCATGAGGCTTATTCACTATCATGAGAACAGCACAGGAAAGACCTGCTCCCATGATTCAATTTCCTCCCACTGAGTCCCTCCCACAACATGTGGGAACTCAAGATTTGGGTGGGGACACAGCCAAACCATATCATTCCACCCTGGCTCCTCCCAAATCTCATGTCCTTATGTTTCAAAACCAATCATGCCTCCCCAACAGTCTCCCAAAGTCTTAACTCATTTCAGCATTAACTCAAAAGTCCACAGTCCAAAGTCTCATCTGAGACAAGGCAAGTCCCTTCAACCTATGAGCCTGTAAAATCAAAAGCAAGCTAGTTACTTCCTAGATACAATGCAGATACAAGTATTGGGTAAATACAGCCATTCCAAATGGGAGAAATTGGCCAAAACAAAGGGGCTACAAGTCCAAAAAGTCAGCAAGTCTGAAATACAGCAGGACAGTCAAATGTTAAAGCTCCAAAACGATCTCCTTTGACTCCATGTCTCACATCCAGGTCACACTGATGCAAGGGTTGAGTTCCCATGGTGTTGGACAGCTCTGCCCCTGTGGCTTTACAGGGTACAGCCTCCCTCTCAGCTGCTTTCATGGGCTAGTGTTGAGTGTCTGTAGATTTTCCAGGTGCATGGTGCAAGTGGTCTGTGGATCTACCATTCCGGGGTCTGGAGGATGGTGGCCCTCTTCTCACAGTTCCACTAGGCAGTACCTCAGTGAGGACTCTGTGTGGGGGTGCCCACCCCAAATTTCCCTTCTGCACTGCCTTAGCAGAGATTCTTCATGAGTGCCTCACCCCTGCAGCAAACTTCTGCCTGGACATCCAGGCATTTCCATATATCCTTTGAAATCTAAGAGGAGGTTCCCAAACCTCAATTCTTGACTTCTGTGTACCCACAGGCTCTATACCATGTGGAAGCTGCCAAGGCTTGGGGCTTGCATCCTCTGAAGCCATGGTCTGAGCTGTATCTTGGCCCCTTTTAGTCACAGCTGGAGCAGCTGGGATGCAGGTTACTAAGTCCCTAGAGTGCACACAGCAGAGGGAACCTAGGCCCAGCCCACCATGCCATTTTTTCCTCCTAGGCCTCTATGTCTGTGATGAAAGGGGCTGCCACAAAGTTGTCTGACATGCCCTGGAGACATTTTTCCCATTGTCTTGGGGATTAACATTCAGCTCCTCATTACTTATGCAATTTTCTGCAGCTGGCTTGAATTTCTCCTCAGAAAATGGGATTTTCTTTTCTGTTGCATTGTCAGGCTGTGAATTTTTTGAACTTTTATGCTTGGTTTCCTTTTTAAAACTGAATGCCTTTAACAGCACCCAAGTCACATCTTGAATGCTTTGATGCTTAGAAATTTCTTCCACCAGATATATAGAGATATATATACCCTAATCATCTCTCTCAAGTTCAAAGTTCCACAAATCTCCAGGGCAAGGGCAAAATGCTGCCAGTCTCTTTGCTAAAACATAACAAGAGTCACCTTTGCTCCAGTTCCCAACAAGTTCCTCATCTCCATCTGAGACCATCTCAGCCTAGATTTCATTGTCCATGTCATTGTCAGCATTTTGGTCAAAGCATTCAACAAGTCTCTAGGAAGTTCCAAACTTTCCCACATTTTCCTGTTTTCTTCTGAGCCCTCGAAACTGCTCTAGCCTCTGCCTGTTACCCAGTTCCAAAGTCGCTTCCACATTTCAGGTATCTTTTCAGCAGCAACCCATTCCCAGTACCAATTTACTGTATTAATCCATTTTCACACTGCTAATAAAGACATACCCAAGACTGGGAAGAAAAAGAGGTTTAATGGACTTGCAGTTCACATGGCTGAAGAGGCCTCACAATCATGGCGGAAGGCAAGGAGGAGCAAGTCACATCTTACATGGATGGCAGCAGGCAAAGAAAGACAACTTGTGAAGGGAAACTCCTGTTTTTAAAACCATCAGATCTTGTGAGACTTATTCACTATCATGAAGACAGCACAGGAAAGACCTGCTCTCATGACTCAATTATTTCCCACCAGGTCCCTCCCACAACATGTGGGAATTCAAGATGAGATTTGAGTGGGGACACAGTCAAACTATATCAGCAATCCTGCTCTTCTATAGGATAACTACTATTCTGACTTCTATCATCACAGATTTCTTGTTTATTAACTTCACATAAATAATCAAAAATTAGCCACTTTTCTGCCTTGCTTCTTTTATTCAACATAATGTTTCTGAGACAAATCTATGTTATTACATGTATCAGTAGTGATTTTTATTGCTAATTATGAATATGCATTTTTTTGTTCATTCTCCAGTTGATGGTTGTTTCTAGTTTGGGGCTATTATGAAGAAAGCTGCTATGAAGAACATCCATGTACAAATCATTTTATGGACACACATACTCATTGCTCTTGGGTAAATATCTAGGAATATGATTTATGGATCATAGGTAAGTGTATACTTAACTATCACAAAAACTTCCAGTTTCCAAAGTGATTGTAACATGTTCACTCATACCAGTGATCTATAGGAGTTCCAGTCAACTCTACATCCTCACCAACACCTGGTGTTATCAGTGTTTTAACTTGTAGTCACACAAGTAGGTATGTTTCCGTCAGCATTCTTGATTGGTATTTGTAATTTGCTAAAGGATTTGGAGAAATGCACAGCTAAGTTAAAAATGTCTATTTGTGTACACAAGTATAATGCTTAATTTTATGTGTTAGCTTGATTGGGTCATGGGATATGAAGATATTTGCTTAAACATTATTTCGTGTTGTGTCTGTGAGGATGTTTCTGGATGAGATTGACATTTGAATTGGTAAACTCAATAAAGCAGCTTGCCCTTCCCAATGTGAATGGGCCTCATCCAATCAATTGAAGGCTCAGTAAGAAAAATTATTTATCTCTGCTTGTCTTTAAGCTGGGATATCAATTTTCTTTGCTTTCAGACTTGGACTAAATTCTACACCACAGGCTCTCCTGGTTCTCAGGCCATTGGATTCAAACCAGAATTTATACCATCAGCTCTCTTGGTTCTCAGGACTTTCAACTTTGACTGATACTATACCTTTGGCTCTCCTGGGTCTTCAGTTTTCCAACTGCTTCTCTTGAGCCTCTTAGCCTCCATAATCATGTGAACCAATTCTTTACAGTACAGTACAAATCTCTCTCCCTCTCCCTCTCCCCTCCCTCAGCCCCCTAAATTTGTTAGAACTGATGAATAAAATTCAGTAAAGTAGGTTACAAAATCAACATACAAAATTTAATAGTGTTTCTATATGGTAACAATGAACTATCTGAAAAAAATTAAGAAAACAATTCCATTTGCAATAGCTATAAAAAATAAGATACTCTGGAGTAAATTTAACCAAGGAGGAGAAGAACCTATACACTGAAAACTATAAAACATTGATAAAAGAAATTGAAGACACAAAGAAATGGAAAGATATTCTGTGTTCATGAATTGGAAGAATTAATATTGTTAAAATGTCTATACTACCCAAAGTGATCTCCAGATTCAGTGCAATCCTATCAAAATTCCAATGTCATTTTTCACAGAAATAGAACAACCTTAAAATTTGTATGGAGCCACAATAGACCCTGAATAACCAAAGCAATCTCGAGCAAAAATAACAAAGGTTAAGGCGTTAAACTACCTGATTGCAAAATACATCACAAAGTTATAGTAACCAAAACTGCAGGGTACTGCCATAAAAACAGACACATCAATGAATCGAATAGGGTAGAGAGTCCCCAGATAAACGCACATATCTGTGGTCAATTGATTTTCAACAAAGGTGCCAAGAACACACAATGAGGAAAGAACAGTCTCTTCAATAAATGGTGTTAGAAAAAGTGGCTATCCACATGCAGAAAAATAAAATTGGAACTTTATCTCTCCCTTGATAGTAGAATCAACTCAAGATGGGTGAGACTCTTAAATGTAAGATCTGAAACTGTAAAACTCATAAGAGAAGACTAGGAGAAAAGCTCCTTGACATTGGTCTGGGCAATTATTTCATGGGTATGTCCCCCAAAGCAGAGGCAACAAAAGCAAAATTAGACAATTGGGATTGCATCAAACTAAAAAATCTTTTGCATGGCAAAGGAAGCCATCAACAGAGTGAAAAGAAAACCTGCAGATTGGGAGAAAATATTTGCAAATATATTGTCAAAGGGCCTCATTTTGATAAGGGACTCATATCAAAAATATATAAGGAACTCAAATGACTCAATAAAACATATACTCGTATTAAAAATGGGCAAATGACATGGATAGACACTTCTCAGAAGAAGACATATAAATGGCCAACAGATATAGTTAAAAATGCTCAACATCACTACTCAACAGGGAAATGCAAATTAAACCACAATGAGACATCACCCTGCACCTGTAAGTATGGCTGTCATCAAAAAGGTGAATGCTAGCTAGTGTTGGCAAGGATGTAGAGAAAAGGGAACCATCACACACTGTGTTGTGGAAATGTGAATTAGTACAACTATTTTGGAAAAAGTATGAAGGTTATTTAAAAAACTAAAAGTAGAAATACCATATGATCCAGCTATGCCACCCAAAGGAATAAAAATCAGTAAGCTGAAGAAACGTCTGCACTCCACATTCACTGCAGCAGTATTCACAGTTACCAAGACAAGGTAAATTTAAAGCTTTCTGGAAAAGAGTCATCATTCTAGATACCATTAAGAACATTTGTAATCCATGGGAGAAGGTCAAAATTTCAACATTAACAGGAGTTTGGAGGAAGTTAATTCCAACTTCTATGGATAATTTTGAGGGGTTAAAAACTTCAGTGGAGGAAGTAACTACGGATGTGGTGAAAATAGCAAGAGAACTAGAGTTAGAAGTAGAGCCTGAAATGTGACTGAATTGCTGCAATCTCATCATGAAACTTTATTCGATAAGGAGTTGCTTCTTATGAATGAGCAAAGAAAGTGGTTTCTTGAAATGGAATCTAGTCCAGGTGAAGATGCTGTGCGTATTGTTTAAATGACAACAAAGAAATTTAGAATATTACATAAACTTAGTTGATAAAGCAGAAGCAGGGTATGAGAAGATTGACTCCAATTTTGAAAGAAATTCCACTGCATGTAAAATGCTATCAAACAGCATTGCATGCTACAGAGAAATCTTAGCACTGGTAGACTACACCATGTAGTGTAAACATAATTTTATATGCACCAGAAAACAAAATAAAATTGTGCGACTTACTTTATTGTGATGGTTTGGAAAGGACCCATAAAATCTCCCAAATCTTTCAAAATTGAAAAAAGGGTGGATTTTAAGTGTTCTCATCACAAAGAAATACGTAAGGTGGTGTACATGTTAATTAGCCTGATTTGATCATCCCACAATGTATGCATATATCAAAATATCCTACTGTACCCCATAAATAGATATAATTATTTGTCAATTAAAAATAGTTTTTAACAGAAAAAGTGCATTACTTTACTATTATTATCTTTATAGGATTGTACCTACCACATGGAGTTGCTATGAAGATGTAATAAATTATTATTTGAAGCACTTATAACAATGTTAGGAACATAGTGAACACTAACTAGGTGTTTTAAACAAAAACATAAATCAGTTTGCCAATTTATTGATGATGAGAAATACAACTGTCACATGGGTCTGAATATTCGTGATGGTATGAGCAATTTTTCTTCTCAGCAGACTATTTTAGGGAACCATGAAATATTCAGAAGTTTGCCTGAAATCATGAAATCAATCAAAACAGGAGATGAATCCATTTTAAAAAATGTTCTCAGGCTAAGAGAGCATAGTATTGTTGTTTCATACAAAAAATGACCTTGCCTGAAGGTCTGAACACTGATTTAACTTTCCTTTCTCCTGGACATAGACCGGTTGGGAATTTCCAGAGTTCTCATCTCTGACTCCACTTTTCCTTTGGCTTTATTGCTGATCAATCTCCTGCCTGATGGATGTTTTCTTCGTATTGTAGGGTGTTATTCTGTTTCCCTTAAGAGATTTTATATGTCTTTATTATGATCCATTGTATGTTACTTTAAAAATTTACTTGATTTCATTTGTTTCTAAGTTCTTAGGGAGCATTATAGTGCTCCTTCAATATTACTGGGAACATTTTATTATAAACTGTGTTAGTCTGTTTTTGTACTGCTATAAATAAATACCTGAGACTGGGTAATTGACTCACAGTTCTGCATGGCTTGGGAGGCCTCAGGAAACACAATCATGGCAGAAGGTAGCAGAAGGTGAAGGGCAAACAAGCACCTTCTTCATGGCGGCAGGAGAGAGAGAGCAAAGGGTGAACTGCCGAATACTTTAAAAACCAACAGCTCTTGTGAGAACTCACTATACCAAGAATAGCATGGGGGAAACCGTCCCTGTGATCCAATCACCTCACACCAGATCTCTCCCTTGACACGTGGGGATTACAATTCAAGATGAGACTTGGGTAGGGACACAGAACCAAACCTAGCCTTGGACTGCCATTTAATATGTGTAGTGCTTTTACTTGGTATGTAAATAAAAGAAAAAAACTTAAATGTATCTCTTTGCTCTTCCTCAACCCTCACAGAACCATCTGGGCTTTGAGGAGCACTGTTTAATACCTATATGGTTTTCAAACATTGTTATTTTATGGATGAATAATCTGAAGAAAGGATGAGTGACTCAAATTCATTTAATAAAGTAATAATAGCCAATTTTCCTGCAAGCTTTTCATTATAAAGTACATATAGATATGGTATTCTGAAACTACATAACCATAGACAGATTCCTTCCTTTGCTATGCAGTTTTGATCTAGAAGCATTTCAGGAACCAACACACATTTAGTAGACCACATATATTGAGTGCCTACCATGCTCCAGGCATTATTCAGAGTGCTGGGGTTGCTATGGTAGAGTCAAAGCTTCTGCCTGCCTGAAGCTGAGACCAATGTGGGAGCCAAACATTTTTTTTAAAATCTCACTTTAATAACTATATGCTATGAAGAAATAATACAAGACCTACGTGAGTACAGTACATTCTCACTTAATGTCCTGGTTAGGTTCTTGGAAACTACAATTTTAAGAAAATGATGTATAACAAAACCAATTTTATCATAGGATAATGGATATAAACAAGAGTTAAATTCCTGTGGCATATTTCTGGTCACAAAAACATCACCAAACTTCTAAATAAAGACCAAAACACTTATACTATTAAACATTGAAATAAATGTGAACTATATATACATTTAAGAAAGAAAAATAAAAACAAGATAATGATTTACTCAATTTTCGGTGAATCAGAGAGTGAGGGCAATCATGGTGGTAGATTCAATCAAAGAATAAATGTTTGCAAAATGAACATTGTCAGAAGCACCTCCTACCATCACGCAGTTCAGAAACAAACAACAAATATAGTAATCTCACTAAGCGCTTTCATACTGCATTGTTTATTGTATGATTATCATGTACTTAAAAATTTTTTATTTTATAATAACTTGTATTTATTCATTCATTCATTTTCCAACCTGCTTATTCCAGCTCAGGGTCACTGGTGGCCAGAGCCCATCCTGGCAGCTTGGAGCAAAGTAGGAACCAGCCTTTGACATCATTCCATTACAGGACACACTCGCACATACACCCCTGCACTCATCAGATTGAGACCATTTAGACAGGCCAACGAACCTAGTATGCCCATCTTTGGGATGTGGAAGGAAACCATATTAATAATAACAGAAGAAAGCCCATGTAGATATAGGAAGAATGTGTGAACTTCCCATGGACAGTGATCCCGGCCAGGAATCAATGTTTTTTTTCATCAACATTATAACAAAACGACCTTATTGGAAGATCTGCTGTATATGAGAAGTCCCCATGAAAAAACTGAATTCAGCTGAGACCTGAAGGCTTCTGTTTATGACAGAGTCTAAAGGATATTACAGCTTTAGTGAAGGAAGTAGGGTGATGAGTTGGGAGTCAGGGCTTTCTTAACCTCAACTGAAAAAGGGATAATAATATCCACCCTCCTCATTTATTGTTATGAAGAGAAAGCAAGGTAGATATAAAAGCGAGCTATCTATTGCAAAGTCCTGAGTGAATGTCAGGAATTATAATATATGGGGTCTTAGCTACAATGTTGTCCATAAACATAGCAGGCATTCAGTTAATACTTCTATATAAAAGCCAATGAACAGGCCGGGCGCGGTGGCTCACACCTGTAATCCCAGCACTTTGGGAGGCTGAGGTGGGTGGATCATGAGGTCAGGAGATCGAGACCATCCTGGCTAACACGGTGAAACCCGGTCTCAACTAAAAATACGAAAAATTAGCAGGGCATGGTGGTGGGCACCTGTAGTCCCAGCTACTCGGGAGGCTGAGGCAGGAGAATGGCAGAGCTTGCAATGAGCTGAGATCGTGCCACTGCACTCCAGCCTGGGCGACAGAGCAAGACTGTCTCAAAAAAAAAAAAAAAAAGAGCCAATGAACAAACATGTGTCATCTGTCCAGTGTTCTGGAAAGGAGCTGTCCTTAACAAATGGCAATGTGGGCTTTAGCACAGGGTAACTGTTTTTCTTGGTTTTCACATGCCTTTTGGCAGTTCATAAATTCACCATCTATCGTTACAATTTCAAAGTGTTGTCAGTGAATTTTATTCAAGGAGAAAACACCTAATTGTCTTAAGGCATTTTCAATCCAGTCAGAGCAATGGGCTAGGCATTCAAAAATAGTATGTATATGTTTATCACCTATATATTCTACTCAGACATATGGAATACCATAGTCAAACATTTTGGGGGAGGGGTGTGTGTGTGTGTATTGGTGTCCGTTGTTTGTGCTGTTGTTTATGAGGAAAAAAATAATTTTATTTGAAAAACGGCCAAAAAGCGAGTTCTTCCCATTCTTGATTTGCATTTCAGGTGTCAACACTCCTGCATTAATTTTCCTTTCAGTATGTGTGTTTCAATTATTATACATTGATTTAAAACCACATATTTTCTACCCACTATGCCTGTTTCTTTCTTTCATTTATGTAGATCCAAATTTCTATTTTCTTTCTGTCTTGAAGAACTTCCTTTAATGTGTTTTGTTTTTAGTACAGGTCTGGTGGAAATGACTTCGCTCAACTTTTGCTTATCTGAGGAAGTATTTTTACTTTTAATATGGGAAGACACTTTTACTGGATATACCATTATATGTAGACAGGTTTTTTCCAATACTTTAATGATGTTATTCTGTTGTATTCCAGCCTGTGAAGTTTCTGACAATAAGCCTGTTTCCCTTTTAACCTTCATTCCTTTGTAGGTAATTTGTATTTTTTAAATCTGGCTACTTTTAAGATACTCTCTTTATCACTTGTTTTCAGCAGTTTGATTATGATATGTCCTGGTATCATTTTCTTTATATTTATTCTTCCTGAGATTCATTGAGAGGTTCTTGAATTTATGGGGTTAGAGTTTTTATCAAATTTGGAAAATATATGATTATTGTTGCATTAAAATTTTTCTTTATGTTTTTTTCTCTCTCATTTCCTTCTGGAACTCCAATTACGTATAAGATAGATCACAAGATAGATCACTTGATATTGTCATATGGGTAATTGATGCACTCAATTTTTTTGTTTTTTTTTTATATTTTTTTCCCCTCTCTGGGCTTAATTTTGGCTAGTTTCTATTGTTAAGTCTTTAAGTTCTATTTTTTTCCTCTTCTGTA
Source organism: Homo sapiens (assembly GCF_000001405.40). Lineage (NCBI taxonomy): Eukaryota > Metazoa > Chordata > Mammalia > Primates > Hominidae > Homo > Homo sapiens. The sequence goes on along the minus strand of NC_000014.9, from coordinate 81,046,428 downwards.
GTATTCACTGATGTTAATCTCATCCAGTTATTTTCATTTTATATATTTTTAACTTTAGAAGTTCCTTTCAGGTCTTCTTTATGTCTTCCATTTTTCTCACTATGATTATGCATTCTTTTATTTTTTTGAGGTTGTTTAGAAGACTTATAATAGATGTTTTAATGTCATTTCTTGTTAATTCCATCATCTCTGTCATTCTGTGTCTGCTGCTACTAACTCATTTTTCTGTTTGTTCTGGATCATATTTCCTGCCCTTCTCCCTGATTATGGAAGTAAAAACATGGCCACCAATTTCCCTCTTTGGGAATCTGGGCTGGCTTTGATCATTTGCTTGATTATAGAATGTGGCAGAAGTGTGTTCTGAAATTTTGAGGTTACATTAGAGGAAGCCTTGCAGCAAAGTTCCACCTGAGACTAGCATTCAGCCATCCTTATCAAGGCAGCAGACAAGTGAATAATGCCATCTTGGACTCTCCAGAAAAGCCCATTTGTCATCTGAATACCAGTGAGTAAACTCTGATGATGCCATGAGAATGATTCAGCTATCTCTTACCCCAATTCCTGATATACACTATCATTAGAGATGTTAAATTGGTAGTTGTTTTAAACTTTTATATTTTACAGTAAATACTTATGTAGCTGTAGGTAACCAAAATACCCAGTATATGTCCGATATTATTTAGGTAGGTATTTTGTATTTGTGTAATTACCCTGTGGGTTTCTAGCTTCCATAATTATTCAGTAAATGTGAAATTGGTTTGAATTTATGTTTTCATTGAAACAGCAGTGATGATGAAAAAAAACCAAGTGGGAGCTGAATGATGAGAACACATGGACACGTGAGGGGGAACGATGTACACTGGAGCCTGTTGGGGGCCATGGGAGGGAGAGCATGAGGAAGAATAGCTAATTGATGCTGGGCTTAATACCTAGCTGACGGGTTGATAGGTGCAGCAAACCACCATGGCACCCATTTACCTATGCAACAAACCTGCACGTTCTACACGTGTATCCCAGAACTTAAAATAAATAATAATTCTTTCATTGAAGAAAAGCCCAGGATCAGATGGGTTCACTGTGGAATTCTACCAAATGTATAAAGAACTAATACCAATCTTCCCAAAGTGTTTCTAAAAATTGAAGAGGTGGCAATTCTCCCTAATGCATTGTACAAGGCCAACATTACTCTGTTACCAAAACCAGACATGGACATAAGCCCAGCTCTTTTTTCATCTTTCAGCTCCTACTTATAAGTGAGAACATGTGGTGTTTGGTTTTCTCTTCCTGCATCAGTTTGATGAGGATAGTATCTTCCAACTCCATCCATGTCCCTGCAAAGGACATGATCTCATTCCTTTTTATGGCCGCATAGTATTCCATGGTGTGTATGTACCACATTTTCTTTATTCAGTCTGTCATTGATGGGCATTTAGGTTGATTCTACGTCTTTGCTATTGTGAATAGTGCTGTAGTGAATATATGTGTGCATATCTTTGTAATAGAATGATTTATACTACTTTGGGTATATGCTAAGTAATGGGATTGCTGGGTCAAATAGTGTTTCTGCCTCTACATTGTTGAGGAATCACCACACAGTCTTCCACAATAGTTGAACTAACTTACACTCTCACCGACAGTGTATAGCATTCTTTTTTTCTCTGCAATCTCGCCAGCATCTGTTGTTTTTTGACTTTTTAGTAATAGCCATTCTGAACTGGTGTAAGATGGTATCTCATTGTGCATGTGTGTGTGTGTTTTTTTTTTTTTTTTTGAGACAGAGTCTTGCTCTGTCGCCCAGGCTGGAGTGCAGTGGCGCAATCTCGGCTCACTGCAACCTCCGCCTCCCAGGTTCAAGCAAGTCTCCTGCCTCAGCCTCCCAAGTAGCTGGGACTGCAGGCACATGCCACCACACCTGGATAATTTTTTGTGTTTTTAGTAGAGAAGGGGTTTCACCGTGTTAGCCAGGATAGTCTCAATCTCCTGACCTCGTGATCCGCCCACCTTGGCCTCCCAAAGTTTTGGGATTACAGGCATGAGCCACTGTCCCGGCCTCATAGTGGTTTTGATTTGGGTTTTTCTAATGATCAGTGATGTTGACCTTTTTTTCGTATGATTGTTGGTCCCATGTATGTCTTCTTTTATGAAGTGTCCATTCCTGTCCTTTGCCCATTTTTTAATGAGGTTGTTTGTTTTTTGTAAATTTAAGTTCCTTGTAGATTCTGGATATTAGACCTTTGTCAGATGAATACATTCCAAAACTTTTCTCCCATTCTGTTGGTTGTCTGTTCACTCTGATGATAGTTTCTTTTGCTGTGCAGAAGCTCTTTACTTTAATTAGATCCCATTTGTCAATTTTTGCTTTTGTTGTAATTGCTTTCGGTGTTTTTATCATGAAATCTTTGCCTGTGCATATGTCCTGAATGGTATTGCCTAGATTTTCTTCTAGGATTTTTATAGTTTTGGATTTTACATTTAAGTCTTTAATCCATCTCGAGTTAATTTTTGTATATGGTGTAAGGAAGGGGTCCAGTTTCAGTTTTCTGCATATGGCTAGCCAGGACTCTCAGCACCATTTATTAAATAGGGAATCATTTCCCCATTGCTTGTTTTTGCCAAGTTTGTTGAAGATCAGATGTTTGTAAGTGTGTGGACTTGTTTCCGAGTTCTTTTTTTCTGTTCCATTGGTCTATGTGTCTGTTCTTGTCCCAGTACCATGCTGTTTTCATTACTGTAGCCTTGTTGTGTAGTTTGAAGTTAGGTAGCATGATGCCTCCAGCTTTGTTCTTTTTGCTTAGGATTGTCTTGGCTATTTGGGCTCTGTTTGGTTTCATATTAATTTTAAAATAGTTTTTTCTAATTCTGTGTAGCATGTCAATGGTAGTTTAATGGGAATAGCATTGAATCTATAAATTACTTTGGGCAGTATGACCATTTTCACAATATTGATTCTTTCTATCCATGAGCATGGAATGTTTTTCCATTTGTTTATGTCCTCTGATTTCTTTGAGCAGTGGTTTGTAGTTCTCCTTGTAGAGACTTTACACCTCCCTGGTTAGCTGTATTCTTAGGTATTTTATTCTTTTTGTAGCAGTTGTGAATGGGAGTTCATTCGTGATTTGGCTCTCTGCTTGCCTGTTGTTTGTGTACAGGAATGCTAGTGATTTTTGAATATTGATTTTATATCCTGAGAATTTGCTGAAGTTGCTTATCAGCTTAAGAAGCTTTTGGGCTGAAACTATGGGGTTTTCTAGATATAGGATCATGTTATCTACAAACAAAGATAATTTGACTTCTTCTCTTTGAATCTGAATACTCTTTATTTCTTTCTCTTGCCTGCGTGCCCTAGAACTTCCAATGCTATGTTGAATAGGAGTGGTGAGAGAGGGCATCCTTGTCTTGTGCCAGTTTTCAAGGGAATTATTTCCAGCTTTTGCCCATTCAGTATGATATTGGCTGTGGGTTTTTTATATACGGCTCTTATGTTTGTTTTGTTTTTTACTGACACATTATAATTGTACATATTTATCAGGTACAGGGTGAAGTTTCAGTACATGTATAGTTGTGTAATGACCAAATCAGGGCATTTAGCATATCAATTACCTTATACATTTATCATTTCTTTGTTGTGAGAACATTGAAAACACTCTATCCTAGCTATTTTGAAATATACAATGCAATGTCGTTAACTATAGTCACCCTACTGTACAACAGAACACAGAACTTATTTCTCTTATCTAACTGTAACTTTGTACCCATTGACTAATCTCTCCCCATCCTCCTCTTACCCCTACACTCTTCTGCCTGTGGTCACCACTTCCCTACACTCTACTTCTATGATGTCAACTTTTTTAGATTTCACATATGAGTAAGATCATACAGTATTTGTTTTTCTCTTTCTGTCTTATTTCACTTAACATCACATCCTCTAGATTAATCCATATTACCCCAAATGACAAGATTTCCTTCATTTTTTATGGCTAAATATAATTCCATTGTGTATATTTGTGACATTTTCTTTATTCATCTCTTGATGAACACTTAGGCTGATTCCATATCTTGGCTTTTGTGAATAGTGCTGCAATAAACATGAGAGTGCAGATATCTCTTTGACATACTGATTTCATTTCCTTTGAACATATACACAATAGTGAGCTTGCTGGATCACATAATAGTTCTAGTTTTAATTTTTTGAGGAAACTTCATACTGTTTTCCATAATGGCTGTCCTAATTTACCACCAAAAGTGTATGAGAGTTCTCTTTTCTCCACATCTATACTAGCATTTGTCATTTTTTGGTATTTTGAGAATACCCATTCTAATTGGGGCAAGGTGATATCTCATTGTGACTTTTATTTATATTCCTCTGATGATTGGTAATGTTAAGCATATTTTCATATACCTGTTGGCCATTTCAGAAATGTCTATTTAGGTCTTTTGCCCATTTTAAAATCAGATTACAGTCATGCATCATTTAAGGGTTGGAATATATTCTGAAAAATGCATTACAACGCAATGTTGTTATTGTGTGAACATCACAGAATGTACTTACATAGACCTAGATTGTATAGCTTATTGCTCCTAGGCTAGAAACCTGTATAGTATATTACTGTACTGAAAACTGTAGACAGTTGTAACATGATGGTAAATATCTGTGTACCTAAGCATATCTAACCATAGAAAAGGCACAAAAAATACAATATTATGATCTTATTGAATCACTTTTATATATGCTATCATTGACCAAAATTTTTCTTTAACTTTTAAGTTCAGGGGTACAAGTGCAGGTTTGTTCCATAGGTAAACTTGTGTCCTGGGGGTTTGTTGTACAGATTATTTCATCACCCAGTTATTAGGCCTAATATCCATTAGTTGTTTTTCCTGATCCTCTCCCTCCTCCCACCTTCCACCCTTCAATAGGCCCCAGTGTGTTTTGTTCCCCTCTGTGTGTCCATGTGTTCTCATTATTTAGTTCCCACTTATAACTGAGGACATGCTGTATTTGGTTTTCTGTACCTGCATTTGTTTGCTAAGGATAATTGCCCCTAGCTTCATCCATGTCCCTGCAAAGGACATGATCTCGTTCTTTTTTATGGCTGCATAGTATTCCATGGTGTATATGTAACACATTTTTTTATCCATTCTATCATTGATGAACATTTAGGTTGATTCCATGTCTTTGGTATTGTGAATAGTGCTGCAATGAACATATGTGTGCCATGTCTTTATAAGAGAATAATTTATATTACTTTGGGTATATACCTAGTAATGAGTAATGGGATTGCTGGGTTGAATGGTATTTCTGTCTTTAGGTTTTTGAGAAATCGCCACGCCTTCTTCCACAATGGCTGAACTAATTTACACCCCCACCAACAGTGTAAAAGCATTCCTTTTTCTCTACAACCTCACCAGCATCTGTTATTTTTTTACTTTTTAATAATAGCTATTCTGACTGGTCTGAGATGGTATCTCATTGTGGTTTTAATTTCCATTTCTTTAATGATCAGTGATGTTGAGCCTTTTTTCATATGATCATTGGCTGGATGTATCTTATTTTGAGAAGTGTTTGTCCATGTCCTTTGCCCACTTTTTAATGAGGTTGTTTGTTGTTTTCCTGTAAATTTGTTTAAGTTCCTTATAGATGCTGGATATTAGACCTTTGTCAGATACATAATTTGCAAAAATTTTCTCCCATTCTGTAGGTTGTCTGTTTACTCTGTTGATAGTTACTTTTGCTGTGCCAAAGCTCTTTAGTTTACTTAGATCCCATTTATCATTGACCAAAATGTTATGTGGAACATGACTGTATTTGTTTTTTTGCTGAGTTGTTTGGGTTTCTTTTGTATTCTGTATATTAACCCTTTATCAGATGTATGCTTTGCAAATATTTTCTCCCATTCTGTATGTCGTCTCTCCACTTTGTTAATTGTTGACTTTGCTGTGCAGAAGTTTTTAGTTTGATGTAATCCCATTTATCAATTTTTGCTTTTGTTGCCTATGCTTTTCAGATGTTATCAAAAAAATCTTTGCCTAGGCCAGTGTCATAAAGGGATTTCCCTATGTTTTATTCTAGTAATTTTATCATTAGTGTTGATTTAAGCTTCTAGTCAATATTGATTTGATTTTTTGTATATGATGAAAGACGGGGTCTACTTTCATTCTTCTGCTTGTGGATATCCAGTTTTCCCAGAACCATTTTTTGAAGAGACTCTTCTTTCCCCAATGTGTATTCATGGCATGTTTGTTGAAAATCAATTGGCTTTAAGTGCGTGGATTTATTTCTGTGATCTCTCTTCTGTTCCATTGGTCTATGTGTCTATTTTAATGCCAGTACCATGCTGTTTTGGTTACTATAGCTTTGTAGTTTATCTTGAAGTCAGCTAGTACAATGCCGTCAGCTTTGTTCTTTTTACTCAAAATTGCTTTGGATATTCAAGATGTTTTGTGGCTTCATACGAATTTAGGGTTTTTTCTATTTCTTTGAAAAACTGTCATTGGAATTTTGATAAGGATTTCATTGAATCTGTAGATCTTTTGGGAGTAGTATGGACATTTTAATATTAATTTTTCTAATCAATGAACTCAAGATATCTTTATCCATTTACTTGTGTCCTCTTCAATTTCATCATCAACATTTTATAATTCCCATTGTAGAAATTTTTCACCTTCTTGGTTAAATTTATTGCTAAGTATCTTTTTTTTGTAACTGTTGTAAGTGGGATTGCTTTTTTGGTTTATTTTTCAGATAGTTTTTTATTGGCACATAGAAGTGCTACTGATTTTTGTATGTTGATTTTGTATCCTGCAACTTTACTAAATTTGTTTATTAGTTCTAATAGTTTTATGGTGGAGTCTTTAGGGTTTTTTTAATATATAAAATTATGTTATATGAAAACAGGGACAGTTTGAGTTCCTCCTTTTCCATTTGGATACCCTTTATTTCTTTCTCTTTCCTAATTGCTCTGGGTAGATGAAAGTGTTGAAAGTGGGCATGCTTGTCTTGTTCCAGATCTTAGAGGAGAAGATTTGAACTTTTCCGTGTTCAGTATGATGTTAGCTGTGGAATTATCATATTTGGCCTTTATCATGTTAAGGTATGTTCCTTCTATACCTAATTTGTTGAGAGATTTTATCCTGAAGGAATTTTAAATTTTATCAAATGCTTTTTTTGCATCAGTTTTGTCATTGATTTTATTAATGTGATGTATGATGCTTATTGATTTGTATATGATGAATCATCCTTCCATCTCCCAGTTGGTCATGGTGAACTCTCTTTTTAATTTGCTGTTGAATTTTGTTTGCTTGTATTTTGTTGAGGATTTTTGCCTGTAGTTTTCTTTCTTTGTTGTGTCCTTGTCTTGTTTTTGTATCAGGGTAATGCTGGCCTCATAGAATGAATTTAGATGAACTTATCTCCTCTTCAGTTTTTTGGAATAGTTTCAAAAGAATTGGTATTAATTATTCTTTAAATATTCAGTAGAATTCAGCAATGAAGCCATCAGGTCCCATGGTTTTCTGTGATCGGAAATTTTTATTACTGATTGAATCTTGTTACTCATTATTGATCTGTTCATATTTTCTATTATCAATTTTGGTAGGTTATATGTGTCCAGGAAAATATCCATGTCTTCTAGATTTTCTTTTTTTTATTTTTTCTATTTCTTTTTATTTATTTTTAATATATATATATTTATTTTTTATTATACTTTAAGTTCTAGGGTACATGTGCACAACATAATTGTCTCTTATGATTCTCTGTATTTCTGTGGTATCAGGTATAATGGCTTCTTTTTAATCTCTGATTTTATTTATCTGTGTATTATCTCTTTTTTCTTTGTCTAGCGAAAGGTTTGTCAATTTAGTTTATCTTTTTAAAAAATAATTCTTTGTTTCATTGATGTTTTCTATTTTTTAGCCTCTATTTCACTTATTTCTGCTCTGATCTTTATTATTCCCTTCATTCTTAATTTTAAATTTAGCTTGTTCTTTTTTTTTTCTTTTTTTACTTCCTTGAGGTACAATGTTAGGTTGTTTATTTGATATCTTTCTATTTTTTTGATGTAGGTGTTTATTGCTATAAACTTCCCTCTTAGAACTGCTGTTGCTATATCCCATAGATTGAGGTGTGTTGTGTTTCCATTTTCATTTGTTTCAAGAAATTTTAAATTTTCATTTTAAATATTTTGATTGGCCCATTGGTTGTTCCAGGAGCATGTTGTTTAATTTCCATGTATTTGCACGATTTCCAAAATTCTTCCTCTTATCAGTTTCTAATTTTATTCCATTGTGATCAGAAAAATACTTAATATGCTTTTGATTTTTAAAAATTTGTTGAGACTTGTTTTGTGGCCTAACATATAATCTATTCTGGAGAAAATTCAATGTACTTTTGAGAAAAATGTGTATTCTGTAGGTTGCTGGTGGGTGAAATGTTCTGCAAATATCTGTTAGGTCCATTTGGTCTAGAGTGCAGTATAAATCCAGTGTTTTTTTTTTTGCTGATTTTCAGTTTGGATGATCTATCTATTGCTGAAAGTAGGGTGTTGAAATCTCCTACTATTATTGTATTGCAGTCTGTATCACTCTTTAGATGTTATAATATTTGCTTTATATATGCTCTAGTGTTGGGTGCATATCTATTTAGAATTGTTTTAATTGGTTGCTAATTGACCCCTTTAGTATAGATTTACCTTCTTTGTCTCCCCTTTCAATTTTTGAATTATCTGTTATCTAAGTATAGCTACTCTTGTAGTCTTTTGGCTTCCATTTGCATTGAATATCATTTTTCATCCCTTCGCTTTCAGTCTACGTGTGTCCTTATGGGTAAAGCAAATCTCTTGTAGGTAGCATATAGTTGGGTTTTGTCTTCTACCCATTCAGCCACTCTATATCTTTTAATTGGAAAATTTAATTCATTTACATTCAAGGTTATTATTGATAGGTAAGAACTTACTCTTGACATTTTGTTAGATCATTTTCTGTTTTTTGTTTGTTTGTTTGTTTGTTTGTTTTGTATTTCCTTTGTTCCTTTTTCCCTCTCTTATAGTTTACCTGTGTGGTTTGGTGATTTTTTTTGTAGTGATAAACTTTGATTTTTTTTTTCTTTTTCATTGTGTATCTGCCGTAATTTTTTTCTTTGTGGTTACCATGGGGCTTACATTTTAAAAACTGTGTAGTTATAATAGGCAATTTAAGTTGATAATAACTTAACTTTGGCTACATGCAAGTATTCTAGACTTACCTTCTACCTCCCAAATTTGTTTATTTTTTATTAAAAACATTTTTTTTTTGAGACTGAGTCTTGCTTTGTTGCCTGGGCTAGAGTACAATGGTGCAATCTTGGCTCACTGCAACCTCGTCTCCCGGGTTCAAGCAATTCTCCTGCCTCAGCCTCCTGAGTACCTGGGACTGCAGGCACACACCACCACACCCAGCTAATTTTTGTATTTTTAGTAGAGATGGGGTTTCACCATTTTGGCCAGGCTGGTCTCAAACTTCTGACCTCAGGTGATCCACCCACCTCGGCCTCCCAAAGTGTTGGGATTACAGGCATGAGCTACTGCACCTGGCCTCCCCCACCAAATTTATAACTTTGTTGCTTACTTTGTATCCTTTCATATCCTGTACGTATTTTAACAACTTGTTGTAGCTATAGTAATCATTGACCATTTTGACTTTTAATCTTCAAACTAGACAACTGAAAGTTTATATACCACCACTACAGTAATGGAGTATTCTAAATTTGATAATAAATTTACTCCTACCAATGAGATTATACTTTCTTTTTTTCATACTAGTAATTATTTTCCTAATACATCCAGTTGAAGCATTCTCTCTAGCATTTCTTATATGGCTGGTCTAGCAGTGATGGATTACCTCAGCTTTCTCTTGCCTAGAAACACTATTTCTCCTTCATTTCTGAAGTATAAATTTTCTGGGTGTAGTATTCTAGGTAGACAGTTCCCCCGCACCCCCACCTCACCTCTTTAAGCACTTCAAATTTATTATCTGGTTCTTTCTTGGCCTGCAGTTTTTGTTGAGAAATCTGCTGATAGTCTAGTGGGGATTCCCTTATATGTAACTTGATTCTCTTCTCTCACTGCTTTTGGAATTCTGTCTTTAACTTTTGATGATTTGATTAAAATGTGCTTTGGAGAGAACCTCTTTGGGTTGAATCTGTTTGGGATCCTTTGTGCTTCATGGAGCTGGATGTACATATCTCTCCAAAGACGTGGGAAGTTTTTAACTGTTGTTTTTTTAAGTAACCTTTCTGTGTCTCTCTTCATCTTTGTCCTATGGAAATCCCATAATGCAAATATTTGTTTGCTTAGTTGGTGTCCCAGAAGTCCAGCTGGCCTTGGTTGTTCTTTTTATTCTTTTTTCTTTTGGATCTCTGACTAGGTTATTTGAAAAGACCTGTCTTTAAGTTCACAAATTTTTGTCTTCTGCTTAATTTAGTCTGCTATTGAAGCTCTGAATTGTATTTCTTCATTTTATTGGTTAAATTTTTCAGCTCCAAAATTTCTGTTTGGTTCTTTTTATTTTTATTTATTTTTATTTTTTTTGACACTACCACAAAGGCTCTCCATTCATCTGAATGAAGATGCCAATAAATGACTTTTATTGCGGGTTTGTTTGCTGCATTCAAATTATGCAATGTAAGGGGTAAAGTGTACAACACATAAAACCCCCAGCATCAAACAAAGAAGCAAAACAAAACACAAGCATTACCCATTTCCTCTAAATTCACAGTACAACAGCCAATTATGGAAATGATGTGGTAGGGAATAAACAATGGAATATTTTCTTCACATCAGTAATTAATATTTATTCCCCTGTGAAGTTCATTGTTCTAATTTCCATTATTCAGAGGGGAAGTTCTATCCTTGAGGACACCCAAAAGTATGCTGTTACATGGCAGCATCAGCAGCATCCTCGGCATTGGAAGAAAAAGCCAAGCAGCTCGTTCTCTGTACAAAGTTGTTGCTCCATAAATAATATAACAATAGAATCATTTCACCATTATCAGGTCTCCTGCAAGGGTTACCACATGACTTGTCCAGTGAGGTCCTGAGGTCAGTAGAGTCACAGCTGAGCAGGGCATGGGCACTTCTAAGTGGGAAGGCATGACAGTATGAGAGAATTTTCTAGCATTGGAACCTTTCTGCAGTTTACACAACACTTCAGATAAACTGTGTATTATTTCCCAGAAGGTATCAAAGTTCAATTCTTATAGCTTCTTCATGCTCAATCATTACTTTTCAGGGCCGCTTCAACTCTTAAACTCCAAGAAGCTGAGGAGGAGAAAAATGACTCTTATCTGTAGGATTTGAGATTCCAACCTTTCATTCACTTGGCAGATGGATCCTGAAAGCTGCTAGGTGTCAGGCTTTGCACCCTCCCTGTTTTTTGGGAATTGGCCCGAAGGCTTTAGTAAGAGTAAGTTGGGAGCTGAAGCACATATGTTTGCTTAACTTTATTTAACATTTTTATTTTTTAAACTGTAGATTCAGATCTGACTATACAATTGCACATATCTAAGTATTTTTTTTCTTCTGGAGTTACAAACCCTTCATCTGGGTTTGTGTAGGAATGAAATAGAAATTGCAAAAAGGCAAATTATTATGTTTTCATTAGAAATTTAACTTTAGTCCTGTTTCTGTCATAGGACAATTTTCGCAAACCCCAAAACGATTCTATAAAAAGCTATTTCTGGTCTTTCTGCTTTAGCAATTGGTGAAATTTCCACAAAATTTTAATCAGTGGAAAACCATGTAACAAGCATGTGTTTTTAACATGAAGCTATGACTAATTATTTGAGAATACTACTTTAGGTTAAACTTCATACAAAAGGGCAAGAAGAAAAAAATATGAGAAAACAGACCCTTTTTCTGCTTAAATTCACAAATGGCAGATTCACAGTTGGCTGGAACAGAAACAGCAGGGCCCTTCAGAAACTTCACAGTTTTAAAAAATGAGTTCTCACTATTTTGCCCAGGCTGGTGTCAAACTCCTGGGCTCAAGCGATCCTTCTGCTCCAGCCTCTCAGGTAGATGGGACTACAGAGCATGTGCCACTGCACCCCACTTAGATCTTCTGATTAAGCTATCAATAAAGGCTAAGAGCATTCAGACATAAAATCCTTGAATAGACTTCTCATTCTCTGTGGTTCTCTCACTTCAAGGTAACATGATGTCAACTCTGAAATTGTTTCTGAAGATAAAGAGAGGGTGGATGACCAAGGCTAGAGCATGACCCATAACAAGGAAAAGTAACTGTGTATAAAGTATAAGGCAGCAGGTCTCTACCTCTGGTAGGCATCAGAAAACTTGCATACTTTTCTAAACATATGAGGGCTTGGACTTCACTTCCTACTTCTAAAGAGGAAGCTCCAGGCCGATAGGTCTTGCCAAACTTTAGTCAGCAATTGTGATGTGTGCCACAGAGAACTAACTATTGGTACAATGTTTCTGCCAGGCATATGCACAACCTTTATTTTGCATAACTGGAGATGATTTATCAATGGTGCATTTTACAAGATCACCACTATAAGAATTCCTTCCTTTGTCTACCCTAGCTGCAGATTACCCACAGCAGGCATGCATAAAATGTCAATTCTCTTCATAACCTAAATTAGAATTTTAAGTGAACTTTTGCTTTTCACACTTTGCTTCTTTTATGTGGTAGAGCTAGGCTGTACTTTTTGATTTCTTATTTGTAGCTAGTTTCACTGAAAATTCTTCTGGTTTTTGTGTGCTGCTAAGCTCTTGGTTTAAAGATAAAGAGAATTGTACATTTTTTTTTTTTTTTTAGAAAAAGACCATATGGAAAACATTCATCTTAGCAACTTCTGATAAAAAGAAAAAAAAAAAAACCCTGATTTTAACTTACCACTGATTTTTACTAAACTTTTAATCTTTAGTTTATGCAACAGGACCACAATTTCTTTTCCCAGTTATTAACACCCAGATTGTTTCAAACCCTGAAAGGAAAGTGCAAAACATCATGCTGCAGAATTTCTATGCCTTAGCTTCTGCAGTGTTTCTCTGTAAAGTGGCCAGGATGGCCCCTGTCATTCACTTTCGGAGCTGTCTTCACTGTCTTCACTCTCGGAGTGTCTTCACTCTTGGAGCTGTACAAATTATGCTTTTCGATGTATTCTTGGACAAGATCTAGTACCAAGTAGTGGATGCTCTGGCCCCTTCTGAGGGCTCTTCAGATTTTTGTGGATGAGATATCATTAGTGATCCATTCATTCACCACATGAATGTTGCTCCAGTGTTTCCATAGCACATCAGATTCATAGATGAATTTCTGAGCAGCATTTCCAGCTTGAGTAATGCATATGAGCCCATAGTCTGCCATGATTTGGGTGATGTCTTCACTCTTCCAGAAATTGGGAACACCAAAGGACTCCAGTAAATCTGCCCCACACAGCAGCTTGACTTTTGGTGCACCTTTTGTTTTTGGCTCTAGGGATCTCTTTTGACTAGAAGCTTGTCTTTGTTCAGCTCATGGAATTCCTCTTTCGTCCAGGCCTTTCTAGTGTAGGTGAGTTCTGCTGTTGATCACAGTCACTAGCCTCCAGTTTATCTTGATAGTATCTTAGCATCTTAACAGCCTCTATCCACTCCTTCTGAAAATTTTTCCATGTATCAACTTCCACCAATTTGGAATTCTTGGTGGCAAGTTCTGCCATGATGACCTGGTGATGGGCAGGCATGAGTCCCTTCTTCTTGTATGCATCACCAACAGGAGAGATTATGCCTTCGACAACTCTCTATCTTCCTGTTCAATTCATGCAGTCCTTGGCTAGTTCAAACAACCTGAGGTGCATGTTGGTGACAGGATTGAAGGAGCCACAAGCAAGGAGAACCACTACAGTCTTCTCTGAATTTTCCATGGTAAGAACTTGAATTTGTTGATCTAAATGGAAAACTCTGACAACTCCCTTGTTGCTTTTACAAGGGAAATTCTTTGAACCTGAAGTGTCTTGCAAGGTAGGCGATTGGAACCATTTTGACCAGTGTGTCAACAGTCTTCTCTAAGGTGGGCTAGAAAAATGGTTTCATATCCAAATTGTAACTCTTTTCCATGCTCCTGCATTTGACACCTTCCCTCAAGGCATGTCTGGATGCAGTTTTCCTCAAAGACCCTCTTGGCCTCACTAGGAAAAACCTCAGGAAGCCTGTGGTAGGAACAGTTGAGGGAGAAAATACCCCCACCCATGGATGTCTCAGGCTGCTCAAGTGGAAGTTTGTTTGGTTCTTTTTAATGATATCTATCTCTTTGTTCAATTTCTCATACAGATCATAAATTATCTTCCCAATGTATTTGAAATGTCTATCTATGTTCTCTTGTATCTGAGTTTCCTTAAGATTCATAAATTTCTATTTCTTTGTGTTAAGTAACTGGGGAATCACTGTGCTTATTTGGCAGTGTCGTGTTTCTTGTGTCCCTCTGTTGATACCTATGCATCTGGTGGAAGAATTGCCTCTTCCAGTTTTATACAGTAGCTTCCAGAGGGGAAGACTTTCACCTGAAGGTGTGTCCTAGGGAGTCAGTTGGGTAGAGTGCATTGGCTTTGGTTCTGGGTGAGGACAGTAGTGTAGCCTCTCTGAAGTTTCTATAGTCAATGTCAGTGATGCCTGTAAGTGCCTCTGTGACCTAGGCTGCTAGAGTTTGTGTGGCTAGTTTGCTGGTTCTGGCGCTGCTTCCCTGTGGGCAAAGTGCCAGGCTGGTTCATGCAAGGGAGCATGGGATAGATCCACTGCCTCTGTGGTTACTCTCCTGGGCGCAGGTTGCTAAGCTAGTTTGCACACGAAGGATCACAGGGATAATACCTACCTTTAAAATCTGAAACAAGACATCCTAATGGTGTTCTAGAGTACCAAAGTGCAAATAAATAAGAAACAACATAGATTTTCCCTGAAAATATATTTATTTCTTCAAGTTAAAGCCTCATGTTTTTTTCTAAATATTAAATAATAATTCCTAGACAATACATATTTTTTTTACCATGCCTCAAATTATTGTTCAATTAAAAATAACTTTTTCCATAAACTTCTTTATCAAAATATAAACAAAGATACCCAGTCAGAGCCTAGGGTCACGCTGTCTCCTATGTGTGTAGTTCCTTCATATGTATGACTGTAGGATCACAAAGTATAATTTCATGCCAAGAGTAGGATGGTAGCATGGAAGAAACCCATACTTTTCTAAGCATAATGCTGTGTATGTCACCAACAGGCCAGCTTTCCATCTCCCCTTCCTCCGGTGCAGGAGAGTGAACAGATTTATAAGAACTAGGGTTTATGCAGGTCATCAAGGGATACTCAAATCTGTGGAAGGAAACCCTCGAGATTTCCTGACTGTTTTATTAATTGAGGCAACCAGTCAGAGCATGCTAGTTCCCATTATACCGCAGCTTTTACAGAGAGGTCTAAAGTCTTATCTTGTTGTGATTTTATATGTAAAAGGCATTAAAACATGGTATATGCCCTGGCAAACCTCCATTATAATGAAAAAATGTCATGACCAAAAAGGAACATTTGCCCCATGTGTGCTATATTCAGAATGCATTTCCTACTGACAATCTTATTGGTTAAAATAAAAATAAAGCCACATACATATTTTCTCCTGACAATCCTCTCAATTAAAAAAATAATAAAAATGAAACCACATGATTTTCCAGTTTGAATGAAAAAGACTAAGTGGATGAGAAGTCCAAATGCATCTGTATCTGGGAGGTCATACTCAATTCCATTCAGCATTATCAAAAACACTCGTCAGTAAAGTCTATCCGATCTAGAAAAGTTTGTTTCACAAAATGAAAAACTACTGGTAAGAGAATTTAATTAGCATTTATTTCCCTGCCTGATTTTTAAAAGGTGCTTGTATTTGTCTTAATTCATTGAAAGAGAGAAAAAAAGATTAATACTTAAATATTTCATCCTATATAATAATTCAAGCAGAATTTCCTTTAAAATTCAAGGCCAAACTTCAGATTTTTAAAGAAAATATATTTTGATGTGATAACCTTAGGCTGAATCCTTGAGGTAAAAAATGGATTTCACCAAAAACAATACAATTTTTGCTTGAAATTAAGTGAAGGATCAGTTTTCTGTGGTCTTTTCGCCAAGAGACAAGAAAAAAAATGAACTAGGTTCATTTTTAAATTCTGTTTTAGTATCAGAGAGCAGGCAATTGAAAGTTCTTTGTGAAAGTGACTTCTTTGTTTTCCCTAAGGGCTCTTGAATGTTCATACTGGAACACTAGTGACCTTGTTTATACCAATATTGTATCAGCCACCATCAACTCTCTTCTGTGCTGCAATAAATATGCTCCAGTAATTGTAGGTCCTAAGTTTCTAGGGCCTATCAACACAATTCCTTAAACATCAAGAACCTGGTAGTTACGGCAAAAGAGGCCTTTGTGCAGAACTCTCACTGAACCCAGCATAATTCCTAGCATATCCATCCCATACTGTAGTCCAAAGTGCAGTGTTAAGTAATTACACAATATAAATTATTTTGAGGCAGTTCTAGTGAATTATTTTTATAGCGCTGAGGCTTGGAAATTCCAGACAACGTTGGGCAGTCTCAACAAACTATGTAATAGACAACTGGCAAGGATACAGAATCCATGGGTATATTTTTTTAAGAAAGGCCAAGTTATTATTTCACCCTCTTTTCTTTAGAAAAAATGTCAAATGCTTTGATTAACTGATAGGTCACCAGGTGGTCTGAAGAACAGTTTCCCAGAATGGCACACACTCATTTCTACCACATAGTACAGAAATTTTTTATTTCCATAAAGTAAGCATAAAGAATTAGATTGATTTGGGTTTTTTTCTCATTAACACATTTTCAAACTGAAAATCAAGTCACATATATTTTTACTTATTTTCTCTCCATCATAAATAAACTGCTGGGGGTGCAGATATGGAACTGTAACAATCCAAATCAGGACAGCTCTCTTTTCGCTCCCCTTCCATGTCTCCCACTTTTCTCCCTTTCTCCCTTCACTATCATGCTATATGATCTAAACTCCTAGGGTATGAAATATATGAGAAGCTAATATATATAATCCTCAAAAGTAAATCATAGAACAGTTTTATAACACTGAGTTAAATAAGATGAGGAAGGGAAAATATGTCCTCATAATTAAAAAAAACCCTGAAGATTCCTATTGCTGAAGTAAGGAATGCCTTCTCAAAGATTTGGAAGTAAATTTTACATGGGAAAAGGGAGTTAAATAACTCTGGGGAAATCATGATGGCCTTTGTTATGGTTTTTAATTCTTTTAAAGGTTACAGAATGATTCATATTTTCTATTTCTTCATATGTCAGTTTTGGTAAATTGTTTTTTATAGAAATATATCCATTTTATTAAAAATTTCAAATTTAGAGACATAAAGTTAATATATTTAAATAATATAATTTAAAAATATCTATAGGCTCTGTGATAATAGACTCCTTTTTTATTTCTGATTCTTTATTTCCTCAATCAACCTTACCAAAGGTTTATCAATTTTATTAGTCTTTTCAAAGAATCCATTTTGGGTTTAAAAAAATTTTCTCTATTAAAAATTGTAAAATGTCTGATTATTCATATTCTGAATCTCCTGTGCATTCATTTCTGTTGCTGGTATTTCTCTCAATTTTTTATTACATCATCTTCTCTTCTCATTTGTCTGGTTACTTTTTATTGTGTGCAAGATGTTGTATACAAAAAGTGTTGAAATCATTTGAAGCCTAAAATTGTATTTCCTGGTAGGATTTCCATTTGCTCATGGCAGTTGGTTAGGGGAACTAGCAATCTTATATTACCGTAATCCAATTAGAGGAACTAAGATGGTTGAAAACTGGACTTCTGTCCCAAGTTTTTTTTCCAGCTACCCCTTACTACTAGATGGAGCCCTTTGGGATCCCAACTCAATGTAGGGGGTTTATCAGAGATCCTTTCTTGATAGATTTTTTTTTCTTACTGTCTAGCCCTATAGTGCTGCCAAACCTCTGCTCAACTATTCCTTGAATCACGTTCCTAGGATTTACCTCTCTGATTTCCCTTTTTCTCCTCTTTGTTTCATAATTGTTTACTATTTTGCGATTAAATTTTTTTGAATCCTGCTTTGCTAATTTTTCTTACCAGGAGTGGTTTATGTGATGTAAACCAGCATTCCTGGAAGGATAAGTTCATTACACTTTGTTTTTAATATTTTACCATTGGTCTGTGATTTCTAAGGTCAATTTTTCATAATATGAAAGGCTTATGATCTACTTGAGTTCCTCTAGTAATTTGTTACTTTGTAAGATATAACTTTATGTATCGTAAGGTCTCTCTTCCTTTAAACAGTACCTATTAATTTCTCACTATGAATGATGCTTTTAGAATATGTCCAGTTACTTCCATCTTCTTGCTTTTCTTTTCTGCTACACTCATTTTGGTTAGTTATGTGCTTAATCTTAGATCAGCCTTAGTCTCAGATCAGCCTTAAACAATATATTTAAAAATGAGAAGATTGGTACTTAAATTATCTCCCATTTTCATTTCCCTCTCGCTCCTGATTTTTGTTAGTTATATTATTTTTATAAAGGGATAACTTATTACATTTCTATTCTGTTCTGCACACCCTAATTTCCTGAAGTCATTTTAACCTTAGTTTTAAATTTAAAATGACTTAATGCTCATAGCTCATCATTTATATCTTGGTTGACCTAGTTGGCTAACAGCTTTTTTAAAGCTCATGTAGGTTTTTTTCCCCTACGTTTTACACATTTGAAAAAGTTATTGCACAGATGGACAGAAGAAACAAGCCTGGTGTGTCTGGGTATATAATTTAGGGGTCATACTTTGTTACCCTGAGAACTTGATGATTTCATTATTCCTAGCACTGAATGGAGAGAAATTTGAAGCTAGCTTTATTCTTTTGCTTTTCAGATAAGATATTTATGCCCTCACCTTTTTTAGATACTCTTGGGTTCTTTATTTTTCTTTGAAGTTCCTTAACTTTACTAGATTATGCATGGAAATTAATAGATATTTATGTTTGCTGGAATATTGTGTGTCCTTTAATTCTACAGATTCAAATCTCTTATTTCAGGAGTTTTTTGATATAACTTTGGATATTTTTGTTCTCCATTTTTTTCTGATTTTGTCTTTAAAAACAAGAATATTGAATGTTTTACATATAATTTCTAATAAAAATCCAATGTGTTGTACCTGTCAATTTCCCCTGTGTTCTCGATCTACAATTTTTTCCTACTCTAGTCTTTTTTCTTTTCTATTTCATTTTGCTCCACTTTCTCAAGATGTCATGAATGTCTTCACTTATATTTTCAACATGGGCAACATTGCTGTTCCCATTAAGGCCTTTCTTTTTTTTTTTTTTTTGAGATGGAGTTTCACTCTTGTTGCCCAGGCTGGAGTGCAGTGGCGTGATCTTGGCTCACTGCAACCTCCGCCTCCCAGGTTCAAGTGATTCCCCTGCCTCAGCCTCCCAAATAGCTGGGATTATAGGTGCCCGCCACCACACCCAGCTAATTTTTGTATTTTTAGTAGAGACGAGGTTTCACTGTGTTGGCCAGGCTGGTCTTGAACTCCTGACCTCAGGTGATCTGCCTGCCTCTACCTTCCAAAGTGCTGGGATTACAGGTGTGAGCCACTGTGCCTGGCCCAAAGCTTTTATTTCTTTGATGTTTTTATTTTGCTCTTTTACTTCTATCCCAAGATCTACCAAATACCTTTTTTAACATTTTTTATTGCCTTATCTTTTTTTAAATTTGAGACTTCTTATCTTCACTCTGGAGTCCTAACACAGAAAGGTCACCTTATTCATTAAGTTTTATGAACTCACAGATAACTTTGGTCACAAGTTTTACCTTCTCTAGGGCAATAAAAATATTTTTGGTGGTTGCCCTTTTTATGATTTTTATTTGTTTTGTTGCCTTGCTTCTTTATGTAAATAGGGTTATTTTTGCATAAATCCTATGTTAATTCCTTTTCAATAATGAAGGGATTTTTCTCTAGAGGTGACAGGGTAATGTTTGCATGTTTGCATGCGTGTGCATATACACACACACATACACACAAGTATGTCGATTGTGTGGTTTAGCTGTAATCTTTCTTTACTCATCCATCCATCATACAAATATTTATTGTGCACCTGCTTTGTGCCAGGTACTGCTCTAGGTTTGGAGAATACAGCAATAGATAAATCAGAAAAAAAATTTCTGCCTCCCTGGAGTTTACATTCAATGGCGGATAAAGATTGACAGCCTCAAGCTGCTTATCATTCAGTTTCTCATCTGGTCTTCCAAACAGATAGTTTCTTGTAGAGTTAGCTTGTCTGCATGTGTCTTCATTTGTCATCACATCCCCTGCATTGGAGGGGTTTCTTGTGGGGTTTCAGGAGCTCCTTGAGGCCATCCATCTTGTTCTATCATGTCTTACCCCTTGATGTGTATCACTTACTTCAAAGACCTCTGCACTGTCATCCTTTGAGGTCCAGTAACCATCTTCTTTCAGTTTCTTGCCTCTCTCTGGTCCAAATTCACTATACTTGCCAGCCTTTCTTCATATATATTATGGTTGAAGTTAATGAAGATTTTCTAATAATGACAGATGGGAGTGTGTACTGCTAAATTTCCTTGTTGCTTTTGGCTTTTTTCCAGAAAGCAGTTTAGGGATCAAGATGTCTTTAGTATCCTGAAACTAAATATTTCATCCTTTCACTTTCAAAGTGAGGGAACTCAAGCCTAGAAGGTTCAGTGATTTATTGAATGTCTCACATATAATTCAATCCTAGAACCAAAGTTTCTGGGCTCCCAGTTTAATGTATTGTCTATTATATTTTATTTTTATGTGAAAGATACATAAATATCAAGGAAACAAACCAATATTATAGAATATCATAGAAACAGCTTCAGATTTGTCCAAAACCAACTTCCCATCTCTTCTCATGTTAAAAAAAAAATAACTACATATTTATACTGATTTATCCATTGGAATAATTAGGGTTCAAGTCTATCTTTGAACTGCAAGTTTAATTATATACAATTTTAAAAAATAAACATATTGAATCCTTTTTTGGAGATTTGCAACAATTTTTAAAAACTTGCAGTTGAACCATATGGCCTGGAAATATAAAAAGAAATTAAGAAAAAAGCTAGGGATATACTCATCTGTTTTATCATACATTATGATAAAATACATACAAATCTATTATAAAAAGTTAAAATTTCTCAAAACTTTCAAACCCAAATACAGACTGCACATGTACCATTCACAGTCAAGAGAAATGTGAGCAAACATAAAGTATTAAATCATTACTGCATACAATTAACTGTACATACTGTATTACTGCAAAAATGTCATAGCCAGCTCCTGTTGCTTTTGTGCTAAGCTCAGGTGTTGCAAGTATCTGCTTAAAATTTCATGTCACTAATTATCTCTGTATAAGCAGTTTGTGTCTCCAGTAAATTCCATATGACAGTAAAAAGTGACCTCTCACTGTTCTCACATATTTTTCATTATATTTAGTGCAATACTGTAAACCTTGAATAACACCATGGGATCTATACAAAGTGCCATTAGTGTTGCTGAAAGTGCTCCCAAGAAGCAGAGAAAAATCATGACAGGAAAAAGTTGAACTGCTTGATGTTTACCATAGATGGAGGTCTGCAGCTGCGATTGCCTGCCATTTCAAGATAAATGAATCTAGTGCAAGGCCCATTGTTAAAAAAGAAAGAAAATTCATGAGGCTGTCACTGCAGCTACACCAGCAGGTATAAAAACTTATACTTTTTGCAAAATACCTTTTTATCTCATATTGAAAATGGAGCTTTTATGTCGGTGCAGAATTGCTATAAGAAAGGCATACCTGGCCAGGCACGGTGGCCCAAGCCTGTAATCCCAGCACTTTGGGAGGCCAAGGTGGGCAGATCATGAGGTCAGGAGATCGAGACCATCCTGGCCAAAATGGTGAAACCCTGTCTCTACTAAAATACAAAAAATTAGCCAGGCATGGTGGCGTGCACCTGTAGTCCCAGCTACTCGGGAGGCTGAGGCAGAAGAATCGCTTGAACCCGGAAGGTGGAGGTTGCAGTGAGCCGAGATTGCGCCACTGCACTCCAGACTGGTGACAGAGCAAGACTCCATCTAAAACAAACAAACAAACAAACAAAAAAAAACCATGCCTAAATACTCTATTATTATTTGAAAAAAAGTGAAGTCATATAACAACTTAAAGTAAAAGGAAGTTAAAGGAACTAAAGCTGAAGAATTTAATGCCAGCAAAAGATGGTGTGATAGTTTTAGAAAGATGTTTGGTTTTAAAAATGTGACGATAACAGGAGAATCAGGTTTTGCCAACCAATAGGCAGCAGATGAGTTCCCAGGCACCATTAAGACAATCACTGAGAAGAATATCTGCCTAAATAGATTTTAATTTTTTAAAATTTTAGGGGGTACATAGTAGGTGTACTAAATAGGTTTTTAATGCAAATAAAGGTGCCCTGTTCTGCAAAAAAATGCCATGAAGGACATTTATTAGTAAGAAAAAGAAGTCAGCACCAGGATTTAAGGCAGGAAGAGATGGGCTACCTCTACTGTTTTGTGCAAATGCAGTTCGGTTTATGATAAGGACTGCCCTTATCTATAAAGCAGCTAACCCCTGAGCCTTGAAGGGAAAAGTTAAACACCACCTGCCAATCTTTTGGTTGTACAAGAAGGCCTGTACAATGAGAACTCTTTTTCTGGATTGACTCCATTTATGCTTTGTCCCTCAAGTCAGGAGGTACCTTGCCAGTAAGGGACTGCCATTTAAGGTTCTTTTGATATTGAACAATGCCCCTGGCCACCCAGAACTCCATGAGTTCAACACTGGAGGTGCTGAAGTGGTCTACTTGCCCCCAAACACACATCTTTAATTTAGTCTTTACATCAGGGTCCTAAAGACCTTTAAGGCTCATTACACCCAGTACCCTGGAAAGGATTATCAACACTATGTAAGAAAACCCTGATGATGTGGTTTGGCTGTGTCCCCACCCAAATTTATCTTGAATTCCCATGTGCTGTGGGAGGGACTCAGTGGAAGGTAATTGAATCATGGGGGTGGGTCTTTCCCCTTATCTCAAGCCAGTAGGCTTGAGACTCCCCAAAGGGCTGATGTTTTAGTTTGAGTCAGAAGACAGATAAAGACTGATGTCCCAGATCAAGCAGTCAGGCAGGAAGAGTTTTCCTTTCCATTTATAGCCTATTCAGGTCAATCTGCTTTACTCAGTGTCTTAGGCCATTGGGCTGCTATAACAGAATATGTTAAACTGAGTAATTTATGGACAATAGAAATTTATTTCTCACCTTCTAGAAACTGGGAAGCCCAAGATCAAGGCACCAAGAGATCTCCACATGCACACAGCAAACTGAGTGTCTGGTGGGGACTTGCTCTTTGGTGCCTTCTAGCTGTGTCCTTAGATGGCAGAAGGAGCACATAGACTTCTTGGGCTCTTTTCTAAGGGCAGTAATCTCCTTAATAAGCTCATTAATGAGCGCTCCACCTTCATGACCCAATCACCTCCCAAACGCCCCACATCTTTTTTTTTGTTCTTTTGAGATGAAGTCTCGCTTTGTCGCCCGGGCTGGAGTGCAGTGGCATGATCTTGGCTCCCTGCAACCTCTGCCTCCCGGGTTCAAGCGATTCTTGTGCCTCAGCCTCCCAAGTAGCTGGGACTACAGGTATGTGCCACCATGCCCGGCTAATTTTTGTATTTTTAGTAGAGATGGGGTTTCACCATGTTGGCCAGGATGGTCTCGATCTCCTGACCTTGTAATCCACCTGCCTCAGCCTCCCAAAGTGCTGGTATTACAGGTGTGAGCCACCGTGCCCGGCCCCAAACACCCCACATCTTAATACCACCATATTAAGGGTTAGTTTCAATAAATGAATTCTGGGGAGAGGAGGACACAAACATTCAAATCATAGCACTCAGTCTGCTGATGCAAATGTTAATCTCATCGAAGACACCCCCTCAGCCACAGCCAGAAAACTCTTTGACCAAATATCTGGAAACACTGTGGCACACAACACAAGTTGACACATACAATTATCATGCCCACAGTAATTACTGTAATTTTTTTGTTGTTTGTTTTGTTTTTGTTTTTGAGACGGAGTCTCGCTCTGTTGCCCAGGCTGGAGTGCAGTGGCACTATCTCGGCTCACTGCAAGCTCCGCCTCTCGTGTTCACGCCATTCTCTTGCCTCAGCCTCCCAAGTAGCTGGGACTACAGGCACCCACCACCACGCCTGGCTTTTTTTTTTTTTTTTTGTATTTTTAGTAGAGACGGGGTTTCACCATGTTAGCCAGGATGGTTTTGATCTCCTGACCTCGTGATCTGCCCACTTCCGCCTCCCAAAGTGCTGGGATTACAGGCGTGAGCCACCGCACGCGGCCGATTACTGTAATTTTAAAAGCCTACTTTCAAGTCCATGCATTGGATGCCATGTGCCAACTATTGAGTAATGTCAGTTGTTGATAACTGAGGTTGTAAACTCAGAAAAGAATATAGGTAGGTCAGCACTGAAAGTGCAGCCACATATTTACTGATGCTGTTACCTATGAAATTTCTTTTTTATCATGACTCAGATCATACATTTTACATATTTAAAAGTGTGCTGAGTGGTTTCAATAAGCCGTAAGAACTGTAATAAAAAGAAATAATTGATCCAAAACATTTTAAATTAATACATTTCTTTCCAGAGTGGTAAAGCAATAAATGCAATTAAACAATGTCCATTGAATATAAGGTAGAATCAGGGTCTCAGTATCTAACAACAAACCTACCATGTAACATAATTTCCTTAGGGGCAAAAGAACATGATTTACTTCACCTTGCTCTCCTTCTTTCCCTGCCTACTGTCCTCTCTTCTCTTTCTTATGCCTTTCCTTTCTCCCTTTCCCTATTACAAACAGTAGATTTGGGGAAAACAAATATGGAACAAACCCAGAATCTTTTTTCCCCTTATCCTAGTAATGAAGACAAGCAGGTAAAACATCTAACCAGTGTAAGATGGTGGGATGAGCTTTTCAGTGGAATAGTAATTAATTAGGGTGATAGTAGACTTTGCAGGGGAGGGAACACTTAAGCAGAGCCTCAGTGGTTGATCAGGGACTCCTCAGCCAAGGGGGACATTCTAGAGCAGCGGTTCCCAACCTTTTTGGTACCAGGGACCAGTTTCATGGAAGACAATTTTTCCATAGACTGGCAGGGTCGGGGGCATGGTTCTGGGATGAATCAAGCATATTACATGTATTGTGCATGTTATTTCTATTATTATTACATGGTAATATATAATGAAATAATTATGCAACTCACCATAATGTGGAGTCAGTGGGAGCCCCGAGCTTGTTTTCCTGCAACTAGATGGTCCCATCTGTGGGTGATGGGAGACAGTGACACCCAAAGTGTGTTGCTTATGTCCAGTCTACTCTGTAATCTCATTTTGGTTGCTGTCACTGCAGAAAACCCTGCTTCACAAAGATAGGATGTTGGAAATGGAAGCAGGCTTTTCAGAGCTTTTGTAGCAATCTCAGGATATTCTGCCTTGACTTCAATCCAGAACATATGGAGATTTGAAATTGTCTGAAACATACTTTTAAGGATACCAGATACAGCTGTACAATTGAAGTACATCAACTCACTTGCCACTATAAAGCTTGCCACCAGATGCAGCTTACTTGTCACATGTCACTCACTTTTAGGGTTTTGATATGAGTCTGCAAGCAATTGATTTATTATGGTTTCTATGCAGTCAAGCCTCTCTGCTGATGTTAACCTGTATTTGCAGCTGCTGCTGAGTGCTAGCATCGCTGCCTCAGTTCCACCTCAGGTCATCAGGCATTAGATTCTCTTAAGGAACACGCAGTCTAGGTCCCTCGCATGTGCAGTTCACAATAGGGTTCACTTTCCTATAAGAATCTAATGCCACTGCTGATCTGACAGGAGGCAGAGCTCAGGTGGTAATGTGAGGGATGGGGAGCAGCTGTAAA
Organism: Homo sapiens; assembly: GCF_000001405.40. Lineage (NCBI taxonomy): Eukaryota > Metazoa > Chordata > Mammalia > Primates > Hominidae > Homo > Homo sapiens. The sequence continues at coordinate 81,020,384 of NC_000014.9, read as the reverse complement.
ATACAGATGAAGCTTTGCTCACTCACCTGCCACTCACTTCCTCTATGTGGCCTGGTTTCTAACAGACCACGGACAGGTACTGGTTCATGGCCCCAGGGTTGGGGACTCCTGTTCTAAAAGGAATTGCTAATTCCCCACAGTCTTTTAGAACATTTTGGCTATTTCTAGCACCTGACACATAGTAGCTGCTCATTCAGTCATTTATCCATTCAACAATGTTTGTTAAATATCTTTTATGTGCCTAAGTGTAACACACACAGACAGAGACACATATGTTTAATAAATATATGTTGTTTTGTTTTACACTGTTGGTAGGAGTGTAAATTAGTTCAACCATTGTGGAAGACAGTGTGGCGATTCCTCAAGGATCTAGAACTAGAAATACCATTTGACCCAGCAATCCCATTACTGGGTATATACCCAAAGGATTATAAGTCATTCTACTATAAAGACACATGCACATGTATGTTTATTGCAGCACTGTTCACAAGAGTAAAGACTTGGAACCAACCCAAATGCCCATCAATGATAGACTGAATAAAGAAAATGTGGCGCACATACACTATAGAATACTATGCATCCATAAAAAAGGATGAGTTCATGTCCTTTGTGGGGACATGGGTGAAGCTGGAAACCATCATTCTCAGCAAACTAACACCAGAACAGAAAACCAAACACTGCATGTTCTCACTCGTAAGTGGGAGTTGAACAATAAGAACACATGGACACAGGGAGGGGAACATCACACACCGGGGCCTGTTGGGGGGTGGGAGGCTAGGGGAGGGATAGCATTAGGAGAAATACCTAATGTAGATGACGGGTTGATGGGTGCAGCAAACAGCCATGGCACATGTATACCTATGTAACAAACCTCCACATTCTGCACATGTACCTCAGAACTTAAATACAAAAAAAAAAAAAAAAAAAGAATTGATGATTTGCTTGCACTAACATATCCACATTTTCTGGCCTGTTCAATCTTGCTTATATCTTGGCAAAACTGGAGTCACCATCACTATAATTGCTCATGCAACCATTTTTTTTTTTTTTTGAGATAAAGTCTTGCTGTGTCACCCAGGCTGAAGTGCAGTGACATGATCTTGGCTCACTGCAACCTCTGCCTCCTGGGTTCAAGCGATTCTCCTGTCTCTGCCTCCTGAGTAGTTGGGACTACAGGTGCCCGCCACCAAGCCCAGCTGATTTTTGTATTTTTAGTAGAGATGGGTTTTGCCATGTTGCATGCCACCAATTTGAAGGGGGCCTATTCATGTTATATGATTTATCATATGTCTGGGGTTCAGGCAATTTGGTCATTCTGTTACAATTGCTTAAAAATGTTCATGTGCCTTTTTCTTTTCATTTCTTCTGCCTTTCAATCCACATCAAGTTTCCTTCTCATAAAATATTTCTTGTTATGTCTCTAGGGTCCTGACCTTTGTCTTCACGAGTAACATCTGCTTTCACTAAGTTGATCTGCAAGACACATCTAATCTTGGCTTTGCTCAATTTCTGAGTTGGTTAGATTTCAAAAGTTTTGAAATGTTTTCTGGGATTTTGCATGCATTTTTTCATAGGGTGACCAACTTTTCAGACTAGTTTCTCAAAGCCTATTTCACTTATTCATGTAGTGGGATTAGGACCAGCTTGAGTGCTATGTTCAGGAACTATGAGGAGGTCACAGCCATCAAAGGAGGAGGAGTGTTTTCTCCCACCATGACCCTGAATGCAGGTTCATTTCTAGGTAAAAGTTTTAGATAAGTAGGTTACATCTTCCTTTTCTTCCCTGTTCCCTGTACTCCCTTTCATAACTCCCTGGGGCTTTCCCTCCAACTCTTCGGTGCTCAGTGTCCCCCACACAGCACTTACCCATTTATTGTATGCCTGCATCCAGAAACAATTTAACTCTAAAACTGTGTTTCAAAATTACTTGCATCACTGCTTCCTCATTCGCTGTGTGTGGTTGCTCTACAATCTTTGGGAAAGCGAAAGTGGAATTAATTGACCCTACTGGATAACTGACTGATTTCATTATTTAAACTAAAATTCTCAGATATACCAAATGAAATAATTGGCAAAGTGAAGTGAAAGTATTCAGGCAGGTTAAGGAGTATATTTTGGAACAGCAAGACATGAAGTCATTTATTAATTTAAAGAACATTTATTGGGCGGCTTTCATGAACTAAGCTCTTTGTTAAGCAGAGGAGATGAATGACACTGGATTACATGGGCTAAAGAGAAAGAAAAGCCAGCAATTCAATAGAGTATGTTAGGTACTATTGTAATTCCTGCACTTTGGGATGCCGAGGTAGGTGGATCATTTGAGGTCAGGAGTTCGAGACCAGCCTGGCCAACATGATGAAACCTCATCTCTACTAACAATACAAAAAATTGGCCAGGTGTGGTGGTAGGTACCTGTAATCCCAGCTACTCAGGAGGCTGAGGCAGGAGAATCACTTTAACCCAGGAGGCGGAGCTTGCAATGAGCCGAGATCATGTCATTGTACTCCAGCCTGGGCGACAGAGTGACACTCCATTTCAAAAAAAAAAAAAAAAAAGATTATACAATGCGGCATTTGGGGTGATCAGGCTTCCCAGGGGAAGTGACAGCACAAATGAGATGTGGAGGCCTGAGTCATGGCTATTTTTGTGTATGGTGCTTATAAATTCCTTTCTAACTTATACTTTTCCCTCTTTGGTGCAGAGGTTCAATCACGAGAGTACCTAAGAATTGCCTAGGCTATTTGTTTGGAATGTATCTTCTCAGACCCCATTCCCAGTGTTCTGATTCCACTGGTTTAGAGTGTCTTCTGGGAACTTAAATTTTTAACAGACCCACAGGGCATTTGGGTACCAGCTGTTCTGGGGCCACGTTTTGAGAAATAAGACTCTGAAGTGCCAGGCGGATTGACATTAGCTTAAATTATGAAGTGGGTCAAGTTTTTCTTTGTGCACTCTCTCCACTCCTTACATACTCCTGGTGCCCTTGAGTTACTGGGAGCTCTACTGAGGTCCCTGTGGCCATTATCCTGGTGCCCAATCTGATCTTCCACCATGCAAACTTACCATCCTGTAATCACAGAATGTTAGAACAACATCAGAATTAGTTGAAATTTTTTAAATGGGCAAAAGCAAGGCATTGGCCACATTTAATCCCCTTCTAAGCTTACATCTGTGACCCCAAGTGCCCTTAAACCCATTTATGCCTAGTGTTCCATTATTGGAACGCTAAGCATGGGAGTTATTATATCTTACTGCTCAAGGTCATTGCAAGGTCTGATTGCAAAAATGCAAAAAATTGCAACCTCAGGCATAAATGTGTTAATATCCCATTGATTGTTAAATCCTATGTTCTGTTTATTTCCTCATCCCCTTGCTGTTCCCATTCCTTCTGTTGTTAAAATTTGTTGAGGTGACATTCACATGCTGGTTTCCAACACACATCTAACATTGTAACTGTGTTTGGATAAAACAAATCAAAACTTTTCTTTAATAAATTGATAGTCTTTTCAATAAGTGGTGTTAGGAAAACTGTATATCCACATACCAAAAAATGAAACTAGACCCCTATACTAGACACAAAAATCAACTCAAAATGGATTAAAAATCCAAACATAAGTCCTCAAACTAGAAGAAAACAGAAAGGAAAACCTCTTTGACATTGATCTTGAAGAAAACAATGGGGAAAAGCTGCTCATTAATGATATTTTAGATATGACCCCCAAAGCACAGGCAATAAAAGGAAGCAAACAAAAGGTGGAATTACATCAAATTAAAAAGCTTCTGCATAGCAAGGGAAACAACACAATGAAAAGGCAGCTCATGGACAAGGAGAAAATATTTGTGAACTATATATCTGGTGAGGGGCTAATATCCAGTATATATAAGAAACTCAACTCAATAGCAAGAAAACAAATAACCCATTAAAAATGGTCAAAGGACCTGGAAACACTCCTCAAAAGAAGACATACAGAAATACAAATAGCCAACAGAAACATTTAAAAATGCTCAACATCATTAATCAACAGGGAAACACAAATCAAAACCGTAGTGAGAGATCACCTCACATCTGTTAGGATGGTTATCAACACAAAGACGAGATAAATGTTGGTGAAGGTGTGGAGAAAATGGATCACTTGTGGACTGTTGGTAGGATTGCAAATTGGTACAGCCACTGTGGAAAGCAGCATGGAAGCCCCTGAAAAACTTAAAAATAGAGCCACCATATGATTCAGCAATCCCTCTTATGGGCATATATTCAAAGAAATGAAATCAGTATGTCAAAGAGATATCTGCATTCCCATGTTCATTGCAGCATTATTCACAATAGTCAAGATTTGGAATCAGCCAAAGTGTCCATCTACACATGAATGGATTTTTTTTAAGTGGCACATATACACAATAGAATACTACTCAGTCTTAAAAAAGAAAGAAATCCTGTCATTTGCAACAACATGGATGAAACTAGAGGACGTTATGTTAAGTGAAATTGGCCAGGTACACAAAGACAAATACCGCATGATCTCACTTATATGTAGAATCTAAAAAAATTGAACTACAGAAGCAGAGAGTAGAATGATGGTTACTGGTGAGGAGTGGGGGGATGAGGGGTTGGGGAAATGTTGGTGAAAGGATACAAAATTTCGGTTAGACAGGAGGAATAAGTTTAAGATATCTATTGTACAACATGGTAACTGTAGTTAATAACATTGTGTACTTGTAAATTTCTAAGGCAGCAGATTTTAAGTGCTCTCACCACAAAAAAATGATGAATATGTAAGGTAATGCATATGTAAATTAGCATCATTTAGCTATTCTACGATATATACATATTTCAAAGCATCACGTTGTACACCATAAATACATATATTTATTTTTCAATTTAAAAAATTAAAAATTTTTTGAAGAAGTGATATTCACATGCTGGATTTAGAACACGTATTTAATATTGTAACTATATTTGGTTAAAACAAACCAAAACTCTTGCCCGTCTTGAAAATTATGCATTAGAAATTTAATATAAAATGTTAAGTGGACAGTAATTACTTTTCCCCCTCCTTTTGTTCCCCCTTGCCACAAAACATAAGTATCATTTTCCCTTCAACTAGCCAACTTCTTTGTCAGCCTTAGGTTTACAGAGGAATTTTTCAAAGAAACTTTCTAGATACAGTGTAAAACTTCATGGCAAGAAAACTCAATGCTTATTTAGAGTTTCTCAAACAAAAGGATTTTGGTTGTTTGCAAAGTCCAATTTCTATGCTTCAAAAAATAACATGTGGCTTAGTGAGGTTTTGAGTTTATATCAAAACTCTGATCATGATCCTAATACTCAGAATCAGACCATTTCTGTATTCACACCACATAAACAGATTCTAAGAACTCTATCCCTGACACTCAAATCACCAGCCCATGGAATTGAAATGAAAATAAGAATCAGGTGAAGGTTTATTTTTAAGGAACATTCAATCCAAAACAAAGTTAAACTTAAAGTATAAATTCTGTTCTTCTGGACACTCGTGAAGTTTCTCACTGCCATTACAGTTGGCCAAAACTATCTGCATGAAGAACCAAGGCTTTGGAAGGCATTTAGGAAATAACTTTCTGAGATTGTGTTCTGCTAACACACCATGACTAATAGCTGCAGGAACTATAGTCAAGTCTCTAAGTTATTTTATGCTTCCTACTTGGTGTGGGAATTCTAGGACAAAGTCTGTTAGCCTTGGTTTGGTTGCCATTCTGCTCCCATTCAATGAAATTGTGGCAAACAAGGCATGTTAAAGAGTCTGGTAGCATTGACCATACAGTGCCATTGTTCAATCAAACTCTCAGGGTTTTTATTGACAGGTCCAGGGGAAAGCCAAACCTGAGATGGAGAAGGGGTGAAATTGGAGAAGGAATCTACTGAAGGCTATTAGTACATTTCAGGCACTCTACTCATCTGTTTGCATATATTATCTCATTCATTTTCTTTTATATCCCCTAGATACAAATTTCCCACCATTCTGGATTCTGACACCCAACAGAAAGACTGTTATTTGGCATCATGTGAATTAGCCAGGAGACCTCTAATTTCCAGCCATTTCCTCTGGTCTGACCCCTAAACTCAGCTCATCTGGTTTCTCGTTTCTGAGGGGACAAACACTTCCTAAAAGGCAGACCCTCTGGGGTTCTGAGGAGACCGTCCCTGACATTGTTTTTACTTCAAGACTACAAGCGAATGAAAAACAGCTACCTCTCACAAGAGGGCTGGAGCCCTTGATACAGAACAGATCTCCAACTGGCTTTTGGACTAAAATAACTGAACCAACAAGATATTTTAGAGGTGATTATTTGTTGCATTTCTCAAATTATGATGAATTTTATAGACCCATATCTCATAGGTATATCTGTCTTAATCCTAAATTAGGGATTAGTACACTTTTTTTTCCCACAAATCATTTTAAGTGTGGAAATAATCCCATAAATCCCATCACCCCATAAGGTTAACTCATCAAAATCCTTTCATCGAGGACTAGGATTATACTCTATCCCAAATCAAGCCAAGTAAATATAGATGATGCCAGACCACTAAACAATGTTTTCTAGAACTCTAAAAGTGCAGAGTAAATATCCCTCCTTGGGCCACATGTGTGGTCTGGTATGAAGAAAGAGCTTTGGAGGATGGAATATAAGCACTAATGCTCACTGGCTGTGGGGTCCAGGTGAGTCACTTACACTCCCAGGAAGTCAGTGCCCAATGTCATGAGAACTTACTAAAGCCCATGGCTCATAACAGAGTATGGTGGACAATAAAGAGTAGCTGTAAATTTTTATTGGCTGGAAAACTCTTAGAGAACAGAGCATGTGTATTTATCTTTGTAGTTTATCATAATGGCACGTACAAATCCTTTATAAACATCTGTTTATTGGAGAAAAAACCTACTTATATGTCTCAAAAATTGTGTACATCTGTTAAGACTTTCCTTGTATTGCCAAGTCAATCCTAAGCCAAAAGAACAAAGCTGGAGGCATCACACTACCTGACTTCAAACTATACTACAAGGCTACAGTAACCAAAACAGCATGGTACTGGCACCAAAACAGAGACATAGATCAATGGAACAGAACAGAGCCCTCAGAAATAACGCCGCATATCTACAACTATCTGATCTTTGACAAACCTGAGAAAAACAAGCAATGAGGAAAGGATTCCCTATTTAATAAATGGTGCTGGGAAAACGGGCTAGCCATATGTAGAAAGCTGAAACTGGATCCCTTCCTTACACCTTATACAAAAATCAATTCAAGATGGATTAAAGACTTAAACGTTAGACCTAAAACCATAAAAACCCTAGAAGAAAACCTAGGCACTACCATTCAGGACATAGGCATGGGCAAGGACTTCATGTCTAAAACACCAAAAGCAATAGCAACAAAAGCCAAAATTGACAAATGGGATCTAATTAAACTAAAGAACTTCTGCACAGCAAAAGAAACTACCATCAGAGTGAACAGGCAACCTACAAAATGGGAGAAAATTTTCGCAACCTAGTCATCTGACAAAGGGCTAATATCCAGAATCTACAATGAACTCAAACAAATTTACAAGAAAAAAACAAACAACCCCATCAAAAAGTGGGCGAAGGACATGAACAGACACTTCTCAAAAGAAGACATTTATGCAGCCAAAAAACACATGAAAAAATGCTCACCATCACTGGCCACCAGAGAAATGCAAATCAAAACCACAATGAGATACCATCTCACACCAGTTAGAATGGCAATCATTAAAAAGTCAGGAAACAACAAGTCCTGGAGAGGATGTGGAGAAATAGGAACACTTTTACACTGTTGGTGGGACTGTAAACTAGTTCAACCATTGTGGAAGTCAGTGTGGCGATTCCTCAGGGATCTAGAACTAGAAATACCATTTGACCCAGCCATCCCATTACTGGGTATATACCCAAAGGACTATAAATCACGCTGCTATAAAGACACATGCACACGTATGTTTATTGCGGCATTATTCACAATAGCAAAGACTTGGAACCAAGCCAAATGTCCAACAATGATAGACTGGATTAAGAAAATGTGGCACATATACACCATGGAATACTATGCAGCCATAAAAAATGATGAGTTCATGTCCTTTGTAGGGACATGGATGAAATTGGAAATCATCATTCTTAGTAAACTATCGCAAGAACAAAAAACCAAACACCGCATATTCTCACTCATAGGTGGGAATTGAACAATGAGAACATATGGACACAGGAAGGGGAACATCACACTCTGGGGACTGTTGTGGGGTGGGGGGAAGGGGGAGGGATAGCATTGGGAGATATACCTAATGCTAGATGACGAGTTAGTGGGTGCAGCGCAGCAGCATGGCACATGTATACATATGTAACTAACCTGCACATTGTGCACATGTGCCCTAAAACTTAAAGTATTATGATAACAAATCAATCAATAAATAAATAAAAAAGATTTTCCTTGTAAAAACTAGATAGGAAAAAGCTTTTATTTATTTATTTATTTATTTATTTTGAGACAGAGTCTCCCTCTGTCGCCAGTCTGGAGTGCAGTGGCGCGATCTCGGCTCACTGCAATCTCCGCAGGAGAAAACACTTAACTCATATTTTCCAGGGGACTTTTTAATGTAATTAAAACAGAAAAATAAAGTTTTTCCTAGTAGTTACTACATATGACTAAAAATTATAATTACTATTCCTTTTAGGCCATAAGTATTGCAGCATAATTTTTAGAACCTGATGAACTAGTATAAAAACTGGTTTGAAAAAACTAATAAAATAGATAAACATGTAGCAAAATTGGTCAAGCAAAAGAAAAGAGAAAGCACGATACATAATTGTACTGGGAATGAAAAAGAAGCGACAACTATAAATACTGTACAAATTTGAAAAAATAACTTAAAAGAATACTGTGAATAGCTTTATCTTCAAAGCTTTTAAAAATTAAAAGAAACTGATGTATCCAAAAAATATAAATGACCAAAATAGAAATAGCAAAGCCTGAACAGACAACTAATAACTGAATAAATTATTATTTTTGTCTATCTATTTTCCCTGTCCCTAAAAATGCACTAACCAGAATGGTTTTACAATTTACCAAACTTTCAAAAACCTGATACTTTTTTTCTTAATCAATTTCAGAAAAAAAAAGAAAGAAGAAAAGAAAGGAAGGAAGGGAAGGAAAAAGAAAAGTGTTTCAATTCATTTTATGAAGCTAGTACAATCTTGACACCAAAACTGGGCCTGGATCGTACAAGAAAGGAAAAACCCAACTCAGTCATGTTAGTTCCTAGCTCCAGCTAATTGAATGCTGTCATCTAGGCCTTTGACTCTCAAGAGAGCGACAGTAAGATACAAGAACAGTGGAGAAGTTTTTCTGGTAGCTATGAAAATGAGAACATGATGGAATTAGTGCTGAGTACCAAGAAGCAGTGATGTCCGTAATGGAGTTCTCAGCAGCGACCTAAAGAATCAGATTTACCCAACTTCAGTTTAAGATAGTTGGGGTGAGTTTCTGTTACCTCCAAATCTAAATATTGACTGATACATCTTACATGTACATCTTTTGGCCATATACCAAAAATATAGCAAATTTCATATTTAATAGGGAAACTCTAGAAGTATTGTCTTTAAGGTTAAGAAGACAGAATGTTGCTATTCAACATTGTACTGGGGTTTCTAATGAATGCAATAAGACAAAAAATAGGAATTAATTTTGAAAAGGGAGAAAAAAATGGTTATTTTAATATATTTTCCTGTAGGGAAAAGCAAGAGAGTTAAGCAATGTTGTTGCATATAAAGATTAATGTACAACCATCCATAGTGCTCATATATACCAGCAAAAAATCATTTAGAAAATGTAAATTTAAAAAGCTCATTAAAAAAGAAAAACAAAAACTATAATATAGTTAAAAATAAATGAAACTCATACAAGATCTCAGTTGAGAAAATTATTAGAGCTGATTGAAAGACAAAATGAAAAGAAACTAGACATATATATGGCTGTTCCGAAATTTAAATTATCTATAGAATAAAAAATTACATAAAGTTAAATGACTAGTATCTAACTTCTTAGTCAATACATATTTAAAAAGTTAAATTAAAAGGCAAGTTATAAACTGGGAAGAGATATTTACTAGTTGCATACCAAAGCATTAATACCCAAGATATATAAAGAACTCTTATGAAGCAATAAAAAGATAAGGCAATAAATAATTTACAGAAAAAGAAGGTAAAGTGAAACAAGAAAAAGCATGAAAAATGCTCAATCTCAGTAGTCATCAGGAAAATGAGAGCAAGAAGAATACTTATCAGATTGGTAAATATTTAAAATGTCTGAGGATATGGTGAGGATATTTGGAAATAGAAATTTTCATTTACTCGGGAGTGAATTCTGCTACAATCACTCCAAAGAGTAATTTGGAACTATCTGGTAAAATTGAAGTTAACTTGTCTTCCAACCCAACAAGTCCTCATCTAGGTATATTCTCCCCCCACAACTGGCACAGTTGACGTACACAAGAATACACAAGGATGTTCAGTCTAGCAACCTTTGCAAGACTCAACTTTGTGGAACAACTTAAAGCTCATCATAGGGGAAATGGATAAACAAATTGTGATTTATTTACATGACAAAATACTAGATAGCCAAAAATATAAACTAGACTACATGCATCAACATTAATTTCTCTTGAATTCACATATGGAGTCAAGAAAGTAAGCTATAGAATGATACAGAAAATATGATACAGTTTAAATAAAATGTTGAAATACAAAACACAGTCCTATGGCATTTGTGGTTGTGGGCAGATATGATAAAACGAAGAGTAAAATGCACATCAACTGCAGCACACTGATAACTCCTGAGGAAGAAAGAGAATGAACATGAAACAAAGAGGAACTCCAGTATGATGTTTTATTTTTTAAAAACACAATGATTACTTTTCCTGGAGGTGGGCGCATAGGGGTATTTATTATAGTTCACTGTGTATCTTTGTGCATTTTAAATATTCCATAATAAAGAAACTGCAATTAATATGCAGTGTAGCCAGTATATGAATCAATGTGGTCTACAAACCAAATGATGATACTGACAAACGTTTTGCCAACTTGGAAACCCTAGAAACTTCATTTTAAAAGATCTTCTCATACATAGGACAAATCATTTGTTTCCTTTTCCACAAATGAAGAGGACATAAAAGCATGATTACATTGACATGATTTTAAAAATCTGAGACTACCGAAGCTATTTTTAGCTGAAGTTATTATTAATACTGAAGCGATTATTAGCTGAAGAGTAAAGAATCACTCTCTCTGAATTAACACTGTAGGCCTCTCCTTTAAAAATGTGGGTGTTTTGACAATGTAATCAAGTTTAATGTGGGTTTAAATTTTATTTTAATTAGCCAGTAAGCAAGAAAATTGTGTGTCTTGTTTGAAGACTGTTTATGGGTAAAATACAATTTCATATTGTATGGGTACATTGCTATATATCATGGACAGATGAGCTTTTATAATCATTAAAAAGGAAATCCTGTTAAAGAACAACAAATTAATGTTCGGGTTATTTAAAGAGAAAAATTTCCATTATTCTTACAGTAATTGGAAACTTTTAAGAATTTCTTAAGGAGAGTATGTTTCAAACTGGTGCAGGAAATAAGAAGTTGGATAAAAAACAGCTAGCAATTCTTCACATTTTAAGGATAATTCACATAGATAAAGCTTAAAGACCTTAATTTCCTTTTGAAATTCATTTATTTTGCCTTATTTTACATATTTATATTGGTAGAATCTCAATGCATGCACTATATGCTAGAATAAGAAATGTAAACTACCTAGAGTTCACGTCCAAGATAAAATCTCTAGTAAATTTTACCTGTTGGTTCTAGAAAATGGTCTACAAAGCCAGGTGCAGTGGCTCACGCCTGTAATCCCAGCACTTTGGGAGGCCAAGGTGGGCAGATCATGAAGTCAGGAGATGGAGACCATCCTGGCTAACAAGGTGAAACTCCGTCTCTACTAAAAATACAAAAAATTAGCCGGGCGTGGTGGGGGGCGCCTGTAGTCCCAGCTAATTGGGAGGCTGAGGCAGAAGAATGGCGTGAACCCGGGAAGCGGAGCTTGCAGTGAGCCGAGATCATGCCACTGCACTCCAGCCTGGGTGACAGAGCGAGACTCCATCTCAAAAAAAAAAAAAAAGAAAGAAAGAAAATGGTCTACAAGTTTGTGTTTGAAGTAACTGATCAGCAATCAACAAAATTATTGAGTATTGCTTTATGACCAACAGTGTCATCATCATCAGTGTTGTTAGGTGAAGAATAGACATACCCCTACTCTCCAACCCTCCACAAGTTTTCAGAATTGAGTCTGGACACAGTGATCTGTCCAAGGCTGATCAATACATAATATGGTGCCAACTTGCAAAAAAGTAGATCATTAAATTGCTACATTCACAATGGTTTTTTGTAGTCCCTCTGTTCAGAAAGAACGCTAAGACGGTTAAAACTAAGGGTTTGAACCTAAGTGATCCTGCTCTCTCACCCTGTTCTGTGAATACAGATTTCCTTTTCAATCAGGACAGTACTTCTCATTGATTATAAGGAACAAACTAGAGATGACTTAGAAATGGACTAATCCAGTCCTGCTGTTTTACAAATAACATGTGAAGTCCTAAACTTCCCATTCTGTAAGTGAGAATACAGTATGGAAAGAAGGAGAAAAGAGTAATATTATGGGAGAAAGTGGAGAAACCTGATAAACAGCATCTCAGCCAGGTGATCAATGTCAACAACATCAGTGATAGGACATGTGGATAGCATGAACCCTTGATACGAAGTGATGAGAATGACATTTCACCTTGCTGGTCTTCCTCTCTAAAACTCATAACCCCAGTCTATTAATGAGAAAAAAAGAGACAAATCCCAATTGAGGGACATTCTACAAAATATCTGGCCAGTACTCTCAAAACTCTCAGGGCCATCAAAAACAAGAAAACTGTAAGACCGTCAGAGTCAAGAGTTGCTCAGGGAGACCTGATGACTATCTTAGTCTACTGGCACAGCAAAATACCACAGACTGAATGGCTTAAGCAGCAGATATTTGTTTCTTACAGTTTTGGAGGTTGGATAGTCTAAGATCAAGGTGTCAGTATAAATCAAGCTCTGGTTTCTCTTCCTCTTCTTATAGGACACTAATCCTCATGACCTCATATAAATCTAATTCCCTCCAAAGACCCCATCTCCAGATAGCATCACATTAGGGTTAGAACTTCAACGTGAATTTTGAGAGGACGCAAACATTTAAATACATAACAGTGACAAAATGTAATGTGGTATCCTGGATAGCATCTGGGACTGAAAAAGTTTGTTAGGTGAAAATGAAGGAAATCTAAATAAGATATGGACTTCAGTTAATAATAATGTATCAATATTTGTTTATTGATTGTGATAAATATACTAATGTAAAGCATTAATAATAAGGTGTTAGGGGCTAACTTGTGTCCCCATCCAAATTTATATATTGGAGTCCTAACCCCAGTACCTCAGAAAGTGACTATATTTGGGGCCAGGAATGTTAACTCACGCCTGTAATCCCAGCACCTTGGGAGACCGAGGCGGGGAGATCACGAGGTCAGGAGATGCAGACCATCCTGGGCAACATGGTGAAACCCCATTTCTACTAAAAAAATACAAAAATTAGCTGGGCATGGTGGTGTGTGCCTGTAATCCCAGCTATTCGGGAGGCTGAGGCAGGAGAATTGCTTGAACCAGGGAGTTGGAGGTTGCAGTGAGCCAAGATTGCACCACTGCGCTCTCGCCTGGTGACAGAGCAAGACTCAGATTAAAAAAAAAAAAATTGACTATATTTGGAAATAGGGCCCTGAAAGAGGTAGTTTAGTTAAAATGAGGTCATTGGGGTGGGCCCTAATCCAAATTGACTGGTGTCCTTGATAAGAAGAGGAGATCAGGACAGAGACAAAACCATGTGAGAACACAGCAAGAAGGAGGCCATGGGCAAGACAAGGAGAGATGCCCCAGAAAAGCCTCTTGATCTTGGTCTACACCTTGATCTTGGACTTATAGCCTCCAGAACTGAGAGAAAATAAACTGTTGTTGTTTAAGCCACCCAGTCTGTGGGGCTTTGTGACAGCAGCACTAGCAAGCGAATACATAGGGGAAAATGCGTGTAAAGTATATGGGAACTACCTGGACCATCTTCACAACTTTTTTTAAAACCTAAAACTGTTCTAAAACAGAAAGTTTATTTTAAAGGCATGAAGCCCAAAGAGGTTAAGCAAGGTAAGATAATACATGAGTCAAAAATACCATTGTGAAGCCCAGTTATGCCTTTTACTGTGTGGGCAAGTCATTTACTCTCTTTAAGATTTTGCTCATTTATGATATAAAATTAAGGGCTAGTATCAGCCATGCTTATTTCTTAGGGTTAGTATCATATCAGTGGAATTAATATTAAATACATGCAAAAGCAATTTAATCAAAGGACCCGTTACTATTAAATGTTTTGTTCAAGGCCCATCGCTATTTTAAGCAGAGGTCAAATTATTTAGAACTTTTATCTGCTGTTAATCCAGTCCTCCTTTCATCACTCCTTACTGACGTCATACCCGAAAACTTCAGTAGCTCCGCGGTTCCAAGAACACATTAGTCAGATTATAACCTGTGGTGGCAGTCTGCTTTCCTAATTAGAATTAGCCATCTCAAAACTGCAAATGCTTGTCTTGAATGGCATCCTGGGGGATATGACATTCAGACAACACCACAGCTTGAGAAGCAACCCTGTGAACAATATTGATTGTGGATCAATATTTTTCCTGTATATGAAAGAAAATATGTTTTTCTACTAAGTATGATACTTTATGGCAGGTCTCCAAAATACAGTATCCAAGGTAATATACTGGGGAGTGCAGAAAAATATTAGAACTTTCTCTTATAATTTTAAAAATTCATGCTTTTTGAATTTATGTTTTTGTGTGTTTGTTTTATAATTTACATAGTATATTATACAGTAATATGTGCCTATAAAACATGCATAAATACACATATATTTCAGAGTGCCAATATATTTTAGAGTGCTGATTGAGAGTACACACACAGAGATACACGTGCGTGCGTGCACACACACACACACACACACACACACACACACACACACACACAAAGGCTTGAGTCCCCTTCATGAGAAGGCAGGAGAAACAGGACCAGTGCATAGACAAGTACAAATTGGATTTGTAGTCTTTTTCCCTTAAATATTATAGGAGAGAAAAGGAACATATTTTCATCTCCAGAGATGTTTTCAAACTCTAGGCTCTGCTGCATATTGGTTAAGTGCCTTGCAATAATCACTCAATCTCTTTATGCCCCAGTTCCCTCACCCTTAAGGTGGGGATTCCTAACAGTGCCTTCCTCATATTATATTTCCCAGGTAGGAGAGAAATGAGGAGAAAACCATGAGTATCCAAGGATGGAAACTTTCTTAATCAGAAGGCCATGTGGTTGTTAACACCTGTGGGGCATCCTGCTCATACATATGTTTTTCCTTGTTTAAATAAACCATGAATATGACTTCCAGTATTTCTGAGTCAGCAAATCAAAGAGTGAGGGGCAGGCAGGCTATTGTGACAGACTTTGTGGAGTGAGCTGGCAGCAATGACCATGGCGGTTGCTGGGACCATTGTGACCAGGAAACAGAGTAACTGGAGAGGGACATAAACTGGGCCCAGTACCACTACTACCCCTCTGCTACCTAACTGTCTTTGGTAAATAAATAGATTTTTGTATACATTGCTACAGATGGGCATTTGCCTGATGAAAGGGAGTATGGAGGACACTCCAGGCAAGGGGAATAGTATGTGCAGTGTCAATGGAGGTGTGAAAATACATGGAGCATTAAGGGCTTTTGAGGGTTCCAAGTTCATGTAAATGTGAGTGCCAAATCAGTGAACCATGCTTATTTGAGCCACAGCTGTGTGCTTTATGTATAGTACATGTCTAAGAAATATTCAGTATTGTCTTGATAACTGAGTAGAACATATAGGAGATATCAGAATCACCTTCTTGGGAGCATTTTCTTTGGCAGATTACAATCCCTGCCTTTAAGGGTTTTGGTACACAACCTCTGAAGTGCTATCTATTGACCCACCGGGGTCGGGAGAGGGGAGACGAGTAAAGTGCTATTATTTGAGGTCAGGGTGTTTTAAACTGCAAATTGTAACCCATTGGTAGATTGTAAAATCAATTTAGGGTATCATAACCATAATTTTAGAAAAGTGAAATGAAATAAAATAGAGCACAGATGTACATAAACATGTCTATATCCCAGGGCACAATGTAAAATATATTTTATACCATGGGTTATGGGCAAAAAGGTCAAGCCACTGGTCTACATGATAGTTAGTACAAGCCCTTAGTAAATCAGTAGGCAGGTTCTGGCGATGTTACTAAAAACAAATTGGCGGGATTTAGTGACTGATTGAATGTGGAAGTTAAAGACGAATGAAGATTCAACATTTCTGGCCTAAGCTAATAGGTGAAGTGTGCAAAGCCATTAAAGCTGAGATTAAAAATGAAAAAACATACATGTTGTGAGATTACTTTGGGGGCTGGAATGGGGGTTAGGGGCAGGATGTCAGGGAGAAGATCATACAATTTGTTGGGATATATTACATTTGAGATTCTTGCAGGTCATCCAAGTGGAGATGGATCTGTGAAAATGGTTTGCTATTCACTCGACCCAGAAAACCCCTCAAAATCAGGCAAATCAAGAGTTTCAAATATTTGTGTTTCCTTTAAGAACACTTGTGAAACTGCCCAGGCCATCAAGGGTGTGCATATATGAAAAGCCACCAAGTATCCGAAAGATGTCACTTCACAAAAACAGCGTGCACCATTCTGACATTACAATGGGGGAATTGGTAGTGCCCAGGTCAAGTGGTGGGGCTGGACACAGGAGGCAAATAGGAAATGTAGTCTGAAGCACAAGGAAGAGGTCAGGGCTAATGATAAAATGTGGCAGTCATTATTATCCAGGTGATAGCTGACACTTTAAATTGGATGAGATTTTTCTAAGGAGCATGTGTACTGTACAAAAAGGACAAAGGATGAAACACCTGGGGAGGTCAACCTTTAATGAGCGAGTCACCGGAGCAGTAGAATGAAAATGAAGTAGAAGGAGAACTGAGTCTATTTGTCACAGAAATATTATATGTTGCAGAAATAACAGCACAAAAGAAACTAAACAGCAGTCTTTTAAACTGGCAGTTAAGAGGCATTAGCAAACACCGCATATTCTCACTCATAGGTGGGAATTGAACAATGAGATCACATGGACACAGGAAGGGGAATATCACACTCTGGGGACTGTGGTGGGGTCGGGGGAGGGGGGAGGGATAGCATTGGGAGATATACCTAATGCTAGATGACACGTTAGTGGGTGCAGCGCACCAGCATGGCACATGTATACATATGTAACTAACCTGCACAATGTGCACATGTACCCTAAAACTTAAAGTATAATAATAATAATAAAAAAAGAAAAAAAAAAAAAAGATAAAAAAAAAAAAAAAAAAAAAAAAAAGAGGCATTAGGGACCTTAATGAGAGAAATTACCATGGAGTTGAGAAATAGGATAGCAAACCAGATTTCAGCCAGTTGAAGAGTAGTCAATGGTAACTAATGACAAATGGTTTTCTGTTTATGGCATGAGTGGAAGAAAATGGATAGAGGGTTAACTATGGAGGGAATAGGGCGAAGAGCAGGGATTTTATAATTGGGACATTAGGTAATATTTTTGGGTAGAGTGAAGGATTAAGGTTGATGATAATAGCAAACCTATAGTGCTTACTATGTGCTAGAGATTACTGTAAGCACTTTACATAGATTAACTCAATTAAATCTTCACAACAACATTGAGATAGGTAATACTATTATCCCTATTTTACAAATGGGGAAACTGAAGCACAGACGGGTTAAGTAAACAGAGCAAAATCACACACAACTGATATTTAGAGATAGGATTTGAATTCAGCTTGGGTTACCAGAGTCTATACTCTTTTACACTTAGCTGGAAAGAGAAAGATGTAGGAAAACAGGAAATAAAGGGCTATAATCCCTTACCCAGAAACTTTTGGGGCCAGATGTATTTCAGAATTCAAAAATTTTCAGATTTTAGAAAGGTAATATACATATGTTTGATTATACTCAAGCAGGAACTGGGGCTGTACTTTAAAACAATCCCATTGATAATTGATATTTTTATAGTAAATATGTGAGTAAATAAAGATGATATCACCTCATGTCAGTTTGGGCCAAATTCTGCTGCAATGTAGGTTGCCAAAAACTTTCAATGTTCAGAGCTGTTTGAATTTTGGACTTGTGTTTAAGGAACTGTGTTTCTGCAATAGCCAAGTGTGTCTTAGAAGGGGAGGAAGAAAAATGAATGACGGTGAAAGATTGGTGAAAGGAACATCTGTTCCTTTGTGAAAAGAGAAGGCAGGCAAAAGCAAGATCAAGAAAGTTAGTCCCGCTCTTCCCCTAAGTGGCCTGAGGTGATCTGTGAAAATAGTTTTCTGTTCACTCGACCCAGAAAACCCCTCAAAATCAGGCAAATCAAGAATTTCAAATAGTTGTGTTTCCTGTAAGAACACTCGTGAAACTGCCCAGGCCAACAAGGGTGTGCCTGTACGAAAAGCCACCAAGTATCTGAAAGATGTCACTTCACAGAAACAGTGTGTACCATTCTGACGTTACAATGGGGGAGTTGGTAGTGCCCAGGCCAAGCAGTGGGGCTGGACACAGGGTTGGTGGCCCAAAATGAGTGCTGAATTTTTGCTGCACATGTTTATAAATGCTGAGAGAAATGCCGAACTTAAGGGTGTAGATGTAGATTCTCAGGTCATTGAGCATACCCAGGTAAATAAAGCACCTAAGATTTGCTACTGGCCTTATAGAGCTCATGGTCGGATTAACCCATGCATGTACTCTCCCTGCCACATCAAGATGATCCTTACTGAAAAGGAACAAATTTTTCCTAAACCTGAAGAGAAGTAATCTGGAACAATCTGTTCCTTTTCAGTAAGGATTCAGTAAGTTTCTTTTGTGCTGATATTGCTGCAACATATGATATTTCTGTTGTACATAAGGAAAAAAAAGATATCTCAAAAGAAACTGAAGAAACAAAAACTTACGGCATGGGAATAAATTCAGCATAAAATAAATGCAATTAAGAGTTAAAAAAAAATAAAAGTTAGTTCTCAGCTTCTCACTCCCAACTCCCACAAAGAAGTACTGTTCTGTGTTCTCATCAAAGGCCAGATGTCAGACCTACCTCACCATCTTTCCCTTAAGGCCTAGAATCGCCTGTCCTTGTTTTTCCTTGAAAAGTTGGTGCATTTTACTCAGCCCACAGGCAGCATCTGCAGGTGATTCTGCCTCTCCCTGCCAGCTGTAAGTGAGACAGAATGGGAGAGAGATTGAGAGACAGAGGCTGCCACTGGAGAGATCCTCTATAGACCCCACTTCCCTTTTGCAACTAGCAATATTCCCCTCTTAATTAATTCATTAGCTACCCAGCAAGGGAAAAACAAACCTTAGAAAACTGTTAAAGCATTGGAGAGTGCTTAAGGGATAAGTGAAACAAAACTGGAAGATTTTGTCATGACCCCTGAGGAAGAGAGAATAGGAGGAGAGAGAGAGAATGAGTACGAAGAGGCTATGAATCAGGCTGACGTGGAGGGAAAGAGAGAATGGGAGTCTGACTGCGACCCATGAAGACTGAGGAGTATACCCCAGTGGTAGGCAGGCTTTATTCCAGAAGCTCTGTAGCATCTATCACTGCATCTTAACCTTCCCAGCCACCACCAGATTCAGGCCACAAGGATCCCAGTTTTCTTTATTCAGCAGATGTGGGGCCGGGGATCCTTAACTCAATTGGATAGAGAATAAAAGCATGAAAATATTCCTGGTGTTCCCAGCAGTGATCCTGGTCATCCGAATCCAGAAAAACATTGTTAAACATCGTGCTAGATGTCAAAATATTTCTCGTGGTGCTTATGGTACATGTTAAGTTAAAGAACCGGAAATGACATTCTGGTTTACAATGTCAGTTGTCTTAGGAGTTAAAAATTTTGGCCGGGTGCGGTGGCTCACGCCTGTAATCCCAGCACTTTGAGAGGCCAAGGCGGGCGGATTGCCTGAGCTCAGGAGTTCGAGACCAGCCTGGGCAACATGGTGAAACCCTGTCTCTACTAAAATACAAAAAATTAGCCAGGTGTGGTGGCATGCGCCTGTAGTCCCAGCTACTCGGGAGTCTGAGGCTGGAGAATCGCTTGAACCCAGGAGGTGGAAGTTGCAGTGAGCCAAGATCATGCCACTGCACTCCAGCCTGGGTGACAGAGCAAGAGTCTGTCTCAAAAAAAAAAAAAAGAAAAAAAAGAAAAAAAATTTGGTAGTCTTCCCCAAAAATTTAATACTCATGTGAAATACATTCCAAACAAATGACTTCTACAGTGCAGCCCTATAAATTGGAGATTGCTTGTTTTTATATTCCTTTTGCCAAAGTTACTAAAATTACTGGTCTAACAGAAATGAAAAATAATATATTCTTTTGACTCAACAGCATGGCAGCATCTTCACATCCAGAGCTTGATTTTAGAGTCAATATGACTTCATTGGGCATTTTCTAGACCCAGAGAACGAGTTGGCAAATCATCCTATCTGGTAATGTTAATGGAAAAAAATCCACTTTTAGCTTTATAATTAAAGCAACCCTGTATAGTTTAATTATCGATGTGAATTGCAGCACAGGTGAAATATTGATCAAACCTGCTAATGTTACAAAACTGAGAGAAAGAGCAAATCTGTTAGATAACACACACTAACATTTTGATCTTCCACCTCCTCAAGCTCCATCATCCAAAATGGGAGCAATTTGGAGGATCATGTGGTATACAGAATGGAGGAAAAACCTGGAATGTTTAGCCTAGAAGAGAAAAGACTTGTTAGTGGTGAAGAGGAGGAAAGTCTTTAAGTAGAAATGATTACTTCTGATTTGGTCCATGATGGCTCTGGTGAACATATCTAAGACTAATGGTGGTAGATTTTCTCCAATATAAAAAAGAATAACAGAATTCTTCAAAAATGAGATAGTAAGCTCTTTTTACCCTATGTATTCAAAAGATGAATATCATGAATCAGGTATAGGAGATTCTTACACTGGGTGTGAGGTTAAAGTACACGATATCCAAGTCTCTAAAACTCTGTAAGTCCACGGAAATTATAATAACTACTGCCTCTTTCTTCTCCAAGCAATATGATATCCTCAAAATTGGATGCCAATGAGAAAATGCAAGTTGATGCTAAGACCCCAGTTGGTTTTACAATTGTGCAATCAAGTTTTAAGTGTTCTTGATGGAACCAGCCAACCTGAGACAGCCCATTTCCTTAGTCATGGAGATGTACTTTTGGAAGGAAAAATCTGTAGTAGGCATAAATCAGTCCAAGCCAGTGGCTTTCCAAGAGGGTATGATTACAAAAGAGACAAAAATTATTATAGCCCAGAAGAGGAAAAGAAAGCAGAACTCATTATCCTTATAAAATATGTCCTTTGATTCTTCCTTCTACTCTATTGCACACACTGTTTCTTAGGCTATCTAGTTGTCAGTGAGGTCAAGATAATGTTGTGTATCACTCATTTTCTTTATATTGGCTTTAGAGAGACAGCCAAGATTAGCCATTCCAGTTTCTTTTTATAATAACTACTCCTTAAGAAATTCAAGTTTCTCGATGTTGGAAATCATTTAAAATTCTCTAGTATGCAGCAGTAGCTTCTGCTTGATCTTTATAAGTAATAATTTCAAGATATTGCAGTGTGATTACATAAGAGGTCATAATGGAAGTCTGTTTTTCTCCTTTGTAACACCCACCAAACATGTAATTATTTGATCATTGCTGGCTGTCTGTCTAAAATGCAAATTCCATGAAAGTGTGGGCAACTTATCTGTTCTGTTCAGCATTCGATTTCCAGCACCTACCACAGTGTTAGCACTCAAACAATATTGATCTGAACAAAGAAATCTAACATATGAATGATTGCCTGCCCCAATACTCTTATTTCCCACATAACACACACACTGTGACTTTTCTCAGGCAGTTTCTTAAAAGAATAGAAGCAACCAATATTTTTTCCCTCAAATTTCAGAAAGAAATTTTTTTTGTCCTTTTGTCTTGGATCAAGGCAAGGATTCTATTTCTTCCTTTTAAATTACTTCATTAATCCTTGTTATTAACTATATCAAATGGGCACTGGGTGGTTCATAATGATGTAATGGCATTCCAGCTCTCACTGTTGTACAATGAGAATGCTTCCAAGTCCCAAATGAGAGAATGAGCTTCCCAAGTAGGTAAATACCATCTCATGAGACAGTTCAGACAAACAGTCTCATCCAAAAAATTAAGTAAATATGAACAATCTCCTATCTCTTAAGTATCTTCCGATGCCTTTTCAGGCGACAGCTACCTGGGGATTGGGAAGTAGGCAGATTAGACACTAACCTGCCCTGTCCTGTAATTTTGCCAGAAGTCAGACATAACCTAGTTTCAACACCCAGGATAATCTTACAATAGAACTATATTTGTCTGTATATTATTTACTTATTTCATAACTATCTCCGTATTTCATTTGATCTTTGTGAATACCGTGAGGTTGTTAACATAAGTATTAATTATTATTGTTACTCCCATCTATTTTATATATGCAAGAACTCCAGGGTTTAAATGATCATTTTAGGGTAAAAGAGCTAGTTGGAGGCAAAGCTGGGTCTCTTCCTCTCTATGTGGCAAAGCAGTGTGATGTGGCAACTACAGGAATAAAACCCATTTAATCCCAAATCCATTTTTCATCTATGTGACCTTAGAAAAATCCTTTACATTTTGTAAGCTTTAGTTCCCTTAATTGCTTGTTTTTTAAAAATAGGAGCTAAAGAGGTAAAGAGAGATAGGGAGGGGTGAATGTTACTATTTGTCCGTGTTTAGCTCACAGAATTATCCCGAGGTGGGGATGATAAAGGTTAAAGTGCTTTGTAATGTACAATATAACTGTGATATGGTATTATTCTTTTTATTACCAACACAGATGAAAAGCATGGAGCTTTGGAATCAGAGACACCTTCTTCCAGTTTCCTTTCTAGTTGCTTGACGTTGGTTGAGTTCTTCAACTTCTTTAAGCCTCCAGTTCCTCTTCTGTAAAATGGGAGCAATAAAATCTGCCTCTTAGGGCTGATATGCTGAATAAGTGAGATTAAGTAGAGAAAACAGAAGTCACTAAATGGATAGTAATGGTGGTAGTGGTGGTGGTGGTAGTAGTAGTAGTAATAATAACAGCAATAATAATGTGTCTTCTTTACTGTTGAAGAAACTGACATTCAGTAGCTTAATGATTTCATATTAGGTTTCCTAGAGAATAGAGCAGCAAGAGACTTCATACAGCACTCCTAAGTCTTGTATTTTCTCTGGGAGAAACAGATTTGGAGTGGAAGCTAGATGAGAAGAAATTTTTGTTTCCTCTGCATCCCACCATCCGCACCCACCTCAGTCCACGGGCTCAATTTCTTTAAAATTTAAGGAGGAACTAGTACAAAAGAGAGTCCCCCCTCCCCCACTACTATAGGAATTCCAAGTAATCTTAGGCAAGAGAATAAATTCGTAGTGGTGCCACTGCTTAAAGCCCAGATTTTCCTGATTGCTCGAACAGTGCTTCTTGCCAGTTGAGGACCAGATCTCAATGTGCGGGAGTTCTTCGTCCACTTAGTAACTAGACTCCCTGTACACTGAGATGAAACCAGTGTGTCTCTTTGTGCTCCCTCTGCTGGTTAGCTGAAAGCTTAATCTGACAGAGCAAAGTGATTCAGAAAATTTTGCAATAAACCAGTCATCGTCACTTACTAGATCATAGACGAAAGTTTTAAAAAAATGAATACGAATCATGGAAACTGTGGCATCATATCAGATAATAGCTCATTTAAAGGTAATCCAAATCTGGGAGGAAAGAGGGAGGATGTAGAAGCAAAGGGCATCTAGATGTTCCAACAAGCTGCTAGGTTTGTGCTGGGACTCTGGAATGTAATTGAAAGCTTGACAGGAGTAAGAATGATTGATCCGGTTACGGCTCATGCATTCATTTAAGATGATCACTTCAACAAAACACTCTGCAGTTGCGATTTTGTAAAATGTATTATAATTATAAGGGAACAACATCTGTTTTGGAGACACGAGGTAGAAAAATTCTATCACAATCATGCAGGGTCAACAAAAAACTGACATTTAAAAATATTTTCATAAAAGACTTACAAAAACAGATACAGTTCACCCTTGACAATGGAGGGGTTTAGGAGTGTCGACAATGGCATAATCAAAAATTTGCACATAACTTTTGACTACCCCAAAACTTAACTACCAATAGCCTACTGTTTTTTTCTTTTGTAGCAAGAAGGTGTGTTTGCTACCCTTTATTCTTTTTTTTTTTTTTAACTTTTATTTTAAGTTCAGGGGTACAAGTGCAGGTTTGTTACACAGGTAAACTTGTGTCATGGGAGTTTGTTGTACAGATTATTTCATCACCCAGGTATGAAGCCTAGTACCCATTAGTCGTTTTTCCTAATCCTCTCCCTCCTCCCATCCCCCAGCCTCTAAAATGCCCCAATGTGTACTGTTCCCTCTATGCACCCATGTGTTCTCATAATTTAACTCCCACTTATAAGTGAGAATATATGGGATTTGATTTTCTGTTCCTGTGTTGGTTTGCTGAGGATAATGACCTCCAGCTCCATCCATGTCCCTGCAAAGAACATGATCTCATTCTTTTTTATGGCTGCATAGTATTCCATAGTGTATATGTACCACATTTTCCTAATCCAGTCTATCACTGATGGACATTTAGGTTGACTCCATGTCTTTGCTATTCTGAATAGTGCTGAAATAAACATACACATGTGTCTTTATAATAGAATTATTTATATTCCTGTGGGTATATATCCAGTAATGGGATTGCTGGGTTGAATGGTATTTCTGTCTTTAGGTCTTTGAGGAATCACCACGTTGTCTTCCACAATGGCTGCATTAATTTACACTCCCAACAGGGTAAAAGCATTTCTTTTAACTTTTAATAGCCATTCTGACTGGCATGAGATGGTACCTCATTGTGGTTTTGATTTGCATTTCTCCAATAATCAGTGATATGGCACCTTTTTTCATGTGATTTTTGGCCACATGTATGTCTTCGTGTCCTTTGCCCACCTTTTAATGGGGTTATTTATTTTTTCTTTGTAAATTTAAGTCCATTATATATGCTGGATATTAGATCTTTGTCAGATGCATAGTTTGCGAATTTTTTCTCCCATTCTGTAGGTTGCCTGTTTACTCTGTTGATAGTGTTTTTTATACTCTCAACAAAGTAAATTGAAGCACATTAGTTTAATTAGATTCTATTTGTCAATTTTCTCTTTTGTTGCAATTGCTTTTGGCATGTTTGTCATGAAATCTTTGCCCGTGCCTACGTCCTGAATGGTACTGGCTAGGTTGTCTTCCAAGGTTTTTACAGTTTTGGGTTTTACATTTAAGTCTTTAATCCATCTTGAGTTAATTTTTGTATATGGTGTAAGGAGAGGGTTCAGTTTCAATCTTCTGCATATGGCTAGCCAGATATCTCAGCACCATTTATTGAACAGGGAATCCTTTCTTCATTGCTTGCTTTTGCTTGGTTTGTCAAAGATCAAATAGTTGTATGTGTGTGGTCTTATTTCTAGGTTCTTTATTCTGTTCCATTGGTCTATGTGTTGGTTCTTGTACGAGTATCAGGCTGTTTTGGTTACTGTAACCCTGTAGTATAGTTTGAAGTTGGGTAGCGTGATGCTTCCAGCTTTGTTCTTTTTGCTTAGGATTGCCTTGGCTATTTGGTCTCTTCTATGGTTTCATATAAATTTTTAAATAGTTTTTTTTTTCACTAGTTCTGTGAAGAATGTCAAAGGTAGTTTAATGGGAATAGCATTGAATCTATAAGTGGCTTTTTAAAATGATTACTAATAGCCTACTGCTGACTAGAGACCTTACTGATAACATAAACAGTCAGTGAAGACTTTTTTTGCATATATATTGCAAACTGTACTTTTACAATAAAGTAAGCTAGAAAAAAAAAGAAAACGTTATTAAGAAAATCATAAGGAAGAGAAACTATATTTACTATTCATTAAGTGGAAGTGACTCATCATAAAGGTCCCCATCCTTGTTATCTTCATGTTGAAGAAGGAGGAAAAGGAAGAGGAGGGGTTGGTCTTGCTGTCTCACTGTGTCAGAGATGGAAGAGATGGAGGATGTGCAAGGGGATGCAGAAGAGGCAGCATACTCAGTGTTACTTTTATTGAAAAAAAATCCTCATATAAGTGGACCTGTGAAGTTCAAACTTGTGTTGCTCAAGGGTCAACTGTATAGAAATGGTAGAACATCGCTTAACCTTTTTTTTTTTAATCCTGTTTTTGTCTACATGGGAAAAGAGAAATGAAAAAATTAAGATTGATATGTAGATCATTCAGACTCAGAAGGGCCTAAAATATCCAGGTATTTGAGGCAGATGTTAAGTCCCTTAATTATAGACCAGTTCTCTGCAAAGTGGGGTGGCCATGATGATCCATTGGTGTGCAGAAAGAAAACACATTAACATTTATTTTTCTTTATCTCATATTTTTGCCCTTACATTATTTTTGTTTTATAAACATGTATTTGATATGACGATTAGTAGAGTAGTATAGTATAGAATTTATAAATAAATGTATATATTAGGAGTACCTGTTCAAAAACTTTACTGATAGGAGTATATAATGAATTAAATCTGGAGATCACTAATCTAGATCTCTGGTTCAATACTAAACATTACTGGGCAGAGTAGGCATATACTCATAGTTAAATATTATTATTTTCCCTAGTATCAATCTGTGAAAAAATATTTAGTGACTATGGATTGTGTGTCCAGAGCTATGCTAAGTACAGACAGGATTACAAGAAATGTCTAAGCCCCAGGTATTGTGTGACACAATCTCTCTACCGTCCAGAGGAGTCCATTCCATTGTTGAACAGCTGTGATCTTTAGAACAGTTCTTCTTACTGAATCCAAATCTGATATGTGATAATCAAATTTGGGAGTACAATTTTTTTGGTCTAAGTTTTGCCTACTGGGACAACACTGGATCTCCTTCAAATAACTGAAGACAGCTCAAATCTATATTTTATTTTTCTCTTCCCCAGAGCCCTACTTGAGCTCTTTTAACTCGTTTTGGTATAGCATGGGGTACTGTCTATCCTATTAGATGGAGTCACCTGAATTTACTCTAGTTTATCAATTCCTCTTAAAATGTGATTCGACCCACAAGGAACGCAGTGAGACTATCATTTCTCTTGGTTCCCATCATTTCCCATGATTCTATGCTAGTATTAATAAGTTAATATTTTTAGAAGCTTCATCGGTCTCTTTCCTGTTTTTATAGTTAACTGCAGCTCCCAGATGTTTTTACCATGACCTCTGGACTAGGACTTTACAATCCAATAATTGTGCAATTTATTATTTAGAGTCAAATGTAGGGTTTATATTTATCTTAGTTAGGTTATCATCTTGCAATTCTGTTTTGCAGCACAGTCTGCTGAGATTATTTTTTAATCTTGCTGCATTCAGCAAGCATTTGTTAAGCACTCATTAAATGCTAATCCTTGTTTTGGGTTTGGGGGGGTCATATGAAAAATAAGTTGACGTCTGTCCTCTTGAGTATCTCACATTCCAGTTGGGAAACTGGACATAAACCTCTCCATCATGCAACACAGTAAGATCTACAACAGTAGTATGTGTAAAGTGCAATGAAAATGGAAAGAAGAAGGAGACTTAAATAGTCACTCACTAGCTTATTTTTTTTTTTTTTTTTTTTGAGATAGAGTCTCTCTGTCGCCAGTCTCTCTGTGCAGTGGCATGATCTCGACTCACTGCAACCTCTGCCTCCTGGGTTCAAGGGATTCTCCTGACTCAGCCTCCCAAGTAGCTAGGACTACTGGCATGTGCCACCATGCCCAGCTAATTTTTGTATTTTTAGTAGAGACAGGGTTTCACCATGTTGGCCAGGATGGTTTTGATCTCTTGACCTCGTGATCTGCCCGCCTCGGCCTCCCAAAGTGCTGGGATTACAGGCGTGAGCCACCACGCCCAGCCCATTTTTATATTGATTTAGAATTTATGATTAGCTTGCATATCTTTTTTTTAAATTATCAAAACAATTCTGGTAAATAAATGGGGCTAGTAAATAGTCCCCAGTTTATAGGAGAACCAGAGACTTAGAGCATTTAAGTGATCCAGCAAATGAAAAGCACCTTTTATCCTTTTAAAGTAAACCAGAACAAAGTGATTCTATCTTTCTGGTCCCACACTTATTTTCCAAGATTCTCCAGAAATTTCACCTAGTGCCCTCAGATATGTATGACCGAATCACTTTAGCATCAAGAGACAATCCCTCCAGGCTTGTCGGTGTGAATTCATTTAAGGCAACTTTGCCACTGCTAGGTCAGCAGGTTTTGGTCTGCAGGACACCTTTCCAAGTTTGAAGTCTATGAGCAGAACTTCCCTAGGCCCTTCTATTATCACTTGTTGTTATCTGGTAACTTTACAATGTCTTTTGGCAGTCAGCTTAGCCATCAACTCTTTCTTTCCTCTTGACTGGGATTTAAAATGTCTCCTTCAATGTTGAATTTTATCTCCAATTCCCAGACTTTTTTCCTCTCTCTTCTCCAATATCTGACAATAAAATTTGGAAAGAATGGTTGCGTTAATAATAAAATGAAGCAAAATTCTGGGACATGTCACCATTAATTGCTTTCAAATTTTGCCCTTCACAAAAATTTGTCTCTCTATTTCCTCTTTTAAAACAAACCTGAGTTATTGAACATCTGGGCTGGAATTTCTGCTGAAGAAAAATATTCAGAGGCTCTTGAAGGGTGTCCAAGTTTTCAAGGCTTTTTTTTAAGTAGGTAAAACCACTTGTCTGAAAGAAAGAATTCTTCCCCCTACTTAGGTGTTTTTTGTCATGTGCACTGGTAAACAACTTGCATTTAGGGTACGAGTTATATCTGAGGACAAAGAGTCATGGATTCTTTTGCACTATCTTGAGTAATTTAATTAGAAGAGTTTATAGTTCTTTTAATGTAGAATCATAACATCATATGAGAAAACATTGAAATCTGATGATTTTTAAAAGTCACATATGGATTTGCACATAATTCTTAAGAGAGAAAAATCAGAACTTATTCAAGCTGTACTTTAATCATTCTCTTCATGAATGTCACTGTTAACTTGCACAAAACATTTAAAAATTATCTGTTTCAGCCAGGCGCAGTGGCTCATGCCTGTAATCTCAGCATTTTGTGAGGCCGAGGTGGGTGGATCACCTGAGGTCAGGAGTTCGAGACCAGCCTGGCCAACATGGTGAAACCCCGTCTCTACTAACGATATAAAAATTAGCCAGGAGTGGTGGTGGGCACCTGTAATCCCAGCTACTGGGAAGGCTGAGGCAGGAGAATCGCTTGAACCCAGGAGGCGGAGGTTGCGGTAAGCCGAGACTGTGCCATTGCGCTCCAGCCTGGGCAACAAGAGCGAAACTCCGTGTAAAAAAAAAAAATTCTGTTTCAGCCTGTCTCTTAAAGAAAGCCATCACCAGTTTTGTGTTTCCAACATCAATGGATTTCAAAAACCAAAATAGGAACAATCTCAAGTAACAGGGTTAAGTAACAGGTGTAGGTTCAAAGCTTTTTTTATTGGACATATCTTATTTGCATCCTCTTCCACTCTGGACTCAACCGAGGAACCTTCCCGCAGGGCATGGAATCTGGCTTTCCAAAGAGCCATCAAAGGGGCCAGATGACAGAACTGGAAGTGCAGGGGAGTAACTTTGATCGGTGGGAAAAAAGATATGAGACGATATGGGGACAGTAAGTTGCTTATTATGAGCTGCCCCAAGGCATAGGTCCATACAGCCTGGCCACAGATACCTTGCTTGGATGTACAGACCACTTGCCACATTCCCTGCTGGGTTTCCAGGTTCGCTGGGAAGCAGTAGTCACTGCATTGTCCCTTAGCCCTTCCTGCCTTTTCTTTCTCCTTACTCTCACATCAGCAAGTAATCTCTGCCTCACACTCTGTTTTCCAGGGAACTCTGGCTAAAAATATCTATTAACCAGTACGTTAAATGTTCATTTCAATCCAGTATAGCTTTTGTGAACCTACTATATGAAAGGTGCTATATTGGATATTATAAGGAATTAAAGCTGAATAAAATTTAATCCTTGACTTTTGGCACTAATGGTCCGGAAGAGAAGCTAAAACAATTGCATAGGCAGCATAGCTCTGGAAAACAATTCAGGAGAGTTGGGTTCTAGGTCTGGCTCCGTTGGTCGCTGGCTGATATTTAATCTTGAGCAAGACATTTACTCTTTCTGGGTCTCAGTTCCCTTAGCTGTAAAATACAGGGTTGTCTTAGGTAACCTCTAAAGTGTCTTCCACAACTAAAATCCAAACCTCTAAAGTGTCTTCCACAACTAAAATCCGATGATTTTATAAATTTAGTCGAATAGAAGTGAGACTAAAATGCAATCCACACGCTGTGGGAACCCAGGACTTAAGGATTTGGGAAGGCTTTGGGAAGAATAAGGCATTTGATCTGAGACTTGAAGGATTTGTAGGATTTTGATAGGCAGGGAACAGATGGGAATTTCAAGCAGAAAGAAAAGCATAAACAAAGAAGTGCAAAAGGAAGATTGCAATGTGCATTCAGGAGAGCTGTGAATAGTTCAGTTTGGTTGTGGCAAGGCGTAAATTAAGTTATCTAAATTAAAGAGGTTGGTAAATCAGAAATGGAAGATGTCGACTGCCATGTTAAAAATTTGAGCTTTAACGGATATTCATTGACCCAACATATCCATGGAACACCTACTATGAGAGAATGAGTGAGGTGCCGAGAACATAGAAATAAAGAAAATATAGTTGCTGCCCTGAAGAATCCTCAAGGGGCTTATGAGCAGTGGGCAGGGAAGTGGTAACCACAAGTGAAGCTAGTGTAAAAAATGCTGTAACAAACGAAACTGAAGTGGAGGGAAAAGAAGTGTGGGTCATTTCAAGGTGCAATTAACATAAAAGAGGCAGAGGAAGAGTCAATGATAACAGAAGTAAGGACAATGGGGAAAAGAGAAGCATAAGTAGTTTTGTTAACAGAAAGGTAAGTTCATTTTGGGTGCTGAATTTGAGGTGCTCCCAGACAACTAGACAGAAATGTCTAACTGGTAGAAAAAATACTGGTGTGTGGCTAGCTTGAGATGTTGGCGCAAGTGATATGAGTATATTCTGTGAGTGACTCATAGGTCTGGAGAGATGTGTCAAGAAAGAAAATATAGACAGAAAAGAAGATCAAGGGGAGTAGTTTGGGGGAATGCCCACATTAAACAGTCAGAAAAAGTAGGAGGTGTGGACCAAGAAGACAGAATCAAACTATCAGAGATGTTCGACAATCAGCATAAAGGATGTTGAAGGATGAAAGAATTTCAAGGAAGATGAGAGGGGTGAATTAAATCAGAGGCTCCTCAAGCTTAGTGGACCAAATGCATCCAAATCAGTTGAGACATGTCTTTAGAATATGGAATTTGTGCCTACATGGATCCTTAAGAAACTGTTAACAAGGATTGCCTTAGGAGAGGAAATGTAAGGAAACTAAGGGGAAGTGATATGGTTTGGATCTGT
Organism: Homo sapiens; assembly: GCF_000001405.40. Taxonomy (NCBI): domain Eukaryota; kingdom Metazoa; phylum Chordata; class Mammalia; order Primates; family Hominidae; genus Homo; species Homo sapiens. Next base: position 80,988,549 of record NC_000014.9, on the reverse strand, counting down.
GTCCCTGTCCAAATCTCAGGTCAAATTGTAATCCTCAATGTTGGAGGTGGGGCCTGGTGGGAGGTGATTAGATCATGGTGGGTAGATCTCCCCTGCCGTGCTGTTCTCATGATAGTGAGTGAGCTCTCATGAGATCTGGTCATTTAAAAGTGTGTGGCACTTCCCCACCCCCTTCCTCCACACCTACTTCCCCTTCACCTTCTGCCATAATTGTAAGTTTCCTGAGGCTTCCCCAGAAGCCAAGTAGATGCCAGCATCATGCTTCCTGTACAGGTTGCATAACTCTGTGCCAAATACACCTCTTTTCTTTATCAATTACCCAGTCTCAGGTATTTCTCTATAGCTTGTAAGAACACTTATACAGGAAGGGTGGATTTAAGTATTGTTTAAATTTTTACCCAATGCATGATTTACCTAACTGAATAAATACATTTAAATTAAAGTTCAAATGGGAGTTGGGATTTTAATGATGACAATAGGTCAAAAGAGACCTCTACTTCAGACCTAAAAGGTGAGAATTTTCAGGAAGGGGGCCCAGGAAACAGTATTTTTAAGTTGTCCTGGCAATTTTAATCTGTTGTCAAATTTGAAGACTCCTAGAGTAGATAATTTCTAATAGAATTTCAAGTTCTTAGAATAAAGTGTTGGGGCGAAGTAGGAAAGGGAAGGGCAATATTTTCATATACAGAGATCATCCAGAAGACTTGAGAGGGCCTTGTATCAATGGGATGGCAAGTTTTGGTAGAAGGCTGGAGGCAGCAGAAGTCAGTCTGAAAGGAATGAGGAATAAATAGATGATGAAGAAACAGCGGCAGTGAAGAATATAGGAAAGAAAGGAAGATACTAGTATCTGAGGCATAGCAACATCAAGCAACAAGGTTAGCATTGACGATGTAAGCTAATTGAGGAGCTAGTCTGCCAGCTACCAGAAGGGGGCAATAGAGAGCTTTCAGAGCTGCGTGACCTGATGGAGAAATCCCAGGTGAATTGAGCTGTCAATTAAAAGCATGGGATGCAATAAAAATGTTTTGTTTTTTAATTTTTTAAAAAGTGTGGGATGCAGCATAAGACTTGAATCAAGCCTAAAACATAATTAATGCTTAAAACATAATTAATGTAAGAAAATTGAACTAGCGTTGAAGTATAGAAACAAGCAAAGGATTCAGGGAGTCACCGGGAAGTAATCAAATCAGCCATGAGTCATAAGTGCAGACATCAGGAAAGAGCCAGAGTGCTTTAGCAAATTGCCTCATGGGGGACCAATATTCCTGTGGAACTGGCATCTGGGAAGCACCAGGATTGCTTTGGCTGGCTTTTAAAAGAGCTTATAAATGCAGGAATGGTAAACTGTGTAATATTTGACAGAAGGAGATACAGAATACAATCCTTAGATCCAGGAAACTAGGGAAGGTATTACTGTTTCCTTTTTTTCTTTGTTTTTAAGGATACAGGAGGCTTGAGATAATTTACATACAGAGAAGAACAAACTTAAGAAAAAGGAAGGGTCGATAGTGCATGAATGTTGGGAAAAACAGGCCAATTGAATTTTCTTAAAAGATACTGAAAATTCTCAAGTACTTTCTGAAGCAACTGTGTTCAGCAATAATAATCTTGTTTCTGCAATGTGGTGGACTTTGTGCAAGACACTGTGGAATAACGAATCAGAAGGACATGCTTTACCATTTTCTCAGAACTTATAATCTTGAAGATGATACAGACAAATTAATATATAATTAAAATAGTGTGATAGAATGATAGAATGAGGCCGGGAGCAGTGGCTCACGCCTGTAATCCCAGCACTTTGGGACGCCAAGGCGGGCAGATCACCTGAGGTCAAGCGTTTGAGACCAGCCTGGCCAACACGATGAAACCCCATCTCTACTAAAAATACAAAAATTAGCAGGAAGTGGTGGTGGGCGCCTGTAATCTCAGCTACTTGGAAGGCTGAGACAGGAGAATCGCCTGGACCCAGGAGGGAGAGGTTACAGTGAGCCGAGACTGCGCCATTACACTCCAGCCTAGGCAACAAGAGCGAAACTCTGTCTCAAAAAACAAACAAACAAAAAACAAACAAAAAAAAGAATGACAGAATGAGGAAATATACAGTGAGTTAGCTACGTATAATAGCTAATTTTGAGATTTGAGAAAAGTTAGAGAAAGCCTCCTGGAGAAACTGATGTCTAATTTTATTGTAAAGTTAATAGTGTAGGATCTATCTCTATCTCTATCTATCTCTCTCTATCTGTATTTTTTACCAGCTCTCTTCAATACCCAATATAGTCCCCAAGACAATAAATATCTGGGCAATGAATAATCTAGGAACTGAAAGATGAAGACTTCCTGGAAGTCTACATAATCCCCAAACCTTCCCACTATGACCACTGATAAATGTTAGATAAAACATAACAATTATTTCAAATGAATACCTGAACTCTCTAGAAATCCAGGAACTCCCCAGATATTATGAAAGAACTGAAAACAGAGTAACAAGCTCTGTGAATGCTCAAGAAGTAGAAAGATGATCATGGGGAAGGAATCGCCAGCCTCAGGATGCTGAGAGTTTGGATTTTAATGCTGACACGAGGTAAGAAGAGATGTCAGCACATGTGACAGGAAGAGTTGGAATTAAGATATTGCTACAAAATGAGGGATGTCAAAGTGCTATACACTTAATGAAAATGTGAGTCAGCAAAGATCTTCCCACTGACCAAAGTTTGCATACCCCTTGTATATATTCTATTTTGTTGTTGTTGTTGTTATAGAGGCATATTTATTGACATGCAAAGATGTTTACAATACACAACTGGGGGGAAGCAAGTTCCATACATATTTACAGTATGATCTTGTCTTAGTTTCTTAACTGTCAGAAAACCTCAAAGCATATTACCCCATATTTTCACACATAGAAACTTCCGTTTCAGCTCAGACTAGGGATTACAATTCCCACCATGAGTCTTAGAGAATTCAGCCATAACCTAAACGTCCTGGGCATGCTTTCTGGTCCATACCAACGACTAAGAATCACTGTCTTGTAGATTGGCACAGCAGCCTCTTGTAGCTTTGCTGTTTTGTATTGTTGAAGCTGCAATTCTGGATCTAAATTTCTCCGATTACATTTATTCTGTCGTGTTAGCCGGTACAAATGCAGAAATGCCCAGGCTTGCCTACTAGTAAAAGATAAAGCCCTTTGGCCTTTCATAGGACACATAGGAGAATAAATCACAAATGATAAAAAAAATTAAGGCATGATTTTGCAAGGAGGAAAAAAGCAATTACCTTTTTCTTTTTGGTTTGTTTTTTGAGACGGAGTCTCGCTCTGTCGCCCAGGCTGGAGTGCAGTGGCGCGATCTCCGCCCACTGCAAGCTCCGCCTCCCGGGTTCACGCCATTCTCCTGCCTCAGCCTCCTGAGTAGCTGGGACTACAGGCGCCCGCCACCACACCCGGCTAATTTTTTGTATTTTTAGTAGAGACGGGGTTTCACCATGTTAGCCAGGATGGTCTCGATCTCCTGACCTCGTGATCCACCCGCCTCGGCTTCCCAAAGTGCTAGGATTACAGGCTTGAGCCACCGCGCCCGGCCAAAAGCAATTACCTTTTTAATTCAGGATATAAAACAATGTACAGGATGATTTCAGCTCTTTGGGGAAGATAAAGTACAAATGGGTAGAAAAAGATGCAAAGGACATCTAACAAGTTCCCCTTGCTGATGACTCCAAATCTCCATCTTACTCACTGAACAAAGTTTGGGGCACCTACTATTTTTCTGACACTGCCAGATAAAATCCATCTACTCATCTCAGACTTTTCAGCTGACCTCCAGCCAGATGCAGTCAAATGTCTGATGGACACATGCATGTGGAGGAAGTTAAGAATTGTAACCTGGCATGCAAAATTAAACATTAAAACCAGTCTCTGAGCTTTGAAGGCCGTCGCCTCAAAATGTCCTTCAGGGGAACTGTAAAGGAGTATGGTGAGATGGGTTCTGGTGTCAGATAAAACAGCTATGCCACCTGCCTGCTGTGGGAATCTAGGAAAAAGTACTTACCCTCTCTAATTCTCATTGGAGGGTACCCAGACTAATGAGTTCTAATAAAAACACGAGTACCTAGTTTACAGGATCACTGTGAGTACAGGAAAAAAATAAACTTGCAAAATATGGTGCCAACTTAGTGTCTGACATAGAATAGGCACTCACAAAATGTTTCCACCTTCTCTTTTGTGAGATGACTTTGACATAAATGAAACAGCCTGACAATTTAAGAGTTATAAATGTAGAAGCAAAATTAAAATTGAACAAATAATGCATTTGTCTGAAATTCTGGATCTTTCTGTGTTGTGGAATGAGTATCTGATACGGCTGGAATAGGAGAAAAAGAGTAGTTTCTCTTACATTAAACAGCCTATAGCAACCCCTGCCTCCTTTATGTAGAGAGTGCACATTTGGTCATGGGTATACACGTGCACACTCACACACACACACACTCACTCTCTCTCTAGGTACTGTTAGTTATCTTTGTGTGTGTGTATGCCTTACTTCTATAACTAGATTTCAAATTCAAGGATGTTTTCTTTTTTGCCATTTTAAGCCACAGATGGATCTAAGGAGATACTAATGAACAAGTTAGCTCACTTACAACGAACTCGTTCGCTTTCTTAAATAAAATGTAAAAAATATGCCAATCTAAACAAGAAAAAAATCAACAAACATTTTCAGCCAGTGATATGATATTCATCTGATACCCCCAAAATAGTTTAGCTCAAACCTAGAGCTTGTCACAGGTAACTATGTGTTAAAGATGCAATGTATAACTTGTACACCATAATAACCAAATATGATACAAGGCTCTTTGGGAATGTACAGCCTGCTAGAGTTTGGAGATGGTTCAAAGTGTTCTATCTCTGGCTCATTTTACATTGCTTCAATAATCCCTTTAACTTCCCTGAGAATGCCCATGAGTGTATTATAACTCAAGTGATCAACAACTACAATTGAGCCCTTTCTGATATGCTCCTTTATGTTAATAAATATGGCCACACCACTAACAAGACTGGCTTTTGCCTCTTTATGGTTAAAGATGAGTTTTGATGCTGCCAGTGCCTTCATATTGATCATGTCTCTGGCTGCAGTTGGATTTTCAGATATATTTAAAATTACTTTCAAAACAAGATGTCTGGTTTTGTACTTTCTCAAGGATGGCAAATGAAAAAGCTCTGAAAAGTCACCGGCAACAATGTAGTGATGGACAAAATCAGTAGTCAGTTGCCCTAGTATCTTTGATCCAGATTGCTGTCCAGGTGAGTTCAAAGGAAATGACATGGTGTCTTTACACATATGCTTAACATGTAATTCAATTTTGCATTGTCTTTCATCCCCAGAAGGAGGATTCAGAGTAATTACTCATAAGAAAATTAGTAATTTTCTCATTTCTGGGGAAGGAAAACTGAGCAAGCTTTCAATAAGCATCATTATACCATTTCATTAATAAACTCTTGGGCAAATGGGTGAACGTTATGGATACCCATTGCAATCTGTGCTCTTTTATGAACAAGAGGATCAGTAGTTGACTTAAGTAAGTTAACAAGTTGTTCAAATTCCTCAGAGTCCACATAGCATTCCATTTTGCAAGAGTAAGCAAATGGCTTAATCCCATTTACCTCCCTAATCCTGATTTGGTGTCTAATCTCATCTATGGTCTGGATGCAAGGGTCGGAACCAAAAGGACACTCAGGGATGGGCTGTGAGCATGAGTTAGTGTTCCTACAAGGGCAGGCTGTTGCCACAGGCAAAGAATAGGCATTTTCTTCAGCTGAGGCCAAAACAATATATGAAGGAGGGCTTGCCTTAGATGCCTGGGATCTAATCCGAATACTGCTGGAGTTACAGCAGGGGCTTTGGGCCAGATAGTTACCTCAGACCAGTCCTTGGGCCTATTTTTTTTTTCCATTAATTTCATCCACAGGCTGAGATCTAACTATCCTACTCACAGATTGAGGATTAGGGTCAAAACTAGCATCATCTCCTTCCCAAAACCAGTTCCCAATGACATTCTCTTCCTCCTCTTCCTCAGCCCCAGACCTAGGTTTGCAACTGGCCCCAGTCACAGGCTCCAACTCCTCAGCACAGACCTGGGCACCAATTTCAGGTTTATCATTCTTAGCACCGGAATGATTACCAGCCTCTTCTCCATTTCAGAACCAGGAATTGATAGTGGCCTCTTCCTCAGCCCAGACCCAGGCATCAATACCAGCCCCATTTTTACATGTGGAGCTGGTGGACTCATTCCCAGCCTCGGGACTGAAATCTCCAGTGGCTTTGCCCAGAGCCTTAGGCTCTGACAGGGGCTCCTTCCTTCATCTCAGCACCGACCTTGTTCTTAGACACTGCCTTCATCTCTGCCACTGCATCTGTCAGAGACCCTGGCTTGTCTTTTGCTTTGGCCCAGGTATTGGCTACAGGCCTAACCACACCCGTAGCCTCCCTCTCTTCTCCAGCTTTAGCTTGTATAGCAGACTCTTTTCCGCTTTGGCCTGGCCTCTTGTCTTATTCTTAGTCCCAGTCATGGTTGAAGCCCAGTTACTTGGCCCTGTCCATCTTGTCCTTGGTTCTCAAGGTGTCCTAGGCTGATGTCTTAATACTCTTTCACTGTGTCAGGGAAAAACTTGGTAGCGAGAGTTAGAGTCAACTTTCAGTTCAGCAGTCACTATGTTCTCTTGCCAAACATGCAGCCTCTGTCAACGATACAGAGGGCAGAGGCACGCTTGGGCTAGGGAAGAATGATTGTTCCCTAGTGCAGACCTGCTGAAGCTGATGGTCGTCCGACAATCCAAAGCCACCACAGCTACCAGCGGTGATGGACCTTGGATCCAAATGAATAGTTTTTGTTCTCTTTCTTAGTTAACTCCCTAGTGAACAGCTACCTACAGATCTCTACAGGAACCTAGAAAGGAACAGACCTCATCACCACCTATGTCAGCCTGCTCACATAGCAAGGGTCCTCAGAAGATGCTATCCTTCCCACAAAAGAAGAGTCCTCTAGCTAGAGAAGAGTCACAGCCTCCACACGCCCAGGGCCCAGGTCATCAGCCTCCCATCCTCTCCTCTGTTGTCCTCTGGCTGCTCCTCACTTGGATTCCCACTGCTTTCCCCATGATCTGAATGGCAAAGAGTCGTCCTGCTCCTGACGCCACTGCATCAAACTCAATATTCTATTTTTAAAAAAACCTTCTTGAGAATCTGGAACCATGCCCTTGCCCATAAACTTGTGTGTTTTGGTTGGCATTTAAACTACTGGATGGCTGAGACACCTCCCAAGCTGAGATAGTATCATAAAATATATCCCTGAGCAGTGAAATCCCTGATGTTGCTGTTGGAAACAATTGTGGAACTCCCCTTGAGCCATTTTCTCAATGATAAATGAGTTTATAATCCTAAATTATAAAATAAAAAGGTAACAATTCACCATGAAAGAGCCATTAAGATCTCACAGTTTTCAAACTGACACCCCCAAGAATTACAGAGAATAGAATGATTTCAAAGTGATTATAAAATAAGTTTTTTTAAAAACTAATTCAGGACATAAAAGACATGATCAAAACCACAAAAATGAACAGATATATGAAACAGAACAGACAACCGAAATATAACAGAAATGGATTAGACAGAAGAGTAGTTAGCTGAAGAATAGTGGCCTGGAAATATATGTAAAGCTAAGAAACCAGATAAAATGTAGCACAGAGAGATATCATATTAGAAAACACAAAAGAGAAGTTAAAAGGCAAGAATGAAAGATGGATGATCCAACTTACATCTAATAGGACTCACATGAGAAAAGAATAGAGAAAATGAGGACAGACAATATTAAAGAGATAATGGCTAAGAACTTCTCATTCAAAATAGAACAATGAATTCAAAGCAGGGTAAATAAAAATTCATCAATATCTACACATATTACAGGAAAACTGTTAAACATTAAAGACAAAGAGATCTTAAAAGCAAATAAAAGTCAAAGATGAAAACATCAAGAGAAGGATAACTGAGCTGGTGGCAGATTTCTTAACAGCAAGAGAGGGTACAATAACAGTAAAATTCTATCTTAATCCCTGCGTGGGGAGAGAAGGAAAAAGTGGATAGTGGCAGAGCTTTAGTTGTTGCTGTAACATTTTATTTATTTAAAAAATAAAAGAGAAACCTAAGTTAAAGCCAATTGTTAACTTCTGGTTAATTTTGATGGTAGCACATAGTTATCTGTGTTGCTATTTTTGTGCTTTCATATGCATTAAAGATGGAAAAGGGTTAATTATAGAAAAAAAAGAGTGGAAATAAAGAATGTTCCCACAAAAATGAATAGCTTGTGCAAGCAATAAGAGCAGCAGAGTGAATGACACATTCTAGGATGTAAAAATAGTTCGAAGTGGCTGAAATAAAATTCTAGAATATAAAAATAGTTCAAAGTGGCTGAAATAATAGAAGTGACTAAAGTGGAGGGAAACTAGTAAAAGATCTGCCTGCAAAGAGAAGCAAGCAGGGCCAGATCACGGGGACTTCATAAACCATGTGAAGAGTCTGAAATTTTCTGAAGAGCAATGGAAGCCAATAGCGTATTTTACTCAAGAGACCGAGACCCCATCCGCAGTACAGGCTGATCACCCTCACTGCTGTGTTTAGCAAGAACAAAAGAAACTCCATTTCCATTCAGGTGGAAAAAAATGTTAGTGGTGAGAACTCAGATGAAAACAAATGAAATGGAGACAGATTCAAGATATATTTAGACTAGTAATAATTAATAATGGATTTGATATTAGGGATGAGTGAGAAGAAAGTATCAAGAATAATCCTATGTGTCTGTTTTTCTTTGTCTTTAAATACTGATTTTATGTTTTTAGTTTTCTCTTATTTTTAATTAGCACATATTTTTGGAATACGGTATGCTGTTTTGATACATGTATACATTGTATAATGATCAAATCAGAGTAATTTGCAAATCCATCACCTCAAACATTTATCATTTCTTTGTGGTGAGAACATTCAACATCATCTCTTCTAGCTATTTGGAAATAAACAATACATTATTGTTAACATAGTCACCCTACTGTGCAATAGAACATCAGAATTTATTCCTCCTACCTAACTGTAACTTTATACCTGTTGACCAACCTCTCCTCATTTCTTCCTCCCCCTACCCTCTGCACAGCCTTTGGTAACCACTATCCTACTCTCTGCTTCTATGAGATCAATGTCATTAGACTCCACATATGCATGATGTTAGACTCCACATATGCATGATGCTTCTACGAGATCAATGTTGTTAGACTCCACATATGCATGAGATCATGCACCACTTGTCTTTCTGTGTCTGGCCAATTTCACTTAACATGATATCCTCCAGGTTCATCCATGTTGTTGCAGATGACTATGCTGTTTTGAGCATCCGGGTAACCGATGGATCCATTCACTGAGATGGGTATACAGATAGTTTTGGCCAAGAAGATAATAATGTCACCTTTGGAAATGTTAAATATAAGGACACTGTATGATATTTTAGTGAGCAATTGGATGAAATAAGTTTAGTGCTCAGAAAAGAGACCTGGCTTACAGATCTGAAATTCAAATTCATTAGAATCTCATTAGATGTATGAATGGGAGTAGGCGAGGCTGGAGAAGTGTGGCATGAGATAAGAACCTCAAAACCATCCAGCATCATTTAAATGATAGGTAGAGGAAGAAAGAGAAGCTGGTACAGAAAGGCAGATGTGCAAACAGAGAAGATGAAAGAGAAAATGGGTATGGCAGCCACAGAGATGCACCACTCAGATCTCCCTCCAGGAAACAGCTTTCTGTGTAACTGTCAGGAGGCAGTTAGCTGCCAGCCTCCATCTGCAGCACCTGCAGGAACTGTCACAGTGTTTTAACCAAGGCTCTACTCTTCCCGGGAAGCCCACAGCCCAGGGCTGAGCATGGCAGTGGTGCTAGAGCCTGGCTTCTATGCCTAATGTGGGTCCCTCTAACAGGCAGTCTTTGCTCTAGAGCTCCCCATTGGTTTGGCCAAGATTTTGTCAGCTCTGTAGCACAGTCTGGGGCTCTCCCCCTTTATCTTTCACAGATGTTATCTTTCAATGAACCACTTGCACTCCTAACGCTGTCTCAGCATCTGCTTCCCAGAATAACTGAACTGATACAGTTGGTACTGGAATTGGTCTGAGAAAGCAGGAGGTAAAATGAGGTTTTGGGAGCAGATCACTTCCTGCAAGCTGGTGATGAGGATCCCATTCTGGGTGGCACAGGGGGCACAGATAGTCTCTGGCACAGGGTGGCAGCCCAATTACTAAAAACTTTAATCAATGATGGCTTGGAAGAAAGTTCCGTGAGAGAACTTTCCTGGCCTGTGCAATGTTCATGCTTTAGAAAAGTGCACATGCATGTGTGTGTGTGTGTGTGTGTGTGTGTGTGTGTGTGTTGGAGGGATGTTGTTGAGGAGGAGGCAAGGAAGATGAAGGAAAGCAATGAATACAAGGATGAAGGAATTAGCTGGATTTTTGTTAAGTTTGAAGCTACTACAGCCAGCTAATGCTGAGATAAAGTTGACAGCAACTGACAAGCAATTGAACACTGTATGAGAAGGCCTATATCTGGTGCAAGGGGATATTAGAAAGAGCTGAAGACTAAACTCAGAACTTACAGTTAAGAGTTATACTTTTGTTTATATCTAAGAAAATGGACAAATAAGCTGTGATTTATTCATTGAATTGAATACTGTAGAAAGATTGCTTCGCCCATGTATCAGTTAACATGTAAGTCTGGCAACTTGGAATAGGGCCTGAGCAGGACTTTGCAGCACCAGGCTGTGGTACAAGCAGCCCTGCCTCTTGGGCCATATGATCTCATAGACTCTATTGTGTTGGAAGAGTGAAAAGTGAAAAAAGAGGTAGTTTGGTGTGGAGTTTGTGGCAAGCCTTCATAGAAGAATCAAAATACAGTACTCTGGATTTCTAGAGTGAGTCCACACCATCTGCAGTGCAGAAAAACATCTCTTGGGGTGCTACTGAGCCCTGTTTGAGACTGAATATTTGACCATGGAAGCCAGTAACTATGCATTCTAAACTGCCCCTTGTGAGCTGAGCTCTGTAGAATACATTAAGTCAGAATGTCAGGCAGACTCAGCAGCAATTTGTCTAGTGGAAAGTGGTATACCAGGGATCAAACCTGAGCAGTACAACAGGGATCACATGGCCACTTTATGACACATTGAGCCATTTCTTCCTGGAAGGACCTGTGAATTATTGTCATGGTAGTAAACATTTATTCTAGATAACTGTTTGCCTTTCTTACCTACAAAGTCCCAGGCAGCACTACTAGCTGGAGGATTTGAAAGTGATCCACAGACATAGAATTCCATATAACACAGCATCCGACCATGAGAGACACACTTCACAGAGGAGGAGACGAATGAGCCTGTGACCATGGGATCCTCTGGTTTTATCACATATCACATAATCCAGAGAAGGTAGCTCTATAGAGCAATGCAAGAGCCTACCAAAGGCACAACCGGAATGCCAATTTGTAGGCAATTGCCTACATCATGGCATCTGCCATGGTGGGGTATCATCATGCAGGCTAGACACTGCATCACAAACCTCTATATGGATGTTATCCCAATTAGGAAGAATATATTGGTCTGGGAACCATTGGGCAGAAGCAGGAGAGAGTCCACTTATCACATTCAATGATTCGCTGAAAGAGTCTGTGTTTCCTCTTCCTATAATACTAGGCTCTGTGGAGAACTCAGGCTATGACTGCCACTTGGGCATTCAGGACTTCTTGTATACAGAGACCAGCAGGCTGAAGAAGTCAATATCTTGTTAGGAGTAACTGACCCTGATCAGGAGGAAGAAGCAGGGCTGCTGTTACACAATGAGGACAGGGAGAAATATATTTGGAACTCAGATGATCCAGTTGGACATACTTGCTCAATTGTGACTATAGACAAACAAGTGCAATAACCCCAGCCTAAGAAAAGTATGGTAACTATGGGTTCAGGCCCTCAAAAATGAAGGCTTTGATCATATCAGCAGATAAGTCATCAAGACCAGCAGAGGTGAAAGCTGAGGGGGAATTTAAAATGAACAGTGGAAGAGAGATGATAAGTACCAATTGTGATCCCAGACAGACCAACCGCTGCAACAGGGGTCAGACTACTCCCTAAGTTACCTCTTTCAAGCTTCTCCTCAGGAAGACAGGCCCACTGGAATCCTGGATAACCTGTTCCCCAAAGGTATGTGGAGAACCAGATCTGTATCTTGCAAGGGGTGGGCTGTGGCTGTTGTGGAAGTGAGGGCTTCGTTTAAGAATGTACTTGCTCACGCCTGTAATCCCAGCACTTTGGGAGGCCGAGGCGGGCGGATCACGAGGTCAGGAGATGGAGACCATCCTGGCTAACACGGTGAAACCCCGTCTCTAGTAAAAATACAAAAAATTAGCCGGGCGTGGTTGCGGGTGCCTGTAGTCCCAGCTACTCGGGAGGCTGAGGCAGGAGAATGGTGTGAACCCGGGAGGCGGAGCTTGCAGTGAGCCAAGATTGTGCCACTGCACTCCAGCCTGGGCAACAGAGTGAGACTCCATCTCAAAAAAAAAAAAAATGCATTTGCTGTTAAGCTGCAAGGAGTGCAGTTGGCACACCTAACCAGCTCAGTATCCTCCCCATTATGCAACAGCAGCCCTGCCTCCTGTGCTGCTCAGAAGACCTGAAGTAAGGCACCAGGCAATCAAGGAGTATGATGTGGAGAAAACCAAGGGAAGCAGTCAGCAGTGACAAAAGCTACTGAGCATTCAACTTAGGAAAGAATCTAAAATGTCCTTTGGATTTTGCAACAAAGGTTGTTAATATGACTTTGGCAAGACCTTTTTCAATTAAGTAATGGGGGCAAAAGCCAGATTGCACCAAGCTAAATGGTGAATGGGGAGTAAAAAAATCAGAAGAGCAACATGAGAAAGCTCCTTATGAACATTTAGCTGTGAAGGGAAGGATAGAGGCAGGGAAGGAGTGGTAGGTGGACGCAAATGTGAGAACGTATTGGAGTGAAATTTTTTTAGAGGAAAGATACTTGAGTGTGTTTAGATAGCTGTGAAAAGCATCTGAGAGAGTAGGAGAGGGAGGAAAAAGTCAAAATAGGGTGAGGAAACCAAAAGAACATGGATGTAGGTGGAGGGACTCATTTTGTATTGCTACAAAAGTGGAGAAGAAAAGGATGGGTGTAGATTCTTTTAAATGAAATACTTCATTTGTGTTGCTTTGTTTTAATAGTCAAGTTCTTTCAGAATCCCTGTATAATACATTTGTGTTCTTCAAAATATGTGACAAACAATAACCTGCCATAGTCTTACTCTGCTGAATGGGGAAGATTGTCCCTGAATAGGAAGAGCTCCATGAACATTTGAACAATGATGTCCTTGGTCTTCCTAACAGTTCTCTGAAATAGGACATGACCATCTTATGGTTTTCCTTTAATAGATACAAAAGGTAAGACACAGAATGATTATGTGCCTTGCTAAGATTCTTAGGACTTATGGAAGGTCTCCTGACTTCCACTGTCCATTTCTACTTAGCACTCTTACTGTGTAAGTAGTCCTTTCACATAGTCATGCAATAATTTCCCTGAATTCAGTGGAAAACTGTCCTCTGCTCTTCACCGTGACTTTTAGCTGACATAGCTTTATACCAGATATTTTTCCTCTTTATTTTGCTGCTGTTGATACTGAACATATTGGATACAATACAAAAAGAAAGCACAATCCCTCCAAGCCACCCTATTTTTTTGGTCATGAAATACATACTTTCTATAAAGTGCCAAGTTTCTTACGAGTAAAAGGAATCCTTCACAAGTACATTAGACCTTCTATCATCACACAGAAATGAATCAGACAGAGCCTTAAAAGATTCTTTCATGCTTCATAAAGCACATTTCAGAGCTTCTGGCTTTGTTGTTTTAGATTCCAGGGATTGAGGGTGGTTGTGAAATGGCAATTTGGTTATGCTACATAAGGCCAACCAAGCATTAAATATGGGCATCTGGAGGGTTTGGCAGTACTAACAGGATTTTCAGCCAAACTCTGACACAGAACAGATAAATCATTCTTACAGATTTATGTGCTCTATTGGCACAGAGACCCCCTAGTTAGACTTTCAGTCCCTTTACCCTACTGGGAATGAATATATCTGGAAGAAGATAAGAACTCTTGGAAGTCTTTAAAATGTCCCCTTTGAAAAGTAGACAAGTGTTGCTCTTCCTAATAAAGCTGTGCAACCCTGATGCCAAACAGCTGCTGGATGGTCCCTGCATGGAAGCTTGCCCTCCACAAATTGATATAATGCTCACACCGAGGGTTAAATCAGGCCACATCTGACAGGCTCTCAGACCTACCACCGCATTAGTAATAATAGCTAACCTGTGATCAAGGCGTATTCTGTTACATCATGCTACCAGCATTAGCTCATGAGCTCCGTATAATCACTCATTGTGGGGAGAGCAGATTTTACAGATCTTACTAGTTTGTTCACCCTGTGAATTGAGTAAATAGAATCTCCCACCCAGGGCGATGGTGGGAGATAAGAATTATACCACACCTCTTCTGCCTCCACATCTAAAGCAGGTTGGGGAAAAATAACTGAGAAGTAAGCTCTGGTAAACATAAGGTGAAGAATAATTTATGTCTCTCATTTAAACATTTTCCAATTCACAGCAAATTTTCTTCCTTGGCACATTGGTTAAATTTGTTAATGGAGATTTTAAAAAAAGGCATAGAAGCCAATATTATTATAAGAAACATCGATAGAAATAGGATATTGTTAGAATTGTTCTTCAGCTTCCTTATAACAGAGAAAAGCCCTTTGCATGAATATTGACTCTAAAAGAGTTATGAATAATGGCTTCATGCATTGCTATTAAGTCGCCGCTTTCTAGAAATGTTGCCTAAGATTGCCATGAGATCCAGAAGGGATAAATGCATAGTGTTCCTCTGCCAACTGGCTAGAAACAGCCTCCTTCACAAGATGGGAACTCTTAAAACCTTTCGACACGGGAAAGTATGTTTGGTAGCTCTAAGCCTCTGAGAATAAGTACACAGATTTTTTTTTTTTTTTTTTTTTTTTTTGAGACAGCGTCTCGCTGTCACCCGGGCGTGAGTGCAGTGGCGCGATCTCGGCTCACTGCAGGCTCCGCCCCCCGGGGTTCACGCCATTCTCCTGCCTCAGCCTCCCGAGTAGCTGGGACTATAGGCACCCGCCACCTAGCCCGGCTAATTTTTTGTATTTTTAGTAGAGACGGGGTTTCACTGTGTTAGCCAGGATGGTCTCGATCTCCTGACCTCGTGATCCGCCCTCCTCGGCCTCCCAAAGTGCTGGGATTACAGGCGTGAGCCACCGCGCCCGGCCAAGTACGCAGATTTTTTTGATGTTCAGATTTTTGTATCTAAGGTATAAGGTATTACAGCATGGAATGGGGCTGCTATCTACATTGATGTGTTAGAAATGAACCTGTCCAAAAATTGCTGCAAGCTTTAGCCAGGCCTGTTTACATCTGTTTTCCCTTTGGGTCACTTGTCTGATTGCCCATACTCTTTGTCACCCTACAATTTAGATGAAACTTGAAAGCATTATGCTAAGTGAAAGCAGTCAGATACAAAGGTCACATAAGGTAGCATTCCATTTACACAAAATATCCAGAATAGGTAGACCCATGTGGACGGAGAGCAGATTCCTGGTTTCCAGGGGCTGGGAGGAGTGGGGAATGGGGAATGACTGCTTAATCGGCACGAGCTCCCCTTTGAGATGATGAAAATATTTTGGAACTAGATACAGGTGCTGGCTGTACACTATTGTGAATGTACTAAATGCCACTGAATGGTAGTTATACTTGAAAATGGTTAATTTTATATTGTGTGAATTTCACATCAACTGAGAGAGGAGGAGGGGAGGGAGAGGGAGAGAAAATAGACCAGATTTAGGAAGATAGCTATGGAATAGTAGAAGGAGCTTTGGGTTTAGAGTTGGGAGACATGAATTTGAATTCTGACTCTTTCACTTACCAGCTGTGACATAAAAGTCAAAAAAGATGACATTTCTGGGTCTCAGTTTTGCATCTAAATGAGAGTCAAACACCTCCCAAGGAAGACCACTGTGAACACTGAGATATTATATGTGAAGACATATAGTATGGGTCTGGGCATAAAGCTGATACAAACACATAACTGAGCAAAAAAAACCCCACAGAACAATGATAGGTTTTTTTAAGGTAGTACAAAAAACAAAAACGAAAACCCATGGAATTTATGTTATAGCTAAAACTGTTAAAATGTAATAAAAGTAACTTGGATTAATAACTCACAATAGATAACAATCATGGCAATTTTCATAAATCCAAACACTGAAGAACTAGGTGTTTTGTAATTATAGCTTATACTTCATTTATCTGGCTTCAAGGCATGAATTTAAATCTAAACATTTGTGTTATGGAAAATTCTTCCCTCTAGTACTGTGTATAGTAACCACATCAAGTTACTATATTTCATCATCTTAAGAGGCACATATTTTAAAACTTTAATGTCTCAGGAACCAGGAATTCATTGATTAAAAGTGTTGCTGGATCCCCCTAGGGAAGTGTAGGGAAAGTGTATACCACTACAAGTATTATTGGTGACTGTCCCCCAATCATTCCTAAAAGGGACCTGTGGCCAGTTGCCAAAGTAACTGTCAACTGGTAAACAGAAATCCAAGGCTTCTTGAAGATCATTGGATACAAGGTTTGAGCTTATACTGACAGGAGTATGTCCAAGGATAAATTGCAGATATTAGTGTCAACTTGAAAGACTTAAAGGATGCAGAATGGTGGTGCTTCATATCCTTTCAATTCACCTATCTGCCCCCTGTAAGAAACAAAACCAACAAAAACCCCAAACAAATAGATTAAGGTGAATGACAATGCACTTTAACAAACTTAACCAATAGGTAGGTTCTATCATAGCTGCTGTGCCAGATATGTCTTCACTGGAACACATCAGCACAGCCTGTAGCACTTTATATGTGATTATCAATCTGGTGAATGTGTTCTCTTCTTGATTCCTATCAATAGAGAGAATCAAAAGTAGTAAACCTTTATCTAGGAACAATAGCAATACCAATTCACTGCTTTGCCCAAGGGGTTCCATTTCATAAGAGTTTGTGGGGACGGATAATCTGGACATCACGCACATCATCATACTGGTCTGCTACCTGATGATATGCTAATTAGAGTTGGTGGGCAAAAAGTAGAAAGAAGCCTAGCTAGTCTAGTAAGAAATCTGAAGGTTGGGGGCAGCAGATAAATCCCACAAAGATTCAGGGACCTCTTCCATTAGCAACATGCTTAGTCTGCGGCATTCTAAAAAATCCCTTCTGGCCAGGTATGGTGGCTCACGCTTGTAATCCCAGCACTTTGGGAGGCCGAGGTGGGTGGGTCATTTGAGGTCAGGAGTTCAAGACCAACCTGGCCACCCGTCTCTACTAAAAATACAAAAATTAGCCGGGCAGTAGTGGCATGTGCCTGTAATCCCAGCTACTTGGGAGGCTGAGGCAGGGTAATTGCTTGGGCCTTGGAGGCAGAGGTTGCCACAAGCCAAGCTAATGCCAGCCAAAAAATGAACTACTGCTGCACTGCAGTCTGGGTGACAGAGTGAGACCCTGTCTCACAAAAAAATCCCTTCTAAGGTATAGGACATACAGTTGTATCTTGCCCTTTCTACCTTTTACAAAGAAGTACAGCACTTGCTGGGCGTCTTGGCTTTTGGCAGCAGTGTAACCCATTTTCCCATTTATCAGATAACTCAGAAGGCTGCCAGTTTCAGGTAGGACCTACAAGAGTCTATAACAGATTCAGGCTGAAATGCCAGCTTCCCTGCCATGTGGGCCATAC
Source organism: Homo sapiens (assembly GCF_000001405.40). Lineage (NCBI taxonomy): Eukaryota > Metazoa > Chordata > Mammalia > Primates > Hominidae > Homo > Homo sapiens. The sequence continues at coordinate 80,970,608 of NC_000014.9, read as the reverse complement.
AGCCCAGCCCAGCAGGTCTTACAACACTACAGATATCCATCCTGGACAAGGATATTCTGTGGACTCGCCAGCAGGTCCCAAGAAGAGAATGAAAGCTCAGGCTCTTAAAGTTTTGGAGCAAGGATCTGCCTTCTGAAGGACAGAAATACCCTTTATGAGGAAAATAATTCCTGACATGCTATTCTGCCCTAGTAGAGACTGAGATCTCTTCAATGGGACACTAAGTGACTCTGTGACTACAGCTGCCCATTGTGAATTGGGTATTGCCAGTTCTACTACATAAAATAAGGTGAGCACAGCAGCAATTGATTTTATGATAGAAATTTTACATTCTGGATCAAGAAAGTCTAGAAAGGGAAGGTAAATTCATGAATAGGTGGCCTAGACTCCCACTTCACTTATTTCTGCTGCACTCTCACTGAAATTGGCTTCATGGAGAGCTCCATATGACCACTTGATGGAGTTCATAGGTTGGTGTCTGCTTTACAGATTGGCACAAGCTAATGCCAGCCAAAAAAAATGAACTACTGCTGCATTACAGCCCCACTCAAGGGTGGCCCTAAAGGATAGTGGTGAAGGGAAATCTTCACAGTCAGTTCATCTGTGAGCATTATAGCAATCATTCTTTTTGTATGAAGGGAGAAAGAACCGTGGCAAGGGTATACATGGAATACCAAGAAGTAGCAAGTAATTTACCTGGTTGACCACTGGCCTAGAAAGAATACTATTGGAAAACAGAGAACAAGAAAGTCTAGGAAACAAATATGGCTATATCTATGGGGGTGGGAACAAATTCTGTGGACCTTTGTGTCTCACGTTAATGCTCATCAGAGAGTATCCACTGATTACTCTGGTTTGCGGTGAATCTCAACACCCAGGTAGACTAGATGACTCATTTTATAAATGCCATCCAGTTTTGGAGAAATGAACATGAATGAAGTGGTCATGGTGACAGGAATGGAAGCCAAGCATGGACCCAATGGCTTGGGCTCCTTTTCATCAAGTCTAATCAAGATACTTCTCCTGTAAATGACCAACCTTTCAGCAGTATAGCCCATTGCTGCACCCTTGGTAAGGCACATTTCTTTAAAGAGAACAGCCAGTCATTTGGTGGCAGTTTGATTATACTGGACCATTTCCACCCTGTAAGAAATAGTAATTCATTTAAAACCTCATGATTACTTTGGATTTGGCCTTCTCTGACTTCAATGCCTCCACCGGCACCACCATTTAAGGGTTTATAAAATACCTGATCTACCAGTATGAAAACGTGTACAGCATTGCCTCAACCAAGGGATGCATTTCATGGCAGAGAAGGTGCAACAAAGGGCATATGAACACTATATCCACTAGTCTCACTATGTGCCCTGTCATGAAGAACCAGACTGCCTACGAGAATGGTGGAATGAATTAAAGACTCAGCTAAGGTGCCATCTTGGGGACAAAGCCCTGCAGGATTGGGGATCTGATCTAAGAAAGGATATGAGCTGAATCAATAGCCAACATATGCTATTGTGTTCTATGTAGCTAGGATACACATGTCTGAAAACCCGGGGGCAATGATAGAATTGGCTCATCTCACCATCACCCTAGTAACCTAACATTCAAATTTTGAGCTTCCTGTCTGTATTCCTGCCCAATTAATGGTACTAGTTCCTGAGGAGAAAGATTACTTCTTCCTCCTCCAATACAGGGAGGTTGATACTATAATGACCACCTGGTCATTTGAGCTTCTCATGCTAGAGGACAAATAGGTAAATAAAGGAGTTTCTCTATTGAGAAATATTAGGCCCTCTTTACCATGAGAAGCTAGGGCAGCTGCTACACATTAGGAAGAGTAAGGAGTGTGTCTAGAATGCAGGGAATTCACTGGGGCATCTCTTGGTTCTTTTGAGCCCACAGATAATGGTGAAGGAGAAAATACAGCAGCTATATATGACAAGAACAAGGCAACTAAGCTTTCAGAACCCTTGGAGCTGAAGTCTGGGTCTTTCCATCAGGCAATCAACTCAACCAGTCAGAGTGCTGGGCAAGGGTGAGACAAATCTAGGATTGGAGTCAAAGAGAGATAAGGACTATCAATGGCATCCTTAAGATCAGCTGCAGCAGGGCAGACTAGTTTATTTCCCAAACCCTCTTGCATTATGTCTTTGCAAGGACTGCATCTTGAAGGAATCTGTGGAAGATGGGGCTTGTATTCCCCTTTCTTGTAAGAATAAAAAAAAAAAAAGTAAGGACATCTCATTCTTACAAAATCGGAGGCCCTATATTTTATTATGGGAGCTAGACATAATGAAAAGCTTGGGCAGGTCTGAGTTGTGCAAAGGCTAACCAACCCTGGGTACCTGTTTTACATCATTTTAGATTCTCTCAGCTTGCCTCTTATGCTAGCCCTGCTGCAGCTACCAGTTCTGTATGAGCTCTGACTAGCTTCAGGCAGGTACAACTCGACAGTACTGCATCTCAGCCCTGTACCACACACCTCTCATCTCCCACCTGGGGACTTTTTTGTTAATATCAGGAAATTCTTTCATCACCCAGGCACAGGAAACCTGGAAGGTCAGTAGAATTAAATCCCTGACTCATGGGAGCCAAGAACTGATGGATAGATGTTTTACCTTTCCTCCTTCCTAAAGCAAGGGTCCTGAGATGCAAGTCATCTGAATTCTCAGGTGGTCTCAGGGGTTTCAGCAACCATTTGTTTCTAGCAGCAGCAAACTCTCCCTCTCTCCCTGCTTCACTTCCCCATCCTACCTTCTGCTCCTGGGATCATACTCCCCAACAAGAATTCTCACATGGGCTCTGCTTTCTGGAGAATTCAGACTAAGATATCACTGACTCCTCTCTTTTACTCAAAGTCCACATAGTCCGCTAGAAAATCCTGTTGGATTCACCTCCAAAATAAGCCCAGGAAATTTCTTACCACATTCCCTGCAATTAAGCTGGTTCAAGCCAGTATCATCTCTCACCCGATTAAGAAACATAGTAGCTAGGGTGATCCTACTAAAATGTAAGTCAGGTCAGGGCCGGGCGGGGTGGCTTACACTTGTAATCCCAGCATTTTGGGAGGCCGAGGCGGCCAGATCCCCTGAGGTCAGGAGTTCGAGATCAGCCTGACCAACATGGTGAAAACCCATCTATACTAAAAATACAAAAATAATCCAGGTATGGTGGCACATGCTTGTAATCCCAGCTTCTAGGGAGGCTGAGGCAGGAGAACTGCTTGAATCCGGAGGTGCAGGTTGCAGAGAGTCGAGATCACACCACTGCACTGTAGCCTGGGCAACAGAGTGAGACTCTGTCTCAAAAAAAAAAAAAAAAAAAATGTAAGTCAGGTCTTGCTTGTGTGTGTGTGTGGCTCAAAATCCTTAATAGCTTCTTATCTCATTCCAAAAATAAGCATATATATATATATATATATACACATACATATATATATATAATTTTTTTTTCTCCTCCAGATATTAGCCTGGATTCCTTTTTTAGCTTCTTCAGGTCCTTATTCAAATGTCATTTTCTCAGTGAGGGCTTCTGTTATGGACTGAATGTTTGTGTGTCCCCCAAATTCATATGCTGAAATCCTAATCTCTGATGTGATAGTATTAGAAGATGGGGCTTTTGGGAGGAAATTCGTTTATGAGTGTGGAACCCTTATGACAAAATTAGTGCCCTTATAATAAAAAACACAAGAGAGGTGAGCTTGGCTTTTTGCTATGTGAAGATACAATGAGAAGGTGGTCAAGTGCAAACCAGGAAGCAGCCCTCACAAGACAACAGATCTGCCGGCACCCTCATCTTGGACTTCCAGTCTCCAGAACTGTGAGAAGTAAATGGTTATTGTGTAAGCCACTCAGTCTGTGGTATTCTGTTAGAGGATCCCAAACTAAGACACCTTGCTGACTATTTAAAATGCAACTTCCAGTATTCCTTCTCCCTCTTCCTTCATTTATATTTCTCCATTATACTTTTCACCATCTGACATTCTCTGTTTTACTTTTTTAAATTTTTAAATTTTTATTTTTTTTTTTGCTATTTTCTCCTGTTATGATGTAAAATCAATGAGGTCGTTTATTATATATCAATGCCTAGAATAGTACTAGTGTATGATAGGTGATCAATACATATTTATTTAAAATATAAAAAAGGAAAGAAGGAAGAACATTTTACAATAAAATGCCACCTATCTAGAGGTAGTATTTCTGGTCATCTCAAATCTTTGGATCATGTCCACAAACCCAGAAATAACTGCCAAGGGTGTTGAGATGGAAATACTGCCATCTCAAAGCCCACTAAAGACTTTCTCATGGAAGAGTATCTCATTTATGCCCGTCCTTAGATCCTCTTTATTTTCATGCACAGAGCCCTTTCCTAAAAGTAGCCTTCTAGTTTCTTGGCTTAAAAAAAGATTGAAATAACAAAATATAAAGTGACAGTACCTGGCAATAAGAGGAAACAATTTCAGTCTCCTCGCTGGAGTTGCATAATTATGAGAACACACAGGCATGGGTAAGATTAAGTTAATGCCTACAAAATATAAGCCAAAAGCTTCATGTGTCATATAAATACAGAGATCATGTTTTCTGAAAGAAAAATTTGGACATAAGGAAGCTCTTTCCAGGTGTGCAAGTGATGTGGGAAGTTTAGATTAAAAGGATGATGAAATATTTGAATTTCTGGAACATTCTGATGGCAGTCTTTTCAGTGGGACTGTGCTATAAAAATCCAGAGCACATATACCTGTCACCACATATAAGAGAACAATATTTATAAGATGTCTTAAAAATCACAAGTGCCAACTTTGTAATTAAAAAATTATTTTGAAAATTTCTGGAATACCCTAAATGTTCTTAAAGGTTCATACAGAAATGAAGCCAAGTAAGTAGGGTCTGATATCTAAATGGAACACTTTAAAACTCAATCTATAATTTTGAACAAATGGGACCATTTTGCTCATTCTTAAAATTTTCAAATGCTATTTTTTAATTAATGTAATGAAAGAGAGTAATTAAGTATGTTGACCAGCTTCAGTAAAAATGGAAACAGAGTCAGTATGAAGAATTTACCATCATGTAGGAGGCATTAGAAACTTGAAAAAATCTGTCAACTATTGACTTGAAAAAGTGGCAACATTCAGTGAACTTCTGTGTGAAGAGCCTATCAAGGGACAGGCTAAGTGTGAGCCATGAAGAAAGTAATCACCACAATAACATGTTCAGAAGGAAAACCATGACATTCAAAGGTGTTGCAGGCTGAAAGAGTGAGGGTCGTGATCAACTCACTATACCACTGGAGGCTCTATGAGTAAACAGCAAACTGTTCTCATAAATGCAGAATGTTGGCAAACTGACAAAAGTGCGTCCTCCACCCAGAAGGAATGCTGAGGGCAGTCACACCCCAAGCGCAGTGTTGCTTGTAATTAGGTACATCTGAAGCCTGTTAGTAACAATATGAACCCATGATCAATTAAGCAGCCGACCAATCGTTACCTCCTCCTCCCTGCCCTTGCTACCCAATAAATACAAAGGGCTGTGGAAGCTCAGGGGCTGCCTTTGCTCACTAGAAGCAGGGAGCTCTCTTCTTCTTCCCCTGGACACTTTCTTTAAAACAGTTTCGTCTTACTTTTTCATTTCTACGTTCATTCCTTTGTTCATTCTCACAATGATGGTCTCAAGTAGTAACAGTAGTAACTGTCCTAGTGACGGTCTCAAGTAGTAACAGTAGTAACTGTTGAAATGACAGTCTCAAGTAGTAACTAACTGTGACAGCTTGCCACACAAAGGTCAGGCGATTTTCATTTATTGTTAAAATATGTCTGTTAGGGTTGTTTGTAATATAATAAAAAGATTGAGTCATAGTGAGTACACTTACAAAATGCCAAATTATTCCAAAGCAGAATTTCTTAACTTGTGAGGGGTCAAGGACACCTTTGAAGATCTAAGGAAAGTTATAGAGTCTCAGAAATGCACTGATGGGGACAAATTTTCACACAACCACAGATTCCTAAGAGCACAACCATGAACTCCTGGAGGCCCATGAACTTTTGTCTAATAAACCTTAGTCTGAAGGGTAACAAACACACTTTGTATAACCAGGAAACACTGAAATAATCAAATAGATCAATTCAACTTAATTTCTCAGCTCTGGACAAAAAACTACTACTCTAGTAAATTGACTGATAAATTCAGACAAAACTAATTCATTTAACAATATGTTTTATGTATTACGAATTAGTTTTCTATGCTTACTACTTCATCAGAGGTGATCTAAGAGAATAGACTTAGGCCCCAGGATAGCTAATTTGTTCACACAGATGAAAATAACTGGACATTCTGGATCTATGCCTCTGATATCATGTCTGAATGGTCTTGGCCTCATCAAAACTGATCTGATTGTTGAGGTTGGACTTTTAAACACTGGGTTTCACCGTGTTAGCCAGGATGGTCTCGATCTCCTGACCTCGTGATCCGCCCCCGCTCCGCCTCTCAAAGTGCTGAGATTACAGGCGTGAGCCACCCCACCTGGCTGAGACCAACCTTCTTTTAAGTGATAGACTCCCACCTACGGCAATGAAACACAAGGCTGAGCATGTCCCACGGGCCTCTGGACTTCATGGTCTAATAGGAAGATCTATTAGTATTAGCAATTTATCCCCCAAATTGGGACACCTTTGAGAGTGAAAGGAATGCTATTAACTACACTTGAATGACAGATGTAATGGGGTTCAAGACATTCTATCCCCAAATGTGACACCTTGGCATTTGAGAAAACAACAGAAGCAGAAGGTCTCTCCGACTTTTTCCTGCCCTTCTCCCCTGAGTCAGGTCATCAGACAATTCTCTGGTCTTCCTCTAAAGTAGGTCTTAAGACCCTCATTTCAGAGGGGCTCTCCCTACACCAGGAGAAAAGGAATGAAGACACAAAGACATCAAGATGAATTTGAACAAATAAGACTTGCTAAGATCTGCCCCACAGACCACAGTTTATTACCATTCGATCATATCCTTTTGTCCTCCAATCTGTATGACTGTCCATAAAAAGATACAGTTTTCTCTGTTCCTTTGGGTCTTTATTACTGAAGCCTCCTGTGTCATGTAAAACTTATATTTAATAGTTGTTTAATGTTTTTTTTCTTGTCAATCTGTTTTTTGTTGTTGTTGTAGGGTCTCAGCCATGCACCATGTGATGGGTAAAGAAAAGATATTTTCTGCCTTACAGGTGTAAGAGGAGGGTCCATTTGGATAGGGCAACCCTAACTATATGGAACCTGGAAACCAGTGGATGGTTCCATAAAGAACCTGGAGTTCATTAGGGGATGAAGATCAATTTTTAAAATTAATAAACATTTTTTAGCTTGGGAAAATTTAGAGTTAACAATAGAAATGAGAATCTAAATCAGACCCATAGTATTAATATGTTTGTGTTGAGTTTAAGAATAATCAATATATATTTGGTATTTTGAGTATTTGTATTAACAGAAGTTGTTGACCTACTTGGGATATCTAATAGATTGGTCTTGCTATTCCAATTTAAAATGTATAATTGAGTAATTTATTTTGACTTGTGATTTAAGTTGAAAAGGAAATTAGAGGTTTTAATAAGTTTACTTGTATAGTGCTCACTGGGAGGTGGTAACTTTTCTATAATTTTGCATGTATTACTGGGGAAAAATGTGTTTCAATGAAAAGCTGTGAATTGACTAGAGCACACCCTTCCAAGTTTCTCAGTCTGATTCTATGGGAATTATTTTACACCTTTCTAGATTGTAGATAATTGTAGCAATGCAAAACAATTTTGTCTACGGATTGTAAATTCTGTCCCGTATGGAAGAGCTTCTATGAACTTCCCTCCCTGACTAGGGAAGAAGCTAGTTTGGCCTCCATCTGCATAGTCACTCTGATATTCCTAATTTATAAATATGTCTAGTTGGTGGGCTACCCTTTAAGCCAGTTGTAATATCTTACCAGGTTCTTCATTATGGTGGGTTAAAGCATGCCCCCAAAATTCATATCTACCTGGAACCACAAAATGTGACTTTACTTGGAAATACAATGTTTGTAGATGTAATGAGTTAAGTTGAGTCCATAGTGAATGAGGGTGAGCCTAAAACCAATAATTGGAGTGATGCAGGGAATGCCATGGATTGCCAACAGCAACCAGCCCCTAGGAAGAGCCAGAAAGGATTTGTCCCAAGAGCCTTCAGAGGAAGCATGACCCTGCCAATACCTTGATTTCCAACTTTTAGCTTCCAGAACTGTGAGAGAGTAAATTTCTGTTGTTTTAAGCCACTCAGTTTGTGGTACTTTGTTATGGCAATCTTAGGCAATTCATATACACTCATCAATGAGTTCATTAAAATCTTTAACATGTGTTCAATTTATAGGTGTATGAAAGTTACAATTTTTCCTTTCTTTGAAAATTATCTGTTGACAGTATTAACTCATTCATACCACCCAGGAATCTGGTGAGTCAGGGCCTATTATTACTCTTTTTTTATAGATGGAGAAACTGAGGCCCAGAGGAACTAAGCAATGTTCCCAAAGCATATTTAGGAAATAGCAGACCAAGGCATTCAACCCGGAGGATCTCACTCCAGAGTTTGGCAATCTAAAAACATAGGATTCCTGGTACTTATAAAGTTTAATATAATAGATGTTTTCAAATTTTCTAAGGATTGGGAAGGTTTCATCAAGCATTCAAGTACTTTAAAATAAAATACATTAAATTTGTTTTCATTTAAATTATTTATTATTTGATTAAACTATATGGGAAATCAGTTATTAAAATATTAAATGATAAAATACTCCTCAAAGTAATTGTTACGATTAGATTTCCAAACAAAATAATAAATACATAGAAAACTCAATAAAGAACTAGGTTTTACATTTATTTCTTTAACAAACCAAATATTAATTTACGAAGCCAGCTACCCCCATTAACTGTTTTTTTTGTGTGTGCATAGAAACTGCTCCCAAGGACATCAGAATTCACCTCAACCTGTACTGAGTTATGAAGGGAGTAGTAACAAATTTTATTGTCCATTAATATGTTCATCCCAAGTGAATAAATCAAACCCCTTCAGCTTTCAGGTCAGAATTCTTCAAAGCTCTTGAACACCACATCTCCACCTTCTACCTGCTCCACTGAAACTTCTTACACTCAACTCCTACTGGTTCTTCAGGAGGTAGCTCAAAGCCTTCGCTGAACCTCAGTTTAAGTAAATATCCCTCACCCCTACAAAGAGCATACTCAAGCACACTTATACAATTATAACTCTGTGTTTATGTAATTATTTGATTAATATGCAGCTCCCACACTAGACTGTAAGATCCCTGCAGACAGGGACGTGTTGGTGGTGTTCTCCATTAAGTCCAGAGTGTGACACAGTGTCTGGGATATAGTTAGTCCTTAGTAAAGATTTGCAGAATGAAGGAAGTAATGAGCAATGTAGAGGGCATATGGCCCCTCTTCAGTGGGGAATCCCCTGTTGTGTGGAATATTAGAAGGACCCAGTTCTGCGTCTCCTATTTCAGACGCCAAAAGTGGGCGGGTGACCACCTTTCTCTTCCTACCTCCAGCAGCTATGGCTTGCCAGCCAATCAAATGCTCCCATACAGGATACTACTCCCAGGTAGGATATTTAAAGAGACAGGGACAGTTGGGAAATTATTGATGGCAGCACATAGACAGTCTGGCAGCTACAAGACCGCAGATGTCCAGTGGCTGTGGTTTCTATATTGCCCATGGAATTGTCCTAAACAGATGATTCACTGTGGCTCCAGTTCCTTGCCCACAGTAGGCCTTGGCCTATTTTCAAAGCCTGGTCCTACAGTAATTCTGTAAATTACATGTTCTTTCAAAATATTTTTTTTCTTCCTTAACCTAAACAGAGTTGGTTTTCTGTTACTTATCATCAGAAACCTTGACTGATTTAAATACACACATATATATCTGTCTAAATATATATACACATAGGTATACAGATATATTCCCTCTCTCTATATATTCTCTCTCATATATATATGATGGACACATTTTATTGTTCATTATTATGTTCATTCCAAGTGAATAAATCAAATCCCTTTAACTTTCAGGTCAGAATTCTTCACTCCTCTTAGAACAGTGTTTCATATGTATGGGAGAGGAGAGAGAGAATGGAAAAGAATAATTCACAGAGCCTGGATATATGAAATGAAGTCACCTTTATATGTGTGGGGCTGTGTTTGGGGAGCACGTGGGTGTTGAAGCAGGGGGCTTCTCTTTAGCTTGGAAACAATTGTTATTCAGATTACAACCACTGATTGTGACTAAAACCATTGTGAAATATACAAAACATCCACATTTCTTTAAGTGTGGAACAAAGATGACTTGGAGGTACGTGAGATTATTTTAGGTGGAGTGCCCACCTGGCATTAAATAACCGTGAATCACACAGTGAGAAAGTAATTCCTTTCTCTATTGTCTTTCCATCCTTTCGATACTACCAAGGACACCGTGCCAGATTGTTATCTCTTTAATACTTATTAACACTTACTTTGCTTCCTTTTTAACAAAGAGAAGGCAGCTGTAGGCTCAGTGTATTCACAGACAATAGTCTGTAGCTAGAATTTAATTATATTTTTGTTTTTTCTGTCTTTAGTTTTCTGGTTACCTCTTATTTGTACGAAGTCATGCTAATTTTCCACTTGTAACCTTTCTAAATAAATTTCAGTTAGAGAAGCGAGTCAACTTAAAAATACTGAGTAAATAACAGCACAGATGGAACACAGGGTACAAATGCCAAAGATGATGAATGATTGTCTTCAGTTTAGTAAACAGTAGGAGAGTCCATCAATTAGAGCCACAGATGCAGAATGCAAATGAGTAAAAACAGAACCTGAAAACAACAGCTCCTTCAGAAACATATCTGAAGGCACACAGGTGTCCAAACCACTTACTTCGTCGAAACCCAAGACCACAGATGGCAGTGGGGTTGGAGAAGGCAGATGTAGCAGTTACTGTCATAATGAAACTGAAAGCAGGGTTAAAACAACACAGTAAGGCGTGCCAGCACTTTCTGGAGGAAGAATCCACACAAATACATAGAGTGGTGCAGAATGGTTGTCAAATCCTTTCTACCTCCTTATTCAGAGAAGGAAGGATCTTCTCATGCACAGAGGCAACAAATGGCAACTTTCTGAGTAAGAGAGGGTGATGGGTCAATCTTGTTATCCTTGGTTTTGAGATATATGATCTATAATTATATGCCAACATTTAAATTTTTAATTTTATTCTCTTGCTTCATTTAAGTTTCCTTAAATCAGTAATTTTCAATGGAAGAGAGTGATTTTTTTCAAACTACCTACACATCAAAGATTCTAGAATGTTCCACTGGCAGTGGGGGAAGTAGGGATCCCAGCTCTCCCTCACCTTCCACTCAGGTAAAGCATCATACCCTTCTGGAGGGGAGGAGTGAGGAAAAGATACAGCATCACTTCTTCAGTGAGGGCCACAGTCCGTAACTCTCTCCCCTGCATCCATAAGACCACGGGGCTGGGATATGGGTAGTAGGGCAAGAGAGCTGTTTACCTTTCAGAACAATAATCTATGAGTAGAAGATAAAGTTTAGAAAGAGTTGTTCTCGGCACCATCATAATTTGTAAAATGTCTAAGAAGTGGTTATACAGCATCTTAATGAAGGTTGCAGAAGTAATGCAAATAACTCTACAGGAACAAAATACCTTACATTTTAAACCAGTGTAAGCTCTTCAAAAACTTTAAAAAGAGGTACACTCTGAATAATACAAAACTTGTGAGAGAACATGCCTCAGTAGTAGATCCTGTATAATTTAAGTAGATTCCAAAAAGAGGTCACCACCCAGAACGGCTTTTTAATGACAAAAACTTGGTTTATTTCAGCAAGGAATACCTTCCATAACTTAGATCTTTCTTGTCTAGAAAGATGTAAAAAAAGATCTAGATTTTCTTGTCAAGAAAGACTAACTTAGTCTTTCTTGTCCTCCTTGCCTCTCTTCCACTCTCTCTTTCTTCCTTCCTTCTTCTTTCCTTTCCCTGCTAACCTCCTGCTTTCTGAGTTCTTGCATCTGATGAATAGCCCCCGAGGTTATCAGTCGGTTTACTGAATGTGACTTGTTTTCAGACTTTTTTCTCCAAAGCCTATGACCATCAGGGGAACACTGGTGTGGTGAGACACACTTCTCATCTGAGAGTGGTGGCTTAAGGGTGCAGGCTCCATAGTTGATGATATGATATTCAAATCCTGACTTTACCACTTACAAGCTGTGCAACATTGAGCAAATTACTTCATTTTATTTTTGTGCCTCAAGGTCCTCATCTATAAAATGAGCATAATAACATCACCTACTTAATTGGATTTGGTGAGGATTCACTGGGTGAGTTCATGCAAAGCGCTGAGAACAGGACCCCCCGCCCCCGTAAGTAAACACAATATAATTGTTAGCTTTACATGTTTTACTTCTCTCATATGCTTTTCTTCAACAAAGAGTTCTACCGCCCCCAAAAGATTTAAAAATCATTTTTCTACTGTTGCAGATGGTAGTAGCCATTGTTCAAAGGAGACTACCATTTTGTTTTACCCACACTTTTTATCAGGTTTCTCTTTTCGATCTCAGAATAACTTTATTCTTCAGGACATACTACCTCCCTCTCCATTATTCTCAAGGGCAGATCCTCCTTGCCACTGTCTTTATGTCTTTTTCTTGTGATTCAGTGCCTTCCCTCAGACTATTCTCATCAGCATCATGTCATCACCTAGAAAGCACCTAGTTGAACATTCTCTTTTACCCAGAAGGAAATTTGGCTCCTTCCAAATCAGTCATCTTACACAATTTCATGGTTAGTAAAGAAGGGCTAAAGAGAATGCTGGTTTCCTGACTCCTGTTCCATTGCTCATTCTCCATTACCCTTTCTTTCTCAACTTTTGGTGGAATTTTAAACAGGATGTCTACGAGTTCCTTTTCACTGTCAGAGCCACATCTCTCTTCAATGACTTGAATTTCTGCCACTGTTAAAGAAGTCTCTGAAGAAGTGATGTCTTTGGATTTCTTTCTCCCCAACATAGAGTGGACATTCAGAGACCTGGCATATTCATTTGTTTATTTATTCACTTAAGTTTTTTTTTTTTTGTTTTTTCTGAGTGTCTAAGTAGTTCCAGGGTTTCAGGAATTCGGGGTTGAATGGCAGTTCCCTATGTTAGAGAAGCTTGTGTCCTGCTTGAGTGGGCATGCAAATAAATAACAAGTTACAAGAAAGTAGACAATGTCTAAGGGCTAGGGTTAGGTTCATGCAGAGAACGCTGTTGGGAAGGGGGGTATAGCTTACCCAGCCTGAAGGTCATGGGTCAGGAGAAGCTTCCTGCAGGGTTGATCCAGGATCTGGATCTGGGAGTAGGCATTAGCTGGGTGAAGAAATGGGTGAAATGTGCTTCAGGCAGAGGGGCCAGAAAGTGGGAAGAAAGGCAAGGGCAGCTGTAACAGCAGGGACCTTTGGGGAAGTGCCAGAAGTTCTCAGCAGGAGGGGGAAGTTAGAGAAATGAGGAGCAATGAGGTTGGAAAGACTTGACTAGGTCTTGAAAGATCTGGTAGGCTGCACAAAAGAATTTTATTCTAGAGGTGACAAGCAACCTATGTAGAGGTGTAATCAAGAGGCCATTACACCTTTTACACATCTTATTCTGTGGTGGCAGCATGGAGAATGACTACCACACTGTTTGGAGGTTATTGAACTAATTAATTCAGGTGTGCTAAGACACTAGGATATCTCTGAGCACAGAAATATATCTCTGTGCTCAAATATTCATCTACTGTTAAATAGTCTTCATGAGCTAAATTCTTGAGAAAATCTAGAGGTGCAACTTTCCCATTTCTTTTCATCTATCAACATTTTCTTTAATAACCTGCATTTTTTTTTATCTTAACTGGATTTAACCAGCCTAGGTTGTTTTACTGTCCTTTCTTTCTGTTCTCTTTTTAACTAATCAAGACAGACTTTATTCCCTTGGTTTTGTCTACAATTTCAATGATCACTGATTTAAATTGCTGTTAAGAAACAGGTTGTGTGTGTATAATCTTATTTAACATCAGGTTTCTAATCTGGTAACATTTAACATGCAGATAAATGTACTATACTTTTATGAAATTTCATTTCTTTATACCTCTATCACAAAGCAGGGTTCTGGACGTACTATTTCACTGGCAGTTCACATTTGAGTAAGTAACTTACAGATACTGTATAGACAGTTCATTTTAAAAAGGGCCCCTGCTTAAACCTTTGTCAACAATTTGATGAATCAGCAGAACTGCTAAGATAACCTCCCATCTAGAGAAACAAAAAGGAGAAATACATATTTTTGCAATTTTTTATTACCCAAGGTAAGATCAAAAAGGTCAGTTCCTGAGATGCCATTATCCTTATTAATTCAAATAAAACAGATTCAACCAGGGTTAGGCAAAGTGCTGAATAGCAGCTTGTTGGAAAGAACAGCTCTCACGGTCATTGTACACCAAAGTTTTGTAACATTTTCCTGTGTTGGGAATGAGGATGTCAACAATGATACCTTCCCAAGTGTGGGCGATTAAGTTTTTAGCACACACACACATCTACACACACAGACATTCACTCACACATACACACACTCACACACTACTTCGGGCTGTTATTGAGCTGCTTTTGTGCACTTCGGGCCACCTCTGCAGATGCCCTTGATCTCTGGGTCCTACCCTGATCTCTCCCGGGTACTCACAGAGTCTGCGTACTGGGCGGTAAGCTGGGGATGCGTTGAATATCCTTGCAGGTGACTCTGAAGTCCTCCTCCTGATGGCACTCGCAGGGTGGAGACGAACACCCCATTCCGCCCAGGTCCCTGGGCAGGTCGAGCAGCAGCACCAGCTGCAGCAAGTCCGCCGGCCTCATTTTCCACGGGACTCGGGGCTATTTCTCCATCCTCCGAAATCGCCTCATTCTCAGCTCTGCACCTCGGGTTACCCCAGGCCAAAGGAGACCCGGGAGCGGGAGGGGTGGGAAGAGGGAGGGCTCCAAGGGGCTGTGACCTCACCACTGTGGAGGAGGCTGGAGAAGGGGAAAAAGAGGCACTTAAGTGCTCCGCTTCCCTAGGCAACCTTGACCCAAACAAGTCTGCTTGCTTCACTTTCCTTGGCTGGACCCACGCAGTCCGCTCCGTCTGTTCCCTGACACCCAACACCAGTCCTGGCTGTCCCCTCTGTTTTCCAGCCCGCCCCCCCACCCCGGGCGCCCCTCCCATTAGTTCTCTCCAAAGCCTAGTTTAGATGCCCCCTCCTTTCCTCCTCTTTAAATCCAAGGAGCCACCTTCCCTAGCGTGTAGCCTTCTAGACACCCTGTCTGCCTGGGAGCCACTCGCACGCACTCCTTATCCAGAGAAAGTCCCCGCGGAGTGGACTGTCCGCGGGCGGACCAATGTCCTGCAGAACTTCAGCTCCTCCTGGCCAGAGACACCTCTGCTGAGGGTCAGAGGCGGGCACGCAGCCCTGGCTAGCCCGCGGTGCGGCCGAAGCCGTCGCCCTGCACCCCTGGAGGATTCTCGTTGCTATCCAACTGCAGGGGCCACTCCGGTGGTTGAGTCGACTGGCAGCGGCCGCCTCACGTTGCAGCCCGCGGCTCCGCGAGGCAATTCAGGAACTGAACTTTGGGGCCATCTGCTGGGAAGAATCGGGAATGGCAGAAATAATTCCAGGTTCCCTTAATAATGGGTCCAGTATGGAAATTCTGGTCGACCCAAGAATTTCATTGAGTCATATTCCCCCTGGAAGATGGGAAGAAAAATAATACTTAAGTGGCATACTCACCATTCTTCGCACAGTAGCCAAAAAGATCATTACAAACATAAATCAGATTGTGCCTATTTCCTTCTTAAAAGTCTTCAATCACTTATTCCTCTTGGGATAAAAGGAATGTCAATTCCTTCTATACTGCATAATTCCTTTTATATGAACTTGGCTAGGACAGGAAGGAAAAAGTTGTGGTTATGGGAATCAGAATAAAGGTTAGGAAAGATTGACTAGAAAAAGACAGGAGGGAACACACAGGGTTTCCATATCGTAATTAGGCTGGAGGTTAAGTGGATGTATACATTTATCAAAATTCATTAAACCGTACATTTAAAATATGTGTATTCCAAATTTTACAGAAGCTTTATTCATAACCACTAAACGAACCAAGTGTCTCGCGACTAGATAATGGATAAACAAACTCTGATACCTCCACATTGGAATACTATTCTGCAATAAAAATGAATGAACTGCTGATACAACATGCACAAATTTTCTTTTCTTTTTTTTTTTCTTTTGAAACGGAGTCTTGCTCCGTCGCCCAGGCTGGAGTGCAATGGCGCGATCTCGGCTCACTGCAACCTTTGCCTCCGAGGTTCAAGCAATTCTGCTGCCTCAGCCTCCCGAGTAGCTGGGACTACAGGCGCCCGCCACCACGCCCGGCTAATTTTTTCGTAATTTTAGTAGAGACGGGGTTTCACTGTGTTAGTCAGGCTGGTCTCGATCTCCTGACCTCGTGATCCGCCCGCCTCGGCCTCCCAAAGTGCTGGGATTACAGGCTTGAGCCACCGCACCCGGGCTTTTGTTGTTGTTTTTTTAAAAATTACCATGGTATTGTTATGGAACAAATCTTGAATGCATAATGTTAAGTGAAAAAAGCCAAACTCAAAATATTACGTATTTATATGTAATTATTCATATTAATGATTCATTTATATAGCTTTCTCAAAAAGGCAAAACCATAGGGACAGGAAAAAGATCAGCGGTTGCAAAGGCCTAGGGTAGGGCTGACTACAAATGAACACCAGAGAATTTTGTGGGTAATAAAACTGTTTTAAATCTTGTTCGTGGTGATGGTTCCATGGTAGTTTATTAATGTGGTGAATCATAGTGATCGATTTTCGAATGTTAAACCCACCTTGAATTGCAGGGATAAATCTCACTTGATCATGATGTATTTATCCTTTTTTTGTTTGTTTGTTTGAGACGGAGTCTCGCCCTGTCGCCCAGGCTGGAGTGCAATGGCACGATCTTGGCTCACTGCAACCTCCGCCTCCCGGGCTCAAGGGATTCTCCTGCCTCAGCCTCCAGAGTAGCTGGGATTACAGGCGCCCGCCACCACGCCCGGTTAATTTTTTGTGTCTTTAGTGGAGACGGGGTTTCACCATGTTGGCCAGGCTGGTCTGGAACTCCTGATCTCGTGATCCGCCCGCCCCAGCCTCCCAAAGTGCTGGGATTACAGGCATGCACCACCGTGCCCGGCCGTGTTTATCATCTTTTTAATATACTCCTTCATTGGATTTGCTAAAATTCTGTTTAAAAGTTTTACATAGACGTTCACAAGGGATAGTAGTCTGTTATTTTCTTTTCTGTAACTTCTTTGTCAAATTTTGGTATGAGGGCAATTAATTCTTCCATCACAGAATAAGTTGGGAAATATTCCTTCCTCTTTAAATTTCTATAGGAGTTTGTGTAGAACTGATATCATTCCTTTCTTACTTATTTGGTAGAATTCTCCAGTGAAGCTGTTGGAACCTTGCATTTTCCTTATTGGAAGGTTTTTAACTATAAATCCAGTTTCTAAACATAGATTTAGGGCTATTCAAGTCATATAATTCTTCTTGAGGTAGCCTGGGCAGTTTGTGTCATATAATGAATTGTCTATTTCATCTAAATTGTTGAATTTATTGGCATGAGTTTGTTCATAATATTCTCTTATCCTCTTATATTTATATAATCTATTCTGATGTCAACTCTGTCATACCTGATATTGATAATTTGTATCTTCTTTTTTTCACCTAAGTACTTTATCCAGAGGGTTATCAATTTTATTCATATTCTCAAAGAAGCAAATTTTTGTTTCTTAGATTCTCTATTTTTTTTTGTGCTCTATTTCATTGATATATGCTCTGATCTTTATTATTTTATTACTCTGCCTACTTGGGGTTTAATTGGCTCTTCTTTACTTCTTAAGGTGAGGTTTCTTAAGACTGAGGTCACTGATTTGAGGCCATTTTTCTTTTATAATATTGTATGTGTGTAGTGCTGTAGACTTTCCCTATACTACTTTAGAGACATCCCACAGGTTTCGATATCTTGTAATTTCATTTGTATTCAGTTTAAAATACTTTTTAGTTTTTCTTTTAGATTTCTTCCTTGATTCTTTAGAAGCATGTGGTTTAGTTTCCAAATATTTGAGGAATTCTCAGATATTCTGTTGTTAATTTGTAAATTAATTCTATTATAGACAGGGAAAATAGTTTGTATAACTTGAACACTTTTAAATTTAGTGAGACTCATTTTATGATTCAGAATATGGTCAATCTTGGTAAAATGTTCAGTGTGTACTTGAAAAAAAATAAGTGATCAGCTTTTGTGGAGTTGTGTGTTCTACAAATGTGATTAGGTCAAGTTGTTGATAGTATTGTTTAAGTCTTTTGTATTTTTGCTAACTTTAAAGTCTACTTGTCATATCAATTGTTGAGACATGGGTACTGAAATTTTTTACTACAATTGGGGATTTGTTTTTTTTCCCCCTCATTGCATTTCTATCAGGTTTTTCTTCATGCAATTTAAAGTTCATGTATTTTGAAGTTCTATTATTAGGTAAATACGTGTTTGGGACTATTATTTTCTTGTTCTCTTCATTGTTATTAAATGGCCTTCTTTATACCTTGTGATATCCTTTGCTCTTCAATCTACTTTTCTGTTATTGGTAGAGCCAATCCATCTTTCTTTTGATCAGCGTTATCATGGTATGATTTTTTCATACTTTAACCTCTTTGAGTTTTTATATTAAATGTGCAGTTCTTATAAATAGCATAGAGTTGGGTCTTGCTTTCAGTCTCGCCGTCTCTGCCTTTTGTTTGGTTTGTATAGATCATTTACATTTAATGTCATTATTCACATTACATTTAAGTGAATAATCTTGCTATTAGTTTTCTATTTCTCCATTGTTATTTGATCCAATTCTCCTTTTATTTTAAACATATGTTTGGAGTCATTAAGGAATTTTTATGATTCCGTTTTATCTTCTTTGCTGAATCTTAGCTATAACTCTGGTTATTATACTCATTGCTTTAAGGTTTATAGCATGTACGTTTAAGTTATCATAGTCCACATTCAGTTGATATTATACCAATTTATACTTGGTTTAAAAGAACCCTTCAACACTGTACTTGTTGAATGCTTGTTTATACTCCATTTCTCCTCTCCTGCCTAACCTTTATGCTTCCATCGCCATACATTTTACTCATACATAGGTTATAAATCCCATAATACAGTGTTATTATCTTTTAAAGGGATTCAAATAATAAGACAGTTACCCCTTCTGGTCTTTCTCATTCCTTAGTATTGATCCATATTTTTCACTGCTGTCACTTTCCTTTTGCTTGAATGACATTCATTAATTTTTTTGTCATACATATCTGCTGGTTATAAATTATTCCAGCTTTTCTGTGTCTGAAAAAGTATTACTTTTGTCTTCTTTTTAAAAAAGGATATCATCACTAGGTATAGAATCATAGATTGACATTATTTTTAACTTTCAGTACTTTAAAAACATTGCTTCATTTTCTTGTTGCTTGCATTGTTTACAAGGACAAATCTTATGTCAAAGTTTTCTTTGCTCCTTTATAATCTGCTTTTTTTTTTTTTTTTTTCTTACTCGGGATGCTTTTCAGATTTTGTCACTTGTTGAGAGCAATTTCACTGTAATGTGCCTTGATGTACTTTTCTTCAAGTTTCCTGTGCTTGGGGTATTTTGAGATTCTTGGATTTGTGTGTTTATGGTTTTCATCAGACTTGGAAAATTTTTAGCCATTGTTTCTCCATTTCTGCATCTATGATTTTCCCCCTTATCACTTTCCTCTCCCTTGAGCATTCCAATTATTGCACTTATTAGGCTAATTGAAATTGTCTCACAAAGAGAATATTGATGCTTTTCTCAGTAAAAAATTATTTTTCTTTTTGTCTTTGATTATGGATTGTTTCTTTTGCTATGTCTTCAAATTCAGTATTCTTTTTTGTCCTCCCGTAATATTTAATTGGCCACTAATCCCATCCAACGTCTTTTTTATCTCATAAAATGGATTTCCATCTCCAGAAGTTCAACTTGGGGCTTTTTTCATATTTTCCATGTCTCTTTATATAACACTTTTTGAACATCTAAAATACAATAATTGCCTTGATATCTATCTTAGTTTCCTAGGGCTGCTGTAACAAAGTACCACAAACTTGATGGCTTAAAACAAGATAAATTAATTTGTTCACAGTTCTGGAGGCTAGAAGTCTAAAGTTAAGGTGTTGGTGGGGCATACTTCCTCTGAGAGTTCTGTGGGTGGATGTTTCCTTGACTGTTCCTAGCTTCTAGTGGTCGCTGGGAATCCTTGACATCTTTTGGGTTATATCACTGCAATCTCTCCTCTGTCATCATCAGGTGTTCTCTTTGTGTGTCTCTGTGTCCAAATTTCCCTCTTCCTACAAGGACATCAGTCATTGTATTTGGGTCCATGCTAATCCATTATAACCTCAACTTAATTTAAATATCGTTAAAGATGCTATTCCCAAATAAGGTCACATTCACAGATACTGGGCATTAGAATTTCAAGATATCTTTTTGGGGAACAAAACTCAACATACAACAGTGTCCTTGTTTGATAATTCGAATATATATATATTTTTGTCAATTCTGGGTCAGTTTAGATTGGTTGATTTTTCTCCTGAAAATGGGTTGCATTTTCTATTCTTTGTATGCCTGATAATTTTTGTTTGGATGGCAGATATTGTAAATATTACCCTTTTTGGCACTGGAATTATTGCATTCATGTAAATATTCTTGAGATTTGTCGTCAGATGTAAATTACTTTGAAACAATTTGGGATTTGTGGATCTTGGTTTTAAGCTTTATTAGGTGGGACTAGCACAGCATATAATCTAGGGCTAATTATTCCTCATTCCCGAGGCAATACCCTTCTGATTACTCTAGCCAGTGTTCCATGAATTATGAGGATTTCAAATCTGGCTGGTGGGAGGAGTCACTGTTCCTGGTCCCCTGTGAGCAACAGACAATTTTACCTCCAATCTTGCTAGTTGCTTTTTTCTCCAGCCTCATTTTTTTCACATGTGTGTAATGATTAGTACTCTGCTGAATCTTCCATGGAGACCCTTTATAGTTCTCGGAAGTTTTCTCTCTACGTAGCTCTCTACCTCCCGTAGTTTGTCCTGCAAACTCCACCTACCTGCATCTTTCCAAACTCTCAGCTTTGTCTCCCCAATTAAAGAATCCACTGGACTCTGCCTGGGTTCGCTCTCCTTGCACCATGACTTGGAAACTCTCTCAAGGCAGTAAGTTGTGGCAATCATAAGGCTTGCTTTATTTGTTTCCTGTCTTTCAGGGATCATGGTCTTTCTTGGTATGATAGCCGCTGCCTTGAAAAGCATTGCTTCGTATATCTTGCCTGTTTTTTTGGTATAATTCTGGTGGGAGGGTAAATCTGGTCTCTGTTACTCCACCTTTGCTGGGAACAAAAGTGGTATGCTGAAACCTATAACATTTTATATCAAGATTTAGACAGCATGAAATTGGCTTAGTGGCAATTATAATGTAGGCAAAAACTCTTATGCCTACAGTTTCAGTTCAGCAAATTGGAACATGCCTTAGGGCTAACCATGTTCTAATAGTCTGCTCAACAAATTGCTCAACAAATTGCTATGACAATTAATAAGACAATTTTCTTTCCTTAGCATAACTTTTAAAATGGGGCAAATAAACACATGAGATAAGATGATGACCAATCTTTGTGATCAGGTTAAATAAAGAGAAAAGTGCACTCAGTTCCCTTAAACACACGCACAGAATCCTTTTAAATGTAACAAATGAATGAGAATGGCTATAGAACACTACTTTTTCCTTCTTGTAGAGGAATTATTAGCATGGTTCAAATATTAGAAAGTGGTGTTTGGCAATTTATGCCTCTGTGTGTTTTATCTTTTTTCAGAAAGTCCCCATTAAAGTGGAGCATTCCACTAGCCCCTTTCCATAACCTCTTTATTGATTAGTTATATTGCTTAACTACAGAAATGTTTTGCAATTTTGGTTTAGTACATTAATAGTGGCTCACTTTGACCTAAATGCATATGAATTACTGTGTTTTATATCTGTGACGCTCTTGGCAGTGATAATTACCTATAATTAGTAAGTGTGTGGCTGAAAAGAACTTCATGGGATCAGCAGGGCTTCAGCACAATGAATGGCTAAAGATGATTCTTTGAGTAGTAGGCAATATTATCCCTGCAATACCTTGTTTTTTTATCTTGACTCTTCTTAAACTTGAAGGTAACTTGCAAACTTGATGTAGAAAAAGTCAACAACCATTTATGATTGTTTTCTGCTGATGTAAAGAGAGTGAATTTCACCACTGACTTGATTGAGAGAGAATTTTGAGTAGCTCCATTTAGTCCCACCTAATCAAGATTTGGGGGAATTTCCCTTTTACTTACCTATAACATCATACTTGGTGTCTTCTGTCTTATGACTTATAACTGTGCAGTGATACTATAGGGGAGCTTGACCATCTGTGTTGGCTAGAGGGAACAAAGCAAAATCCAATGATGTAGGTGGTCATCACTTGTGCTGGACAGTCACCAAGAACAATGCAGGCTACATTTGAAGTAACATCCTCCTTTGATGCCTATGGGCAGAACAGGTAGGTTCAAGCTATGAATAGTGCTTGCTTGAGTGGAGGCCGGGCACTCTGTCAACATAGACTTTCTCCCTATGCCTACAGGTCTGCCTCCCCAACCTCCTATTCCTCTCTTTCCAGGACCCCCTTCTTCTCTGTTACCACATTCCCAGTCAGGAATCTCTTTTCTTTTGGGGGGAATCTCTTTTCTTTTGTTCATGGTATTTCCTTCCAAATCATTTGTTTATAGCATGACTCCTCTGTGACAGCAGGGTTGACTTCATGGGTTTGTGACCTGTGCAATCACTCAGGGCCCTGTATTCAGAAAGGCCCAGTGCTTAGTTTAATGCTGTGTTGTTGCCATTTTGACATCTTAATAAATTTTGCAAAAGGGCTTAGCATATTCATTTTTCACAGGGTCCTACAACAAATTACACATCCTGTCCTATCTGAGAATGTTTGTGTTTAATATGCAAAATCCAGGAAGAAAATGCTTCATTTTCTTCTTCTTTTTCTTTCTCAACTCCCCTCCCTTTCTGCTTTCTGTGGTCACCCCCCATCTCTAAGGCCATGAGTGCAGAACAGTGTAGCTGACAGAAATGGAGATAAGGAGAGAGCCAAGGTGAAAAAAATAAACATTTGAGGAAAATGTTGGTATTTCAAATACATTTTTGTGTCACATGGACATAGTTAGTGTGCTGTTGTATTAGTCCATTCTCACACTGCTATAAAGAACCACCTGAGACTGTGTAATTTGTGAAGAAAAGAGGTTTAATTGACTCATAGTTCTATTGGCTGTACAGGAAGCACGGTTAGGGAGGCCTCAGGAAACTTACAATCATGGTGCTTTGAAGGGTGAGGAGGAAGCAAGCACCTTTTTCACATGGCAGAGTGGGAGAAAGGGAGAGTGAAGGGGGAAGTGCTTCACACTTTTAAACAACAGTTCTTGTGATAACTCACTCACTATTATGAGAACAGCAAGGGGGAAATCCACTGCTGTGATCCAATCACCTCCCACCACGTCCCACCCCCAACATTAGGGATTGCAATTCCACGTGACATTTGGGTGGGGACACGGAACCAAGCCATATCAGCTGTTGTTGTTTCATAGTTGTATAAATTTGGAAGTTATTGGTGAAATACAACTTCTGTCCCTTCTCCTTGAAACGGCACTACCTCTGTCTGCCACCCACAGCTTCTTACATAATAGTTGTCTTCCCTTCTCTACATTTATTCATTCTAGATGAGTTGGGTTAGGATGGTCATGTCAATGCTTTTAGACTAGCCCCATTCCAGAACCTTTTTATTGATTAGTTCCTCTAGGTATTTAATGTTTCGTATGGTTCAAAAGTGTTTCTGATAAACTGCTCAGGAAACTAGATCTAGAATTAGCATCTTGGATCTTACAGGCTGGTGATCTCATTAGTATAATCTTAGTCAAGGCTCTTTAGATTTCAATCAACAGAACTAATCTTAGGCTTCAAAAGGGAAATCATCATGAGGCATCATCATGATGCATCATGAGGCATCATCATGATGCATCATGAGGCATCATCATGATGCATCATGAGGCATCAAGGTATTAATAAATTCTTTGTTCTAAGTGTCTAGAACAAAATAATAGAGTACCAATATTCATGGAACTAACATTTTTAGGATGTCATAGTATTTGTCAGCCTACATATAATGTCAGCTTACATTCAATAATGCTTACCATGAATTAGACACTAGGCTTAGTGCTTTACACACATTAATTTATTTTATCCCCCAAACACCTCTACACATGAAGTGCTATTTTTATTGTCCACATTTAGAAGAGGAAGAAATGAAGGCACAGAATGATTAAGTAACTTGTTTGAAGTAACATTGCTGATAGGCATTATAACGGACTTGAATCCAAGTGGTTTGGGTCCAGAATCTGTGCATTTAACCACCTCTAGTTGCCACTAGTGTATTGTGGAAAACAAGTACAGGAAATACAAATGGGAATAACAAGGCTTGGATCCAGGAACTTGGAAGTTGTCAGGAACGGGGGCTGTATTCTCTTGGGCTCATTTCCTCGTGGTTGTGTAGTTTATTTCCTTTCACTGCTTTACTCACTTCTCTCTGTCTGTGCAGGTTAGCATTGTCAGCTGCTTCTTGAACACAGGTGAAGATGGTCACCTCTCTATGGCGGCCTCAGCTCTTACCCGTACATCAAGACTATTCTAGCAACCAATTGGGAGCTTGAGTGCCCATTTTAAATTCTCAAAGGATAAAGAGCCTGATTGGCCCAAATTGTCTCAGGTGTCTCTCTACTCCTTGTCTAATCAGCCATGGTGAGACAGGTAGGGGCTTTGTATAACATAAACAAGGCTATAGGGGCCCAACACAGTGGGTAGAATCATTCCCAGTTTAAGGGGTGATGTGGGTGAGGCATATCAAAAATATCTCCCGCATCTACCTCAATCAAGGTATTACGTAATGAGATCATTGATGACACTAATCCTGAATAGGTACAATTTTGGGGAAAACATGTTGAAATCTTAACCCCCCATGTTACTGTTTTTGAAAATGGGACCTTTAAGGAGGTAGTTAAGTTTAAATTAGGCTATAGTATAAAGTTCTAATTCAAGATAACGGGTGTCGTTACAAGAAGAGAGAGAAACCATGTATGTGCTCATACAGGGAAAAGCCTATCTGAGGATACAGAGAAAAGATGGATCTCTGCAAGCCAAAGACAGAGACCTTAGGAGAACCTAAACTTGCTGACACATTGATCTCGGACTTGCAGCCTTCAGAATTGTGGGAAATAAATTTTTGTTGTTTAAGTCACCCATTCTGTGGTATTTAATCAAATCCCTAGTAAACTAATACATCATGTAACCTCTGTGTGCCCCTATCTGTAATACATGGTTTGCAAAAGAAGGGTACTGCAAATGATACTTGTACTGGTTTGTTTTCACCCTGCTATGAAGAACTACCTGTGACTGGGTGATTTATAAAGGAAAGTGGTTTTTTTTTTTTTTGTTTTGTTCTGTTTTTTCTGTTTTTTTTTTTTTTTTTTTTTTTTTTTTTTTTTTTGAGACAGACTCTTGACTCTGTCGCCCAGGCTGCAGTGCAGTGGCACGATCTCGGCTCACTGCAAGCTCTGCCTTCCGGGTTTACGCCGTTCTCCTGCCTCAGCCTCCCAAGTAGCTGGGACTACAGGCACCCGCCGCCACACCTGGCTAATTTTTTGTATTTTTAGTAGAGACGGAGTTTCACCATGTTAGCCAGGATGGTCTCGATCTCCTGACCTCGTGATCCGCCTGCCTCAGCCTCCCAAAGTGCTGGGATTACAGGCGTGAGCCACCGCACCTGGCAAAGGAAAGTGGTTTGATTGACTTACAGTTCTGCATGGCTGGGGAAGCCTCAGGAAACTTACAATCATGGCAGAAGGGGTAGCAAACACATCCTTCTTCACATGGTGGCAGGAGAGAGAAGTGGGCAAAATCCTCTTATAAAACCATCAGATCTCCTGAGAACTCACTCACTATCATGAGAACAGCGTGGGGGAACTGCCCCATGACCTAATCACCCCTCACAAGGTTCCTCCCCCAACATGTGGGGATTACAATTCAAGAGATTTGGGTGAGGACACAGAGCCAGACCATATCAATACTCTTTGTGGGTTTTTCTAAATCTAAGCTCAGATGATTCTGCTTGAGTATGGTATTGTGTTTGTATAATGTGTGTTGGCCATATTGATTAAAAGTAATACATATCTTTGGGAGTTATGAGACAATTTCATGTAAAATCTATTTTGTTGGTTTAACTCATTTTGTCGGCTTTAACTCATTTTGTCTATTTTGTTAAGACATAAAAAACAAAGATTCAGTGATGTGACTTCACTACTTTTTTTTTTTTTTTTGAGATGGAGTCTTACTCTGTCACCAAGGCTGGAGTGCAGTGGCACCATCTCAGCTCACTGCAACCTCCACCTCCCAGGTTCAAATGATTCTCCTGCTTCAGCCTGCCGAATAGCTGGGATTACAGGTGCCCACCACCACACCTGGTTAATTTTTGTATTTTTAGTAGAGATGGAGTTTCGCCATGTTGGCCAGGCTGGTCTCGAACTCCTGACCTCACGTGATCCACCCACCTCAGCCTCCCAAAGTGCTGGGATTACAGGCTTGAGTCAGCACCCCTGGCCTGACTTCACTACATTTTTTTGGGATGCCACGTCTGTTGACTGAGAGCACACCAAAGCTGACAAACAGCTGCTATGAATTTAGTAACATATTTAAGCATTTCTTGATCAAAATGAACGAAAATATCTGATTTTTAACCCTTTGGTCCCAGTTGTGTCCTGTAATGTTTGATTTATTTGGTTAATATCACTTTGAAAAATAAGGCCTATAGAATAGAATCCAATTCTCTAAATATGGTTGAACCAGGGAGGAAAAGCTGTGGACAATCAGTTTTTATTAATGTAGCTCGTGATTACATTAGCTCTTTTGGTAGACATTTCTCCTGCAGTTGATCTGATTATCACTTCTTCAGAAAGTTTCTCTTTTATGTCTTTCCATACAAACCTATGCAGTATTCTATTACACAGAGATTTGTAATCATTTATTGTCTTTTTCTCTCACATGGCTCTGAGCAATTTGAAAGCAAAGTCTATGTTGTTTATTTTCACTGCAACTTCAGTGTCTAAAACAATGTCTGGATACTAGAAATATACAGCATACATTTGCTGAATTACATAAATGAATAGAATTGTTTTGAAAGTTAAAATGTTTACAAATAAACAGTTATTATTATGCTTCTGCATGTATATGGGGCAATTTTATGGCTGTTCTGAATTATCTTAAACTCTGTCTGGTGGAGTGTATTCTTGAGGAACAATTTCAAGTAAGCAGCTTGAAGATAGTTGCAAATGCATAGGAGGTCTTTGGAAGAATTATTTTATGTTCAAACCAATATGAGATAGTTTTATGTCTCAGTGTTGGCCAGAAAAAAAATTTGAATAATACGACTATATCAAATTTATGTGCTAATTATTTATGACTCTGCCTGTTGGGAGGGAGGAGGGGTAAGGAGGGATGGAAGGAGAGAAAGGGGGAGAGAGAGAAAGAAAGAGAGAGAGGGATATGAACGGAGAAGGGCAAGTGAGGAAAGGGTGAGAAGAAAGATAAAAATGTACAAAAAAGGTTAGGTCCCTTTGAAGGGCTAATAGAGGGGACCAACTGGGAAATGGATTATAGAGCACAGAATTATTAGATTAAGGAACCCTTGTTATTAAACATGATCTAGCTCTTCTTCACGTAGCCAGGAAAGCTTTCACAGATCAGGTAATATTTGAGTTTAGCCTCAAAGAAGGAAGGGGAAGTGGTCTTTTTGGCAGAGAAGAAGGGCAATTCATATGACTAATTTAATTGTTACTTTTTAGCTTTCCAAAGTTCAGTTTTTTATTGAGGTTTTCATTCTCTTCGTGACTGAAACCAACTCCCCTGAGTGGAAAACATTTCTTTTATGTTCTAGAGTGAGGAGATGACACCTAGACTGAAGTAGCAGCAGTAATGAGCTGACAGCCTCACATCTACTTTTGGTGTGCCGTGAATAAGCCATATGATCTTAGGCAAGTCCCTTACTCTTTCCAGGCCAAACAGGTTGGCCTACATAATCTTCTCTGTTCCCGTCCGCTTCTAAGAATTTGTGAGTCTTTGGAACAATATACTGGACCCTGGTATTAAGGGGATTTTTACATTTCAGTGCTAGAAATTGTCTTTCCCTGTCCTCCCACCGCTCCCTTGCCCTTTTTCTACTTCCCCATCTTACCGTAGTCCTGGGGGACTCCTTTTGTCCCCCAAGGAGTAAAATTACAGTCAAGGCCAAGGAAGCATTTTTATTCACTTTCTAACTGGAGTTTGCCTCCTACAAAGGAGGCTGGTCCTTTAACAAAAAAAAAAAATAGAGCAGGGCAAGAGGGCGCGGCCAAGGGATCAGGCTTTTATCCGGGAAAGTTACCCGAAGGCCAGCTATATGGCATCCTGGGATTTGCAGTTCCTTTTCGGGACTCTCTCCCTTGGTAATTCCTTGATCATGAGGCCGAGATGGACTACAACTCCCAGAGGGCCAAGCGGCGGCAGCGGGGTCCTGTACTCTTGCTGTGGCTGGGCGGCTAGTTCAAGTTGCCATAGCTGCGAGTCTGGGGAGAGCACAGTCGGTTGAGTCGCTGCGTTTGGTCAGTTGCACCTTCTGGGTCACTGGTAGCCGCGGGAGCCGGGTGGGGCCTAGGCGATGATCCGGCATTAAGGAGCTGGGATCATCCTCCGTCTCAGGTACCTGCCCCCACCTCCCCCTTGCCCTTTTTCGACCACTTCCCCGTCTTACTGTAGACGTTTTAGTCCCACTTCCCCTCGTCCCAGGGGTGGGGACCTCAGAGCGGCGCGGGATCTGGGGTGGGGCCGTGGATGGGTGGAGTGTGTGCAGAGGTGAGGGGAGACGGCGCGCCTGTCATCCCGAGGCCTCCCTCCCTCGGCAGGGGTGTCCGCGGTCAGGTCCTGGCCAGGTTACCCAGCGAATCTGGACTACATTGTCCTTCCTTTGGGAGCAGCTTGCTCTACCGCTAGCATCTGTGAAGCTTTAAGGGACAGGAGATTGGACTCATTCGGTAGGTCCTCCAGAGGACCGTCTGACATTTGCTTGCCTGTCCTGCAAGCAAATTTGATTTTTTTTTTAATACCTGTTTTGTAGTCACAGAAAGCGTGCTACTCTCGGGAACGCTTTATTAGTGACCTCTCTTTCCCGTGCCATCATAGGATTTGCTCCAGCCTTAGCTGTTAGCAGTCCCTTAATTGAATTATTTCGTAAAAATACCTGACATTGAATCCCAGCTGCATCTTTTATTGGTTTGATGGAGCCAATCTGTTATGTAGGCGTCTGGTAAAACTTTACCATTAATTGCAGCATTGATTTGAGTATTATGTAAAGTATCTAGCACAGTGCCTGGCACCCTGCAAGTGCTCAGCATTTGTTGTTTATTTTTTATTAATTATGCAGATTAGTGTTGTCTAATACAAATACAGTGTGAGCCACTCAGGTGAATTTAAATTTTGTAGTACCCACATTAAAAAAGTAAAAAGAAACTGGTGAAATTAAATAATAGTTTATTTAGCGCAATATAGAAAAATGTTTTCAATGGAGTAAATATAAAACTTATTGAGATTTTTACTTTTTTTTTTTTGAGGAGTCTGGCTCTGTCGCCCAGGCTGGACTGCAGTGGCGCGGTCTGGGCTCACTGCAACCTCCACCTCTTGGGTTCAAGCGATTCTCCTGTCTCAGCCTCCGGAGTAGCTGGGATTACAGGCACTCGCCACCATGCCTGGCTGTACATTAAAAAAAAAAATATTTTAAGTCATCAAAATCTCTTGTGTATTTTACATGTATAGCACATGTCAGTTTGACCTGGCAAGAGCTAGAGCTCAGTAGCCATGTGTCTAGTGACTGCTGTACTGGACAGCACTAGAGATAAGGTTAAAACTTTGGCAGTTTCACATTGGCACACATAAATTTGGTTGTGCCTATGACTCATTTCATGGGTGATGGTGGCTGTTTTGTTAGAAGAGTGAAGTGTGCACTGTGCCTATGTTCTCTCAGCGTATCTTGTCTGCCATTGCATAACCTGGGTCTCTTTGAACTGTTTCTTGACAGTTTATTTTGATTAACTTTTTCAGAATACCTTTTTTTTTTCTTGAAATGGTTTATAGATGTATTCCCAGATCTACCTTTTATGTAGACAACTCCCAGTTCTCTGGATCACTTCCTGTGGATTCTTACAGATTGCTTTGAAAGCAGTCACAATTAATTGAAAATATTTCTGTCCACAGCTCTTTTCTACAACCAAAGGCATTTTATTCTTATTTATTTAATTGTAGCACTGAGTATGGGAAGAACTGGGCATCTTATAAAATATTTCCTTTAGGAGTGTTAGACTGGCTTGGAAGTATAATTGGGTCACCACATTCAGCAGTAACATGTTAACTGTATTACCTGACTTAGTTACCAACTTTTAGACATGCTCATACATAGTACTTTTTGGCTAGACTTGGGCTGCGGTTCACACTGGAGCATGAACTCTCTGGCAAGCCCCAGGGATGCCCAGGCATGGATGGAAGTCACCAGTGACAATATGTGGGCTGGGCACTTGGATGTGAAGAATTGTAGTGAGGTCTCTTGGGCTTTTGAATCATTCTAGGAGCATTTTCTCTATTCTGTGTTATGCCATAGTCTGTACATAGGGACTTAATTTTCATATTTCATTATTTAAAAATGTTTAAAGTTGTAGGTATGTCTTACCCCCTTGTTTTGTTTATTTGTAGGTGGTTTGGGGAAAGTGTAGGGGCAACCAAAGATCATCGGCTTGACTAGGCCCTTTGCCCTGAACCTCATGAAGAAATGATAGGAGGCAGACATATGTGCCTAAAAAGAGCGTTGAGCTCAGAGAAGAGCAACTCGGAGTTTTGGGGGTGTGCTTTGTAAGTATGCTTTCTCCCTGAGTTTCTGAGATAACACATTTTTTGCATATTTATGGTAGAAAAGACTATGCCAAGAAATAGAGTTTTGGGAGCAAGAAGCCCCTTCTAATATATGGTTTAAAAATAAAATATCGAATGATTGTGTATGCAGTGTTGCAAAAATTCAGATGAACAAAGTAGATAAGTTGAGATATCCTTTATAACCTTAACAAAAGCAACAGTGATGTACCTGTTTCTATTAAGCAAGGAATTGAGAACCTGCTTTGTCTCAGGCATTCTGTCAGACACCTTTTACAGGCATTATATAATTCCTTTACCATGCTTATCTTTTACAAAGGAGACAGTTGAGTCTCAGGTTATTTAATTTGCTTGGGATTCTGGAGCCAAAAGAGTGATCATTGTTCCCAGGTCTTCTGACTCCAAATTTCAGTCCCACCCACTGCCAAGGGGCTTCATTGCTGTTTATAAGTGCCCTCTAATAGAATTTGATTCACACTTAACATTTTTGGATTAAGTGGACCATATATGGCACAGTGTGCAGTTATTCATCTCTTTCAATGTTCAAAAAGTTCTATTATCTTTCTTAGTTTTTTAAAAAAAATATAGTGGTCCTTATAT
The DNA here is from genome assembly GCF_000001405.40 of Homo sapiens. Lineage (NCBI taxonomy): Eukaryota > Metazoa > Chordata > Mammalia > Primates > Hominidae > Homo > Homo sapiens. The sequence goes on along the minus strand of NC_000014.9, from coordinate 80,938,766 downwards.
TATTATTGAGGTAAGAGATCATTATAATTTGTGATTTCCATAAATAAATTCAACATGAATTATCATTGATAATTAAGGGTGTAATGTTTAAAGTTTAAATTTACAACATAGATGTAAAAATTCTGGACCTTTTTTTGGATTTCATATTGTGCTCGATAGATAAAAGGCTCTGAAACATAGAGGGGAGACACACTGCGGACTTGCAGTACTAATACTGTGTGGCCGGGCGCGGTGGCTCACGCCTGTAATCCCAGTACTTTAGGAGGCCGAGGCAGGCAGATCACGAGGTCGGGAGATCGAGACCATCCTGGCTAACATGGTGAAACCTTGTCTCTACTAAAAAATACAAAAAAATTACCAGGCGTGGTGGCAGGCGCCTGTAGTCCCAGCTACTTGGGAGGCTGAGGCAGGAGAATGGCATGAACCCAGGAGGCAGAGCTTGCAATGAGCAGAGATCGCGCCACTGCACTCCAGCCTGGGCGACAGAGCAAGACTCTGTCTCAAAAAAAAAAAAAAAAAAATACTAACACTGTGTATTAAGATCAGTGGTGTACAAAATTTATAGGATTAGGCCAGGTGCATTGACTCATGCCTGTAATCCCACACTTTGGGAGGCCAAGGCAGGAGGATCGCTTGAGCCCAGGAGTTTTAGAACACCTTGGGCAACATAGCAAGACCCCGTCTCTACAAAAAAATCAAAAAATTAGCCAGGCATGGTGGCATGTGCCTTTGGTCCCTGCTACTCGGGAGGCTGAGGTGGAATGATCACTTGAGCCCAGAAGGTCGAGGCTGCAGTGAGCTGTGATCACACTACTACATGCCAGCCTGGGTGACAGAGTAAGATGCTGTCTCAAAAAAAAAAAAAATTCTTAGGATTAAAGAATTTTAGAGCTGGATGGGGGACCTATTGGGATAATCTGGTCCAGAAATTTTGGAAATAATATAAAAATAATCTAGATTTACCAGGTTATTAAAAACTATATTAGCATGTATATTATAGAATACACTATCCATGTAATGTCTCTGGGTTGATTCTGATATAAAGTAGTTACAATACATTCATACTATTGTATAGTATGTTTTTCTTTTTTCGTAAAATGTATTGTTACAGGTCAGCACTTACCATTCAACCTTGTCTCTTTTAGCAGATACATAGTATCCCAGTGATTAGATACATTTATTGTATGCTTATCCAGTGGATTTATATTTTTTTCTTATTCTTTTACAACTGTAAAAAAATTCATTCACTCTGTTGCCCAGGCTGGAGTGAATGAATGTGCTCATGGATGAATGGATGAGTGAATTAAAATTTCTGAAGAATTTCTACAGTGAAATTCTTATGCATATGTCTATACATAAAATATATATAAATATTTTATCTTCCTAGGTTAATAGTCATAGAAATAGATTTTCTGGGTCAACGTCTATGTATATTACAGATTGATTGAGACAGGGTCTCACTCTGTCACCCAGGCTGAAGTGCAGTGGTGCTATCTTGGCTCACTGTAGCCTCTACCTCCCAGGTTTGAGAAATCCTCTCACATCAGCCTCCCGAGTAGTTAGGACTACAGGTGTGCACTACCACACCTGGCTAATTTTGTTTTATTTTTTTGTAGAGACAAGGTCTCACTGTGTTGCCCAGGCTCATCTCGAACGCTTGGGCTCAAGCAATCCTCCTACCTTGGCCTCCCAAAATACTGTGATTACAGGCATGGGCCACTGCGCCTGGCCCGTATTATTTATTTTTACTTGTATTGCCAGGTTGTTCTCCAGAAAAGCTAATGTGGTTTTTTTTTTTTAAATTTTTAATTTTTGTGGGTACATAGTAGATATACATGCTAATGTAGTTTTTATAGTTAATACTCTTACAACAAGGTATAACCTTGCTAACCCTGCGAGTGAGAGGTTTTTTCATCTGTATAAAACAGATAGATAAGAATATCATTTTATTATTTTAATTTGTAATTATTTAGTGAAATAACAAATAACATTTGTTAGGGTCATTTGATTTCTGTGAATTGTCTGCTTATGTATCTTTTGAGTCTTTTACAACTGGACTGTTCTTTTTCTTGTGTTTTTGAAAGAGCTGATTAACCCTTTGGTTCCCATATAATGCAAATATTTTTGTGAGTTTTTCTTTTAGTTTTTAAAGCTTGTTTCTGGTATCTTGTTATCACTAATTATGAATGACTCAGAGACTTGTCAGGCCTTTATCGGATATGCACACCTCTCTGAAATTTCTATAATGCTAGTGCTTGGGGTATTTGGGAGATGGGAGTATTTGTGGTTACATGAATCCATTTAATTCATTCTGATAAACATTTTCCCATCCCTCCTTCCCTCCTTCCCTGTCTTCCTTCCTTCCTCTCTTTCTCTCTTTCTTTTGAGATGAAGTCTTGTTCTGTAACTCATGCTGGAGTGCAGTGGTGTCATCTTGGATCACTGCAGCCTCGACCTCCCAGGTTCAAGTGATCCTCCCACTTTGGCCTGTCAAAGTGCTGTGATTGCAGGCCTGAGCCACTGTGCCTGGCCTGATAAACATTTAGAATCTACTCTGCATACAGGGTTTGCTGTGAAACAGGTGCTCATGAATGGATGAATAAGTGCTTGTGAACGAATGTGCTCATGAATGAATGGATGAGCTTTAATTCTGTACTTCCCAGGCACTGGTCCATTTGATTCTGTCTCCTGCTCTGAAGTGCTGGAGCAGGGTGGACTCCTGATGAAATTAGAGCAAAAATACAGCCTGGAACTGAGCCTGCTAGGTTTTGGTTATGGAATAGAGATGTCTGTGTGTAAGAAAGCTTTCTACTTTTTTGAGTTTGGGCAAGTTAACTTTTGGAAGTTGTTTCCTTACCTGTCATATTGATTACAGCTATGTTTACTCTAGGGCTACTGTTGGGGTTACATTAGTTAATACAAGTAAAGTGCTTAGAACAGAGCCTGGCACAGAAAAGGGCCATTTAATTGTTGAATTATTAGTATTATTGCTTATTTTGGCTTCTACCATGATGACCACCACCACCACTACCATCATTATTGTATTCTTTAAAAACGATTAATTTCTGTTTCACTTAAGCTAGCTCATGTGTGTTCTGTTTTTTTTTTTTTTTTTTTTTTGGTGGGGGGACTCATAGCTTGAATACAACAATAAGTACTTTATTTTTATTTATTTATTTATTTATTTATTTATTTATTTATTTATTTATTGAGACAGACTCTTACTCTGTCTTACTCCAGAAGGCTGGAGTGCAGTGGTGCAATCTCGGCTCACTGCAACCTCTGCCTTCTGGGTTCAAACAATTCTCCTGCCTCAGCCTCTCAAATAGCAGGGATTACAGGTGCTCAGCACCACACCCAGCTAATTATTGTAGTTTTAGTAGAGGCAGGGTTTCACCATGCTGGCCAGGCTGGTCTTGAACTCCTGACCTCAAGTGATCCACCCACCTTGGCCTCCAAAAGTGCTGGGATTATAGGCATGAGCCACTGTGCCCAGCCAAGCACTTTATTCTTATCAGCTTATTTTGCTTTTAGGGAAGAGTACCTTTACTCATTGGTATACCTGTTTTTCATTTGTTTGTTTGTTTTTGTTTTTTGCTTTCTCACCACTGCCATTTACATGTAACAAGTGTACTGATTAAAAAGTTGGGTTTCGGAAATAGTCTTCTTGCCTGGATTTGAATCCTGGCTCTGCCACTTAAGTTACTTTGCTCCTTTAAGCCTTAGTTCTGTTTTCTGTAAAATGGGGATGATAATAATAATGTTATGAGGATCAAATGAGAGAGCATACATAAAGCACTTAGTACAGAAATTAGTCCATAGGAAACTGTAAATCAATAGCTATTATTATTTCAATAAAGTTGAACATTATTATGCCTTTGTATAAATGTAAGCAAGTAATATACCAGTTATAGTCTCATAATTTTACAGAAAAAAAATTAAAACAAATATTCTTTTTTGTCTTGGTTTATATATGTTTCCAGTTATGGGGTCTCCTATTTATTTAGAAGGTTGCTTTAAGATTATGGTTTGAATCCAGGCTTTTCTAGCTACTTAACTACTGGGAGCGTTAGTAGTTCTTCATTTGCAAAAAAGGGACTACTTTGTTCATTTAAGAAGTAAATATTGAATGTGCCGGACACTCAGACACTATGCTGGGGCCTGGGAATAGATGAACAAGAGCTAGTATATGCCCTCAGGGAGGTTAGAAATCCTGCCTTGTAAGATTGGCCTGAGGTTAAGCCAAGCTTTGCAGAGATACTTTACTGTATGCAAAGTATCTGTCATACCTAGGTGCTCAGTAAATGGTGGTTCTCGCGTTTGTACCTCTGATGTTCTGATTTCCAGCTATGTGCTCCAATCGTTAAATCCAGTATGTTTCTACTTTATCGATGTTTTAAAAAACATTTCCTGTTGACCTTTAATTTTAAGGTCTGCTCAATAAACTTTTGCCAAAGGATGGTCTTTGAGTTCTTAGACAAGAAATCATTATCTTCTTCCTGACCCTTAAAATTGGCTGTGCCATAGTTTGCTGAACCATCTGGTACTGTAAAGCAGTTTTAGGATGAAGGCCATTATTTGTGTAACTTATTAAGACAGGAGGCTTGAAAGCTGGGAATTAACTGCAGAGGGTGGGGGAAGTGTGTCACAGTGTTTGCAGGAAAGATGTGTAGCACATCCTCAGCTGGTGGTTGCATAGGACTCTCCACAGTAAGTGACTTGCTTGCATGGATCCTAATGGTAGGTCGGGCTTGTCTGAAGTCTGCCATCTTATTTCTTGTATATCGGACCTCCCTGGCATCAGAGTCTCAAATATTTTGCAATCTAAGGCTTATTTCCCACACATAAATATTCCTTTCTAGCTACTAATCTCTTTCTTCACATATGCAGACTTCCTAAAAGAATGATTTATACACAGTGCTTCTGCTTTTTCACCTCCTATTTACTCCACAACCTGGCATCGTCCTCACCTAAGCATTTTACTGAGACTGCTTTTGATACAGTCACTAGCACTTCCAAAGGATACTTTCTATTCCTTTTCCTACTTGACGTATTTGTTGGATTTGTCCCTCAGAGTTCACTCAGCATTTGCCCCTAAACAGATGAGACAGATGTCCCATAGTAATTTTAACAGGGAAAGCTTAACATACAGCAGAGGTTGATAAGCCATATCCCATGGGCTAAATTTAGCTTACCACAGGTCAAATCAAGCTACCCCATTCATTTATAATTGTCTGTGCTTTTGTGCTACAGCTGGCAGAGGCTCACAGTTGGGCAGAGAAAAAAAATTTGCTGACTCCTGATATAATTAACTATAAGGGGATTATCTGTAAAAGGACAGAGATGACTCTAAAGAATCCCCTGGGCTGACAGACAGTGCCCAAAGGAGATATAAACTTAGAGGGGGCTCTCTGCAAGGCTGGGATTCCTACCTTGTTGGAGGTGTGGCTATAGCTCCCTGAATGGTGGAGAGACTTACTGAGTTACTGGGGCCATAGCTGATCCACAGTTGCTGGGGAAGGAGAGGACACTGTTCCTAATTAAAGGCGGAGTGACGCTGGAAGGCAGGGAACCACACCACGAATGATGGGCAGGAAACACCTCTCCAGGATGCTGGTAGGGTGAAGCTGGGGGATTGACTGTGAGGTTGTCTGTCAGATTCAGTAAGAATCTGAGTAGGGGGTGGGGCTACTGAAACTTGATGGGAAGCTGCCCAATGTGGGTACTGCTGAAACTTGATGGAGTTGAGTACCACTGGATATCCTCACACAGGATGCTGAAATGAAAATGCAACAAATGGAAAACATGGAACCAGAAAGAGAAGCGCCTTCCTTCTGCAGTGTCCTTTTAAAAAATCATTATTATTATTATTATTATTTGGTTTCAATAGCTTTAGGGCAGGGGTCCCCAACCTTTTTGGCACCAGAGGCACTTTTCATGGAGGACAATTTTTTCACAGACTGGGAGGCAGAGAGAAGGATGGTTTTGGGATGATTCAAGTGCATTGCATTTATTGTGTACTTTATTTCTGTTATTATTACACTGTAATATATAAAGAAATAATTATGCAACTCACCATAGAGTCAGTGGGAGCCCTGAGCTTTTTTTTCCTGCAACTAGACAGTCCCGTCTTGGGGTCATGGGAGACAGTGACACCCAAAGTGTGTTGCTTACGTCCATTCTACTCTGTAGTCTCATTTTTGTTGCTGTCACTGCAGAAAAACCTGCTTCACAAAGATAAGATGTTGGAAATGGAAGCAGGCTTTTTGGTGCACAAGGCAATCTCAGGATATTTTGCCTTGACTTAAATCCAGAACATATAGAGGTTTGAAGTTGTCTCAGACATACTTTTAAGGCCAGAGTCATTTGCAATCTCAGGAAGTTGATCCTCTTCTAGCATGGACAAAGTTGATTCACCTGGTTTATTTACAAGTGGGTTGCGGAACCATTTCTTCCCAATTTGGGGATCTTTTATGGTTGAGAAGTATGTTGGTCCATTCTCATGCTGCTATGAAGAAATACCCGAGACTGGGTAATTTATAAAGGAAAGAGGTTTAATTGACCCATAGTTCCGCATGGCTGCGGAGGCCTCAGGAAACCTACAATCGTGGTGGAAGGGATGCAAACACATCCTTCTTCACATGGCATCAGGAGAGAGAAGTGCCAGGTGAAGGAGGAAAAGCCCCTTATAAAACCATCAGATCTTGTGAGAACTCACTACTATCATGAGAACAGCATGGGGGTAACTGCCCCTATGAGTCAATTACCTCCCACCAGTCTCTCCCACGACACATGGGGATTACGAGAACTACAATTCAAGATGAGATTTGGGTGGAGACACAGCCAGACTATATTAGGAAGTAATACTCAAACTCCTTTGAAAGCTGAGATAGATGATCATACACCAGCTGGGAGAAAGAAGGCCCTGGCTCAGTCTCTTTCAAAATCTCTGCTAATATTTGAAACATGTCAAAAATCCCAATGTTCACTGGTTGCCCCCATAATTCTAGTTTTCTCTGAATGCATCCACTTTATCTGCTGACTTGAACACAGTTGTCGTTTTCCCGTGAAGTGACAGGTTGAGTTTGTGGAGCAGGTTGAATTTGAATATGTCAGTCACACAAGTAAACAAGTTTTACAACCCATTCTGTGTCACTGAAATGTGCTGCCAGTAGTGACTGTATTTCTAAAAGAACTCTCTGGAGCAGCTGTTGTAACTCAAAATCTCTGGCCAGTGATCTACCTTTAGAAAGCCATCTCACTTCTGTGTATAAGAGATGATGTGTGTGCTCTGCATCTCCTCACAGAGCTGCAAGAACAGACATGAGTTAAGGGCATGTACTTTAATGTGGCTGATAATTTTAATCACATCCTGCAAAACGTTGTTAGGTTCAGGTGACATTGTTCAGCTACCCAGCATTTCTCCATGGATGACACAGTGCATAGACTCATATTCAGAAGCACCCTCTTTGACTTGAGTAGTGAAACCAGCAAGCCGTTCAGTCATGGCAGCTGCTTCGTCTGTGCACATACCAACACAAAATGACCAATGTGGTTTTCCTGTTAGGTAATCATTCAAAGACTTTAATAGTTCTGCAGCTGTGGTGTTGGTTGGCAACAAAAGTACGCATATCGTATCCTCATGCACATCCTCCTGAAAAATATATCACATAAAAACAAGCATTCTTGCCTTATCGTCAACATTGACAGGCTCATCAACCTGGATTGCATACCACGATGACTCATTAATCCTCTTTAACAGTTGTACCTCACTATCCTCTGTTATTTCATCATTCATCTAGTTATAGTGCTAGCCAAAAGAGGAACACGTGCCACCTTTTGAACTGCAACCTCTCCTAAAAGTTCATGACAAATGTCCTTAGCAGCAAGCAGGTCAACTCTTCACCAATAGTAAAGGACTTCTTAGCTTTAGCAATGTGGTTAGCCACTGAGAATGATGCTCGCAGTACAGATGCATTTGATGAAGTGGTGGCCTTCAATAATTGCTTCTGTTCTTTGTGTTCATGTTTTTTTCTTTTGAAAAACTCCAGAGGCTTGTCTTTTAATGCAGTGTGCATGGTCTCCATGTGGTGAAGCAGTTTTGAAGGTTTCGTGGCTTTATTGCATAGCTGGTCATCACATACACAAAGCAGGCTTGGAGAAGGCGAATCACCTGTTGCAATGAACTCTTAATTTAAGGAGGACTCTTGGTAATTTTTTTAAATGGAGTTTTCTTCTTGTTGGCACTTTTAGCATCTTCTGCTGTCCCATCATTGGATCTTTCCCCCTTTTCAAAGAAGCTCTCCAGTGACATTTGTTTTTTACTCATTTTGGCTAGGGGTAGCTTGCGGGCTTACCAAAACAGTGACTGAGACAAGTGCATAGTGCAGGAAAGAGGTATGGACAGAAGTGGTAAATAAAATAATGGGCGGGCCATGTGCGGACTGAAGTATCAGATCCTGACTTAAAGCCTGCCGCCAGATGCAGCTTGTCACTTGCCACTCACTGATAGGGTTTTGATATGAGTCTGCAAGCAGTAGATTTACTACGGTCTCTGGGCAGTCAAACCTCTCTGCTAATGTTAATTTGTATTTGTAGCTGCTCCCAGCACTAGAATCACCACCTCAGCTCCACCTCAGGTCATCAGACATTAGATTCTCATAAGGAACACACAACCTAGATCCCTTGCATGTACAGTTCACAGTAGAGCTTGTGCTCCTAGGACAATCTAATGCCACCGCTGATCTGACAGAAAGTGGAGCTCAGGTGGTAATGCAAGTGAAGGGGGCAGCTGTAAATACAGATGAAACTTTGCTCACCCACCCGCTGTTCACCTGCTGCTCTGCATCCCGGTTCCTAACAGGCCACGGACTGGTAGTGGTCCTTGGCTCATGGCTGGAGACCCCTGCTTTAGGATGTAAGTGGTTTTTGGTTACATGGATGAATCGTATAGTGGTGAAGTCTGGGATTTTAGGCACCTGTCACCTGAGTAGTGTACATTGTACCCAATAGGTAGTTTTTCATCCCTCAACCCCCTCTCACACTGCCCCCTTCCAAGTCTCCAGTGTCCACTCTACCACTCTGTATGTCTTTGTGTACTCATAGCTTAGCTCCCACTTGTAAGTGAGAACATGAAATAGTTGGCTTTTGATTTCTGAGTTACTTAGAATAATAGCCTCCAGTTCTAACCAAGTTGCTGCAAAATACATTATTTTGTTCTTCTTTATGGCTGAGTAGTATTCCATGGTATACATATATACCACATTTTCCTTATGCACTCATCAGTTGATGGGCACTTAGGTTGATTCCATATCGTTGCAATTGTGAATTGTGCTGTGACAAACATAGATGTGCAGATGTCTTTTTGACATAGTGACTTATTTTCCTTTGGGTAGATACCCTGTAGTGGGATTCCTGATTCAAATGATAGATCTACTTTTAGTTCTTTGAGAAATCTCCATACTATTTTCCATAGAGGTTGTACTGATTTACATTTCCATCAGTAGTGTATAAGCATTCTCATTTCATTACATCCACACCAATATCTATTGTTGTTTGACATTTTAATAATGGCCATTCTGCTGGGATAAGATGGTATCTTATTGTGGCTTTCATTTGGATTTCTCTGATTAGTGATGTTGATCATTTTTTTTCATGTTTGTTGGCCATTTGTATATCTTCTTTTGAGAACTGTCTGTTTATGTCATTTGCCCACTTTTTAATAGGATTACTTTTTTTTTTCTGATATGTTTGAGTTCCTTGTAGATTCTGGATATTAGCCCTTTGTTGGATATATAATTTGCAAGTATTTTCTCCCATCCTGTAGGTTGTTTGCTCTGATGATTATTTCTTTTGCTGTGCAGAAACTTTTTAGTTTAATTAGGTCCCATTTATTTTTGTTTTTGTTGCATTTGCATTTGTGGTCTTAGTCATAAATTTGTTGCCTAGGCCAATGTCCAGAAGAGTTTTTCCTAGGTTTTCTTCTTAAATTTTTTATAGGTTTAGGTCTTAGATTTAAATCTTTAATCCATCTCGAGTTAATTATGTATATGGAGAGTGACAGGGATCTACCTTCTTTCTCAGGAACGCCTGTGATTCTTAGGTTTGGCCATTTTACATAATTCCATATTTCTTGGAGATTTTCTTCATATCTATTCATTCTTCTTTCTTTATTTTTGTCTGATTGGGTTACTTAGAAAGCCTTGTTTTCGAGCTCTGAAATTCTTTTTTCTTCTTGGTCTAGTCTACTGTTAAGATTTTTCGCTGCATTTTGTAGTTCCCTAAATGTGTCTTTCACTTCCAAAAGTTCTGGTTTGTTTTTCTTTACAATGTCTGTCTCTTTAGAACATTTTTCATTCATGTCCTGAATTGTTTCATTAATTTCTTTATGTTGGTTTTCACCTTTCCTTTTTATCTCCTTGAATAATTTAATAATCAACCTTTTGAATTTTTTATCTGGTATTTCAAAAATTTCATCTTGGTTTGGATCCATTGCTGGAGAGTTAGTGTGATCTTTTGGGAGTGTTATAGAACTCTGTTCTTTCATATTGCCAGAATTATTTTTCTAGTTTCCTTCTTATTTGGGTAGACTGTTTCTTCTAATTATTTTTGAATTTGTTTTTGATTGGACAGGGATTTTTAAAAACTTTCTTCTCCCCGCTGCCCCACCTTGAGGATGTAACTTTAATGTTTATAGTTGATTGTCACCTAGTTTTGGCTTTGGGTACTTTCAATGGCAAAGACTCTGTGTGAGTTTCCTGGTTATAGAAAATCTTTGTGTGATGGCTTTCTCTGATGCTGGTTGTAGTAGCGATGTGCTGGGTGTGTGAGCAGGTTTACTCTCTCCTGTGGGGCTGGAATGGTAGAAATCTTATGAAGCTTATCTCATTCCTCAGAGGTATGCACTTAAAATTTTATTTTCCTGTTGTTTTATTTACTGGGTTGAACAGTTCAGGCTTCAGGCCAGTAGGAGGTGCCCATGGTGAAAAACAGCTACAACTAAAGCAGTTGGGTAAATGCAGTATCCCAGTGGTGGGCAGAGGTCACAGCCTCAACAGAGATGGCTGGGAAAGCTCTCAGTGAAATGCACTGAGGTCTTTTTGGTGGGCAAGGGAGGGAGCCACCACAGCCTCCCTTCTGGGCCACTGGGAAAGCAATCCACCTCCCAGTCACACTCTGCACGAAGTGCTCTGGCTATTCAGATCAGACAGGCACCTCTTTTCATGCATGTAGAGGCGGACTGTGACTCTAGCTGTCTTGCAAGCCTGAACCTGGAGGACATTCCTCTTGTGGGGGTGCAGTCACCCTGAAGTGTTATGGAAAGGCTGTCTACAGATGCACCCATGCCATGCTCCTGTGGGAGGAGCCCCAGCTGTGTCTGCAGTGCTGAGTGAGGGGGAGAAATAGTTCCCTTTTCCAAGATCCTTCATGAGCACCAGGGCTGCCTGACAATTGGGGTAGAGCCACATACTTTTCCTACTGAGCCCAGCACTGCACCTGTGCCTCTGCTGAAAGAAACTTCCCACAAGTGGAAGGTTCAGGGACTCAGAGCCTGCAGTCCGGTTTCTTTTGTCCGACGGGGTGTCTGCCCTCTTAATGTGGTACACGCCCCCTTACCCTAGGAGTAGCAGTTTCTGACGGCCAGACCACTGTGAATCTTGCTGCTGCTCTGGGTCTAGCCACCTAGTGGGGCTGCCGCACTCTGGGCTGGAGCTGGAGAATGTCTAAAAGGGATCCACTGCTGTAAACTGTCCTCCAGTTTCCCAACAGTGAGTACTAGCATGGCTCTGATGGGGGTGAGAGGAGAGTGACATAGACTCTGTGAGATTTCCTTGGTTATAAATAGCCTTAGTGTGTTGGCTTTCTCAAATGCCAGCTGTAGTAGTAATGTACTGGGGCTGTGGACAGACTCAAGGCCTCCTGGTTAACCAGGGTGATGCAGGCAATGGTGGTAGCTGAGGTCATGCAAAAAGTTTTCTCCTTCCTGAGCACTGTGATGTGCCTGCAGATATTGTAATGGGCTGTGCTGGTTTGCTTCCAGCCTGGAGGTGGTGCTTGCAAAAGAGCAACAGTTGCAGTATCAGTGGTGGGATTTGTGCTTGCCTTATGTTACCCAGGGGAGGTATTCTAGTGTCTCAGGCAATGGGTGGGGCCATGGAGCATGCAAAAGTCTCTGTCTGTTGTGTTAGGCTACCAGAGTAGGTGGATGGGCAAAGCTAGTTGGGGCTGGGTCAGGCAAGTCCACACTCTGGCTCCCCACGTTTGAGTGCAAATAGTGGCTCCAATGGGGATTAGAGGGCAGTTCCCTGGTCGCAGGGGTAATGTTCCAGGGAGGAGCACAGCTACGTCTGCTGCACAGAAGAATCCACAAGGGGAAGGGTGTGGTAGCGGGTGGCAGTAAGCCCCACTCAGCTCCCATGAACTTGGCAAGGCAGGTCTCATACCCACAGTGTTGTGCTAGCAGTAGCTAGCTGGGTTCCAGGCAGCCCTCAAAACTGTCCCAAGCCATAAGTGTTCCCAACTGACACAGAAACCAGCTTTTAGGTCGTGCCCCTCCTGGTCAGCCCATGAAGTAGAGGCACCCAGGTCCTGTGCCTGTGGCTATAGCACACTTTCTGCCCACCCCTCGGTTCTGACCAAGGGCATTTGTCCCCACTAAAGATTATATCACAGGTCTCAGTTGGGAGCTTCTCTCAACCTGTGACCACTGCCTCAGTTAACCAGCAGACTTCAGGTGAGGTCCCCTGTGAGGTAGGATCAGGAATGGCTTCCCTCTGTCCCTGCTTGGTTCTGGGAGTAAACACGGTTCGATGCTGCTCCTTTTCATAAAACCTCACTGCTCACTAAGTAGCACCAGCGCTAGGTAGGGTTAAGGTGTTCCCCTGTGGCCTGGATTGCTCGGCTCCCCAGTGGGAGAGTGTATCATGGAGGCAGTCTCTCCTCCCCACTCATGCTCTGGCAACTCCCAGTTTTCCTCCTGGTTTATCATGTAGACTACTGCCCACTGCTTCTTTCAAAGGGTTTGTGGTTTCTTTCAGTGTTTTTTAAGTTCCTGTGTTGCTTCTTGGAAGAAAGTTCATAGCATGACTTTCTACACACTATTTTGTTTATCCCAGTGGGAGAGGCATGCCAATAATGCCTCCATTCCACTATCTTGGAGAAAAAAAAAACCAAAAAAACAAAAAACCCTTCCAACACTTTCTATGACAAAGTTTAACATCACACTAGCTACAAAGGAGAAATATTTAAAGGCCTCAGCTCTGTTTGCAAAGAGCAGACAATGAAGGATGGATTTGGAGTTGAAAGGCAATTCATTGATTACTGGGAAATTCTAACAGTTTTTTTCTCACTTTTTTGAAACCCTTCTTTTCATAACTTCTGTTGTACAATTTCCCCTAGTTTTTCACCTACTTCTCATGTTTCTTCTCAATCTCATTGGCCACCTCCTCTGTCTGCCTTTTGTATGTTGGAGTTCTTGCGGGGTTTTCTTTGGTTCTACTTCTTTTCTCACTGTGCATTTTTTTTCTTGGTGGTCTTATCCACCCCTATACTGATGACTATCAAATATTTCCTTAGACTCACATATCCGGTTGCATATTAGACATCTTTAGTTTGATATTTCCTCCCATGAAACACAAATTGATCCTCTCTTTCTAATTGAAGCTTAGACAAGTTCAATTTAGAACATATGTTCTCCTAAAAGCTCTTTCTTTTCATTGATTTCTTTGCTCAGTTTAATAGTTCAGGATCCATCCAGCTACCAAAACCAGAAACTTGTGATTCATCTTTTACTCTTTTACCTTGCCATCAGAGTTAATTCATCCCTGCTATACTTCATCTCCACTGCCATTGTCTTAGGTGCTCACCATTCATTACCTAATGATTGCAACAGCCTCCCAGCTGTTCTACTGTTGATGTGCTTATTACCATGTCACTCCCCACTCAGGATCCTTCAGTTTTTTTTCTTTAGTTATAGTAGTGGCTTTCAAATGTTTTTATTTTCTTTTGAAAATAGTAGAATCATTAAAAAAAACCCCCATGAAACCATAGAATGAAAATCAGACGAGGGCAGAACTTCCCTGGTAGAAGGATGCAAGAGCTCAGCTTATTTGGATCCTGTCTACTTTTCTCTAGACAGGTTTTAAGTGGATCCTATTTCCTTGTCTCATCCACCTGTCAAACTTATGTGCATCCTTCAAGATGAGTGGAAAAATCCTAACCTGACTCCCCAAGGATTTTGTTGTATTACTTAGCTCACCGTTTATAATACACTTAAATGTCCTTCTCTCCCATCAAGACTATGACTTATTTATTTACTTTCATCTTTCATTTCTAATGTAGTGACAACTCATTAAATGATGAAAAATCAATTTAAGTATCTGATTCTGTTTCCTAATGTATTATGTTCACTAACATAACAGAACTGACTGGTGGACTGGACAGTTGATTTTGATCTTTTATAAATTTACCAAAAGACTTTGAGGAGATGAAGTTACAGAAGAGCACTGATGTAAAGAAGACAGGTACAATTGTTAATTGTTTCTGCATGGTAATGTCTCCTGGCTTATTAACTTTTTCACTAGAAGGATAAGGCAAAGCTCTCAAGTCCTACAGCTATTGAAACTCTTAGTTCATTTTCATACTGCTATAAAGATATGACATGAGATTGGGTAATTTATAAACAAAGAGGTTTAATTGACTCACAGTTCCGCATGACTGGGGAGACCTCAGGAAACTTACAATCATGGTGGAAGGTGAAGGGGAAGCAAGCTTGGACCTTCTCATATGGTGGCAGGAGAGAGAAGAGTGAGGAGCGAAGAGGGAAGAGCCCCTTATAAAACCATCAGATCTTGTGAGAACTCACTATCATGAGAACAGCATGGAGGAAACTGCCTCCATGATCCTGTCACCTCCCATCAGGTCTCTCACTAAATGCATGGGGATTATGGGGATTACAATTTAAGATGAGATTTGTGTGGGGACGCAAAGCCTAACCATATCAGAAACAGTGAGAAATACATAAAATTTGAATTTTGTTAATGATTAAGTGTAAAGTACACTCCCAATTTTCCCTTACCCCCCTAAGTATCAACACAATTACCTTGAGCATCTTCTTTGAGGATGATTACCTTGGGCAGGGACAGCTGAGGCACTTGGAGGCCACAGAAGCAATCACCTACTTAACATGCACTAGTCAGTCTTTGTGAAATATCACCCCTGATGCTGGGTGCTTATCTTTTATGGAACAGCTTGCAAATCCTAATTGTTTTAAACTGGCTCAGAGGAAAAGAGGTTTGAGAATCAATAAATTACAGCTCTCATACATACAAATGTGCATCATTATAATGAAGACAATCTGATGGCTCTTTAGGTCAAATAACAAAAGAGGTGGACTTGAGTTTGTAAAGGCTCATTGCCAATCCTCTTATTACAAAGGTTGAATTCAGTTTTACTCTCTCTAGTTGGAGTATTCAAGTTTGCATATGGGCATTTGTTTCAGATGGATAGATCCTCAGTGGGAGTGAATTGATGAGGATTTGTTATTTGCTCTGGTGGCTGTATTTCTTCTTTATAAGGTTCATTAAGACAGAAGCAACAATATTTATGCCTTTAAATACTGATTTGTTGGGAGCAGCTAAATAAGCTATTCTAAGAATTGTGATATCAGACCCAGAGCTTGCTCTAAGATTCCAGAGACTTTCTCTCAAGGTCACCCATCTTAGTCTTCTCTAGAGATTTGGAAAAAGCTCACGTCTGAAAAGCAGACGGCACAAATATTGTTGCTTTCTTGTTAATAAGAAATTTTGTTGCACCAGCAGGTGGTAGTAAGCTGCAGAAGAGTGTTCACTGCTTTTTCTCCAATTGAAAGAAATACCTTTCTCAGCTTTAACCAGAATTTAGATATTTCTGTTTCTTTAAATTGTTATTCAAGAGTTTGGTCATTCTTCAAATTTAGCAGTTCTTCCTTTTCTTTCAGCAATGTGTCATGCTGAAATTTCTTATGATAATGAGGGTAAATTTCTTATCTAATTGAACTTTTTTCTTTTAAATCTTTAAAGACAATAATGAAGATTTTCCTTGAGCATACATAAATGTTTTTCTTCTTCTACTCTTAATAATTCGTCTTTGCGCTTCAAATTATAATAGTGATTAAACATAACTTGTGAACCATTTTTAATTCGTTCTCCAAAGTAGATTTTGATGCATAAGTGATGTTGGTACACATTAATATATTTTTATATCCTCCAATTTTTATGTTCATTCTAGTAGTTTAGAATGTTTCTTTAAGTGAGTCATCTTTGAATCTAGTAACTGCACTTCAGTAAAACTACACAGCGAAAATAATATACAATTAAAATAAATTTTCTTTCAGTTCATAAGGCATGATAAGTGTTTCCTTTGGTCAGTGAATGCTCTTCAGTATGAAATAGTAAAGATTGGCACTGTGATCCCGTTTCTTCAGCTCATCAGTTGGTGAGAACTAGTGGCATGGCCCTACCTAGGTAGATGCCAGGGGACTAGGAAATAAGGTCAGGAAGTTGCCATGGAGGAAAAGGACACAGTTACCAAGAAAATGGAAGTTCTGAATATAGAGCTTTTATTTAATCAAATTTTCCAGGTCGACAGCTTGTTAATCTGCTGTCAGCCTGTTAACCGGCTATCTCTGAAGAGGTCTTTAAATTTGTTTTTGTTTCTTTTAAGTACACATTATAGTTTTCTTTCTGATTATACTCCATTTGCATTAATGTATATTAATGCAAATCATTGTAGAAAATTCATGAAATGTAGGAATTTTTTTTTTTTTTGGGATGGAGTCTCGGTTGTCGCCCCAGCTGGAGTGCAGTGGCGTGATCTTGGCTCACTGCAGCCTCCGCCTCCCGGGTTCAAGTGATTGTCCTGTCTCAGCCTCCTGAGTGGCTGGGATTACAGGCGCACGCCGCCATGCCCAGCTAATTTTTGTATTTTAGTAGAGATGGGGTTTCACCGTGTTGTCCAGGCTGGTCTCAAACTCCTGAGCTGAGGCAGTCCGCCTGCCTTGGCCTCCCAAAGTGCTAAGATAACAGGCATGAGCCACTGCGCCCGGCCGGACTGTTATTGAAAAAACAAATCAGCTATAACCTCTGGATAGTAAAGCTATTTTTGTTCTGTTTCTCCCCACTCCCTCTTTACCTCTGCCTTTCCCCACACCTCTAAATTTATATATTGGTTGTCTTAGCTCATTTTCTGTTGTTTATAAGAGAATACCTGAAACTGGGTAATTTATAAAGAAAAGGATTTTATTTCTTTCAGTTACGGAGGCTGAGAAGTCCAAGGTTGAGGGGCTGTATCTAGTGAGAACCTTCTTACTGGTGAGGACTGTCTTCAGAGTCCAGGGTATCACCTGGTGAGGGGGCCAAGCATACTTATTTCGTCTCTCTTCTTCTTGTAAAACCACCAGTGCCCACTAATCCATTACTCCATGAATAGATTAATCCATTCATAAGGGAGGAGCCTTCATGACCCAATCACCTTTTAAAGGTCCCACCTCTCAATACTGCCTCACTGGGGATTAAATTTCAACGTGAATTTTGGAGGGGACATTCAAACCATAGAACTGGTAATTTATATACACATACAGATAACATTTATTATGAAATTGGAATTCATGCTTTTATCCCGTGCTTTGTCATTAAATGTTCTTCAGAAACAAATTTTTTAATGTCTGTGTTCATTGTATAGATGTACCATAGTTTAACCATTCTTGTATTTTGAAATTTGAGTTGTTTTTATTTTGCCTCTATTACAGTAAATATTCTTGTATATAAATTTTTGTATGTATTCTAAATGATTTTATTAGGAGAAATTTTTGGAAATGTAATTACCAGGGCAAAGGTATAAGCTCTTCTTGATACTTATTACCTGCTGACATCCAGACAAGTTATTCAAATTTACATGTTCCCATTAGGAAAGTGTAGGAGTGCTCCTTCCCCTACAACCTCGCTAACCATAGACATTACCATTTAAAAGAAAACAATTACATAGTCTAGAAAAGCGTCTTATTGTTTAAATTATATTTCTTAGATTATTAGGTTAAATGTTTTCTCATGGCCCTGAATATTTGTTTCCTTATGTGACGACTCTCAATATGTTGTTATTAACATGGAATGAAATAATAGGTAAACCTTAATTGAGGAAAATATTTTCAGAGGCCTGGTCAGTTTTCATTAATGCCAGTGATATTACTATTTACCATTCTTTTATAAAATTAATTTTTAATTATAGTATAAAATAATACATTGTTAATGACAAAAGAAGAGTATATAATTGACGCATATTGCTTTGTACTTTTCTTTTTGAGTCAGTTATATTAAGAGGCTCTCAGAATTTTCATGGCCCTCCATGCATTCTACTGTAGGTTCTGATTATGTGGTGTGAGCCTCTTGCCAACTTCAGCGGCCACTCCATTCTCATCTGTTTCTCTCTCCATCAGTCCTGTGTCTGGGTTGTAGTGGTGTTGGCTGATGATAGATCGGAGATTCTTGGTAAGGATGGATTTCTGCCACTATAGCTGCCTTCTGTGTTGTGGCACAAAGGGTTAGTTAGGTGCTCTGTTAGTTAGCTATGGGAATCATGTAAGACCTTGTGTTGTCAGTAAGAGTGGAAGAAAATGCCAGATTTTTATCAACAATGTAAATAATCTAACTTTTATTTTTTATTATAATGAGATTTAAAAATTTTACTTAGTTTAACATTTATGAAACTTAGGTAATTAAAGTCCTTAGATAGTTGCTGAATGTTTCATATGCTTAAAAAAAGCCATGCAAATTTCTCAGATATATCTCACCTTAAATCTTGATGTCTCTGAAGGAGTTCCATCAGATGCAGGAGTTTGAACATCTTTTATTGCTCACAGTAACTTAACTTTATAGCTGAAGTCTTTGTGTGTGTGTACTAGTGAAACTCATGCCGGAACTTGTGATTCTGTCTTAGTAAAAGTATGTAATCCTAGTGGTGGTGAGAGATCATTCTTTTTTCTTGTATTGTATGACGATTAGAGATAATTTAGTTTATGTTGTTCTTAATTTTTTTTAATACCAGTAAGATTTTCTGCTTTAGAGTTAAATTCAGATGCCCCCGTATCTTTACTTATTAATATTTATCAATTCAGTGCAGTGTGTTTTATAAAAAAAGACTTTGAGGTACCCATGCCTATGGGAACAGTATAAAAACATAGCCTGGAGAGTTATACATGAAATCATGCTAGTGATTATCCCTGGGAAAATGGGGCAGGAGTAGTACTGGGTGAAGGAGGGGTGGTTGGAAGGTACTAAGACTTTATTTACAGTGTTCTAAATATTTTACTAAAAACTCTCAAAGGTACATATGTCAGAATGATAATGTTTATTAGTTCTTGGTGATAGATACATGCATGTTTATTAGTCTGTACTATTTTGTATCTTAAATATCATCCCCAAATTTCAGTTATAATTATTTTTAGTCATGTTGAAACTCAAATTGTCTACGTATTAGAAGTGTCTGACATGCCATTTATATCTGGTGAAGTTGTCTTCAGATAACTGATTATTATTAAAATTTTGATACTCTTAGAAATATCAAGTTATCTCAAAGACAGTTATTTTGTTCCTTGTTCTCATTAACAACTATTATAGTAAGCACATTGTCTTTTTCAATATTAACTTTTTATTCTGCCTGATTTCTTAACTTCAGTGATTTCTTAACTTCAATCAAGTTTCCAGAATTATGACTTGTTAAAATGAAAATTATTATGCTTTAAGCTATAGAATTTTGATATGAAAGAGACAGATGCCAGGCATAATTATTATTTTCTCTTATATAAGAGATAAAAGGAATAAGGAAACAAAAACCCCTTAATCTGGGACCAGTGGATTGATTTGTTTCAGGGCTTTTTATTAAATGCATTAGTATAGATATGTCACTTAGTTTTTTTCCTGGTGCCTAGTTAAGATTTTATATTATTATTTGATATTTCCCTTTTTTCTTGATATTTTTATGCTGACATGAAATGAGAGGGAGTTGAGAAGATTATACACACATGTAGGCTCTGGCCTGCACCTGCTCTCTTTAGCACTTTTTGTTAATTGTTAAGATTGTTAATTCTCAGGATAATCGGACAGCAGAACACAGTGGGAAGAACATAGTGTTGAGGACAGAGAAAGCCAGCTGAATCTTGGGTTTGCATTCTACTTATAATTACTGTATGGAGTTGGATATTATTTAATATCTTTTAGCAGTAGCATCCTCTATGAATTAGGGGTTAATAGTGTTCACTTTAATAAGTTGTTATGAGAATTAAATTGGGTTGTCTTATGTAAGCATCTGCATAGTACTTGGCAGAATAGCAGAGTCTTAGAAAATGTTGATTTTTCCTGCTTTCACTAATGGAAAATGCTTGATGGGAAGTACTGTAACTTAGAGTAAAAGATGTTATGTTATGTGGCATAGATTTATGAGATGCATACAAGTGATTTCTGAAGTTTAAAAGGTGAACATTATATGTAAGATGTTATATGTAAGATGTCTTGTCTTCTAAAGAAAATACTTTTTTCCTTTGGACTTAAGCAATTGTGAGCCAGGAAAAACAAAGCCAAACAATTGCTTCAGTCTTAATTTCTTGTTCATGTTTCCTTATGGTGGGAGGGAGTGACATCATGGGTACTATACCTTTGTAATTATACATGGGATAAGACAGGCAAGAACCAGAGAAGATAGGTGCAGAAGGAAGTTAAGAGCCCTGGGCAGAGGAGAAGCATGGGTGTTCAACAGGATGTTCTCTAACCCTGTCTTAGCTACTGTGAAGAAGTTGGCTATTTCATTGATTCTTTTTTTGATACAGCAGTAACAGACTGTATTTCATTTAAAAAAAACCTAACCTTATGGCAAGAGTTCTTGTTTATTTGTTTAGTTATGTTTCATCCAATATTTTAAAAACACAGTTGCTTTCATTAAATGCTTTAGGACATGTATACATTTAGCACATTCTCTTTATTGTCTCCTTAAATGTATGATCAATGTACTTCCAGATGCATTCAGAATAAAGATCTTGGAAGTCTAAGATACTCTGTCATTCAAGAAATGTTTTCTCGGGAGGCTGAGGCAGGACAATTGCTTGAACCTGGGAGGCGGAGGTTGCAGTGAGCCAAGCTGAGATCGTGCCACTGCACTCCAGCCTGGGTGACAGAGTGAGATTCTGTCTCAAAAAACAAAAGAAAACAAAACAAAAAAGAAATGTTTTTATCACACTATATTTAATCAGCCAGCAAAATGGCCATATAGATTTTAGGAAGATTCTAGCAATTAATCTTAAAATAATGTTAACCCACCAGTAAGTAGAAAATGAAATTATTGGGATACTCAATATACTTTCACTTTTTATCAGTTGAGTTTCTCTGATGCTTCTTTGTTCTGAACTTACTTAGTTTCTTCAACTTCTATTAAAAGGTTTCCTGAAACTTTTGAGATTCCTTTGCATGAAATAATTTTTTTTAATGTATTAAATAGAAAACTGAGGTAAGGATGGAAGAAAAGCATGTTTAGAGAATTATCTACTGATGCATATACTTAGGATGTCTGGCTTTCTATTTTGGTGGAGATGTTGAAGATGCCACCTTCTCATGTATCTGTTATTGTAGAATTTGTATCTGTATTACAGCATTTGTTTAATTCTACTCTATTTGAAATCAAGGTACATGAGAGTTGTCAATGTACACTGAGTGAGACCGCCTTATTGTAGGTCATGCTGTGTGGCCTTTACCTGTGTTCTTATAGTATAATGGACATTGGATGAATATTAAGATACTTGCTGGTCCTAACTTTAGAGAATATCTGTGTTTTTCTCATCTACCTTATGGTGTTGTTGGTAGGATTAAGTGAGGTACTAAATGTGACAATACTTTTAAAATTTGGAAGCATTGCATGAATCTAAGGGATTATTATCACTGGAGTTGTAAACATGACCAAAATCATATCTGAGGAATCGCTCCCTTAAAGCAGAGACAATGGAGGAGGGAGAATTACATGGGGAAGTGACTTCTTGTGTTTTTAAGCTATGTATGTAGAAATTACAGTGTGCAAAATTACTAATGTATTAAACATAGAAAAGAGATCAAAAGTAAACTGTTGTATTAGTCTTTTATTTCCATGCTTTTTACTGTTTCATTAACTTTGACCTATATTTATTTAAAAGGATTTGTGTACATCAATGGCAGAATCATCCAGCGAATCAGATCACTTCCGCTGTCGTGACCGATTGAGTCCATGGGCTGCCAGATCAACGCACAGGGGAACTCGAAGTCTTCCTACAGTAGAAGTTACCGAGAAGGTCAACACTATAACAAGTACTTTACAGGTTAGTTTAACAATGGTTGCATTTAATAGAATTTAAATAGTTTGAGCTGCTTAATAGTTTCAGTCAGTGGATTAGTTTTCTTGCTGCTGTAACAAATTACTGCAAAGCTAATGTCTTAAAACAACACAAATTTATTATCTTAAGGTCTTGTACATCAGAAGTCAACACTGGTCTCACTGGGTCTCAAAGTGTTGGTAGGGATGTGTTCCTCTCTGGAGGCTCTAAGGGAAAAATCTATTGCCTTGCCTTCTCTGGTTTCTAGAGGCTGCCCACATTTCTTATCTTGTGGCTGCCTTCCCTCATCTTCAAAGCCAGCAGGGAAGGGTCAAGCCCTTCTCACATCCTATGACTTTACTTCTCCTGCCTCCCTTTTCCTCTTTTACGGATGTTTATGATTTCATTGGGTCCACCCAATAATCCAGGAGAATCTCTCCATCTAAAAGTCTTCAATGTAATCACATTTGCAAAATCCCTTTTGCCGTGTAAGGTATACATACACAGGTTGCAGGGATTAGGACTTGGATATCTTTGAGGGCCATTATTCTGCCTATGACAGTTGGTAAAGATATTTGAAATATGTGATAGGTGGTGGAGAGTGTTTTAGGGTAAAGCAGTATTTCCAAATAAAATATCGTGAGAGTGAAACCAGTAGAAATGATTGTAGTTTAGCTTCTCATGGGCATGTGCCTTTAGAGAAATTACTCATGTTTTGGTGAGGTAGATTATTTGTGGGTGAAAATAAAGAGGTGCCATTTTAATTTAGAGGCTAATTTTTGCTAGTATTTGGAGGTTTGAGTTGAGGCATTTTGCTTCCTTTTCTTAGAAAGGGCTTTAGAAAAGAGGTGGGGTAAGTGTAACACAGCTATAGGGGAAAAAAAGAAAACTCAGAAATATAAGGTATTTCCTACGCATTAATCCCTTACCTTTGCCTTAGCCTGGCTAAGAATGGATTTTGGCTTTTAATTGCTTTGGATTAATATGCTTAGATAAGAAGAGGGTAATTTCTGGTGGCGAAGCCATGCATTGATTTGAAAACCAGAGGACCTATCCTTTTTAAACTCATTTAAAGTAACATAATGGGCTGGGCATGGTGGCTCATGCCTGTAATCCTAGCACTTTGGGAGGCTGAGGTGGGAGGATCACTTGAGCCAGGAGTTTGAGACCAGCCCAGGCAACATACTTAGACTGTGTCTATACACAAATTAGGAAAAAAAAAAAATTTAGCTGGGCATAGTGGTGTAGAATTCCTTGAGCCCAGGAAGCTGAGGCTGCAGTGAGCCATGATCATGCCACTTCGCTCCAGCCTGGGTGGCAGAGCAAGACCCTTTCTCATCAATAAGTAAGTAAGTAAGTAAAGTAAGTAAAATGTAAGTAAGTAAAGTAAGATAACAATGGAATTTTGTAGTATGAATTCTTGTGCTTTCCCAACAATGAGACACATTAATAAGTATATATTTTTGAAAGAAATACCTTGATTAATCTCCCAGGTGAAATCTAGAATATTTAGATAAGAACCATTTCTTTTGTGATTAAAATTAAATTTGTTGTTTTTCTTCTCCTCAAGTTCTGAGGTAAAAGAATAGTCAAAATCACATTGATCTTAATGATTTTCTTCTCTTGTACACAGTCTACTAGATTTGCTCTTTCAGAATTCCTTTTCTATAAAGAGGGTGTGAATTGGTTGAGGGGCACAAATTGAAAATTATGATTCTGAGAATTTATGGTTTTGTTGCTGACTTACTAGGGAATCTTGAATACGGATTTACATTATGTGCTTCAGATTTTACACAAGTAAATTGCAGTTGGATTTGAGTTTCTCTCAGTGGTGTTAAGATTTACTTAATATGTGTGAAGTACATTGATATTCAACTCAGCCATGATAAAAGTTGTACATTTTACAAACTGTTGACTTAGTTGATTGACATACTACTAAGATTGATTAGGAAAAAAAAGTATTTGGAATAATTAATTCAGTCCATTTTCTTTCTCAAGGATACCAGTCGGAACCTGCGACAAGTGGACCAGATGCTTGGACGATACCGAGAATACAGTAATGGACAGGCGGGTGCGATAGAACATGTGAGAAACTACATTTGTTTGCATTTTCTCCTACCCACCTTTTTGGGAATGAAGTGTTTTGGGGAATGGGGCTGTGAGCTAAAGGAAAAAACCATTGTGAAGTGCTTTAGATTTTAAACTGATTTATTATTTTATAGTTTAAGTTTAGGTTAGCTTGTCAGATGGATTGCTAACTAGCTTATATAAATTAGATTCTATTGAATTTGAAGGCTTTACATCAGAGAGAGTAGAATTCAAGACATGAATTTAATGGAGACTTGGTAAACTTGGGCCATGGAGAGACCCCTCATGTAGAGTTAAGAATTTTAAGGATGGTTTATTTTAAAGTAATATGTGTTTATTGTTAAAACAAAAAATGAAAAAATCCTCTCTCAAAGCCCCTTTTTAATTTTTTAAAATTTCTATTGCTGTAGTGGAACAAGTGGTTTTTTGGTTTCATGGATGAATTGTATAGTGATGAAGTCTGGGATTTTAGTGCACCTGTCATCCAAATAGTGTACAATGTACCCAATAGATAGGTTTTCATCTTTTACCCTGCTCCCAACCTCCTCCCTTCTGAGTCTCCACTGTCCATTATACCACTCTGTATACCTTTGCGTCCCTTCTGAGTCTCCAATGTCCATTATACCACTCTGTATACCTTTGCGTCCCTTCTGAGTCTCCAATGTCCATTATACCACTCTGTACACCTTTATGTACACATAGCTTAGCTCTCCTTTATAAGCGAGAAGAAGTGGTATTTGGTTTTTCATTCCTTAGTTACTTCACTTAGGATAATGGCCTCCAATTCTATCCAACCTCCCTTTGAGCCCCACTCAAAAGAGGTAACAATTTTGAGAGCTTGTTTCCAAACATTTTCTATGTATTTACAAGCATATGTGCGATTTGCTTTAAAAATGGAATCATATTAAATATAATGTTATACAACGTTTTAAAATTTAATAATGTATATCACTTTCCATATAACTTTGTGTAGCACTACTTCATTGTTTTGAACAGTTATACCGTATTCCATAGTATGAATGTATCTAGTTTTTCTTTTTATTATAAACATTATAGCAGTGACCATTATTGTACACACACATACATATGTTTTTGTAATCCTGTAGGATTGCTGGAAGTAGAATTGCAGGGTTAAAGGATATATGCACTTAAAAATTTGCTGGATATTTCAAAATTGCCCTTTCAAGGATGTTCCAGTTTATACTTACTTTACATGGGGATGTAAGAAAAAAATGTACTCCAGAGTTCTGGAATAAAGTTAATAATGTATTTTTAATTAATGTCTTACTAATTCTATCTTCTACTTTTCTTTCCTTTGGAATTGCTTACTCCTGTCCTGTAAACTCTTGGAAAACCAATTAAACTTATTCCTTCATGTTTCTAATGAGGGGTATATATACAGTGTGATGAAAACACTAAAATCACATTGTATATGTACCTATCATTGGAAACATGAAGGAATAATGACTGTTTTATACATATCTGTGTTGTATTGAATTGTCACGTAACTCCCAAGTTGTAATTGACGGCTTGTTATTATTATTATTTTTTTTTACAAGTAAAGGTATAGTTGTCATTAATCACTTGTAATTGCAAGCTAATGGGCACAGGGAAACATATCTTCTCTCATAAGGGTTTCTACTATTTTTATTTAGAAAATGAGTTTGGACATCCTTGTATTTACAGGATTTTTATGATTTATGATGTACTTGACCAATGGAGCTCTATAGACTTTGTTATATTTGGGCAGTTCATGAAATGTTTCAGATTCATTACCTTATTAATAATGGGAATTGAGTCTTTGCTTTTTAATTTATTAGTGAAAAATTGAAAACATTATTATTAACCATTAGTAGAGTATAGTCCTACTTTGTAAAGTTGAATATTAGATCCCTACTTAGGGTAGCAGATTTCCTTTGAATTGGGCAGTTGGGAAATTAAATTATGTATACCCAATTTGAGGTATGATATATTCCATAGCACTAAATATTGTAATGTTAAGAAAGCAATTTTCAACGAGGGATCCATTGTCATCAAGTCTCTGTGGTAAGCCTAGAGTTGAATAATGCTAAACTTTCTGAGGGAGTAGTTTTTTTTTTTTTTGAGGTGGAGTCTCGCTCTGTCACCAGATTGGAATGCAGTGGCGCGATCTCAGCTCACTGCAACCTCCGCCTCCCAGGTTTAAGCGATTCTCCTGCCTCAGCCTCCCGAATAGCTGGGACAACAGGCGCATGCCACTACGCCCAGTTAATTTTTCTATTTTTAGTAGAGATGGGGTTTCACCATGTTGGTCGGGATGGTCTCGATCTCCTGACCTTGTGATCCGCCTGCCTTGGCCTCCCAAAGTGCTGGGATTACAGGCACGAGCCACCGTGCCCTGCCCGGGAGTGGTTTTATAAGTGGGAAGTAAATAAATTCAACAGGTATTTCCATCTGAGTTGTAAATACATGTTTAGGGAATGACAAACTCTTTAAAATAGCTTCTCCAGATTAAAGCATTCTATTTCATCATTCTATTTATTTTTTACTTTTATTGTCATTGCCTTTAATCATAATGATAAAAAGTATCATTTACTGAACGACCAAATCTACCTCAGGCATTGTTCTAATTATTTTACATAGATCATCTTATTTCATCCACAAAATAAAACATGTAAGAAAGTTAGAAAGTTATCTGATGGGGTGTGAAAGATGCAGAAAAGAGCGGGGGCAGAAGTAAAAGTAGTACAGCTGAAGAAAGCAAATGAAGCTTTTCTTTGGTCCTTCTGAATCACATATTTCTATTTTTAAAATTTTATTTGTTTACTTATTTTGAGACAGAGTCTTACTGTGTTATCCAGGCTGGAGTGCAGTGGTACAATCACAGCTCACTGTAGCCTTGAACTACTGGGCTAAAGCAATTCTCCTACCTCAGCCTCCTGAGTAGCTGAGACTACAGTTGTGTACCACTACACCTGGCTACTTTTTATTTTTTACTTTTTTAGTAGGGATGGGATCTTACCATGTTGGCCAGGCTGGTCTTGAACTCCGGGGCCCAAGTGATCCTTCCGCCTTGGCCTCCCAAAGTGCTGGGATTATAGGCGTGAGCTACCATACCCGGCCTGAATTATAATGTTTTAAATGATCACTTCTGTTATTTGCATTACCCATTGTTGCCCAGATGATCTCCTTTCATAGATTTAGGTTGGAGTGTAGTCAATCCTTTTGCGTTTTATATGCATTCTTTTTGAGTTCATTAACCTTGAGTTACATTTTGTTTCTAATCAGAGTTTTTCCAAATAGAGATATCAAAAGGCTTTCAGAGATCTCTGTGAGAATTTTAAAATTTAGTTATTTTATTTTCATGGTAATCTAAAAGCATCTACAGTTATTTTTCAGTTCATTTATATATCAGTTTCCAAAATAATTGGTTTCCTACATCTTCTTGTGGTGACCAATGACTTTTTTTACCCCTTGAGTATCATTATTAACTTACAATTATATGCATATTTAAAGTGTTTTAGTCCATTGCAGTTAATATTTTTATTTATGCTCAAATTGTTTTATCTTTGGCTAGAGGGAGCCTACTACATGCTTAAGTCAGAAAAAGCATGTCTTGATGATTTGGATAAACTACCTGTGTTAGTCCATTCTTGCATTGCTATAAAGAACTACCTGAGACTGGGTAATTTATAAAGAAAAGAGGTTTAATTGGCTCACCGTTCCACAGGCTGTATAGGAAGCATGATGTTGGTATCTGCTCAGCTTCTAGGAGGACTCAGGAAACGTACAATCATGGTGGAAGGCAAAGGGGAAGCACACACATCACATGGCCGGAGTAGGAGCACGGGAAGGAGTGGGGAGGTGCTACACACTTTTAAACAACCAGATCTCATGATAACTCACTCACTATACAGTACCAAGCGGGGATGGTGCTAGACCATTCATAAGAACTCTGCCCCCATGATCCAGTGACCTCTCACCAGGCTCCACTTCCAACACTGGGAATTATAATTGAACATGAGAATTCGGTGAGGACCCAGATCCAGATCATAGCCATTCAATTCCAGTGCCCAAATTTTATTTGCATTTATACTGGTGCACAGTAGTTTCCATTGTTTCAGTCTAATATCAAAAGAACAGAGGTAAAAGAATAGACCTAATCTTTAAATCATGCATTTATATCAAGTGAGATATTAATATACATTATATTATGTTCTATGATGTCCATTTTACAATATTTCATATAGGGGAAAGTGGGGGAAAATAGGATCATCATTTGGTATCTGGTGAGGTAGTCCTAGTAGACTCAAAAGAATTTATAACATTGTAGTTAGTACCACAGTCTTTGGTAAGATTGATTAGTTTTAGGAAAATAACATCATCCATCATAGAAAATGTTAGATTGAGTTTTATTAATATTATTTTGTTTTTATTTAATTTTGTTTGGTTTGGCGTTACACCTAGTAAGATGTTATAATCCAAAAGAGTTTAAAACAATTTTTATGACTTCGTACTTTGTCTCTTTATTTCTTGGTTTTTGTGTTTTAGGAGTTATCAAATTGGCTCCATACATCACTAAATTTTGTGCAGTGTCTGTTGTGTTGTGTTGTGACTACTTAAAGTGTAGATTTTAATTCTATTACATTTTTAGTTTTATGTTTTAGGTGCAAAAATTGTTTTTGCCATAATGCTTGGAAGAGTAATTTAAAATCGCCTTTATTTCATTCATCTCCCTTTACATAACGTAATTTTATTTTTTGGACCTTAAAAATCATCCTATTCATCTTCAATGGCTTCGGATATATCTTTTTAGAGTTTTAAAATGGGGTTGATAGATTAGATTTTGGGGAAGTGTTTCACTTCTCTTGTTCTTTAATGTTCTTCTGTTATGTCCCATGGTAACTTTTTTTCTTTTGGTGGCAGGGAGTTTGCGTGTGTGTGTGTGTGTGTGTGTGTGTGTGTGTGAAAATTCACTTTATTTCTGAGCTTTTAGTTACAGCTTAGGATTTGTTAGCAAATAAGCCTACATAAAAAGGATGCTGGCAAGATCTGCTTTTGGCATTGGTAGGTAAGATTATTTCAGATCAACTCTTCTACTGAGAACAACTAGAAACATGAAAAAAAAGTAAAAAATAATATTATGAATCCATCAAAGAACTACTAAGGCAGTGAGGAATTATGTAGTCAGAATCTGGCAAAAAACTTAAGTCCAGAAGGGTAAGTCTTATATTTGGGACTTTCTTCCTCCTTCAAGATGATAGCTGATTCCTAAAGAGGTGGATTAAAAGCAGAGAGGCTAGGATCAGAGTTATCAATTAACTTAAGAGGCTAGGAAGACCAAAGCTGGAGTTCAGGAACCCTTTAGCTTTAATGGAGACCCCAAAGGGTGATAGTATAGGCAAAGTGGTGAATTGGAAATGAGAAGTGATAAACTGAAAATAGACCAGCCTTCACGGTGACAGAAGCCAGTCCTTGAACCACTTCAGTTCCTAACTGGGTTAAGGTGATTTGAGATTGCTAGTGACCCTAACCTGACTTTCTATTAGAAGCAGAACCAGATTTTTCTGAAGAAAGATGTCATCCTCTAGAACTTTAAATTATTTCTACAACTTCTCATGTAAAATGTCTATCACATGATAAAGAATACACAGGCATAAGAGAATATAAAAGGTGTCTGAAAACCAAGGGAAGAAGCAGACAATAGAAACATATATGGGACTATAAGGTAACCATGAATAACATGTTCAAGAAATTAAAAGAGTAGATTAAGAGTTTTGGAAAATAATTGAAAACTAAAAGGCACCAAATGAAAATTTCAGAAACTGAAAAATAAGATAAATAAATAACCAACTGACCTTGAATGAATAGAGTGAACAACAGCTTGTGTATAGTTGAAAGAGAATTCATGAATTGAAAGATAAACCAGCATAAGATATCCAAAAAGAATGGAAGAATGAAAGATTGAAAAAATATAGAAGAGAAAAGAAGACATAACAGCATTTGGTAAAAAGGTATAACTAAAATGCAGTTGCATTTCCAGAAGGAGAGGGGAGAGAGAATGAGGCAAAAACAATGTTTGAAAAGATGATGCCTGAGAATTTACAACATATGAAATTTATTAAGCTATGGATTTTGTGATCTCTGTGGGTCGGAAATGGGATAAATACAAATAAAACTGTACATAATGATACATAATAAAATCACTGACAAAAGTAAAGAGAAAATCTTAAAAATAGCCAGAGCTGAAAAGGCAGATTACCTTCAAAAAGAAGCAGTAGTAAGAAATGATAGCTGACTCTGCTTTCAAAAGGATACTGAAATTGAGTTTAGCTTGAAAGATGGAAATAATAAACACAGCAAAAGTTAAGAGAGCTGATTTTACGTTTTATTTCTGACGCTAATTTTTATGATCAAAATCACTGTAGTGACTTTTCTAGTCTGTTTCTCATGTTACAGTTTGAATTTGAGCTTTTTAGCTTTAATATTGTTTAGTTTTATTCTGATAATTTTGTCATAGATTACTGATATACTACTTTGTGATCACTACATAAGACCTCTGGTCTACTTATATGTTATTTTACTTATGTGTAAATTACTCTCAAGGTAAACCTTGGTTTTCCTGGGCCTCATAGTATGTTTTGTGGATTGATGCTGAGGTTTTTTTTTTTTTTTTTTTTTTGAAACAGAGTCTCGCTCTGCCGCCCAGGCTGGAGTGCAGTGGTACGATCTCAGCTGACTGCAACCTCTGCCTCCCAGGTTCAAGCAGTTCTCCTGCCTCAGCCTCCCGAGTAGTTGGGATTACAGGCACCAGCCATCATGCCCGGCTAATTTTTTGTATTTTAGGAGAGACGAGGTTTCACCATGTTTGCCAGGCCATTCTTGAACTCCTGACCTAGTGATCCAGCCGCCTCAGCCTCCCAAACTGCAGGGATTACAGGCGCGAGCAACCGCCGATGCTGCATCTTATAGCTGGCTGGCGAATACTCAAGGCAGGATGGTATTGTACATATCCCAGTTTAGGTAAGGAGGAGACAGAGGGGTGTGGAAACCCCTCTTTTTTTTTTCTTTCGGAAATGAGAGGGACAAAAGAAGCAGCTTCCTGAAATTCTAACTCTACTTCTTTTAATACAGATTGTTTCAATTAGAGCAGCCAAATCCAAATAGCCAGACTGAAAAAGGGTTTGCTTCATTTGTGACTCACATTCTGTTTCATCTGTTCTTTTCCTTCGGTTGAGGCTCCTTTCTTTCTGCTCATTTCACCAAGTAAAGCAACTTGTTCTCCCCGTAAATGGTGTTCTACCTTTTAACGCTGGCTGAATTTAGGAAACCTTGTCTTCTCAACTAATCATTTTGTTTTGACATTCTACTTAAAGAGTTATAGATGACTTGTTCCATGGATCCATGCATTATGTTTAAAATTATTACTTTCTATTCATCCTTGAATAAGATATCTAGACCCGAAGTTTCCCAGCAATTCAGGGTGTATGGATTTTCTTCAGCTTTAATTTTTTTTCCCTTGGGTCTTAGTCGAATCCTCTTCTCAGGCCTATAGTTGTGTACAGCTCTGGACATTATTCTCAGTATTTAGCATGTTTTTATTTAATGTAGCTCTTTAAGTCTAAAGGTATGTTTTTATATGTTCCCTGTTGGCTGACTCCTTAATAAACTGAATAAAGCATTTGGACAACTGTAGTTCTTAGTGTGTACTGGCAGTCTGATATCTGACCCAATCATTTTCTGGGATTTGAAGTCTTTGAATGACTGAAAGAGGTACTCTGATAAAGTTGGACAGTGTACATTGTTTCAGTAGCAGCTGTCACTGTGACAGCTGTTTAGTTTCCTATTTGTTGTAGACCTGGAGTTTCTGAAGGAATATTTAGAAGGGAGGAAAGCTTTCTGTCTTCTTTCAGTTGTGTTGACCTTGTTATGTTTCTTCGCATGAGTGGTGCACCAATTAGACATTTCAATTTGGTTTTGTAAGCCCTTACACAGTAGACATCTCTTCCACATCTGGCAATAAAAAATGGAATAGGTAGTGACAGATGCCTTTTAAAACCAGATTTTAGCATTGGTTCTTAAAATATTTGTATTTACTATTTTTATATTTTAAACATAACTTAGTTTAAAATTTTCTGATACCTTTTTTTGGGGGGAACCCAGATATTTCAGAAATAGCTTTGAAAATCTGTGGTCTATTTGTATTTGGAAGTTGTTTAAGAAGAATAACGCTTCATTCATTATATTCTTTAAATTAGTTAAAAGAAAGCTTGGAACAATCAATCGACCAACTCCGGAGTCAACGTTTATTGAGAAACTCAGGAGGGAGAAGTATTTCTGTTACAAGTTTGAGTGCAAGTGACCTTGATGGTGGCACTGGGTCAGGTAAACACTTCAAATGTTCTGAAAAACATTAAAAATATTTTTGAAGTAGATATTGAATACATTTAATTTTTGGAGAAATATGACCCACACATAACTTCATGCAGATTGGATGATAGTACATGTAGTTGTCAAGGATTTTATAGTACATGCTTTGAAATATATTGAAGGGTCTTTGTTGTTATATTGTTTTTTTTTTTTTCTCAAACTCTGTAGACCACATTAGAGCTTTACCTGACAAAAACTTAGATTTAATTGTCTGCTGCCAAAGAATCAAAACAAATACATAAATTCGCTATGTGATACACTTTAGGTTAGGTATCCTGTCCTAGCGTAATAGATTTTCACATGTTTTATGAAATACCCTGTGATGCTTGTTAAGACCAGGTGAATTTTAGTCTTGGCATGCAGGTAGATATGAATGGCTAGCTTAAAGCTTATGACAGTTTGTCTTAATTAATCTTACTTACACTTTTGTATAGCACTGAGATTCATGTTTGAATCGAAAAGCCTGCAGTGAAGGAAGGTGATTTAGATAATTGAACATTGGTACCTTACATCGTTAATATTACTGTTGATTATGGTAACAATGATTAAAAATTGGGCACTATTTTTTCATGTAGTTAGTTTTTATTTTTATATGCTGTTCAGATTGTAGACTATGTAGTTTGAAAAGTTGTTTTTTTTAGTATTAAGTTATATTAAGGGGTCATATGAGTTTTTTATTTAGAAATTTATTATTTTTGTATGAGAAAATATGTTGCTTCTTGGAGAGTATAACAAATTGAAACTTTTGAGTGTTCTATTTCCAGGTTATTTCTGTTGTTCATTTTATCTGCTTTAAGAGCATGATTAATGCTAATTTGGTGGAACTTTATGGCCATAGCAAGATACTTGGGAAATAGTCTGGGTTAGGGACATGAATATATGTATATCCATGTCTGCCATGTTTGTACTGAGTAAAATTTTAGATTGTCTCTTCTCATGCAGTATTTTAATACCTTCCCTTTTCTTTCACTTGTGAAGAGCTCCATCATTTTCCACCTACCTCACCTCTCAAGGACTATGGGGATCCACAGGGTATTAAACGAATGAGATCAAGAACTGGTGTCCGGTTTGTTCAAGAGACTGATGATATGACTCAGGTACTTTGTACCATTCTGTAATTTGTGTGCAGTATTTCCTTATGCTTCTATTGTATATAAATGACTAATGCTTGAACTTTAAGGCTATATTTTAACCAAGAATTTGATCATTAGTAACTTTATACTGATCCCTTTTTTTGGAACCAAGTAAACGACTTTTACTTTTTATTATTGTTTTCTTGCTGAAAAATCATAGTTGTATACATTTATGGGGTATAATATGATGTTTTAATATATGTATGCAATGTGGCATGATCAAATCAAGTTAATTAACATCTATCACCTTGCTTATCATTTTTTATGGTGAGACATTTGAAATTTATTCTCTCAGTTATTTTGAAATATATAATACATTATTATTGACATTGGTCATCCTGATGTGCAATACATCTCAAAACCTATTCCTCCTGTCTGTCTGAAACTTTGGACTGTTTGATCAACAACTCCCCTTTCTCTCCCTCTTCACCCCCTCTCCCCGCCACCCTCTGGTAACCATTATTCTACTCTATCTTTCTATGAGTTAAACTTTATTAGAGTTCATACACAAGTGGGATCATATAGTGTTTGTCTTTCTGTGCCTGGCCTTTTTTACTTAACATAATGTCTTCAGATTCATCCATGTTTTTGCAAATGACAGGATTTCTCCCTTTTTAAAGGCTGAATAGTATTGCATTGTGTATATATACTACATTTTCTGTATCCATTCATTCACTGATAGACACTTAGGTTGTTTGCCGATCTTGGCTGTTGTGAATAATGCTGCAATGAACATGAGAGTGCAGATATCCCTTTGACATACTGATTTCAGTAGCTTTGGGTATATATCCAGAAATGGGATTAATGGGTCATATAGTAGTCTTATTTTTAGTTTTTGAAGACCCTCCATACAGTTTTCCATAATGGCTGTACTAGTTTACGTTCCCAGTAGGGTACAAGGGGTCCCTTTCCTTCATGTCATGTCCAACACTTATCTTTCATCTTTTTGATAAAAGCCATTTTAACAGGTGTGAGGTGATATCTCACTGTGGTTTTAACTTGGATTTTCCTAAAGTTTACTTTTGCTGAATATTTTTAAAAATGTACCTATTGACCATTGTATGTCTTCTTTTGAGAAATGTCTGTTCAGGTCCTCTGCCCATTTTAAATTTTTTTTTTTTTCGCTATTGAGTTGTTTGAGTTCTTTATATATTTTGGATATTAACGCCTTGTCAGACATATGGTTTGCAGATATTTCTCCCATCCTGTGGATTGTCTCTTCACTTTATTAATTGTTTCTTTTGCTATGCAGAAGCTTTATATTTTGATGTGATCTCATTTGCCTGTTTTTTGCTTTTGTTGCTTGTGCTTTTGGGGTCATATCCAAGAAACCATTGCCTAAACCAAAGTCATGGAGCTTTTTGCCTATGTTTTCTTCTAGTGGTTTTACAGTTTCAGGTCTTATATTTAAGTGTTTCTCCATTTTGAGTTGACTTTTTTGTGTGTTATAAGGGCCTAATTTCATTATTTAGCATGTATATGCAGTTTTGTCAACACAATTTATTGAGGACACTATCCTTTCCCCATTGTGTGTTCTTGGCATCTTCATAAAAAATCAGTTGACCGCAAATGTGTGTGTTTATTTCCGGGTTTTCTCCTCTGTTCGTAGATTGATGCATCTGTTTTTTTCTAGTACCATGCTGTTTTGATTACAATTGCTTTATAATGTTTTGAAATTAGGGAGTATGCTGCCTCCAGCTTTGTTCTTTTTAGCTCAGGATTGTTTTGGCTATATGGGGTCTTTTGTCATTCTATATGAATGTAAGATTGTTAATATGGGATTTTTCAGATAAACTAGTTTATTTTCAATGTACAAAGTATCTTTGTTTTGAGTTTTGTTATGGAGGATTATATATTGCAGAACATTTAAAAGTGAGTTTAATTGGACGTGTTTTGTTTCCTTTCTTGTTCAGCACATTTTTTGTAAGCCCTGCTAAGTCTGCTACTTTCTATTTTACTAAGTTTGGTTTAGTATGAACAAGTTAATCTTTGTGTGATTGATCTACTGATTTTTCTACCATTAGTGTTTTTTTCTGATTGTTGAATCATTGATAGAGCCATTTTCTACTAAGTAAGAAATTCCATACTTTATTCACTAAAGATTTCTGAAGTATTAGTTGTGTGGAAATCTTTTTCTGCTTCTTTAAAGTTCTCTGCAGAGCTGTAATTTTTCCTTTTGTTGTCTTAAGTAGCTAAATTAAATAGAAAAGGGCTGGGGGAGTTCTGCACTTTGACCTCTTTGTTTTGGTAGTTTTAGGATTAGGTACTCAAAGTGTATCTTAAGATACTCATCTGTAGCTGTCACTTGTTACTGCATAACGAGACAACACAATCAAATGCATTAGGAAACACCCTGTGGAAACTTTTCCTTGACTATGTTATTTTTTTGATAGTTGCACCTTGCTAGCATGGACTATGTGATGAAGCCCAGAACAGAGAACAATATCTTAACATTATTCATTTACTCTTTCCTTCTGTTTATTTAATGTCTCTGTCATTGGGATAATGCTTACACTTGGAAACAGTGATGAGCAGAAACCTTGTCTTTTAATAAGTTTATATTCTAGAGGAGGAGCTAGATATTAAATAAATACATAAATACAACCTTATTTATGAACTGAGATGCATGCGATAGTGGAAAGATGCATAGGGCTACAGAATTGTATGGTAGAGGACATGCCCCAGTTAAGGAGGGCTTCCTGAAGAAAGGCTGACTGAGCTGAGATCTGAAAGTTGAGTAAGAGTCATTCTAGGTAGAACAAATGGCTTGGCAGGAGGGAAGATAGCCCCTATGAGCAATTTAAAGAAGGCCCACGAGGCTAAAGAAGTATGAAGGGCTGAGATTATGTAGAGCCGTGTAACAGGGCTGACAAAATTATTTTGAAAAGATCACTCTGGCTGTAGTGTGGAAAATGGATTCAATGTGGGTGAACCAATTAGAAGGATGTTACTGTGTTCTGGATGTGAATTGATGGTCACTTGGATTAGGATAGGTGGAGCTGGAGAGAAGGAGGTAGAATTAAAAGCATTTTAGTGGATAAAATGGAAAGGTCTTGAAAATTAGATAGCCATGTGGGGAAGGTAGGAATGAGTGAAAAGGAGGTGTCAAGGATGCATCCCCGGATTCTGGTTTGCTAAATTGGAAAATCATGATGGCAAAACTTAAGTTTTTCATTCACTATACTACTTCACTCCTTTCTTTTTATGGTTCTTCCTCATTAAGTTCATTCTCAAGGTTACCCTTAGCTCCACTTGACTGTGTACTTTCTTAATGCCCCCGTAAAAAATTTGTGGTTTGTTTACATATCTGGCTCTCATATCAGATTTTGAGCCACTTCTCAGTAGCTGGCACTAATAAATTGCTTAATGTGCATTTTGTTGAAATGAATCAATTTGTTGTTTCTGCAAGTCTGTTTAACGTAGTTTTATTATAAATCATACTATTTATATTCAGCATATATATTTACAGTTAAAGTTACAATAATGAGAATGAACACCATGTAACCCTCACCCAGGCCACTAAATAAAGCATTATCATACCCCCAAGCCTCTTTTATTTATTTTTTTTTTTGAGACGGAGTCTCGCTCTGTCGCCCAGGCTGGAGTGCAGTGGCGCGATCTCGGCTCACTGCAAGCTCCGCCTCCCGGGTTCACGCCATTCTCCTGCCTCAGCCTCCCGAGTAGCTGGGACTACAGGCGCCCGCTACCACGCCCGGCTAATTTTTTGTATTTTTAGTAGAGACGGGGTTTCACCGTGTTAGCCAGGATGGTCTCGATCTCCTGACCTCGTGATCCGCCCGCCTCGGCCTCCCAAAGTGCTGGGATTACAGGCGTGAGCCACCGCGCCCGGCCACCCCAAGCCTCTTTTATACTCCATCTTTTCCCAAGGGGTATCCACTGTCCTGACTTCATACATATCCTGACACTGTTTCTGCTTTAAAAAACAATTTTTTTACTTTTTTAATTTTTACTACCTACATCTTATTTATGGGATACTACTGTAATCTTTTGTAACTTGCTTATTTTACTTGATGTTATGTTTTTGACATTCAGCTTTACTAATGCGTAGGTATCTATGATTGTTTTGTTTTCACTGCTATATCATACTCCGGTGGAGGAATATACCACCATTTATTTATCTTGGTGTACATTTGGTTTCTCATGTTCTCATTGTGAATAATGCTGTACCATACTTTCTTGTACATGGTTCCAAGTGTACATGAGGAAGAGTTTCTGTACAGCAGGAGTTGGCAAACTAAGGCATTATAGGCTGATAGAATAAAATTTTATTGTAATTCAGCCATGCTTATTTGTTTACAGTTACTTTTGCACTACAGTGGCAAGATTAACTGTGACAGAGACCATATAGCTTGTAATCCTGGAATAGTCGCTATTGGGCCCTTTACAGAAAAATTGGCAGACCGGTTTTCTCCTTCTTTCTCGCTCTCTCTTTTTTCTTTTTCTTTTGCTCTGATTAAGGAAGAAGCAGACCCCTTCTAGAGGGGTAGAATTCTGGAGGAGTAGAATTGTACTGTAGAAAATGTGTTGATAAATGTTATATACAGCTTTTAAAAATTTGTTTTTCTTGGAAAATTTTTTTCTTTCAGAGTAGGTGTTTTCTTTCATAATAATATTACGGAATCTGGTTATTATTGCAAGGAACAAGATCTTATTCTTACCTTTGGTGAATCTTCATGGAAGAATTCAACAGAATTCTAAATGGATAACTGTGTTTTGCCTTTGCTAGCTTCATGGTTTTCATCAGTCTCTTCGAGACCTCAGCAGTGAACAAATTCGCCTTGGAGATGATTTCAACAGGGAGCTTTCCAGAAGGAGCCGGTAAAAGCAGCCTATGGTTTTTATGGGAGGGATAAATTATGAGGAGAATAAATTAGCTTCTGTAATTGACATATTTATCTAGATTTTTAAAAAATGTTGTGTTTGTATACAGTACCTTAAAATTTATTAACAGAACAGTTTACAGCCCTTTGAATTTAGAATATATCATGACTCAGTGTTAGACAAATTAATTTCCTTTTTCTAAAAACGCTTTAACTTAATACAATGGAATGCTGATATTATGGAGGGGTACACTGTGAGACTTTTGCAAAGAGGTAGATTTGCAAATACATTGGAGAGAGAGACACAAAGACCGACTCGCTACCTGACTGACTTTTGGCATTGCACACACCAAAAAAGAAGTGTAACATGGAGTTTGTCAGTGGACATAAGCCATTGTAGAATCCAATACTTTAGCTTTTAGTTGAAATCTTTGAGGGTCAGTGGTTAACATCTGCCCCATCTTCACAATTTTGTCAATTCTGGATAGTCCCCAATAGCTGTTATTTAATTTAAAACTTCTTTGCTGTCTTTTCATTTTTGTCATCACCAGTGGCAGGTGGCTTTCTTTTGGAGGCCATGTTTTGCTGAAAAACAAAGATTTTTATGCCTTCTTAAGAATTACAATCCATATACAGCAAATATTAGGAACAATAAAGCTGAATTGAAATTTGTTTACCATATTTGCTTGCTAACTCCAGCTGTCTAAATCATCCCACACACCAGTTCTGTGTTGCTGCAACAAAGATAGTCAAAACTATAAATGTTAAATCTATGAATATCAAGTATAGGCTGTAATGAGAATGAAAAATTCTACCATTATTACTAGTTCTATTAGCTAATATTATTGAGCCCTTATTTCGTGATTTAACTTTAATTCTAGTAACTACCCTTTGAGGTAATCATTATTTTTTTCTCTATTTTATGGATGAGGAAATGGGCACAGAGAGATGAAATAACTCAGCTCTCTAGAAATCAAACAGGAGGGTTGTAGTGGAGTCAGAATTAAAATCTAGGCAGTAAGGCCCCAAAGCCTCTGTTCTTTATCACTTACGGTATATGGTGGTTCAAAATCATTTTCACATGTGGCTGATATGAATAAAGCATTTGAATTCCTGGATTGTGAGATATATTATTGAGCTATATTGCTAACCTTTTAAACTGGTAAGACTTAGTTAATTTAATATTTAGGTTATTATTTTTTTTTACAAGCTGATAAAATTAACAAAATGACATTAACACTTTAATGTATTGTAGGAATGGCTTTATTACATGACCATTATCCATTTCAAGGAAGGGTATACATTAAGCACTGGGAACATGAGTTATAGGGAATAGTTGTCTTGTAAGAAGATTCAGGGGAAGTTGCAGGGATGATTTAGTTGATTAGTTTAAATGGTGATTTGAGTAACCAATATTGGACTGGGCTGTTAGTATCTGGTAATAGTTTTTGTGATCTCTAGGCTTGTAAGATCTGGTAATAGTCTTTGTGACCTAGAGGCATGTTTGAGGCAGAAAACTTTGTTTTACCCAAAATAGGAGTTAGGTTTCTTGGGAAATGAGGTGGCTTACCTTTGTGAATGTGTAAAATTTCTGGATGCCGTTCTGCTTTACTTGTACTACAGATTCTTACTTCATGTTTATAAAAATAATGGACAGGAAGTTAAAAAGTTTAACTTTCTATTTGATGTTGAAAGGTTGGTATTCTCATTTAATTACTGATTTTTCACTTTTGACATTTATTACAAAACATACATTGAATAATAAAAGTACACTGGGAAGCAAACTTTTAGAAAGGATTAAGTAAAGTTTAATTCAGAAATCACCTACTTTGGATGCCATATGAAGAATTGATTTGGACCGGGCACAGTGGCTCAGGCCCATAATCCCAACATTTTGGGAGGCCGAGGCAGGTGAATCATTTGAGCTCAGGAGTTTGAGACCAGTCAGGGCAACATGGTGAAACCCCATCTCTACTAAAAATACAAAACAATTAACCTGGAGTGGTGGCACATGCCTGTGGTCCCAGCTACTTGGGAGGCTAAGGTGGGAGGATTGCTTGAGCCCAGGAGGTTGAAGCTGCATTGAGCTGAGATGAGCCACTGCACTCCTGCCTGGGTATCAGAGTGAAACCTGTCACAAAGGAAAAAAAAATTGATTTGAGGAGGGCGAGATAGAAGTCTGTTGCACTAGTATATGAGAGTTGATGATGGCCTGACCCAGGATTATAGCAGGAGAGAGATGGACAGGGGTTTGTTTGAAGATACTGTTTTTGGAAATCAAAGAGACAGGATTTGGTAATGGTGGGTGAGGGAGAATAAGGATGACTCTAAGATTTTCAATTTGAATAACTAGGTAGATGGTAATTCCACTTCCTGAGATATGGAAGACTGGTTTGGGTAGGTGAGGTGTAGAGAGTTTGGCCTTGGATATGTTTAAGATGCCTGTGAGACGTTCAAATGGAAAGTAAAATATTCAGCTGGATATTTACTATGGAGCTCAAAGGAAAAGTCTCTGTTGAGGTAAAATTTAAGAGTGGTCAGCATGGAGAAGTGTCATTTGGAACCATGGGAATGGGTAATACCAAGAGAGAAACTATAGGGAGGATATCAAGGACAGAACTGAGTTGCAAGGAGTTATAATATTTAGGAATCTTATGATAGAAGGAGCTGAGCTGAGATGGAATAGCTAGTGAGATGGGGGAAATTCTAGATAGCATAGAACCACAAAAGCCAAGAAAGGGGCTCTAATATTTATGGGTGTTGTGTCAGGTTCTTGCAGTTTGCTCATTTTTATTATTCTTTGTTATTCCACTGTGTGGATATACAGCAATGTATTTTAACATTCTATACATACATACAGAGAGACATTTTCAGAGGTTTAAAGTCTTTGAAAATTTATCTTTTTAAGGTAACTTCTTTTTGAGGAAATTACCTAAGGATATATAAGTTAAATAAGATTGTAACCAAGAAATAGAAAGATAAAGATATTAAGAAACAGTAAAATTAACCTGGGGATTCAGTGAAAGTAACCCTGGAATGACAATCATGGAGCAGGCCCAGGAAGTATTCACTCTAAATTAGAGCAGGAAAGTAAGTGTCCTTTGAGAAGAAGGTCTTCAAAAAGAGTGAAATAGATGGTTTGTTGACCATTCAGTAAGAAGTGGGAGGAAAATATCAATGATGTGATAAGTAAGGCCCATATAAAGCCAAAAGATAATGAGAAAGCTTGGAAAAAACAAGAACACGGGAAAGTTATGATCCAAGTGTGAAGCTGGCTAAAATGTGAGCCTAACAGAATGTGAGCACAAAGCATCAATTCCATCAATTTCATAGGATGGAATAATTCATAAAATTCATAAGATGTATAAATATATTACATAAAACTCTACAGGTAACCAATAGAACTAAAAATGGTAATAACATAATCTGAAATTAGAGAATGAGCTAAATATTTCAAAACAGTCCATCGAAAATGTCTCGAGTTGAACATGATGAAGGCAACCAGCAAAATAATTAATAATGGAAATGGTTGTGCATGATTCACAGAGGGAAGTGCAGCCAGAAGTAAGACAGTGCTAGACAGAAGGGCTTTTTCTTTTCATTGTAAATCTTTCTGTACGATTTGTTTGTTTATCATGTATGTTATTAATTTGAGGAGAAACAAGGTAATGGGAGGTCGGTTAGTGAGGATAGAGTTTGTACAGCACACTTTTCTTTATAAATTGCTAGAAAGAGGGTGTAAGATCAAGAGTTTTTGTTTTCTTTTGTCCCTTTCTCTCTTTTTTCTTAATTTAAAATGGGAGATATTGCAACCTGTGTGTTTATTGAGAGTGATGTTCCAGCGTAGCAGCGGTTCTCAAAGTTTGGTCTCCAGACCTGCAGACCTCTGTTTCTGCATCACTTAGGAATTTTAGAAAGGCACATTCTTGGGCCTCATCTCAGATTTGCTGATTTGAAATCTGGGGGGCGGGATCCAGCAGTCTGTGTTTTAACAAGCCTTCCACGTGTTTCAGATGTTTATAACATTTGAGAATCACTAAAGTAGAATATTTTGTAATAACATAATTATCATGTTATACATTTCACTCGTTCTGTGTATTTTCTAAATATCCAAATTTAAATCTTTTTTTTTTTTTTCTTCCTAGGTCAGATGCCGAAACAAAAAGGGCTTTGGAAGAATTGACTGAAAAACTTAATGAAGCCCAGAAACAAGAAGTGGTGAGATCTCTTTTTTAATAAAAAGTTTTATTTCACATGTAGAGGATGGGTAGGCTGGTCATAATCACAGTGAAGTTTAGTAGAGTTTAACCTTTTGGGTGGTATGTCCCATTTTGTCTAAAAGTGTGTTCTTGTAGCTCTTATAAAATGTTCATGAATTTTGGGTACTTATATTTGGTATATTTATATTTAGGTATATTTATTTGGTATTTATATTTAGGGATTTATATTACAGTATTAGCATATTACAGTCAACATTTGTTTTAACTAGGTTAGAGTTTATGATGACTATTTGAAAGATAATTTAAGTTTTACTGGCTCTGATTTTTCTGTAGTTTTTATGAAATGATATTTGAGAAGTAAAGAATTCTTTCACAGTGGTTTTGTAGCACTCCCCATTTTCAGGTCATCTCACATGTGTGTAATTACAATTGCTACAAAGACCTCTTTGCTGTCTGTTTTTGTCTGATATGGTTCCACTTGAAAATACTCCTAATTCCCAATCTTTATTATCTCAAAGT
The DNA here is from genome assembly GCF_000001405.40 of Homo sapiens. NCBI lineage: Eukaryota > Metazoa > Chordata > Mammalia > Primates > Hominidae > Homo > Homo sapiens. Next base: position 80,895,196 of record NC_000014.9, on the reverse strand, counting down.
CATATTGTTGACACTCACTGTTCAGTGATTTATTTTTATTAAATCACTATCCTTGGTGGAATTAAGGTAAAAAAATACAGTCTATATAGTGTTCATTTCTTTTTATTGTTTTTCTTTTTAGGAGGAAACCGTTAATGGTCACTAAACTGTTGCAAATTTGTCAACTTCAGGAGTGTATTTATTCATTTATTTATTTCTCATAATACCTTTTTTTCAAGGAAAGTTAGCAAGATTTTCTCTTAATATATTTTATTCAAATTGAAAGTTTCCTAGTAAAAGTAGATAATTTTTCTCCAGTTGTTAATTTGTTTACAGTTCCTTACATAGATATGTTGAGTTCATTTTGGAGTTTGAATTTATTGGCTGAATGTGCTAGGAGATAAAAAGATCAACTAAGTTGATCTTTTTGAAAATAGGGTATTTGAAAATTTCTCTTGTAGTGAAATTTGCTTATTTTAAAAATATGAATAAACACTTGGCTACATAAAAATACTTTTCTTTTGTGTTTTTGGTATTAAGTTTTTTGTGAAGAGCCTTGGAAAGGTGAAGATACAATGCCTGTCTTCTGCTGAAGTAGACAACGTCTTTCCAATTAATGTGTGGCAATGTGGTATCTAATGTGGAATATCAAGATATATTTTTTTTTTGCATAAAGTTCTAGATTTTTTCGGATGTACCAAGGGCACCTTCAATTTACATTGTACCAGTCTAAAATATCTAAAACATCACATACTTCAAAAAAAGGACTTTTCTGAGATTAACAGATTGGTGCTTTTCTTAGTTAATTGCAGTAGTTCACACAGTACGAAATCTGTGCTATTGCCTGATTTACATACTAAACAGGAGCTGAAGTACACATTTAAGAATGTTGCTCTAAGGTCCTCTTTAACTTACTAAGTAATATGCTGTCTCTTCTCATAAATTCTAGAGTGGAACCTGTTACTTGACAAAGGAAACTGCTGAAGTTCTGTCTTCTTTTTTTCTTGTTTCTTTTCATTTTTATAATGTTCTTAATGGGACCGTCTATTGAATTTTAATCCAGTTTAATTTTCCATCTTTTCTTTTGTGATTAGTACTTTTTTGACCTAAGAAGTCATTCCCTATACTTAGATCACGAAGATGTTCTCTTATGTAATCATTTAGAAGCTTATGGTTCTACCTTTCACATTTAGATGTGATATTTACTTGAAATTGGTATTTGTGGTATGAATTAGGAGGAATACATTTCATGTGAATGTTTAATTGATTAACTTCCATTTATTAAAAGGACTACTCTTTCCCCACTACTTTACAGTCGTATCTTTGTCATAAATCAAATGTTCATATACACAAACATCTGTTTCTGGACTCTTTAATCCCCTAGTTTATTTGTCTATCCAAATGCCAGTATTCCACTGTCTTGATTACTGTTGCTTTATATTTAGTTGTGATAGGGATAGAGTAACTCCAAGATAAGGACACATCCATCACCCCCAAAATTTCTTACCCACCCTGCCCTGATTTGCCCTTTCCTTGCCCCTAAAACTCAAGTTTAAATGTAACTATACTTTTTTTGTTTTGTAAATTTTATTTTGTGCATTTAAGCTATGCAACATGATGTTATGGGATATATGTAGATAGTATAAAGATTATTACATTGAAGTAAATTAACATATCTGTCATTTCACAGTTACCCATTTTTTTTTTTTGTTTTGGTTTGTGGCAAGAACAGCTAAAATGTACTTACTTAGCATGAATCCCATATATAGTACAGTTTTATTATCTGTAGTTCTCATGTTATACTTTAGATCTCTAGACTTGTTCATCCTACATATCAGCTACTTTGTATCCTCTGACCTGCATCTTCCCATTTCATCCCCTCTACCCTCTCTGTCCCTGGTAACCACTGTTTTGTTCTCTCTCTCTGTATATTTGATTTCTTTTTGTAGATTCCATATTTAATTAGTGAGATCATGCAATATTTTTCTTTCTGTGTCTGGCTTATTTCACTTAGCATAATGTCCTCCAGACCTAGCCATGTTGTGGTAAATGAAAAGATCTCATTCTTTTTTAAGGCTGAGTAATATTTCATTGTATATATGTACCACAGTTTCTTTATTCATTTGTCTATCAACAGACACTTAGGTTGTTTCCATATCTTGGCTATTGTGAGTAATGATGCAATGAACATAGGAATGCAGAATCTTTACAAGGTGATGATTTTATTTCCTTTGGGTATATGCTCAGCAGAGGGATCACTGGGTCATATGGTAGTTCTATTTTTAATTACTCTTTCTGTATACTCTTGTCAACATTTGTTATTTTTTGACTTTTTAAAATAATAGCCACCTTTGCAGCTGTGATGTGGTATCTCATAGTGGTTTTGATTTGCATTTCCCTGATGATTAATTATGTTAAATACCTTTTGATATAGCTGTTGGTGATTTTTGTCTTCTATGGAGAAATGTCTATTTAGATTCTTTGCCTGTTTAAAAAAATTGGATTATTTGTTTTTCTACTATTGAGTTGTATGAGTTCTTTGTAAATTTTGGGTATTAACCTCATCAGATATATTGTTTGCCAATATTTTTCTCAATTTGTAGGCTGCTATTTCATTTTGTTGATTATATCTTTTGCTGTATAGAGCCTTTTTAGTTTGAAGTAGTGCCATTTATTTATTTTTGCTTTTGTGGCCTGAGCTTTTGGTTTGATACGCAAAAATCATTGCCAACGTCAGTGTCCAGGAGATTTTCCACTATGTTCTCTTATAGGAATTTTATAGTTCCTGGTCTTACATTTAGGTCTTTTATCCATTTTGAACTTATCTTTATGTATGGTATAAGGTTCAGATTCTTTTGTGTGTGAAATTCCAGTTTTCTTAGCACCATTTATTGAAGAGACTCTTCTTTCCTCATTGTATCCTATTGGTGCCCCTGTCAAAAATTAGTTGACCATATCTGTTTGGGTTTGTTTCTAGGTTTTCTGTTCTGTTCTATTGGTGTATGTGTCTGTTTTTATGCCAGTACCACACTGTTTTGATTACTATAGCTTTGTTATATAATTTTAAATCAGGAAGTATAATTCCTCCAACTTTGTTTTTCATTCTTGGAATTGTTTTAGGGTCTTTATGTTTCCATACAAATTTTAGGATTTTTTTTTTTTCCTGTGAGGAATGCCATTAGGATTTTGATATGGATTATGTCAAACCTATATTTTGCTTTGGGTAGTATGGATAATTTAAGAATATTAATTCTTCTGATTCATGAGGATGGAATATCTTTTCATTTATTTTTTCATTATTTTGTCTTCAATTTCTTTCATCAGTGTCTTATAGTTTTCTGTGTACAGGATTTTCACCTTTGTTAAATTTATTCTTCAGCTGTTTTTTAATTTTTAAAACATGAAATATACATATTTCGTGAAATATTTTTATTCAGGCATGCAATATATAATAATCACATCAGGGTAAATGGGAGTATCTATCACCTCAAGCATTTATTCTTTGTTACAAACAATTCAATTATACTCTTTTAGTTATTTTAAAATGTACAATTAAATTCATATTGACTATGGTAGTGCTGTCAAATACTTGGTTTTATTTATTCTTTCCAGCTATTTTTTTTTTTTTTTTTGCACCTAGTAACCATTCCATCTCCTCCTCACCCTTCCAACTATCCTTCTCAGCCTTTGGTAATCAATCCTTGTACTCTCTGTGAATTTGACTGTCTTAATTTTTAGCTCCTACATGTATTGTTTTTCTTTCTGTGCCTGGCTTATTTCACTTAACATAATGGCCTCAAGTTCTATTCATGTTTTTGCAAATCACAGGACCTCATCTTTTTTTTGGCTGAATAGTACTCCATTGTGTATAAACACCACATTTTCTTTATTTATTCTTCTGTCAATGGACACTTAGATTGTTTCCAAATCTTGGCTATTGTGGATAGTGCTGCAATAAATGTGGGGGTGCAGATATATTTTTAATATGCTGACTTCCTTTGTTTTGGGTATATACCTAGCAGTGGGATTGCTGGATCATGTGGTAGCTCTGTTTTTAGTTTTTTGAGGATCCTCCATACTGTTCTCAAAATAGTGCTTACACTAATTTACATTCCCATCAACAGTGTGGGAGAGTTCTCTTTTTTCCACACCCTTGCCAACATTTGTTACTTATTGCCTGTCTTTTGGATAAAAGCTATTTTAACTGGGGTGAGGTGATGTCTCATTGTAGTTTTGATTTGCATTTCTCTGATGCTCATTGATCTTGAGCACCTTTTTGTATACCTGTTTGCCGTTTGTGTGTCTCCTTCTGAGAAATGCCTGTTTCTTTTGCCGATTTAAAAATAAGATTATTAGATCTTTTCCTATAGAGTTGTTTGAGCTCCTTATGAATAATGGTTATTTTGTTTTTATTTTTATTTTTAATTAAACTTTAAGATCTGTGATACATGTGCAGAACATGCAGGTTTGTTACATAGGTATACATGCACCATGGTGGTTTGCTGCACCCATCAACCCATCATCTAGGTTTTAAGCCCCGCATGCATTAGGTATTTGTCCTAATGCTCTCCCTCTGCTTGCCCCTCACCCTGCAACAGGCCCCAGTGTGTGATGTTCTCCTCTCTGTGTCCATGTGTTCTCATTGTTCAGCTCCTACTTATGAGTGAGAACATATGGTGTTTGGTTTTCTGTTCCTGTGTTAGTTTGCTGAGAATGATGGTTTCCAGCTTCATCCATGTCCCTGCAAAGGACAAGAACTCATTTTTTTAAATGACTGGATAGTATTCCATGGTGTATATGTGCCACATTTTCTTTATCCAGTCTATCATTGATGGGCATTTGGGTTGGTTCCCAGTCTTTGCTATTGTGAATAGTGCTGCAATAAACATACATGTGCATGTGTCTTTATAGTAGAATGATTTATAATTCTTTGGGTATACACCCAGTAATGGGGTTGCTGGGTCAAATGTTATTTCTGGTTCTAGATCCTTGAGGAATTGCCACACTGTCTTCCACAAAGGTTGAACTAATTTACACTCCCACCAACAGTGTAAAATGTTCCTATTTCTCCACATTGTTGCCAGCATCTGTTATTTCCTGACCTTTTAATGATCACCATTCTAACTGGCGTGAGATGGTATCTCACTGTGGTTTTGCTTTGCATTCTCTAATGACCAGTGATGGTGAGCTTTTTTTCACATGATTGTTGACCACATAAATGCCTTCTTTTGAGAGGTGTCTGTTCATATCCTTTGCCCAGTTTTTTGGTGGGGTTGTTTGTTTTTTTCTTGTAAATATGTTTAAGTTCCTTGTAGATTCTGGACATTAGCTCTTTGTCAGATGGATAGATTGCAAAAATTTTCTCCCATTCTGTAGGTTGCCTGTTCACTCTGATGATAACTTCTTTTACTGTGCAGAAGCTCTTTAGTTTAATTAGATCCTATTTGTCTATTTTGGCTTTTGTTGCCATTGCTTTTGGTGTTTTAGTCATGAAGTCTTTACCCATGCCTAAGTCCTGAAAGGTATTGGCTGTGTTTTCTCCCAGGGTTTTTTGATTTTAGGATTTATGTTTAAGTCTTTAATCCATCTTGAGTTAATTTTTATATAAGGTGTAAGGAAGGGGTTCAGTTTTAGTTTTCTGCATATGGTAGCCAGTTTTCCCAGCACCATTTATTAAATAGGAAATCCTTTCTCCATTTCTTGTTTTTGTCAGATTTGTTAAAGATCAGATGGTTGTAGATGTGTGGTGTTATTCCTGCAGCCTCTGTTCTGTTCCATTGGTCTGTATATCTGTTTTGGTACCAGTACCATGCTGTTTTGGTTACTGTAGCCTTGTAGTATAGTTCGAAGTCAGGTAGAGTCATGCCTCCAGCTTTGTTCTTTCTGCTTAGGATTGTTTGGCTATGCAGGCTCTTTTTTGGTTCCATATGAAATTTAAAGTAGTTTTTCTAATTCTGTGAAGAAAGTCAATGGTAGCTTGATGGGAATAGCATTGAATCTATAAATTACTTTGGGCAGTATTGCCATTTTCATGATATTGATTCTTCATGTCCATGAGGATGGAATGTTTATCCATTTGTTTGTGTCCTCTCTTATTTCCTTGAGCAGTGGGTGTAGTTCTCCTTGAAGAGGTTCTTCATGTCCCTTATAAGTTGTATTCCTAGGTATTTTATTTTCTTTGTAGCACATGTGAATGGGAGTTCACTCATGATTTGGCTCCCTGTTTGTCTATTATTGGTGTATAGGAATGCTTGTGATTTTTGCCCATTGATTTTGTATCCTGAGACTTTGCTGAAGTTGCTTATCAGCTTAAGGAATTTTGGGGCTGAGAAAATGGGGTTTTCTAAATATAAAATCATGTCCTCTGCAAACGGAGACAATTTGACTTCCTCTCTTCCTATTTGAATGCCCTTTATTTATTTCTCTTGCCTGATTGCCCTGGCCAGAACTTCCAATACTATGTTGAATAGGAGTGGAGAGAGAGGGCATCCTTGTCTTGTGCTGGTTTTCAAAGGGAATGCTACCAGCTTTTGCCAATTCAGTATGATATGGGTATGGGTTTGTCAAAAATAGGTCTTATTATTTTGAGATATGTTCCCTCAATACCTAGTTTCTTGAGTGTTTTTAGCATGAAGCGCTGTTGAATTTTGTCAAAGGCCTTTTCTGCATCTATTGAGATAATCATGTGGTTTTTGTCATTGGTTTTGTTTATGTGATGGATTATGTTTATTGATTTGCGTATGTTGAACCAGCCTTGCATTCCAGCGATGAAGCTAACTTGATCGTGGTGGATAAGCATTTTGATGTGCTGCTGGGTTTGGTTTGCCAGTATTTTACTGAGGATTTTCGCATCAACGTTCATCAGGGATATTGGCCTGAAATTTTCTTTTTTTGTTGTGTTTCTGCCAGGTTTTGGTATCAGGATGATGCTGGCCTCATAAAATGAGTTAGGAAGGAGTCCCCCTTTTTTCTATTGTTTGGAATAGTTTCAGAAGGAATGATACCAGCTCCTCTTTGTACCTCTGGTAGAATTCGACTGTAAATCGGTCTGGTCCTGGGCTTTTTTTGGTTGGTAGGCTATTAATTACTGCTTCAATTTCCAAACTTGTTATTGGTCTATTCAGGGATTCAACTTCTTCCTGGTTTAGTCTTGGGAGGGTGTTTGTGTCCAGGAATTTATCCATTTCTTCTAGATTTTCTGGTATATTTACATAGAGGTATTTATAGTATTCTCTGATGGTAGTGTGTATTTCTGTGGGATCAGTGGTGATACCCCTTTTATCATTTCTTATTGTGTCTATTTGATTCATCTCTCTTTTCTTCTTTATTAGTCTGGCTAGCAGTCTATCTGTTTTGCTAATTTTTTCAAAAAACCAGCTCCTGAATTCCTTGATTTTTCGAAGGTTTTTTTGTGTCTCTATCTCCTTCAGTTCTGCTCTGATCTTAGTTATTTCTTGTCTTCTCCTAGCTTTTGAATTCTTTTGCCCTTACTTCTCTAGTTCTTTTAATTATGATGTTAGGGTATCGATTTTAGGTCTTTTGCACTTTCTGATGTGGGCATTTAGTACTTTAAATTTCCCTCTAAACACTGCTTTAGCTGTATCCCAGACATTCTGGTACGTTGTGTCTTTGTTCTCATTGGTTTCAAAGAACTTCTTGATTTCTGCCTTAATTTTGTTATTTACCTAGTAGTCATTCAGGGGTAGATTGTTCAGTTTCCATGTAGTTGTGCAGTTTTGAGAGAATTTCTTAATCCTGAGTTCTAATGTGATTGCACTGTGGTCTGAGAGACTGTTTGTTATGATTTCCATTCTTTTGCATTTGCTGAGGAGTGTTTCACTTCCTATGATGTGGTCAATTTTATAATAAGTGCTATGCAGTGCTAAGAAGAATGTATATTCTGTTGATTTAGGGTGGAGAGTTCTGTAGATACCTATTAGGTCTACTTGGTCCAGAGCTGAGTTCAAGTCCTGAATATCCTTGTTAATTTTCTGTTTCATTGATCTGTCTAATGTAGACAGTGGGATGTTAAAGTCTCCCACTATTATTGTGTGGGAATCCAAGTCTCTTTGTAGATCTCTAAGTACTTGCTTTATGAATCTGGATGCTCCTGTATTGGGCGCATATATATTTAGGGTAGTTAGCTCTTCTTGTTGCATTGATTCCTTTACCTTTATGTAATGCCCTTTGTCTTTTTTGATCTTTTTGTTTTAAAGTCTGTTTTATCAGAGACTAGGATTGCAACCCTTGCTTTATTTTTTGCTTTCCATTTGCTTAGTAAATATTCCTTCATCCCTTTATTTTGAGCCTATGTGTGTCTTTGCATGTGAGATGGGTCTCCTGAATACAGTACACCAGTGGGTCTTGACTCTTTTTCCAATTTGCCAGTCTGTGTCTTTTAATTGGGGCATTTAGCCCATTTACATTTAAGGTTAATATTGTTATGTGTGAATTTGATCCTGTCATTATGATGCTAGCTGGTTATTTTGCCCGTTAGTTAATGCGGTTTCTTCCTATTGTCAATGGTCTTTACAATTTGGTATGTTTTTGCAGTGGCTGGTACTGGTTTTTCCTTTCCATATTTAGTGCTTCCTTCAGGAGCTCTTGCAAGGCAGACCTGTTGGTGACAAAATCCCTCAGCATTTGCTTGTTTGTAAAGGATTTTATTTCTCCTTCAGTTATGAAGCTTAGTTTGGCTGGATATGAAATTCTGGATTGAAAATTCTTTTCTTTAAGAATGTTGAATATTGGCCCCCACTCTCTTTTGGCTTGTAGGGTTTCTGCTGAGAGATCTGCTGTAGTCTGATGGGCTTCCCTTTGCAGGTAACTTGACCTTTCTCTCTGGCTGCTCTTAACATTTTTTCCTTCATTTCAACCTTGGAGAATCTGACAATTTTGTGTCTTGGGGTTGCTCTTCTCGAGGAGTATCTTAGTGGTGTTCTCTGTATTTTCTGAATCTGAATGTTGGCCTGTCTTGCTAGGTTGGGGAAGTTCTCCTGGATAATATCCTGAAGAGTGTTTCCCAACTTGGTTTCATTCTCCCCATCACTTTCAGGTACACCAATGAAACATAGGTTTGGTCTTTTCACATAGTCCCATATTCCTTGGAGGCTTTGTTTGTTCCTTTTCACTCTTTTTTCTCTAATCTTGTCTTCATGCTTTATTTTATTTAGTTGATCTTCAATCTCTGATATCCTTTCTTCCGCTTGATTGATTTGGCTATTGATAGTTGTCTATGCTTCGCGAAGTTCTCATGCTGTGTTCTTCAGCTCCACCAGGTCATTTATGTTCTTCTCTAAACTGGTTATTCTAGTAAGCAGTTCCTATAACCTTTTATCAAGGTTCTTAGCTTCCTTGCATTGGGTTAGAACATTCTCCTTTAGCTTAGAGGAATTTGTTGTTACCCACCTTCTGAAGCCTACTTCCGTCAATTTGTCAAACACATTCTCTGTCCAATTTGGTGCCGTTGCTGGAGAGGAGTTGCGATCATTTGGAGGACAAGAGTCATTCTGGTTTTTGGAATTTTCAGTATTTTTGCACTGGTTTTTCCTCATCTTCATGGATTTATCTACCTTTGATCTTTGATGCTGATGGCCTTTGGATGGGGCTTTTCTGTGGGCATCCTTTTTGTTATGTTGATGTTACTGCTTTCTGTTTGTTAGTTTTCCTTCTCACAGTCAGACCCCTCTTCTGCAGGTCTGCTGGAGTTTGCTGGAGGTCCACTCTAGACCCTATTTGCCTGGGTATCACCAGCAGAGGCTGCAGAACAGCAAATATTGTTGCCTGCTTCTTCCTCTGGAAACTTCGTTCCAGAGGGATACCCACCTGATGCCAGCCGGAGCTCTCCTGTATGAGGTGTCTGTTGACCCCTGCTGAGAGGTGACTCCCAGTCAGAGGGCACGGGGGTCAGGCATCCACTTGAGGAGGCAGTCTGTCCCTTAGCAGAGCTCGAGTGCTTTTCTAGGAGATATGCTGCTCTCTTCAGAGCCAGCAGGCAGGAACGTTTAAGTCTGCTGAAGCTGTGCCCACAGCCACCCCTTTCCCCAGGTGCTGTGTCTCAGGGAGATGGGAGTTTTATCTATAAGCCGCTGACTGGGGCTGCTGCCTTTCTTTCAGAGATGTCCTGCCCAGTGAGGAGGAATCTAGAGAGGCAGTCTGGCCCCAGGTACTTTGCCTTGCTGTGGTGTTACTCACAGTCAAGGTTAACACTATGAGGGGAAAACTGCCTACTCTAGCCTCAGTAATGGCGATGCCCCTCCCACCACCAAGTTCGACTTCAGACTGCTATGCTGGCAGCAAGAATTTCAAGCCAGTGGTTCTTAGCTTGCTGGGCTTTGTGGGAGTGGGACCCGCTGAGTGAGACCACTTGGCTCCCTGGCTTCAGCCCCCTTTTAAGGGAGTGAACAGTTCTGTCTCGCTGGGGTTCCAGGCACCACTGGGCTACAAAAGAAAAACTCCAGCAGCTAGCTCGGTGTCTGCCCAAACAGCTGCCCAGTTTTGTGCTTGAAACCCAGGGCCCTGGTGGTGAAGGCACACAAGAGAATCTCCTGGTCTGTGGGCTGCAAAAACCATGGGAAAAGCATAGTGTCTGGGCCGGATAGCACAGTCCCTCACAGCACAGTCCCTCACGGCTTCCCTTGGCTAGGGGAGGGAGTTCGCCAGTCCCTTGCACTTCCCCGGTGAGGCAATGCCCCACCCTACTTCTGCTCATCCACTGTGGGCTGCACCCACTGTCTAGCCAGTCCCAATGAGATGAACTTGATACCTCAGTTGGAAATGAAGAACTCTCCCACCTTCTGTGTTGGCCTTTCTGGGAGTTGCCGACTGGAGCTGTTCTTATTCAGCCATCTTGACAGCTCTCTGTATAATGGTTATTAATCCCTTGTCAGGTTGATAGTTTGCAAAATTTTCTGTCATTTTCTGGGTCGTCTCTTCATTTTGATGATTGCTAACTTCGCTGTGTGCAAGCTTTTTAACTTGATGTGATCCCATTTGTCCGTTTCTGCTTTGGCTGCCTGTGCTTTTTGGATTATTACTCAAGAAATCTTTGCTTACTCCAATGTCCTGGGGAGTTTGGTCCCCAGTGTTTCTTTGTAATAGTTTCATAGTGTGAGGTCTTAGATTTAAGTCTTTAATCTATGTGATTTGATTTTTGTATATGTTAAGAGATAGGGATCTAGTTTCATACTTCTGCATATGAATATCCAGTTTTCCCAGCACCATTTAAGAGATGTTCCTTTTCCCAATACAAGTTCTTTGCAACTTGGTCTAGAATGAGTTTGCTGTGATTGTATGGATGTGCTTCTGGGTTTTGTATTCTGTTTCATTGGTCTATGTTTCTGTTTCTATGCCAGTTCTATGCTGTTTTGGTTACTATAGCTGTGTAGTATAATTTGAAGTCAGGTGATGTGGTTCCTCCAGTTTTGTTCTTTTTGCTCAGGATAGCTTTGAATATTATGGGTCTTTTGTAATTCAATATTAATTTTAGGATTTTTTTTCTATTTCAGTGAAGAATGTCATTGGTATTGCATTGAATCTGTAGATTGCTTTGGGTAGTATGGACATTTTAACAATATTGATTCTTCTAGTCTATTAACATAGAATATCTTTCCATTTTTTAATGGTTTCTCTTTAATTCCTTGCATCAATCTTATATAGTTTTCACTGTAGAGATCTTTCACTTTTTTGGTTAATTCCTAAGTATTTAATTTTTATCTTTAGCTATTGTAAATTGGATTACCTTCTTGATTTATTTTCCAGTTTGTTTGCTGTTGACATATAGAAATGCTACTGAGTTTTGTATGTTGATTTTGTATCCTGCAACTTTACTGAGTTTATCAGTTCTAGCAGTTTTTTGATGGAGTCTTTAGGTTTTTTTCAAATAGATGATCATATCATCTGCAAACAAAGATAATTAATTTGACTTCTTCCTTTTCAATTTGGATGCCCTTTATTTTGTTTTTTCCCACTCTCAAAGATTCAGCCTTTATTCTATTTTATTTTAAAAAATTTTTTATTTAAAATTTTGCGGGTAGGTAGTAGGCATGTATATACTTACAGGTACATGAGATGTTTTGATATAGGCATGCAATGTGTAATAATCACATCAGAGTAAATGGAGTATCCATTACCTCAAGTGTTTATCCTTAGTGTTACAAACAATCCAATTATACTCTTTTAGTTATTTTAAAATGTACAATTAAATTCTTATTGACCTTAGTCACCTTTTTGTGCTATCAAACACCAGGTCTTATTCACTGTATTTTTTTATACCCATTAAACTTCCCTTCCTCTTACCCATCCTCCCACTACCCTTTCAGCCTCTGGTAACCATCCTTGTACTCTTTATCTCCATGAGATCAATTGTTTTTATTTTTAGATCCCACAAATAAGTGAGAACATGTGATGTTTGCCTCTCTGTGTTGGCTAATTTGACCTCCAGTTCCATCCATGTTGTTGGAAATGACAGAATCCCATTGTTTTGATGGCTGAATAGTACTCCGTTGTGTATAAGTACATTTTCTTTATCCATTCATCTGTTGATGGACACTTAGATTACTTCCAAATTTTGGCTATTGTGAATAGTGCTGCAACAAACATGGGAATGCAGATGTCTGATACACTGATTACCTTTGTTTTGGGTTTATACCTAGCAGTGGAATTGCTGGATCATGTGGTAGCTCTGTTTTTAGTTTTTTGAGGACCCTTCATACCATTCTCCATAGTACTTGTACTAATTTACATTCCCACGAACAGTGTAGGAGGGTTCTCTTTTTTTCCATACCCTCACCAGCATTTGTTATTGTCTGTCTTTTGGATATAAATCATTTTAACTGGGGTAAGATGATATCTCCTTGTAGTTTTGATTTGTATTTCTCTGATGATCAGTGATGACCTTTTTGTATGCCTGCTTGCCATTTGTATGCCTTCTTTTGAGAAATGTCTATTGAGCTATTTTTCCCATTTTAAATTGGATTATGAGATTTTTTTTTCTGATAGAGTTGTTTGATCTTCTTATATATTCTGATTATTAATTTATTGTCAGATGAATATTTTTTGTCATTCTGTGGGTTGTCTCTTCATTTTGTTGATTGTTTCCTTTGCTGTACAGAAGCTTTTTAACTTGATGTGATACCGTTTGTTCATTTTTGCTCTGATTGCCTGTGCTTGTTTGGATGCCCTTTCTTTATCTTGTCTTATTATTCTAGCTAGGACTTCTAGTGCTATGTTGAGTAACGGTGGTGAAAGTGGGCATTCTTGTCTTGTTCCAGATCTTAGAGGAAAGGCTTTCAGTGTTTCCTCATTTGGGATGATAGTTGCTGTGAGTCTGTTGTATATGGCTTTTCTTATGTTGAGGTATATTCCTTGGTTACTCAGTTTTTTGAAGGTTTTTATATAGTTTTGTCCTGCATTCTGTTTATATGATGTATCTCATTGATTAATTTGCATGTGTTAAGCCATCCTTGCATTTCTGGGCTAAATCCCACTTGGTATTGATGACCTTTTTTCAATGTGTTATTGAATTCATCTTGCTAGTATTTTGTTGAGGGTTTTTGCATCAGTATTCATCAAGGATATTGGCTTGTAGTTTCCTTTCTTGATGTGTCTTTATCTGGTTTTGGTATTAAGATAATACTGCTCTTGTAAAATGGCCAATATTACTCTATTACTCTTCTTACTCTATTTTTTTGAATAGGTTGAATAGGGTAAGTATTAGTTCTTTAAATGTTTGCTAGAATTCAATAATGAAGCCATTGGGTTTCAGGGTTTTCTTTGCTAGAAGACATGTTACGTCTTTTATCTCTTTACTTGTTATTGGTCTGTTTAGCTTTTGGATTTTCTCATGGTTCAATCTTTGTAGGTTGTGTCTGTCTAGGAGTTTTCTTCTAGATGTGTTTTAGATTTTCCAATATATTGGCATATAGTTACTCATAGTAGCCACTAATGATCCTTTGAATTTCTGCAGTAGCAGTTGTAATGTCTCCATTTTCACCTCTGATTTTATTTATTTGGATCTTCTCTATTTTTTTCTTAGTTTGACTAAAGGTTTGTCAATTTTATTTATCTTTTCAAAAAACCAACTTTTCATTTCATTGATCTTTTGTATTTTCTTAATTTCAATTTCATTTATTTCTACTCTGATCTTTATTATTTTTTCTACTCATTTTGGGTTTGGTTTATTCTTGCTTCAGTTTTTTTTTTAATGCTATCATAAATGGAACTGTTTTCCTGATTTCTTTTTCAGTTACATAATTGTGTATAAAAATGTAGTAATTTCTATGTGTTGATTTTGTATCCTTTACTGAAATTATTATTATTATTATTATTATTATTATTATTATTATTATTATTTTTGAGATGGAGTCTTGCTCTGTCGCCCAGGCTGGAGTGCAGTGGCGAGATCTTGACTCACTGCAACCTCCACCTCCGAGATTCACGCCATTCTCCTGCCTCAGCCTCCCGAGTAGCTGGGACTACAGGCGCCCACCACCATGCCCGGCTAATTTTTTGTATTTTTTTTTTTTAGTAGAGAGGGGGTTTCACTGTGTTAGCCAGGATGGTCTTGATCTCCTGACCTCGTGATCCGCCCACCTTGGCCTCCCAATGAACCTTATTATTTTTAATAGTTTTTTTGTGTGGAATCTTTGGGGTTTTTGATGTGTAGGACCATTTCCTCTGCAAATAGAGATAACTTTACTTCTTTTCAAATTGGATGCATTTTATTTCTTTTTTTGTCTGATTGTTCTTGCTGTTACTTTTAGTAGTATGTTGAATAGAAGGAGGGGGCATCCTTGCCTTGTTCTGGATTGTAATGGAAAAGCTTTCAGTTTTTCTTCATTTTTATAATGTCCACCATGGGCTTTTCATAAATGGCTTTTATTATGTTGAGGAACTTTCCTTATATGCCTAAACTGTTGACAGTTTTTATCAAGAAAGTATGTTGGACTTCGATAAATGCTTTTTTTTTTCTTATCAGTTGAGATTATAATGTGGTTTTTATCTTTTGTCCTGTTAATATGATGTATGACATCAATTTGCATATGTTTAATCAGCCTTGCATGCCAGGAATAAATCTTATCTGGTCATGTTGTATAATTTTTTTGATGTGTTGTTGGCTTTGGTTTGCAAATATTTTATTGAAGATTTCCATCAGTGTTCATCAGAAAGATTGTCATAGCTTTCTTCTCTTGTGATGTCTTTATCTGGCTTAGGTTTCAAAGTGATAATCCTTCATAAAATGTGTTTTGATGTAGTTATTCTAGCTCCATTTTTTGGAAGAGTGTAAGAAATTTTGATATTCTTACTACTCTTAATTGTCTTTGATTTTTGACAGCGTGATTAGAATATGACTTGAAGAGGATCTCTTTGAGTTGAATCTGGGAACATTTGAGCTTCGTAGATCTGGATATCTGTATCTTTTCCAAGACTTGGGGGGTTTTCAGCAATTATTTCATTAAGTAAACATTGTTTTCTTTGTCTTTTCTCTTTATGAAATTCCCATAATGTGAACATTTGTTTGCTTGATGGTTTTTTATAAGTCTTTACTCTTTTTCGTTCTTTTTTCCCCTCTGGTTGAGTCATTTCAAAATACTCATCTTCAAATTCACAAACTGTCTCTTCTGTTTGATCTAGTCTGCTGTTGCAGCTCTCAATTTTATTCTTGTCTCATTGATTGAATTCTTCAGCTCCAAGATTTATGATTGGTTCTTTTTTTAATAACATGTATCTCTTTGCTGAATTTCTCATTCAGATCATGAGTTGTTTTCCTGTTTTTACTGAATTGTCTATTTGTATTTTCTTGCATCTCATTGGAGTTTTTAGAGTATTATTTTGAAATTCCTTTGGGGCAATTTATAAATTTTTGTTTCTTTGGGATCAATTACTATATAATTATTGTGGTCCTTTGGTGGTGTCATATTTCCTTGCTTTATCATT
This sequence comes from Homo sapiens, assembly GCF_000001405.40. NCBI lineage: Eukaryota > Metazoa > Chordata > Mammalia > Primates > Hominidae > Homo > Homo sapiens. The sequence goes on along the minus strand of NC_000014.9, from coordinate 80,879,281 downwards.
TTTTTGTGTGTCCCTGTGTTAATTTCTGCCTATCTGGTGGTACGGTCACTCCTTCCAAACTTCACAGAGTGGCTTTTATAAGGGAAAACATTTAGCTGCAGATGGGCCTGAGGGTCCTGGCATGGCAGAGTGTGGTGGCTCTGCTTCTTTGTTAGTGCAGTGTTGTAGTCTCTGTGAAGTTTTTTCAGTTGTGATCAATGTTAGTGATACCTGCAGAGCCTCAGTGGTCTAGGCTGAAGGAATTTGTGGTAGTGACAGTGACTGTGTAGGTTATTAGAGCAAGGATTTTAGGGATTCTCCTGTTTTTGTCTTCCTTAGAGTGGGGATTCTTAGCTGAGAGGATCTCTCTTGAAGTTGGATCTGACGTGGTTCACAGGCAGCTACAGTGGCACTGGGATCCACAACACAGATGCTCAGAGTGGTCGTGAGGTCAGACTCTTGCACACATTGTCTTCTGAAACTTGTAGCACCTGGGACTTGAGGCACAGAATCACTCTCCAAGGCATGAGTGGATGCAGTTCTTCCAGTAAGCTAAGGTTTGTTGCTCTAAGGGACAACCTGGTAGCTCAGGCCCAGGGGGTTGGGAAGCAGCTGTGGTTCTTACCCATGGGAGCAGGCACCACACTTGTATGGCTCCAACGAGGAAGGGGTGCTCCAGAGGCTCAGGCCCTGGGGTTGGGCACAACTGCAATTTGGGACCTAGAACCAACAGGGCACAGTAGAAGGCTGGACTCCAGGTTATGAGGAACCATGCAGTGGTGACTCTGTACTCTAAGATGGTGGGATATGGTAGTAACCTAAGTTTTAAGAGGCCAGGTGCAACAGCAGCAAGGACTGAGGAATGGTAATATACCACTGTGGCTTGGATCTCAAGTGGTGGAGAGAAGCACAGAGATGACTCCATTCCTTGAAGAGGTGAGGTGCCTGAGTAGCTTAGACAGTAGAGGGCTAATCTAGTTTCAGGTAGATGGGGTGTTTTCTGGTTCTTGGGCATGGAGGGTGGAGTGGCACAGCTCAGCCATGGCTCTTATTCCCTGGGATGTGAGGCACTGCTAAAAGTGCAGCTACGTGAGTCAGTAGAGCCTCTGGATTCCTGGGTATATGGTGTCATGTCACCTGTGTGCTGGAAGGTGCAGCTGCTCTAATATGCTGGAGGACCAGGGTCCCTGCTGGGGGAGGGGCTGCTGCCTCACCAATGGCATGGTGTTGAAGGAGACTTCTCTGGTGTGTAGGAGGCCAGAGGTCCCTGTGTGACAGAGCACTACCTCGGCTGTGCCATGCGGGGTGCCACTTCTCTGGTATGTAGGAGGTCTGAGGTACCCAGGTGGTAGGGTGCCACATCTGCTCTGGCTCCAGAGGCATAAATTCTCCAGTAGGCCAGAGGCCTGAGGTACCTGCGGTGGGGGGTGGGTATTGTCTTGTCTGTGGCAACTGTTGTGAGACTGTTCTAGCACTTCAAGGCTCTGGGTTCCTGGGAGTGGGGCATCCCTTCAGCTTGGTCTTAAGGGGAGGATATAGCAGTGACTGAGATGGGGATATGCAGTGACTGAAGTAGCTTGTCCCTAGGTGGGTAGGGCTGACCCCAACTGGGGGGATGAGATGGTGGAGGCAAGGTGATTCCTTTCCTTCCCTGTGCAGCCATTCTGGCTTTTTGTGCCCTATAGAATTTCTGTGGCTACCTTGCTGTTCTCATTGCTCTCCTGTAGTTATTTTGGTTCAAAATGTGTTTTTTGTGTGTGTGCCTTTTCTTGTGGTGGAGAAAAGTGCTAGGAGCTTTTAGTTGGCCAGCTTGCTGATGTCACTCAAAGAAGTTTTATATCTTATACATTTTTTTTACAACTTATTTCTTGAATTTGATATCTTTCATGCTATTTTATAGAGTATCATTAAATATTTTTTTAAAGGTCAGTGTAACACTGTTTTGATTTGGAGGATTTGCTGTATTACATTTAATGTAAATGTTGATTTCATTTATTTAAATCTACCATCTTACTATTTGCTTTCTCTTGGACCCACTTACTATATTTCCATTTTTTGTGTGTGTTTTTTTTCGTTTTTATTAGTTTTCATTTTTCTGTATTCCACGTCTATTAGCTTTCTAATTATATCTTTTTATTCCTTTGTTAACCTAGGGATTACAACATATGTCTTTAAAATATCAAAACTAATATAAATTAATTCTTTTAGCTCTTTCCAGAAAATGCAAAGATCTTATAGCACCTCAACTCCATAAACCCCGCTTTTCACTTTTATGCTATTTTGTTATTTAATTTTGTATTTAATTGAGCCTTAGAAGGCATGACTATTATTTTATGCAATAAAGGTTTATTTAGGTTTACCCTTAGATTTACTGTTTTTTGTTCTTCAGTCCTTTCTGCATTTTTCAGATTGCACATCTACCTTAAGAACATATTTTAAGATTTCCTTTAGGGTGAGTGTGCATATGCCTGAAAGTATCCCGTCTAGAATTTCCTTTAGAGCGTGTGCTTTGGTGAAAAATCTTCTCTGTATGTGTCTGAAAATTTCTTTCACTTTCTATGTTGAAAAATTTTCACTGGATATAAAATTCTAGATGGGCCATTTTCCCTCTATTCTGTATTTTAAAGAAATTTAATCATTTGGGGGTTTTATTGCTTCTATTGAGAAATCAGACACTAGTCTTATTGATGCTTTTTTTTTTTTTTGAAATGGGAGTCTTGCTCTGACACCCAGGCTGGAGTGCAGTGGCACGATCTCGACTCACTGCAACCTTTGCCTCCCAGTTTCACGCGATTCTCTTGCCTCAGCCTCCCAAGTAGCTGGGACTACAGGCGTGTGCCACCATGTCCAGCTAATTTTTTGTATTTTTAGTAGAGATGGGGTTTCATCATGTTAGCCAGGATGGTCTCGATCTCCTGACCTTGTGATCCACCCTCCTTGGCCTCCCAAAGTGCTGGGATTACAGGCATGAGCCACTGCGCCCGGCCTGATGCTTTTTTTTTAAGGTGTAATAGATTTTTTTCTCTAATTGCTTTTGGGTTTTTCTTCTTTGTCTTTGTTTTTATTTATAGTTTTACTGTGATAAGCTTAGTTGTGTGTGCATGTGTGTGTGTGTGTTTTGACTTGTTGCTTGCTGCTTATAGTACCATTACCTCTTCAAAAATTACTTTTATTCTTTGTCTCTTCTTTTAGGACTTCAGATTTCATATAATCTTGAACTTTTGACTTCATCCCCTTTGTCTCTTATGCTCATTTCTGTCAGTTTTAATTCTTTCTTCTTTCTTTCTTTTGAATATTTTCTTCTATATAGCACCTCAACTCCATAAACCCCGCTTTTCACTTTTATGCTATTTTGTTATTTAATTTTGTATTTAATTGAGCCTTAGAAGACATTACTATTATTTTATGCAATAATGGTTTATTTAGGTTTACCCTTAGATTTACTGTCTTTTGTTCTTCAGTCCTTCCTGCATTTTTCAGATTGCACATCTACCTTAAGAACATATTTTAAAATTCCCTTTAGGGCGAGTGTGCATATACCTGAAAGTATCCCATCTAGAATTTCCTTTAGAAAGGAAATTTTTATTTCTTTTTATTTAGTAACTTAATCTCTCTTCAACTGAGGCAAGCCTATTAAACCCACTCACTGATTTTCATTTTAAGTCATTGCAAGTTTCAGTACTAGAATTTTCATTTGATTGTTTTTAACTTTGTAATTGTTTTCCAAAATCATCAATCTGTTTATCTGTGTCTCATAGCTTCATTATCTAGATCTTCAATGTGTCTGTTTCGATTGTCTATTATCCTTTGCTTTTCTTGGACTTTGATCACATTGTTTTGTCCTACTGTTTAGTTTTGATTCTTTAGTTATTTTTGTTTGATGACAGAAAGCGTATTTTATTTTCTGCCAACAAAATTTGAATAGATAATTTGAGGCTTAGGACATTATTACGTATGAGAATATAGACATTTATTTTTTGTTATAGACTAGGGTCAGTAGCAATCTTGGATTATCTTATTACTTGTTGTTGAGATACTTAATAAACTTTGGTACTGGGTCTTAAGTATTTCTGGTTCACCCTTACTACTTGCGTATAGCCCTTCAGGATTCCAGTCCAAAGGCTAAGAGAGTGATTAATCAGGGACCCATTACTTGCAAGTCTCTCAGCTCAACACTTTTTCTCATTTAACTTTAAGAATCTGCTAAAAACTTTGTTCAGCTTCTCAGTGTCTCAGCTGCCTTTTCTGAAATGAGCTGATATTTCAGGGGAAAAAGTCGTTCTAAAGGATAGACCATTCTCTCCGGTTTTCTTTCTTCTGCATGTTATTCTTATATTTCCTTATTACTTTTTAACTTCCCAGTGTTTTAAAAAACAGTTATATTTGGCCAGGCGCGGTGGCTCACGCCTGTAATCCCAGCACTTTGGGAGGCTGAGGCGGGCGGATCACGAGGTCAGGAGATCGAGACCATCCTGGCTAACACAGTGAAACCCCGTCTCTACTAAAAATACAAAAAAATTAGCCAGGCATGGCGGTGGGCGCCTGTAGTCCCAGCTACTCAGGAGGCTGAGGTGGGAGAATGGCGTGAACCCGGGAGGTGGAGCTTGCAGTGAGCCAAGATGGCGCCACTGCACTCCAGCCTGGGCGACAGAGCGAGACTCCGTCTCAGAAACAAACAAACAAACTATATTTAAAATATTCTTTCTAGCTTTCTAGTTACTTTCAACTGAATTATCTAGTCTGTTATTTCTGGAAGTGAAACTCCTTTAATCTTTTTTATATATCCGATGTCATTACTATGTTTGCTCTTTCCTTTCTTTCTTTTTTTTTTTGGAGACAGAGACAGAGTCTCACTCTGTCACCCAGGCTGGGGTGCAGTGGTGTGATCTCAGCTCGCTGCAACCTCCACCTCCTGGATTCAAGTGATTCTCCTGCGTCAGCCTCCTGAGTAACTGGGATTACAGTTGTACACCATGACACTTGGCTAATTTTTGTATTTTTAATAGAGACAGGGTTTCGCGATGTTGGCCAGGCTGGTCTCAAACTCCTGACCTCAGATGGTCAGCCTGCCTCAGCCTCCCAAAGTGCTGGGATTACAGGTGTGAGCCACCCCACTGCACCCAGGGTACGTTTTCTAATGCACAAGATTTGACTAAGTTTTTCAACTGTTGCCTGAGGCTTCTTTCACTTGCTATATAGATATACATCTTGTGAACATGCTTGTTGTATTAGTTTATTTTTATGCTGCTGATAAAGACATACGAACTGGGCAATTTACAAAAGAAAGAGGTTTAATGGACTTACAGTTCCACATGGCTGGGGAGGCCTCACAATCATGACGAAAGGCAAGGAGGAGAAAGCCAGGTCTTACATGGATGACAGCAGGCAAAAAGAGAGAGCTTGTGCAGGGAAACTCCCGTTTCTAAAACAATTTTATTTAAAATATTCTTATTTTATTTAAAATATTTTATTTAAAATATTCGTGATGTTAAAAATATCACGGGAATAGTGCAGGAAAGACCCGCCCCCATAATTCAATCACCTGCCACTGGGTTTCTCCCATGACACGTGGGAATTGTGGGAGTTACAATTCAAGATGAGATCTGGGTGGGGACACCACCAAATTATATTACTTCTAAACAGGATTTGATCTAAATTCAGATATCCTTAATATTCTACTGAGGTCCCTGTAAAGCTGAGTGAGCCATGGTCATATCCAGCTGTACTGTCATGCTGTTTTTTGAAACTATTAGATAGTTAGGATGGTTTCAATTTGGGGTTTAATAGTACCAATTTGCATAGTGCACATTACATTTATTGTTTCACCTTTCACCACGTGACAAGAGAACCCATAATAAACAGTTATCATTTTATTTGGATTTCTTTCACATAGCAAATAAAACTAGTAAGTATTATCTATATATAGTCTACAGTTTTACTTTGTATTTAAAATGTAGCCACTGAGTAAAAAGTTAGCAGTTAGCTGAATTCAGAGAGAGCTCAAACTCTTTCACATAATTATTGCCATGCATCAAGAATGACTCCATATCACATAAAGTGCAACTGGATGTCACTCCTCACTGGTGCCCAGCTCATTGGTGTAATTGCTGTATAAAACATGCTAGTTTACCCAGCTATCCCCTCTGCCCAGCTCATGAGGACACAGCCTTTTATATTGTCTAAACCCAGAAAATTGTGCCCACATAATTGTACACTCAGTTGAATTGTTCATGTGCCAGTTCCTTACATCAAGTTGTGATGTTACACCTTGTTTTGTGCTTTGTGTAATTTGCTGTCAAAGTAAGATTGTCTCATAATTGCACGAAGGGCATCTCAAATTTCTTATGGGTGTGTATAGTCCTGATTAAGAAAAAAATGTCCAAAGTGAAACTTAATAATAACATTGTTGGAATTAAGAAGGTCTTCTGAAGGCCACATGATGTTTGTTTCCAGGGCTTAATATAGACTTTGTGACTCATTCCAATTGAAGTCAACATTTATGTTTTATAACTGGTCGATGTATTGTGTTGTATTTGTGAATTCATAACCTGCTGTCAGAGAAGATGGTTTCATTATTTGAGTGTTAAGCTTCTCAGAGACTGCAGCTGTTTCCCCTGCTTCAGATTTAAGTTTAAAATAAAATTACCAAAATGATGCACCTTCACTGTGGCAAACTTAAATATTGTACATACATAAAGTGAAAATAAATGCTGCCCCTATTTCTTGCCAATTTCACTTTCTACTGGTAAGCCCTCTTAATCACGTTTATTGTGTATTATTCTGAGGCTACAGTTGTTTATCATGCATTTTCTCAGTGACTAAAATATATCTTGAAAGCTTATGGAACACATTTTTCTTTGAGAGACAAAAAGTTGTGGTTGCTGTCATATATGTCAGTATTTGATGTGTTAATCTTTTGTGAATCATAAATATTTTTTGCTAATGTCAAATTGTCCATTGGAAGGGAAGAGTTATTGTTTATAGTATGATGTCATGGAAAATATTTTCTATTAACACTTAATTGTGGTGATACGCAATCAATATTGCATAGGCCTTATACCATATGGGAAATTTCAGTTTATTAGTTGTCTAGATTTTATTGAGCTGAGTGTGATATGACTGCATGTTATTTGATTATTTTTGGAGGAAAAAGTCAATTCTATTTTAGTTTTCTATAGGAGGATCACTATTAAAAATAAAAATGTAAACATGGATCCAGCTGTTTCTGGAAGGGTTGACCATTAATAGAGTTTATAAGAATTCTGTCAATACTGCATTTAGAATAACAGGATTATTGCATAGATCACAGCAGCAGGATATATAACATATTTATTTAAGTGGACTTTGAAGCACCAGGTATTGTTAAAGATCTGAGGAATCAACATATTGAAAAGCGAGAATACCATCTTTTAAACAGAATGCTTTTTCTTTTGTTTGACCTTTCATTAAATACTAATCTTAAAAGCCATTCTAATTTTTATTCTTGTTATTTTGCTATTTTTATAACCAAATATGGAGATTTAGGAATTTTTGGTATTCTAGTCTTAAACTTAGTTGATAATGGTATTCTGGTAAATATGAATTTTTTAGTATTGGATTACATTTCTAATATTTTTCCCTTAGGTCTCAGAGAAAGAAAAAATAAAGAAGTTCTAAAATATACTTTCTTTAAAATAATTCTTATTATTAGGAATTATGTCATCACTCAAAAGCTATAAATATATGTCTTTAGGTTAAGGTCCACAACCTTCATTTAGGGTTGTTTTTACTTACTTTGGTCTTCACTGTCTCAGGAAATGGCATCATATTCCATCCAGCACGTTAAGCTGGTCACCAAGGATTCATCTAGATCCATTTCTTTACACCATACTTCCAATCCATTACAAAATCCTGTCCCTTTAATTTCTGAAATCTTGCTCAATTCCATCTACTTCTAATACTACTTTTCAAGCTACCATCTCTTCTCAGTGGGTTTACTGCAGTGGCATCCAATGAAGTTGGTCCCTCTGCTCCCATACCTGCCTTTATCTGTGCTTCTCACTGCAGGCAAATTATTTTTTTAAATTGTCATTATGTTTAATTATTCCTCCAGGTTTAAAAATCCTACCTGGGTTTCTTTCGTTCCAAATTCTTTACCATGGTCTATAGTGCCTACGTTATGTGGCTTTCTCTGTATATCTTGATTTTTTTTTCCACTGGCTATTTTCTTTTACCAAGATTTTACATTGCTGACTTCCTCTTTCTTTAATTTTTTTTATTTTCAGAGTACAAATCTTTCATCACCTTAGGTAAATTTATTTCTTCGTATTTTTTGGGTGCTATAGTGAACAGGACTTTTTTTTTTTGAGTTGTTATGTATAGAAATGCTGCTGATTCTTGTATGTTTAATTTTGATTTCTGCAACTTTACTGAATTTGTTTATTACTTCTAACAGTTTTTTTTAGGGGCCTCTTTAGGGCTTTCTGTATATAAGATCATGTCATCTGAAAACAGGGACAATTTGACTTCTTCCTTCCTCATCTAGATGCCTTTTATTTCTTTTTCTTGCATACTTGCTTTGGCCAGGACCTTCAGTACTACGTTGAATGGAAGTGTTCATACTGGGCATCCGTGGCTTTTTCTGATCTTAGGGAAAAAGCTTTTAGATTTTTACTGTTGAGTACTATGTTAGCTGTTGGCTTGTTGTATATGGCCTTTATTATGCTAAAATAAACTCATTCTATGTCTAATTTATTGGAAGTTTCTCTTTTTATCATGAAAGGATGTTGAATTATATTAAATGCTTTTTCTGCATCTATGGAGAAGACCATATGATTTTTATTCTTTATTCTGTTAATATGGTATGTTACACTTATTGATTTGCAGCTTTGTATTCTGGGGATAAATACTAAGTGATCATGGTGTAATGATTGGTGTAATGATTCTTTTAATGTGCTACTGAATTTGGTTTGCTAGTATTTTGCAGAGGATTTTTACATCTGTGTTCATCGGGGATATTGGCTTGTAATTATCTTTTTTAGTAGTGTCTTTGGTCTCATGGTACTGCTGGCCTCATAGGATGAGGTTGGACATGTTCTCTTATCTTCAGTTTTTTGGAAGAGCTTGAGAAGGATTGGCATTAGCTTTTCTTTACATGTTTGGTAGATTTTACCTGTGAAGTAATCAGGTTCTGGGCTTTTCTTTGTTGGGAGGTCTTTGATTACTGATTCAATCACCTTACTCATTATTGGTTTGTTTGGATTTTCTGTTTCTTTGTGACTCAGTCTTGGTAAGTTGTAGGTTTTTAGGAATTTACCCATTTCTCCTAGGTTATCCAATTTGTTGGCATAAAATTGTTCATAGTATTTTCTTATAAGACTTTGTATTTTTGTGGTATCATTTGTAATGTCTCCTCTTTTACTTTTGATTTTATTGACTTGAGTCATTACTCTTTTTTTCCTTATTCAGTCTAGCTAGCATTTTGTCAGTTTTCTTTATCTTTTCAAAAAACTAACTTTAAGCAGAAAAAAATAACTCCTGGGTACTAGGCTTAATACCTGGGTGAAGAAATAATCTGTACAACAAACCTCTGTGACACAAGTTTACCTATGTAACAAACCTGCCCATGTACCCCTGAACCTAAAATAAAAGTTTACCCAAACAACTGTTAGTTTCATGGATCTTTTCTATTGTTTTTCTAGTCTATTTCATTTATTTTTGCTGCAATCTTTGTGATTTCCTTTCTTCTATTGACAGTGGCTTAGTTTAGTTTAATTTTGTTTTTTAGTTTCTTGAGGTATAGTTAGGTTATTTATTTGAGATCTTTTTCTAAATGTAGGCATTTATTGCCATAAAACTCCCTCTTAGAACTGCTTTTTTGCATCCCATAAGTTTTGGTGTATTGTATTTCTGTTCACATTTGTATCAAGGAATTTTTTCATTTTCTTTTAAATTTTTTATTTGACCCATTGATTGTTCAGAATTGTGTAGTTTAATTTCCACATATTAGTGAATTTTCCTATTCATTTATATCTAGTTTTATACCACTGTGATCTAAAGGGACACTTATTTTCTTAAATATGTTAAGACTTGTTTTGTGGCCTAACATGATCTATCCTGGAGAATGTTCTGTGCATGCTTGAGAAGAATGTGTATTCTGCTGCTGTTTGATGGAATGTTCTGTATATGTTTGTTAGGTCCACTTGTTCTAAAGTGTAGATCAAGTCTAATGTTTCTCTATAGACTTTCCGTCTGGATGATATGTCCATTGTCCACAAAACTACTATTGTATTTCTGTTTAATCTTTTTCTTCAGATCTATTAAGATTTGCTTTATATATTTAGGTGCTCTGATTAGGTGCGTATACATTTACAATTATATCCTCTTGATGAATTGACTCCTTTATAATTATTTAATGAGCTTGTTTCTTTTTACATTTTTTGACTTATAGTGTATTTTCTCTGATGTAAGTATAGCTACCTCTGTTTTCTTCTAGTTTCCATTTGTGTAGAATACCTTTTTCCATCCCTTCATTTTTTGGTCTATTTGTATCTCTAAAGTCTATTTATGAGTCTCTTTAGGCAGCATACAGTTGGGTCATTAGAAAAAGTCTAAGTAGCTACTCTATGTCTTTTGACTGGAGAATTTAATTTGTTTACATTTAAAACATTTATTTATAGGTAGGAACTTGCTACTGCCGTTTTCTTAATTGTTTTCTGAATGTTTTATAGTTTCTTCATTTATTTTTTTCTCTCTGTCTTCCTTTGTGATTTGATAATTTTCTGTAGTGGTATGCTTTGACTGCTTTCTCTGTCTTTTAAATATGCACAAGTTTTTTTCTTTGTGGTTACCATGGTATTTACATAAAATGTCTTGTAACAATCTATTTTAAGCTGATGACAACTTAACTTTGACTGCATACAGAGTCTACACTTAACTTCCCCTCCCATTTTACATTATTGATGTTACAGTTTACCTCTTTAAATATTGTGTATCCATTAAAATTATAGCAGCTATATTCTTAATACTTTTGTCTTTTAAACTAGAGTTAAAAGTAACTTAAACACTACCATTATAAGTATTAGAGTATTATAATTTGAGTATATTCATACTTTTACAGTGAATTTTATGCTTTCATATGCTTTTATGTTATTAGCATTCTTTCATTTTGTCTTGAAGAACTCCCTTTTATATTTCTTGTAAGGCAAATTAATGGTTATGATATTCTTGGTTGGCAGCACCTGTCTCCCCCCACCCCCTGCCAGGACTTTGAATTTATCATCTCATTCTCTCCTGGTTTCTGCTGAGAAATTCACTGATAGTCTCATAAGGGTTCCCTTGTATGTGATGAGTTGTTTCTCTCATGCTGCTTTCGGCATTTTCTCTTTGTTTTTGCCTTTTGAGAATTTGATTATTGTGCGTTTCAGTAAGATCTCTTTATATTTAATCTATTTGTAGTTATTTGATCTTCAAGGATCTGGGTGTTCTTTTTCCAGATATAGGAAATTTTCTGCTATTATTTCTTTAAGTAAACTCCTCTCATCTCCTTCTCTTTCTTTGCTCCTTCTGGGACTTCCATTATGAGTAAATTTCTTTACTTGATAGTATCTCATAAATTCCATAGCCTCTCTTAATTCTTTTTCTTTCTTGTTTTTTTTGTTTCTCTGAGTGGGCAATTTCAAATGACCTGTCTTTGAGCTCATGATCTAGTTTGCTTCAAGATTGCTCTGGAATTATTCAGTTCAGTCATTGTGTTGTTTAGATTAAGAATTTCTGTTTTGTTCTTTTTGATGGTTTCTATCTCTGCTGAATTTCTAATTTTGTTCATGCAACAATTTTCTGATTTTGTTGTCTGTACAGAAGCTTGTCCTTTCCCATAGTTTTGCTCTCTATGGTTTCAGCTTCGTGTGGTCAATTGCAATATAAAAATAGTAAATGAAAAATTCCATTAATAAACAATTCATAAGATTTAAATTGCATGCCATTCTGAGTAGAGCAATGAAATCTTCAGTAGTCTCACTTCATCCCTCTTGGCACATGAATCATCCCTTTATTCATTATATCCATGCCATAGACACAACTCACCCATTAGTTGCTTAGCAGTCATGTCAGTTATCAGGTTCACTGTCTCAGTAACCTGATAGTGCTTTTGTTCAAGTAACCCTTATTTTACTAAATAATGGCTTCAAAGTGCAGAGTAGTGAGGTTGACAGTTTGGCAATGCCAAAGAGAAGCCATAAAGTGTTTCTTCTAATTGAAAATGTGAAACTCTCAACTTAGTAAGGAAAGAAAAAAAATATATACTGAGATTTTTAATTTCTGTGATATGAACAAATTTACTGTCTGTGAAATTATGAAGGGAAAAATTGTTCATGGTATATATAGGGTTTGATACTATCCTCGGTTTCAGGCATCTGCTGGGGATTGTGCAGTGTATCCTGCATGAGTAAAATGGGACTACTGTATTCTCTTGTAGCTCACTGAACTTATTTAAGATGATTATTTTGTATTCTTTGTTAGGCAGTTTGAAGATCTCCATTTCTTTGGGATTGCTTGCTGGTGCTTTATTTTGTTCTCTTAGTGATACCATGTTTCCCTGATCATTTATGATCCTTATGGCCTTAGTTTCTGTGCATTTGAAGAAGCAGGCACTTCTTCCAGACTTTATAGACTGGCTTTGGCAGGGGACTCCCTTTACTTAATGAGTCTATGCAGAGATTTTTGGTAGGCTCTCTAGCAGGGCTCATTAATGAGCTTTGCTGCTGGTATCTTTTTGGGAGCTGGCCTTGTGACTGGGTCAGCAGATGGCCTGAGCTGGTATCTGGGTCCCAGAGGCTAGCCTGTTGTCTGGGTTTATGAGTTTGAGCCTGGAGCCTGTATTCACTGGGGCAGACATTGACTTTGGGTCTTCTGTGGGGGACCTGGATCCTGGCTCCTCTGGGGCTGGCCTGGCACGAGGGTCTACTGGTGTGGGGCAAGTTGATTGGGTCTGCAGGGGTGTCCCTAGTGCCTGGGTTCTTAGGGATAGGCTTGGAGCTTATGCCCATAGGAGCTGGTCTGGCACTGTGGTGAGACTAGAGCCTAAGTCTGTTGGGGTCTGCCTGGTGTTGGGATGGGCCTGGTACCTGGGCCCACGGGGGAAGGCCCAGAGCCTGTGCTTACAGGGGCCAGTCTAGTACTGAGGTGCACCTGGAACCTGAGTTCCTGGAGGTGGGCCTGGTGCCTGCATCTGTGGGGGCTGACCTGTATACTGGGTCCATAGGGATGGTCATGGTGTCTGGGTATGTACAATTAGCATTTAATGTAACATATTTCCCCTAACTTGCTGGCTTAAAACAGCATTTCATTTGGCAGTTTCAGTGGGTTGAGAGACAGGTGTGGCTTTGCTGGGTCCTTTGGCTCTGGGTCACTTGCAGGCTGCATTTTTCTCAAGGCTTGACTGGAATGACAAGCCATTGTCAGGATTCAGTTCCCTGTAGGTTACTGGATTTGAGACTTCAGTTTGTCATGACCTGTTAAAAGGCTTCTTTTGTTTCTTTGACATGTGGCGTCTCCGTAGAGCATCTCATAACATGGCAGCCTGCTTTATTAGAACAAGCAGACAAGAAGATGACTGGCAAGAGGGAAGATGCTAGCAAATTGGAAGTCAGTTTTTTGCAATCTAATAATGGAAGTGACATCCCATCACTTCTGCAGTGTCCTCTTTATTAGAAGAAAGTCCCTAGGGCTAGCCTACACTCAAGGGTAGAGGATTACACAAGTGCATGAATACCAAGAAGCATGGATCATTGGGACCTATGTCAGAAGTTGTGTAAGAGAAATGTTAATATCAAAATTAAGAATAAAACTACCAAATAATCCAGCAGTCCCACTTCTGGATACATATCCAAAGGAAATCAGTGTCTTGAAGAGACATCTATACACCCCATGTTCATTGCAGCATTATTCACAATAGTCAAGATATGGAAACAATTTAAGTATCTATTGACCAAAGAACAGATAAAGAAATACACATACACACGTATATACACCCAATGGAATATTGTTCAATTTTTAAAAAGAAGGAAATCCTGTCATTTGCAGCAACAAATGGATGAACCTGAAAGACATTATGCTAAATGAAGTAAGGCAGATACAAAAATATAAATACTGCATTATCTTACTTAAATGTGGACTCCAAAAAGTCTAGTTCGTAGAAGCAGAGAGTGGAATGGTGGTTGCTAGGGGCAGGGCAGGGTTGGGAGGGGTCAGGAAAATGGGGATATGTAGTACAAAGTTTCCCTTATGTAGGATGAATAAGTTCTAGAGAGCTAATGTACAAAATGGTGACTACAGTATTGGCAAAAATAATGTTAGCTAAGTAAAGTGATAGATATGTTGATTGGCTTGACTAGTTATTTCACAATGTATATGTATATTAATACATGAAATTATGTTTCAAAAAAACTTTTACTTAGAAGAAATCAAAGGCTGGGCATGGTGGCTCACGCCTGTAATCCCAGCATTTTGGGAGGCCAAGGTGGGTGGATCACTTGAGGTCAGGAATTCAAGACCATCCTGGCCGACATGGTGAAACAACATCTCTCCTAAAAATACAAAAATTAGCCAGGCGTGGTGGCAGGTGCCTGTAATCCCTGGTACTAGGGAGACTGAGGCGGGAGAATCACTTGAACTCAGTAGGCAGAGGTTGCAGTGAGCCGAGATCATGCCACTGCACTCCAGCCTGGGTGACAGAGTGAGACTGTCTCAAAAAAAAAAAAAAATTGAGAAACAATCTTCCAAGTATAGTAACTCTGTATCATCATATGTATTAGCTATGGTGACAAAGTTGCTGATGTCTAAATAATTTTGGATATTGATTTCAGTATGTGGTTACTTGGACTGCTTTAATTTTGATAGGATTCTAATAAGAGCAGCCTTCTTTTCTGAAATATAGAAGTCATTCAACTTATTGAATTTAATCAGAGAAATTTTAACTACTCATTCATTGTCAGTCTTCAATAGATAGCAAGCTATTTGAAGGCAGAGTCTGGGGATACAGTATAAATTTGGACTCCCCCAGAACTTCACTACTAATAGCCTACTGTTGACAGGAAGCCTTGACAATAACATAGTCAATTAACACATATTTTGTATATGTATTATATATTGTATTCTTATAATAAAGTAAGCTAAAGGAAACAGTTATTAAGAAAATTATAAGGAAGAGAAAATACATTTACCATTCATTAAGTGGAAGTTGATCATCATAAAGGTCTTCCGCCTTCAAGTTGAGTAGGCTGAGGAAGAATTGGTCTTGCTATCTCAGCAGTGGTAGTGGCAGAAGAAAATCCACTTATAAGTAGACCTTTGCAGTTAAAATCCCTGTTGTTCAAGAGTAAACTAAACTTCTGCTCTGCCTAAGTAAACTTATGTTTATTTATTTTTTTAAAACTTGATTGAGCTATAATGCACCATAAAATTAATGCTTTAAGTGTACAATTCAATAACTTTTTTTTTCCATACATTTACTGAGTTATCCAGCTACCTCCCTAATTCACTTTAGAACATTTACACGACCCCAATAAGGTTCCTTGTCAGGACTTTTCTTGATTCTTTGTCATATAAATAATTGGTGACAAAAGATTTCTTATAACAGCTGTGTTTATTGCTTCTCTTATATGAATACAAATGTCTTCTGTGTCCTTATGTACCAAATATAGACATTGTCAATAGTGTAAATTTTATTTAGTGGGCTGTATAATGAAATACATGAGATATGTTTGAATTTATGCAACTTTTAGTAAGGAGAATTTTGTGTCAGAGAGAAAAATTCTTTCACGTTTAGAGTCCTGATTAAACATTTTCAGTTTGACTTTCTTTCACGTTTAGAGTCCTGATTAAACATTTTCAGTTTGACTTTAGTTTTTGATCTTTTATAGCTTGTTTTATTTTTAGCAGATTGCAGTAGAAAAGATTGATAAGCTAATGTAAAGCCCTCTTAATTATTTACTACAAATAAACATCAATACCTTCATAGGCAGGTCATGCTCATGGATAATAAAAATAGAAAAGGACTAATTAGGTCGAACAATTTATCATTAATTGGCTAACAAATGCAATTTTTAGCAAAATTGGTATTTTCATTCTAACTCACCAGAGGGCACTCTTTTCTAGTGTATTACTTTTAACTCTGATCTACTGAATTATTATATCATACCTCAAAAAATTTGAGGCATTTATTGGGATCCAGGTGTCGATTATTTGGAGATCAGTGATGACTTTCTTTTGTAACTTTCAGTAAGCTTTTTGGCCAGCTATTTCATGTTAGCGTCATTAGAAGGGGCTTTGCAAACAAAACAATCTTAAATGCTTTAAGCAGTAGTGTATCTGCTATAAAACTATCTTCTCAATTTAGTCTGTTTTGCTTGCTAGCTCTATAATGCTGCTGTTTCTCTGAATTCTTATTAAGGTTTCAGATCGGGTGGAGCGGCGGCTTCAGGAACTGGAGAGAGAGATGCGCACAGAAAGGGAGCTGGTGGAAAGACGCCAGGATCAACTGGGACTCATGTCCCTGCAGCTACAGGAGGTTTGTGAAAAACACTTTCATGGAATGTAAATCTTGAATTTGGATGTTTATTTAGCCATGTTAAAATGGTTATTGCATGTGACAGTATAATTCAACCCATCTGAGAAGTATTAATATCACATATTGGTTATAGTTCAGTGTATAGAATCAGACCTCCCTGGTTTCATACTTGCTGTCCATGTGACATTAGTTGGGCAAGTTTCTTAACTTCTCTAGGCGCTAGTTTTGTCTGTGGAAAATGGAAATAATAATAGTATTGACCTAATTAGATTAGTGCAAGGATAAATGAATTAATGCCAATACAGCTCTTAACATACTGTTTGTCATATGCTCGGAAAATGTTAACTGAAAGTATAATTATTCTGATTAATTTTTCTGGGCATAGACTAGACCAGGGGTCATCAAACTGTGGCTCACAGGTCAAAGCTGGCCCATTGTCTATTTTTGTAAGTAGTTTTATTGGAGCACAACCACTCCTATTCATTGATAGATTGTCTGTGGGTGCTTGTGTGACACAATGGCAGAGTTGAGTAGTTGTAGCCCACAAGTATATATGGCCCATGGAGTTTAAAGTATTGGCAGTTTGGCCCTTTACAGAAAAAGTCTGACAACTCCTGAATTAGGTTATTATCAAACCAATTTAAAATGGAGAATAGTTACCCTTAAGGTACTCTTTTTAATTTGAAATTGCAGACATAGATAAAGTTGAAAATTTAGAATGAAGAATTTCTGTATAACATTTACCTAGATTCCCTTATTATTCATATTTTACCAGACTTGCTTCATCATTTATTCTAGATACATCCACATATATGTAATTTTTTGTGAAACATTTTTAATTTGCAGACATGATATACATACTTATCTGTGAATCTTAAAGTCAACTGATTAAAAAATAAATCATTTTTCATCTATATAATTTGATATGTATGTTTTCTTTTATAGTTACAGTATAACAATCAAAATTAGGAAATTAAAATCAGTAAAATACTATGGCTTAATCTATACGTTTTATTCAAATTTTGCTACTACAGTAGTGTCCTTTCCTGATCCAGGATAAAATATAGGTTCACACATAGCATTTAGTTGTCATGTCTCTTTAGTTTCCTTTAATCTGGAACAGTTTTTCAGTCATCATGAGTGATGACTTCTCAGGGTGTAAACAATTTATTTTGTAGAATGGCTTTCATTTTGGGTTTCTTGATGTTTCTTCATGACTAGATTCAGGTTATGGACTTTTGGCTTGAAACTCAGATAATTGGAGTTATGTCCTTCCCATAGTATCATATCAGGAGTCATATAATGTTGATTTGTTACATTACTGGTGAAAACTGAACACTTGATTATTGTGTTGCCTACTGGGTGGATTTATCCACTGTTAAAGTTACAATTATTCTCTTAAAATTATTTAAATAATTTTAAGTTATTTAAATTTAAGTTATCCTATAAAGTAAAATTATCTTTGGGACTTGAACATATCCTATTGTACTTTTCTATTGTACTTTCTATTGTAAATTTCTATTGTACTTTTGCTCACTAATTTTAGCATCTATTATTGACTCATATGAAACAATTACTACTATAAGTAGTGCCAGATAGTGATTTAAAAATTTTTTTATGATTCCTTCTACATTTATAGAATCCTACTGTAAGAAAGAACTTTTTGTTATGTGCACTCATGGATTTTTATTTTATTATATTGGTTATATTTTGTTACTATCATTTTAGAATATTGTTGAAATTCCCTTTAAGTGTTTCTTTGGTCTATACATAAAATATAAAAAGTAGAAACAACAAGAAACACAAAAGATTCAAAACAAATGGGAATTCTTTTCATTTATGAAATGATTTTTCTAAGAGTTCTAAAAATACACTTATGTGTGCTTGTAGATCGTTAATCTTTATTAATCGACAGATTTTTTAAAGTTTTTTTCACTGTTAATTGAAAATTAGGAACAAAAATTGCAACACTGAAATTTAATGTAAGCTGATAGAAAAATCTGCTTTTGTTTTCTGAAATTCCATTTCCTTCCATTTCACAAAAGAAGACATACCCTTGTAAGTTGGTAATTACTTTGAAGAGGATATGTTGTTGAATAATTAGATACAGCATGTGGGTAAGCTTTTTTTTTTTAACCTTGATTTTTATACATTTGTTCTCAAAGCAAATTATATCTGGTGAGCATAAGAATAGTACTAAAGAGACAATTGTTCTTTTCTGCAAGAGAAAATTAGAGAAATTTTCTGTACTTATTTTCTTCTCTCTTTGCAGAATGCACAAAATTACAAAGAAAGAGGGAGAAAAAGATTGCTTCCCACCACTTTTCTTAAGATACCAGAGCCTGGGTATTTCCATTGAAATTGTCAATTTGACTAAAAGCTTCAGCTGTGATTTGGAATTCCATCTCTGACAATACAATAGGAGATCACTATTGATAAGAACTATTTAATTTCATATTTTGTTACTTTAATATAAGCAGTGACCTATACGTTTTTAAAAAGTGGTTTTAGATTATAAACAGAGTAGTGGAAGCTAGGAAAGATTAAGCTGATGTATTTTCCTGCTCCCATGTTAAATGGCTTAAACTGTTCCGGAAAGGTCATGTTTAAGGAGAGGAAACACTTTCCCTTCTTTTTATTAAAAATACTTATGGAAATTCCTATACCATATGATAATAGTAATTGATGCATTTTTTTCCTGTTTATGGTGAAAAATTAAATCCATAATTGAGCAGGTGGGCCTGAACTTCTAGCCACTGTGCTCTTTTGCCTTCTTAAAATGTATCTTTCAATGTTAATGAAAAATATGACATTTAAAACTTAAGACATTAAGAGTTTTTATTTGAAATTATAGGATGCAGAGATTTGAAGGTATAATATATTACAGGGAGGCATTCTGTGGTTTTGGCTAAAATCTGCTGCTGTTATCTCACGGGTCCTTAGGTCCTCAGAGCTTTACCTATTCCCATTTAATGCAAAAGCACAGTGTTAATCATTGGAAATTGGTCAAGGGAAAGCCATTTTCCTTTTCTGTAGGGGTTTTAAAGAATTGTTCACTCATTTCTGTTTCTTGTCCTGATTTGAACAAAAGGGCCATGCACGCCCAGGAATCCACTTCCTTTTTTGAGCCTCAGCTACTCATGTGCTATTGAAGTCACATGAATGCCAGATTTTCTTTCTTTTTTTTAAAAATTAATTAATTTATTATTATTATACTTTAAGTTTTAGGGTACATGTGCACAATGTGCAGGTTAGTTACATATGTATACATGTGCCATGCTGCTGCGCTGCACCCACTAACTCGTCATCTAGCATTAGGTATATCTCCCAATGCTATCCCTCCCCCCTCCCCCCACCCCACAACAGTCCCCAGAGTGTGATGTTCCCCTTCCTGTGTCCATGTGTTCTCATTGTTCAATTCCCACCTATGAGTGAGAATATGTGGTGTTTGGTTTTTTGTTCTTGCGATAGTTTACTGAGAATGATGATTTCCAATTTCATCCATGTCCCTACAAAGGACATGAACTCATCCTTTTTTATGGCTGCATAGTATTCCATGGTGTATATGTGCCACATTTTCTTAATCCAGTCTGTCATTGTTGGACATTTGGGTTGGTTCCAAGTCTTTGCTATTGTGAATAATGCCGCAATAAACATACGTGTGCATGTGTCTTTATAGCAGCATGATTTATAGTCCTTTGGGTATATACCCAGTAATGGGATGGCTGGGTTAAATGGTATTTCTAGTTCTAGATCCCTGAGGAATCGCCACACTGACTTCCACAATGGTTGAACTAGTTTACAGTCCCACCAACAGTGTAAAAGTGTTCCTATTTCTCCACATCCTCTCCAGGACTTGTTGTTTCCTGACTTTTTAATGATTGCCATTCTAACTGGTGTGAGATGATATCTCATTGTGGTTTTGATTTGCATTTCTCTGGTGGCCAGTGATGGTGAGCATTTTTTCATGTGTTTTTTGGCTGCATAAATGTCTTCTTTTGAAAAGTGTCTGTTCATGTCCTTCGCCCACTTTTTGATGGGGTTGTTTGTTTTTTTCTTGTAAATTTGTTTGAGTGCATTGTAGATTCTGGATATTAGCCCTTTGTCAGATGAGTAGGTTGCGAAAATTTTCTCCCATTTTGTAGGTTGCCTGTTCACTCTGATGGTAGTTTCTTTTGCTGTGCAGAAGCTCTTTAGTTTAATTAGATCCCATTTGTCAATTTTGTCTTTTGTTGCCATTGCTTTTGGTGTTTTAGACATGAAGTCCTTGCCCATGCCTATGTCCTGAATGGTAATGCCTAGGTTTTCTTCTAGGGTTTTTATGGTTTTAGGTCTAACGTTTAAGTCTTTAATCCATCTTGAATTGATTTTTGTATAAGGTGTAAGGAAGGGATCCAGTTTCAGCTTCCTACATATGGCTAGCCAGTTTTCCCAGCACCATTTATTAAATAGGGAATCCTTTCCCCATTGCTTGTTTTTCTCAGGTTTGTCAAAGATCAGATAGTTGTAGATATGTGGCGTTATTTCTGAGGGCTCTGTTCTGTTCCATTGATCTATATCTCTGTTTTGGTACCAGTACCATGCTGTTTTGGTTACTGTAGCCTTGTAGTATAGTTTGAAGTCAGGTAGTGTGATGCCTCCAGCTTTGTTCTTTTGGCTTAGGACTGACTTGGCGATCCGGGCTCTTTTTTGGTTCCATATGAACTTTAAAGTAGTTTTTTCCAATTCTGTGAAGAAAGTCATTGGTAGCTTGATGGGGATGGCATTGAATCTGTAAATTACCTTGGGCAGTATGGCCAGATTTTCTTTATTTGGTAAGGACCTTCATACATTGTATTTTAAACAACCTGGTTTGGTTATCTCATGGAAGTCTCTTCTTTAAGAGAGATGAGTATTTTAAATGGGTTGTATGACTATATTCTTTTAATATTATCTTTCTTAAATTGTAGATGATACTTTGAACTTTACTAATTCAATTCATGTTTTTTGTTGTTGTTGTTGTTGTTGTTGTTGTTTTTTTTTGAGATGGGGTCACTCTGTTGCCCAGGAGTGCAGCAGCATGATCTCGGCTCACTACAGCCTCGAATTCCTGGGTTCAAGAGATTCTGCCACCTCAGCCTCCCTTGTAGCTGGGACTACAGGCAGGCATCACCATGCCCAGCTGATTTTTTTGTTGTTGTATTTTGGGTAGAGATGGGGTTTTACCATATTGCCCAGGCTGGTCTTAAACTCCTGACCTCAAGTGATTTGCCCACCTTGGCCTCCTAAAGTGCTGGGATTACGGGAGGGAGCCACCACGCCCGACCTAAATTCAAGTGTTGTTAAGCCTATACCCATCAGCCTTTTCTGTGTACACAGTCAAGTATATAACATTGAGGTAAATTATCATACTATAAACTCCTTTTGATGAGGTGCTTGATAGTATCATAACTTTGGTTAGTTTAGTGGAGTGGGGGTAGGCTTGGTAGGTTGTAGTGTTGGGAAAGAGGTATGTAGACTGTAAACACACAACAAAAAAAAAACTGTAAAAAAAAAAAAAAAGCCAAAACCACTTTTTTTGCAGGTTCAATATTTACATAAAATCCTAGATAAAAATTTAAACTTCTGGTTTGCATCCTGGAAACTCCTGACTCATTTTTTACTGGCTATTTCATATACATTGAATATTATTTCTTCATCTTCAGCCGAATTACTTAAAATGAAAAACATGGCTGGGCATGGTGACTCATGCCTGTAATTCCAGCACTTTGGGAGGCTGAGGTGGGCGGGTCACTCGAGATCAGGAGTTTGAGACCAGCCTGGCCAACATGGTGAAACCCCGTCTCTACTAAAAATACAAAAAACAAACAACAGCAACAAAAAAATTAGTGTGGTGGTGCACACCTGTAATCCCAGCCACCTGGGAGTCTGAGGCACGAGAATAGCTTTAACTCGGGAGGCAGAGGTTGTAGGGAGCTGGAATTGTACCACTGCACTCCAGCCTGGGTGACAGATTGAGACCCTGTCTCAAAAAAAAAAAAAAAAAAAAAAAAAAAAGAAAAGAAAAACATGAGATAAATGCTGGACACACACACACACGCACACACACACACGCAGGCACACTCCAGAGCACTTTTATGAGGCAGGGTCACACTCACCCACGCTGGAGTGCAGTGGTGTGATCATGGCCCACTCAGTCTCAACCTCCCAGGCTCAAGCGATCCTTCTACCTCAGCTTCCCAAGCAGCTGCAACTACAGGGGCACACCATTACACCCAGCTAATTTTTGTATTTTTTGTAAAGACAGGTTTCGCCATGTTGCCCAGAGTGGTCTCAGACTCTGGACTCAAGTGATCTGCCTGTCTCAGCTTCCCAACTTGCTGGGATTACAGGTGTGAGCCACCATGCCTGGCCGTCTTCAGAGCATTTTATAGCATATTAAGTCAGTAGTTTCTCCCTTATCTGTATCAACAATATTCTATGCTTACATATGATCTAGATGCCTTAAAATTAAAATTTGTTTCATGGGGAAGTCTGTGGGATAGGCAAGGGCATGGAATCTTAATAGACGATGGTGAAGTTTAAGTGAGAAATTAAGTGTTTAAGATGGGAGCTCAGCTCAGTGGCTTTTAGTCTGTTCTGAGGGACAACCAGGTTATGTGAAGCTCATCAATAAACTAAGGCCATATGAAGAAAAATTAAAGTAATCGATACTTTTTTTCCAACATTTTTCTTCATTTTTTTGGAAAAACCTAATGAAGAAGTAGCTATTCATTTTTGTCCAGAAATGTAATTATGGCCCCAGAGATGCTGAGTAATACAGATACCACATAAGAAAAGCCTCGGGTACCCTTTATTAATGTATTTAGTTTGGACTCATTAAGGGAGAAGCTTCCATGAAACCTAGGATGTTTTTCTAATGTGTTCTTAATAGCTTTTGCGTCTCCCTTGAGGCTTCTGTGATATTTCGAGTATCACACAGCAGGGGAGAACCTAGTCAGGCAAATATTCTAACCTGGCTTCATTAACCCCTTTTCCTGCACTTTCTTTCCAGACTCCCCTACTTTGTTTGGAGTCGTGGAGGCCTTTCCAAGGCTGGCAGATCTTGGACTCGCCTTTGCTTACCTTTTCAAGGTTCAGTTGTAAAACTTTTGTTTGATCATTCACTTTGCCTCCCTCTTGTTTCCATAACCAATGCCCCTTTTTTTTTGTAGTCATCTCGTACATTTTTGCATACAGTTATTCATATTCATATTTTGCATAGTTATTCATAAGTTTTCCTTTCCCTATTATATTGTTAGATGTTATAAATGCCCATTAAAATCACTCTCGTATTGATCATCCCAGCAGCCTCTCTAATCTTTGAGAAGGACCAATAGAGTTTACAAGTAAATGAAAGTTTAAAAGTCAAACACAATCCTGTGGAAAGCAGGAGGAAAACTCAGAGGATGTACTTTATTTTTCTTATTCTTAGGACATAAGCCCTAGAATTGAGTCCTTGGACAGGACTGTGTGAGCCCCATGGGGTTCGGTAAGCAGAGAGTAACACAGGCAGGGTGTCAGAGCCCTCAAACCACCAAGAGGCTGAAAGCACTATCACAACAGGACAACCACACATGTACTACTTTGTTGGAAAATGCGTGTAGCAAGTGAAAATCCTAAAACTCCTACTCCAGTGTTTATTCTTCACGGGGTAAAGTTGTGTGTGTAGTATAAATCGGGGCTTATTTTGAGCCACACTTTTTATTCTTTTAACCAGCTTTAATCCCATTGACTATTTTTCTTCTTCTGTAAAGATGGCATTTTTTTTTCTTTCACTGTCCAGTTTCTGGTAATACATATGTGAGAGCTTTGTCCCCGATTATTTATGTTACTGATTCTTGATATGTTCTCTCTTTTAATTTTACCTATTTTGAACACTTTTCATTTCTAGTATTTGAAGATAATACTTACTAAATATTTGTTTAATACGTTAAGTAGTGACCACATTAATACACTGTTTTGGTCCTGTGTTTAACTAGGTTTATTTCTCACGTAGTTCTTTTAACATTTCATTATTAAATATTTAGTACAAAAAGCGTTTTTTAATATAACTAAATGTGATCATATGAAATATTCAGACATTCTCTTACAATACAGGCTTATTTATTTATTTACATGGCTGATTTTTTTCCTACATCTCTTCCAACTCTGTTCTTTCATCATGAACCACTTCTCTTACCCCTAAAAAAAGGAACTCATGTTGACGGCCTGGAAGGTATCCCTTTATATTTTTCTGTTTGCTTTTAATTACCTGGACTGATGTATATAGACTATATATACACCTTTGCATATATATGGGGACTTTTTGGTCATGTATTCGTTTTTAGAAAATGAGATCACATTTAGTATACATTTCTGCTTCTTGTTTTTTCCTTTTTTTTGCCAATGTTTTCTGGAAGTTCATCCAACTAGCTGACATGGTTCCAATGTAATCTTATATTGCCATTGGTAGATCTTATTTTTCCAGAGGTTCTGAAACTGCACGTTGTTCTGCCAGCAATGGTTGAGTGTAGCTCTTTCCCCCACATTCTTACCAGAAGTAGTGGTTATAATTCTTTAAGTTTTTGCCATCTGATCAGTATAAAGTGTTAACTCATTTTTATGTTTATTCACTTTTCTCTAATAGTGAATTTGAGCATCTATTCACACACCTCTTGGCAGTTTGCATTTGTGCTTACATACAGTGCCTATGTATGACTTTTGCTCATTTAAAAATATTGGATTATTTGGGATTTCTCTCTTTCCCCCCGGGGATTTTTTTTTTAATAGGAGAGAGGAAAGGATCTAATTTGCTTTTTATATGACTCATCAGTTGCTTCAGCATCATTTTTGAATAAAAATTGGTTCTTTCCACTCTAATTTAAATGCCACATCTGTTGTATATCTAGTTTCCTACAATATCTATCTGACCTCTATATGCTTTGCCATTGATTTGCTTGTCTAGCCCTATACTAATATAATTCTTTCTTAATTATTATAGGTTTTATTATCTTTTGGTAAATGATAATGAAAATCTCTTGTCCTATTCCATGAAAAATCATGCTGGCATTTTTATTGCGATTGTATTAAGTACAGACTAATTTAAAGAGAAGGTCTTTTCTAATGTTTTCCAATAATGTTTTATAATTGTCTGTATAAATGTCTTAGACCTCTTTTGTTAGACTTATTTTTAGGTACCTTATGGTTTTTCTTTCTATCTGGAATGGGATTTTTTTTTAAAATTGCATCTCTAATTGGTTATTTTTAGTATACAGGGGTACAACTGGCTTCATATATGGTTCTTATATCCAACAATTTTGCTCAATGCCCTTATTAGTCCTTATAATTTCTTAATAGCTTTACTGACATACTATCTTAGTGTATAGATAATCATATCATTTGAAATTAAAGGCAATTTAGTCTCTTTATAATTCTTTTCTTTTTTTTTTATCTTATTGCACTGGTTAGAACCTGAAGTCTAATATTAAATGGAAGCAAAGATAGCAAGAATTCTTGTGTTACTTCTATATTTGTATGATTCTTAAGTGTTAAATGTTGTATGGTGTTTGCCCCTACTTTTTAGTGCTAACCTTTGTCGCATTAAGAACATTGCCTTCTATTCCTAGGTTGCCAAGAGATGTTTGCTGTTATTTATTTATTTATTTTAAAAATCATGAATGGGTTGTGAAATTTATCAGATATTCTTGCTGTGCACTTAACTTTGGGTATTTAAATATATTGATTTAAATATGGTTGATTCCATCAATAGATGTTGAGCCCTCCTTGCATTCCTGAGAACTTTATTTGATTATAATTTTTTTTTATACATTGCTGAATTAACTTGCTATTTTTTTCTTAGGATTTTTATATTTGTGTTTATGATTGAGATTAGTTTTCCTTGCACTGACGTTTTTGGTTTTAGAAGCATGGTTACATTAGTGTCATAAAATGAATTAGATGGATTCCTTCTTTTCCTATTTCGTGGTTTAGTTTTGTGTAAGAGAGGGATTATCTATTTCTTGAATGTCTGTTGAAACTTACCCATAAAACAATTTGTGTCTAATATCTTTTTGGTGCTGCAGATTACTAATTTTTTTTAATGTTTATTGGGTTGTATAGCCTGTTTATTAAGTCAATTTGGTAATTCATGTTTAAAGTCTTGCTAGAAATAGTATTATTTTATTAGTTTTCTTTTTGACTGGCTTTGTTTATTGCTTCATTAACTTCTGCTCTTAACTCTGTTACTCTCTCTTTCTCTTCATTTAAAGGATTATTCTGTTTTATTTTTTAGGCTTGAAAATTGAATGCTTGATTGATTTTTCTGCTTTTTTAAAATGAATAATGAAAATTTAACCAAATTACCATATGCTTTGTTATACTTTTATGGTAATTTTTTTTCAAAATCTTTTATAATTTGTTACAATTTTCTCTATAACTCAAAACTTATTTAGGAATGTCTTTTGGTATTTTCAGAGATATATGTGTGCTTATTTTTAAACTCTTTTTATTGTTTTTAATTTAACTCCTTTGAAAGTTGTTGAAACTTCCATTTTGACCTAATTCTATGACCAATTTTTTGTAAGTACTCCAGAGTAAGAAACAAATATTTTTCTGTGTTTTGGATGCAGAATTTTATGTGCTTGTGCATGTCATACATGCATACATACACACACACATATATAAATTTAATAGGTCATTTGTGAATTTTGTTGTTCTGTTCTTCTGTTTTCTTAGTACATATATCTAAAGCTTCTCATTATTATAGAGATTATCAGTTTCTCCGTGTGATTTGTGTCAGTTTTCTTTTATCTGTTTTGTGCATGTGGTATCTTATGTATAATTAAATTACTTCTTGGTCAATTATTTAAAAAATATTACCTAGTGTGCCTCTTGATTTTAACATTCTTAAGATTACTTTATTCATGGCATATCATTTTCCCTCTTTAATCTTTCCTTAGTATTTCCATTTTTCCATGTTTCTTACAAAACACCTTATAGTTTGTTAAAAATAACTTTATCTTATAAATTAATGGTTGCATTAGTCATTTTATACTTACTGCGATTATTGGAATATTTTAAAGTGTTTTTATCTTATTTATTTTTTTTTAACTTCTCTTTTTGTTTCTTTTTCCCATTTCTATTTGGAGTGGAGTATATTATATATTCATTTTTATACTTTCTGTTTGCTTTGGAGCTGTAGATTATATTTCTGTTCTTTTGATAGCTGTTCTAAGATTTTAAACATACAGTACTTATTAGTCTAAGATATCTATGTTCCAGCTACATTGGATTCTTCTCAGTGTCTTACTGGAACATTTTTCTCCCTTCTCGTTCCTCAGGCTCAATTGTGACCTCTTTAGGGAAAACTTTCCCGTTCCTCCTCGCCTTCTAAAATCGCCCCTTCAGTTCCATTGCTCACTGTCATGTATCATATTACTCTATTTTTAAAAATAGCATTTAACACAAACTATAATTATTGTTTGTTTGCTTATGCTATTATATGCCTTTTGCCAAAGAATGTAGACTCCATTGGAGGGGCTTTGTGCATCTCGTTTACCCTTGTTTCTGGGACAGGTAGTACAGGGTTTATCACACAGAGCTCACTGAACAGGTGCTAAAGAAATTGACGTTTCCAAATGTAAGTGATTGTTCAGCTGCATATAACATTCTTGGTAAATTTCACTCCAAGATTTTTATACCTTGTGTTACTCTACTGCTCTCATTCCTGAAGACAGAAAGTAAAAGTTAAACAATTTTAACTTATTTGAAGTTTATATAGTAGTTACAATGATATATTCAAAATTCCATAAACATTCTTCAAGAATTCAATCATAGTTAAATTAAACATAATTCAACTCTATAAAAATAACATTTTCGTATAGTGGGTTGCTGGTTTTCAAACTATACTGACAACTTAATAAAGACAGCTGGATTTTTGATATCTTTGTGTTTAACAAAGTTTGAAAAAGAAATTTAGAATGGAGATGCCCAGATACATGCATTCTAAATGTAGACCTCTTTGAAATATTAATTATGGATTTATGAAGAATGTTAACATAGCTGTGTGAGCGTGAATAAAGTGACATTTCATGGAACTGTTTCCTTTGTGAGCTGACAGCAAATGCTGATTGACTTTTCTTTTGGGATACTGCAAATAATGGACAGAAAGAATTTTTAAAGAGACTTTGTAGATACAATTCCTTTTCTTCGTGTTTTTCTGAATGTTTGTGAGGGCAATATCTTTTAATTTAGATTTTCACATAATTTGCATTAAATGTTTTAAATAAATTGATAAAGGTCATAGAATACTTGATAGGGAATTACTACAAGTTTTGACCACTAGTCGTCAGTATTGAACCATTAATTGTGAAGTAGTAGACACTGTTTATTAAAGTTGGCCAAATTTATTGAAAAACAATTATTTATAGTGTGTATACTCTCAACTCTTAGGGCTTTCTGAAAGTGTACTTGGCACTAGCCTCACAAATGAAAAAAATCTAATTAACTGTCTGTTATTACAAATTTAAATTTGAAACGGTGTTACCCTCTGCTGTTAAAAAGTATGACACATTGTGTATTTTATATGAAGACACCTGCTGTATTTATCATGAAAACTGTCATTTCTTTGCCTTTGTATTATAGTTTCATGCTTCCTCTTCAGGATTACAGGTTTTTCCCTTCTTCCTTCCTCCTTCCCTCCCTCCCTCTATGGAAGAAACTATTTATATCTAGTAAAACAGATTATAATTTGATATGAGCATTTTTTTCGCGGGAATCATATATTCCCATTCCCTTTTCCACTTTTAATATTTCGAAGCTGTGCATGCAGAATTTTCCCAAAGATACTTTCTATAAATATTCATCTTATGTAGACCTAAACCTCTTTCTCCTAATTGTTATTTTCTTGTTTTTGGTGGTGATTTCCTTTTGTACACTGTTGTCCATCTACCCAGTTATATTTATTTTCTATTGGTGTTCTGTTGGATAGTTTATCCAACAGATAGATTATCCTTTGCCTATTTTTTCTTTAGTTGTTGGAAAAGCATTTTTTATAGCTCTCATGACTCATTGTGTTTCTAGTTAATTTGTATTTCTATTAAGTACCCCAAATCCCTTTTTAAAAAATATTAAAGTTGTGGTATTAATTATTCATTGCTCAAAAAATGAAAAGCTGTTATTTCTTATATATCTTTGTCCATACTGTGGTCAAGTATTAGGATAGTATTTAGAACTATAACCTCATTATTTCATCGTTTAATGGATTTTGTATGGTTGTGACAAAAAAGTTACAGTTTTATGTTTATTATCTGAGAATGAGATCCTGAAACTTTCCTCGCCAGTGTTAGTCTTGGATGGGCAATCAAGTTACAGTGATGCTGTGATTCAAAGCCACAAAGTGTGGGCGAACTTGGGTCTCTGGAGCTCCCAGTTTCCAGTTCTTTCTCCTCCTGACCTGTGAACTTGTTTGGAAGGTGCAAAATCTTACTCTTTTTGTGTGGTTCATCTTATAATGTTTCTTCTTAAACAGATAGATAACCATCTTGATAAAATAATTTGTTTTATATTTTAAAACCTTTATATGTTTCCTTTATGTCTTTGCCTCTCCTTTTCTCCTGTTCTTTACACCAAGTCTATCATTAAATTTTGTCAGCTCTATTTAAAAAATATTTTTTTAAATTGGAAACTGTTCATTTCCTACCACTACATCTCCTCTTTTGCTGGGGCTAATGCTGTAGCCTCCTTGCTTCCATTCTTACCTCCTTGTGGTCTTTTACAGAATCAGATAATGTCACATCTTTCTTCAAGACCCTTCAATGGTTTCTTTTGTTTTTTTTTTGAGACAGTCTCACTCTGTTGCCCAGGCTAGAGTGCAGTGGCATGATGTTGGTTCACTGCAGCCACCACCTCCTGGGTTCAAGTGATTCTTATGCCTCAGCCTCCCGAGTATCTGGGATTACAGGCATGTCCCACCATGTCTGGCTAATCAATGGTTTATTTATAGACAATAGATCCCCTCTGATCTGGTTTCTGAATTCCTCTCACCCTAATTTTCTTTCTTTCTTTCCTTTCTTCTCTTTTTCTTTTTTTTTTTGTTTTGAAATGTAGTCTTACTCTGTCTCCCAGGCTGGAGTGCAGTGGCACGATCTTGGCTCACTGCAGCCTCTGACTCCCAGGTTCAAGCGATTCTCTGCCTCAGCCTCCTGAATAGTTGGAATTACAAGCATGCGCCAAGACACCCAGCTAATTTTTTGTAATTTAAGTAGAGATGGAGTTTCGTCATGTTGACCAGGCTGGTCTCAAACTCCTGGCCTCAAGTGATCCTCCCACCTTGGCCTCCCAAAGTGCTGGGATTAAAGGCACGAGCCACCATGCCCAACCCCTAATTTTCTATTGTTGTTCTTCTTGCCAACTCTAGGCCAACCATCCTGGCCGTCTTGCTTTTCCATGGATATACCATGTACCTCCTGCTCCTGGGCATTTGCACTTTCTGTTCCCACAGCTAGGAATTTTCAGCTCTGAAACAGTTGTACGGTTTGTGCGCTCATGTTCAGAACTCTACTTCAGAAAGCCCTTATTGACTATCATAGATAAAACACTCCTTCACTCCTGAGCCCCTTGCACTGTTGTATGTTTTCTTAACACTTTCATTATTTGTCAACCATCTGTCCCCTTGAGCAGAATGCAGGCTTTATGGAGGCAGGGACTTACCTGCTTTGCTTGTTGCTGCATCCCCAGTACCAGGACCAGTGCTTGGCATAGAGTAGGGGCCCAGTAAGTGTTTCTTGAAGGAATGAATGAATAAATATTGCTTACTGTATAGTAACTATTCATTCAGTAAAATATTCATTTGGCCAATACTATCATGTACCTAATATAATTCAGGTACTGCGCTGGGGACTAGGGATTTAAAGATACCTAAAATACTATCTCACCTTTTAGGGACCCCTAGTTTAGTTGAGGAAATAGAGATGTTAACTATCTTTGCAATGCAGTAAGGGCATTATTCCACATTTGTGTAGTCTACAGAATATCTCAGAGGGGAAATAATTACCTCTTTATGGCCCCTTGGGGAAAGTTTGGGTGAGAGAGGTGGCATTTTTGCTAAGACTGTATTTTCACATTATTTTAGGAAATTCTTCATGAATGTGATTCTGCCCCACTGCTTGTTGTTAACATGTCAAGCACTTTACCAATCAATGGCTGAAACACTTATATAAATTTTGACCTACTATCATTTTTATCCATACCATTGCTCTTTGTCCTATCATCATACACCATACTAATTATTTTCTTCTTTATATTTGTTACTTGTGGTAACAAATAACAAATTTTTTCTTTGCAAAGATGAAATAAACATTGTTCTCTATAAGACTGTGAGAGAACCATTAATGTCGACATGCTGATAAAAAGAAAATGGATGGTGAAGAATGATTGACTATTATAGGATTTAGTTTTCAAAGGCGTTTGAACACTATTTGGCACAGCTTGAAACATGCAGGTCTGAGATACATCATGCTTTTCAGTCACCTTCTTTAGTCTTTTTCTTGATTTCCCTCCTTGCCCTCTTATTCAGCCTCTTACAGATGACACTAAAACACTTTTGATGTTTTTTTCAGTGAAAGATATTTTTTCCCCCAAAGCTTCTATAGAAGAGAATTCTGAAGAGACCTTGGAGGATGTCTCTTTCAACCTTGTACTTGATACTTGAATTTCCATTTACAGAGCAAGCTAGCTACTTAGATATTGTAGACAGTCTCTACAAGCTATATTATCTTTCTGGTATTGGGAAATAGTTGGCTGGATTAAAGAATATTCCAGTTTGATAATATATTTCATTGGCCTAGTATTGAATAATGATAAAACAAAAGTTGAAAGTTTAGAAATGTATTCTACATCACAGAAGTAGTAGCATGCCAGCTGTTAGCTTTTGGATTCATTGAAGGGTGCAGTTTTACAAGATGATGTATAAATGTAAGTTGTCATGAAATTCTTGTAATCTGATTTCTATATAATTAACATTTATGTCATGTCTTCTGAAGCTTTTTACTTTATTAAGAAAATAATACTAAAGGCTATTAATTATTAAATGCTTGCAATATACTTTCTGCTCCATTCAGTTCCTCATTTTAACTGTCTTTCTCCAAAATTCTACCATGTATGTTATCTTACACTTTCTTATTTAAGTATTTTTGTAAAGTGTGTGTTTTTCAGGATGCCTTCCGGGGTTGATCAATTTGCTTATAGCTTCCTTGATCTTACCATCCTACTAACCGTGAGCTAGTGCCCATATGACTTTTGTTCTTCTTTTATCTCTTCTTTCCCCACTGGTAACTATTGAGATTATATTCACTTTCTAGGTTCTTGAAGAGTCATTACTTATTCTTTTAGGGACTCTGACTTCTCTCTTTATTCTACTTAATCCTTCAGCATATGTGTAAGCGTCTTGTAAAGCATCTGTAATGCTATTGGGGAATAGTAGAAGTTTATATGTTAAATAAATACTCTGATTGCTACTGTGAGTTGTGTTTAAGCCTGACACATATTTTATGTTCATGCCAAATATTACTAGATCTCAAATTATGTTTAATCACTTTTACTTTGCTATGTGTACTTATATGTTCTTGCCAATATTGTCATTGTAAATTATAACAAATAAGGCTAGCGTGAATCTGTGTGAGTCACTTTGTGCAGCACCATATGCAAATAGACATTTAATGCCGTTAATGCTATGACGATGATGAAAAATGTCTGCTGCCCCTGTTGACTGAACAGCTGCCTGACAATAGACTGAGATTTTCTGTGTGCAGGATTTGTTCAATTTCTATGTTACGCTTTTCTTGAAGAGTGGAATGTTTCTATCTATGTTTTCAGTGAATTTATGCTAGGCCATCTGTTTATAAAGCCCATTTCCATCATTATCAATTAATATTTATTGGGCAACTACTGAGTGCATAGTAATATTGTACAAACAAAAACCGTTTTGCTACAGATAGACTTATTCATTGGCTTAGTACTGTTTTATTTTTATTAGAAAATAGTGAAAAACAAAAAAAACCCTTCTAAACCCAAAGGCATAAAATAACATCCTTTAACTCTGGACACTGGAAGATGTTGTATATTTACAGAGCTTTCTGTTCAAAGATATACAACTTGAGAAATTCTAAATTAAATTTCCATAATTATCTATGATCTTCTATTTGTCAACAATCCTAACTCAGTGGCCCTGCATTTAGAAAGTCAAATGAAGTATTATATTACTCTGGATTTCTAATAAAACTATGCATCTCTTTTTGAGAGGAAACTACTCGGATAAAAACAGACCTTCTACTAGGAGCATTTGTTTTTTGATTTTGAAGGAAATCCTGGAAAGTGCACTTGTTGGGCTCACATTTAACTTTACTTGCAAGATTTTATTAAGTAAAAGATTGCATAAAAATATAATCTGTTCCAGTAAAAGCAATGGCATGTTAGGGAATAATACTCATTACCATTGTTGCTTTTGAATTAAAGAAGTTAAAAGACTTGTATGTCTTTTTAGCATACTGGCTTTTTCATGAAGTAATTAAGGTTTTGTTTTGCAGATTGGCAAATTTATAACATTTGAAGAATGAAATCCTGACACTTGTCAACAGGGGTTTACCTTTGAGTTATTTTTGTAGTCATGGTATTGAATTTTTGCTGATTCATTCATAGTCTCTGGTCTAGTTAGCCTTCTGTGAGGCCCTTGGCTAGGTTTAGGGTAAAGATTGTGTCCACGAAACAGAGCAAAGGGAATTGGTGATTAAACTCATGACCTTGTTTGGGTTCATTGGCACTGGATGCCCTAAACAGTGGTGGATTCCGTAGGTATGGGCATAGTGGAACCAAGAAGTTTGTTCATTGGAGAAAATAGGTCAGAAAAAGCATCCATCTCTTCCACCAAGATAATTCCTATAAGAGCCCTTGTGGATTCTTGGGATTCTTGAAATAATAAACATCTTATAAGAAGAGAAAAATGAAAAAAACAAAAAACACATCTAGGCCATTCTTAAAATAAAACCTTGAGCTTTATGTTTAAATACCATAGATATCTTTAAGGAATGTTATTAAGGATTACTGTTACTATTAGAAATAGTATTTAACATATGATCAATCCTACTTAACTACGTGATATTGGATATTACCTTTTGAAAAAGAGGAATTGTTGTATTTTGTGACTTGACTTATGTGCTTACCATTTCCATCGGGAAAATACACACATTTCAATTCATACCAAGTTTTTTGAATTTCTCCCTTACTTTGATATCCCTCAAGTATGTATGGTATCATAATAGTATCAATATTGAATTCCTTTTGGACTTTTATCAAGCATTTCTACTTTTCACCTACCAAAGTGTGTGGTGTGTGCGGTTTGTTTTATTTTTTATTTTTTAAGTTGTAGTTGTTGGTATAGAATTTCCTTTCCTTGGTCATGGCTGAAAAATAAATTTCTTTGAACAATTTAAGTAATACCCACCTAGCTATTTTTAAATTAGATATTGGTTCAGGGATTTAGAATGTGAATGCGTTGTTTTGTTTTTTTTTGCCTTGAAAAGAAACTTAATTTTTTTTTGTTTTGGTTTTTGTTGGCACAGATAATCCTCAACTGGATGAACTTAAAGGCTAAAATTTTCCATTACTTTAGCTAGTTCTCATGGGGGAGGAATCTCTAATTTGATTTGAGAAAAAGCATAATTTAGAAATTCAAAGAACATGACAAAAAAAGTATGTGTTAATATAAATGAGTAGTACATGTTCTGAGCAATAAAATCCTGCTGTATTATGCATAGAGTCCTTTTAAAAATATGTATTATTTTATTGATGTTTGATGGCTTTGGAGCTGTGTTTAAGCGTCCAAAAAGAATTTTAGAGATAGACATCAGATTTCCATCTTAAAAAAATTTTAATTAAAGTTTCCATGATAGTGTTTTATACATACTCAGTACTTAATATTGAGTTTTTGCTTGATTGAAAATGTCCCTAAAGCTACCTCAAATTTTTAATATACATAAATATAAACAACTTGTAACTTCAATTTATAGCTCGTGTAGTCTACTTTGGATTGGAATCACATCATATTCTGTTAAGCTTAAAATATTTTTTCACTGGCTTTTATTTTCTACCCATGTGAAGAATTTAATTACAAAATATAGTAAGAACAACTATTTTCTAGTTTTCAGTGATATAACTTTTTCATTCTTTATTGTTACTGGAAAAAAAATCTGATTTGATAGTTTGTACCTTCAAGTAAATGATGCTGACTGTTTAATATGAGCACAGACTTGTTTTTCTATAGTGTTGTTAGTTTATCAGTGAATGATCTACATGTTCTTGCCCTTGTGACCAAAGGTGTGCAACTGTAGCACTGCTGAGTGATTAGGAGAACTTGGGATAGGTTATGTTTATAATTTTTCTCCGGAAATTTCATTGGACTGTGTGGGAATTAACATGTGATTTTTATTTCATTCCCATGCCATCATTCTTAACCAAGCTTGCTGGTCCATTTAAAGCAGACAAAGGGCCTTTAATTCCCTATTTGTTCTACATCTTGGAGTGTGTTATCTGTTAGAGCCTCTTGATAAACATGCTTGTTGTCAATGTTGTAGAGATTTTTATGGTTAAGTGAGAGGTCTACAAACATTTTTCTTTTCCCCTTTTTACTACTCTCTGAAAAGAAAAACTACCTTTTTTTTTATTATATATAACTATGAGAGTTTAGAATCACCTACCTCTAAGGAAATGCAGTAGTACAATACACGATATGACACACTTAAGGGAAAGAAGAAAAATTGTTGTTATTAAAGATTTAAATGTGCCCCGGGGACCCTCTATTAAGGCTCATTGTTGTTGCTGTGATCTTCAACGTGTAAAAGACAATCTAAATCCTGGAGCAGGGCACATGATAGTTTTTAGCTAAACTGCTCTTAGGAGACAAACAAGCTTTAAAGGACAAAATAACATAATTATTGAAATTCATTGGCATGTGATTTTTTTTTCTTCTTTTATAACTGCTTTTACTGGGTCCGTTTTAATATAAGTCTAAGTTGCTTGATTTAAGTCAAATGGAAAAGAAATCCAGTGCAGGCTTACACCCTTAAAAAAAGGTAGTAAATTAGTTCACGTTTATTATTAAGGTTTAAAGAAATGGCTTGTGATTTTGATTTGGTTGATTTAAAAATATCTCTCTTTGAGTATTATCTGTGTTTTCAGTGTTTACAGGTGCATCATTGATATATTTAATGGGTCTTAAGTGTCAGATTTTCCTTCTTTGTCTTTCATTTTAAACTAGGTAATGTAGAAAAACTGGTTCAATATTCTAGGCT
Source organism: Homo sapiens (assembly GCF_000001405.40). Lineage (NCBI taxonomy): Eukaryota > Metazoa > Chordata > Mammalia > Primates > Hominidae > Homo > Homo sapiens. The sequence continues at coordinate 80,842,414 of NC_000014.9, read as the reverse complement.
AGAATATTGCATTTGTGTTTACTTGTTGACTGACTCATGGTATATAGAAAGCAGAGCTAGTGTTCAAACTCAATGGCATTTCTAGATGATATAGTGGAAATGTAGTAATTTGCTTTGGATTGTTCCTTAGTATCTCACTATTGCTTCTTATTGAAAACAATAGAATTTAAGTTATCATTGACAAAAATTTCTTAAGACTTACATATACTTACAGTAAAAGGAGAAATTGAAAAAAGGAGACTTAAATAAAGTTTTAGGCAGCAAGTAGAGCTATAATAGAAAAGTACATTATTTTGGAAAATCAATATTATAAACAACTTATCAGATGTTCTAAGGGGAAAGTAAGGAAGAAAGGAGTAGCACAATATTATTTTAGCAAATTTCTAAGTATCCAAGAGAATTAGAGTTTCTTTTATTCAACCAACTTAAACATAGAAATTTGGATTTTTTTAATTTAATTTTTTTGAGGGTCTCACTCTGTTACCCAGGCTATTATTACCAATAATAATAGTTGCATTTTATTGCACATTTGCTAGGAGCCAGACATTGCTTTATGTGCTCTACAGATATCAAACCATTTAGTTTTCACCACTACCCTATAAGTTTGGTATTATTATTTCAATATGAAGAAGCAGTGCCCTCAGTTGTTAAGAGGCAGGCAGCCAGAATCTATATCCTGTCTCTGTCACTAAGTAGGTGAGTGACGTTAGGCAAATGATCCAACTCCTTGTGCTCCAATTTCCCCTTTAATAAAATGGGCTTGGAATAATAATAATTCATAGAATCATCATGAGGAGTAAATGTATATTTTGAATATATGTAATATATTTATTTATTATATGTAAGAAGAAGAATGCCTGGACATACTAAACACTATAAAAGCATGATAATATTGTTATTCTCAAATCAAAATTATTTTTCATTTTGTTGATGCCTCTCTGCCTCTTTACTCAATTTCTATTTGAGAGTAGGAATTATGGCAGAGGGAGCTGAAATTGATTGAGTATACTTGCATCAAAGCAGTTTTTAACATATTTTGCTGTTTGCCTAAAAATTGTTTTTCTGTTGATCTTGTTGGAAAAAGCTTCTGGCAGTTGGCTTTTCACAAGCTGTATGGACTTTACACATACACCTTGCTAAGTCTAAACACTAAAATTGTTAAAAATATTTTTTAAACAAATGGAATGCATTTCAGATATTATGAAAGACAGTTCCAAGTATAATTTTCCCCTTTAAGTTTAATTTTGTTCTAACATAGAAACAAACCAAAGCAAACACTTTTATAGTTAACTTTTGAAATGTGTATTTTCTTAACTTTCTTTTTCCTCATTTTATTAAAGAGGGGAATCTGTAGAAAAGAATATTTGTTTCCAAGAAAACTGTTAGCTATCTAGGCCCTCTAAATAATGTAGTAAAATTCCCAAAGATGGGGAAAAAAAGGAAACAAAGTGAATATTAATTAGGGTGATCAGGAATTGTTTATATTTTATCCCCACTGAAGTGTTCTTATGAGCAGACTGTAATTTATAGATTTTGTGTAACTCATATCCATGTCTTCTTCAGCCCTAATACATAATAAATTCTAGTAGTGACTTTCAGTTTTGTACATATTTTGGGATAATTTTTTTCCACCTCTTTCATTCCAGGCACTAAAGAAACAAGAAGCTAAAGCAGATGAGCATGAGGGGGCAATAAAAAATAAGCTAAGACAAACTGAAACTGAGAAGAATCAAGTAAGATTTTAAAAGTTATCTTTCAAAGAATAAAGTGGTTTGGGGCCAATGGTATTTGTTGAGTGCCTTGAAAAGTGTCCCCAGGATCCTTTAGAACATTGTGAGTTCTTTATCTTTCTATGTGGAGTCAATTGGTTCAACGGCTCTTCTACTTGCTAGGACTTGCTCTTGAAAACAGATAAGCAAGTTGTTTGCTACCTTGTCATCTATGACCATTCTCCTTTCTGAGAGGTGAATTAAACTTTACTTTTTCTTGTTGGAAACATTTAAAGAACTTGACTTTGTTGCAGGGTTAGAAAAGACCTGTCATTTGGAGACTGAATATTTTGGTTATATTCATTTTCATTATAGTGGACAGATATAGTAAGCAGCCAGTTCTGAAAACATTCTCTATTTATATTAAATATCAATGATCTTTGACATATGTTCATGTTTATGAACTGTGTGTTCATTTCTATGAACACGTAGAGCTTAGCACTTTAGAGTTAGAAAGGAATTCAGAGGCCAAACAACTCTTCCTTAATTTGCAAATAAGTAGATTTAAGGATGAGCTCAAAGTAATGAATGATGAAGTGAAAATTTGCCCTGTTCTTTACTCCGTATTATTGCTTTTTTCTACCTACCATTGCCTCCTTTATTTTATTTCACCAACTCATGTAAAGGCAGCTTCCCTGCTGCTTTTAGGGTAAGCGAAGTATGTTAGGCCATCAGATTTGCCCTTTGGGAGTTGCGATGTTGAAATTACACAGGGATTATGATCAATATGGGCTTTGGTTGAGTTCAAAGTCATTTTGCTTCAAGTATGATTTCTTCACTCTATTTCTCCATAGAGACTGAAGAACAGGACAGTATTTTATGTGGATTCTGTGATCCCCACTTATACTTTACTTTTTTTTAATATGACATTTGTTTTATGAGCCACATGTATAATTTTTAAAAAATTATATATTGGGATTTAAAGATATATTTTGAAATAATTATAGATTTATAGGATATTGTAAAACAAGATGCACAGAGAGGTCCCATGCACCCAATTTGCCTCAATGGTAACATTTTGCATAATTGCCATTCAATATCAAAACCAGGAAATTGGTGTTGGTACAATCTACTTAGTTTATACAGATTTCACCAGCTTTATATATATAACTCATTTGTATTTGTGTGTGTGTGTGTGTGTTTGTGTGAAGTTCAGTCCATTTTTATCTTGTATAGATTCTTGTTACCACTACCACCGTCAGGATACAGAACTGTTCTATCACCACAAGGCTCCCTCATGTTCTTTCATAGGCACACCTACCACATGTACAGTTATTAAATGATTAATATACAGATAGCAGTTGTTCAACTGAAATGATAATTTAGGATAAGTGTTACAAATCTAAGCACTTACAAGCATCTTAATATAAATGTGTGATTTTTATAAAACTATCTTACTGTTACAGAATGCAAACAAGTCTAGCACATATAAGCTCTAAATTGTTAAGAAACTTGTGTTCTATCCTATTACATATTTCAACTTGAAATCATCTAGGCATGTTAGGAGTTTGTAGAATATTTAGTCACTTAACTGGTCACATTTTTTTGAGACGGAGTCTCGCTCTGTTGCCCAGGCTGGAGTGCAGTGGCGCGATTTCGGCTCACTGCAAGCTCTGCCTCCCAGGTTCACGCCATTCTTCTGCCTCAGCCTCCCGAGTAGCTGGGATTACGGGTGTCTGCCACCATGCCTGACTAATTTTTTGTATTTTTAGTAGAGATGGGGTTTCACCGTGTTAGCCAGGATGGTCTTGATCTCCTGAACTGGTCACATTTTTTATCGATATTTATCTAATGGCAGTATCATTAAGGAAATTTTAAATGTCTCATTCTGAATTTAGACATCTAAAAATTTAAGGAATGTCTTATAAATATTAGAAATATTAGGAATGTAGGAAATCACCAATTAGATGAAACTTTTGAGTTATTGGGTCCCTGCAGTTTTTATTCTACTTTAGTTAATTTGACACTGTGTATTCTAATTTAAAGAAAAAAATTGCCTTAGAATTTAGATTAAAGAGATTTAGAACTGGAAGGGATCTTGGAGACTGTTTAATATAAAATACTTATTTTAGAGATGATAGAATGGAGGCCAGAGGAGGAGAGACTTGGACTGGCTCACAGTTGAGATGAAACTTACTAGATCCCAGACTTCCTGAGGCCTGGTCTGGTTCACTTTATGTTATACGATTCACATTATTTTAATGGAAGTATTGATATATGTTCATAGTGAGATATTTATTCTTTTATATTAGCTGTAAATGTCTTCTGAAAACTTTTCCACTTTTCTCCTTTTAAACTGTGCCCATAATAATTTAGTTATCTTCTGCTCCATTGGGCATTTTTCTTTATCCTTTGTTGAAACTCTAGCTTGAACAGGAATTGGAGCTATCTCGAAGGTTATTGAATCAATCAGAAGGCAGCCGAGAAACACTTTTGCATCAGGTAAGTCTATGCAAGTTATTATAATATACTTTTACATTAAATCAGGATTGAGTAGCTCTATTTAAATGTCTTTGTGAAAGGAAAAAAAAGAACTAGGTCTAGAAAAAATGTTTTCCTAAGGAATGTATATTAGCACACCTAAGCAAAGGATAAAATTCTTTCAGGGAAATTCAGAGAAAGCTAGTACAAACACCAGCCAGAGTCCCCACTGTGATGGTGTATCTTGCTGATTGCTGCTACAACTTACTACTTATCTGTCTTAGCATGAGCAGTGTAAAAGTAAGACTGAATGTATAAGATAAAATTTTCCCAGGAGCTTAATTTTATTCCAGGAGGCACTGGGAAGTAAAGGAAGAAGTAAACTACATGCAGCAGACCTTTGCATGTTTAGGTTACTTTGAATAACGTCATTGTCTTTAATTCATGTTTTCAAGATACTACTTGACCCTTTTAAACCAAAGATAAGGGTAATTTTATTTTATTTTTTTTGAGACGCAGTCTCGCTCTGTTGCCAGGCTGGAGTGCAGTGGCGCAATCTTGGCTCACCACAACCTCAGCCTCCCGGGTTCAAGCGATTCTCCTGCCTCAGCCTCCCAGTAGCTGGGATTACAGGCATGCGCCACCACACCTGGCTAATGTTTTGTTTTTTTAGGAAAGATGGGGTTTCACCATGTTGGCCAGGATGTTCTCGATCTCCTGACTTCGTGATTCCCCACCTCGGCCTCCCAAAGTGCTGGGATTATAGGTGTGAGCCACCACGCCCGGCCGATAAGGCTTAATTTTAAAGTATAACGTTTTGCATTCCATCAGCCCATAATGGGAGTTTGGCGCTTCTGATGTTTAAAGTTCAGTAACTTTAAATAACCATCTTACATACATTGGATAAGGGCATATGGGTTTCTAACTGCCTGTCTGTGTTTAATACAAACTGCAATTATACTTTCTTCTGTTTTGAAGTGTATGTTATATAACACACCTTCAGAATATGCTAAGGGTAAGCAAAGATGTCAAGCATTATAGATGTTCAGAAGGAGTATTACATTCTGACAATTGGTGCTGAAAATACAAGATAGCACCTGTTTTACAAAACCTTTGAAAATATTCGCTGACTTTGTTCTGCAGCCAGTGGTCACATGGAATTAATTTTGGCAGAGTTCAAACTTTCCTTTTTGGAAGTTTATATTTGTATTTAATTCCGTTCTGATTTGTTTGGAACTCTAACTTATAATCTCCAGTTTCAGTTATGGAAGCAAGAGATTTCTTTGTTTAGATTGTCATTGTGATTTTAGCTGAATCTTTTTGCCACTGTTAACTTGTTTAATGTTCATTTGGAAGTACCTGCTATGTGCTAGGTAATTTGGCAGTCTAAGGATAGAAAGATAAACAAATCAGTTTCTGACTTCAAGGAGTTTAGAGTTTATTCAACAGCATCTATTACATACTTATTTTGAGCATGATTTTAGTATCAAAATATGCTAAATCATGATCATTTATCTTGAATTTAACAACCAATAGACCATGTTCACATGAAAGCAAATGGGTGAAAATTGAAAAATATAAGAAGTATAATACTTAATTGAAGTTGATTTGGGTTAATAGTAATGGAGTAGACTGAGGACAAAATAAGTGATGAAAAAAAAAATCTAGTCACATTCCATTCTTTGCCTCAGTGGACACAGAGAAGGAAAAGCCATTCATTTATTCTTTGTGGAAGAGATGAGAGGAATGAGGAAATGGAGCAGGAAACCGTTCCACTATGCTTGGAAGGAGATTAACCTGGATTCAACTTGTGTTTACAATAGCCCATTTGAAGTAGGTCTTTCTCTGATTGTGAAAACCGATGTTTGATTTTTGACCATGTGTTAGGTAGAAGAACTGCGTACACAACTTACGAAAGCAGAAGGTGATCGAAAGGGTTTACAGCATCAAGTATCTCAGATTTCCAAGCAACAGTCAAACTATCAGGATGAACAAGGGGAGGACTGGAGATTTAGGAGAGGTAAAAGTAGATTTGTACCTAATAATGTGATAATGTGTGTGGGGGCTTTTTGGTTTTTCTTAGAAAATACTTTTCATCCTCAGAATTGCATTCCTTTGTGATGCTCACGTCATACTATTTCTTGATCTATTAAACATTTTCTGATAAGTTGATAATAATTCAGCATCATCCCATTTTAATATCTTCCCTGCTTGGTTCAAACCCATTTGGGTTATTAGACCTACTTAACCATGGGGCTTTCTCTTAGAAAGAGCCTGCAAAAGCAGTAGTTTTTCCAGCCTCCGATTCCCATGCCCAAATATACGTGCATATGTGTAAGTGTGTACCAGTCTTTGTACTTAAATTGTAAATGTTGCTCTGTCTTTCACATTCTCTTATCTCAATTTTCAGTATAAGAGAAATTAAAGTCAGTACCCTATCTTTTTTGTCGTCTGGAGTTGGTGACAAAAATTAATCACAACTCAGGAGTGGTCATGAGCTGTATCACTGGCTTTTTATGTGGTTTAGGAATACTTTGTGTTTGAAAAATATTAGGATACCTTCTCAGTGGAGGTGTTAATTTAAATTATGGAATTTAATGACTGGATGTATATTCAGGTTTAATAATGATAATATTGAGATTATATAATTGTTTCTATTAGGTGAGTTCACATTGCTCAGCTTCTGTATTATCCCAATAATGAGGCTTCCTACTCAAATGCTCAAAGTATTGGTGAAATTTTTGTAAGTGTTGGATGTACTGTTAAATTCAGGGAAGGTAAATATTGCCCCAGGCTTTCCAAATACACCTCCATATGTTGCCTAAGCTAGAATTTCCACATTGCCAGAAAATCTTCAATGGATGACAAATTTTGACAAAGCTATTCTAATATATTTTCTTAGTCTGTTTTGTGTTACACTAAAGGAATACCTGAGGCTGGATAGTTTACAAAGAAAAAAGCTTTATTTAGATCGCAGTTCTGTAGGCTGTACCAGAAGCATGGCTCTAGCATCTGCTGGAATTCTGGGGAGGAGTTTTGTGCTCCATCCAAACAATGCAAAAGAGGTCAAATGGGGAGTGGGGATGTGTAAAGGGGGACCAAATTCAAGGGATGTCCTGGCGTTCTGACAACCCACTCTTGTCTGAACTAATCAGTTCCCTTGAGAACCAGTCCAGCCTCAGGAGAGCAAGAACTCACTCCTGCTACAAGAAGGACACCAAGCCGTTCATGAGGGACCTGTCTACGTGACCCAAACACCTCCCAGTAGGCCCCATCTCCTAACAGCCATAGTGGGGATAAAATGTCACCATGAGATTTGGTGAGGACAAATAAACTATATCCAAGCCTTAGCATATTTTTATTTGTATGCCATTAAGTTTCATTAAGTTTCATGTGATATAATTTAAGTATCATTTGACCCAGAATATCACTTGTTTTTAAACAATCCTAAGCTGTTAGCTTCTTCATCAAACTTCATAAAGATGCACACAGGAATTGTTGGAACAAAGACCAACACATTTTTTATGTTTTGATACCTCATAAAATGTAATTATTTCTGTTGTAAGTCTTTGAGGACTAAAAATATTGAGCTTTTCTTAGCTACTTATCAGGTATGAAAAAAATTTTGGAAGTTTTTTTATATATGTGATAATGGACTTCTTCACCGTTTAACAATTGTAGAGTTTTTCATCTTTACAGAATACTTAGATTATTTAAAGACAGTTCTACATTAGAAATCATACTTATCATATTTTCAGCTGGTATTTCTTCCTCTGCCCACTGCAAAATGGGTTCCACCTGTATTTGTAAAATTGACTTTGCATGATTTGCTAGCAATTCCAATTTGCTAGCAATTCTGTCAATTCCAAGGATGTCGTTGCATTACTTATTTTAGTGTTACCTGCTTATTTCTTCTTCCTTCTTGAAACTCTTCCTGTGACTTCTATGCCTCTTGCCTTTCCTAATTCTTCTGTCTTAGTTATTTACATTCTTTGTATTTGAATCTTTTTGCTGTGTTCACAGTTTGTCTTCTAAATGTTGGTTTTGCCTACTATCCTACTCATGGCTTTTGTTACTTAGTATGTCTGCCTGGGAATTGATTAAAAATTATCACCTAGAGGTGATAATTCCTAAATCTAGCTCTATTTGCTCTCCTAACCATTGGCCCTCCAAATGGAGTTGCTCATTGGATATCTCCATATGCTGTTCCTCAGAATGCATGTTGATACACAGCTGAATTCATCGTCTCCTCAAAACATGTTTTTCTTTCCTGTCTCAGTGTGTGGCATCATCCTCCATCCAGACATCCAAGCCTAAAATGCAAAGAACATAGAAATTATTTATTCTCTCCTCCATATAATTAGTTTCTACCTCATGCCTATTTATACATCCTGATATCTCCTGAATTTGCAACATTCTCTTTCTTATTCCCACTGCCCCGGCTTAAGCATGCTTTGGTCAGTATAGGACATGTAGTACTCTCTTGTCTTACCTATTCTGGCTTCTCTGTAATCTATTTTCTTTTCTATTACTAAAGGGCACTATTCTTATTTCTTATTTCTATATTAATGATTATAAAAAGGACCCAAGAATAAAGAGGTTGAGTTACTTGCCCAAGATCACACATGAGGGAAGTAGCAGACTCCAATTTTTTTTTTTCCCCAAATTTGAGATCTTAACTGCTATCCTATACTGACCAAGCATTCTCCAAAATGGAGCGTTTGTAATGCTGTTTATATTTTATACTTTTTGTTTTAAATATTTTAACTTTTTTGGGAAATGTTTCATTACATATACTACATGTGTATGTATGTATAGATGTGTGTGTATATTTATCTTTACTAGTATATATATATGTAAACATACCAAAATATATCTCCATATCAAATATATATGTTTCATAAAGTATACATATATGTATACATACATGCCTTCATATTTTATATAATATATATTCATTCTAATGTTACATCCATGTGTATATATCAAGAAACGTATCAATATATACATATTATTGAGACATGTTATATGCACACAAATATACACATATAAAATAAAATACATATATTTATAAAATAAACAAATACATTTACAAATAGATAAATATGTACATTTTCAGGTTGGTTACCTATCAGAAGTAGGGAAAGTAGGGCTCATGGGCCAAATCCAGACTGCCACCTGTTTTTGTAAATAGACTTTATTGGAACACAGCTACTCCCATTCATTTATGCAATGTCTAGGCTACTTTTGCAATACAGTGGTTGAATTGAGTAGTTATGACAGAAATCATATAGCTAAGATATTTATTATCTGATCCTTTATAGAAAATGTTTGCTGATGCTTGGTTTGTAGGATAAATTCTTCTAAGTTTCCTAGCAACACATAAACTCTGTTGACACTCCCTCCTCCCACCCTTGTAACATATGAGATGTATTAGCTACTTGAAACTTCTGTGTGTGCAATTACCTGAATGTTAAATTCAGTTTTGTACCTGTATGCTTTATGGTATGTGCTTTCCCTAAAAACACCCCAACTCCTTCTCCTTTGCTTGGTGAAATTTTGTATTCATTCTTTAAGTCTGACTTAGTTCTCAGTTCTTCCTACTTTAGTTCCTCACTGAGACAGAGCTAATCCCTTTTACTGTTTGTACTGTTTCTGTATAATCCACATGTATGTATCAGCGCTCTTATCATCCTATTGAAATGCCCATATGTCTTCCATTCTAATATGTACAATTTTGAACACTAATATTCTGAAGTGGGAATGTATTTTATGAATGATGTATAAATTTAATTTGTTAGTGTTTTCTTCTTTCATTGCCTCCTTTTTTTTTTCTGGAAAGGAAACCACTAGAAAGACAGTAGTTTTAAAATGACAGACAGTATATGTTCCAGTTGTTGACATTTTAGACTCCATAGAGTACTTTATATTTTGTCTCTATTCTTGGGATGTGTATTATTCTGTTCTCACACTGCTAATAAAGACATACTTGAGACTGGGTAATTTATAAAGGAAAGAGGTTTAATGGACTCACAGTTCCACGTGGCTGGAGAGGCCTCACAATCATGATGGAAGGCAAAGGAAAAGCAAAGGCATGTCTTACGTGGTGGCAGGGAATAGAGCTTGTGTAGGGGAACTCTCCTTTATAAAACCATCAGATCTCATGGGACTTATTCACTATCATGAGAACAGCATGGAAAGAGCTGCCCCCATGATTCAATTACCTCCCACTTGGTCCCTCCCACAACATGTGGGAATTACGGGAGCTACAATTCAAGATGAGATTTGAGTGGGGCAGAGCCAAACCACATCAGGATGTAAGCTCATTGAGGATGAAGTTTTGTTATTTGTCCTTATATTAGAAGAAGGTATTATAGTCCCCTGTGTAGCACAGGTCAAGTATTTCATGTTGATTTAAATACTAAGTCAATTTATATTGTTAAATGATATATTAATTTCAGGTAATAATCTCCAGATGAGTAAGGATTAGTAAATTGGTTGGTCATACACAATCAGAGATTTAATAGCATCATTTGTTGTTTATGTTGCAAAAAAAATATTTTGTAGATGAAGTAGCTTAGTTGAAAACTCTTTTTGTATTTTTTTTTTTTTTTTACTGTTTGGAGATAGTGTAGAGATGTGAGGAAAATTTAAAAATGTGTGTGATTTTCTTGAAATAAATTGCAGTAGAAATCAGGTAACATTTTAAGTTTTAGTATCAAACTGGAATAATATTTGATGATATAGCAATGTATATGTTTTTGAAAGCTATAAAACTTGAAACAACAGGCTGGCAAAGTCTGTTGAGTAACTGTCAATAAATGGATTATGATAGCTAGAATATTGAAACATCAGGGCTCAGTACTATTTGAAAGTACATTCTTCTGTGAATAAAGAACAACCCTTGAGCCTTACATTTTATCTTTTAAGGGGTTGAGCGGGAAAAACAGGACCTGGAGAAGCAAATGTCAGATTTGAGAGTGCAGCTGAACTTCAGCGCAATGGCATCTGAGTTAGAGGAAGTGAAACGGTGCATGGAGAGAAAAGACAAGGAGAAAGCACATTTGGCATCACAAGTAGAGGTGACTTTGCTCTTTTTAAGTCATATTCGAAATATTTTAATTTTATCTCATGGAATTGCTTAATGAAATTTTAATATAAAGATGTGTTATTTTATGAACTCCAGTGTGAGCATTGATAATATAAAGTTATATTAATGACTGATTTACTTATATGTAGAAATTCCTATGGGTTCATTTCTCTTTCATTCAGGACCCCAAAGCCAGGAACCTGGATGATTTTCCTTTATTATTTTACAGAGAAATCCTTTACTATTTTTAAATTTGAAAATATTTTTGTTCTAATAGCAATTGAACCCTTTCTACAGACAGAAGGGACCTTTTTTGTTTGAGAGAACAGTGAATTATTATTTATTTTGCGGGTGAAACTGGCAGAATGCATAGTGAAAAGGTGTTACCAATAATTCTTCTTTGGAACCATAAAGGTTTTCAGACCTCTAGTTGTTCTGCATGAGGTGGAATTGCAATGCCTCCATTAATTTAGAGTTGTGTAGCAATCATGGATGATATGGTAACCGTGAATGGAGTATAACTAGGCAGCTACCATTTCCTGCTTTTATCTAGCATAGATGAGGTAATTATCAGTATATATTAAAAATCAAAGGAAAAGACCTCATAAAAGGAAATGGTTTAATTGAAATTACAATTATGCAAATTAGATTAAACATGGATGACACATTTGGAAATAGATATGTATCAATCCTCCCTGTATCTGTTTTTGTAAGTGAAGTTGTGTTCTAATTTCAAGTATTTCCAAAATTAAAATGAAAGGTAGAAAATTAGTGTTAAAAGCACCTAATTTTATATAACCCAAAGGAAATATTTAATGTTACTCATCTGTGTTTCTCTTTCATCTTGTCAGCACATCAATAGAAAATGTCTTTTAAATTTGGTTCAAGATTTGGATTGTAAAGATAATGAAATATTGACATACTCTTTACAAAGCCCTCTACATGTTTAATAAAGACTTACTTGAAATTGTCTCAGAGCAATGGTAATTATACAACTTTTAAAGTTTGCTTCATGGGTATTATTTTAGCCCTTGATCCTGCTGATGAAAATGCTAAAATATGATTATTTTGCTGAAGTCACGTATTTAAAAAGAAAGTATGTTGGATAGATCTAAAAGGTAGAAAAATCCCTTTGCTCTATGTTCATAACCACACATTGGTCCTCCCTCCCTTCTTTCCTTCCTTCACATTGTTTCTTTTCACTTGCCATCATGGTATACATTGGAAAAAAATCTCAAATATGTGAGCACTAAAAAAATTATTTGTAATAGCCTAATAATGCTCTTATTCAAGATTCCTGGCTTTCCCCTTGTCCTAACTTAGTAGTTATTTTACAATTTCTTATGGGTTAGGGGAAGAATTTGAGTCCTCTTGGGTTAGTTTGGTTTGGTTGTATAGAGTTTGGGTGTGAAAAACAATTGGAGGAAAGGTTTTTACAACACAGCAAATATTATTGACTGCCTGTTACATGCCAGACACTGTTCTAAGTGCTGGCAACATAGCAAAGAACACAAATGCAGCCGATTCCTTGTTTCTCACAGTGGATCTAAAATTGATGCAGGCTGGGAGCAGTGGCTTGTGCCTGTAGTCTCGGCTACTCAAGAGGATGAGGTGAAAGGATTGCTTGAGCCAGGAGTTCAAGGCTGCAGCGAGCTGTGATTGTGCCACTGCACTCCAGCCTAGGCAACATAGTAAGACTCTGTCTCTAAAAAATAAGTAAATAAAAATAAAGTTGATGCAGAAAGTTCTTTGAGTTTGTCTTGCTTCTAAGAATAAATTTCTTTTTGAGAATGAAATTTTTTTTTCCAGTTGCCATTGCAAAGGACATCACAAAGACAATGTTTATCCCTGTAAGACATTAGCATTAACTAGTTGCATTTTTTCTGATTTTCTTAATTTGAACAATAAAATAGTTAATTAAATTTGCAGCTGTTTCTGATTTAGTGACACGTCTGATTTTCCTTTATTTTTCATAAAAGAACTATTAAGTTAGAACAAGTTTATTGTCTGTATCACTAATGTTCTTATGGCACCTTTTGGAGGCCATTTGAATATCTTTGTTCCCAAGCTGTTCTCAAAGTCATGTTTCGTGCAGACTTTGTGAGATATTAGGTCATAGATTACTCGATTGTAACCTCTAACAATTGAGAATTTTCTTGAAATTTAGTCTCTGCTTTATTTTTAGAAAATATTGGGTAGTATGGAGCTGTTGCCTTATACATTCTATTAAAAAAGAGAGATTAATCTTCTTTAGTTGCTTTTCAGAGACCAAATATGAATAAAAAAGATGCACAAAATGAGATCATTGGTCAGGCCCAAGAACATATATATAGTAACAGTTCTTATGATTTATTCAATCATTAATGTGTTTCTTTTTAACCTTCACTTTCTGACACCTCTCCTACAGAACCTCATATGTGGTCTTGTCAAATAATTCCTTTTTTCTTAAACTTCCCTACTCAGCTCCATCAGTTTTTCCTTTGTGCCAGTTGTTCACTGTTTCTGTGAACAACTTTGAATGTCTTTTCTTTCTTTTTGTGGAAATCCTAAACTTTTTCCCCCATGTAAAAGTGGAATTGGATTAAATCAGCTGTAAGTGATCCTTCTTCTTTCTGAATAATCCTTTTGTCCATATCACTAATATTCTTATGCCCCCTTTCTCACACTCTCTTGAAGTAATCTGGGTATGTTTTGTTAAAAATTTCAAAGTGGGGCCAGGCACAGTGGCTCACGCCTGTAATCCCAGCACTTTGGGAGGCCAAGGCAGGCGGATCACTTGAGGTCAGGAGTTCGAAACCAGCCTGGCCAACATGGTGAAACCACATCTCTACTAAAGGTACAAAAATTAGCCAGGTGTGGTGGCAGGTGCCTGTAATCCTAGCTACTTGGGAGGCTGAGGCAGGAGAATTGCTTGAACCTGGGGGCGGAGGTTGCAGTGAGCCGAGATCGCACCACTGCACTCCAGAATGGGCGACAGAGTGAGACTCCATCTCAAAAAAAAAAAAAAAAAAGAAAAAAGAAGCAAAGTAGGCCAAAATAAAGTAGAAAAAGAGACTCAGGAAAAAGCCAGCTGCCCTGTCACCAAGACAGAGTGAACTTTGGTGCCCTTACATTGGTGGAGACATCATGTTTCAAGGTCTTGTCCTCACATCTGGAAACTTGAGTTTTCTGTGTGTGACCCAGGAGACTGGCTCATATTAACAATGAAACTCAGAAGAGAGAGGTGTGGGTCAATGCAAAAGTAATTGCAAAAACTGAGATTACTTTTGTACCAACCTAATATACAAAAGAGTACCACTTCACTGATTTACCCTGTGGGAGCCCTATACAGATATGAAAACATTATTCTCTTATGCAGGGCACCAATCTCCTAATCTTCTGGCTTTAGAATTAGTAACCAAAAAATTGCTTAATGAACACAGAATCAGAGAATAATGATGCCTTAAGGGTTGTTTGTTCATAATTATAGTAGAAATTCTCAACCTCCCACCTCCCTTTTTACAGAGTCCTTACAACCAGAGATACTGTACACTTCAGCTAGATTCTATGTCTTTATTCCTGGAGTGTGTTGAACTGACATCTCTTCTCATTCCAGCAATCTTCTATGCTTTCGCTCTGATGCTCAGTCTTATGTTTAATTTTTCTTTTGATATGTTGCTGTGCACGGATTTTGCTCTGGGCCACTTACTAGTATGCACTGATGTTATAATTCAGAGTTGTGGCATTCTGGGAGCCACTTATGAATTTAAAGCTTCTATTCCTGTTGAGATTATAAATGGGTTAAGAACCAAGTTTTATCTCTGTGTCCCTATGTGTTCCCACACAGTCTTACCTATACTAGGTGCTTAATTAGTATTTGTTGAATGAAATAATATGTTGTAAAAAATTTATGTTTTTTCTTTTTAAACTAATATTTGCTATCTAGTCATTTCTTAAAAGCACATCCATTTCTGGAAGATTTGTCAGTATTTAAGGGGACCTTTGCTATATCTTACTAATTGCATTAGTTTTTGTTGATCCAGAATATATATTTCAAGCAGTTGTTTTACATTAGAGAAAAACAGTAAAAATGGCTCTTAAAAAAACAATGGAAGGAAGCTACATTTGAGTTTGCATAATTTACCTTTTAAATTGTACCTAAGATCTTAAATCTGTATATGCATAGAAAATACTAAGTACACTTTTCCCTTCTTGTAAACTCAAGTTGAACCTCATTAACCTTGATAGCCTATTTGTATTCATAAGAATTCTAAGCATCCTTGATCAGTTATTTCCCCTGATTTAATCTTTGCCTCCATCTTCCGTCAACTTACTCTTCTTGAAAAAAAATTTGACTTTTAAATTCAAGAAAGAACTTCAAAGAAAGGAAAAAACAAGATGCTGAACATAATTTAGATTAAATGTTGAAAGTGATAATTGAGTGACAACTGACATGATAATTCATTAGCAGAAACTTGGGACTATAATGGGAGATTTTAATTTTTTTTTAAAAGAGGATGGTATAAAAAAGAAAGGATAATCAATAATAGCTTATTTTTATGATTAGTACAATACAAATAGAAGGAAGGTTGTTTCTTTTACCATAAACTCTTGATTCATGCATTTGTTTCATAAAGCTGACCATTTTACTGTATGCCCGCTTTAATATTACTTTTAATAATGAGATTAAACCCTTTTTGGAGACCAAAGGTCTTAGAGACCTTAATTATGCTGGTTGTAATTTCATGTTCAACTTCATTTCTAAAATCTTAATTTCTTCCTTATCTAAGTGCATATTGTAAAATATGCTATTACCTGAATAGCAAGTAATTTTTAATACCTAGATTAGATTATAAAGAAAACAAACATTGGCCACAACTTTGTAGAGAGAAGCTATTAATAAAGTTATGGTATCTAGTGGAAATGAGGTCTGCTTCTGTTATTAACCAAATTTACTCTGGTTTGTGGGCACATTACTGAATGCCCTATACTTCTGTATTTTTCACAAAGATGACTATTGGCAGAGCTGTTTTTTTTTTTTTTTTTTTTTGAGACAGAATCTCGCTCTGTCACCCAGGGTGGAGTGCAGTGGTGCGATCTCGGCTCACTGCAACCTCCGCCTCCTGGGTTCAAGTGATTCTCCTGCTTCAGCATCCTGAGTAGCTGGGATTACAGGCGTGTGCCACCAGGCCTGGCTAATTTTTGTATTTTTAGTAGAGACGGGGTTTCACCATGTTGGCGAGGCTGGTCTCGAACTCCTGACCTCATGATCCGCCCGTCTTGGCCTTCCAAAGTGCTGGGATTACAGGAGTGAGCCACCATGCCTGGCTGAGATGTTCTGCAAGTAAAATCCCTATAACTAAATAAGCCTTTATACCTATTAGAAGACTTGGTTTAATTCTCAGATCTTTCATCTGTATGAAAAAATGAATTTTGGGAGTTATGAGGAAAGGTGGTTTTTCTGTTTTCTTTAACTCTCTGAGTTGCAGAAAGCAGAAGTGGACTGAATATTTTAATTTTTTCTTGAATGTATTACTAATACATTAGCTTGTATTTATTACTAATTACTAATTAGTTTGTATTTATTACTAATTACTAATAGTTTGTATTTATTGCTAATACATTAGTTTGTCATTTGAATGTGGTCAGTAAAACAGTTTAGAAATAAAATATCTATTTTCAAGTTTCTTCGTTTTCTGAAACCGTAATAATTTCTGCCTCATGTTTTTTACATATAAATTAAATAGGGCTGGGCATGATGGCTCACGCCTGTAATCCCAGCACTTTGTGAGGCTAAGGCTGGAGGATTGCCTGAGCTTAGAAGTTCAAGACCAGCCTAGGCAACATAGTGAAACCCCATATCTACAAAAAAGTACAAAAAATAGCTGGGTGTGGTAGCATGTGCCTCTAATACCAATTACTTGGGGGGTGATATGGTTTGGCTGTGTCCCCACCGAAATCTCATCTTGAATCCCCACCGTTGTGGGAGGGACCCGGTTGGAGGTAATTATTGAATCATGGGGGCAGGTCTTTCCTGTACTGTTCTTATGATAGTGAATAAGTCTCATGAGATCTGATGGTTTTATAAAGCAGTTTCCCTGCACAAGCTCTCTTCTCTTATCTGCCACCATGTAAGACATGCCTTTCACCTTCCGCGATGACTCTGAAGCTCCCCCAGCCACGTGAACCTGTAAGTCCATTAAACTTCTTTCTTTTGTAAATTGCCCAGTCTCGGGTGTGTCTTTATCAGCAACATGAAAACAGAATAATACAGCAAATTGGTACCAGGAGTGGAGAGCTGCTATAGATACACAAAAATGTTGAGGCAACTTTGGAACTGGGTAACAGGCAGGGGTTGGAATAGTTTGGAAGACTCAAAAGAATACATGAAAATGTGGGAACGTTTGGAACTTTCTATAGACTTGTTGAATGGCTTTGCCCAAAATGCTGATAGCATTATGGACAATAAAGTCCAGGGTGAGGTGGTCCCAGATGGAAATGAGCAACTTGTTGGGAACTGGAGCAAAGGTGACTCTTGTTAAGTTTTAGCAAAGAGACAGGTGGTATATTGCTCCTCCACTTGAGATTTGTGGAATTTTGAACTGGAGAGAGATGTTTTAGGATATCTGTTCAGAATAAATTTTTAAGCAGCAAAGCATTCAAGAGGTGACTTGGGTGCTGTTAAAGGCATTCAGTTTTATAAGGGAAGTAGAGCATAAAAGTATGGAGAATTTGCAGCCTGACAATGCAAAAGGAAAGAAAATCCCATTTTTCTGAGGAGAAATTCAAGCTGGCTGCAGAAATTTGCATAAGTATTGAGGAGCCAAATGTTAAACCCCAAAACAGTGGGGAAAATGTCTCCAGGGCATGTCAGAGACTTTTGCAGTAGCCCCTCCCATCACAAGCCCAGTGGCCTAGGAGGAAAAAGTGGTTTCATGATCCGGGCCCAGGGTCCCCATGTGGTGTGCAGCCTAGGGGCTTGGTGCCCTGCATCCCAGCTGCTCCAGCCGTGGCTGAAAGGGGCCAATGTAGAGCTCAGGCTGTGGCTTTAGAGGGTGCAAGCCCCAGGCCTTGGCAGCTTCCATGTGGTTTTGAGTGTACGGGTGCACAGAAGTCAAGAATTGAGGTTTGGGAACCTCCACCTAGATTTCAGAGGATGTATGCAAATGCCTGGATGCCTAGGCAGAAGCTTGCTGCAGAGGCAGGGCCATCATGGAGAACCTCTGCTAGGGCAATGTGGAAGGGAAATGTGGGGTTGGAATCCCCGCACATTGTCCCTACTGGGGCACTGCCCAGTGGAACTGTGAGAAGAGGACCACTTCCTCCAGATCCCAGCATGGTAGATCCATGAACAGCTTGCACTGTGTACCTGGAAAAGCCTCAGACACTCAGTGCCAGTCCGTGAAAGCAGCCGTGAGGGGAGCTCTACCCTGCAAAGCCACAGGGGTGGAAGCTGTGCAGGGCGGTGGGAGCCCACCTCTTGCATCAGCATGACCTGGTTGTGAGACATGGAATCAAAGGAGATCATTTTGGAGTTTTTTTTTTTTTCCCAAGCCAAACTGTATCCAGCTTTATTAAAGATACTTTCCATAAACAATCATGGTATTTCAGGCAGGACATGGGCAGACAGTCGTTAACAGTATACAACAACTTTCAAATTCCCTTCTTCAGTGGACTGCCAAAAATCAGAAAGCCACTGTAAAACCCAATGAAGTCTTCATCTGATGCTCTGAACAGGGAAAGTTTAGAGTGAGGGTTGACATTTCACATTTAGCATGTTGTTTAACAACTTTTCACAAGCCGACCCTGACTTTCAGGAAGTGAAATGAAAGTGGCAGAATTTATCTGAAGATCCGCAATCTCGAAATGGAACCACTGCTCTTTTGACAGGTGCCATCTCAGTGGCATCACTGGAAAGTCCAGATTGCCTGACACATTGGTAACCAATGACTAGGGGTCAGGTCCCAGTAGTGGTCTGGGTTTAAGGGAGTTAAGTCTTTGCTGAAAGATGGAAAGGGAGAAGAGGACATAGAAATGAATTTGTTTTTCCATAGCACAAGGCTTTTGTGCCAAGGTGGCCATGTGTGTCAACGTCAGGGAATCCCTCCTCCTGGGAGCCAAGAGGAAGTCTCTCAAAACCAGAAGGGAAAGGTGTTTTCCCCACATCAGTCCAGCTTTGGAGACATTCTGTTAGTGACGTATGCCCCTTCCCCCAAAAACAACAATGAAGTGTTCTGTGTGCTAACAACATAGCTTAAAAAAAAGTAAAATTATGCAGTTTTATAAAACTTGATAAAAAATAGTATTTCAAACTGTGCAGTCAACAGAAGTTTACACAGTTATCAAAAATGCACACACTTCACTTGGCGTCTCCAGCACCTTCAGTTTTATGTGCCTGGTCTGTTTTGGCATCTCCATTTTCTACAGGGCTATTCCCCTCCTTGCCAGCATCAGCTTTTCCCTTTTTCCCTTTGGGTACTTTCTCTCCCTTCTTTGCAGGGGCCTTTTTACGCTTGGGTTCTGGCTTTGGAGGAGCAGGTTTAGCTGACAACCTCATGGATCTTCTGTGTGATTCGTCCTTCACCTTGGCTTTATCTCCTTTAGCATCCCCTTCAGCCTTTCTCTTGGGCATGGTGGCGGCAGGATGTAGGTGGTGGACGCGGGATGCAGTGGTGCACGGGCTTTGGTTGGTTAGGGGTTCGTTCTCGCCTCTTCTTCACACTGCTCCCATTTTGAAGTGTTAAGATTTGACTTCCCTGTTGGATTTTGGACTTGCATGGGGCCAGTAGCCCCTTTGTTTTGGCCAATTTCTTTCATTTGGAATGGCTGTATTTACTCAATGCCTGTACCCCCATTGTATCTAGGAAGTAACTAACTTGCTTTTGCTTTTACGGGCTTATGGGCGGAAGAGACTTGCCTTGTCTCAGATGAAACTTTGGAGTATGGACTTTTGAGTGGACTGTTGGGAAGGCATGATTGGTTTTGAAATGTGAGGACATGAGATTTGGAGGGGCCAGGGGCGGAATGATATGGTTTGGCTCTGTCCCCACCCAGATCTCATCTTGGATCCCCATGTGTTGTGGGAGGGACCTGGTGGAAGGTATTTGAATCACGGGGGCAGGTCTTTCCTGTGCTTGTCTCATGATCATGAATAAGTCTCATGAGATCTGATGGTTTTGTAAAGCAGAGTTTCCCTGCACAAGCTCCTTTCTCTTGTCTGCGTGCCTGTCACCTTCCGCCATGATTGTGAGGCTTTCCCAGCCATGTGGAACTGTAAGTCCTTTAAACCTCTTTCTTTTGTAAATTGCGCAGTCTCAGGTATGTCTTTATCTGCAGTGGGAGAATGGAGTATTACAGGGGGCTGAGACGGGAGAATCACTGGAGTCTGGGAGGCCGAGGCTGCAGTGAGCCATGTTCACACCACTTCACTCCAGTCTGGGTGGAAGAGCAAGACTTCATCTCTTAAAAAAAAAAAATTAAATGGGGCCTTGTGATTCTTAGCTTTGTGTGCATGTGTGTGTGTGTGTGTGTGTGTGTGTGTGTGTGTGTGTGTGTATGTGTGTATGTGTGTGACATATAACTTCAGTTCCTCAGAAAATATGAAGTATTGATAACTTTTTATTATCTATGGATCTATTGAAAATTTAAAGCAATTTGGAAGATAAAATACAGCTTTGGGAATACTTATTTGAGGACTTGCTATGGAAAAAAGGGTGGCACTAAACAAATGCGGTAATGTTCCTTGAGTAAGTAATTAAGAGTTATTCAATGCTTGTCTACCTGAAATACCATTGAAAGAGGGTTGGTATTCTTTATAATGAGCCAATTTTAACTGTTCATACATTATTCCTGTAGTCTTTTTAGTTTCCTTATCTTTAGAGTGATTTCAACTTGATAGCATATCATTTTAAGTAGCAAATTAAATTGTTTTTTAGATATTTGCTTTCAGGTAGTTCTCTCTAAGGGCATAAGGAAATGAGATTGCACTCAGCCTTAAACAGTAACAAAATTCAACAGGTCTATTATGCTCTTCAAAATGTTCAAATAGTACAAATTATCTTTGTAAAAAGTAAAGCTAACTTATTCATATGCACTGAGAAAACATTCTTTTAGTTCCTAATACATAACATATGACTAATATAAACAATGGTCAACATTAGGAAGATTTTTTTCAAGCACATTAAATGTGTTTAATTTCTAGTACTTTACTTGGGTGAAGAATGTGTTTGTATCATAGAATATATTATTTTGTGGGAACCTATAATGATAAAATGTTAGATTGTATTTTGCTCTTCCTTAGAGAAGATTAATAAATTTGGCAAACTTGTGGCAATTCTCATTAAAGGAAGAGAAACAGTTTCTGCTTTTGTGAGTGATGGACTAGTGTTCTGTAGTGTAAACCTTATACTGGTACAATTTAGAAAAGCTGGCTAGGACATGTTTTTAAAAATATATTTGAAGGTTTCAGAGAGCTATCTCTAGGCAGCAAGGACAGGAGGGTTCAAGTATTTTGTTGCGGAGGCAAGTTCAGAATGGCAATTCTGACATTTGCCACTACTTTTCTCCTGAAATGTTTTCTGATTCATAAGCAGAGCTTAAAGGCCCACTGAAGAGGAAGAGCTCTGGTAAAGATTTCACGATTGGGATGCTCAGAGGACTAAGCCCCTAGGAGTCTAAATGAACTCAAAATACACTTTCTCTACTCACAAAGACTGTAGCATTGTAACATAGCTTTGGGTCTGCCCCTGTCCTAACTTCCCATCAAGACAAAAGTAAATGTTTTAGGGAGGAAGATATGATCATTCAGAGGTTTGTATGATTTCTATAATTTGTCATATACAGTGTCTAGCATTCAATCAAACTAACTGGCATATCAGGAAACAAATCCATTCTACCAAAAGGCACGAGAAAAAACAAGAAATGTCAATAGGCATATAGACTCTTCAGATATTGGAGTTATCAAAAACAACTTCAAAATAATTATTGTTAATATATTGTGAAATTAGATCATATATTCTTACAGAGGTCAGGAAGTTATAAAAAGAATCAACTACAAATCCTACATCCAAAATATAATTGAAATTAAGAGCTGGATAGTTATGTAGGTAGAGTTTAAGAGAATAGTAGACACATTTTTAAAATTATTACTCAAATATTTTATGAGGTCTCCATCTTTGTGTCTGATTAGATTATATAATTTCATATGTAGTTTGGTTTCAGGTTTTATGTTCTGTTTTTCCTATCTTCTACTTGGCAATGAAAAAAATTATTCAGTATTTTACTGAATACATTTTGATTTAAGGCCTGTTAAGAATTGAGTTTGGTGCTAGGTTCTAGGAGTACACAAATCCACACAATCCTTGCTCTCAATAAAGTGACAGTCATTGAACTCACACTCAGCACTGAAATGTTGGTTTTCCTAGAACAACCAGGCCCTTTCGGCATGGATGGACAGTATTATAGACTGAATATTGTGTTCCGCCAAAATTCAAAATTTCAAATCTAATCCCCAAAGTAATGACATTTAGAGGTAGGGACTTGGGGAGGTAATAAGGTCATGAGGCTGTCTTCATGAATGAGATTAGTGCCCTTATAAGAAGAGGCCAGAGAGGCTGGGTGCAGTGGCTCACGCCTGTAATCCCAGCACTTTGGGAGGCCGAGGTGGGCGGATCACAATGTCAGGAGATCGAAACCATCCTGGCTAACACAGTGAAACCCCGTCTCTACTAAAATTACAAAAAATTAGCCGGGCGTGGTGGCAAGCACCTGTAGTCCCAGCTACTCGGGAGGCTGAGGCAGGAGAATGGCATGAACCCGGGAGACGGAGGTTGCAGTGAGCCGAGATTGCGCCACTGCACTCCAGCCTGGGTGACAGAGTGAGACTCCATCTCAAAAAAAAAAAAAAAAAAAAAAAAAGGAAGATGCCAGAGAGCTGGCTTGCTGCTTTTCCTCCATATGGGGATATAAAGAAAGTTGTCGGTCTGCAGCTCAAAGAAGGTCTGCACCAGAATCTGACCATGCAAGATAGTATTCAGATCTTTGATTTCCAGCTTCCAGGACTGTGAGAAATACATTTTTGTTGTTTATAAGCCACCCAGTCTGTGGTGCTTTGTTAAAGCATCTTGAACTACAGGCATAATCATAGTGAGACTTGAAATTAGGATTAGGACAGTGGGAACTCTAAATCTTAAGAAATAGGCCTGGGGCTCTTCCATTCCTATTGCAAAAGGATGGCTCCTGTCCTTCAAGGACAGAATAATATATTTAAAAGCAAAGACTCAGAAGACAAAGTAGCTGAAATATCTTTAAATAGAAATTGATATTTTCTGGTTGAAAATCTGAAAGAGTGGTTTTGTAGTTTCACATGTTTATTATCATATAACATTCTTCAGGTATATTTGTTTGTTCCTTCTAGGTTGCAAGTAATGGAGACACTCAGATGGGTGTTTAATTTAAGGGAAGCAAGAAACTATCTTGGAAGATTCCCTGCTGGGCTTCAGGGAGAAAGCAAATTTCATACATTTTACTACACATGACCTGGGTCATCATTAAGACTGTTAGTTGCAAAGACTGTAAACTTGAGCTACCTCTAGATGGCTGTCTTTGGTTCAGTTATTAATCCACTGGTCTAGCCATCTGTGGCCAGGGATTGGAGTCACAGGGCTGTGTTGAAATATGATTGCGTAGCAATTGCTTTTTGCCTGAAGAACTTCTTTTGGTATTCCTTGTAAGGCTAATCTACTAGCAACAGATTCTCTGAGTTTTTGTTGATCTGTGCATGTCTTTATTTCAGCTTTATTTTTAAAGGATAGTTTTGCTGGATATAAGAATTTAGTAGACTGGGCACGGTGGCTTGTGCCTGTAATCCTACCACTTTGGGAGGTGGAGGTGGGAGGATCGCTTGAGTCCAGGAGTTCAAGACCAACCTGGGCAACATAGTAAGACCCTGTCTCTATGTAAAAGCAAAATTTAGCCAGGCATAGTGGTACATGCCTGTAGTCCCAGCTACTCAGGAGGCTGAGGTGAGAGGATCACTTGAGCCCAAGAGGTTGAGGCCGCAGTGGGCTGTGATCACACCACTGCACTTAGCCTGTTCTTACCTTTACATATCTGAGTCATTTCTAGTCATTTCTCTGAGTTGGTGTTTACCTTTATTCTTTTATCTCTCTCTTCATCAGATTGCATCATATCTATCGATAATCTTCAAGTTTGTGGATTCTTTCTTCTGCCAACTCAAATTTCACTTTTGGGGCTTTCAAGTGAGTTTTTCTTTCTTTTTTTTTTTTTCTTCTCTGTCACCAGGCTGGAGTGTAGTTGCGCGATCTCCACTCACTGCAACCTCCGCCTCCCAGGTTCAAGTGATTCCCCTGTCTCAGCCTCCCGAGTAGCCAGGACTACAGGCGCGTGCCACCACACCTGGCTAATTTTTTGTATTTTAGTAGAGATGGGGTTTCATCACGTTGGCCAGGATGGCCTTGATCTCCTGACCTCGTGATCCGTCTGCCTTGGCCTCCCAAAGTACTGGGATTACAGGTGTGAGCCACTGCGCCCGGCCTCAAGTAAGCTTTTTATTATAGTTATTATACATTTCAATTCCAGAATTTTTGTTTTTCAAAAATAATTTCCATCTCTTTACTGATATTGCTATTAGATGAGACATTATCTTACATTTTAAAAAAATGTTTTTCTTTAGTTTTTTGAACATATTTTTACTAGCTGATTTGAAATCGTTGTCTCCTACGTTTGACATGTAGGCCCATTCAAAGGCTGTTTTATATTGTATCCTCTTTTTCATTTGTATAAGTCACACTTTCCTATTTCCTTGCATGTCTTGTAACTTTTTTTGAGATTAGACATTTTAGATAATTTTTGTATTAACTTTGAATACTGATTCGTTCTCTACCTTTTGGGTTTTTCTGTCTTGGGTTTTTTTTAGTAGTTTAGTGAATTGGCTGGAATAGTTCAGTGAAACCTATTTTCCCTGCAGTGTGTAGCCACTGATGTCACTTCTCCATCATGTGTGTAGTCTCTATTGCTGTCTGGGATAACTATAGCTTTAACTGGGTTCTCTTTGATTGTCTAGTTCCCTGATCTCATTAAGCTTTGGTTGGTCTAATTCTGTTGATATCTCACTCAATTTTTAGCCTCTGCTAATTCACTGATTGCTACCTAGTTGTTCCTTTTTTTTTTTTTTTAAACAATAACGTAGCACATACATTGTGCCATAGTCTAACTTAATTAAAGTTGACCTCTTAGCAGGATTAGGGTTTTGCCAATCTTTGGGGCATTCTCAGACTCCCAAGAGGGCTCTTAGCCGTCTCTTTGTTTGATTTTTTTGTTAGCTGATCCACTGTTTTACTTGTTGCTACCAGTCTTACAAAATTACGATTCTCTTAGCTGATCACTCTCCAGATCTCCATTGTTTTTGACAGCGTCCTTAGCCGTCAATTTCCTCATGCCTTGTTCCAGATAAAGTCAGTCTCCTTAGGTAAAGCTTTTGAACTCTCTGTTCATAAGGCCTCTCCCTCTCAGCACGATCTTGCACAACTGTAGTGGAGCTTTTGGTAGAGACTATAGTCTGCTTCCTGCCAGAATGATACCCCTACTTAGGAAGTAGGGTGCTGGCTGGGCATGGTAGCCCCTGATCATCTCAGCTTGCCTCTTCTGTTGTAGAACATTCACTGTTTGAGTGAATTGGAGTATGGGTAATTGGGTCTCCCATTCTTGGCCTGCCACACCTTCTGCTCTACAAGTTGGGGCTGATTGGGGGAAGGAAGCCCCAGTCTTTTAGCTCTGTCTTCCTGGAATGGAGCCTCCGCAATACCAAGCTAGGGGCCTGCCGCTCTGTGGGTGAATCTGTAGCCCTATACTGAGAGCAAGGGTGAGAGGAAACTGTGTCTTTTTGACTATGCCTGTCTAGAGTGGAGATTCAGACAACTGAGTTGGGAGGGGACAGGATGGGAATAGCTTGTGACTCAGATGCCATAGATACTGATTATTCTTATCAAGATTTTTAATAGATTGTCTTAAATAAGTATTTCTTTAAAAAATGTATACAAATTTAAGGGGTATAAGTGTAGTTTTCTTACATGGATATATTGCATAATGGTGAAGTCTGGGTTTTTTTTTTGTGTTGCCATCATGGGAATAATACACATTGTACCCATTAAGAAACTTCTCATCTCAAACTTCCCTCCCACCCTCTGGGTCTCCAGTATCTATTATTCCACGTGGGTCTCCAGTATCTATTATTCCACACTCTATGTCCATGTGTACTCATTATTTACCTTCCACGTATAAATGAGAACACGCAGTATTTGACTTTCTGTTTTTGAGTTGTTTCACTTAATCATAATGGACCCCAGTCTCATCCATGTTGTTGCAAAAGACATGATTTCCCTGTTTTTATGGCTGAATAGTATTCCATTTTGTGTGTGTGTGTATACACACCACATTTTCAAAAATCCATTCATCCATTGATGGACATGTACACTGATTCCTTATCTTTGCCATTGTGAATAGTGCTGCAATAAACATACAAGTGCAGGTGTCTTTTTAATATAATCATTTCTTTTCTTTCATGTTGATTCTCAGTAGTGTGATTGCTGGCTTGAACAGTAGTTCTATTTTTTAGTTATTTTTGAAATCTCCATACTACAATCCATAAGGTTGTACTAATTTACATTTCCATCAACAGTGTACCAGCATTGCCTTTTCCTCCACAACCTCATCAACATCTGGCATTTTTTGATGTTTTAATAATAACCATTCTGACTGGTGTAAGGTGATATCTCATTGTGGTTTTAATTTGCATTTCTCTGATGATTAGTGATGTTGGGCATTTTTTCATATGCTTGTTGGCCATGTATGTCTTCTTTTGAAAAATGATTGTTCTTGTTCTTTGTCCACTTTTTAATGAACTTATTATTATTATTGTTATTTCGTTGAGATGTTAGAGTTCCTTGTAAATTCTGTTTATCAGTCAGATGTATAGTTTACAAATATTTTCTCCTATTCAGCAGGTTGTCTGTTCACTCTGTTGATTTTTTTCTTTTGCTGTGCAGAAGTTTTTTTTTGTTTGTTTCTTTTTGCCTTTTTGAGACGGAGTCTCGCTCTGTTGCCAAGGCTGGAGTGCAGTGGCACAATCTCGGCTCACTACAATCTCTGCCTCTCAGGTTCAAGCAATTCTCCTGCCTCAGCCTCCTGAGTAGCAGGGATTACAGGTGAGCGCCACCACTTCTGGCTAATTTTTTGTATTTTTAGTAGAGACAGGGTTTCACCATGTTGGTCAGGTTGGTCTCGAACTCCTGACCTCGTGATTTGCCTGCCTCAGCCTCCCAAAGTGCTGGGATTACAGGCATGAGCCACCGCGCCTGGCCCAGAAGCTTTTGAATTTAATTAAGTCCCATTTGTCTGTTTTGTTTTTGTTGCTTGTACTTTTGAGATCTTAATTATAATTTCTTTGCTTAGACCAACGCCCAGAAGAATTTTTCATAGGTTTTCTTCTAGTATTTTTATAGTCATGTCTCACATTTAAAGACTTACATTGAGTTGATTTTTGTATATGGTGAGAGGTAATGGAATAAATACATTTTTGTTTGCCCTGGCCCTTAGGACAGTTTCCAGATACAATACATTATTTTTTCTTTTTTTTACCAATAATTTTTTTTTTAACCAAATAATGGTGGATTGTGCTAGGAAGAGGATCTGGTGAGCTCTTTAAACTATCTTTCTGGAAGTCCTTCTCTTTGAGAGAAATAGTGTAACAGAAGAAAATATTTACTCTGAATAATAAGGGGACAAAATGATAGAAAATACAGAAAAGTTCATAAGAGATATATGGGGCATAGTAAATAGGTCTGAAATTCTAATATAGATATAGATAATTGGAGTCCTAAAGACAGAGAGAGAGACGAGGGCAGAAGCAATATTTGAAGAGAAAATACATCAATTCACATATTTTAGAAGCTCTAAGAACCCCAGGTAAAATGAATGCAATGAAAATCACATCTAGATATATTTTTGTGAAATTAGTAAAACCATCTTGAATGTGCAGAATCTCAAATGCAGCAAGAGGCAAGGGAGACGTGTTACCTTAAAAGATCAAATTGGAAACAAGAAGAATAGAAACATATTTCAAAGTGCTGCAACAAAATAATTGCCAACCTAGGTTCATATCCAGTGAAGTTCTCTTTAAAAAGTAGAAAGTAATTTCTGCGCAACAAAAATTGATTAATTGAATTTCAGCAGTACAGCACTAAGGAAAGTATATAAAAATTTTTTCTCAAGGAGAAACAAAGAACAAAGATGTAGCAGTTAATGAAGTTCAATATATAGGATAAAAGTTTGGGAAAAGTCTAGATGAATATAGACCTAGAAAACAGTAATGCTCTTATTTAGATTATTTATAAAACTAGAATTGCATCAATAATACTGCTTAATTTTGGAAAGTGTGTATTGTGTTAATATGGTTTAAAGTTCTCAATTCTAAAGTGAAGAAAGTTTTAAAATTACAAATTTATATGTTAACAAATCAAGGATGTATATAGTAATTTTTAGTGTATTACTAAAATAAGAATAATGAATATATACTTTCCAAGCTCATACACAGGAGAAAATAAAACAATTGTAAAAAGTAATTGTTTCTACATGAAAACAAAGAAAATCTTCACAACATTTGGATGAACAGTGATTTCTTAGGACACCAAAAACATGAATCATAATTGAAAAAAAATTATAAACTAGACTTTAACAAATTTCAAATATACAAAAATCAACTCAAGATGGATTAAGGACTTAAATGTAAAATGTAAAACTGTAAAAACCCTGGAAGAAAACCTAGGAAATGCAATCATGTACGTAAGCCCTGGCAAAGACTTCATGACAAAAACTCCAAAAGCAATTGCAACAAAAACAAAAATTGGCAAGTGACATCTAACTAAAGAACTTCTACACAGCAAAAGAAACTATCAACGGAGTAAACAGACAACCTACAGAATGGGAGAAAATATTTACAAATTATGCATCTGACAAAGGTCTAATATCCAGATTGTGTAAGAAACTTAAATAAATTAATGAGCAAAAACAAACAACCCCATTAAAAAATACGCAAAGGACATGAAAAGACACTTCTCAAAAGAAGACATGCACATGGCCAACAAGCATATGAAAAGATGCTCAACATTACTAATCATTAGAGAAATGCAAATCAAACACACAAGGAGATACCACCTCACACCAGTCAGAATGGCCATTAATGAAAAGTTAAAAAAACAAACAAACAGACAAAAACAGGCCGGGCGCGGTGGCTCACGCTTGTAATCCCAGCACTTTGGGAGGCTGAGGTTGGCGGATCACGAGGTCAGGAGTTCCAGACCAGCCTGACCAACATGGTGAAACCCCGTCTCTACTAAAAATACAAAAATTAGCCAGGTGTGGTGGCACGTGCCTGTAATCCCAGTTAGGAAGCTGAGGCAGGAGAATCGCTTGAACCCAGGAGATGGAGGTTGCAGTGAGCCGAGATCGTGCCATTGCACTCCAGCCTGGGCAACAGAGCGAGATTCTGTCTCAAAAACAAACAACAACAACAACAACCAGAGGCAAGGTTATGGAGAAAGGGAACGCTTATCCATTGCTGATTGCAGTGTAGATTAGTTTACCCACTGTGGAAAGCAGTTTCTAGATTTCTCAAAGAGCTTAGAACAGAGCTACCATTAAACCCAGAAATCCCATTACTGGGTATATACTGAAAGGAATATGAGGCTTTCTACCATAAAGACATATAGGTGTCTATGTTCATTGCAACACTATTCACAATAGCAAAGAAATGGAATCAACCTACATCCCCATCAACAGTGGACTGGATAAATAAAGTGTGGTACATATACACCATGGAATACTACACAGCCATAAAACTAATGAAATCATGTCCTTTGCAGCAACATAGTTGGAGCAACTGGAGGCCATTATCCTGAGCCAATTAACTCAGGAACAGAAAACCAAATACTGCATGTTCTGTCTTATAAGTGGGAGCTAAACAGTGATTACACATGGGCTCAAAGAAAGGAACAATAGACACTGTGGCCTACTGGAGGGTGGAGGGTGATAGTAGAGTGAGGACTGAAAAACTAAAACTATATATTGGGTACTATGTAAATCCCCATGACATGCAATTTACCCATGTAACAAACCTGCACATGTGCCCCTGAACCTAAAATAAAAATTGGAAAAAATTTAAAAACATAAATCTTGTGGAAAATCAAAAAGATAAAGTTTTTGCTTTATGCAGGGTACCAAAGGACTGTTATCATCTATCTATCTATCTATCTATCTATCTAATACATGCGTGTGCACACACACACACACACAGACGCAGAAGAGAGATAATAACCAAAGGACTGTTACCTGTCTATCTGGATAATACATACATACAAACACACCCACACTCTCAAACACACACACACACACACACACACACATATGTCTGTACACACACACATACACACACAAACACACAAACTAGGGTTTCTGCCCTAGTCTCTCTTCTGCCTATATATATATGCCATTTTCTGAATGATTTTAAAATAACTTTTTAAAATAAAGCAACAGGTACCAATAAAGCACTTGTGAAAATTCAACATCCATTAGTTAGAGAAACTCTTAAGAAAAAGAATGAGATGGAGACTTAATCTCAAAAGAAACAAACAAAAATCAAAAACTAAGAGCTGCTGGTGAGGCTGTGGAGTCATTTTTACACTATTGGTGGGAATGTAAATTAGTTCAACCATTCTGGAAGACAGAGTGGCAATTCCTCAAAGACCTAGAACCAGAAATACCATTTGACCCAGTAATCCCATTACAGGGTATATACCAAAGGGATAAAAATCATTCTATTATAAAGATTCATGCACATGTATGTTCATTGCAGCACAATAGCAAAGACATGGAATCAACCCAAATGCCCATCAATGATAGGCTGGATAAAGAAAATGTGGTACATATATACCATGGAATATGATGCAGCCATAAAAAGGAGTGAGATCATGTCCTTTGTAGGGACGTGGGTGGAGCTGGAAACCATTAACCTCAGCAAACTAACACAGGAACAAAAAACCAAACACCGCACATTCTCACTTATGATTGGGAACTAAACAAGGAGAACACATGGACATAGGGAAGGGAACAACACACACTGGGGTCTGTGGGGGGCATTAGGGGAGGGAGAGCATCAGGAAAAATAGCTAATGCATGCTAAACTTAATACCTAGGTGATGGGTTGATAGGTGCAGCAAACCACCATGGCACCCATTTACCTATGTAACATACCTGCACATCCTACACATGTATCTCAGAACTTAAAATAAATAGAAATTCTTTCATCAAAGAAAAGCCCAGGATCAGATGGGTTCACTGTGGAATTCTACCAGGTGTATAGAGAACTAATACCAATCTTCCCAAAGTATTTTTAAAAACTGAAGAGGTGGCAATTATCACTAATGCATTGTACAAGACCAACATTACTCTGTTACCAAAACCAGACATGGACATAACCTAAAAAGAAAACTACAGGCCAACATTCCTGATGAACATAGATGGGAAAGAAAAAAACCTCAACAAAATACAAGGAAATCAAATCCATTCATTTCTTGTAGGAAGCATATAGTTAGGTCACATTTTTAAAAATCCATTCAGTCAATCTATATGTTTTAATATGAGAATTTAATTTAATTACATTCAGGTATATTATTGATATGTGAGTTTTTTTTCTTGTCGAATTGTTCATTGTTTTCTGGCTGTTTTGTATATTCTTTTTTTTTTTTTTTTTTTTTTTTTGGAGATGGAGTCTTGCTCTGTCGCCCAGGCTGGAGTGCAATGGCGCGATCTCGGCTCGCTGCAAGCTCCGCCTCCCAGGTTCAGGCCATTCTCTTGCCTCAGCCTCCCGAGTGGTTGGGACTACAGGCGTCTACAATCATGCCCGGCTTATTTTTTGTATTTTTAGTAAAGACGGGGTTTCACTGTGTTAGCCAGGACGATCTCGATCTCCTGACCTCGTGATCCTCCCAGCTTGGCCTCCCAAAGTGCTGGGATTACAGGCATGAGCCACTGTGCCTGGCCTGTTTTGTATATTCTTTATTCCTTTCTTTTTTGCTTATTGTCCTTGTTGTTGTCCTTGTGGTTTGCTGATTTTCTGTGGTGGTACCAATTTGAGTCTTTTTTTTATTTTTATGTTTGCTTTTTCAGTGAGTTTTATATCTTCATGTGTTTTCATTGTGGTAACTGCTGTCCTTTCACTTTCAGGTTTAAGACTCCCTTGAGCATTTCTTGCAATAGTGGTGTAGTGGTTTTGAATTCCCTAGGTTTGGCTTGTCTGTGAGACAATTTTTTTTTATATATGAAAAATAATATTATTGGTTATGCTTTTTCCCCTGCTTTTGTACCTCAAATATATCTTCCCATTCCCTCTTGGTATATAAAGTTTCTGCTGAGAAGTTCACCGTTAGTCTGATGTGGGCTCATTTATAAGTGATTAGATGCTTTCCTCTTTGGTGGTTTTAGAATTTCCTCTTTGTGATTCACTTTAGACAGTTTGACTATAATGTGCCATGGAGAATATCTTTTTGTATTGTATCTTATTGGGGATCCCTGGGCCATCTGTATCTTGTTGTCTAAATATTTCTCAAGACTTGAGAAGTTTTTATCTATTATTTTGTTAAGTAGGTTTTTGAATCACTTTCTTTCCTCCTCACCTTAGGTGTACTGATAATTCATATATTTGGTCACTTTTTGGTATCTCATATATCATGTCTGCTCTGTTTCTTCTTTTTTTTTAAAATTCTGATTGAATCATTTTAAAGGACTGGTCTTCAATTTCTGAGATTCTCTCTTCAGCTTGGTGTAGTCTGTTATTGACGACTTCAAGTGTGTTTTGTATTTCATTCAAGGAATTCTTCAATTCCAGAATTCTTGTCTGGTTCATTTTTATGATATCTGTATCATTCATACGTTTCTCATTTATATCCCAAATTGTTTTTCTGACTTCCTTCTATTATTTGTTTGTAATTTTTTTGTCTTTCACTGAGCTGCTTTAGTTTCACAATTTTGAATTGTGTTTTCAGAATTTTGTGAATTTCCTTTTGATTGAGATAGTTTGCTAGGGAATTACTGTTTTCCTTTGAAGGTGTTGTATTTCCTTGCTTTTTCATGCTTCCTGCATTCTTACATTGATATCTGTATATCTGTCGTAATAGTTGTTTTTTTCCAACTTTTTGAATTTGCTTTCATAGGGGAGGAATGTTTCCTGAAGACACATTAGTGGCGTTGGTTGGGAAGGGCCCTTAGGCTTTTATTCTGGGTGCATGTGGTAGCATAGTCTCTGTATGATTTCTTCAGCTGTAAACAGCGTCAGTGGTATCCATTGTTTTCTTGGTGGTTTAGGGTACAGTTATTAGTGGAGGCTGTGGTGAATTTTTCCTGGTGATAAAGGTGTCAGGTAGGTAAGTCTTTCGGTCTTCATAGTGGCAATGGTGGGCCGAGCATGCCTGATCTTGGGCTCCAGGGCAGATTTTGGGTCTTCATATGGCTTGCTTGCATGCAGGTAGTGGTAGCGGTGGTCCAGGTTGGTGATTGTGTTCTCAGATCCCTAAGCAGGTGCTGCGGTATGAGTGATGGCAGTAGCAGTGGTGAGATGACCCTCTGGGTTCCAACAGGTGTATGCTGGTGTTGTTGGTAGGTACAGTACAGGGTTCCCACACACAGCCCAGACATGCAGCTCTCAGGCTCTCCTGCTTTCTATGGCAACAGTACTGCAGAGTCATGCAGAGGTGGGGAGGGATCCTGACCTTACACAAGCCTGGGCACAGAGGTTATGCTGCCAGTGGGGCATAGTTGCCATGCACAGCCCCATACAGGCAGACATCTGGCTACTGTATTGGCTGTGCCTGCAGCAGTTTGCAGAAGGGCAAAAGGTGTCTCACTTTTCTATTTGTGAGTCTGAGCACAGAGACCACTGCCAGTGGGAGGGGATCTCACTCTCTGCTTGTGAGGCCAAGCATAGAGTTTGTGCCACTACTGGTGGTGGGGTCACTTCTCCTGGTCCCAGACAATGAGTTCTTGGGCTCTGGAAGGTGCTTGCCTTGGTATCCTTTGTTTCAGGGGCTGCTTTTTTGATGTGCTCTATCCTTCTTTCCCTGGGACATACTTCCTGTGTGCTAGAGTACTAGGGACCCTGCACTATCTTTGGGTTCAGCCAGTTCTGTGCTGCTGTAGCCTTCTGGGGGACACAGGGAGATGTCCGTGGGCACCCAGGATGTGTAGATGTTGGGACTGTCGTTCCAGGGCAGGATGTAGACCTATGATGGCTGTGCTCTCACAGTGGCACCCAGCTGTAGCTGCTTAGGTCTCTGTGTTGGGGTGAGTAACCTAGCACAAGTTCCCGTCTGGTGCAGGGCCCTTACGGGATGTTCAGATCTCTGTCCTTGCTAGTGTTAGGGTTCATGTGGATAAAGGAGCTCTCCAGTGTTTCAGATTGCAGCAGTTTGTGGTGGGAATGTGAACAGCTGAAGTTCTCTCACTTACCCTTTTTCTGTAAAACCTAGCCCCGCTGGGTCTTCAGCTGATCCCAGTTGAGCTGGTCTCTTACTTCCTGTACCTTGTTAGCCCCTGGTGTTTCCTGAGACTTCTCTGTTAAACTCTAGTGTTCTCTCCTCGATGTTCTATTTGAGGTATGAGACTCTATTTGTAATTTTGGTTCTTGCTTCTGCAGAGAGCGGGTGTCTGTGTCTCTAGTTAGCCATCTTGAATTCAAATTGACCTAAATTTTTAACTTTAATAGTTAATTTTACTTAATTTAAACATAAGTAGAAATTAATAGGTGGCAATGTGATTGGATGGTGTGAAATTGGGTTAGGAGCCATGTCTTGAATTCTTAGTGGCATAGAAAGTACCCTGATTTTACTTTAATTATTTGAATATTGGGTGGCTTTATGGGGAAGGTGTTGATGCATTTTATTGAGGGCCTGATTAAAGAAAAATCACCCAAAGCCACCCCTTTCCATGTCTACTTGAATAAAAAAAAAGATTATTATATTTATTTGAAACAATATTTATTTTTGAAAAACAAGGTCTCTCATCTATATAGCTTTCCTTAGTTTCTGTTTCCTCCTCATGTTTAAAATAGAAAAATTGCTTTCTTCCAAGTGCACAAAGTTACTGTATTATGTGAGATAATGTGTCTATTCTCTTTCAAATAAACCATAATGCTCTATAATGATGTAAGCCAATAATATTAGGTGTTGTGTTATATTTAGTTTCTCTCCCTCAATATTTGTTTTATATTTCAGAATAACTTTTTTTTTAAATTGATCTGTGTAATTTCTCTTAGTCTTCTCTGCTGCCACATTAATATTGGTGAGATATAGGTGTATGTCTTTTATTGATACTTGCTTTGGCCTATCGCATTTCATAGCAAATGTATAACCAAGTTGTTCTACCTCAATCAAAAGCAGTCTCAAATACCAATCTACTTTAAGCAGAAGAGTTTTATCCTATTTTTATTAAAATTTTCTTCTCCCAAAGTGCCTACTTTAAACATCAGAGTTGCAGTATTGAAATTATCAGTCTAATAGGGTGTGAGATAAATTAAGAAAACAGAAATGTACTTTGAGATATGTGTTCCAGGGTCAGAATTTCCCTCGTGCATTACTGAGGCCTAGATGTTAATTACATGTCCCTTGTGTTTTAAGTTAAACACTCTGAAGAAATGTGTATTTAAAATCTTCCATGTAGTGAACATCTAGTGAATGAAAGAGAAGTTAATATTTTATTTCTTCCCAAAGAGATGAGTGTATTTAATTAATAGAACATGATTTTCTGTAGTTTGCTTAAGTTTAGTATCATGTTTTATTAAAAAGTACAAAGAGGTTGTATGAAGCCTCTCGTAGGATTTGTTTGGAAATAACTATTTTTAATCACTAAGACTGAAGAACCTATTATTTGGGATTGATATTGTTTGTGTGTTTCTGCTCCATTTGGCAAAAAGAAAATGATAATGGCATATGTGGTCAAAATTAGAATGATAGAGAAGACAGTAGGCTATATTTTAAAGGAATAATATATGGGATATGGTTATTACCATGGCCCCTGATGTTTTATTTGTCTGCTAATTCACTCATTAAGAATTTGAATCAAGTTTTAAAGATTGTTAGTAGTTTTGCTTGAGTTGAAAAGAATTGACTAAAATGTTAATATAGTATTCTACTTTCAACCAATCACTACTTTAAAAAACACCATTTGAAATGGTATGGTCTCAATGAATGACAGCCTAATTTAGCTTCATGTAGGTATAGTTCAGGGCTCCCAGACTTCCTTTGATTGATTGGAGTTCTTTTATTCAAAGAGACTTGCCTTAGTTCTGACTGTGGAAAATTGATTACTTGTGCTCTCAGTATCAGTTCATGAAACACTCAAATTATACTGAAATGAATAAATTAAGTTCATCAAGACATGCAAGCATATGTCAAACTAATTTCCCAATAGAGATGAGTAGGGGATGGCTTGATTGAGAATCTGAAAATTTCAGGTGAAACTCCATTAAATTTGTTAATTCTTTAGTTTATTCAATAAAAGCAAAACTTTATAATATCAGTTAGGGGTTAGTACTGGAAATAAAACTGCTCTAGTGTTCTATTAGTAAGTGTTTATAATATCATTGGCAGACTTGGCCCTGCTTAGGCTTCCAGGGATTGGGAAGCTGCTGCTGCAAAGGCCTCTTAGCTAGGACAAAGGGCGAGATCCACTACAGAACAAAATAAATAATGTCTGTATGACTAGTAGCATACAGTATGACTATACTGTATGACTAGTATGCCCAAATTAGCAAGAATATGGTCCCTGCCTCATTTCCACATTCCAAATCTCTAAACATTGCATCTAATTGACAGATCCTAATTTTTATCCCAAAACCTAGAGATTTATCTAGGTTAAATCTCCTAGATTTATCTAGGTTATCAAGGTTTGGGATAAACCTTGAGGTTTATCCCAAAACCTCAAGAGAGTGCTGAGTATTCAGTTTTGGGATTTCCATATGATAGGAGAACATGTTAGAGGGAGGTGGCAATGGGGGCTGATTGCTATTGGGTTGTACATGACAGTGCCAGTAATCAGGTTTTCTTTTAGTTGAAGAACAGGAACTTGCCTTGTATTTTTCATTGCCCTTGAGCAGCCTTGTGTCCATAGTTGGCACCCAAGTGAATGTCGGTTGAATTCATGTTAATCTTAATATCACATTTATAAATACATATACACACATCAGTAATGTTATATGCAATATACAATTTCTTTGAAGATTTTTTAAAGCATCTACTCCATTTTAGTTTAGTTAAAACTAAAGCATCTCTAAATGCAATTAACTGGTCACAAGGAAACTGTAAAACGTTCCAACAAGCTAGAACTCAGTCTGATTTCAATAAATACAAAATAGGAATACAATTTATATATATATGTATATATATGTTTTTACACTTGAGTCAGCTATTTTTCTCACTGTGGTATTTGTATCCCATTTAGATGCAGCGTTTATATTCATTCAATATTTTCATTTTGTCCCTATTTTAAAGAAGTCATATTTTGGACAGGGATTAGTTTAATTTTTGTTCATAGGGTCAGTATTATAGATAATTAATTGAATTATATTTCAAGTGGCGTTCTATCATTGGCTTGTCTACCACTTATTAGCTTTAATGTTACTGCATTTCCCTTGGAGAGAATGGAACTTTATATGCCTGTGTTTGAAATATCATTATCATTGCAGTATATGATTTTGATACATTTAGGCAATTGCTACTTTTCACTGTACTGTGCTTCTGGAAACTGTATTATGAAACACATCATTGCAGTTTGGTTTGTGTGTTTTTATATAAGAAATATTGTAATTAATTGTGTGCATACCAAAGTTTTATAAACAAAACACTTATATTAAAATGAATTTTTCATTAATTCAAAGTTATAAAAACTTTTAATTATTTAAAAATGATTAAAATTTTAAAATTATTCTTTATGTTCTGTAAAATGAGTATAATGTAAACATCCACATAATTTTGCAGTACACATGTTTATTCTAGTATACTAAAAAGTTTGTTTTATATATATGTAAATATATAAAAATGTAACTGTAAATCTACAACTATTGTATCATGTATATGGTATACCAATAACTGACAGTTTAGCTAGTATAAACATTAATAATTTATGGTTAATTTTTTTGTCCTAAAATTTAGAAGAGGTTTTCTCAGATATCATAAAACTGGGAAAAAGGAATAAATTGAACAAGTGGCTTTTTTTCTTCACTAATTATTCAGGATGAAATAGAGGCTTTACAAATAATTGATTTTCCATTTGTCCTGTCCCTTATCTTGGGGTCATTCTTTTTAAATGTTGTAGAGTCAAATTAATTTGCAGTCTTACAAAAAGCTTTACTTGTGAATATTTGGGAGTGGTGTCTTGTTGATCAGATTCACATGTTGATCTTTTTTCTCTTCCCCATTTTCCTCTCCTTTACTCACACTGGTATTAAGGGAACTTTGATCCTGAAAGAAGACAGTGCTAGGCATACTTTGGCATGAGTGGTGTTGGGAGCTGTGTGACTTCCGGGATTGGCTGGCATGGGAATTCATTTTATTTCCTCCACCTCTGTTTCTGTCTCTTTTTTCCCCACTGCCCACTCTTTTTCTTTTTAATACTTTTAGTAGTAACTGTTAAATTAACTTCTTTTGTTTCCTTAGCCACTACCTATTTTTTTTTTTTTTAACATAGGGCTGTTGTTTTGAAGAAAGTATCATTTCTTCCTTCACCATAAAATCAGATAAAGGCACTCAGGAATGAGGTGTTAGCATATACTAGGCAGCATAAATTTGGAAGAGAGGCAAGATTTGAAATAGAGCACAAAGAATGGCTCATATATATCACATTTATTAAAAATAACTGTTAGATGTCGGTCTTGCCTACTATGCCCTGTGGTTCTCTGGAGCAATAGAACACAGAAATATGCTATCTTATTCATCTTCATGTCTCAGCAACTAGGATATTGCTGAATGCAGTAAATATTTATTGAATTGAATGAAAACGTGTATTGTCTTCAGAAAAACTGACAAATGCGTTCTTTCCTTTTTCAGTCTTTCAAATGCCACAGTTTGTTCTTATGTATGATAAGCCAGCTCCATTGGATTTGGTTGCTGAAATTCAATTCAGATGAGAAAAGAATTGGTTCTAAAAGTCCATTCCTGTTTAAAAGGATTATGTTCAATTATTTTTAATGTTGCCATAATATTTAATATCCTAGTGTTAGCATAAAGTCTTTTGGTGATTAATCTTTCTCAAGCACATACCTAATCATGTTATTCTCCTGCTAGAAAACCTTTGAAAGCTTAAACTGGATTTCAGTATCCAAGTCAATTTCTGACCTTACTTTTCTTTTTTTTTCTTTATTTCTTCTAAAAAATAAAAAAAAACGGGATACATGTGCAGAACATGGAGGTTTGTTACATAGGTTATATGTGTGCCATGGTGGTTTGCTGTACCTATTGACTCATACTCTAAGTTCCCTCCCCTCACCCCCCACTCCCCAACAGGCCCCCCTGGTGTGTGTTGTTCCTCTTTCTGTGTCCATGTGTTCTCAATGTTCAACTCCCACTTACGAGTGAGAGCATGCGGTGTTTGGTTTTCTGTTCCTGTGTTAGTTTGCTGAGGAGGATGGCTTCCAGCTTCATCCAGATCCCTGCAGAGGACACGATCTCATTCCTTTTTATGGCTGCATAGTATTCCATGATGTATATATACCATATTTTCTTTATCCAGTCTATCATTGATGGGAATTTGGGTTGATTCCATGTCTTTGCTATTGTAAATAGTGCCGCAATAAACATACGTGTGCATATATCTTTATAATAGAATGATTTATATTCCTTTGAGTATATACCCAGTAGTGGGATTGCTGGGTGAAATGGTATTTCTGGTTCTAGATTCTTGAGGAATCACCCTACTGTCTTCCACAATGGTTGAACTAATTTACTTTCCTACCAACAGTGTAAAAGTGTTCTTGTATCTCCACAGCCTCACCAGCATCTATTATTTCCTGACTTTTTAATAATTGCCATTCTGACTAGCATGAGATGGTATCTCATTGTGGTTTTGATTTGCATTTCTCTCATGATCAGTGATGTTGAGCTTTTTTTTTTTTTTTTTTTTTTTTTTTGGGGAGACAGAGTCTCACACTGTCACCCAGGCTAGAGTGCAGTGGCACAATCTCGGCTTACTGCAACCTCCGCCTCCTGGGTTCAAGCGATTCTCCTGCCTCAGCCTCCCAAGTAGCTGGGACTACAGGCACCCACCACTGTGCCCAGCTAATTTTTTGTATTTTTAGTAGAGACGGGGTTTCACTATGTTGGCTAGGCTGATCTCAAACTCCTGACCTTGTGATCTGCCTGCCTCGACCTCCTAAAGTCCTGGAATTACAGGTGTGAGCCACCGCATCTGACCGATGTTGAGTTGTTTTTTCTTATGTTTGTTTGCCACATAAATGTTGTCTTTTGAGAAGTGTCTGTTGATATCCTTTGCCCACTTTTTGATGTGGTTGTTTGTTTTTTTTTCTTCTAAATATGTTTAAGTTCCTTCTCAATAAATGC
This sequence comes from Homo sapiens, assembly GCF_000001405.40. NCBI lineage: Eukaryota > Metazoa > Chordata > Mammalia > Primates > Hominidae > Homo > Homo sapiens. The sequence goes on along the minus strand of NC_000014.9, from coordinate 80,801,480 downwards.
AGCAAAAGGCCTTTGATAAAATTCAGCATCTCTTCATGTTAAAAACTCTCAATAAACTAGGTATTGATGGGACGTATGTCAAAAACTAGTAAGGGATATTTATGACAAACCCACAGCCAATATCATATTGAATGGGCAAAAGCTGGAAGCATTCCCTTTGAAAACCGGTACAAGACAAGGATGCCCTCTCTCACCACTCCTGTTCAATATAGTATTGGAAGTTCTGGCCAAGGCAGTCAGGCAAGAGAAACAAATAAAGGCATTCAAATAGAAAGAGAGGAAGTCAAATTGTCTCTGTTTGCAGATGAAATGATTTTATATTTAGAAAACCCCATCATCTCAGCCAAAAAAGTCCTTGAACTCATAAGCAAGCTGACCTTATTTTTTAATCTCTCTTTAGCCCTCTCAAGCTATTACTTGTCATAATCAGCCACCAGTGGTGAAATCTGTTGCCCATATGTTTTTTGGTAGTGAATGTTCGTTTCCTTTCCATAAGTGACCCAATCTTTTCTCTTCTTCACATTTTAGTTTGCCTTCTTTCTCATGTTTCATTTCTCTTCTTTCTGAGGTCTTGCTGAACAGAGTAGTTTCTCTTGAAACATACTAACTTAAATCTGGTTTCTAATAGTTAATAGCAATGTCTGTTCTCTCCTGCTCATTCATATGCACCCCAATCAGTACTTATACTGAAGTACTTCCTTAGTGCCTAACCTAGTGTCTTTAACATAGAAAGGAATAAATAACTAGTCGATGCCTGGTTTAGTTTTAACACAAGTCAACCTTATCCTGTGATTTTTTTTTCTCAGTTCACAAACATTTAGGAAACACCTCTGCATCAAGATCGTATGATTCCTCTTCAGGAGTTCCTCTTGTCTAGAAGGAACATGGCAACTTAGTTATTAAAGGGGTCATTTGAATAGTATCCAAATCATTATCATAGTGAAGTGGAATCAATACTGGATTGAATATTAGGGACCTGTGTTTAGTCCTTTCTCTGCCAAAAACTATCTGCCTTATCTTGGATTGATCACTCTTCCTGTGCCTCAATTTCCTGATCTGTAAAATGTAGACATTGGATTATGTCACTAATTCTAACATTGTTGCTAGCAAGATATAAAAAGTTCTCTTTATCGAGTTCCTAAAATGTGTCAGTTACTCTTTTGGGTGCTTTATCTTCATGTAGGTTATCATTCCTCTGGAAGTCGGTGTTATTGAGTCCATTTTATAAGTGACATTGTATCGGGGGAACCTGTCCCCAGTATTTCAGTGTAGGTTCTTTCTATTTTCCATAAGAAATAAAGAGTACAAAGAGAGGAATTTTACAGCTGGGCCACTGGGGGTGACATCACATATCGGTAGGACTATGATGCCCACCTGAGCCTCAAACTAGCAGGTTTTTTATTAAGGGTTTCAAAAGGGGAGGGGGTGTAAAACAGGGAGTAGGTACAAAGATCACATGCTTCAAAAGGCAAAAAGCAGAACTACTAATAAGGGTCTAACAAAGATCACATGCTTCTGAGAGAACAGGACAAAGGGAAAAAGCAGAACCACTGATAAGGGTCCAACAAAGATCACAGGGCAAAGGGTAAAAGCAGAACTACTGATAAGGGTCTATGTTCAGCGGTGCACTTATTGTCTTGATAAACATCTTAAATAACAGAAAACAGGGTTCGAGAGCAGAGAACCAGTCTGACCACAAATTTACCAGGGGCAGAGTTTTTCCCCACCCTAGTAAGCCTGAGGGTACTGCAGGAGACCAGGGCATATCTCATTCCTCATCTCAACTGCACAAGACAGACATTCCCAGAGCGGCCGTTTATAGACCTCCCCCTAGGAATGCATTCCTTCCCCAGGGTATTAATATTAATATTCCTTGCTAGGAAAAGAATTTAGCGATATCTTCCCTACTTGCATGTCCGTTTATAGGCTCTCTGCAAGAAGAAAAATATGGCTCTTTGCCCAACCCTGCAGGCAGTCAGACCTTATGGTTGTCTTCCTTTGTTCCCTAAAAATCGCTGTTACTCTGTTCTTTTTCAAGGTGCACTGATTTCATATTGTTCAAACACACATATTTTACAATCAATCTGTACGCTTAACACAATTATCACAGTGGTCCTGAGGTGACATACATCCTCAGCTTATGAAAATAACAGGATTAAGAGATTAAAGTAAAGACAGGCATAAGAAATTATTAAAGTACTATTTGGGAACTGATAAATGTCCATGAAATCTTCACAATTTATGTTCCCCTGCCACAGCTCCAGCCAGTCCCTCCGTTTGGGGTCCCTGACTTCCGGCAACAACGTTGCTTTGGTTCATGAAGGTTAAGCACCCTTCTAAGGTCACAGGATAGCAGAGCTGGGATTTGAACACAAGCCTGAGTGACTCATTCTGTTTCCATGATATGCCACTGTCTTCCTAGAGATGTGACTTTTGAGTCATTACAGTCTGGCAGTTTTCTCACTTACCCTTACAAGTTTCTATACAAAGCACATAAATACTATAAATGAAAATGATTATTTAAAATATGCATTGTTTATCCTGGTTTATTTGGGGGTAGATTTTCCATTTTCAATGTATGTTTTTAAATGTTCACCAAGGTGCCCAATCTCTTGTGTGTGTTCACTGTCAAGTGTGAGTAGAGGAAAAATTGCACTATATTATATTATACGTTCATTCCATCAGTGAACAAATGAGTAGTTATTGTTGCCACCTGTGTGGTAGTCTACTTTATGTCTCTTAAACCCTCATGGAAAATGTTTTAAATGCAGGCTTAGCAGTTCTTTTCTGGCATTTGAGAACTTGGATGATAAGTAGTTTTCTACGCTGAAATAAAGTTTTACTTAAATAATAATAAGGAGAATTCACTGTGTCTAGACTACAAAAAATATAGTTTATTTTGACCACCTGGTTACTGAGAGTCTAAAATTTTGCTCCATACAGGTAGATGGTGCCCAAGTGACTAGCCCCTAATTAAAACTTTGGACACAATGAGCTTTCCTCATAGATAACACTTTATATGTGTTGTCAGAATTCACTGCTGGAGAAATTGAACATGTCTTGCGTAATTTCACTGGAAGTGGACTCTTAGTTTCCACTGGACTTCACTTCGTGTGCCTTTTTCTCTTTGCTTATTTTGCTTTCTTTCTTTCCTCTTTAATAAATCTTAACATAATTATGACTGTAATATGCCGAGTCCTATAAATCCTTCCAACTACCAGCAAACCTGAGACCTTCAACCCAACTACTCATCACCATTTTTTCCCAGTTGAAGAAAGAAAGAGAAAAGAAGGAGAATTGAAAGGTATAAAGTTTTAGATTTAGATGGAGCTTTTATAAGCCTTTTGGCAATGTATGGGCAAGAATTTATGGTAATATGGATAATTCTGTTTTTGAGTTGTTCCTTTTTTTGACACTGCTTATATAGCAAGAAATAAACATGGACTTAATTAAGTGATATGAAATTTAACCATTCTGCTTTAGTGGCTGAGATAATTTCACACAATCTAAATGTAAAAAGTTCCTCAGTGTAGAAGATGCCTCCAGGAATATATAATAGTAATAATAGAACTGAAAATCATTATAATGGAATAAATAAGTAAAATGCTTTTCATTTAGCATTTCATGTAGTGCATTAGGAAAATAATATTTATTACTTGTGCCTTAATATTTACTATAAATACCCTGAAAGCATTTATGCATGGATTTATTATGTGTTTGTACACTTATGTGCTCTATGTATATGTTCATATGTATGTGAGTGAGAGTGTATGTGTGTTGGGAATTGATATGAGGGTTCTGTAGTATAGTCCTTTGATTGATGTGGGATAAATATTTATTACAGTTAGATTTTTCTGATTGGTTATTTGAGGAAAATGGATTAAAGAAATGCCGAAACAATGGCTGAATAGGATCCTTAGGAGAATATAGGAAGGACCTCTATGATGAATTTTACCTGAAACATAACACAGGCTGATAGCAAAGCAGTAGCTACTGATAGTTTCCAGACTTAGGGCAGTTAGAAGAGGTGTTCATCCAGGACAAATTCAAACCTGCTTTCTCTTGAGTAGTGAAAACCACAATTATTTACAAGAAGATCCTACCCTTTTCTGTTCATTTACACTCACATACCCAATCAATGACATGATCTTTTCAAATATTATTCAAAGTGAATTATTGCATGTAGCATGTTAATATAAGAGTCCGCAGTTTTTAAATGTGAGAACAAAAGAGTTTGCCTGCGTAAGCTCTGGGCTTGAATATGTTAATCCTGTGCTCCCTGTTGTTGCTCTGTAGTTACAGAAGATTAAATAACCCTGAAGTTACTTTGCTTCTGGGTTCAAGTGAGTTGCTGGAGAAATCCAAAGAATTTGGTATACTCTTGGGCCCATTATAAATTTGAGATTATCTAACTAGAACCTTATTTCTGTTTGTTATCTTTTAGACATCTATCAGTTGTTCATTTCCTCTTTTCCTACAGTGATTATTTCAGATCTGCTCACTATTAAAATACACAATTCAGCTCATTTCCATCCTCCCTCATCAGAGAGCCACTTTCCTGCCATTTTAGTAGGACTGCCTTTTTGTTAGGAGTTGGTCCTCAGATAAGTTTACTTCTTGACTTGCTAAATTTAAGATGCCTGTGAGATTTCTAAGTGTAGAAAGTTATGAAGCCATTAGATATTTGAAAGTCTGGAGATGATGGGTTAGTATGGCTTCTGAATGTAGGACTCACTAATACCTACTAATATCTGTCTACCTAAATACTCATCTACCGAGGGTATTGTGTAGGTGGGATGATGCATAATACTGGAACTTTATAGAGTTATTTAGATTTAAGAGGCTAAATGGTAGGAGAGACTCAGGAAAGGAGATTATGAAAGAAGAAGAATAAGAAGATAGAGAACTAGTGAGAAGTAGTATTATGAAAGTTAAGGAAGCAGAGAGTTAGAATGAGCAAGGGGTTATTAACAGTGTCACCTGCTACAAGGAAACTAGGTGAAGGAAATTTTTTTTTTTTTTGGACTGAATCTCGCTGTGTGGCCTAGGCTGCAGTGCAGTGGCGGAAGCTCAGTTCACTGCAAACTCCACCTCCTGGGTTCAAGCTGTTCTTATGCCTCAGCCTCCTGAGTAGCTGGGATTACAGGCGTGTGCCACCATACCCAGCTAATTTTTGTGTTTTTAGTAGAGACAGGAGTTTCGCTATGTTGCCCAGGCTAATCTCGAACTCCTGGGCTCAAGTGATCCGCCCACCTCGGCCTCCCAAAGTAAGATTTTTAAAGAGTTATTGTATTTGGCTGTAGGTGATCTTTGGGGATCTTGATGAGAGCTGTTTTCATAGTATGATGGACACCAGATGTAGTGAACCAAGTGAACTGAAATAAGGTTGTAGGGGCATCAAGTATGGACCACTCTTTCCAGGATCTTGGCTTAAGAGGAAGATGAGTACATGGTACTGGGTAGAAGATAATGTAGGATTGAGGAAAGTGCTTTTGTTGGTGTTGTTTTTCTTTTCTTTATTTTTTAAAATCTTTACTGTTAGTTTTTGAGATGAGAGAAGTAAAGCAGAATAGTCAAGTAGGAAAATCGCAGAGATAGGCTATTTGTCTAAGGAAGAATCCCCTTTCCTTGGAGGCTGGAAAAGAGAAGAAACTGACCATTGGTAAATTTTAAAATACTACAAGTAGGACATATTTGGGGTATCCTGCATTAACTGCCTGCCCAATTTTACTTCTGAAGGAGGAGTTATAGTACATACTAAAACCAAAGGTAAAAATGGTAGGGTCAGAGATGAGACTTTTTGTCATAATGGCCCTTGTGTGAGCTGGGTTGAGGCATGTGGAAGACTTTCTGGGTGCCAGTGAGTTGACTCTCTATGTGGTCACATCAACTGATAGTCCTGTGTGATTTTTCTTACAGGACTCAACCTGATGTAGGAATTAGGAACTTTTTAAGTTCACCTAGAGTTGGTGGTTTTGTTGTTTATGTTCAGTGAATGAACAGTTTAAAGAGGGAGTCTAGGTGTAAGCAAGAGATTGGCTAAAGTGAAAAAATACAGTGTTTGGGTTAGAGAGCCAGGATTTAAAGCTAGCAAAAGAAATCTCAAGGGAGTGGTCATCTCCTTGACAATGAAGCACAGATAACACAGAAGGAAGAGGGTGTAATAGCTGATTAGATTGGTAATTAAATCCAGAGTTATGGGAAGAGGGTGGAGTCAGGAACCCCTTGCTTTAAAGGTGGCAGTTCTGATAAAAACACCAAGATAAAACCATGGCAGTGGGTGACTGAAGAGGCCTGGAGTTGGGGTCATCTGAGAATCTGGAAGTTTAGCAATAGGTTGATAACATGGGCTCTAGAAGCAGACTATCCAGGTCCAAATCCCTATGCCCTCACTTATTAGCTGTGTGATCTTGAGCAAGTTATTAACTCCAGCAAATGTTGGTTACTTTTCACTGAAATGGGGATAATATTGTCTCATTTTAGATTTGTGTTGGGATTGAATGAGGTAATTCATATACAGCATTCAATCTTTGGTATAACTCGAGTACTCAATGCATTTCAGTCACAGTCATAGTTATTTGATTATTATTGCTAGCTTCTTTTCTTTTAAATCTCAGCTTATGCATCACCTCCTATGGGAGACTCTCTACAGCCACATTGTAGTCTATAGACCCCTTTAGGTAACTCTCCATCATGTTTTAGCACCTAGGACTATCTAGTATAATTTAGTGGTTAGTGAGAATACCTCCCTAATTAGAGTTAGCTTCTCTGGTATTAAAACTATGTCCTATTAATATTTCTATAAACCATATGCTTGATGAACAGGAAGTATAACCACTTTCTTTCCAAGTATTTGTTGAAAAGAAAAATCAGTTCCATTTCTCTTTTGATCAGGAATCACTTGATTGCTGCTTGTTAATCAAGTTGATTTCTAGCATATTGGTAAAACTTTTAGAATAAGAGCAAAAGGTAAACCACAATTACAAGGGTTTTCTCATCTTATTTTAGAATTTTCTACACACACAAGTACACAGTTCTCAATTTACCATTTGGGTGGATGAGACATCTTCCAGGCTGCATTGAATTTAGCAAACTGGACAAATGCAAACCTGTCGCCCAGAAAATGAAGTTTGTTTTTGAGGCATTTAAAAAAATGTTTGCCATAATGTCAAACCATGATTTTAATCATGAGGGAAATTATATTTAACCTTATTTGAGCCATAGATCATAGAATCTGGACCTGGAACCTCTGCTGTTGGGGCCAAAGGAGCTTGGTAAATGTTTCTAGTTTCATTTGTCCGGACCTTAGTACAGTGGAGATGTTATTTATTGTTTATCCAACTCACAGCCTCATTCCAACCCCTGGAACCCATTCTTATTCGGACACATGACCTTTTTATGTTACTTTTGTTGCCACTAAGTATTTGGAAACTAAGGCTCAGGAGGGTCAGCTTATGTGACTCATTGTAAGTGCTTTATTTCTGAATTTATCACTTTCTTACAAAGCTTTACAAAAGTGGCTTAATGTTAATGATTCTTTAATGGCTTAATGTTAATGATTATTTTATTTGTATAAACTTGCATAAAACAATATCTTCTCATGTTTAAACTTAAAATAGATATTTACTTATTCTTAAAATATGTATTAATCATGATGATTTAGTGTAATTTCCAAATATATAATCACCATCCTGGCTTCAGGGAAGCTAGACTGAAGGTTTTTTTCTTGATTAGAGAAATATTCAAAATAAAGTTAAATTAAGTGTATTTATAAATCTGTACTATAGTGATTCATATCAGCTTGAGATAAGTGCTTCAATGTATAATATTATGTTGGTTTATCTGGAAATAATGTATAAACACTTTATTGGGAACCTAATATGTTATCTATGCTGATGTTTCTGTCACTCTATTGTTACTTATTTTTATTTTTTATTATAATTCTGTTTTGCTGCCAGAAGGCAAAATGTTATATATGATTGCTACTAATAGTTCTCTGATAACCTGACAAATTTTAAAACATCGATATTTCTTCAGCTGGACAAAACACTAGGTTGTTACTAAAATAATGCACATTGTTCGCTTCAAAAGTGCCTTCTATTTTAGTGACAGTCAATTGGAAACACATATTTTCCCTTTTTGGATGATAAAATAGTCCAAGAAAGGGAATATTTATATAAAAAATTATTCCCAACTAATGTGGTTATAAAATACAAAGAAAAAGACTCATGATTTCTAAATTGATTGCTAATGAATTTTAATACAGATGATTTCCACTTCAGTGACATTAGAGATTCTTGTTTGATGATATGCTACACATCCAATTTTGACAAGGATTTGTTCCTAATGTTTTGCATGCTTTATTCGTAGAATTTAACACGTGAACTGGAGAATGGGGAAAAACAGCAACTGCAGATGTTGGATCGACTTAAGGAGATCCAGAATCACTTTGACACATGTGAGGCCGAGCGTAAGCATGCTGACCTTCAGATCTCAGAGCTGACTCGCCATGCGGAGGATGCAACCAAGCAGGCTGAGCGGTACCTCAGTGAGCTCCAGCAGTCAGAGGCTCTGAAAGAGGAGGCGGAGAAGAGGAGGGAAGACCTGAAACTGAAAGCTCAAGAATCCATTAGGCAGTGGAAGCTTAAGCATAAGAAGTTAGAACGAGCGTTGGAGAAACAATCTGAAACTGTTGATGAACTGACAGGCAAGAATAATCAGGTATAAAAGCCACATTCCTAAGGAACGGTTTTCAATGTGATTCAACCATTCATTCATCTATCCTTTGAAAAAACACTTGAGTGCCATACTGTACATATAATCAATATGTCCTTGATAGACGAATCCTTATGTCTTGGCTGTTTCAAAGTACAAAAGTTAATTTTTAAATATTTTTTACTTAAGCCTTTTCATAGTTTAATATTATGTGGCTTTTCAGAGTTGGCCCATAAATAGATGTACCCCTTGCCCCAATTTAGGTGTAAGTTTCCTATATTGAATTATTGTTTAATCTTCTAATATTCCAATGGAAAAAAAATGACTAAATCTTTGTTATTTTCACACAACTTTCCTCCCAATGCATTTATTTTAAAATCTCATTTATTTATATATTTTCAACTAGGTATTGGTTAGAAAGAAGCATTTAAAAAATGCAGTAGTTACTAGGGCCATTTACTGGCAGCAACTGTGATGGGCTTACTTAAATGCGTGACACTGAGGATCTCACTGACTGAGCAGTGTTATGGGATCACAACCCTCTTCAAGACTTTGCTTTTATGCCCTTTTGATAGCAACAAAACGCATTTCACTGATATATGTATGCATTTCACATTATCTTTTCTCTTGTATAATCAGTTACTTTAAATGGATTTTATGCTCCTATGTTGATTCTCATCTGATATATCTTTGGGTTGAATTAAACCCAGATGTTTATAAGATAATAAGCAGGAAAGTCGTGATTGATTTTTTTATCCATGTTTATTCTTGGTTTATCATTTGTGCTTTGTCATTTGTCACTTGTCGAGAACTCTGTACATTCCAAAAGAATAATCATTTGGATAAGTTGACTTTCTTTGAAAAGAAAACAAAATATAGGGCATTATATTTATAAAATCAGTTTTCAGCATTTAAGAGTGACAGATACTTATTTCAGATGAGCTGTCATGGAAAAGATGCTTTATCTTTTACATATGAATTTCTCGGACATATAGAAGATGAAAGAAATGATCATTTTGCACTCACTGTGGATTGCTTTTCATTTTAACCCATCTGACACATACTGGGTGGCTGGTTGCCCTGAAGTAAAGCAGTTCTGAAGCTTTCAGACTTGTGTCTGAACTGATCTGATCCCAGGAAATTGCTCTATCTTGATTATTCTGTTGTCAGCCTGATCTGGCAACTGGCTCAATGAGCCTGACTGTAAGGTAGGTAGGTAGCTAGCGAGAGGAGTGGTTGAGAGAATTGATTGATTGAAAATCTCATCTGGAGGTTTTACTTAATTAGAAGAGATTTAGAAGGGTCCATGTTATCATACAGTAATTCCAGTCCATGGTGCTGAGACTTTTCTAGGTTGAGTTTTCAGAATATTAAAAATTGTTTAACAATCATTTCCCAGAATACTTCCAATTATTTTTATCACTTAGCATTACTAATGATAAGCAAAGAAGCAGTTTTAAAGTGATTGCCACAGTTAGGGTCGTATCACAATTATCACAGCAGGCATTGTAATTTCTCCTTTAAAAGCCTTAAAAATTAATGCAGCATGTTGCAGTTAGAGCAATGGTTTTTCAAGGAAAAAAGAGTAAGAAATGTGCTCAGTAAATCTGTGATGTGGAAATACATGGTAAATAATTTTGGAAAAAAAATTTAAAAATGTATTACTGAATATTATTTCAAAGGGATATTTAATTCTCAATAAAATCACAAAGCCACCTTAACACATTTATAATACAGCTACTTTCTTTTTGATTTTTAGGGCTAATTATTTTCAAAAAGTGACTGCAAGGTATTTTGGAAGGGTGTATTAAAATAAAAATTATACTGATTTACAAATATAACATATTGTGGCTTAAAGAATAAATTACTTAATAAGTAGCCTTACTGAGTCATTTTATATGATCATATGATGCTCTCCTCATATTTGCAGTATGGTTCTGTGTCTACCACCAGTTCTCTTTTTCTAGCATAATTTATTTTCTGCTTTAAGATTTGTTACTTAAAAAATATACAAAACGGCAAAAAGCTTTTTTTCTCTTAAAAATTTCTCTGATTTATTTCTTTTTTCCTGCTTTTTACATTTCTGGAATCTTAGTAAGGTTATCAGATATATATCATATTACAAAACTACTTCATTACTGAAGGATGTGTAATATCAAATCGCGTATCACTGCAGGGGAAAAAAAAAACCCAGATGGATCAAATTGTACACTTTCCTCAAAGACAATGCAATGGATATTTACATCAGGGAATTGTGGTGTACTTCAGGGATATGTAGGTAACACATATTAGGAGACTGAAAACTTTATAGATACAAATAATCTAGTCGTAAGTTGTGGTATTTTTGCTTCTCTTTTTCTTTTAAGGTACTGTTTGAAATCATTGGTTTGTAATGGTGCTTTGAAAACGATAAAGGAAAAAATTGGACTCCAATCATAGTATATGCTTTTCTGAATGTTTCCATTTTTTTTCATATTCTTTTTTAATATGGATAATGGGAATACTTCTTGGGATTTTTGTTGTTGTTGTTGTTTTGTTTTGTTTTGTTTCCCCTGCTGAATTGGCAGAATAATTGGCTTGCTTATGTATTGAGCTTTTTGCTTGATAGTATTTGACTTCAAGAATCTTAAATTACCATCTATTCCTTCTGTGTATTTCCTTCCTGCTGACAGAAAAAAAGAGTTATATGTAATATATGCTATCTTGTAAAATCTGAATTTTTGAATGGTTGAAAGTAAGAAGGATCAGTGCCAAAGTATATGATTTTTTGAATGCATATGGAGTCCTATCACATACAGTTCAAGAAATGCTAGAGTATGTATTAGTATAATCCAGCCATCTGCCTGCATTTTCCCTCACATGCAGGTAAAAAACAAAACAAAACAAAACAACAACAAAAAAAACATTGAGCAAGCCCCTCATCTACCTTTTAGTTAGTTAAAAAAAAAAAACCAAACTGCGTATATAATACTTTGTATTCACGTCTTTGAGGAGTTGGCTTCTGTTTCTGTAATTGCCATGGTTTTAAATAGTATCATTCTTTTGGCTTCGCACAGCTTTTTTCAGGCCTTCTTTCAGTAATCTTTTCTTTTGCCCCTTCTTTGGAAGCTTGGTTTGCCTGGTTAGAGCATTCTTTCCCCATTTTTGCTCTTGACTGCTGGCTATTTTTCATTTATGCCCCTACATTTCTCAAGGATTTTAGCACTTGGCTTTGCATCAACCTGTTTTATGACATTAATTCTTGCCGTCATCCTTAGTAACTTCAAAGTTCAAGTCTGCAACCTACTGAAGTCTGTATCCTTATAATTCACTAATGTCTTATTTTATAGTGACCGTCACTGAAATAATTCTACTTCAGCGTCTAATTTCTGTGTTTAAATTTTATCTTCATCTGTAATTGTTTCATGTCCAAGCCTTCAGTTCCGAAGCTCAGTCTCTGATCTTTCATAATTCTTCTATTCCCTACACCCTAGCTTTTTTAACTATTCATACCCAATTTTGATCTTTCTACATTCCTCTGGTTTACTAGCCAGTTTCTGGATTCAGTTTTTTTCCTGTCACATTGGACTTCATTGAAAGCTACTTTGATGTTGTTCTCATCACATCTTCAATTTCTTTCTTCTCCCTCATATATTTTACCGATTTCTAATCTGGAGTCAACCCGACTTTCCACTTTTTCCACTCCTTCTCCTTAACAGTAACAGCAAAACTTCCATAGAAATATCAGTTGGGTTCCATAGTATTCATGGTTACCTCCTGCCTCCCCCTATCCATTCCATTCAATAATTAATGTAAGACCATCACTAGGTACAAAATTGCAGAGAGCTGGAGCCAAAGCTTTGACATACTGTCAAATTGCAGAGAGCTGGAGCAGTTCTGCCTGGAATGATTTTCTTGTGGGTTAAGCCATTTCGGATTGGGATTTTCTCTTACCCTCAGCAGAAAAAATTCAAGTTTATGGAAACTTTGAGTTCTAGAAATAAGGAGCCATAAGTAAAATAGCCTAAATTGTAGGGTTGACCGAGAGGAGAAGTAGGGTAAGGGGCAAGAGAGGATCATATTGTTCTAAAGGGAAAGTTGGTAAACCTTGCTATGTGGTTGGAAGCAATTGGTTTAAACAGAAATCATATTTAGGGGCATTGATGCTGTGAATAAGAGGATAGTATTAAGTGACTGGTAGGAAAACTTTAGGATGTTGGAGTATGTTGTGTACATATTTCAGCCTTCAGTAAGGTCTTACAAGAGAAAGACAAGTTTAGGTTGAAACTGGTCTGTCTAAAAGCAGAGAGTTTTGTTCGTTTCTGTTTGTTTGTTTAAGGTGGGGAGCCTGAAGTCTACAATCTATAATCCAAATTGCCTATGAGTCTGATAATTTGGAACCCCTTAGGTTTGGAAAAGTTGAATTATTTATCCAAACTGAAATTAGTGCAAGCACAAGAGGGAGTCAGGAAACAGAAAAAAAAAAAAAAAAAAAAAAGATCCTGGCCAGACAAAGAGAACCCAATTCCACTGTTTTGATTTGCCTCAAGATAAAGGCTATTCATTTGAGGGCCCTGGGTATGTCCAGGGTATTGAGATGACAGTAAAGACACTGACATTTTCAGACTCAGAGAAAATGCCTAGACAGAATCTTAAGCTGTGGCTACTAGGCAAGCAATTAACCAGAATCAGATCGACAGAGCTTAGTTTTTAGTATCTGTATTGCCAAAGAAATTCCAAACTTGACTCACATGGTCTGTGACTGTCTGCCCTCTGGCTGTCACCCTTGTCAGGAATTGATGTGAAGCTTGGAACACTGCAAAGACAGCAAAAGATGGAGAGTTATAGAGTAGCAGAGCCTGAGCTTTGAGGGATTCTTCTTGAACCATCCTGTCTCTGGACTTACTGTTATGTGTGAAAAAGAAATATCTTTGCTTTTTAATCCAACTTCAGGAAGATATAATATTTCATAATTAAAGACACTTTACATGGTATGACTTCATTATGAAAATATGATTTTAATCCTCAGCACTGCCTATAAGTCTCTCAACTCATGCCAAGGGGGCTAAGTTATCTGCTTCAAACATATATCACTATATTGAAGGTCCCTACCCTCGCTCAGTCCCTCCCATGCTATCTTTACAGCCCAAATTTGATTCTATCAGTTCTTGTGTTCTCCAGTTTGGTAAGTAGAATGACCCTCCCCAAAGAAGTCACACTAATTTCTGGAACCAATGAATATGATAAGACATTACTCCTGTGATCACATTATCTGGATGGGCCTAATCTTATCACATGAGCCCTCAATAGAAGGTTTTTTTTTTTCTGGCTATTGAGAGAAGGGGACGTCAGAGAGAGTTGGAGCTTCGGAAGGATTCATCAAGCTGTTCAAGCTTTGAAGATGGCAGAGTCCATGAGCCAAGGAACAAGGTTGGCTTCTAGAAGTTCAGAATAATCGCTGACCAAAAGCTAGCAAGGAAATGGGGACCCAAAGTCCTACAACTGTATGGAAACAAGTTGTATCAGAAACCTGAATGAGCTTGGACATGGATTCTCCTCAGAACCTCCAGACAAGCGCCCTGGCCAGCTGATACATTGATTTTAGTCTTAGGAGACCTTAAGCTGAATACCTTGCTTGGCCTTTCAACCTATTGGAAGCAGTGAGATAAAAAATGTGTATTTTAAGCTACTAAGTCTGTTGGAAATTGTTATGAAGCAATAGAAAAATAATACATCTACCCTTAGGCTCATCTATATTTCTCCTACCTTACATTCTTTCGGAAGTGAACTCCTTCATCTGTGTTCCAGAGTTCCTTCTCCTCAGTTATCCCGTCTTTTCACAGTAGAGACGGGGTCTTGCTATGTTGCCCAGGCTGGTCTTGAACTCCTGAGCCAAAGCTATCTTCCCGCCTGAGCCTTCCAAATAGCTGGGATTATAGGGTGTGCCACTGGGCCTGGCTCTTTTTACAGTTTTGATCACTACCTTGCATAAACACCTCCCTGAGACCCTAATACCTCCTCGAACTTAAATTCTACTCCAACTTTTTGTTTCCCCTTTCTCACTAATCTTCATCACAGTCTTATGAAATAGCTATTATTATTTTCTCTAGTAAGAGAAATGATTTCCCCGAGGCCATAGAATTGCCCGTGATTGAACTGAAAATCAAATTCACTTCTTTCTGGTCAGAGCTCAACTGCTTATTCATCTCCTTTTGTTAGTTCTCATGTTATCTTTGTGCTCTTTCTTTCTTTCAGTTAAAACTGAGCAGGATTGGGGAAACTTTTTTTTGGAGTGATTGACTCATTAAATTTTTGTCATAAATTGTTTTACACTGAAGTATAAAATGTGAAGTGTAGAAATGTCTTGCAAATATTTGCATTTTAACTCATTATTTGTAATTCTGAAATGAGTCTTAATTGGTTCCTTTTTTTCCCTCCTGTTTCACGGAGATTATCTTTGGTGCCAGTGTTGTATAGAAAACAATCTTGGCTCCCTTGGCTGCCCATTATTTTATTTGCAATGATTAGGTGGTGAGAATTAGAGGCCAGAAGAGTTAACCCTTGGCCTCTGTCCTTCCATGTAAATCTTAGAGAGGCTGGCATAGAATGATGGACTTCTAGGCCCTTGACTTTTCTCTTGAGCCCTTTCCCAACCTTTCCTGACTTAATCTCATTTCTTTGTGGGCTTCCAGGCTCCCAGTTGCATATTGGTGAGTTTTCGTCACCATTGATATTTTAAAAATAATGGCTGAATGTACCGTAAACTTTCTTGTATTGTATCTGCATGCTTCCCTATATTATTTTCCATCTCTGTTTTGGGGTTTCTCCTTTTTAAAAGTGTATCATTGGAATGTACATCAGTATTATTTTAGGTAATAGTGTATTATTTCAACCTGTAGTAAGTTTTCTTTATAATGAGAGTCTTTGCTTTCCCCATTTGTTTGCTCAATTTTATCTTACATTTAAATAATTATTTGTGACCATGGATTGAAATAAGTTTTGGTGATGAAAATTTGAAATACATATTTCAGTGTGTTGCTATTTCAGGACAATTATATATTCCCCCCCACCTTTCTGGCCTAAAAGTATTTTTATTAAAAAATGGGAAAAATACAAAAATTATTTGATGAATTTTTTTTTTCCTTGTGGGTTAAACATTGTTTTGCTGACTGGCAGAGTCTATGGTGAATTTTACAGTAACTTTTATTTTTTTCTTTTGCTTCATGTTCTTAACCTGATAGATTTTAAAAGAAAAGGATGAATTGAAAACCCAGCTGTATGCAGCATTACAACAAATAGAGAATCTTCGAAAGGAATTGAATGATGTCCTAACAAAGCGTGCCCTTCAGGAGGAGGAGCTTCACTCCAAGGAGGAGAAATTACGTGATATTAAGTCTCATCAAGCTGACCTTGAATTGGAAGTTAAGAATTCCCTGGATACCATCCATAGACTGGAGAGCGAATTGAAAAAGCAGAGTAAGATCCAAAGCCAGATGAAAGTTGAGAAAGCTCACTTGGAGGAAGAAATTGCAGAGCTCAAGAAGAGCCAGGCCCAGGACAAAGCTAAACTTCTTGAGATGCAAGAGTCCATCAAGGACCTGAGTGCCATCCGAGCAGATCTTGCTAATAAATTGGCTGAGGAAGAGAGAGCCAAGAAAGCAGTGCTTAAGGACCTTTCTGACCTCACTGCACAGGCAAAATCCAGGGATGAAGAAACAGCTACAATCATCACACAGTTAAAGCTGGAACGAGATGTGCACCAGAGGGAGCTGAAAGATCTCACATCATCATTGCAGAGTGTGAAAACAAAACACGAACAGAATATCCAGGAGCTTATGAAGCACTTTAAGAAAGAAAAGAGTGAGGCTGAGAATCATATCAGGACTCTGAAGGTACCTCTGCTAAATTATCCTGATGATACTGAAGGAATTTTTCTGGTGGCTCATGAAGTTAATAAAGCGTAAACTTTTAGAGATCATTCTGTATTCCCAAGCACTGAAGGGAAGATAAAACCAACAATAAAGAGGCTTATTCATGCCTGTTCGGCCAGGTTGAAATGAGTTATAACAGCCACCTGGGAGCACCTATTTCAGAGCATTGAAGCCCTTTATAAAGAACGTTTAGCTGTTTGGGGAGTTCAGGAAAGGCAGAGGTGGCAGTAAGTCATGGACCTGAAACGTGCCCTCATTCAACATTTATGACCTCCTAAAATATAAAAGGCAAAGACTCGTCAAGGCCAGAGAAGCTATAACCACAGTCCTTATTTGTATGGTAACTAAAGTGGATCAGCTTATGGGCTGTGTAAACCCAAGGCTTTCGAGATTTACTCCTTCTTTTCCAAATCAAAGTTGCCTGGGTAAATGCCTAATTGGGATCTTGCATTTGAGGAAATGTTTCTAAGGTCTAATGTTGTTAGCATTATCACCATGCAGGGCAATCATTTTATAACATGATTGTCAGGAGTGTGATAAATCTGTTCCTCTTCCTGTCTTTTTTTTTTTTTTCATAACACGTGTCATATGATATAGATTCCATATTATTTATTTTTTAATATCCCCTTATTGAAATGAAGACTCTCTGAGGATAGGGATTTTAGTCTGTTTTGCTTCTAGCTATATCCCCAGTGCCTACAACAGTTTTTTGGAACATTGTAAATATCTATTGAATAGGTGAATGAATGAATGGATAAATCTTTGAAGGTTAATTATTATAATGTTTTTCAAAAGCCTTTGAAATGCAACTACTACTTTCAAAATGCTTATGATTTAAGATGAAATGATATTGAAATAGTTGACATCTGTAAAATGATGTAGCTATTCTATGAGTCCTTCCCCAGTCCTAGATAGCCTTCTGGCATTAGTGGATTTGGGGTCTTCAGTTGGGATTGGCAGGTCAGAATGGAGGCTAAAATAGGTAAAAGACCCTTACTATATTTCATTAAACCTAAGACACCTTATAAGATGCATCATTGCTGTTATTACTAGATGCATATGCTCCTAAGAAATAAAAATGCTGCCTCCTGCCTATGAAACCATCATAATGCTATCAAGTGTAAGAACTCCCAGGTCAGAGATGGTCAAATGTGGAAGATACACATTTTAATGTTGATGAACTATGGAATAGTAATCTTTTAGAGTTGATGAATATAGAAAGTAGAGTTTGGGATATGGAGAAGAGCTGATCTTATAGAAAATAAAATATATATTACATGTTGATTGATTGGCTGTGACAATAACAATACTACCAGCAATCAGTTTTTCAACATTTTGTGCCGGTCACTGCTCTAAGAACTTTACAAGTGTTAATCATTTAATACCCACCTCACC
This sequence comes from Homo sapiens, assembly GCF_000001405.40. NCBI lineage: Eukaryota > Metazoa > Chordata > Mammalia > Primates > Hominidae > Homo > Homo sapiens. The sequence goes on along the minus strand of NC_000014.9, from coordinate 80,783,460 downwards.
TTGCAGATTGTGTGGTATTATTTTCTCCCTGATGAAGCAATTGGGACACAGAAGGTTAAGTAATTTGCCCACGGTCTTACAGCAGGAGAGTGGTAGGGAAAGGATTTGAACTCAGGTAATTAACTGTGTTCTTAACTGCTTTGCTAGTCTGGAAAAAAGTTTAGACTCAAGGACAGGTAGGTAATGACTTTGGGAGATTAGGTGGATAATGATACTATTGCCAACATAGAGAATACAGACAGAATAGAAGATTTGAAGAGAACAGTGGTAAATCTAGTTTGTTTTTGTTGTTGTTTTTTAGCATATTGTGTTAAGGGGAGGGACTTTAAGCTTAACCAAGAAAGTCTAGGTGGAACAGATTAGTACATAATAATTAGTAGGGTCAAGAGTTGAGGGAGAAATTGAGATTAGAGTGAAATATTTCGGAGCCAGTTAACTCTTGGGTGGTAGTTCATATCATGGGATTTGGATGAGATTGTGCAGGGAATAAAAAGAGGATGAGACTCTCAAACTCTAATGTTTTAAGGAAAGAATTTACTAAAAGGGCCTAGCAAATAAAAATAAAAGGCCATATGACAGGAGGAGAATCAGAAGAGAATGATGTCTTGGAAACCCAGGTAAGACATTTTAAGAAAGTTATAATCAAGAGTGATAAATGTGACAGGCAAGCTGAAAGAAGAAGTATAAAAAGCCTTCATTCCATTCAACAGAGGTTGATGGAGAAAGTACATGAGGAGATGTGAGGGGATTTGATAAAAAATAAGAGTATATAGCATTCAACAGGAGACAAGGCATCTTTCCTCTGAAGGATTCGGAGGAAACCAGTAAGACTGGGTAAGTTGGTAGGGATGATCTGGGGAAATTGATGTGAATCTTGACTGATAGCCTTTCTTCTCTCTGAAGTAGAATAGGACAGTAGTGCACCAAGAAATTAGGAGCAGTGAAGATGAAAACTGGTATGAAGACTGGTACAAACTGACCGAGACTAGTCTAGGAGCGTGTAAAGTACTTCCATGTGGCTAACATTGAAGAACAAAGATTGTGGGCAAAGGAATGAGAAAGCTGAAGGATAAAAATCTGCCGTCAGAGGTTGCTGATTTGGTCAGGAAGTGCAATATAAGAATTTTCAGAGTTGAGGTCTAAGGTGTGGTCATGCAGTGGTTGCTGTTGTGCGATGTTGGTGAAGGTAGTTGGGAAAGAACAGGTCAAATAACTTTGAAGTTAACTTGTGGGATGGACACTTGGCTATTTAAGATATTGTGAAGGCATTAATTGGTCACATGCCAAAAACCACAGTGAAGAGGGTGACTGGTCAGTCAGCTGTTGCCAGCAAGGTAGAGGGGGTTGATGAGAAATAGTGTGATGTGAAAGGAAGGCAGGGTTTTTGCATGAGGACAAGCATGTAATGATTTGTTAGGAGAAACTGGCATGGCATAGAGAAATGGTTTGTTTTAAGAAGCTTGCAGTTTTCTTGAGAGTGTTGTTGAAACTAGAACCTTCCTTCTCACTAGTACTTATGTCTTATCACCATTATTTAGGTTGTATAATAATCAACACAATGGTCAGGAGTTAGTAATAATTTTTTCAGTTAGAGCATGTTCAAGATCATCTCTGTAAGGCCATAATTCTCACATTCCGATATGCATTCTTCAGTGAGAAATAGTAACTGCATTTGCTCATGGATACATTGGCATATGGACAATATATCATATGTCATACTAGAAAACAGAATGCAGACTGCTAACTTGCAATGTAGCCATACTTCTAAGTAACCTCCCTACTTCCCTCTAGTTCCTTTCTCTACCTGCAACCCCTTCCTTTAGCCCCCCGGATACTCTCTGATTTCCTTTCCCAAAATATATATCTGAGTGTGTCACTTTCTACTGAAAAACCTTCGTTAATTATTTACTGTCTCTGTAATAAAGTCTCCACTCCAGCCCAGCCCCCCTTGAAATGATTCTACCTTACTCATGTACATTCATTACTTTTTTTTTTTTTTTTTTTTGAGACGGAGTCTCGCTCTGTCACCAGGCTGGAGTGCAGTGGTGCAATCTCAGCTCACTGCAGCTTCCGCCTCCCGGGTTCAAGCAATTCTCCTGCCTCAGCCTCCCAAGTAGCTGGGACTACAGGTGCGCACCACCACGCCCAGCTAATTTTTGTATTTTTAGTAGAGATGGGGTTTCACAATGTTGGCCAGGATGGTTTCGATCTCTTGACCTCATGATCCCCCCCACCTTGGCCTCCCAAAGTGCTGGGATGACAGGCATGAGCCACTGCCTGGCGCGTTCATTACCTTTTATGCTCTCCAACATTCCTCATACAAATATAGATTACTGTGCATACTTTTGACTGCTCATTCTCTATCTGAATCGGCCTCCTAGTCTGCAGGAAGAAGAATTCTGCCAAATCCTTTAAGGCCCAATTTTGTACTTCTTTTATGGATCCACTGAAGTTGGAATAAATTTCAGTTGAGGTGGAGCTAATCTCTTGGTCTTCTGTATTTCCATAGGTCTTTTATTGGTGCCCCAGGTACAGCACATTTAGGCTGCCTTGTATTTTGATTTGTTGCATGTTCATAAGTCTCCAGAGGGACAGGCATTAGATCTAAGCTATTTTGTATCCTCTTATGGTGTCTAGCATAATGTTCCAGACATACAGAAGATGCTCAGTGGCTATAAGTTGAAATGTTGAAAAAGCTAGAAATCAGAGCATTTGCTCCTAACTTGCTCAATGATCTGTTTGGTTTGGATTTCTCCATGTAATGTGGGAAAATTGATTTCCTCATTTTTTTTGAGGAAGTGCTTTGAGTTCATTTGTTGTGAGATGATAACAAAGCTTTAGTAAATTCCCTATGTGTAAAGAATTTAGAATTTATAAGCATTCTGCGGATCTTCTGAAACCTTTGGACTTTTCTTTTTTTTTTAAATTTGAAAGCTTGAGATCTGGGAGGGGTGTTAAAGCTATTCCCTAATGTGGTATTGAAGTTGCTCTAGAGTTGGAAGAATGGCCAGAGATTGTGTGAGCCCAGCAGTTTCCTGTGAAACCAAACAATTTACCCTTAAGGAAAAATCACCACTTCATGCCATTTTATTAATATATCCATACTTTTTACTTATTTATATTAATTAAATTGAGTTGAGAGCAAAGGCCATCACAGGAGATGTAATATACTGAATTATGCACACAACGGAGTTTTAGACAAGTAGCTCTATAAATGTTGTATTTCTGTGTCTTTCAGCTTCATTTGAACTTATTACATTTTTGAGTCTAATAAGCTCTGATAAGCCATCCATATTTTTTCTCTGTACAAATTAGTTCTATTTTTTTCCTCCTTCTAGAATCACCCCTCTCATACCTATTTTTAAATTTAAATTTAAAATGTTTTAATGACATGCTGTATCTGCTATTAATATTTTCAGGATATTGGTCTATTACCTCATTGCAATTTCAACAAAATCATTTTGTAGAGCCTTTTTTTGGATTCAGAAGATGCAGGATTGGAGTTCTGTGTTTTTGCCATTTGCTGACCATTTGATCTTGGTCAAGTTATTTCACCTTTTTATGCCTCACTGTTAAAATAGGAATAATGTCCTTCTATATCACTGGGTTGTTGTGCACAAACATCACTTTGTAAATTCTGAAATGAAATATAAACGTAATAAAAACCACAACAATAAGTAAGTTGTTAGTCAAGCTTCGCATTGGTGTGCTGGTAAATATTTGAAAACAGGCTTCCGGTGGGTGGAAAACCCTTGATTTATAGCATTTGCCAAGTTTGGGGGTTCTGAATACCCCTTTCTTGGCTGATTTCAAGCTATCAAATGAGACATCATTGGGGAGGGGTGAAGTTGGGAAGAGAAGAGCCCAGTTGGCTTTGACAGTTTCTATGAGCTGGCTGCAGCACACTACAGACTTTAGGGGGAATTCTTTGTATTTACCTATGCTTTTGTTAGGACATAAAGAAAAGTAAAAGCATTCTACTGAAACTTAAAATCATAGTTGAACAATTTTCCTGATGAGAGATTTTATTTTGTAAATTTATTTTGGGCTGTGAATATAGGATTGCTCATAAAAAATCAATTTCTTTGTTAATTTAATGTGGCATCAGCTCTCAGGTAAATTTTGTGGGGTAAATAAAATAAAGATTTTGTCTAAAACTCACAAAACTTCTTTCTTTCAGGAAATTGTTTCCATTGATTGCGTTCCTATATACCTAATTAAACTCATATGATAAACTTATAAAAATAAAAGAAACATATATTTTAGGCATTAAAGCATATATTTTAAACAGATTAAATGTGATTGCTTACAGACTGTCAGCAACTGGTAGGTGTGTTTTGTTAGCATTTCTAGTTGCACCCAGTTGGTTTTTAAAACCTAATGATATTGTACCTTTTGGGAGGAAGTGTGGCGTAGTTGAAAGCAGGGACATTAGAAAGAATTCCTGGGTTCAAATCCTGACTCTGCATTTATTCACTGTGTATCTTTGGGCAAGTGATTAGCTTGCTTTTATTTCTCATTATTATTGGAATAAGGACAATCATAATACCTTATTTGATTCTCACAGGTTGTTACGAGGATGAAATGAGGAAAAACTGTATACAGAAAAGTCTTAGAGCAGTGTCTGGCACATAGTGTTTACATTATTGTTATTTTAAAATTCTTTAAGTTCACATACCTGACAAATCTTTACTGAATTTCCTATATAGAATAGATTATTTCCAAAGTTTATTTTTTAAAAGCTGGTTCTGGTTATACCCTAAATAAAGATCAATAAATAGATATTGTACTACACTACTGATGTTGAAAAAATAACTGGTAAACTTTTTCATTTTAAGTTTGTAGTTTCTTGATTGTTATACTTCATAATTTTTTTAGCCCCATAAGAGTAGTATTGATAATGACTTACATAAAAAGTACACCATTATTTCATAGAAACCAGAAGTGAAGGTGAACAGGAATGTTAAGCCCCATCTATAGACGAGGGAACTTATCAGTTAGTAACATCTCATAGTATTTCCCTTTTGGGACACTTCTCTAATAACTCCTTCCCCTCTTAGCAGAGCTGGTGTCTCTTCTTTGGATTTCCAAAATATCCAGCTTACACCTTTAATAAGCACTTCTCTTTCAGTGTTGTCAAATAGATTGTTGCATCTGACTCTCTTACTATTCATATCTGTTATCTTTAGCATCTAGTCCAGTATCTACCACTTCGTAAATGCTTGGTAAATACTGATGAGCGATTGAATAACTGCAAAGAACATTTCCTTTGTGTTTATTTTAATATTTATATATGAATGCTTTGAACGAGCTGAAATCTTGCAGTGTTTTTCCACTGATAAAATATGTAATGTGTTTGGTGTATTTTGGCTATGGCTAGTGGACTTTCTGTTTTTTCCTTCTCTTTTTCTCAGGCTGAAAGTTTAGAAGAGAAGAATATGGCTAAAATTCATCGTGGTCAGCTGGAGAAGTTGAAATCACAGTGTGACAGACTGACAGAGGAATTAACCCAGAATGAAAATGAGAACAAAAAACTGAAGCTAAAATATCAATGTTTGAAGGATCAACTAGAAGAAAGGGTAAAAATATGAGTGAATTCTAATTTCAAATTCTAATTTCAATTTTAATTTCCTCTAGAAAATATTTTATATATCAACAAATGATAATTGTAGTCCTTCACAGGGAAGTTGTATTGGTGCCCCCCAAAAAAGTCAGTTTATTAGAATGCTGTGATTTTTATTCTTTCAACCACCCATTCAGCTTCTAATACATTTGAAGGGTAAGAATTTGATTTTAAATTTTTTCTGTCTTAAAATAGAAATTTAGAAATGAAGTAGAAAAAAAGGAATGATGGTTTATTGAGGATCTACTATAAGTCAGATATTTATGCCAACTGATTGACCTATGTCTATCCATCATTTAAGTCTTACAACTCTTTGAGTTAGTGTCTTAGTCTGTTTGAGCTGCTATAACAGAATGCTATAGACTGGATAGAAGAAAAACAACAGAAATTTATTTCTCTTGGTTCTGGAGGCTGGGAAGTCCAAGATCAAGGTGCTGGCAGAATCAGTGTCTGGTGAGGGCATGCCTTTTGGTTCACAGATGCTTCTTCTTGCTGTGTCTTCACATAACAGAAGTGGAGAGAGAGCTCTCTGGGGTCTCTTTTATAAGGGCATTAATCCTATTCATAAGGGTTCTACCCATTCACCTCCCAAATCACCTCCCAATCACCTCCCAAATCACCTCCCACCCTCAATTATCATCACATTGTAGATTCAGTTTCAACTATGAATTTTTGGGTACATACATTCAGTCTGTAGCAATTAGGTTTTATTGCTCCCTTTTGAGTGACAAAACTGAGGTTCAAATTACCTAATTAAGTGTTCACTTATGTGGTAGGTAGGCACTGTAACTATTAATTCTCATGGTAAGAAGGTTGTAACTTTGGTACATCCCCACCAGGCTCACTGCTTTCCTTTGAGTAGATGTGTAAAATTATTGAGTGACTTCATATATTGTGTTGGATAGAATAATAAATATTTTTAGAAGTCACTACTTTTGAGGTTCTCTTGTGGCAAAAAGTCAACTAAGAATAGGAAACAGAATATTTAAATTTGTTTTCTCTTTCACCCACTTCCTAAAAGGGTTTGAAATTGAAGGTAATAGAAGTCAAATGTAAAAAATGACCATCAAAGTATGGTTAATAGGATGAGACACTATATACATGGGCCAAATGAATGCACGTATGTGCTCAATCAGGGTTACTTAAATCTATGATGAAAGGAATTAGCACTGGGTGGATTGTCATAAAACTACTCATAAACTTCTAGGAAGAAACTTTCTTAGTGCTTTGCTTACATTTCCGCTTTTTGTTGTGTATAAGATGTTGCTACTATTAATATATATAATAATATATATAATTAATATATATTAATATATAGAGTAGTAAAAAAATTACATATAAATATAAAATTAAATATATATATAAATTCTCTAGTAATTGGTAAAGCAAGGAAATAAAATGTAAGTTAGGAGTTTATGATTAAATGTGCTTATGTTGCTAAATTTAGGCCTATAGTCTTGAAAACAGCTGTCATTTAGTTCTATGTCATGCTTTGTTTTGATTGTGTCTAATGGTCACATGTATTTAATGTATCTATTGGCAGGTTGTAGTTCTGGTGATAATGCTAAATTTTTCAACTTTTTCAAAATAAAATTCTAATTTATGAAATTATGAAGTTAGCCAGAAGATTGCATTAATGTGTTTTATATTTCCATAGCTGCATTTAAGAAATAGTGGTGAAAAATTTGATATGTTGAAAATGTCAGCTGGGCATGGTAGCCCATGCCTTTAATCCCAGCACTTTGAGAGGCTGAGGTGGGCGGATCACCTGAGGTTAGGAATTCTAGACCAGCCTGGCCAACGTGGTGAAGCCCTGTCTCTGCTAAAAATACAAAAATTAGCCGGGTGTGGTGGCGAGCACCTGTAATCCCAGCTATTCAGGTGGCTGAGGCAGGAGAATCACTTGAACCCGGGGGGCGGAAAGTCGCAGCGAGCCGAGATCGTGCCACTGCACTCCAGCCTGGGCGACAGCGCGAGACTCCATCTCAAAAAAAATAAAAAAATAAAAAATACATGCTGCTTCACAGATTCTGCTTATGATATTTCAGATGCATGTGTTATCACGCATTCATATAAGTGGAGCATTCACTTTAGAACAGAACTTGAAGAATTAATGATTTTATTTTAATATTGCTATGTATTGAGCATCTGCTATATGGCAGGCATTGTGCTGGATGTTGAGGATAGGACAGAGATAAGATACATGTTTGTTGTTGGCTAACACATAGTGGGATTTTTAAAAACAAAATCTCTTTCAGTTGTTAAAACTATGTAGTCAAGTCTTGACAATGGGTGCTAATGCAGAGAAAAGATGGTCTCTGTATCCTAAAATGGCATATAATCTTAACGATACACACGCAAACATGCTTATATTATATGTAGTTTATATGCTTTCTAATCTTTAATATTTAGTTTTCATGTACATGATTGCTATGTACTTTAGGTTAACTTAGCTGTTTGTGTTGATCCATTTATAGTTAGCTATGAATCAAAATTTTGTTGGATTGAGCCAACTACAGATAGGGACTTTCTCTTTGAGAGATAGTATAGCAATAATGATTATGCGTAAAACTTTGAATTCTTTCCTACCTGCGTGGCTTTAGGCAAGTTATTTAAAACTCAAAGCCTCAGTTTTATCATCCTTCAAATGGGCATAATAATACCTTTATTAGGATTAAGTGTGAGGATGTATGTAAAGTGCTTGGCATGGTATCTGGTATCTAATAAGATATCAGTTAATGGTAGCTGCCATTATTTTGTTATTGTTATGTTTCCAAATATATGCTGACTACTGGTTCAACCAAGCAGTCAACCAATTGGCATATATGGAATGACTGCCTACGGTCAGCCTAATGATGTGTTAGTAATAAAAATAATGTGCCTATGATTTACCTAATCATAAAGCCACAGAACTTTGCTGATGGGAAGTTTAGAACCAGACTATGTTGAATCATTTGAAACAGAGGAGGCACACATGTGAAAAGAGCTGGCTGGTTCATCAGCAAGTGATATTGAAGGCACATGTGTTAAGCAAACCAAACAGGTGGGCACTTTTATAATTATGCTTGATATTTGAGGAGACGAATTACACCTTGGTCATATTTCCATCTCCAAGACCAGGCACAGAGCCTGACACATAGTAGGTAATTTATAAGTAAATTATGGACAAAGAGGTATGTGTGTATACACACACACACACATACACACACACGCACACACACACACACATATGTATATATGTAAAGAAATATGGATACACATACACACATGTATAAGGTGGCCAGTCTGGGGCAGATAAAAGCAAGAAAACGAAATAAAAATATGTTTTCAATGAAGGAAAACCCAGTGATTAGTAGCCTGAAGATTACCATGTAAGCAATGCAATGAATTTGATAAATGAGGCCTTATGGGTTGAAGGGACAGCTCTGCTACAATCAAAAGGGGTGGACGCTTTCTAATTTGCTTAACAAGGTGGTATTTTTGCATGCCCATCCTCAACATCAATGTGTGATGTTACTGAGGCTACCAATACACACAGCCTTTTTTTTAAAGCCTTGCTTTTATTTTGACTGTGTGGTTTTAGATTGTGTTTCTTGTCATGTTATTATTACCTGGTAAGCTAAGAAATATTAAAACTGCATCAAAATTCATATAAACCATTAGCATCAGTGGTAGCATTAATCAGTGGGAGAACACTGCCCTTGCTAAATATCCACAGAATAACTGACTTTAGCATATTTTCCTCATGTATTCAGTGGTGATATATGGTATTAAAATGCATTTTTTCTAACATCTGATTTTGCTTTATCAAATGTTATTTTTCAGTTTTACATGACAAAGAGAACGAGTGTTATGCAACCCACAGATTTTTACATATTCATTTGGTACTTTTATTACTAGCTTCTAACCAGGGCAAAAAAGCTACCCTGAAATATTATAGAAAGAATTTTCTCCCATCCCTAGTATCATTAAAATTTATTGTTCCTTTTGCTTACATTTTATGGTGAAATATTTGATTCTTCTTTTGTTTCAGAAGAATCTTACTGATATTAATCTTTTGATTTTTGTGACATTTACCTGTTTACTCTATCAGAAATATATTTTTATTAGTTTCACTGGAATCTGTGAATCAACAAGTGTTAGTGCATAATTGAATCATTTTTGTTCAGCCAGTCAGCATTAAAGTTTACGTAATGAAGGTTTTAAATGCCTGATCTATATGGATCTGCACCCTATGTAATTAAAAAAATTCGTTTGCAAATAGTTATGAGCTTATAAATGACATCAGCTGTCTTTGTAAAGTCAAGTAGTTTGGTAGTAGATATATTTAAAAAATTGATTTTAATTTTGAATATGTTTGTATATTTTTAAAATAGCTGACACTGAAAATTGACATTATTTTATAAATTATTTTTTATATACTGCATATGTTTTCTTCATCCTTATGTTTTATAAATGCTGTTTTATCAAAGAATATATACAATATTTTGTGCAGATGTATTTATATACAATGAGAAAAATTTATAAAGAAAATGATAGCAATATTATGAGATTGTTTTCCTAAGTCTAACACAAACACCATAAAGACATTTATTTTCCAGTATTAGTGAAGGAATAATTTAATTTTACTGATGATTTTCATTTTATATATACAAGAATCTGAGAAATTATAGGTATATAGAATATCTTGTTCTTGGATATTCTAGGCGGAATTATGAGAATATGTTTCTTGTTACTAGGTACCCAAACCTGGAGGAATTCAGAGATACCTGCCACCCTCATTTTACTTTTCTCCTTTAATCCACCCATAATCACCTCCGTACATGGAGCTTCCTCTGTTACAAAAGATGCTGTCTTACGCCTTTAGTTAGCTAGCCTTGACAATGTTGCAAGTTCGTCAGGAGTTTTTCAGTCTTTCTGCCCCTGAAAAATCTACGTATTACCTTTTGTTTAACAAGCATTGTCTCAGAGTTTACACGGTAGCACTGGACTACTGAGACAAAGCTGGTAATGAGAGGAGAGAGTTCCCTGACCCCCCTTGCAGGATGTGCAACAGGGTTGTGGCTTGTCTGTTGGGCTGCCATGCACACTGAAACCTCTTATGGGAGGGGGAGCACACAGATTGGCAGGTGCAGGAGTTGGGGCAACTACCTCTGGGATCCAGCCCCACAGTAGCATCCAGGCGTGGGTGTCTGTGACTCCTGAGGCCCTAGTAGGCATGTGTCACAGTGCACTCTTTTAGCCTTGCCATCTGCAGATGGCTTAAGTGTTAAACAGCTCAGTGCTCTCTTGGTACCCAGGTCCTGTCCGGCATCCAGGAAGAATCAATTCACGCATGGACTTGAAGGATGAATGCACGGTTTTATTGAGTGATGGAGGTGGCTGTCAGCAGGATGGATGGGGAGCTGGAGGGGGGATGGAGTGGGAAGATGATCTTCCCCTGGAGTTTGGCCATCCAGCAGCTGATCTCCTCTCCAACCGTCCCCAGTGTAACTCCTCTCGATGTTCAGATGCTCCTCTCTTTTGTCTGTCACACCATTCTGCCATTCTTCTGCCCTTCTGTTCATCTTCTTTTCTGCTCATGGAGCCAGGGGTTTGGGGTTTATATGGGTACCAGATAGAGGGATGGGTGGGCCAAAAGGCAACTTATGGGCACAAAAACAGGAATTTTTGTTCTCATTTAGGGCCATGGTTTCCAGCCTTGAGGGTGCAGCCTTTGTGGGCAGCTGCCCCTCTTCTACCCCATATTTCCGTGTGTACTGTCCATATCAGTAATTCCAAAAAACATTTGGTATCAGTGTTAAAGTTTATAAGAATTTTAAACAGAAGGTCAGCTTAAACATAATCTTAAACAGAAGGTCAGCTCCCAATACCTTATTTTATAGATGAGGTTCTGGCCCAAAGAGTTAACTGACTTACCTAAGAGCTCCCAGCTATCCTTGGGTAGAAATGGAAATAGGACTCAGGGTTACCAGTCCTGTTCTTTCCATTGATCAGAATCAGTAAGAACCATTTCTGGCCAGTGTTAATTGGAGACACTGAGCTATCTCATTTAATACTTACTTGTTTCAATAGCTATGCTTAGTTCTCTTTAGAGGACCTTATTTTCTGCTATTAATTCTTTCAGAAGATGAGAAAAACTTCAATGAAACAATTAAGAGATAGTTTAAGACCAGAAATTATGAGACATCTAAGGCTATAGCAATTGATAGGAACTTGTGTTGAATAGATCAGGATGCATAGAAATGCATTTTTGTTCCTTCCCATGAAAAGATTTATTTAAGTCATCTATAAAGTGACACCTAGTAACATTTTAAAGCTGTCATTATGTTGGATAAAAACACTTGAAATCGTTTTCTTATACAACATATGGATCTTTAAAAAATGGTAGTTATAATTCACATTTGCAAGTGTATTTATGGTGCCCATTTCTACAGATGGTAGAAACTGAAGTTGAGAGAATATAGTGACTTGCTCAACACTGCATAGAAACATGGTAGAAACAGGATATAAGCATACAGTCCTTGTATTCTTCTCCTTTATTTATTGCCAGCAAAATGACTCTCTTTTCATTGAACTCTTAGCATTGAATTTAAATTTAGGGTTATTGCATTCAACAAATTACCATATACTCTTATTTTTTGGTCTGACAAATTTTGGAATGTGAGTCGTCAATGATTTTGTTAGAAAAATCTAATTAAAACCTGAACTTTCCACATAAAACGTATCTGTGAGAGGAAACAGTGAATCAGTGTTTTTAAACTTTGTGTTTCAGTTCTAATTTAACCATCTGTTTAGGATTGCTATTTTTTGATGATGGGGAAAAATATATATGATTTTCAGATGTCTGTTCTATGAAGTATTCACTACTTTGCAAAGTCACATTGTCACATTTTTGACTAAGAGGTATTTGATGGTAGCAGGCAGAATTTTCTGACTTCAGATTTTTCTAGAGAAATCAGAAAAATAGAAGCAAATGAGCTGTTGACTTCTAGCATTTACTTTAATGTTTACACTTTAGACCATTTTTAGGCAGCTTGTGGTCTTTTTTTTGGTGCTACAGATATTTTAAGTTGTGTGAGTAGAATAAAGTTGTAGTCACCACACATTAATTTAGAAGCAAATTTAAACCAGATACTCTAAGTAAACACTAACTAGGATGTTATGAGTAATTTCCTGTAAGATTCCCATCTTCTTAATAAAAACAATAATAAAAATAATAAAATGGTTGAAGGCAAATGATACATTTTTAGGAGTTTTCATTTAAAGTATGTTTAATTGAATCACATGTAACCATTAAGCCCAGAGTACTCCTTGACTTTTACAGAGAATAGGCTGAAATAACAGAGTGCTTCCCATTTATGAAATGTAATGTCAGATGTTAAGAAAACAGTATAGAATGCAAAAATGAAGTGAATATACAATGGGAAGGGAGAGGATGCATTTATATGTGCAGCTGTGGCAAAGAGAAGGGAAAAAAATAAAGGTGCATAGAAGTACTTCTGGTTTCTACTTTCTGAATTAGAACACAGCTATGATGAAGCCGTTTTGAAATTACTCAATTGGCAATGACTTTCCTACCAACTATTTACAATCAAAGAGGTTGATTTTAAGTGAATTACAGGAGTAAAGTCAAAGTTTACCAGTTGTACCCACTCCTGACTTGGACTTGATTGAGAGGCCTGCTATTAAATCCTTAACTCACTGAGGGATTGATAACTACAAGGGTCTAGAGGAGAAGGCAAACATGTTCTGCACTTTCCATTAAAATCCTTTACTATTAGCTTGATTTCATTTACTTCCACAGTTGTGAGTGATCCCTGTAGTGTGGGTATCAGGCTAAATAATGGTGTATACCATTGGTTGAGGTGAAAAAAGCCGATGGAATAGGCAACATGAAAGTTCTGTATCATATCTGTTTCAGTTAAGCAATCTTAGCTGGCTTTGGTTGACCCTAAAAGGAAACATAAAGTGAATGTCTGGGTTTGTTTTCATTGAGTTTTTTTTTCATCAGCATTTAAATTGTTTATTGACTCAATTCATTTTGTTGTTTAATGTTGAACAAGCAATAATCAATAAATTTTAGGAAAAACACCTAAGAGGTGCTTGTTATATACAGGTTATTTTATTTGGACTTTCATTTTTAAGTTTAAAAAATATTCTTTCATAAGAAAAGTATTAATGATAGACTGGATTAAGAAAATGTGGCACATATACACCATGGAATACTATGCAGCCGTAAAAAAGGATGAGTTCATGTCCTTTGTAGGGACATGGATGAAGCTGGAAACCATCATTCTCAGTAAACTATTGCAAGGACAAAAAATCAAACACCGCATGTTCTCACTCATAGGTGGGAACTGAACAATGGGAACGTCACACACCGGGGCCTGTCGTGGGGCGGGGGGAGTGGGGAGGGATAGCATTAGGAGATATACCTAATGTAAATGACGAGTTAATGGGTACATCACACCAACATGGCACATGTATACATATGTAACAAACCTGCACGTTGTGCACATGTACCCTAGAACTTAAAGTATAATTAAAAAAAAAAACAACTCAGAATAAAATTCAGTATCCTTTAAGAAAAAAAAAAAGAGGAAGAAATCTTGATGGTTATTAAAGACACTGTAACCTTATAAACATTTCTCTCAATATGAATGATAATTTTTTTCTTTTGAAAATTAAACAATGTTCGTTCCAAATGCATAATTTGAAACTCTAGTTGTTTGTTCCCTTGTCCATATTTCATTTCAGAAATAGAAATGCATCAAAATTGGCTGATTTTTAAATTATGGATGTTATTTCTATTTCCAGGCATTTGTCTTGAGAGAAATATGTAATAAGAATAAAACTTAATGAATGCATAAAGTATCATTTAGAAGGTATTTGTTATTTCAACTTTGAATATTAATTTCTAGGAACGTATCCAATACATATCCTAACACGTTCTGATTATGCTGTTCATCGTCTTTGTATTGCTCAATACTTTCCTAGAAAAAGACAATGAAAAGCCTGAGGCAGAATGATTTCTTTAAATGTGGTTAAAAGTTTGAATTAGAATTTCCATTTTTTTGATTCTGGTTTATGGAAACAAACTTTTGTAAGCCTGCCTAAGACCAGGTTATAGATTGGAAAGTCATTCACACCCAAGTTTTAACCTGCATCAAATCTTAAAGCCAGTGTTTTGATATGCCATCCCGTTTTTCTATTAGCTCCATTGTTTTACTAAGGCTCTTGCATACTCTTAACGCTATTAATCATAACTTCTTCCCCTCTTTTGGAGGAAATAGTATAAAGCAATCCTCTACTTATCAGAGGAGAAGGAAGACAGTGTATCTAACCCACAAAATGGTAGCATTTTTGTTTTAGAAACCAATCTTAGAGTAGAAATCATAGTGTTCCTTTGCTTGTTAAATACATGTAAAGAATCAGCTCATTCTCTCACACATGGACCCATATTTAGTTCATCAGCTGATCTTATTGACTCTACTTTAAAATTGATTCTGCATCTGAATACTTCTTACCACTTCCAGGGCTCTCACTATTGTGATATCGTCTTGTCTTGATAGTTACAATAGCCTCGCCACTGACAAGGTGATTGTCCTCAATGAATTAAATAATTAACTGTGGCAACAAAAGAGAACTAACTTACTGTAGCACGAGAAGTTATTTGAGTTCAGAGATTAAAATTTTTTTCTTGTTTATAATTTTTAAAAATTGTTGTATTGGTTGTATGCTTGACACATTTAATGTGCTCAAAAATGCTTGTCAATGAGTAGAACATAAAAGCTTATTTATGTTTTAGCAAGATTTATGAAATGACTGCTATGTGAGACAGTCTAGTAGGGGCTGGGATATGTAAATAAAGAAGGATAAGATCTTCACATTAGAGGTACTCACAGTCTGATGAGGAGACAGACATAGAAGACACAGAGTAGTGAGTGGCAGAGCAGAAATTTAAATTTTAGAGGTTATAGATTGCAAAGCCTGTCATACCTAAGTTTTAACCTGCATCAAATCATATGGCCAGTGTTCCCATTTGCCATTCCTTTTTTCTATTAGCTCTATTGTTTTACTAAGGCTCTCACATGCTCTTAATGCACTATTAATCATAACTTCTTGTGGTAGCACAGAGAAGGGGCACCTAATATTCCTGTGCAAGAACTCAGGTAATCTTTCACTGTTCTAACAACCATGTGGGTGAGGAAGGAGGGGTGTGTTATTGGACTTTTATAATGAGTTAGGAATTCACCTTCCTTTTCCTGTATATTCTTGAGAAGAGTTGGTTTCCCAGAGGGCAAGTGATATATGTAGGGTAAATCCACGGAGATTTTTCAAACTCATCTGAACTCTTGATTTTAGAGTTATTTTTGCTTTGTCTTGTTTATTTTTTGATATCAGTCTAGATATTTCATATATAGACAAGTTTTGAGTTTAAGGAGCTCTCCATTACGTAAAAATCTAGTTTTGAGAAATAAGCTTGAAAAAAGTGGTTATGATGTGACCAGCACTTGATGTGTTATTTTTTCTTTTTTGGCCATTTTGTAAGACAGTTGAAACTGCTGTGTGGTAATTTTCCAGCTTAAATTATTTCCAAGTTTCCTATAGTATCCATCGCAGATATCTTCTCATTTAGTTGCCCTTGTAGTTTCTGCCCTGGTTGACATTTTATGTTGTATCCTAACTTCTTTGCAGCTGAGTCAACTGTTGGTATAAAAATGTGGGCCTTCTTTAGAGAGTCAGATAAATGGTTTCCAGACAGATCCAATTTTTGTTCAGGATAGTTTCATAATTTGCCTTGTAATGCTAGTGTCCTGGATTTAAAGCTTAGGCATAACAGTTTTATCTTGAGTTATGAAAATATTCTTCCTCAAAACTTTTTAGGGGATGTGTGCATGTCAGTAGGTTCAACAAGCTGTATTTCCAGTAACTTTGCTTAAATTGCATTCGTTTTTATTTCAGCCTTTAATATTATTTGATTTCTCTCTTTCTCTACCTTTTATCCTATCTCCCCCTACCCTTTGTTGACGTATGTAAAGATGGCCTTGGGACTGAAATATTGTCACATTTGCTGACTCAAGTTAGTTTTCAGTGAAGGAAAACCATTAATTACCTTTGTAAATTAATGATTTATTTAGTCATGTCAGTGTACTTTATTTAACGTAATATTTCTGTTTAAGGTGTTTGATGAACTGTTTTTACTTCATGTAATAGCCATATTCTAAATAAAGTGGCATTTCTGGAACTCTTAAGACATTGAAGGAATCTCATAACCTTTTACCAAAGAGATACTATTTTGGACATGCTCTTGTGTTATTGAAGCTTTTATATTTCTGATAAGATCTATCTCCTTATAATCTTTAGAGCCTCTGGGAAAGTGAATGCTCTGAGTTGTAAAGAGCATGCTGAAACATAAATCTATAATTACAACAGCATTTCTTATCTTTTGAATTATAGGACAGTTCATCAAACCAGTTAACAGAATGTGTGTGTGTGTTTATCATGAGATTGTCAGCAGTTTTATTTTACGTTTTCTTTATACTTAAGTGTCAACAATATGAGCCTTTCTTGTCCTAAAATAGAAGCTTCATAAAACCTTTCCTGTCTTGACGATGGAACTATACCTTGTTCAGTGTGTGATTAGCACACTTTTGAAAATTGGACTAAAGCAGATTTTATGTGTACACAGGTACTTCTTCAGCGCAGATGGATAGCCCCTTTAAAAGTTTGGGATATTATGCATGTTCAGTGTGCTTTTGATTTTGTGGTCTATTCTGAATATGTCAATATGTCATATATTTTCATTTATGATAAGGCTCATTCAGAATTTAATTTTTGATTTCTCCTTTCTACTTTAGGACATTAGTCCTCACATAACTTGCTGAAAACTTTTCTGAATTTTTCACATTGTTTTTCTAAATTCTAATGTTAAGGCCTCAGCCTTTCTAGCATTTTAAGAGAGAAGACTAGTCAGGGGATCAGGTTATGGGGTTGTATTTAATAGGTTCTTTCACTTTAGTCAAGTTATGTAGTCTGTCTGCGCTTTGGTTACCTAAAATGTAAAATTAGGGGTTGGTTTATTCTCTAGGGTTCTTTCTCAAACTCAGCCATTATCTAGGATATCTTTCTTCTTGGATCTCATAGACTGCTGTAGTTAGCTTCATCTGCCTTCCTCCCTACCCTCCAAAAGAAGTTACCTACATTCCCTAGCTCCAGGCATCTGTGTCCTTTCACCCTGAAACATTGAAGTTAGATTGTGTCTTCCATATTTTGAATCATTCTCTAATATACCACATTTTGCCTCTGGTTCTCTAGAAATTTGGTAACTTTTTGTTAATCTTGTAGAATCAGGGGATATTGCCCCCTCTGAATTGACTGAAAGACCAGGGAATAGCCTTAATAGTGCCTAAATATTATCATCTGCCGTTACTTATTTGAATGCCTCTAAATCTAACAGGATACTTGGATTAACTTCAGCCAATTTCCAGCCCCAACCCTCCCCCAGAATTAGCTGTGCTTGCTTAGTCAGCACATCTATTTCTAAAACATGAAACTGCGAGAAAGCGCTACTTCATTGGGTACCATAATTAGTGTTCAAATAAATATGCCCAAACCAGATGAATGGGACAAAAGTAATGACATTTCATGCAAATGTTTGTTGACTCTATGAGAGTAGGAGCCTGCCTGTCTGTGTCGTTTACTCTATCTCCACACTCGATCTTAGCCAGAAGGCCGAGAAGCAATCACTTACTCCATCTTTAGTGGACATGAGAATGTCTTGTCTAGAATAGGACTTAGGTAAATATTTGTTGGATGAGGGGGATGAATGAATGAAAGAATGAAATTATAACTGCTGAAGTATGGTGTGGAAGAGCTTACTTAACTCTTGGATTTAGGATCTTGGAGTACATGCAGACAATGGAGACCACTATGTGTCTGAAACCTAATCAAATAAAAAACAGGGGAAAGGAACAGAAATCTTTACCTGGAAGTTTAGAAGCCTTAGTGGGGGTGAAGGATTTGTTTGTTTAGTTTAATTGTTGCATATAGCTTGGACACTGATGGAGAGAGTTTACAGCTTTGTCAGGTACTCTGTTCCTTGACACTTGTGTTCATTTAGTGGTTGGATGACTCAACTGTCAAAAATGCCAAATAAGGGAATCCTGAAGGAGCAAGTAGTTGAATTTACTGATCTTTAAGATCCATGTGAGCCCATAGTCCTACAGCTTTTACTTCAAAGAGAGCTTGGACATAGCATACAACTGTCCCACAGAGGATAGTGAAGTGGATAATGAAATTTTCTTTTTTTTTTTTCTTTTTTTTTTTGAGACGGAGTCTCGCTCTGTCGCCCAGGCCGGACTGCGGACTGCAGTGGCGCAATCTCGGCTCACTGCAAGCTCTGCTTCCCGGGTTCACGCCATTCTCCTGCCTCAGCCTCCCGAGTAGCTGGGACTACAGGCGCCTGCCACCGCGCCCGGCTAATTTTTTTGTATTTTTAGTAGAGACGGGGTTTCACCTTGTTAGCCAGGATGGTCTCGATCTCCTGACCTCATGATCCACCCGCCTCGGCCTCCCAAAGTGCTGGGATTACAGGCGTGAGCCACCGCGCCCGGCCGGATAATGAAATTTTCTATGTTTTCTAAAGAGACCGAACTTATAGAGATTTTTCTGACAATATCAACATTCTCAAGAATATCAAAAGATTGAAGTAGTTTTGTCTTCTTATTAATAAGAGACAAGTAATGGAGACCACAGAAAAGTAGTAGTGGATGAAAGAGAGTTGGCTTTGAGGGAAGTGAGAAAAGAAAGATCAATTATAACATTATTTTGAATTGCTTAGATGTAAAATATGGGCAGTCTTCTAATACATCGGTAGTCTCTGATAGGGTATTTATTTTCTTTATTACTATCAGACCATGAAAATACTGCACCATCAGGAGGCCTTATGTACGTGTGGGGAGAAACCTCCTAGGACACCTCAGTAGCCTCCAAGGTTATAAGCTCTGCATGGTAATTGATGAAATCATCTTTCACATATTGAATTTGTGTCTTCAAAAAATGTTTAAATCATTTATTCAGCAAAGTGGAGGAGTTTAAAGATGATAATAAACTTGTTTTGTGGACTCCTGAAATTAACAGTTTATTTGGGGAGATAGGTTCACAAGCAAATAATTATATTACAATTTGAAAAAAATTAAAAAATTATGATATACCTAATATACTATGGGAATGATTTGCTTCAGGAGTTCAGGAAGAAAGAATGCAGCATCTTAAAGGATAAACTTTGAAGGATAAGAAGGTATAGGTGGTAGATACACAGGAACAGTAGGGAGGCAAATATCACCTAGAGACTTAGTAATAATGTTGCTTTCTAATGAGTAAATGATACAATTATCAAATACTGTTCAGAGCTGGGATGTTAATTTTTCAGAAAACTCCTAGATATGAGCAAGACTTGGGAAAATATTAATCAATCTAAAGAAATGATGTATTAATTGGTAGGGAGAGTTTGGACAGAAACTCAATGTGGAAAAACAAGAAAGTTAGGGAGATACACCTCAGCACCCTCCATGCAAATACTACCTAGAAGAATGAAACTCCTGTTATTGTGGTTTGTAAATTCCTGATGTGTGGTGAACATGCTGGACTTTCATTAGCCGGATGCCATTTGAACATTGTTTCATAAAACAAACTCCCCTTGCTCTAATTTCCTATTCGTTAACCTATAGTCTGATTATAGTTTGCCTTCCCATCTAGATCTGTCTATAGGGAGAAAATGTACTGGTTATGCTGACATGGACATTCTGATTCATATGGTAGTTATGAGTCTCATCGTAAATGAATGTAGTTAATTGAGTGGCTTTCTAGTTCATACACATTAATCTCTTGTGAGCTTAATGTTACTCTGCTGCTGAAAGTACCTCTCTGAGTACCAAAAAGAAATTCCAGTTCCTAGGTTTACAAAGCTGAGATCCAGACCCAGATGATGGACTAAGATGAACTCCTGGAGATAAATGTCTCTTGGCTACCAGCCCCATTTTGAAGTAGCACAACTTCAAGCAGAGTTGTACAAGTCAGATGTGGTCTGGGGAGACATATGTAGGCAGATTTAAGATGCTGTAAGTAATCAAATTCCAGCAGAGTGGAAAGGAGGAAGATGAGGCATGAGAGAAGTACAGAAGATAGATTATGAAAGGGTCTGTCTTTCCTGGCAGAGGATGTTTCATTTGTTTTTAAAGTAAGTTGAATTGAAAGGAAATATCATTTATGTTTCTTTTAGTAAAATATCATTCTAGCTTTCATGATTAATTCTTAATGAGTGGATCTCCTTGTTATTTTTTTTCAGTTCAGGTTGGGTTTGTGGCTCACATAATTTTCCTGGTTTTGTTGTATTTAGCAGGCCAGTTGAAGATGGTTAGGTTACAGTGTGATGACTGAAGGTGTCATAGCTAGCCATCATGGATTTGGTCCACCATTTAGACATACAATTCTAGTGATTTTTTTATTTTATTACAAGCCCTATGCATTTGGAATTTCTCTAGTAATGTAACTGTATAATCATAATGATTTAGAATTATTTTTGCCTAGAGTGGGTCCCCAAGTCCTTGTAATCTCTGAAAGGGCTCCCTTTTCTTTAAGTATATAATGACAAGATGAAAAGTACCTTCATCTTTCTTTTATCAAATTTTCACGACTCAAAAGCATTTATGTGGTAAATGCAATTGCATTTGAAACTTAGAATTTTTCTAAAGCTATGTTTTGGTGAGATAAAGGTGGTAACACTTATTTTTTTCCTCAAATGAAGAAACTAGCATCATATTTAGCAGTTTATATTTTCTGGTGTTTTACTAATGTTCAGTGAAAGCTTGAAGTCAGTGTCTGACATCATCTTTTACTCTCATTCATTACTGAGAATATATTATTAAAATGGGAAAAGGTTCTTTTTTCTACTTCTTTTTTTCTTTTGGTTAGGGACTTATTATAATTTTGTTTGCCAGATATCTTCTCACCAGTTCCCAAACTGCCCTACGATGGAACTCTATAATTTTACCTCAGTTAATGAGTAGATTAAAGTGTTTTTATTTTGGTAAAGTAAGGGGACTGATGGAATCAGATTTCTTTTCAAATCCACTTCTAGTTGGTTGAACAGATATTACAAGTATTTTCTTGCCTCCACTTAATAGTAATCACCTTGTTTAATTTCTTTCAATGCCTTAGGAAAAACATATAAGCATTGAAGAGGAGCACTTAAGGAGGATGGAAGAGGCCAGATTGCAGCTCAAGGATCAACTTCTTTGCTTGGAGACTGAACAGGAATCCATTCTTGGTGTGATAGGAAAGGAAATTGATGCAGCTTGTAAAACATTCTCCAAGGACTCAGTGGAGAAATTAAAAGTAATTATGAATTCTCATTGCACCTTATATTTTCAGTTAGTTTCCTAATATATAATTGTAATAGGATTTTCATGTGTGGTAGTCAGATTATTATTATGGAAAATTTTATAAAACAAAATAACATTTTGCATTTTTTAGAATAAGGCGCTGGATCTATTGCACAGTTGTGGTGAGAGAACGAATGATGTTATTTCATTGAATTGGCTGTGTCTCACTCTGTAAAAAAAAAAAAAAAGAAAAATCTTATAAGAGAGGTAGCCCTTGGAGTCAAGAGGCCTGGAATTTGAGTTTTCACTATCGCAGGCTATTTTTGTTGTTGTTGGTATATTACCGGCTAACATCTATTGAGTACTATAGTATAGGTACTGTAGTATGCATGGTGCTTTAGTCTCTCCATTATCCTCTGAAACAACCCTATCTTTTAGTTACTCTGATTAAACCCACTTAAGAGAAAGGGAGGTTTAGACGGTTTAAGTAACTTGCCCTTGGCTGTACATCTGGTTAAATGCTAAACTAGGGCTTCAAACCTATGGAGTCTAACTCTGGAACCTAAATTAATAACCACTATGTTATCCGCCTTCCCTGTTTAAACCAGCTGTATTTAATTTAGCTTTTCTATTTTAACAAATGGAATACTGCTACACAATTTAGAGTCATAGTAAAATGATAAATAAACACAGAAGTGATCATGGATGCTCTGAATTCCTTGCAGGTAAGCACTTCTGTCAGCTCTAGGTTTTGCTGCTATTTTACATACAGAGAACATTACATTGTTTTGATATGTGTAGCCATAATACATTACAGTTTAGCATCATTTACCCCTCTGTTTACTGCATTTGGTGATATGATGGCATTCACATTGTGATATTATGCTGAAATGCTTTTTATTTTTCAGCAGTTTCTACTATTGATTTTGACATTTATTAGTCTTTTTCCTCTTCTAGAATGACCTTCCTTTCTCATACTACTATGTTCCCCTCTTTTTTCTTGCTCTTTCTCTCTGCCTTTTTTTCTATCTTAAATTGTGTTTAAAGGAAAATATAACTAATTCTCTTGCAGTCAAGACATTTTTAGAATTTGTCTTTAATGGAAATATTTTAACTAATAGAATTTGGTAGAGTTGATGGAATTTTTACAATATGTATTCCCATTTACAATTTTTTTTTAAGTTCAAGTGTTACTTTGAAAAGACTATGAGTCTAATATGAGAAGTAATTGGCTTTAGGGGGAAAACTAACTCTTTTAGAACTATTGTAGGGCCTATGATAATTCTAACTTTTTTTTTTTCCTAATGCTGCTTTTTAAATTTAAGACTTGTCATATTTGCGTTTATTTAATGAATGTGGAGCCTTGAAAATCCTAATTTTTATCTAGAAGAAGTATATATTAGCAATGCAATATTTATTCTATATTTAAATATTTGTAACAGCATGGTTTGTTTTCAGTCATGTAGGAAGGTAAAATGGAAACATTTGGATCATGTTGTAAGATATATATATGTATACACACACACACACACACACACACACCTATATATATGCACTCACATATGTGCATATATATACACAGTTTGTTATGGGCAATTGCAGGCAAATACATGATGTGCAGATAGCAGATTGCTTAAATATTTTATTTCTTTATGAGTCACAAATTATCCTTCCAATATATTCCAAGAAGCATCCAATTTTTTATAGGCTTTCAGACATGGAGTGACTGTGGTAATGGGTTTTACACTTCTTCCCCTAGAGAAAGACTAATTCAATCCAAGTCTTGGGTGGAAAATAGATCTAAAAGAAAGGAAATTCTATTAATTTTTTAAGAGTCTACATTTTTTTCATTGTGGGCCTCTTTTCATTAGTAACTTCTGTTGTTTTATTGCTGTAAACCTGGGAAAGAAAAATGGAATGCTCAAGAACATAGCACTCAAGAAACATGCTTAAGAAACCACCCAGGGGTGTGGTAAAGATAAAATTTATGTTTGTTTTGTAGTTTATAGTTCTGAGAGAGTGTGGAAGAATCATGTAAAATGTTTTCAAAAAAGGAATAATTCCACTTAGTCATTTATTGATTCTTGAAATATTGCTGATGAGATTTTCAGCCATTGTATGTAAAGAGTAACAGTGCTATGGAATAGATTAGAAAATAGATATGTAATAAATGAGTTTGAGAAAAGTCCTGGGAATGTTGATGTTATTTTTAGTTACATTTTTCTTTTTCAAGTCACTGTATTTGTTACTTATTCCACTTTAGTTAATGTATGTGTTTGACAATGAAGGACAGACGTACACTACAATTGTAAAACAATTAGGAAAGTGTCTGAATTAAGATGTATCATTCTCACAGGCCAGTTTTTGATAATCCAAGAGCTCAAGTAAATAGATTAGTTCTGCACTGTACTTATTTTAGTCTCTCTCTTTCCATAACACTTGGTCTGAGTATTCATTCAGTTTTAGAGCATGAAGACGATGGGCTTTGGATCAAGACAGGTATAGGTTCATATTGGAAGTCATTGCAAATTTCTAATATATGACCTTGGATAAGTTATGTAAGCTCTTTCTTCTCTAAGAGTTCATGTCCCCAGTTATAAGTTGGCTCATTGAGAAGATAAAGTGAGGTAAGATATAGAAGGTGCTATTATAGGGTCAAATATCTTGCGCTTAGTGGATACTCAAGTAATGTTACCTATCATTATTTTGTATTGCCTCTTTTAGTAACATGTTCACAAATACATATGGCTTCTCTTTCTTTATATTTTTAATGACAAATGCCTGTTATAGTGCTTTTTTCATAATAGGCCTTGAAGCCTATTTATTAATAGTGACATCTTGATATGCAGTAGCAGTGGTTTATTGTGTTCTCTGTCCCAGACACTGTGCTGACACCGTTCGTTAAATGGTTTTTTTTTTTTTTTTTTGAGACAAAGTCTCTCTCTTGTCCCCCAGACTGGAGTGCAATGGCACGATCTCTGCTCACTGCAACCTCCGCGTCCTGGGTTCAAGCAATTCTCTTGCCTCAGCCTCCCGAGTAGCTGGGATTACAGGCATGCGCCACCACGCCCGGCTAATTTTTGTATTTTTAGTAGAGACAGAGTTTCACCATGTTGGCCAGGCTGGTCTTGTACTCCTGACCTCAGGTGATCCACCAGCCTCGGCCTCCCAAAGTGCTGGGATTACAGGCGTGAGCCACCATGCCTGGCAGGTTAAGGCTATCTTCTTAAACATGTAGCTATAGGTAAATCTGTAAAGCAAATAATAAAATGTGAACATTACTTGTACTTATACCCAATTATCTTATACTTTGATATTAAACATTAATATCTTTATTAGGCCACAGAAGATTTAATTGACATGTATGACATTCATGAATGAAAAAGAATAATAAAAGTGTATTCTAATCAATGACAAATGGATGTATGCAAATATTCAGCAATGTAGTAGAGAACTGGAAGAGGAAGGAAATACTGTGAACTCGGGTGATTAGGGAAAATTTCCTTGAAAAGGCAGGGAGGATATGAGAATTGGGTGAGATTTAGATAGAAAGGTGGATGAGAGAAAATTGGATATAAGAATACAATATTCACATATGTGATATGTGGTGGGCACTCATTATGCTTTCAGCATTTGTCTAAATGAGTTAACTAATGATATTCCTGACAAAGAAGCAATGTGCACACAGCTCAGGAGGTATGGAGGTATTTGAGAATAGGAATAGACTTCTCCTTGTAGAGAGAGAGGATATTTTTAAACAGGCAAATTTGAGAAAGAGGTCTTCAAAAATATTATTTGTAGCACAGAGTTCAACAAAAGTACAAATTGAGAAAAAACTTTTGTATTTACAATTATAAAGTCATTGCCAACTTTGAATACAGTTTTACTTTAGTAATATGACAAAACCAGATGCAAGGGATTTTATAAATGAGTTGGCGTGAAGGAAGTCAAAGCAGCTAGCGCAGATGAACTATTGAAATACAAGGCAATGTTTGCGTGAAGTCATGTCGATGAGTTTGTGTCTATTGACAATCATTGATAAGACAAAATGGCCCTTTTACTATTAAATTAAAGAAGGATAAATGAGAGAGAATTGTTTCCATGTAATCACATATAACCCTCTTTGAAGTACATTATGTAGAACACGACTGAGGAGAGGAAACAAACAGAAATGAAATAAACTGACTTTAATTGAAGCTGTTTGCCATATGGAACTCCACAGAATCAGCCTCCATATATCCTAGCAATGATAGCACTTGATAGTTGATTTTTCCATCAAAATATTTATTGCCAATACATAAATAAATGAATACATACATAAAAAGGCATATAAATGAATGCTAGTTTGGAACTGGTTGAGTATTTGGGGCAACAATTTTTCTTTTTAAATCCTTAAATTGGGGAACTAAACTTTTGGATACTGTGGTGAAGAATTTCATTTATATATGTTTATGTCAGAGAAAAATGTATTTCTAATCGACTGTTTTCTCTTTTGTAGGTTTTTTCATCTGGTCCTGATATACATTATGACCCACATCGCTGGTTAGCAGAAAGCAAGGTAATTAATCTTTAAATCCTAAAGTTATTGTAATATTTATGATCTTTAAGCCATCCTATTTGGTTTAGCTATTTATTTTGTTATGTAACTGAACATATGAAGCTATAATGCTTAATTGCAGGGGAAGATATCACTGCAGTCCACTTAGGGAATCTCCATGTTTCTTATTTTAACATTTTAAAGTTAAATATGTAGGCCTAGAAAGAGAGAATAAAGGAAAGTAAAACTGTTGAAATATTAAGAACCAGATTATAGATATATGTGAACATTGACAAAGGAACACAGAAGAAGGAAGAGCTAATTCTATTGTTTGTGCTGGGAGAAAGGGAGGGTATGATGCTACCAGCATGTCATAGACAGCTTCTGGAAAAAAGCAATATTTAAACTTGGCCTTGCAAAAATATGTAGTTCTCCAGTTAGTTAGTTTTGGGTAGAACAATGACATGAAGATGAGAATATTTGAGTAACCACAGATAATGCCCTGAGATTGGTGAGTAAGACATGGGTGGGAGGTGATGGAAAGATAAAGTTTACCTTTGAAGGCCAACTATGCATTAGAGAAGCCTCCTAAAACAAAGCATTCTTAACAAGAAAATGAAAGTATAGTGATTGAGCATTAGACTTTAACAACAGTGAACCTGTGCATTTCTAGCCATTTTTGATAGAAACAAATACAAATTTGTATTTATGCCACCTGAATAGGGAATTTAGAATACACGTTTTGCTGTCTCAGAATGTTTTGGCCAGAAATTTCTGTTGTGCATTAATATTGCGTTTCTCATTTTTCTTTTCCTCAGCTTTACAATTCTGACAACAAGAGCAATGTACTTAGAATTTTCTTTCAAGTTAAAATCTTTATCATTTCTGAACAGAAAGCTTTCACTGCAGTAGTTCAGTTAAACTATGAGAGCCACAGATGATTCTTAATCATAGCTCTTTAATTTGGGAGCTTGTGAGCAGTTTTCCCTTATCATTTAATGGGATTGAACTTCTGATCAGACCCCTTCTATTACTGCATGAGACAACTGTTCCTTCTACAGTGTAAACGGGTTGTGATGAAAAATACCACACTGACCAACTGACTAAGGGGGAATTGAATCTATTTGCTAGAAAGATGGGTTAGGTTATTGATGGGCTACAGTACTATAATTCCCATGAACTATGACTGGACAGCTCTATAAGTATTGAAGATAAGATCTGAAATCAGAGGACAAAAAACTATATGGAAAGTAGAATTGCTCTTCAGATAGTCCATTCTGACGTCTTGCAGTATTAGAAGGACCTCTGAGGGCATTCAGTAATTGTTTTCATAAATCTACCAAATGAATTTGTTCTGTTAGTGTTAATTCTAGAAAACAAGGATTGGGTGGGGATTGCACACAGTTGCTTTGTTGGCACTGGTGGCATAATAAAATTATGAAGTCCAATTGAGAGTTGGACTATACTTACAGGTAAAATAGCTAATGAATGGTAATAATAAGAAATTACAGGAAGGAAGAGGGTTGAGATGGTCTGTATTAGTCAGGGTTCTCCAGTGGGACAGAACTAATGGAATAGATCTATTTTTAAAGGGGAGTTTATAAGTATTTACTCACATGATCACAAGGTTCCACAATAGGCCATCTGCAGGCTGAGGAGCAAGGAGAGCCAGTCCAAGTTACAAAACTGAAAAACTTGGAGTCCAATGTTCAAGGGCAGGAAGCATCCAGCATGGGAGAAAAATGTAGGCTGGGAGGCTCGACCAGTCTGTCTTTTCATATTTTTCTGCCTCCTTATATTTCAGCCACACTGGCAGCTGATTAGATTGTGCCCACCCAGATTAAGGGTGAGTCTGCCTTTCCCAGCCCACTGACTCAAATGTTAATCTCCTTTGGAAACACCCTCACAGACACACCCAGGCTCAATACTTTGTATCCTTCAGTCTAATCAGTTTGGCACTCAGTGTTAACCATCACATGGTCATTAAGGAATGCCAGGTAAGCAGTTTCCGTAGATGAGGGGTATGTTTTTGTAACAAGTTCTAACAAGGTATGGTAAGGCCATGTTTTCTTCAGCTTAATGGAATTTACTGAGAAACTACTACGTCTCAGATGCTGTTACATGCTGTGGGCATAAAAAATGAACAAGACGTCCGGGCACAGTGGCTCACGCCTGTAATTCCGGCACTTTTGGAGGCCGAGGTAGGGGGAATCATGAGGTCAGGAGATTGAGACCATCCTAGCTAACACGGTGAACCCCTGTCTCTACTAAAAATACAAAAAATTAGCCGGTCATGGTGGCACGTGCCTGCAGTCCCAGCTACTCGGGAGGCTGAGGCAGGCAAATTGCTTGAACCCAGGAGGCAGAGGTTGCAGTGAGCCAAGATTGTGCCACTGCACCCCATTCTGGTGACAGAGCAAGACTCCATCTCAAAAAAAAAAAAAAAAAAAAAAGAACAGGACATTGTCCTGGTCTTTAGGAAAGACAGACAATATGCAGATAATTTCAGTCTTACAAGCAGGAGCTGTAATAGAAGTATGCAGAAGCTGCCATGGAGGCTGATGTCCCAGATGAATATTGAAACCATCCAGGTAAAGAGCAAAGAGCAAACATGCAAAGAACAAAGTTCTAGGAAAGGCACAGAACAGAAGCAATTTGATGAATGCAAAGAACACTCAAATGATTTAGCAATAGTAAAATATGAAGGTATGACACAGAGAATGGCAGGGGATGGGGCTCCAGAGGGATTAAGTTCATCCAGTAGAGCATTGTTTGCCATTTTGAGGATCCTGGATTCAGATCTACATTGCATGGAGAATCACAAAGGAGTTTTGAACAGGAGAATGGCATGCTTATATTTATATTTTGGTAGTGAGGTGAAAGGTAGATTAGAGTTGGTAAGATTTGAGGTAGAGAAACCAGTTAAGAAGCTTTTCCCATACAGTGAGATAGAGTGAGAGTCTGAATTAAGAAAATTGTTCAAACATTCAGAGGAAAGGACAGACTGGAGTAATTTTGTTGACAGCATACACATGATGAGAGATGTTATATTCTAGGGTAATGGAGAAAGAGATTTCCAGGATTTTCTAGCCAAAGTAGTCAGGGATTGGTATCTGAATAAATGATCATGTAGTGTCCCAGATAGGCAAATTCGTGGCAGTATTGAAAGAGTTTCCACCAGAGAGACTGATAGTCAGAAACTTCTATTTGGACAGGAAGGCCCCAAGAGAAGCAAGGACAAAGACACAGATCACAGTTTTTGTTCACATCATGGCAAGAAGTGAGAAGTACC
This sequence comes from Homo sapiens, assembly GCF_000001405.40. Lineage (NCBI taxonomy): Eukaryota > Metazoa > Chordata > Mammalia > Primates > Hominidae > Homo > Homo sapiens. The sequence goes on along the minus strand of NC_000014.9, from coordinate 80,753,620 downwards.
AAAGATATTCACATTGAGACGGTAGGGATAACATGTCAAATCTAGCGCAGGCCAGCACTCTCAGGATGGACTCACATACTAGAGATAATCACTGTTGAGCCCACATGTTACATTATTGTTTTGTGACAGAGAATAAAGAAAAGCTAATATTAGCTGTGCTTCCACATCAGGCAGGATCCTGAGTGCACTGTTGTTCATAGGAGACACATTTAATTCCTATATCCAGTATTTATTCCCTTAAGAGACAGAAAGGTGAATTTATATACTTTTTTGACGGTATAAAGCTATACTTTTTCTTCTTGGCCTTTGCCCCATTGTGTTGAAATTCCCCGTTTGCTTCTGTGTCTTTAGTCTGTAAATGTTACTAGGGAAGATCTGTGCTTATCCTGTTCCTTATTACATCTTTAGCACTTATCACAATGCCTGGCTAAATGTTCAATAAATATTTTTTGAAAGAGTAATTATATTGGGCATGCTGCATTTTCCCAGTTGAGGCACTTCCTTAACTTAAATATTATAGAAAAATAAGCAACAAGCAGATGAGATTTCAGTGAATATATTAATTCCCAAGTACTGGTTTTATTTGGTAATAGCTATAAACTTGGAGATTAGATGGGTAAGAAATACACTTCCAAATTTAGGGAGAAGATTTGTTTATATTGTGTTGTTTGATACCACCCCAAAGAGTTACACTTTTTATAGTATAGTATATTCTAGGCATTGACAAGCATTTGCTTTTCCACACTGTTTAACTGATGTAGCTTTAGAGATCACATAGTTTGACTGCCTCATTTTGTAGATTGAAGAAGCTGAGGCCCAAGATGTTTTTAGTTTTACCTAAGGACATAAAACTAATTAGTTACTGCGAAGGGCTTAGAACTCAGGTCTCGGAACTCTGTTCCATCATTTGTCTCCCTTGGTTGTGTAATCCACACTTGAATATAAACCTTACATTTATGAATATTGTCTTTTTATTGATGTGGATTTTTTAAAACATTGTGTGAGAAGTATTAGGCCCAGTGTACTTAATTCTTATTGATAGATGTGGATAAATATCTAATATTTTATCCTTCTGATATAGAATGGAAAATACTGTACTCAGTATCTTGACTGACTTGTTGGAAATACACTTTAGATTATTTACGTGGAATATATTCAGTTAATTGAGCAAAAGTATATGTATTGCTGTGGAGATTATTTTGCTTTTTTCTTGATTATATTTATAACTTAGTGAAAAGGTAGAGAAAGTATTACTGAAAAAATTACATATTTTTAGGTTGACTTGTATTTGACTTTTGCATTTCTAATTTAATTCTTGTTTAGATGGCTGACCACATTCTAAAAAATTGCCATCCTCTTTATCTCTGTTTCTTATACAAACATTTTCTTTCAAAATTGTTTCTAGAGGTTTGGGAAAAGAAGCATAGTAATTAAAGGAGCAAAATTCTGGGTCCTAATATTATTGCTACCTTTATAAGCTATAATCTTTTTATTTAAATTTTCTGTGGTCCTTGATTTTTAGCTTTGAGTCATTTCTTAGTGGCTTTAGTATATCATTACCCTAGGACTCAGTAGAGGATTCTCACAGATTAAAAAGTTCATCTTGGTAGTTTTACTAGATACTTATGAATATTCCCACCTAATTGGAAGCTATCAACTACTCAACTGCAAAGGTTTAAAAAATGCCATTACCTGGGTGCGGTGGCTCACACTTGTAATCCCAGCACTTTGAGAGGCCGAGGTGGATAGTTCATCTGAGGTTGGGAGTTCGAGACCAGCCTGACCAACATGACGAAACCACCATCTCTACTGAAAATACAAAAATTAGCCAGGCGTGGTAGCGGGAGCCTGTAATCCCAGCTACTTCGGTTGCTGAGGCAGGAGAATCGCTTCAACCCAGGAGGCAAAGGTTGTAGTGAGCCTAGATTGTTCCATTGCACTCCAGCCTGGGCGGCAGAGTGAGACTCCATCTCAAAAAAAAAAAAAAAAGACATATTTACAAATTTATTCTCTGTTTTGGTTTATTTAGCAATACTTGTTGATGTAGTTAAATAAATGATCCTATTATGTAATCTGTAAAATACTCCTGTGAGTGGTTAATAGAATGGTTTTTGCTCTGTGATTAATAGCCTTGTCAGCTAATTATTATTGGGAATTGTTAAAGTTATTTCTATATTGTGTTCCAAGCTGCTTCCTCAAGACACTTAATGAAGATGTTGGGTATTTATCCAACAAAGACAAATTCTCATAATTGATTATTGATTGATTAAATTTCCATAGGTTGATATTTTATTTTGTAGGATTAATAATATATTCTGCATACAAATTCAATTCATAAAAAAAATCTAACTATAGTTAGCTTTAAATTTTGTTTGACAATGGAATAAAGTCTTCGTAAGAATAGACTGAAGCCATAGGTCATATTATATTAATCTGTTCAGGCTGCCATAACGAAATACCACACAATGAATGACTTGAACAGTAATTTATTTTCTCACAGTTCTGGAGGCTGTAAGTTCAAGATCAAGGTGCCAGGTTTGGTTTCTGGTGAGACCTCTCTTCCTGGCTCATAGATGGCCACCTTCTCTTTGTGTGCTTATGTGACCTTCCTTCTGTGAGGCTGGAAGAGAAAGAGAGTTCTGCTATCTCTTCTTCTTATAAGGACAGGATTCCTGTCAGATAGAGTCCACTCTTATGACCTTATTTAACCTTAATTTCCTCCCTAAAGGCCCCATCTCCAAATACAGTCACACTTGGGGTGAGAGCTTCAACATATGAAGTCTGAGGGGACAGAATTCAATCCATAACACATATCAAACCTAATACTTTGTGAGGGATTTTTTGTTGTTGTTGTTATTGTTTTGTTTTTTCCCCAGAACCATTAGTATTATTGTTAGGACAAAACAGATTTATTGTTTCTCCATTACCATCTCTTAGGAGTAGCAGTGACCATAGGTAGTAATTACACAAAGGTGAAAGACTGGGATGGAGTAGGTGGAAAAGCATTGGAGAAAAGGCAACGTGAAGTGATTTTTTAAATTTGCAGTTAAATCACTGGGTTAGAAGAGATTACTGGAGGATCATGCTGGGACCGATTTTGTTTGGACCACATGGGTTATTAAAAATTGAATTGGTAGCAAACATTTGAAAACTCAGACAATTGCATAAAGACAATATCGAAGTTTTATGTGGGAAGCATCAGAAGATCTGATAAAAAAAAAAGTAGAGTTTCATTCTCATATGGCGGAAAACAGTTGGAGATGAGAAAAACCATGGACCTGACTACATTAGCAGGGGCAACTACACTATGATTTGACACGGTCCAGTCCATTCTTTATTCATTTCCAACATGGGGGAAAAGTGTTGCATTTTATTATTATGCTTGCACCGTTAATTTTCTTAGAGTAGATTTAAGAGTAACATATACATTTCCATATTTTCTGTCCACTTCTTTTATTGATGTTTTCTACCTTACGCTTATGATTACTCACATTTGCCATCAGTGATGCATACCAACCAGATTAAATCCTACTATGTTGTCTCTATTGACAGGAGGTTGAAAAACTGTCTTCTTTTTCACTCCTGTGGAGTCTGTGGTCAACTGTAAATGTCATATCTTTTATCAGTCCATGTTCATTTTACTATTTTTTAAAATGTATTCCTTCAGATTTATCTCTTTTAAATTTTATCCTCTGCTTATATATTTCTTTTGTTTGCCAAAGTTGTTTAATTTGTAATCTGCTAAAAGTTGATATTTTGCTATAGGCATGCAATGTATAATGATCACATCATTGTAAAAGGGATATCTATCACCTTAAGCACTTGTTTCTTATGTGTTTCAAATATTCCAATTATATTCTTTTAATTATTTAAAAATGCATGATAAATTATTGTTCATTGTAACCACCCTGTTGTACTATCAAATACTAGATATTACTCATTCTATATATACCCATTAACCATATGCACTGCCTCCCTCTCCCACTACCCTTCCCAGTCTCTAGTAACCATCATTCTACTTTCTATCTCAGTGAGTTCAATTGTTTTAATCTTTAGTTCCCAGAAATGAGTGAGACATGTGAAGTTCGTCTTCCTTTTTCTGGCTCATTTCACTTCACATAATGTCTCAAGTTCCATAAATGTTGTTGCAGATGACAGGATTCACCTTTTGTGTGGCTGAATAGTACTCCACTGTGTATATGCACCACATTTTCTTTATCCATTTGTCTGTCGATGGACAATTAGGTTGCATCCAAATCTTGGCCGTTGTGATTAGTGCCACAACAAATGTGGGAGCGCAGACATCGCTATCCTGATTTCCTTTCTTTTGGGTATATACCTAGCAACGGGATTGCTGGATTGTATGGTAGCTCTATTTTTAGTTTTTTGAGAAACCTCCATATGTTCTCCGAAGTGCTTGGGTTACCAGGCAGAGTCTTTTTTTCTCTTCCCTACTTTCCCTCAAAACAAACGCAGTGTTTCTCTCAGTGCTGAACTGCCTGGAGGTGGAGGAGGTTTGAAACAAGCACCTCTGTGTCCACAACCACTGGGACTGTGGTGGGGCAGACCTGAAGCCAGCACAGTACTGAGTCTCTCCCAGGGCTTATGGTGACTATTGTCTGACTACTCCTGATGTTTATTAAAGATCCAAGGGCTCTCTAGTCAGGTGAAGCCAGCCATGCTTGTGTGTTTCTCTTCTGGGCAACATGTTTTTTTCTGGCCTAGGGTGAGTGTAGAAATGCTCCCTGGGAGCTAGGGCCTGGAGTCAGGAACTTTAGGAGTCTACTTGGTGCTTTATTTTACTGTGGCTTGAGTCGGTACCCATGTTGAAAGACAAAGTCCCTTTTACTCTTCCCTCTCCTTTGGTTAAGGAGAAGGTGTATCTCTTTGTGCCCACCTCAGCTGAGAGTACACAGGGTAACACCTAAAGCCTGTCTCACAGTTTTGTAAGTTAGAAACTTGGCTATTATGGGTTATACGTCTTGACCATTACTGATTCCTCTCTCTACTTTAACCATAACATGTGAGGAAGTATCATATCTCAAAAATGTACACTTTGGTTCTTCCCTTTGCATTTTCACTTGCTTGGAGTACTGTAACAACCTCTTGATTTCCAGCCTTCAGCATGTGTTTCATACTCTACGTAGAAAACACTTTCTAGAGAACAGCCCAATTTGCTGCCTTGACTGTCATAGGAGGATGGTGGTATACCATCTTATATTTTTCCTGTATTCTTCGTTAGTGCTTCAGTAGAAAATTATAATAGAAAGTACATATTTTATCTGGCAAAGAGTTGACCCTGTTTCCTGATTTCTGTCCTATGGAAGCTTTTTATTGTTCTGTATTCACATGGAAGTTTCAAAGGGAGTATTGAGAAGCGAAGTAGGCTTTGTTAAATTTCTGCAATCATAATTGGAAGTGCACAGCCCAATTTAATTTGCAGATTTCCTACATTTAGCCAGTGACATCCAGACAAGACAGAGGCCTATAAATTGCGTAGCCAGGTCTCGTTTATTCATAGAGGTGTAATTTTAGCTTTGTTTTTCTGCCTTGACTTACTCTCTACCGTTTAACTAACAGCTTAATTGAGATATAATTCATATATCATACAATTCGTTAATTTAGAATGCACCATTTAATGCTTTTTAGTGTATTTACAGAATTGTGCAGTCATCACCACATTTAATTTGAGAACACTTTCATCACCTCAAGTAGAAAATCAGGACGCCTTAGCCATCACCTATAAATCCAACCACCAGTTCTAGTCTGCCACTAATCTTTCTGTCCCTGTAGATTTGTCTATTCAGGACATTTGAGATGGAGTCTTGCTCTGTTGCCTAGGCTGGAGCGCAATGGTGTGATTTTGGCTCACTGCAACCTCTGCCTCCTGGGTTCAAGCAATTCTCCTGCCTCAGCCTCCTGAGTAGCTGGAATTATAGGCGTGTTCCACCATGCCTGGCCAATTTTTGTGTTTTTAGTAGAGACAGGGTTTCATTATGTTGGTCAGGCTGGTCTCGAACTCCTGACCTTGTAATCCGCCCACCTCGGCCTCCCAAAGTGCTGGGATTACAGGCGTGAGCCATTGCCCCTGGCCATAAATATAATCATATAATATGTGGTCTTTTGTGATTGACTTCTTTCATTTAGCAGAATGTTTTCAAGTTTCATCCAAATTATGATACATCCATTTTAGCATGTATCATGACCTCACTTTTTTATGGCCAAATAATGTTTCATCGTTTGGATATACTCCACTTTTTAAATCTGTTCATCATTTGACGGAAATTTGGATTGTTTCAGTTTTTTGGCTGTTATTATAATGCTGCTATGAGTAATTTCTATCTGAGTTTTTGCATGTATATTTGTTTTTCATTTCTCTTAGATACTTACCTGGGAGTAGAACTGCTGGGTTATATGGTACCTCTATGTTTAACCCATAAAGTAACTGTCAGATTATTTTCTAAAGCAATTGCACTGCTGTGCATTCGCACTGGCAGTATGTCAGACTTCCAGTTTCTCCACATCTACACAAACAATTGTTATTATCTGTCTTTTTGATTTTAGCTACCCTGCTGGGTGTGAAGTAGAGTCTCACTGTGGTTTTGATTTACATTTTCCTGATGGCTAATGATGTTCAGCATCTTTTCATGTGCTTATTGGCTATTTATATATCTTCGTTGGAGAAATATCTATTTACATCCTTTGTACGTTTTAAAAATGGCATCATTTGTCTTTTTATTACTGACTTCTTTATGAATCTGACATGTAATTCCCTTATTAGACATTGAGTTGCAAATATTTTCTGCCACTTAGCAGGTTGTCTCTTCTTTTTGTTGGTAGTGGCCTTTAAAGCACAGCATTTTAATTTCAAAGAAGTTCAATTTGTCAGCTTTTTTCTTTGATGGCTTCTGCTTTTGGTGTTACACCTAGGAAGCTATTGCCAAGCCAAGGTCACAACGATTTATGCCTGTGTTTTCTTTCAATAATCTTATAGTTTCAGCTCTTTAACATTTAGATCTGTGATCCTTTTTGAATTAGTTTTTGTATATGGTGTGAAGTAGGGGTATAAATGAATTCTTTTGTATTTGTATATTTAGTAGTCCTAGCACCATTTGTTGGTAAGACTATTCTTTTCTCTATGAAATTGTTTTGGATCTTTTGTTGAAAATCAATTGACATTTATATATGGGTTTATTTCTAGACTCTCACTTCTGTTCCATCGGTCTGTATATCTGTCCTTATGCCAATACCACACCATCTTGACTACTGTAGCTTTGTAGTAAGCTTTGGAATGGATAAGTATGAATCCTCCAACTATATTCTTCTTTTCCAATATCTTTTTTTGGCTATTTTGGAAATTTGCCTTGAATTCCCATATGAAACATAGGATCAACTCATCTATTCCTTTAAAGAAGCCAGATGGGATTCTGAAAGGGATCCTGTTGAATCTGTAGATTAGGTGGGATGTATTGCTATTTTAATAATATTCGCTTTCAATCCATTTACGTAGGATATCTTCCCACTTAGTCTTCAGTTTTTTAAAAAGCATTTTGTAGTTTTTAAATATAAGTTTTGCAGTTTTATGTTTATCACTAAAGACTTCATTTGTTGATGCTATTGTAAATATGATTATCTTAATGTTATTTTTGGATTGCTCATTGCAAATATTAATATATAGAAATATAATTAATTTTTGTATTGATTTTATGTATTATAATATGCTGGACTCTTTTGTTCTAATAGATTTTTTTAATGGAATTACTAGGATTTTCCTGCACATAAGCCTGTTACCTCCAAATGGAGATATGTTCACTTCTTCCTTTTCAATCTGGATATTTTTTATTTCTTTTTATTTTTTGTATAATTGCCTTTTCATAACCCTCTAATACAATGTTAGGAGTGATGAGAGCTGTTATCCTTTTCTTGCTTCTGGTCTTAGTGAGAAAGCATTCAGACTTTTACTGTTAAGTATGATAATAGTTGTGGGTTTTCCATAGATATTTTAAAAATCATATTAAGGAGGTTCTCTTCTATTTGTAGTTTTTTGAGTGTCTTTATTATGAAGGAATGTTTGACTTTATTATATGCATTTTCTGTGTCTTTTGGTATAATCATATGATGTTTGTCCCTAATTGTATTAATATGGTATATTACATTAATGATTTTCCTATCTTAAACCTTGCATTCTTGGGACAACTTCCACTTGATCATTGTATTAGTTTGTTCTCACACTGTTACAAAGAACTACCTGAGACTGGGTAATTTATAAAGAAAAGAGGTTTAATTGACACACAGTTCTATAGGCTGTGCAGGAGGCTTGGTTGGGGAGGCCTCAGGAAACTTACAATCATGGTGGAAGGGTGAAAGGGAAGCAAGCATGTCTTGTCTTCACATGGCTGCAAGAGAGAGAGAGCAAAGGATGAAGTGCTACACACCTTTAAACGACCAGATCTCCTGAGAACTCACTGACTATCATGAGGACAGCAAGGGGGAAACTGCCCGCATGATCCAGTCACCTCCCACTGGGTCCCTCCCACAACGTTGGAAATTATAATTCGACATGAGATTTGGGTGGAGACACAGAGCCAAACCATATTAATCATGATGTTCATTTTATAGGTTGCTGGATTCCGTTTGCTAGTATTTTCTCGAGGATTTCAAGAAAATCTGTATTCATCAGGCATATTCATAAATACGGCTTTATTATAAGTGACCTGGGGAAATGGCAGTTGGGACCCCAGTATTCTCAGCCTGCTGTGCTTGGGGTAGGGTAACCATCCTATCAGTGGCACATTGGGGGAGCAAGGGATTCTCAACATCCTGCTGCACTTGGCCAGGATTTTAGCCTATGCAAATCAGAGCTGCAAGGCTGAAAAATCCTGGTGATCTGCCCATCCAGTATGCTATCACGTACCTTGACTGTGAACTTGAGAAAGAGAAAACCCTGTTTTCTTGGCAGTGTTTTTCTGAAATGAGGAGTGGAGCTTTTATCACACTGAGGGTAGAAGGAGGGAGTCAGTTATGCCTCAAGTGCCACTTTAATGAGGTTAAATAGAGTTTCTTGAATAAATGTTTCTTCATTTGCTGTATGGCTACAGGACAATATTTAGAAATGTTAATTTTTAAAAACAATATTTTTAGCACTTACGGTTATTTCACTGGGGACCATTTCTACAGAACTCTATATATCATCATTCCAGAAGAACTGTTATGATGGCCCCCTTTTGTTTTTGATGAGACTTTATATTAATAATTTTGATACAGGTTTTATCTTCAAAAGCATGATTTTCCTACAGACAGTACATTTCATATATAACTAGGAATTGGAGGGTAGCCTGACTTAGGAAGGTCCTAAGACTTGACTGAAATCCTGCTGTATTGAAGGTGAAAGAAATATTTCTTTTCCTATTCTTGTTTTAAATATCTAAATATTAAAGATAGGTGAGGGCTGGGTGTGGTCACTCATGTCAGTAGTTCTAGTACTTCGGGAGGCTGAGACAGGTGGATTTCTTGAGCTCAGGAGTTTGAGACCAGCCTGGGCAACATGGCGAAATCCCAACTCTACAAAAAATACAAAAAACAGTTAGCCAGACATGGTGGTGTGTACCTGTAGTCCCAGCTACTGAGGAGGCTGAGCAGGAGGATTGCTTGAGCCCAGGAAGTCAAGGCTACAGTGAGCCAAGAGCGTGCCACTGTACTCTATCCCGGGCGACAGAGTGAGATTATGTCTCGAAAAAAAAAAAAGAGTGAGAGAGAGAGAGAAAGAAAGAAAGAAAAAAAGGTAGGTGAGGTTAGAATCTGTGAAGTAGAGTTGCCAGAATTCACTTTCCTTGTGTCTTAGAAGCATAAACATTAACTCTATATCTTCTAGTCAATAAAGAATCTCTCCTCATGCCTAATTAGCTAGATCAGTGGGGATATGCATTTTTAGAAGTCATGCTAGGAATTTTATCTTTTAAAAAATTCTCTGAAGGAATACTTCTTTTATAAAAAGTCTGTAGTTCTATTCTGGGATGTATTTGTTTTTTAAATTCCTATACTAGACTGCCCTGTATATCAAATCAGAGGATTACCCATAATATTATTGAAAGTTTAATAGGCCAAACTTTGTCTTTCTAAAGATGACACAAAATATTTTTTAAAAATCTACGAATACCATGGCTTAATTTCTGAACCAGCTTTTACTTGCTGTAGACCATTATGCAAATTAAACATGGATATTTTAAAATTTTGCAAAAATTTGGTAATTATCTATATTTGTTCAAATTATGTTACTTATTTTTTTCTTCATGTTTTGAAATGCTGCTCTTTTCTGAGTTTCTTTAACCATTAGATATAAATGTTATTTTTTAGACTAAACTTCAGTGGCTCTGTGAGGAACTGAAAGAGAGAGAAAACAGAGAGAAAAATCTGCGACACCAGCTGATGCTCTGCAGACAACAACTCAGGAATTTGACTGAAAACAAGGAATCTGAGTTGCAGTGTCTCTTTCAACAGATAGAAAGGCAGGAGCAGCTTCTGGATGAAATACATCGTGAGAAGAGAGGTGTGTGTTAGTTGTTCTTTCATTTTTCTTTGTTTATATTTATGGAATCCTAATCCTAGGATTGGAAAAAAACCTACTTCTGTTGCATCCCCTTTGGACTATTTCCAAGCCCATCTCCTTTTCTTGTCTTTGTCTTCTTATCTTTCTTCATTTCTGGGACGAGAAGAGAAAATTCTTCAGCCACAGCATTCCTCCTGTGTATATGATAACTGCATTTACTGGCTGTGTGCAGGAATTAATTGATAAGACATACTGCTTCTGTCTTAGTAAAATGCTGATGTTTACATTTACTTCAGTAAAATACGTCTTAGTTCATTCAATACATATTTTGTGCCCATTTTCAAGTACACACTATTCTAGGTACAGAGGATATATCAGTGAATAAAGCAGGGGGAGAAAAAAACCCTACCCTTATTTAGCTTATGTTTTATTGGGTGGAGATATACATATTACAAATAGATACATTATATAATATATTAGAACGTTGTAATCATAGTGGTGGAAACAGTAGAGTAAGGGGAATTTGGCTTCACATATTTTGGAGCTCTGTTATTAAATTCTTAGCATTGATTATGGCAATGTGTCCAGTTAGAGGCCTATTGATATGTTCTCTATAAAAGGAAAAGAGGGACTGAAGAAGCACCTTGGTAGTGGAATTGGAAAACAGGCAACAAATGCAAAAGACGTTGTGGAGGACCAGCCCAAGGTGAGGAAGAGAGAGGACTCACAGGAGATTCGAAGGTCTCAGTGGTTTTGCCATTGTGAGAAAGAGGAAAGTCAGGAACTAGTTGATTTAGTGGGAGAAAAAGAGGGTATGCATTTTTACCTAATTCTTAAAATCAAAAATGTAAGAAAAAAGAAGTATTGTGAAGGCCCAAACTTTTGTCACAAGAGATATTTTAATCTTTTGTCTGGTGTGTGAAAAATATTGTAACAGTACTGCCTGGTGGATTTGGACGTAATGAACACTTTAATCTGCTACCAAGCAAATGCTGTTAAAGTTGAGGACTTATAAATAATTACTAGAAATATAAGCAACATGCTCTTGGTAAAAAGAGTTTTGATTACTTCTGCTGAGGTCCCTGTGGGGACATTTTTAGGGCATGTCACTTTATTTAGATCTTAAAAACAAAGCAAGATTTCCATAAGGAAAATACGAGGAAGAAAGATTTTCTGCAGAATTTATCTGCGTAGTGATTTAAACTTTTTTTTTTTTATAATGGTACACATAGAGAAGGTGAAAGGCAGCGAAACTACTGATTAAGTTTAGATATTTCTGACACATCAAAGTTAATTGTTAATACTAATTTATATGTGATTCTCTTTACCATCTTAGAAACTTACCTATTAAGTAGAACAAAGTTAACCTATCTATAAGTGAAATATGACAGATAAACTTTCTGTTTGCTAGAATTAATGCCATCTCAGAGTTAATATTTTTTGGTGTGATTTAATGTCATAGTAAGTGACATTTGCCAGGTTAACTGAGGCCCTGGGAGAAGGAGTTTCCATCACTGAGTGCTGCTATATTCATAGATCCATGTTGTCATACACTTTTGGGGTATTCTGGGCCTGTAAGTCTGGAAATTTGGAATTTGGAAATTCCTGTAGGAGAGGAAATTTATTAAGGGGTTAATGTCAGGAACCTCTTAGAAGTTTAGTAATTATTCACTGAGAAATTCTTCAGTTATAAGGGGTAACAAAGACAAGAGTAAAGAGCTGCAAACTTCAGCTGGGAGGATTTAGGTATAAGAATATGTTGAAACTATCAGGTTTACTAAAACCTAAAATTTATGTGGAAATTGCAAAGAATTTTTCAAAAGTTTTCAGAAGGAGAGACATTTCTACAGTGTAGTTGTATTCTTGCTGTACAAAATGCTAGTGAATATGAACAAATATAGAAGGCAATTTTCTTATTTTTTCCTGAAACTGAAATAGTGACTCTTTTTTAAACAGGTGACTGATCTTGCTTTCCAGGCACTGGGTGGTTGTAGTTTTGGCTATTATGTGTACATGGCTTTCCTTCTTGGAATAATTAGAAATTGACATGGCCTGAAATTCCTTTACCTTAAAGATGAAATTTGATTTACTTAGTATTTCCAGTTTGGGGTAGGTGCTATACTCTTCTGGATTTGTTTTATTAGGTGGGACCTTCACCAATTCCTCACTGCCCCCATGCTGTGAGTACAATGCATAGAAAATAGTCATTCCCAGCAGCGTGTACTGTACCAAGGCTTCCTGAATCTGTCCCTTGCTGTCATGTGTCATTTGTTAGAAGACACATCTAAGGGTGAAATAAGCCATTGTCAAAGTTTCTTTGTTAGGGAGTTATCTTTTCTGAATAGTTATAAAAGGGAAAGTACTACAGGTAAGAGGATGTAGAAAAAAGAAAATGGTCTTCCAGCTCTTCAGAAAATAATGCCTTTGCAGCAGAGAACAAATGCTCAGATTATTTTTGGTTAACACCTGTGTCTTAGCCAAAAAGTAGACAGTGAAAGAAATATGCATCATTTCTATCTATCTGTCTGTCTATCTATCTATCTATCTATCTATCTATCTATCTATCTATCTATCTATCTAGATATAAATATGAATCTGTGTGTGTGTGTGTGTGTGTGTGTGTGTATGTGTATATACATTTTACTAGTTTTAAGTTTCACCCTAGTAATGGCTGTGGGTGTGGCCTGTCCTGGCCCAAAGATACTTTATTTCTTGCCTTAATGAATTTTTGACAGGCACACAATTGAGAAATGTGTTTTGTTTTATGTATCACCTAGCATAGAGTTTCTATGAAGGCAGTGATTTTTTAATGTTTTGCTGAATGCTGTGTCTCCAATGCCTAGAAAGAGCGTGGTGCACAGTAGACGTGTGAAATATTTGTTGAACAACTGAATGAATGAGGGAAGTAATGAAAGAACACTAAAGGAGCACAGTTAATAGGGGAGCCATAATACTAATATTTAGTGAAAAAAAAAATCACTCTTCCAAAAGAAAGCATAGTTTTTCCCCAAAGTTTAGATTTAGAAAGACAGAGATGATATCTTGCCATTGGCCCAAATTTATTTATTTTTCCCTGTTTTGAAATTTATTGGATACTTATTAAACTCTGAATAACCAAAATAAAAATCAGCAAATATTTGGCAGAAGTTGATTAAGTAATTTAATTAGAGTGGTTTACATATTGTTTATGACACTCTGGAATTAGGTAACAGTATTTGTCTTTTCTAATATTTCAGTTATGTATTACATTTTATGGTAGCAATATTTAAATAGTTTATATTTTATTCATTTCGTGACGGTATCCTCTAAGAGCTTCCTGATTCATTTAGGGACACAATAACATTGTTAGTATTAATTCTAGCCCTATTGTATACTATGATTTAACTCTCTAGTGTAACGTGAAAAAAATTCAAAATACCAAAATATCAAAAAAAAAGAATATTAAAACTTTGTGTCTAAAATAGTCTCAGTCTTTAAGAGTAGAATGACTATAACTTTTAGAGTATGATTCTGTATGTACTACTAGTCATAGAAAAGCTTGAGCCTGATTATGTATGTTGAGTAGAAGGGGCTGTTGATGGGAGAGGTCGAACAGGTGGAAGTTTAGCTGGTATAGCAGGATCCTGGAAGATACGGGTGGATGAGGTCAAAAGTAAAGGTAGAGAAGTGAATGTTGGAAAGAACAAGGGCAAAAGAGTTAGGGATTTCTTCTTTTAAGATCTTTTTAGTGTTTTGAATATGCTAGTATATTTGGCAGATTCACTTATCACAATAATTTTTGTAGTGGTTTTCTTATTTTGATGGGTAGCTTCTTAGCATCTGTAATTGGGTCTAATCTTTGTGTTATATAAGCTCAAAAAAAAGGATGAACATATACATAGTCTAGAAGTAGGCAGTAGAGGAAAGATACATTAGCTCCCTATCCCTTGTATATGCTCAAAGAAAGGATGAGTATTTGGAGAAAAGGAGAGAAGGGATGAGAAGTAGCCACTGGATTTGCAATGTAAAACTTTGGCATGACCTGCGTTGGTAGAAGTCTTAGGAGTGGTTTAAGCCAGATTGCCAAATCAGTATTTTTGGCAACCTGCTTCCAAAGCATAAAGCTTGTCATATGATGTATATCCAAAGCATTAGAGCCACCTTAGTGGCGAATCTGGCACACTATTCACTGATTATTCTGGCCATATACATGGCTGTGAGCATAAAGAGATGCAGTAGACTCCCCTTATGTGTGGAGACTTAGGCACCCTAGTGGATGCCTGAAACTGCAGGTAGTACCAATCCCTATATGAACTGTTTTTTCCTATACATACAAACCTATGATAAAGCTTAATTTATAAATTATAAACAATAAAACATTAATAATAATTAATAAAATAGAACAATTATAACAATATAGTATAATAAAAGTTACTCGAATGTGATCTCTGTCACTAGGTGTCTTATTATACTGTACTTACCTATTTTCGGACTGCAGTTGACAGGCAGTGATTGAAACCAAATTGAAACTGTATGACTTAGATTTTTTCTATCTAAAAATAGGGGGGAGACTACTGTATGACTTAGATTTTTTCTATCTAAAAATCTGATTTTAATCTAATGTGATAGATTTTGGATCTGTCAATAGTGTTCTCAACTTTTTAATGGTTTATTCCTTTGGTTTCATCATTCCCAGTGTTCTGAGAAACTTTTCAGCTGGTTTTTCTGCTTTTCCCTGCTCATCCTTCGAATTTCTATGCTACTTGTACAGTTGGTGGTCAATTGCTGTTAACAGAGGATAATGTCTTATAATTTATTTGTGGGACAGAAATAACGGAGGGACTCTCGAACTGTAGGTATCTTTTCTAACATGTAGTTTAGACTTTATGTTGTGCTTATACATTATTTATATATTGGTTTACTTTTCTAGTCATCCAGTCACTCATTCGTCTATCACTTATTCTGCAAATCATTTCACAGTTTTTCAGATTTGTCTTACTGAAGAAATAATTTAGAATCATGATATTCATAGAAGTGTCCTTTAGTCCCAAAACAGGAAGAAGCAAGTTTTTTCTATTCCATATTGGAGTGTAATATTTAAACATTCTGAAGTAACTTATGGGATGATTTCTAAATGTAATATCATTTATTTATTTGGACTCTGGTTAATTTTTTAAAATTGAATTTATCATCGGATTGATTGATTGAGATGGGGTCTTGCTCTGTCACCCAGGCTGGAGTGCAGTGGCGCCATCTTGGCTCACTGCGGCCTTGACCCCTCAGGCTCAAGCAGTCCTCCCATCTCAGACTCCTGAGTAGCTGGGATTACAGGTGCATGCCACCATGCCTGGCTAATGTTTTTATTTTTTAATTTTTGTATAGAGATGAGGTCTTGCTAGGTTACCCAGGCTGGTCTCAAACTCCTGGACTTAAATAATCCTAGACCTTGTTTTCCTGAGTTACTGGGATTACAGGCATGAAACTGTGCACCTGGCCTTAGCATCTTATTTTTACATTGTGACCAGCTTGTTCAGAAGTTCAATGGTGTAGATCATTAGAGATAATTAAAATAAGTGATTTTAATTGATAAATTGAGAACATTATTAAAACTCATCAGTTATTTAACATGAAGTTACCCCTTCTTTTATTTTCTTGTTGCTTTCTTTATAATTTTTTTTCTTTTTTCTTTTTTCAGACAGAGTCTTGCTCTGTCGCCCAGGCTGGAGTGTGGTGGCACAATCTTGGCTCACTGTAACCTCCGCCTTCTAGGTTCAAGCAATTCTCCTGCCTCAGCCTCCCGAGTAGCTGGGACTACAGGTGTGTGCCACCACGCCTGGCTAATTTTTGTATTATTAGAAGAGAAGGAGTTTCACCATACTGGCCGGGCTGGTCTTGAATGCCTGACCTTGTGATCCACCCGCCTCGGCCTCCCAAAGTGCTGGGATTACAGGCATGAGCCACTGCACCCAGCCTATAATTGTTTTTAACAACCAATTGAGAAAGAATAGTTTTTAAAAAATTATGCCCGCTCTTAGAGTCAAATCATAATTTTTTAAGAAATATGTTTTATTCTTAGTTTCTTTTGCTTATAGATGTTTCATTACAGTAATTTTGTTTCTCATATGTTTTCTGTTATGAATTGAAATCCAGCCTAGGTCAACAGGGATTGAAGTTAAACTACATTGGCTAAATATTCCTAGAACCAGAATTAAATTAACGATATGCCTAGGGATGCTATACACAGATCTGTGCAGATGTCAACTGTGATTGAATGCGAAATCAACATTCATGTCTTTAGTCAGTAAATGGGCAGTGGAAACTTATGATTCATTATTCTTTAGTTAACTGTAAATATCTCTGAGCCCTCCCTTTTTCACCTCTGTGTAACGGGCCTAAAATTTATAACACTTCTATTGGATGAACTTAATTTTAGAGATAAAGATTTTCAATATTTCCAGTAATGTATTCAGTTGGCAACAGACCAGTATTGATTGAGTGGGGAGTTTAAATATTTAAAGTTTGTATTTTTCCTCTTCCAAAATATTGAGGGGAGAGACAGTGTGTGTGTGTGTGTGTATGTGTGTGTATTCTGAAATATATTCTGGAAAATTCAGAAATGTTAAATATATTATGTGAATTCTTAGATTTTCTTGTTTCTTCACTTTATAGATTATTTGTGTAGCAAAGCTGTTCTTCCTTAAACTTGAATCATGAGCACACTTAGGGAGATGAGTAAGGCAAAGCTCCTTGTGCTAAAATAGATTCGATTTGAGCTTTTAGGTTACTAAGTAGCTTTCATTAAATTCAAAGCATATATTTGCTGTGTTTTTTTTTTTTTAAAACCTTATATTAGAGCTACCTTAAAACAAATGCAGATGGAAACTGTGTACATTTTGACTATTTGTTGTTGCAAATATGGATTTCTGGGAGGTCGTTTCTGCTTTGATGGTGTGTTGTAATGAGTACTATCTGTCTTTTCTATAATGTTGCATACAAAATGATAATGCCTGCCTATTCCCTCCCTCCTCTGCCAAAAGATGTCCACAACCTAACAGGGTTGGATACTGGGTTGAATCTGTGAATATGTTACCTTACATGGCAAAAGGGATTTTATAGCTGGAAAAAATTAAGGTTCTAGAGATGAGATTATCCTGTATTATCTGGGACACAATATAATCACGTGGTCCTTAAAAGTGAAAGAGGGAAGCAGAGTAGGATTCAATATGAGAAAGACTCAGCTGAAGATTGCTTATTGAAGATGGAAGAGGGGGACCATGAACCAAGGGATATGAGCAGCCTCTAGATCCTGGAAAAGACAAGGAAATGGATTCTTCCCCAGAGCCTCCAGAAAGGAAGGTACCCTTGCTAACACTTGATTTAGCCCAGTAAGACGTATTGAACTTCTAACGGACAGAACTGTAACATAATAAATTTGCATCATTTTAAGGCACTAAGTTTGTGGGAATTTGTTACAGCATCTATGAAAAACTAATATACCAATAAAATAATGAAATTAGAGATCTGTAATAGGTTCTCTGCTACTTGATTCCCTGTATATCAAGAAATTTTCCAGCCTGCTTGACCCTCTTTGGAAATGTGCACCCACTTTTGGACACTTATCAGTAAATTAGGAATATTCATAAATTACTTTTACTGTATTAACCTTGAAATATATTGAGATAGTTCTGGAAATGTGCGAAACGTGGTATTTTCAAAATGAGTATGATTTCCTTATGCCTAGGTATACGTATTTGATATTCTTTCTTCAAATATACTATGAAAATTCAAAGAAGTTACATGGATTATGAGTGAACCCGAAATGGAGACAGTCCTTATTGGCTTAGGCTGTTGTAAGGCCCTTGATATTACGTAGTCATATTTTCAAATTTTATCCTTTTATTTTGACTTGTACTATAGTGTTAAAATCTGTACTATAGTGTTAAAATGGACATCGATGGAAATCTAAAAATCACAGGAAAAAAAATAAGAAACAGAGAAATAGTGTCCTAGGCACCAAGAAGAAGTTGTTTTGGTTTATCACTTTATTTAGCTCTCAGTTTTCTGACATCTGGGAGGGATACCTGTTAGGTCATATGGTTTGTATTATCTTAAATGGAACACAGAAACTGCTTGGGAGAAGCAAACTTATTTTGAAAACTAAATTCAAGAGGAATGTATTCTCTTGAATGTAATGTAATGAATAGTGTTTTCAGTTACTGTTTTTCCTTTTTTTTTTTTTTTTTTTTTTTGAGATGGGGTCTTGATATGTCACCAGGCTGGAGTGCAGTGGTGCGATCTCAGCTCATTGCAACCTCTGCCTCCTGGGTTTAAGTGATTCTCTTGCCTCAGCCTCCCAAGTAGCTGGGATTACAGGTGTGTACCACCATACCCAGTTAAGTTTTGTATTTTTAGTAGAGATGGGGTTTTACCATGTTGGCCAGGATGGTCTCGATCTCTTGACCTCATGATCTGCCCGCCTCGGCCTCCCAAAGTGCTGGGATTACAGGTGTGAGCCACCGTGCCCAGCCCTCAGTTATTGTTTTAAACAGTAATAACATCTAACATTTATTGCTATGTGCCAGACACTGTTTAAGTGCTTTAAGTAATTTATAATTTTATTTAATTCCTAGGTAGGTACTATCATCCAGCCTAAAAAAAAAAGTCAGGGTGTCATTTCTTAGCAATAATGCAGAGTAACTAGGGACATATGGCTTTTGTGGACCCTAAAGACTTTCGCTTTTGTGGGCCCCTTCCTCCCTTAAAAAATTAAACTTTTGATTATGTTAGTATGAAGACACAATGCAGGCTAGTTTTATTATTCTGTATTCATTATTATATTCTTTTTTCCTGTTTAGAACATTTTCATGTTGGCCATCGACACTGTGTCTACTAGAGTAGTTGTCCTTTGTAGCAGTATAGATTATGCTCTAAGAGTATATGGAGGATCTAACTTCACAGATTATGGGTGAGGGAGATGTTGAAGTCAGGGTTTCCTTAGAAAGTGATGCCTGACCTTTAGCCATGTAAGGGGTGATGAGCATAGCCATTCCAGCAGAGGGAACAGCATTTATGAAGCGTTGAAGTGGGAAAGAACTTGGCTGAAACATGAAATAAGGGAACTAAAGGGCAAACAAAAATATTGTTACTGCACTTAGTAAATTTAATAAAATTATCTATGTCCTCTAACAGACTGAATTTTCAGATGCCTAGTGTACCTTTAGTGGGTTCTAAACTTCAATTTATGATTGAATTTTAAGGATTTGAAGTTTGATTATTCTTTGTTATTGATTACACTGGAGTCCAGAATGGTTTACATAATAGATGTAGTTGCTGAAAATAAACATATGCATGTCATGAAATATAAAATGGAAATATTTAAAAATACAGGACATCAACATATTCTATGTAAAACTTATATATGCCTTATAGCCATGAAATTTCCATTTGAATCTTTAGGGAATTTTTAAAACATTTATTAATTTGAAAGTTTTCCTGTAAGCATTTAAAATCTCTCTTATATTTATGATTTGAAAAAAAGATTACATTCTCCCATTTCCTTGTCCACTACAACTGGTGACTTTACAAAGTTTTTCTTAGCTGTTTGTCATATATTCATTCCTCTCTTTCTGTTTAGACCACCTGTATTAGTCTGGGTTCTCCAGAAACAGTAGCAATAGGGTGTGTTTCTATGTATGTTCACAGACACACAAATACACACACACACACACACACACACACACACACACACACACACACGACCCATGTGGTTATGAAGACTGAGAAGTCCCAAGATCTATGGTCAGCAAGCCAGAGACCCAAGAGCACCTATGGTATAGTTCCAGTCTTAGTCCAGTGCTATAAGAACCAAGACAGGTGATGGTATAAGTTCCAGTCTGAGTTCAAGCTTAAGGCAAGAGAGAATTGATGTCCTAGTTTGAAGACGTTCATGCAGAGGGAGAGTGATTTTTGCTCAGTGTTTTTGCTCTGTTGGGACCTTCAGTGGATTAGATGAGGCCCACTCATATTGTGGAGGCAATATGCTTTTTTTCGGTCTACTGATTCAAATGTTAATCTCATTTAGAAACACCCTCACAGACGTACTCCAAATTTTAACCAAATATCTGGGCACCCTGTGGCTCAGTCAAGTTGACATATAAAATTAACCTTTATACCACCTTTGTCTTATTTAGCTCTTTATTGCTTCATACTTACAAGGGTTACAGAAGCATCTTACTTGCATGATCTTCCTAACCTGTAGTCTGTGTCTTCTGCTGGACTTGTCCTCACCTATATGCCTGCTAAAGTCCAACACAGATTATTTTTCCAGGCAGGAACACTCTTGTGGGTGTTTCATGGTCACACTGTGCCCTGGGCTCCAGCTATTTGTTTCTGCATTCTTTAATCTGCTGTTTAGTAAAGCATTTGGTAAGAGTGACATCTTACAGAAATAACCTCGAATACTCTCAAATTAATACAAAAAAGTAAATCACCGATTTCGGTTTTGTGTTTTTTGTGATAAATTACTTACAACACATCCACAATTGACCTCTACCTAACAGGTTTTATTGGAGAAACCACACACACACACACACACACACACACACACACACACACACACACACACCTGCTTAATCAGTTCTGCCAGATGAATCTTCATTTAACACAGCTTTGATCCCATGACTCTCCAGCTTAGAAACCTCAGTGGTTTTCCCACTGCTAAACAAATAAAGTTCAATTTTGTTACAAAAGTCCTACCATTTTTTTCCTCTTCTCTTTCTATGTAAACTCTAGCCCTTTTTATCATGTTTGCTAGTGCAATTTTTTTGTTTTACCACTCCATTGCAGTTAAAACTTTCAGGTAGGATTCCGTGACATTTGCCACTTATTGCTGTTTCCTCTGGTTATCTGCATATATATTATTTAATACTAGGTTTTAATCTCTTGTTTCCTCATTGCATCTGGTACCATGTTTTATATTTAACAGAAAGTAAACATGTAATGGATGTTTGTGTATGGGGGCAGGTGGATAGATGGGTGGATGGATAAATGGATGGCACAGATTTCCCTCCTACCTCTTTTTTTTCCATTTATTATGGTATCTTCAACAGAAGCTACACTCCCCTATAATTTCTAACTACACACTTAGGTCTGTTCTTTCAATCAAAAAGAAAACATAGCCTTATTGATTTATTCTTATTTCTGCTTCTTCAAAACACAAGACCAAATATGAAGAATAACTCCAAATTATCACCAAACTAGTCTGATAATGTTTATTAGCTTAGCTGTCTTCAGTGGATTTTTTGAAACTAGTATATTTGGCAACAAAAGAATCTTTTCCCTTTTTATCTGTCCAGTGTAAAGCCCTTGAAGTTCTCCCTCATAGTATTTACCGAGATTTTGATGTGCATGCTCTCCTTCGTAGATCAGATAAACAGTTCCATCACATCAACCATGAGAAATTATAGATTTGCTTTTTTTCCCCTATTGAGACTATTGACCTTGTTGTTCCTGTATTTAAAAGTAATTTTTTAGTTACATCACATTTTGACAAGGTCGCTACCCACAGTCCTATACAAGTGACATTAGATCTTAATGTTCAACTACTTACTTCATTCCTTGAGATGACCATTAGGGAAATGAAGGAACCTAATATTTCTTGAGGGTTTGGTAATGTGCAGGTTTTAAATGTATTATCTTATGTAACTCTTAAAATAAACTTCTGAGGTTATTAATCCCATTTAACAGTTGAGGCAGCTTAGGCTGGGAGGGAAGTGGGGGCAGGTTATTTCTCCAGGATTGACAGGCAGTTACAGATGGGAGCAGACTTTGTGAAACTCGATTTTGTGTTTGCACTGCTATATAGCATATCAAAATAAACCAGCAATACTCTGTCAACCTCAATGAGCCTTCTAAATTGAAACCAACCTGGCTTTCCTCACTTTGTTGGGACCTCTTCCCTGAACTTTTAAAGAGATCAAGTTTTTTTGTTAAGAATGTTTGAAAGAAAATAGAATTGTCAAAATTTCAAAGTCTTTAGGCTGTCTTAATGACTATACCATTAGAAATGCTTATCCAGAAACAATAGTTTTACTGTTAGACATTAACTCCTTTGTTGTGATAGCTGTAATATTTCTAAAATTTTCTTTCACATCATTTGATAACCTATAATTTTTTGAATAGCTCACAGGAACATCAAGCCTCAAGGCCCAATTAATGAATTTAATTATAATATTATTGGATGCAACCTTTCTCTCCCATAAAGAGGAAACTAAGATCAAACCTTTCATTTCTTGTGCCTCCACTATGAAAGTGATAACTACTTTCTAACCAGTCACTCAAGACCATACCTTTCTATTGTTTTTGAAATTCACAGTGATTAATGGACACTGTAGTTTTCAAAAGCACAAATTAGTCTTTGTAGTCATCTACATAAATTCCACGAAACAACTATTTCCAAGAACTATTCCATCTGACTAACTTACACTTTTGTGGTCATGAAATATTTGTCTCTCTACAAAGCTTTCAAAGTTCACTGGGGCCAGAAGAGGTATACATATAATTTATGATCCACAGTTTCTTCCTCCTTTTCCCTGTTAAAACAGTCATGTCTCCAGCTAGAAGTTCACCTGGGTCTGTCAATGGTACAGGAGTTGCCCTTACGTTAAACATTTCTCTTTACCCTCTTCCATTCTGAGTATAGAATGACCCAATATAAGTTAACTAAGAAGCACTTTCAGTCTTGAGAAGAGAGATATAAATTACAGTTGGGAAGATGTAGCTAAGGTGTAAGAATGCATACTTTGAAACTATGAGGTTAATAGACAGTCAAATGTTTATGACAGTTGGAAGGATTCCTTTCTTAAAAGATATTTAGAAGGGGAGACCTCTATATAGTATGATTTCGTTGCAATGAAATGCCAATGATTATGAACAAATACAGAAATTAATTTTCTTATTTTTTCTTAAGGTGCAATTGTAAGCTCATATTGAAATAAGAGACTGCTTTTATTTTCCAAGCCTGCTGTGACTATGGCTATTCAATGTGTACACTCCAAAGAGGTATATATCTAAGTAATACCATCTCTTATTCCACATCAGTGAGGCCTCTGTTGGGTACTCGTTAATATTTCTGTCTTTGTTCATGCTGAGTTTAGCTTGACAGTTCAAGGAAAAGAAAATGGCTGCAGTATGTACTGTGTCTTCTGAGATATTCCCTAAACACACCAATCCTCATAAATATTTCACCAAATGTGTTTATCATAATGGTGTTTGTTAAGGGAGGAAAGGAGAAGTAAATGTAATTTCAATTAAATACCTATCTTCAAGCAAATATTCTTCATGCAAAATTTGGTGATACCTTCTCCTGCAAGAATGGCCATAATTAAAAAATCAAAAAGAAAATAGATGTTGGCACGGATGTGATGAAAAGAGAACACTTTTATACTGCTGGTGGGAATGTAAACTAGTACAACCACAATAAAAAACAATACGGATATTCCCTAAAGAACTAGAAGTAGATTTACCATTTGATCTAGCAGTCTCACTACGGGGCATCTACCCAGAGGGAATTTATGAAGATTATGAAATTATATGAAAAAAGACTCTTGCACATGCATGTTTATAGCAGCACAATTTGCAATTGCAAAAATGTAGAACCAGCCCAAATACCCACCAATCAACGAGTGGATAAGGAAAATGTGGTATATATATATATGTATACCATAGAATACTACTCAACCATAAAAAGCAATGAAATAATGGCATTCACAGCAACCCTGGATGGTGTTGGAGACCATTATTCTAAGTGAAGTAACTCAGGAATGGAAAAGCAAACATTGTATGTTCTCACTTATAAGTGGGAGCCAAACTATGAGGACACAAAGGCATAAGAATGATACAGTGGACTTTGGGGACTTGGGGGGAAGCATGGGAGGGGGGTGAGGGATAAAAGACTAAACACTGGGTAAACACACACACACACACACACACACACACACACACACACACACACACACACACACACACACACACACACACCCCCACCAGCCCAGCCTGGGACTAGGGCAGAACTTGCTGTTCCCAGTTAAAGGGCAGCAAAAGGAGATTCTGATTGCCTCAGTGATGCGTTTAACCAAAAGGGCTCAGCGTGAACCTGCAGATTCTGTGACTCCGCGTTGGCAGCATGGAAGTGACAAAACTGTTAAAAGAGGAAAAATATAGCTATTTAATATGTGGTTACATCTAGTTAGAAAATGCAACTTTGGTCTAGTATATTTATAATGTTCTACAATGTTGATATCTGCATACATAGTTATTACTGCTACAAATGATCACTTTTTTGGTCCTTCTCTTAATCCAGACAGAGACATAATCTATTAAGAGAGAATAAAAAAGTTTTGGCTGAAATACGTTAACAATAAGAATCAATAAATAAGAATTTGGAATATCTTCCAACTTCTCAGGTTCAAATTAAATAAAAATGCTTTTTACAGAGATCCCATAGCAATGCATACCCTTTTCCTCCTCCTTTTGGAATTTGTGGAGCAAACATTTAAAATGTACTTTTTTTTTTCTTTTTCAACTTTTAGGTTCAGGGGTACATGTGCAGATTTGTTATATGACTAAATAGCGTGCCACTGGGGTTTAGTATACAAATGATTTCATTACTATGATAGTGAACATAGTATCCAATATGTAGTTTTTCCATCCTCACCCCTCTCCCATCCTCCACCCTCATGTAGGCCTCAGTGTCTACTGTTGCCCATCTTTGTGTCCATGTGTACTCATGTTCAGGTCTCACTAATAAGTGGGAACATGTGATATTTGGTTTTGTGTTCCCGAATTAATTATCTTAGGATAATTTAGGATTACAGCCTCTAGCTGCATACATGTTGCTGCAAAGGACATGATTTCATTCCTTCTTATGGCTGCATAGTATTCCATGGTGTATACGTATCACATTTTTTTTTGATCCAGTCCACCACTGATGTGTATCTAGGTTGATTCCATGTCTACTATTGTAAATAGTGCTGCAGTGAACATACGTATGCATGTGTCTTTTGGTAGAATAATTTATATTCCTTTGGGTATGTACCCAGTAATGGGATTGCTGTGTTGAATGGTAGTTTTAAGTTTTTTTAGAAATTGCCTGCTTACCACAGTGGCTGAACTAATTGATATTCCCACCAGCAGTGTATAAGCATTCCCTTTTCTCTGCAACCATGCCAACATCTGTTATTTTTTGATTTTTTAATAGACATTCTGACTGGTGTGAGATGGTATCTAATTGTGGTTTTGATTTGCATTTCTTTAATGATTGGTGATGTTGAACTTTTTTCATATGCTTGTTGGCTGCATGTCTTCCTTTGAGAAGTATCTGTTCATGTCCTTTGCCCATTTTTAATGGGGTTGTTTATTTTTGCTTGTTGATTTAAGTTCCTTACAGATTGTTGATATTGGACCTTTGTTGGATGCATAATTTACAAATATTTTCTTTTATTCTGTAGGTTGTCTGTTTGTTGATAGTTTCTTTTGTTGTGCACAAGCTCTTTAGTTTAATTAGGTCCAACTTGTCAATGTTTGTTTTCATTGCAATTGCTTTTGGAGACTTCCTCATGTAATCTTCGCCTTGGTTTTTCGGTCTCTTTTTTGGTTTCATATTTTCTGGCAAAATATTGCATTAAGATTTGGCCTCTCCACTTCTGTAACTCCCTCTGACTTCTGGAGTGAGGTGACATGGATATCTAAGCTTCCCCTGAGGCTTCTAAATGCAAAATTTTAAAATTTATTAAATTTTTTTACTTTATTGTAAATTGATCTTTATTTCACGTTAAAGTGAGATGCTCTACTGCTTCCTCATGATTCCCCTCTCTGCTAGGTAGAATTGTTACCTTATTTTTGTTTAAGTCGTGGTATAAGGTCGATGTTAGACAAGGGGTAACTGTTGTTTGGCCTCAGGAACATTTCTCTGTGTAAAGCAATCAGAACTCTTTCACAGCGGTATTGTACTTGTCTTTCAGTTTCCATGCCTCCATAACCATGTTCAGGTGACTAATCATCTTATTTCTTTTCCACAGCTCTAATTCCACCCAAATATGTAGTTTATTTTTCATTAACAATTTTGTATGCAATCTTTTCTCAGATCAGTTTTCTATCAGGAGCACTTAGAAATTGCCACCACCTTTTAAAATTTCCAGTTCTCAAATATTTTGTTCACCTTCCAGCAACTCACTTCCAAAGTTTATTTTGTAAAATATTAATAATTATGTACTCATTAAACTATATTCTCTTCCTTTTAAAATTCTTTTTCCTTGAAATATCCACTTATTTATATTATTAGCTAGGCAGAAGTATTAAATGAGATTCATGACTATATAATGCACATTTGGCTCGATGGCTTACATTTTTCTCCTTAAGTTCAGTTGGTGCTGATTCAAGCACTTGTCTTGCACAGGCAACCCATAGGCAAGCCAAAAGCAATTTATTTTCAAAGACTACCTGTTAGTGTCTTTGGAGTGTGTGATGCCATTGAATTCCATATATGAAAGAGGACACTCTCTGCTTTTAGGGAATTTAAAATGTTAATTCAGATAAAAGACAATTTACACAAAAATTTACATATAAAGCTATGAAAAGGAGTGTATATATGTGGGTGCATGTTTTTCAAAAGGGAGGGGTTGTTGATGGAGTAGCTCTAGTTGGTTCTACAGTTCTTTTCTTATGTAGGTTTGGTGCTTTCAAAGAAGCAACCACTTAAGGGATCTTGCCTTCTGTCTTTCATGACTATGAAATCCTATAAATACTCTGAGGGAATATAAATTACAGGTTACGGGATCAGTCATCAAGAAAAGATTTTCTTTGTGCTTTTTGTTGTTAGGAATTTTCCCTATTAATACAAGGTTATAAGCTCCTGAAGCCTTGGCTAAATCAGACACATCATGGCTGTCATGGTCATCAGACATAGGAGATGTCTGTTGGTTTCTAAACCACAAGAGAAGGTAACAAGTACCTCTGTTTTGGGGGATTTGGGTATTGGGAAGGAAAGGGTGAGACATATTCTGGTTGCCTACAAAAAGGATCTTATAGAAGTTACTTATTTGTTTTTATAGATAGTACCTTATACTACTTGTTCCTTATTCAAGGTAAAGGAATGTAATTGAATGGTTAGAGCATTTACTGGGGAAGTTGTGGTTTTGGGAAACAAAAGCATTTTCAGATCACATTTGTTCAATTTGTGATTTCTGAAAGATCTACCAATATAGCTGAAAAATACCAAAGCCTGATTATTCCATATAAATTAATTAATTAGAGTTAATGTTATTTAAGAGTTTGAGATCTTTTCTACTGCATACTTCTTCCGGAGGGAGATTTTTCTTTCAGGATTTTAACTTTGTGAATTACAATCTTCTCTAATTAGCATGAACTTCCTCTTGTACCAGAATTCTAGCATATTATAATTCTTGGAGTCAGAAAACTTTTCCTGCTTGGATATTAAATTTTCATCAGTTATGGGTCATTCTTGTTGGGGATAATGTGAAATAGAGGGAACTTGTGTTCTGGAATAGTTAATAGAGGTAAAGGTGGAGTAAATTATCTGCAGGAAAAAGCACTGGGGGCTGGGCGCAGTGCCTCACCTCTGTAATCCCAGCACTGTGGGAGGCTGAGGCGGGCAGATCACTTGAGGTCAGGAGTTCGAGACCGGCCTGGCCAACATGGTAAAACCCCGTCTCTACTAAAACTACAAAAATTAGCCGGGCGTCATGGTGGGCACTTGTAATCCCAGCTACTTGGGAGGCTGAGGCACGAGAATCACTTCAACCTGGGAGGTGAAGGTTGCAGTGAGCCGAGATTGTGCCACTGCACTACAGCCTGGGTGACAATAGTGAAACTCTGTATCAAAAAAAAAAAAAAAATTGGGAAAACAAGAATGACAAAGAGTAAACCTAAACTCGAGAATTGAATTCCAGTTGCCAATAGAGGGAAAAAACTGAGAAATAAGACACCCATGGTGTATAATAGGGGCAGATGGAGGTTTTCCTTGTTCTTTTCAAACACTGACATATATATATATATATATCATATATGTATATATATATATGATATATGTATATATGATATATATGTATGATATATATTATATATAAATGTATGATATATATATATAGTAGGTGCCCAATAAATAGTTGTTTAGTTAAGTAAGAGTGAATGAACAAAGGAGCAAACAACAAGGCAAGGAGGCTAGAGTATACAGTCAGAAGTAGCATAGGAACTATCCTGAAAAAGAAAAAAACATTAAGCCTCTGATATATTTTTGTAACAGCAAGGTAAAACACATTTATAAACATCTTATTGAAATTTCAAGAAGAGTGTCTGAGTTTCAGTTGAACGCTAGACAGTGTATAGAAATCAGTAGCAAGTCCTACTGTCAACCCCAAATGTGTAAATTATTATTGGATATCTTTTTCTAGTATGTGTCTTTATCGTTAAGGTAAACATAGAATAATCTAAAAGCTTTTCAGAGGTTAATTCCAGATTTTTACCTTTTCTTTTTCTATAGAGTCTTGAATTTCACAAATAAAATTTGGTCTTCTCTGTTTCGTTTGTTTTGGGAACCTGTCACCAGTAATTAGGAGTAATGAAAAAGGAAGTAACTTACTTAAAACAATTCCAGATTGGCTGTTCTTATAATGTATCTATTTGGATAAATTATTAATTATTATTATATTATTAAGTATTGAACTAATTGAGGGCTGAGATGATTTTATTCAACGTCTTAAGTGTCTTTTATTCCATAACACACCACAAATGTTGGGTGGATAAACAGATGGATGAATGAATTATTCTTCAGCATTCCAAATTTTAAAGTAGACTTTGGATCCAGTAATACCAAATGAACAAAAGTGTTAGTAAATAGCAACCCTCTTTAATTGTGAGCACATGGTTCCTGAGACTTAAGGGTCAGGAGGAAGCCAAATATTTGAAAGCAATAGCATACCACAGAACCAATAACAGTACCCAATCTCCATAAGGCTTGTCTGGTTTGTTATGGTACTCAATTATTAAATGAGGATAACAGTTTTAATCTTTTAACTGTTCTGTTTCTACAAGCTAACTTCAACCCCTCTGGGTTCTGTTTTATGATGATGGATGATTGTGTTCTGTTCTGCGTAAGTTACTATTTGCTAAAACTTCCCAGGACACTGTGTAAGGTTTCAGCAATAGCTTCCAGTTAGCTCTTCATCTGTTCTCAAGTGACCTGGCAATCTTGCCCTTCTCTGTGAAGTGGGCTTTGTATGGTCTCCCATTGCCTCAGCCAATTAAGACCTTAAAATTAGGCTTTGAGGAACCCTGCTCATGCTTCCAGGAACATAATAGCACCACTTTTCATTGAAGGAGATGAGAAGTGTTTAAGTTTGGCCAATGAACAAAGCAAGGATAAAAACAAGTGCTAAAATCATAATTAGCCCTGAATATTTTAATGCAAAAAGGGTATCACTTTTTGGACACTGTTCTACCATTATGCTAGATTTCCCTCTATAATTTATGGTTCAAAGTTTTCACTTCTTATAGAGCCAATTAAGTTTATGTAGTAAGACATTTTGAAAAGGGTACTACACTGTTATTTTTGAGGCAAATAACTTCACTACCCTAGATTTATGCATTGATTAAAACATTTCTGTTGTCTCCAGCCTGAATACGATTCTAGAATGTGAGTTCTTTAAAGGATCTTTCTTTGATTTGGGTGGAAGCGATGAGCAGGTTTGACAGTGAAGTATGACACGTTTATAGGTTTCATACATATTTAAAAGTTGTTGTTATCAAATAGTGATTACCTTAATGTCTATTGGTAGTAGTTTGACTCATTTCACCTTTAAGGATTCTGGCATTTTTATATTACATGGGGACTGTCTTTTGCTCACTCTACCATTCTAGATTGGCAATTCTCTTAGTAATGTTTAAAAGATAAAGAGGGCCGGGTGCGGTGGCTCATGGCTGTAATACCAGCACTTTGGGAGGCCGAGGCGGGCGGATCACAAGGTCAGGAGATTAAGACCATCCTGGCTAACACGGTGAATCCCCGTCTCTACTAAAAATACAAAAAATTAGCCAGGTGTGGTGGCGGGTGCCTGTAGTCCCAGCTACTTGGGAGGCTGAGGCAGGAGAATGGCGTGAACCCAGGAGGCGGAGCTTGCAGTGAGCCGAGATCGCGCCATTGCACTCCAGCCTGGGCGACAGAGCAAGACTCCCGTCTCAAAAAAAAAAAAAAAAAAAAAAGATAAAGAGTAACCTCTGCTACCAGATGACAGAATGCTGTCCTCCTCCTCCTCCTTGTCTTCTTCATCTCTGTTTGCTTAATTGTCAGTTGGGTATCAGATGAGAATGGCAAAATTGGTATTCCTGTTTTAGTGACAAAATTATTTGTAAAGGAAAAAGTTTAAAGAGAAGCTTATATATGAACATTCTGTTTTATAGCTGTTAAATGCTTCAATAAACATTTTTTCTTTTCTCAGCTTGAAAACGGCAAAATATATTAATGATACATGTTACATTTATATATATATTATATATACTTATATGTGTGCGTCTGTAATATATAAATATGTATACATATATCACATATACATATGTTAGTGTATATGTGTATGGATTTTACACACCAAAGAACAGAGATGATTTTGTGTAATCTTATGTTGATTGCATTTTTAGAATGGGGTCTCACAATATTTAGCCAGTCTCTGGAGTCACCACAGTGTTCAGGAACCAGCATCAGAAAATACTTATGATATTTGTGTTGTGTTCTACAGTGGTGATCCTGTTCATAGCATGGCATGACGCTGGGTGTTTCTCAGTAGTGACACTATGAATAATTTGAACTGAACATCCTTGATGGTTCAGGCCACCCCCACACACTGAAGGACATTTGGCTATCTTCGGCTCCAAAGGATAAAATGGATATTAGTGTCCATGCTCTGAAACAAGAAAAATGCCCTCTTACATTTCTTTTAGAGAACTACTAAATGCCTTTCTCACAGCACCAAAAACATTTTAATGCATTTATTTGTTTTATTGTTTATATCCTTCCGTAAAACTATAAACCACATGACAGCAGTAGCCTTGTCTTAAATATATGTGTTCCATGACTAGCACAGTATGTGACCCATAATCATTTAATTTAATTCATGTTTATTCATCAGACAAAATGTAATACTAACTTAAACACTTGCCTAATTATTTATGCTTATCACTTTGCTCAAACAATTATTAAGCAACGTTTTGAAATCATTTAACCAGAGATATCATATCATGAACTTTATCCACTTATTCACGAATTCACCTGTTTATTTATTTATATCCTGACTTGTTCGATAACAGATTTATGCAGAGTTGATTTAATTTAAAATGTACATCATTATGGAGCTGTGCTGTATAAAAGAAACATAACAAGACAAACATGAGCTACATGTATAGTTTTAAATTTTCTGATAATAAAATATTAAAAAGGTAAAAAGAAAGTGAAATTAATTTTAAACATGTATTTATGTAACCCATTATATCCTAAATATGATCACTTCAACATATAATCAATAAGAAAAATTATTGACATATTTTACATTTTGTTTTTCAACTGAGATGCCAAAATCCGGCATGTATTTTACCCTTAGAGCACACCTGAATTCCAACCAGCCACATTTCAAATGTTTAATAGTCATATGTGGCTCATGGCTAACATATTGAACAGAATAGCCCTAGAGGATCATTTATACTGGCCATTTTTTGGTCTTATTCTTTTTATAAGAGAATCATCTGTAGTATGATTGCCAGGGTTGTCGAGTTCTCTTTGGGAAGTCCAAGATGATGAATGTAACCTGAAGCTCATATTCTCTAATATTAATCCTATTTATGAAAAAATCTTTTATATGTAAAAATTATTTAAGGGATCTTACAATATAGACAATTTATAGCCATAATACCAATATGTAAGAAGGGAAATTAAAGATGTATAGAAATTATTTTCATAGATTCTTTGAATTCTTAAATTTTCTACGTAACTTTTTAAAAAGGTAGGGAATAACACGATTATGCACCTGGGTAACAGATAAAGATAACGAGCAAATCAGAAAGATGAACAACTCAAGGATATTTATTTACCTTCATACTTAGGTTTTCTCTGTGTTGTATAGATTGTGGTAGAGAATTTGGATGGTTGTTGAATTTAGAGTTTATTCTTAAATTCGTAGTTCAGATTTTTGGTTTAGAATATAGAGGCTAGTAAATATTCTGATCAAGTCAAGGTTATTTTCCATTCAGACTAGTTTGTCTGCATTGCTTAGATACTTCGTTTCCGCTACCTAGACCAAGTTGTCTAGGTCTAGTTTTTTATTTTTCAAAACTTAGCACCTGCTGATGAATTTGGAAGAACTTTTATTAGCTACACAGGAAGTAAATGAGAAGAGACCTAATATTTTCTGAGTACCTACCATATACCAAGACTTACGTTACATAATTTCTCGGACAATCTTCCATTTGATGTGGATATTTTTATTCCTGCTTTATTAAGGGGGAAGCTGATACTTACAGAGTTAAAGTAACAAGCCTTGGATCCATAGACAATGAAGAGATTTCTTTGTAGAATGTGGCTTGGCTGGGAATGCAGGGAATGACACAATATCTCCTTATCCACATTTAATCATGGCCCTTTCCTGTCATTCACCTCTCAGCAGCTTGCAGTATTCATTTTGTGACACTCAACTACTGTCCTTCAACCTTTCAATGGACCGTGCACTTAGGGAAACATCCCAGTTTTTTACCATGATTAGCAATATCCCTTCTGCCCATTCTCCAGCTTCACCCATTCTCCCCCTTCAACTTGAGCATTATGTTCTGACACATTTTATGCTGGCCTTATTTTTGTTTCTCTTATATGCTGAGGCGATTTCTGCCTCACAGGTGTCACAGTAGTTTTTTTGCCCCCATCTCGTTTACCCTGTAGCCCCCACCTCCCTATGCACATAGCTTTGGCCTCCTCCTTTAGGTCTCAGTTGAAATGTCACCTCCTCGGAGGGATCTTGCTCCATTACCCAATCTAAGTAGGTCCTTTTCTGTGTTTCTATCTTTGCAACCTATTAATTTACTTCACAGCACTATAATTTTATTTGCATATATATGCTCATGGATTTATTTATGTATTTTCCATCTTTCCCATTAGACTCTAAATTCTCTAAGGCCAGGGACCATATCTGTTATCCTTGCTGCGGTGGTGCACAGTTACTATGTGTTGAAAACAAATACTTGTCTTTTAGTTCCTGGATTGCCATGATTTCATTCCAAATTGTTCTTCCTGGCTTCATTTTCTCACTTCTCTGTTTCATATTCTAATATTGGCAAATTGTAATAAAAACTCATTGGGGTGACTTTTTAGTCCTATGTCCCCTCTTTCTTCTAATGAATTCTGTTTCCTTACCCACATGGATAGCTATAATCAGGCTTCATCTGGCCCAGTACTCATTTTACCACAGGGATTGTTTAAGAGATGTGATCTAGTCTGGGCCTTTCCTTGTCCCTCCTTGATAAAAAATTTCAAACTCAAAATAGGAAAGATAATCTTTTTAAAGCTTTGGTCATGGCACTGAAACTGATACAGGAAAGGTGAGCCCTAAAATTGGGGCTTAGCCCAAAGAGTTCTTAGCATACCCTGGGAAATAATTCTAGGACTAGCTGAGCTGGAGGTGTTAGCAGTCTTTTATTAAATGGTACTGCTTGGGGTACAGGGCTAAGTTATAGGCATTGCACCATGAGTCCAAAGAATGGGCTCTTGACAACTGTATTTATACTCATTTAAAGGCACTTTCAATTACATGCAAATTAAGGGGCAGGTTATTTAGAACTTCCAAGGAAAGGGGCAGTAACTTCTGCATTGTTGCCATGGAATGGGGTGGTAGCTTCTGGGTCATTGCTATGGCATTTGTAAACTGTCATTGCACTGGTGGGAGTGTCTTATGCCAATGAGCAATGAGGGCACCTAGGAATCACTTTCATTGCCATCTGCCGGTTCCTGCTGATGGCCTCACTTTACCAAATCCTGACAGAGTAACAAGTCCAGAAAACAAGTCCTGCCCATCTCCTTCATCAAAAGGTTATAAAACTTTTCTGTCAGAAACCATATTTCATGTGAAGAAGAGAAAACTGTCAGTGATAGCAGAGAACTAAGCCAACACTCAGAAAAAAACAAAGACGTGAAGCAAATGAGAGGTTCGCTGGTGTTAAGCCCATGTACCTATTTAGCCTGCTTTATGCCAGTGCCCTTCTTGATCAGATACAGCTTTTCATGCCCTCTTGTTTTGGTTTAAACTGTTGGACTTTGCTGTCTCTCCTCACAGAGTCCTGACAGATTAATGTTCTCACAGAAGAGACTGTCAGAATCCTTTTGTTTTCCTGTG
Source organism: Homo sapiens (assembly GCF_000001405.40). Lineage (NCBI taxonomy): Eukaryota > Metazoa > Chordata > Mammalia > Primates > Hominidae > Homo > Homo sapiens. The sequence continues at coordinate 80,718,658 of NC_000014.9, read as the reverse complement.
ATAAATTAAAAAATACTCAGTATCACTACAAGATCACGTGAAACTAAGTTTGTGTAGTTTGGAAATGGTGGCTCCACTCCTGCAGCTACTGTGTATTCTGTGTTCCAAATTCTCACTGTCCTTTCGGTTTCTGAAAACCTAGAGAGGTAAAATATCTATATGTGATATGTGTATAATACAAAATGGTTGTAAACTTGTAGACTGTATGATTTAATTACTAAAACTGTTGTCTTTTTATGCCATATATATTTGAGGTCTGTCATTAAAACTAGTTGTTTAAATTTTTCTCTGAGTCACCACTTTGAAAGTAGTATTTAGAAGCAAATGTTATGCAACTTTACTTTTGCTGAAAAGATGAAATGTGATGTATATACCTATAATGTGAAATCATCTCTATATTAGAGTTAATGAATTGACATTGATAATTTATACAGACTTTCATTACTACTGAATCGTGTAAGACTTGTTGGTGATATTATTCACACCTCATGTCATTCACACCTTCAACTACATGAAAAAGTAAGTCTCACCATTTTGTCTTTGTTGAGTTATATGAAAATGAGGATCACCAGCCTTGGCAACATGGAAAAACTTCATCTCTTCAAAAAACCGAAAACAAACAAACAAAACATATATACACACACATACACATACACATACACATACACACACACAAGTTAGCTGAGTGTGATGGTGCATGCCTATAGTCAGAGCTACTAGGGAAGCTGAAGTGGGAGAATCCATTGAGCCTGAGAGGTCGAGGCTGCAGTGAGCCATGATTGTGCCACTGCACTCCAGCCTGGGCAATAAAGTGAGACCTTGTCTCAAAACAAAAGCAAAAAAAAGAAAAATAGGATTAGTAGATAGAGGCTCTGGGTATGTGTGAAATGACATACTGAGTTAGATCAATGATCTATTTGATCTAATATTCTGATTCTGAAAGTGGCACCAAGTAAATATTTTGGTAGAAGCACAGTCTTTGCATTTTATTTGATCATTTTCTGATATTAAGTGTGTACTCTAAATATCTCAAGTTTTTTTTTAACCTTTGCACCTTAACAATCTTCTTTAATTGCTTTTATATTTTCAAAATATATAAACCTTCTTTGGGATGGTGCTCTATCACAAATGCCCCCATTTACCCCTTCTGATGCTCATGGAAGATGTTATTATATTTAATTTGTTCTAAGTCAGCTACAGCTTCATTATCACTCTGAAAACACTGTTCTAGGTAGTCTCTGCCAGCTGATTTGAATTGACCCATGAAGTGAAATTCATTTGTTAATCTCTACAGGAAATTAGTTTTAAATGTTATAGCCTTCTATTAGAACTGAAGAACTTCTTTTTTTGGGAGTATTCCAGTATTTTCATATGTTCTTTAAAATATTTGATTTCAATTCTGCTAGGTGCCGTGAAAGGGACAACTATATTATTTAAAGTAAATTATAGCAGAGTCTCTGCCTTTAAGAGCTAACAACTTGTGTGCACTACCATACCTATTAGATTGGACAATTATTTCTTTCTAAATTAACCTTGCCTTTGCCTAAGGTGCTTTGCTTTGCCCCTGTAACTCAATAATGAAATGACAAACAACCCAATTAAAAAATGGATAAAGGTCTGAATAGACAGTTCTCCATAGTAGATGTAAAATGGCTAATGAGCACATGAAAATGAACACATTAGCCATCAGCGAAATGGAAAGCAAAGCCTCAAAGAGATACTACTTTATACTCACCAGGACAGCTATAATAAAAAAGATAGTAACAACTGCTGGCGAAGATATAGAGAAATTGGAACCTGTATACACTTCTGGTGAGAATATGAAATGGTGCAGCCACTTTGGAAAACAGTCTGTCAGTTACTTAAAAAGTTTAACATAGAGTTACATATAACCTAGAAATATGCCCAAGAGAAATGAAAACATTTGTCAAGCAAAAACCCGTACACGCATGTACATAGCAGCCAAATGTTTACAACAGCCTTAAGGATAAACAACCCGAATGTCCATCAGCTGACGAATGGATAAATAAAATATGGTATAGTCATACAGTGGACTATTATTTAGCACTAAGAAATGCAGTATTAATAAATTTTACTACATGGATGCACCTTGAAAACTTCATGCATATGAAAAGTCAATCATAAGGGAACACATATTATGTGGTTCTGTTTATATGAAATGTCCTGAACAGTTAAATCTTTAGATACTGGTGGTTGTACTATCTATATCATCATTAAGAAATAGTGATTCTGGCTGGTAGATGAAATAAATAACTGCATGACTACGAGAGTCAACGTGATGGGTGATATGGGATTTCTTTTTGGGGTAACAACATGTTTTAAAATTGATTGTGGTGATGGTTGTACACCTCTGTGAATATACCAAAAGCCATCAGGTTGTACACTTTAAATGGATAAATTATATGGTGTGTGAATTTTATCTCAATTAAGTTGTTAAAAACTAGGAGTCTCATTTAATTTATTTGGTTCACTTTGCATATTTAATTCATTGAATAATCCTATCAACTTAATAAAATATATTTTGAATCTGTCCCATTCTGTAATCTTGGTTTAAAATCATCATTTGCCCAGACATTAATGCAGTGGCCTGGTAGCTGCTGGTCTCTCTGTCTCCACTCTTACATTCATCCAGTTATTTATTTCATCTGCCAGCAAGTGATTATTTTTTACTGATGATGATACAGAAGATATTAATGCTAATGAAAAAGTGGTTAACACTCATTTCACAATTTCTTTTGCCAAGCATTGTTCTAAGCGCTATAACATGCTAACTTACTCAGTCCTTACCACAACTCTTTGAGGTAGGTGCTATTACTATCCCCATTTTATAGATGAAGAAACTCAGGTACAGTGAGATTAGTAATTCATCCAAGATCACTTAACATGTAAGTGGCTGTTACATAAAGCAGATCAAGGCACACTTTTGCTTGAAGATCTCTAATGACTTTTACTCCTTTTCCCTCCTTTTTACTAATTTCCGTTCAATAAGGCTCATTTTTTGCCTTGGGTCTTTTGCACTTGCTCCTTCTGTTTGAAATGCTTTTTTTCCTTCTCATCTTTCTTGGCTTCCGTGTCACCTCCACAAGGAGGCCTTCTTCAATAACTTGAACTTGCTCTCACATTTTCATACTTCTTCATTACATTTAGTAGTGTTTGAAATTATCTTAAAAATTTTAATTGCATATGCGTTCACCCACGGCCTAATAGAACAATGCCTAGCAAATAGCAGGAGCTCGAGAAAACACTTGTTTACTACCTGACTGACTTGTGGGAGAATAGGATTTTATATATTTTTCAAATTATGGTTGAGGTCTATTTTCAGAGTAGGAAGACTATTTGCATGTCTTGACTAAAGATTCATTGTAAACACAATTTCATGTTTTTCAGATTTTATTATAATTCCTTTTTTTTTTCTGAGGCAGGATCTTGTTCTGTCACCCAGGCTCAAGGGAAGTGGTATGGTCACAGCTCACTGCAGCCTTGACCTGACAGGCTCAGGTGATCCTCCCATCTCAGCCTTCCGAGTAGCTTGGACCATGGGTGCACACCACCACTCCCAGCTAATTTTTGTATTTTTTGCAGATGTGGAGTTTCACCATGTTGCCCAGGCTGGTCCCAGACTGCTGGGCTCAAGTGATCCGCCCACCACGGCCTCCCAAAGTGCTGGGATTACAGACATGCCTGGCCTATAATTACTTTTATAAAAATAAAATAATTCCATGTGATTGATGTCTTTCTAAGTGTTGTGGTGCCTTTCAGTTGGTTTAGGGTGGAAATTGCTTTTTTGATAAGATGATATTTGAGTGATTGGACAATACTGTTATTCTTAAATTTTTTCTTTTTTTTTTAAGTCTTGATCTGCTGCTTTTAGGATGTGGTTTTATTATTGTCGGGTATGGGATGTGGGCAGAGAGTATGATGGATGGGGAGAGTAGTTCTTGGTTGTTGGTTTCATGGGGGCTTTGAAATGATATAGCTGCCGTTAGTGTGGAGACAATGTGGGAAGTTTGAGGTTTGCCTGTTAGAGAGCTCGGGTAATTTTCTAGATCCGTTCTTGTCTGATATTAGGTGATTTTTGGTTGGCAGTGAGAAATTTTGCAGTGTCAGTCATGCCTTCTTTTCATTAGTTGGACAAACACATACATGCACTCATGTGTATATTCACATATACACAAAAACACACCTTTCTGCTCTATGTACATAATGGCCTTTTAGCCACAGCCTCCCTTCTGTTACTTTTCTTCTGCCTTTCCCAGCTCAGAATGGTGGTGTTTATACCCTAAATGAGAAAAGTAGCCTTAAGTGTGTGTGTATGTGTGTGTGTGTATGTGTGTGTGTTTTGCCTTGAATGGGTGATGCAACCTATATGGACTCATGAGGAAATTTTAAAATTCCAAGTGTATGCACAACTGGAATTTTAATCCAAGCTTTAATGAAAACATGGCCTTGTTTAGTGAGTGGAATATCATACAATTAGATGTCTGAAATTTACATTTTGATAACTGCTCACTTCTGCTATAGTGGAAAAGAATACAATATTCAGTATATTCTTCCAAGTAGATTTATCTTCTCCAAATATTAAAATTGGATCCCCTGTGCATCAATAATATTTAAAGAATTGGATTATCCTAACTTTTCACTACTCAGCAGAGTGAGAGAGAGAAACACTAGATACTGAAAAATAAAATAGGAAACTGCAGCATTGGATGGCTAGGCTCCAGTTGCTTTTACATAGTTTCTAATAACCAAGATTTTTCATGCTGCTGACTCTTGATTCTTTGTGCAAATAGGCTAGTTGCAGAATGATAAATACAATTTATATAAAATTAAAAACAAAATCACTATCTTTGTTTCCAACCTTCTCTTTTACTCAGTACACGTAAGTAATGCTGAATGGAAGTTATTCTATTTTTTAAAAAGTTATGCTTTAAGTGGATACACAACAATCAATCTACTATGTGCAAAACAGGGGAGATTAAAGAACAATAAGACCTTGTCCCTCTCTTAGAATATGCTACAGTCCACTAGTGTAGATACTTACTTTAATACAGCTTTGTATGTGTTGCTGTATATATTAATGAATTGCTATATATACAGATAATGGAGGCACCATCTCTGCTTGGATGGGTCAGGGAACTAAGAGATAGTATTTAAGTTGGACTCTGAGGGTTAAATAGGAGTTTGCCAGGTGAAGAAGTAGACAAACAAACAGCCTACACACAAAGTCATAGAGCTTTGAAAAGGCCATGCTTGACCAGGAGATAGGAAGAAATTCAGGGAGGCAAGAATAAAACATTGTTTCCAAAGACAGAAGTCGTAGTATATTTCAACAAATTAGAAGCAGGAGAGGAAGAATGAGAAAAGATCACCGCGGAAAATGTGGTCTGGTATTAGATTATAAAGAGTCTTTTATATTAACTACCAGATGTTTTCCAGTGAGTAAGTGTGGTGTTTCATTTTATTTGTAGGATAATGCTAGGAGCAATGGGGAGGCTGCTTTTTACCTGCAATCCCTCCCACGTAAAGTGCCCTTCTTGATAACTATTTTATTGTTATTGGTAACAAGGAGCTATTCAACTTGGTAGTCTGCTTGTGTCTATCTTGATTGTCTATGATATGATTAGATTCAACTTTTGGTTTTTCTTTTCCAGATCAGTCAGGGTATTATCTAAGGATGGGTTGATTCAACCTAGTATTTTACAGATTAGAGTTAGTTGGCTTATGGCATTTGGAAGAGGCTTCTGGTCCAGCCTAAGCTGGATATAATGGGGAAATGCAAGCCTCAGGAAAAGTGCATCCACAGCTACCGACTTGGTTATTTCTCGTTTCACCATATTAACAGTAAAATAGCTGATGTGTTTCTGAAAGAGATAGGCTTATTGGCAGAACTTTGAGATGACTACTGTCATCTCCAGCTGCCTTTGATGAGGCTGCCAGAGTGCTTGCCTTGGATCTCCCACTTCAGAGAACCCTTCTACAAATGGAATAAATAGCTGGGTCTACGGATACATGGCTACCAACTGATAGCCACAGTCTCTCTTTTCTAAACCATGCTCTGGGTACTCAGGACCCCAGAATACCCCAACCTAGCTGCCAGAGCCCATGTGCAGGAAATATCTGTGGCCCTTCCATAGGTCAAGTCCTTCCAGGGACAGTGTGAACACCTCTCTGGGCCCAAGTGGTAGCTGAAGTGTAGTTTTCTGAGGGAGTAATAGGGGTTGGATGTGTACAGTGTTTCTGGACTCAATGCTTGAGCCACATAGGGTGCTGGATGGAGCCTGGGGTGAGATGAGAAGGCCACAGGTTGTCAGTTGTACCCTGACAATAGTAAGGACAGCCTGCCTGGATGTAATACTGTTGTTTGAGAGTGCACAAATTGAAATGATTAAGAAGCTCCAGTACAGAACTCTTTAGAGAATGAATGTATTCCTTTTTCTTACAGTTTACCATCTCAAACTCCTTATTGTGTTACAGGCAGATCCGAACATTAGTGTTCATATTGTCAAATCTTCCTACCCTCATATTAATTTCTTAAAATTTCAAATTAAAAATTTATTTCTAAAGATAATTATTAAATTATGATATTAAGTACTAATTCCCTAGGATAGCCACATGTAGTCATTGAAATTAGATTACAAGGAACAAATTAAGTTCGTATACTTATGTTTGTAGCAGAAAAAGATAATGAAGAGTGAATTGGCATGCAAATAGTTCAATAAACACCATTGAAATTATTTTCACTCGAATTTTTTATTTTTTACATTCTTTTTAATTTAAAAAAATTTTTAGGTACATAGTAGGTGTATATATTTATGGGGTACATGAGATACTTTGATACAAGCATATAATAAACAATAATCGCATTATGGTAAATGGGGTATCCATTTCTTCAAGCATTTATCCTTTGTGTTATAGATAATTCAATTATAATCTTTTAGTTATTTTTAAATGTATACTTAAATTATTGATTATAGTCACCCTGTTGTGCTATTAAATACTAGGTCTTATTCTTTCTAAATATATATTTTTGTACCTATTAGCTATTCCCACTTTCCCTGCAACCCCCACACTGCTCTTTCCAGCCTCTGGTAACCAGCCTTGTGCTCTCTATCTACATGAGTTCTCACTGCTATTTACTACTGCAAGTAATAAGATGTTACAACTGTAATTTTACATATATTATCTCTTATAAGCTAGCCTCTTTCTTATGTATGTTTGAAAGGGAAGTGATTGTTATTATGATGTTAATTCATGCTATGTAAGTATCATATTAGTGTGGTTACACACACACACAGACATATAGACACACACACACACACACACACACACACACACACACACAACATAGTCTTATATGTCAGTCTTTAGACCATATTCTAAAGGGAGTGGTTTTTTTCTTCATTGGGAAGAAAAAGGGCAAGTAATACAGGATTATTTTAGAGTAGTTACTGGAAAGGTCTCCTAAGTGAATTCATTGTGTTATATTGCCTCAGTCCAACATTTAACTCGATCTATAGAAACAATGAAAACCATTTCTTGAGAACAGAAAAACAAACAAAATTAGATAGCTTCTCATATAAGCCAAAAAGCTGCTTTGTTTTTAGCTGCTATACTGTTTCTCTTAAGAGGATGGATGTTCATTGTATTTGATAAGTTATCAAGATTTACTTTAATGTTCCAGAGTGTGCAAGTTAATGATTTCAGACGATAATTTTTTGTATCACTTTAGAGGAAACTATTGGACAATTTGAATATCAGATGGTTTATTTCCAAAATCATATTATGGTCTTGAAATTGTTTTGGGTTAATGTTTTGCTGGAGTTTGTGCATTGTCAGTTCTTGTTATTCAAAATCACGTTTGATTTTTTTATTCTGTTCAAGAAAATATCCAATTAAAGTCAATAGAATGCACATACTATAAAATTCCTGACCAGTTAGTAGACCATTTGGACAGGTTGATGTAGGATCAAACAAAAAGGGGTTAATTTGATTGTCATGTTTTAGGAGAACTTTAAATTATAAGTCACTTGCTTTATATTCAGTTGTATAGTACTTAATGAAAGTATTTAAATAAAGTAAATCTATTTCTTTAATACTTATAAATATCCAGAGTAACTTGTGGAAGAATTTAAGAAATTATGTTTTATGAATTTGATAAGTTACTCTTATGTTTTCACAATATATTTTAATTATTTTCATAGGTGGTGAGACGTGTATGAATTCAGTTGACACCAAAGTAGATGCAAATAAATATATTTTGTTTCTTTTTCAAGAGTTAAATCTGAATTTCTTAACTTTTCTTCTCTCCTATACTCAATATATCATACTGTAATTGTGATATTTCTCATGAGAAAACAGTCAATAAGATCTCTTATCTAGTAACATATATCTAGTGAGGGAGATGTGAACAACAGATAACTGGCCTCTGTTCTAAACCCTTTGGTAATGGGAATTATGTTTGCACCAATTTATGGCATGATTTCATTATTAGATTGTTAATACATGTTCTTAACAAATAGCAGTATTTTGCAAATAGTTGTAGGTATAGAATATCTGTTTGTATCCTCATATCCTCATATCCTCAAAAGGTCCAGGGTACAAAAACAGGGTACAAAACAAATTGTTGTGCTGGCTTTTTTTTTTTAAGACAATTCCTTTTTTGGCTACTCTCTTATTCTTAATTTTTCTCCTAGTTTTTAGATTTGTTATAGTGATACAATAATTTACTCATTTGCCATTTCATAAGCAAACTATCAAAATTGTTAATAATGAAAACTGAACCAATCAGAAAAAAACCTACTGATAATATGCAAAAGAAGACCCCATTCATTTATTGATAAAGAAAATAAACTACCTAGGTGTAATTAGCCTTAACAAGAAATGTCAAAACCCATATGAGGAAAACTGAAATACACATGTGAAAGATATAGAAGTATACTGGAAGAAATGAAAGGCATATTAGTTCCTTGAATAGGAAGACTCAAACATCATAAAATATCATTTATTTCTAAGTTATTTTTTATATGTAAAGCAGTCTTAATGCACATACAGTCAGATTTTTTTGTATTAAATGTATCTTGAAAAGTTGATTATAAAATTCATTTGGAAGAATGAAAAGGCAAGAATATCCAGCAAAATGCTGAAAAAGAAGAGAAGTGAAAAGGTTAATGCTACCAGATATTAAAACATAATTTAAAACTGGCTGGGTGCAGTGGCTCATGCCTGTAATCCCACCACTTTGGGAGCCTGAGGCAGATGGATCACCTGAGGTCAGGAGTTCGAGACCAGCCTGGCCAACATAGTGAAACCCCATCTGTACTAAAAATACAAAATTAGCTGGGCATGGTGGCAGGCACCTGTAATCCCAGCTACTCGGGAGGCTGAGACAGGAGAATCACTTGAACCCGGGAAGCAGAGTTTGCAGTGGCTGAGGTCATGCCATTGCACGTCAGCCTGGATGACAAGAGCGAAACTCCGTCTCAAAAAAAAAACAAAAACCCTAAAAATAATAGTAATAATATAAAACTTAGAGTTTTATTTTATTATTTTATTTATTTATATTTTTATTTTTTTATTACAGGCGTGAGCTACCACACCCAGCCTAAAACTTACAATTTTAAAAAAATTGACTAGAAGGACTACTAGAACAGAATAGAAAATCTCCCCAAATAGGCCCAAATACTGAAGGAAATTTAGTTTACAATGAAGCTAGAATTTGAAATCAGTGGAGATGGATATACCTTTTAATAAATGTGCTGTAACAACTGGATATTTATATGGAAAAATATAAAAATTAGATCTATTCTGACACCATTCATCAGTATAATTTTAAATGGGCCAGAAGTTTAATGTAAAAACTTTAATTATTCAAATACTATAGGAAGCAAATGCTTTTATAATGTGGCTACAGATTAAATTTACATGACTACTAGCTAAAATTCAGAGGCAATCAGGGAGTAAAGATTGACTAATTTGATTGCATAGCAGTTTTTTAAAATGGCAAAACATTTTCACCATAAGCAAAATAAAAAACAAATAATGGGTGCAGCACACCAGCATGGCACATGGATACATATGTAACTAACCTGCACATTGTGCACATGTACCCTAAAACTTAAAGTATAATAATAATAAAATAAAAAATGGAAAATAATCGAAAAAAAATGGAAACAGTATTTGCAAGTCTTATCACAGACAAGAGGTGATATTCCCATATCCCTAATATATAAACAACTTATTAAAAAATCCAAATGCATGACAATGTCTGTGAGGCTGGGGACTGTGAGGAAATAGACCCTTTCAAACATTGCTTGTAGGAATGCAAAAATGGTACAATCCTCTGAAAGTGACTCAGAATCTAGTTAATTTTCATAAGCATTTTTTGACTCTTCAATTCCCCTTTTAGGAATGTATATCAAAAGATACAGTGAAAACAATACAAAATTCCAGTAAATAACGCTTCTTATGCGGCACTATCTTTAATAGCAAATACTGGAAATAACCAAATGTCCATAGGGGACGTGAAGAAAAAAAATGGTACATCCAGAATATGTAGTAGTATGCAGCAATGAAAAGGAATGCAAATATTTCTACATCAAATGGCACATTAATCTACAGGATATACCATAATATGAGATAAATGACTTATATGCTACTATTTAAGAAATGAGGGTACTATACCTATTTTTGACTTTAGAACAATGTAAATATTTTATGTAATTTTCAAACAAAGTTAATGTTGAACAGAAGAAATTTCAAGATAGCTATATATCCTTAGTGGGTTATACCTTAATGACAAAAAGGATTGCAAAAAAATTAGATTTTTTAAAAAACATATTTTCTTGTGGTATTGGTGGTATTTTAGACAATTATGTTTGTCTTGAGGAATAAATCAAATGATTAATTATATAGGTATTATTGAAAACTGAGATTTATGGATAGATTACTAAGGTTAAGTAAAAATCATGTAGTAGTAAATTTGAATTGTATCAGTATGACCTCATGTTGGATTTTATCTTAAACAAATTTTGGGTTTGATGTGTATGTACAGCTTCACAAACAGAGACCAGTGCAGTTATCAATGAGTGTATCTATAGCACCAAGATTATGATATTTAAATACCATTTGCCATGAAAAAAGTCCCCAAAACTCCTTGGAGAATTGGTTGGTTCTGATCAGGTATAAATATTTACGTGGTAAACTTGGAAAGTCTTAGTATTTCAGAAGCCAAGGAAGCTATCAAAAACTAGGCTCACCCTCCTCAGGCAGCTCTAGCACGGGCCAGTGGGATATCCAGCAGATAAACCAAGCTGAACAAAACAACACTACAAGGTCTCTGAAAATTTAACTGTCATTAGAACCATAGCCTACAAAAGTAGGTGAAGACCCACATGATAAACCTAACCAGAGTGATTGCCTGCTTAAATAAAACATTTAAATAGAACCCACAGTCTCATAACATAACAGACAATGTCTAGAATATGATTTTAAAAATCACTTGCCATACCAAGAATCATGAGAATAAATAAAACAAACATCTGCCACCAACATTGAAATAAATCGGGTACTGGAAATAGATTTAAAGAAGGAATCATAAAAATTCCTGAACAATCTCTGTCACAAATGGATAATCTCAACAAAGAAATAAAAGTTATGCAAAAGTACCAAATGGATGTTATGGAAATGAGAAATACAACAACAGAAAGAAAAATATCACGGATGGGTTGAGTAGTAGAATGAGATAACAGAAGATAGAATCAACAAACTGGAAGAAAGAATTCACCTCATTTGAACAATAGGGAGAAAATAAATTGAAAAAGAAGAAAAAAGAACAGAGCCACAGGGACAATAACAAAAGACTCAATGTTTATATCATCAGATTCACAGAAGGAGAGGAGAAGGTTGTGCTGAAAGAATATTTGAGGACATAATGATTGAAAGCTCCAACTTTGGTAAAAGACACAAAACTAGAGATCATAGAAGCTGAGTGAACCCCAAGCTGAATGAACCCTAAAAGACCCACATCATAATTAAACTTTTGAATACTGGAGATACAGAAAAAATATTGACAGCAGAGATAAATGACAGCTTACTAATAGGGCAACAGCAATTTGAATGACAGGAGATTTCTCATCTGAAATCATGGAGGCCTAGGCTTCACAGGTGATACACTGTATAGAACTTACACACACACACACATACACACACACACACACGAGTACAAGTAAAACTGAGGAATACTTAATAAGATTAGTGAATCATATCGATGTTGATATCCTGATTGTGATATTGTAAATATATCTGCAAAATATTGCCATTGTGGAAAACTGGGCAAAGTGTACAGGGATCTCTTTGTAAGATTTCATTCTTCATTCTTGAAAGATGGTATGGAACCAGCTTATTATTTTGAAAACAGGTAGATTAAGATTAAAAATCATTTGTCTTGCTTTTTCTATATGTTTTTTTTTGTCTTATAGTAACCAAAGGGTTGATGAGGGAAAGTTTCTTCTAGAAGTTCCAACTAATAAGTAAGTGAACAATTTATGATAGAAACGGAATATCATTATTTTGCAACTCCTTATTTGTTAATTTACTAATGGTCATCAGTGGCTGCTAATGCAAAAATAGAAGCATGTAGATGATATATACCTGCTTGTGGTACAACACAACATCCTTGTACCTGTCATTATTGTTACCAAAAATTATCACAGAACTTAAGGACTTAACCATTTTATTACTATAAATTTGGAAGATTTGAAGGCTGGGGCTGACTCTACACCTGAAAAATTGATTCGTCTGAGAATTTATTGACTCACCCATCTGGAATTTATCTAGGGATGACTAGAAGACTAGCATTGCCTACAAGAGAATCCACATATGGCTCTCTATAAGTTACCACTTCCTCACAGGATGGCTGCCCCAAGGCTCCAAGCACAAGTGTCCCAGGTAACAGTGCAAAATCTCATTGCCTTTTCTAACCTAGCCTGGGAAGTCACACAACATCCCTTCCTTGCATTCTATTGGTTACAAAATAGTCAAAAGCCTACCCACATTCAAGGGGAAAGGACTGGTCTCCTCAGAATCCCCCATTCCCAGCCCCACTTTTCTTCAACCTCTTGATGGAGGAAGTGTTGAAGATTTTCACATGTTTGTAAAGCCACCACATTCTTTGTGAATTAGTCTGACTAATTCTCTCTCACCTATACACACAAAACTGAACCTGTATATGACCAAAGCTCTGGGTTTCATGAATACATAGGAATCATTTTAGTCACTATTTAGACTGGAAAAGTTTGCATGACAAAGGTCTGTTTTCCACTAAAAACAAAAAAACAAAACACACACACACACACACAAGTGGAATAAAAGGAGCTAGAGGGAGAATCTAGATTAAAAGGGATTTAAGAGGCCTATCAAGCAATTCAGTGCATGAAATTGCATTGCATGATTCCAGTCCAAACAGACAAACTTTAAAAAATTTTGGGAAATAGGAATACTGATTACTTCTTTCATGATATGCTGTTAAGGATTTTTTTTTTTGGTGGGATAAAGGCATTATAGTTATGTTTACAATATAAGAATAATTTTATTTTAGAAATATATACTGAAATATTTACAGATGGGATGATATGGTTTGATATTTGCTTCAGACTTATTGGAATGGGGTGGTTAAGTGGCTTTGGATACAGGTGAAAAAGATTGGTCATGCATTGATGATGATTGGAGTAATGTATATATCAGCTCATTAAACTGATCTACTCTGTTTTTGAATAGGCTTGAAAATTTCTACAATAAAAGAGTTTAAAAAAGGAAAAAACGAGGCAAGAGGGAGAAAGGTAGAAAGAAAGAAGAAGGCAATAAGGAAGAAGGGAAGGAGGAAAGGGCTGAAGGAAGGAGAGACAGAATCAGTTTAGGCTAAATTTTGACATCAGTATCATTACCATCCTAATTTTATAAAAAAATTATAGTCAACACACCTCTTCATGTTTCAAGCGTAAAAATGTAGGCCTAAAGTAGTTCTGTATTTTTTTCAATTATGACAAATAGTCCTGATAATCTCCATTAAAATACATTCTTTTCCATTTGTTAACATACAGATGTGGTGGAAGAAACATAAAAACTTGCATTAGAGCCTTAAAATTCTAATGTGTACATATTCTACACACATATGTTTATATATAGAAAATATGAAAATGTGTATACGTCTTCCTCTTTGACATTTCATTCATTTTACACTCATAAACTTTTTTAAAAAAATAACTAAATCCTTCATTTTATATACAATATGTTGCATCTTTTCTTCTTTTAGAAAATTTAGTTTGAATATTCTTTTGGCTAGAATTAACTCTTTGGCTAGAGTGTTTACTCTGTGGTTTTTGTTGCTCTCCAAATGAATACTGGCTGCTTAAGTCCCAATTTAATCTTAGTAAAATCTTCTAATGATCTAGGACTACATAATTGAAATTATTTCCCAGAGATGCTTTCATTCTAAATTTAATTGTGTGGTAAGGAACAGATAATGATGTTATTTCTAGTGTGTTTTTCTCATTACATAAGTATCTTTCTTGTTAATCTAAATAGTTTCTTAATTCTAGTGGTTTAAAGTTTTATCAATAACCATTTTGTGGGTTGAATCTAAATTAAGATGCTATTGCCCAGATAATTTTCTTTGCTTCTCTTTTATTTTAAAGAAAAATAGGGAGGAAGGGAGGTAACTGTGGCTATAAATTAGTTGGATGAGGGATCTTTGTGATGAAACTGTTGTTTTGACTCTGTTGGAGTTCACAGTACATGTGATAAAATGATAGAATTGCATGAAACTAAATACACACACACATACACATATACACACACACAAGTGTGGGTAAAAACTAGTGAAATTCAGATAATGCCAGTGGATTGTATTAATGTCAATTTTCTAGTCGTGATATCCAATGGCAGTTAAACAAAATGGCACCATTGGGAGAAAGTGAGCAAAAGATAGAAGTGATCTCTATTATTTCTTATTATCTCACAATAATAAGCTTAAAAAGTGACATTGGTTTTAATATTTTTGAATTGGAAATTACTATTATAAGAAAATCAGATAGGAAACATAGTTAAAATAGTAAACACTTTTTTTTTTCTAATTTCTCCAAAAGCTAAAAGCTTTTGGATTTTTAAAATTTTAAATTAGAGTAGAACTTGAATGAGTTCTTAAAAACATATTGTTTTACAGAGAGTCCTTTAAATGTGCCATGAAAACATAAATTTTGCTAAAAGTCTTAAATAACTGAAGGCTTGTTAACTGGATGGAATATTAAAGATAATGCAGTCTGATGGAAGATGCTATAGAATTTATGGACAATACTTAATTTGGACTTAGAGACATAGTTTTTAGAGCTGAGAAGGGTCCTTTTATAACTTATTTGTTCTTAACAACCTCATTACAAATGAAGAATTGGACCCAGAAAGGTTAAGTGATTTTTCCAAGTTCTACTGTTTTTTAACACAAGAGTGATTGATTTTGCCTGCCTTTTATCTCTGGCCTTCTTTTTCCTACCTCATCTGCCAATCTGTGTACTTTTACTTTCTATCTTTAGAAGTTGTTATTTTTCATTAGTTCCATTCTCTCCAAATTTACCATAAAAATAGTTTAAATACATACGTACATACATACATACATAATCTTTTTATAGCATACATTTTTAGTTGGTGCCATTTATGTGATTTTAAAAACCCTACTATGCTTAGGTATTTTGTTTAGTGTTTTGCTTTATATATTTGTGTTTCTTATGTCTTGAATTTTTTTTCCTGATAATGAAGTAGCTCTTAATATAGCAGAGTTCACAAAATAAGCAGGCAGTTGCTGCAAGGTATCCAAGCAACCATTGGAAACACACAAACCTCAGGGTGAAGTTAAAAACATGCACTTTAAAGTCACATTGCCTAGATTTGAGTCCTAGTTCTACCATAATACCAACTTGGGTAACTTTCTCAACCTCTCTGTGCCTTAGTTGCCTCATTTATTCTTGCAGGTTGATAATATTACCTGGTAAGTGGTTGTATCAAATGAACTGATATATGTAAAGTGATTGAATAGTATCTAGGAAGTATTCAGTAAATGTTAATTGCTATTTTTATGCAAATGTCTTCATTTTGGTTTTACTCTCATTAGACATCACTCAGTCCAGGGCCTGAACTGGGAAACTGGGAAGGGTGACAATAAGAATATGGTGAGGAATGCACACACAAGGAACAATAAATCCTCTTTGAGCAGCTATAATGTCAAGGGCAAATGGATGTATAGGGAAAATGTAATTTCTTTAATTTGGTCTATAACAAATCTGATTTTCCTCCTAAACCTTGAACCTTTGATTAATCTTTCCTTCAAGAAATATTTGTTTAGTGCCTACTACAATGTCAGGCTCTATTTTCGAAACTAGAAATATGACCGTGAATAAAATACACAAAAATCCCTGTAGCTGTGTTTCTTACATTCTATTGGCAGGAGACAGACAACAAACAAAAACAAATACATAAATTATAGAGTATGTTAGAAGGTAATAATTGCCATGTTGAGAAAACAGGGAAGGAGCTTTTGGGGGCTGAGCTGCCAGTGAAAGCAAAGTGTAATTTTAAATAAGATCAGAGTGGGTTCCATTCAGGAAGTGCCAGGGGAGCCAAGAATGAAAGAATGTGAGCACCAGAATGTATTCATGTGCACATCTTGGAGAAGAGCATCCCATCCAGAGAGAAGCACCCATGCAAAGGCATCGTGGCTGCAATGTATCCGGCCTGTTTGCTGAACCACAAGGAAGCCAGTGTGGCTGGAACAGGGTGAGCCAAGAGGAGTGTAGTTTTGGGGTTTGAGAGAAAGAAAAGGGTCAAAGATGATGGCAAAGCTTCTGCCTGAACAATTGAAACATAGAAGTCCCATGTTTAAGATGGGAAGACTGATAGAGTAGGAAAGAAAATTAGTAGGAAAAAGTGAACTAAACGTTGGAATTAGTTTAAAATTTCAAGCGGTCCCTTTTAGTCTGTCTTGGGCCAAGAAAGCTTAGTTTCTTAAATAACCTCCTTGATGCCCAGGAAGAGGACAGCTTATGCATCTTTGAGGCAGGAGAGAAGATTTGGGTCCTCTGGCTCCTCTGCCACTGAGTGAGGTCCATCCATTTGGTTGTTGGTTGTTCTGTTGGCATTTGTCTGGTTGTAGTCTGCAGCCACTATAAAGTGACATCTGCTGCCTTTCATCTTGGGCAGCGCTTCCCTGTAGCACTGGCCAGCTTGATCTTCACTCTTCTGAGACCTGGGTATGTGTCCAGTGTGATTCCTCAGGAGAGTCTGTTCCATACCCTCACAGCAGTTACGGCAGCCTCTCCGGTAGGTGCCCCAGCTACACTCTCAGCTGCCTCTACTTCCCTTGCAGGCTACACAGGAACCAAAGACTCATCCACAGATTAAGTCTTGAGTCTTCTTCCTTCCTGCCAAGGTGATAGGGCTTTGTCATCAGGAGCAGCCTGAGAGACAATCTCTTTTCTGAGTCTAGAACAAGGGCCAAGAAGCTGGACCCCTGCTCTGCCTTCAGTTTTACCCTGGCTAATCTGATGAGCTTCTTCCTCTCCACGCAGAGCACAGAGAAGGGAAAATCAATTCACATGCCAAACAATCTTGTTCTGCTCCCTCTTCCCTGCCCTCCTTTGAGACTGAAAGGAGCAGACTCTCCTATATGTGATATCCTATTCCTGTTTGGGTATCCCTTATATTAAATCTGTATGGTCAGTTAAACAAGCTTGTCTCTTGAGTTGCTAAAATGGGATATAAAGAAACAATATTATTTTCTGAAGTTGGTAATCTGGTTTACAAGCCTATTGTGCTTGATAAATCCTATTTTGCATACCAGAAGCTGAATATTACATTGCTCTTTCTCTTTGAATTCCTTATGTCACAGAATCCTATATTGCTAACCCAGAACAAAACTCTTAGTTACTAATCACATAATTCCCATTCAGATAGGTAGTTGGAATGACTAGGACTAAGCCCGTTTACTCAGAAAGACAAAAGGAAAAGTTACTGATTTAAAAATATTTAAGCATAACATATATGGTCTCTGAAATATGGCTTTTTTGGGGGGGGTCAATGAATAACGTGATAGATGTGTATTATTCTTTGGTTTATTTTCTACCATCCCCCCTTTCCTATTTGCAGTTTAGTCTTGTTTTTTGGATAATTACCTATTAATGACGCGCATCTTCCCTGCCACTCTGTACTATGACAGTTGCAGGAACCGTGAGTCTTTCCTGCAAGATAAGTGACCAGCCCAGCTAATCATCAGCTTAGTCCAAAAACCTTGCATCTGAGTGAGTAAATATGGAGATATGGGACTCATTACAGAGTAGGGGTTGGGGTGGCTCATGAAATATACTTCTCCTTCAGCATTATTTTGGCAGTGGTCCCAAAGACTAAACTCAGAAAGTCTGATCCTGTGCCTGCTGAAGCATGTCATTATTCAAGTTCACAACTTGACACTTTCCCTTTCACTAGCGTTATAGTATTGAATGATAAAGCCACGTATACCCAAGAATTGGAAGAATCTGTGGGAGGACTTAGGTTTCAGTATCACTTCCATCCTTCCCCACTTAAAGCCCTCCGTGTTCTTAGAAGCACCTACCTGTCCCTGTAGTACTACTGGTCCCTGTAGTAGAGGTTGTTAGCTCTTTGCTTGAAGATATACTACTTCCTTGCCTAAGGGAGACACGCTGCAGGCATAAGTTAGCACCCTGCTTGGAACTACCCCCATTCTTTTAGGCCTTCAAGTAGAGTTAGATTTTAGCATTTCCTGGGAGAAAATTTGAAAGTCCAGTCTTGTAGAAGAAGGTTTACCTTCCAGATAAATCACAGAATTTCTCTTCACCTAAGATAGCAATCTGGGAAGTTGTAGATTTCTAGACATCTTAACTAAGGAGGTAGAAATAAACGTTTGTTCAGGTTTAATAGGTTTAATCTCTCTGTGTATTATCAGTGATGTAGCATGCTCGCCTAAGGTGCTAGGTGTGGTTCTAATAATCTGATTAATACAAACCTATGTTAAATGGTGGCATATACTAAATGAAGTTACAATGTCAATAATTTTGTTCATAATTTAGAGAAAAGAGTTGAAATACTTTAGTAGAAATGAATATATCTCCCCTTGCAGTACTTGTGTCCTTGGGAGAGTCAAAAAGAAACTCCCTGGTTTAAAGTAAGGACATTAAGCAATGGTTTAAAGGTAAGGCTTTACACACCATCTTGGAAAATGCTTTCATGGCCATGGCCTGTAGTGCATGGGCGGTAATGGGAGACACTGTTTTTTATTTGAATAGAGATAGGAGGAGTTGGAGATGGGCCTAGGGAACCCACTACTTCATGCTCTGCACGTCTTGGCAGCATGGCTGACAAGGAATGGCGAGATTCTTAGATACTTACAGATTAAATTGTGGCAGAGGCTGACGTATCCCTAAGGCATTGTACTGAATGTGTACTCTGACAGGAATGTGTACTCTGACAGAAAGTAATTTCCGTTTGAGTATCAGGTCTATCGGATTTTATGTTCACAAGTAGAGCTCTGACATTATTTCTCTCCCTCTCATTCTCTTCCCAAGATTCCATATCCAATATTAAAAGCCTTTTATGGCAATTATCACCTTTCTTTGAGAGTAATTTAGGCATTGTTTTGAGGCTATTCAGGTCTACTGCTACTCTAGTAATCTAGAATGGGAATGAAATGACATTAGGATTTCAGCTTATTGTTTGAATAAAATTTTATTTTTACAAAAGAGAAAATGAAAAATTGTATAATGCTTAACTTAAATGTCATTGATACTTTAATATTTACTTTTTTTTAAGAATGGGGTTTGGGTAATATAGATAGGTCTAAATTTATCTCTATTAATCTTAGAAATCACCTTTATTATAAATTTCCCATATGCGCCACAGAAAACAGACATGCATTAGGAAAACTAGGCTGCATTCAAATGACTCCTTTAATTTTTGAAAAGTGCTGAATGAAGAAGTCAGTGATTAATATCTATGCATTTGCATTTTTCGTAGTCTTTTGAGTTCAGTAGTTGAGGTTGATAATTGGTTCTGCTGCATACTATAGGGTAAGTTAACTTCTTTAAGTTTGTTTCTTAAACATTTCTAAAATGGACATAGTACCTACCTCTGAGGGTTATTATGATCAGTACTAATTTAAAGAATTTCACATGTTCTTCATAGGGCTTGGGAAATGGTAGGCATCTTCCCTATTTGGGAACGTACAATGTATTTTTTGATATTATTTGTTTAGGGATTCTACTTGGTGATATTTAGATAGTTAGGTAAATAGTTTCTTAAATGTGGATCTGTCTAATTCCTACTAGGAGTAGTACACTGTGTTCAATGTTTAAAAGATGAAAGAAGAAACTACTCTCACTAACTCTCAGAGGTAGGTACTATGTCCAGTCCAACAATGTAAAATAAAATAACTGAAATAAAGTATTTTTAAAATAGCAAAAAATAATGATTCCTAAAACATTTTTAAGAATTTAATAGAAATTTGATGATAAATTTAATATAATACAAAGTCACAGTTCAAAGATGGAGTATCATTAACTTTAAGGTCTATATTTTATATTTATATTGCCAAGCTAGGATAAAAGAGTCAAAGAAAAATTTCTGAAAGAATTTTTAGGGCCCAGATTTCTTATAAGCTGGTTTATATATGTATCTATATATATGTGTGCATATACACACATATATATATTTATGCTCAGTGCCATAATGATAGCTCCCAAAATGTTGAAGTGTATCTGGTTTTCAGCATTTGGCTTATCAACCCATTGTTCAGTGAATTTTCTTGTAATCTTTCCTAAACTTCTGGTTTAATAAGATAAAACAAAGGACATACAAAATCTGATTTAACATATCTTCACATTTTGAGGTAAGCAGATGGAACAGATGTTACAGTGTAACATCTTCTATTTTTCTATTTAAAATTGTTAGCCTGTTTTCTATTCAGCATTTTTTAAATTAGCCTGAGTTATTAAAAACAAAATGTACATATAGACAATAAAGAAATTGCTATGCCTTCTTATTTTAAGAATAAAATCAATTGTGAGGTTTCTCAAATGTGATTTCAATAATAATGATTTTAAATAATGAAAAGCAGGCAACAGTATTTTATTAAGAATTCCCAATTTCAGATATTTCTAAAGATATGTTTGAGGTGCTCAATTGAATGACTGTTAGATATATTTTGGGATACATAATCATGGCATGAAAATAGAAAATCCATTACCTGCCCTTTAGAACCTGTAAATTCTTTTTATTGTGTAAGGAGAACAACCATTATAGTTTTAATTCATGGATAAGATGTTTTCTATTAAAGCTAAAATCAGAGAAGGAAATTTTATATCTCTGAGAGGCCAAATTGATTTATAAAGTCTTTAGTTTTAATGTTTAGAAAACTTTTTTTTTAATTTCTTAAATTTCAGTTGCTAACATTTAATAGTTTGATATGACTTAAGTTCAAAGAAACTGCTAATATCAAGGAGTAAGGCTGTAGGTTGAATCCAGATGATGTACACCGTCTACTAACAGGATTTCACTTGAAGACCGATCTTTAATCTTTGCTGTTAAGCATTACCTCTTAACCTCCTCTGGAAACTTGTTCCTTTACACTCATATTCTTAATACTTCTGTTTTCTTCAGCATATTAATACGCTCAAGTCTGTTCTGTCACAACACAGCCAAGCAAATACAAAGAAACGACGCTCTGTGAATTTTATATTCCATCTAGGTTCTACTTTATTTTATTCCTGTTTAAAGGTCTCTGAAGAACCATCTTGATCACCATTTTTTGTTTGTTTGTTTAAACTCTCCCATTCTTTCTTCAACCTACTGAAATCTGACGTGTCATTTTACTGCTTTTATGAAACTACTCTCACTGAGATCAGTGATGATATCCTAGTTGTCAAATACAAAGGTCACTTTTCAGTCCACTTGCTGTTTTGTTTCTCTGTAACACTTGATAGCCATGGCTGCTTTCTTCTCATTGAACTCTCTTGACAACACTCTTTTCTACTTACTAAGTGCATTTCTAAACATTTTCCAACCTCCTTTATCAGCTCTTTTTACGCTATTCCTTAAATTTTGTTGTTTCCTAAATAGAGATTTCAGACCCCTTTATCTTTTCATATCTCATGTTCTCCCTGGGAGACTTAATCTCTACCCTGATGTTTTAAGTATCATCCAAATGCTCATGACCTCTGAAACCTCTTCCTCAGAATTCAGATTTGGAGATTTTACTGTCTCTCAAATATGTTTGCTTGGATATCCTATAAGTCACTCAAATGTATTGTGTTTTAGTCTATTATTTATTTTATATACTACTTGTCTTATGTTATTCCTTGTTTACTCACTCAACCAATCTAGACACTTGCAGGTCTTTCCGGTCTCCTTCTAACAGCCCTCTCATCCCAGTAACCAAACAGTCACTAATTGGTCCTAATTTACCTTCCTTATAGCTTGAAAATCTTGAAAATGCACCTCCTCTACCGCGTTTTAGTTTCTTTTCCAGTTATTACTGGACGGAGGTTCAGACTTTCTGCATTCTGTGAAGGGCACATTTCTTGTTTCCAGTCTTACTGTCACCCAGTCTGTTCTCTATGAAGCCAGAGTGTTTGTTTGAGTTTAATTCATAAAGAAATTGGAAGATGTTTACCCCTGCTTAAAATATTTCCATAAAATTATTTCAAAAAAAATTTTTTTGAAGCATAAGAGGTAATGTTATATATACCTTTAAGTCTTTTATGGACCATTGAAAGTCTATTAATACTGCTACTTTCCTAGGCACTTTGACCACCAGCAATACCAAACTACTTGATATTACCTGAACACACCCTGCAATTTCTTTTTTTTTTTTTTTGAGATGGAGTCTCTTGTTGCCCAGGCTGGAGTGCAATGGTGTGATCTTGGCTCAATGTGACCTCTGCCTCCCGGGTTCAAGCGATTCTCCTGCCTCAGCCTCCCGAGTAGCTGGGATTACAGGTGTGCACCACCACGCCCGGCTAATTTTTTATATCTTTAGTAGAGATGGGGTTTCACCATGTTGGCCAGGCTAGGGTCAAACTCCTGACCTCAAGTGATCCGCCTGCCTTGGCCTCCCAAAGTGCTGGGATTACAGGCATGAGCCACCATGCCTGGCCACACCCTGCAAGTTCATATCTTGGCTCTTTGGAAGTGCTTTTCCTCTGCTTCACATTTCATCTTCAACTGATGGTAAACTAATTATTTCTCAAAACTCAATGTATACCTACTTTCTGAAACATTGCTTGGTTTCCAACCACTCTCTCTAGACAAATGGAGAAATTTCTGAGCAGATGTTTCCCAAAACATATCTTCTCCTTTATGGAACAAAGTTTTTTTTTTTTCTTTTCTTTTCTATTTCTTTCGTTCCACATTTTCCCATGATGGGCAACTTCTTTTTCATAGGCACAAATGCAATCCCTGCAAAAAATTTATTTTTTCTTTTCTATTCCAGGTTTTTCCCTTGGAAACATCTCCACTGTAGTTTCTTTTCTTTCCTTCTCATTCATAAGCTATTACTAATAAGATCACCTTAATAATTTAAGCAACAAACTATTCTTATTTATGGTTAATGTGCAGAAATCATGGAACCTAAATCTCTTGTTTTAAGGAAAACAAGTTTTTTTTTTTTTTTTAATTTTACTTTGAGTTCTGGGATACATGTGCAGAACCTGCAGGTTTGTTACATAGGTATACGTGTGCCATGATGGTTTGCTGTACCTATCAACCCATCATTTAGGTTTGAAGCCCCACATGCATTAGGTATTTATGATAATGCTCCCCTTCCCCTTGCCCCCTACCCCCTGACAGGCCCCAGTGTGTGATGTTCCCCTCCCTGAGTCCATGTGTTCTCATTGTTCAACTCCCACTTATGAGTGAGAACATGCAGTGTTTAGTTTTCTGTTCCTGTGTTAGTTTGCTGAGAATGATGGCTTCCAGCTCCATCCATGTCCCTGAAAAGGACATGAACTCATTCTTTTTTATGGCTGCATATATTCCATGGTGTATATGTGCCACATTTTATTTATCCAGTCTATCGTTGATGGGCATTTGGGTTGGTTCCAGGTCTTTGCTATTGTAAATAGTGCTGCAGTAAACATATATGTTCATGTGTCTTTATAGTAGAATGATTTATAATCCTTTGGGTATATACCCAATAATGGGATTTGTGGGTCAAATTGTATTCCTGGTTCTAGATCCTTGAGGAGTTGCCACACTGTCCTCCACAAAGGTTGAACTAATTTACACTCCCACCAACGGCGTAAAAATTTCTCCACATCCTCTCCAGCATCTGTTGTTTCCTGACTTTTTAGTAATTGCCATTCTAACTGATGTGAAATGGTATCTCACTGTGGTTTTGATTTGCATTTCTCTAATGGCCAGTGTTGATGAGCTTTTTTTCATATGTTTGTTGGCCACATAAATGTCTTGTTTTGAGAAGTGTCTGTTCATATCCTTCACCCATTTTTTGATGGGTTTGTTTTTTTCTTGTAAATTTGGATGAAGTTTTAAACTGATGTCATGTATCAGGAAGAACCTAAAACACTTTTGACGGAAAACATGGAACTTTCTTCTCTATCCCCACTCATCCTCATTGTAAACATCCTTTTTGAAGGATTAACATCCAAGATAAATTGAAAATGGTTTCTTATTCAATTGCAGTATTTTTCTTTTAAATTACTGGTGAGTTTTTCAGATGTGTATCTGTTTTGACAAGGCAAACCTAAGTTTCAACCAAATTATAAGTTTGATTATTCATGGTGATCTAGCTAAGAGACAACGTCATTATTAACTGGGAAATTGTATTCTGAATTTCAAACAACTGACTTATAGATACACTTAAACACATCCATATATAGGGAACTGCCTCTTTATGATACTTTTTTATTTTTAGATAACTTAGTATTGGAAACTTCTTTGTTCTCTTTTTTAAAATAAAGAAGTATGGCCTCTAATTCTTGCTTCACAAAATATCTTTAAGATATTTGATGACTTATTTTTTCAAGCAAATAGTTATGGCAGTTTATTTTTAATTTTCAAATTAAGTTTAATATAGGAAAAATTAGATTTTGATTGAGATTTGAAAGATCACTCTATGTCTCATTAAAGAATAAAGTCAATTTTTTGTGAATCCCAAATACAATACAATCACTTCTGAAATAGAACATACCTGTTTACAACCTTTGTTCTCTCAGAACTACTGCACAAATAACATGTAGATGTCGTTTTCTTTCCAGGAGATACATGAAATTATGGCCATAAATTGAAATACTAGCAGTAGAAAGGAAATCATACCTTTTTACAGGGGACTTGAAAACAGGTTGAAACTGATAAATATCCTCTAGATATTGTCTATAATGTGAGTCAAGGTATTGGTCTGTAGGCTTTAGGAAAGCTTGTGTAGACTGATGCTGCTTTTTTCAAAGCCACTGATACTTCCAGCATATCTTTGACCTTTGCTACTCGAAAGTGTGGTCCATGGGCCAGTAGCATTTGCGTCACTTGAGAGCTTTTTAGAAATGTAGACTCTCAGGTCTCATCTCAGATTTCCTGAATTAGAATCTACATTTTAACAAGATTTCTAAGTGGAATTAAATGCACATTAAAGTATGAGAAGCACTGACTTAGACCGGGGGATATAATGTTCCCTAACTGGAGAAAGATGCAAAACCTTTGTGTAAAACAGATTCAGGGGAATTCTACAGCACCACATGAACAAACTTTCTCTATCTAAAGGAAAACCAGTGCAGAGTGAGCTGGTCTGGAGAAAACTGTGGAGTCTTGCTGTGAAGAATCATGTTGTAAATGTAGCAGGATTCTTAGAGATGATCTATTCCAACTCTATCTTTTTATAATTAGAAACCTAAGGCCCCCAACAGTAAAATTAAATATTTATTGAATAAAATTTGTTGTTGGCTGAGATTGCAATCTGCTTAAAATAGTCAAGAATAATTAATGCCACTGACTAAGGAGATATAATGGAGGACATTCCATGCATGTTTTTAATTTTACCTGTTCCCCACATTCAATGTTTACCACACCACTTGGCTCTTCTTCTAAATCTGCTGTTACTTCCAGTTTTCATGCTAATTGTATCTGCTTGTATTTTTAACATTCACAGTATACATCCTTCCTTTGATGTCATCTAACATGATAGCCATTCCATTCAATAATTGAACTCAGCATGTTAATTTAATTTTTAGGTAAGCTAATATAGAGATGACCAATGGAAGTTGATTTCTGGATATGATTTAGAGCCATGATCTTTATATAACTCTTGCAAAATGTTTTACCCAACTAAACTTCTGCATTTACTGCTTTGCTCACTCCACCAACTCTTATAAATATTTTATTATTCTTTTCAGTTTAACAATATGCTGATCCATCTTTCTGGCTGGATTTGGATGCTGACCTTTCCTGACAACTAGTCACAATTTTTCTGTTTCAGCAAACTGTCAAATCCTCAAACTCAATTTCTACCTTCTGCCCCAAAATCCATCTAACTGGGTAATCAGGTATAACAATTTTTGGGAGTGCCCCTTGCATCCAGCCTGTCCGTGTGCAAGAGGGGAGTGTCCTACTTACTTGATTTGTGTTGCATATTTTCTTTGCTTTTCATCCTATCAAAATATCTTTGTAATTTTGGATGATATTCCCTGATTCAAGATGGTTACAAAATTTTATTAAATATTTGTAGGTGTGGAACACTTTACAATTTTAATATATCTCAGTAATAAATATAAGATACTTAAAAACTTATTTAGTTTTAATTATCATCTTCTAATTTTTAAGCTTCTTGTAACTTAGGTTGAATTGTTTGATCTCCAAAATCTGCAATTTCATTTGGTTCAACTCTAGAGGTGTGCAGTTAGTCCATTGGCCCTTTATTCATGAAAATTTAGTAAATAAGTTACTTTTCATTCTTCTTTGCTTGGATATTTTTAAAGCTGAAATTTTATAAATCTAGGAAAGTCTAGATTGCTTGTGAGAGAAGAAGCCAGTTTTCTTTTCTTTCTTTCTTTCTCTCCCTGCCTAACAGTCAGCCCCAATCAACTGTTGACTAGTTGCTGAGACCTGCTGGTAAGGTGATAGTCCTAGGTCTCTCTCTCACTTCAGAGATTAATCCTCCCCTGAAAGTCTAACCCCAATAGTGGGGAGAAGATTGTGGTGTAACTGAAATTTGGGATTACCCATTCTCTTCTTTCCAGATACCATCCCCCCATCACCACATCATTATTCTCGCTAAAAGGATAATTGACTTCTGATTAATATCATTTGTTTTTGTCAGTTTGTAGTAATTTTAAAGTAAATTTTGCTACATTTAGAAAAAGAAAATAAAGTTATTTGTAATGTATTGGAAAGGCCAGGAACATAAGAATGATTTATAACTATATTTATTGGTCTGTGGATTTTAGCATAAAATTAACATACTGGTTTCAAAATGTGATTCTACTTCAAGTATTTATAGGTTACAATGCATGTGCTAATTGACTATACAAAAATTTGTAAGGTTATTTAATACCTTTTAGGGTAGATTTGTGTTGTGATGGAGGAATAGGAAAAACATTACAATATTGTCATTTTATCAGAGATATTATTAAGAGTATGTTTGTGTTTTTTGATGTGTTTTTAACTTATGTGGCAAATATTTAAACTAAATTTATATTTTTAACATTGGGTATTTATTTTTAATGAAGAAAAAACCTTTCTAAGCTATTAAATCATCATATTTAGGATTTTTCATATATAATGAAATGATTTTGAGTTCCAAAGTTGATTCTTGCTGAAGAGATGTCATTCAGTAAGGGGAGTGGGGAAGCCACTAAGTAGTAGTTGTTTAATGAGTATTAAATATGAAATAGTTAGTTGGATTCATTGTTAGCAAATTTGAAGTGAGTCTTTATACACTATTTTGAAATTTCATACATATGAAAAGAAATATATTTTCTTGTCACACAGCTGTATGGCATGATGTAGATTTTGTTGTTGTTGTTATATTTCTCTTTAAATATCCTGGATAAGTGTGTTTGTGACAATTTATCCACGCCAGCACCTATCATTGTGAGAACTCTAAGCTATTACACTTAACATCAAATTCCTAGCTAGTTAGTATCAAACTGTCTTTTTTTTTTTTTTGAGATGGAGTTTCGCTGTTTTTGCCTAGGCTGGAGTACAATGATGCGATCACAACTCACTGCAACCTCCGTCTTCCTGATTCAAGTGATTCTTCTGCCTCTGCCTCCTGAGTAGCTGAGATTACAGGCATGTGCCACCATGCCCGGCTAATTTTTTTTTTTTTTTTTTTTTTAATAGAGACAGGGTTTCTCCGTGTTGGTCAGGCTGGTCTCGAACTGCTGACCTCAGGTGATCCGCCCACCTCAGCCTCCCAAAGGGCTGAGATTACAGGCGTGAGCCACCACGCCCTGCCCAAACTGTCTTCTTGAGTAACTAAGCTTGGAACAACTTAGTAACAAGACCACATTCCTAACACAATAGCAAGTGGAAGGGGTTAGAACAGGATGGATGGTTGATATTTTCAAGATTGCCATGCCTTATATCCAGTATTGCAGGGACTCACAGATCTACTTATTTACTGTGGTAGTTTTCCCTCTATTGTCCTTTTCTCAAGTTATTATATTGTTTCCATAAGAGATACTAGTTTGTGAATCATTAAAATTAATCGATAATCTATTAACTGTATAATTATATATGTTTTAATTCATGGATGTATAAATTAATACATTTTATTTTGAAATATTTTAATGTAATATCCATTAAAAAAGAACTTCCCTGGCCTCTAATGTAATAAGCCTGTTATATACAAATTTTGTAAATATACATGTGCGTCTATGTATATATGTATACACATACACACACACACAGAGTACAACAGTATTGTTTAAACTCTTCAAAACCTAATGTCTTTTTAATGTGTATATTTTGAGTCTAACATATTCAGCATATTTTCAAGCAATTTTATTATTTAAATACAGTTGTATCTTCTGTATAGCTGAGTGGAATTTAATTTGAAAATATTAATGCTAGTAGTTCTGGTAACCTAGAATTCCTGCCACTGTTCTTGCTCTCTTTGTCTCCAGCTTCTTTTGTTTCCTATTTATGGTCTCTTTAGGTTCACGTTCTCAATTCCTTCTAACAGTTCCTTCCAATTTTAGCTTGATGTAGCTTGATCTCCTCCTATTTAGACTATAAGCTCCTTGAGGATAAAGATGCATTTCTCTTTTTTTTTTTTTTTTTTTTTTTTGAGACGGAGTCTCGCTGTGTCATGCAGGCTGCAGTTCAGTGGGTCACTCTCAGCTCCCTGCAACCTCTGCCTCCCTGCTAATTTTTTTTTGTATTTTTAGTAGATACAGGGTTTCATTCACCATGTTGGCCAGGCTGGTCTTGAATTCCTGATCTCAAGTGATCCACCCACCTCGGCCTCTCAAAGTGCTGGGTGCCACTGCGCCTAGCCGTAAAGATACATTTCTTATCCATCATTGTATCTCCAGTGCATATTGTATCGTGAGGTAATGTAAGAGTTTCCTGATGCAGATTTGGGATAATTAGGTTTGCTTAGAAAAACTTAACTATTTGATTCCCTCATCTTTATGTCTTGGTTTCTTTTCTTGTACCCAATTTAATGTCTGCCCCCAAAAGGATTTGGTGTAATTCAGACTTGATGGTAAGGGAATGTATAGGTGAAATTATAACAAAGTAACACTTTTCAGATAGTTCTAATAAATTTACTAATGTTCTCTGATTTATTTATTCAAATGCGCTATGAGGCAAGCAAAGATTCCTCTCACTTATTTTTCTGTAAATAGAGACAGAATGGTAACATTGTTATTATTTCTAAATTAACTTTGACCCATGTTTTGAAACAGCTGGCATCAACTCACAGCAAAGTGAATGTGGGTTTCCAGGAGATTTTTAGGTGATGCCTTAATCTGTTAAAACAATTGGGGAAAATTATGCAACAAACATGAAAATTTGTTTTAGTATAACATTAGTTATCTAGGTTTGGGAACTATTGCAATGAGCTTCTTGCTAAACTTGATGCTATTTAATAAGTCAGAATAAAGAATGTTCATTTCATGTATTTTTGTTTGTTACATGGACACGGAATAGGCTAGTGAATAACTGAATTTATACATTCTTTATACTTGTTGGCAAGGCTGTTTCCAAAATGAAGACAATGCAGCAGGGAGCAGAGCGTTAAGGTTGGTATGGATTCTGGACCAGACTACAAAAACCAGTCAGCATAATTGTTGGAAGAAATTTTTGAGACCTGACTAAGGAGTTACTATCATCTGGGAACATTTTTTGTTGCTATTTTAAATAAAATTAATAAAATATTTAATTTTTTTCTATCCTACATAGAGTTTAGAGACTCAGGCAGTTTGGTAGAGGATAGATATTGCATAATGATATTAAATTGGGACCATAGCAAGGATGTATCTTCTAAAAGAGCTAAGGGAGATTTAGACTTAGATAATCAGATGGAAACTTGTTCTGTTAAAAGTCAAGCCAGATTAACATGAAGCAACTATCAGAATAAAGGAGAAGAAGTAAATAAATGACTTAATGCTTTTAATGGAGGGATAAAAATTGTTATTAATTCCCAGACTATATATTTTATTTTTGGCACCTGGAAAAAATCTAATACGTTTTTATGTTTTTAAAGAGTAAGATGTTTTATCAGGTAAGATTAGGCATTCAGTAGTCAGTTGTTTATTTTCGTGCATGAGTGCGATCTCATTTTGAGGGAGAGTTCAGTATTACCTTTTCGACTTCTGACTGGTTATTTTTTCTTTTAAATTTTATTTTAGATTCAGGGTTACATATGCCCTTTTATTGCATGGCTATATTGCATGATGCTGACGTTTGGGATATGATAGATCTTGTAACCAAAGTAGTGAGCATACTACCCAAAAGTAAGGTTTTCAACCCTTCTCCCCTTCCTTTCTCCTTGAGTAGTCTCCAGTGTCTATTGCTACCATCTTTATGTCCATGAATAACAATTGTTTAGCTCCCACTTACAAGTGGGAATATGAGGTATTTGGTTTTCTGTTACTGCACTAATATGCTTAGGATAATGGCCTTTAGCTGCTTCCATGTTGCTTCAAAGGGCATGATTTCATTATTCGTTCTTTATGGCTGCATAGTATTCCATGGGATGTATGTACCTCGTTTTCTTTATCCAGTCCACTATTGATAGGCTCCTAGGTTGATTCAATGTCATTGCTATTGTGAATTGTCCTGTGATGAACATATGAGCATATAAATCTTCTTGGTAGAACCATTTGTTGATTGTGCTGTGGTCTGAGAGAGTGTTTGTTATGATTTCAGTTCTTTTGCATTTGCTGAGGAGTGCTTTACTTCCAATTATGTGATTGATTTTAGAGTAAGTACCATGTGGTACTGAGAAGAACTTTTATTCTCTTGTTTTTGGGTGGAGAATCAGGTCCCTTTGATCCATAGCTGTGTTCAACTCCTGAATATCTTTGTTAATTCTATCTTGATGATCTGTCTAATATTGACAGTGGGGTGTTAAAATCTCCCACTATTATTGTGTTGGAGTCTAAGTTTCGTTGGAGGTCTCTAAGTACTTGTTTTATGAATCTGGGTGCTCCTGCATTGGGTGCAGATATATTTAGGTTAGTTAGATCTTTTTGTTGAATTGAACCCTTTACCATTATATAATATCCTTCTTTGTCTTTTTAAATCTTTGTTGGTTTAAACAAGAATCTTTGTTGGTTGTTTTGTCAGAAACTAGGATTGCAACATTTGCTTTTTTCTGTTTTCCATTTGCTTGGTAGATTTTCCTTTGTTTTTAAATTTTGGGCATAGGTGTGTCTTTGCATATGAGATGGGTCTCTTGAATAGAGCACACCAATGGGTCTTAACTCTTTATCCAGCTTGCAATTCTGTGTCTTTTAATTGGAGCATTTAGCCCATTTACGTTTAAGGTTAATATTGTTATATGTGAATTTGATTCTATCATCATGATGCTAACTGGTTATTTTACAGACTTGTTGGTGTAGTTGCTTCATAGTGTCATTGGTCTGTGTACTTCAGTATGTTTTTGTAGTGACTGGTAATGGTTTTTCCTTTCCATATTTAGTGCTTCCTTCAGGAGCTCTTGCAAGGCAGGCCAGTGGTGACAAATTCCCCCAGCATTTGCTTGTCTAAAAATGATTTTATTTCTCCTTATGAAGCTTAGTTTGGCTGGATATGAAATTTTGGATTGGAAATTACTTTCTTTA
Source organism: Homo sapiens (assembly GCF_000001405.40). Lineage (NCBI taxonomy): Eukaryota > Metazoa > Chordata > Mammalia > Primates > Hominidae > Homo > Homo sapiens. The sequence goes on along the minus strand of NC_000014.9, from coordinate 80,686,286 downwards.
AGAATGTTGAATATTGGCCCCCAGTCTCTTTTTGCTTGTGGGGTTTCTGCTGAGGGGTCTGCTGTTTGAATATTATACTTTTGTCGGATGCATAGTTTGCAAATATCTTCTCCCATTCTATAGATTGTCTGTTTAATCTGTTGATAGCTTTTTGCTGCACAAAAGTTAATTCATTTAGTCCCCAATCAATTTTGTTTTTGTTGCAATTTCTTTTGAGGGCTTCTAATAAATTCCTTCCCAAGGTTGATGTTCATAATGGTGTTTCCTAGGTTTTCTTCTAGGATTCTCATAGTTTAAGGTTTTATGCTTTAATATTCAATACATCTTGAGGTAATTTTTGTATATAATGTTACGTAGGAGTCCAAGTTAATTATTCTGCCTATGGCCTAGCTAGCTGTTCCAGCATCATTTATTGAATAGGGGTTCTTCCCTATTAATAATTTTTGTTGACTTTGTTGAAGATTAGATAGTGCTAGGAGTGCAGTTTTATTTCTGGGTTTTCTATTCTGTTCTATTGTTCCATGTGTCTGGTTTTGTACCAGTGTCATGCTATTTTGGTTACTGCAGCCTTATAGTATAGTTTGACATAGGGTGATGTGCTATCTCCAGCTTTGTTCTTTTTGCTTAGGATTATTTTTGCTGTTTGGGCTTCGCTTTGGTTCCATATGCGTTTTAGAATTTTTTTTATATTTAATTTTTTTAGTTATGTGAACAAGTGACACTGGTAGCTTGATAGAGGAATAACGTTGAATCTGTAGATTGATTTGGGCAGTATGGCCATTTTAATGATATTGATTCTTTCAATTCATGAGCATGGAATGTTTTTCCATTCCTTTGTGTCATCTGTAATTTATTTCAGCAGTGTTTTGTGGTTCTCCTTGTGGAAATATTTTACTTCTTCGGTTAGATTTATTTCAAGGTATTTTTTTTTCATGGCTGTTGTAAATGGGATTAGGTTCTTGATTTGGCTCTCAGCTTGAATATTGTTGCATTATAGAAATGCCACTTATTTTTGCACATTGGTTTTGTGTCCCAAAACTTTACTCAAGTGGTTTATCAGTCCCAGTAGCCTTTTGCCAAGTCTTTAGAGTTTTCTAGGGATAGAATCAAATCCTCAGTGAAGAGACATAGTTTGACTTTCTCTTTTGGTAATTGGTTGGTTTTTCTTTCCTTCTCTTGCCTGACTGCTTTGGCTAGAACTTCTATTACTATGTTGAATAGGAGTGGTGAGAGTGGGCATCCTTGTATTGTTCCAGTTCTCAAAGGGAATGCTGCCAATTTTTGCCCATTCTGCACGATGTTGACTGTGAGTTTGGCATAAATGGTTCTTACTATTTTGAGGTATGTTCCTTCGATGCCTAGTTTGTTGAGGGTTTTTTATCATGAAGCGATACTGGATTACATCAAAAGTATTTTCCACATTTATTGAGATGATCGTATTTTTTTAAAATTTTGTTTATGTGGTGAATAACATTTACTGATTTACATATGTTGAACGAACCTTGTATCCTAGGAATGAAGCTTTCTTTTTCTTGGTGAGTTAACTTTTTGGTGTGCTCCTGGATTCAGTTTGCTTTTTTTTTTTTTTGAGGATTTTTGCCTGTGTGTTTCTCAGAGATATTGACTTGCAGTTATGTTTTTTGTTGTGTCTTTGCTAGGTTTTGGTATTAGAATGATGCTATGCTGGCTTTGTAGAATGCATTAGGAAGGAGTTACTCCTCCTTGATTTTTCAGAATAGTTTTAGTAGAACTGGTACCAGCTCTTCCTTGTACATCTGGTAGAATTTGCCTGTGAATCCATCTGGTCCAGGGCTATTTTGGTTGGTAGATTTTTCATTACTGATTCAGTTTTGGAACTCGATATGGTTCTGTTCAGGGTTTCAATTTATTCCTGATTAAATCTTGGGAGATTTTGTATTTTCAAGAATTTATTCATTTGCTTCTAGATTTTCTGATTTGTATGCATAGAGGTGTTTGTAATACTCTCTGAAGATCTTCTGTATTTCTGTGAGAATGGCTGTAATGTCACCTTTGTCCTTTCCAATTGTGCTTATTTGCATCTTCTATTTTTTTCCCCTTTGTTAATCTAGTTAGTGGTCTACCGATCTTGTGTATCCTTTCAAAAAACCAACTTTTCATTCCGTTGGTTCTTTGTATGGATATTTGGGTCTCAATTTCATTCAGTTCCGTTCTGATTTCAGTTATTTCTTTTTCTCTGCTGGCTTTGGGTTTAGTTCTTGTTTTTCCAGCTCCTCTAGGTGTGAAGTGAGATTGTTAATTTGAGATCTTTCTAACTTTTTGAGGTAGGTGTTTAGTACTATAAACTTTCCTCTTAATGCTACTTTTGCTACATCTCAGAGGTTTTGGTATGTTGTGTCTCTGTTTTTATTTATTTCAAAGAATTTTGTTTTTTACCCAAAAGTCATTCAGGAGCAAGTTTTTTCATTTTCGTATAATTGTGTGGTTTTGAGAGATTTTCTTTGTATTGATTTCTATTTTTATTCCACTATGGTCAGAGAGTATGGTTGATATAATTTTAATCTTTTTGAATGTATTGAGACTTTCTTTAGGGCTGAGCTTATGGTCAGTGTTGGAGTGTGTTTCATGTGCAGAAGAGAGGAATGTATATTGTGTGTTTATAGGTGTATTATTCTGTAGATGTCTGTTAAGTCTAATTGGTAGTGTTGAATTTAAGTCTAGAATTTGTTAGTTTTTTGCTTTGATGATCTGTCTAATGCTGTCAGCATGTTGTGGAAGTCCACCACTATTATTGTGTGGCTATCTTAGTCTTTTCTTAGGTCTAGAAATATTTGTTTTATTAATCTTGATGCTTCAATGTTGGGTGGTGTGTATATATATATAGGATAGGTAAGTCTTCTTGTTGGATGGAGCCCTTTGTCTTTATGTACCATCCTTCTTTGTCATTTTAACATTGTTGGTTTAAAGTCTCTTTCATCTAATATAAGAATTGTGATCCCTGCTCTCTTTTGTTTTCCATTTGCAAAATAATATTATTTCTCCAGTCCTTTATTTTGTGCTCAGGGGTGTTGTTACTTGTGAGATGGGTCTGTTGAAAAGAGCAGATGGATGGTCCTGTCCAGCTTGCCACCCTGTGCCTTTAAAGTTGGACATTTAGATCACTTATATTCAAGGTTAATATTGATATTTGAGGTTTTGATCCTGTTGTGAAGTTGTTAGCTGGATGCTTTGTAGTTTCTATTGTATGGTTGCTTTATAGGGTCTGTGAGCTATGTACTTAAGTGAGTGTGTTTGTGTGTGTACGTGTGTGTTTGGTGGGGGTGGTGGGCAACTAGCTATCATTCTTTTGTTTCCATGTTTAGAACTCCCTCCAGGTTCTCTTGAAAGGCTGGTCTAGTGGTAACAAATTCCCTTAGCACTTGATTGTCTGGAAAAGATATTATTTCTCCTTTGCTTATGAAACTTAGTTTGGCAGAAAATGAAATTGTTTTTTGGAATTTATTTTCTCTGCGAGTGCCGAACATAGGCCCCAATCTCTCCTGGCTTGTAAATCTTCTGCTGAGATGTCCTCTGTTAGCCTGATTGAGTTCCCTTTGTACATGATCTGCCCTTTTGCTCTAGCTGCCTTTAAGACTTTTTCTTTAGCATTAATCTTGGACATCCTGCTGACTATATTCCTTGATGATATTCATTTTGTATAGTATCTTTCAAGTGTTCTCTAGGTTTTCTGTATGTGAATATTTCTCTAGCAAGAACAGGGACAGTTTCTTGAATTATTCCCTCGAATACGTTTCTCAGGTTATTTACTTTTTCTCCTTCACTCTCAGGAATGCCAATAATTCCTAGGTTTGGTCACTTTACATAATTCCATATTTCTCAAAGAATTAATTCATGTTTTAAAATTCATTTTTCCTTATGTTTGTCTGACTGGGTTAGTTTAAAACACCAATTTTCAAGCTGTGAATTTTTTTCTTCTGCTTCAGCTGGTTTATTGATAAAGCTTTCATTTTGAAATTCTTTGAGTTTTTCAATTCCAGAAGTTCTGATTGTTTTTTAAGATGCTTATCTTTTTCTTCACTTACTGGATTGCTTTAGAAGTTTCTGGGTTTGGTTTTCAAACTTTTCTTGTATCTCCTTGAGCTTCCTTGCAATCCATGCTTTGAATTATTTTTCTTTTTTCCTTTTTTATTTTTTTGTGGGGGGAAAGGGTCTTACTCTGTCAACCAGGCTGCAGTGCAGTGGCATGATCATAGCTAACTGTGTGTTTGATCTCCTAGGTTCAAGTGATCCTTCTGTCTAAGCCTCCTGAGTAGCTAGGACTGCAGGTGTGCACCACCCTGCCTGGCTTATTTTTGTTTATTTTTTTCATAGAGACAGGGCCTTGCTATGTTGCCCAGACTGGTCTCAAAATCCTGCCCTCAAGCAATCCTTCCACCTTGGCCTCCCAGTGTGCTGGGATTATAGAGATGACTCACTGTATTAGACTGTTCTCTTGTTGCTATAAAGAACTGCCTGAGACTGTGTACTTTATAAAGAAAAGAGATTTAATTGACTCACAGTTCAGCATGGCTGGATAGGCCTCAGGAAACTTACAATCACGGCGGAAGGCAAAGGGGAAACCTTCTTCATAAGGCGGCAGGGAGAAGAGAATGAATGCCAGAAGAGGAAATGACAATGCTTATAAAACCATCACCTCATGAGAACTCACTCACTATCATGAGAACAACATGGGGGAAACCACCCCCGTGATTCAATTACCTCCCACCTGCTCCCTCCCACAACATGTGGGGATTATGGGAACTACAATTCAGTTTGAGATTTGGGTGGGACACAGCCAAACCATATCACTCACCATGTCTGGCCTTTGAATTTTCTTATCTGTTATTTCTGAGTTTCCATTTTGGTTAGGTACCATTGCTGGAGAGCTAATGTGATCTATTGGTGGTGTCGCTACATTCAGATTTTTCGTGGTGCCAGTATTCCTTCACTGGTTCTTTCTCATCTGGAGATGCTGACATTTCTACTTTTTGTAATTATTTTTGTGCAGGTAGGATTTTTTTCTGTTTTTCCCTTGCCCTATAATATTTTTTTCCTTTCTTTTTACCTTTTCCCTTCCTCGCTAGGGAGTGTGGATGCAGAGGATCATGGGTAGGGTCTCTTGGCTTTGCTTTTATAGTACCGTGTACTTCTTTTGGCAGATTTTATATTGGGCTGTGCAGTTTGACCTACAAGGTAGTATTTGGCATTTATGAGCAAGAGCCGACTATAGCCAGCATGGTATATAGCCAGCATGGTATATACGTATAGTATATACTTGATTCTTGTTTATTGGGAGAGGGTCTCTATTGTCTCAGGCAATGGGCTGATCCGTGGGGTGCACAGTGGTCTGAGCTCTCTGCTCAGCACTGGTGGGGGTTGTTGGGCATGATTGACAGAGCCACACTGGGTAGGCCTGCATACAGGTCCCCCAATGGTAAACACAAGCACCAGTGCTAGGAGAGAATCCAGTGTCTGGTCACCAAGCAACTAGAGGTGTGCCTAGTGTTAAAGCTGGGAAACCTCAGCCCCAATTTCTCTGCATGGTGATGGGGTGTTGATGGGTGGCCTACACTTCTAATCTAGGAGAGTACATCCTTCAGATTCTTGGAGATACATGTGGGTATGGACTGCAGAGGGTCCTACTATACCACAATTTCTGCACAGTGTGGGTAGGACAGTTCAAGCTGCTAATCCTGGTGAATGGGTGCTCGAAATGCCTGGATATTTGTCTGCGTGTGGAGCAGAGAGGGTCTTCATATACTACAATATATGTCCAGGAAGGATGGGGCTGCACTGGCTGCTGAACCAGGTGAGCGAGTACTCTGAATACCTGGAGATCTTCCTGGGCATGGAGCGCAGAGGGCCGTGCTCACCAGGATCTATATCCACGAAGGGTGGGATGCTGGTCTAGGCAAGTGGGTGCTCCAAATACCTGGCTTTCTGCTTCAGGGTGGATCACTTTACCATGATCTGAGGGGAGCATACTTGGGCACCTAGCAATGGCACATGCAGATTAGTTCCAGGTCCCCAAGCTGGCTCTGCCTGCAAGTCTGGTCACCTAGGAGAAACCACAGCTGTAGCAGCTCTCATCCCACCCCTAAGCCTGCTGCAGGGGAGAGCCGAATTCCAGCGCTTGCTACTGAGGCACTTTCCACACTTCTGTTCTCCCTGTGAAGGCTCCCACCTAGCTCCAGAGCAGGCACTCCAATCTCTGGCTCAAGACTAAAATGCATGCGCAACTACGCTGCCACACAGACTGGCTGACTTTGTATGGACCTATCGGGGGAACCCACCCCCAATATTTCAACGTAGGTTCTTTCTATTTTCCCTAAGTGTCGGCTAGCTGAGAAATAAAGAGAAAGAGTACAAAGAGATGAATTTTACAGCTGGGCCTCCGGGGGTGACATCACATATTGGTAGGACTGTGTTGCCCACCTGAGCTGCAAAACCAGCAGGTTTTTATTAAGGACTTCAAAAGGGGAGGGGGTGTAAACAGGGAGTAGTTCACAAAGATCACCTGCTTCAAAGGGCAAAAAGGAGAACAAAGATCACATGCTTCTGAGGCCAATAAAGTCACAAGGCAAAGGGCAAGGCAAAGATCATAAGGTAAAAGGCAAAATCAAAAACTCCTGATAAGGGTCTATGTTTAGCTGTGCATGTATTGCCTTGATAAGCATCTTAACAGGAAACAGGGTTTGAGAGCAGAGAGCCAGTCTGACCTCAAATTCTCCAGGGTGGGATTTTTCCCCACCCTAGTAAGCCTGAGGGTACTGTGGGAGACCAGGGCGTATTTCAGTCCTTATCTCAGCCACGTAAGACAGTCACTCCCAGAGCAGCTGTTTATAGACCTTCCCCCAGGAATGCATTCCTTCCCCAGGGTATTAAATATTAATATTCCTTGCTGGGAAAAGAATTTAGCGATATCTTCCCTACTTGCATGTCTGTTTATAGGCGCTCTGCAAGAAGAAAAATGTGGCTCTATTCTGCCTGACCCCGCAGGCAGTCAGACCTTATGGTTGTCTTCCCTTGTTCCCTAAAATCGCTGTTATTCTGTTCATTTTCAAGGTGCACTGATTTCATATTGTTCAAACACACATGTTCTACAATCAATTTGTACAGTTAGATACAATTATCACAGTGGTCCTGAGGTGACATATATCCTCAGCTTATGAAGATAACAGGATTAAGAGATTAAAATAAGGCAGGTGTAAGAAATTATAAGAGTATTATTTGGAAAGTGATAAATGTCCATATTAAAATGAAATCTTCACAATTTATGTTCAGAGATGGCAGTAAAGACAGGTGTAAGAAATTATAAAAGTATTAATTTTGGGAACTGATATATGTCCATATTAAAATGAAATCTTCACAATTTATGTTCCTCTGCCACGGTTCCAGCCAGTCCCTCTGTTCGGGGTCCCTGACTTCCCACAACATGGACCCAAATTAAAAATTGCATTGTGCTCTTGGTCCTGAGTCTTGGAAAATGCCTGCAGCTTTTCCAGGTGTCTTTCCCTCTCAGTGTCTTTAAGCCTCTCACCATGTTAACTCCAGGGCTTGGGAGAAACAAAGTGCTCTCCATTGACCCCAGTGGAAAGATGAGTCACAGAGGGAAGCTCTTCATGTATTGGCACTTCATTCACTGTTACCAGCTGTTTGAGTCACAGGGGCTGTTTGTCTGCATTCTTCTCCCCTGGATCTGGGGTATCCTTTAGGATTCCAGCGGATTCCCATTTTCCTTCTGGAATTAAAGCGCACATAGTTGATCTTTATGCACTACGTTGCTGTTTCCAAGTGGCCAAGGCATGCTAAAAGCCTCTAATCTGCCATTTTGTGGGGGGAGAAAACCAAACAAGTAATTGTTTATTCTGATACAGATTTAGGGTCCTTTTTTTTTTTTTGGAATGGAGTGAGAACATTTTAGATTAAGCAATGTCAAGCTGTGTTTGATATTTTTGATAGATGATCTTTTATATTAAGGTAGCTTTTGAATTTCTTTTTCAGTGAGATTTGGACTATCCCCAATGGCTACATGTAAGAAAAAAGTAATAGAAAGTTTGGATCTACTGTATACATGTGGTTCCATTTCATTTTAATTGAAATGAGGGCTCTCAGCTTACCTTCAGGAATTCACGCATAACAGATGGGCAGTTCTTCCTAACTTCAGCTACTGTGTCATGTTTCCTTGAGCATATATATATATACATATATATATATATTTTTTTTTTATAGAGCAACTGTCCATGTTGAAAGTAGAGGTTGGATAGGAATTGATAAATAACCTTTTCTTAAGCCAAGAAAGTCTGAAAAGCATAAATTGGTTTATTGTGGTTTTCTATACTCAGGACTATAATTCAAAAACATGTGAAAGATGTCTCTTAAACATGTTTTTCAACATTCATACTTTTTTTATGCACACAGTCCTAAATGTCTTGTTTTAATGCCAATCTAATACTCCAATTACAATTAAGGTTTTTTGGCTTTATTATAAGATAAATAATATTGCTATGTTTTTCTTTTAATTTATTTCTAGATCAGTCCCTTTTCACTAGGCTGAAACACACTTCCATAAGTTATACATTTCACCAACTCTAGGTGATGACTTTTTAACTCACAACTTCCTTAAGTGATTTTTTTTTTAACTAAGTAGCATTACTTGTCTTTCACTCTTTATTGGATATTTTCCACTAAACTTTACTATATTCTATTAAAACCACCTGGGTGGGAGAAGAGTTTTCTAATTTTTTTTTTTTTTTTTTTGAGACGGAGTCTTGCTGTGTCGCCCAGGCTGGAGTGCAGTGGCGCCATCTGGGCTCACTGCCACCTCCACCTACTTTGTTCAAGTGATTCTCCTGCCTCAGCCTCCTGAGTAGGTTGGCACCACAGGCAGTCACCACCACACCTGGCTAATTTTGTTTTTTAGCAGATACGGCATTTCACCATGTTGGCCAGGCTGGTCTTGAACTCCTAACGACCTCAGGTGATCTGCCCACCTCAGCCTCTCAAAGTGCTGGGATTACAGGTGTCAGCCACCACGCCTGGCCTTTTTACCTGTAATATATCTGTAGATAAGACACAGGTTATGAAGACAAGAAGCAGATGGAAACGTGCATGTACTCCCCTCCTTACACATACACTCCAAGTTTGAAGAAATATTGAAGTAAACTTTTTATACATCATGGGATGATAGATCTACTGCATTTATTTAAAAGCCTTCCATTAGATGTAATGCTTTTTCAGTTTTGCTCCCCATAGTCTAAATGTGAGGCCAATATAATTCTGATACCAAAATCAGAAAAGGAGTACAAGAAGTGAGCATTTTAGGCTCATTTCATTCACAATCATAAATGTAAATATCTAATATTGTATAAAAATCATATAAAATGGTCAGGTTGGCTTTGTCCCAGATCTGCAAATATATTTTAATATCAGAAAACTGATGTTATTTACCACATTAATTAATTAAGTGAGAAACAGCACATGATTATGGTAATAATTGCATAAAACATCTGATTAATTCCAACACAAATTCGTGTTACAAAAAATCTTAATAAATTAAGGGAATTTTTAAATGTGATATATCTGTGGGAAAAAAATCTTTGAAACATCCTTTTAAATAGAAGGATACTAGCATTTAAAAAATTAAGTAAAAGGAACTGAGGAACTGTACTCATTATCACCACTTTTATTCAACCATACACTAGTCTTAGCTGCCAGCTAGTGCAATAAACTAAGATGAAGATATTTATGGTATAAACATTGGGATGGAGGAAATAAAACTGCCTGCTTTGGAGATGATCTGATTATTTTTTTTTTAAAAAAAATCACAAATTAATAGAAATAATGAAAGTCAGCAAGTTTCTGAATGTAAAACTCAATATATAAAATCAATAAAACATGTTCACCAGCAGTAGACAATTAGGAAACGTAAGTTTAAAGATTCCATCTTCAGAAAGGAAAACATGATAAAGTACCATGGAAGGTATTTACCAAAAGATGTGTAATGTGTACCTACACAAAACTTTACTGAAATATTTAAAATACTTTAAATATAAAGTAAATAAAGGGTGATCTACCTTGTGTTTATGAATAGAAGGACTGTGTATCATAGAGATGTTCAGCTCTTTGAAAATGAGCCTATAGATGCAGTGATACAAATTTCTAATAAAAATACCAGCAACACTTATTATAGAACTTGACACTGGTTCTAAAATATTTAGGAATGTGTAGATTAACAAGTAGCCTAGAGAAATTCTGAAGTGAACAAAGATAGCATTTCATGCTAATAAATGTCATGGCTGTTTGTGAAGTTTTAGTTATCAAGACTAGTGTGGCATTGGTTCATGGATGAACAATTCAGTAACAATCCTGGCAACACAGGAATAGATGTAAAAGCCTGAAATATAACAATTTCCATTGAACATTGAGGGGGGAATAGAGGGGCTATTCAGTAAGTGGGTAGGGAAAAATTTTATCCATATGGGAAAATATTTAAAAGTATGCCTCACTCATGGAAAGATTTGACTATCTTAAAATTAAATATTTCTGTTCATCAAAATGTGTTTCAAAAACAAAAAAGCAAAGAGACCAATTACAGATATTAATTCTAAAATATAACCTACTTATGATTATTATCAAGAACAAATGAATTCCTACAAATCAATAAGATGAAAATTCAATCAAAAATGAGCTAAAGACATTTCATAGAAGACCCATAGACCCAATAATCTTAGGAAGAAATGTGACATAATCTCAAGTTAGTAATTCAATAAAATCCCATTTTTACACCAAGTTAGTATAGATTTAAATCTTATAGCATCAAGTGTTTGAAGCGTTATGGATCACCAGGGTTTCATGAATTGGCGTAGCGTAAATTTTTGTGACTTCTCTTAAAAAACATCTTATAAAGTTGAATACTCACATACTGTATGTTCCAGTAATACTACTTTTACGTTTTTACCCAAGAAAATCTGTTGCATGTGTCTAACAGTGGTATGTACAAGAATATTCTTAGAATCAACATTGATAATAACAAAAATCAGAAAAGAACTCAAATGTACATCAACACACTTTGAATAGCAAGGCCTTATATTATATTGTCTACTTTTGTATATGTTTGACATTTTCTGTAAAAGAGAAATCAAGAATGAATGATTGAAATTAAAAGGTTCATGTGTGGGAATAGGAGAGGTTAAAAAGGACGAGGTGATTGTGCAATTAAAGCAAAATGGCTATTCTTAATAGTTTATTTACATAAGAATAGAATTTCCATTAGACCCTTGAAACAGGTCCTTACTTTAAACAAGATGCAAGTAATGTGCTATAGAGAGTAGGATCCCTATAAGTTTATCCAGGTGGTTTTAATGGAATGTAGCTGTATGCTGCATTTATGCATTGGAGCAAGATGTATGGGTTATTTTATAGAGAAAAATATGAATTAAGATCTCTAGTGGTTAAGCCATTTGTAACTGTTTTACCTTAATGTCTTCTCTGTAATAGAAGTTAGTTCCATGGCGGTATATATGGTGTAAATAAAGTAAAAACAAGTTAGATGGGCTGAAATGTTGTCTTTTTTCTATTTCATTAACACATGTACTGTTATACATACATATATACATATGCATATATATGTGTATATAAACATATTTTTGAGGCACATTTTTCTTCATTTAAGACTTTAGAGAGGTTTTCTAAAACTTAATAAAGAAATGTTCTTATAAGGAGAAGAAAATTAATCCCTTACACATTTTCTCTTACCTGTTTTAAAATATGTTTTGCATTTGACCTTGAATATGTTCAGAACCTCATAATATGTTTTGCAGAAATCACAGGATATGTCACAGAGTTTGAACACTGAAGGATCACTTGTTAGTAAGCAGAAATGGAAAAGCATTATAATAATGTGATCTCTAAAATCTCTATAATAAGAATGATGATGGTAGTGAATACTTGCAGGAATATTTATTATATTAACATTATTCATGGACTGCTTATTGTACTCTAAGCATGGTGTCCATTGCTGTTAGTAATCCTTTAAATTGTCCTTTATTTTGTTGTTATCTCCTTGGGTTCAGAGATCACATAATTGATGTTTGTCAAAGCCAACATTGGAACCCGGTTATTCAGATTAAAACTTTGCTGATTACCAGTTTTCTGTACCAAAAATATGTGCATTTTCCCAAATGAAAAAAAAAAACTATGAATTATTATGCAAGAAACTCTGAAAAATTCTTTTGTCTAAGAAACGAAAGGTGATTGGCCTTTTTCTCAGAAGCCTATTTCTTTTTGTTTATTTTCTCTGCTGAGCTGCTTCAAAATTTGCCAATCAGAGGTACAATTTCCTATAAAGGACCAATGATTCAAAATCCATTATTTATTATTTCTGCAGTGAAGATAGCGTATTCTTGAATTAATTAATTGTTGGGACTTTATGAAAGCTTATCTTTGTAGCATTCTGATGCTAAAAAAAAAAGAGAGAGAGAGAAAGAGAAAAGAAAAGGCGTTCATATCTCCTTCAAGAAAACCAAAGGTAGACCAGGATTATAGGTTGTAAGCGGTTTTACGTTTCCGAATGTGAGATCCCTTTGCTTTAGTACATTTTTTTTTTTTTTTTTTTTTTTTTTGAGACGGAGTCTCGCTCTGTCGCCCAGGCTGGAGTGCAGTGGCGGGATCTCGGCTCACTGCAAGCTCCGCCTCCCGGGTTCACGCCATTCTCCTGCCTCAGCCTCCCAAGTAGCTGGGACTACAGGCGCCCGCCACTACGCCCGGCTAATTTTTTTTTGTATTTTTAGTAGAGACGGGGTTTCACCGTTTTAGCCGGGATGGTCTCGATCTCCTGACCTCGTGATCCGCCCGCCTCGGCCTCCCAAAGTGCTGGGATTACAGGCGTGAGCCACCGCGCCCGGCCTGCTTTAGTGCATTTTAAAAATGCTCATCAACTCTAATGAAACAATAGTTTTACTGAGGCAAGAAATGATAATATATTTCTTTTAATAAATACTGTGGCTTGCTGTAATAGTGCAAACAAATACCGCAAAGACGTATTTTATGATTTCAGAATGGAATTGTTTTAAAATGCTTTACAATTATGTAAATCTTCTCATTTTTGCTAAGACTATAAATTTTCCTGTTATTGTTACTAATGGTCCTAAAATACATTTCAGGGAAGAAAGCTCTCTAAATATGAGAAAGTACTGTTATATAGGTCTTACTATACATAAATGTTTACTTGTCTTTTCTAAGGTGATTTCTAACCATCACGTACTTTCCTTAACGTTGGAAATCTTAGAGACAAAAGTTTGAAACCTTAAGTTTGAGAATAAATTATTTTTATAAAAAGATTGGAATTAAATTGTCATTGACAATTTTTACTTAATTCAATTTCACAAATTTTAATGGGATGATTATGCTTAAAACTATTATCTTTTGACTTTTGCTTATTTTTTATGTAAATATATTATTATCCCCAGATGCTATAGTAGTTTTAAATTAGAAAATAAATATTTGTTATTTAGAAAGCACAGGCTGTTCTGATGAAACAAACCTAACCAACTCATTTAGAAGTCAAAGAAATTTTCAAAGAAATGGGACAATAAACCATATGTATATGTGTCTTTATTTAATAGGCATGAATATGTGTCTGTAGTTGACAGTGAAAATCAAGGGACCTAGAAAAGTGTTAAAAACATCAAAACTTTAAGATATATTTGGGTCAAAATTATTATGGCTTCCGTTCCTACACACACATGCACACATGCACATTGTAACTGAATATTCTACCTGAACAGACTTAGCTATGTTGCTTTTGTTTGTTGATTGGTTAACTTTTTGGCTGCATTTTATAGAAATTAGATTATTTCAACTAGTATTTTAATATACTGAATATAGCATCAGCAATTCTGTGATTTTTTTTTTAAAAAAGACATTTTTCTGTTCACTTTCAGTTCACCTTTTTTTTTTTTGGCTTATTAGGTATCTCAAAATTTGTTTAATGATAATGTAAATTTCAGAGAGAAACAAGAGAAGACTTCTATGCTTCTTGTGAAGACTTTCTAAAAATATTTTTGCCCAGCTTGCTTGAGTTTTTTTATTTGTAATGAATTGTATAGATTTGTTTACTTTACATCCAGTAGCTAGCTTTTATGTCCTATTGATATTGCAAGAAAAATAGGCCTAGAAACCTGTAATTTATAATTGGCAGGCCCCAGTCTTCAAGGTCAGAATTTATATGTGTCATCTCTTTGGTGTAAATCTCTGTTTTTGCTTTTACCGAATTGGAATTGTGAAAGGTGCTTTTAAACTTCAGAGGCCTGTCAGTTTTGATATGTGAGGATAATTTTGAAGACATAAAATTCTACCCCACCTGTCCCCTCTACGTTCCCCACTACCCCCCACCCCCCCATACACAAAAAACCCAAGAAGGAGAAAACAGTTTACTATATATAGACAATACAATAAGGAGATCAGTGAATTGTGAACAGTAAACCATAAAGCAACATCCTCTGTAATCAATCAGTCTTTCTCCATGGCTCATTAAAGGAAAGCATCCAATTTACCCAGCTTGCAAAAAGAGTGGTGAATTTCAGTTTGAATTGTACACATATCTACATTTTTTGTGTCTGTTATTAGTAGATTGCCTGTTTATTTCTGTTCATTCCCCATGGCTTGTCCTTGACAGAGAAAAGAGATTTTAACTTTTAATTGTTTATAAAGAATAGAAGAGTCTATGAGTTTATGTTATGTGATGGTTTGATATGAGACAAGGTTTGAGAATGACTGAATTGATCTTAGCCTGATACTCTTCCCTAGATGTCTGTCTTGTGATATTTTTATTAATGATGACACATGTATAACTGATGAGGAAGTCTGTCAGAGAACATAAATTGTCTGACACCACTAGTATCTTACCTACAATCCAAGGCCTTTTAACTATAAAGAGGTAACCTGTCAGCCTTATTCCCTGTATTTATTTCAAAAAGACTTAATCAATTTAATAGGCTGCCTTTAATAAATCTATTTGCTTTTATTTATTTAGTGGAAATGTTTAGCTTTCTAGCTTTTAATGTGTTATGTCTGATAACTTACCATCTGACAAAATGCTGAAGGTCCTTATCTATAGCATGTCCCTGCATTCTTTCTGGATCTCTGTTTGATCTACTTATCTACAACATCCTAGAGACTCACCAAATGACTGTACTCATTCCCCTGATGACCATTTGATTTAAGTAAGGATTCTCTGGTTTAGCAGAAGTTAAAAGAAAGAAAGAAAAACAAGTGAATGTGATACTTTTCTTACAGATCAAGGTAACAATTAGTACTATTGAATCAAATTTATATAAAGAATACAAAGTATGTGTAAAATCTCTCTCACTGATAAAAAATCCTCCATTTCTTACATTCCATGACTTATTTCATTTTTCCTTTTTTGTGTACTAAAATAGATTCAACATTTATTTTTATTTCTTTTTAAAATTTATGTAAATTTATGTAAATTTAAAATGTACGTAAATTTATAAGTACAGTTTTCTTACATGGCTGTATAATCTGTAGTGGACTCTGGGTCTTTAGTGTTACCATCACCCAAATAATACACAATTGTATCCATTAAGTAATTTCTCATCTCTCACCCCCCTCACACTATTTCTAATCTCCAGTATCTATTATTCCACACTCTATGTCCATGTGTACACATTATTTAGCTCCCACTTACAAGTGAGAACATGTAGTATTTGACTTTTTGTTTCTGAGTTATTTCACTTAAGATAATGGCCTCCCATTCCATCCATGTTTCTGCAAAAGACATGATTTCATTTTTCTTTATGGCAGAGTAGTATTCCTGTGTGTATGTATATAAATAGGTAGGTAGGTAGATAGGCAAGTAGGTAGACAGACAGACAGACAGATCACTGTGTCTTTATTCAATCATCCATTGATGGATACAGGTTGAATCCACATCTTTGCTATTGTGAATAGTGCAGCAATTAAACACATGAGTAAAGGTATCTTTTTTATATAATGATTCTTTTGGATAGTAATATAGTTTCGATATTTGCCCTGCTTAAATCTCATGTTGAAATGTAATCCCCAGTGTTTGAGGCGAGTCCTGGTAGGAGGTGATTGTATCATGGGGGTGGATTTCTCATGAATGGTTTAGTGCCATCCTGTTGATGCCATCCTCATGATAGTCAGTGAGTTCTTACCAGATCTGATGGTTTCAAAATATGTGGCATCTCCCCTCCTCTCTCTTGCTCCTGCTTTTGGCATGAATGTGCCAGCTCCCCCTTCACCTTATGTCATGATTAGAAGCTTCCTGAGGCCTCCCCAGAAGCAGATGCCTGTATAGCCTGCAGAACTATACTTCCTGTACAGCCTGCAGAACTGTGAGCCAGTTAAACCTCTTTTCTTATGAAATATCCAGTCTCAGGTGTTTCTTTGTAGCCATGCAAGAATGGCATACAGATAGATACCTACTCATGGAATTGCTGGATCAAATGGTATACTTATTTTTAGTTCTTTTAGAAATCTCCATACCGTTTTTCATAGAGATTGTACTACATTACATTCCTACCAAAAGCTCCTTTTTCTCCACATCCTTGCCAACATTGCTATTTTTTGACTTTTTAATAATAGCCGTACTGACTACTGTAAGATGGTATGTTATTGTGGTTTTAATTTGCATTCTCTGATTATTAGTGCTGTTGAACATTTTCTCATATGCTTGTTGGCCATTTGTATGTCTTCTTTTAAAAACTGTATTCATGTCCATTGCCCCCTTTTAATGAGGTTATTTCTGTTTTTTTTTCTTCTGTTGAGCTGTTTGACTTTCATGTAAATCTGGCAATCAGTCCCTTGTCAGATGCATAGTTTACAGGTATTTTCTCCCATTCTGCAGGTTGTCTACTTACTATTTTGATTTTTCTTATGCTGTACAGAAGCTTATAAATTAAGTCCCATTTGTCTATTTTTGTTTTTGTTGTTTATACTTTTGAGGTTTTAGTCATGAATTCTTTGCCTAGACCCATGTCCAGAAGAGTTTTCCCTAGATTTTCTTCTAGTATTTTTATTTTCAGGTCTTACATTTAAGTCTTTGATCCATCTTGAGTTAATTTTTGTATGTGGTGAGACAGATGAGTTATTTGAGAAATCTCCATACCGTTTCACTCTTTTGCATATGGATATCCAATTTTCCCAGGATATTGGTCTGTTCTCATGCTGCTAATAAAGTCATACCTTAGACTGGGTAATTTATAAAGAAAAGAGGTTTAATTGACTCACAGCTCTGCATGGCTGGGGAGGCCTCACAATCATGGTAGAACAGGAAGGATGAAGGCATGTCTTACATGGTGGCAGGCAAGAGAGCTTGTGCAGGGGAACTTCCTTTTATAAAACCATCATCTTGTGAGACTTATTCATTATCATGAGAACAGCACAGGAAAGGCTCACCCCTATGATTCAATTACCTCCCACGGGTCCCTCCCATGACATGTGGGAATTATGGGAGCTAAAATTCAAGATGAGTTTTGGGTGGGGACACAGCCAAACCATATCACCCATCTTCTATTTCAGGCCAGCTTGGGATCTGAGAACTCAAAATTTTCTGTAATTTTTAAAATTCTCATCCATTATTTCATCCTGTATTGTGTCAAGCATTTCCTTTATTCTCTTCCTCAGGGACTCCTAATGTACAATTATTGGGACCTCTCAATCTATTCTTCATGTGACATAATTGATGTTTCATGTTATTTTTAACAATCTCTCTTTTCTGTTCTATATTCAAAATGAATCCCCCAACCTTGTCATTTTCTAATTCTGTAATTTACTCTTCAGCCAAGAATTTGTGACACATATTTTATTTTTATTTCAATAGTTTTCTATTTCATTTTCTAATATTTCTCTTTTATCCAAAAAATTTTTTGTTTTATATATGCCTCTGTGTTTTACAATTTCTTATTCTTTCAAAATGTTTAGCAAATTTTCTTTCTTCTTTCAGAGAGATAAATTTACAGGCTCTGGTGGAATCCTGCCTAGGTTTGAATTCCAGCTCTTCACATAGCAGCTGTGTTTCTTTAGACTATTATTTAACTTGACTGTGCCTTTGTTTCCTCAGTGATAGAATCAGACTCATTTAAACATTTACCTCACAGACTGTTGTGGGGATTGTGCAAGGAATAAGTGTGTTACTTCACGTAAAATGCTTAGAATAATGTTGGGCACATAGTAAGTTTTTAAATACTGTTTACTATTATCATCAGGAATGACACCATCATCAGCATCACTGTTGTTTTCATCATCAGTGTCATTATCATTATCAGTACTTTGGGCGGGATACTATTTTTAAAAGTCTTTGTCATAGCACCATATAAAATTCATTTTAATTTGAAGGAAATTCATTTCCTTTTTTTTTTTTTTTTTGAGATGGAGTCTCGCTCTGTTGCCCAGGCTGGAGTGCAGTGGCGCAATCTAGGCTCACTGTAAGCTCTGCCTCCCGGGTTCATGCCATTCTCCTGCCTCAGCCTCCCGAGTAGCTGGGACTACAGGCACCCACCACCACACCCAGCTAATTTTTTGTATTTTTAGTAGAGACGGGGTTTCACCGTGTTAGCCAGGATGGTCTTGATCTCCTGACCTCGTGATCCGCCTGCCTTGGCCTCCCAAAGTGCTGGGATTACAGGCGTGAGCCACCGCACCCGGCCTCGAGGAAATTCATTTCTGAGTATTGATTTGTTGGCTGACTTTTTAGCATTTTTAAAATTTTATTTTAGAATTTGGGTTCAAAAACTCATTTTTATTGTTTAGTTATTGCTATTGGGTTTTCACCTTCTTACTCTGGATTCCCCACTCCCTAACAGTTTTATAGTTACTTCTATCCCACATTTCTAAATCATTTTTTATAGTTGACTCTGGCTTTCTTTGGAGAATTTATTTGCTGGATTCACATCCAATTATTAAGCCCCTCGGCCACACTGTTGCTCGCATTTTTAAGGTGTGTAGCTGCCTTTCAGCTTCAGTCAGCCTCATGGTCTCAGGCAGCATTTTTCATCAGCCTGCCTTCTAATGTCTGTACCCTTACCTGAAGCTCCTGGCTTTAACCAAAGGTCCTGTGTCCCTTTCTCTACTGGAATGAGCATTTTGGGTCTCCATATCTTGTGGGAGCTGAAAGCCCTGTCCACTGCGTCAGAATCTGGAACCAAGCAGGTCCTGCCATGCTCATCTTTGGAGGTCTGTGAGGGTTTGTGTTCATGCAGATGTTTGCTTTGTTTGGGGTCCTGGAAGTGGCTTTCTGGCTTCTTGTTTTTATATAGTACTTATTCTTGGTGTGTTTTTGAAACAAAGACGGACAGTCAAAGCCTGAACTTACTATGCCATTCTGATTGGAAGTTTATTAGTGCTTACTTTTTTCTATTTTATTTCTCCTCTTCCGTCTTTTGTGAAGTTAATTTTGTTCTTCGTCATTTGTTACTTTCTATCCCTCTTACCCTGCTTTAGTTTTCTCCTTGGACTCATGGTTTATTGTTTTTATGCGTTTGGTCTTTTTTTTTTTTTTTGTCTCTCTCTTTTCCTACTTGAATATATGCTTTGTGAGGACAGTACTTTGTTCATTGCAATATCCCTAACATCTTACAAAGAAAGTTTCCATTATTTATGCAGTAGGCTCTCAACAGACATCTGTAGAATCAATGAATGAGTGATGGTGTTTTTGTCCCAAGTTGACTCATCATTTTTGGATTTCTGTTTGATGTGTATTTCAGAATATGATGTGATAATTCTTCAAGAAATACTGGTTCTGACTGGGGAAGGGGCCCATGACCAGAGGCCTGTGAGTGTTGTTGATTTCCTGGGAATCAAGTCCTTTCCTACTTCTTAAAGGGCAGACATTAGGAAGGCCTGCCTTATTTTGTTTCATAGAAAGTGTGTTTCTCTGGTGTTAGAACTCCAATTCGCACAAGGCAGCTTCAGGCTTTGTCCTGGCCCATAGGCTAGAGTCAGGCACTTCCCTATCTTTGTTTCTTCTTCCAGTGTCAGCAGAATTTGGATATCTAATCTATGCTTGTCCTTCTTTATTCTTTTCATACTATTGTTTTATTTAAAAGGATTCCTTAGAGGTTTATCCTGGGGCCACATAACATCCCTCTGCAGCTCATTTTAACTAAACTTGATTGAACCAGCTTAATAGAGTTGTAAAATTAACTACCCTGGTGGTTGTCCTCTCCTGATTTTTAAATAACTCTTTGACTTTGCAATTGGAAAAGCCCTGGAATTACTCATACCTCAAAGGTAATTTTCTCTTCTCTCTTTTGGATAGTGTTTACTCCTCCCTTCTTTCTCCATAATTCCATCTGCTTTGAAAGTTGTAATAATCTTTCACACTTTGGTCATTTTATGGCATCCTTTCTGGTTTCTAGTGCTGGTGTAGCTGTATTTTTTTTTAACTTATTTCATTTCACAACTGTCATTTTTTGAGTTTAGACCTGAAGCAGAGAAATGTGCATTTTCTTAGCCATCTTGATTCAATTCTCCCACTTAATTAAAACAATTTTTTTTTCAGAAAAGGATCTTTCTATATCTGCCTGTCTCTATAAATTTCTCCCCGAGAGATTAGGGAATAAAGAGCAGTTGTTTAGACAGTGATTCAGGTCATTTGGAAGACGGCTTTACTACCATGTTTTCATCATGTTTAACCTGTGAATTATCCCCTTTTTCTTTATATGGAGTTTGAAACTTTTACTTTTGCTGCTTGCCACATAAGGCTAAAAATGTATGTGTGGTAGCATGAGTTTGATTGTACCTCTATCACAAGCCAAAGTGCCTGACAATAAAGAGGTTAGAGCTGAAGCTGGGATAGTCAATTAAATCCAGCATTCCTCTTTTCCCTTTCAGTCTCTGCCTTATGCCTTTTCTCCCAAGTTAATTAACTTCCATGTCTCTTAGCCATCACCAATTAATTAGATTTTGTTTTGCTTTAGCCTAGGGGGTCTCATATTGGTAGTTTTGACTATTGGTGCTATCGGGAAATTCTTGTGTATCTGTTCTAAATTATGGCCAGGTTTCACATACCCCACTGGCCCCTAGTCATGTAAAGCAGCACTGCTCCCAATCTACTTGCACAATGTAGGTGTATTCTATATGACACGTTAAAATGGGGACAAATTTCTTCAAGCACTTGACACCTAAATAATTCTTAGAATCAGCATTCTGGATCAGAAATTCAAATTTTCTTTATTTCCACATAGAATGTTTAATAATTAAAGTTGAAAGGAGTCAACTCAAGCATTTGTAAAGATCAGTAGGATATCCTGTTGTGGCAGGATATGATCTAAAGTGACCTAAAATCTACTTTGAGTTGACTTTTTGTAAAGTTTACGCTATTAGAGCAAATCCATTGTAGGATTGTAGATTTTCACTCTGTTCTCAGGTTTTAGAACTTTGCTTCTGGCAGAAGTGTTTGCTCATTGGTTTCCGGTTGTTAAAGTAAACCTCCTTTAAGGTTTGGGTGAGTCACTGATAATGTTAAGATATACTGAGATATCCTGCAGTCACACTGTAGTCAAGTGATGGAGTATAGTCAAGCATTCATTCCTGAAGTCAGATAGACCTAGCTTTGATTGAATCCTTTCTCTACCACTTTGTGACCAGGACAATCAATTTATCCTTCCATGGCCACAGTTTCCTCATTTGCAAAATGGAGATAAATAATGTCAACCTCTTAGAGCTATTGTAAGTAGTTGTTCAGCACAGGGTCCTATGTGGTCAATAATTAATACAGTATTTTTTTTTTTTGCCCTCATATTCTGTCTCTGCTTTGTGACCTCTTTTTTAGCCAGAATATCAGCTTGCTGGCTATGTCCCTCTGATAGCTCTTTCTCAGCTTGCTCACTGTTAAAATAGCTAATTTGCTAAACTCTCTGATGCACTGGTTTCCTTAGAATCTGTGAGTTTGGTTGTTTTCAAGCCCTGCAAAGGGTTGAGTTTGACCTGAACTCTGTCTATTGCTTCTGACACCCGCTGCCAGAAGGCCTTGAGGCCTTCTTTTCTTTTCTTGAGGCCCTCACCATCTTTTTTAGGACATCTAGATCAGAGGGCGTCTCCTATTTCTGATTTTTAGGTATTACCTAGATTATTGTCCATAATTAATGTCAACCCATATTCTAGGCTGAACCGCAATGTGAGGTGGCAAATGAGCCCTAGAAGTGCACATTTTCCAAGAAAGGTGGTGAGAAAATTGATTTAGTATCTTTCTGCCAGGGGCAGATATGGGTGATATTTATATTGGGGGCTGCTGAGAATTTTGGAATTGTAGAGATGTAGGCGGTGGGCAGTTTAGGGTAAGAGTTAGCAGATAAATTTGGCACTGGAGCTGCCTCTAAATACTGGTATAACAATTAATAAAGAGCAACCCTGATGCCAGGCATTGGGGTACCAGTGCTGTATTGTGGGACAAGAACAAGACTTGAGGCCAATCCTATGTGAACCATCTGTGATTATAATTGGGCTCTGCAGTTTCCTAGCTCTCTGGCTGCAGGCCTGAGCCTCAGCTTCCTCCCTTGTAGGGGGGTTAGGGAAACGATGCCAACCTCATGGAGTTGTGAGAATTCAGTGCAATAGTCTATGTATAACATCTTTGGTAGTGCCTCGCACAGAGAAGAGGCTCAGTCAGTGCTAGTGCTATTGTTCCTCTTCTAATTTCTGTTACTGCTGTTTTTATTGTGATTGATATCATTGTGGTTATTATTATTATCGGAAGGTGGCTGGAAAATAGCAAATTATCAGATCTAGGGTCATTTTATATCCTATCTGGCAAACAGTTTGAAGCAAAACATATGTTCATTGACTGAAATCAAAATTTTATTCTTATGGTAGATTGTACTGTTTTGAAAACTTTTGCTACTTCTCCCTGGAGGTGGATCATATTGCCTGGTCCCGTTGACATCAGTTTTGCTATGTGACATTAGCCTCCATCCTATTGAAATCAAGAGAGGTCATGCTAGTTTTAACCAATAAAATATTTGTGGACATGACATGAATTACCTTTAAACAGAAATGTTTAAAGCCAGTTGCAGCCTGCAGTTTCTCTTTTCTTTGCCTCTGACATGAGGCTGACAATATCCTAGAGAGCCTGCTCTCTCAGCCCGGGGCCTGTAGTGAAGACTGCAAGGAGCATGGTGAAAAATAATTTCTAATTACACATTGGGGTTGTTTATTACTGTAACAAAACATAATACAGTGATAGAATTATTCAACACTGTCATTGTCAAGGATGGTACAAAAAGAAGTTTAGAACTGCTTTTCCAGTATACAAGCAACTGGCCACGAGTGACTATTTGTTAAATAAAATGAAAATTTCAGTGCCTCAGTTGCACTGGCCACATTTCAGGTACTTGGTAGCTACATTTGTTTAATGATTCTTGTATTTGACAGCTCAGATATAGGACATTTCTATCATTGCAGAAAGTTCTATTGTAAAGTGCTGGTACTAATATTAATGTGGTCCTTAAGACCTACATGAGATTACTTTTACCACAAGGAGCATGTCTAATGTGTTATTTTTCCTCCTTCAGTTTTAAAAAAGATATGTTATCCCATTGTCTGCCATCTAATTATTATGTATGGAAAAATAATCATTATATTATAAGCTACAGAATATAGTTACATAGACAACTCTTTATTTTCCATTTTTCTTGATTTGCAGTGTTGCAAATCCTCTATTTAACTGCACACTGTCAAATTAAAGGCTGGATACATGGCTTATATTGTTGAGTGAACAAGGTAGAGATTGGCTTTGATAGTCTGTCTTCACTCTTGCAAAAACTAGGGTCACAGTGAGTAATAATTCTTCAAACATAGTTGATTTTAAAAAATTGTAGTTAGCCAATAATTAAGAAGGATAGTAAATTACTGTCTCTAGAGACTGCAATGTTATTTCTTAGGCATAAACTCAATTTTAGACTTTAAAGTTAAAGGTTTAAAAGTGTGCTTAATATTTTCTATTCTAAACAGAAACAAGCAGATTTGCCACTATAAAACATGTAAATCAGCCACTTTTCATGGCATAAACTAATTAGACTAACTTTCCTAAATATTTTTGTGCTCACAAATGATGTACATACCCATTTTTCATCAGTGTTTCAACAAATGTACTCTGATACAGGGTCATTTGAAATTTTCTCAGTGCTATGTTTCCCACGCATTCAGCTGAGATCATGTTGCTCGTATCTGAAAATCATGTAGTCTTCCTAGATCTGGAAAAAATGTTTCTCCAAGCAGCCAGGAAGCTTCTATCTCTGCTGATGGAAGATTTAATAGAAACTGAGTGATATTGTTTCAGCTCAATGTATTCTGTATAATTAAGCAATTGATGTTTTTCAGTCCATTAAGCAATTTTATTCACCCTCCACAAGACACTTTGCATTCATATTTTGTCGGTTATTCTGATCATTTTTTAAATCTCATTAATTGAAGTTGAGAGGCAACATTAATGAAAATTTTGAATTATAAAGTATAAAGCACTCTAGGAAAAAGTACTTATATTGCTTAATACATATATTTATTTGAAGTCCAACTGCCTAGCAAAAACCTGCTTTAATGAAAAGATAAGAATTATAATTTCAGAATATTTGTATAAAGGGCAGTGCTAACCTGTATTCACAGTTTATTTATATTGTATACAGGTAAAATGTGCATCTGAAGTTCTTACAAATAATTTGACATCTTAGCTATACAAATATTCTCGTTGAAAACAATTTCCACTATTTTTGTTGTTTTTATTCTTAAGAGGGAGACTTCAGTTTAGGCTCTATCGCAATCAGAACTGTATCTCCAGTTAAAAAGATTCATTACCTAAGAGCAACTTCCTGCTTCCACTGTGGTTGCCAGGACCTCCTGTATCTTTAAAGTACTCTTGAAGTATATTGATGATGGCTTTAAGATCTAGGGGTGATCCAGCAATGAAATTAATAGTACAACAAACCAGTAGATTTTTTTAGTTTTAAACATTCAAATAATGCCATGGCATTGTTGAAAATGGAGCAGAAGAGGAGGAAAGATGGATGCTGTTGATTTTTCTGTGGGGGGGAGCACGTTTTATTTTAAACTATTCCTTTCGGAAAGCTTACTAGTTCCATTGCTTAATCCCATATTTCTATTTCATTGAGTAGCCACGCCCAGCTTCAAGCAAATGAACTTTTATTCAGCAATGACGTCTTCAGTGACGCTGGGTTACTATGTAGCACTGTATTGGCTTTTATGGGATTCCTCTGCTACATGTGTTGAAGGGTCTGTGGAAAGACCTGTGTAAGGCAGTAGATAAGAATATGAATTTTGTTTTTATGACAAAGCAGTGACTCGGCTAATGCTATTGAGTAGAATTTTTTTGGAGTAAAATTGGTAGTGTAGATAAAATATTGCTGAATGTCTCAGGGTGTATGTGTAGGAAGAATGTGCTGAAGAGACAGGATAGCCAAATGGCTAAGATAGCCAAATCAGTGTAGCACTTGCTATGTGACTTTGAGAATGTTACATATTAGTAACATTTCTAACCCTCAGTTTCCTCTCATGCATAAAACATGGAAAATAACTTTCAATACCTTATAAGACTATTGTGAGAATTGGCTGTGCTTAGCATAGTACCTGAAAATCATATGTAATCAATGTTGTCATTGAAGCTTTTCACTCAACAAGGTAATGATCTGGTAGTTCTTTTGAGTTGCTGTTTAGCATGCGTCTGTCTATACCCAAATATGATGTAGGCTGTATTTATATTAGTTATAAACTCTTCCAGATTTATCACTGCAGTTGTAAGATCTGATAAGAGATCTAACTTTATATTTTTTATCATTGGCAAGTGTCTCATGTAGAAAATGGCACGGCTTTCTCAAGATTGATATCACCTATGGCATTTATATCTCAGAACTCATAATACAATAAGCAAAAAATATTTTAACATATACACTGACATGTTAATTCATGTAATATGTAGAAGCTGAAGGCTTTAAATTTTACAGAGACAAAATACAGTGACGTGTTTGAAGTGCAGTGAGCTCTGTCCTGTTATTTAAATCTTTTCATATCTCAAAGTCAGGTTCTGTTCTGTCTTTGAGAGATTTAGAGTATATGGGTAAAGAAAGGAAGAGGGGATAAAATAAACTTATGATGGTATAACCTAGCTAATTCAATGTTAATACCTTTGCGTACACAGAAGACCTCCCTATCCATTTGTAAGCATTTACCACATGCCATCAGATCTGCAATCCCTGGTCAACACAGGCTTTACCACATACTGTTCAGTTCTGAGAACATTTCAGTTAAATGAACTTGGATTCCAGGAAAGTCTAGGGTTGTACTTCAGTAAAAGACCTCCCAAACCCCCTGATAAGGGGGCATGGGTAGACAAAATCCGTCATGATAATTGAGAAATTGTAAGTATGGGTGGTATGTCATATAATTGCACATCTGACTTGGAAATTGAGTGTCATCATTATTTAGAATTGTTTTACAGAAATTCTTAAAAAGCAAATGCTGCTAATAGTACACACCTGAGTCACTAGTTTTCACTGTAACCGATTGGTACTGGCCTCTGCTATTGGTTAAAATATAAATGCATTGTTAAGGTTTTATAGTAATACCATAATTGTTTGGATTAGTAAGTGCTTTTCATTTTAGTTGGTGTAATAACTTCAAACTTTTAAAGTGGGCGAACTCTCAACTGAGTAGACCACGGAGTTATAGATATCAGTAAGGCATGTTAAGTGAAGGAAAGCCATAAATGATGGCATTAATGCTGTGATTTTTCTACTTGCATACCAATGCATGCGTGTCTTTATTCATTTAACAAATATATATGGTGCCCTTGTTATGTGCCAAGCTCCATGTACTCAGGAAGCATACACTTCAATTGGAAACCCAGACCTTTAAGCAGGTAATAAGGATGAATTTTAATGCATGTTAAGATAAATTATTTTGAGACAGAGAGGGCCATTTTAGAAACTGTATTTTTTTTTGACCCCTTTCCTGCTGTAGGAAAAAATTATTACCAAATCTTGCCACTTTTCTCTCTAGAATGTTCTTCTCCAACTGAACTATGACCTATTTGTACCTTACAATTTTATCTTAATTAGCAAATTTTATTTTCTGGTAAAAGGTTTGCCACTTCCTTGATGGGAAGTTAGATTTTTCAATAACTTTGTCCTTTGAAAACATTTTACCACTTGTCACAATACTCTTTCTACTGTCTTTCTAAACATGTCTCTAAATTTGTTTCCTCTAGTAGTCACAGGCCATGTTTATTATACTTTCTGCTCATGTGGGTCAGTTAACATTGAAACAAAAGTTGCATTGTGCAGTCTGGTTGCTCCCTGTCCCCTGTCAGCAGTCTCATTATGTAACTTTAAGCATTGCTGTGAGAGCTAACTGTTCATCTAGGGTGGTAGAAAAGCTTCGTAGCTAATGTGATTTTGTCCATGGTGTTCCCTTCTCAAAATAGCACTGATGGACCTCATGAGACAGGTTCTGCTAGTTGCTTGTGCCTGTTTCAAATTCTTGATCAACCGGACTTCTTCTCATAAAGGTACCACATTTATTGTACCTGTTATAAACTTTTAGGAAGGAATCTGCATCATTCTTATTTTAAGATGTTAACTAATTGCATTACTTGTTTATTTGAGCCTTGGCATCTCAACATTGATTACCCTACTTTTGTAGTATTGTTTTTGGAATATAGTAATAGTTAACTCAAAAATAAATAAGTATGTAAGCTGCTGGGGTCCAAGTGATATACTGAGTCTCTTAAAAGAAGGAAGCTGGCAACTCTTCTAGAAATCAGATCATGTCCCCAGGCCAAGAATTGGCTTTGATATATTTATTCATTGAGGAGTGTGGATGAACAGCTGCCTTTTGAATGTAGCCAAGGGAAATTTGCTGACAAGCATAAATGTGAATAGGGCAGTAAAGCCTGAAAACAACAGCAACAAAAGAATGTTGATGTACAATCTAAGGAGACTCAAAACCAATTTCCTCTCCCTATCATTTTCTATATCCCCTACCATAATCCTTCCATAGTTGCCATGCCCATAAGCGATGTCAGATCAGAAATGACAAATTACCTTTTTAAAACTTGTACTAGGTGAATTAAAAACCAATTAACTCTTAATTTTTTTCATGTTTCTGGAAGATCTAAATTATCAATCTAAAGTACTTTACTGTGGTGATAGCATTAGAAAAAAACTATAAACAGTAACACAGGTCTCCTGTTACTATTTATACTTTTTTTTAACGCTGTCACCGAGGTAGAATAGATATTCAATGGAGCCTTGAATTTAAACTTGGTTTACGTAAGAGTTCTTGCCTTCAAAAAAGGTTTTTAAAGGTACATTTTAGTATCCTGCTAACATCAGTACATGTTACCTTGTTAGTCTTTTTGGTTACAAAGGATTTCTTTTTCTTGTTCAAAATTGATCTTGGGTTGCCTTAGTAAAAACTTTCAAAAATTTTCTCCTCTCTTCCTTCTATAAAGCTTTTTACACATTTGTTCTCTAGTATTAATGGGAATTACATGTAGAAATCACACACTAAATACAGCTACTTCTTTATGTTATCCCCCTGAGAGGTGGTTTCTGTTTTTGTTTTTGAGACAGAGTCTCACTCTGTTGCCCAGGCTGGAGTGCAGTGGTGTGATTTCTGCTCGCCATGACCTCTTACTCCTGGGTTCAAGCGATTTTCCTGACTCATCCTCCCGAGTACCTGGGATTACAGGCGCGCACCACCACTTCTGGCTAATTTTTGTATTTTTAGTAGAGACAGAGTTTCGCCATGTTGACCAGGGTGTCTGGAACTCCTGACCTTAGGTGATCTGCCCACCTTGGCCTCCCAAAGGGCTGGGATTACAAGCGTGAGCCACCGTGCTCAGCCCCCTGAGAAGTTTTAATCTCCATTTATTAGTGGTGACTAAATATGAGGCCAAAATAGATTACTTCCTTTTAGGAAAAATGACAAGCCACCATTTTTTTTAAATTTTTTTTTTTGAGATAGAGTCTGGCTCTATTGCCCAGGCTGGAGCGCAGTGGCGTAATCTCGGCTCACTGCAACTTTTGCCTCCCCAGTTCAAGCAGTTCCCTGCCTCAGCCTCCCAAGTAGCTGGGATTACAGGCACCCACCACCATGCATGGCTAATTTTTGTATTTTTAGTAGTGACGGGGTTTCACCATCTTGGCCAGGCTGGTCTTGAACACCTGACTTCGTGATCCACCCACCTTGGCTTCCCAAAGTGCTGGGATTATAGTGATGAGTCACCGTGCCCGGCCACCATGCCACCATTTTTTAAAGTGCAATTTAAGAAAATGAATGGACTTCCAACTAGTCAAACCTGACTAAATATTCTGTTAGTATATCTGGTTCGCTCTGTTTATATCATATTAGGGTTAGGCCAGGATAAGAAAGGTCTGTACAGGTGACTTAGTTGTACCCACAACCAGCAAAAACTGTGATCTTGGATTTCAGGTGATGACCAGAGGAGGGAAATTTAGTAACTAATCAAAAATATTGATTCTGTTCTGTTTCTTGCTCATAGAATGGTAAATTTATATTTGGTCTTCTTTTGATTTTGTTTTAAGAATGCTTATTCACAAACTTCTCATTAGATTTAGATAGACTAGAGCTAAATTTAATATTCTCCAGAGGCAACTTAGAACTTTCTACATTTAATTTCCAATTAACACCATAGTTAAGAGGGGTATAAACTTTTCAGGTGGAGAAAACAAAACGGAGTTCAATCTTTTCAGTCCTAATTGTTTTTACTCACGGCTCTCATATTCTATGCTGGTGGCATGCCCTTGCTTTCAGTGAAGTTGGCCTAAAGCAACCTGTAACTCAAGCTATAGGAAGAAGAATGTTGAAAGCAGGGGGGCTGTCGCTTGAATTAGTTGTTTTTTTTTTATTGCTATATATATATATATATATATATATATATATATATATATATATATATATAAATATATATATAAATAAAAACTTAGGTTTATTGAGAAATACTTGAGGATCCTTCACTTTCAATTGACCTTTTTTTCTTCTATGTAACTCATTAAATTTGATGGAGAACATCCTTATAGAAAATTAACTTTGGACTTTGCCAAAGATGTACAGTTTTTCCTCTGTTGTTTGATAGGCTTTTGATAGGACAGTTTTCATCTATCTCTGTGACCAGATCCAGAATGCTGGGAGTGGAGGAGCAACAATATGCAACATGGAAGGATGTTTAGTAAAGCTGACTAGAAGGTCAGCAAAGCCTTCCTAGAGTAGGTCTTATTAGTAGGTCACTTTTAGTTGCAATAAAAAGAAGATAAACTCAAACTATCCTAAATGAGGCAAAACAAAAAACAAAACAAAACAAACAAAAAAAGGACTTCCTTTACTTCCTTTGGCTCGTGTAACTCAAAAGGCCAGCAGAGGTTTTTAAACAGGGATCTGGCTTTATCTCTTTTCCATTTTCTTTTGTGTTTCCTCAGACAGATTCCTCCCAAGTAGTGGCAAAGATAACCACCACCAGCACCCATCTATCTTTCTACCAGCGAAACAATCCCAAAGGGTAGGTGCCTCTTTCCTGAATTTGTAACAGAAGTCACCTGGATACTTCTCCTTAACTCAGCTTCAGTCAGCTGTCTTCCTGGGAACCAATCACTCTGGCCAGAGGTGGTTGTTCTCTGAATGGCAAGGCCTGGGTCATATACTCACCCACTGGATCCCCTAAAGAGGATGCTAGGCAGACAAAGAAAGGGGACAGAGAGGAAGAGAGTAGGAGAATTATACAGGAATACATGTGCTTATAGAGAATGGCACAAGATGATTGGCTAGGCTATTAGTGGAGAAAAGTAACCAGATTATGAATTCATGTAGCTAAGGATTCTGCACATTACCATAAAAGACATAATTAATGGATGTACATAGGGTGTGACAATAGCAAATTTATATTTTAGTAAGGTCACTCTGGCAGCAACATGAAGAGATTGGATGGATAGATATAAATAGATAGGGATGGAGATATAAATAAGGAAGTTTTAATATTTTATTCCTGAATTCCACTGTATAATGTCTTGTATCCTCCATTCCACTGCCTGGGTTTGACAGTCAGAGTCTAGATATGAAATATGAAACAATAAGAGCTTAAAGAGGGGTAGAAACATTACATTACCTAAGGGATTGGATGTGAGCCAACGTGAACAAAGAATTAAAAGGAATTGGCATCTAACTAAAGAGGGTGAGAGAAAAAAAGAGACATGTAAACGGTGACTGAGAGTTATGATACTTGGAGAAAATACATGATTTGGTGTCAGGTGCATGATTGTTTATACCAGTTCCATTCTCAGAACAATTAGAACAGTGGCTACACTGTGACACTGAAGTCTGGAAGAGCAGTTGTAGCCTCTAAAGGACGTGTTAAAGCCCATGAAGATTTAGATGAAGATTAGAGATTTGAGTTAATTCACATAGTAGGAATGAATGAAAGCAGGAAAAAAGAAGCCAACAAGTGGAGGAGGGGAGTAGAAAGAGAAAAAGGCAAAAAGGAGTTTGAACAAGAAAAGAGAAAATGTTTTTATAAAATACTTCAAGAACATTAAAGATGAAGATTAAGAAAAAAGAAAGGACATTGCACTTGGCAGTTAGGTCACTAATGATATTGGAGACACCATTTCAAGCCAAACTACAGGAATTGAATAAGTGAAGGAAGTAGGACCATCAAGCGCTACTTACTCTTTCAAGATTGATGAGAAAATTTCTTTTCCCTGCCAGAAATCCATTTTGGCTTTGTATCCTTGGTTCAGAAAACTAAGTCGTTCTTGTCCTATATCATCTGTGTAGCTAGTTCTTTACTTCCCATATCCCCCTCTCTGTTTAAATGTCCTGAATTTCAGCTAAACGACAAAATAAAAACTGTATCTCCCAAGCCCTTCATCTTCCTATCTTGGTCTTCAGAGTCACTATAGATATATTCCATTTTTTCCTGACTGTATTCTTCGTGGCCACATGAATCAGAAATAATAAGTACCAGCCAGTGGATTTTATAAGCTATCAAGTCACATATAATATGACACTTTCTGGTTTGTCATGGCAAGACTATATAACACCCAGCAGGGATTCACGAGTCACAAATGCCTATCTCTTCCTCCTGAGGTCAAAACTGAATTCCTCAAGCCTCCTACTGCCCATGAATGTTCATTCATGTTCTATAAAGCAGGGGCTTTCACATTTTTTTGACCATGACCTTCTATAAGAAATACATTATACGTCATTATCTAGTACATGTGAGTAGCAATGGATACACACACACTGCACACATATTTATGACTGACCCAAAAGTTTCATGAAACAATAGTTTCCTTAATGCCAGGATATAATCTTTTAGTACTATATTCACTGTTCTGTTTCATTACAAAATGAAGAAACTTTCTGAACACACTAAATTGATATAATGATCCTAATGGGTCACATCTCACAATTTGAAACACTCTTTAGATGAGATTTGGAAAATTGCTTTTTTTGTTTGTTTTTTAATTTATAGACATGGACGGAGGAGATTTAGCATAATTCTTAAGGGCCCGATAATTTTTGTAATGGAAAATAAGCACTGGCTTCAACTTAAAGTCACCAACTGCATTAGCCCCTCTCAAGATAGCCTGTCCTTTAAAACTCTGAAGACAAGCATCGACTTCTCCTTTCTAGCTATGAAAGTCCTAGATGGCATCTTCTTTCAACATAAGGCTATATGCCTGTATAGAAAATCTGTTTAGTGTAGCCACCCTTATCACTTATCTTAGCTAGATCTTCTGGATAACTTGCTGCAGATTCTCAATTGGTACTTGATCTTCACCTTGCATTTTTGTATTATAGAGACCACTTCTTTTCTGAAATCTCATCAACTGACCTCTGCTACCTTCCAACTTTTTTTTTTATTATTAAACTTTAAGTTCTGGGGTGCATGTGTAGAATGTGCAGGTTTGTTACATAGGTATAAACGTGCCATGGTGATTTGCTGCACCCATCAACCCGTCATCTACATTAGGTATTTCTCCTAATGCTATCCCTCCCTTACCACCCACCTCCCGACAGGCCCTGGTGTGTGATGTTCCCCTTGTGTCCATGTGTTCTCATTGTTCAACTCCCACTTATGAGTGAGAACATGTGATGTTAGGTTTTCTGTTCTTGTGTTAGTTTGCTGAGAATGATGGTTTCCAGCTTCATGCATGTTTCTGCAAAGGACATGAACTCCTCTTTTTTATGGCTGCATAGTATTCCATGGTGTATATGTGCCACGTTTTGCTAATCCAGTCTATCATTAATGGGCATTAGGGTTGGTTCCAAGTCTTTGCTGTTATGAACAGTGCTGCAATAAACATACGTGTGCGTGTGTCTTTATAGTAGAATGATTTATAATCCTTTGGGTTTATACCCAGTAATGGGATTGCTGGGTCAAATGGTATTTCTAATTCTAGATCCTTGAGGAATCACCACACTGTCTTCCACAATGGTTGAATAAATTTACACTCCCACCAACATTGTAAAAGCATTTCTATTTCTCCACATCCTCTCCAGCATCTGTTGTTTCCTGACTTTTTAATGATTGACATTCTACCTGGTGTGAGATGGTATCTCACTGTGGTATTGATTTACATTTCTCTAATGACCTGTGATGATTAGCTTTTTTTCATGTTTGTTGGCTGCATAAACGTCTTCTTTTGAGAAGTGTCTGTTCATATCCTTTGCCCACTTTTTGATGGGGTTGTTTTTTTCTTGTAAATTTATTTAAGTTGCTTGTAGATTCTGGGTATTAGCCCTTTGTCAGATGGATAGATTACAAAAATTGTTCTCTTATTCTGTAGGTTGCCTGTTCACTCTGATGATAGTTTCTTTTGCTGTGCAGAAGCTCTTTAGTTAAATTAGATCCCATTTGTCAATTTTGGCTTTTGTTGCCATTGCTTTTGGTATTTTAGTCATGAAGTCTTTGCCCATGCCTGTGTCCTGAATGGTATTGCCTAGGTTTTCTTCTAGGATTTTTATGGTTTTAGGTCTTACATTTAGGTCTTTAATCCAGCCTGATTTAATTTTTTTATAGGGTGTAAGGAAGGGGTCCAGTTTCAGTTTTCTGCGTATGGCTAGCCAATTCTCCCACCACCATTTATTAAACAGGGAATCCTTTCCCTGTTGCTTGTTTTTGTCAGCTTTGTCAAAGATCCGATGGTCAGGCTCCCACACCATAATAGTGGGAGACTTTAACACCCCACTGTCAATATTAGATCAACAAGACAGAAAATTAACAGGGATATTCAGGACTTGAACTCAGCTCTGGACCAAGCAGACCTAATAGATATCTACAGAACTCTCCACCCCAAATCAGTAGAATATACATTCTTTTCAGCACCACACTGCACCTATTCTAAAACTGACCACATAATTGGAAGTAAGACACTCCTCAGCCAATGCAAAAGAATGGAAATCATAACAAACAGTGTCTCATACCACAGTACAATCAAATTAGAACTCAGGATTAAGAAACTCACTCAAAACAACACAACTATATGGAAACTGAACAACCTGCTCCTGAATGACTACTAGGTAAATAACTAAATTAAGGCAGAAATAATTAAGTTATTTGAAACCAATGAGAACAAAGACATGATGTACCAGAATCTCTGGGACACAGCTAAAGCAGTGTTTAGAGGGAAATTTATAGCACTAAATGCCCACAAGAGAAAGCTGGAAAGATCTAAAATCAACACCCTAACATCACAATTAAAAGAACTAGAGAAACAAGAGCAAACAAATTCAAAAGCTAGCAGAAGACAAGAAATAACTAAGATCAGAGTGGAACTGAAGGAGATAGAGACATGGAAAACTCTTCAAAAAATCAGTGAATCCAGGAGCTGGTTTTTTGAAAAGATCACCAAAATTGATAGACTGCTAGCCAGATTAATAAAGAAGAAAAGAGAGAAGAACCATATAGATGCAATAAAAAATGATAAAGGGGATATCACCACTGATCCCACAGAAATACAAACTACCATCAGAGAGTACTGTAAACACTTCTATGCAAATAAACTAGAAAATCTAGAAGAAATGGAAAAGTTCCTGGACATATACACCCTCCTAATTCTAAAAGGAAGAAGTTGAATCCCTGAATAGACCAATAACAAATTCTCAAATTGAGGCAGTAATTAACAGCCTACCAACCAAAAAAAGTCCAGGACCAGGTGGATTCACAGCCGAATTCTACCAGAGGTACAAAGAGGAGCTGGTACTATTCCTTGTAAAACTATTCCAAACAATAGAAAAAGAAGGACTCCTCCCTAACTCATTTTATGAGGCCAGCATCATCCTGATACCAAAACCTGGCAGAGACACAACAAAAAAAGAAAATTTCAGGCCAGTATCCCTGATGAACATCTATGAGAAAATCCTAAATAAAATACTGGCAAACTAAATCCAGCAGCACATCAAAAAGCTTATCCACCATGATCAAGCAGGCTTCATCCCTGGGATGAAAGGCTGATTCAATATATGCAAATCAATAAATGTAATCCATCACATAAACAGAACCAATGACAAAATCCACATAATTTCCTCAATAGATGCAGAAAAGGCCTTTGATAAAATTCAGCACAGCTTCATGCTAAAAACTCTCAATAAACTAGGTATTGATGGAACATGTCTCAAAATAATAAGAGCTATTTATGACACACCCGCAGCCAATATCGTACTGAATGGGCAAAAACTGGAAGCATTTCCTTTGAAAATTGGCACAAGACAAGGATGCCCTCTTCTCACCACTTGTATTCAACATAGTTTTGGAAGTTCTGGCCACGGTAATCCGGCAAGAGAAAGAAATAAAGGGTATTCAAATAGTAAGAAAGCAAGTCAATTTGTCTCTGTTTGCAGATGACATGATTGTATATTAAGAAAACCCCATCGTCTCAGCCCAAACTTTCCTTAAGCTGATAAGCAACTTCAGCAAAGTCTCAGGATACAAAATCAATTTGCAAAAAGCACAAGCATTCCTATACACCAATAATAGACAAACAGAGAGCCAGATCATGAGTGAACTCCCATTCACAATTGCTGCAAAGAGAATAAAATACCCAGGAATACAACTTACAGGGGATGTGAAGGACCTCTTCAAGGAGAACTACAAACCACAGCTCAAGGAAATAAGAGAGGACACCAACAAATGGAAAAACATTCCATGCTCATGGATAGGAAGAATCAATATCATGAAAATGGCCATACTGCCCAAAGTAATTTATAGATTCAGTGCTATCCCCATCCAGCTACCATTGACTCTCTTCACAGAATTAGAAAAAACTACTTCAAATTTCATATGGAATCATAAAGGAGCCCACATAGCCGAGACAATCCTAAGCGAAAAGAACAAAGCTGGAGGCACCACGCTACCTGACTTCAAACTATACTATAAGGCTACAGTAACCAAAACAGCATGGTACTGGTACCAAAACAGATATATAGATCAATGGACCAGAACAGAGGCCTCAGAAAATTGCTTTTCCATCAGGACTAGATCCATTCTCAATTCCAGTGGTTTCCAACTGTTAATAAAATATTTGGGGGACTTCTTAAAATGCAGACTTTTTTTTACCCCATTCCTAAGAGATTCTGAGTTTGTTATTCCAAGGTGGTGCAATAGAATCAATCAGCTGTTTAACAAGTCCTGCAAGTAATCCCCATGTAAGTGACCTGAACGTCATGCTCTGGCATCATGTTTCTTAATGCTGTTCCAGGGACTCCTGCTTTTTGTCCTTTTTTTAATCTCTTTTTTCTCTTTTATTCACTCAGCATTCTTTTCACCAAGCAATTTTCTCCATTGCATTAATATCAATTTTTTTCAGGTTTCATTTTTTAGGTAACTAATTTTTTCATGCTTTCTAGATATGGCATTCTTTAACAAGTGAGATTGTGAGCGACCTCAGAAGACAGATGTAGCACATGCACTTCTTTGTGTACCCACAAGTTAAGGAGGGGTGGGGAAGAGGACGAAGGTATAAAATTGGAGGGTCCAATTTGAAACACAGTCCTTTTTGCTTGCTTTTGGAGCGCACCACATTTTCTTCTCCCCACTCCTGTTCATGTTCAGTAAACAACTGCAGCATCTTGCCTGCTTGCCAGGCCTCTTCTTCTACAAGTTTATATAAATCTTAACCTTTTCTACTCATTATTTGTTGCGGTTAATATAATTAAGGTCAGTATTTTGTAATTTCTTACATCAGTTAGATTACCTCGGCACCTTTGATCTCAAATTCTTTTAATTCTTTTTTAGAAGTTCCAATCTGTGAGGGAAACCCAGTTGATACTATCTATACCTTACTGTAAACCTGCTTATATTTTACTTTAACATTGTTCCCTAGTTGCTGAAATTAGGTGTTACCTTTTTTCCCCACAAAAATTATAAGGTCACAGAGGCAAGCAGTATAGTGTCCATTTTATGCTGATTTATTAGTGTTTGGTACACTTTGCTTTTTAAACTAGTGTTTAATTAATTTAAAGTTGGATGAATGAATGAATTAATGAATGAAAAAATGAATAAACA
Organism: Homo sapiens; assembly: GCF_000001405.40. Taxonomy (NCBI): domain Eukaryota; kingdom Metazoa; phylum Chordata; class Mammalia; order Primates; family Hominidae; genus Homo; species Homo sapiens. Next base: position 80,648,692 of record NC_000014.9, on the reverse strand, counting down.
GGTGAACTTTTACCACTCTTATATCCTTCACAGTTTCAGAAGTTTACAAATATGTAGGTATTCTTCTACAGACTTCCTTTATTAATTAAAATCAATGCTATTTTTTATTAGTATATTTTTATTTTTATCTGCCCATCTTATGTTCTCCTTTAGGGAAAGGTTGGAGTAGAAGTTAATTTAATAAAGAAATGAAGTATACCAAAGGAGGGCTAGTAATATTAGTTATAATATTAATTATAGTTTAGTTAAATGCATTCATTATTACTGATAACTGAAAACCATAGTTTAGGCTATGATTTGTAATTGTAGATTAGTTGCAGCCACTAATGAAGCCTTTCTCAATATTCTACCAAAATATCTGTCAAGCCACTTGATAGATATTCCATAAGGCAGGTGAAACTGAATTGAGGAAAATCAAATCAGGGTTTACTTCATTAATCAAAGATCCCCAGAAAAGAGGTAGAAAGATACTTTTGCTTAAACTCCAACTGCTCTCCTGACTCAGAGACCCAAGTTCTGAAAAAAACATTACACTGGTAAGCTTTCATTCCACAAAGTTGCTGCTGATTTTTGAGATAGCCTTATTTCTCTGTCAATTTATAAGCAATAATTTCTAGAAAATAATTCATCAGGACCAAAGGGGTGAACTGGTTATGACAATGTGCTTATTTTAAGCTATATTATCTACAGTAAAGCCTAGAAGAACCTTGGAATTAAGTTTGGAAAATAAGAAGTTGGGAAATATAATTTTCCATATACTCTGCTTATTTATAGGGTCTAAGAACCAAGCAGTGTGATCAGGCATAATATCTCCCCCAGTAGAACTGCATTGTGTTAATGCAGACAAAGTGTTGTGAATTCGCTGTGAAGCAGTGAATATCAACTAACCTAGTCCTTTAACACAGTTTTTCAGCCTCAGCACCATTGATATTTTGAGCTGTATAATTCCTTGTTTTTGTGGGGCTATACTGCACGTTGTAGGCTATTTAGCCACATGCCTGGTCGCTATTCACCAGACGACCTCCCCTCCCCAGTCGTGACAATCAGAAATGTCTTCATACCTTGTCAAATCTCCCCTGTTGGAGACCATTGCAACAGTAGGTCTCAAAAGTTAGATTATTGAGTCTTGATAGTCATTGCCTTATTTAAACATCAAGAAAGAAGGAAAAAAAGTCAATATAGAGTCTATTTTAAAAATATTAGGGTTCAGGGAAAGAAGCTGTTACCTGAAAACTCAGAGGAAAAGCACAGCTTTCAAAACCATGTATGTACGTAAGGTTCTGAGAAAAAAAATTATTAGACTATTTGAAGTACTGAACAGAATGCAAGGCCTCAGATGAGAGGGATTAGAGAATGAGATTAGAAAGTCTTATAGAGAAAACAAGCTGAGTGAACAAAACAGCAAAATGGAGTGAAAAGGTAGAAAAAAAGCAGATTGCAAGAAACTTAGGCACAGGAATTTTTTAAGGTGATAATATATTGTGTTTGTAAGAGGTGGCGACATAAGCATTCTTAAGCATTCCATACAGTGTTTCTAGAATGCAGTGTGTGTGTGTGTGTGTGTGTATGTGTGTGTGTGTGTGTGTATGTGTATTTATAAGGGTGTATATATATATATATATATATATATATATATATATATATATATATATATACATGCACACATATATATACACACACATATATATATATATATATTTCTTATAAATAAAAGCACCTTTTGGCCTAGCATTCTACTTCTAAAAAATTGCTCTTTGAAAAACACATTTTTTAAAGTGTGAAAGATTTATATATCTGAATGTTCATTTCAGTTTTATGATAATAATCAAGTAAAATTAACATAATTGGCCATAGTAGAGAATAAGAGTGCTAAATAATTTATGGTGCATCTAAAGCATCCCTGGACACAGTAGATACTCAGTAAGTTTGTTGAATACATTCATGAAAATATTTAATGGAAATTTGTGTATATCCATTTTTAACGATAACATTAAGGATTAGTTAATGCTAAGAGTAGATACTCACATTTTTTAAAAGTTATGTATTGTATGTAGTATTGAATGTATAGTATGATCTCATTTTGTAAGTATGTATAACGTTTGTGTACATATACATGTTGTATATACAGATTTAGGCAAATCATTTATCATACTATTCATTAAAGATATATTATATTATTGATTCAGAACTGCATGTTTTGCCCAATCTGACCTTCACTTGAATCCTTAATAGTTATGATCCTTTTCTAACTCCATGCTTTTGTTTATAGCTTTGTATTTCCCTAGCATACATTTTCTCCCAAGTTGTTCCACTAAGCTTTGCTTTTTCAAAAAAAAAAAAATGACTTCATTTTTCAGAGCATTCATAATAAAATTAAGTGAAAGGTACAGAGAGTTCCCTTCACACAAGCACAGCCTCTCCCATTATCAGTATCCCCCACCAAAGTGGTACATTAGTTACAATCGATAAACCTATATTGACACATCATCCAAAGTTCATAGTTTACATTAGGGTTCATTCTTGGCGTTTTACGTTCTGTAGGTTTTGACAGATATGTAATGAAGCATTTACCATTGTAATATTCTACAGAATAGTTTCACTGCCCTAAAAATCCTGTGAGCTCTACCTATTTATCCCTCCTTCCCCACTAACTCCTGGCAACCACTGATCTTTTTACCGTCTCCATACTTTTGCCTTTTCTAAATATCATACAATGTACCTTTTTCACATGAGTTTCTTTCACGTAGTAATATGCACTTAAGTTTTCTCTATGTCTTTTCATGGCTTTATAGCTCATTCTTTTAGTGCTGAATCATATTCCATTGTCTGGATTTACCACAGTGTATTTATCCACTCACCTACTGAAAGACACCTTGGTTGCTTCCAAGTTTGGGCAATTATGAATAAAGCTGCTGTAAACATTCATGTGCAGATTTTTGTGTAGACATAAATGTTCAGTTCATTTGGGTAAATATCAAGGAGTGTGATTGCTGGATTGTATGGTAAAAATATGTTTAATTTTGTAAGAAACTGACAAACTATCTTTCAAAATGCCTATATCACCTTGTATTTTTACCAGCAGTCAATGAGAGTTCCTTTTGCTCCACATCCTCACCAGCTTTTGGTGCCATGATTTTTGCTTATTTTAATTCCTTTCCATTTTACGTATCCTATTCAGATGCTGCATCTTATATAATATTGTCATAACACATTAAGTAGTAATACTTCCCTACTCCATATAATAATTATCTTCATTTTTACCATTCACTTAGACTTAATGTATGCTGCTAACTTTGAGTCTGATTTCTCCTATTAGAACATTAACCTTTTGAAGAAAGGAGCCATTCTTCTACACCAGGTATAATACCTTAATACATTTCCATCAAATATAAACAGTAACATGTATTGGATGGAAAACATGTGATTATGTTTTGAAATGAAAACTGTTTTAAAAAGTAAAACCATTTGGCAATGTACCCTTAGTATATTTCTATTTCTTCAGTTTTACTGTATAGTGGGTAAAATAGTATTATATATTATATTTAGTTAGCTTACGTGGTTATGACTTGTTAGAGTCAAAAGGAACCTACTTGACCTTTCAACTTGTTGATGAAAAATCTGGGATGCAGAATGTTTTGATAATCTGGCCCAGGTCACATAGAATTAAGTATGTCTCATTTATCAACGTTTGTAGTCTTTCCTCAAAACTGTGCTATTTTTCTCTCATTTTTATTGAATGAGATATGATTCATTTGTTCCATGAGAGTGGATTATTTTCCTAGAAAATGCAAATTAGTAATTTCAGAACATATTGTTGAATATGTTCTTTTTCATTAAAATAACATGAGCAGTGTATGCTATTGTGCCTTTTTTGTATCTTTATTATCTAACTAATCCACATTAAACATTAAGGCCAGTTGTCATGACTCAAATTCTTTTACTTTCCAATGAACTTAATTTTATAGAAATATAGAGTAGTTAAATTATTACCTTAAAAGAAAAATGTTATATTAATATGCATTTTGTTGTTGCATTGAATTGAATATTAACAGAAAAGCCTAATATTAATGATGGTTATTACTAATCACTTTTTTGATATTTGAGTTTTGATTTCTCATTATTCTGTATCAGTGGAATTTCTGAGAAAATCAACACTATCTTCTTTTTGAAATAACAGAAACAAGTATTAGAAGAAAAATGCAGACAAATCTCAGTGGAATATATTTCTCCTGATAGTGTAACACCCATGTCTTACTGGCTTGTGTCCTTCCTTGCTTTTGCAGGCCCTACTTATTCAGCAGTATTTTCTCCTGCCACTGCAAGTATTTTAGGGGAGTCCTAAACGTTTATCTCCAATGTGCATATGACAGGTGCCTAATTAGCAAAGAAACATCGTATGTCAGTTTCCCAGGGCTACCATAACAAAGCGCCACAAACGGAGTGGTTTAGAACAACAGAAATTTATTCTCTCACAGTTCTGGAGCCTAGAACTCAGAAATCAAGGTGTTGGCAGGACCATGCTTGCTCTGCAGGCTGTAGGGAAGAGTGCTTCTTTGTCTCAGCTTTTGGTGGTGGCTGGCAATCTTTAGCGTTACTTGGCTTGCAGCTGCAGCACTCTATTCTCTTCCTTTGTCTTCACATGGCCTTCTTCTCTGTATGTCTGTGTCTTTGCGTCTAAATCTCTCTCTTTTCTCATGTGAGGACACCAGTCCTGTATTAGGACTCACCCTACATCTAGGCTGATTTCATCTTCAAATCCTTGACTCACGCTATCTCCAAATAAAGTCCCATTTTGAGATTCCAGATAGACATGAAATTTGGGAGTTCACTAGTCACTGTTTTTACTTAGTGTGAGCTGAACTATCTGATCCTTGCTTGGAGTATGTTTATTTCTGCCACCAGGCTTTGCTGCCTCTGTTGGATACCAATGCCTTTTTGGCTGTATATTGCTGTGTGTATTCCATGTACCACCACGATTTTTTTGAGATGGAGTCTTGCTCTGATGCCCAGGTTAGAGTGCAGTGGCGTGATCTCAGCTCACTGTAACCTTCGCTTCCCAGGTTCAAGTGATTCTCCGGCCTGAGCCTCCCGAGTAGCTGGGATTACAGGTGCTCGCCGCTGCACCCGACTAATTTTTGTATTTTTAGCAGAGATGACCCTGTTGGCCAGACTGGTCTTGATCTCCTGACCTCATGATCCACCCATCTTGACCTCCCAAAGTGTTGGGATTACAGGCGTGAACCACCACACCCGGCCAGCCACCACAATTCTTAAGCCTCATTGCTTAGTTGTGTTGCACCCCACATTTGCAGAGGCCTCCCAGCTGTCCCTGCTGACTGCTGTGGTGCCGCTGGCCTCCATTATTGATGGGCATGGCCACCATCTCCCACAGGGCTGTGTACTCCTCACTGGTGCCACTGCTGATGCATTAGAAACTTAAGGAACCACATGGCATTCTTTGGGTTTATCTAGTTAAATTAGGTTTTAAGGCACTGTTTTTTGCCACTTGATTTTCCTGATGATTTAAAAAGATTGAGGATTGATTTGAACTCATGCTCTTCGATCTTTGGGAAAATAATAGTGGATAACAAGTTTAGATTTAGATGCTGTTTTTGAGGTACCCTTAATATATGTGGGTCAGCCGGGCGCGGTGGCTCACGCCTGTAATCCCAGCACTTTGGGAGGCTGAGGCAGGCAGATCACGAGGTCAGGAGATCCAGACCATCCTGGCTAACACGGTGAAACCCTGCTTCTACTAAAAATACAAAAAATTAGCCAGGCGTGGTGGCACGTGCCTGTAGTCCCAGCTACTCGGGAGGCTGAGGCAGGAGAATTGCCTGAACTGGGAGGCTGAGGTTGTAGTGAGCTGAGGTCGCGCCGCCGCATTCCAGCCTGGGTGACAGAGCAAGACTCTGTCTCAAAAAAAAAAAAAGGGGGTCAAGTTTTCTAATAACTTTTTAATTCTTTTAATGAAACATTTCTTACAAGTTTATTTTAAATCTCTCTCTCTCTCTTTTTCTTTGTTTGTTTGTTTTAGAGATGGAGTCTCACCTGTTGCCCAGGCTTACTGCAACCTTGACTTTCTGGGCTCAAGCAGTCCTCTTGCCTCAGCCTCCCAAACAGTTGGGACCACAAGCATGCACCCCTATGCCTGGCTAGCCTTTTTATTTTTTATAGAAGCAGGGTCTCACTATGTTACCTAGGCTGGTCCTGAACTCCTGGCCTCAAGCAGTCTTCCTGCATTGGCCTCTCAAAGTCTGGGGTTTCAGGTGAGAGCCATAGCACCAGCCTTGTCTCTCTCATTCTTAAGTCACTGATATCTCTCCTTTATCTCTGGACTGGCAATGAATCCTAATTACACATCCCATGTTCTACTAAGAATTATTCATTTTTGTTATTGCTAAAGCTTTATTAATGGACAAAACTTGATCCCCTCTTTTCTTAGAATGAGGTGTTTCTACGTGTCTCCTCCATCTTTCAGACAAACTGCTTCTTGTCAGTCCCCTCTGTAACTACTGCTGAAATGTCTGTAGGCTGATGGAATCACAGCAGTTTGTAGCTTATGTTTAAGGTAGGGCTGTCTCTCTCTTCTTTTTTTTTTTTGAAACGGAGTCTCACTCTGTCGCCCAGGCTGGAGTGCAGTGGCACTATCTTGGCTCACTGCAAGCTCCGCCTCCCGGGTTCACATCATTCTTCTGCCTCAGCCTCCGGAGTAGCTGGGACTACAGGTGCCCGCCACCACGCCCAGCTAATTTTTTATATTTTTTAGTAGAGATGGGGTTTCACCACGTTAGCCAGGATGGTCTCGATCTCCTGACCTCATGATCCACCCGCCTTGGCCTTCTCTCTCTCTTTGTATAATATTTTGTCTGTCCCTAACATATATTGCTTAATTTAATTGAATTGTATTACTAAGCTGTTCTGGTACGGCTATTTTAATTACTTATAATAGAGTTTTCTTTCACTGTTGGGATAATTAGTCTTGAGTAAGGAGAAAAAAATCCTTTTTTGACCTTTTAATATTACGTTCACATTAGGTCTCAGAAAGCACTCTTTCAGCAGCCATAAATACTTTAAAAATCAGTATTAAGCCGTAGAAACTTTTAATTCAACAAGCATTTGTTCTGTGCATACTTTCTACCAGGCACTGTATCCGATTCTAGGAAAAAGGCGCAAAGACAGGTTCTGCACCTTTGATAGGGCACAGGCCATACAACATCAGTAGTTGGTGACTGTAGCATATGGTACCAGGGAAACTGGTACTTGATAAAACTTGAAAAGGCAGGTGGAGGCCAAGTGGAAAGGGCACGCTGGCCCTATGTTAAGAACATAAAACATTAGCCCTTGAACATCAAGAAGTCACAGTATTTTTTATTTCAGAGGAGTGGTTTAAAGATTCAGTTAGAAGCAGGGATATACATGGGCAGTTGCATTAGAGAATGAGGAGGCATCCACCTAAAATGAGAGCAGTAGTTATACAGAAGGGGTAAATGCTGGAGATATGAAGATGGTTAATGGTTTAGATTGTGTTACTATTGGTTATGGATGCAGAGAGAAGTAGAAATTTCTGGAATGACTGTAAGGTCCTCGGAGAGGGTCTACAAAAAAGAGAAAACTAAACTCGGGAACATGTTTGTGAAGGGCCATTATATAATCAAATTTAATTCTCATAATAATGGCCCTTCAAAGTAGCTAGGAAGCAATTCTCAAGGAATGTAAATGCATTAATTAAAGCTGTGTAACTAGGTGGTGACAGAGCTGGATATTTATCTGGCTTCAAAACTCATGCTCTTCAATCTCTGGGAAAATAGAAGACAATAACAAGTTTAGATTTAGATGCTGTTTTTGAAGTACCCTTAAGATATGTGGGCCAAGTTTTCTAATAAACTATTGGAATTTTGATCGTAAAATCAGCAAAAGGGTGGTTTCTTTTGGGAGGGCCAATTTGGGAGTTCTTTTTATATGGGTACTTGTCAGAGCCGTTTTCATATTTGTTGTTGTTTAGAGGTTAAGTCTAGAATAAGAAGAGAGTTTTAGATAGAACCCTGGAGAGGATTCACATTGAAGGGGATGGTAAAAGAAGTAGAACCAGAAAAGCATATAGAGAAATGAGGTATTGGAGAGGTAAAAGGAGAGGATGTTGCTGTGGAAAAAATAGAAAAATTGAGGATATGGTTCATAGTATTCTGTGTAGCAGACAGGTCAAGTTAGGAAGCAATTTAAAATGTCCATTGGACTCAGAAGTTGGCAGGGAAATGGTGCTTTTAAGAATAAATGAGAGCCCTTTTATAGTAGCTTGAAGAATTAATAGAAAATGAGACAGTCAAAATAATATTTGAATGAAGTAGTATTCACCCATTATTAATAGATCATGAACTTTTTATTTTGTTTGTTTGTTTTAGCAATAATGATGATGGATTAAAAAATAGTTTTCCCTTTATCTCTGGTTTGGTCCTACCTATCACTAATGACATATTTTATGTGCTAGAAAAGAAAGATGAGAGTGTGTCCTATATACCTGATTCAGACTTATTTGTGTTTTGATCTAGCTAGCTGAACTAACTAATCACAGAGAGATCTTTCACATTTACAATAAGTTCCATTACTGAATATTCTTTCAAAGTAAAATAATAAGAATTTTTCCATATTCCAGAGGATGAAAGTTTGAGACAATGCTTTGTTATTCTGGTTACTATAAATTTCATTCAGTGAGTGCTTTCTTTGGTCTCAGTTCATGGAAAAGTCACTTTCTATAAGAAAGAATTTGATTATGTGTTATTTGCCTTTGTTTTTGGAGAGACTGCGTTTAACTTGGTTGTTTGTTCTTCAAATTTGACAGCATGAAATAATTGCTAGTCAACCTTCTTACTCCTTCATCAAAACAAACTGTTGCTCCATTTAAGATTATAGTTCTGCTCAAAGGAGTGGGGAAGTTTGAATTATCTCCTCAATTTCTCTTTTTTACCCCACAAGGTAAAGACTAGTCATCACAGAAAGAGGGTAATCAGCTGTTTCTAAGATGTACAAACTAAGAATATGATTTTCAATAATGTGTTAATTTTAGACAAATTATATTAGAATAACAGGATTTGGGTGGTCCACAGATTTCATTATAAGGGATCTAACAAATGTCAACAATAAACATATTTAAGAAGGTCATAGAATACTTTATTGTCTTTTAATTATAGTAAAGACAATGAGTTTACTTCAGGCACACATTGCTGGGGAGAATTCCAGTGGTCTTAAATTTTTATTTTACTCTTCTTCCACACCCCTCATTTGGATCATATGTAAATACCCGCCTTGTTCTCAGTAGAACATATTGGTGTTTCTTGTTTCAGCAATTCTCTTTTGGTAACTTATCCCATATGTTTGTTAGCCTTTGCATAAAATTGTTTTGTCTGAACTCAGCTTCTGAGCTACATCTTGTATGTATCTGCTAGAATGAGGATTATCTGAATTATTTTTGTATAATAGCTTCACAATCAAACATTTTAGTTATTTGAAAGTAAAATGAATTTGAATCTCATTTGTGGAAATAGAATAAAGAATATAATATTAATACAGATTTTTTTTGGTTAAATACCATTTTTTAAGTTAGTTCACTCCACCGTTGATTTGTTATTGCTTAACATTGTATTAAGCAATGTATGTCTGAAACATAATAATGCAAATATTAGACAGGGAGCTGCATTCCATAATTTATTCTTCTCATCTCAACTTTCAATACTTCCTTGTAACCAAATGAAAGAAAAAGACTTCTTTTTTTAACCTAAGTGGTTTCGTAATGAGTCATTGACTTCTAAAACCTAATAAAGGGGCTACTGGAGTTGAAATTCTGAGTCTTGATCAAATTCAGAGATAGTATTTGAAATGTTAGGAGCTACCATTTTAATGACCTGTGTTCAGACTACTTAGTCAACTGATGGCAATAGAAAGATTTAGGCATTTCCTTATATTCAGTGATTCACCCAATAAACATTTACTGAATTCCTACTATATGCTAGTCACTGCCCCTACCGTGTTGGAATTCGCTGTCTCATTGTAGAAGGGTAAAAGACATCGTATATAAAAAATAAATCAGGTGGTATGAAAAGTGTTCTAGAGTAGAATACAGTACGGTAAGAAAGTAGAGGGATGAGGGGTCAGCAAAGTCCTCTCTGATAAGTTGACAATGGAGCAAGCATCTGAAGGAAGTGAACTACAGAGCCCTACGCACATCGGGGGAAGAGCATTCCAGGTCCTCTGTGCCCATAGATTGGGCTTCGTGCACAGTTTGAGGGACACCAGGAAAAATTAAACACAGCATTGCTTCTTTGGGATAATAAGAAAAATATACCAGTGGGTTTACAAGTCCCAGATTGCAAAATTATATAACATGTATTATCTTTGCACACAGATGGGAGAGTTTTACGTGGCCTAAAGTATTCAGAGAATGCTTTATGAAAGAAATGACACTTGGAGGAACTATACGATTTGGCCATTCATTGTTCTTTATTTAGTAAACATTTATTGAAATATGAAGAGAAGGAAGAAGGGCATTCCAGAAAGGAAAGAGATGATTAGAAATCCAAAGGAGAGTGTATTCGTTTAGTTCCTGTGGCTGTGGTAACAAATTATCAAAAACATATTGGCTTAAAAGAACAGAAATGTATCCTGTCGTAGGTTTTGGAGGCCAGAAGTCTGAAGTCAGTTTTGCTGAGCCAAAATCAAAGTGTCAGCAGGACCTGACTCCCTCTGAAAACCCTAAGGGAGAACCCTTTTCTTGCCTCTTCCAGCATCTGGTGACTGCTGGCATTTCTTGACTTGTGGCCACGTCTACATACGCCCCTCTCTTGTTACACTGTGTTCTTTTCTGTGTCTCATCTCTCTCTCTTTTTCTTTTATAAGGACACTTGGGATGACATATGGTGCCCAACTGGATAATCCAGGATAACCTCATTTCAAGGACCTTAATTTAATCACATCTGCAAAGATGTTACTGATAGGATAACATTCACAGGTTTCACGGTTTAAGACCTGGTCTCTTTTTAGGGGCACCATTCAGTTTTTATAAAGAAGATAAGCATATTTAAGTAATACAGTGATTTATCTGATAAAAATGTAAGAGTTCTTATCCGGAGTAGTTTCTTTATGCATTTAGAAACTATTTACTGAGTGTCTGCAATGGATACATTGGTAGGCAAAAAAGCAAACGCAGCCCTTAACTTTATAGAATTTATAAATGAGATGAAAATTGAGAAAATGAGATGGATTGAATTCTCCTTTCAAGGTCTCATCTTTTTTCTGTCCTTGCATCTCCTTCTCTGGCTCTTCTGCTTCTCTTTTCTACTTTTAAGGATTTTCCTGATTACATTAGGTCATCCTCGGTAATCCAGGACAAATTGCCATATCTGGAGGTCAACTGATTCACAACCTTAATATCCCCTTGCATAACATGGCTCCAGGGATATGGGTATCTTTGGGGGCCAAAATTCTGCTTACCATGGGTAGAATGGACCATGTTAAAAATTTTAGTTTTATTCTAAGAGCTCTGATTGCAGGGTTTTAAGCAGGCTGGGAATACATGGACAGATTTGTATTTTCTTTTCTTTTTTTTTTTTTTAAAGACGGAGTTTCGCTCTTGATGTCCAGGCTGGAGTACAATGGCCCGATCTTGGCTCACCACAACCTCCGCCTCCTGGGTTCAAGCGATTCTCCTGCCTTAGCCTTCCTAGTAGCTGGGATTACAGGCATGTGCCACCACGCCTGGCTAATTTTGTATTTTTAGTAGAGACAGGGTTTCTCCACGTTGGTCAGGCTGGTCTCGAACTCCCGACCTCAGGTGATCTGCCCGTGTTGGCCTCCCAAAGTGCTGGGATTACAGGTGTGAGCCACCGTGCCTGGCCAAATTTGTATTTTCAATGGAAAATTCAGTAATGTGGAGAAGAGTTGGGGGGAAAAATGGAAATGGGGAGGCCATTTAGGAGACTAATTCCAGTCCCAGGAAGAATATAATATTAGCTGGGGACAATAGTAATGGAAATGGTGAGAAACATCTTGATTTGAGAGTTTAAATCTGAGGAAACTTGTGATAGATTAGAGATGAGGGGTTCATCTCTAATTCTCTGGTGCAAAACCAAAAGACTGTGTGGTGCCATTGCTGGCAGAGAGAAAACTAGAAGAGGAACAGATTTTAGGGGGAGAATAACATGTGTTTCTGCAAAGCCTGGAGGCAACAATAGTAGAAGAAAAAAAAGCAGGAAAATGAGAGGCATTTTGAGCTGCATAACTGACTGTATTTGAGAAACAGAGGAGAATCTTTAGACTATCTAAATAGGTTGTATCTTTATGCTATAGAACAACTTGTCTTCCTAAAGAACTATGATGTTGAGTGAGCGCAGGGAATGAATTTTAGGCTAGGGGGCAGTAGTCTCACTTATTTATAAGTTTTACTAAGTCATTAGGTTTCTAACATTCCATGCAACTATTTAGCAAATAGTCACTGACTACCATGTATGCAAACAGCTCCCATTCTGTGGAGTAATATCAAAAAAGCATAAGATGCAGTCATAGCCATAGAATATTTCAGAAAACAAGTGAACAAATAAGTAGCAATAAGTACACTTGAGTATCCCTGAACCAAAATGCTTGGGACCAGAAGCGTTTCAGATTTGGGATTTTTTAAAAATTGGATTTTGGAATATTTGCATATACATAATGAGAAATCTCAGGGATGGGACCCAAATCTAAACACAAAATTCATTTATGTTTCATATACACCTTATACACATAGCCTGAAGATAGCTGTATTTTTCCCTTGAGGACACTGAATAAACTGTGTGTTGTGCACCTGCATTTTGACTGCAGCCTATCACGAAGTCAGGTGTGGAATTTTCCACTGTGGCATCATGTCAGTGTTCAAAAAGGTTCAGATTTTAGGGTGTTTTGGATTTCAAATGTTCACAGTAGGGAGGCTCAACCTTTAGGAGGAAACTAACAAGTCACCAGAATTAAGTTCCTTTGTTCGCTGATAAATCTGCTTTACATAAGACAATACCTGACACATAATGTATACTCCTTATTAACTGGATGGATTGATTAATTTATTGAAAACCTACTAATGTCAGTCATTGTTATTGTGTGGCGCTGTATCCTCTACACAAGAAGAAACTCTTCTTGCAGCGTAAATTTTAGCCTCAAGGACTATATAACAAGTTAACAAATGCAATAACAGGGTCATGTTTCAGTTCTGGGATGACACTAGAAGGACCTAGTTTTTTGTTTATTTGGGGGTTTTTTTGTTCTTTTTTTACCCCCAGTGGAGTTGGCATTTGGATGCATTGGGACTGCGTGATAGTGATGATGTCAATTCATCTTATAATGTACTGTGCATTGAATTCTGTGTGTGGGGTCTATTCTCATTCAAAATCAAAGAGAAATTCACTTAGCAAGTGTCTCATCTATAATTGAGTATGGACTCCAAGGAGAACATTGCAATGAATTTTCACGGACAGATTGCGGAAGTGATCAGAGGTGTATGAGATAAAGCCAGAAACATTTCTATAAGGCTCTTGAGAAGCAGGCATTATAGGTAGCTAGAACGAGCAGGCCAAATAAAGGGATTGATCAGAGAGAACTGGCTTCTACGAAAAGAGGAGATATTTTAGAAGACACTGTACTAAGTTATAAATTTGGAGGCCTGGTCGTCTGGGAGCAAGGTCATATATTAGTGGCCTACCACAAACATTATGGTGAACGCACACTGATAAACCAGGCAGTGGGAAGCAACTGGTGGTTCTTATCTGAAAGAGAAAATGTGATGAAAATTATATAAGGGAAGTTATCCTGACATCTGTGTTGGGAATATACCAGAGAGGAGAGAAAATGTAGAGAAGGAAACTGTTGGAAGGCTTTTGTTACAATTCAGGCATCGGGAGGTAAGCTGAAGTGGTACCTGTGGAAATGGAAAAAAAGACATGTGAGTGACAATTGTAGGAGAATAGGGAAAAGTGGGGGCAAAACACAGAGATAAAATTAACTAAACTTGCGAGGTTGGCTTCTCCAAATTAGAAGTTGGGAAAAAATGATTACCAGGATAAAGGGAGAATAACATGTTAGTTACATTTTCTTATTTATACAACCTGGAAAAAATGCCTACTAAGCGTAACTCACCAATTGTGAAATACAAAATATTGAAAAATATATTCAAAAATATTACTTTGCTTTTCTTGTTTTCTACCTGTGTCTCCAATAAACATCTATATTGATATTAGTACCACTTTCAAAACTTTTAAAAATAGTCTTATGTCCTTGGAGAACATTTTTATTGCTTTAAAACTTTCCATCCAGAAATGCCCTTCGGGAATCTGGCATCAATCCAAAAAATGTTGTCAAGAGGAAAACATTAAAGACTCACTCATCTATTAGAATGTAGTGAGTGTAAAGTCAAAGTTGGCATTATGGCTTTCCAGCAAGAATCTTTGTTTCTCAACAGTTATTCCTCTGAAAGCAATCTAACAAGTACATCTTAAACACCAATTAATCATGACTTGCCTAAACTTAAATCTTATAGTAATTCTCATTTTCTGTAGGATGTAATCTAAACTTAGTAACGCAGCAGGCAGGATCCCTAGTGACCCAAATTTCTAGCCTCATCTCCTTCATATATGGCTTTCCAGTCGTGGGAAATTGTTGATATTTCAAATATTAAGGAAGATATGCATGGCTTAGGTACTTCCTACCTTAGGCATGAATACCCAGGAAAGACTCCATGGTCCAAGAGGGCCCTGTACATAGCTCTTGATGAATTCATTGTGGTCCAGGGTTTGATACTTAGACATAGGGATTCACATTTTTTTAATACCAAGAATGGATGGGACACCTCCCATGGGCACACATTTATTTTAACTAGAAACAGGTAGTCATTTATTTAATTATTTATTGAGGACCTGGTTTGAACCAGACAATGAGCTATGCAAAGAAGATACAGTGGTGAATGAGATAAGTCTGATCCCCACTTTTTAAAATCCATAGTCCAAACTGTGGATGGGAATACGTAGTGGGAAGTCTTGCTTGTCCTAGGTGTGGGAATAGGGATGCAAGAGGCAGATGAACTGATTGTTAAGATTAGAAATCTTGTTGGAGAAATGAAAGAACTTCAGTTTGGCCCTGGCATATATGAGAGAGACGGAGGAAAGCAATAGAGAGAGACAGAGGTGGCAGAAGACACTGGAGAAGAAGGCAGGCCATAACAGAAACAGGAGAGCTTGTGAGCTCTACAAGGGGTATTAACTTGATCATGGGGCCACTGTGAGTGACAACTTTTATGCTTTAAGCAGGACAGAGATATGAAATATTTACAACGGAAAGTATTACTATTGACATATCGGACCCCTGTGCCAATGTATATTATCTCTCTTGAGGAAAGTTTCAAAAGAAGCTAGTTTGTTTTGTTTTGTTTTTGTTTGTTTGTTTGTTTGTTTCTAGGCAGGGTCTAACTCTGGCACCCAGATTGGAGTGTAGTGGTGGCAGTCACGGCTCAAGGCAACCTTGACCTTCTGGGCTCACGTGATCCTCCTGCCTCAGCCTCCAGAATAGCTGGGACTACAGACACACATCACCATACCCAGCTAATTTTTTATTTTTTTGTAGAAACGGAGTCCCACTATGTTGCCCAGGCTGCTCTTGCACTCCTGGGCTCAAGCAATCCTCCCACCCCAGCCTCCCGAAGTACTGGATTACAGGTGTGAATCCCAAACCCCATCCTATTTTTAATTTTTAAATGCACACGTAGTGAGCACTAAAACAATAGCCCTTTCACTCATTCTTAGTGCGTATTTATAAACTGGTGCATGAATGTTGGAAAATAACTCACATCATTTTAAAAAATTGAATGTATGCACTTGCCACTTGACTCAGCAATTCCACTCCCAGACATACACCCGTGAGAAGCTTACACACCCGAACTAGGAGATATGCACATAAGTAGTCACCATTTGTAATTGCAGAGTAATTGGAAATGACCCACATGCCCATTCATGGAAGAATAGAAAAACTAGGATATATTCACAGAGCAGAATACTAAAAAACTGTTATAGTGAATGCACTATAATATATATAGCATGTTATATTATATAGATAATAGATTTTATATATTATATATAGTATGATGGACTCCAAGGATAACATTGTAATTTTCATTATATATGTAATCTGTATAATGCACTAGAATGTATAGTATATATCATATGTATAATATACAATAATATACTGATATATATGTACCATATTATATAACATATATACTATATGCAGTATATACAGAGTATATTATATAATATTTATACTTAGTATATATAAACTCACTAACATGGTAAAGTCTCAATAGTATTATGTTGAATGTAAATAGCAAGTCAACAAAGTACACATATAGTATAATTCTATGTATACAATACTAAAAGACAGGAAAATGAAACAATGTATTATTTAGTGATGTGTGCATACATAGAAAACTAAAAAGAAAAATACTGAAGGATAGTTGTCATAGTATTTAGCTATCTTGTGACTCTTCTGTGTTAATTATTATGGAATATGCTTGCTATTGCTTTTCAGGTATATAATTTTATACATTATAGAAGCAGCACCTTTTTAATCAGGTGACTGGTAAGAATTCAGAGTACAGAAGAGCTGAATAACACATCAGCTAGTAATATGGACTTTAGAGTCAGGTCAACCTTAGTTCAGATTCTTCCTCTGTCTTAGTAATTATGTAATTGTTCTAGGTACTTTGGATATATCACTGAGGGGGAAAAAAGGTGTCTTCATGCAGTATACATTCTAACTATTGAAAATAAATTCTTAAGAATTGTCCTTAATATGGTGAGGTCCCTGGAATACAGTTTCTGTGTTTTATTCATCTTTTTAATATCTGACACCTAAGTCTTGCACAAAGTAGATATGTTTATGGAATTGAATTGATGAGAATGTTTATGAAATTGAATTGTATTACATGAATAAATGACTGGTACTTTGCACTTTGATAGAACAAGAGAAAATACAAATTGCTTCAGGCTTTGTCGGTCAGTTACAACATCAAATCAAAGATTAGACTTCTAGCACTTCTTTACTCATTGATCTTTGCAGATACCGAATCACATATAGAAACAAACAGTAGTAGTGTTATCTTTGAATATAAAGAATGGAAATAAGCATATTAATGGTATGTAAGACTCTTCATAGCCTGTAATATTTGAATTTTATCTGCTATCTCGCTAAGTTCTTTAGACCAGTCATTTTAATTTCAGTAAGTGTACAGCATTTTTTTACTTCTCTGAAAACTGCATTCTCTTCCTTCCATCATTCTAAAAGCTATTCCTATATATCATGCAATTGCTGAGTCTTGTAATAGTTTTCAAAGTTAGATGGCAATGTAATTTTTATATCATGTTTATATTGTGCCTATGTGTGTGGATAGGCATAGGTGGATATTTCTGGGCTAAAGACTCTACTTAGTGTTCATCAGATTCTCAATGGAGATGGTGGCTAATTTGTTGATGAGCTTTAAATTCTTTTAAAAATCATGTTATTATGAATAACAATAGAATGACAGTCTTTGCATATATATGATTTTATACATTTCTGATTACATTCCTCCAAGTGGAATTATTGACTCGAAAAAGCATGAGTATTTTTTAGTTTCTTAATACAAAGATAAAAATTACCCTTTGAGAAAGTAGGCACTGCATGTTTTCTTTTACAGTTGCCCATGGGTAAAAAACAGAAGCCCAAATAAAACATGTTATGGACAATTATTTTGACAGCGTTTGTAAGTTTACCTTCTGTTCATATTACATAAAGTAACATATTACAATGCGTGCTGATGGTGACTTTTGTGATTCTGTATTACAACAGAGATATGGCTTTGTCTTTTTGCATCTAGATTGGATAACTAATTTTCGTTATATTGGTCAGTCCTTACACTATAAAAACTTGCAGAGGTTCTGCCCTGAAAACAAATCATATGAACTTAACAGAAATATTTGGTTGTTGGCTTAGGGAGCTGGAGTTTTTTTGCCTATACAATTCAGAAGGAATAATGTATATTACTGTATCAAGTGAATTTTTATTGTAACTTGTGGTTTTTTCCATATGACTTAATTTCTTGCCAAGGCAGACTTTGGGGTATTTTTTTAGAGCTTCTTTTTCTGCTAAAGAATCTTTCATAATGTAAACCGTTACACTGACTACCCATAAATACTATTTTAATGAATTTACCTCACATCTAAGTGTAAACTCTAATGCCTATAAAATTTTAAATATGAAATATTATGCCACATCATCATACTACTTAATCTTGGTAACAAGTATTCAATTCAATTTACTTACAGAATTTTATGATTTCTTAAAAATAGTGGGTTAATTTACAATGAATTGCTTTGAGTTTATAGACTGTAATTTTCATTCATTACTTTTCTAATGCCACATAAGAGAAGTATCCACCTTAGTTTGTAAAAGTATGTGAATATTTCAGTGATAGTTGATTTTTATCTACTTTTAAACCACTAGTATAACCGATACGTCTACATTGACCACTACTAGAACAAAATTGAACAAAGCAGAAGGGTAAATAACAGTTATATGATAATATCATCTAGATTGGGTTTCAAGGGAAAAAGAAAAATTAAAATATCCTAAAATTTTATGTTAGATGGCATGATTTTAGGAACTTACAAGCTACATGAATTCATCATGGAGTTTATTGGATCAGTGGATAGCAAACCACATGACTTATATACATTCAATTCTCTCTTAAATAGATTTTTCTACTTAAAACCAATTCAAAATGTTTTGTTACCAGGGCACCTAGTTCTCATGTTATTCCTAGGACTATAGTATCCCAGAAATATGTGACTCAAAAGTTACAGAAAATCAGATTGAGTAAGTCACTGATGGAAAAGAAAAGATGAAAACAAGGGCCAAAAACCTCAAACCAATTAAAATCAACAAACAATAAAAACCACATAGAAAAACTTCAGTGCAAACCCTAGGCCTATAGAGACTACACCTTTTATTAATGTACATTTAAAAAGGCTTTACTTTGTGAAATAATTTTACTTAGATCCTTTATTAGTGACCGATTTCTAAAATTTTATGTTTCCCAACAGAGGGTATTCCTACCTTAAAAAGAAAAAAAAAATATATTACTGGAGTGTTAAGGATTACTTTTAACTTTTGAATTTGAGAACTCCTTCTCAGAGGAACTTTTTGTCATTTTCATACCTGTGAAATATAAATAAATACATAAAAGCCCTCTATTTCTCCAAAAAGGAAAAGAAAATGCAATTTATCAAGTGTTCACCTGCTAGATGTTTAACACACTGTTAATCTTCACTACAACTCTTCAAGATACAAATTCTTATGTATATTTTACAGATAAAGAAACCAGTCTCAGAAGACTGAGTTTGTCAAAGACCACACAACTCACATCGCTGATCTCTAGTATCAGAATCAAGCCCTTACTGAGAAGACACAGCTCCATTTTTTCAATTGTTGCTAATGGCAAAGTCATTTGGAAAGAAAGTAGTGAATTGTAGAAACTATTGTATTGGCCTGAAATCTTGATTGAAGTGAGTTAAACCCGTTTGTTTTTTTTTTTTTTCTTAAACAGGCTTGAGTTTAAAAAGGGAGAGTAAGGGAGGTATTTATTCACTTAGGAACTAAAAATACAAATGTAGTCTAACTGTGGCACAAGAAAATTCATTTGTAACATCTAAAACGCTTACCCCACCATCTGTCAGCCCTTTTATATTCAAAGCTTCCCTTGACTTAAACTTCATTTTCACCCATGCTGCCTGTAAGAAGTGACTATACATATATATATGTGAGCTATAGGCTCACATCCTACTATCTTAGCTAGCAAGAGCTTACTTATCAGTAGCTCCGGTGAAAGTCCAGGGCTGTTGCTGCTTGAGTTACCTAATCAGGTATGTTACCCTTAAACCATTCCCTGTTGCCAAAAGATTGTGTTACTCTCATTGACCAGGTTTCAGTCATTTGTCCAAAGCTAAAATAGACAGCGTAGTTAGCCCTATAATAACTTCATATTGCGAGAGAGGGAGAAAGGTAGTTGTGCGGACGCTTTTTAGGAGAAAGGGGGAAATGGACAGGCAAAAACAGCAGATGTCCATTCTAGCTATGTATTATGTTGGGAATTTAGCTTGTTAAAGTCATGTCAGTTCATAGTTTGAAATTAGTTTAAATATGATAAAAGACACTCATTTCTTTAGCTTTTACTGCATGTAACCAATTTTGCAAAGTCCATTTCCTAATTTGATACTTGACACTCTATCTAAAGACATGCCAGTCAAGCTAATAAAATGTACAGTAGTGTTTTAAAAAGTGAGGAAACTGATAAACAGATGGCTATATGGGATGTTTCTAAGAATAGGAAAGGAAAGACTTTTTGTCACATTTCACTATTTAGGATAACAGATGCATTAGTCTGTGTTTCTAAATAAAACTTCAAGCACATGTCTGAAATCATCTACTTACTATTCAAATAGAAATTTCCCTTTGGAGGTTAGTTTGATCTGTCAAACCACCATATGGGTCTGTAATAGTATAAAGTTCTCTGAATTTTCTGTTCTTGCAATTTAAGCTTTTTCACTAGTACGCTTACTCCCGAAGCTAGACTGCCTTCAAGAGAGCTGTGCTGAGGATATTTCAAACTGTTTTATACACACACACACAGCCTGAGTGAGATGAATGGGTTAGGTCACTTGAAAAACTTTTAAGGGAATTAGAATACAATCTCTGGTATGGGACTTTCATTTTATAGCCCAATGAGGTTATTGCTCTAGCTCTATTACATCTAACACCAAAAACCTCAGTGAGCAGACATGGTTTTTACTTCATTAAGTAGGCTTTTTAAAAATGGACTTTCTACCTTCTGAGCCAAAAAAAAAAAAAAAAGAAAATAATAATTAATTAAAAATAAAAATGGACTTTCTAAATTGCTTTTCTGAGTATTTTAATATCTCATTTTATTCTTCCAAACCTGCCTGTGAATAATTTCTAAATATTTCTCTTATGTACAATCTAAATAAACATATAACTTGCTGACCTTATTAGCAGTATATCTACAACAAATGATATTCATTTAATGTATTATTCATTCATGAAATTAGCCACCAAATGTTAATTGAACATCTACAATGGGCCTTACAATGTCCTGCCAACAGCATTAGTAATGAGGTACTGTACATAGGTGGACACTTCATGTGATGCGTTCTTACATCTTTGAGCATGAATATTTATTTTAATCACGTCTAAGAGTCTTTCAACAAGGTTCTTACATTTCTTTATTTTCACTTACATTCTTAAGCAGAATATGCTGAGCATTTATTTAATGACTTGGGACAGTTGTGCTCAATCTTGATGATTGTACTGTAATGCAATAATTGTCCTCACCATTAACTGGAAATACAGCACTGCTCTTGCACAATTGATTCTAAGCTATTATGTTCTAATATTTTCTGTGTCTCTTCCCTTCCTTACTCTGAGATATTGCTTCTTGTAAAAATCAGGGCATTTTCTGTTACCAGTTTCCCAGAATCTCCATGTACCCATGTGTAACTTATTTTTCTAAATATGCTGTGGGTCTAATAAGTATCTTGTCAGGACTGTATGGAATATAAAAGAAAAGTCATTAATCTCTGAGAAAATCCTGAGGGTTTCAACTGTGGTTAAAATGTATGCTTGATTTTGGGGGTGGTGATGGGGGGACGAAGTCCTGCTCTGTTGCCCAGGCGGGAGTGCAATGGTGCACCATCTTGGCTCACTGCAACCTCTGCCTCCTGGGTTCAAGCGATTCTCCTGCCTCAGCCTCCCAAGTAGCTGGGATTATAGGTGCCCGCCACCACATCTAGCTAATTTTTGTACTTTTAGTAGAGACGGAGTTTCACCATCTTGGTCTAGGTTTATTTTCTTGAAGTCAGGAATCTGAAATTGGCTTCACTGGCCTAAAGTTAAGGTGTTGGCAGGATTGGTTGCTTCTGAAAGCTCTGAGGGGAGAATTCTTTCTCCTGCCCTTTTCAGCTTCTAGTGGTTGTCTATGTTCCTTGGGTTGTGGCCCCTTCCTCCATTCTCACTCCAATCTCTGCTTCTGTCACTACATTGCATTTTCCTCTATGTGGTCAAGTCTCCCCTGTCTCACTCTTTTTTTTTTTTTTTTTTTTTTTTTGAGACGGAGTCTCGCTCTGTCGCCCAGGCCGGACTGTGGACTGCAGTGGCGCAATCTCGGCTCACTGCAAGCTCCGCTTCCCGGGTTCACGCCATTCTCCTGCCTCAGCCTCCCGAGTAGCTGGGACTACAGGCGCCCGCCACCGCGCCCGGCTAATTTTTTGTATTTTTAGTAGAGACGGGGTTTCACCTTGTTAGCCAGGATGGTCTCGATCTCCTGACCTCATGATCCACCCGCCTCGGCCTCCCAAAGTGCTGGGATTACAGGCGTGAGCCACCGCGCCCGGCCCTGTCTCACTCTTAATAAGGACAATTGTGATTACATTTAGGGATCTCCTGAATAACCCATGCTAATTTTTTCATCTCAAGATCCTTAAAATCTGCAAAGTCTCTTTTGCCTTGTAAAGTTATGTATTCACATATTCCAGGAATTAGAACCTGACTATCTTTGGGGCTGATTATTCAATATACCAGTGTTACCATTTAGTATTTTATGACTTTTTAAAGAGTAATACAGGCTCACTTGATATTGGCATGAATGAGAGAACTAATCTGATATGGTAAAAATTTCTTCTGTACAAGAGTAACAAAAAGAAAGAAGAAAGAGAGAAAGAAAGGAAAGAAAGAGAAAAAAGAAAGAAGGGAGAAAAAAGAAATAAGGAAGAAAAAAGAAAAAGAGGAAAGAAGGAAAAGAGAGGAAGGAGAGGGAAAGAAAGAGAAATGAAGGAAGGAAGGAAGGAAAAGGGGAAGGGGAAGGAGAGGACGGAAGAAAGAAAGATTATAGGAATAAATTTAACCAAGGAGATGAAAGATCTCGATAACAAAACTACAAAACACTGACGAAAGAAATTGAAGAGGACACAAAAAATGGAATGACATCCCAAGCTCATGGATTGCAAGAATTGATATTTTTAAATGACCTTACCACCCAAAGCAATCTACAGATGCAGTGCAACACCTATTAAAATACTAATGATATTCTTCATAAAAATAGAAAAAAAATCCTGAAATTCATATAGAGGCATGAACAACCCAAAAACCTCAAATAGCCAAAGCATTACTGAGCAAGAAGAACAAAGCTCGAGGCATAACACTCCCTGTCTTCAAAATATACCACAAAGCTACATTAACCAAAATAATGTGATATTGGTATAAAAACCAATACCCAGACCAATGGAACAGAATAGAGAACCGGAAATGAATTCACACATTTACAACTAACTGATTTTGAACAAAGTTGCCAAGAACATACATTCCCCAATGTGTCTCGTTAATAAAGTGTTAACAAAAGTGCCTCGTTAATAAAGAGTTCTGGGAAACTGGGTATCCATATGTGAAAGAATAAAACCAGACCTCTGTCTCTAACCATATACAAAACATATTGACTCAAAATGGATTAAAGACTTAACATAAGGCCTGAAACTATAAAATTACTACAGGGAAAGAAAACCTAGGGAATATACTTCAGGAGTTTGGTCTAGGCAAAGATTTCTTGGGTAAGACTTCAAAACTATAGACAACAAAAGCAGAAATAGACAAAACGGACTATATCAAACTGAAAATTTTCTGCATAGCAAAGGAAATAATCAACAGAGTGAAGACATAATCTGTGGAATGGCAGAAAATATTTGCAAACCATTTATCTGACAAGGACTAATATTCAGAATATGTAAAGAACTCAGACAACTCAACAGAAAACAAATAATCATTAAAAAATGGGCCAAGGGTCTGAGTAGACATTTCTCTAAAGAAGACACACAAGAAGCCAATAAGTACATGAAAAAATGCTCAACATCACCAATCATCAGAGAAATGCAAATCAAAACCACAGTGAAATATCTCATCCCAGTTAGAATATTTATCATCAAAAGGCAGAAAATAACAAATGCTGGCAAGGATGTGGAGAAAAGGCAACTATTGTACACTCTTAGTGGGAATGTAAATTAATACCTCCATTATGGAAAACAGTACGGAAGTTCCACAAAAAAACTAAAAATTGAACTACCTTACAATCAAGCAATCCCACTACTGAGTATTTATCCAGAGGAGAAAAAATTAGTATATCGAAGAGGTACCTGCACCCCAATGTTTATTTCAGCTCTATTCATAATAGCTAAGACATGGAATCAACCTAAATGTCCATCAACAGATGAATGGATAAAGAAAATGTGTTATATATGCACAATGGGATAAAAAAGAAGCCATGAAAAAGAATGAAATCCTGCCAGTCCTGGCAACATGGATGAGCCTAGAGGACTTTATGTTAAGTGAAGTAAGTCAAGCACAGAAAGATAAAGACTGCGTGTTCTCACTCATATGTGAGAACTAAAAAAAAACTTGAGTTTGTAGGAGTGTAGAATAGTGGTTATGAGGTACTGTGAAGATTGAGGAAGGGGATGATAGGAAGAGGTTGGTTAACAGACAAAGCTACAGCTAGATGGGAAGAATAAATTGTAAAGTACTGTAGCAGTGTCAGGTGAATATGTTTAACAATAACTTACTGTATATTTTCAAAAAAGCTAGAAGAGAGGATTTTGAATGCTCACCACAAAAAGAAAGGATAAATGCCGAAGATGATGGATATGTTAATTACCCTGATTTGCTCATTACATATTGCATACATGTATCAAAATATCACTCTGTATCCCATAAATGTGTACAATTATTACATTTCAACTGAAAATAAAAGGAAAAATCTACTTCTGGAAGGAAATGACTTTTTTTACATTAAAAAATCCACTTTTTGCTAATTAGAGTATCAAGCTTTTAAGTTATTTGCTTTTTTTAATGATACTGCTTTTACATATTGAAGATTCAAAGGAATAGTAATTGGACCTATTTCCTTTTTTTTTGTTTTATGACATTGGCAAATATATATTTTTATGTAAAATATAAATATAAGGTATAACATTTATATTTCTGACCAGAGCTGATGAAACCTGAAACCATGCTTTAAATTTTTTTTTATTTTTAGGTTTTCAGTTTGTTTATTTATTTATTTATTTTATTATTATTATACTTTAAGTATTAGGGTACATGTGCACAATGTGCAGGTTAGTTACATATGTATACATGTGCCATGCTGGTGTGCTGCACCCATTAACTCGTCATTTAACATTAGGTATATCTCCCAATGCTATCCCTCCCCCTTCCCCCCACCCCACAACAGTCCCCAGAGTGTGATGTTCCCCTTCCTGTGTCCATGTGTTCTCATTGTTCAATTCCCACCTATGAGTGAGAACATGCAGTGTTTGGTTTTTTGTCCTTGCGACAGTTTACTGAGAATGATGATTTCCAATTTCATCCATGTCCCTACAAAGGACATGAACTCATCATTTTTTATGGCTGCATAGTATTCCATGGTGTATATGTGCCACATTTTCTTAATCCAGTCTGTCATTGTTGGACATTTGGATTGGTTCCAAGTCTTTGCTATTTTGAATAGTGCTGCAATAAACATACATGTGCATGTGTCTTTATAGCAGCATGATTTATAGTCCTTTGGGTATATATCCAGCAATGGGATGGCTGGGTCAAATGGTATTTCTAGTTCTAGATCCCTGAGGAATCGCCACACTGACTTCCACAATGGTTGAACTAGTTTACAGTCCCACCAACAGTGTAAAAGTGTTCCTATTTCTCCACATCCTCTCCAGCACCTGTTGTTTCCTGACTTTTTAATGATTGCCATTCTAACTGGTATGAGATGGTATCTCATTGTGGTTTTGATTTGCATTTCTCTGATGGCCAGTGATGGTGAGCATTTTTTCATGTGTTTTTTGGCTGCATAAATGTCTTCTTTTGAGAAGTGTCTGTTCATGTCCTTCGCCCACTTTTTGATGGGGTTGTTAGTTTTTTTCTTGTAAATTTGTTTGAGTTCATTGTAGATTCTGGATATTAGCCCTTTGTCAGATGAGTAGGTTGCGAAAATTTTCTCCCATTCTGTAGGTTGCCTGTTCACTCTGATGGTAGTTTCTTTTGCTGTGCAGAAGCTCTTTAGTTTAATTAGATCCCATTTGTCAATTTTGTCTTTTGTTGCCATTGCTTTTGGTGTTTTAGACATGAAGTCCTTGCCCATGCCTATGTCCTGAATGGTAATGCCTAGGTTTTCTTCTAGGGTTTTTATGGTTTTAGGTCTAACGTTTAAGTCTTTAATCCATCTTGAATTAAAGGAGGCTGGCAGGGGAGAGGACAGCTTAGAGGTTCATCTCAATGAAAAATAAAACTTTTGAAGATGCCATTTTTGTCAAAAAGTAAAAAACTTAGAAAACAAAAACACTCCAGTACATATACCTATTTTTAGCCACATAAAGAATGCTAAAAACAGCTCCAGAAAGCCTATCCCACATCTGTGCATTTATGTTTTTCCTTTACTTCATTATACCTGTCTGCTTCAATTCTAAAAGTTAAGGAGGCAATTCCATTTCTCTGACTCCTGCCCTTATGCTGCTGCTTTATAAGAAATGAGCAGATGTAAAGGGGATAGGTCACAGCCTGCATATACCTGCTCATAAACAAACCAAAAGCCAAAAGGTCTAATTTTAGCCTTCATTCTCTTGGGGCTGTCATAACAGTCACTAACAGGAATTGTTTTGCAATTAATAAACAACATACGGTAAGGTATGAGTCACTAAAAACAAGCATGATTTTCATCTGATGAGTGGAAAAAGAAACAAGAAACCCCTTACAAACGGAGTGGACTTGAGTTATCGGTAAAAAATGGTGAGGTTAGAGAGATCCTTTGAAGCCAAAGACAAAAATATATCATAGCTGATTTGGAGCTTGACATGTGAGAAAAAGAAAGCTAATGATTTTCAAAGAGTAATCTAGACCGTACCCCCTTTTTAGTCTTTCTAATTTTCTAATGTGTATATTTTAAGCTGGTTAGTATATTACTGTAGCCCTTCAAATAATTTTATGACGTTTTGCCCTATCTGTAGAATTTGTGTTAAATCTCACTTAATATCATCCCTTATTCATTAGCCTCCATTTTTGAACCACTGATACAATTATCATTAATATAAGAACACAATGTTTTGTTATATATAGCTTTTGTCTTAAGTTCTTACACAATCAAAGAATCTTAGACAAACCAAATAGAACAGATTCAAGAGGAAAGACAATACATATTAGATATTTTTTAAACCTGGCTTTTATTGGGCCTGCTACCTGACTAATTTAGCCTGTTCTTGACTTCTTTTGGAAAATGAATTCATGGTAAGTAATTTTCCAACTAACTAAGCTTTTCTTACGTTGGCTTAGCTAAACTTATTTGCCTTCTTAACTTAAAAAAATTATGAGATATTTTAAACATATACAGAAATCAAATGATGGAAGGTCATATATGCGCCACTCAGATTTAGCAGATGGTAACATTTTGCCTTATTTGCATGAAAATGTTGGTGTCGTGTATTGCTAGGATCCTAAGCACATTCCTTTCCTTTCCCTCAGGCTTTAGATGTGACAATTATCCTGAATTTGGTATATATCATGCTGTGTGTGTTTATACTTTTACTATTTGTGTATGTACCCATAACTTGTTTGAATTTTCTGCACACTTTTCATCTCTACGTGTTTGGAAGTACATGCTATTTGTATGTACATTGCTACATGTTCGAAAGTACATACTATTTGTATGATTTTAGTAGGCACTCTTAAAACTATAGCATATCTACCTGACTTAAAGTGTACAATGCCTCAATATTTCTACCCTCAGATATTAAGAGGATCTTAGGATCAGTTTCCTTTGGACTGAAAATCATTTCCTGGTTCTTTCAATGAGTGGTAAACTCTCTGTCTTGGAATTGTCTTCATTTTCTCTTCAGTATTACGTAATTGTTTACCTGGGTAGAGAATCCTAAGACTACAGTTGAGTTTTATTAACACTTGAAAGATATTTTATTATCTTAGAGTCTCTTGTTGCTGCTATCTTCTGTCAGCCAAATTCTAATTCCTTTACAAATCAATTGTCTTATCTTTTCTTTTTTATTTTCCCTAAGATCTTTTTGCCCATGGTATTCTGCAGTCTTACTATTTTATGTATTTGGTATAGACTTATTTACTTATTCTGCTTGGTTCTCTTTGTGATTCTTTATTCCTAGGATTACAGTTCTAGAAGATTTTTTAGTCATTATGTAGCATCTCAAATTGCTTCTCTCTATTGTCTCCTTAGTCGACCACTAAAACTGTGGCTAACCTGTTGGAATTTCTCATCCTGTCCTTAATGTAACTTCATAGCTTTTTAGTACCTTTTATCTTTTCATCCTCTGCACTGCATTGTCTGTGATTTCCCTGGTCTGCTCTCCCAGTGCACTTGTTTTTGTTTTGTTTTGTTTTTTGTTTTTTTAAGACGGAGTTTTGCTCTTGTCATCCAGGCTGGAGTGCAATGGTGCGATCTCGGCTCACTGCAACCTCCGCCTCCCGAGTTCAAGTGATTTTTCTTCCTCACCCTCCCGAATAGCTGGGGTTACAGGCGCCCACCACCATGCCTGGCTAATTTTTGTATTTTTAGCAGAGATGGGGTTTCACCACGTTGGCTAGGCTGGTCTTGAACTCCTGACCTCAGGTGATCCACACGCCTCGACCTCCCAAAGTGCTGGGATTACAGGCGTGAGCCACCATACCTGGCCTACTCATTCTTTTCTCCACCTATGCCTCACCTAAAACCTGCCTATTGAAATTTTGTAGCAAAGGCTATTATTTTTTATTTCCAGAAGTTATTTTTTATGTTTTCCATTTTCTTTCTTTCTTTTTTTTTTTTTTTTAACTTGAGACAGAGTTTTGCTCTTGTTGCCCAGGCTGGAGTGCAGTGGTGTGATCTCAGCTCGCTGCAACCTCTGCCTCCCAGGTTCAAGTGATTCTCCTGCCTCAGCCTCCTGAGTAGCTGGGACTATAGGCACCCACCACCACACCTGGCTAATTTTTTTGTATTTTTAGTAGAGATGAGGTTTCACCGTGGTGGCCGGGCTGGTCTTGAACTCCTGACCTCAGGTGATCCACCCACTTCGGTCTCCCTAAATGCTGGGATTACAGACATCAGCCACCATGCCAGGCCTGTTTTCTATTTGTGTGTGTGTGTGTGTGTGTGTGTGTGTGTGTGTGTGTCTGTGTGTCTTTAAATCATTTAAAACATTTTATAAGTGCTTTCAATTGTTCTGTTATCTTATGTTTTGGTTGTACCAGTCTTTCTATTATTTTTGTAGACTCTTGCTCATAAACATTTCCTTGAGTGTTTTTTAATTATTGGTTTTGAGTTATCTAAATGGGGATTTCACATAATTTGGGTTGTGAAAGTTTTCCTGCAGAACAGTCTTTTGTTTACATTTTCCATATGCCTCAGAGGAATCTCCAACCCAAGGCCAATTTTTCAGTTTTAATTCCTTAGGCTACCACTCATATGCTATGCGGGCAGTGTTCATTTTTACACTTAACCAGTACACAATGGAGGAGTCCTTGTCAGAAATGTGTTTCTTATCATCTCCCTGGATCAGGGAAGATAATTTTTAGGACCCTTTTCACTAATGATGCAGCCTTTAGCTAGCGCAACACTATTCACAGTTTGGTTTATCGACCAGTAGCATCAGCATTACCTGGGAATGTACTAGAGATACAAATACGCAGGTCTGCTGGACCAGAATCTCTGGGGCTGGATTGAGGAACCTGGGTTTTAACAGGCCCTCCAAGTGATTGTTATGGTTGCTAAAGTTTGGGTACTATAGCTTTAGAGAGGGTCCCAGCTTCATATAGGAATCTCAGTTCCAGTGTCCTGTCTCATTCAAAATGGATGCAAGCCCTTATTTTCTGTCACTTAGTGGATATTAAAATCTAAAACTCCAGCAGTTACGGCCTATCTTTACATTTCATGGAGCTCTTCCCCAGTCCTGTTTCCATTCATAGTCTACTGCAGCAATAACTTGTTTGTGCATTTTCATTTGACTGTTTGAGCATCCAGGAACCTCCTTTCTTCTTGTGAATTCAACTATGTATTTGTTTTATCCCACATTTCAAGACGTATACTGTAAGAAGGCTTCTAGCGTAGCTAGAGCCATCTTCTTGCCAGAAGGCCTTAGCTAAATTGTTCATGTTGTGTGTTGATATTATCTTGAATGGTGAATGTACACCGAGATTTGTTTTAAATTCGAAAATAAGATCAAGAACGATGTGTAGCTCTCTGTTTTCTTTATGTTATAATAGATTGTTTGTTGTAACATCATAATTGCTTGATGATCACACGTTCTTTAAATCTTCAAAAAATGATATGGAATAAAATTGATGGAAAGGTAATTGAACGAAAAAAATTGAAGCAAAAGTATTGACATAGTATCTTATACAGATATAAATGGGAATGTTGCATACTTATCTTTATTGCATGTTACAGAATGGAATCAAGATAATTCTCCTCAAGAATGCTTACCATGTCTTAGGATGTAAGCCAAGTGTTTTACGTGCATTATCTAATTAAATCCTTTAAAATAGTCCATCCCCATTTTATAGATGAAAAAGCTAGAGTGCAGAGAAGGTAACTAATTCCCTAACTTACATGGTTATTAAGTGAAGTGGGATTTGAACCCATGCAGCCCGATAGAGCTTATAGTTTAACCAAATACACTACATGCTTACTTTTAGAAAAGGAAAACAAGCTTTTTGTTTGTTTGTTTATTTTTTATTTTTGTGGAGACAGGGTCTCGCCATGTTGCCCAGGCGGGTCTCACCATGTTGCCCAGGCTGGTCTCCGACTCCTGGGCTCAAGAGATCCATCCGCCTCGGTCTCCCCAGGTGCTGGGTTACAGGCGTGAGCCAATGCTCCCAGCCAAAAACAAGCATTTTGTGTCACACTAGGCACTTTCACCTATTTTCCACTTAATGCTTACAACAATCTTGTGAGTAGTTATTACCAGTCCACCCCCCACCTTATGTTCTTTAAAAGATGATATTCACGGCCGGGCGCGGTGGCTCATGCCTGTAATCCCAGCACTTTGGGAGGCCGAGGCCGGCGGATCATGAGGTCAGGAGATCGAGACCATTCTGGCTAAGATGGTGAAACCCCGTCTCTACTAAAAATGCAAAAAGAAAAATTAGCCAGGCGTGGCGTCTTGCGCCTGTAGTCCCAGCTGCTGGGGAGGCTGAGGCAGGAGAATGGCGTGAACCCGGGAGGTGGAGCTTGCAGTGAGCCAAGATCGCACCACTGCACTCCAGCCTGGGTGACAGAGCAACACTCCGTCTCAAAAAAAAAAAAAAAAAAAAAAAAAAAAAGATGATATTCACATAGGTTAAGTGATTTGCCCCAATGGATCAGAGAGTAGAACTTGAGCCCAAGTCTGCAAATTGCCAAATCATCCTTTATATGGCAACTGGGCTGGTTTACTTAGTTCCAAATGTTTTCCTCTGTGGTTATAATACAATTTATTGCTTGCAGAATTACTAGCCCAACTATCAGAAGTTTTTTTTCTTTAGAGGACTGAGTGATTTCCACTGGGACCATATGATGTAACAGAAAGAATCATTGGCTTATGGTCTGCTTAATATCACTAGTCTTTGCTCTGTGATAGACTAGACAGTGGGAACTTTTATTATATCATTTCTGTTCCCTGCATTTCAGCTTTCTCTTTTTTTGTTTTTAAACTACATGATCTCTAAATGTCCTTATAGCTCTGCTATTCTAATTCAAAACCAGTAGTCATAATGGTTTATTTTTTAAAACTACAGTTACACCTTGATGATTCTAAATTTTCTACTTTTCCTGGATTGAGACTCCGTATAGTACTTTCTGAGGTATGGCAAGGTAAATTTGAAACATCACTGCTGATATTGGGAGAACTAAAGTAAGTTTGGACATATTCCGTGACCCTTCTGCTATTTGCGTCTTAAGAATCTTGTTAACATCCTTCATCATGACTAGAAATGGGAACACTTGATTTAAAAAAATAATTCACATATCAAAAAAAACAGTTGAATTTGGGTAATTTAGCATAACCAAGAAAAGTGCAGGTTCTGAAGTCAGACCTGAATTAGATGTCCAACTTTGCTATTTCCCAGTGGTAAAAACAGTCTCTCCCAGCTTGTCTCCTCCCCTGTAAAATGGGGAAAATAATCATCTCTATATAATGACATGAAGATTAAATGAGAAAATGCAAGAACACCTTTAGCACAGTGACTGGAGGTACAGTGAGCACTCATACATTTTAGCTGTTATTATTGTCATTGTCACTATGATGATTCCTCTTAAGGATCTTTCCTTTGTATTATAGCTCTTACTGAATGAACTATCAAGCAAGTAAAAATGTAATACTGAAATTGAATGCAAATTTTTAAGTTTTGTTAAATAATTATATGAGAGACGCAGCTGTCTATCAGCAAGAGTGAAATTGAACAGGCCACCGGCGACCTTTACTCTTTTCTAAGTAAAGCACAGATGTGGTTTTAGTTTCATTGGTTAGCAGCTGCTGCTATTGCTTAGATAGTCTTTCTGTATTTGAGCTTCTGCTGTTTAGCCTCCCAGGCCACAGACTGTGCTGATATAAATCGAGACAATCTATTTCTCAATCTTGTACACTGGTGGGCCTTTCTGCTGCTGTCACTTATTTATTTATTTATTTATTTATTTATTTATTTATTTATTTATTTGAGATGGAGTTTTACTCTTGTTGCCCAGGCTGGAGTGCAATGGCGCCATCTTGGCTCAGTGCAACTCTGCCTCCCGGGTTCAAGTGATTCTCCTGTCTCAGCCTCCCGAGTATCTTGGATTATAGGTGCATGCCACCATGCCTGGCTAATTTTTGTATTTTTAGTAGAGATGGGGTTTCATTATATTGGTCAGGCTGGTCTTGAACTCCGACCTCAGGTGATCCACCCACCTTGGCCTCCCAATGCCGTCACTTCTTAGCAATTTATTCTTGGAGTTGTGTTGTCTGTGGCCTTGTAGCCTTTTCCCTGCCCCCTCTGGATTACAGTCTTCCACAACCATTCACCATGAGGCAGATTTGTAGCTGTTCTATTTGCATCAATCCTTTTCGCATGTTCACTGCTAAGAAGCTGAGTTGCTTAGCTGCTGATAGACTGCCTGTCTCTGGGTTTTACTTTTGGAGATACTCTACGGCTATCTCATTTACCTGGCTAGCCAAGAGGGTCATCTGCTGGCAAAATTAATATCACATAGTGGACCCTTATCATTCTCTGGATATTAATGCCAAGCTCTCTATGTTTTTGGTTTCCTAGCAAGATTGTTATTTAATGTCATTTTTTATTGCAAATTTCATTTCTATACTGTTACTAGTTTGTGTGACTGTAGAGTTTCCCCATTATAAGTGATATTTGATCTTGGTGTCTAAAATCTGGTTTTTGGGTCATAGCACTGAGCTGATTTCTTGCAATGATTAACATACTCCAAACCCAATCAATACCATTTCTTACTATTTGTCATGTATTTATTAAGTGTTTATTATATGTGAGTCACTGATGATACAAAGTCAAATAAGATGTAATCTTTCTGGGAATAGTTGCACAGGTATATATTTGGTGATAATTCATTGAGCTGTACATTTGATAACCTTTGCTATATGCATTTTATAATTCTTAGGGAAAGAAGAAGATGTGGTCTGACCTGGAGTTATAGTCTAGTATGAAAGCAGACATGTAAATTAGTGATTTCAAAGCAAGACGAATGCTATTACATGAGCAGATTTCTGGAGAAGCACAGAGAAAAGTCATCGTACACTAGGGATTTATTAAAAAATATTTAGAGGAGATAACACGATATTTGACTTTCAAAGGTTTAGTAGAAGGTATCTGGGTGAACAAAGACACTCAGGAAAGAAAGAGCAGCACTATGAAAATAGAGTCTCATAAAGCAGGCTACCTGGGTGGGACAGGGTTTTTTATGGTTGGAGGTAGGACATGAGAGCAGAAATTAGGCAAATTATATTCTGAAACCAGATCTACAGAGACCCTAGATGTTAAAATGAAAAGTTAAAGGATATATTAATAGTAATATTTGAGATGTAGCCATAGAAGGGGAATTCTCAAACGACACTGAGAAGAAATGATAAAAAAGAATAGGAGGGACTTCTAGAGAGTGTTGTCACATGAGCCAAAGGAAGGGGGTAAGCCTGGCGTATAGGAATGTAGTCAGCAGTATCAAATGCTGCAGAGATCCCAAATAAGACACAAATAGAAGAGTGTCCACTGGCTTCAACAATATGGAAGTTATGTAATGATAATGGTAATATAATTCTGTGAAACAAAATGAGCTGTAATACTTCTAAGTCATTTTATCATTTGGAAGTAGGTGCCCTTTTTTTCATTCTTTTTTAACCACCTCAATTTTTTTCTTCCAATTTTATGTATATTTTTTGTATCTTGCTTGTTAATTTTTATATGTCATTCTCCTTGTCCTTGACTCTTTCCCCTCTGTTATTTAAAAATCTAGTCTTGTCAAATAAGAAAAAGATAATTTTATTCTGCAAAATTATGCATAAAATATTTTTGTAATCACCTATTCTTTATTAAATGGTATTTATCTTTTTACATAAATCATTAAATGTCTTCCTTTACAATTTCCTTATTATGGTGAGTAAATAGACATATTTATATTTCCATATAACCTGCCCATCATAAAGAACTCTGTTTCCTGAAAGCCCTATTTGCTGTCTTCTGCCCCTTGTTTCACTCTAGTCTTATCTCTTGGTAGCTTGCTATCTTAATTCATAATGAGTCTTCATCAAAATTAGAATCAAAGTTAGAATTTACATTTAGAAATATAAACAGCATATGTACATATAGGGAGATGGGGAAAAGGCCATCTCTTATAAAGCGTCATTTGAATAATAATTTTGGAAAAATAATTTTACATTTTAAAAATGTTCTCCGGCCAGGCGCGGTGGGTCACACCTGTAATCCCAGCCCTTCGAGAGGCCGAGGCAGGTGGATCACAAGGTCAGGAGATTGAGACCATCCTGGCTAACATGGTGAAACCCCGTCTCTACCATAAATACAAAAAAAAAAAAATTAGCCAGCCATGGTGGCGGGCGCCTGTAGTCCCAATTACTCGAGAGGCTGAGGTGGGAGAATGGCATGAACCCAGGAGGTGGAGCTTGCAGTGAGCCGAGATCGCGCCACTGCACTCCAGCCTGGGCGACAGAGCGAGACTCCGTCTCAAAAAAAAAAAAAAAAAAAAAAAAAAAATGCTCTCCATTGTTTGAGTTTTGAGCGGACGGCAGTTGTTGTATATTTGTCCTAGTGATTTAAATAACATAACTATGAGATCAAAACCATCATTACTTAACAAGTACTTTTATTTCTAAACTTTTGGAAGAGCAATGGGCCGGGCGTGGTGGCTCATTCCTGTAATCCTAGCACTTTGGGAGGCCGAGGTGGGCGGATTGCCTGAGCTCAGGAGTTCGAGAGCAGCCTGGAGAACATGGTGAAACCCCGTCTCTACTAAAATACAAAAAAAAAAAAAAAAAAAAATTCGCCGGGTGTGGCGGCGTGCACCTGTAGTCCCAGCTACTCGGGAGGCTGAGGCAGGAGAATTGCTTGAACCCGGGAGGTGGAGGTTGCAGTGAGCCGAGATAGTGCCACTGCACTCCAGCCTGGCGACAGAGCGAGATGAAAAAAACAAAAACAAAAACAAAAACAAAAAAACACTTTCTGGTTTCTGAGATCTTTATGGATTTTAGAAATTACTTTAAAATGTAATTGGACCTATTGGAGGTTTAGCCTGGAGGATTCAGTTTAATTCAATATTGTCAAGTACAACTCAGAATGTGATGTTATTTTAAATTTCACTAATAGTATTGCTAACTCTATTTTCCCTCTTCAGATTAGTTTTGATTACTAGCATTTTGATACACCTGTTTTCTTTCAGTTACCAAGATGTGTAGTATTATTAAGTAATTCATGTACTCTCAAATAATGTGATTATCCTTTGTTATTCTTGAATTGAAATTCTGGTTAACTTTGAATGGAAAATTCATGGCACTTTCAAGTGAATAAGAATTATAATGTTCTGATCTGGTAAGATCTAATGGAATAAACAAGGACTCTATATAAGAATGTTGATCAGATTAACACGGTCATTGTATTTGTTCATACTATTCCTAATATTAGAATAGAATTAGAATCCTTCATTTTCATCCTTTCATTGTGTATCTATCTACATTCATTTCTCTTTCACCCCTTTTACCAAATCATTTTGAGATTTCTGAGATGATTTTAACATAATTTCTTCAGAGACAATAAAAGAATGCTTAATCTATCAAGAATATTTGACAAAAAAACACCATGTTTCAGAATAATTAAAAGGCAAACTACATTTTTGTGGCTCGTACTACATACATGCTTTACTATTACAGCATTGCTGTCCTATTACCGGGTACTCATATATCTAAGGTTTTTATTTATTTATTTTTTATTTTTTTGAGACAGAGTCTCGCTCTGCCACTCAGGCTGGAGTGCAGTGGCGTGATCTCTGCTCACTGCAACTTCAGACTCCTGGATTCAAGCAATTCTCCTGCCTCAGCCTTCTGAGTAGGTGGGATTACAGGCACAGGCTACCACGCCTGGCTTATTTTTGTATGTTTAGTAGTGACAGGGTTTCACCATGTTGGCCAGGCTAGTCTTGAACTCCTGACCTCATGATCTTCCCTCCTTGGCCTCCCAAACTGCTGGGATTACAGGTGTAAGCCACCACACCCGGCCTATCTAAGTTTTTAAGAACAGTATTTACTGGTTTCTCTTATGTTTAACATGTTTAATATTCTTTATCATTTAACTTTGGGAATACTTAGAGTGAAGCTATAATTTTTAATCTTACTGATTTAAATTTAAGAAGATCTCTGTAGCTTTGACACTGCTATCCACATTCCTATACTGGAGGCTTACCCTTTTCTTTGGCTTGTGTGATGATACTCTCTAGAGTTCCCTCCTATCCTTTTCATCTCTTTTACTTTCAAATAGCCATAATCTAAGATTTGTGGTATTTACAATATTTTAACACATTTGTGTTAAATTGAATTATCTATGTAGTTCATTGAGGTATCTTGCTAGATTTTACTGCTGATTTCAAGTTGGCCATAATCTATAGTACATGAATTATTTTTTCTCATTCCAAACTCAAAATGACCTTAGATTTTTTTTAATCTCCTTTTTTTGTTATTTGATGCTGGTATCTAGTTTGCTTTTTTTTTTCTTTAATAATTCATGGCAATGTAAGGTTCTTAATATTTTCTCTTTAGTCTTTGAATGTTTAATAAAGCTTAATTGAATAATTTAAAACAAAAGTGAAAACTCCTTATCTTATAGTTTTTCAAACATAATAGGTTCTCAATAAATATGTTTTACCATTAATCCCAAGATTTAAAACTAAAATGATACTTTAAAAGATTTACTGAAAAATACATAGAACTCTCAGTTCTATTCCTTTGCTGCACTGTTGCATGCTCCTATTTTTATATGTATCCTTCCAGGCATAACTTATACATATATGAGTAAATAAGAATGCATTTTTTTCTATTCATTTTTACCTAGATGATGGCATACCACCCGCTGTTCAATATCTTACTTTTTACTTACCATTTCTTGGAGATTTCTCTATATTAATGTATAATGAACTTCCTCGTTCTTTTTTAATAACTATGTAGAAACTCCATCGTATGAATATAATTTATTTAACAAGTTTCCCTACTGATTTAAATTTAAGATGCCTTCAGTTTTTGCTGTAACACTGCAGTGAATAATAACATGCATAAGTCATTTTGCACTAGTGAAAGTATGGCTGTGGAATGAATTCCTAGAAGTAGAATTGGTAAGTCAAAGAGTACACGGATTGTTAATTTTGGTAGGGTTTGTGTAATGTTCTCCCATAAGGTACTGATTTATGCTCTTACTAAGAGTGAATGAAAATATGTTTTCCCATATAATACCAATATTGTGTTCATGCTTTTTACTTGATTGTTAAACCAAAGGTTTGATCCTCATATTATGTGTTAATATTTAAGGTTCAATATTGATGAAAATATCCCATGAATTATAGTTTTTAGTATTTATAAAACAGTACCACACTTAGCAATCTATGTCTCTTACTACATGATATGTTACTGTTTATACCTCTTCTAAGTTATCAAAACATAAAACAATGTTAAATTAGTGATAGTAGTAAATAATCAGACAGATGATAAAAACAGTAGCATTCCTAGATATATACTCAAACATATACAGAGCTTAGTTCCCAGTAAGATTTTATTTCAAATAAGTGGGGGAAAGATTGATAATTCTATAAATGGTTTTGACCAATAGACATTTATTTGGAAAAAAAGAGATAAAGTATGATTCATACTGCGCTGCTTTCAGCAGAATAAATTTCAGATGAAAGTTTTATATATTATTTTTAAAAATGGGTATATAACGTGCTACCATTTATTAAAGGGAGATGACTGTATGCATGCACACACACATAGCATAATCATAAACAAGTACACTGAGATGGAAATAAAATTTAGACAGTGGTAATAGAAGTTGACTCTTGAGGGTACCTGAGAGATGGGCAGTCAGTGTTGAGTACTGGAGAGTGAAGAATGTTTTTCACTGTGAACATTTTTTTTTCCAACTGTGTGATTTTTTTTTGACTCACATACATATATAATTTTAAAAAAAAAGAAATCAGTACTTGTATCTCATTTTAGTCCAAAAAAAATGAGTTCAGGTGTTTCCTTCTTATTGCATTCTTTCCAAACGGACTGATTTCTCCAAAAGATGGAGTGTTTTGCTATTTTTGCCTGCTGTTTACATTGAGGTTAACTCTGTTGGTTAGGGTGTACTGGTAATGACACCAATGACATGGGTTTTATTTCCATGTGGTTCAGTTAACTTTGGTTTTCCACTGCCACAGACTGCTCCAATAATTATGGCTAAAATGTGTTCTTGGCCCAAGGGAGACCTGATGAAGCAAAGTGCAAATCCATCACCATGTGGGAAAATGGACACCCAAATACCCAGTGGATGGGGGTGGGGGCCAGAGGGAACCATAATAATGGGATCCCTAAATTCACATCTTAATAATATAAAATTCCTTATATACATGCAGTGAACTTCAAGATATCTAACTTAATGTTTTGGTTTTAAAAGGTTCAAAGTCAGTCACAGACAAGGAAGCTCAGTTTATAGGCAAATCTTGAAATATTAACCAAGGTTACTTTTTGGAAAAAAAAAATGAGTCATGCCTAGCCCTTCCCAATTACATAATATTTACTTATCCAAATGCTTTTACTGAGTTTAAAATATCTCAGCTTTATATTTGAAATTACATATAACAAATATTTGATTATGTGGTTTATTGAAAATGAAAGCTCTACTGTAGAAATTTATAATCTTAGTCTTTGCAGTATCATTAGTATGTCTCTAATAGTCCCAAGTCATGGTTCAGAAATCTCTCAAATCTCAAAAAATGTAATATACTTCAATCTTCAATATACATTTTTAATATGCATTCCTATAGTCAATATTTATTAAGTGTTTACTGGTTCCAGGTACTGTGTTGAATAAGTGCAAAGAGATGCCTGGTGGTTCCCAAAGAGCTCTCAATTAATAGGGGAGGGAGATCAGGTAAATAAGAAAACCATTATTATTTTTAGAAATAATGTGACAGTGCTGTGTTAAAGCAAGGCACAGGGTACTGACTGTGAGAGCAATTACTAACAGTATCTAACCCCACGTGGGAAAGCTTTGCTGGATCCTGAAGGACAAGTAAGAGTTAGCCAGGGTAAACAGGGTAGGCAGGGCATTCCAGGCAGAAGAAACAGATGTAGATTTAGAGGTTCAAGAGAGCATGATACATTTAAGAGCTGCAAATAGTTTAGTGTGATCAGAATTTAGAATATGGAAAGGGATGGTGAAAGGTGAGACTGGAAAATTAAACAGAGTTGAATCCATGAGAAGCTTTTTGGGTCCTGCCGGGAATGTAGATTATAGTCTAAAAGCAATGGGAAATGATTGATTTTAAGCAAGACTAGCTTGGTGTTAGAGGACAGTAAGAGTGTAAAATGAGATGTTGTCTGTGTTGTATAAAGTTCAATTTTACATTAGCAGGAAGAATAGAATTTGAGTCATTTATTCAGCATGTATTACTGAGCACTTCCTATGTGCCCAGCACTTTTCTAGGTGCCTGAGTTATTTAGTTCCTGAACAAGTATCTCAAGAACATTATGGTGCTTACATCCTAGTGGAGGCGAAAAGACAAAACAATTAAACAAATATATAGATAATGTTCTTCATGTCAAAAAGTACTATGAAGAAAATCAAAGCAGAGTAAGGTAGAAGGGACACATGTGGGTGCTGGTGCTGACTTTACATCGTTTTAGATCAAGGAAGTCCTTTCTGATAGATGGCCTTTGAGCAGATACATAAATGAAGTGGAAGATTAAATGAAAAGTGTGTTCTAGGCAGAAGAACTCGTTGCAGCAAAGGCCCTGAGGCGATGTTAATGACAGGCTCTTTGAAGAGCAGAAAGCCAGCAGGACTGGAGCTGAGACTGCGTGGAGGAGAGTTGTAATAGGTGACAGCAGAGAGAGTACTTCTGGTGGTGTGGAAAGGTTGGTTGGATATCTGAGGGTAGGACTTAAAACTGAAATCGACTTTAGGAGAAGGTGGGGGAAGCTATTGTATAATCTATAAAAAGTAATGGTGTTGAAAGTCTATTAGTTAAAAAGTTAGTTGATGCTCCATAGCCTTTTCTACTGGTAAATTTGAGAAGAAGCTAGGCCTGTGAAAGAGTCTTCCTTTCTTTTCAAACTTGCCTGCTCCTGCCATACTAGACCTAAGTGTTCTTACTCTGAAGTTCCTGAAAGCTTTTTGGAACTATGCCCAACTTTGTTAAGTTGCAGAATGCTTCTCTGAAAGATTAACAGTATCTTGATCCATGTAGAATTTGGTGAAGGAACTTGCAAGACTTTTACATTTATTGTAACACACCTAGGGTAGATGGTCAGTCCAGCTTTGTGCATGTGAACACTTTAAAGTCTTCCCTTGAAAGATGAAGGTTTATAAATTGTGTCCAAAAGGGGTCTTTCTCTTGGAATTCAGCCTATATTTTCTTTTGAATTATTCTTACTAATTTTACATTCGCTTTTGTTTCTCACTCCATCTCCTTCCTCTCTCTTTTTTTGTGTATTTTGGTTACCCACTAATTGGTCATATTTATTATGTAGCTTCAGTCTTTATCAATTTATACCTATTTAGAGTACATACTTATTTTGAAAATGAGTTATATGTATTTGTCTTTAGATATGTCTATATGATATAGATTTACGTAAATATGTACATAACACATTTAACAATATCAAAGGCTTTCTCTAAAGATAAACACATGTAGCTCATTTTCATACATATATTTATATAACACATATATTCGATGCACACATATATGTACATATATGTATATGTGTGTATCGTATATATGTTATATAAATATATGTATTAAAATATATGTACATGTATGTATATATATGTATATATGTGTGTATCAAAACAAGGTAAGAGTTTAGAGAGTAATAATGAAAGGGAAGAGTATGTGTCTTGTTTTAGATCATTTTAGATCAGGGAAGTCCTTTTGGATAGAGTGATATTTGAGCAGATATTATATACATTACCTATATATTATATAACATGGTGTTCAGGATCCAGGCTTTTCTGCTCTCTACACACACGCACACATATGAAAGTGTTGGGAAAAGAGGTCATTGTTTGAGAGAACCTTTGAGGTCTGTTCTAAACTTGTAGACCTTCCTAAACCTTAGGGATTAGACTGCAAGTACAGTACATTCTGTTTCCCAAACAAAGATAACATTTTCTACTTTAGGGAATCTAAACAATGAGCATTTTCCTTTCCTTTCTCTGTTTCATAAGCCTAAACTCCCTCTAGCCTGTCAGTTATGATTATATGTACTGTTCCCAGCTAATGCAAATAAGAGAAGCTGTTGATGGAAATTTTACAGACTTCCAGAAGTATTGTGGCAACATGAAATTGATTCAATCAATGTGCTGGTAGTGTTTACAGAGCCTGGCTTCTTTGATTCTATCTACAAGTCTCACCACCATCTAATTTGGTATCTATATTTTTTGCATTTTCCAGATCTCTTTTTCAGTCAAAATCTGCATATCCAGAAGCAAAAAAGGCAAAATACCTTTGTTGCTGCTTAATGGTCAACTCTAATAGGAAAGGAAAAGTTAATTAAAATCTATGAAAATGAAACAAGTAGCCTTTAAAGATAAGCTGTACAATGTGGCCAGTGTTAATATGACAATTTGTTAATGGACTAGGCAGTTGTAATCAGTGTTAAAAATTACTTGAGGATTTTTTTATGTTTAGCAAAAGCTACTAATTAAAAGAAGCAATGACCCGTGAGATTATCCATGAAAACCATTTGCTATTGGAACATAACACCAAAGAAAACACTAATTTAAAAATTTTCATAGTTTATAAAGATAAAATTATAATAAAAATAAAATAAATAATTTTTTAAAGTTTATACTATAATATTTTATTGGAAACT
The DNA here is from genome assembly GCF_000001405.40 of Homo sapiens. Classification (NCBI taxonomy): domain Eukaryota; kingdom Metazoa; phylum Chordata; class Mammalia; order Primates; family Hominidae; genus Homo; species Homo sapiens. The sequence goes on along the minus strand of NC_000014.9, from coordinate 80,605,931 downwards.
GTTTTGGTTTACTTTTATTTTTCTATTACCAATTGGGTAGTTTTTGAATCCCTTCTGTTTAAATGAGACACACATTTTTACTTCTCATTAATAGAAAGGGACTAAAACCACTAAAATCCCAAACCTTCATATTCATGAACTGGATTTAGTATGCTTGACTGCCCTTTGGAAGGTCTGTCTGATGTCTGGTTTGAGGAAAAACTGTCTTTTGGAAGACATTCTTGGCCTTTTTTTGCCTTGACACTGACAGGAAAGAAAGTGATCTGACAAATGAAAATATTCATGTTATGTAATCCATTTGTGAAAAAATCCACTTTGTTCTTTTTTCTGCTTCCAGATGATAGAGTAATTTAATTTGTTCTTGGAATTTAAAAAGAGTCTGAATAAGAAGATATAGAAGAATTACTGTAATTGTGAGGATTTGAAGAACAAAAAGGGAAGATTTGCAATTATCTAAAGTGTATTTATCCTGGGTGTAGAAGAAAACAGATAGATATTCGAGGTGAACGAGAATGAATTTGTCACATGTCTTTATTATCTATAAACAGTCCTAACAACAAAAATAATTATTTAAACTAAGAATCTGTTTGGATTCCTAAAAGGTTTTAGGGAGATAATTGTTATACATATTAATTCTGAATAATTATTACTCATACACATTGAGCCATTCAACTAGGAGGCAACAACTAACACTTAGAGACCATGCAGCAACCTACAAAGATACAGTGCCTAAAATTTCAGAGCTACGGAGATCTTTGCAATAATTTAGCAGATAATAGAACCTCACTTTTTATTGATAGGATCGTTATGGCCAAGAAAGATTAAGTTTCCATCTTTGAAAATCTACTTAGCTAACTAATAGCAGAGAAAGAATGAGAACCCAGGTCTCCTGACTTCCATTCTGATAGTTTTTCACCATATTGCATACTTTGAATGGGCTTGGTAGAAACTTGTCCAGAAACTTGAGTATTACTGACTGGTTTGTGTAGCCATGAGTTTTGTCTTTTTTGTCCTAATTGTCAACTTAATCTGAATTTCAGATCTGTCTAGAGTCTTCTGACTTTTGCCAGAAGATAACTACTTTTGAAACAGAAGTCCTAACCTTTCAGAAAAAGTATATACAATATTCTGAACTAGAATCTCCTGAACATGGTACTTACCAAAGAGTTTGAATATAGTGGTAGATCCAAATGCATAACAATGAACTGTAATAGAATAAATACTATAATAAAAGTAGGAACAAAGCGATCTGGAAACAGAAACAGCAGCAATATCTCCAGGAATATGAGTGGTGTTTGGGCACGGGATGGTTTGTAAAAGCTAACCGAGGATACGTTTTAAGCTGAGATTCGAATAATGTTATATATTGTCTATGTAGTGAAGGTCAGGAAGGACATTGCAGATAATGCTAGGAGATGTTGCAATGATAACAGAAGATAATACTCTTGGAAGTAAATTTGTTGACAGATCCTTTATAAAGCATGTACTAAGGAGTTTGACCTTAATCTCAGCATGGGAAACACTAGCCACATTTCATTCTTCTCCTCTATTCCCATATCCATCGAGGATATTAAAACTGAATTCAAGAATGTCTTTTCATTCAGCTCAGGCATATCCCTAGAATACTTGACCATATACACTTCAGCAAACCATGACCAATCAATCACTTGTATCAACACAGGTGGAATCTATTTCTGTAAGCAGTTCAAAGTCAGAGGATGTCTTTGAACAAAGAGGGACATGAGCATATCTATTTTAGATTCATGACTCTGGGCACTGTAAGGGAAACATTGGTAGGAAACACCAACAGGATGCTGTTATAATAATTTGGGGGAGAATTTCAGGAGATGTTTTAGAAGTAGAATGTATAGAACTAGAAAATATTGCTTTTTTGAAAGTTTTAGTAATAACTTTTTGTTTTTACCTGTAACATTCATTTTGAGATGTAACAAAAGCTTCATCGTTTCACAACATTTCACTGAATTGATTCCTAAATACTCAAATTAGCAAGAAAGGACTTAATTTCCACTTTACAAGGTATGGGGAGGGAGAAGCAATATTACTATAGAATTTCACTTTTTGGAGCAGAATACAATGCCTGAGAGAATATTGATGGTCTTTATCCTAGCAGTATGGGATTCTACTCAATTATTTTCTCTCTTGGCAAGCAGGGCTCTCTAATCACCAACACATAATTTATATTCATAATTGATAATAATTGCAATATCTTTTTACAGGCATGATGAAATAATAATGATGAAAATTGCTATTAATTGAGAGATTGCTATTAATTGTGTCTATTTTAGAGCGGAGGAAGGAGGAGTAGATGGACAAGATTGTAGACCCATGTGACTGATCCCAGAGTCCATGCTCTGTATTCCATTTATAAAAGGAATAGTGGTCTTCCCATGTTTTCTAAATAAACTGGGATAGGATTTACATAAAATAAAATTCAGCTTTTTAAAGTGTACATTTTAGTGTATTCATTCACAAGGTCATGCAGCTATCAGTATCTAATTCCAGAACATTTTTTATCAGCCCTGAAAGAAACCTCATAATTATTAACAGTTACTCCCATATCCCTCCCTCCAGCCTCTGGCAACCACAAATCTACTTTTTGTCTCTATGGATTTGCCTGTTCTGACCATTTCATATAATAAAATGATACAATATAGTATGGAAATACCACATTTTGTTTATCTATTCATCATTTGATGGACAGTTGGGTTGTTTCCATCTTTCAGCTATCATGAATAATGCTGCTGGCCAGAAAGGCCATTGTCTCATTTGCTGAGGCCACACTCCAGAGCCAGGACAAATGAAAGGCCTCATTCAGAAATGGCAGAATTGCTTCCTCCCATTAAGTTTAAAAGCCCTTTGGAAAGTGAAGTTTCTGGTCCTCCTTAATAAGCACACTGTATCCCATACATTTTAGTATGTCGTGTTTTTGTTTTCATTTTTCTCAAAGTATGTTCTAATTTCACTTTTGATTTCTTCTTTGACCATAGGATTTTTAGGAGTATGTTTTTTAATTTCTATGCATTTGTGAATTCCCCAAATTTCCTTCTGTTACTACTTTCTAAAATCATTTTGTTGTGTTGAGGACATACTTTGTATAATTTCATTCCTTTTAATTTATTTTATTTTATTTTTATTTTTTGAGACGGAGTCTTGCTCTGTCACCCAGGCTGGAATGCAGTGGCGCGATCTCGGCTCACTGCAACCTCTGCCTCCCGGTTCAAGCAATTCTGCTGCCTCAGCCTCCTGAGTAGCTAGGACTACAGGTGCATGCCACCATGCCTGGCTAATTATTTTTGTATTTTTAGAAGAGACGGAGTTTCATGGTGTTAGCCAGGATGGTCTCAATCTCCTGACCTTGTGATCCACCTACCTTGGCCTCCCAAAGTGCTGGGATTACAAGCATAAGCCACCACGCCCAGCCTCCTTTTAATTTATTTAGACATTATTGATGGCCTATCATATGGTTTGTCTTGGAGAATGTATGCCTTTGGGGAGAATGTGTATTCTGCTGTTGCTGAGTAAAGTGTTCTATAGATGACTATTAGGTCTAGTTGGTTTAGACTGTTGTTCAGGCCTTCTCATTACTTGCTGATCTTTCTTCAAATGTTTATTTGTTCTATCCTATATTGAAAGTTGGGTATTATTGAAGGTGGGGTATTGTTACAGTCTCCAACTATTATTGTTGTATTCTTTACCCTCAATTCTGTCCATTTTTCTGTCATGTGTTTTGAGACTCTGTTGTTATTTGCATATATACTTATAATTGTTATATAGTCTTGATTGATTGACCCTTTTATTATTTTATGTCCTTTGTCTCAGAACAAGTTTTGTCTAAAAGTCTGTATTGTTTGATATTAGTATAACTATTCTAGCTCTCTTTGGTTACTGTTTTCATCCTTTTTTAACCTACTTTTGTCTTCGAATCTAAACTATTTCTCTTATAGATAGCATAAAGTTGAATTATATGCATTTATAAATCTGCCAATCTCCACTTTTTAACTGGAGAGTTTATATTTAATGTAATTACAGTTATGTGTGCCACTTAAGAACATTTTGGTTAATGATGGACTGCATATATGACAGTGTTCCCATAAGGTAATAACAGAGTTGAAAAATTTCTATTGCCTAGTGATGTCATAGCCATCATAATGTCATAGCACAATGCATTATCTTCTCTATGTTTAGATATTTGTAAATATACAAATACTTAGTATTGTGTTACATTTGCTTATGGTATTCAATATAGTAACATGCTGTACAGTAACGTGCTGTACAAACATGTTCATTGCCTAGGAACAATAGGCTATACTATATAGCCTAGTTGTACAGTAGGCTATACCATCTAGGTTTGTGTAAATATACTCTATGACAATCTTGTCCAACCTGTGGCCCAGGACATCTTTGAATGTGGTCCCCCCAAAATTTGTAAACTTTCTTAAAACATTATGAGATTTTTTTGTGATTTTTGTTTTGTTTCAGCTGTCATTAGTGTTAATTTTATGTGTGGCCCACGAAAATTCTTCTTCCAGTGTGGCCCAGGGAAGCCAAAAGATTGGACACCCCTGTTCTACGATGTTTGCAAAATGAGGAAATTGCCTAAAAATGCATTTCTCAGAACACCACACTTCTCAGAACACATCCCTATCATTAAGCAATGCACGACTTATATACTTACAAGGAAACACATCTGCCATTTTGCTAGTTGTTTGTATTTGTTTTATGTCTTTTTTTCCCTCAATTTCTTTATAATTGCCTTTTCTTTTGTTAAATACATATTTAGGTATTAAGTATGTAAATATTTAATAGAGATTTCCCAGCATAGTATTGTCTTTTTTTTTATTTTTGAGTTTTTTCTTAATGATTGCCCTAGGATTGCCTTAATGATTTTTCTTCTTCATGTATAATCTTCTTCATATATCATCTTCATGTATATTCTTCAGTTTTCTTCTTCATGTATAAAATTCTAGTTTGGATTAATATCAAGTTAATTTCAATAGCATACAATTTTTTTGCTCTTCCGTAATTCTGTTACCTTATATTTCCTTTGTATTGTTATTGTGATACAGATTATATCATATACTGTATATGTATCAACTCAGACTTATAATTATTGCTTTAAATAGTTGGCTTGTAAATCAGGTAGGGAAATAAAAGGAGTTACAAAGAAAAAAATACATTTTTGTCTATGTTTAGATATTTGTAAACATCTAAAATAAGCAAAGAAAAAATACATTTATACTGTTTTTAAAATATTTATCTATATAGTTACCTTTACTGATACTATTTATTTATTTGTGTGGACTTGACTTATTGTCTACTGTACTTTCATTTCACCATGAAAGACCCTGGGAATGTGTTAATATCTCTGTGATTTTGAATGACAGTTTTGCTGCATGTAAAGTTCTTCACTGACAGTTTCTTTTCTCTCTCTTTTTTCTGTTTATCCCTTCGAATATGTAATCCACTGCCTTCTAGCCTTGATTTCTGATACAAAACCCTTCTATGTGATAAGTCACTTTTCTCTCACTGCTTTCAAGATTATCTCTTTTTCTCTAGCTTTTGAGAATTTGATTATGATGTATCTAGGTGTGAATGTCTTTGAATTTATCCTATTTGAAGTTCATTGAACTTATCAGTTTTGCAAATTAATGTTTTTAATCAAATTTGGGAATTTTTACGTTTCAAATAATTCCTTTGGGAATTATCTTTTCAAATATGTTTCTTCCCCACTTTCTTTTTCCTCTCCTTATGGGAGTGTCATTTTGCATATGTTGGTATACTTCAAGGTGTCCCACTGCTCTTTTAAGTCTCTGTTCATTTTTCTTCAGTCTCTTGTCTTCTGAGGATGACATGATGACAAAAAAGAATGAATCTGGGGTGCTGATGACATCGTAGAGCCTCTGCTCCACCCCTGTAGCTCCTACCTCTATATTTCATGGTATGTGAAAGAAAACACAGATATCTTCAGGCTTTTTCTTCTGCCTGCTCAAATCTGCTACTGAGCCTCTTTAATTATTTTTAAATTTCAGTTTCTCTACTTTTCAATCCAGTATTTCTACTTGGTTATTTTTTAGATCTCTTTATTAAAATTTTCCATTTTGCAAGACATCATTCTCATACTTTTCCTCAGTTCTTTGGGTATGATTTCCTTTAGGTTTTTTTGTACATATTTAAAATAAATTATTTAAGGTGTTTGAGTATTAATTCTAACATCGGGGCTTTCTAGTATGACCAAGTTTTTTTTTCTTTCTTTTTTAAAGTAGTACAGTGTCTAACTATATACTTTGCTTTAGAAATATGGATAACTGCAGTAGTCTAGAAAAAAGAATATGACTCAGCCGGGCGCAGTGGCTCATGCCTGTAATCCCAGCACTTTGGGAGGCTAAGGCGGGTGGATCACGAGGTCAGGAGATTGAGACCATCCTGGCTAACATGGTGAAACCCCGTCTCTACTAAAAAATACAAAAAAAATTAGCCGGGCGTGGTGGCGGGTGCCTGTCATCCCAGCTACTCAGGAGGCTGAGGCAGGAGAATGGCGTGAACCTGGGAGGCAGAGCTTGCGGTGAGCCGAGATCAAGCCGCTGCACTCCAGCCTGGGTGACAGAGCGAGACTCCGTCTCAAAAAAAAAAAAAAAAAAAAAAAAAGAATATGACTGTGTACTAGGGTAGATGCAGTGAACTGCACAAGGAAGGGCAAGTGTTGAGGTGTTAACCTCAAAGAGGAATTAATTAACCAATTAAAATTTAAGATCCATTATCTGTCATTGTGCCCAAAATACTTCTGAATTTTTAAATTAAACTTGTGATGTTATTGTTAGATTCACATGAAGTAAGAAATAATAAGAGAGATCGTATAATACATAAAGATCATTTTACCTATTCTCCTTCAGTGGAAATATCTTATAAAATCATTGTACATTATCACAACCAGGGTACTGACACTGATATTGTCAAGATATAGAACATTTCCATCAACATGAAGATCTACCATGTTTTTATATTTTTTATAGCCACATCCACTTCTCTTCCACCCTCATTCCATTCTTAAACCCTGGCAGTCACTAATCTGTTCTCCATTTCTATAATTTGGATTTTCTATTCTGTTCAATTACTTTTCTATTCTGTTCTATTGAGCTATGAGCATATCCCTCCACCAAAACCACAGTCTTGATACTCTAACTCCATAATAACTCTAGAAATTGGGTATACTTATTTCTTCCAATTTATTCTTAATTTTTAAAAATTGTTTTACTTATTCGAGTTCCTTTTCCTTTCCATATAGACTTAAGAATAATCTTGTTGTTAGCTACAAAAAAGTATTGCTGTATTTTGATAGAAATTGTATGGAACTTGCATATTAGTTTGGAGAGAACTGACGTCTTTACTATGTGAGTCTTCTAATCCATGAATACAGTACGTCTTATAATTTGTTTATGTCTCCTTTAATTTCTTTCATGACAGTGTTTTGTTTTCTGCAAACAAATTCTTTACATGTTTTGTTAAATTTATACTTATTTCATTTTTGAGTCTTTTCAAATGGAGTGATTTTAAATGGTATAATAATTTTAAATTTTGATGTCTACACATTCACTCCTAATGTATAGAAATATAATAGATTTTTGTATATTTATCTTGTATTTTGTGACCTTGCTGAATTCACTTGTTGGTTGTTTGAGGTGGGCTTTTATTGTTGTTTTGTTTTGTAGATTCTTTGGGATTTTTTTTCATGATGACAACCATGCTATCTGCAAATACGGACACTTTTTTTCTTTGCTTCCAATCTCTATGCCTTTATTTTCTTTTCTTCATTGTATTATAGAACTTCCTGTACTATGATGAATAAGAATTGTGAGAGTAGGTATTCTTGTCTTATTTCTCATCTTAAATGGAAAACATTTCAGTCTTTCACCATTTAGCATAATGCTAGCCATAGGGTTTTGTTTTTTTTTTTTTTTTTTTTGTAGCTGAGGAATTCCCTTCTAGTTCCTTTTTCTGAGTTTATTTTTATCATAAATGGTCAATGAATTTTGTCAAATACTTGTTATTCATTGATTGATATGATCCTGTGATTTTTGTTTATCTTCAGCCTGTTAAGATAATGGATTACATTGATTTTCAAATACTGAACCAACTTTGTATCCCTAGAATAAGTGCAACATGGTCATGTTACATAATTCTTATTATAAGTTGCTAAATTCTATTTGCTAATTATTTAAAAAAGATGTGTTTTCTATGCTCAGGAGAAAGCTGCGGTTTTTTTTTTTCTTTTCTTTCTTTTCTTTCTTTCTTTGTTTTTTTGAGGGACAATTGTCTATTGTTTTTGGTATTGAAATAGGCTAAATAAAATAAATGGGAAATATTTCATTTTCTTCTGTTTTCTGAAAGAAATTGTATAAACTGGTACCAATTCTTCTTTGAACATTTGGTAAAAGTTATTAGTGAAACCATTGGACCTGGAGATTTTTGTTCTGCAAGTTTTAAAATTACACATCTATTGTTCTGAATAGTTACAAGGCTATTTAAATTAGGTATTTTACATTGGGTAAGTTATGGTACTTTGTGTTCCATATCTTCTAAATTATCAAATTTATGTTTGTAAGGTTGTTTGCAGTCTTCCCTTAAAATCCTTCTCATATCAGCAGGACCTATAGGAATATCTTCATTCCTAACGTTGGTAATTGTGTTTTCTCTTCACCCTCCCTTGTTCCCTGCCCCGTCTCTCTTTCTCTGTCAATCTTGGTAAAGGTTTGTCAATTTTATTGAACTTTGTAAGGAACCAGCTCATTGTTTCATTGACTTTTTTTTCCCTCTTGTTCTCTATTGTCTCCTGTTCTCAATTTCATTGATTTTTGTTCTTATCTTTATTACTTCTGCTTGCTGGTTTTTTGTTTTTTTTTAAGGTTCTTGAGGTGGGAGCATAGGGTATTCATTTGAGACTTTTCCTCTTTTCAAATGCATGCATTTAGTTTCATAAATTTTCCTCTCAGAACTGCATCAGCTTTGTCCTACAAATTTTGATATATGACATTTTTGTGATATTTTCTTTTTCTTTTCCTCCCCCCCCCACCTTTTTTTTTTTTTTTTTTTTTTTGTGACAGTGTCTCACTGTTACTCAGACTAGAGTGCAATGGCCCAACCAGCTCACTGAGAACATAGCCACCAACTCCTGGGCTCAAGTGAAGTGATCCTTCTGCCTCAGCCTCCCAAGTAGCTAGGACTATAGGTGCAAGCCACTACACCCAGCTAATCATTTTTACAAATTTTTATAGAGAAGGGATCTCACTGTGTTTCCCAGGCTGGTCTCAACCTTCCGGGCTCAAGTGATCCTCTTGCCTCAGCCTCCCAAAGCTCTGGGATCACAGGCATGAGCCACTGTGCCTAGCTGTTTTCATTTTTATCCAATTCCTGGTATTTTTAAACCTCCCTTGAGAACTTTTCTTTGACTCATGGATTATTTAGAAGGGTTTATTTAGTTTCTATTTATAGGTTTTTTTGTTATATTTATGCTTCTACATATTCTTGATGGTTTTCTGTCAAGTTTTTCTGTCAATTTTTGAGAGAGTGATATTGGGATTTCTAACTCTAATTTTGAATTTGATCTAATATTTGCATGATATATTTTTACTTTCACGATATAATACCTAACCTATATCATTACACTTTAGGTGAGTTTTCTGTAGATAGCATAACATCGGGCCATGTTCTTTAATTCACTCTAACGATCTCCGTCTTTTAATTGGTATATTTAAACCATTTTTATGTAATATAATTACTGATGTGTTAGGATTTAAGTCTGCCTTTTTTTCTGTCTATGTTCTGTATTTTCTCTCCTCTGCCTCTTTTTTTTTTTTTTTTTTCCCTGCTGATATGGTTTGGCTCTGTCCCCACCCAAATCTCACCTTGAATTGTAGCTTCCATAATTTCCATTTGTTCTGGGAGGGACACGGTGAGAGATAATTAAATCATGGGGGCAGGTCTTTCCCATGCTGTTCTGGTGATAGTGAATAAGTCTCATGAGATCCGATGGTTTTATAAGGGGAGTTCCCCTACACAAACTCTCTTGCCTGCTGCCGTGTAAGACGTGACTTTGCTCCTCCTTGCCTTCTGCCATGATTGTGAGGCCTCCCCAGCCATGTGGAACTGTGAGTTCATTAAACCTCTTTCTTTATAAATTACCCAGTCTCAGGTATGTATTTATTAGCAGTGTGAGAACAGACTAATATGCCTTCCTTCCTTTGGGTTATTTGAATAGTCTTTAGAATTACATTTTGATTTATCATGTGTTTTTGAGTAAAACTCTTTGTGTAAGCTTTCAGTAGTTCCTCTGGGTATTATATGCACCTGGCTTATCAGTCTATGTGATACCACCATATCATCAAATTGAAACAGAAACTTTCTCTGTTTATATTTTTTACCCTTCCTGTTTATTAATTTTTTTAATTGTACTTTAAATTCTGGGATACATGTGAAGAACATGCAGGTTTGTTATATAGGTATACAGGTGCCATGGTGGTTTGCTGCACCCATCAACCCATCATCTACATTAGTTATTTCTCCTAATGCTATCCTTCCCCTAGTCCTCCCACCCCCTGACAGGCCCCAGTATGTGATGTTCCCCTCTCTGTGTCCATGTGTTCTCATTGTTCAACTCCAACTTATGAGTGAGAACACACGGTGTTTGGTTTTCCATTCCTGTGTTAGTTTGCTGAGAATGATGGTTTCCCACTTCATCCATGTCCCTGCAAAGACATGAACTCATCCTTTTTATGGCTGCATAGTATTCCATGTGTGTATGTGCCACATTTTCTTTATCTAGTCTATCATTGATGGGCATTTGGGTTGGTTCCAAGTCTTTGCTATTGTGAATAGTGCTGCAATAAACACATGTGTGCATGTGTTTTAACAGTAGAATGATTTATAATCCTTTGAGTTTATACCCAGTAATGGGATTGCTGGGTCAAATGATATTTCTGGTTCTAGATCCTTGAGGAATTGCCACACTGTCTTCCACAATGGTTGAACTAGATTTACACTCCCACCAACAGTGTAAAAGTGTTCCTATTTCTGCACATCCTCTCCAGGATCTGTTGTTTCCTGACTTTTTAATGATTGCCATTCTAACTGGTGTGAGATGGGTATCTCATTGTGGTTTTGATTTGCATTTCTCTAATGACCAGTGATGATGAGCTTTTTTTCATATATTTGTTGGCTGCATAAATGTCTTCCTTTGAGAAGTGTCTGTTCATATCCTTCGCCCACTTTTTGATGGGGTTGTTTGTTTTTTTCTTATAAATTTGTTTAAGTTCCTTGTAGATTCTGGATACTAGCCCTTTGTCAGATGGAGAGATTGCAAAAATGTTCTCCCATTCTGTATGTTGCCTGTTCACTCTGATGATAGTTCCTTTTGCTGTGCAGAAGCTCTTAGTTTAATTAGATCCCATTTATCAATTTTGGCTTTTGTTGCCATTGCTTTTGGTGTTTTAGTCATGAAGTCTTTGCCCATGCCTATGTCCTGAATGGTATTGCCTAGGTTTTCTTCTAGGGTTTTTATGGTTTTAGGTCTTATGTTTAAGTCTTTAATTCATCTGGAGTTAATTTTTGTATAATGTGTAAGGAAGGGGTCCAGTTTCAGTTTTCTGCATATGGCTAGCCAGTTACCCCAACACCATTTATTAAATAGGGAATCCTTTCCCCATTGCCTGTTTTTGTCCTGTTTGTCAAAGGTGAAATGGTTGTAGATGTGTGGAGTTATTTCTGAGGCCTCTGTTCTGTTCCATTTGTCTATATATCTGTGTTGGTACCAGTATCACGTTGTTTTGGTTAATGTAGCCTTGTAGTATAGTTTGAAGTCAGGTAGCGTGATGCCTCCCACTTTGTTCTTTTTGCTTAGGATTGTCTTGGCTATATGAGTTATATTTTGGTTCCATATGAAATTTAAAGTAGTTTTTCTAACTCTGTGAAGAAAGTCAATGGTAGCATGATGGGGATAGCACTGAATCTATAAATTACTTCGGGCAGTATGGCCATTTTCACAATATTAATTCTTCCTATTCATGAGCATGGAATGTTTTTCCATTTGTTTGTGTCCTCTCTTATTTCCTTGAGCAGTGGTTTGTAGTTCTCCTTGAAGAGGTCCTTCACATCCCTTGTAAGTTGTATTCCTAGATATTTTATTCTCTTTGTAGCAATTGTGAATGAGAGTTCTCTCATGATTTGGCTCTCCGTTTGTCTATTATTGGTGTATAGGAATGCTTGTGATTTTTGCATATTGATTTTGTATCCTGAGACTTTGCTGAAGTTGCTTATCAGCTTAAGGAGATTTGGGGCTGAGAAGATGGGGTTTTCTTTTTTTTTTTTTTTTTTTGAGATGGAGTCTTGCTCTGTCACCCAGGCTGGAGTGCAAGTGCAGTGGCATGATCTGGGCTCACTGCAAGCTCCGCCTCCTGGGTTCACACCATTCTCCTGCCTCAGTCACCCGAGTAGCTGGGACTACAGGCGCCTTCCACCATGCCTGGCTAATTTTTTTGTGTTTTCTTTAGTAGAGATGGGGTTTCACCATGTTAGCCAAGATGGTCTCGATCTCCTGACCTTGTGATCTGCCCTCCTCAGTGGCAGGGATTACAGGTGTGAGCCACCTCACCCGGCCGACAACAGGGTTTTTTTTAAATAAACAATCATGTCATCTGCAAACAGAGACAATTTGACTTCCTCTCTTCCTGTTTGAATACCATTTATTTCTGGTATTCTCTTGCCTGATTGCCCTGGCCAGAACTTCCAATACTATGTTGAATAGGAGTGGTGAGAGAGGGCATCCTTGTCTTGTGCCAGTTTTCAAAGGGAATGCTTCCAGTTTTTGCCCATTCAGTATGATATTGTCTGTGGGTTTGTCATAAATAGTTCTTATTATTTTGAGATATGTTCCCTCAATACCTAGTTTATTGAGAGTTTTTAGCATGAAGCACTGTTGAATTTTGTCGAAGTCCTTTTCTGCATCTATTGAGATAATCATGTGGCTTTTGTTGTTGGTTCTATTTACATAATGATTACATTTATTGATTTGTGTATGCTGAACCAGCCTTGCATCCCAGGGTTGAAGCCGACTGGATGATTATGGATAAGCTTATTGATGTGCTGCTGGATTCGGTTTGCCAGTATTTATTTTATTTAGGATTTTTGCAATGTTCTTCAGGGATATTGACCTGAAATTTTCTTTTTTTGTTGTGTCTCCGCCTGGTTTTCGTATCAGGATGGTGCTGGCCTCATAAAATAAGTTACGGAGGATTCCCTCTTTTTCTATTGTTTGGAATAGTTTCAGAAGGAATGGTACCAGCTCCTCTTTGTACCTCTGGTAGAATTCGGCTGTGAATCCGTCTGGTCCTGGGCTTGTTTTGGTTGGTAGGCTATTACTACCTCAATTTGAGAACTTGTTATTGGCCTATTCAGGGATTCAGCTTCTTCCTAGTTTAGTCTTGGGAGGGTGTATGTGTCCAGGAATTTATCCATTTCTTGTAGATTTTCTAGTTTATTTGTGTAGAGGTGTTTATAGTATTCTCTGATGGTAGTTTGCATTTGTGTGGGATCAGTGGTGATATCCCCTTCACCATTTTTTATTGTGTCTATTTGATTCTCCCCTGTTTTCTACCTTATTAATCTGGATAGTGGTCTATTTTGTTAGTATTTTCAAAAAACCAGCTCCTGGATTCATTGATTTTTTTGAAGGGTTTTTCATGTCTCTGTCTCCTTCAGTTCTGCTCTGATCTTAGTTATTTCTTGTCTTCTGCTAGCTTTTGAATTTGTTTGCTCCAGCTTCTCTAGTTCTTTTAATTGTGATCTTAGGGTGTCAATTTTAGATCTTTCCAGCTTTCTCTTGTGGGCATTTAGTGCTATAAATTTCCCTCTAAACACTGCTTATCTGTGTCCCAGAGATTCTGGTATATTGTGTCTTTGTTCTCATTGGTTTCAAACAACTTTTTTATTTCAGCCTTAATTTCATTATTTACCCAGTAGTCATTCAGGAGCAAGTTGTTTAGTTTCCATGTAGTTGTACGGTTTTGAGTGAGTTTCTTAATCCTGAGTTCTAATTTGATTGCACTGTGGTTTGAGACACTGTTTGTTATGATTTCCATTATTTTGCATTTGCTGATGAGTGTTTTACTTCCAATTATGTGGTCAGTTTTAGAAATAGTGTGATGTGGTACTAAGAAGAATGTACATTCTGTTGACTTGGAGTGGAGAGTTCTGTAGATGTCTGTAAGGTCTGCTTGGTCCAGAGCTGAATTCAAGTCCTGAATATCCTTGTTAATTTTCTGTCTCATTGATCTGTCTAGTATTGACAGTGGGGTGTTAAAGTCTCCCACTATTGTTGTGTGGGAGTCTATGTCTCTTTGTAGGTCTCTAAGAATTTGCTTTATGGATCTGGGTGCTCCTATATTGGGTACATATATAATTAGGATAGTTAGCTCTTGTTGCATTGATTCCCTTACCATTATGTAATGCCCTTCTTTGTCTTTTTTGATCTTTGTTGGTTTAAAGTCTATTTTATCAGAGACTAGGATTGCAACCCCTGCTTTTTTTTTTCTTTCCATTTGCTTGGTAAATATTCCTCCATCCCTTTATTTTGAGCCTACGTGTGTCTTTGTACGTGAGATGGGTCTCCTGAATACAGCACACCGATGGGTCTTGACTCTTTATCCAATTTTCCAGTCTGTGTCTTTTAATTGGGACATTTAGCCCATTTACATTTAAGGTTAATATTGTTATGTGTGAATTTGATCCTGTCATTATGATGCTAGCTGTTTATTTTGCCCATTAGTTGATGCAGTTTCTTCCTAGTGTTGATGGTCTTTACTATTTGGTATGTTTTTGCAGTGGCTGGTACTGGTTTTTCCTTTCCGTATTTAGTGCTTCCTTCAGGAGCTCTTGCAAGGCTGGCCCGGTGGTGACAGAATCTCTCAGCATTTGTTTGTCTGTAAAGGATTTTATTTCTCCTTCAGTTATGAAGCTTAGTTTGGCTGGATATGAAATTCTGGGTTGAAAATTCTTTTCTTTAAGAATGTTGAATATTGGCCCCCACTTTCTTCTGGCTTGTAGGGTTTCTGCCAAGAGATCCGCTGTTAGTCTTAAATGTTCCCTCTAAATACTTTTAGGAGCACATAAGATATTGTTACAATTTTTGCTTCAACCATCAAACATAGTCTAGAAAATTCAAAAGATATCTATTGTATGTACCTGTATTTTTGATTGTGTTCTTTCTTTTTTTTCTCCTCTTCTAATATTCTTTCTCTTATGTCCTTTCTTTTTAGAGAATTTCTTTTAGTCATTCTTCAGGATAGGTCTGATGACAATAAATTATCTTAATTTTTCTTCCTAGGAATGTCTTGCCTTCATCTTTATTCCTAAACAGTATTTTCACTAGATATAGGATTCTGGGTTGTCAGTTTTGTTTTTTAGCATTTTTAAAAAATGTGACTTTTTTAATGGCCTGTGTGGTTTCTAATGAGCATTTTATTATTATTCTAATTGTTTCCCCCTGTAAGTAAGATATTGTTTCTGTCTTACTGCTTTCAAGACTTGTTCTTTTCCTTTGGTTTTTAGAACTCTATGAAGCATCTTCATGTGGATTTCCTTATATTTATCTTCTTTCGGGTTCACATAGGTTCTTCAATCCAAGAGTTACGTCTCTTATGAAAATTTGGAAATTTTCAGGTGTGTAAACACATGCTTGCCATTTCAAGATGAATACCCAGTTCTGTGAGGATTCATGTCCTTGTTTCAGTACAACACAGATTTACTCTAAGCCATGCTGCAGGTGATCATTCTTGTGTCTCATTACTGCCTACTCACTGGGTATCTTTCTGGACTTGCTCTTTATATGTGAAGCGGATTCCTGAGTTGGCATTATTTTCCACTGTGTGAAGGAGAATTGTAAAACGCTTGTTACCTGAATTTTCAAATTCAGTCCAGAAAAAAATTTAATAAGGTATAATATTAAACTAATTTATTGGCATCTACATTCTGGTAAATGACATCATATTGCATGTCAGAGAGTTATTAACTAGTTTCTTATAGATGTTGTCATTATTTTAAAAATACTTAGAGAAATAGTATTTGCCAGGCACTGAGGATATAGTGGTAAACAGTTCTTACCCTTGGGGTATTACATACCAAACTGTACCTTGAATGTTAATATCAGCACATGCCTTTTATAGGGATGACTAAACTTTATAGGTTGGTCTACATAATTACACTCCAGCATAGGTGCGAAGTGGGGATAATTTTAGGCAACTCAGTAAGAAATTTTTGAGGAGCTAAACGCAGGTGTGCATGACTCTTTCACTGAGGAAACTAACAATTTTGGAGTCACAGCTTATGACATGTTACATTCAAGTTTTGCCATGAAAGACCTCCTCTTCACTGTTCCTACCTAATCACAGGTTTCTTCACAAGGCTTTCATTGAATGTGGCATACCATATACCATGTATAGTACATTTTGATTACCAGATACCAGAATTGAGGGTAGATGTTATGAACCCTTAAATTTTCTTAGAGTTGAATTTATTACTTAATGAAAGTTCTAAGGTGTGTTAGTTTTCTATTAATGCTATAAAGAATTACCACAAATTTAGTGGCTTAAAATAACATACCTCTGGAGGTCAGGAATGAAAATGGATCTCACTGTGCTAAAATCAAGATGTCAGCTGGGCTGCCTTATTCTCTGAAGGCTCTTGAAGAGTCTGTTTTCTTGCCTTTTCCAGCTTCTAGAGGTTTCCTTCATCCCTTGGCTCATGCTTCCCTTCCTCTATATTCAAAATCAGTAAGGACCACTTGAGTCTTTTTCACAGTGTCTTCTGATTACATTGGACCCACATGGGTAATTAAGGATAATCTTTATATTAAAGATATCTGATTAACTACCTTAATTCCCACTTTCTTTCTTATCCCATTTTCTTCCTCATGGCTACTTCATGAAGTGAGATAACACTCAATGTGTTTTGAAGCTTTGTGGATGAGGAGACTGAGACAAAGAGGATTGAAGCCATTTGCCCACCTGGAGGTTTAGCAAAAATATTTCTAAAATTTAGTGAAAGTCCCATGCTTTTTTTAAAAGCTCACTGAATGAAAACATAATGTTTTTATGTAAAAATCTTAACATTAAGTTTTTAAGGAAAGGATTTGTAAGATGCAAACACTTTGAATAGAGCTGAGCTGTAATAATTCGTCTTTAAAATGGCCTCAAAGTGGGGAGGGGATGGGGCAACAATTAAACACCATATGTCTGAACTTGGACTTCTTTTAGTAGTTTAAGATTTGTTGACCAATCAAGTTTAAAACTGAAGATTTAAATTTCAAAATTTTTCAAAATTTTCAGTTGTATCTCCTTTACTGTCAAAAGTTTTGTATGTATATCATATATACCTTAAAACTATCTCTAATCATTTACTTCCCTGAGAGAATATATCAACATACTAGGCCAAATTTGGTAGGAAATACTGATATTTATGAGGAATAAGTTGAAATAAAATGTCTCTATTTAAGCCCAGGATATATTTACATTGTGATGTACCAGATATAAATACATGGGTACGTACTGTCTGTGTGTGGATTGCCAGAGGAAACAGTTGGTGTTTGACATTGAGCTGTACTCTGTAACTAAGTGCACATCACTGATCTATATCATACCATTATTCCACTTCTGAGGTCTGTTTTACTCTTAGAATGTAAGAATTGCAGAAACTAGAAAAAAAATTCACTAAAAATTTCAAATTTCATTTTGATCTAGAGTAGACCCAGGAATCTACAAGGCCTAAGAAGCGTAGATCTGGTTCAGTAGTAGGTACCTCAAGAAACCAGCACAAACTTTTGTAGCTTCTGTAAAGAAGAGGTGATCAAAGAGTAAGTCAAATACCCAGCACTTCTCTGAGCCCCAAAATGTATACCCAGTTGACCTTATGAGTCTAGAACAAGAACAGAGCATAGGATAAACTTTCTCCCAGCCCAATTAATTTAAATGAAAGCAAACTTCCCATTATGTGAGTGTAATGCAGAGTACATGTGGGGAGAAAAATGATTTTATGCCTGGATTTCAGCATATGAAACTTATTCTTGAAATAATGTTTACAATGGATCATAAACTTCTCTTTCTCATTTTGGCCAAGACAGCCCATAGGCCAATTTAGAACAGTGATGTGTTTCCTACTGAATATGTTCTTACTTTCTCTGCTCATGTTACCAATAGAAATGACAGAAAACTTAATAGTTGACTGAGTCAGAACTTTCATTCTATATCAGGATGTTTCTCAGTGCCAGACTCAAGCATGAGGTGGAATGGGGTAGATTATTATGCTATTTTCTGTACTGTGACAGTTTTGTGGCAAGTGGTTTTAAATCTCTAAGGTTGTCGAAGTGGAAAGTTTCACCAGAAATGAATTAACATCAAAGAAAAACATGAGTACCTGTATTTGGATGTTTTACCACATACCCAAGACAGACAGTGAACTGTAAACCTTTCATTTATTGGACCAATTGGGCTCCATCTGTAGACCAGCATGTTGTTTCAGTGTCTGAGACAAACCACAAGGGATAGCCATACTTTTTGAATGTTGTTCTTCATTTTAACCTGTGTGTTTTCTGTGGTAAGGCCGGATGAGAAAACTCTTAACTCATTGCGGTATATCCAGATATGTACCAGTGGGTGGCAGTAGATATGGCAGAGTTCTAAATAATGTAGCTACTTATAATGGATGATGTCTAAAAGCAGTTTACTAATAGGCCTTTTTTGTTTGTTTGTTTTAAATTACAACTGTTTGTTTTGCACATTTTCCTGATTTTAGCAGAGATATTTAAGGGTGATTTAAAAAAAAAATACTGAGAGCTAATACGTATATAATGCTTCTTATATACCAAGCACTATTTTAAATGTTTTACATATATTAACTGAAAGCCCAACACATTTGATTGTTGTTTAGGTATTTGAGCTAATATAGTCATATTGTTATACCTTTATTCAATTTTTCTTTACTAGTATAATAAAATAGGAAAAATGTTTGCTGGTAAATGTTATATTAAGCTGAGAAACTGTCATTCATTGAAACAGATTTTGTGTTGCTGTTTGATTTTGTGAAATCTTCTGTGTGCTGTATATTGAATATATCTTGCTGAAACAACTGCCTTCTCAAGTGTCTAGGTATTTGCTTTCCATCATAGCCATATTTTTGGACGTCATCTCCCAAAACTGAGGAATTTTAACGTGGACAGTTGGTAACTGTGGGTCTTCCCACAGATTGTCGATGTTACACAAGTGCTTTAATGAAGTTTTCTTTTGTTTCTGTTTGGAGAGGCATTAGAAAATATATAGGCATTGGAATACTGTGTCATTTCAATACAAATCTTGAAAGTCAAAGCAGGGCAGTCACTTTTGTGTAAAGAAAAAAAAAGTACTGGACCCTGGTCCAATTCAAAAGCCCTGGGCTCAGATTGATACACCATTAACTAGCTATGTGACATTGACAGAGGCATTTGATCTCGGAACTCAGTCCTCCACTGTGTAACCCCAGGACACTAGATTAGATCAGTAGCTTTCAGTGAGGATAATTTGGAGCTTTGCAGCTTCACCATGCCACCACAGGGGTCTGCCCAAGGATAGGAAGGAGCTTGGTGGGCTGGCCCCCAGGCCCTCCACTTCTGTTTCCTTAAAAGCAGCTCCTTCTCAGCTTTTTAAATTACCTATTTATAATTTACATTAGAAAGTATATATGATTTCCCTTATAAGACAGAATTGTACTTCTTTAGGAAAAAAAAAAGCAACCCTAGGATTAGATTATTTCTGTGTTCTCTTGTCTCTAAAATGTCAATGATTCCAATAACTGGGTAGCTAAGGAAGAAAAAGAGAAACTGACCCGTTATCTCTGGCATGTAGCTAATGTCTTGAGTATCTGGAATGGAATAATAGAAGGCTAAGTCCATCATTTATAGGCTCATAAGGGTTGTAATGTGCTGCTTTATCTGATGAATTTTGTTATATGAAATTATGAATCAAATATATGAATATATTTAAATATATGAATCTGTTCACAAATAGAAATATCATAAATTTACTTTTTAATAAAATATTGAATTATTTTGAGAATTTGCATTATCTATTGTGTTTGGTAAATGTCGAGACACACAGAGTAACACTGGACAGGAGCACTGAATTATAGTAAGTTACAAGAGCCAGAGCTAAATGCTTTTCTCTAAACTGCAATCAGTAACTCAACATATTCTGCTGCCAATGTTACTCTGTCCAGTGCTGTTGTTATAAATGTTGCTGTGTCAGAAGCCTCTGTTTCTATAACTTTCTCTCCATTATCAGTTGGGCTTAGTTGTAATATGGATGAGGCATTTTATAGGAATGGTTAAAGAAAAATATAGTCATTTCTCAATTTGATCTTCAGTCTCCCTAGGAAGGTTCAAGTTACTAGATGGGTGTAATTGCTCATACACACCTGGACATGACTCACCTTTGAAAAATAAACAAACAATCTATCTGCTTCTTGGCTACCAGAAACCAAAATCAACATTAAAAAGTGTCAAACCTCCTTAAACAGCCAGATCACTGGTTGCAAAGACTGCAGAGGAAGAGATATAAAACTATCTTAGCCAAAAACTTGGTCGTGATATATTAACCCTAAGTGTTCCAGAGAAATGTAAAGCAGAAACAAAACAAAACAGGACAGCTGGATCATCCAATTCTCATCCATGATGTTCTGCTTTTTTATATGGCTTTTTCTCCCTCTAATGACTTTATGTCATAATGAGTGAGTATCAGCTCATTTAAAAAATTGGAACCAATCCAAGGAAAATACACAGGGCTGCTGCCCTTTTTACCAAAGATCTTTCATTAACTAATGTTGATGGAAGCAAATTTCACCACAGCAATTTACATGGTAGTTGAGTTGCTATTTGTATGGAACAGCAAACCAGAGAGTAATAAAAGAAAACACGAACATGTCAGTGGTGAGCAAGGGAGCAGAGCAGCCCTTTAGCTCTTTCCATGCTGATAAGAAGAGTAGAGCAGACCTTCAGCTCTTTCAATGCTGATAAGAAGAGCAGAGCAGCCCTTCAGCTCTTTCCATGCTGATAAGAACAAACAACAAGATTGTTCATTATAATGAAAGATACTAATCACGCTGTTATCACAGTATTAAGTCACTTTAACTATCTAGGGGTCTCACCTATATTCTCTTGTGTTTTGTCTGTTTGCATAGAGTGGTGCTTCTCAGCGATGCCCAGTAGCCATATTTCATCAGCACAGGTTAATAACCGTGTTCATCATTCCAAATGCATGTGCTTGAACAATGCACCTAACGAGTGAGCAGTGGCATACAGCAATGGTGTGGGTGGAGTGAGCAATTTTGGGGATATAAGTTAAATATCAAAGATAGAAAGGCAGTAGTTAAGGAGAACATGGATGTAAAATATGGATGGGCCAGAGGCAGTGGCTCACACCTGTAATCTCAGCACTTTGGGAGGCCGAGGCGGGCGGATCACTTGAGGTCAGGAGTTCAAGACCAGCCCATCTAACATGGTAAAACCCCGTCTCTACTGAAAATGTAAAAAGTAGCCAGGCGTGCTGGCTGGCACCTGTAATCCAGCTACTGAGGAGGCTGAGGCAGGAGAATCGCTTGAACCCAGGAGGTGGAGGTTTCAGTGAGCCGAGATGGCGCCACTGCACTCCAGTCTGGGCATCGGATGAGACGCTGTCAAACAAAAAAAAAAAAAAAAAAAAAATGTCACGGACGCCCTGATTCAGGGAACTTTTAAAGCAGGTCAGAAGAATACAGACAAGTGTGTATTTTATTTTTAAATCAGTATGAAGAAGGGTGCAATTAAGTATTGAGAGGTACAAATGAGAGCATGATTAGACAGAGCAGGATGATAGGAGAGCAAAGCTGTAGAAGTGGCTTTGTACTAACTAGGTGATCTCAGCCAAACCATTTGCATTTCTTTGAGTCTCATGTCTTCATATATTTGTTGTAGGATGAAACATTTTAAGGTGGACTAGAAAGTTCTTCTAGGTTTCTGAATAGAGATAAGAAGGTTCAATACAACTACATCCCTGGAGACTTTTAAAAATGGCAGTAATCCAACAAAAGCTAATTTAAGAAAAAGAATAGAGGAAGAATTATGTATTGGAAGTCCAGGAGGTTTGTGGGCTTCAGTCAAGGGTGGATGTAGTCCTCAAGCAATTCTCTCTTTCTTGGCTCTCATTTCTTCTTTGCCAGCCTCATTGCTTAATAAGTTTCTTCAACATAGTAGAAAATACAGACTTCGAAACACCAGGCTAATATAAGGTGTGGCTTCAGAAGGAGAAAATTTATTTCCTGGCATTCACATTAATCCTCTAAAAGGACACCTCTGGTGTTGCTTAGCTCATATGCTCAGGGGGATAAGATGCTCTGACTTGCTAGCCTGGGCCATGACCTGCTTCTGCAGCAGGAAAGGTTAGTTAGGCCTCTTGACCAAAAGTTTCATGGAAATCATGTGGAAAAGAGGAACAGGAGTTCTCAAAGGGAAGATATGTGGCACAAAGAAAAAAAAAATAAAAACCAAAACAGGTGTCTGCTTATACCCTTTATACAAGATGGTCAGTCAGGGAGAATATTTATTTAAAATTTAAAATTCTAGGAATTCTTCGGTTGTTTTTATTCAGCCATCCCAAGTCAAGCATTGTCATTGGCATCAGATTTGTTGGAAGAGTAGTATGACCCGTATGTATTTGGAGAAAACTGAGAACATAATTTTAAAGTTCCTATAATTTTATGAAGTTCTGTGAGTAGACTGGACTTCTTTCCTTCTATATTTTATCAGATGAGTGAGTTGTGTTTGGCTGCATAAAAGATCTGACACTCATTATTGATCCAGTAAGTTTTATCTAAGGAGTTTGGACTTGCCATACTAAGTTGACTCTGGAGGAACAAGATTAGTTTTCTTTTGTGGTTGATGAACCCCACTATGTATCACTCCAGTTACACTGCACCATTAAACAATCTAATTCATTACAAAGTGCCCAGCTCTGAGAACCTCCTAATATCCAGAAGTAATGGAGCTAAGTAGCCACATCCTCATAGGAACACAGGAGTGATCTTATATCTCACAAATATTGAAGAGAATTGGGGTAAGGACACAGTTAACTGAAACCAGATGGTGTAGAAATCTGTTGTTTTGGCCTGTCTGATGTCCATCCTTCCTTCTCTAACCCTAATTTTGCATTTGGAAACTATTCTTTCTATTCTTAGTCCAATCCTTTTGGGATTAACAATGAAAGTACTCCATACTTTCCCCTAGCCAAGCAGTAGGCAAGAGATCTAAGCTAGGCTCAGTAGCTGTTCTCTTTATGAAGTTTCATCTTGAGTGGAATGACATAAAGTTTAGAGGAGCCCAGAATAAAATGCTTATTAGCTCATGCTACCTATATCTCGTCCCATCCAGACCTGCTCTAGTTGTTATTGCCTTCAGATTTGGGATCCTCTTTTCCAGTGCATCTATTAGTTATCTCTATATCCTTCTAATAATTTCTAAATACATGTTATTCAAATAGCATCTCATTGCTTTCAGTTGGCAAGTCCCGGGTACCAAACCACTCCAAAATTCCATTTATTTAGCTCCTGGTTCTGTGAATTGGAGTTGACACTGGGCTCAGCTGGGTAGTTTGTCTGGTCTTAGTTGGGCTCCCATCTCAGTCATCTGTAGTCATCCTTAGATCAACTGGGCAACTCTGCTTCTGGGCATTTGCTGGCTGGCAGCTGGGGCAACCTGCAGGGTGACAGAAGTGGGAAGAGTCCTAGACCATGTGTCTGTTGTCATCTAGCAGGTTGGCCTGGGCCTATTCAGATGTCAGTGACAGGGTTCCAAGTGAAAAAGTGGAAATGTGTGAGGCCTCTTAAAGCCTCAGTCTGGACTGAAACAGAGTTACTTCAGCTATATTCTATTCACCAAATCAAGTCAGGAGGCCAGCCCAGATGCAAGAAGTGAAGCAGATGTGCATGGCCTCTTGATGGAAGTAGCTACAATGCCACAATGCAAATGAGTGAGGATGCAGGAAGAGGAATGATTGAGGGCACTTAAACAATCTTCCATACACCAAGTTGGTTTCTGTATCTTATAGCTACAGAACCTGATATGCCAATCAAAACCCCTTTAAAAATACACCCCAAAACACTGGCCTGCTCTTTTTACTTTTTTGACGTACCTGATTAAGGGAGGTTTTGGGAGCCAAAGTCAGTTCCTCTATAGCATACAGAATAGAAACAATCTCTTATCCTTAATCCCAGCATGTTGTGTCTTCAGGAGATTGCTTACCACTCATCTGTAACCCTCTTAGCTGTGCGGCCTCAAAGGGTCATCACAATCAGTTCTGTCATCTGCCAGGTCTCCTGAAATTTTGGTGTATTGCCTGCCCAGTTACAACACACCAGCATGACTTTGTCACTCTACTATATGACTGTTTCCTGCTATATCTAATATAGCACTTGGTAAAACATTTGAGTTTGCCTTTCTGGGATACATATTAGACTTCTGTAACTTATATTTTCCTTTTATGTAACATAGTCTCTTGGTAAGCTATATCAATGAGAGAGTAAGGCAAATACTCATATTAATATACACTGCTGTAGGTGTTTTTTGCCAGTTTTCATCCAAGTTCTGACTCAGCCTAGTCCTCTTTAGGTTTGTGAGATATAATAAGATCATAGCACAGGGTGGTATAGCTGCAGGCAGAAAATATGTTTTCTTAATAGCAAGTTCATAAATTAATGTAGGGCACTGAGACACCATGGCTGTATACATGCATTAAGACAGAGCTCTCTTCAGTTGACGACCTTCCCTTCCAACCACTAATTTCTCTGGGATGGTGCCAAACTCTTAGTCAAATGTAGCTTCAATGCATCCCACCCTCTCAGTGTGAAATGATAATTAATAAGACTTTATGGATGAGGTGGTGTTCCACTTCCAGTTAATAACACCTATTATTCCAGGGTGTTTTAATTTGGTTATAAAAATTGACTGTAGGGGTGGAACTTGGCTTGGGAGCTTGTTTTAAGGGCAAATGGTTTGTTTTTAATTTTTCTTTCAAAAGAAAAAGGCTTTTCTTTTTTTCTAAAGGAAATTTTGTGTTGCATTGAGTTATATAAGCATGAGACCAAATTCTTAAAATATTGGTATGATTACAGATTTTTAATTGATTTGATGTCATCCTTTGGTATGTCAGGTAAAGCTGAGAGATGTCCCAGGGCTTCTTGGCTAGCTTAGAGTTGGCAGGCTCCCGCGCTCTGCCATGTCCTCAGTTGGGATCAGAGCGTGTTTCTTTTACATGGCTTCTCACACTTAAACATTAAATTCTCTTCTCAGGCAACAGTTTATACAAGCTACTGGCTGAATTGCATTTGATGATAAGAGGCAACTCGTTTTTACATTGTATTTTGATGGGTATTTTACTTTCTTATTACAGATCTACTGGAAGAGACCCAAAGAAAAGATGAAGAAATGGGATCTCTGCAGGTAAATTCTTAAATAGGGCAAGCATGCTTGGTATGAAAACATTTGTTTTTTACTCTTTTATCCTTTATTATTGTCACATTCACACTGGTATAGCAAATAGGGTGACAAGGACAATGTCAGAACTATAAAGTTGGAATTTGCTTCCTTTAGAAGTCTCTGAGAGCACTGATCTAAAGCAGGAAGCCAAATCAGCCTCTATGCTACTTTTGATAGGAAATTTTATTCCTTGGTATAGCATAATAGGAACTGCAGCATTAGGAAATGAAGGCAGTATCCTTTCATAGTCATTTCCCTCAAAACAGGACTGATGAATGAAGATGAATTCATGGAATCTACATTTTCAAGTGAAAGTCAAAAGTATTCTGACCCCATGGGTGTCATCTACTAATGACCAACCAATTAACACATAAATAGAGCTTAAGGTTGCCTTGTACAGCCTCTCAATTCAGTACAGGTTTATTCACATTTGTTGGGCTGGAAAATGGTGTTAGAAAGATTCCACTCGAATTTTAGTTGATATTTCTGTGATATGAGCAATGGATGTGAAGTTGGCATCTGACAGAAGTTCTCTCTTCTTTTCACATTGGGCTAACTTACAAATGGGTAACTCAAGTGTCTGTCTTTATTAGGGGAAACATAATCAGTTATATTCCCATGATAGAACCAATTCACTTAATGTCAGGTTGGGGACTAAGAACAGTAAATACTTTGGACATTTAGAGTTCTTCATGGGCCTGGAGCTACAAGGCAAGACTGGAGAGTGATGTCATGAGCTGGTTTGAGTGCTTTACGGGTAAAGATGTTTGCTTTTGGCAAATGAAAGATAGGCCACATAAAGTCCAAAGAGCAAGAGAAGTGTTCTGTGATTGGGGATTCTTCTACCTGATGGTATACCCATTAAGAGAAAATTGTATAATTGATCTGAAAATGCAAAGGAAGCATAGTTTATACATCCAGTAAAAGTGGTACATGTTAGCTTCAGTTTTGTACAGATTAGATTATTTTAACATCTTGTACTATATTCAGGTATAAAAAAAAAAAAAGAGCATTGGTTAGTCCAGTCTGGGGCTAGGAAGAATCTCAAGTGTATACTTGACCTGCCTATCTCTGTGAAACTAATATCAGCAATGCTTGTTGTTATAAAAAGCATAGCTCTTTGTACACTAAATGTGTATATTGAGAAAGTCTTTTTTAGGCATTGTGGTTGTGTGTTGTGTTTACCCAGAATAACATATATAAACATACTTATTGAGTATATGTCTGGCCTTTTGAAATGGCAGCACAAGTAGTTTTTTCTTTCACAGTGCAAATGTTGGAACTAGTAATCTCATTAAATTTAATAGCCTGTGTTGCCTCTCAAATGTTTATTAAATACTGGCAGCATTTTCTACTGAAATGTCCATCCAGTGCAATAGAATGCACCAACCAACTAGCTATGGACATTTATAGTTGGAGAATGTGTAATATGATGTCCCAGAGCAGAAGAGTTAAATGTTGACACTTTGTAATGGTAACTAGTGCCTGATATTAACACTCTATTATGAATAAAGAAGGAACTCTCGGAATGCACAAGAGTCCAGAAGCATATCACAGAAAGCCTTTAATGTTAAAGGCTAGAGGAAAATCCTTGGAAAAGTGCCTATATTCCTGAGTTTCTATATTCACATATGATTATCAGAGGTGATAGTTTGAAGAATACTATTCAAGTATATAGGCTGAAATCCTACAATGACACAATAGTACCTGGCTGTGTTTCTGGTTCACTGGGTAACCTTGGATAACTCAATTAACTTTGCTGTGCCTATTTTCTCATCTGTAATAGAAAATCATAAAACTGTCTTCCAGAAGTGTTTAGTGTGGATTAGATGATCCCAGAAGGGAGAGCTAAATATTTAATTCCAATTTACAATGTTAGCACATCCTCATGTATCCAAATTGGAGTCAATTTTATTTACTCATTATCATCTTATAATTATGTATAACAGATATTCTGCATTTTATGTCATTCTCCTTAGGGGTAGGGGGTATTTTATTTAGCTCTAAACCCTTTCCAATTTCCTATAAATGAGGTACTCCATTTACTCATTGAACAAACCCTTATCAAGCACCAATTCTGTGCACACCACTGTACTAGGTGCTAGGGATACAAAGGCAAGCTGTGTGTACTAGATGTCTTCTTACCCTCTATATTATAATTAGTGAAGACTATAAAAATCAGTGTTTATAATAAAATCCTCAAAATTCATATTAAAGGAAAAGTATAAGTGACTGTGGGAACATATAAGAACATCTGTCCTTGTTTGTCATAGGTAAGGGTAGGTTGGCAGAACTGACAGGGAATTAAGTACGATTGAGGTAGGTTAAACTGGAGTGGGGTGGCAATCCAAGTAGGCTTCCCAAAGAAAGCCAATGTTGGAATGATAACTAGGAGTTAGCAGTGGAAAGGATAGGGGAAGGCCTAGGATAAAAGAGCACAGTTTCATGTTTAAGGAACTGAAAGTTCAGTATGTTGGAATGTAGCATCTGAGAGAGGGGCAGCAAAACAAGAATTTTTTAAGTAAACAGAGATCTAAAGGACCTCGTGGAGGAGTTTGGACTTTACCTTCGGTATATGAGAAATTGGAAAAGGGTTTGAAATAAGAGAACAATATGGTAAATCTGCATTTTAAATAGATACCTGGCTGTAACGTGAAAAATAATTAGAGGCAGGCAAGATTGAAATCAGGGAGACCAATTAAGCAGACATTTGTGAGACTCTCGGCAAGAGATGATGGTGACCTGGATTGGGTGGCAGCAGAGAGCATGAAGAGGAGTGGGTGACTTCTTAATATGTTTTAGAATATAAAGTCCATGGAACTTTGAGATTGGTTGTTAGGAAGTAAAAAGGAAGGAGTTAAGAATGATTCTTGTGTTTCTCGATTCGGCAACTTCACAGATAGTTGTGCTCTTCAGTGATATAGGAGGAAGTTGATCAGTTCAATTTTTGGTATTTTGAAATGTCCAGGTGGTAATGTTAAGGGAGGTTCATTTGAGTCTGGAGCTCAGAAGGTGTTTGATCTGAACATGCAGAATTTGATGCCATCATGTCTGTTGTCCATATCATAAGAATGATACTAAAAGTCATATAGCGAATGTGAATTCCCAGGGGAAGTATTTAGAATGAGGAGAAATGAAATCCTAGGCCAGAACCCTAGGAAACACCAACATTTAAACAACAGGCTAAGGATGAAAATCTTGCAAAGGAATCTAAGACATAAAGGAAATAATTTCAGGAACATATAGTGTTATGAAGTTTAGCAAAAGAATATTTCAAGGGAAAGATCATCAACAGAACTGAATAAATATTTGTTAAATTCTTGAATCCATTTAGCTATGGGGTTTAGGTTTCAAAACAAAAATTTACCTTTCAACGAACTGTAATTTCCTGTCATACCTGTCAATCAACTCTCATGTCTTTCACTTTTCCGGATGTCCACTACTTAGCACAGTGCCTCATCTTAGTGGGTACTCAATAATTTTTTGTTTACTGAATAAACAAACAAATGCCACCCTACTGGTCTCTTATTTATATAGCCCCTATTCCTGGGTCTCCTCAAGATCCACCCATTAAAAAACAACACCAATCCCTGTCCTGTCCTAGAGTTCATTTTTTGTTTAAATGTTTTGGGGAGAGACATCCAAATTCTGCCATTCCTGTATAGACACAGACACAGACACAGACACACACACACACACACACACACACACACGCCGGAGTAATTTCACATGAGTGGTAGTAGCAGTGGAGAAGGATAAAACGGCAGGGGGGGTGGAGCCTCAGGGAGGAGAGTGTTTTCAATCTTAAGAGGAATCACAAACAATGGAGACAAACATATTTGACAGTGATTTTTAACAATACAGCTTGTAATTACCAAAATTCTTCATTGGAGCTTAACATTGTCTGCCTTATTTTTGTGTGTGTGTGACATTCATTTGCAGT
Source organism: Homo sapiens (assembly GCF_000001405.40). Taxonomy (NCBI): domain Eukaryota; kingdom Metazoa; phylum Chordata; class Mammalia; order Primates; family Hominidae; genus Homo; species Homo sapiens. The sequence goes on along the minus strand of NC_000014.9, from coordinate 80,576,394 downwards.
TGCATTGTGTGCTACTCCTCTTAAAGTATTGTCTTTGACTATAAATGTGTAGTGCAGTATCAGAGTTTTATTTGCATATGAGTTTGAGATACATTGAAACAAGCAAATCCCTTTTTCATTCCTCTCAAGATCAGCTGAAACTTTAAAATAGACACACAAGGTAATCCATTTTTCCTCAATTTAGTTGAATTGCATTCAGTGACTTGACACCTTGCTCGTGATGGCTAATAGCGGTAGGTGTTGCTGCTGTTTAGTGTTTTTATTTTTTTAAATACCAGTCTACCTGGTTCACCTTTCCCCATGTTGCTTTCTGAATCCTAAAATACAGCACACACCGAGAGTTAGTATCATGCTTAGTTATGAAAGCTTCACAGTGTTACCTATGACAGTCACTGAACAGAGTATCTGCAAAACTCATGTGCCCTTACTCATATGATAACTTACTGGTCATCTCTCTTTTCATTTTATTTGAAATGAGTCATGAGATAACTTCCAGTCATCTCTCTTCATTTTATTTGAAATGAGTTAAAACTAGATGATTATGAACATAATTTTTACTATTCATTTTCCTTTCATACTAAGCCATTGGTAGGTTACTTTGCGTCAGCACAATATATAGATATTGTAAATTAAGGATAATAATAATACTGATTTCATAGGACTCTTGAGAGGATTAGCTACCATAAGAAATGTGAAAACTTTGGTGCCTGACAGGTTGCAATAAATATTAATTCCACACAGTGACTGTTTACACCTACTATGTGTCAGACATGATGCTGCATGCTTAGGGATAAAGCAATAAACAAGTCAGAGGTCTCTGCCCCCATCGGGCTTCTCCTTCCCTCTTCCGCCACCTTCTACCCTTGCCCTTTCTCTTACCTTCCCCCCTGCCATGGTCAACTCTGAAATTTAAATTCATATTTTCATCAGATTATGCTGAAGAAAGTAGTATTATGTCTTTGGCCAGCTGCTAAATATAATGAAAAATCGAAAAAAAAGTCATGATGTGGCAATAATTAATTGATTATTGGGCTACATATGAATATCATTCTCATTATTTTAGGAGGAGAAAGGAAGCATTTTAGTTGTAGGACCTGTAATCTAAATGTTGTCATAAGTATTTTTGAACACATTATTTGGTATTATTAGAAATTTTATTAGAAATGAACTGAATCCTTTTCAATCTTGTTAATTTCTAACAGTGGGTTTACAGATTTTGTATATATACATGTATATGAATATTTCATATACTATATAATAGATTTTAATTACAGATTTATATATAATATTGTATTATATAAATCTATAATAAAATATATAAAAATATGTACAATCTTGAATATATATATTTAAGTGACTGATTTTTCTGAGACATTCCAGAAGCTCTGCCTGAAGGATATTAAATATCATTAGTGCCATGCTGTTTTTCAGATGACCCATAATCATTTTTAAGTTGTCTATCAGTTGGCTTTGAAAAATAGTCTGGAATCTCCCAGTTGAAGGGTTCGATTTTCTTTTTAGTACTGTTTTAGGGGTGGAGGGACAGGTGTTAGATTTTGTTTTTGTCACCTCAATAGTGCTTAGGCAAAAACATTTGAAATGAGCAGTAAGGGGAAAATAATCTCTTCCCCAGCCATTATTTATTTCAGCTACTTATGGAGTAGCCTATGGCAACACAGTCTTTCGAGGAAAAAAATAGAATATACCTTCTTGGTTCTTTTGGAACAAGTGTAATAAATATTAATATTAGGGTGTTATAATATAAAGAATGCCAGTGTAGAGTTGTCAGGCACAACTGTTGGAGATAAACCGGGCAGGAAAAGCCACCAAAGAATGCGACTGTCATTAGCAAATAAATTACCCTCCTGGAAGCTGGCAAGATAGTACATGAACCTCTCAATACCCAGTAGATGGCTAATCCTCCTGGTAAGGAAACCGTGTGAGAAACTGGGCTATTGATCGACCAGGTGGATAATTTCTGTGGTTTTGCTGTCAGTCTTTTCTGCCGAACTGTAGCATGCCCATAACCAGTACTTTTAGAGATTGCAGGTAGAAATGCAGGGTGGGGCAGCCACGAGTCCATTTTAGAGTTCCCTCGGAATTGCTTTAGAAGGATGAGGGTGACAGGGAATGCTCTGCTCTCTCACTGGATCTCAGAAAGAACTGAAGCAATTCATTTCCCCAGAAATTCCCATTTTCTTGGGAGATACTAAAGTACATTTTTAGAAATCTCAATTTGAATAAATTGATAAATTAGGATTAACTGTTTAAGGTTTCATTAAACTAGAAAGTAATACAGTCCCTACTCATCCCTAAGATGACTCGTGAGAGTTATAACAGAATTTTTATTATTCTGGAAACCAAAATGTAATGCATACCCACGTATTCTTCTCAAGGTGCATTCCTCAAAGCTTAGGCAAATAACTGCGTATCTCTATGTCTTCTTCTGAAATGTGATTTAAAAATAATTGTTCTAAGCAATGGCATAAACAAAACAAAATACAGTGTTGTGGGGATGGAAGGTTGGGCGACCCTTTGCCACTTTCAGGCAGAGGTAACTTAACAGCTCATTAAAATCTCTATTTTCTCGAAAGGTGAACAGGCTTACCAACCTTAAATTTGGTACAAAGTTACACCAGAAAGAACGCATTAGCAGTCTGCCTTGGGGTCAAACAGGTTCTCAGCCAATTAGGTTTACACCCTTCAATTTACTACATCAAGAGACCTCATGAGAGCAGGGACCCACTCTCAGTAAAAAGGATTCCACTGAAATTGTAGTGCTCATTAAACCTTGTCACTCTGTTTTACCTGAAATTTGCAACTTAATATTAATCCCAAATTTATGACAGTATAAAACTTGAAAATAGAATACCCTACGAAAGAAGTATTCTTGTGTCTGAATATATCGAAGTTGATTGACTAGGTCATTTTCATTTGAGAATAAAAGAAATATAAAAACATGCCTGGTTCTGTTTATCCAATGGGATGAAAAGCGCAAGACTTCAAGACTCAGCAGTCTGCTTGAATCAAGCTTCTAAAAAAGCTTCTAAAAACACACACATCATTTGGAAACATTGTTAAAATGGAAAATCAAAGCATAGTCTTTGAGCTCAAAAGCCCAAATATTTCTCTGTGACAGAAAGTTTATTTAAAAAGTTAGTAGTAAAAAAGGCTGGGCGAGGTGGCTCATGCCTATTATCCCAGCACTTTGAGAGGCCTAGGTGGGTGGATCACCTGAGGTCAGGAGTTTGAGACCAGCCTGACCAACATGGTGAAACCCCGTCTCTACTAAAAAAAAAAAAAAATTAGTCAGGCGTGGTAGCCCACACCTGTAATCCCAGCTACTTGGGAGGCTGAGCCAGGAGAATCGCTTGAACCTGAGAGGCAGAGGTTGCGGTGAGCCGAGATCGCGCCATTGCACTCTAGCCTGGCCAACAGAGCAAGACTCCATCAAAAAACAAAAAACAAAAAACAGTGACCTGGGTGTGTTTTACAGAATAGGTAAATTCCTCCCACCAGGGGGAAGATGATTTGACTCATCTTCATACACTATCCCCTTTACAGTTGACTTTGTGAAAAGCAACGCTTCCAGAAAACATACCTTGGCTCAACTGTCAAGAGTCTGAGCTCTGAGCTCCATGGGCATTGGGGCTTATGTAGATAGCAGTGTATGTTTTCTTGTGTTTTTTTTTGTTGTTTTCAAATCTCAACACATTATGATGTTTCAGTCTTAAGTTTATCTGGGAGTTTTTGCCAGTCTCGAGTCAGTGGGCACCCTGTAATTTGGGGCAATCTCATTTGTGTTACAGAACATAAGTGATCACTTCAAGATCATTCCCCTTAATATTTTACAGTACATTGCTTATACCTCTCACAGCACATCCCTAGACAGACCTCAAACTTTGGGCAAATATCTATGTTAATCCATTTTATCGTCTATCTCTGGATAACAATGAGAATTGTGAAAAGCAATATTCTGGGTAATGACTATAGTGTGCAACAGATTTGGAAATAAATGCTCAGCAATAATACCTTTCTGGTTGAAACACATTTTCATTGACTCATGAAACAAATCTCTGAGATCCTAAGTACTAATAATACATGATTAAAAGAAACTGTAGTTCTCACTTCTAAGGCCATCTCCCCACCCAATCTCTAGCTGATTTTCCAGAATATACAGAAACACTGCAGAGGATTTCCCCAGTCTGGGATCTTAAAAACTCACTTATTTTATGCTTCAGTCTACTAACAAATACTTATTTAGCACTTGCTAACTCCCGTCAGGATTGTGCTAAATCAGCCCAAAGGGTGATGGTCTGTATGTCAAAGGAGAGGGAAAAAGTCACACATGAAACCAAGCAATTCTTTGTGTCATACACTGTGGTAAAACTGCTAAATCTATGTAAATTATTACTCGCAACAATCCTCCAAGGTACGTAACTACTATTGTAATTGTATGGATAATGTCGCTGAGACTCATACTTCCTCAGCCGGTGAGAGAACTAGTACTTGTTTTTGAACTTTCTTGGCTTCTATACTACTATACTTAAGAGCAATGAAAAACAGAATCTCCTCACCTTTCTTTTTTTTTGTTCTGATTTGTTTAGGATCCTGGCCTCTTTTTCTTTCAATTTCTTCCATTTTTTTTCCTTCTTCGTCAATTTCAGTTTTCAACCAAGTTCAAAATAATTCTGGCAAAAAAATTAAAGGCAACATTAGAACGTTTCCATAAATTTTAAATTGTGCAAAAAGTGACAAAACTAAAATGAGCTGCAAAAATGACTAATAAGCATCTCCTCTTATACTTTTTACTTTTATTATAATCAGTTGATTATTTTACTTTTTAAAAATTGATTCTAAAGTGCATTCCTTTTCCAGTGTCTCTGCATTACATGTACTATTCTAGATTTAATTTGTTAGAAGTTTAATGTTTACTTTTAAATGTGTGAAGGCTTATTAGCATGTTAATAAATAACATGTAATGTCTGTAAGTAATATTTCTGTATTTGCCCATAAAGTAAAATAGAAAATAGTACCTACAAGAGATTCCATGCCTTTACTACATTCTGGTTGTAATAGAAATCCCTAGTTCTTATTTCACTGTGAGAAAAGAACCAATACATTGGTCACGACTGAAACAGGGATTGAAGCACAGAGGCCAGATATGATCTCAGTGATGAATCTAACCCCTGCGGTCCAGATCCAAAAAATCTAAGGGACCAGCACAATATAGGTGTCATTTAGCTGCACAATATTACAGCTAATTAAGTTTAGGTCTTTGCTTTCCTCAATCCTTTCTTGTGCTGTTTCCGCAGTGGTATTGACTGCCATGTGCTTCAGCTGTCCTGATGTCAGACCCAGATAAGTAAGGAGTTGCAACTTACTTAGAAAAGACATATGGCAACAATATAATAGCCCCTTTATTATATAGTGAAATAAATATAAAAATGTATACAAATAATTTTTTTATTTGGGCATTAAATTTTATTGATATAGTATGTTTTATTACACTGTTACCTAATGCCTGTTAAAAATGAGGTTCTGGAAGTCTGTTTTGGCATACTTTAAGGAAGAGGCTCCAGGGCAGTTACCCAGTGCATCCCCTAACCTCTACCATGGAAAACCACAAAGTCACCCTGATGCTAATAAAAAAAAGAATTTATTGTCTATTTGCTCATAAAACCTCACTGTATGCATATGATATTTCCATTAGTTCCATTTTGCTGGGCTGTTAAGTAGAAAAAATACACACACACACACTCTCACAATTTTTAATTTGTTTTTGAGGTTAGTATAGACTGTTTTGAGTCAAATGGAGCTGGATTACAGACCAGCCTCCCCGACCCCCTACATTTAATCACAACATGGACTTCAACACACTTAATGTCTTTGAAGTCTATGTTCCTGGCTTTAAATGAGTGAAATTAATGATATCCTCCTACTGGAAGTTTTCATGAACATTAAAAATAAGAACATATGGGCCGGGCACGATGACTCACGCCTGTAATCCCAGCACTTTGGGAGGCCGAGGTGGGCGGATCCCCAGGTCAGGAGCTCAAGACCATCCTGGCCAACATGGTAAAACCTCATCTCTACTAAAACACAAAAAATTAGCCGGGCGTGGTGATGCGCATCTGTAGTCCCAGCTACTCAGGAGGCTGAGGCAGGGGAATCACTTGAACCCAGGAGGCGGAGGTTGCAGTGAGCCAAGATTGTGCCACTGCATTCCAGCCTGGGCAACAGAGCAAGACTTCATCTCAAATAAATAAATAAAAAGAACATATGTTAAAAGTACCCAATGCAGTTTTGGCAATTAAACTTACAATAAATAGTTTTGATTTTTATGGTACTAGTAATATAAAGGGATGTTTTCGTTAATAGCCATAACACATACCAGTGTCCCTTTTGTTCTTAAAATTAAGGAAACCCATTCCTATCCCAGGATCTCTGCATCTGCCTCTCTCGGTAATACTTTTCCTTTAGCTCTTTCAGTGGCTGGCTCATTTCCTTCTTTTAGGTTTCAGCTCAAATGTTACCTCTTCATAGGGATGTAAGCTGACCAACCTGTCTAGAGTATTTTTATGTTATGCAATATTATCCTTGCTTTGATTGGTTTCAACCAAATAAACATGTAAAGACCACTTTCAGTTCATGGGCCTATAAAAACAGGTGCCTGCCTGGACTTTGCTTACCCCTGCTTTAGAATGAACTAGTTTAACTGTTAACTGGCATAGGGAGAGTCTAATAAGAATATTTTTTTGAATTTTTCCTCAAAGAATAAATTTCTGTTGGTAGAATTTGAAATAATTTGGTAAATGGAAAGAAAGTATAATTTTGAGTAATCAGACTTTTCTGAACTCCTACAACCACACTGTATCAGCATTCCATTATCCACAGGTAAGGTTGTGAGTAGCTGTCATTACCGGCGAAAACTGCCCAGGTGAGGCTATTAACAAACTCTCATCCAATTTATTCCTTCATTTCATAGACTTTGGAATTTAAGATCACTTACTTCCAGGGATGATTTTGAAAGCAATACAGTTGAGGATGCTTTGAGCTAAATCACTACTCTTTATTTATAGTCCTGAAAAGTAAAATGTTTTAGATTTAAAGTAATAATGTCCCTGAAATTTGTGACTTTAATTTGGGTAAGGAATTATTTGGGGGACCATTTTAAAAGTACTACATCATATCATTTTCTCTAAATGCAGAAATTTAGAAATTTGTTTGAAATTATTATAGTCAAATTAGTGCTGTTTTTATAGCTATTACTATTTATAACATTTTCAATTACTTTAAGATAATAGAGCTTTCCAACTCTTTTTCATAACTCACATCTCTCTCAAACAGCCGAAGCTACTGTTTAAACTTCCACCTTGGGAAGATGCTAGTCAGACTGCAGTGAGAAATCAGAGTGAAGCTCAGTTTGAAGAAAAAGCAGTTAAGTATTTCATAGGTAGGAATATTTAGGATATTTGGGACTGAACAGTTAATATACATCTGCTTTATTTTAGTGCATATAGGATAAGTCAGCCTTCATGTATGCTTCCCAGAAGTGCAGCTAAAAACTTAGTTGTTGGTTTTTTTTTCCCCTCGTTGTTCTTAGAAAGAAGAGTGTACCAATGATAATCAGAGGGCAGATAATCTGGTTACTTTAAATTGTTTAGCTACATTTCCCTTCTTACCTGCGCGTGTGTGTTGGGAAATGGAGATTAATAATAGTTTTAATCTCAGTCAAACTGAATTAAGAAGCAAGAAAAAGCTACCCCATCTCAGCCATTGTATTAGTTTAAGACTTTCTGCTTCGATGTTGATCATCCTCATCAGCAGCCCCTCTAGTGTAGAATGCTGAGGGGTAACTGAACACAGAAGCACACAGAAAGAATATGAGAGTGACGGGCAAGAAAGAGTCTCCATTACAATGTTCCTTGTGCATTAGTTCCTGTAAATGACTCTGCATGTAAATTATGATGTGGATTACTGGAATTGCCCAAAGGTAAGTCATTAATTCCAAAGGTGGACTATTTACTTGTAGCATTTAATGACTCAGCTGTGTGACATGCATGATAGTTAACAATCCAGTGCTGTAATTTAAAGACTCAGGAGAACACGGCGTGGGAGGAAGGATTCTGTGGTTATATGGGTTTCTCTGTAAACTTTTTCACCTAGAAGCCTAGGAGATATGTGCCCTTCGGGGAAACAAAGGAGATGTCAGCCTCAGGGAGTCTCATTAGACCAACTATATTCAGTGGCAGTCAGATACACAACCCTTTGTGTACCTGAAAATGAAAGCATACCCTCTTATTTTCCACAAGTTCTGCATGACACAAGCCTGCTCATAAATTATGCCATAATCATTCTTGCAATATGATTTGCATAGGAGTTCAGGGCATATGCCATTGATACATGACTAACCTCACGACTGGTGTCGTGTACTTTTTTTTTTTTAAATGTAAATCCTTGAAAAATATATGGTGTGCTGGTTTCTGAGTTGTTGGCCTTCTCCTGGTACTCCTCAATTCCTCTTTCTCCATCTCTTTGTGGGGACAGTCAGCATCTGAAATTGCACTGGTTGTCCTTTGCATTGCCCCTAGCCACCATCATAGTCTTTATTTTATCTGCAAATAATCTTTAGTTGTTCTCCAGTCCAGATGTCACTCACCTTTGTTACCTGTTACGAGCAGTTTCACTGGAGAATTTGACAGTCCCTGGAGAAAGATAATTCTGTCTCTTGCCCTTCATTTTGTCTGTAGTGATATTCTGTAGCACACACCTATGTACCACATTACGTTGTGCTTTAAAGGAAGAATCTTGAAATGATTATTTTAAAGGAAAATAAGGAAAAGAAAGCTCATAGCTTTGCTTCGTGATTTGAAATTTAAAGGGTAGTCTCAGAATTTTTGGTGTCAGTTTCATATAGCTACCTAGAAGTATGTATAGGGATTTTAAATAAAACCCTACCTTGCCGCTCAGGCTGCATTTTCCAGTCTGAAATCTGTCCCAACAAACCAATAGACCCCCATTTCTGTATCTTTCTCTTCATCTTCTTTGTTTTCCCCACTTGTATTCTTCACCCCACAAACCCGTACACATACCCCACTTCAATATAAATACAACCGCAGCCTTTCCTGAACAATGTCAAAACTGAAGTATAATGGTCAATAATCTCCTCATAATAAAACCACAAACTAAAACACCCACCAGAGAACACAGCAGAAGAAAGCTACAGAAGAACAACTGGCTGCCCTCAGGTCTCTGTCAAGGCAATAGTAGTAAATGACAGAACATATTGGAAATGTGGATCAACCACCTTGAGTCTGTTTTTAAATCCTGTGATTGTTTCTGCTTCTGGTTCTATCAGAGATTTGCCACACCCAGGTTGAAAATCAGGCAACAAGGACCATTATTGGGCTTCCCTGTAGGCTAGAACATGACATATCACTTTAAATTGGCTTTTCTTCCTAAGTCAAAATGTTGGTTTTTTTTTTTTTCCTTGACAACTTTTCAGACAAAATCTTTAAGCCTCGCTGTTTTTTTTTTCTTCAATATGTGTGTTGTGTTATTTTAGACGCTGAAGTAGGTTGTTTGAAAAGGCACATAAGCAGCCAGTGAAATGAATGAACAGAAATTGACTACAGGTATCTAATGATGGTTACAGTGAACACAGGATGATTGGGAAACCAGTGCAAGCTGCTCCAATGCCACCCATCCTGGAGTATTTGATGTATAGACAAACTTCTTTCACTGACTTTTAATAGATAGCATACAATTTTATATATAAATCACAGATGCATTTGGTATATTCAAAGCCAACTTATGCTACATTTTAAAGCTTTTTTTGATGTTGCTACACTGAGATAGTGATTTTTGTCTTGATTTTGTTTGAATTTTTTTTAAATCACTGTAAGAAATGCTGACCTTTTGTGTGTGATGATTAATCAAAGCCTTTCCCTTTTCATTATCTTAAAGTTTGGCAAAGAATACTATTTTAAATGTATTCAAATAATTTCAAATAAAATGACTTCTAGCTCTTTTAATTATTTAAAATGACTGACAAATTTTTAAAACGTAATGGATTGTCATGGGGAAATGCTGAGGAGAAAAAATATATATATTTGTATTTCATTCTATAGGGTTTATTTAGGAAGTAGCAGGTAAACTGTGAGTGTGGATTAAACAGAGTTGACTTTGGAAGGAAGAACGCCATGCAGTGGTCTCTTTGGGTGAAGTTGAGTGGATTTTTCTTCCAGAAGACAGGCTTTGTATTTTACAATAGTGATGGTAGGGAGTCCTCAATGTGGGTTTTTCTTTTTGAAAAGTATATGTCCATCATGGTCCCTAAGTCCCAGAGAAGTTGCCAGAATTATTCTATACTCTTCAAGCTTCTAAGATGTGGAAAAGATAGAAGACTCTTCTTACGTTTTTATGCCAGTGTTATGCTTTTTCATATGCTAATGATATCTTTAAAGCATTCTTGGAAAATGCTGCATTATTATGATAAAATAAAGTCACTAGACTTTTCAACTGTACTCACCAGAGGCAGAAGAATTATTATTATTTAGACCTATAAGTTTCTAATTCATCTCTGAGATGTGATGGATGAATCGATGTGGCTGATTAGCTCAGCTGAATCAAATAAACTTTTAATGATTAGATATTCTGATAACAAATGATCCATTTAATGCTCATTTCCTAACAGCCTACAAATATTTGCTCATCTCCAGTGATACTAATGAATTTGCCTTGGTCCATTCCTAAATTCTAAAGTACACTTCATTGTGGTAGCAAATGAATATGTACAGCTTAAGGCTAGTTACAAACTGTATCCACCCAATGGGTTCACCTTGCCAGCTGCTTAGATAGAGCCTATTTATCAAGACAGGGGAATTGTGATGGTGAAAGAGTAATTCACGCAGAGCTGGCTCTGCAGGAGACTGGAGTTTTATTACTCAAATCAGTCTCCCCAAGCATTCGGGGACCAGAGTTTTTAAAGATAATTTGGCAAGCAGGCGCTTGCCAAATTACCTTTAAAATCTTGGGAAGTGGGGAGTGCGGATTGGTCAGGTTGGAGATGGAATCATAGGGGGTTAAAGTTAGGTTATCTTAACGTCTTCTGTTTTTGGGTGGGATGGCAGAACTGGTTGGGCCAGATTACTGGTGTGGGTAGTGTCAGCTGATCCATCCAGTGCAGGGTCTGCAAACTATCTCAAGCACTGATCTTAGGTTTTGCAATAATGATGTTATCACCAGGAGCAATTTGGGGAGGTTCAGACTCTGGAAGCCAGAGGCTGCATGACCTCTAAATTGTAATTTCCTTTCTCTTTTCTTTTTTTTTGAGACGGAGTTTCACTCCTTTTGCCCAGGCTGGAGTGCAATGGTGTGATCTCGACTCACTGCAACCTCCACCTCCTGGGTTCAAGGGATTCTCCTGCCTCAGCCTCCCTAGTAGCTGGGATTACAGGTGCCTGCCACCACGCCTGACTAATTTGTGTATTTTTAGTAGGGACAGGGTTTCGCCATGTTAGCCAGGCTCGTCTCAGACTCCTGATCTCAGGTGATCCACCCACCTCAGCCTCCCAAAGTGCTGGAATTACAGGCGTGAGCCACTGCGCCTGCCCTAAATTTCTAATCTTGTAGCTAATTTGTTAGTCCTGCAAAGGCAGACTGGACCCCAGGCAAGAAGCAGGTCTTTTTGGGAAAGGGCGGTTATCAATTTTGTTTCAGAGTCAAACCATGAACTGAATTCCTTCCCAAAGTTAGTTCAGCCTACACCCAGGAGTGAACAAGGACAGCTTCAGGGTTAGAAAAAAGCAAGATAGAGTCAATTAGGTTTAATTTCTGTCACTGTCATAATTTCCTCAGTTATAATTTTGCAAAGGCAGTTTCAAAACCTCATTAACCTCAAAAGTTAAAATACATCTTTTTATTGTATACATGCTTTAGGCTTCCCCCAAAATAATTTGTATATTGAGGGAATCCTATATCATATGGCTTCTCCTTACCTGATCTGTCAAACCCAGAACAAATTAAAACATGATGTCTAGCCACATTATTTTTACTTAGAAAGTGTAATATTCACTTATTGGTAAGAACAGCTATTAGCACTGCTCCATTGTAATCCAATATCTATGCAGTGACTACATGTACAGTCATTAAGAGTAAACATTTTTAAAAATATTTATGTCAATTTAGGTGTTTCATAAACTTTCCCTTTCTTAGAACTAAAGAATAATAGAAAAGGGACTATCCAATCACATATAAACAGTAGCAACAAAACAGGCTTTTTCCCAGAAAACTCTTTTCTTCCAAGTATTTGAAGAAAAATTTTCCTTTGTTTTTTGTTTAACCCTTCACTCCCACTTAGAATTTTACATTTTTACTTCTGCCCTATAAGAGCCCTTAGTTATAGTCATAATTGTTTATTTCTTTGTTACTGAGGTTATGTATCTAGACATGTTTCATAAAGAGGAAATAAATACATTTAGTGTAATACAATAATTTATTTTTATGATATTCTTATGTCTTATTTTAGGTGTTTTTATTTGGAGTAAAAAGACTTGGGCTGGGCACAGTGACTCACGCCTGTAATCCCAGCACTTTGGGAGGCCGAGGCAGGCGGATCACGAGGTCAGGAGATCAAGACCATCTTTGCTAACACAGTGAAACCCTGTCTCTACTAAAAATACAAAAAAATTAGCTGGGTGTGGTGGCACGCGCCTTGTAGTCCCAGCTACTCGGGAGCCTGAGACAGGAGAATCACTTAAATCCAAGAGGTGGAGGTTGCAGTGAGCCGAGATTGTGCCACTGCACTCCAGCCTGGGCGACAAGAGTGAGATTCCATCTCAAAAAAAAAAAAAAAAAAAAAAAAAAGATTTGGAGGCCCATGGGTAGGCTTCAGAGAGTCTGCATTACCCCAAAAAGTATATATAAAATTACATATGTGTGTTGCATATAATGTACATTTTCCTAGGGAGAATGTCAAGTTTTATTAGACTCTCAAAGTCTATTACCACAAAAATAAGAGCCACTGATTTATTAAAACCATCTGAAATAGCATGGAAGTATCTTCATTACTTCCTGGGAGTGGTCTTCCCTTGTCTACTTCTCCTACCTCCTAATGCCCTTTCATTGTTCTAGCAATGCTTACTTTTCTTTTCAGGATTAAGCCCTGCGAGTGTGTTGAGAGTGGGGTTCAGGGATTGGTGGTTTGGAAGGGTGGGTGGAGTAATGAACCTGCAGGTTGAACTTAAATCTGTTTAAATGAAAATTATAGATTAAAGAAAAAGGGAAAAATTACAAAGGCAGCTCTGGGTAAACTGGGAGAGGTTATGGAGATATAATTTATTTTGTTGTAATTATATGTTCATTCTAGGACATATACTGGCTTTTTCTTTTTTAATCATGAAGCATATCAAAGCTTTGACAGTATTGGCCCACGTGTGGTGGTTCATGCCTGTAATCCCAGCATTTGGGGAGGCCGAGGCAGGAGGATTGCTTGAGCCCAGGAGTACAAGACCACCCTGGGTAACATAGTGAGATCCCATCTCTACAAAAAGTAAAAAAAAAATTAGCTGGGTGTGGTGGTGCACACCTATACTCCCGGTTACTTGGGATGCTGAGGTGGGAAGATCAATTGAGCATGGAAGGTATAGGCTGCAGTAAGCTCTGATTGTGACAGTGCACTCTAGCCTGAATGATAGAGGGAGACCCTGTCTCCAAAAAAAAAAAAAAAAAAAAAAGAAAAGAAAAGCTACACTGTTGTTGGCTTATTTTCCATTGAGAATAATGATACACAGTAGCATAATTTTTTATATAAAGATATATAACTAACTTTGTTTACCAAAAACAGTGTCAACCATAACCACTTAAGTTTTCAAAATGCATTTCTTAAATTTTAAAATCAAATAAGAAGTTCATGAAGACTAGTAATTTCTCTTTATTTACAGCCTACAATTGAGACAGAAAACTATAATTTAGACAAAATCAGTAATTGACTACAATGGCTGGTATCTTATTAGCTATTGTTGATTGGCATATTGAATTACTGAAAGGTTAATGAACTAAATTTTCTGTTTCTCTAATTTCCTCATGTTTTTTGACATACAGTTTTTTTATTGAAAGCTGTCTCAGTACCATTTTGGAATAGAGTAGGTTATAGGCAAACAAACATAACTAAAGTGGATTCAAATATATTTATTTATTGCACTTTGGGAGGCTGAGACGGGTGGATCACGAGGTCAGGAGATCGAGACCATCCTGGCTAACATGGTGAAACCCCGTCTCTACTAAAAATAAAAAAATTAGCCGGATGTGGTGGCGGGCACCTGTAGTTCCAGCTACTTGGGAGGCTGAGGCAGGAGAATGGCGTGAACTTGGGAGGCGGAGCTTGCAGTGAGTTGAGATCATGCCACTGCACTCCAGCCTGGGCGACAGAGTGAGACTCTGTCCCAAAAAAACAAAAACAAAAACAAAACAAAACAAATATATATATATATATAGACCTTCGTATTTCAACAAAATGGAGTTGTCTTGACCATTTGAGTCAATAGTCACATAAACTAGGCACATATTTCCTTTAAAATAAAAAATTAAGTAAAATGAAGGTACTCATACACAACTTATAATGCTATCAGTTTATCTCTGCTAAACACTAAGATATGAATTAGGACAGACAGTTTAATTCTGTTCTGTTTTGACATTATATGAAATCGCCTATTTCAAGTCAGTTCTAGGTATGCTTTTAAAATACGTTAATCTTAACTAATAGCAACCCTCAAACCCATGGTATAGGGAAAACTTAAGGCCCAAATAGGGCTGTAAATATTTTCAGTCTTCCAAGATGGTTCATATAAATATGATACTGCCCAAAGGCTGTTTCTCTCTGTATAAGGCATCTAATGACGTTCTGTTCAATCTGCAAAGGATATTAAAGTATTGCTGAATGGTTTTTGTCCCAGATGCACAATGAATTAGATGCCTGGCAACAATAGATCAAAGCCCCCTTGAGGCATCATACGCATTTATTATGAAGTGCTCAAATGTGACAATATACAAGTCACCAACAACATAGCAGTTATTTTATGAAAATTATGAGGGTAAGGGTGAGGCCCTCTTAACTATGCCAACAAAATGCAATTAAACAGATTATATTGCTAGAAACAGTCTGCTTTGGGCTAATTTTGCATAATGTATTCATTTAACTCATGCCCACATAGCCAAATGTTTACAGGGTGGAAATGTGCAACTGTTTCCCAGTCTGACTGCTGGAAGTTAGTTTGCAGAAGTCTTTATAAGTGAGCCCTCTATTTCATGTGATACTGAGAGAATGCCAGTAGGGGCCAAGTTCATTCTGCTTCTAAGTGTCATAGGTCTATGTGGGTCCCTGCAGGACCACAGGAGACCTGGGCTGAGTCATTCTGTGCGCCATTTTTCTCTCTTTACTTCTTGTATTAGTCAGGGTTCTCTTAGAGGGACAGAATTAGTAGGAGATATATATATATATAAAGGGTAGTTATTCAGTATTAACTTGCACGATCACAAGGTCCCACAATAGGCTGTCTGCAAGCTGAGGAGCAAGGAGAGCCAGTCCAAGCCCCAAAACTGAAGAACGTGGCGTACAGTGTTCAACGGCAGGAAGCATCCAGCACGGGAGAAAGATGTAGGCTGGGAGGCTAGGCCAGTCTCCCCTTTCACATTTCTCTGCCTGCTTTATATTCACTGGCAGCTGATTAGATTGTGCCCACCAGATTAACGGTGGGTCTGCCTTCCTCAGCCCACTGACTAAAATGCTAATCTCCTTTGGTAACACCCCACAGACACACCCAGGATCAACACCCTGCATCCGTGTATACAGTCAAGTTGACACTCAGTGTTTACCTTTACACTTCTTTAGACGATTAATTAATTTTATTTTTAAAAATCCAGATTCCACATATTTCCTCTAGTTCTTTTATTTTATTTTTATTTTTTTGAGGTGTAGTCTTGCTCTGTTGCCCAGGCTGGAGTGCAGTGGCTTGATCTCAGTTCACTGCAACCTCTGATTCCTGGGTTCAAGTGATTCTCCTGTCTCAGCCTCCTGAGTAGGTGGGATTACAGGCACGCGGCACCGCACCTGGCTACTTTTTAATTTTTAGTAGAGACAGTGTTTTGCCAGGTTGGCCAGGCTGGTCTCGAACTCCTGGCCTCATGTGATCTGTCCACCTGAGCCTCCCAAAGTGCTGGGATTACAGGTGTGAGGCATTGCACCTGACCTCCTCCAGTTCTTAAAATAAGAGAAAACAAAGGCAAATGGCCTTGGTCCACCTCAAAAAGGATGGTTTTTCATTTTCTTAGATCTTCACACTCTGCTTTGTCTCAGAGTCAGTCTTTATTTGGTGAAGACTTCCTGTTTATAGATGTCACCTCTGGAAAGACTTGAGAATACAACTATGGAGTTGAGAATACAAACATTTTCTTAATCATTTAGCTTTTGATGCATCGTTATCAATGACCCCTTTTAAAGCCAGTCCTTCTATAAACATTCTAAGATGCTGTAGACAATGAAGGCCTATCTGGGCTCAGGATTGGCTGCATGTGCCATATCTTTCTCATTTATTTTCCTGCCTTGTTTTCAATAATGATTTACTCATTTATTTTAATTGATGAAGATATGTCTGAATTTCAGCTTGTTGTGGAGACCACATTTTTCGCTGTAAACCTAATTAAGAGCTAGAATATGTGCTTAATTCCTTGTCTATATCACTACTCTTGTCTAGTTGTGATTCATATAATCAAATCTAACATTTTACATCTTATAAATAATCTTACCATTACAAAAATGGTAGGTTCTATTCCTTTCATTAACTGTACTAGAATTGTAGCATTTACTCTTAAACTCTGTAGTCCTAGCACTAAATGAGATGAAAAAAGATACATTCATTCTTTGATGACTATTTTTCTGTTCTAGAGATCATTCTGAATAGTTCTCATTTTTTACATTTTTAAAATGAATTATTAATAATAGATGGTAAATAGAATACTTGTAAATTAAGTAAACTTGAAACAATTTTAAACAGCCTTCGTTTTATAATTATATATTATGCTTTCTTTGCAGGACCGTGTAATTGCATTAGAAACGGTAAGTTGGGGCATTTTCTTTCTCCTTTTATCAGAATTACTGCTGTCTCCTGATGTGGATTTCACAGCACACCAAAGGAAACAGTTTCAGAAATCATTTCGAAAACTACATCTAAGATGTCAAAGGGGAAAACAAGCTAAACTGTATCTAAAAGGTATGTGGATATAGACTTTAAAATGAAAAAAAATTAAATAAAAATGTGAGCATACTTAAGTGGTCACATCTCTCAGTATTTCTGATGTCAAGATGTACTAATTTATGAAAAATATATTAAATATAGTCAATACTTGGTGTTTCTACTGTATTTCACAATCACTAAGAGGATTGGTTGATAAGAAACTGAGATCAGTTTGCTATTTATTCTTTCAAGTCTAAGATTTTAACATTCATTGTTTTTATAAACATTATTTTCACCAGTGTCACAAAAAGAATAATGCAAGCATGCCAGCTTTTTCTGAATAATCTTACTTGTAGGAATGTGCTATTAAGAAATAATTTTTCAAGTTCATAGATGTCAAGACTACATGCATACAATATTCATTGAAAAATTATTTTTGGCCAGGCGCAGTAGCTCACGCCCATAATCCCAGCACTCTGGGAGGCCGAGGCAGGTGGATCATTTGAGGTCAGGAGTTCGAGACCA
This sequence comes from Homo sapiens, assembly GCF_000001405.40. Classification (NCBI taxonomy): domain Eukaryota; kingdom Metazoa; phylum Chordata; class Mammalia; order Primates; family Hominidae; genus Homo; species Homo sapiens. The sequence goes on along the minus strand of NC_000014.9, from coordinate 80,558,635 downwards.
GCCTGGCCAACGTGGTAAAACCCCGTCTCTACTAAAAATACAAAAATTGGCCAGGCGCGGTGGCTCACGCCCGTAATCCCAGCACTTTGGGAGGCCGAGGCGGGTGGATCACAAGGTCAGGAGATCGAGACCATCCTGGCTAACATGGTAAAACCCCGTCTTTACTAAAAATTAAAAAAATTAGCCGGGTGTGGTGGTGAGAGCCTGTAATCTCAGCTACTCGGGAGGCTGAAGCAGGAGAATTGCTTGAACCTGGGAGGCAGAGGTTGCCGTGAGCCGAGATCATGCCACTGCACTCCAGTGCAACAGTGCAAGACTCTGTCTCAAAAAAAAAAAGTAAAGGAAAACCAACTTACTGTCAATAAAATTATGGTTTTATAGAGTATGGAATTTTCACCCAACATGCCACAGTGGTTATACAAAGGCTTATAATATTAAATGGAAAAATTTCAAGATATAAAATGGTGTGTACTTTAATGATGACATATAGGCATATAAAAAAAGAACAGAAGAGAGTAAGCAAAACTCACAACAGTGATCAGTTACATAAGAATTATAGATTTTAATTTTATTTCTTTCTGTTTTTCAAGTATTTGATGAAATACTATGCAACCATAAACAGTCAGGTTTTCAAAAAAGTAAATATTGCCGTGCTAATATATGAAAAAGTGATATATAAAGATATATAAAGAGTGATAAAAATATTAAATGTGCATATTTTACATTTAAAAAGGCTAAGAAAATACATAAAATATTAGAAGTATCTTAGTCGTAGTGATTTTTTTTTCTTTTTATATTTTTAACAAGCAGGAAAAAAATCTTTAGATAATAAGGTTAATAAAAAATGAAATGTTTATTTGTGAGTATGAAGAGAGGAAAGATGGTTACAGACCACATTTTAGTAATATGCAAGCAAGTGATTTTGATTGACGATGTCCAGACCCTATGGATAAATAACTTCTTCCTGAGATTTCACTGGGCCATTTAGAAAGTACACTATTCTCAGTTTCAGTATGATGACATTGTTGGTGAATAAAATGTTTAGTGTTCTTCCACATATATTTTACTTACCCTTAGAAAGTGTCTTGCCAACAGAATTTGGCCTGTGAATTAAATGCTTTTTTAAAAAATCTGGACAAAAACGTAATTTTTGAGTTTGAAGACCTGGATTTGGTGTACAAAATGCCGCTTATGCAACATTTAGCAAATGACTTCTTTCTTGTTTCCTTCATCTGTAAAATGGTTGTGATTAAAATTATTTTATCATTTTTCTCTAAGAATTAAGAGAGAAAATACACGTGAAAATATTTAGGACCAAACAAATGTTATCGTTACCACGATTGCTTGTTACTTCTTATTTAATCATTTGAATTCTACCTATATACTATGCAAAACTGAAAATTATATCAGCAACAATGATTATTTGTATTTGTTAATTGTTTTTATCTAATCTCTTCACTAACGAAGTACAGAGGAATAGAATCACAAATGTCCTAACCTAAAGGTTCCCGTAAGAATAAAGGTAAAAATAAAAAGTCACCATGGGAAAAATAAAATTGATTAAAGGACTAGATTTTAAACAGCAGTAGTTTTTTGATAGTTTCAATTTGAAATGATTATAAATAAAACCATAAAAATTAAAATGCTCAGTAATAGTGCTAACGATCAAATATTATGAAGTCCTTTGATTTCATATGACATTTTAAGGGACAGATTTTAATGAACTTGGTAGACTCTTCAACTGATAAAGTACTTTATAGTTCATAAAATCAAATATGCTGAAAGCTATCTCAAGATCATTTATTATTCTCTCCCAAGTCAGTGCTTAAAACTTAGAAAAATGTTGTTGGTCCATATTTGGTTGAGTTGTTATTAACAGTACAGAAGGTGTTGCATGTAGAGCATATATCATGGTGCTATCAATATGCAAATGTTTGAAATTTCACCATTCCATTAGGAGTATTTACAGTAGATTGATTTTAGCAGTGCAGTAGTTATAATACCTGAAAAGAAGATCACCTTTTCATCATAATAAGAAACTTGGTTTAGCTTGCCACCAATTATCTATCTGCTTAGGTCACAGTCACATGCCCATTTTTCCCCGTCTTCCTCAACTTTTCCCTCTCTTTCTTTAATAGCAGGTAAGCTCCTTGGATTAGAAACTGCATTTTATTTGCAAATGCGTTGCCAGGGTCTGTCAGAAATGTTTGATATATAGTAGACAATCAATAAACATTTGTAGAATGAAAGAATGACTGTTAAACTGCATGTATCTCAACCTCACATAAGACTGTGCTCAGGAATAAATAGCATTAGTCCAGTAGTTGTGAGAAATTCCCCAGAAGCACGGCAATGTATTCTTTATTTCCTAGAATTCCTGGTCAGTGCTATATGCTATTTGGTGTTTCACAGAAGCTCTAACCATCTTCACTAAATGTTAATGTAAATTTTCCTGGGATGGAACCACCTTCAGCCAAAATAGAATGGGTTGATTCCCTAAATAAAGCTAAGTGATTACATGGGAAAAAACTTTGATTGAGAGCCCCTGCTCATGGGCCAAGGATGGGACTCAGCAGTGGAAATTTATTGGGCTCAATATGAGGCATTGTGTTGACACCAAGGAAGAAAAAAGGAAAGTAAATTGTGATCAATGCCTTCAAGGAATTTGTACTCTATTTGAGTAAAGAAGACACATTCATTTAAATGAATTAAATGATGAAAGATAAAAACCAAAAAAATACAGTCCATGAATGAAAAAGATAATGCATTTTCAGAAGCTATTTTGAAGAAAAGATCATTGTAAAGAGAATTGAGGCATCATTGCATCATTGTGATCTGGGTTCATTGTGAAAATGATAGATTTTGCAGTTTGAGGACATGAAGAGGAGCTTAAATTTATTTCTGAAATATGAAGAATCAGTAGTGAGATAGAAAGAGCCCCAGAAGCCCTTTCATATTGGAGATGTTATCGAAGTCTAAGGCAGTAATGAACAAAAGGGTTTGTTAAAAGGATTTTTTAAGGTAAAATCATGACTCCCGTACACATATAAAATTAACTTGTGACAAATGTGTTTATTTAACTCATTAATTAATGAGGGAATGAACAAGAAGTTACAAATGACTTAAAGGAGTGTTTAAAGAACCACACATATATAGGCACTACAGAGTGCTGAAATGTATTTTAAATAAAGGCAAAATTGGCTTCTTCTACAATGAGGAAGGAAGATCAGTGGAACCCTACCAGACAAAATTTATTGTCTGTGAACAAAAATTATTTGCATTTTTGTTATCAGTTGTCTGCAACTCATAAAGTTATAAAAACTGAAAGACAATAAGAGCACAGAGATCCCACAGAATCAGGAAGCCCAGACAGATGTGCTAGGCAAAAACTAGGCCTTCATTGAAGATACCTAGTAAGTTTTTGTTCCATTTCAAAGCCTTTTCACATTTTTTTCCCCTGTCGGTTCATAGGAGATAATGTATAGAGAGATAGATAACAGTTTGAGAGAGTAAGAGGAGTCATTCTGACGTTCTGAAATACAAACCAAGCAGTTTAGACTTGATTTTTTTATATCAGGGTTTTATATGTTTTACATCAGGGATCTTTTATATCAGGATCTAAATAGGTCCTTCCCAAATGTTAGTTCATACTGGTCAGTACTAGTTACTGAAACATTCTGTTGGGAAGGATTTTTTTCTGGTGGCTCTTTCGGAAAGAGCAAAATCAAGGGATAAAAATTAATGAGCTTATCACCCAACATAAGATATTAAAAGGAAATTAAAAGAGTAAAACCTAAAGAAAACAAAAGAAGGGAAAAATAAAGACTGAAAATTAATGAAATAGAAAAAAACATGCAATAGGGCTAACAAAGTAAAGTCTGTTATTTGACCAACGAATCATAATAAAAAAGACCATTGTCCATTATGATTGAAAAAAAGGATATAGCTACAGGTCTTGGAGAATTTAACCACATAACAAAGTGTTCTGAATAATTTTCTAATTATAAATTAGAAGAAATAAACAAATTCCTAGAAAAATATAATTTTCAAAAACTAAGAAGAAATAGCATGACTAAATTTTAAATAAATAATTTTAATCAACTATTTTTAGTCAATTGAAATTTAATCAGAAAAGGGCTACCAAGCCCAAATAATTTTATACATAAGTTCTACCGAATGTTCTAGGGGCAGATAATTTCAGTTTTATAAAACTCTTCCAGAGACTAGATAAAGAGGGAACATGCCCATTTTATATCCTGAGTCAGCATAGCGTTTATGCTAAAACCAAGCATAAGAGTAAGTAAGGGAATTTAGACCCTTAGTCATTAACATGAATGCAAAAATATATACAAAAGATTAGCAAAGTAAATTTAGGAATGTTTAAAAAGAATAATTCATCATGAACAAGTTGAGTTTGTTCCAGCAGTTCAGTTAAGTTAAACAAGTTGGTTTAACATTAGAAAATTAATCAATGTAATTTATAGCATAGTGACAGATTAGAGAGAAATAAAATTTGAAAAGGCCATCCCCATAAATGAATAAGAAGCATTGATTCCACCACCACCACCATCATCATCATAAACCTTCTATTAAACTAAGAATAGAGGGAAACTTTCTTAATCTGATAAAGGTCATATGGAAAAATTCTATGGGTAAATCACCTTAGCACTGAAATGCTGACGTCCTCCTCTATGACCAGGAACAAAGGATGTGCTATTCCACAACTTCTGTTAGACACTGTGCAGAAGGGCCTAGCCAGTGCAGTAAAATTGATATTTGCAAATACTGTTCTTGTTTATATAAAATGCCCAAGGAATTCATAGTTAAATTATGAAAAAATACAGAGTTTAGCAATTTCTTTGATAAAAAACAGGATATTTTACTTCTACCTCCAAGCAACAATTACTGAGAAAATGTAATTAAAACTATACCCATGCAAAAGTAACAAAAAATTCAAAGTACATAAGAGAAAAAACTTTAAAAAGAATTACAAGTGCTTTATAGAGAAGACACTCTAGCCAAGAAACTTCTGAAGAAGAACAAGGTAAGGGGAGTTTTCTTAAACATGTATCAAAATGTATTAAAGCTATGGAAATTAAAATGGTGTTGTCTTGGCAAAGGAATATATAAGTCGGTCAGTGTAATCAAATAGAGAACCCAGAAACGGAAATACGTACATATGAAAACTTGATGTTTGACACAAATGGCATCACATACCAGTGGAGTAAGGATGAACTTTTCCATAGATGGTATTAAAAATATTAAACTGAACCTCTGTCTCATATCAGATGCAAAAATGTATTGTTCTCACTCATAAGTGGGAGTTGAACATGAGAACACATGGACACAGGGAGCGAACATCACACACTAGGGCATGTCGGTTGGGGGTAAGGGAGGGAGAGCATTAGGACAAATATCTAATGCATGTGGGGCTTAAAACCTAAATGACAGATTGGTGGGTGCAGCAAACCACCACAGCACATGTGTACCTATGTAACAAATCTGCACATTCTGCACATGTATCCCAGACCTTAAAGTATAATTAAAAAAAAGAAAGAAAGAAAGAAAGAAAACCGAAATGTGAATGGTAAACCGTAAGATTTTTAGAACAAAAAAATTGTTGAGTATTTTCATAACCCTGGAACCGAAGGAGATTTCTGAAGAGAAAAAAAAGGCAAACAAGGCATTGGAATAATGGATCATATAAAAGAAGTGACTCAAGTTACCATGTTAAAATTAAGAACTTCTGTAAACCAAATAAAAATACAACATAAAAAGAGTGAAAAGAAAAGCCACACATAGGATATATTTGTAGCAGATATAACTGACTACCAATTTGTGTCCAAATCTTATTGCCTAAAAAGCAATTAGAAAAAGGTATCCAAGCTTTTAAAAGGGACAAAAGAAGGGCAAAGTGCATAAGCAAGCATCTCTATTGAAAAAGAAACATGTGAGAAGACATTTTTCATCAGCAATCAGGGAGGCACTAATTAAAACCACAGATTGTCATTTTCTTTAAACTGTATGTATATATTTTACTTAAAATTTTGTATCAATGACATATTTCACCAAAAAAAATTAAAAAACTAAAGGGAATTGAAACATGTTAGTAGAACGTTTTAAAAGCTTTTTACTGCAAAATGATTAATCCTGACCCCAACAGTAATGTTCAAAGAGAGCTGGTAAATTACAGCATGTTCTAACTAGGGTAGCATGCCCCTGGGAGTATACAAAGATCTTCCAAGAGGTAGTCAGGCACAAATAGTTTTAAGAGAATTGGTTTATATTTTTGTTTTGTTTTGTTTTTATTTGTGTTTTTTTTTTTTGAGATGGAGTTTCACTCTGTCACCCAGGCTGGAGGTGCAGTAGCGCCATCTCAGCTCACTGCAACCTCCATCTCCCGCATTCAAGCAATTCTCTTGCCTCAGCCTCCCAAGTAGCTGGGATTACAGGTGCCCACCACCATGCCCAGCTAACTGAGAATTGGTTTTTGTAGCTTCAGTTTCTAGATACACTTTCTCCTAAAATGATTCTGCTTTGAAATGACATCTTACCTTTCATAATTGACTCTCTCCCACTTTATTTAAAAAACAAACAAACAACAACAACAACAACAAAAACAGGACTACTTCTCACCCATCCCGAGTTCCATGAGGCAAATTTTCCCAGGCACTTTAAGGTGCCAAGCAAAGGAGTAATTTAAGATTTTTGTGCCTGCTGGCCTTCTTTAGTAAAGGCCCTGGGGTAAGGCTTCTTGTCCTTCTTAGTTGCACATATATTTTTGTTAAGAACAAAGAGCTGTGTTTGATATATGGGATACTGGGGTTGAAGTGTTCTGAATTAGATGTATACTGTTGATTGGGGAGGGAGGTGAAGACATTTTTATTTAATAACCTCACCTCTTCCACTACTCTACTATAATCAAAGAGTGTATAGCTCCAGAAATCAAAGCTAAGAGAGTGTTGATAAGAAATCATTAAAGGCAGCAGTATTTTATTTCATCCAGGTGACAAACTCTAGCAGAGCTCCATGCCTTACCTATGTATCTGTTTTAGAATTATGATTCAAAAGTGAGACAGTTTTCACAGGGACACACATTAACACCATTCCACTGAATTGAGAAAGGAAGTCAGACTCTTTTTATACCATAAAGCAAGTGTGATTTGTCTGATTGGTTTGACAGTAAGGACTGGCTTTGCCAATCTGTAGGTCTGGGGTTTATATGGAAACATATTTAATGCTAAGATAAATATATCAAAAATATTACAGTAATCGAATAGTGTTAAAGTTAGCAAGATTTTTATTTGTCTCAGCCCTTTCTGTATATGTTGAGTTAAACAAAAGAAAAACAGTTACGTGATAAATCTTGACAAATAAAGCCTTTTTGGCATGCCTTCCAGAAATAGGAACTAAATGGTCTAAATAACTACATTATAGTCCTTTGGTAAGTCAGGTGGTTTCTCATTCTTTGCTTTCAACAAAGTCAAAAGAGAACTTTGTAGGGCTGATAGATTATTAAAATTAATTTTGATGACAGATCACTATGTAATATTTACCATAAGAGTAGGAAAACATTCAAGAATTGAGTAACATTGTTATAACAAAACTTTCATTCTCATGTACTTTTTATGTGAACAAGATTTGTGATTAAATCTATAGAAATAATGGGAATAGAAATGAAATGAAACCCTGTCTTATTCAAACAAAAATTAGCATTTAGCTATGATTATGTGAACTAATTCAGTGTGGGAGAAGAGGAAACTATATTCATTCCATTAAGAGATATACTTTTTGGAAGCTTTGGATTTTTTTTTTTTTTTTTTACATTTCACATTTAATAATCTTTCTCAAAATTTATAATATACCTAATATTAATTGTAATGCTAATCCAGTCTATAAAAATGTATAACACAGAGCTTTATGATCACAGGGAATTTTAAAAACCAATTTTTCTCGATATTCATATATATACATTATTACAGAGAAGGATGAAGTATGGCAAAATGATAAAAACACTTATGAACATAAATATATTTTATATTAGGATAAACTAAAGGGAAAAAAGGAACAAGAAAAAATCTGTCTTTTAACGAGGGTCATATTTATTTTATAAGTGGATAAATGGTGGCAACAAATTACTGAGTTATTTAAAGTTTACTGGATAAGTTTATATTATTTATATGAATGAGTTTTATTTGAAAATGTCATTCTTTACAATATTGTGAGAAAATGTCATCCTTTGCAACTACTTAAGCTTATGATTAAAAACATTTAGATAACTTAAAATCTGTGTGAGAGAGATACATAGCTTTAAAACTTAATTTTGAAAACCATTGACTTAGAGCAAATGTGTAATTAGTAGTTGCAATTAGTCGGCATTTAATCAGCTTCCCAAATACTTAAAAAATCTTATCTCCCTTATTTTCAAAACATACTTACAGAGCTAACACAACTTAAAATGGGGTAAATCCTAACCTAAAGCTGTATAGAGAAAAATATATACTCAAATGCCTATATTGAGAAATATTACAAAACACTGGAAAACTCTTAGAAATATGATTTTTCTTTTAAAAACACTGTGAAGTCTGAAGCATATCTCTGAAAGAGTCATTGAACTATACACACTAGTTGAACTTCAAGATTTGGTGTCCAAGATTGTGAGAAGATGCCCATGTGTCTCTATGGAAATTACAGACTAAGTAATGTCATAGACACTTACTTCACCTGTCTGTGTTGGAGTAGACAATTGCTGTTGGGGTTTTTATTTGTAATTATTTTTCCTTTTTACCCTGGATCTAACACTAATTGTGCTTCATCCTACTGCATGTGCAAATCACTCTACAGGCACCGAAGTTGAAGAAGAGCCATCACTCTTTGTTAGGACACTAAATTGTGCTCTAGGGCACTTAAGAATATATAGACCCAAATGAGTTAGAGTACTTACTAAAGTGCCGCTGTACAACTCAGGAAACAACTGACTTGATAATGTAAATCTGGCCAAATAACTGTTAATTATTTGCAATGCTTCTCCTAAGTATTTGTAAGAATCTTGACGCTAAGGAAAACTTGCCTTTATCTCTTTACAAAGCCAGAACTTGCTGTTTTAAAACCAAAGATCAAGCTAGGTTCATTTTTGGTTTTGCCAAGGCTATGAGCCTCTCATTGAAGTTGCCTGAAAGGTTCAGTCCAATTGGCTTTACACCAAATAAAACGCAGTGTGCTCTGTTACAGTTTTGACCCAGAATCAGGTGAATCCCAGCAGTTTTGGCTGAGCTACATTGTAAAATTTTGGATTTGTTCAGACTTGACACTTCCTGGGAACCCATTCAAACTGAAACCGGAAAAAGGTTTTGCACAAACCCTGTCCTAGCCCGTTCTGCCAAGTTTCCCACTGCTCTAATGTTAGTCTACCTTCTGTATATTCGCATCGAGGGCAAACGGAAATATCCTCATGAATCTCTCATGAGGGATCTTGGGTGAAACAATCTAGACATTCTCCTTTCTCCACCTTGTCCCAAAATACACAGCCTGTATTCTATGTTAGTATTAAGCTATGTACGTTTTCCAACAATGGGGATATCTTCAAAGGGTTAAGCTTCTGAAACATGACTGTTTATGGTCAAATGTAGAAAATACTGCTAAAAAAGTGGGCTGTTTATGCAGAGGTACAACCTTGTGGCAAAAGGTGATGACCAATTTAAAAAATGTGAGGTTTCTTTCAGCCTATAAAAATTGTTTTCTACAGCCCTGTCAAATTTTTCATAAACATGATAACATAGGAAAGGTATCACTGGGAAATTGCATAATGAATGCAGCTTCACCAGCAGATGAACTTAGTATTATTGAATTGCTCAGTGTTTGGAGGTCAGACTGACAGTGTCGTATTTGATGCCGATAAGTAGTCATACTGCCTTTCTAACTTCCTTGGTTGATAATGTGTTTTATAGGCCTGTTCTAAACAATATTAAGAACAGCACATTCTCTGGGTAAAAGCTCTTGCTTTATATTGTGAAGATAATATGAATGTATATTGTAAAGCACAATGGCAGTATCTTTCTGTAAAATACAACACATGTAAGAAATGCTTTCTGCTCTCTTTAAGAGAGCCTATCTGGGTGAAAGCTCAGAGTAATGATAGTATATTTGATATCTTTTTAAGATCCTAACTTAACCATAAAATAAGATATTCGTATTACACTCACAATATATAGTGGGGGGAATAGTATATTTTATACACATTTTAAAGTCTTTAATGAAAAACTAATATGGAGAATTTTCATTTTGTGCATCTAGTTTTAACAAATTACCTTCAATCTTTAGCTGAAAATTATTATATGAATAGTTTTAAATGATGGAAAGTGATATGAGAAAAAATAGTATCTGATTAATAGTCAGAAAATCTAGATTCTGGTCATGTCTCCACCATAGCCAGGCACATGACCCTGGCCAAATTATTTAACCTCTCTGAATTTCAATTATTATTATTTTTTTTTCATGATTGGGCTGGACTAGATCATCTTTAAAAGTTCCTCTCCCAGCTGGGCGCAGTGGCTCACACCTGTAATCCCAGCACTTTGGGAGGCCGAGGAGGGTGGATCACCTGAGGTCAGGAGTTCGAGACTAGCCTGGCTAACATGGTGAAACCCCGTTTCTACTAAAAATACAAAAAATTAGCTGGGCGTGGTGGCGCTTGCCTGTAATTCCAGCTACTTGGGAGGCTGAGGCAGGAGAATTGCTTGAACCCGAGAGGCGGAGGTTGCAGTGAGCTGAGATCGTGCCATTGCACTCCAGCTTGGGCAAAAAGAGCGAAGCTCCGTCTCAAAAAAAAAAAAAAAAAATTCCTCTCCCTTGTAGGCTTTTGTCTAATATAGGAGGAATTAAAAATCTGGGGTGTTCACAAAATTTCTATGTTGCCAGTAGTTACTATCAAACAACTTACCCTAGTTTAATCATATTATATTATGTATGAGATATTTATTATGTCCCTACTATGTCTCAACACTGTCATAAAGCATACAGCAGACAAGGTTCCTGCTGCCATGGTTCTCACATTTTAGATAATGTTAGAACTTGATGCTAGAAATCCTTGTCAATACCCCTCACCCTATTCAAGAGAAGTCTAGAGGCCAGAGGAGTTTATGAATTTCTAAATGTGACAAAACTAGGGCTAAAATTCAGATGTCCTGATTAGCAACACAGCATTCTTTCTATTCCACATCCTTCACTTGTGACTGGTGAGAGTAATGAAGATATGCGTAAAGAACGCTTTGCAAGTATTTAGTAAATGATACAAAGTGAAGAGGAAGAAAATTTGCAATCAAATCTCATATTTACCTTGAGCAGGGTAAGAAGAAATAGGGTATGGACATTTTGGGACCATATTTAAGATTGTTATAATATGCCCTAAGCTCACTGGTAAATGGAGTTTCATACAACAACTTTGATCTAGTTTTCCTCCTTTTGAATGTTGAAGAGTTGGCCTGCCCCTAGATTGCATTACTAGTTCTATCTTGAGCTTTGTCAGTGATATTAAACACCTCAGTTGACCTTTTTTTATGCATCTGCATAACAGCTGTAATACCACTTACACAAGATTTTATAAAGTTTGTTTAGAGCTTTTATTAAACTTTGATCTCAGATGAAAGGCTGGAGAGAGTATAACTTGTTCTATTAGCACTGTTAGTACAAATACCCAAAGTGGTCTCTTGTTAATTATTTAACACTAATATATGATTTCATCCTATCATATGCCCCAATTACATTACATTTGAACATCAAACAGTAAAAGGCCAAACTGTCAAAATAGCCTGTCCATTGTTATTCTCTTTAGGCTCACTTCTTAATTATTTTGCTAGCTGGTCTTCCATAAATGATTTTCTGGAGCTTTTGTGATGTTTTTCTCTCCTAGCATCTCACTGCTACCTATGCTTTCTATCACAGCAGAGGCCTTGACATGGTTGGTTGATTGCTATCAGGCATTAACTATATAGTGGCTTTAGAAAGCCACTGAAACATAGATAGACTCGCTGACTTAAAGTATGTGGATTCTATGAAGTACTCCCTTTACATCTTCTTTTCCAAGAACTTCTGATTTTCATTTTATCCCTTTCATTTCTAACTCAAACCTCATTTTTCTGTGAAATACTTCAAAGCTCCTACTTCTACATTAGTTTTTGCTTGAAGAAGAGTACGTTTGTTCCAGAAGTGTAGGAATTAAGTGACAGGGTAAGGTAAAAGCCTGATACTCTCCAACTCTGTTGGATGGGAGTTAGAAGACCTGATTGTGAATTCTGGCTTTTTCACATGGGCGACTCACTTAACCTCTCCAAGCCTGTTTCCTATCATCTAGGAAATGGGACTAATTCTTATCCTGCATGTGTCACAGTTTTGCTCAGAAGGTCAAATGAGACAATGGATGGGAAAGTCCTTTTCTAAATTTTAAAAATAATCATCCCCGATGTATGCATTACCTTTACCAGCCACAACAGCAGTGTGTGGACTGGAAAGGTTTGGCCCATTAATCAGGACATTTGCATTCTGTCCTAGTATTGCCACTCTGGTTATGTGCCTTAGCACTCTGTGTTATGTTAATTTTACCTCCAAAATTCAGCTCAGTTATTTTACATGTAGGCTCTAAGAAATTTAGATTTAGAGTTCTTATTTAATAACCCCAGTAATTTTAGTTCAACACACCCTCACCCCCAGATTCAGTTGACCCGGGGTAGGACCCAGTATTTTTTAAAGCTTGCCAGATGATTGTAATGTACAACTATGGTTGAGAATCACTGATTTATGCCATCTTCAACATGTCCTTCAAGAATTGCCTTTAGTGTGTCCCCTAAAACCTGGTGTTACTCTGCTTTCCTGGATTTTGTCCTACTCATTAACACAGACTTAATTTCATGTCTTTTCTGCTGATAGCATCATGTCTTCTCTCCCCAGTATTTTTTCTTTTTAATCTATTGAAACAACAGTTGTAAGATTCTTTCTCACACATTATTTTCCATAACTGTCCAAGGATCAAGGGAGCTTCATTTTAGCCTTTTGTTAACATTAAAATTTGTCAGATCTAACTTCAAGGACCAGTTTGCTCAGTCATGAACTCGCCAAATGACCAATTCTCTTATTTTAACAAATTACAACAAATTGACTGATTTACAAAACCATTATCTTTGGAAACTATATAAACAGTTAAAAACAAATTAGTGGTTATTGTTTATTTTTATGGTAAATCAGTGTAATTGCTGGTATATTGATTAAGATTATGTAAACTGGCTCTCTCATCTTCCTTTTCTAATTTTTCCTCTTACTACTCTTGTGTTAATCCTTTGTTGCATCACACTCATTGCCTTTCATTCATTTCTCCATTCAGCATGTGATAACCAACTACTCCATGCAATGGATTCAGTAGGAAGCATGGTTCCTTCTTATAGGCACTGCACTGGAGGGTGGCATGGGACAAGTACTTCTTGTTTGAAGTCCTATCAGACTCCACAGAAGTGGTTTGAGTAGGCTCACAGGGAGGAGAAACTTGAGACTAAGAGGATGAAGAGGATTCTGAGAATGATGGTAAAAGGTTGAGAGCTTTTCAAGGGTGGTTTACTTCTCAGTCTACTATCAGGGTCAACTGAACCCAATCTTGGTTTTAAAATTTTTTTAAGTATTGATTTTCTTAAAATCAAATAAAAAACTTTTATCCCTCTTAAAAAGATCTTCTATGAAGACACAAATAGAGATTTTCCTTATTTTTAAAACATAGTAAGTCCCATTCTGTCTTGCAGATACATAATAGATCTTGGTGATCTCATATTCTTGAAGTATTTTGCTATTTTATCATTCTGGAAATTATTTTATCATTATTCATCAATTGTTTCTAACTGTGCTAGAAAGAACTAAAATAATATGAAAATAGAGGAATGATGGAATCACATAGAAGGATGTTAGAATCAAAGAACTAAATAATCACTATTACATAATACTTCATTTTTTAAATTATATTGCCCAAAGTATGTCCGTGAGGAGTCTGAGATTTTGCACAACTTGCAAGCCGGCAAGGTAGGTAGGCCCTTTGGCAGATTATTAGGTCATGAGGTCATGAGGTTGGAGCCTGCATGATGGAATTAGTGCCCATATAAGAAGCAAAAGATACTAGAGAGATGATCTCTCTCCTGGCTATGTGAGGACACCTCAAAAAGGGGGCTGTCTACATAAGCTAGGAAGCAGGTCCTCACCAGACACAAGATCTGCTGGAGCCTTGGTCTTGGAGTTCCCAGCCTCCAGAATTGTGAGAACTAAATGTTTGTTGTTTAAGCCACCCACTTTATGGTATTTTTATTACTTATTTTATTACTTAGCAGCCAAACTAAGAGAGTCCCTATGTTTAAGAGTTTTCAATTTAATGGGAAAAAAAGATGGCTAATGAAAAATTATGATATAGTATACACGTTTATCTCTATTGACCTATTTTCATTCAGAAACCCAAAGAATGTTCTTGAGCTGAATCTGGTCAGCTTTAGCAGAATAAAATCTGGTATAGTGATGTCGTAGATTTGATTTGCACATAGTAGGTGCTAGTAAATGCTTGTTGAGTACAGGAAAGACTGGATGCTGTATCCAGTTCTATTAATAAGCTTTTGTGAAATCCTGCCTAATTTTCGGAGTATTGCATGTTTTCTAGAGTTTTCATAGCACACTCGAAGTGTCCAAAGTTGTGTGGTTTTGGCTACTTTTAGTTACTAATGTGTCTGGTAAAGGCTGCAGGACTTACTCATTTTAGTTGAATATGTAAAATGAAGTAGGGGAGGGGGCCTGAGTTCAAAACTTCAAATTGTTTTGGCAAGACCAACTCTTTTTCCTATTTGCTACCAGCCACAAAGCTTCATTGTTGTCCAGTTGAATGAATGCATGGCTTTCATTTGGGCAGGGAAGGGAAGGACTTTCTAGCTATTGGAGTTTCAAGAAAGCAATTGGTTGTGGCAAATCTTAGATGAATGTGTTCACCAAATAACATTGTCAGCTGTATTGTATCCACTGGTTTTCATGATCCATTTTTCACAGCCAGTGGTTGAAGATTCAGCATCAGGCCAACTTCAAAAATATATACTTGTGCTCACATGTACTCCATATGTACCCTCTTAATACTTTTTGTTCAGCCATTTAGCCTAATAGAGCATCTCAAACATACTTAACCTTTAACATTAGCTGTCTAGATAAATTGTTTGTCAAAATATATTGCTCTAACTTCAGATTATTGGTACTTTTAACTAAGTATGGTTTGGCAGTGAGGATTCTTTGAGACAGTGCAGCTGGATTTTTGAAGGTTTTAAGATATACCTGATAGTCTCTGCTTCCGTCTGCTTTGGCAGCAGTCGTCAGGGAAACACTTTGCTACAAGAGCCAGAAGAGTGTTTCTAAGTGTTCAAAAAAGGATTAATTATGAAAGTAAACTTTAAAAATATAGGCATAGTTGATCTCACTTATTTTTGAAATAAATCTCAATGCCACAATGGTAAAAATAAAATACCTTGCCGGATTTCTGTTTAGATCTGATCTGCCTGTCACAAGAAATTCATCCATATAGGAGGATTAGCTGTTCACATGGTCTTTCAACATCCAAGTGCTGTGTGTGGAGTAATGGAAAATGATTAATTTATTTTGTCATTCTCTTTGAGAACACAGGACATCTCTAAAAAAGAAAATAGCCCTTTATTTTGAGGACAGAGAAGATTAATTATGTTTACCTCACCAAGGCGCTTTTAAATAAATCAACCTAGACCCTACCTTAGCCAGAACAATGATCATTCCTAATCAGAGCTCTCTATCAGGACCCTCTGCTCCAG
This sequence comes from Homo sapiens, assembly GCF_000001405.40. Lineage (NCBI taxonomy): Eukaryota > Metazoa > Chordata > Mammalia > Primates > Hominidae > Homo > Homo sapiens. The sequence goes on along the minus strand of NC_000014.9, from coordinate 80,542,796 downwards.
GTTAAATATGGAAGAGACAAATGTGATTACCTACTTGAGGGTGTCTTGAGGACTTGGGGCCAGGGCTTTGCAGGATTCAGGGAAATGATTAGCATTTCTCAGTATCTGCCCTGTGTTGGGTGTCCCCATCATTGTCCAGCAGGGCCAAGCTCCTATAGACTCATCCATAGGAAACATGTTGCTCTTCAGAGCACTCACTCCTATGCCATGTCATTAGGTCCACAGAAGACTTGGTTCTCATCTTCCTCTCTTTAACTCGGTCTATACTGTCTATCTGAACTTTACCATCCCCTCATTCTTCTTTCAGTTCTGTTTTTTGTTTTTATTATTTCTTTAATTTTGAGTCTGTTGAGAAATATTCTCTGTCCCTCAAAGATAGTCGATTTTTAAATTCTGCATTTAAAATATAATCTTGCAGTATTTTTCTTGCCACAATATTTCTAAGTTCTAAATGTATCTTTATGTATGTTTATGATAAGGTTTTATTTAATAAAATTGAAATGTATTCATGTGTGATACCAAGTACTCAGCATTGGAAATATAGGTAAAAATATCATCCTGCCTTTAAGGAATTTGCAGTGTAATGAAAGAGACAAGTAAACACACATTACAAAATAATTACACACAGGATGGGAGGTACATATACACATAGGAAATACTAAGGATGGGCACTTAACCCAGAGTTTAGAGGAAAGGCTCAGAGAATAATAACTAGTGTTATCATTGTAGTAATAGCTAACATTTATTGAGTGCTTACCGCATGCCAAGCCCTGCTCTAAGCACTTTACATGTGTTAATGTATTTGATCCTTACAACAACTCTGCAAAATTAGGAAACTGAGTCCCAGTGTAGAGGGATCAGGAACTTTTCTATAGACAGATAGCCAGTAGGTGACTAACCCAGGGTTTAAACTCAGGTAGACTGCCTCAAGAGCCCAAGCTCTTAACTGTCATGTTACAGGAGGTATTGACCAAGCCCAGTCTTGCAGGAGAATCAGTGAGCTCATTTAAGCAATGTGTAGAGAACATTTCAGACAGATAGACCTTCATGTATAAAGTCACGATGGCATAGAAGCTTTCAGGACAGAAGCAAAAGTATGGAGTAAGATTTGTGGCAATAAAATGAGAAGTTAATTAGCAGTATTTAGATAAGGGTAAGATTGTGAGATTTTTTTTTTTAAGTTAGGCCAGTTATAAGGTGAAAAAAATGAAAAGCAAGTTCATTGCCTGCTTTTGGAAGCATCTTTTCTAAAAATACACCATGACAAATATTTGGAGTTGGTAATTTCATGGGGTAAACACCCAAGGAAACAAAAATGTCTTTTTTCCTGGTTTTTTTTTTTTTTTTTTTTTTAACACAGTCATTAGCTTCACTTTCTGCCATAGAAGAGTGAAGGTTTTTCCACTCCATAGGTATTCTTGGGTAAATATTAACTCCAAGAACCCCATATCTACTTTTTTCCTTAGTTTGCTTTTTCTTTATAAAATCTTTTTTTCTCCATACTCTTTCCAGCCTTTTAAGCTTAAAAAGGAGATCCTAACCTGCTATAGGAAGAACTTAATGCTACAGTGGACTATGGCTAGTGCCAAAAAGGTTATTAGAGATGTTCAGATACTGTTTTCCCATTTTCCTGACTTAGAAACTGAGAACCATGGGTTAAATTGTTTGCCCAAGTTCATACAACTGGTAATGTCAAAGCTGAGCTATAACCTTGTATCTCCTGATTTCTTCTTATTGATGATCTTTTTTACTATGTCTTGCTGCCTGTCCTTAATCAGAAGGTTACCACAAATAAAAATATGATTAGAGAAAACATTTTGTGGACATATATGACATTTTCAGAAGTTTACAGCCAAAATGCATGCTCTTGGGGTGAGAGAGTGTTTGGGGTAAATCGGGAGCATTTGGTATGGTACCATTGGCCTTCTGGGGATTCCGCCTATTCTCCCTGTAAATTTTTCACAGACCTCTATGCAAAGGACACCCTGAGGTGGGTCTCAGAGTTTCTGCTACTGTTCAGCAAGTCCCCAGCCTAGGAGTAAGATGCCCATCTTCCCCTCACACAGCACTCCCAAACTCCACAAGACCTTCTCCTGGTTAGGGGTGAGGGGCTAGCAGTCTGCTCTCCAAATGACATCCTGATATTTATTTAGAGAGTAAATGAGAGGATGTCATTCCTCTGCTCAAACCCTCAAAAGACCTTCCATCTCATTAAGAATTAAATACAGAATTTTAGCTGTGGCCAAAAAGGCTCTAAAACCTCTTGCCCCAGACATCTTTGGCCTCACCTGGCTGCAAGCTCCTACCTGGCCACACCAGGCTCTTCACTATTCATTCCCGCAAAGTGCCACACAGGTGCCCTCCTTAGGGCCTTGGCCCTGAGTTTATCCTTACTGGGGGAACCTGTTCCCATTATTTCAAAGTAGGTTCTTTCTATTTTCCGTAAGTGTCAGCTGGCTGAGAAATAAAGAGAGACAGTACAAAGAGAGAAATTTTACAGCTGGGCCGCCAGGGGTGACATCACATATCAGTAGGACTGTGATGCTCCCTGAGTCTCAGACCAGCAAGTTTTTATTAAGGGTTTCAAAAGGGGGGGGGGTGTAAGAACAGGGAGTAGGTACAAAGATCACATGCTTCAAAGGGCAAAAAGCAGAACTACTACTAAGGGTCTAACAAAGATCACATGCTTCTGAGGGAACAGGACAAAGGGAAAAAGCAGAACCATTGATAAGGGTCTATGTTCAGCGGTGCACGGTGCATGTATTGTCTTGATAAACATCTTAAACAACAGAAAACAGGGTTCGAGAGCAGAGAACCAGTCTGACCACAAATGTACCAGGGTGGAGTTTTTCCCCACTCTAGTAAGCCTGAGGGTACTGCAGGAGACCAGGGCGTATCTCAGTCCTTATCTCAACCACATAAGACAGACATTCCCAGAGCGGCTGTTTATAGACCTCCCCCCAGGAATGCATTCCTTCCCCGAGGTATTAATATTAATATTCCTTGCTAGGAAAAGAACTTGGCGATATCTCTCCTACTTGCACATCTGTTTATACGCTCTCTGCAAGAAGAAAAATATGGCTGTTTTGCCTGACCCCGCAGGCAGTCAGACCTTATGATTGTCTTCCCTTGTTCCCTAAAAATTGCTGCTGTTCTGTTCTTTTTCAAGGTGCACTGATTTCATATTGTTCAAACACACATGTTTTACAATCAATTTGTACAGTTAACAGAATTATCACAGTGGTCCTGTGGTGACGTACATCCTCAGCTTATGAAGATAATGGGATTAAGAGATTAAAGTAAAGATAGGCGTAATAAATTATAAGAGTATTATTTGGGAACTGATAAATGTCCTTGAAATCTTCACAAGTTATGCTCCTCTGCCGCGGCTCCAGCCGGTCCCTCTGTTCGAGGTCCCTGACTTCCCGCAACATATCCTGTCCCCATTGCTTTCCTCTGGCAATGCTCATGACTCAGTCTGCTCCAAAACCATTGCATCAGAGAGGCTGTCACAGACCCCTGTGTCTAAAATAGAAACCCTATCACTCACTACCACTTTACCCTGCTTTACACTTCTTCAGAGTGTTTATGACATCATATTTTATGAACATGTTAGTTTCTCTCCCATTTCTGTTCCTGAGGACAGAGAGTTTTTACCTTTTCACCTCTAGAACAGTGTCTGAGGCATTCAGTAAATATTTGCAGACTGAATAAATGTGAAAAGCTTTCCTTCATCAAATAGTATTCATTCATTTGTTTACGTAGTATTTGCTGAATAGCTCTCCTGGGTCAGGCACTTTGGTGGAATGCTGGGGACATATATTCCCTACTCTCATGATGCTTATTGCCCACTGCTAATGCAAGCATTAATAGGTCACACAAATTAATATTATATTAGTGCTCCAGTAAGTGTTGCCAATGTGAGGCTCATGAGGCAATGGAGAGATTGTTTCACAGTATCAGAGAAAGCCGGGGAGCCTTCCCTGAGGAAGTGATGACTAAGCTGACATACGAAAGAAAGTAAAAGTTAACCAGTTCACTTAGGATTTGTGCTTTTCATTACATGCAAATTCTACATTTAAAAAAATAATGAAGTGGAGTTGATGATATGCGTGCTGAATTAGGTGAGGGAACGTGTATTAATGTATGCAATGTACTTCGAAATGCACCCCAAAAATAAGTTGGATCGAAGGATAGACAGAGTGATGGATAGATGGATTGATATATGATAAAGCAAATATAAAACATAATGTTAATAGTTGAATCTAGGTGGTGGGTATACGGGTGAGCTCTGTAAATTTCTTTCACATTTCCTGTATGCTTGAAGATGCTTATAGCATTGTGGGGAAAAGTGTTAACTGGATAAGGAAATTGGAAGGAACATTCTCCATGGAAGGCACAATATGTACAAAAGTAATTTTTGTGCTATTACACTTCTATTACTTTAACATCTTAGATGATGTTTGTAGAATAGTAAATGCATTTCTAAATGTTAGATATAGTTTTAATTAAGTTTGGCTTTTTTCTGCTTTGTGCTCTGTTGACTAGTTTTTATTAACTCTAATTTTAGATGGTCACTGACCTCTTCACGTTTTAGAAGTTACTAGAGTTGATGGTACCTCAGAGATTCAGCTTTAAAAAAAAAAATCTGCTGTTTGAAAAGTACTTGACACTTTTCAGTTCACATTCACATTCACTGTCCTACTTGTGCCTATCACAAGTAAGTACTTGATAGTCACAAGTAAGAGAGTGAATGTGAATGTATTGTTCTGTGGGCGTAGAATAATAAAGACCATTAATATTGATCCCCATTTTGCAAATAAGATACGGAAGCTTAGAAGGGCAGGGCAAAGTCATATTCCCAAAATCACAAAACACAAGTAAGTAACATTACTGGAACTATGAATATCCACAAATTAGGGATGCTGATTTCCAATGCAGCATATATTCCGCCTCTGTTCATCATTCAGCTGGTTACACGTGTTTGGGACCTGTGTATCTAGAAGCATAGTTTCTTTACCTGTCACCATAGCAAAAATTGCTAAACACAGTATCTTCTAGGAAACCTTGGCTTATACTGTTTGTTCATATTTTAACATGCAATCACTTAAAAAGAATTGTTTTTTTGCAAACGCTCTGAAATTTCTTTCCCTTGTGAGTACATTTTATGTTCAGTTTTAAGAAATGAAGTGATTACAATTAAGTAGATTGTAGATCTCAAGACCCTCCTTCTTGTAAAACAGTTGTAAGTGCCTAGTTTATTGTTCAGCACACAGAGAACATTAAACTAGTCCTCATTTGTCTTTGTGTGTTATTTTTTCTTTATATCAGGGAGTGGCAAGAATGATATGAAAGAAGACAATTTCAAGAATCCTCTGGGAAAGAGATGATTCTTTTATTTCCTCTGTCTTCCCTTCTCCATCAAATCATTCTTGGTGTTTTCGTATTGAAAGGAAAAAAAGAAAACCCAAATCACTCATTTGGAGAAAATACTACATCTTTTTAAGCTAATAGTAAGATAATGGGTTGACTGTAACATAATTCACTTACATGTAGAAATAAGAAAGCAGTAATTTGAAATGGCAGATTCTGTATTTCATATAGTTCCTCTCTTAAAAAAAAATACTGTGAATAGGAGTTGGAAAATACCTAGAAAGCCTTCTGTATCTCAGTTTTCAGTGAAGATATGTTACCTGTTCTCAAATTTTATCATTGCTTTTTAAAGGAGATCTACCACTTTTGACTACAATAGTGTTATATGAAGACAAATAGAATTTGTTGTTGACAAAAACTCTTTTAGATGTTAGCCCAAATGTAGACACTGATGTCATAGTGCCATGTTAACTTAACAAGCATTTTTACTTAACAAGCCTTATGTACCCTCTTACCCCAATACACATGTAAACACTTCTAAGTGGGCATCTGATTTTTTAGACCGCTCATAAAATACAGTCTAGAAATAGAGGACTCCTCTGATATCCCAAGAAATACACACAACTTTGAACACTGGGGCTCATAAAGAATGTGCATCAACACCGTGACTTCGGTGGCCTATTCTCTGCTACTGTTTGGTGTGGTTCCAGTGAGTGTCTTATACAGTTTGGAAAACAGGGCCCTATGAAGCCAATACAGCTGTGCTGGATCGAGTTACCACAAGTGAAAAGGCATACAGTCTATCCATTTCATGATCTCACCCTTCCTCTCCCAGAAACGTGTTTACTCAGGTCCTTTTACCACCTTTCAGCCATTTGTCAGGAAAGTTTTGCAGTGGATCTGTTTCCAAATGAAATAGAATTGCATTTTTGAACCCAAATAAACTGCTTCATAGCCTTATTTATTTAACATGTGTGCAGTGCCAAAAACTCACACATTTATTTTTAAAATAAAAATGTAGATATCATCTCCTTTAATTTATTCATCATCTAAACCTCAAAACACATATGATTTCAATAACACTATAAGAAAATGGTAGTTGTTACATGTTAATAAGAAAATAAATGTGCATTTTTTTTCAAAGAGCAGTATAAATACTAAAATATATTTATGGTTAAATCTGTTCCTTAAGTTTTCTCTACAGGAGACAGGAATCTAAGAATTGCAATGCATTCCCCCCTTTTAATTCCTAATTGCTGCTACTTATGTTGTCATACTATATTATTTGGTTTCCCTGCAGTCAGAAATAAAGGAACTACTAAGGAAAAATGTACTGTGGAACAGTACAGACAGCTGAACTTCATAGGAGTTTGGTGTTGTTGCAGATTTCAGAATGGCAAAACTGACAGCTTACTCTTTGCCCTTGTCAACAGATAGCCAAACACATCTGTAGGTGCAAAAGCCACAGGGCCTATTAGACAAGATTTCTGAATTTCACTATTGCCTCTACCACTTGATCTTGCCCTTAGTCTAGAGGAAATACATAAAACATCAAACTTGTGCTTCTGGGGTTTTAATAAAGAGGTCAAGATTCAGTGGGTTTATTAGAACATGGTAAGTCTACCTTTGTCTGCATTCAGCCAACATTTATTTGAAACACCTCTTAGTGGCCAGGTAGTATGCTTCACTAGTGTTAAATGTTATGAAAAAAAGAAAAGGCAGTGTTAGTATCATAAAACTCCTCTGACATTTAACATCCTATAATCAACAGAAACACTATCCAGACCCCATGTGTGTGTGTGTGTGTGAGTGTGTGCATGTATGCGTGCGCGTGTGTGCACACAAGTGTGTTTAGACACGTGGTCCTGAGTACAGACTCTTTAGCACCAGTGAGATTACATTCTTTATGGTTTCATCTTAAAACTTTTCTTCCAGAAATAAGCCTATCAAGGACACATCTTCAAAGTCTAGCTGCTAAGAGTTGATAGCTAGAGGGAAGTTAGGAATTTACATAAAGCACTCACTATTTAGCTTCTAGTTGCAATGTACTCCGTTTTAGCTGGCAATTTGCCATGAAAATATTTTCCTAATAAGAACCTTGCCATTTCTGCATTCAGACTGCTTGGATTTGCATCCCAGCTTTGCCACCATCTGACTGCAAGGAAGTTATTTACACTCTCCGGTCCTCAATTGCCTTATCTGTATAATGATGATAACAATAATACGTACCTATCTCTTATGGTGGTGTGAGGGATTAGGAAGTGTATTCAAATTTGAATTATGTGTTCATGGTTCAGTCTTTCATTTTGCTACTAAACAGGATTAAGATTAACTGATCATCTGCTTTGACCCTACTTCTAGGTCCCTGGAAGTCCAGCTCTTCTAGCCTCTGAGATAAACCAAATATACACAATGTACTGGCCCTTTATGAAGTGGAATCTTAATTGTGAACTTTTCTTTGTTTTCTAATTTTAAACCCCTTTGTAAGCATCTGATTTATTTATTCTCGAAAACAACTAAAGACAAATTAAGCACGTGTCATATGCTGGTGACATTATTGAAATAAACTTTGCTCCCTTTTTTTTTTTTTTTTTTTTTTGAGACGGAATCTTGCTCTGTCGCCCAGGCTGGAGTGCAGTGGTGTGATCTGGGCTCACTGCAAGCTGCACCTCCCAGGTTCACTCCATTCTCCTGCCTCAGCCTCCCAAGTAGCTGGGACTACAGGTGCCCGCCACCGCGCCCGGCTAATTTTTTGTATTTTTAGTAGAGATGGGGTTTCACCGTGTTCACCAGGATGGTCTCAATCTCCTGACCTCATGATCCACCCGCCTCGGACTCCCAAAGTGTTGGGATTACAGGCGTGAGCCACCACGTCCGGCCCTGCTCCCTTAACAGTGGGGACTTGTCCATGCCCTTTAAGGCATGAGATAATGTAAGGCAGAAAAAAATTAACCAACTTAGAAAACAAAATATTTCCCTGACTCTGCACAAAGTATTTTGCCCTGGGAATTAACATGACATAGGTCCTCATGACATCTCTGAAATACAGCAAGTTTCTTATTTTAAACTATTCATCTGCTAATGGATCTTGTCTCTCTGGCTGTGAGCTTTGGGGTGAAAATAATTTTGAAATCTTAAGTAATGTGACAAGATTCTAATCACAGAATCCCAGCCAATCTTAAATTAAAAAAAAAAAAGTTGCAATGTTATTCATGTTCTTGAGTTTGTATGCCAAAGTGGCAGTTTTAAGTACACTCACATACATGCAGAGAGAGAGAGAAGAGCCAGAAAATACATTTTTCTCCCAAAAAATATCACTTAATCATGAAATTATGAGACCTGAGACGCCTGTAAGATTGGACTCATTGTCTTCATTACTTCACATCTTGTTGTTGCAAATGCCCTAGTTAGTTCAGCATTTGTGCATGCAATTCCCTTAAAGTAAGTACAAATAACTTTTTTCTTTGTATAATTATTACATCTTTTGTTCCCCTGGGTGAGCTAAATGCTCCTGAAGAACAGGACGTATGCCATCTATGTTTGTGGATCTTTCTATGATATCCGAGATACATATTTGTTGTTAATTGACTAGAATATAAGGATGAAAAGAAAGGTATGTGTACCAGAAAGTGTTTCTGATATTGAGGAAGATATTTATAAGCAATGCATAAATGGAATATAAAATAAGCCACAAGTGAAATAAATAGTGAGGAAGTATAAAGATTGGTTAAGGGAGATGGGGGCAGCGGGGGATGGCAAGGGAGGGGAGAATAAAAATAACTGCACTGAGAAAAGAAGGAGTCAAGGAGTTTTTCAAAATTCACTCACAAAAACATAGCCGTTTGAATATACATCCAAAACCATCATATAATTGTCAAAAATAGTATGTAAACACATGCAAGGAAAAGAATGGTTTCATGTAGTCGCCTGGTTGATTGAAAATTTTAAGCAAAACTATTTACTTAACATGCTGCGTTTTACAGTAGGGTAAGAGATCATTTACTTATTTTGAGCACAAAATGAGTTTTACATACTTACTTAACCTTGGTTCAGAAGATCACTTCAAAATGAGAAAAATTATGGAACAAAAAAAGGAAATAAAGTTTTAATACTACAGATATTATTGGAGTGTGTTTATGAAGAGGATTTTATGCAATGCATAAAATTTTGATTTAAAATCATCAGGGCATTGCTTTGTATTTTATTGTTCAAGAGTCAATAAATTCCTAAGAAAACCTATAATTTTATTATTTAAATGAATATGGCATATACGGTGGCTAAAACTGCAAGCTCCTAAGCCTACATGTTGTGGCTTATAGTAAGAAACACATCATTTTGATGAATCTTTCCTACACATGAAAAAATTAGATGAAGTCATTTAAAATGCATGGCAGTGTAAGTGAGTACATGTGGCCTAAAGACTAACAATAATATAAATGTTAAGCAGAAGGAACAAACTACTAAATCCTTTCAATGGAACTTGAAAAAGAGAACTTTATGAACTTGAAGAAACAGCATGTAGACTTCCCTTTCAGAATGGCAGAGTAAAGGTATTTCTGCCCTTCTCAAAAATCTCATTACAAAAATAAGGATATGAAGAAATAGAAAAACTGATTTACACGTGTCAAAACTAGAAGACATCTGTAACTCCATGTCACAGAACATTGAAAAGTAGTAAAATGACTCAGAACAGAAAAGGTGAAACTCAAGGATCTGCCAAGGGGATAGCAATGGAAAGCAATCAAATATCATTCACCCTGCAGAATTCTGGAAAGCCATTTGCATTGGAGTAATTAGCACAGTTACTGTGGAAGGAGGGGTGGATGGGTACATTGAAAGTGTCTGTAAGGAAGGGTTAGACCCTCAGCCCTCTGTCTCCATATGTGCCTCTACCCTGAACCCCGTGAAAGACATAAAGTATATGCTGTGGGGGAAACTGCATCAGTGAGGCTCTGGATTGGATATGCCAGGCAGAGAACAGCATCTCTCTGTTCAGGGAGATGGGAGATTTCAAATAGGAAAGTTAACTGAGAAAATAATGAACTCCTCCCGAGAAAAAATTATATAGCTGGGTGTGGTAGTGTGTGCCTGTAGTCCCAGGTCCTCAGAGGCTGAGGTCAGAGGATCCCTTGAGCCCAGGAGGTTGAGACTGCAGTGAGCTGTGAATGTGCCTTTGCACTCTAGCCTGGACAACAGAGCGAGACCCTGTCTCAGAAAAAAAATATATATATATATACTCATAATTGAGAGATTCCCCATTCCACAAAATGAGCCAGTTGACTACTTATTTAGCTTACAATTTCATTATTTAATTCTCAGGGTAGGTATTATATATGATAATTAATGCTATATGATGCATTGATAACTAACTCTGAAATCTTATGGCTTAACACAGTAGAGGTTATTGTGTGACTCACGTGAAATCCAATATGGTGGGCAGCTCTCATCTTAATCTTGTAGTTATGCCTTCTGGAGCATGTGGCCATCAGGGTCCTCATGGTAGGGGCTGGGATAGAAGGGGGAACGCTCAGGTTCAACTGTCTCATTCCAGAAGTGACACTCTCAGAGTCCATTGTTCAGAACCTTTCACAGGGGAGAAGTAGGGAAGCACATGGAATATTGAGGGGCCACTAACTTCCCTGCAACTTTGTGCAAATTTATGTCTAGGTTCTTGCAGTACACTTCTCTTTCTTCCCATGCGTCAGCCATAGGGTTTATTGTTTATTTCATTGAACAATTAAAATCCATTTTAAATTTAAGAGCTAGCACCTGTTACCCACCTAATATGTCTGGCATTGTGACAGAGCTGAGGATACAGAGATGCCTATAATATATATGCAGTCTCTAGTCTCAAGATTATTTTACCATTTAACTTTTTATTTTATGTTTGCTTTGAAATAATTTTCATATCATTCTCACTTAATGTTCACAGGTGGGTGTAACAGTGATCAGCTAATTAAAGACTGTGTAATAAGTTATTGACTTATGATCAACAGGACCTTGTGTCCCTGAAGCAAATGTTTAATTTCAGATATTTCTCCCAAATCTTGAGAACCACTCCTCTTTCCCTTTTAACTGAAATAATTGCTGAGAACTCTTTTCTTCTTTATAATGGCAACATTTAAGAATCTCTAATATACTCCATAGATAAGTAACTGCAGATTCATCTGTTTCTCAGTATTACCTCATAGTCTATTTCTGATGTTCACTGAAGCAGGTTTGTAAATTAATATTAATATGAAATAGTCTATAGAAAGTTTCATAGCATATCAGTTGAAAGCAATTATCCAGGAAGAATTTTTGTATCTGAGTCAGTCTTGCAAATGCATCTCATATACTTTTTAAAAGGAAATAATTCTTCTATTTTCAAAAGATACATTTATCTTGAAAATACTATTATATATGTTCTTATTTGACTGTCTAAATCTACAGTTTGAACTGCTTCTTACAGTGGTGCATCTGATTTTTAGTATGTGGATTCTGAGAGTATTAATCAATTTTTTATAATGTTTGGTTTCCTTATGTTTTCTATTTCAGAGTACCCAAGTGGCCTTGGACCATCTGGAGTCTGTGCCTGAGAAACTGAGCCTACTAGAAGATTTCAAAGACTTCAGAGTGAGAAAGAGTTGGCTTGTCTCTTTCAGTATTTTATCTGAGTGAGAACACTTGACATCTTCCTGATGTGCAAAGAAAAGTATAGAAAAGGAAGAAGGACCAAAAAACATTGGGAACTTTTAACATACCACCTTATCAGGGTTTATTGACATTTGTGAAGTTAGAATTGAAAACAATGCAACTTATGTATTAGCACAAGATAGGAAGATATAGACTTTCACTGTACTACTAGAAGCTCAGTTGGGCCCCTAAAACTTTAATGATAATTTAGAAAAGCCTAAGAATTAAAGGGAGTTACACATTACACTGACAATAGATAACTTTTTTGGTTAGCAATTTTAATTTGTGAATTATTTGGGTACTGTTTGTTTTAGAGATATGGTAGTTCCCAAGTTATCTTTACACTATGACATATGAACTCAAATCCACGTAAATTTCACATTTCATATTTCATGGCCATTTATTGATAGACCTCTAACCACAAAGCATTTCATTATCAAGCCAATTAGTTACATGTGTTAATTTACATTGTGTAGTTTTTTAAATTCCTCATAGAGGAGATATGCAAAACAAATATCTCTGCTGCCAGTCCTGCCAGACAAGGTCTGGTCCCAAGAACGTCGTATATAGCCTTAGGGCTGCAGATGCAATGTAAAATTTTAATGATTTATAATTTATTGACCTTGTATAGCTGAAGCTAACAATGGGAAGGATTTCTTTTTGGCAACCATGTAATCATATTTCACATTGGCCTTAAAATATAACTTATGTTATATTTAGGTTCTGTTTAGATCTGACATATTATTTGAAGATACAGTGGATAGGAAAATGGCCAGATCATGCCATATTGATTTATTGGAAGCATTGATATAATGTGGTTCCCAAGGTCTACACTGTCTTAAAATTACCTTGCATTAAGCATCTTTTGGTAGTTCAGTAACTAACATTTTTGAGTGAGATCCAGTTTAGCTGACGAATCTAGAAAGCTAGACTATCCCAAATTGAACAAAACCAAGTGTTTGATTTGATTATATATTTGCAGTTTAAATATCTATCAAAGAATTATGAAACCAGTATCCAAAACAGTGCAATTTCTGTTTACTCTTAAACAACCCAGTGTGATAGGAGACAATATGTTATGCCCATATTATTTTCATTTTTTTCTCTGTAACTAAATTATCCAAGTAAATGAAGGGCAGACAAGAGAAAATATGGGAAACAGGTTGCACTTGTCACTGAGAAATAGATACCTGTCTTATACCAGCATAAAAATATACATTTTAACCTCCAGTGACAGATCACTTTTTCCCCAGTTGTCTACAATGAACAGAATGTTCATAAGTACAATTTAAAAGTTGTATTCTCTACTATTACCAAAAGGCTCATTATTATTATTTTTAATCCTATGAGCTAGTGATCATCTACAAGTCTAGCTCATATACATACAGACTCACATATGAAGATGCCTAAATAGTAAAATTTTTTGGGAGAGTCTTTTTCAGAGTTCAGCATTGTACTTCCCAATATACTGAAATTGAAACGTTTAGCTTGAAAAGGGAAAGAGTTAATTAGCAAGTGTTATGCACACAGTGCATGATACTTAGCAGGTGCTAAGTACTTTATGGTACATGTTTCCTAATCTTCAGAGATACTCTATAGATGGGTGTTATTTTCACCCATTTTATAGATGAGGACACTGAAGCTTGGAGCCCATAAACTAGCTGGAGGTGGGATCTAATTCTGTGTAAAACAGCAGAGCCCATCTGCTTCGCCCTGCTGCTTTTAGCTTAAAATCCGTTCTACATGTACTCTAAAGCCCTCTATGTGATTAAAAAGAGCTGATTTTAATCAAGTTAATAAAAATGACTAGATATAGCCTTAAATGAAAATACATAAAGCCTTGAGATTATTAGATGTGGATTATATTTATTCAAACCCTTTCAACTTTCTAAAAATCAGTGTGGCGTGAACAAGAATACAAAGACCTAAGTTCTGGTCCAAAGTCATGCACCAGACAAAAATCACCTAATGCCTCAGGAGATATGTCCGCATTCATCTGATGAGGCACCTGAACAATATTATCTCTGGGTTCCTATATACGTATTTCTTGATAGTACCATAGCCTATGACTTTTAAGTGTGAGTACGGACCTCATCTTATTTAGATAGGCCTGACTTTATTCTTGTTTAAATGCGGTCATATTTATTTTGAAAGAATTGTTGGCTGGGCGCAGTGGCTCACGCCTGTAATCTCAGCACTTTGGGAGGCTGAGGTGGGCTGACAACCTGAGGTCAGGAGTTCAAGACCAGCCTGACCAGCATGGTGAAAGCCCGTCTCTACTAAAAACACAAAATTAGCTGGGCGTGATGGCACATGCCTGTAATCCCAGATACTCAGGAGGCTGGGGCAGGAGAATTGCTTGAACCAGGGCGGCGGAGGTTGCAGTGCACTGAGATCGTGCCATTGCACTCCAGCCTGGGTGACAGAGTGAGACTCCGTCTCAAAAATAAAAAAGAATTGTTTCAGCTCTATAATTCCATATTTAAACATTACATTTTTGATTAGGTAGAAAGGGAATAGCATTGAGTTCTAAGTCCAATCTGCCACAAATTGTCCAGCCCTGGGCAAGTCATTCTTAACTTCCCTGGGCTCTAGTTTTTTAGAGGTTTTTGTTTTGTTTTGTTTTTGTACTAAGCATGAGAACTTTGGAATTATAATACCCCTTCTAGCTTGAACACTCAGTAAGTTTAAGGTTTCTTGGGACTTTGAGGGACACTAAATCCGTACGTGTTTTTTTTTACATACCAAAATCAGTTGTCCTCATTGTTTTTCTAATTTCTCCCTAAATAATAATAGAAATGTCTAAATAATTGTCTATAGTGACTGTTTGCTGTGTTCCTTCTTCCCCCAAGAAATGAAGAGGAAAAAAAAGAAAAAAGGCAGGCCTGGAAATTTTTGTTTTCTTAATTTTTTTTATTACCTGAATCTTTTTATGTTTTTAAAAGCAAAGGAGCTATCCTCCAGTTTAAAAATCTATGCGACATAATAGTTAAAAGGTGGGATGTTGTTTATGGATAAGTGAAGTAAAAGGGCTCTAGTTTTACAGGTAGCAATTTTTTAAAACAAGAATATATTGATGCTAAGTACCAATGCAAGTGATAGTACACAGCATCCAAATGTGGCATGTGTCATTAATGACATCTTTGGACAGTTCATTGCTACTTGAACCTTGTTCTAAAGGGTGTCAGTCACTGTAGATGGGCATAGGGACTAGTTGTTAAAAGAATTCAGGTAACCACTGTAGGATGCATTGTATTTTTATGGTTTTATCCACAGTGACAATTTTCTTCTTTTTCTTGTTCTTTTTTTTTTTTTTTTTAGACAGAGCCTTGCTCTTTCACCCAGGCTGTAGTGCAGTAGCACAATCTCACTGCAACCTCTGCCTCCTGGGCTCAAGCAATCCTCATTCTCCCACCTCAGCCTCCTGAGTAGCTGGGACTACAGCCATGCACCACCATATCTGACTAGTTTTTGTATTTTTTTGTAGAGGTGAGGTTTCACCATGTTGCCCAGGCTGGTCTCGAACTCCTGGACTAGAGCTATCCTCCCACCTTGGCCTCCTAAAGTGCTGGGATTACAGGTTTGAGCCACTGTGTGTAGCCTTCTTCTTTCTCTATGGTGGCCTGTGATTCTCCTATATATCTCTAAATTTTTGTAATTATTTATTTTCATTTTTATCTACATATAGACTCTTTCTTACTCTAATTTCAAGCACTGATTTTCTTTCATCTACCAGTTCAGACCCTTTGCTTTTTTTTTTTTCCAGGATTCCTGCAGTTCATCTGAGAGAACTGATGGAAGATATTCCAAATACAGGGTTCGCAGAAATTCTCTTCAGCATCACCAAGATGACACCAAGTACAGAACCAAAAGTTTCAAAGTAATTTTCTTTATATACTTTTTTAGTCTTTAAGTAGTATCCATGTTTAAGGCTACAACCTCTTAAGCAGCCTCTGCAGTGTTTGTGTAAGGGCACTTGTGAAAGAAAATATTTTCCTTGATATATTAAATAGACTTTCAATTCTGTGGAAATGGAGAATAAAAATCCAGAGTTTGTGCCTACCACATTTTGTCTGGGAAGTAAGCCTTAAGTCTGTGCCATCACTGCTTGATATGTTACTTGTTTACGGGAACTGGTGCTGCTTAAGAGCCAAGAAACCCCTGGTCACTTGGTTGGTCAAAATCTTAGTGTGATGATCACCTTCTTCTATGTATAAGTCTAGCTGCTCTCCACACTGAAGTCTGCAGTAGGTCAGATAATATATTGTACTTTGGAATTCTAGTCATTTTCTTCTAGAGGGGATATGAACTCCATATTAATACTTCAGCTTTTGGTTTATTACCGTGGAGCCAGCACAGGACACTGGGAAGACTTAACCGTATTAACAAAAAGCATACATTCTCTAGAGCCTACCCAGTATCCATCTGGGATCTGGGTGATTTTAAATCCATTTGACCTTGGGCAGCTCTCAGTTTAGAGCAGAGTTTCTCAGCCTTGGCATTCTTGATATTTGGGGCCAGTTAATTCATTGTGGTAGAGGTAGTCTTATGCGTTGCAGTATATTTAGTTGCATCCCTAAAATGTACGCACTAGATGCCAGTAACATCTCCCATCTCAAGTTGTAACATCGAAAAATGTCTCCTGACATTGTCAAATGTCCCCTGGAGGGCAAAGATGCCCCCTGTTGAGAATGCTGACCCAGAGAGAGTCCATCTATATTCAAATGTGCACTCCAAGTCAATTAAAAAAAAGCTAAAGGTTTTCTGGCTTTTTTATATTCTTACAAACTTGAATATGTATGAATATTCATTACACTGTATATATTCACTTATTACAGTGAAATATAATTAATTCTAAGAAGCGTCTTTCCTCCTCTGAATGTAATTGGATAGAATGCTCAGTGGATATAAAGACAGTGTTCATTTCCATAACTCCTTCTTAGCATGCTTAAAATGAGTATTATACTTCCTCCCTTCCAAATAAAAATTAACACAATTAGGACAGGTT
Source organism: Homo sapiens (assembly GCF_000001405.40). Lineage (NCBI taxonomy): Eukaryota > Metazoa > Chordata > Mammalia > Primates > Hominidae > Homo > Homo sapiens. The sequence continues at coordinate 80,525,740 of NC_000014.9, read as the reverse complement.
ATTGATACCCTTACTGTGAAGAGAGCATCCTGTGACTTTGTTCCTTTTTACCTTTGTTTTTAATAGATCCGTATATTCACTATAGTGGTGACCTTGTCTCGTATGGCAATTTTTAAGTTCCCTAAATCATCTTCCAACATTCCCAGTCAAGTCCTACAAACTCAAGCATTTCTGCATCATGTAAAGGAGTGCCACTAACCTATACAGAAATACAAAGTTTAGGCTATGAGAGCTAATGATTATTGAGCATATTTTAGAACAAACCACAAGACATTTCTTTTTGTAGGTGTTACATGCCTTATATACCTTATCATATTTAACATTCACAGAAATCCTCTCAGATAGGCGTGATTATTTTCCTTCTTATGCCATTGAAGAAAGCAAGGCTGTAGAGTAATAATTAAATGGTTGAATCGGGATGAAAACCTAAGTCTGCCTGGCTTTAGTAATTTATGTCATTGACCACTGTGCCATTACAGTATAAATTTAGACCTTATATACCTAATTTTTTCTGGAAGTCACCAAATGCAGGAATAATTTTCAATGTGTAAAAATTAGTGTTCTCCAAAAATACATAAACATAGTACATGCCTCTTAGTTCAACAGAGGTCTAGATGCAAATGAAACATTTAAAACATTATTTCCCAATACACTTAGAGTTGGTATCAGGTGAATCGGTGCTATCTGGTGGCACCCAAATTGCTATAAATCAATGCAATTTCCATAACAGCATATGGCAAAGCTATGAATGTTTAACGTGTTCAGCAAGTAATCTCATCGGAGTTCTGTTTAAAATTGCATTTGCAGCTGAAGAGGGAATCAGGCCTAGTTCATAAGAGGGGCCAGCACTTAGCAAAATGAAAAACAAATTTGAAAATTTTGCAAGTAGATAGTGCAAGTATAGAATAGACCTGCAGAACACATTTTATGATGGTGTTGTTCCACATTAATACTACTTAAATATTTTAAAACAGATACATTTTAGCAATGCATTTATTGACTATCACCATATGTCACAGATTCCTGTTCTGAAATAATATAGTTATTTAACATAAAACTCACAGGAATATAACATTTTTGGTAGTCATTGGTGAGGAAAATATAGGAACACATTTTTGCCAATTGTAGATACCAATGGTCGTTTTCTCATATTCCTTTCATGAAAATAAGTTTTTTACAAAAGACTGAGAGAGGAGGCAGCTTTAAAAGAAGAGTGAGCTTAAATGAGTAGTGAGAAAGTTGTGTTAGTCATTTCTTGTCTTCATGGATAATCAGAAGAGCCAGCTCTGATACATCACTGACATCCTGAAGAAAATGCTTCAGATAAGAGAAATAGGAACTCAAGAGAGAATGTGCCCCTTACTCCATCAGTTTCAGAAGACATTATTTCAGTAGCTATTAACTTTACCCACCTTTGCTAAGACAGAATTCAAAGAAAAGGCAAATTACAGGGACTTGAGTTCACTGGTTCTACTGAAAACTACAGTTCCAGGAAATCAGTGTAAGACTCAGTTTAATGCAACAAACATACTGTACAGCTACCATGTTGCAAAACACAGTACCTGTGGGTGTGGGGTTGGGGAACAAATGTATAAAGATGCAGAAAGCATGGTATTAAAGGAGAGAATAGTTACCTAGTTACCTTACTTCTAACAGACACAGGTGCTCTAGAGCAGAGGTTGGCAAACTGCTTATGGGTCCAATCTTGCCTGCCAACTGTTTTTGTAAATAAAGTTTTATTGGAATACAACCACACTCATTTATTCATATATTGTCTTTGGCTGCTTTTGCACTGAACAGTAGAGTTGAATAGTTGCTACAGAAACCATATGGCCCACAAAGACTAAAGTATTTACCATCTGGCCCTCTATAGAAAAAGTTTTCCAACCTCTGGTCTAGAGGAAGAAGAAATTACTAATCTACTTCTTCCTTTACACATTATATGACATGTTTCCTTTTTCTGTATTTGCCAATCAAATAGATACTCTCCAAGCTCTTTGGAAAGTCATAATACTTATTCATTCAACAAATATTTATTGAGTGTCAGCTGTGTGCCAGGAACTTTCTAGGTGCATGGGACTCACATCAGTGAACAAAATGAAACAAAAATATCTGCCTTTTTTGTTGTAGTTGGAGGATGTTCATGTTTTTGTTGTTGTTTTTCTAAACACAGCATTAATCAAACATTTATTGGATTTCTAATGCAAACCAAGGCACTGTGCTAGGAGCTCAGGAGAATGGCATCATAAGAAAAAACATTACCAACCCTTAGGAATTTAAATCCTTCATACAAATTACTGTGGTACAAAAATGAAAAGGGCTAAATGCTATAAAGGTGGCCCCAAAAAAGTGGCCCCAATAAACTGCATTGGGGGTTCAGAGGAAAGAAAGATGCTCAAGAGTCTTTTGAAAAGAGGTTTGTAAGGACAAAGCACAAGAAAACATTTATCCACATCTCAGTTTGGGAGAGGATCACTATTAGAATTTCAGTTGTAGATTCTGACTATATTACTGTTGACAGACAAATAACTGTTGGAATAGCAGACCATGTTGGCAGCTGGCTTCTCTTATGTTGTTGCTGTTGTAAGAAGGCACTGAAACATCCAACATGACCACACTGCTGGTGTAGGGAAGGGTTAGCAGGAAGTGAGCAAGTCAGGTTCTCTTTCAATCAATCCAAGGCTAGAGCCATCTCCTCTGTTTATTCCTGTGGCAATCACCAGGACAAAAAGGATCAGCTTTCTAGAAGCCTGTCAAGATTTTGAGCAGGACCAACATCCACAATTGTGAGAGCATAATGTAATATTGTCTTAAGTTGACCAAGCTAACTGGACAACGCCTGATCTAAAAGCTTATAGTTAGAATTCATTTCAAAGCTGAACCTAACACAACATTTTCTCTGTCTTGGTAGACAAGAGAAGCATTTCATGGCCTCTCTTTCATCAAGCCTAATTGGGTTTCTGTAGGACATACAGGCTTCCTTCCTGTCTCAGCTGTTTCAAATAGAACAGAATGTTCAAAAGTCAGCCAGTAACACAGCATTACTAATTTGAATTCACAGAGGAGCATGGTTTTGTCCAAGACATCCCCATTTATTACCTTTACCCATACTAAATATATGGTTTTAATTAACATTGGAATTTTTTAGTAAAATTGCAGAAGGCATGTTTATTCCCCATCCTTCTTCCCCTTGAAAGAAAAGTCATGATTTTTAACTTGTAGTTGAAGAGTTAGTATACAGTTTCTTTTTAAACAAACAGATGTTTTACGGGATAAGATGAGGTAGGTGAGGAAGCATTAATAATGGCTTTCAGCAGAGTCTACAGAAGCAGAGTTTGCCAAAGCCCTGTCATATTTGTTCAATGTAAGCATGTGTGTGATATAAGTACATGTTTTGTTCCTTGAACTCATTTCTCTCTCATTGAATCTTTGTGATTTGTTTATACCTTGCTCACAGCAATTAATGGCTGTTCAAGTCAGCTATTTCTGTACATATCTTAAATCTTCTACAACAGTAGCTTCTAAAGCATGCTGTGTATAATTCCTGGTACAATTCAAGTTTGTAGGTGATGCATAAACATTTTTATTTTAATGACTGTAAATATATATCACTAATGGATTATTACGTTGATTTTTACAGATATTGCTTAGGAATAGTAGTGGCAACCATGGGAGGATTTGAGAGAGCTTTAACTCTACAATACTCCAATTATCTCATTTATAATAACTACTCCATGCTTTGATAAGAAGTCATATGTAAACTAATATGCAAATACAGCTCTGTGCTTCTCTCCATCTTTTAAGCCTCCCCTATACAGAGATTTAGAGTGCAAAGTTAACAAGTAAATGTAAGAGAAAACAGTAGTAAAACTGTAGGTGAACACTGATGTTTGGGAAATGCCCTTCTACTAGATTGTATGGGCTTTTGAAGGCAAGCACTGCCGGGACTCCAGAACACACAGTGAGTGTACAATACATGTTAAACTGGTGATTTTAAAAACTTCTTAAAAAATCATTTTCTAGTTTCAGCCTTTCTAAAATTCTAACAAAAATTTAATTGCTATTTTTCCAGTAATGCTTACATGACACATTTAAAACCTTATAGGCAATCAAATCATGCTGAAATATGAAGATATGTTTATTCTCTTGAAGTGATCAAGACTAACCTGCAAGCCATATTTAACTAGTCAATTTCATCCTGCTCTTCAAAATTAAACGAAAGGTTGCCAGTTGAATTGGTATTTTTTTCTTTGTTATAAAATCTGAAAATCGTAATGGATCTAAAGTGCTTATTCAGAAATCAACCTGGGTACTTCGATGAGTATAATTAATATTTTAACCTATTAGAGCTGCACTTTATCAAACCCAATTCCCTCAGCAAGCCACATGCTTTTACCCTTCCAAATAATTTACTCAATAAGAATATTAAGAAAAGAAAGATTGTGAAGAAATTTAGCTATAGAAGCCATTTTTAATAATCTCTAATTCAAAATTCTAGGTACTAAAAACAAAAGAAATACCAATTAAATTTATTAGTTTTTAACAAACATCATAATATATTCATCCAAACAATGATTGTTTCCTTTAAAATAGTCACTTTAAGGCCGGGTGTGGTGGCTCATGCCTGTAATCCCAGCTCTTGGAGGCTGAGGTGGGTGGATCATGAGGTCAGGAGATCGAGACCATCCTGGCTAACATGGTGAAACCCTTTCTGTACGAAAATTACAAAAAAAAAAAAAAAAAAAAAAAAATTAGCTGGGCGTGGTGGCGGGTGCCTGTAATCCTAGCTACTTGGGTGGCTGAGGCAGGAGAATGGGGTGAACCTGGGAGGCAGAGCTTGCAGTGAGCCGAGATCGTGCCACTGCACTCCAGCCTGGGTGACAGAGCGAGACTCCATCTCAAAAAATAAATAAATAAATAAAGTCACTTTAAGAAACTAAGCGCTGATTCCTATGAACCATCATTAAAAACATCTTTGCATCCCTGCCTTTATTTCTTATGTCAATGGCACATTTTTTTGAGTATGCTTGTTTATGGCAAATTTTTATCTACTATGAGTGGATTTGGTTTCTGAAAATGGATTAAAGTCATGTGAAGCCAAGTCTGAAGTAAGTAAAAAGAAAAAAAAATTGAGTAAAATCTTTTCATTATTGACACACTAGGAATATATAATTTTATACAATAAAATATCAATTAGCTATTAGTCCTATTATGAAAACTAGTCAAAGAGATTCAAATGGATTTATCTAGAATAGTATTTTCATAAGTCTGTTAATAGGGTAAATGAATGTTGTTTTTTGTTTGTTTGTTTGTTTGTTTTTTTAGATGGAATCTCGCTCTGTCACCCAGGCTGGAGTGCAGTGGCACAGTCTCAGCTCACTGCAACCTCTGCCTCCTGGGTTCAAGCAAGTCTCCTGCCTCAGCCTCCCGAGTAGCTGGGATCACAGGCATGCGCCACTATGCCTGGCTAATTTTTGTATTTTTAGTGGAGATGGGGTTTCACCATGTTGGCCAGGCTGGTCTCCAACCCCTGACCTCAGGCGATCCGCAAGCTTCCACCTCTCAAAGTGCTGGGATTACAGGTGTGAGCCACTGAGTCTGGCCTGCTTTGGGTTTTTAATATTGTTCTATCAATTTGGATTCCCAATGGTAAATTTGCATAGTTTGCATAGTTAGAAGTACTGGTTGTTCACTGTTTCTGTCTGGATAGATTAGAATCATAAAATGTTAGTGCTGAGAGGACTTAGAGATGATCTGGTGCAGCCCCATAATTTTTTTACATCAAGAGACTGAGAATGTGAGAACAGTAATTTCCTGTTTCCCAGCTTCCACCACAGCAAACTTTAATTTCTGCACTTTGGTCAAGAAATGATCATCATATGACCATTTATTGAGTTCTTTAGTGTAGATGGCACAGTGCTAAATTGTGGAGTATTTGGATGGGTAGATGGAAAAATGAGTAGATGGAAAGATGGGTAGATGGAGACAATCATAGCCTCACCCTCTTGGAGGTTAAAAATGTAAAATAGCAGCCACACAGATGGAGACATGGAGGGCAGACTTTAAGTAAAACATCTGCCCAGATTAAACTTTCAGATAGGAATAAAGCAGTTTACTGAGGAAGAGATTAAGTTTTCTTGAGCACTGATAGAGAACTGGGAATTCAGAATAGGGCAGAAATGGAAGGACAGTGCATTATTAGGCTAGAGACAAATTCAGGAAAATATTTTGCCAGGGAATCTGAAATACATACGTGTTTGTTCCTTCTCTCCAGGGGAAGGGCTGGACAAATTAAAATTTTAAAAAATTAAATGTATCATTTGTCTCATACACTTTGAACTTATAATATTCCAGAGAGAAAAATACTTGGTGGGTATCATTAAATATTCATCATTAGAGATCAGCTTAGCAAAGACATTTAGTCAGGTTGGAACAGCTTTTTAAAAACCAATTACAATGTGGGTTATGAAAGAGAAGTGGAAGAAGCCCAGGAAAAATATTAGAAAATGCAAGTCCCTTCACCCAGTGGAACTTTTGCAGAGAATTCTGGCTAACTAGCTTGTTGAGACTTAGGACAGCAATGAAAATAGGTCCTTGTGCTAAGTGTGTAAGAATTGGTAAGAAGCAAAAGCTGGGATTATTAGAATTGCAAAGAATGTTCCTTTTTAACAAATATTTCCTTTTTAATACTTAAGCTTTTGGTGCAAAGATAGCTAGGAATTGCAAACATTCATTTTATGGTCACCTTATAAAATTTACTTTTATAGAAGTTCCACAAATTAATTATCAGTATAGAATTAGAGGAGATGACATTATTTTTTTCATACTCTGTTATGTTGATTGTTCAAAGCATTTTGAAATATTTTTATTTTAGGGTAGTCTTTTAGGGTTAACTTGGCTAGTTTTGTTTCAAGGTAACATAATAAATTCTGACAATATTTTGAAGACTTATATTAGAACTTAAAGATATAATAGAGTTAAACCTCCTCATTTTCCAAAAGTGAAAGAAATAAATGTGAGTGGTTGAATCATGAATAAGTCAACAATTGTAAAGGGAAGGAATAACAGTCATAAATGTGTGTTCACCTATTAACAGTGTCAAAATATATGAAGAAAAAACTGATAGAATTGTAAGGAAAAATAGACAAATCCATAATTACAGTTGGAGATTTTAACATTCCTTTTTCAGCAATTCATAAAACAGTAGGCAGAAAGTCAGTAAAGACACAGAAGACTTGAACAATACTATTAACCAAGTAAATTTAATTGACGTTTATAGAATACTTCCCCAACAACAGCTAATTACACATATTTTTCATGTACACATTGAATATTTCCTAAGGTAGACTATATTCTGAGTCATAATGAGAGACAGGGCTAGCTGGATTTCCTAGGGCGACTAAGAATCCCTAAGCCTAGCTGGGAAGGTGACTGCATCCACCTTTAAATACGGGGCTTGCAACTTAGCTCACACCCGACCAGTCAGGTAGTAAAGAGAGCTCACTAAAATACCAATTAGGCTAAAAGCAGGAAGTAAATAAATAGTCAATCATCTATCACCTGAGAGCACAGAGGGAGGGACAATGATCAGGATATAAACCCAGGCATTCTAGATGGCAATGGCAACCCCCTTTGGGTCCCCTCCCATTATATGGGAGTTCTGTTTTCACTCTATTGAATCTTGCAACTGCACGCCCTTCTGGTCCGTGTTTGTTACGGCTCAAGCTGAGCTTTCGCTCACCGTCCACCACTGCTGTTTGCTGCCATCACAGACCTGCCACTGACTTCCACCCCTCTGGATCTGGCAGGGTGTCCACTGTGCTCCTCCTGATCCAGCGAGGCGCCCATTGCCACTCCCAGTCAGGATAAAGGCTCGCCATTGTTCCTGCACGGCTCAGTGCCCAGATTCATCCTAATCAAGCTGAACACTAGTTGCTAGGTTCCACGGTTCTCTTCCATGACCCACAGCTTCTAGTAGAGCTATAACACTCACTGCATGGCCCAAGATTCCATTCCTTGGAATCTGTGAGGCCAAGAACCCCAGGTCAGAGAACAAGAGGCTTGCCGCCATCTTGGGAGCTCTAAGAACAAGGACCCCCAGTAACAATAAAACAAATTTCAGTAAAGTTAAAATGATTGAAATTATACAATATATGTTGTCTATCCACAACAGAATGAAATTAGAAATTAATAACAGAAAGATACCTAAAAATTTCCCAAATATTTAGAAGTTAAACATGATACTTCAAATAATCCATGGATATGTCAAGAAATACATCAAAAGAAAAATTAGAAAATATGTTACCTATATAAAAATTAATACAGAATTTATGCAAATTTGTGAGATCATCTAAAAAGTGCTCAGAGGGAGATCTGTAACATGAAATGGGTATATTACAAAAGAAAAAATGTTTCAAATCAATAGTCTATGTTTCCATTGTAGAAATCTAGAAGACCAAGAGCAAATTAAACCCAAAGTAAGTCAAAGCAAGGATATAGTAAATTTAAGATCAATGAAATTTAAAAAATAAATAAATTACCTAAAAGCAGGTTCTTTGAAAAAACCAATAAGAATTAAAAACCTCTTGCCAGACTGATTAGGAAAAAAAAAAGAGAAGATACAAATGGCCAATATTAGGAATGAAAGAAGAACATTACTACAGCTCCTAATGATATTAAAAGAATAATTAGGGGGAGGAGGCAGAGCAAGATGGTCAAATAGAACCCTCCAGCAATTGTCCCCCTATCTCTCAGGAAAACCAAATTGAACAATTAACTATCAAGACAAAAAAGCACTCCTATATGAATCAAACTTAAGGCGAGCAATCACAGTACCTGGTTCTAACATCATATCAAGGAAGAAGGCACTGAAGAGGGTAGGAAAGACTATCTTAAATTGCCTACACTTCCCCACTCCTCCCCCAACTTCTGGCAGCAGCCACGTGGTGGGAGAGAGAATCTGTGTGTTTTGGGGAGAGAGAGAACAGTGATTGTGGAACTTTGCATGGGAACTCAGTGCTACCCTGTCACAGTGGAAAGCAACACAAGGCAGAATTTAGTCATGCCCATGGAGGGAGCATTTAGACAAGCAGTAGCCAGAAGGGAATCATGCATCCTGATAGTTGGAATCTGAATTCTAGCTAGACCCATCACCATGGACTAAAGCACTGTGGGATTCTCAATAAACTTGAGAGGCAGTTTAGCCCACAAGGACAAGCCTGGTACTATGCTGGGCTTGGAGCCATTGGAGTGACCTAGTAAGACAACAGCCAGGGCTGTCAAGGGAGTGCTAGCATCACCTTTCCCCCAACTGAGGCAATACAGCTCGCAGCTCCAGGAGACACTCCTTTCTTCAGCTTTAGTTGGGGAAAGGAGGAGAGTAAAGAGGACTTTGTTTTGCAACTTGGATACCAGCTTAGCCATAGTAGAATAGGGCACCAGGCAGAGTCCTGAAGCCCTCATTCCATGACATAGCTCCCAGATAACATTTCTAGATGGATCCTGGGTCAGAAGAGAACCCTCTTTGTTGAAGGAAGGACCCAGTCATGACAAGATTTATCACCTGCTGACTAAAGAGCCCGTAGGTCTTGCACACCTGTAATCCCAGCACTTTGGGAGGCTGAGGTGTGCAAATCACCTGAGGTCAGGAATTCAAGACCAGCCTGGCTAACATGATGAAACCCTGTTTCTACTAAAAATACAAAAAAGTTAACCAGGTGTGATGGTGTGCACCTGTAATCCCAGCTACTCAGGAGGCTGAGGCAGAATTGCTTGAACCCGGGAGGTGGTCGTTGCAGTGAGCCGCAGTTGCACCATTGCACTCCAGCTTGGGCAACAAAAGCGAAACTCCATCTCAGAAAGAAAAAACGTAAGTGGTACCCAGGCAGTACTCGCCATGGGTCTTAGGTAAGACGCAGGCCTGTGCTAGCTTCAGGTGTGACCCAGCACATTCTCAGCTGTAGGTGTCACAGGGAAAGACTTTTCCTGCTTGAGGAAAGGAAAGAGAAGAGTAAAGGGGACTTTGTCTTGCAGCTTGGGCAACAGCTCAGGCAGAGTGGGGACCCTGATTCCAGATCTTGGCTTCTGGACAACATTTCTGGACCAGTCCTAGACCAGGTAGGAGCCTGTTGCCCTGAAGGGAGAGGCCCAGGCCTGGCAGCATTCACCGCAACCTGAATGAAGAGCCCTCAACATTATCTGGTTGACAGTTGTTTGAGCGAACATCGGTAGTAGTCAGGCAGTACTCATCATGGGCCTGGGGCTATGGTGGTCACAGAGAGAGACTCTTTCTGCATGAGGAAAGGAGAGTGAAAAGTAGGGAGAACTTTGTCTTGTGGCTTATGTGTCAGCTCAGCCTCAGTAGAACAGAGCACCAAGTAGATTCATAAAGTTTCCAACTCTGGGCCCTGGCTCCTGGATGGCATTTCTGGATCTGCCCTGGGCTGGGGCAGAGCTCACCACTCTGAAGGAAAGGCCACAAGCATGGCTGGATTCACCACCTGCTAACTGAAGAAGCTACAGGCCTTGAGTGAACATGACCAGCAGCCAGGCATTAGTCATCATGGACCCAATAGAGTCCTAGTGGTGATGATTACAGGGATGTTTCTATCACCTCTCCCTCATCTCCAGGCAGCTTGTCATGGAGAGAGAGATTTCATTCATTTGGCAGAAATTAGGGGAAGAGAAAAAGAGATTCCGCCTGGTAACCCAGGGAATTCTCATGGATCTTATTCAAGACCGCCACGCAATACCTCTATGAGTCTGCAAGACTCACAGTGATACTGGGCTTCAGGTGCCCTTTAATGCAGACATGGCTGCAGGGACCAAAGACTTAGATCACAACACTCAATTCCCTTTGAATACTTGGAAACCCTTCTCAGAAAGGATGGATCCAAACAAACCTAGACTGCCGAGACTACAATAGATACCCAACTCTTCAGGGCTCAGACATCGACAAATATCCCCCAGCATCAGAACCATCCATGAAAATATGCCCTCACCAGACAAACTAAATAACACACCAGAGACTGATACTGGAGTGACAAAAATATGTGACCTTTCAGAGAATTCAAAATAGCTGTTTAAATAGCACCACAAAATTCAAGATAACACAGAGAAGGAATTTAGAATCCTATTAGATAAACTTAACAAAGAGATTGAAATAATATTAAAAAATCAAGCAGAAATTTTGGAGCTAAAAAATTTAATTGACATACTGAAGAATGCATCAGAGTGACTCAAAAGCAGAATTGCTTAAGCAGAAGATACAATTAGTGGGTTTAAAGACAGGCTATTTGAAAATATACAGTCAGAGGAGACAAAAAAAAAAATAATGAAGTACACCTATAAGATCTAGAAAATAGCCTCTGTTGATGAAAAGAGTCAGACTTTGTAAAATATTTGAAGAGATTTATTCTGAGCTAAATATGAGTGGCTGTGGCCCATGACACAGCCCTTAGGAGGGTCCTCAGAACATGTGCCCAAGGTGGTTGGGGTACAGCTTGGTATATGTATTTTAGGGAGGCATGAGACATCAATCAAATACATTGGTTTGGTTCAGAAAGGTGGGACAACTCAAAGCAGGGGCTTCCAGGCTATAGGTAAATTTAAACATTTTCTGGTTGACAATTGGTTGAGTTTATCTAAAGACTTGGGATCAATAGAAAGGAAATATTCAGGTAAAGATAAAAGATTGTGGAGACCAAGGTCTTTTTGAAGTCTTATAGTGGCTGCCCTTAGAGACAATAGATGACAAGTATTTCCTATTCAGATCGTTAAAAGGTGCTAGGCTTTTAGTTAATCTCTTCAGGATTGGGAGGGCCTGGAAGAAAAAGATCTAGCTATGTTAGTAGAGATTCTTCACAGACGCAGATTTTCCCACACAAAGGATGGCTTTGCAGGGCCATTTCAAGATATGGCAGAAAAACGTGTTTTGGGGTAAAATATTTTGATTTTCTTCCTTGTGTTGTACTGTTATGCCAGAGTCAGATTGGAAAGTAAGTCACGATATATAGAATTAAATAAAACCCATCTGATGAGAATGTATAGTTTGTAGGGCACAACTCTCCAGACCCCTTAGACAGGAATTTGGGCAAGATTAAAAAATAGAGCTTAGTCTTCTCCTCAAAAGGACAGACACAAGAGTTTTTGGCCTTAAAGAGGAGCTAGAGAGAGAGAGATTAGAGTAGAAAGTCTTTCAAAGAAATAATAACAGAGAACTTTCCAAAACTACCGAAAGATATAAATATTTAAGTACGGGAAGGTTATAGAACACCAAGTAAATTTAACCCAAATAAGACTACCTCAAAACATGTAACTCCCAAAGGTCAAGTATTAGGAAAAAAAATTAAAAGCAACAAGATTAAATAAACAAATAACATTCAAAGAGCTCCCATACATCTGTCAGCAGACTTTTCAGTGGAAATCTTACAGGCCAGGAGAGGCAGGCATGACATATTTAAATTGCTGAAGGAATACAACTTTTATGCTAGAATAGTGTATCCAGGAAAAATATCCTTCACATGTGAAGGGGAAATGAAGACTTTCCCAGACAAACAAAAGCTGAGGGTATTTATCAACACTAGACCTGTCCTATAACAAATGCTAATGGGAGTCCTTCAGTCTGACGTAAAAGGATATTAACAAGCAATACTATATCATCTGAAGGTACAAAACTCACTGGTAATGGTAAGTACACAGAAAAATCTGAACATTATAACACTGCAATTACAGTGTATAAAGTACTCATACCTTCAGTAGAAAGACTAAAAGATAAGCCAATCAAAAATAAAAACAAATACATCTTTTCAGGACATAAATGGCGTAAGATAAAAATAGAGACAACAAAAATTTAAAAGTGGGAGGGGTGAAGTTAAAGTGTTTTTATTGGTTTTCTCTTTGCTTGTTTGTTAGTTTGCTTGTTCTTGAAGTGTTATCATTAGTTTAAAATAACATGTTATGTTATTTGCAAACCTCATGATAACCTTAAATCAAAAAACCTACAATGGATACACAAAAAATAAAAAGCAAGAAATTAAAACATACTACCAGAGTTTTACAAAAAGGAAGACAGAAAGGAAGAAGAAGACCAGGAAACAAACATAAAATGAATAACAAAATGACAGGAGTAAGTTCTTGCTTATCAATAATAACAGTGAATGTAAATAGACTAAATTCTCCAATCAGAAGACACAGAATGACTGAATGGATTGAAAAAGGAAACAAGACCCAATGGTCTGTTGCCTACAAGAAACACACTTCACCTATAAAGACATATGTAGACTAAAAATAAAGGGATGGAAAAAGATACTTCATGCAAACAGAAACCCAAAACAGCAGGAGTAGCTATACTTATATCAGAAAAAATAGATCTCTAAACAAAAATCTATAAAAGACAAGGTTATCATAGACAAGGTTATCATATAATGATAAAGGGGTGCATTCAGGAAGAGGATATAACAATTGTAAAAATATATGCACCCAACACTGGATTACCCAGATATATAAAGCCAATATTATTGGAGCTAAAGAGAGAGAAAGATACCAATACAATAAAAGCTGAAGACTTCAACAGCCCACTTTCAGCTTTGGACAGATTGTCCAGATAGAAAATCAACAAAGAAGCATAAGACTTAATCTGTAGTATAGACCAGATGAACCTAATAGATATGTACAGAACATTTCATCCAGTGGTTGCAGAAGACATTCTTCTCCTCAGCACATGGATCATTGACAAGGATAGACCATATGTTTTGGCACAAAACAGTTCTTTAAAAATTCAAAAAAATTGAAAAACCAAGTATCTTCTCTGACTGCAAGGGAATAAAACTAGAAATCAATTTGGAAACTATACAAACACATGGAAATTAAACAGTATGCTCTTGAATGACCAGTGGATCAATAAAGAAACTAAGAGAAATTTAAAAATTACTTGAAACAAATGAAAATGGAAGCATAGCATATCAAAACCTCTGGGGTACAGCAAAAGCAGTACGAAGAGGAAAGTTTATAGCAATAAATGCCTACATCAAAAAAGCAGAAGAACTTCAAATAAAAAACTGAGTGATGCATCTTAAAGAAACAGAAAGCAAGAGAAAACTAAACTCAAAATTAGTAGAAGAAAAATAATGAAGATCAGAGTAGATATAAATGAAAGTGAAATGAAAAAAATACAAAATATCAACTAAACAAAAAGTTGTTTTTTTGAAAAGATGAAATTGACAAACCTTTACCCAGAATAAGAAAAACAGAGAAAAGACCCAAATAAATAAAATCTGAGAGGAAAATGGAGGCTAATTTCCACCTGATACTGCAGAGAGGATCATCAGAGACTTCAATGAGTAATTATATGCCAATAAATAGGAAAGCTTAGATAAAATGGATACATTCTGGACACATACAACCTACTAAGATTGAACCATGGAAAATAATCCAAAACCTGAATAGGCCAATAACAAGTAATGAGATCGAAGCCATGATAAAAAGGTTCCCAGCAAAGAAAAGCCTGGGACCTGATGGCTTCACTGCTGAATTCTAACAAACACTTAAAGAACTAATACCAATCTTACTCAACCTATTTCAAAGAATAGAGGAGGAGGGAATACTCCCAAACTCATTCTATGAGGCCAGTATTACCCTGATACCAAATCCAGAAGAAGACATATAAAAAAAAAAAAGGAAAAAAAAAACCCACAGGCCAATATCTCTGATGAACATTGATGAAAAAAATCTTCAACAAAATACCAGCAAACCAAATTCAATAATCTATTAAAAAGATTATTCATAATAGCCCAGGGATGCAAACATGGTTTAACATACACACATCCACCAGTGTCATACATCATAGCAATAGAATGAAGGACAAAATCCATATGATCATTTCAATTGATATTGAAAAAGCATTTGATAAACATCCTTCATGATAAAAAAAAAACCCCTCAAAAAACTCAGGTTTTAGAGGGATTTTAAAAGGAACATATCTCAACACCATAAAAGTTATATATGACAGGCCCACAGCTAGTATCATACTGAATGAGGAACAACTGAAAACCCTTCCTCTAAGATCTGTAACAAGACAAGGATGCCCACTTTCACTAGCTATTAAACATAGCCTTGGAAGTCCTAGTTAGAGCAATCAGAGAAGAGAAAGAAATAAGGGGCATCCAAATTGGAAAGGAAGAAGTCAATTATTCTTGTTTGCTGATGATATGATCTTCTACTGGTACTGAGAAGCTATTAGAACTGATAAACCAATTCAGTAAATTTGAAGGATACAAAACCTACATACAAAAATTAGTAGCATTTTTATATGCCAACAGTGGACGATGTGAAAAAGAAATCAAAAAAAGGAATCCTATTTACAATACCCGCAAAGAAGATACCTAGGAATAGACATAACCAAAGTAGTGAAAGATCTCTACAATGAAAACTATAAAACATTGATATAAGAAATTGAAGAGGACACATACAAAAAAATGGAAAGATATTTTATGGTCATGGATTGTAAGAATATTGTTAAAATGTCCATACTACCCAAAGCAATCTACAAATTCAGTGCAACCCCTATGAAAAGATCAATGACATTCTTCATGGAAATAGAAAAAACTATCCAAAAATTTTTGTAGAACCACAAGACCCAGAATAGCCAAAGCCATCCTGAGCAAAAAGAACCAAGCTGGAGGAATCACATTACCTGACTTCAAATTATACTACAGAGCTATAGTAACCAAAAGAGCATGTTGCTGGCATAAAAACAGACACATAGACCAATGGAACAGAATAGAGAGCCCAGAAAAAAATCTGTACATTTACAGTGAACTTATTTTTGACAGTTTCCAAGAACATACATTGGGGAAAAGACAGTCTCTTTGATAAATATTACTGTAAAAACTGGATATTCATATGCAGAAAAATGAAACTAGAATGTATACCTCTTATCATATATAAAATTCAAATCAAAATGGATTAAAGCCATAGATGACCTCAAATTATGAAACTACTATAAGAAAAAAGAAACTCTCCAGGATATTGGATCGTGCAAAGACTTTGAGGAATACCCCAGAAGTACAGGCAACCAAAGCTGGAGAGCTGGGATCACATAAAGTTAAAAAGATTCTGCACATTAAAGAAAACAATCAGCCACATGAAAAGACAACCCACAGAATGGGGGAAAGTTTTTGCAAACTATCCATCTAATAAGGGATTAATAACTGTAATACATAAGGAACTCAAACAACTCCATAGGGAAAAAAATCTAATAATTTGATTTTAAAACAGGCAAAAGATCTGGATAGTCATTTCTCAAAAGAAGATATACAAATGGCAAACAGGTGTAGGAAATGGGCTCAAGATCATTGAGAAATGTAAATCACAACTCTGAGATATCATCTCACCTCAGTTAAAGTGGCTTTTAACCCAAAAGACAGGCAATAACAAATGCTAGCAAGGATGTGGAGAAAGGGGAACCCCCATACACTGTTGGTTGGAATGTATATTAGTACAGCCACTGTAGAGAACAGTATGGAGGAGTTTCAAAAAACTAAAAATAGAACTACCATATGATCCAGCTAGGTATCTCACTTCTAGGTATACAGGGACCAAATGGGAGGTCATTGGATCATGGGGGTTGTTTTCCCCATGCTGTTCTTGTGATAGTGAGGGAGTTCTCACAAGATCTGATGGTTTTCAAAGTGGCAGTTTCCCATGCTCGCTCTCTCCTGGTGCCATGTGAAGTAGGTCCTTACTTCCCCTTCTCCTTCCGCCATGATTGTAAGTTTTCTGACACCTCCCCAGCCATCCGGAACAGTGAGTCAATTAAACCCTTTTTCTTCATAAACTACCCAGTCTCCAGTAGTTCTTTATCACAGTGTGAAATCAGATTAATACAGGATTATTGCACTCTGTATGCCTGTATCAAAATACCTCATGTACTCCATAAATATATACAACTGTGCTGTACCCATAAAAAGTTTTTAAGTAATTTTTGACAACATATGTTTAGTAAATGTTATGAATTACTCTACCAGTAAATTTTTCAGCTGAAATGAAAATGATATTTTTAAAAGCCTTAAAATGTATCATTCAGTAATTTCAATTCTAGGAATTTATGTTAAATACATAAAAATATGGACAAAAGTTTTTGTACCAAGATGTTTATCAAATGATTATTTATAACAGAGAATACTGGAATCAATTGTAAATTTTGAACAATAGGAAATTAGTAAAATAAAATACTATATAACCCTAATAATGATAATGATGATCATGATAGAGAAAATTCCCATGAAAAAATAGGAAACGAAATCATCAACGAAGGTGATCTCCATACAAATAGATATTTATAAGTAAGACCTGGGAAAATGTATCCTTAAATTATGCTAATAAGTTTTTATTTTAAAATATTTGTTGAATAATTTTTCTCCTGAATTTTTCCATAGTTTTTAAATTTGCTAGAATGAAATATGTCAGTGCCATATTTTGACTATCATATGCCAAGTAACTGGCTTCATCATTAAAAATTTAAATTAGGCCAGGCGCGGTGGCTCACGCCTGTAATCCCAGCACTTTGGGGGGCCAAGGCAGGTGGATCACCTGAGGTCAGGAGTTCGAGACCAGCCTGGTCAACGTGGCGAAACCCTGTCTCTACTAAAAATACAAAAATTAGCCAGGCATGGTGGCACATGCCTGTAATCCCAGCTACTAGCGGGGGCTGAGGCAGGAGGATCGCTTGAACCTGGGAGGCAGAGGTTGCAGTGAGCCAAGATCGTGCCACTGCACTCCAGCCTGGGCAACAGAGCGAGACTCTGTCTCAAAAATAAACAAAAAAAATTAAATTATTATTTTTCCCTAAATAGAAAATATATAACCAATGCTTTGATGCCAGTTGACTTTTTTTTAGAAATTTAAAACCATGCCTTTTAGGAAGAATGAATAGTATTTAAATATCTTTGTTTAATTCATCCTTCCTCTGGTAGGCGCATTTTGAAGCCACCATTACACCATCTGTTTCAACAAGATACTCAAACCTGTGTCTCTACTCCTGTCCTCTCACTGTCTGTCTCAGTTGTGGCGTTAGTGAGTAAAAGTGTGTGTTTGCTTTCCCCTTATTGGCCTCTAATCATCAAAGCATCTTTTAGTGGGAAACCATTTATTATGCTTTTCTCTTTCAAAACCATGATTTATATCAAAACCATGATTCAGTGGAGATTTCTAGCATTGGTTGAAATCATAACCCTCTTCTCCATCTATACATCTTGCAATTTCAGCCACACCTGTAGTATGTCACATCTGAACTACAGTAGCTAGTTTACCTGCCTCTAGTTGCCCAATGTCAGCTCATTCTAAAGTAGTTGTTGGAATATATTTGGGGCATAATGTATATCCTTTCCTTTCCAGAGATCCTGCAGTGAATGACTTCGAGTTTCTTATGAAATTCCCATAATTAGTGAAAATTGAAAATCCCTTGGTTAAAAACTTCAGGGTCTTCATCTTAAATCTAGCTAACCTCCTGTATTAGTCTGATCTTGTGTTGCTGTAAAGAAATACCTGAGCCTGGGTAATTTACGAAGAAATTGGCTCACGGTTCTGCAGGCTATACAGGCATGATACCGGCATCTGCTTGGCTTTGGGGAGGCCTCAGGGAACTTTTACTCATGGCAGAAGGTGAAGCAGGCACAGGCACTTCACATGGCAAAAGCAGCAGCAAGAGCTGAGGGGAGGTGCCACACACTTAAACAACCAGATCTCCCTGGTTGCTCCCTCACTATTGCAAGGACGGCACCAAGCCATGAGGGATCCACCTCCATGACCCAACCACCTCCCAGCAGGCCCCATCTCCAACACTGGGGAGTACACTTCAACATGAGATTGGGGCATGGGAAAATACCCTAACTATATCATCTCCCTTTGGAACATGAAAGCTAATGATCTTGAACCACCTGAGGATTATGTTCGTGCCTTTGGCTCAAAATATATGGACCTGTTGAAAATATTTTTAAAATGTTTGCCCTTTCTTTTGCACTTACGTACATTGTATGTGACACAGAAATAAAATATAAAGTCGGTACTTGGTAAAGAGAAGGATGGCTAATTCATCAGATGGTCATGTTACACGAGGCCTTACTCCATGTTGGGACCATATTTTGAGAAATCTTTCTGGGCCACCTAACCCACAGATATGGAATTTTTGCCAACATTTCTTGATTCTTTCATCTCCCTAGAACCCTGCTGTTATCCTCAGTTATGGTCTTAACTGATATTCATCCTTCAATCCTGTGCTGCTTCAATTCATTCTCCAAACAGAGGCCCAAGTGATCTTTGAAAAAAAAAAAAATAAATCAAAGCTTGTCATCCTTCTCCTTTAAACTCCTGATTGCCTTCTGATTGTACTTAAAAAAAAAAAAAAAAAGAGTTTCAAATCCTGAGCATGGCCCTGGACCTCACTGTAATCGCTTCCCCCAGGCTCAGTGTACCTAAGCTGTGGGGTCTTCCTCCAGTTCTTCAGACACACCAAACTCTTTCTCACCTCCACACTTACTTGAGTCTGGAACATCATTCCCTGACTGCCCTCCCTGATCCTTCTCCTTACCTTCTGCTTTCTCATGCCCCACCAATACATTTTCGCCTGGCTGATTTCGTGGATTCATATTCAACATTCAAATATTGCCTTAACTGTCACCTCCCAGAGGGGTCTTATCTGAATCCTAAATCTAAACTTGGTTCTTCCTGTTATTACCTGTTTTTATAGCACTTACAGTTTTTATTATATCATTTATTTGTTTAATGCCTTTCTCTTCTGCAAGCCTGAAGGCTTTCTGACTGTAGACCCCAATGTCTTGCTTTCTCTTAGCCTAGCACATAGTAGGTGCCCAATAAATTATTGTGAATGAATGAATGAATGAGTGAAAGAAGGAAAAAAACCACAAGTACAGTAAATAAGTAGGAAGCGTTCATGGGAAGAAAGTACAGTTTTACTGTTTATCAAAGGAAAGTATATTAAACACGTATTTTAAATCTATTTTATTAGTAAAATTATTTAAAGTTATAGCTGAAAGAAGTGGAGAAGGACACATTCATATAATACATGAGGAGAAGGACCTTTTCTGGGTTCATTTTCATTTAGTAAATATTTATTAAATGAGTGAGAAGACGAATATAATCTAGAAAGCAGTCTAGCTAAATGTATTTTAAAACATCCAATTATTTTTATTGACCCAGTATTTTTTCATAAGAATTTGTCATAAGGAATAGTCCTAAATATGGAAAAGGTTATAAGTTTAAAGATATTTCTCACAGTGTTATGTATATGAGTAAAACATTGGGAAGCCACCTAAATGCCAATAAAATATGGCTGAGTAAAACATAGTATATCCACTAGATAGTATAAGAGTAACTCATAAGCTAAAGGTTAGGATAAATAATGACTTCAAAAATGTTTATAGCATAAGTTTAAGTTAAACACAAAGTTTTATAAATTCTATTCATGGGGGAAAAAGACTGGAAAGAAATATGTCATGTTGCTATAGCAATGGGTGATTTCTTCTTTTTTCCAAATTATCCTTAACATGCACATATTTTATTTTTACAGTGATTATAATTATATTAAATTGTGCATGTACAACATAGCTTGTATATTAAGATTTAATTTCAGCTTCAGTACGTTTAAATGAGCCTTGGTCCATACCTTGTGTAATCATTGAAATGCTGTGCCTTTTTTTCCTTAGGGTGACAGAACCTTTCTGGAAGGTTCCCACACTCGTGGGTTAGATCACTCATCCTCTTGGCAGGATCACAGTCGCTTCCTGTCTAGTCCAAGATTTTCATACGTGAACTGTAAGTAATGAAGTCTTGTACCCATTTTTAAATTAGATTTAAGAAAATGCAACACATGGGAAAATTAGTTTAAGGCCAGTATATGATAGTAATATTCATAAGTCTGAGAAAATCCTCATGAATCATACAAAAAATGTTCAAGGATATTCATAATAGTACACAGTTTACTAAAAATATGTAGAATCCCTCCTTTTTAGACTTTACGCTTCTCAGAATAACTTAAATAACCACCCAAGGTGAAAATCTTAATTAGGCAAATTTTTCGTTTGGAGATTGCCAGTAACTATGGATGAATGAGTAAAGAAAGTTATTTTATAATAAAGTTCAAATTATCAAAAAATTGAAGTTCTTTGCATATAAATGTTGAGAAATATGTAATCTTGTACAAAGAGTAAGAATACTATTACTGCTAGATTTCACTCTGTGAATCTTGATAAATGTCATCATCAATATCAACAATGTATGAGTCCATTGGCCCAAAATGCCATCTGCCACGATCTATCCCTGCCGTCTCCCTTCCTTCCTATATGTGGTCTTCAAGTTTCAGCTTATATGTAATTTCCTTAAAGAAGCTTCACAGTTTGAAGTGTAGTCTCTGTTATGAGCACCCACAGTGTGCTACAATTTTTCTTTATATCTTGAGGATAGGAGGAGTGCCTGTTTTGTTCACCACTGTTTCCTTGGCACTCTATATAGTAGTTGGCAAATAGTAAATACTCAACTAATATTCAATTAATATACATATAAGTTGTTTTTGTTAAGTCCACATTTATCTAAACTATTGGGATCCAAATGTTATTTAATGGATTTTTATTTAGGTAATAATTTTGCTCTTCAGTTTACCATGGGCCTGTAGGGTTATACATTAAATTTGATAATTCTGTCATTTAATATAGCTATATTGCTGTAAAATAAAATGCCAAAATAAGCCACTAGGAAGTAGGTCAAATCCAAAGGTGATAACTCTTATTTTTGCTGGTTTATATTCATGGATTCATTGAATAAATATTTATCGATTTCTGATAAGTGGTGTGGTTTTTCATTATTTCATGATTATTTTAGTCTAAATGCTGAGCATTTTGTCTTCCTGTCCTAATCATTTTCCCAAGTGATTTTGTATCTACATAAGCCAAGAACCACCCTTCAATATGGACCTCAAGTTGGTTATGGCACCTCAGAATTTGATATACACATAGGCCAAATTTTTTTTCTTTCATATTTAGCAATGGAAAACTTTCTCCAAGTCCTTCTAATATAAACAAGCATGGAGGTGGAAGTAGGGACTTCACACCATGAAACATCACAGTGTCCCAATTAGTCAGACATTCAAGAGCCTGGAGATAAACAGCATCATAATGTGAAAACAGATTGTTATACTGCTGTTACTTTTGCCATTATGACCTTCATAAGCCTTTCTAGAAATGCACCTAGAGGGAAGTGGTTAGAAGACATTAAATGGAAAACATCAAGATTTTGGAATTGTATTTAGTACTATGATAGGCAGTGAAAGAACCTGTATTTAGGTTTCAACACTAGCATTTCATGACCAATTGTGGTCATTTCTCTAAGATATATTTCTCACAAGCAACTATAGGTTTCTATAGATATACACTGGCTGAAAAGGAAATAAAGTTAAATAGGAAAATATATCATCAAGAGCATAATTTGAAAAAGAAAACATTTATTATAGTTTACATTGTAAAATCTAACTGAAAAATTTAACCTAAAAAGTAAAACTCTTCATTAGTTTAATTAATTAGTAAATTAATTAACTGATTAATCCATAGTCTTGTTTTACTATTTTTCTTGTGTACAAGTTTGTTTTATGATTTTCTTCCCAGACCTATCCCCATATTTTCAAAAATACTTTAAAAAATTTAATCCTAGCTACCTTATCATTAATTACTTTCAAGTAATTGAATTATAATTATTTCTAGAAAACATTCTTATTTGCTTTTCTGATAAGCCTTAAGTTTTCTGTTTTTAATAATGGGGCACATTAGCAGTGAGAAACATTAGGATTACCCTGAATACTTCATTTTTTGTAGCAAAATTTCAGCTCAGTTACAGAAATTGTCCTGTAATTTTTCTTTAATCTCCCTTTAAATTGAAGAATTAAAAAGAAGAGATGAGACCAACAAAGAGGAAAACAGAACTTACGGCAAATGAGTAATACAGGGAACAGAGGATGTTTTAAAGAATATCATTAATACCCTTTGAGAGATAAGAGAAAATATTAAATCCACTACATTTAACAAGAGCAAAATACTATGAAAAAGGGACACAGACTAAGCGGTGTCAGAATTTTAAAATATGATTGCCATAAAGAGTAAAGAAAACCAGAAAGGTGGAAAACAATGTGAAATAACCACAAAGAAAGGAGAAGAAAAAGAAAAAGAATGAGACAATAGAGAGAAAAGATAAAATTTTTAGAAAAGCAATTCAGGAGGGGCAATAGATGATTCATGTGCGTCTTGAGAGAACAGAGAAAACAGAACAAGAGGCCAGGAGTGGCCAGGCCCACCCAACAAACACCCACTGCACAGCAGCCATCCTGAGATTGTCCTTCACTCTTTTCCTATATTGATGCCCGTGTGCCCAGATCCTATACCTTCCTCTTTCTTGTTTCACTCTTTTCTTTTATGAGAGTAATGCAGGACAAGCAAGCCCCAAAATTGAGGCTTAGTCCTTGGCTTCACCCAGGGAAGAATTCAAGGGCAAGCCGGTGGTGTTAGCAGCAGTTTTTATTGAAGCGGCAGTGTACAGCAGCAGCAGAGGTCCTGCTCCTTGCAAAACAGGCCTACCCCATAGGCAGTGTGCCCAGAGCAGCAGCTCAGAAGCAGTTCTGCACTCACAGTTATAACCACTTTTAATTATATGCAAATTAAAGAGCAACTTATGCAGAAATTTCTGGGATGAGGGTGGTAACTTCCAGGTTGTTGGGTTTTCGCCAGGAAAATGGCGACAGGTGTGTCGTGTTGCCGTGGCAATGATAAACTGACAGGCACACTTGTGGACGTGTCTTATGGAGAGGTGCTTCTGCTTGAGACCCATTTTAGCTAGTCCTCAATTTGGGCAGGTGTCGAAGCCCTGCCTTTGGAGTCTAGTCCCACCTCCTACCTCAAGAGCACACCAAAGAAAAGGAGGTGGGAGGCCGAGGTGGGCGGATCGCGAGGTCTGGAGATCGAGACCATCCTGGCTAACACGGTGAAACCCCATCTCTACTAAAAACACAAAAAATAAGCCAGGCGTGGTGGCGGGTGCCTGTAGTCCCAGCTACCCGGGAGGCTGAGGCAAAAGAATCGCTTGAACCCGGGAGGCGGAGGTTGCAGTGAGCCAAGATCACGCCACTGCACTCCAGCCTGGGTGACAGAGCAAGACTCCATTACAAAAAAAAGAAAAAGAAAAAGAAAAGAAAGAAAGAAAAGGAGGTAAATATTTTTAGTGTTTGTATTTCTAAAAGTAGATTTATTCCATTATATAAAATTCTAGTTGAAAATGATTTTCTCTCTCTGAAGTCATTGAACAATTATCCTCCAAAATCCAATGTTGTTGTTGAAAAATCCTTCATTCGTAGATAAAGACTGTCACTCCTTTGAAGTCATCTTCTGCGCCTCCTTCCTACCCTACCACATCCTTTCTACTCCTCGCTCCAGGAACTTTTAGGATCTTCTCTTTCACCCCAGTGAGTTTGTGATGATGTGCCTCAGTGTGGGTCTTGTTTTATTTATTCTTCTAGCTACTTTTTATCTGGACACTCATGTTTTTCAATTCTGCCACACTGAAGGAAGAAAGGAAAGATTCTATCCAGAAAATTTGCAGGAAACAAACAAAAAGCTAATAGATATCTGATACGATTGAACACTTAAAAAAAAAAAGACTACTAGTGGACATATGGCAGATCTAACTGAGCACTTAGAAGCAAGATGGTCACAGAGAAAGAGCAAATAAAAAGAAATAAAATTAAAACAAGAGTCAATTAATAAACCCAGGAGGAAAAAATGAACAAGAAGAGAAATGTCATAGTATCCTTACTATGTTTTCATGAGCCATATTTAGTCATAATAATGTAAACAGTCATATAACTAAAAGCTCATATGTAACTATATTGGGAGTATGGGGTGAGGAGAAGGGGGTGGGTGTGGATAATGTCTAAAAATATAAATCAGAAAATAGCAATATAGGCTTCTCCATGTTTTACAAAAATGAAATAAATACAGAAAATAAAACTGGAAGAGGTGATCATAGCTGACTCTGGGGAGTGGGATTGTGGAATTCAGAGAGGTAGGACAAGAAACTCCTGTTTTTCTATGTAACCCTTTGGTATTATTTGATATGTGTATATACACTGGCTAAAAATGATTCTTACAAAGACAAGTGTTACTGAGAAAACCCCAGCTTTAATGTCTGACTAGTAAATGTCTAATTTTTTTGTTAAGTCTCAGGTGGAACATGAAAGCTGGGGTTTGGAGTTTGGAGCAGTTTAGATCTGTATAGAGATATAGGGAGTGGATAGTCATAGGTCCTTAGGCAGACATGAGTTTCTGGGCCCACAGAACAGTCAGCTCCTTACTCTAGTCAGAATTTGTACTGAGTGAGGCCCTTTCGTTGAAGCTGTAGATGCTAAGGCATTCATTCTGCTGACTTAGATGCCCTGTCAAACTGTGACCAAACTAAAGCATAGAATCATTGACCGTGGAAAAAACAAAGGAAATGGGAAAATACTGCATAATTTGTGGTCTCTGAAGTGATCCAGCATTAATGAAAGTTTGTTTTAAGAAGTAATTTATGTCAGCTTTGTGTAGTTCAGGTCAATTCAAGAAAAGGTAGATTCCTTCTGCCAGGAAGAAGGGAAGAAATGTATAAATTGTAAGTTTATATTGCCATTGGAAATAGGAACACAGAAATCCATTATTTAAAGGCATGATCACTACCAAATTTATCCTGGCCTGCTGGAAGTTATGGCCGTGAGTCAGGACACTCTTTTAGAAGACTTGGATTCCATTACCTTCAGCCTGTAGACAGTGGGGGCTTAGTAAGGGACTCATAATGTCAGCTTTTGAAACTGTCATTTTTGCTTTTCAAAAGTGGCAACTGACCACTAGTCACTATGTATAGCTCCTTTTAGACTAAAGGAACACAACTCCAGGATACAGCCATCACATCCCAGGACTGGGACCAGACCAGATTTCACTGAGGTCCATAGTAATCTGATGACTTCTAGAAATCTCTAGTTTTTTAAGACTAAAATGTTTCATCTTTGTGGAGTTGGTGTCTCCAAACCAGATTTTAAAAATAAATGCAGATTGTAAATTTCCTGTAAATCTAAAACTGTTTGAAAACATAATGTTTGTTAAAATAAATAAGCCCAAAAGGAAGGAATTGTTATTCTTCATGGGGAAAATATGTTATCTAAGGATTAGTATAGGAGTTGAAAGTGAATCTTACAGATAATTTGATATTCTTAGAAAAGCAGATTAATGAAAGATGCTTAAAAATACTATTTCACTTTCTTACCTCAGTTTACATTGCTATAAAAAGAAAAGTTAGTATTCTCACTTTGTGTTTTGAGGTGCCTCTAATGGTAGTTTAAGTCCGTGGGGTGAAAAATAATTTATCCACAGCAAGAATAGCACACTATTTTCACTTCTGTGTTATACTTCAAGGTCTACCCGGCTAACTGTGAAAAGATGCTTCATATGTAACCTGTCCTCAGCCTTATAGAGTAAAATGCCAAAGATTAATGGCAATGAAAACACTAGGACACTGATAAAGGCAATAAAATTGTTTCTTGTCCATTAAAGGATTTAATTCTATGAAAGTGCAGTCTCTCTGTCTCTCTCATTTTACAGGTTTATTTTATGTGATTACAGATTTATTTTATGTGACAGTGGTTCAGGTATTTTTTACTGATCGGTTAAACGCCGGATATTTTTAAATAATTGAATTCTGGTTTTTGCAAGTTGACAAGGTACTCTCTAGAGGCGCTCCAGAAACCAGCTAGAAAATCCCCAGTTGGCTGTCATCTTAAAATCCCTCACCTATATTCAGTTGTTCAACCAGTATTTACTAGGAGGCTGTGTACCATGTCCAGTGTTCAGTTCTGGAGTATACAGCAGTGAACAGGACAGGCAAGGTGATGTCATGGAGAAACAAGTAGCGAGCAAGTAAACAAATCATTTAAAATGGTGATTGGTGCTATAAAGGTGAAATGATAGAAGGTACCAGGAACAGGAGCACTCCTTTAGATTGGTGATCAGGATCTGCCTCCCTGAGGAGGTTACAGCTGAAACCTGAATGGCAAGAAGCAGCAGCTGAGTTGAAATTGGATGGGAAGCATCTTCCTGATAGTAGGGGCAAAAAGTACAAAAGCTCCAGAGAAGAAAGGGCCATGGTCTCCTAGAGATACGGGCTACTGAGCGAGTGAGTGAGAGGGTGCAGCCACAGTCAGATGTGTGGATTTTATTCTGAGTTCACTGGGCGACCATTAAGGGCAGGATGAGGGAGTCATGCAGGAGAATGACGTAATTTGATTGACTTTTCCGAAAGGTAACTGTGGTTGTGGTGTGGAGAAAGGATCGTAAGGGAGCAAGAAGAAAACAGAAAGGGAGACAATGGTGACTTGGGGGCTGATGAGAGTAATGGGGATGGTGTGAATCAGGACTCAGGTGAAATTGATAGGGAGAGTCATTAGAGCTCGCTCTTAAACTGAATGGATGGATCAGACAGGACAAAGGAAGAGAGGAACCACGGTTTGAGAAACTGGGCAGACGGGTATATCATTTTTCAAGTTGGAGAAGAGTAAGGAATGAGCAGGCATCAGAGAGTAGAGATAAGGAGAGAAGATTTCACACAGACAGTTGGATATAGGCATCTATAGCTCAGACGAGGAGTAGGAGATAGTAAAAGAACAGTAAACACAAACTCCAGGTCTACTTTCAATAGACTAGAAGTTGTAATAAAGAGGATTCCATAAAAAGGAGCCCTTAAGATTTCTGCCTCTAAAATTCTTTGCGAGTGTGCAAGTGTGTGTGCGTGTGCACGTGCACACCGGTGTGGTTTATATCATTGTATCCTGACGAAGCACACATTTTTTACTCTCAGGTATTCTTCAAATAAAATAAAAAGTTTAATTCTCGTGTTTTTTTTAAATGTCATAAATTGAGTGTATTTATTCTTAGCTTGGAGGTCTGTTAGTCCATGTGAAGTTTAATTATAGAAAACTCGATCAAATACCATGATACATTAACTACCTTCTGCAAAATTAATTTTTTAGGCCAGTTTTATATTCACCTAGGTTTATTTTTCTTTTTCTTCTTACCTTGCCAGCATTTACCAAAAGAACTGTTGCTCCAGATTCAGCTTCAAACAAGGAAGATGCCACAATGAATGGAACAAGTTCACAACCCAAAAAAGAGGAATATGGGAGCTAAAAAAGCAAATGTAATTTGTTATTTTACATGAGTATGTTACAAATAATAACATCTCTATTCTTACAGCAATTTGGCCCAGATTATCTAACAGACATACCTGCAGCTTTGGCTCTTTGGTATTGCCAAACATTGACAAAAGTGACAATACTGTTGGTCCTTGTGAATGGTAAACCAATCCAAATAATATCAGATCATGAATGATGTGCAGCTAATTTATTTGCAACTTATACTAGCACAGAAAGAATGATATTTTTTCACTTTGTATTTTCCTTTTTCAAGTGTGGTCAGTCACATTTTCCCAACCAAAATTTGGATTTCTAATTGAGGCCTTTTAAAAATTACTGGCTAAAAAGAAGGAAAATGAGTTTCCCTTGAGGCAAAAGTTGCCAGCACTTTAGATTCAGGGAGCATTTATATACAACTGATTTTTTGAAAAATTTTCTCCCTAATAAATTATCATGTGTTATAACATGTGGAGATGTGCATATATAACATTAGACAGTCCACTTTATAAATGCTCAGGACTTTTATATCTATCATCTTAACAGTCCACAACTGCATACCGTAGCTGAAAATTATTTCCAATCATCCATTTTTAATAGCAATAAAGAATTCATAAATGATATCTGAACTGTAGAGCACTGTAAAGAATTCATAGCACAATTTATTTATTTGTCTTTTTGTGGCCAAATATCCTACTGTGATCACTTCAGTCATATCCTGGACCGTCTTTGGTTTACTGTGACTAAAATCATAGCACCAAACTCCTTTGTCCATGAGATTTATATATAATCTTGTATAATTTGGTCCTATCTGCTTCTACCATCCCAACTTTTTTCATCAAAGTGTCTAAGAACGTATTCCCTTTACACGCTGATCTCCTAGTGGAGAAGGATTTATATTAAATGCTAAGTAATAGTAAACTTTCAGGAACTGAATCCTATTGGGTCATGGATTCTGCATAGACAAGGGCAATAAAGCAATACCTTTGTAATATGCATTACATTTTGTGTTTGTTAAAGTACACTTGCTCATTAAGAGTTCTCACATTTCATAAAGATGCTTCCGCTCAAGGTATGTTGTCCTAACTTACCATATTTGATGGTACTGAAGAAAAAAATGGCAGCCTCTTTCCATGAACCTGAATGCAACTCTTCCTTTAGAACATGAAGATATCCAAAAATTGCGTAACACAAGCTATGTAACCTGAGAGTATAGCTATGCATTTTTATCATGTATGCATTTCAAAAATCTTTTATCGAGTGCTTACTATATGCCAGTCATTGTGCTAGGAGGAAAAAATGAGATACAAAAACAGGTATGCATGTCGCAAAGTTTGTTTGGCATCAGGAATTACATGAAAACAGGAGTGATTTGTTCAGGCTAGCTGGAGAAATTTGGGGTTAGACAACAGATTTGGTTTTCTTCTGTCTAACTTCAGGAATTCTCAGAGCAATGTAATGTATTAATGAGCATTATGAGGATATATTGGGAGTATCCCGTGTGGTGTGACTCACAGTCCTGGTGATCCATATAAACTATATCACTCTATGGTAATATTTAAAGTATTGAGAATGTATTTCCATTGATGGTTTGACCAACATCAAAGTATTTTATCTCCTTCGTCCTAAATAACCAGCAGAGAAGAAAATATGAGGGAAAATCAACAGGTTTTATTTAAATCCTATGGATAAATGTTAGTTAAATAACTTTTTCTTTTATGTATTAGTAGGGCCTTCATGCATCCATTCTCTTCAATAAGAACTGATCTAAACCATTATTAGTGCATCTATGGTCATTTAAAAAAAATTGCACCAAACCAATTAGACCTGAAAATGTAAAGTAACTCAAATTATTTACTTGAGAAATGCTTGAAAACATAGTAGCCAGTGATTTTATAACAGACTGGAGAGGAATCTTATGAAGTAACTTTTTAAATCTAAAAAAAAAAGCCATTATATCATGTTATTGAATGCTCTGTGCTACTGTTGGATGAATGAAGGTGTCTGACTTAAATATGGAACACACTAGAACTTCAAAGGCAAAGTCAACTTTTTGTGAACAACAATTTTGTCAAAATTCCTTGGCCTCCTGTTTATATAGAATTAAATCCAGGGACCTGTCTCCTCTGAGGATTTTTCCTATCTTGCAGTTACCCTACCCTTAAGTTGGAAATCAAAAAGAATGCTAAGGAAACATTAATAGCTTGATTTGTGCATTTTAAAGCCAACAACTTCTTTCCTTTACTCACCCCTTTGGCAGGGTAGCCTCAATTACATGTGATATCAGCCCTGTTTGAATAGTAGCTGGTCCACCATATTGCTTGTAGCACTGGGACATTGGGAAGGATAAACTTTATTCTGCAGTAAGCCTGGTCCAATACTTAATTTGAAGGTTGACCTTTTTGGTTTAATAATTTTGATTCTTCTGGCCATCTTTCTCCCTAAACACACTAAACTTCCGTTGAAGTTGCTGAAGGCTACAGGGGGAGAAACACAGCTGGGAGAAATCTGGCTCAATGTTTTTCCCATTGGCTAAGGTCATATTATTTCTTTGACTAGTGTCTGACTGGAAGGTTGAAAACCAGTTGGTTATGTAACGTTTTATGCACCCAGTTTCCCAGAACCACTAACTTTTCTTATTGTTATAGTTTACCTACCTATTTTTACTAATAAAGAGCTAAAATCTATAGCTTAATAAAACAGTATGCATACAGCATTTAAAGTTTACATGTATAAAAAATGCCTACCTACTTAACTAAGAAAATGAACCTACTTTTCTTCATTTTTCTCCTTTCAAGTATGGCAAATGCATTTTTCATTTTGAGTCTCAGTTCAGTGATATGCAAAGTACATGTAGAGCCATTTAGTAGTTGTTAACATTTTCTCTAATCTGTATTGAATTTTGTAGTTAGATAACACATTGTGTTTAAAATGGGACCAAATTCTTACATATAAGGAGATGGCACATTTACTTAGCAAACTCTTTTTTTAGGAAGAGATAAATACCTCAAATTGTTTTACTCAGGATTTGTTCTTACTCTAAATGCAACTACACATCCTATGGTAGCCAAGAATGTGAATGATCTTTGAGTAATTTTCCAAGAGTCTTACACCCCCTCCCCAGACAAACTGTTCCAGTGTTTTCTCTCAATTTAAAACAAAACAGAAAATTTGTGATTTTCATGGCCTTCAAATGAGGAAGCTGTTCTCACGAAAGCATCTGGTTTTCTTGGATCAAAACTAAATTATGAACCTTAGCTGGAAAGGAAATTTTGGAAAGTTTGTATATAAAGGCATTTCATGCACCAAAATTTGATATGAAAATAGTTCCATCTTTCAGCTTTTAAGTTCTCAAATGTTTAGCAATAGAAACATATCAACTTATCCCTATTTGACAAAAGAAATTTAAACCACGAAAGATTCCATTTAGTTTCATTTCCTTACAAAACACGACACATCTAATTTAAGGCTGGAAGAAATGCTTACATGGAAAAGCAGAACTTTAGATTCCAAGCCCCCAAGCAAATTTCAGAAAAGTCACCGTAGCTTTTGATTAGTAACAAAGTAAACCAATCTGCTCTTTGGTGAAACCAGCCGCACCTTCTAGTTCTAACCTCATCTGGCCCTCATCTGCCCCTATTGGCTTCTCCTGCTATAGCTATGCCTATGACCATATCCTACCTAAATTCAAGCCCAGCACAAGTCACCCTTAGTGTTTTACCAGGATAGCCCCTATTGTTGACCGCTGAAGTCTAGTAAGTGTTCGACCCACACTGTAAGGGCCGAGTCTAGGGTTTGTAGCCCCTGCATTTCTTTTCAGGGGCAGCCAATTAGGAAATGATTTATATTGCATATGTCTTTGGCCATTCTTATGGCTAAAACCCTAGGGATACTTCTGTGGTTGGGCATCTTTTCTTCTCTAACATAGCTGTATTCTAACGTGGGTGCAAAGCCCTGTGATGATTGTGGATGTGAACTTGACCTTGCTCTCTACAGGAATATAGTGGATTTCTAAACATAGCTACATGTTAGCTTCCTTTCAGGAAGATGTTTGAAACAATATATCATCTGATGGCCTCCAGCTTTTACAATGTAGAACCTAATGTCTTTGAGCACATAAATGAGAATGTTGGGGGTGGGAAATGCTACTGTAGTCAAAACAGAGCCTTGCAATATTTATTACCTGTACTTACAAGGATAACTTGCAATGTTTCAGGAAACTGAAGTTACACAATTGCCAATTGCCATTCTCTGGACGAATGCTCTCTTTTTCTCAAACAGGCATATGCTAGACTGTCCTGCAAAGTCTATCTTTTGTAGCCCCATAGGACCCCACAACTTGTCGCCCTCTCATTTTTTATTCTTCTAGTGAAGCAGTTTGACTGGCATTACTTAAATAAAATTAAAGTTACAATTTATCCTTAGATATTGGAGCTCTGTGTCATCTTAGCTGTATACTTAATTGGAAATAAAGATCAGAATACTGGCTTGAAGCAATATATATATATTTTTAAAAGAAAACTAATGGATACTAAACTACCAACAATTCAGATGTTACAATCTAAAAGTAAAAAAATATTCTGAGGGAAAGTAGGATAAATGTTCCTTAGTCACTAGCTTACAATCTTCTTTATATAATGATTTAATATTTTCTTAAAATCATACTTGCTTAAAAAAATGCCAACTTTAATTTTGATAATATGAGGTTTTCCATTAAATTACACAGTTTCCTTTTGTTTTTTTCTTATAAATTTTTAAATTGAGAGTCTGGTGTACTTGTGAATCATTTGAAGCCACCAAGCATTCAAATGGCTTTCAAAAGTACAAGACACTTCACCAATAATGTGAAAATTTGTACTTCGAAACAGTACATCTCTTTGTCCTTGAGATACTATATTTCTATTGGAAATATTTCATCTCTCCCAGTCTCTCTCTCTTTGATATCCTTCTCTGGTATCCAGTCCTCTCCTCAGTGATCTTTAGAAGCAACTTTCTGTCCTTTATTAGGGCCAGCCTGTGGGCTAGAGTCGTGCTCACTTGTCCTGTGCATGTATTTTAAGATAACAGGATAGTTGCAAGCGGAGTTAGTGAGATTAATACATGAAACACTTTTGTTATTTTTCTTAAGGTGTGACCTGGTCTATTAACCAGGTGTGAAAGGCTTCTCTTGGTAAAATGAGATCATTATTCTTCATCCTTGTGTGATAATACACAGCTATTTTTAATACAGTATTTATATGTACTTCATATATCAGAGAACCTATTCATATCACCTTCATCACCTTATAGCCAAAAGAGCAGTTCCCAAAATGTGTGTCCAGTTGCACATCTGTTTTAAAATTTCAATTTCAAATATATCCCCTTTACAAGCTTTTTTCCCCCTTTTCTTCTTAGCTCTTGAAGCCAGCTATTATCAGATCATACTGCATAACTCTTATTCAGTGTTATCCCTAGGGTAGTGGTTATGCTAGTTTAGATTTTGTTTGTCCATTGTTGCTCAGCACTTAGCTGGATAAGGGAATGAAGGATGGCAGGAGTTCTGTAAAATGATATGAACACAGAGGAAGCTGGGTTGCCTTTAATAACACACATTTTAAACTGTTTACTGGAAGGAAAAAACTGTGGTAGCACTTCATCCTTTATGTGATGCAGGGTCCTGGAAAGAAGCATTGTGAGAAGTCCTGTTGAACTTGATGTTCACTATAAAGTCACATTTCTGATGAAAGTTGCAGTAATCCTTCATGTTCTTTATAGACTGCTGGCTAGCAGTTTGGGTCTGGGTGCAGAGTGATCGGCTTTCTGATGTTTTTCAGCCGGGGTGCCCTGTGCTTGTCTGTCATTTTGGATTTTCATTTTATTTATGCTGTCATTAATTCCACTGTGAGTGAAGATACAGGCTTGATTTATAATACTTAGCATATTTGAAACTTCCCATCATAATGAACCCCAAGCTGTTAGTTACCAGAAGTGAAACAGTGATGGGTAGCAAAGCCATCTAACACGGTGGCATTAAAAGAGGTTTGGAGAAACCTAGGGACTTTTTCTTTCTTTCTTTTTCCCCCCCTCTGGCCTGAGTAAAATAGATGCAACAGTTCTAACGAGGCACTTCCTGCCCAGAGTCACTGGCAGAGCAGCCTCCGCCCAACAGCTGCAGCTTGAGAGACCTCATGCTGCTGGCCAAGGTTCATTCTGTGCTTTGACCAAGACCACAGCCAATAAAGCCAGTGTGTACCGTGGAAAGAGTTTCCCATTTTTTTCCACTGGAGAAGTCTTTTGTGAGGTTAGTTTGACTGTTCCAAATTAACAGTGGTGGTCATTGCTCATTTCTTAATTTTAAATGCATGTAAACTCATGGATTAGATTCCACTGAGGGTAAATCATAGTTTTGTGAGGAAGATACGTATCCTTTTGTTCAACGATTCCTGAAAGCAATGGTTCACAAAGGGTGATCTCAAAACCTGCAGCAGCAGTATTATCTGGGTGCTTGTTAGAATTACATATTCTCTAGCTATCCCCAGACCTATCCATTCAGAAACTTTGGTGATGGCGCCAACGATCTGTGTTACAACAAGTCCTCCAGATGATTGTGATCAATGGTCAAATTCAAGAACCCTGCCTTGACATTCATTTTATAATAGCCTTCTCTGAGTTTTAGTGCCTATCCCAAAACAAAAATATGAAAGTGGCTATTTTCCAGGTGAAGTACTAGAGTATTTTTTTTTAACTTGGTTTCCAATATCATGTGTTCTCCCAGGTATCCGAGCTGTGATTCAGTCCTGAGGCTCACCCAAGTGGAGGTCTTAAAGCCATTTCCAAAGATGCTTGATTAACTACTAAAGGTTACTTCCCACCTCCTCCTTCTAACAGACTATGCCAGGACTCTGCCCATTCATCAGGATCATCATCAAGACATCCAATTAAATCAGGGCCTATAGTATAGTTCTTCTGTTTGGCTTGAAGGACAGAAGTAGTATTTGATTATAAAAGTTGCAAATGTCTTTAGAGTCAAGTTGTAATTCTGTTTTCTCTCACTCCCAGGAACTTCAGAGCAACCTGATTTGGGGCATTGATTCCACATTAACATTTCACATGCAATTTCATTTTTTCTTCTCTATACCAGTGGCTCACAGTCAACCACTGTGTTTCAGAGTAACATTTCCATATTTTGACATTGTCATATGAAGGGAGATTTTAATTTGATGATTCCTTGACATTTCAATCTCTTCCAGCTTTACCTCAATGTCGACATCGAGATCAGGGATTTTTTCTACCTTTCCATCTTGTTGTCCCTGAAAGACTGATAACTGATAGCCACATATGATTCATCTTGGCCTTTTATCTTACAGTGGTACCCCCCTTAAATATAATTGATAATAAGAAATATTTGTTTGAAATCAAGTTGATGCCCCTCCCCCTTATTGTTTAGGAATGGACTAAATGAAAACCTACCCAGAATTTTCCTATTCTAAAATGTCTAAATATTTTCAAGAACTCCTCTTGATATCTGACAATCTAAATAATTCACTCCGTCATACTCAGAGAAGGTGTTTCTTTTTTTTTTTTTTTTTTGGTGATAAAACCTTTTATGTCAAATGTCAGATACAAAGAAATACATACTGAATCCCTACAAGATACCCTGGTCAGGAGGTGGTAAGTGTGGTAAATGCTCCTAAACAATTGTCTTTTTCCACTTCCACTGGAGATGTCACACCCCGCTCTGATTGTTGGTCACATCCTACTCTGATGCTTTAAGGAGACGAGAGAGCAGCTTCTTATCTGGCTGATTCACTTTCTCCTCAGTCACATTCGAAGAGGCCACATGTGGGTGGTATTCTTGAATTTTAATGAAAGCTAGCACCAATTCCTTTAGAGCAGCAAATTGAGCCAAATCATGATACTGAGGCAATAGGGTATGAAGATCCCAGACTCTGGGGGAGTCTGCTGGGGTTGAGTCCAGCTTCTACCTTTAGAGACTTTTTTACCTTGCTGCTTAATCTCCTCATCAGGAAAAAAGAAATTATAATATTACCTACCTCAGAGTGCTCATTAGAGTTAACCCATAGAGAGTGTTCAGAAGGGTGTGTGCCAGTTAGAAGGGGCTCTGTGTTATTATCCTTTTCGTAATGCAATTCTTGCAATTATCAATAATGTCTTACACTATTAGACCACAGACACTTGGTGTGTGACTTTTTTTTTTTTTTTTTTTTTTAGCTTTTACAATATTTAACCATATGTTTATTTCAGCTAGGTTTGAAAGTTTACTTTTACTAGGGGAAAATATTCTTTCCCTCTTGTTTTGCTTGGTGTTTTATTTGCATCTTCTCTCTCTCTTTTTTTTTATTATTATACTTTAAGTTTTAGGGTACATGTGCACAATGTGCAGGTTTGTTACATATGTATACATGTGCCAGGTTGGTGTGCTGCACCCATTAACTCGTCATTTAGCATTAGGTATATCTCCTAATGCTTTCCCTCCCCCCTCCCCCCAACCCACAACAGTCCCTGGAGTGTGATGTTCCCCTTCCTGTGTCCATGTGTTCTCATTGTTCAATTCCCACCTATGAGTGAGAACATGTGGTGTTTGGTTTTTTGTCCTTGTGATAGTTTGCTGAGAATGATGGTTTCCAGTTTCATCCATGTCCCTACAAAGGACATGAACTCATCATTTTTTATGGCTGCATAGTATTCCATGGTGTGTATGTGCCACATTTTCTTAATCCAGACTATCATTGTTGGACATTTGGATTGGTTCCAAGTCTTTGCTATTTTGAATAGTGCCGCAATAAACATACGTGTGCATGTGTCTTTATAGCAACATGGTTTATAATCCTTTGGGTATATACCCAGTAATGGGATGGCTGGGTCAAACCGTATTTCTAGTTCTAGATCCCTGAGGAATCACCACACTGACTTCCACAATGGTTGAACTAGTTTACAGTCCCACCAACAGTGTAAAAGTGTTCCTATTTCTCCACATCCTCTTCAGCACCTGTTGTTTCCTGACTTTTTAATGATCACCATTCTAACTGGTGTGAGATGGTATCTCATTGTGGTTTTGATTTGCAATTCTCTGATGGCCAGTGATCATGGCCACTTTTTCATGTGTTTCTTGGCTGCATAAATGTCTTCTTTTGAGAAGTGTCTGTTCATATCCTTCACCCACTTTTTGATGGGGTTGTTTGTTTTTTTCTTGTAAATTTGTTTGAGTTCATTGTAGATTCTGGATATTAGCCCTTTGTCAGATGAGTAGGTTGCGAAAATTTTCTGTGGGATCAGAGGTGATATCCCCTTTATCATTTTTTATTGCATCTGTTTGATTCTTCTCTCTTTTCTTCTTTATTAGCCTTGCTAGCGATCTATTGATTTTGTTGATCTTTTCAAAAAACCAGCTCCTGGATTCATTGATTTTTGAAGGGTTTTTTGTGTCTCTATTTCCTTCAGTTCTGCTCTGATTTTAGTTATTTCTTGCCTTCTGCTAGCTTTTGAATGTGTTTGCTCTTGCTTTTCTAGTTCTTTTAATTGTGACATTAGGGTGTCAATTTTGGATCTTTCTTGCTTTCTCTTGTGGGCATTTACTGCTATAAATTTCCCTCTACACACTGCTTTGAATGTGTCCCAGAGATTCTGGTATGTTGTGTCTTTGTTCTTGTTGGTTTCAAAAAACATCTTTATTTCTGCCTTCATTTCGTTATATACCCAGTAGTCATTCAGGAGCAGGTTGTTCAGTTTCCATGTAGTTGAGCAGTTTTGAGTGAGTTTCTTAGTCCTGAGTTCTAGTTTGATTGCACTGTGGTCTGAGAGACAGTTTGTTGTAATTTCTGTTCTTTTACATTTGCTGAGGAGTGCTTTACTTCCAACTATGTGGTCAATTTTGGAGTAGGTTTGGTGTGGTGCTGAAAAGAATGTATATTCTGTTGATTTGGGGTGGAGAGTTCTGCAGATGTCTATTAGGTCCACTTGGTGCAGAGCTGAGTTCAATTCCTGGGTATCCTTGTTAACTTTCTGTCTCGTTGATCTGTCTAATGTTGACAGTGGGGTATTAAAGTTTCCCATTATTATTGTGTGGGAGTCTAAGTCTCTTTGTAGGTCACTAAGGACTTGCTTTATGAATCTGGGTGCTCCAGTATTGGGTGCATATATATTTAGGATAGTTAGCTCTTCTTGTTGAATTGATCCCTTTACCATTATGTAATGGCTTTCTTTGTCTCTTTTGATCTTTATTGGTTTAAAGTCTGTTTTATCAGAGACTAGGATTGCAACCCCTGCCTTTTTTTGTTTTCCATTTGCTTGGTAGATCTTCCTCTATCCCTTTATTTTGAGCCTATGTGTGTCTCTGCACGTGAGATGGGTTTCCTGAATACAGCACACTGATGGGTTTTGACTCTTTATCCAGTTTGCCAGTTTGTGTCTTTTAATTGGAGCATTTAGCCCATTTACATTTAAAATTAATATTATTATGTATGTATTTGGTCCTGTCATTATGATGTTAGCTGGTTATTTTGCTCGTTAGTTGATGCAGTTTCTTCCTAGCCTTGATGGTCTTTACATTTTTGCATGTGTTTGCAGTGGCCGGTACCGGTTGTTCCTTTCCATGTTTAGTGCTTCCTTCAGGAGCTATTTAGGGC
Organism: Homo sapiens; assembly: GCF_000001405.40. NCBI lineage: Eukaryota > Metazoa > Chordata > Mammalia > Primates > Hominidae > Homo > Homo sapiens. The sequence goes on along the minus strand of NC_000014.9, from coordinate 80,486,851 downwards.
AGGCCTGGTGGTGACAAAATCTCTCAGCATTTGCTTTACTTTACTCTGTAAAGTATTTTATTTCTCCTTCACTTATGAAGCTTAGTTTGGCTGGATATGAAATTCTGGATTGAAAATTCTTTTCTTTAAGAATGTTGAATATTGGCCCCCACTCTCTTCTGGCTTGTAGAGTTTCTGCTGAGAGATCCGCTGTTAGTCTGATGGGCTTCCCTTTGTGGGTAACCCAACGTTTCTCTCTGGCTGCCCTTAACATTTTTTCCTTCATTTCAACTTTGGTGAATCTGACAATTATGTGTCTTGGAGTTGCTCTTCTCGAGAAGTATCTTTGGGGCGTTCTCTGTATTTCCTGAATCTGAATGTTGGCCTGCCTTGCTAGATTGGGGAAGTTCTCCTGGATAATATCCTGCAGAGTGTTTTCCAACTTGGTTCCATTCTCCCTGTCACTTTCAGGTACACCAATCAGACGTAGATTTGGTCTTTTCACATAGTCCCATATTTCTTGGAGGCTTTGTTTGTTTCTTTTTATTTTTTTTTCTCTAAACTTCCCTTCTCGCTTCATTTCGTTCATTTCATCTTCCATCACTGATACCCTTTCTTCCAGTTGATCACATCGGCTCCTGAGGCTTCTGCATTCTTCGCCTAGTTCTTGAGCCTTGGCTTTCAGCTCCATTAGCTCCTTTAAGGACTTCAGAGAAGGTGTTTCTTTGAAAGAGTACTTATTTATTGAGTAACTACAATGCAATAGGTCCCATTTAGAAGCTTTGCTAAGGATTCCCCACCCTTCTAGCTAATTGCAACAGTTAAAGTACTAAAATGTACAGCTCTTGCATAAATAACAAAACCAAGTAAATGGAGCAAACAGCATAGCTCCTCAAACTGTGTTTACAGTGTCTTCAGTGATTTTATGGTTTGGAATTTGTACCAAGTGGTAATGTAGATAATGTCTTTTAAAAACAGCCTACATGAATATACACATGCATTTTATTCCACCTGCTGTTATCTACTTTGGAAAAACTTCCCATCATTGGACAGGCACATACGCCAACAATTACATACTTCAATTCCTACGTTTCCTCAGCACTAGTGGCCTTCCACTCGAGAAAACATTATTTCCCTTAATTCAATCATCTATCCATTTATTCATTCATTGCTAAATTCTTGTGGACCTATTATGTGCCAAATCTTATTTAATTGGCTAAAAAAGTCTCTATTATATGTTACCAGTCTTAACCTTGTGATTTTTAAGAATTTCAGTATAATTTCTTTACTTGGTACGCTGATAAAGTTGGTTAGCTAGACCTATATGTTTCAGTATGCATATACTTCATAATTCCTAATTAGCAATGATAATAGTTATACACAATTTGAGGTTGGTATGACTAGACTTGACCATGCTAAACTTTCATTACTCATTCATATTTCACTGTTTATTGCTCTTCTCAGAAAAAGGAATGAAATTGGACTTTTGGAAAGGAAGAGGATCTAAAAGTTGTATATATTGAGATAATATCAAATAAGAGAGCCAAGACCCTCCCATTTTCCTTGACCCCTTTTGAGATAAATACTAAAGGTGAAGCCATACAACCGCAAAATGATTCTTCTTGTTTTGTTTTTGGGCAACCTTTACTTTCCAGAAGCAAGGATCTTGTGTGTATGTATGTGAAAATGTATCATTTGTTGGGTATTAAATGAAGATGATATTCAGATTCTCAGAACCATTACTGGATATGGGCTGAACTTCTCATAGACAAATCTCATGTGAGAACAATGCAGTTCTGGAGCCACTGAGAGACAGCTGTCCACAATGGCTGCCGTCTTCTGTCTGATGCTACCTTGATTCCACTGCTTTTGAGCTGTAGACAATGTGTTATTTCTCACACCAATGCCCACAATTGAGGTCAGATTTCTCTACCCTTTCCCTTTTGGGACTGTATTTCTTAGAGGAATGTGCAGTTGTAGACACTGGTACCACAGAACAGATATAGAAAAATTTTCCCGTGCAATATTCATGCCAGTAGATGTTCAGGCTAAATGTTCAATACCTTTCCAGTGTCTATTTCTCTTCTTGGAGAGTCATTACAAGTGAACTGGAAAAAAAGAAGGAATCTAAAGGAGAATAAGTTAAAATCTCCCTGTGGTCTGTAACCCTAGTGTTGAAAGCATGGATGTGAGTGGTATCTTCTTTTGTCCTTTCAAATGTGTATGAAATTACCTGCTTTCCTAAGGTGATAACTGATGCCTATCAAAGTGGCAATCACCAGAGTGAGATCCCTGTTCATTCTGATACTGATCTCAATACCATGACTTTACCTAAATGTTTGATCAATTTAACAAAAGCAATACTGCCTTTTACCAACAGAATAATTACTGTCGGTTGATAGCATCATGGGAGCTAATTCCCAAGTTACCTATAATTTGTGTGAGGACCCATGTGGTAACATTGATAACCCAAGTAGGTCTTGGTGAGGTCTGACCAAGGTAAATCATCACCACTTTGATATTTGCCATGCATTTTATAATTAGTAGCCAGAGGTCTAGCATATAGAAAAATTTGTATAAATAAGAACCAAGATTGGCTGAGTGCGGTGGCTCACGCCTATAATTCCAGCATTTTGGGAGGCCGAGGCAGGCAGATTGCTTGAGCTCAGGAGTTTGAGACCAGCCCAGGAAACTTGGTAAAAACTCCATCTCTATAAAAAATACAAAAATTAGTTGGGCATGGTGGTGCACGCCTGTAGTCCCATCTGCTTGAGAAGCTGAGGTGAGAGGATCGCTTGAGCCCTGGAGGTCAAGGCTGCAGTGAGCTGTGATTGTGCCACTGCACTCTAGCCTAGGCAACAGAGTGGGACCCTGTCTCAGAGAAAAAAAAAGAAAAAGGAATCAAGATTAGGGGTTTTATCATTTTGATACCATCACCTGTTAAACATCTTAACTTTCAATCAGTATTTTATCCAGAATCAGAAGCTTTAAAAGCTACATAGAAAATCGCCAGACATAACTAATGGTACCTAGAAAGCAGCTTATTTGTTAAATTATGTATAGCTTCTACAAACATGATTACTGTATTTCTAAATTATAAAATGTTTCACTAGACAGTAACCTCTTTGAAGAAAGGCATTGTCTTTTGCCTAGTACTGTGGCTGACATACAATAAGTGTTCAAAATACATTTACTAACTGAGCTAACTCCATCTATACTCTCAACCATCTTTCCTTACCACAGTGAGCAAAGAATGTTTATTAACTGGTTTTGGTAGCCAAATTTGCAGTCTTTCAGCACTTCACAGAACCACTAGCTTGACTGTATTCATTTAAATTCACATCGCCGTGTTGTTCTTGGAACTTCTGCCTGATAGTTTAAATCATGCCTTCAGTGCCATGAATGGCATGAAAACCACACCAATCAGATAGCATCCCTGTGTCACCACTATTAGCAACTAATTTACTGAGCATGAAATATGCTGATTTTGCCTTAAAAGATATTAGTAGAATATCTGTGCTGTCATTGCATCCATTATTTCTTTTGTGTTTGTGCAAGTCTACAGCTGAAGGCCTGAGTGTGTGTTGGCCGTCATATTTGTGGATTGTATCTGTCATCATCACATGCTTCCCCAGGACTATCCACTGGATGGTTAATGTGGAACAAAATCCTTGAGATTGTAATGTTGCTCCCTTAAATTCTAAGTTGGCTTTGCAATGTGGGTTTTTAGGGAAGGTGGAGAGACTCATAATGATAAATAACATCAGTTGTTCCCTGATTGTTGACTTTTCAATGTCATCCTCAGTAAGTTGTGCTTCACCCCCTATAGGATATGGCAGGTCAGTCTTTGCTGAGCTTTCTCGACCTGCCAATATTTGGCTAATGTACAAGCCGATTGTGGTTTGGTTGCCTATTCATCCCACCAGTGATCCTTTATTTTAAGATATTTGGCTTGAGAAACTTGCTTAGCTCACAGGCCAATTTCTTGTCATTTAGCGATTTATTTTCTTACTTGGGCTAAGCGTCTGCTATAAAAATCACTTAGAATTGTGTACTTCTGTCCCTCTTTGTTTCTTTACCTTTACTATTTCCTCTCTCTCCACATTGCCTTTGCAATTCACAACCCTTTCTACTAAAGTGATGTTTGGCACATTTTGAAGTTTAGGTCATAAAGTTTGAGCTTCCCAAGGTTCGGCTTTTTCAGCTGATATGTCTGGTGATGCAGTGTTGCTGAAGCAGTGGATAATGTGCTTTTCATGTGTCTTGTCGCTCATATTAACAAAGCTTCCTAGGCCCTATGCTATAGTTAGATGGTGCCAGTTTTTTAGTATAGATACCATAATGCAACTTGATGCTTGTCAGCCTGATAAGAGTGCTATTGATTCTAAGCTTCTGGTGCATGCACAATGAAAGAAACTGTATGCCTTTGGACTTCATGTTACTGATGACATTATAACTAAGAAAGTGCATACTACACTGCATGGTTCTGGACAACACAAGCATTGGAATAGTCAAGAACCGTATGCTTCTTTGTCTCTATAGCAGTACATCAGTAGTAGCTGATATAACATCAGTGACTTTTGTTTTGAAGTTATCCAACGTACTAAACATAGGAAAAGACACCACCAATCAGTGACTACTAAAAGCCCAGCTCTGTAATAAATACTCAGAAATATGCAAAGGAAGTAGCATTTCTGCTGTTATAGTTGTTTGGGTAAATGTCAATATTTAGTGAATGAATGCAATCTAACAGAAAAAAAAAATAAGATTCTCTTAACTCCTGTCTTCATAAAAAAAGGAGCAGCACTTTTTCTTTAAAAAGCGATTCTCCCACCCAAACTATATTTAACTCTCTTTGTCCCTTGACAAGGTACAGCTGTACCAGAATTTTGGTCAGGTTTTAAAAATAGAAGTTCCTAGGTATTAAGTCTACCTATTTTACTGCTAGAGAATAATCTTATTTATTTTGTCATCCCAGATAATATTAAGAATTAGTCTAATACTCTTTTTAGGTTTAGATACTAAAGTAGGAATTGGGCTATTTAAGGTGAACTAGGATCACATACATCTAAATGGATGGATTTAAAACCACAGTGTCTGGTTGGCTATCCTGACTACTGTAAGGGGATTAGTGTTAGGTCCAGAGAAATCCTGGCTGTGTCTGTCACTGTTTGCCATGTGACATTGAGCCTGCCATTCACCTCTCATGCCTCTTTGCTGTTAACTGAGGAAGTTGAATAACTGGGTCACTTTCCATTTCTAGAGTTTATGAATATACTGTTGAAGTATACAATAACATTCTGCACTGGATTAAAGTGGACAATATATAGTCTGAATCTCTACTGCAAAGCTAATGCTAAGAGAGACCAAACCATCTTTGAATTATAAGCCTTGTGGTATGGTTTGGCTGTGTCCCCACTGAAATCTTAACTTGAATTGTATCTCTGAGAACTGCCACATGTTGTAGGAGGGACCCAGGGAGAGGTAATTCAACCATGGGGGCCGGTCTTTCCCATGCTGTTCTTCTGATAGCGAATAAGCCTTACGAGAGCTAATGGGTTTATCAGGGGTTTCTGCTTTTGCTTCTTTCTCATTTTTCTCTTGCTGCTGCCATGTAAGAAGTGCCTTTTGCCTCCTGCCATGATTCTGAGGCCTCCCCAGCCGTGCAGAACTGTAAGTCCAGTTAAACCTCTTTTTCTTCCCTGTCTCGGGTATGTCTTTAGCAGCAGCATGAAAATGGGCTAATACAGTAAATTGTTACCAGCAGAGTGGGGAGTTGCTGAAAACATACCCGAAAATGTGGAAGCGACTTTGGAACTGGGTAACAGGCAGAGGTTGGAACAGTTTGGAGGGCTCAGAAGGAAACAGGAAAATGTGGGAAAGTTTAGAACTTCCTAGAGACATGTTGAATGGCTTTGCCCAAAATGATGATAGCAATTTGAACAATAAAGGTCCAGGCTGAGGTGGTCTCAGGTGAAGATGAGGAACTTTTTGGGAACTGGAGTAAAGGTGACGCTTGTTATGTTTCAGCAAAGAGACTGGCTGCATTTTGCCCCTGTCCTAGAGATCTGTGGAACTTTGAACTTGAGAAGGATGATTTAGGATATCTGGCAGAAGAAATTTCTAAGCAGCAAAGCATTCAAGAGGTGACTTGGGTACTGTTAAAGTCATGCAGTTTTATAAGGGAAGCAGAGCATGAAGTTTGGAAAATTTGCAGCCTTACTATGCAATAGAAAAGAAAAACCTATTTTCTGGGGAAAATATCTCCAGGCCATGTCAGAGACCTTCTCGGCAGCCCCTCCCATCACAGGCCTGCAGGCCCAGGAGGAAAATATGGTTTCCTGGGCCAGGTCCAGGGTCCCTTTGTTGTATGCAGCCTAGGGACTTGATGCCCTGGGTCTCAGCCACTCCAGCCATGGCTGAAAGGGGCCAGTGTATGGGTTGGGCTATGGCTTCAGAGGGTGGAAGCCCCAAGCCTTGGCAGCTTCCACGTGGTGTTGAGCCTGCGGGTACATAGAAGTCAGGAATTGAGGTTTGAGAACCTCTGCCTAGATTTCAGAAGATGTATGGAAACACCTGGATGCCCAGGCAAAAGTTTGCTGCAGGGGCAAGGTTCTCATGGAGAACCTCTGCTAGGGCAGTGCAGAAGAGAAATGTGGGGTCAGAGCCCCCACACAGAGTCCTTACTGGGGCACTGTCCAGTGGAGCTGTGAGAAGAGGGCCACCATCCTCCAGAATCCAGAATAATAGATTTCACCAACAGCTTGCACCGTGTGCCTGGAAAAGCCACAGACACTCAACACCAGCCCATGAAAGCAGCCAGGAGGGAGGCTGTACCCTGCAAAGCCACAGAGTGGAGCTGCCCAAGACCATGGCAACACACCTCTTGCATCAGCATGACCTGGATGTGAGACCTGGAGTCAAAGGAGATCATTTTGGAGCTTTAACATTTGACTGCCCCACTGGATTTAAGACTTGCAATGGCTGTATTTACCCAATACCTGAACTCCTATTGTATCTAGGAAGTAACTAGCTTCCTTTTAATTTTACAGGCTCATACGTGTAAGGGGCTTACCTTATGTCAGATGAGACTTTGGACTGTGGACTTTTGGGTTAATGCTGAAATGAGTTAAGACTTTCAGGGACTGTTGGGAAAGCATGATTGGTTTTGAAATGTGAGGGTGTTAGGTTTGGAGGGACCAGGGGCAGAATGATACGGTTTGGCTGTGTCCCCACCAAAATCTCAACTTGTATTCTACCTCCCAGAATTCCCACATGTTGTGGGAGGGACCCAGTGGAAGGTAATTCAATCATGGGGGCCTATCTTTCCCGTGATATTCTCATGATAGTGAATAAGTCTCATGAGATTGGAATGGGTTTATCAGGGGTTTCCGCTTTTGCTTCTTCTTATTTTTCTCTTGCTGCTACCATGTAAGAAGTGCCTTTCACCTCCCACCATGATTCTGAGGCCTCTCCAGCCATGTGGAACTACGAGTCCAATTAAACCTCTTTTTGTTCCCAGTTTCAGGTGTGTCTTCATCAGCAGTTTGAAAATACCCTTGTTTTTCAATGTTTTATTCAATAATGAACTGTCTGTAAAATCATTTTACTTGCATAATCCACCCTCCACCTCCTTTTTACATGTTATATTTTGCTTAAAAATAGCATAAGATTAGAATCCTACCTCTTGCACAACTTACTAATTGTGCGATTTGGGGTAATTTACTTAACATTTCTGAGCTTCATTTTTCTTATTTCTATAAAGGAATGAATTGCATCTGCCTTAAAAGAGCTGTTAGGAGACTTACATGTAATGGCTCATGAAAAGTGTCAACCTCAGAACCTGGCACACACAGGCTCATCATAAATGTTTCTTACTATCTAGGCCTGATCCACTTCATCCATAAACTCTGAGGTTCTATCTCTATTTATTAATCAGCAACAAATCACAGAAGCTGTTGAACAATGAGTGACAAAGCTAACTGGACTCTGGAATTAGCATATTTATTCTGTTAGATTGCATTAATTTATCAAATATTTACTGAATGCCAGTTCAGATACATAGAAAGAGATATATTGTTATAAGCATATCTTCAAATCTACCTATGTATCAGAGAAGGGGATGTTGATACTCTGTACCTAACGTGTATCATCTGCTATATGCAAACAGTATTCGGAAGAGCTTTAAATATTTTAACTCAATCCTCACAACAACCCTATGAGGTTAGTATTATTATCATTTTCATTCAAGAATGTATCTTATATGAGGAAATTGCAGGACAGTGGGATTGAGTAACTTACCCAAGATCACATACTGGTAAGCATGGGACCCAAATTTGAATGCAGACAGTATATGTTGCTTCAGAATCCGTATGTTTTGTCACTCAGCTACATATGCAAAGTGTCATTTAAAAATTATTTTAAAGAATCAATGACACCAATGAGTTTTTTTCTGTCTCTCATAGAGGGTGTTTTAAATAGCATTTCCAGGAAAGGAAGGCTGGAAGGCTGCTGTCAACCACACTACACTGCTTAAATCTCGTGGAGCCATGATGGTGCATCAGGTTTTGCTATGCCTATCTTCTCTGCAACCCAAGAGAGGGAACAAAGAGCAGCCAGGTGGGATTAGATGCTGGGGGCTTAAGCAATAACTGACTCCATTTTCTGTTTCTACACTCCAGCCAGTGCCAAGTGATTTTTTAAAAATTTAAATACTTTTCTGCCCTATCAAATACAGGGTATACACTACTGAAAGAACGCTCTGCTAGTAAAAAGTGTTTATTGATTCAAGCAGAAAAAAGGGGGGAAAAAACTGTGGGTGTCAGATGAAGCTGAAGGGAAGTATCCAGGAAGAGAGGGAGGAATGGGGAGCTTTTCTTTTGAGTGTCCTATTAAAATGTGTGAGTGGAAGTTGGGGGTGGATTTCATGAGTAAATATGGAATTTTGCCACCAAATTCTTTCCTCCAGAGCTAATATTCTCATGGGATGTTAATATTAATACAAGGAAAAAGGCCCTGGGTGAAGAAAAATTATTTTCCCCTTCAGGGGCAGAGTTCTCTCAGGACGACAGTGAGGTTAAAGAGTTCCAGAAAATGCTAGTAGAACTTTAAGCACGCTATCATTAACAGACAGAAAAACAGACTACAACCTACTGGATTCATTTTGGAAAGTAGAAAAAAGGAATCTGGTAAAATCAGCCAAAGCAAGGACCTTTCCCCCTCCTTAGAACTCGCTAAGCTTTCCATGGTGTGTGGGCCTTTTAGTTCCACTCATTATTCAGGCCTAATTCAGGTCATCAAAATAGAAATGCATGGGACAGGTGACTGACATGACTGCATCGTGGTTTAGATGTATAGATAACACGGGGAGGTGCTTTACATTTTAAGACTTTGTTCATAATTCTTTTATTTATGGTTTCTCTGAATCATTCTTTTGGAACATTCTAAAAGAGCCAGAGGAAAAAAATGGAACTTTTTCTCAAGGGACTTGACTTAGTGGATAGCTAAATGTCCAGTTTCAAAAGCTTATCCTTTTGAAATGCTTTTATACTTATAAAAGCCCAAAGAAACCTTAATATGGGCCACATAACTATAATGTAATTTTTCCAAGGTAGGAAAGGCAGTAATACTGTACTATTAGAATATATGGATTTTCATAAGAGCAGCTGTTGTTTCACTAAGGTTTACATTATTTTAGGTCCTAGTTTTCTGTTTGGAGGTGTATTAATGAGTTCCTTGGTTAATTTATTCCCATTCTCTATATTTCTGATTCTTAATTGTATGATGTGGTTTATATTCATTGTTTTGACGTGATAGGAATGCCAACAATGTGCCTTTGGTTTTCTTATGCTTAAAAAATAAAAAAATAAATAAACATTAAATGTAAAATCATGAAGGATTCTTACGAACAGTTGTATGTCCTTGACTAAATTTTTTTTTTTTTGAGACAGAGACTCACTCTGTCACCCAGGCTGGAGTGCAGTGGCACCATCTGGGCTCACTGCAACCTCCGCCTCCTGAGTTCAACCGATTCTCCCACCTCAGCCTCCCGAGTAGCTGGAATTACAGGCGCATGTCACCACACCCGTCTAATTTTTGTATTTTTAGTAGAGATGGGGTTTCACCATGTTGGCCAGGCTGGTATTGAACTCCTGACCTCAAGTAGTCTGCCTGCCTTGGCCTCCCAAAGTGCTGGGATTCAGGCATGAGCCACCATGCCCGCCCTCTTGACTAAATTCTTTAGCCCTGTGTGTACCTAATGTTTTGCATGTGGGCAGTTATCTGAGTACTTACTGTGGGATAGTTTACAGAACTGAACTTCAATTTCAGTTACACTGGATATAAATGAGCAATATAAAAAATATAAACAAGCCCATGAATGAAGACTTTCCTCTGGGCAATTTTAAGCCAGTAATGTATAATCAACTGAAAAATAAGCTTGTTTTATACCACATTTATGCTAAGACTTACCACACAGTGGGAAATAAATAACAGAAAGTAGGTACCTTCAGGTATATTTATAGGCTAAACCTATGAATCTTTGGTTAATAAAGCAATTCTTCTGATGCTTTGAATACTTGGGACTTGAGGGTTGCAGTTAATTGCATTAAATTAGGATGATGAGAAATGCATTCTGGCTTCAATTCTTCCAGTTGGAAATCTTCCTAAAATGTATGAGTAGATTTTCTCAACTAGCAAGACAATGAATTTTATCAGTCTATTTTTTCTGATTTAGACCTGGCAAGCCTCAGGGATATAATTCTCAATATCAATCACCATTGCACAATATGATACACAGGTAGAAGATAGAAGATGAAACAGATGAGGCCATCTGTATTATTGGCCTCAGAATAGTGGTTAATCCGTCAGTCACCACAAGGACTCTATTATAGTCCTTCGCCGTGCAGACTGCTGGAGGAGATATAAAACTATCATAACTATTTGCTTGTACCTTTTAAGATATTTAGCAGCATCCTTGGGCTTTTTGTTGTTGTTGTTGTTGTTGGAAGAGCAGAAGTAACAGACATACTTCCTGTACGTGGAACACAAATTCAGAAAATGGAAAGAGCAGAGGTCAAAGAAGATTTTATAGAGGAAGTAGGTTATGAACAGAATCTTAAAGGATGTTTAGTGTTGCCAAATCAACCCTAAGTGCTTGATGAATAAGGGGGTCACTGTTTTGACCAAAACTGTTAAATAAATCATTTAACAGTTTTAATATAGCTTACTGAAATTTTTCTCGTTAGTTACCATTAAAACTCTTAAATGATTCATGAAGATTATTGAAGACAAATTCCTCTTAGGACCTAGGCATACCCTCAATGTTCACCGTGTAGGTAGATGTGGAATTTAGGGGCCAAATTTCACTTTTCCCCAGTATAATTTGTATATGACCTACCATTCAGTAAAGCTATTTCTCCTCCACTTTATCCTGCTTCATCTTCTCTTTCTAGTCTTCTTCTTTTTCTTGCCCGCTGTTTCTTCATTCTTCTTCCTCCTATATTATTTTCTTCACATCCTTCTTTCCCTTTTCAGGTTTGGGTGATATAGGCCTGTGAGAAGAGAATCCACAGTCATAAACAATGTACTGTATTAGTCATCCTGTGGCCTCTGAAACAAATTACAAACTAGATGAGTTAAAACACAGAAATGTATTCTGTCACAGTTCTGGAGGCCAGAAGTCCAAAATCAGTTTCACCAAACAGAAATGAAGGTATCACCTCCACAGAAGAATCGATCTCTTGCCTCTTCCAAGTTCTGGTGGCTGCCAGCTTCGGTTTATGGCTGCGTTACTCCAATCTCTGCCTCTGTGGTCACATGGCCTTCTACTCTTCTCTGTGTGTCAGATCCCCCTCTTACAAGGACATTTATGATGCTATTTAGGGTCCAGACAGATAATCCAAGATAATGCCCTGAATCTCAAGATCCTTAACTTAATCATACCTACAAAGATCCTTTTTTTCAAATAAGTTAACATTTACAGGTTCCAGGGATTAGAGAATTGATATGGTATGGCTCTATGTCCCCACCCAAATTTCATCTCAAATTGTAATCCACACATGTCAAGTGGGGAACCTGTAATTCCCACGTTTCAAGGAAGGGAAAGGGAAGTGATTGGATTATGGAAGCAACATCCCCCATGTTGTTCTCATGATAGTGAGTGAATTCTCACAAGATCTGATGGTTTTATAAATGGCAGGTTTTTTTGTGCTTACACATGCACACTCTCTCCTGCTGCCTTGTGAAGAAGGTGTTTGCTTCTCCTTCTGCCATGATTGTAAGTTTCCTGAGGCCTGCCCAGCCATGTGGAACTGTGAGTCAATTAAACCTCTTTTCTTTATAAATTACCTAGTCTTGGATAGTATCTTTATAGAAGTGTGAGAATGGACTAATACAGTAAGTTGGTACTACGAATGGGGCACTGCTATAAAGATACTGGAAAATGTGGAAGCGACTTTGGAATTGGGTAGCAGACAGAGGTTGGAACAGTTTGGAGGGCTCAGAAGAAGACAGGAAGATGTGGGAAAGTTTGGAACTTCCTAGAGACTTGTTGAATGATTTTGACAAAATACTGATAGTAATATGGACAATGAAGTCCAGGCTGAGGTGGTCTCAGATGGAGATGAGGAACTTATTGGGAACTGGAGCAAAGGTGACCCTTGCTATGCTTTAGCAAAGAGATTGGCAGCGTTTCGCCCCTGCCCTAGAGATCTGTGGAACTTTGAACTTGAGAGAGATGATCTGAAATTGGAACTTATGTTTAAAATGGAAGCAGAGCATAACAGTTTGGAAAATTTGCAACCTGACAATGAGATAGAAAAGAAAAACCCATTTTCTGGGGAGAAATTCAAGCCTGCTGTAGTAATTTGCATAAGTAACTAGGAGCCAAATGTGAATTGCCAAGACAATGGGGAAAAAATGTCTCCAGGGCATGTCAGAGACCTTCACAGCAGCCCCTCCCATCACAGGCCTGGAGTCCTAGTGGGAAAAATGATTTCATGGGCTGGGCCCAGCACCTTGCTACTTTGTACAGTCTTGGGACTTGGTGCCCTGCATCCCAGCTGTGGCTAGAAGGGGACAATGTACACCTCAGGCTGTTGCTTCAGAGAGTGCAACCCCCAAGACTTGGCAGCTTCCACATGGTGTTGGGCCTGCAGGTGCACAGAAGTCAGGAATTGAAGTTTTGGAACTTCTGCCTAGATTTCAGAGGATGTATGAAAACACCTGCTACAGAAGTCCAGGCAGAAGTTTGCTGCAGGGGTTGAGCCCTCATGGTAAACCTCTGCTAGGGCAGTGTGGAAAGGGAAACGTGGGGTCGGAGCACCCACACAGTGTCCCCACTGGGGCACTGCTTAGTGGAGCTGTGAGAAGAGGGCCACAGTCCCTCAGGCCCCAGAATGGTAGATTCACTGACAGCTTGCACTGTGCACCTGGATAAGCCACAGACACTCAATGCCAGCCCATCAAAGTAACTGGGAGGGGGGCTGTATATTCCACAGGGGTGGAGCTGCCCAAGACTGTGGGAGCCTACCACTTGCATCAGCATGCCCTGGATGTGAGACATGAAGTCAACAGAGATTTTTTAGGAGCTTTAAGTTGTAATGACTGCCCCCCCGCTGGATTTCAGACTTGCGTGGGGCCTGTAGCTCCTTTGTTTTGGCTAATTTTTCCCATTTGGAATGGAAGCATTTTTCCAACGCTTGTACCTCCACTGTATCTTGGAAGTAACTAACTTGTATTTGATTTTACAGACTCATAGGTTAAAGGGACTTGCCTTGTCTCAGATGAGACTTTGGACTTGGACTTTTGAGTTAATGCTGAATGAGTTAATGTGGGGGTCTGTCCTGCAGACCCTGACCCAATGATGGATGAATAACATACACTGACACAGATATTTTGCCTGTCAGTCCAGCTGAGGGTCCAGGCCACCTACAGACACCAAGGAGGGTGCTGTAGAGTTGCAGCTGTGGCCCCAATCAGCCAGCAAAGCTCACATTTATTCAGTATAGATTAAATGACAAAGGTCTTGAGTAAACACCACTAGAGGGTAATTGACACTGCCCACCTCCAGAGTAGAAGCAATTATGCACCTGTGGTTGATCAAAGGTTGGTTTTAGGACCACATGAGTAAAGAAGCTATTTAGATAAATTGCTCTACATTCCTTTGTATCTGTGCCCTAAACTATTAACTCAAGGTAAGGATTAGGCTGCCTTCAGCCTGATCTATTACTGGAGCTTATGCAAACCAACCCCCAACCAGCCTTCCAAGAAGGTTTGTGTCTTTTTCTTATAACTATCTTTAAAATTTTTCCCACTGAGAGGTGAAGCCAGCTGGACTTCCTGGGTAGGGTACGGACTTGGAGAACTTTTCTATCTAGCTAAAGGATTGTAAATGCACCAATCAGCACCCTGTAAAAATGCACCAATCAGCACTCTGTGTCTAGCTAAAGGATTGTAAACGCACCAATCAGCACTCTGTAAAAACGCACCAATCAGCGCTCTGTGTCTAGCTAAAGGATTGTAAATGCACCAATCGGCACTCTGTAAAAAGTCACCAATCAGCGCTCTGTGTCTAGCTAAAGGATTGTAAACGCACCAATCAGCACTCTATAAAATGGACCAATCAGCGGGATGTGGGTGGGGACAAATAAGGGAATAAAAACTGGCTATCCCAGCCTGCAGCAGCAGCCCACTCAGGTCCCCTTCCATGCTGTGGAAGCTTTGTTCTTTTGCTCTTCACAATAAATCTTGCTGCTGCTCACTCTTTGGGTCCACACCACCTTTAAGAGCTGTAACACTCACAGCAAAGGTTTGCGGCTTCATTCTTGAAGTCAGCGAGACCAAGAACCCACCGGAAGGAATAAATTCTGGACACGCCACCAGCCTGTCTGAACTCCCACATCTCTCCCTTTTCTGTTCTTTGCATCGGGTTCTGTTGACCGAAGGGTACAGATGTGTGCAGCAACAGGTCTGTCAGACGAAGTGGTCATTCCTCTTATTCCAGCTTTGTATCCTAGAATTAGCAAATAACATAAGACAATCATGAGTATAATTAGCAACATTCTTTTCCAGTCAAAGAGTGACCCCCAGGAGCAGGGGTCTAACCAGGAGAGATGATCTTGCCTGCTCTTCCATATGGCTGTTTGTTGGGTGTGTAGATGTATCGTGTGAAGGGATTCTAAAATTTCAGTTGTAAGTTGCTTTACGTCTGCTGTTAAGTTGTAATGAAAGGTTCCCCAGGGGTATTGTTTCACCTCATCCCAACTATGCATTGATCGATTCCATGGTAGAGAACTGACATAGATATGTTTATGCTCCCAGTCGCAGTTTAATTGTTGACAGAATGCCAGTGCATCTTGTCACTCCCCCACATATTCCAAGACAGCCTCAAGGGCTTGCAGACTTGCAGGAATCTTTTGATCTGTACCCTGCTGTAAGAGAAGTTCATTAGACACATTTTTGGCCAAATTATCTACAAAAACAGCATTTGTACTGTTTCAGTAATAGATGCTACAGCCACACTAGCAGTTGCTAGGATAACTATGGCTGAGACTATAAAGGCTGTAAGTGTGCCTATGAATCTTTTGGGTCTGACCTGGGATAGGGTACATTCTAAGGTGGCAAGGGCAGAGGAACCTTGCCAGTCGTGTGTCAAATTGACTGATAGGAATGCCTCAGATTGTCTCCTTAATACCATGGCACTAGTAATATTTAAATTAGATATATTATAATTAGTGATACATGAGACAAACCAAGCCTGTTCCTGCACCTGGGTCACAAATGCAGAGTTTTGGGTGTAATGGAAATATTAGTTCCCATAAGGAAAACATATGGATGGGTAGTGCAAATTAGGCACTGATCAGTGTGATTATGAATAAAGGTTATAGTATAGTTGTTACTGGAATTATGATATGTCCCATGCCAGGTGTCAAAGGAAGTACTAAGATGTCCCAGTCACCATAAAGTGTCTTGAAGTGGGATGGACTTTACTTGGGGTCTGGGATATCCCATCCCCCCATTGGCCCAAATCACAGGGGGATGGAACAAGGCTATGAAACTGTGATTGATGCCATGATGGATGTGGACATCAGTAAGGCTGTCCTGCAAATGGCCATGAGGGTTCCAGTCTAAGGTGTTATAATTGCCTAACTGGAGGCTACAGGCTTGTCCCCTGTGACAGACCTCCCAGCTAAAGTGGAATTCATTACTTTCCTGGCTTTGTTCTTTAGCACAGGAAGGAATGTTTGGGAAAGCAACATTGATTGAATTACCCGGTTTGAGGCTACCTGCAGCTAAGACTGTTAAGGCATTTCTTTTGCCATGATGTAGCCATAATTGTGTTTGAGCAGGTACACAGTAAGGGTTAGAACCTTTATAACTTAACGCATAGTGGGAGGATATTGGAGTGATACTTATTGTTATCTGGCATCTTAGTCCAATGTGTGCCATTAATGAGGGACCCCACTGGGGGTAAATCTATCCCTCCTAGCCAAGCAGTCACGTTATTAAAGCCTGGGAAGGGGGTGTCTGCCTAGGTGACAGGACTAAAGAAAGGCGGATCTAAGATATGAGCCCAATAGAGTGTAGCAGGTACAGGTTGCAGACAAAGCAAGGGCCTAAAAAGGAGCAATACCCTATGTGAATTGCAATGTACAACAGACAGCATAGCAAGGAACAAATTATCTGAAGTGAATGGTGTCTGTGTCTGGAGCGGGATTCATTCAGCCTCCTGAGTTGTCCTCTTCAGCATACCCCAGGTAATGTCCGGGGCTTTTGTCGTCCACAGAAGCCACATCGTCCAGGGCTGTGGGTCCTGTAAGGTCAGTTCCTTCATTTCTGGTACCGGGTTGGGTCCTAGCCATGCCATGGTATGGTTTGATGCATCATGCTGGAATCTAAAGAGGACCTGAGGGGGTGTGGACAGAAGTGTACCCTCTTCCCCAAGTTAGTAATTCATTTGGACCACACCATATATTACTGTTTACATCTTTCCATAAAACTGCAGGTTTTATGTCTTGAGAGGTTTTAGCAAAGTGCTTTTCTACAGCTGATTGAAATTTGTCATCTAAATTTTAAAAATTAAGGGTAAATAAGGCTTGTGCTAGTAGCGTTGCAGGGTCTTTACCCATACTCCCCCTCTTCTGTTTTTTGAGCATATTTTTAAGGGTGGAGTGGGCACGTTCTACTATGGCCTGTCCTTGGGGGTCATATGGGATGCCTGTGGAATGTTGGATATCCCATGTGTGACAAAATTGTTGAAATTGTGAGCTGACATAAACTGGACCGTTATCAGTTTTAATTTTTGTGGGCCATCCCATAAATGCAAAAGTTAAAAGATGTTTAATGACATATTGGGTGGAATCTCCAGGCAAAGCATGGGCACTAATTGAGAATTGGTATCAATGGATACACGTACGTATCTAAGTTTTCCAAATTCGGGGATGTGTGTAACATCTGTTTACCGTAACTGATTAGGTTCTAGTCCTCTAGGGTTAACACGTGTTGAAGGTGGGGATGCGCCTGTGAGCTGGCAATCTGGGCATTGCAGGATAATTTGTTTAGCTAGTCTCTGGGTGAGTTGAAATTGTTTAGATAAGTTTCTCTAATTTTGGTGTAAAAATTGATGTGATTGGGTGGCTTGGTCAAGCAGTGATGTCATAACCTGAAGGTCTGCTTGATCATTGCCGTAAGCCAATAGGCCAGGCAGTGAACTCTGGGCTCAAAAATGTGTGATAAAAATAGGATGTATACACTGATCTAGCAATTGCTGAAGTCTAAGAAAAAGAGCACACAGGGTGGGCTCCAGAGTGGACTTAATTAGGGCTGTTGCAAGGTTCTGCAATAAATAGAGTAGGCATAGTCGCTAACAATATTGATGGGCTGAGCCGAAAAAGTTTCCAAGGCCAATATCAGGGCCCCAGTCTCAGCTCTTTGAGTGCTAGTAAATCCAGATCAAGTGAGTGAATTATGTAGTCTCCAAAAGACTGCCGCCTTTCCATGTTTACCAGATCCATCAGTAAACAGTGTTAAAGCATTAGGTATGGGGGAGTGAACTGTTTGTGTAGGCAAGATCACAGGAGTACAAGATAAGAAATGAAGGAGTTTGTCAGCGGGAAGGACATGCTCTATTTGTTCTGTGTAATCAGAGAGTGCTATTTGCAAGTCCATCGATAAGGGCAATACTGCTTCTAACTGCTTTTTACTTAAAGGAATCCTGATGATATTAGGATCATAACCTAGCAACTGACTGCATCATTTGCAGCCTGAATAGATGACTTTACTAAGTAACTGGATATAGGGAACTAGTGTTTTAGTCCTGGTATGTGAGCAAAAACAAAAAAACCATTCTAGAAAGTGCAGTCCTGGGGTCTGTGGTTAACCCTGTAGGGGAGTGTTTGGTGGGAAAGATAAACATTTGAATTGAGTAGCCTGGATCTATGCTATCTAGGTGCCTCTGAGAGATGGTTTATTCTATTTCCTCAATTTCCCTTTTGCTGCAGGGGTTAAATATCTGGGAGAATCTAGGGCTGTATTGCCCTTTAAGATAGAAAACAGGTTTTGCAGCTTATCCGTAGATATACCCAGAGTAGGGCAGAGCTAGTTGATATCACCTAGTAATTTCTGATCATCATTTAAGGTGTGTAAGTTTCTAATATTTAATTTAACATTTTGAGATCTTACTGACTGGGAAGTTAGTATGTACCCACGATATTTCCAAGGAGAAGACATCTATACTTTCTCGGGTGCAATGATTAAACCTTTTAGCTATGTATTCTTTATGACAGAGGTAAATACATTTAAAAGCATTGGCTCCATTGGGGCTGCTAGTAGAATATCATCCATAAATGAATAACCTTGCAATCAGGAAATTCTTTTCTACTGGGTAGCAAAGCTTGATTTACATGATACTGACACATGGTAGGACTATTTAGCATTCCTTGAGGAAGCACTTTCCAATGAAATTGACAAGCTGGCCTTTCATTATTGATAGCTGGTATTGTAAACGCAAATTTTTCTCTGTCCTGTTCTGCTAAGGGAATCATATAAAAACAGTCCTTCAAGGACAGAAAACCAAACACTGTATGTTCTCACTTACAAGTGGGAGTTGAACAATGAGATCACTTGGACACAGGGCGGGGAACATCACACACCAGGGCCTCTTGGGTTATGGAGGGCTGGGGGAGGGATAGCATTAGAAGAAATACCTAATGTAAATGACGAGTTGATGGGTGCAGTAAACCAACGTGGCACATGTATACCTATGTGTCAAACCATGTTGTGCACATGTACCCTAGAACTTAAAGTATAACGAATATATATATATATATATATATATATATATAAATATAAAACAGTCCTTTAAGTCAATAATGATTGTAGGCCAATCTTGAGTAATCACCATGGGGGAAAGGAGCCCCTGCTGAAGGGGTCCCATATGTTGCAAATTGACATTAACAGCACGTAAGTCATGCAAAAGTCTCCATTTCCCAGACTTTTTGGGAATGAGGAAAATGGGCGAATTCCAAGGACTATTAGATGGTTCCACATGTCCAGCTTTTAATTGCTCTTCAACTAATTCATGGACCCTCTGTAATTTCTCTCCCTTCAGAGGCCACTGTTCTACCCAAATAGGATCTTGAGAGAGCCACATCGGGGTAGGGGAAGAATAATAACAGTGGCCCTTGTTAGAAAGGGGTCTGCAGAGTGACCCCCATTGGGCTAATGGGTCCCATCCCCAAAGATTAACAGGGATGGGCATGATTAGAGGTTGCATAATTGCCTTTCTTCCTTCTGAATTGCAACATGTTAGGGGGCACGTTCTCTGCTTGGCTGTGTGCACTTCCCCAATGCCGACAATTTTTTGTTTCTGAGTGACCCAAGCCCAAGTTTCTGGCCAGTTTTGATCACTAATAATTGAAATGTCCGCCCTTGTGTCCAATAAGCCAGTAAAATTCTTATTTCTAATTTCTAAGGTAATCATGGGTCTCTGGTCAGTGATTAATTGATTCCAATATACTCCTGTGTCTCCTGTGCTTCCCAAACTTCCCTTCCCCTTTCCTTTCTGTGGGCTTTGGGGACCTAGTATGGTAAAATCAGTAACTGAGCTGTCTTTGATCGAGGGGGAAGAATATGCAGACCTTTACATTCCATCTTAACCTATATCTCACCTTGGTAATCACTATCAATTACCCCAGTGAGCACATTAATTCCTTTACCAGATAAGCTAGACCACCCTAGGACTAATCCCACTGTTCCCAGAGGCAGTGGGCCCCAGATCCCAGTTGTAACCCTTTTAGGGTCTTCTTCTTTAAGCACTAATTCACTGGGGCAGAGTAAGTCCAGTCCTGCATTCCCAGTGGTGCCTGCTCTGAGAGAGAGGACTGTGGACTTTCCATCTGACCAAGGAAAGCTGCTGGCGTTGCCCATTTGTAGCGGGGCCTCATGAAGTTTCCTACCTGGTTACTTATGGGGTTTCCGTTTTTTTCAAATTTTGACCTGCATTGATTTGCCTAATGTTTCCCCTTTTTACATTGGGGGCATATAGAAGGGGGTTCTTTCCTGAGTTACTTTGGTCTCTACTATGGGGGCATTCCTTGTTCATATGACCTGGCTTTCCGCATAGGAAATAATTTTGGCTTCTCTCCCTTTTTACTTTAGGAGCCCTTAATGCCATAGCCAATATTTTGGCTTTGTGTGTCTCAGTTCCCACCAGCTGACATGGTTGTATAAGTTCCCTGACTGTGGCTGCCTTTCCTCTGATTGCCTGCATTGCTTGCTGGCGATCCACATTAGCATTTTCAAAAGCCAGTTGCACCAATAAGATATCAGTGGCCTGGGCGTGACTAATTTGTCTCTTATTTGCTTTGGTTTACCGATTGATAAACTCAACACATGGCTCCTGAGGCCCCTGTCGAACATTTATAAAAGATCCCTGTTGAACTCCGCTTTTGGGAATTCAGTCCCAAGCCCTGAGAG
The DNA here is from genome assembly GCF_000001405.40 of Homo sapiens. Classification (NCBI taxonomy): domain Eukaryota; kingdom Metazoa; phylum Chordata; class Mammalia; order Primates; family Hominidae; genus Homo; species Homo sapiens. The sequence goes on along the minus strand of NC_000014.9, from coordinate 80,465,896 downwards.
CACACAAAGACACTTGAGCATAGGCCTGGGGATCAAAATCTAGTTGTTGTTGTACATCAGCATGGGGACCCCTCCCCTGGAGCATAGCAGCTGTTATGTCTTGCCTGTCTGCCTGATTCTGGTTGGCTTGTTGTTCACACAACTCATCATATTCTGCCTTCCAAAGGAGGTATTGGCTAGGGTCCAAAGTTGTTTTAGCTAGCATTGACCAGTCCCATGGGGTCATACGGAAGTTGTCTGCCAAGTCCTTAATTATTCCTTTTGTAAATGGGCTAGTGGCTCCATTTTCTTTAATGCTTTTTCTTAGCTCTTTATAAGCGTTAAAAGAAATGGGTTCATGTTGCTGATTGCCTTGTCAGTCTTGCACTACCAGGCAGGCTGAAAGCTCCCCTTCTAATGCCGCTTGCTTAAGGCAAGGTCCCATAGCTGGAGTGTGTCTCTTGTCTTTTTTCCTATTTATTGGAGGAGGAGGTTCAGGCAAGACCTCTGTTTCCTCTTTGTTATTTTTCCCCAGTGATAGCAGGTCTGAGGGACTCAGGGGTGGTAAAGTATGTGACAGTTCCTCCTCCTTCACCTTTTTAGGCTCTTCTGTGTATAGTGGGACCAAAGCCGCCCTTACTAAGGCCCCTACGTTAAAGATGATACTGGGACCCATAGACCTTACACCTGATGTTGTTTAAGATTTGTTCCCACTTGTTCCCAGAGCTCTACATCTAGTGTGCCTTCTTTTGGGAACCATGTATTATGGGTTACAACAGTTTTCATTAGATCCCTTAATTGAGCCTGCGAAACCCTGGCTCCACTAGCCTTAAGCAGCGGTTTCAATACTTTTATATACTATTTCTGTTGCACTGATAACTGTTGTCCCATGATGAAACCTCAGCCTGAACAATCCCCCACCCCTGGACTAGGAAATTCCAAGCAGGCACCACTGACTTACTGACTCACTGACTCTGCGGTCCTTTTCACCTTCATTTTGGGGGGTCCGTCGTGATCCTTCGCAGCATTCCTCACACGGAGCGCCAGCTGTAGGGGGTCTGTCCCGGAGACCTTGACCCAGTGACAGATGAATAACGTACACGGACACAGATATTTTGCCTGTCAGTCCAGCTGAGAGTCCGGGCCACCTACAGACACCAAGGAGAGTGCTGTAAACAGTTGCAGCCGCAGACCAGCCAATCAGCCAGCAAACCTCGCCTTTATTCAGCATAAATGACAAAGGTCTTGAGTAAACACCACTAGAGGGTAATTGACATTGCTGACCTCCCAAGCAGAGAGCAATTATGCAGCAGCAGTTATCAAAGGATGGTTTTAGGACCACAGGAGTAAAGAAGCTATTTAGATAAACTACTCTACGCCCTAAGCAATTAACTCAAGGTAAGGATTACGCTGCCTTCAGCCTGATCTATTACTGGAGCTTATGCAAACCCCCCTGGCCTTCCAAGGTTTGTGTCTTTTTCTTATAACTATCTTTAAAATTTTTCCCACCAGCCTGACTGAACTCCCACAAGCTAAGACATTGGGGGACTGTTGAGAAGGCATGATTGGTTTTGAAATGTGTAAGGGACATGAGATTTGGAGGGGCCGGGGGCAGAATGATATGGTTTAGCAGTGTCCACACCCAAATCTCAACTCAAATTGTAATCCCCACATGTAGAGGGAGGGACCTATAATCCCCAAGTGTCAGGGAAGGGAAGTGATTGGATTATGGGGGTGGTTTCCCCATGCTGTTCTCGTAATAGTGAGTGAATTTTCACGAGATCTGATGGTTTTATAAATGATAGTTTTTCCTGTGCTCACACACGCATACTCTTTCCTGCTGCCTTGAGAAGAAAGTGCCTACTTTTCCTTCCACCATGATTGTAAGTTTCCTGAGGTCTCCCTAGCTATGTGGGACTGTGAGTCAATTAAACCTCTTTCGTTTATAAATTATCCCATCTCGGGTAGTATCTTTGTAGAAGTGTGAGAATGGACTAATACAGGAATGATTTCTTTAGGCACTGTTATTAAGCCCACTATAATTGGAATATTACAGAGTCCTCCTTTAACATTATGGCAGACAACAGTGTGCACATTCTGTGTATATATATAAGCCTCTGTTGTGAGTCTCACCTGCAAGCATAAGAAAGGAGTCATACCTTTTCATGTATCATCACTGGAACCCTGTTCTGTGTTTGAGCAGTACCTCCATACCAAGGACTGAAGAAGGAAAGGGATCTCACTGTTACTTAGCAGTTCCCTGAGAACCAACCATCAGTTCCCAAGTAATGAAGTTCAGGGTCAATGGTGTGTTCCTTAAGGAACTTCAGACTTCAGAGGCTCTTCAGACTTAAGAGGCTATTTTTTTATGAAGAAAGTGTTTCTGTTAGTCTTATTAGGTTTTGTTTCAAGTGGACAATATACTCTCTTCAACACAAGCTGGAGGAGATACAGCGAAGCTCATAGGAAGGATGGATAAGAAATCCTCTCAGCTAGAGCTCTGGCTAAATTTAAGAGATCAGGACTGCAAGGAAAAAGATACTTTGAGCCCTTCTCATTTAGCTTTCTTTAAATAATCCCACCATCCAAAAATTATCTAGGCTAGGTTGAGGAGGATGAAAATATAAAGAAGCATGAAAATTCATGGCCACTTTCTCTCCTACCCAGTATCCATTGTAAGTACACCATTTTTTCTTGCTGGGTCCTGTGGGAGAAGAACTCTAGATAATTTGCAGGCATTAATTTTGATGGGACCTGTAGTCTCTAAAGCTTTTTTATATCCTTGCTCATCACTCTCAGAATTCTATTCAATAAATTTTAGAAAAGTGATTCTAATTAGAAATAAAGATTACTCTTTCAAAGGAGTATTTTTAAATAACTCTAAGACATACTAGAGTGTTATACTTCCATATATCCAATTATCATTTTGACTTTTTCCAGCATTAGCTTACTTGGTATTGGATGGGGTGCAGTTTCATAGGGTTATTTTGTTTGCCAGCAATATTTGGTTAGTGGTATCTAATGCCCTATGGAGAAAACATCTCAGGATCTTTGTTGACTAAAGGTGATTTTTCTAGCTCATTATTTCTCTGCCTCAGCTTTATTGACATTTTGGACTGAATAGTTCCTTGTGGGGTAGGCTGTCTTTTATATTTTAGGATGTTTAGCAGCGTCCCTGACCTCTATGATCTAGATTCCAGGAGCAGCTTCCTACCGAGTTGTAACAACCAGAAATGTCTCTAGATATTGTTCGATGTCCTCTGGGAGCAAGATGAACCCTGTTGAGAATGATTCTTCTAAATCTATTATGTGCTTGGTTAGTAATAACAGCTAGCATTTATGGAGCACTTACTGAGTTCTGGCTACTATAGTAAGCACTTAACTTTCATTAATGAATTTGATTGAATCTCAGAAAATCTCACAAAGTAAGTGCCAGTATTTTCCCTAAGGATATTGACACACAGTAGTGTTGAGCCAATGGGCCAAGATCACAAAATTCGTAAAGAGAAGAACCAGGATCTGAACTAGCAGTTACAATTTAGAACCGATGCTCTTAACCAAGGTAGTACAGCTGTTGTCTAGCACTCATTTAGGTATATGTAGTTACAGACTTGAAAAGCCTCTTCCTTTGCAGCTATTTAAAGGTTGCAGGCTGGGAGCAGTGGCTAACACCTCAAATCCCAGTGCTTTGGGAGGCTGAATTAGGAGTATCTCTTGAGGCTGTGAGTTTGAGACCTGCCTCGGTGGCAAAATGAGACACCATGTCTATAAATGTGTTTTTTGGTTTTTGTTTTGTTTTGTTTTGTTTTTGAGACAGAGTCTCGCTCTGTCGCTTAGGCTGGAGTGCAGTGATGTGATATCGGCTCACTGCAACCTCCGCCTCCTGGGTTCAAGTGATTCTCCTGCCTTTGCCTCCTGGGTAGCTGGGACTACAGGCACATGCCACCACGCCTGGCTAATTTTTTGTATTTTTAGTAGAGATGGGGTTTCACCGTATTAGCCAGGATGGTCTCGATTTCCTGACCTCGTGATCCACCCACCTCCGCCTCCCAAAGTGCTGGGATTACAGGCGTGAGCCTACAATTTTTTTTAATTAGTAGGGCATGGTGATGCATGCCTGTAGTCCTAGCTACTTGGGAGGCTAAGGCTAAGACCTGAGCCCAGGAGTTTGAGGCTACAGTGTGCCATGATTATGCCACTGCACTCCAGCCTGAGTGATAGAGTGAGACCATGTCTCAAAAAAATAAAATAAAATAAAATGTTGTAAATAAATTATAACAATGGATGAAAGGAGAAGTAAAGACCATTTATTGAGTTTACACTATAAACAGAACACTTATCCTGAGACTTTCATATAAATTACATCATTTAATCCTCATAGTAGCCCTATGGAGTTGACATTATATTCTTTTACTCAATGGGAGAACATGGATACAAAACTATGTATTTTTACTCAAGGTATGAGGCAGTGTAAGAGGCAGTAGCAGACTTTGACCCGGTGCTTTCTGACTTTAAGCCCCTGTTCTTTCTGTTTTACTCTTTCACTTTTTTCAGATTTTAGGAAAGTGTTGAGAGGGGAGATTTTAGGTTCTCCAGATATATTTTCTGGTCCAAACTTCTTTTCCTATAAAAATCTCAAATTACTTGTAGCTGATACTTGGAAATTTTTAGCTCTCACTTATCCTTTCCTCAACACCTTCCAACAGGGTCTTTGTGCAGGAACAGGTGGTCAGGCATGGGCATTGACAGACCTGGCTCGGCCACTTCTGTGCCCTGTCACCCTGAGCAAGTCACATAATAACTGGGAGCTTCATCTTCCTTATTTGTGAACAATACCCACCTTGTAGGGTAAATATTAGAAAAAATATATGAAAGTACAATTATTAATTGGAATAATTTCAGTCATTAAAGTTGCAAGTATTTTGCCTCTTTCATTGTGTCCCTTTCAAAGCACTGGCAATATTTCTACCTCAATTTCCCCACCCCCATCAAGGGTATCCCTACCCCCATCAAGGGTATCTGGAAACCTGCCATTTAGAAATGTATTAAGTTTTATTCTTGATTAAAATGAAGGTATCTTGGGGTAGACAAAACATTTGAAGCCTTTATTAGCTAAGCTCACTTCTGAAGACTGGTTTGGGCATCTGGAGATGGTAGGACAAGACAGTGAGACAATGACTTCTTAAGATTTTTTTCAGACAGCCCATGTGAAAAATATTATTATGAAAGATTGGGCCGGGCATGGTGGCTCACGCCTGTAATGTCAGCACTTTGGGAGGCTGAGGTGGGCATATCATCTGAGGTCGGAAGATCGAGACCATCATGCCTAACATGGTGAAACCCTGACTCTACTTAAAATACAAAAAATTCGCTGGACGTGGTGACACATGCCTGTAATCCCAGCTACTTGGGAGGCCAAGGCAGGAGAATCACTTGAATCCGGGAGGCTGAGGCTGCAGTGAACCGAGACAGCACCATTGCAGTCCAGCCTGGGCAACAAGAGTGAAATTCCATCTCAAAAAAGAAAAAAAAACAAAGAAAGATAGCACACCAAGATCTGTGTCCACAGAGAGCAATGGTGAATATCAAGATCTTGTATTTAAGTGAAGCATTTCTTTTATCAAAGCCTGAATTGTGAGTTAGAGAGATAGATAGAAAATATATTTTTAACTATAAATGTATAAACACATATACATATGTATAACTGGGGTACAGAGTAAGAAGAAAAAAATACAAGAAATACTGATGTAATTCTCTAGGACAATATTGTGAACTTTACAACTGAAATATTTGGGGATATATTAATAAAGTTCTTGGTACTTCTAAATTGAGCAAAGAAAATATCCATCCAATTTACAGACATATGTATCACATGTACTCAACTCAATGGATGGAGACCTTACAAAGTGACCAGATACTCAAGGGAGATGTCATTAAAAATAAAATAAAAAAGTTGATGGAGAACAAGGTGTTCATATACAGTTGCCTTGCTGAGAATGTGGGTCGCAGTCTAGAGAGATTTCAAAGGTAATGTGATAATACTGCATATCTACCCAAGGGCAACCAGTGGAAATGTTCTGCCTCAAAAATAACTCAGTGTTTGAGAATTCTGAGAGGACATTCACTACACCTCCATCCAGAGAAATTGGGAAGGAGGGATGAATTCGTCGTTTCAAGATTTCAACAGATTAAACCTAGGATGTTAGGAATTTATTGCTGAAAATGTTAAATCTCATCACTAATTGAATTTCACAAAAATGAAGAACTTCAGGGAAACTGATATTTATCTGTTAGGCAGAAATCTGTTAAGTTCAATGAAACATGGTTTCAAAAAGATGTTCTTGCCATCTCTGTGTATAGACCAAGGCTGTAAAACTCAATTACATGTTAAGTAGTAATGCTATCACATTCTGGTGATCAGAAATGGTCATGGTGACATTCAAAAATGGCATATTGGATATCTGCCACTTCAACAATCCTGTAACAGCAAACTCTTTGCATAGCTGAAGATTTCCTAACCTCTTCTCTTGCTTTTACCAAATAATGGATAGATAAAATTTCACACAAACAAAGGAACTTGGAAACTCCTTTCGCCTTTTATGACAGAATCTGACCTAAGCATTCATTTGTGAACTCAAGAAGTGAAGCAGAAATGACAAAATTATTCTAGTTATTACTCCTTGGAAATCATGTAAGCTCATTCTGTAATATGAACCTATATGGTGTGGGAAACGAAGAATAAAATAATTTTTTTTTTCAGAAAAACAACCCATAGTGTGAACTGTGTTAAAGGAAACTATACAAGACACAAAAGAAAAAAGGAAAAAAGTCAGATTCATAAAGGAAAATATTGCTAATCTGGGTAGGAAGGTGACAAAGAGAAAAGGCAATAATATAAATCATATTTTTTTTGGTAGTACTTCACTTAGAAGATGAGGTAGAGGTTCAAATATGGAACCTGAGATTTCTTTCTGGCAGTTAATATGCCAATCATGTAGACCACCCCTCTAAAGCAGAACCACATTATGATTTATAAGTTGCAGGTAAAGAGAATAGATCACCACCCTTAGCCTGTTAGAAGAGCCAAGACAAGCCACACAAGGGAGAAGCAAGTCTCCAGGAAAAGGAGTTGGAAGAAGCTATCTACCACAGACTGTCACTTTAGGCCACTGGAAATACACATACATGCCCAGGATGTGCGTAGAAGCTCTGGGGAAGTTGCAGAGATTAACCCTAAGAACTGCTGACCAGAGAAGATTTCAAAGGCAAGGAGCAGTGAGAGAGAACCACAAGCCAATCAGAGTGAAAAGAGATGTCTGAACAGATGAAGAGGGGCATATAAAGACTAAGGGTTTGGGGCTTCTGTCTCCACAGTCTGTTCTAGCAGACTTCCGTCAATCTGGGCAGGTATTTAGAACTTCAAGAGGACAAGAGGGGTCAGGTGAGTCTGGGGTCAATGAGATGGTTTTTACTTGCATACAATTTGTCCCGTTGCAGTTGCTCTGAGAAACAGGTTAAATTCTTATCACAATGGCCAGTGTTCCCAATGTATTCTATTTGTTCCCACGTGTTTAAGGAGTCTGCTATTGACATGTGAGCTCACAAATGCACATTTAAGAAACGGGTGGAATGTGTGGCTTTCAGTGCGCGTCCACTGCTTCCTCTTGCTCTCTCTGCATGGGGAGAGTCTGGGACTCATGACACTTAGGCCTCCATTTGTAAAACAGGGCTGGCATTCTTTGTAGCCTATTTGGCAAGTATACTATCTAATACTAAATGAGAGACTGCTTTTGGAGGTTTCCCTTGGAAGAAAGGCACGTTATGGTTCTAAGGTGGCAAACATTAAATACAGTCTTCTCTAGAAACCATTTTCTTGTAAAGTTTAGAAAACAGAAATGTTAGTCTGGAGAATACATTTCAGCTTCTGAAAGACCTATGTCTCAGTTGTGAGCATTTTCTAATGCCTGGAGATGTATGGGCTCCTGGAGTGATGCTGTGGTTAAGTGATGAGGACAACAACAGCATTAGAACAATGTATGGAAATGGTATTCAGTGATCAGCTCTTGTTCTTTATTTCCAAGCTATCTGTGCAGAGATTGTTAACACATTTTATATTATCACTTTAGAAAGAGATAGGGGAGAGGCAAATCTCTTAAATGCCATTATTTGCTAGTGCAAATGTAAATCTAGTGATTGCAAGTTTTAATTTGAAATAGAGTTATCTTAGTATTAATATGCTTTGTCAATACTAAACTGTCCAGTAAAAATATAGTCTAATATATTTGGTGTTCAAGTTGAGAACTAAGGCCATAAAATGCAATGCTTTCCATTTATTTGTTTTAAAATAAAGATCAAAGGAAATTGAGAGATGTTTTCAGAATAGAATGCTATTATCTGAGCTAATGAATCAAAGGTATATGTATTACTCTCCAACCCACCAAGACGTTAATTCCTAATTTACTTACGTGTATTTTAAAAACGTAGCTTGCTTAAAATTATTTTAGGAGGGAAAATTATTGGGACCTCAGTAAAGGAAAGACAGATTATTCTCATTACTGTCATCTTGTTCCTTAATCTCTTGATTAATGATCACTGAGAAAAAAAAGTCAATAAAATGTTGCTTGTAACAATCCTACTGACTTTAGGGTGCAAGCATCATGTGTGCCTTTTATTCCACTACGGGGACTTACCACCCAGATCGTACTTCCTGAATACTCTAGTGGAACTGGATTATTAACTTTATTACACAGGGAACAAGAGACAAGAGGAATGGGATATGGGTGAAACCATAGACTGAGATATAGGTCATTGTCATGATTCTAGTTTTTATTTGGGAAGGGGAAGGTGAGAGTTAACAGGTGACAAATATGTTATTAGTTAACGGTTATTTTATCACTGTAGAAGTCCCTTTATGCTTGGCTTTTAGCCGTCAAAAAAGAGCAGGAGGGCTCCACTAAAAAGTACTTACTCCTTAAATGTCATCTACGTAGACTCTGTTTTGTTTTAGAGCTTCTCATTGCACTTTTGCATTGCATGTTAATCTATAACTGCTGCCTCGAGTCATTTTAGAAGCAGCCAGGGCATAAATCCTGAGGAGTAAAAGTTTTTAATTTGGGTAATATGTTTTTACACACACACACCCCCACACATGTGGTCATGTATATATATGTATATTTGTGTTCATATGTATATATATCATATGTATATATTTTCATATATAAGCAAATATATACTTGGCTTTGAATTTACAGTGTGAGTTATTTTGCACGTGCGCACACACACACACACACGTATATTTGCATAAAACTTTTTAGTTCCTGAATACTTCCCATGTATTATCTTATTCTTATTTTCCGAAATACTTCCCATAGATTATCTTATTCTGAGGTTCATAATCACTCTGCACAGAGGTTACTTGACCTGTCTAAATTCATGCTTAGTAAATGGTAAAGCCAGGACTAGCAATAAAGTTTCCTGAGTCATAGCCAGGAGTTCTTTCCACCACAACAGCTGTCAGTGGTTACTGGGAAAGCCAGGGGAAGAAACTGATTTGGCTTCTCTGAATTTGAGAATTGTAGTGACTGAAATATTAGCAGTGTAGTTATTTTCCAGGCCAGTTGATCCAGGACAGTTCTATCTATGGTTAGATAAGTTGTGTAAGTGGTCATGTATGATAACTTTGAAATGTTCTGTCTATATTATGTTATATTCCACCATCGTCTGGTGTTCTCATTCTTTTATGTTACATGTCTTTTTATTGACTTTATTTTTGACATCTAAACAATCTCATAGCTCCTCATTACACCAACAATAAAAGTTCTGATGCAGGGTACCCTATTACAAAAGGTATGTGGAACTAGAATCTTGAATCCTATTTTTTCCCAATTGCCAAGAGTGGCAAAACAATATAATAAAATTCTATTTCCAGTTCTGCCTGTTAGTCAAAACAAATTTTCAGATGGAATTTGGTAATTATGGTATACAAAATGGATACTGTTATTTCAAAGTTAAAAATTGATGAACCATTTCTTATTTATTTAGACATTCTCTTCTGAGACCCTCCATTTTTTAAAATCTAATTTATGGTGAAGTCCAATAACAGAGATAAGGCAACTTGAACAGTCTTTGTATTATTTGACAAGCATTCACTGGCAAGGTTAGTAAAAGAAATTGAAAAACTGCTACTTCATTACAAAAAACAATCATAATGAAAATCAACCCAGTTGGCACATAAGAACTTGCCATTCAAAATCAAAATACCATTATCAAATAAAAGATGATAGAAAGGTCCTTGGTAATAACCTTGGTATGATAATGGGTATTTGGGAAGTTTAGCCTGACACATCAGACTGTGTCATTTAAAAATCCATCTGTCCTAGAAGTCCTAAAGGCAAAGTTTACCATTGAAACAACTTGTTTTTCTTGAAAAATAAGACAAAACCTTGCATTCCATGGATAGAGGTTGAGATGCTATTACAAAGAAACCCCCAAATGTACTGGCTTACATAGATAGAAGTGTATTTCTCACATTAGTCTGGCCGGTCCAGGTGGCGAAGTGGATCTACTCCTCTAGGTCATTAAAGGGCACAGATTCCTTCCTTACTGCCGCATTGCCATTTCCTGAATGTCGCACTCCTCAGCGCTGCTGGAGAAAGAGTTCATGGCAGGTGTCTTCAAGGAAGTGACATATAAATTCCACTCCTCCTCCGTTGCCCAGAATCTCATCACATGAACATACTTAGCTTCAAGGGATGCTGGTAAATGTAGTCTGTAGCTGGGAGGCCATGTTCCTAAAAGTGGGGAGGTGGGGGAAATGATGGAGAGTGGATACAAATTGACTCAATTACTAAAAGAGAGTAGAATAGACAGGAGTGTGGTGCAGCTAGCAGTATCTACAGTAGCCACATTATACAAAATAAAATGCATTTATTCAAGCAGGAATAGTATCAGCAACAAATTAAAGACACAATCAGACAATCAATGCTGGTAGCACTTGGGTTCTTTAAAAATCATGGTTCTCAAGTTTTTTCAGTCTGTGTACCACTTCTTTGTGGTAAAAGTTATGCAGATCACCTATACTCTGCAGGAAGATTTCGTTGTGTACTTGACTTTGTTTTTCTTGCAATACAATTAGATTAGCGAAGCATGCCATTTTTTTTTTTTTTTACATTATTGAAGAATAACCTTTTCTAAGTAACTTGACTTTACAAATAATGGAAACTTACCACTTAAAGAGATTTAACATCCTCTTTTATGAGTAGGTGTATGCATGTGTATGTAATATTTACTAAAGGGGGTGTATATTTTTCTGCTTCTTTAAACAAGATTACTAAGCTCATATGAATTAATTCATACTTCTATTCAACACAAATTGATTGAGTGGCTACGATCTGTCAGTGTACATCAGGCTCTGCATATGGGTTCAGGTTTAATCTTCCCAACAACCCAATGAGGCAGCTCAAGTTTTCACTATTTTACAAATGAAGAAACAGAATGTCAAGGAGTTTAGGTAACACACTCAACATTATATAACCAGCTAGATTTAAACCGCAGTCTCTGCTATTCATTCTATTTCTCTGTTTGCTTTATTCAAAATATATTTATCAAACAGCTTCTATGGACCAGGCAGTAAGCTAGACATTTTTATCTTTTACTTCTGTTTAACCTCAAAACAATCCCATGAAGTAGATAGTATTTTTCCATTTTATGGATGGTGTAACTGTGTTTCAGAAAGGTGAAATATCTCACTCAGGATTGCAGAGCAATGGGTGGAACAGGCAAGGCTCAAGTTCAGAGCCCTGTCCTTTGCAGATGGAACCTGCCTTTTCTCCTATTTTAGGTCACCACTCCCATTGGGCTCCCAACTTAGGCAAAGCACAGACTTGCTTTATCTTCATCCCCTCTACATTTTCCATCCACTGACTTAGCAGGTCCTGTGAACTCTATTGCAAAAATGTCTTTCCAGTCCAGCCCTCATCATAGCCAGGCCCATCATAGCCAGGCCCATCATAGCCAGGACTTTATCATTTTGGACTTGAATCATTTCAACTGTTTCCTAAGTGGTCTTTCTATAATCAAATTATTTTTCCTTATTCTAATCTCCTCACTGTCATGAGATGGCCACCCTCAAATAAAATATCCAATTACAATTCGCCCAGGCTTAAAAGCTCCCACTCGTTTCTTGATCTCCTCAGAATAATATCTCAGTTCATCGGCTCCTCTAGGCTTCATACAAGGATCCTCTCAATTCAGCTGCAGCTTCATTTCTTATCACCCAACTCCTAACCAACCTAAATTCTATCCATACTTAATGCTTTGCTAATCTTCAAACCCATAGGCTTTTTCATGACTCTGTACTTTTGTACATGATGTTCTTGTGACCTAGAGTAGTCTTTCCCACTTTTTTCTGCCTGGAAAATATCTATGTGTTTTAAAGCTGCAATTATAATTATGAAGTTGTAAAGTTGCTTCCCCAAATGAAGTTGGCCACCCTTCTTTGTTCCCATAGTGTACTCTCGTGAATCTTAATATAGTGCAGTAAGTGCTATCATAATTACACGCCTGTCTTACCCAGACTATGCTCTGCCTGACAACCAGGAACACCTTGGCCTTGCACAATGCTTGGCACACTATGCAAATGTTTATTGGGAACAATAGACTAAATAGTTGCTAGGCATAGCACAAAGGCCATGCATTGGGTTGTGATGCCATTTAACAACAAAACAAGTCAACTCTTTATTAAACACTTACTCTAGACAAGTCATTGTGCTTGGTACTATGAAAGGATCAAGAAAGAATGGGAGACTGGGAAGGGTAGTGGGGAGGAGTGTATGAAGAGAAGTTTATTAATGGATACAAATACACAGTTTGATAGAAGAAATAAGACCTAAATGTTAGATAGATCAGTAGGGTGACCATAGTTTTCAATAATCTATTGTACATTTAAAAATAGCTAGAAGAGAATAATTCAAATGTTTTTAGCATAAAGAAAGACAAATATTTAATGTGATAGATAACACAGGTACATTAATTTGATTTTTACAGATTATATGAATGTATTAAATTATCACATGTCCTCTGAAATTATATGCATCTATAATGCATAAATTAAAAAATAAATTTTTAAAAAAGAATAAAATAATCTTTGCCTGTAACTCTTTACCCTAGCTTCAAATTTAATTAAGGAGCTAAGAGTAATAATTTGGAAATTAGAGCATTTATGTCGCTTCTTAATTGTTCCTTGTTTATACCTATTAAACTCTAGAATCCTTGAGGATGGATTATCTTTTCATTATTGTTTTTAAAGTTCTTGTTATTGCTTCTGGCACGCAGTAGGTGTTCAAAAGTCTTTGTTAAAAGATGATTGAATAGTAAGTTTTCAAAAAAAACATATAGAGGATCAATGTTGAAAGCACAAAATGAGTGACATAGCCTCTATGTATATTAATGAAGATGAGATGAAGAAACAGGCACTGAAAGAAGATTTGGATCAATCTGAGACATAGGAAGGATTTGAGAAAATTAAGGAAGTGATAAAGTCATGTCAAGAATATAGAAACAAATATGAGAAAATGCATTTTATTAGTTAGGTAATGTAACAAACTCAGTGTCTTATAACAACAAACACTTATTTCACACTTGTAGATCTGCTGATTTAGGCTGGCTTAGCCAAGTGACTATTTCGGGCTGCAGGTCACCTGAGAGTTAGGGTTGACTCTGGGTTATGTTTGGGTTTAGGTCTACTCCACATCTCTCCATCCTTGTGGTTGATGTCTTGGGGAGGGGATAAGTGTATTTTGGATGTGGGAAGTACAGGAACAATTGTGATCAAGAGAATATGCTGTGGCATATTGATTCATTCATTGTTCACAATTATTCATGTCCCCCTTTCATTCAAATTATATATTTGCAACTTTTGCCATATGGTTTTGTAATACCTTTCTCTAAAATAAATAGAGTATGTTTCCTAGCCCCACTGATGTTGGAATTGGCCCTGTGATTTGATTTGACCAGTGAAATAGAGGTAGAAGTCACAATGTTCCAGTTTCAGGCTAACACCTTGTATTAGTTTGTTCTCACATTGATATAAAGAACTACCTGAGACTGGGTAATTTATGAAGAAAAGAGGTTTAATTGACTCCCAGTTCCACAGGCTTAACAGGAAGCATGACAGGGAGGCCTCAGGAAACTTACAATCATGGCAGAAGGGGAGGCAAACACCTTCCTCCCATGGCAACAGGACAGAGAGAAAGAGCGAGCAAAGGAGGAAGTGCCACACACTTTTAAACCATTAGATTTCATGAGAACTCACTGACTATTATGAAAACAGCAAGTGGGAAAATCTTCCCCCATGATGCAATCACCTTCCACCAGGCCCCTCCTCCAACATTTGGAATTACAATTTGACATGAGATTTTGGGTGGGGACAAAAATCTTAACCATATCATTCTACACCTGGCCCGTCCCAAGTCTTATGTCCTTCTCACATTGCAAAATACAGTTATCTTTTATCAACAGTTCCCCAGTCTTAACTCATTTCAGCATTAATTCAAAAGTCCATAATGCAAAGTCTCATCTGAAACAAGGTAAGTTCCTTCCACCTATGAGACTATAAAATCAAAAACAAGTTAGTTACTTCCAAGATATAATGGGGGTATAGGCATTTGGGCAGATGCTTACATTCTAAATAGGAGAAATTGGCGAAAATGAAGGACCCATAGGCACCATGAAAGTTCAAAACCCATCAGGGAAGTTATTAAATCTTAAAGCTCCAAAATATTCTCCTTTGACTCTATGTCTCACATCCAGGGCACGCTGATGCCAGAGGTGAGCTCCCAAGGCCTTGGGCAACTCCAACCCTGTGGCTCTACAGCCCCTTTGGCTGCTTTCATGGGCTAGTGTTGAGTGCCTGTGGCTTTTCCAGGTCCACGGTGTCAGACCTACCATTCTAGGGTCTGAAGGACTGTGGCCCTCTTCTCACAGCTCCACTAGGCAGTGTCCCAGTGGGGACTCCGTGTGGGGGCTCCAACCCCACATTTCCCATCCACACTGCCCTAGTAGGGGTTCTCCATGAGGACTCCACCACTGCAGCAAACTTCTGCCTTGACATCCAGGTGTTTCCATACATCCTCCAAAATCTAGGCAGAGATTTCTAAACATCAACTCTTGTTTTATGTCCACCTGGAGGCCCAACACCATGTGGGAGCTGCCAAGACTTGGGGCTTGCACCCTCTGAAGCTGTACCTTGGCCCCTTTTAGCCATGGCTGGGGCTGGAGAGGTTAGGACCCAGGGCACCATATCCCAAAGCTGCACAGAAGAGCTGTGCCCTAGGCCTGGCCCTCAAAAACATTTTTTTCCTACTAAGCCCTGGGGCTGTGATGGAAAGGTCTGTTGTGAGGATCTCTGACATGCCCTGGAGACATTTTCCCCATTGTCTTGGGTATTAACATTCGGCTCCTCATTGTTTATGCAAATTTCTGCAGCAGGCTTGAATTTCTTCCAAGGAAATGTGTTATTCTTTTCTACCTCTTGGCTGGGCTGCAAACTTTCCGCAATTTTATGCTCTGCTTCCCTTTAAATATAAGTTCCAGTTTCAGATCATCTCTTTGTTCACACATATGGGCATACAAGGCATACAATTTTAGAAACAGCCAGGTTACTTCTTGAATGCTTCGCTGCTTAGAAATTTCTGCTGCTGGGTATACTAAATCATCTCTCTCAAGTTCAAAGTTCCACAGATCTCTAGGGCAGGGGCAAAATGTGACCAGTCTCTTTGCTAAAACATAGCAAGGGTCACCTTTACTCCAGTTCCCAGTGAGTTCCTCATCTCCATCTGAGACCACCACAGCCTGGACTTCATTGTCCATATCACTGTCAGCATTTTGGTCAAAACCATGCAATAGGTCCCTAGGAAGTTTCAAACTTTCCCACATTCTCCTTTCTTCTTCTGAGCCCTCAAAAGTGTTCCCCTCTGCTTGTTACCCAGTTCCAAAGTCACTTCCACATTTTCAAGTATATTTATAGCAATGCCCCACTCTTCTGGTACCAATTTTCTGTATCAGTTCTCACAGTGCTGTAAAGAACTACCTGAAACTGTGTAGTTTATGGAGAAAACAGGTTTAATTGACTCACAGTTCTGCATGCTTAACAGGAAGCTTGACTGGGAGGCCTCATTAAACTTACAATCATGGCCAAAGGTGAGGGGGAAGCAGAAGCCTTCTTCAAATGGCAGCAGGAGAAAGAGTAAAGGTGGAAGTGCCACACACTTTTAAACCATCAGATCTCATGAGAACTCACTATCATGGGAACAGCAAGGGGGCAATCTGCCCCTAGGATTTAATTACCTCCCACCAGTCCCCTTCTCCAACAATGAGAATTACAATTTGACATGATATTTCGGCAGGGATGCAAATCCAAATGATATCAGACCCCAAGAGACTGTATTTTTCTGTCCACCCTCTTGTGCTCCTGTCTTTTGCTGGTACAGGGAGAACGACAGACATGTAATGTAAATTGCACTGTGATTCAAAGCCCGAAGCCCAGCCAACTACAAACTGAAGCAGATCCTTCCCTGGCTGACCCCCAAACTAGGGAGCAAGAAAATTATAGCTTTACTGTTGTAAAACTCTAGGTTTGCAGCAATATTTGACTAATACAGATGTGGAAGTGGGCAGAGACATGGAACATTCAAAAGTTATGTTGGAAAGAGGGCTAAGGACTCATTGAATGGAGGCATGAACAGAATATAAGAACGATCACATAAGCCGGGCGCAGTGGCTCACGCCTGTAATCCCAGCCCTTTGGGAGGTCGAGGTGGGCGGATCACAAGGTCAGGAGATCAAGACCATCCTGGCTAACATGGTGAAACCCCATCTGTCCTAAAAATACAAAAAATTAGCCGGGCATGGTGGCGGGTGCCTGTAGTCCCAGCTACTCCGGAGGCTGAGGCAGGAGAATGACGTGAACCTGGGAGGCGGAACTTGGCAGTGAGCCGAGATTGTGCCGCTGCACTCCAGCATGGTGACAGAGTGAGACTCTGTCTCAAAAAAAAAAAAAAAAAAAAAAAAGAACAATCACATAAACAGGCAGCAAGGGAGAAGGGAGTCAAAGCTGACTAACTGGTGAAGCCCAGGTTGAATGCTGACATTACTGGCTAAAATGACTATTTCAGTAACCATGGAATGATAAAGTTAAATGGGATCTTGAAATTATTTTTGATATTGCAATCTCCAAGGCAGAATTAGCATGCAGAATTATTTTGTTTGGCCAAGATAGTTTTTTTTAAATTTGAATTTGAATGCAGTGGACAGATCATACATCCTCCTGTTCCTTACGTTATCTACTTCTCGTTTTTCATCCTCCATACCGTCAAATGCATTTGAGATTATGCTCCCTGGCAATCTCATTACCACATATCCCCAGGCACATTAAAGATGACTGAGAGATATGCAAGTTATATGACAATAGCTGTATGAACTGAACACTTATGTGTTCAGACATTGTTTTATGTGATTTGTATGTTTTATCTCAAGAATCTTCATTTTGAAGATAGGGCAAAAGGAGTTTAAATGACTTGCCTGAGGTCAACAGTTGGAAGTGGAAGAGCCAATATTTGAATAGTCCAGTTTATTGAGCAGTTTCAACTTGGTCAGCTTAAACATAAATGAGATTATTGTTTGGTGAACGCTTTCTGCAGCTAACCTAATGCATCCTGCTTCCTTTCCTGAGACCACATCAATCTCTCTCTGTTTTTGTTTTTTTGTTTTTGTTTTTTTTTTTGAGATGGAGTCTCACTCTGTCACCCAGGCTGGAGTGCAGTAGCACAATCTCCGCTCACTACAATCTCTGCCTCCTGGGTTCACGCCATTCTCCTGCCTCAGCCTCCCGAGTAGCTGGGACTACAGGTGCCCGCCACCACACCCGGCTAATTTTTTTGTATTTTTAGTAGAGACAGGGTTTCACTGTGTTAGCCAGGATGGTCTCCATCTCCTGACCTCGTGATCTGCCTGCCTTGGCCTCCCAAAGTGCTGGGATTACAGGCATGAGCCACCGTGCCCGGCCGAGAGCACATCTCTTAACTGCAACGAGTGATTTCAGAGGATAGCTTTTTATTACACTCTCTTTGTTATATGGTCAAGGTAGAAAATCTACAGGTAAGCTGCTTTAAAGAATTTTTTTTTTACTACTTAAAAAAAATTAACTCTTCTGAATTACTTTTCCTTAAATAGCTGAACTGAACTATTACTGTTTTTTTTTTTTTAACATACTGTTAGCAAAACTGTGGGGAAACAGGTCTGATGATTCATGGGTGTAGCATACAAACCTACATGAACCCTTATGCAGGCATTTAGTTAGTATCTATCAAAATTTTAAATTCATACATCTGCTTTGACTCAGCAAATACACTTCTGGAAATTTGTTCCACAGAAATACTGCTTAGCTATGAACTGATGTTATTTACAAGGGTATTGTTTGAACAGCAAAAGTCTGAAAATAACCTAAATATCCATCAACTGGGGAGGGCTTAAATTAATATATGTCCATATAGTGGGATATAATGCACCTGTAAAAGTAAGATTGTTCTTCATGTAATGATGTGGAAAATTTATAAAAATTCTTGTTAAAAAAGTAAGGTGCATAAAGGTATGTAGGGTATACTCCTTTTGGTGTAAGGAAGGAGGAAACAGGTCAGGCATGGTAGCTCAGGCCTGTAATCCCAGCACTTTAGAAGGCCAAAGTGAGAGTAGCCAGGTGTGGTGGCACATACCTGTGGTCCCAGCTACTCAAAAGGCTGAGGCAGGAGGATTGCTTGAGCCTGGGAGGTTGAGGCGGCTGTGAGCCATGTTTGCACCACTGCATTCTAGCCAGGGCAACAGAATGAGACCCTGACTTGGAAGAAAAAAAAAAAAAAGAAGGAAACATATATATTTGTACTTGCATAATAAAACCCTGGAAGCATACACAAGAAATGAATAAATGTTGTTACCTTAGGATAGAAAGGGACAGGACAGGTGGGGCAGGTGTGGGAGAAAGATCTACACTGCATTTAAAAAAATACATTTTTAAACTGCACGAATGTGTTAAAACATTGAAAAACAAAGCAATCACTGTTTTATATATATATATTAAAATATTAGAAATAGAGTCTGCATTCAACTACTAGATAATTACTCATTTTTGTGGATTATCCATTAAAAATGTTGATAGTTGGAGAAAAGCACTAGACTTAAGCATCAGGTGTTTTGAATCTGGGTCTATCAATTACTAATTGTGTGATCTCCAGTCAGTCTCTTCTTTTTGGAATTGTTTTCTCATTAGGAAAATTTGTTAAGCCAGATGGTTTCTGTTCTAGTTCTGAGTCACTCTTTTCTCCCCCTTAGCAAATGACTGGGGAATGCAACACAATCTTGACATTTCCCTTCACAAAACTTGATTGGAAAGACCACCACTTTTGCATTTTGGCATCAGGATTCTTTGTCTGGAAGCAAGTGAAACTGACCCTGTTTAGCTTAGGCACAAAGTAGCTCATAGAGTCAAGGGAGAGCTGGAAAACCAAAGAGAAAGTTTGTGTATTTCCTTCCAGGGCACTCAATTGAAGGACTTCTTTTAACTGCCTTGTGCAACTGCATGTTTGCGATAAAGATTCAAATTCCCAGAAGAAAAAAAAATAATGAACTCTGAAGTTAAGGGAGCAGCGTTCTGCCATTGAAGCCACTTCACAACCTCATGCCATTAGAGATAAATGATGCTGTAATGAAAGGATGTTGGGCAAACAGAAACAATACCTATCCAGGGAAGCATTCTCCTTGTTAGAGCTGCTCTTCAGCCATCTAGTTGATTGGAGCTGATAGACCCTATCTCATGTATCTTAGTCTCTTTGTGTTGCATAATGGAATACCTGAGGCTAGGTGATTTATAAAGAAAGAAAGTTTATTTGGTTCTTTGGACTGTACAAGAAGCACGGCACCAGCATCCACTTGTTGCGAGGGCTTCAGGCTGCATCCACTCATTGCAGAAGGAGAAGGGGAGCCACACTATGCAGAGATCACATGGCAAGAGAGAGCAGGCGGAGGTGCCAGGCTCTTTTCAGCAACCAGCTCTCTGGAAAGGTAGGGGGAAACTCTTGCAGGAACTCATGGAGTGAGAGCTCACTCATTACAATGAGGATGGCTCCAGGGTATTCATGAGGGATTCACCCTCATGACCCAAATACTTCCCTTTAGGCCCCACCTCCAACAATGGGGATCAAATTTCAGCATGAGATTTGGGGGGACAAATATCCAAACTATATAATGTGCACATGTAAACCTCAAGGCCAAAACAGTGGTGTGTGTGAAAACAGTTAAAGCTCGGATAGATCTTGTTATTGCTGTGAGAAGAACTGGTGGCTCAAGCTGCTATATCATCATGGTAACCTAAGGCTAAGGGAAGACTATCCTAGGGCTTGGGGGGTAATTCTTAAAACTGATAAACACATAAAATTCACAGGTACTCAAAACTATGACTGTGATATTCATCATCTCAGTGATGGTTAATATTGAGTGTCAACTTGATTGGATTGAAGGATGCAAAGTATTGTTCCTGGGTGTGTCTGTGAGAGTGTTGCCAAAGGAGATTAACATTTCAGTCAGTGGACTGGGCAAGGCAGACCCAACCTCAATCTGGGTGGGTACCATCTATTCAGCTGCCAGTGTGGCTAGAATAAAGCAGGCAGGGGAAGTTGGAAAGAGAGACTTGCTGAGTCTTCCAGACTTCATCTTTCTCCCATGCTGGATGCTTCCTGCCCTCAAACATCAGACTACAAGTTCTTCAGCTTTTGGACTCTTGGACTTACACCAGTGGTTTGCTAGGGGATCTCAGGCCTTTGGCCACGGACTGAAGGCTGCACTGTTGGCTTCCCTACTTGTGAGGTTCTGGGACTCGGACTGGCTTCCTTGCTCCTCAGCTTGCAGATGGCCTATTGTGGGACTTCACCTTGTGATATGTGAGTCAGTTCTCCTAATAAACTCCCCTTCATATATACATATATCCTGTTAGTTCTATCCCTTTAGAGAGCCCTGACTAATATAATCTCATAATAGTTTTTGAACTGAATTTCTGAAATTCAACAAGTAACTTTTGCAAAGGACTACCATGTGGCACAGAAGTTTTTGTCCTGAAATTGTCTACCTTTGCAGCAGTTGGACTTTTTCACTGAGATTTGCCCCTGTTGGTTACTTCATGGTCTTTCCTCCAATGGTTACTCTTCCAGTTCTTGCTGAAAGTCAATTCAGAATTGTTTTCTGAATGGGAAGCAACATCTCTGATCAAGCAGTGTAATTCCTAGCTTATATAGATGAGAAAACTGAATTCCAGAGAGGTTATATAAATTGCCCCGGGTTACACAGCTAGTCATCCAGTCAGTCCAAGCTCACATAGACCATCAGCCAATCCTAATTTTAGTGCTCATTTTAGGTGGATCTAGCCTATGGATAGAGAGGTAGGGGCCACTCTGACAAATTTCTGAATATATCTCATAGTCCTTGTGCTGTTCTTTTTTTCTTTTTAAAAATTTTAACATTTAAAATTTTTATGGGTACATAATAGGTGTATATACTTATGGGGTACATGAGATATTTTAACACTGGCACATAATGTGTAATAATCACATCAGGGTAGATGGTGTTTCAGTCACCTCCAGCATTCATCATTTCTTTCTGGTTATGAACAATTCAATTTTACTCCTGCAGTTATTCTGAAATGTACAAAAAATTATAGCTAACTGTAGTCAACCTGTTGTACTATCAAGTTCCAGGTCTTTCTCATTCTATCTAACTATAATTTTGTACCCATTAACCATCCCCATTTCACACCACTTCCTACTACCCTTCCCAACCTCTGGTAATCATCATTCTATTCTCTATCTACCTGAGTTCAATTGTTTTAATTTTTATTTCCCACAAATAAGTAAAAACATGCAAAGTTTGTCTTTTTGTGCCTGGCTTTTTTCAATTAACATAGCTTCCTCCAGGTTAACCCATGTTGTTGCAAATGACAAGATCTCTTTCGTTTTTATGGCTGATTGCTCTATTGTATATATGTACCACATGTTCTTTATCCTTTCATCTGTTGATGGTCACTTAAGTTGCTTCCAAATCATAGCTATTGTGAATAGTGCTGCAATAAACATGGAAGCACAGATATCTGATACACTGATTTCCTTTCTTTGGGGTATAGACGTAGCAGTGGGATTGCTGGATCATATAGTAGCTCTGTTTTTATCTTTTTGAGAAACATCTATACTGTGCTTCACAGTGGCTGTACTACTGCTTTACATTTCCTCCGGCAGTATACAAGAGTTCCCCTTTCTCCACATCCTTATCAGCATTTGTTATTGCCTATCTTTTGGATGAAAGCCATTTTAACTGGGGTGAGATGATATCTCATTGTAGTGTTGATTTGCATTTCTCTGATGATCAGTGACGTAGAGCACCTTTTCATATACGTGTTTGCCATTCTATGTCTTCTTTTGAGTAATGTCTATTCGTATCTTTTGCCCATTTTTTAATCAGATTATTAGATTTTTTTTCTATAGATTTGTTTGAGCACCTTATATATTCTGGTTATTAATCCCTTGTCAGATGGATAGTTTGCAAAAATTTTCTCTCATTCTATGGGATGTCTCTTCACATTGTTGATTGTTTCTTTTGCTATGCAGAATCTTTTTGATTTGATATGATCCCATTTGTCCATTTTTGTTTTGTTTGCCTGTGCTTGTATTTCTCAAGACGTCTTTGCCCAGATCAATGTCCTGGAGAGTTTCTTCACAGTTTTCATGTAATAGTTTCATAGTTTGAAGTCCTAGGTTTAAGTCTTTAATCCGTTTTGATTTGATTTTTGTACATGGTACAGGGGTCTAGTTTCATTCTTCTGCATATGAATATTCAGTTTTCCCAGCACCATTTATTGAAGAGACTGTCTTTACTCCAATGTATGTTCTTGGTACCTTTGTTGAAAATAAGTTCAACAGAGTAGATATATGGATTCGTTTCTGGGTTCTCTATTCTGTCCCATTGGTCTGTGTGTCTGTTTTTATGTCAATACCATGCTGTTTTGGTTACTGTAGCACTGTAGAACAATTTGAAGTCAGGTAATGTGATTTCTCCAGTTTAGTTCTTTTTGCTCTAGATGGCCTTGGCTATACTGGGTCTTTTGTGGGTCTATATAAATTTTTGTATTTTTTTCTATTTATGTGAAAAATGTTATTGGCATTTTTATAGCGATTGCATTGAATCTGTAGGTTGCTTTGGGTAGTGTGGACATTTTAGCAGTATTGAATTCTTACAATCCATGACTGTAAAATGCCTTTCCATTTTTTTTGTTGTTGTCCTCTTCAATTTCTTGAATCAATGTTTTGTAGTTTTCATAGCAGAGATCTTTCACTTCTTTGATGAAGTTTATTCCTATGTATCTTATTTTATTTGCAGTTATTGTAAATGGGATTACATTTTTTATTTCTTTTTCACATTGTCCACTGTTGGCATATAGAAATGCTGCTGATTTTTGTATGTTAAATTTGTATCCTGCAAACTTACTGAATTTGTTTATCAGTATAACAGCTTTTTGGTGGAGTCTTTGGGTTTTTCCAAATAGAAGATCATATTATCTACAAACAGGAATAATTTGCCTTCTTCCTTTCCAATTGGGGTGCTTTTTCTTTCTTTCTTTTTTCAGATGGCTCTAGGTAGGACATCTGCTACTATGTGTTGAATAACAGTGGTGAAAGTTGACATCCTTGTCATGTTCCAGATCTTAGAGGAAAGGTTTTCACATTTTCCTCATTCAGTGTAATACTAGCTGTGGGTCTCTTGTTTATGGCTTTTATGGTATTGAGGTATGTTCCTTCTAATCTTAGGATTTTTTTTTTTATCATGAAGGGATGTTGAATTTTATCAAATGATTTTTAGCATCAATTGAAATGATCATATGGTTTTATTCTTCATTCTGTTGATATGGTCTATCACATTGATTGATCTGTGTATGTTAAACCATCCTTGTGTCCTGTGATTACTCTTACTTGGTCATGATGAATGACTTTTAAAAAATGTGTTATTGAATCCAGTTTCCTAGTATTCTGTGGAAAATTTTTGCATCAATATTGATCAGAGATGTTGGCCTATAGTTTTCTTTTGTTGTTTTGTGTTTATCTGGTTTTGGTATCAGGGTAACACTGGCCTCATAGAATGCATTTGGGAGTATTCCCTTCTCCTTTATTTTTAGGAGTAATTTGAGTAGGGTTGGTATTATTTCTTTGAATGTTTGGTAGAATTCAGAAGTGAAGCCATTGCATCATGGGCTTTTCTTTTTTTTCTTTTTCTTTCTTGCTTTCATTTTTTTTTTTTTTCAGATCATCTCATTGCCCAGGCTGGAGTGCAGTGACATGATCTTAGCTCACTGCAGCCTCATTTACCCAAGCTCAGGTGATCCTTCCACCTCAGCCTCCTAAGTAGCTGGGACTACTGGTGCATGTCACCACACCTGGCTGTTTTTGTATTTTTAGTAGAGACAGAGTTTTGACATGTTGCCCACACTGGTCTAGAATTCCTGGGCTCAAATGATCCATCCACCTTGGCCTCCCAAAGTACTAAGATTATAGGCATGATACACCATGCCCAGCCACATCTGGGGCTTTTCTTTACTGGATTTTTATTATGGCTTTGATTTCTTTACTTGTTTTTGGTCTGATCAGGTTATGGAGTTCTTCATGGTTCAATCTTGGTAGGTTTGTATGTACCTAGGAACGTATTCATTTCCTCTATATTTTCCAATTTATTGGAAGATAGTTTCTCATAGTAGCCACTAATGGTCCTTTGAATTCCTGGGGCATCCATTGTAATGTCTCCTTTTTCATCTCTGATTTTATTTATTTGGGTCATCTCTGTTTTTTTCTTAGTTAGTCTGGCTAAAGGTTTATCAATTTTATTTACCTTTCAAATAAACATTTACATTGATTTTTTATTGTTTTCTTCATTTCAATTATATTTATTTGTGCTCTAATCTTAAATATTTCTTCTCTTCTACTAGTTTGGGGTTTGGTTTGCTCTTGCTTTTGTAGTTCTTTTAGGTGCATCATTAGGTTATTTATTTGAAGTTTTTCTTATTTTTAGATGTAGGCACTTATACCTATAAATTTCCCTTTTAGTACTGCTATTGCTGTACCCCATAAGTTTTGATATGTTGTATTTAATATTTCATTTGTTTCAAGTAATTTTTGTATTTCCCTCTTAATTTCTTCCTTTACCTACTGGTCATTCAGGAGCATATTGCTTAAATTCCATGTTTGTATAGTTTTCAAAATTCCTCGTTATTGATTTGTAAATTTTATTGTGGTCAGAGAAGATGCTTGATATTATTTCAGTTGTTTTGAATGTTTTAAGACTTGTTTTGTGACCTAACATATGGTCTATCCTTGAGAATGATCCATGTGATTAGGGGAAGAATGTATTCTGCAACCATTGGATGAAATAGTCTGTAAATATCTATTAGGTTTATTTTTTCTATAGTGTAGATTAAGTCCAATGTTTCTTTGTTGATTTCCTGTCTGGATAATCTGTCCAATGCTGAAAGCAAGGTGTTGAAGCCTCCAGCTATTACTGTATTGATGGTCTATATGTATCATTGGCTCTAATAATCCTCTTGTTGAATTGACTCCTTTATTACTACATGATGACCTACTTTGTCTCTTCTTACAGTTTTTGTCTCAAAGTCTATTTTGTTTGATATAATTATAGCTACTCCTGCTGTTTTATGGCTTCCATTGGAATGGAATATATTTTTTTCTTCCTTTTGTTTTTAGTCTATATGTGTCTGTGTATGTGAAGTGTGTTTCTTGTAGGCAACAGATCACTGGGTCTTGTTTCTTTATCCATTTAGCCACTCTGTGTCTTTTGATGGGAGAATTTAGTCCATTTACATTCAATGTTATTATTGATAAGTAAGGACTGACTCCTGTCATTTTGTTATTTGTTTTCTTGTTGTTCTGTGGTCTTTTCTTCCTTCTTTCCTTCCTTCCTGCTTCCTTTTTGTAAAAGCTATTTCCTCTGGTGGTATGTTTTAATTTCTTGCTTTTAATTTTTTTTCGATTACAGGCTTTTTGATTTGAGGTTACCATGAGGCTTGCAAATATCATCTCATAACCTATTATTTTAAACTGATGACAACTTAACACTGATTGCCTAAACAAACAAACAAGGAAAAAGAAAACCAATAACAACTCTCACCTTTTCACCCTGCTTTAAACCTTTTTGTTGTTTCACCTTGTCTTTTTGTGTTGTCTGTACCTTGAAAAGTTATAGTTATTATTTTTTATTGGTTCATTGTTTTGTCTTTCTATTTAAGATAAGAGTAATTTACACACTACTATTCCAGTGGTATAATATTCTGTGCTTTTCTGTGTGCTTGCTATTACCAGTGAGTTTTGTACCTTCAGATGATTTATTATTGCTCACTAATGTGCTTTTCTTTCTGATTGAGGTATGCCCTCTTCAAGCAGCTCTGCTTGCCAGCTCAAGTGTCCGTGAGGGGTGAGGGGTTTCCTGTAGCTAGGATTCTGGAGGACTGTGACATAAGTGGGCCACTTCTTACCTGCTTAACTCACCCCTTCACCCAGGAGCTGTTGGGAACCAGGAATAAATCTCAGTGCTTGGCAGCTGGGTGCAGGGTTTCCAGCTTCCTCCCCCCTTCAGTCTAGGGTCTGTGTCCTCTCTCTGTCCACTCTCTATGCCTTCCCTCCAAAAATATGTTTAGAATATGTCAATCTTCCCAATGTCCTGGTCTCTCAGTGGGAGATATTCTTTCTGGCTGTGTCTAGTCAGCCATCTTGGCTCTGAATCTTTACTTAAAGTTATTTAACATGATTGTTAAGTTGTTTATTTGAATTTTTATTGCTTTCTTGATGGAGGCACTTATTGCTACAAACTTTCCTCTTAGTACTACTTTTACTGTATTCCATGAGTTTTGGTATGTTGTGTTTCTATTTTTATTTGTTTCAAGTAATTTTTAAATTTCCCTCTTAATTTCTTCATTGACTCACTGGTCATTCTGGAGTATATTGTTTTATTTCCATGTGTTCATATTGTTTCCAAAGTTCCTTTTGTTACTGATTTCTACTTTTGTTCTATTGCGGTCAGAAAATATACTTGATTGTATTAGGCCATTCTTGCATTGCTATAAAGAAATACCCAAGACTGGGTAATTTATAAGAAAAGAGGTTTAATTAGCCCATGATTCTGCAGGCTATACAGGAAGCATGGCACCAGCATCTGCTCAGTTTCTGGTGGGGACCTTAGGATGCTTATAATCATGGCAGAAGGCAGAGGGGGAGCAGGTCCATCATATGGCAAAAGCGGAAGCAAGAGAGAGAGAGAGTGGGTGGGAAAGTGCCATACATTTTAAAACAACCAGATCTCATGTGAACTTAGAATAAGAGTTCACTTATCACCAAGGGGGTGGCCCAAGCCATTCATGAGGGATCTGCCCCCATGATCCAAACACCTCCCATCAGGCCCCACCTCCAACATTAGGAATTACAATTCAACATGAGATTTGGGCAATGACAAATATCTAAACTATATTATTGATATTTTCAATTTTTAAAAAATGTTATAAGACTTGTTTTGTGGCCTAACACATGCTCTATCCTTGAGAATGATTCATGTGTTAAGTAGAAGAATCTGTGTTCTGCAGCCATTGGATGAAATGTTCTGTAAATATCTATTAGATGCATTTGGTCAATATTGCAGATTAGGTCCAATGTTCTTTGTTGATCTTTCTGTCTGGATAACCTGTCCAATGCTGAAAGCAAGGTGCTGAAGTATCCACCTATTATTGTATTGAGGTCTACCTCTTTCTTTAGCTCTAATAATATTTACTTTATACATCTGGGTGTTCCAGTGTTGGGATTGTTACATCCTCTTGCTGAATTCACCCCGTTACCATTATATAATGACCTTCCTTGTCTCTTGTTACAGTTTCTGTCTCGAAGTCTGTTTTGTTTGGTGTAAGTATAGCGACTCCTGCTCTTTTTGGCTTCCATTTGAATGGAATATCTTTTTTCATCCTTTTATTTTCAATCTATATGTGTCTTTATATATGAAGTGTGTTTCTTGTAGGCAATAGTTCATTGGGTCTTGTTTCTTTATCCATTTAGCCACTCTATGTTTTTGCTTGGAGAGTTTAGATCATTTATATTCTATGTTATTATTGGTCAGTAAGGACTGACTCCCATCATTTTGTTATTTGTTTTCTTGTTGTTCTGTTGTCTTTTCTTCCTTCTTCCTTCTTTCTGTCTTTTTTTTAATGAAAGCTCTTTCTTTTGGTGGTATGTTTTAATTTCTTGCTTTTTAATTTTTTTTTTGCAGGCTTTTCGATTTGAGGTTACCATGAGGCTTGCAAATAACATCTTATAACCCATTATTTTAAATGGATGACAACTCTAATTGCAAAACAAACAAGCAAGCAAAAAGAAAACTAATGAAAGCTCTACAGTTTAACTTCATCCTCCCCAGTTTTTAACTTTTTGTTGTTTATGTTTATATCTTATTATACTGAATATGTCTTTATAATTTGTTGTAGCTATCATTTTTTGATAGGTTTGTCTTTTAGACTTCCTATTCAAGATATAAGTAATTTATATATTATAATTAAAGTGTTATCATATTCTGTATTTGTCTGTGTACTTAGTATTACCAGTAAATTTTGTACTTTCAGATTATTTCTTAGTCCTCATTAATGTTCTTTGCTTTCAGATTGAATAGTTCACTTTAGCATTTCTTGAGGTCAGATCTGGTGTTGACAAAATTCCTCAGCTTTTGTCTGGGAAAGCCTTTATTTTTCCTTCATGTTTGAAGCATATCTTCAATGGATATATTATTTTATGATAAAAGTTTTTTTCCTTCAGCACTTTAAATACATCATGCACTTCTCTCATGGCCTGTAAGGTTTCCATTGAGAAATCTGCTGCCAGACATATTGGAGGTCCTTTATATGTTTTTTTTTATTTTTTAATTTTCTCCTGCTGCTTTTAGGATCCTTTCTTTATTCTTAGCCTTTGGGAATTTGATTATTAAGTGTCTTGAGGTGGTCTTATTTGTGTTAAATCTTTTTGGTATTCCATAAACTTCTTATACTTCAATATTGATATCTTTCTCTAGGTTTGAAAAGTTCTCTATTATTATCTCTTTGTATTAACTTTCTACCCTGATCTCTCTCTCTCTGCTGCCTCTTTAATGCAAGTAACTCATATTTGCCTCTATGAGGCTATTTTCTACAGCCTGAAGGCATGCTTCATTATATTTTTTTTCTTTTTCTGTTGGCTCCTCTGACTGTATATTATTCAAATAGCCTGTCTTCAAACTCACTAATTCTTCCTTTTGCTTGATCAATTCTGCTGTTGAGTGACTCAATGTATTCTTTAGTTTGTCAGATGAATTTTTCAGCTTCTAAATTTCTGCTTGATTCTGGTTAATTATTGCAATCTCTTTGTGAAGTTTATCTGATAGGACAATACCTTCCCTGTGTTATCTTGGATTTCATTGAGCATCCTCAAAACAGCCATTCTGAATTTTCTGAAAGGTCACATATCTCTGTCACTTTGGGATTGGTCAGGGTTGCCTTATTTAGTATGTTTGGTGATGTCATATTTTCCTAAATGGTCTTGATGCTTTTGGATGTTCAGTGGTGTCTGGGCACTGAAGAGTTAGATGTTTATTGTAGTCTTGAAAGTCTGGGGTTGTTTGTACCCATCTTTCTTGAGAAGACTTTCCAACTATTCAAAGGGAATTGCCATAAGCGCATTAGGGGGCACCCCAAGCCCAGTAACACTGTGACTCTTGGAGACTCATAGAGGTAGTGCCTTGGTTGTCTTAGGTAAGATCCATGAGAATTCCCTAGATTATGTGGCAGAATCTCTTATTCTCTTCCCTTACTTTTTCACAAGTGAATGGAGTCTTTCTCTCCATGCTGAGCTGCCTGCATCTGGGGGAGCTGTGAAACAAGCACCCTTGTGGCCACCAACACCAGGACTGTGCTGGGTCACACCTGAGTCCAGCACAGTACTGAGTATCACCCAAGGCCTGCGGTGACTATTTTCTGGCTACCACTGATGTTTATTCAAGGCCCAAGGGCTCTTTAATCAACAGGTGATTAATTCAGCCAAAAGTTCGTCTTTTCCTTCAGTGCAGCAGGTTTCCTTCTGGCCCAAAGTGAGTTTGGAAATGCTATTCAGGAGCTATGGCCAGTGACTGGGGGCTTTAGAAATCTGCTTCGTGCTTTATTTTGCTAGGGTGGAACTGGTATCCATGTTGCAAGAGTCCTCTTTACTTTTCCCTATACTTCTCTCAAGCAGGAGTCTTTCTCCATGGCCACCACCACCCCAGGTCTGTGGTGAGTATCGCCTGGTTATCACTGATGTTTATTCAAGGCACAAGGGTTCTTTAGTCGGAAGGTGGTGAGTCTTGCCCGACCTGGGTCTTTCCCACAAGGATAACACATACCCTTCTGGCCCAAGGTGGGTCTAGAAATGCCCTCCAGGAGCCAAGGCCTAGAACTGGAAACTTTGGGTGTCTGCTTGGTGCTTTATTTTACTTTGGCTGAGCTGGTACCCAAACTGCAAGACAAAGTCTTTTTAATTCTTCCCTCTCTTTTCCCTAAGCAGAAGGGGTTACAGCCACCACAGCTGGAAAAATGCTGGGTCATACATAGAGCCAGCCAGGTTTTAGGTCTTGCCCAAGGCCCATGGTGACTGTTGCCTGGCTACCACTGATGTTTATTCAAGACCCAAAGGCTTTTTAGTCAGCAGGTAGTGAATTCTTAGTCAGCAGGTGATGAACTCTGCCAGGACTGAGTCCTTCCCTTCAGGGCAGTTGGTTCTCTTCTGGCCCAGGCTTGGTCTAGAAATGTCATCCTGGAGCTATGGCTTAGCATGGGGTCTTCAGGACTCTACTTGGTGCTTTTATTTTATTGTGGCTGAATTGGTATCCAAGTTGCAAGACAAAGTCTTTACTCTTCCATCTCCTCCTGGAACTGCAAGCTGAGTTACCTGGAGTTGGTGCAGGGGTGATGCAAGCACTCCTGTGGCTGCCCCAGCTGGTGTGTCACTGGGTCACCTGCATCCCAAGTTCACCGGCTCTAAGCTCAGCACAGCACCAGGACTTGCCCAGGAATTGCAGTCCTTTTTGCCTAGATTGTCTTTCCAGTTTGTTTAGAACCCCAGAGCACTTTAGCCCATGGTGGTGGGGCTAGTGGGAACTCAGGTTCTGACCTCTGGGATGGATAATTCCCCTCCAGCTAGGATTTGTCTAAATGCTCTCTCCATGGGAACTGGTGGAATCCTGCCCTGTGTTGCTTTCCGCTGGGACAGGGCAGTACTGAGTTGCAATGTAAAGTCTCACAGTCTCTTCACTCCCTCCCCCAAGCACACAGATTCTCTCTCCATGTCATGCTGTGATGCCAGCGGATATGGGAGGAGTGGTGTAGGCAATACAAGACCCTCTTCAGTGCCGTTTTTTCCTGATATAATGTTAAAACCAGGTACTGTAATTACTCACCTGATTTTTTTTTATTCATATGAGGGTGCTTTCTTGTGTGGATAGTTGTTAAGTTTGGTGTTCATGCAGTAAGGGACAATCACTGGAGGATTCTATTCAGCAATCTTGCTCCACTTCCTCCTCCCTTGTGCTTTTCTTAATACATACAATTTTTTTTTAAATCGTGGTCTTAACAACTGTCTTTTCAACATATTACCAAGTGTTCAGAGGTATGTTCCTCCAGTCTCTACCTGGTTACATTCTGTACCCTTTTTAGCACAGTTTGAAAGCCTGTGTTACCCTGTGTATTATTTTCCTGTGTATCATTGGGAAGTAATGTTGCATTTCAGTTTTGCCAGCTCTTGCAGCAAAGAGTTGCTTCATTAGACCAAAGTCCTGATTAGAATGATCCTTTATTCCAGAACAAGCATACACAAAATAGGTTATATTTCTTGTTAATGTTTATACAAATATCCAAAGAAGAGAAAAAGCATGCTTTAGTATGCTTAGCTTTACCTTAATTTTTGATACTTCCTTCAGAGCAGAATCGTATACCATGGAATATCTAGTAGTCAATGTAAATACAACACGGATCACGAATGTTTGTTAGTATTTCTTTTATTTTCCTTTTTAAAAAAATATTATACTTACCTTGAAAAAAACTATCATTTGTATCTACAGTTATAGAATTCCCATCTTTTCTAGTAGGCTGAATTATTTTTCTTGTCTGTCTAAGCTATGCCCCAGGTATATGCAACACATTCCCAAATGACTGTCCTTGTGTGTTTTTACAGCCTGTCTGTCATGTTAGACATTATTACAGCCACTTGAGATTTCTGGTGCATTTTTATGCAATTATTCCTGTTGTCATTTTGTTGTTTTTCTGAAGGATCCTATTGAGACTAACATAATGTCATTATAAGAGTTAGATAAAATGCTTTATGTAATATCCTTAAGACAGTGTCTGGTAGACAGTATGCCCTCCAAAAATGTTAGCCATTATTATTATTTGGGTCAGAATAACTTTAAATGTCTTACTTGGAAGAAAGAGATTAGAATTTTCAGTACTGCACTACCTTTGGCAATGCCTTCCTTATCTTTTGTTCACAATTCATTCTCCAATCTTGTGGCTAACCAGGATAACCAGGATCTCTGCACCAAGTGATTGAGTTAAGGAACCTTCAGTCAGCATAGATGGCTTTATTATTTTCCCTCATCTTGAGTCTGGCAGGTAAATATCATTTTTCTAAGGTTTATTTGTTTGTTTTTGAAGATACTATTCTTAATACATTTCCCCCTTTGATCTCTTTATAATCATACTGCTGTCCTTGATTTAACAGTAAACTTTTATGTAACTGTGGAGTCATAGATCATGAGCTCTGGTTGGGAGCACCAACTCTTCAGAAAGACTATTGAAAAATTCCTTAAAACCAACTTTAGTTTTTTCATATTGCTTGAAGTCCACGAGAATTTTACTTTTATCTTTTTTCTTGTCAGCCACTCATTTAAATGGAATCTTGCAATGTTGTAAGCTTTTGAATTTACCTCTTCCTCGACACCTTTTTTGTACATATTTTTAATACGTGTTTCTAGGTTCTGGCATCTTGTTACTCCCTTCAAGCAAGTTTTAGCTACTTCCTGTCATAGCTAACACTTTTTTTCACTGCCATACAACTAATTTCTAAGTTTTTGAAGACTCAATTTCAGCTATATTGTCATGTGAACAGAAAAGATTGCTTTTTACATTTCATGTGGCTCTGTATCTCTTTCCTTGTATATCCTATTTATGTTTTGGATTTGCAGATTTTTTTCTATGTTTATTCCAAATAACATATCATCCTAATAGTATGTAAAGAGGTACTTTTTAGAGGTTGTGCTTCTGCTATGTTTTGAAGCTTCTCTAAAATTTCAGCAGCTTACTAGAGGTGAAGTTAATATCACTTTCATATTTTTCTTCCAGAGAGAAGTGAGGGCATATGCAATTTCAAACATTTTATTTTTTATTATCTACAGTTAAATTCACATTTGTGGATCTTTCAGGTCTTCTTGACTTCCTGGGCCAGTGGAGCTTACTTCTCCACTGGACCAAGATGAAGACTAGCTTACTAGGTTTCACATGTTCCTCTTTATATTCAGATTTGTTGTTATACCAAAGCAATAGCCATTAGTTTTTCTTTTCTCAGGCCTAGACCTCTGGTCATCGATATTAATAGCCATTTGTTTTGTATTACATGTTTCTATTTGTACTTTTTCCATTTTTAATTACGACATCAAGGCTTCTTTTGAATATCTTGTTTTTCTATCTGCTTTCCTTCTTCTTACAGCCTTTTTCTATTTATCTCAGGCTTTGAGGTACTCCTATTCCTACAGTAGTTCTACCTTCCATTCATTAAACAAATACTGATTGAGTACTTACTACATGCCAGGTGCATTAGTCCATTTCACACTGCTGTAAAAAACTACCTGAGACTGCGTAATTTTTAAAGAAAAGAGATTTAGTTCACTCGGAGTTCCACAGGCTTAACAGGAAGCATGGCTGGGAGGCCTCAGGAAACTTACAATCATGGTGGAAGGCAAAGGGGAGGCAAACACATATCTACCATGGCAGAGCAGGAGAGAGAGAGCACGAAGAAGCCACACAGTTTTAAACCATCAGATTTTGTGAGAACTCGCTACTATGAGAACAGCAAGAGGGAAATCCGTCCCCATGACCTAATTATCTCGCACTAGGCCCCTTCCCTGACACATGGGAAATACAATTTGAGATGAGATTTGGGTGGAGACACGGAGCCAAACTACATCACCAGACACTGTACAAGGCCCTGGAGACACAAGGGTGAACAAAGTAGACAGGGTCTCTACTCTCATGTAGTTTTCATTTTAGTGTGGACAACAGATAAAATCAAGTAAACAAATACATATTAGTTTGGTGCAAGAGTAACTGTGGTTTTTGCCATTACTTTCAATTCAATTGCAGAAAGTAATATATGCTATAAAGTAAATAATGTAGCAAATGAAATAAAAAGCTGGGTTTAGGTGAGTGTGCATGCTATTTTGTTGATAGGATGATTAAGGCCTCTCTGAGAAGATAACTGAACTGAGAATAGAATGAAATAAAACTAAGAGAAGCACATTTCAGGCAGAGAGAAGAATGAAGTCTTTGAGATGAGAAATGGCTGTTCAAGGAGGAGAAAGAAGACCTTTGTGGACATTAGCTGAGCTATGGAGGGTCAGACTGGAAAGAGGTGATGCTGGGGTAGTGAAAAGGGTCAGATCATATTGGATGCTGTAAGCCTTGATAATAATTTTGGATTATATTCTAAGGTTTATTGGTGGCCACTACATGGTTTTGAGTCAGGGGAAGATAAGAGTGTAAAGGATCTTTGGCTATTGTGCTGAAAATAGACTATGAGAAGCAAGAGTAGAAGTAAAGAGATAGTTTGGAAGCTACTCTTTTTAGGTAGAATGGTGTTTTTGTTTCTGTCTGCTTGTTGTTGTTAAGTCCAAGTAATATAAAAATAACACCAGCTGACTTAAACAAGGACATTTATTATTTCATACCTAAGAAGGCCAGTAGTAGGGTGTACTCCAGGATTGGTTGTTTCAGCAAGTAAATGATGTCATCAGGATGTGCCCTCTGCCATTCATGAGTTTTATTTCATGCTAGTAGCAAGATAGTTGCTTTAGTGCTAACCCTTATGCCCCCAAATGGCCAAGTCTGGAGGTATGAGGACAATTATTGTATCATGTGGCAATCTCTTAACAGGTGTCCTCTTGTCGAAATTTTCTCTATACGTCTTTAGCCAGAATTGGTTATCCCTGAACCCATTACAGACAGGATGTTTGGATTTATCATTATGTGCTTGGGCCAATTATTTGTGGGTAGAACAGATAATTGGGAGTCAGCCCCTATTGCTGTAGTCTAGAGAGAATTAAATACTCAATACCTAGCCTAATGTGTGCTATATAGCAGAACCTCAAACCAAAACCAAAACCAAAACCAAACAACATTTTCTGGACACCTCAGAAAAACTTGAGATTTTTCCCTCAGAGGCACCTAACTTCACCTAACTTCAATTTTGCTTATAGAGTGAATATTTGAGTGTCTCTTACGTGAACTGCAATATTCTGGGAAGTGTATATAGGAGAACCGCGTTAGACTTCACAACCATCCTATGGAGTGGGTATTTCTAAATCCACTTTACAGAAAAGGCTGTTCCTAATTAATCTGATAATGAAGATCACATAGCAATTTTTGTCATTCTCCAAAGGTCATATACATTCTTCTGTAATTTTAAGAATAAAATGAAAATATATTTAGCCACAGTTGGACCTGCATATTTGAGCCTTTTAAAAGGATTCTGAAGGGCTCACATACAGTATGCGAAAAGCAATAATCTTCACATTGAACAAATAAAGAGCAGAAATGATAAAGCACTCAGAAGGTGATTCCAGAAGCATACCTCTTCTATTTGACAAATCACATGTAAAAAAGACAGTGCCTAATTATTTAAAAAATACTTTGGTGGGAGGAGGGTGTTGTTTTGTGGATATAAAAGTGCCCATCTTTTTTGAGAAAGGTTTTATGAAAGACAATCAACAAAATTATAGACTTTTTCCACTTGAAGGCAAGTTATTTATTCCATTCAGTTTGGAGTTTTGTCTTTGTGTTTTTAACCTCTGCCTCAATGTATACTCTTCACTGATGTTGACCAAACCAAAGCTGCTGAGATGTGAAATCAGGTGATTTAAAGATTCACTTCTGATTCCCAAGATGTGCTCCAGGGCATACTGTGATGTGCTTTAGGGCATAAAATGATCTCAAGCTGAGGCTAAGGGGGAAAGAAAATCTCCACAGTAACAATAAATATTGCATAGTGGCAAGGTGGTTAGAAAATAATGTTCTTAAAAATTTTCAAGCAACTATACTTTTTATAAAATCTAGTAAGGCAGGAAGCTAAACTATATATTAATTGTTGACTTACACAATGAAAACTCTAAGTTGCTCAATATGTTGTAAATTGTTCTCATCAGTTCAAAGGTTAAATTTATTTTTTTTAAACTAGTTTGGGATCAATGTGTAGAGCTAAAAATAAATATAAAACCTCTGAGAGAATTTTGTTGCATTCGGATTTTAATTTACCCATGTTAATGAGGAAAAAAGGAGATGGTTAGTCCTTGAATGTCCACTTCTAAAGAGTGGAGTATTGGGATAGAAAACAAGATAATCTTACCAGAGCTTTGATTGATCTCTAATTTGCATTATCAACAGTAAGGGATAGTCTTGGAATATAGTCTTCCAAATAACTTTTATCTGTGTTACCAGAAAACAATGAAACATTGACTAAATACTTCCTGAACGTGTTCCTTTCTATCCTCTGGCAAAGCTTCTGTAAGTGACATGATCAGAAAGTACTGGAGGAAAATAGGCAGAAAGAGAAACAAGGAATCTGGGTTTATTTCCAAACTGAATAATCAGCTTCCTACTAAAAAAGAGAATTGGCAAGGCTGTATGGAAGCTTCCATGATTCCTTCATTCCCATTGTGACAGCCGTATGTAAGCTGGCAAGAGAGACCTGCAAATACTATGGATAAACATAGTCATTTCTCAAAGGCTCCCATTTAACTCACTATAATTTAAGATTACACAGCCCTACTTGCCCTGCATACCTCTTCTTCTGTGTTGAGTCTACAAGTTTGCTTGAAAACCTAACAATCATTGCTCTGAATGGTGTTAATGTGGAGTACTTTATAGTTGGTGATACACTTGGGAATTTACAAGTTTAGCCTGGGAAAGAAAATATCTGCCTTCCCTTTCTCGATCTTGGAAAAACTTGGCCCCAAGTCCAGTGGCCCATATCCCCTGATTCACTGGTCCTGCCTTCCTTCCTTTCATGATTTTAAAAAAGTAATAATAAGTAAACCTACTCATTTGTATTGCTCCACATTGGTACTGTGCTAAGACCTCATGCTCTTGGGCTCATGTCCCAAATAGCTTACATACTTCCCAATGGAGCAGAGATTATTTGAATTCTTTTAGGAAACCTGTAGATCTGCTATTACTATACTGATTTTACATATAAGAAAGTGGAACTCAGGGAGTTTATTTATTTATTGAGCCAGAGTTTCACGCTTGTTGCTCAGGCTGGAGTGCAATGGCGTGATCTTGGCTCACTGCAACCTCTACCTTCCAGGTTCAAGCGATTCTCCTGCCTCAGCCTCCCGAATAGCTGGGATTACAGGCATGTGCCACCAAGCCCGGCTAATTTTGTAATTTTAGCGGAGACAGAGTTTCACCATGTTGGCCAGGTTGGTCTTGAACTGGTGATCTGCCCGCCTTGGCCTCCCGAAGTGCTGGGATTACAGGCGTGAACCAAGCCACTGTGCTCAGGGTGTTTAAGTAACTCACCCAAAGTCACACAGCAAGTAAGGGTCAGAGCCAGAATTTGAACCCAGGTGCTGATGGGCATGGCTTTTCCACTGCTATGTTCTACCTTTCTGATTTATATACTGGGAAAAACGTAAGTACCAAGAGGGTCCAGAGGAGAAAGTTGTCTTCAAGTAGAGTGATACTTGGCAGGTAGTAAGCATTCAACAAATATTACTTGGATGAAAAAATGAAGTAATAAACAATTGTTTCCTGGATAGTTTTTCTTCTTTACACTTGTTAAATGTTTTCAAATTAGCATTTACTACTTTTACAATTACTAAGTAAAGAATGAAAAAGAAGGGAAAAAGAAAAGAAAGAAAAGTTACTCTTTTCTACATATTCAGAAAATAGTTTCAGGAAAAAAAATCCTATAAAAAGTTTAGATGGGGAATGTTCTTCAAAGTTCCAAGCATCATTATTAGCACTGGGTCAGTTATTATTGGTTTAGTAAATCCAGTTCTTAGAATGGCCAATGTCAGAAAGTGACCTTGTAATACTTTTCCCCTTGGTCTCCCCATCTGTGAACAGATTTAATCCCTGTCACCCATCCAGAAGAATGAGATGTTCTAATGAGTAAGGAGATGTAAAGTACTCTCAGGTTTGGATAAAAGGCCCTGTGAGTAGAGAACGGTCTTATAAATAAAGTTGCAAGCCAGTACACATTCATCAGTTACTTGATTCATAGCCAAAAAGCTTTAAACACATTGCAGAGAAGTAGAGAAAGAAATGATTGCCGTGTGCATCCACAGGACTTCGTATATCAAATTACATAATAAGAATTATATTCTGTGAAAAATCACCCCTTGTCTTTTTAATGTGAGGCATGGAGCTGCACCTAATCTTTGGATCTCAAACCTAAGCAAGAGAGGTACACACAGATTTTTGAAATTTAGAAAATAAAATTTTGGAAGCCCAATCTCCTATCAATGATTTCTAAATTCAGAGATGTACTGTGATGTAAAATACTGGGTTAGGAAGTGAATTTGATGAATCACACATATGACTTAAGGCAAAAATGCTCAACTCCTGCACTACAACATCAGTTGCGTGAAAGAGTTGTGCCAGTGTCTAGAGCAGCATTGCCCAATAGAAGTTTCTATGATGATGAAAATGTTGTATCCTATTTTTTCCTGAAACTAAAATAGAAGGCACCAGTCACTTGTTCTATTGAATACCTGAAATGTGTCTGTTCTATCTGAAGAGTTAACATTTTAATCTTATATAATTTTAATTAATTTGAATAAATGTAAATAGCCACATGTGACTAGTGGCACCAGTCTAGACACAAGTTAATATACCAGAAGTTCCTATTTCATGGCCCTTGGCCTAAGCGTGGTTCATTCCAATGGCCATACTGGCTTATCTAACACAGTAGCATCAGGACAACCTTCTCAGAAACCAGAGAGCAATAGGAGAAGAT
Organism: Homo sapiens; assembly: GCF_000001405.40. NCBI lineage: Eukaryota > Metazoa > Chordata > Mammalia > Primates > Hominidae > Homo > Homo sapiens. The sequence goes on along the minus strand of NC_000014.9, from coordinate 80,426,504 downwards.
TCTTTCTCTGTTATTCCATGACTCTAGAAATTGTTAAGCCAGGATATTCTCTCACAGTAAAGAACCCAAAGGCCCCTTCAAGTGATTGTTGGCTTCTTCATTGAGTGGCTACCTCTCCATAGATAATGGCAAGGGAGAGATGACACAGGACTTCTTAAGAACATTCCATATGAGTCCCTCTATATCCATTAGTAGTCACATATGCATTCACTCACTCAAAAAATATTAAGTAAATGGGCTAGGCGCTGTTCTCTCAAGGATAATTTTCCTCTGTTAACATTTCTATGTGTTGCCTTTCACCTTCTTGCCATATACATATGAGGGGCAACATGGCATGGAGCAAGGAACTTTTGAGCAGAGCGCCCTGAAATAGCCCTATTTTCTAGGACAGGGGTCAGCAAAAAATTTTTTTTCGTAAAAGGCCACATAGTAAATGCAGGAGTCGCCTCTTATCTGCAGTTAGGCTTTCTGCGGTTTCAGTGACCCACAGTCAACTAACGTCCAAAAATATTACATCACAATTCTTGCACTTTGGGGCCATTATTAAGTAAAATAAGGGTTACTTGAACACAAACACTGGGATGCCACGATGGTCAATCATCTGATAACCTAGAGGGATACTAAGTGACTAATGGCAATCCCAGCAGGACAGAGTGGGGTGGAACAAGATTACATCACACTACTTAGAGCAACATGCAAATTAAATCTTATGAATCATTTCTGGAAGTTTCCACTCATATCAAATGCCTATGTCATTCACTCACTTCGTCTCATCACACAGGCATTTTATCAACTCACATCATCACAAGAAGGGTAAGTATAGTATGATAAATTATGTTGAGAGAGACCACATTCACCTAACTTTTATTACAGTATATTGTTGTAACTGTTCTATTTTATTATTAGTTATTGTTGTTAATCTTTTACTGTGCCTGATCTATAACTTAAACTTTATTATAAGTATGAATGTGTGGAAAAAAATAGGGTATATAGGGTTTGGTACTATCCATGGTTTCAGGCATCCACTGGGGGACTTTGAACATATCCACTATGGATAAGGATGGACAAGGAGAGAGTACTGTATTTTAGGCTCTGTGGGCCACAAAATTTCTGCCACAGCTATTTAAGTGTGCAGTTGCAACACAAAAGCAACTGTAGAAAATACATAAATAAATAAGCTCGGCTATGTTCTAATAAAACTTTATTTATGGGCATTGGAATTTAAATTTCATATTTGAAATATGGAATATGAAATATAAAAAGACAGAATGGTTTGGAAAGTGTAAATAATTTAAGATTTTTACTATGTTATTGCCAGCTTGTTTTCCAAAAAGTCATACAATTTATATTCCATGAGAGCACTGAGGAGCCTTTTGTTTGTTTGTTTGAGACAGAGTCTCGCTCTGTCGCCCAGGCTGGAGGGCAGTGGTGCAATCTCAACCTCCTTCTCCCGGGTTCAAGCGATTCTCCTGCCTCAGCCTCCTGAGTAGCTGGGACTACAGGTGTGCGCCACCACGCCTGGCTAATTTTTGTATATTTAGTAGAGATGGGGTTTCACCATATTGCTCAGGCTGGTCTTGAACTCCTGACCTTGTGATCTGCCCACCTCAGCCTCTCAAAGTGCTGGGATTACCGGCGTGAGCCACTGCACCAGGCCGTTTTTTTAAAAATGTCATGAAATTCAGCCATTCTGTAGGTAGATTTACAGTTTTATTACATAGGATCTTAATACATATTTTTAAAAGTCCTTCAAACCATTTTTTAAAGTCAGGCAGAATAAAATATCCTAGCTATAATTTTCCCAAACAACTGAAAAACTGACTATTATTTATCAAATAAAAAGAAAATCATACTTTTCTACCATCAAAATCAATGAGCAGGCCAGGGCGTGGTGGCTAACACCTGTAATCCCAGCACTTTGGGAGGCCAAGGTGGGCGGATCATCTGAGGTCGGGAGTTCGAGACCAGCCTGACCAACATGGAGAAACTCCATCTCTACTAAAAATACAAAATTGGCCAGGCATGGTGGCACGTGGCTGTAATGCCAGCTACTCAGGAAGCAGAGGCAGGAGAGTAGCTTGACCATGGGAGGTGGAGGTTGCCGTGAGCCAAGATTGCGCCATTGCACTCCAGCCTGGGCAACAAGAGCGAAACTCTGAGAAAAAAAAAAAAAAAATGAGCATCAGTTTACTTGAAAGGTTAAGCCTATGGATTTGCATGTACCATGAGGCACAGGAGAGTCTTCTCTTGAGACCTTAAAGAGCCCAGGCAGGCCGGGCGCAGTGGCTCATGCCTGTAATCCCAGCACTTTGGGAGGCTGAGGCGGGCGGATCACGAGGTCAGAAGTTCAAGACCATCCTGGCCAACACGGCGAAACCCCGTCTCTACTAAAAATACAAAAATTAGCTGGGTGTAGTGGTTTGCGTCTGTAGCTATGTGGGAGGCTGAGGCAGGAGAATCCCTTGAACCCGGGAGGCAGAGGTTGCAGTGAGCCGAGATTGCGCCACTGCACTCCAGCCTGGGGACAGAGTGAGACTCCGTCCCCTCACCGCCCCCACAAAAAGAGCCCAGGCGAGAACTGGTCCTCAATGATTTAGTCACTCAATTTTCTGATATTAGGGCACAGGTTTAGATTCAAGTAATATTTATTAAATAGCTACTTTAATTGTGAGTCTCCAAGTGCAGCTCACAAACCAGTAATAGTCTGAGATCAGGTTTTCATACTTCCATGGAGAAATGCATAACATAAAGCTCAATGTATTCAACTTAAATGTAAAGATCTACTTCTTTACTGTTAACCTGTCTTTTCTTTTTATAAAGTAATAGTGTTCTATGGATTTTCTCATAATATTTGACAAAATAAGCAACATCGTATCCCTGTGTCCTACCTAAATCAATTTTGTTGTACTTGAATATATATTGAATATCTAAATCAATTACATGTGTACTTTGAATACATATTTGAATGTGTATATTACCTAAATCAATTATATGTATGTTGAATATAATTAAAATTATGTGTTTAATGTAATATGCATTATCATTTATAAAAATACTTCATGTAATTCACAAACCTAGAAATTACTGTGTTTAATATTCATCTGTGCTGGTTGCATCACAAATATAATTTACTCTTACTCTTCACAAACATTGAGTTATTATTATCACTTTAAAACAAATAAAGAGATAGAGGAGGAAAGAGGTTAAAAAATTTACCTAAGATCACACAGCTAGCAGGTGGTGTAGTCAGGAGTCAAAGTTTTGTTTTGTTTTTTGAACCGGAGTTTCACTCTTGTCGCCCAGGCTGGAGTGCAATGGCATGATCTTGGCTCACTGCAATCTCTGCTTCCTGGGTTCAAGTGATTCTCCTGCCACAGCCTCCCGAGTAGCTGGGATTACAGGTGTGCGCCACAATGCCGGCTAAGTTTTTGTATTATTAGTAGAGATGGGGTTTCACCATGTTAGCCATGCTGGTCTCAAACTTCTGACCTCAGGTGATCCACCTGCCTGGCCTCCCAAAGTGCTGGAATTACAGGCATGAGCCACCGCACTGGGCCAGGAGTCAAATTTAAAGATTCTTTCATTGTCTGTGCTGCTTATTTATAAATTATTTCCACATAAATTACTTCCATATAAATCACTTTTAAAAATTAGCAGTATCTCGAAGTCCCTTTCAACTCAGTGTTCCAATCATTAAAAATAAATGGATTGTTTATTATTATATCACAAGATATATCATTAAAATGTTAACTTCTATGATATGGCTATTTTTCATAAGCTTACTTTTGATCTGTTTTTATACGTATGTGCATAGTCCTATTTTGTCCATTAATTCCACCACCGGACAACTGATACCAAATGAACTGTGTCACTTTTCCCAGGGTGCATTTCTCCTTTAGTTATCATGGAGTTGTTCTGGTAGGAATAAGGCTGCCTGGCACAGTGGAGCCTCAGTTACTTTCTCTCATGCAATGGTAATGCTGTGGTAATGTACCAGTTGGGATTGGAAACGATGAATAATATTAATTAATACTAACATTAAATAAAATAGTGATGAGTACCTCAAAGAAAAAGGACAAGACGCTAAAGAAAAGGTACATAATGTTAACAGGTTTCTTGCTTTTAATTGGAGCTCTGAGAAATGAAGCTTAATCTGAGATTGTTGGGCTATGCTGGGATCATCCTGGTCAAGAGTGAGGGAAAAGGGTGACCAACTAGCAAAAAAAGCAGCGCTTGAGCAGTCTGCAATGAACAACAGGAAGAATGTTTCAAATGGCGCATGACATGTGGCATTGCATGCAGGACATTTAAAACTTTCATCCCAACAGCAATAGGAAACAAAGTGAAGGTTTAATCAGGGGAGTGACATGATGTCACTTGCGTTTTAATAAGGCCACTCAGGCTGCATCTAAGAGAATGGACTAGAAGAAGAGAAGAGAAAATTTGCAGTCTAGCCATTTTAATAATGTTATTGAGCCGTGATGCAGGCTTGGAGTGAGATAGTGACAGTAAAGATGGTTTTTACTATTGGTGTTCATGAGAGGTGTCCGGAAGACAAAAGCAATGCTGTGAGCTTCTGTGGGCAGTAATTTATCTTCTTTCTCTAACCTTTGAGTCTGGAGTCAATTGAAAAAAGTAGACCTATGAACAATATCCTTCCAGGGAAGCTTAAGTGTGTGGCCAATTTTTTCCTAATGCCTTTTGTCCAAGCCTAGGATGCAAAATGAACCTCTAAGGGAAGATTTCAGTCTGTAGAGACACTTTTTCAGGACTGTTGGAGAATGAACCGAGAAAGAGGGAGAACACATAATGGCCTGGCTCCTTCTAAACTCCCCAATAAGGTAATACCTTCCCTTTCCCCATAAAAGAGGAGGATATGGAGAGGACCGATGGAATGAAAACTAGAAGTGTTATTTCAATATTATTTTCTCCTAGGGCCAGAAGTTCCTTTTGGACAACACAACCGGAGGGAAATAGGGATTCTTCCTATTAGAGAGAACCCAGTGGCTGGTTGAATGTGGCAGTTAAGGAAGAAGAAACTCTCAAGAATAATTCCCTAGTTTCTTGTATGAACAAACGGGTAGGTACTAGTGCTTTTAGGTACAGAACACTTGGAAGAGCCACTTTTGGAGAATAGAGTGAGATTTCCCCATTGGTTTGGCAAGTTAGAGTCAAGATGCCTTTGGAATAAAGGTGAATAAAGATGAATGTGCAGTTGAAAGTATACTTCTGGGCCTCATAGAAGGCTAGCAGCAAAGTTAATTTGTATTTATTAGCATATTTCTGGTAAATGAAGTTGTGTAGAATAGTTGAAATCATCTAGGGAGAGTTTGACATGAAAAGAGAACCTAGAACTAAGTTTTGGAAAACTCATCATATACTGGTCAGATAGAGCAGAAAGAATTGGAAAAGTTGAGAAGAGGTGGAAATGTCTGGGGTAGGAGGAAATCAGACCAGTTTCCTGGAATCAAGACTAGAGCATGTTTCAAGCAGGAAGGAATATGCTGAATACCATAGAGAAGCCAGGTAAGCAGAGCTAAGCCAATTATATTTGATAACATAGAAGTCATTGGTGACATTACAAGAGCTGTTTCATGGGATTTGTGATGAGGCAAGGAGCTAATGAAAAAGAGAGAAAGACAACAATAGAAGTAGTACCAGTGAATTAAAAATGTAGAAAGAGGTAGCTTATAGGAGAAAAAGCGTCGAAGGAGATTATTTTCTTTTTAGAGGAAGGGAAACTGAGGATGTTTAAATGTTGATGCCAAGGAGGCCACAGGAGAAAAAAAAAAAAGGTTGAAGACAAAAAGACAAAATAAAGAGATGGGGAAATTCGTGAGGTTAGGTTCTTTAAAAAGCTGGACTTTTAGAGGATCCATAGTACAGGTGGAGGGATTATCCGTTCAAATAAAGACCATCTATTTCTCATCGTGGAAGGATACAATATACGTCAATGCACAAACTTTGTAGGATTTCCACTGGGAAGTCTTCGATTTTCTCTGTGGAGTAGAAGGATAAGGTCATTAAGTGAAAATGATTCAGTGCAAGGGGAGGGGCGGGCAAATGGGGAAACTAGAGATTTAAGGGGAGTACAGAGTTGAGCACACTTCTTACGATGAATGGAAAACAAAAGGGTCCTCACAGTATTGCTAGATGGTATTGGGGTCTTGGTGTTTGTGTGTGCAGGAGGGGGTATTACGGAAGGAGAGATAGGCAAATGATGCAATGGATCCAAAATGCAGATCACTGGGATGATGAACCTAATGCATACTAGTGGTAAGTCTAGACTAAGGCCCCTTCCAACTCTTGCTTGTTTCCAAGAAGAGAACAAAATCAGTAAAATAATCTTCCATATAGGTATTTCAGAAGGACTCGATGACTACAACTGTAACAGCCAAGCTCTTGTCTTTATTTTCCCTCAAGGCCAGACAGTATTTCCAGTTCTGTTCCGCTACAAAGAGCCAAGGACGGCTTTGTAGAGCCAGGATTGCTACCTTGGTTTTCTCCCCCAGCTGCCTGGTGATAACAGCCTGGAGTATTTTCTTACAGTCATATGACTGGTAACTACAATTTGGAATAAGACTCCAGATAGGAATTTGTGCCATCTAATTAGGAAAGGTCATTGCACTAATCCTGAGCTGGCATGGGGATGGAGAGAGATGCATTGGCAAGGTGAATTTTGTCATGTGGCATGCAAGGGCATGTGGCAAGTCGGTGGTCCCCAACTTCTCTAAGATAAGAGTCTATAATTTTTGGTTGTGATAAGATATATGGGGAGGGACACACACTAAAAATCACAATGAGGTTAACTGCATATTCAAGAGCAAGCCCTCAAGCTTTCCCTAGCCATAAAGAATTCCAGAATGTCACAGGCAGCCTTGCTATATTACACTCCTTTTCATCTCTGCCTGGTGAGACTTTTTGTGTGTGTACCTTGGCAACCCCACAGCTACCCTGTGAAGCACGTTGCATTGGGAACATTTATCACATTATGTGCTGAGGAAAATAAAAGAAATGGGAGTTGGCTGAACGAAGCAAAGTAAAGCAGGGATTGTTGACCAAGGAGTTTAATTGCTAACTCTCAGATAATACCCATGTGGCAAACACATTTGTCACTGGATTAAAATATTAGGTGTGTTTCTCTTTGGATGTGTTTTAAAGAAAATTAGGAGTTGTCTTAATATGTTGTCAGGAAACACACTTAGCGATAGAGTATAAATCAACACTTTTGGTAGAAAATCAGTGTGCATTTGAATTAATAGTAATTCCCGTGCTTTCAAAATGTGCAATATTTAGAAATGATGTAAGCTCATTTTTGATTATTAGGTTTAAAAACAATTTACTTTTGAGTAATTGGCTCGGGGTAATAATAGTTGAAGGCATTACTGCTTGGGCATTGTAATAATAATAATTATTATTATTACAGCTACTGTTTATTACTGACTTTGTGCTAAGTACTTTACAAGCATTATTATACCACTTAAGCCATACAACAACCATATGAGCTGGTACTGTTAGTTTATGAAATTTATTTTACAGAGACCTACTTAACTGGAACAGAAACCGGGCACTACTAAGTGGCAGGGCTGGAATTCACGCCAAGATATGTATGTCTTGGTCATTTTGTCTCTAGGCTTTGCTCTGTTATGACATTTATTCTCTGACCTTACTGTCTCCATGCCTCAGTTTTCTCTGTGTAAAATAAGAATAATTAATACCATCAATCTCACTGGGATTTAAAGATTAAATGAGACAATACATGTAAAGCTCATAGCAATGCCAAGTACATAGACAATATTCAAGTGAATTTTAGTTACTATAATTACTGCTTCTGAGCACATTAAATTATATATATTAGAAATTTTTACTACTTTTGTTGTTTTCCTGAAAATCAGCCAACTTGCCCTTGAACTACCTTTCTTGTAGTAGCTTGACCAAGAGCTGACCTACCCACAACCTCTTAATTGTCTTCAACATCTCATATCAGCTAGCTGGTGCACAGGGGTACAATCTATAAAAATAGAATAAAGCAAAGCCTAAATGTCCCATAGGGAAAATACATTCATAGCTACAGTTTTGTAACAATGTACTCTTTTCAGCTAAATAATCAAAATCCGTGAAAAGGAAAGAAGGTTTTCAGCAACAGGTTCTTTGAGAAGAATATGGTTCATTAAAACCACAACTTTCCAAAGTAGGGCAGCAAAATCAGGACCAACATAGGAAAATTCATGAAGGTCCATTGGTATGAGAATTTCCAAGATGGGGGGTCATCCTCCTGGTCTTTGCTTTCCCGTATTTTCAGGAGGTTGCCATTTTAAATCTGATGTGGGAATATTACTTAACAACAAAAAGGAAAGAACTATTGATACCTGCTATGATGTGGATAGTTTTAAAATAATTATATCCACACTTGAAGCCAGGAGTTCAAGACCAGCCTGGGCAACATAGTGAGACCCTGTGTCTGCAAAAAATTTAAAAATTAGCTGGGTGTGGTGGTACACATCTGTAGTCCTAGCTACTTAGGAAGCTGAGGCAGGGGGATGGCTTAAGCCCGGGAGTTCAAGGCTGCAGTGACCTCTGATTATGCCATTGCACTCCAGCCTGGGCAACAGAGCAAGATTCCATTAAAAAAAAAATATATATATATATATATATATATATATATATATATATATATATATATATATATATATATATCTCCAGTGAAAAAAGCCAGACAGAAACACAACATTATGTACAATTCCATTCATTTAAAATTCTAGAAAAATGAAAATAAATCTATAGTGACACAAAGCGATCGAGCGAGTGCCTGGAAATGGGGTGAGGAAGCATTACTAAGGGGTACAAAAAGATTTTTGGAAGGCAGTGGTTTCACAAGTATAAACTTATGTCAAAATTTAACCAATTGTACACTTCAAATATGTATCATTTATTGTACTTCAATGATACCTCAATAAAGTTGTTTTAAAAAATCTTGTGGAATACTTTAGAAGATTTTTTAAAGTTGTAACTTTTATTATCTTTTCCTTAATATCTATTGTCAATTATTATTCTTTTCTTTAAGACTATTTGGGTATTATACCTTGCACTTCTACACTGATGTTTGAAATAGCTATCAGGTTTCAATTATATATACATGGCTGCACATTCACCCCCACTGCACTCAAATATACGTGCTAACCCGTTGAGATTTTGATAAGTTGCACTGAAACTGTACATTAATTTGGAAACAAAAGATATCTTTATGATATTGAGTCTCCTGAACCATGAATATAGTATATCTTTATTTATTTAAGTCTTTACTGTCTTTCAAGTATGTTACAATTTTCTCCATACAGGTCTTGTACATTTCTAAGTATTTATAATTTTGTTACTATTAGAGTAATTTTTTTAAAAAAATTAATGTTTTTAACTGCTGATTGTAAAACTGAAATTGACTTTTGTATATTCATTTATAAATCCAGTAACCTCTTATTAATTATTTTGTATTCTGTTTATTCTGTTTAGATTATCCATGTAGGCAATAATAGCTTCTCAGGGTATTGAAAGTATTTATGTGTACTTCCTTTCTGATTCTCATAACTTTTGTTTCTTTCTTTTGCCTTACTGCTTTGGCTAGGTTCACCAGTACAATGATAAATAGAAATGTGATAGTTTATTTTCTTACTCTCATTCCTAATCTGAAAGGAAATGGTTTAATTACTTCATCATTAAGTATGAGTGTATTTAGTAGGAGAGATTTTAAAATGCAGATTCACTTTTAAAAAACAGTTATAGAACTATTAATGTTCTGTTTCTTTATTAGAAAATTTTGCTAAGTTACATTTTTCTATAATTTATTTTAAAATTTATTGGCAGAAAGTTGGTTGTGATATTCTTTTATTATCTTGGAAATCTCTGCAGCCTTTTAAAGAAATTATGTCCCCTATTTTATTCCTAATTTTGCTTATTATATAATTATTTTTCTTCAGTTGGTAAACTTTGCCAGTGTTTTATTAGTAAGTATTTTCAAGGAACCAAACCTTTTGGAGGTGGGGATGGGAGGGGATGAGTTCTCTCTCTGTCGCCCAGGCTGATCTTAAATCCCTGGGCTCAAGTGATCCTTCTGCCTTGGTCTCTGCAGTAGCTGGGATTACAAACACGTACCACTGTGTCCAGTGGAACAAAAAATTTTGTTTGTAGATTTTTAAAATTTTATGTATCCTAAATCTGTACTAATATTTTCTATCATCTCTCCTATTTCTGTGGATAAACTCTCTGCTCCAAGCTAAGTCTAACCCTTTTATTTGTGCATTAAATTTTATTCCTTTCTCCTACTCAAAACTATTGTCAAACAGTGCTCCTCTCTGCATTATCATATTCCCCCCTTGTTTTTGGAACATTTTCCTTAGCATAAAGAAAGGTGATTATGTCTACCTTATTACAACAATAACAACAAACAACCTTCTCTCAACCCTACTTCTTCTTCTAACTGTTGCCTTATTTCTTTTTTCCTCTACGGCTTAACTCTTTTAAAAAGTTGTCTGTACTTGCCGTTTTGAATGTATCCTCTCATTTCTTTGAACCTACTCTAATCAGGCTTCTACACTAGTCACTGTTCTGAAATGCCTTTACTCCTGGTCACCACTTTGCTAAAATCCAGTTGTCATTTCTTAGCCCTTTTTGGACTTGCCTGATCAGCAGCATGTGACACACAGCTGCTTATTCACCCTTTAGAAACACGTTTCTTTCCATGGCTTCCCGGACATCACCTTCACCTGTTATCCCTCCTGTATTTCTGGCCACTGCCTCTCAATCTCTTTTTTATAGTTCCTTCTCATATTGTCAATACCTAAAATTTGAAATGTCTCCTTGCTTAATGCTTGAACTTCTTTTCTGTATCTATACCACTTTTTGGTGATGTCATCGAGTACCAGGGCTCTAAGTACCATCAGTATATAGATAGTATTTAGAGCCATTAGGATATATATCCAAATTTATGTCTCCAACTTACATCTTTCTGCAGCACACCACTTTTAACTCACCAATGACATGGCAGCCTTAAACCTCTAATATGACAGGTGGACCAACTGGTACTTAGGGTTCCTGGAAGTTAAGCCAGTGCCTAATAGTTCCTAAAAGATCTAGGCTTTTCTTTTTTCCCATAGCACAATCAAACTAATAAATGGCTACAGGTCCTATTGAAAAAGGCTTGAAGGAAAGTTTATAGCATATATATGTAGCAATGTATCAGTCTCTATCCTCAAATGAACCTAACCTCTCGCCTTCAATCAAGGGGTTCCAGGCTTATATATGAAAACTAGGTGAGAGGCTATGACAATACATCGTGTCAACTAACATTTGGTTTCTAGCAGACCTGAACTTTTTCTTATTATAGATCAAGTAACATTTTTAGTAAGCTGTCTGTGTATTTCATTCCCAGATACACTGTAATCAATTTACCACCTAAAGATATCTGCAGGTGATATAATATGGCGGTAAAATATACCGGTTACCAGTTTATTCCTTCTGCCTGTTATGGTCACAAAGACAATGTGAACATATTACCAGTTCTTTCCTTCTACCATGATGGACAGAAGGAATAAGCTGGTGATATGTCCACACTGTCTTTGTCAGTTAAGTTCTGATATGTCACTTGGCCTCTGAAAATCTGCAACTGCAGGATCCAACTGAAATCAGGAAGTCCATCTTAATGACAGCATCTCCCACTTTCATAACTAGCTTACGCAGGACAGCAAACAGAGAGCTTTTTCAAGATTTTGGTTTTGTCCTCACCAATATAAAGGGAGTGTCCTTTGAGCTCTTCAGTGAATGTAACTGGGTGAAGAGTGTTGGGAGGAGGGAATGAAGGCCACAAATGATAAATCGACTCCATCATTCTTACCTTCTTAAGCCTTTAGATCTGCTCTTCCACATTTTACTAGGGATGTTACAGCATCTTAATCTCATTAAATGTAGATTGTCAAAGAGTCCAAGTGTCACTCAACCAAAGTAAACTGTTGGAACCATTTCCAGCTAACACATTGAATATGAAAACACTCATAAGTGCTTCATCAATATATTTGACCCTTTTCTGAATTATTTTGCAGCCTGCTTGGTCTAACACCCTTAGAATCCATTCGCAGTGTTCCTCATTTTCACTCTGTGAGTGTTCCAGTGTACTTAGAGAATCCTCTCCACACTGCAGTCTTTGTTGTCATCTTTATTCCCATAGTGCTGAAGAGCAGCAGCTGCTTGATCTCCTCAGGACCTGCGTCAGTTGGCATTTCACCACAATCAACTCCAAATAATACTTGATTAATCATAAGCCAGTGCATGATTAATCCATTTCTCATTGACAAGTAGCTCAACATTCAGGTAACCCGAAGAAATGACCAAATTAACCTTCAATTACTGTGTACGATGGTCATCTACCTCCTAATATGAAAATATTTATCAGTCAGAGTCCATCAAAAAAAAGCACATCAGTTTTTTTTTAAGAGAAATGATTTAACTTATGGAATTATTAACTATGTCTAAATGTATTACTTGTGTAAAAGAAAAAGAAAAAAAAGAGAACATGAAGGTGCGTGGAGGTAGCAGCTGCAGGAAGCAGCCACCATTGTTAGGACTGGGGGAAAAAAGCATGGAAGTTGGAAATTGTAAAACCTAGAAGCTGGAAGGAGGGACCCGTAGTATTGAAACTAAGAATTCTAATGAGGGGGCTCTGCTTAGCTGGTGGTGATGGGGGATGAGGTTAGCTCTACAAGTATTGGAAAAACTGAAAACTGGATGCAACTTCTGTTACAGGAAGTAACTACTGTTACCAAGATAAACGCATTGCTAGGGGAATAATGCTCATAGGAACAGGAACAGGAACAGGTAGGAAGCAAACAATTTGCAATACTTTGGTGCTCATGCTTATTTTGCAATCAAACTACATTTTGAAAAGTTATAGCATAGAAAACTATTGTTAGGGCAAAATAAAGATTAAATACTGAAAAACAAGTGAAAATAGCACATGCCCAATATATATAGACAAGAGTAGTAGAAGATGTTCCCTTTCCATCCCTCTCATTTGTGTGCATATGCAAAAGCAAAACATTTGTATGTATGTGGATGTATCCAAGCAAAACATTTGGAGTTCATACAAATTAGGGACATAAATTTATTTCCATTCCTTGACTAGAAATTGTCATGTCAAAGAAATTTGTGAGTGTATAATGTCAAAAATACCACTTTCTATTGTATATTTAGTTCCTTTTGAGGGAAAAAAATCTGATAAAACATTGTCTAAAATGTGATATAACTTCAAAAGTTGCTAAATGAAGTTATTATGTAAGTGTTCACATGAGTTTTAGGTGTGGCTGTGAGAAGAAAGAAGTAAAGTTGCCTTTATTTTCAGATTACATGGTTGTTTATGTAGAAAACCTTAAGGAAAAATCCGATAATATTAGTGACTAATATGAATTTAGCAAAGTTGCAGGATAGATATCTGGTCTATACACAAAAATAAATTACATTTCAATCTATGAGTAATAAGCAATTGGAAATTTAGACATACAAATAGTATGATTTATAATAGTATAAAAATAATAAATACTTTGGGATGAATTTATAAAATACACCAGTCTTATATGCTTTAAACTGAAAAATATTAAAGAATATGTAAGTAAAGGGAGAGATATCATATCTTGTGAATGAATTATTGGTCATCAGAGAAAGGTAAAATAAAACCACAACTAGATACTATACACGTACAGTATAATGACTCAAATAAAAGATACTGATAACACCAAGTGTTGGTGAGGATATGGAATAACTGAAATTCTCATATATTCCTGGTGAGAATCAAAATGGCACAGCAATTTTGGCTAGCAGTTTGGCAGTTTCTTATAAAGTTAAACATGTACCCACCATATGATCTAGCAATCCCAGTCCTATATGTCCAAATAAATAGAATCGTATGTCTACAGAATAAATCGTACAGGAATATTCATAGAAACTTCACCCTTGATAGCCAAAACCTGAAGACAAACCAAATGTCCTCAAAAGCATTATGCTAGTAAAAGCCAGACAAAGAAGACTGTATGATTCTATTTATATGAAATTCTAGAAAAGGCAACGATGTAGTGATAGAAAACAGATCTAGGGTTTTGAGGTCTGGAGTTTGGGGGAGAGGTTTAACTGGGAAGGAGAAAGAAAACTTTTTTATGTAGTGGAAATATTCTGTATCATGATTGTGTGATTTTTTTTTTTTTTTGAGACAAGATCTTACTCTTGCCTAGGCTAGAGTACAGTGGCACAATCACAGCTCACTGTAACCTTGAACTTCTGGGATCCCGTGATCCTCCTGCCTCAGCCTCCTAGGCAGCTGGGACTACAGGCATGCACCACTACATCCAGCTAATTTTACAATTTTTCATAAGGATGGGGTCTATCTATGTTGTCCAGGCTGGTCTCAAACTCCTGGCCTCAAATGCTCCTTCTGCCTTAGCCTCCCAAAATGCTGGGATTATAGGCATGAGCCACCATGCCTGGCCAGATTGTATGGTATTTATACAACTGTGGACATTTATCCAAACTCATCAAATTGCTCACTTAAAACTGGTGAATCTTATAGTATGAATCTTATGGTATGTAAATTATACTTCAAAGAAGCTGATTGTTAAAAATTTACAAAAGAAAGCTCAATTGCCTTTCATAAAAGTGAGAGTAACTTATACTTTTACTAAAAGTGTAGCCTCACGCCTCTGGTCCCTTTCTGAGGAGGCAAAGTGAGAAGGCAAAATGAAAGTGAATACGACTCAAAATTGTCCTTAGCTTAGGGGAAATATAAACATAAGGTATAATTTCTTGGGACCATTCACCAAGGGAGCAAGACTATCTTAAAGCATGGTTTTTTGCTTTGTTTTTGAAACATGTCTCAGACTCTTTATTAAAACTCTTTATTAAAAATATCACCTTAGGTTTTGTTTCACTTGGTGTTTTGTAATTGGGATGTCAAGATTAACATCATGTGTTAGTGAATATGAAGATAATTCTGTGCGTTGTGTCACCGAGAAGAGTATACTCTCTAAAACAAAAAATGTCCTGTGTTCTATTGCTTCAATATGCGCGTCAGAAATGACAAAAGCTACCTTGTTTTATTTTGTTATTATTATAAAGTTTGGGGAAACCTTTAAGTCTACAATATAATCTTTAAGAGAAATGCCTATTTATTTTAAAAGATAACTGGCATGTGCTTAACTATATGTGCCATGCTAGGATTTTATATCTCATTCTAATTTAATTAAAATTAATTCTAGTCTTATCCAGAGTGTAGATATTATCTCTTCTTTTGTCTTTTTCTTTTCTTTTATTGGATGAGCCACTGAGGCTAAGGAAGGCTGGGTGACTTGTTCAAGCTCACAAAGCCAGCAAGTGGTACAGCTTGCAAGGGATATAAGCAGGATGTGGGCGTCTGGTTTCAAAGTCCATATTCTTTTTATTCCAGCCATCCTTCCTTCAAAATAAAAAAGTGAAGGATAAGGGGCAGAGATGAACAGTAATATACTGCTCTGGGGGACAGTAAAATCTGTGAGTTTCAGAACACAGACCTGCTCTTTCCAATAAGAAAACCTAGGAGTTCTGAGACGTGGACTCAAGCATTCCAAGTACCAAGAAAAGCCAGTGTTTGTGCAGTGGAAATTAAATCGGGATCTCTGAGGATAGACCAAGGATTGCTATATATGTATTTATATGTAGATAAATGTATGTGTCTCTGTATATATGTACACACACACTGTGTTAGTCTGCTCAGACTGCTGTAACAAAATGCCATACACTAGGTGGCTTAAACAACATACATTATTTTTCACAATTCTGGAGGCTGGGAAGTCCAAGATCAAGGTGCCAGAAGATTCAGTTCCTGGTGAGGGGCCCCTTCCTGGCTTGTAGACAGCTCCCTTCTTTCTGTGTCCTCATATGACAAGCAGAGAGGGAGAGAGAGAGAGAGAGAGAGAGAGAGAGAGAGAGAGAGAGCGAGCTCTGGTCTCTCTCTTCTGATGACACTAATCCCATTATGAGGTCTCTAACCTTGAGACCTCATCTAAACCTAATAACCTTTCAGAGGCCACCTCCAAATACCATTGCATTGGGGATTAATGCTTCAACATATTTATTTTGGGGGATACCGACATTTCACTCATAACACACACACATGCACAGATGTACACACCCCCTAAGTGATTCTCATGTGCAGCAAAGTTTTGAGAACCATTGCTTTAGAACAGTTTCTCCCAAGCTTTAGTGTGCCTCAGAGTCACTTGGAGATCTTAATAGACAGATTGATGGCCACCACCCCTAGAGTTTCTGACTCTCTAGGTGTGGGGTGGGGCTCCAGAATTTGAATTTCTAACAAATCCCCAGGTGATGCTTAAGCTGCTGGCTCACTTGGAAAATGACCATTTTAGAACTCAGTAAATTCTGACATATACATCCTAGGGAAGATTCCCATATGTAGTAGAAGTTATACAGGTTTGACATTAAAGAGATAGACTTAGCCTGGAGATAAAGATCTGAAAGTCAAGAGTACATTTATAGCTATGGTATCTACTGGGCATCCAACAGTTTTCTAAATTAAAAACAGAAAATAATTGGAGGAAATGCAAGAAAGAATAGCTTAAAAAGCAGTTTAAGAGGAAAAGGAGGAAGGAGGTCTCAGGAGGACACTGCAAAAAGCAATAGAAAATGCTGCCTTAGGAAAATACATGGTATGCCAGAAATCTTAGGTAGAACAAATAATGTTCACTGTTTTTGTGAAACTATAAAGGTAGATTCACCCTGTCTGTATTTCCTAAACCACAGAAGGAATAGAGTGTATAAAAGGAGAAAGTTTTACCTTTAAAGTCACGATGACATTCCAGTGCAAGGTGAAGGAAACATCACACTTGAATTTCATGTTTCTTTTGATAAACTTTCTTTGAACACTGGGGCCCAGGCTAAATGTAGTTCCAGTGTGTAATACTACCTCTGTAAGAAAAGCTGACTTATGCTAGATGTTTTTTTAAAATGATAAGCATATCGTTATCATGGAAGACTATAGTGATCTAGAATTAAACGAAAAAATGAGAACAAAAAAAGGGAAAGGATTAGTATAATTGTTCTGGAATCAAGAGTTCCTGTTCTCTTGCTAGAATTAGGTTAAACAAAGTTTTTAAAACTATTATAAGGGGTTTCAATTGTATTTTACAAAGCTAAGTGGGCATGACACATTTTGCTTTATTTTCATTAAATAAAATTAAATTTGATTCCAAGTTCCAATACCACAGATACGGTGGCAAATTCCCTCTCAGTTATTATTGGGACTCCTTCCCTATTACAAATGTCATACAAGGAATCTTTAGCAAAGTAGGCTTTTCTGGGATGTGGGCTTCATTCTGGTTTCTGCTAAGAAGGCCATGATCCTTAAAAGTCCACAGGTGCTGTTGCACTTTCCCACGCAACTCTCAGGGCCTGGGAATCTTAACCAAGGTTAGATGCCTTTGAACCAAGTCTAGACTCAACTTGCCCATCATGAAGCCATCACCAGCCCTCCTTCCTCTCCACACCAAATTCAAACTTTTGCTTTAGGTTCTTCAATATAACCCGACTCAAGGCAATGGCCAAAGGAAGTGGATGGGCATGACTTCATGATAATAGACATGGGCCACCAGGTTCTTCCACAAGACAAAAACTTATAGTGTATCTTAATCAGGGGCTATGCCAACATCCTAGGACACGATTATGATCAGACAAAAGGCTTTGTCCAACTATACAGAGGCTCATTTTAAAAAGCACTATTGGGTGTGCGCAGTGGCTCACACCTGTAATCCCAGCACTTTGGGAGGCTGAGGCAGGTGGATTGTTTGAGTCCAGGAGTTTAAGACCATCCTGAGCAATATGGCAAAATCCAGTCTCCGCAAAAAATACAAAAATAAGCTGGGCATGGTGGTTTATACCTGTAGTCCCAGTTACTGGAGAGGCTGAGCTGGGAGGATTGCTTGAGCCCAGGAGATCGAGGCTACAGTGAGCCTTAATTGTGCCACTGTACTCCAGCCTAGGTAACAGCAAGATGCTGTCTCAAAAAAATAAAATAAAATAACATAAAATAAAATAAAATAAAATAAAATAAAATAAAATAAAAAGCACGATTTGCAGTGTGTGCTGCAGACACACTTTCTACTCCCCACCCCACACACACACTTTGAGAATCACTGTGGTAACAGCTTCTATTACCTATTGGAGTACAGCATTTTTCTGGTGTGGCAGAAAACCACAGCTCTAAGACACATGGTGGAATATGAAGACCCCTATCAGATAATTCTAAGTGAGAAGAGACCTTCTACCCAAAAATAGGCACAAAAATGTGCAGTAGCAGCCAAAGGTGAGGAAGAATTTCTGGCTTACAGTAGAGCCTCAGAAAATTTTTTAAAACCTCAGGTACTTTTTAAAGATGTCCCAATAAAACTTATATATAGAACTTCTGCTTCTGGGAAGATGCAGTAGCTGTATTTTTCCCTATTCTTTCAACTCAGCGCAACTGAATCCAAAAAATGGAATTCTAAAACCTGTTAAAAAATATATAGGAAGATAAGGCAGATGAAACAGAGAGAACAACAGAAAACAAACAAACAAAAAATCAAAGAGTAGATATCTAATTTATTTATTTTGTTATTGTTGCTTGTGCTTTTGGTATCATATCTATCTATGGAATTATTGTCTAATCCAAGGTCATGAAGATTTACATCTATGATTTCCTCTAAGAGCTTTATCGTTTAGGCTTTTACATTTAAGTCTTCCTTGGATCCATTTTTAATTAATTTTTGTGTATGGTGTGAGGGAGGATTCCAACCCCTGGCATGTTTTTGGAAAATCAATTGGCCATAAATATAAGGACTTATTTCAGGATTTTAAATTCTATTCCACCTACGCTGGTAACACACTGTCTTAATTACCGTAGCTTTGTAAGTTTTGAAATTGGGAAGTGTGAATCCTCCAATTTTGTTTGAGAGTTTTGACTATTCTGCAACCCTTGCCTTTCCATATGTGTTTTAGAATTAGCTTTCAATTTCTGCAAAGAAGTCAGCTGGTATTTTTATTGGAATTGCATTGAATCTGTAGATCGATTTTGGGATTATTGCCATTGTAACACTATTAAATGTTCTGAGCCATGAACATGAAATGTTTTTCTATTGAGTTATGCCTTTAACTTGTTTCAATAATGTTTTGGGGTTTTCAGTACATGAGTTTTACACTTCCTTTGATAAGGTTATTTGTATTTTATTCTTTTTGATGCAATTTTAAGTCAAATTATTTTCTTGGTTTTATTTTTGACTTATTCATTACTACTATATAGAAATACAAATAATATTCGTGGTATCTTGGAAACTTGCTGAACTAATTGACTAGTTTTAATAGTTTTTAGTAGATTCCTAGAGGATTTTCTATATACAAGATCACGTCATCTAAAAATAGAGATAGCTTTCCTCCTTCCTTTTCAATGTGGATGCCTTTTATTTAATTTTGTTGCCTATTTTCCCTGGCTAGAATTGCTAATACAATGTTGAATAGAAATGACAAAAGCAGACATCTCTGTTTTGTTTCTGATATTCACTATTAAATGCGATGCTGTGAGTTTAATATGCGACCTTTTGTATCTATTTTTTGACACCAAAAGGATCATATCAAGCTTACTAATTTTTAGCCTGATTTTCCCCCATTATACCACAAACATTTCTCCATGCTATTAAACAGTATTTTCTACATCACTTTAATGGCCACATGCCAGTCTATTGTACGTGACCACCCTTTAAAATTAATTCTTTCATTGTTTTTCTAAGTTTAGTAATTCCAAAAATTATTCTATAATCCCATGTAGTTATATCCATAGCTTTTTACTTAGGTTCATATCTGAGAAGTAGCATATCTGAGTCAAAAGGTACGCACCATGTGATAGATTTTCATATTCATTTAATTTTTATTCTGCTTATTTTGTTTCTCTAACTGAATTGTCAGCTTCTTTAGGGTAGAACCTGAATTTTGCTTTTGGGTATCTTCCATAGGACCTACACAGGGCCATTCACCAGAAGGTGCTTAGGGAAAATATTTAAAGGACAGGAATTTTTTTTTTTTTGTCAACAAATTATTTATTCTTAAACATCCCTCATTATATCTAAGATATTCCAACTGTTCTTTTTTTGTGTTTGTGTGATATAAAATGACACATGCACACATATACCTTTTGATAAAATTAAACATTTTTGATATACTTTATCCAATTTTATTTTATAGTTATTATTTCTATAAGTGTCTGATTATCAAAGGTATTTCAAGTCTTTCTTTTTCTTCTTTTTATTAGAGACAGAGAAGTATGGGTGTTTGGTGAATAAAGTTAGTACAAATTTTAGCTGCTTTTACATTAATAGCCAGACTGAGTTAATATCTTCAGCTTGTCTAAACAATCATCACAGGTAGTAACAATAAAATTTTGCAGCTAAATACACACAAATTGAGAAATTGGGTATGTTTAGTAGGCAGTTTGCAGAGGCAGCAGACATCAGGAACAAGATGAGTTAAAGAATGACAGGGGAGGAGACATGTGAAATAATATGAAAGGACCCAAAAGAAAATTCACGGAGATCTGTGCCAGGTTAAACAAACAGGAAAAGATAATGGCTATTAAATGTGAAGAATCTGAGCGTTTGTCCTATGAGAGTTTACTATCTTATACATTGCTATTCGGATATTACTGTGCTAAAGAACAAATGACATTTTGTTTAAAAAAAAGAGTGAAATCTTTCTCATACTGGACGCTGTTTGACTTCAAAGTTGTGTTTCAAGGAGATCTGTTAGCGCTGTTTCTAGATGTGCTATTTCAAAGCCAGGGACTTTATGTGTATGTACAATTTATCTCATAGCATATGTTAACGAGAAAACCTCTTTTATGAAATTTCACTCAACTGTTAGCAAAGTCCATGCCTTTTAAAGTTCAGAGATTTCAGAGTTTCTTATCAAGACATCTACACGTGTATCTCCAGCTCCTTAGCAAGGAATATAAACATGCAAAAGATTAGCTCATTTGTTAATTTTTATTGAGATGCAAAATGGTAATATTGTGTTGGATGCAGTGCTTGGAGTCCTTGTCCTTGGAGATTTTAGATTTCAAGTAGTGAGATAAAAATATAATAAAACAAGGTTATAGTGATATAGTATAAATATCTATTATGCAGCCTTATATATCCAAACTGCTTAAGACCAAGACAAATCCAAAACATTGAATATCTATACAATCTGTGGAGATGTTTTTGAGGAGCTAGAGGCACAGGGACTAGAGGAGTCAGATAAAGTAAGAATATGTTCTGTTGTGCAAGGAGCCAAAGATTCTGAATGAGATGGGGGCTTGAGACGAAAGCATGAAGTGGGCAGACATGATTTCAGATGCCCCCTTTTCCCCCATCAAATTATAAAGCAGGAGTTATATTCATTTCCTCAGTTCAGGAGAAAGAGAGGAAGATTTTAGGAGATGCTAGGTCTGTATATATACTGGGTGGGGGAATGGTTTTGTATTATTTTGTGATATGGTAAGTTAGGCGCAGCCACAGGGAGATAGAGGACAAGCTCAGGGGGAATTATTTTTTATTATGCTCACAGGTCCTAGAGACAATTAGTATGATATGCCACATAAAGCCACGTGGGAAAAACACCAGGGTGGTTAGGAGGCAGAAAACAGGCGCAATGGGAGTCCTTAGGCCACAGTCTTAGGTTTCCAGGGGAAAGGGAGGGCCAGGGCAGAGCCAACAGTTTAGGATTGGCTCCTTTGAATAATTTCAGTGAGCTCTAAACCACAGGAGGGGTCCCTAGTTACCTAGCACCTGGCTCTAGCATGATTAAGACAGAGGAATGTTGTCTCCTAGAGGGTATGGGCCAGATAGAGAAGATGTGGCTCTGAACTGCTTAGTTTGTATATCAAAGACACTCTCCCAGCTGGGTCCTTTGTTATATTCCTGAGTTGGCTGGCCCAGAAAAAAAGCAGCCTCTTCTCCACCCAATATATTTTTTTAAGATGTCAAAACATCATAATATACAGAAAATTAAAAATTCTTACAGTATAGGAATATAATGAAAAAAATGCTAAAACCTATGGATCAGCAGGATCAGTGGAACACTCAAAAGAGTTCATCCTCCTCTTCTAGGGGCATGGTGCTATCTTTGTTTGGATCCTGACACCATCCACATATAAGGCTGGGAAGGGACATGCCAAAGCTGGATGAACTAGAAGGGTATTACTGGCGGGTCTTTGTTCTTGGAGCTCCCAAGATGGTGGCAAGCCTTTTGTCCTCTGACCTGGGGTTCTTGGCCTCACAGATTCCAAGGAATGGAACTGTGGGCCATGCAGTGAGTGTTATAGCTCTATTAGAAGCTGTGGGTCATGGAAGAGAACCGTGGAACCCTGCGACTAGTGTTCAGCTTGATTAGGACAGAACCCGGGCACTTAGCCGTGCAGAAACAATAGCGAGCTTCTAGCCCAATTGGGAGCGGCAGTGGGCGCCTCGCTGGATCAGAAGCACAGTGGACACCCTGCTGGATCCAGAGGGATGGAAGTCAGTGGAGGGTCTGCGACAGCAGTGATCAGCAGTGGTGGACGGCGAGCGAAAGCTCAGCTGGAGCCGGAACAAACACGGACCAGAAGAGCGTGCAGTTGCGAGATTTAATAGAGTGAAAACAGAGCTCCCATACAACGGAAGGGGACTCAAAGGGGGTTGCCACTGCTGGCTCCAATGCCTGGGTTTATATATCCTGATCATTGTCCCTCCCTCTGTGCTCTCAGGTGATAGATGTTTGACTCTTTACTTCCTGCTTTTGGCCTAATTGGTATTTTAGTGAGCTCTCTTTACTACCTGATTGGTCAGGTGTGAGCTGAGTTACAAGCCCCGTGTTTAAAGGTGGGTGCAGTCACCTTCCCCAGCTAGGCTTAGGAATTCTTAGTCAGCCTAGGAAATCCAGCTAGTCCTGTCTCTCAAGGGGATCCAGGATGCTGAGAAACATGTTATTAAAGTAATCAACTACAGGTGTGTCATTTCCATTGTGCCCTCAATTGTTCAATTCACAAAGTCTCCCTCTTTATTTCTGTGGCTGCTAATCTAGTAGGATTATTATCTACCCATGCTTGGGCCACTACACTAGACCCCTATGTGGTAACCCTTACAGGGCCTGCCCTCTTACCACTTATGATTAATCTTTTCACATCAATGATCAATCTTGGCAAACCTCACTTTCGGCTTGGCTGACTCTGCCTCTTTGAAGTTCCACTTCAAGTTCATGCTTTACCAACATTGGGATTCAGCAAATGATATCCAAAAGTATGGTGCTTTGGCCTGCAGAACACTTTGAATTAAAAGAAATTGAAAGACCTTAGAAGCTGCCTCAGAACCATGGACTTCTAACCTCTTGTTCCTCTCCCTGCCTAATGCAGGGAGGGGCTCTCTCCCTGGAATTTCCTTATCTGATGGGGGAAATTTTATCCAAAAGAAATGCAATTGTCTTAAATACCCTCCTTAAGAATCTCATTAAAAATCCAGGAAAGATTAACTAGTCATCACCATGCCCAGACAGACTTTTCATCTATTCTTCTGAAGGCAGTTCTAAGAGATTAACCAAGAGACTTTATCGGTATGGTAGGACAACCTTTGTCCTGCAACAACAATGCAGTTCTGTCCCTCCTCATTCTGTAATTTGTAGGTTCCATTAAGGTTCCTAAGGGAATCATTTACAAACTATTGTCTTCTTTTGGAGCCCATTCATTTCCCCTGAAAATCATTAAATACTCCTCACAATTGTCTACATCCCCCATTTCCCTCTCCACTATGAAGACTCAACGATCTGTCCCTTCTTTGAGTCTTTAAGACTCAACGATCTGTCCCTTCTTTGAGTCTCATTTTGTGTGGCTTCTGTGCTTACACATATTAATAAATGTGTATGCCTTTTCTCCTGTAAATCTGCCAGTTGATTCATTTCAGCAGCCTGGAACCTTCAGAGCGGGATGAAGAATTCCTTTTGCCCCTACATAAATAATTCTTCAAACTCTTTCATGAATTGTTATGAACATTATTTCATACAGTTCTGTTACAGTGGGTAGCTAATGAGGCATGAACAGGGCAGAAGAGGGCTCCCCACACCCCACCAGGGATGTAAGGCAACCATCAGGTGATGGTCAGGCAGTTGTCATGTGTCTCTCTAAAATAATAATTGGTA
Source organism: Homo sapiens (assembly GCF_000001405.40). Classification (NCBI taxonomy): domain Eukaryota; kingdom Metazoa; phylum Chordata; class Mammalia; order Primates; family Hominidae; genus Homo; species Homo sapiens. The sequence continues at coordinate 80,402,252 of NC_000014.9, read as the reverse complement.
ACAGCTGGTGCCAGGGAAGGGCCATCTCCCAATAGAAACACCTGAAACTGGTGATCAGTAGCTTCCTGATAAGATCTCAGGAGGTGGGTGAGTGGGCCCAAGCACGCACATTAAGAGGAAACATGGTGGAGTTTAACTGGTATATGAACTTGGAGGGACATTCGACAGGTAAGGGAAGAATACCTCAAGTGAGCCTGTGTACAACTACAGTAAACACACTGCACATGCTTACCTCCCAAGTGCTGGCAGGCCACTGCACATGCAGACAGCCCACCCCAGGGGAAGAATCAGGGGAGAAGGGATGCCAGACCCCAAAAGTATGCCAACATATAAAACCCCAAGTTAAAAGGTCAAACAGTGCCCTTGACTCTCTCAAGTCACCTGCTTGGCCCTCTTCCAAGTGTACTTCACTTCCTTGCATTCCTGCTCGAAAGCTTTTTGATAAACTTTCACTCCTTCTGTAAAAACTTGCCTCAGTCTCTCCTTCTGTCTTATGCCCCTCAGTTGAATTGTTTCTTCTGAGGAGGCAAGAATTGAGGTTGCCACAGACCCACACAGATTCGTTGCTGGTAACATACTTTAGTGCCATGTCTCAGGTATATTCTGCCGCTAACAGTTTTTTTTATTTTTTTGTTTTTATTATTTATTTATTTTATTTTTATTTTTATTTTTATTTTTGAGACAGAGTCTCATTCTGTCACCCAGGCTGGAGTGCAGTGGCACTGCAACCACTGCCTCCCGTGTTCAAGTGATTCTCCTGCCTCAGCCTCCCAAATATCTGGGATTAAAAGCATGCAGCACCATGCCCAGCTAATTTTTGTATTTTTAGTAGAGACAGGGTTTCTCCATGTTGTCCAGAATGGTCTCGATCTCCTGACCTTGTGATTCACCTGTCTCGGCCTCCCTAAGTGCTGGGATTACAGGCATGAGCCACCGTGACCAGTTTAACAGTTCTTTTATCAAATCTTTAGACCTTGCCCCACCTAGGTCGGAATTTTTAGTTTTGCTTCTGTGCTTTTGCTCAGCTGTTTTCTTAGCCCCACTTCCCTTGAATTAGATTCTACTTATTCTTCAAGGCCCAGTCTAAATTCTATTTTTAAAAAGTCAATTTTAAAAAATATTAAAAAATTATTCCGGTGACAGATTATACATTCTATTTTTAACTGGAAACCTTGGGCTACATACTTCAGCTTGTGACTGCTTATTTTTCTTTTTCTGTTTGTTAGTGTGGGGAAGACAAATATAATTTTCTCTCTACCCTTCTGAGTTCTTAGTTGGAATGAGATCCTGTAACAAAAGATAGATTAACAAGGAAAAAGCCTATAGAAGGTTGTTAGAGTGTATACCTCATTTATACATGGGTGATACTCAGGGAAAATAAGTCAATCTTAAAGAGGTGGCTTTGAGTTCGGGCTGAAATACCATCTTCAACTGAAACAAAGGAGGATATTGGGGGACGCTGTAATGAGGAGATGATCAGGAAAAGCTTGGTGAACAAGGGTAAGGTTTGTTACACAGATTTTTGTTGGTGCCTTCTCTGTTGACATTAGTTTCTCATAATTTAAAGTCATCCTTCTCTTCTTGGTACAGCGAGAGAGACACCCTTACACATGGAGATTTCCTTTATAGATATACATTTCTTTTCAAAAGGGAAACTTCTACTCTGTTTTCAGAGCTTCTCAAAATAAGTTTCTCAAAATAATTAGCACAAAATATTTTGAGAGCCCTGTTTTGGAATAGCATATTTAGGTCACCCATAGTCAGCTTTTGGAGTGATATAGTCTAGTCTCTCATTCCAGGAATAAGTCTATTAAGTAGGATTCTGAGAAAGAATTGATCTCATATAACATTCTGTTAAATCCAGTATTTCATATATTTCCATTCTGCTTTCCTAACCATATTGTAATCATTTTGACAATGGTAGCCACTGGGCACCAAGCAGTAACCCATAGTACATGCTTGTTGACAGAGGAAGCCATATTGAATAAGATAAAATGTCACAACCATGCAATGTATAGGGAAATGATCAGGAATTGAATGGCACTAGTCAGACAGTTTCTAAACAAGGTAATATAGTTTCACAAAGGTTTTTGTGTCTTTGCTTTTCAAAGGCTAAGAATGCCAGGAACAGGAAAGAAAAATTCCGGATATTATGTGGCCCACTGTGTTGTTTGGTGCAAACATCCTAGGGAAACTGGAACTTGGAATATTTGATGAGCCCTCCAACTATGGCATGTTAACCTGGAGTGTGCTGTATTTTCTTTTATTTCTCAGAATCCCTGTAATTATTAATAGTGGAGATCATCCAAGGGCAAAGAATGTGTGGTCCTTCTGACGAGGGGCCAGGTTCCATAAATAAAAGAGCTTACTAATTATCATCTCTTCCATCTCAAGTCCATTTCTGCCACCCAAAGCAATGAAGCACTTCATTAAAAAACATTACTATTTTATTTAAAATGCTAAATTAATTTAGTATTCCTTTTAATTTCCCGGGAGACTTTGAAGAGATTATGGAACCATCTGTGTATGCCCAGAAGTGATAATAATAATACTAGGAGAACCTGCCTCAGACTTGCTGGCCTTTTCTCTTTCAAAAGTGGCCCAAACGGGACCATTGCTTTTACTGAGTAGTTATAGTTACTTTCTTTTAAACTGGTAAGAAAGGAGACTATACTTGCAATTCTCTTTTAGGACATAGGTCTGTCAAAAATGAACTATACTGAAGTGAACAGTTCATGAAGACTATTTAATGGGGTTATTCAGTAATCAGAGTTCATGAAAAAGTTGAGCAAGTTCATTCTTGACTTGTTTTTATTCACTAAGTATCCTTTGGTAGCTTAGTGAAGTGCCTGAACCACTTGTTTGCCAGCTATAAAGCTGTTGTTTCTCAGCTCCAAGCCAACCTCTCTAAACTCCATGTTGTGATGCTGGGGCTAGGACTTTGTAAACTACATTTCAGCATGGCCAGCTAGCCCCTGCTAGGTTCTACCAAAAGGGGACACTACAGGAAGATGGCAAGGCTGGAAAAGGGAGAAGGAATTTTCTTCTTCCTGTTTGTTTTTCATGGTCTTCCCACTGTGCAATACTTCACATTTGCAGCAGCAATACCTTCCCATAACAACAGCTGAAGTCATTTGTTGTTTTCGTTTTTTCAACCCTTGCAGAGTTGGGTTATCCTGAAACTGCCTTTGCAAAAATTATAACTGAGTCAAGTATTACAGTGAAAGATACCTGACCTAACTGACTCCGTCTTGCTTCTAACTTCCATGCTGTCCTTGTTCATTGATGGTGGACCAAACTTATTTTGGGAGGAACTTCGTTTATAGTTTACCTTTGAAGTAAAGATAATAGCCCTTTCCCAAAACAAACCCATTTCCTGCCTGGGGACTATATTGTCTTTATAGGACTAACAAATTTGCCACAAGATTATTACAGTTTAGGAGTCATGTAGCCAGAGGCTGCAAGATTCTGAACCTCCCCAGATTGCTTCTAGGGATAACATCACTGTTGTAAAACTTAAGATCAGTGCTTGAGATATTTTTGCAGACCTTTTTCAGTACTTGACATCACATGACTGCAAAGCTGAAAATATTTACTATCAATAATATAGTAAAATATTTGCTAACAGTACTTTGTTTCAAAGTTTACTGAACAATAACTCAGTGTTCTATTCTTGCCGTGTTAGTTAACAAGTTTATACTGAACTAATTTGTTAAATATTAAATTCCTTCAGTTCAAATAACTGATATAGTTTCTGTCTCCTGCTTGGACCCTGACTGATACAGAAATTGATTCCACAAGTGATCTCAGGTAACAGACACTCCAAAATGGGATTTCAAAATTGGTTTCTTCATGTTCTTGGGTTTGAACACAATGCTGAAATTATATACTAGTAATCTATGGCATGTAGTAGCAATTCATTCAATCAAATTACCACTATTAGTGATTGTGATGAAGTGCCTGCTGAGACAACTGCCTAAGAAGCTGCTGAACTTGACCATTATGGCAGTAACAATGATTATAAGAACTTTGGTGTGGAATGGGTTTTCTGATAGCACTGAATCTCTTATAAAAAGAAAATGACAAACTCATAGACTCAGAGAGCTTCTACTGCTTCCCTAAAAGAATATTTTATTTCCACAGGGATAAGGTATTAGTTCATTTTCATGCTGCTAATAAAGACAGACCCAAGACTGAATAATTTATAAAAGGAAGAGGTTTAATGAACTCACAGTTCCACATGGATGAGGAGGCCTCACAATCATGGCAGAAGGCAAAGGAGAAGCAAAGGCACATCTTACATGGTGGCAGGCAAGAGAGCTTATGTGGGGGAACTCCCCTTTAAAAAACCATCAGAACTCATGAGACTTATTCACTATCAAGAGAACACCATGGGGAAGACCTGCTCCCAGGATTCAATTACCTCCCACCAGGCCCCTCACACAACATATGGGAATTATGGGAGCTACAATTCAAGATGAGATTTGGGTGGGGACACTGCCAAACCACGTCAGCTAACAGTGCTAAAAATCAAACACAAAATTTAATTGGGCAGGTTAATTATAACAAAAGTAAATTTATACCTTTTCCAAATCCCTCATGTCTGATCTGAGGGAAAAATGCATCCCTATCAGTCTGCTGAGATCTATCAACCCCTTCTCTGACTATTGCTTTAGATGCATAAAATAAAATTAAATAAAATATATAGAAATAGAAAATAAAATATGAAACCAATTATATTGGAATACAGTAACCAAATGTTTTAAAAAGCATGTTATTTACATTAATGGTTTAAAGAACAATATCTAGTGGTAAGTCTTATAAGGGAAATACATTTGAATATTTTTTGACATGTCTGCACCAACTATAATTTAATATGAAATATCTATGATTTCTATTGTTGATAAAGTCATGGGTAATGATAATACAAATGCTCCTTGACTTACGATGGAGTTATATCCCAATAAACCCATAATAATTTGAATATCTTAAGTTTAAGATGCATTTAATGCGACAGACTACAGAACATCATAGCTTAGTGTAGCCTACCTTAAACATGCTGTGAATATTTACCTTAGCCTACAGTTGGGCAAAATCATCTGGGAACATAGTACATGGTAGAGTATCAGTTGGTTACCCTTATGGTCATGTGGCCAACTGGAATCTGAGGCTCGCTACCGCTGCTCAAAATCGTGACAGAGTATCATACTATGTATTGCTAGCCTGGGGGAAAAAACCAAAATTCAAAATCTGAAGTATAGTTTCTACTGAATGCAAATTGCTTTTGCACCATTGTAAAGTTGAAAAATCACAAGTCCGGTATAAGTAAAATCCTAAGTCTGGGACCCTGTAGTACAGATTGATTATTTGCCAATATTTTTATTATTGAAAAAAAAATCTTAAATTTCAGTTGCGTTAATAAAACAAGGATGTATTTTTTTTATTCTTTAAGTTTACTCATCTTCTGAATTACATTCATGTACTCCAATTTAAGAATCGCTGTTTTAGCAGTATAGGTATTCTTGAGAAGTTAGCTAAATTAGTCGAAGTTAATTAGAGAAGCACCAAGGTTGGAGGGTTCCTTTAGTCTCCTTTTAAGTCTTTCTACTTACAACTCACCTTTGTATCTTCGTTTCTTACCTCAGTGATCTCTTCATCTAGGAAACTGGATAAAGTACATCTATGTGCATCTATATTCCCCAGGACTTTTGCTATCAAAGCATTTATGATACTTTACTATTAAAGTACTTTAGAGTACTGTACATTCCCCATCAAAGGGGATATGACACTGCTCATTTGCCTTTATGTATTCTCTCCACTGGACTATAAGCTGACTCCTATTACGGATCATGTCTTGCTTGTTCTTGTTATGTCGAGTACAGGGCCTGCTCAATCTATATTTGTGAATAAACAAGTGAATGAATAGAGGAATTTCAAGGTGGAAATAATTTTTTCTTTTATTCATGGCCAAAGGCCTTGACTAGGTATTTTATAAACATGTTGCCATGAGTGGAGATAGAAGAGAGACTGTGATCAACATGTCAATACAAATCTGCCCACGCCTGGAACCTACTGACAGTGATGCAGTAGATGTACCACTTACTGGGGTGGGCAATGTTGGTGTCCTACCCAGCGTTTCTTCCATTTTTTTCTTGCAAATACACTTATAATTTGTTTTTCAATATCAGTATGACATGCATGTACATCAGGGGAGACTGAATCCCTCCTTAGCTGTGGGAGTGGAGATGAGTCTTGATTAGCTCTCTAGTCACAGTAATTGCCATTGAAAGAACATGATTGGTTTAGGCATGGGCATATGATACAACTATGGAGAATGAAGTGTGGTGGCAAGTGTGCTGAAGGGTTTCTAGGAAAGGATAAAAGGACATGCATGGGAGGCAACATTCCTGTTTTCCTCCCTTTCAAAATGGTTATAAGGAGACGATGCGTAGAACTGATGTAACCACAGTGTGATGATGAGAGGAGCAGCTGACTGTCTGAGAATGGCAATGTGGAAAAATCGAAAGAAAGTAGGTCATTTGATGTCGTTGAGATATTGTATTCACTGCTGTACTTGCTATGTGACAACCAGTGTCTTTGTTGTTTAAGCCAGTTTTTGATTGGCTTTTTTTTCTTACTAACATCTCAACGTGTCATATCTGCCTGAGTTTTATAAGTGAGGGGCAGCTTCTCTAATACCCATGCACAGATGTGATAGGGAATTCATTCTGCTGAGATTTTGATACTTCAGAATAACAGAAGTCTGCCACAGTATGCAGGGATTCTTTTAGAGCTACAAAACTCTAGCAGACTAATTTGGAAAGTGGGTAGGGTGCCGGCAACTTCTGAAGCTCACCAAGTAAGAACATTTAAGTCTGGGTGATAAGCACATAAGCATTTGTAGGTGAACTAACCCCAAACACCCTTTTCAAACCGAAATATGCAATGGAGAGGCATTCTTCTGCAGCATGTTATGTGTTACCATGTTATGAAACAGGCTTTGACATTTGGATGTCTACCACTTGGTGAGTGGTTAGTTATAAAATGCTATTGGTTCAACAGATTATACTTCTGGAAAAAAGCCTGGACTTCTGGGATCTTTTTAGTGGCTGGTTTATTTGTATTTCCAAGGCCATTTTTCCAATAAGCCAACACAATCAAATTACATGCAGCTTTGAAGACTTTCTACCTTACAGTTTGACATTTTAATTAGGACTTTAAAGAGATAATAATCACAGCCCACAACTTCCCTAATGTTACCTAGAAATGGGCCAGTTAATTAGGATCCCAGAAAAACCACTGCATACATTTCTTTTTAATTGTTTTTCCAAGCTTCCATCACCACATCTCTTGGCTTCACCTCAGACCAAATCAAACAAACAGCAGGGAAATGTTTGATCTCTCTGGCCTTCAAAAAATCTAAGGGTGCAAATAATTCAGTTTGTGTCTACCATCTAAAAATGTATGTTTCACCCAACATAAGACATTTTTCTTTCATTTCAGGATTGCTTTTGAAGGGAAAACCATGCTAGTTCATTTCACTAGCTTATTCTCTGTGGAAGTGATTAAGATCCTGTTCACCTGATCCCTTTGGTTCTTATATCTAGATTTCATTTTTCTTTATCTTTTCTAGGGTAGCATTATGAATGGGTGGTCCCAGTAAAGAATGTTTTAATGCTCACAGACTGCATTTAAATTCCTTCTAAGGGAATTTTTATAAGGTGGAAGGAAACATGAGTCCATCTATTATTGAGAAACAAAGGGGCCCAGGGTGTCATAGCAATTCAAGAAATGAATTCTGTACTTTTGGGTGGGTTATGTGTAACAGGATGCTCTCTGCCTCACCAAGCCTTGTCCCTCCCTATCCCTTGGGTCAATATACAAGAATGGAAATGTGGTAAATGTCTAGAGTTGTTTGTCTAATGCTCTGATGTGTTTGGATACATTTAGGAGGGAGACGTGATTGCTGCTTCTCACAAAGTGTTTAAGGAGTGTAATAATATGCCACTTTGTCATGCTGCCAGGCAAGTACCTTTAGAGTCACTTTTGAACCTGATTACATGTACCTCAGTCTCCGGTTGGATGATTGGTTATGGCATTTATCTCAGTTTCTGAGTCCAGATATTACAAAGTTCCTTTAGTTAAATAGTTGGGCTACTGGTGGTTAATGTGAAGGATATCCTAAGCTTGCAACTTCATTGATGACTTCATTTTCATCATCATGCTAAATGGATTAACTTCAGTCTTGCTTGTTGTCAGAAGCAGATATACTGTGAAGTAAATGAAACTCAAGCTTTAGACTCCTCACTTGCTCGGGCCCCTTCCAAGTCTCAACAAGAGCTCTTGAGGTGCATTGATGTGATCATATGTTCTTGTAAAATTAAAAAAACATAAAATACTAGCAATCAGTTATGAACACAGTGATTTTCACAAGCACTTTTGCATCCACAATTTTGTACTCTTTTTCTTAGTGAGGGGACTCCCAAATTGCATAACTGTTAAGCCCAGCAAACCTGGATTTGTCTCTGCTTCTTATATAGGTAATATACTTTATTTAAGGTTGTAGGTTCTTGGTTAGAAGAGTGTGATGTGTCCAGATAGTTACAGGGTCACTTTTCAAGGTATCTGTCTAGGCAAAGGAGTGTCCCTGAAGTAGGAAGAGTTTGCTTGGAATGTTCTTATTTTCTTGTCTACTTGTTTCCCTGAGATTTCTCCAAATTTGGTATATTTCTCTGATCTTAAAGGCTTAAATGAGTTAAGATATGGGTAGCATTTAGGACAGTGGATGCACATGGTAAGTTTTCAGTGAATGCTAGCTATTATTATTGTATTTGTTTTCTCCAAATCTTGTAGTCTTGTGTTGTGTGTCTTTTTCTAGCTAATAACTTTATTTAGAGAACCAAGCTCAGTTATTATCACCTTGAGAAATGCCCCATTTCCCAGATGCATCACTTGGGTTTTTTTTTCTACTATTAAAAATATTTCTGGCATTATTTTCAAACATCTTGAAGAATAATCTAGTAAAATATTCTACAATGGACTACTGAAAGCTGATGATGGCTGAATAGAGTGACCCAAGATGTCATAGTGAAAGAGCATAGGGTTTAAATGCTGGCTCCACTGCATCCCATCTAGGTGACCACCCTCATTTCACTTCCTTTATCTTAGAAGAAAATGAGATAATACTTTATAAGGATGTTTTAGATACATACAGGGAAATCACAATATCTATAACAGCCTAGACACTGAATGAATAGCTATCGTTATTGTAATCAGGCCATTCTTGATGACTGTGCATCTGAGCCCCAAGAAAGGCATCTTTAATAGAGAAATTCAGAAGATGATTTTCTGTCAGTTGGGGAGATATTCAGAGGCATGGTGATGTGTCTAGTGTTTCTTAAATCTGATGTAGTTAAAATGTCTATGCCTATGAATAGCTTTGTGTTTTCTAAGATACAGGATAGAAAGCAATGATAATATAATATTCTAGCATACTTAGAAATACCGGTAACTCATAGGTCATTTTATAGGGTCTTACAGGAATTGGATTAGAAATTGTAAATCTAGCTAATGGAGTTTGAAGCCTATTCGAATTTGATAAAAATATAATCAGAAATGAAATCTGAATTTATTTGCCTGATTGATCTAACTTTATACTAGATTTCTGTACAAATTTAAGTAATGATTGGTAATGGTTAAAGATTTGTGACATAGCACTTCCAGGCAAATACGGTTAAGAATTAGTGAGAAAGAATTTGCAGGAAAATATGTTTCTCCAATCTCATTTGGATTTCATTCCACCCATCTTCACTCACAATCAGGCACTTAAATTACTGATTTCTACCTTACCTGAAAAATGTGATAAAAATAGCTATAGTATTCCCTTAATGTGCTTGGATAAATTATTTTTTATTATTGATTTATTTGTTTTTATATGAAACAGTCTCTTAATCTCTTTGTCTAATAGGTCTAAAATTGATAAAACTTTCTTTTGAACTTGAAGATATCTGTAGTTTCAAGGGTGTTAGACCTAGTTGGGCATGTCTACACTAACACACATAAACAAAATGGAGAAATTGCTACATGAGAGTATATGGAGCTTTTAAAAACATAAATATGTATCAGATATAAAATATGTAAAATTATAGACTATGAACTTCTTAAGGGCAGCATCTAGCAAAATGCCTGGAACATACAAATGCTCAATATGTATTTGTTAACTAAGTCAACAAATCAATTGGTTTAAACAGAATTAAATGGAATAGTTTGGACCTTATAGAAAAAACTCATGAAATATATTGGAAAATGTGAATATTTGATCCTCTTAGAGGAGTATCAGCAATTTTAGGGGATCAGAGATTTTAGGGTATAGTGAACAGAAAGGCCAACTGCCTCATTTTACACGAGGGAGTCAGTTGGCCAATTTGGTCTCATGCTCTTGACGCTATAGATATCTTCAAGTTCAGAAGAATGTGTTATTAATTTGGGTCCCATTAGACAAAGAAATTAAGAGACAATCTATCCGTTTCATGTAAAAACAAAACAAAACAAGAATAACAAGCAGTTTATCCAAGTAAAATAACTTGTTTAAATAAGAGATGGAACCAGGAGATGGTATAGAAAGCAAATTGAGGTTCACATGGAAACATTCCCATATGTTGTTTCTCCACGTAAATCAGTAAATGATAAGCAGAACTTCTGGGATAATATTGAGAAAATAAGTGCTATGTCAATGACAAGACTTGGTTTCTTCTAAAATTATTTGTCCTTACTTATAGTTACCAATTTCTTTCAGATTAACTCCCAAGGATTGTCCAGACACTTTTGTTAAAAGGAAAACCTATTGTATTGTGTATTGCCTAAATAAAAAAAAACTCATAATCATAGTTAAGAGGTATGAAAATGTCTATCTTTCAAAGGTTTTCATTGTAATGAGGTTTGACATACATCATGCCTATAGTGAAAAGTGCAAATTTAGAAGAAGGTGAACGATGGCAAGTCAGTTTTATACAATTGACAAAACCTGAAGGACAACCACCCACATGGCTCTCATCACTGTCAAAACCCATTTAGCTGAAAAGGAAAGAAAGAGAACAAAACAAAAGAGCACCATGCTTTTGAGGTGGAGACATACTGTGCTACAGGAATGCAGGGTTTCCAGACTGTATATGTCTGTGTTTGTGTGTGACATAGTCTTGACTCACTGGGTACCTGGGTCCTCCTCTGTTTGAGGAATTTGACTTTCTTAACCCTATGCAAAGCTACTTGCTGCAGAGCACAACAAAGCTGGCTATGTGCCAGCTCAAATAACAGCAACTTTTTAAGTCCCCAAGGAAATTTAGCTTCAGCCACATTCTTGAATTCCTTTGAGCAGCCCTCTGGGCTGATGCTTCTTAGAGATCTTCTCTTCAGTAGCAGTTATGAGGCTAGCAAGGTCTGAACTAGTTTCCATACCATATTATATAGCTTTGAAGAGCACTGGGGAGTGAACTACACTAGAACTTTGGTTGATGATCTGTAGAAATGACATGGCACCCCAGAGTAAAATTGCATTATCTTAAAACAAGTGATAAACAATTTTGTCTATTCTTGGTGGTGAGTATAAGATGGTAGGGAAAGTTACAAAATTTAGGCTCATCTAAAGCATTATCTGTGTTTTGATTATAGCTGCAGGTTGAAAATATTAGATTGTTAATTTTGTATATTTCTTTTCAGTGCCCTCAAAAATTTTGGCAGATATATGAGCATAGGCTGCCATCCTTGGAAGGATGGTAAGAAGGAAGGAAAGAGGGAAGGAAGAAACGAAGGAAGGAAGGAGAATGTACAGAGAAAATTGAATATGGACTCATAGATTCTTGGGCCTGGCTGAGCAAATGTTAGTTTTTCAGTGAAATAACTTCTATATGCTGGAACTAAATTGGTATGATGGCTCTGAAGCTAACATCTTTGGTTGTCTTTTTTTTTTTTTTTTTTTTTTTTTTTTTTTGACAGAGTCTCACTCTGTCGCCCGGGCTGGAGTGCAGTGGTGCGATCTCGGCTCACTGCAAGCTCTGCCTCCCGGGTTCAAGCCGTTCTCCTGCCTCAGCCTCCTGAGTAGCTGGGACTACAGGTGCCCACCACCACACCTGGCTAATTTTTTGTATTTTTAGTGGAGATGGGGTTTCACTGTGTTAGCCAGGATGGTCTCGATCTCCTGACCTCGTTATCTGCCCACCTTGGCCTCCCAAAGTGCTGGGATTACAGGCGTGAGCCACCATGCCTGGCCTTGTTTGTCTTTTTTGAAGCATCTTTAGAAATGTCTATTTGTAGGAGAGATATGAGGTTCACAACAATATTTAAAAACCAGTTAGGCATATCAAAAAAAGAAATTTTATTAGAATATTCCCAGTCTTTTCAAAATGTAATCTTGTACCATCTTCCATAATAGGAAACACTGACTAAATAAAGTGTTTCTCAAGCATGGCTGGTATACCAACTTTGAGGGTTAGTTACGACTTTTTGCCAGAACATCCATTTACTTTCCTAGCCTGGGGGAACTGAACTAGCAAATAGATGTCACTTTTATAAGCACACAGTGCCATTTTAATCTACGCTAAATGAAAGAGTTTAAAAGCAAAAGGAAACTTCCAGTCACATAAAACTCTTTCTTGTTAATATCTCAGAGTTGCTTGTAATATTTGGGGTGGTAAGGAGGATGAAGAAATCTCTCTGGCACTTAGCTTTAGGTTGGACAAACCACATTCACTCTATACTCAAGCTTATTTTATTATAGTACATTTTTCCCTTCTTGAATTTTTAATGTCTTCAACATGCCCTTTGACCAGTGACCTCTGCTAGAAATTTCTCTAGATATGTACAATAATTAGACAACACAATGTAGAAGTGTTGTATGTTTCTTATCTGCATCTCATTTGCTTGTACTGACTTAGCCAGTCTATGATCAGAAGATATTATAATTTCCAACCACAAAGAATGTATTTTATTAACTCCTTTTCGAATTCTTCTCACTCAGTGAATGATTCAGAGGGAAAATGCTCAGATTCAGGTGAAGAGAGTCATACCAAATACTTGCCAGACCACAAAAACTTCAGCTGCCTGGGCTTAAGGCTGATTTCAGTCACTTAAGAATTTGGGGATGAAAACACTGTTTACAGTGAACTTGTAGCAATTCTGCAAATGTCACAAGGACAGGGATCATGTCTGTCACCCATTCAGTTGAAAAACAATTTAAGTTTACTTTAATGACTTTTCATCTCTTTATCAGAATTGTTTAGATTGTTAGACTCTAATAATTTATAGACTCCAGGATTAGGGTTTCTTTCCTTAGAGACATTGAAGTTCTGCCCTCGTAATCCTGCTTAGGGGAAGACGGTGTGCTCTGTCTTGCTTTTCTGTCGCTTGTACTTGGGTCTTCGTGTCCTAATTCAGATGCTTTCAAACATGAGTGTGCATCAGAATCGCTAGAAAGCTTGTTAAACTATGGGTTGTTGAGCTCCCTCAAGAGAGTTTCTCGTTCAGTAAGTCTGGTGTGAGACCTGAGAATTTGTTTTTCTAAATAGTTCCCAGGTATGGCTGATGCTGCTGGTCCCAGGCCCAGACTCTGAGAACCAGCCGCCAACCTCCACACCCAGGACATTCCACTTTTCTTTTATTCACAGATAATTTGTTTCTGTTCAGATCATATTCCTTCTCCTCACTTTTACACATGATGCTAAATGTGCTAAACATGCTTCAGCCTTCCATTTAACATAAAAGCATTAAAAATATCTAGCTTTCATCTCAGGTTATTCACCTGGGCATTGTAGGGATACATCTAGTTACCTAAGGATGGTTTGACATTAACTACCACATCTACATTTTGAATCATGCAAACTCAAGCAGACACGGCTGAATCAAGGGCCATAGAATTCTGTTTTGTGATGCAAGCTTATTTTTGTTTCATGATGGAGCTCTCCACCCCACTGGTATAATTTTCTCATCCACATAGCCTCTAGCTATCAGTAAAGGTGTTCTCTAAATAGTTGTTTCAGAAAATAGAAGTGTTCATGTTTTCATACAGTGATGTATTTATTGTTTTAAAGATATTTTTGAATCAGTTATGCCTAGGTTGTTTGGGTGACCTCAAAGTGGGTCATCCAAGTTGGTCATCACCAATAGGCAAAAAGTATAAATATAACCCATGCTAAGTGTAAAACTAAATGCCAAGGAAGCAGTTTATCTTGTTAAATTCTGCCAAGGGCAAGTGACACAGCAGCTGCAGACCAGTTTGTAGAGGCCTGGGGGGCCATGCTGGCACCGGGAAGCCTGGCTCTATCCCACCTGTGGAAAAAGCTCACATGTGATCCGAGAGACAATTATAATATGACTTAACACAGTAGCTGAGAGGTGCAGCTTCTTTTGCAACGTTCAGGACTAATTCCATGGATTTTCTTCCCCCTGCTCAGCGGCATTCGGCAGCTTCTCTGGTGACCAGCTACGTCATTTGGCAGCAGGCTAAAGTGCTTGCAATTGCATAGAGCAAAGAGCATGCTGAACAGTGATGTTCCAGTTTAAAAGGACAGAGCTGCAAACAAAGGTAGGCTTTTATTTTGGGCAAGAGCCTTTTAACTGCACAAAGTCTCATGCCTGACCACGTGCCCTTCACCACTGCCATGCCCACAGAACATGTCCTCACTCCCTTGTTCTTGAATCCTGAGTGCAGAAACCTGATGTCAGCGTCTTCTCCTGAGTTTCCTATTTCTTTAACTGTCTTCATGTCCCACTTGCCTTTCTGCTTCTCTTCTTTACCCCTTTCAGCTCCTTCTTTATGGGCCCATGTTTTATTCATATGATTATTTTTGACAGATAGTTTGGTGCCTGAATATAATATTCAGTGTTTTCTTTTGATGGGAGAAAACTCACAGTACTGCAACTTTACATGTAGAATACAGAGTAAGCCCAGCTGTGCCTGCCCACAGTTCCAAGGGGAAGTAACTGCCTGCAGAGTATGATGCTACTTCTTCATTGCACTTGTCACAGTTAATAGTTCTATGTATGTGAGTGATTGTTTGATCAATTTCTGTCTTCCTTGGTAAACATAAGCCATTGTGACAATGGCTACCTGCTTTGCCCACTATTGGATCCCTGGTGCCTGTCTGTGTATTCACAGTAACACTTGCTGGGGGAAGGAAGGAATATGCTTCTCAGGTATATCAGTTGACTCATGGAAGTCCTGAGCTGGTCCTAACTAAACTTTGGAAATGATACATTGCTTTGGAAATAATTGTGCAGAAAAACCCAGGATTTTATCAATGAGTTTTTTTTTTTTTTAGTTTATTTTGAGAGATTTGATTGATGGTATTTGTTGGGTATAGATAAACAATGTGTCACCCAGTAAGGAGAAATATTCACTATTATGAATTATACAAACCTTCTTCTATTCTAATAATGTGTTCCTGGAATATACAGATAACTAGAGCTTTATGTTAAGTCTCTCAAAACTTTGGAAATATGGTCTGTATTTGTTTTCCAGGGTTCCCATAACAAAGTACCACAGACTGGGTGGCTTAAACAACATGAATTTATTGTCTCACAGTCCTGGAAGCTGGAAGTGCAAGATTAAGGTGTCAGCAGGGCTCGTTCCTTTTGTAGGCTGTAAGGGAGAAATCCATTCCATGCCTCTCTCCTAGCTTCTGGTGGTTCCTGGCACTCTTTGGCATTCCTTGGCCTGTAGAAGCATCACTTTGATCTCTACCTTCCCCTTTGCACTGGTATTCTCCCTGTGTCTGTGTCTTCTTGTAAGAACGCCAGTCATATTGTATTGGGGCTGATCCTACTCCGGTATGACCTCATCTGAACTAATTACATCTGCAACAACCCCATCCAAATTAGGTCACTTTCTGAGGTGCTGGGGGTTAGGATTTCAACATACAAATATTGGGCAAACACAATCCAATCCATAACATGGACAAGTAAGCTATAATTGTTGAACAAAAGACTTGTCTGCTGCTGGAATCATTGCACCAGAACCACCTCCCTGTGTTTTCTGACACCTCTTTTCAGTGGCAGGGTTTTGACCTTTTTCTAATGGAAGCATCAGGGTCATGAAAATCTGTGCTTGGCAATTAACTGATTTTACTAGTTGAACCTGTTTCAGAGAACTGCTGGCAGATGCCATCCCAAGTGGCAGTTAGGGACATGATGTGGATGAAGCAGGCACTGCCTTAGATAGTATAAGAAGATTTCCAATAGCTGCAGAAGGCACAAAACCCCCCTTCTTCCTCACTGGTACTTGCAAAGAAGTTCCCTCTGCCCTTCCAGTGTGTGAAGAAGGCAAAAGAAGCTTCTAGGGTCGTACCTGGTATTGGCTGCTCAAATCGTGACATTGGTTGATGAACACCATTGATCTGTTCAGATTGAGGAGTTCCTATGTAAAGAAAGAACTAAAGTGAGGAAATGCCCTGGAGACATCTGACACAAATATTTTACTTCACCATAGTAAAGGGGGAAAGTAATGTTTGACTTTTGGCTGAATGTTCATGAGAAAGACCAATATTTAATCTTGTCTCTGGCTTGTTATCGAGAGAACATTTTGCATCACTTGCCTGTGATTTCCAGGTGCTTAAAAAAGTAACTAGCTGAGAGACAAGGGCTTCCCGAATTGTGAAATTCAGAGAGAGAGTCAGTTGTCCCTGTTGATGCAGACTGTGCTCTAGGGTACATCCATCAGCAGTGCAGGCACTGCCCTTGTTTGGGGATCAATGAGAGAGAGAGAGGCAGCTGAGCAAAGTTACAGCAAGGCAGCACCAGGGCAGATGCTTTGTTCCACAGGGAGCTTGTGGCAGAGGTGGAACTTGAATGTAGATCTTTTGCCGAATGAGCCAGCATGCTCTTTAATGAAAGATTGCATTTGGTGAAGAGAATGAGGAAAGAGGGTCAGGGAGAAAACTAAATAGGAAACAAAAAATGCAAGAGGAGAAGAAGTAACAAGCATGACACTGGATGACAAAATCAGGCCCCGATTACTAATGTTATCCTAAACAAGTTACTTCCACACGGTGGGCCTTATCTTTTTTCGTGTGGAAACAAGAGTAATGGGAAAACTCATTTCTAAGGAAGTTTTAGGATAATATTTCCATAGTATTTTCATTTTACATCAGTCTTGTGTCTGGATTGTATACATCTTTATTTAGCTGGATCTGTCTTTATAGTCTTAAATTTTATGGATAAACTTTCATCTAATGTACTCTTGTCCTTTTATATATAATATTTAAAATGTTATTTTACTTCTATGGTCTTGGGTGTCAGTATCATAAAAAAACCTAAAACTTTTATGCAAAAAGAAAGTGGCTAAAATTAAAAAAAAAAATTTTGCCATGTTTCTGAAACTAAGACCTTAACAAGATTAGCCTCAATGATGTAAAACAAAATTAAACTGCCTCCTCCTAACAAAAACAACAACAAAATCAATGTGTTCTAAAGCAAGACCTCTTGTACTTTAAATAAGATCCTACCTCCAGTTCTTCAAACTGTACTCCTGAGGATGATTAGCTGTAATTAAATAAGCATATGAGGAGAGAAGAGGTTCCCATGAAAGATGGGCTTCAAGACAAATGCTATGGATTCAGATACCTCAGATGGCACTTGGAGATGGCAGTGGACTGAATGTTTACGTCCTCCCAAGATTCGTGTGTTGAAATCCTGGCCCCTAAGGTGATAGCATTGGGAGGTGGTACCTTTAGGAAGTAATTACATTATGAGGACTGAGACCTCCTAAATGGAATTAGTGCCCTTATAAAAGGGACCCCAGAGAGCTAGTTCACCCTTCCACCATGTGAGGACATAGCAATAAGGCACCTTCTATGAGCCAGGAAACAGACACCGAATATGTCAGTGCCTTGACCTTTGACTGCCCAACCTCTAGATCTGTAAGAAATAAATGTCTGTTGGCCGGGCACAGTGGCTCATGCCTGTAATCCCACCACTTTAGGAGGCTGAGGCGGGTGGATCACCTGGGTCAGGAGTTCAAGACTAGCCTGGCCAACATGGTGAACCCCCAGTCTCTACTAAAAGTACAAAAAATTAGCCGGGCATGGTGGTGGGCGCCTGTAATCCCAGCTACTCAGGAGGCTGAGGCAGGAGAATAGCTTGAACCCAGGAGGCAGAAGTTGTGGTGAGCCTATATCATGCCACTGCACTCCAGCCTGGGCAACAAGAGCAAAACTCTGTCTCAAGAAAAAAAAAAAAATAGAAAGAAATGTTTTTTGTATATAAGGCACTCAGTTTATGATATCTTGTAATAGCAGCTCAAAAGGACTAAGACACCATGTTTTGCAATGCTATGTTAATTGATCACATTGAGATGGTGGGAGGCCATGTTCGATAGTCGTTAAGAGGCTTGTTAGAGTCCAGTGGTTGTTTCTAAGTACTGGTTTCACCCCTCACAGCTATGTTACTCTCAACAAGTTATTTAACCGTCCTAAGTTTCAATTTCCTCATCTGTAACCTGGTGATGGTTCTCAGTACATATTTGGATTTTCTTTTGTGTATGAGAATTAAATGAAAGAACTGTAAAGTGCTGAGTAGAGTGGCACATAGTAAATGC
The DNA here is from genome assembly GCF_000001405.40 of Homo sapiens. NCBI lineage: Eukaryota > Metazoa > Chordata > Mammalia > Primates > Hominidae > Homo > Homo sapiens. The sequence goes on along the minus strand of NC_000014.9, from coordinate 80,383,669 downwards.
TTAATAAATATTAGGTAATAATTATCACTCTACTTGTTATGATGTCGTCCCTCATAAAGAAACTGACTCTATTGCAATAATGGATTTAGAATCTGATGACTTTTCATCAGTGTGGAATATATTTCTTCTTAATTTATGACTGAACACAAGGTTCCAAGTATGCCAGAACCTCACATTACCCTATAGATCCAGATCTGAAGAGCAGGAAAACAGCCCTGATGTGATGCTTGGGTGCGGCACTTCTACTGTTATAGGAGCACCCAGTTCATTACAAGTCTGAACAACATGTTCCTCACTCTGGGCAGAAAACACTAAGCAAGGAAATGTCTGTTTTGTAAGAAGACAATTCAGACTTGTTTTTCAGGGCCTTCCATCATCTCAAACTTCTCAGCTGTAGCAGCAATAGCAGCAGAAAGAATTATTGAACATGGCATCTACATATGGTGAGAGAATAAACAGGGAAAAAGAAAACCCAGTAGTTTTCAGCCTCAGGGTGAGTAAATAGAAACCTGGTAGGAAAAGGGTACAGAAAAGACATGAAAACCAATGCAAATGAATATAAAGCATGCATTCCTAGCTATATGGAAATATGGAAATAACTTTAAAAGGGTATCTCATTTGAGTAAATGCCTGGTGCCTCCTTGACCATCTCCCGTAGTAGGGCATTCCATGTCTTTTTAAGCATCTCACTCCATCTCTAGCGACTAGCTGGTAATAGGAGAAAAAATAGTTTCTTTATTCTAACCCTGGTTGGGATCCTGGCTCCATTGCTTAACAGTTTTGAACTTTGGAGGTTAAATAAAAACAACGTATCAATGGACATCATATTAGTACCAACTTCATGGCGTTGTAGAGATTAAATGAGATCATACATATAACTCTATAATACAATGCTTGGTGCATAACTAACACAAATTGAACTAATTAAGTATTCAATTGGCTTTATTATGATTATTGAGCAGGACTGTCTGCATTCTAATCCTGGCTCCAACATCCTAATCTGGAATAATTGACTTTATTTCTCTGTACTTCTATTGCCTTCTCTATCAAATGGGGATTCTAGTAGGGTCTATCTCATGAGGTTGTTGAGAGAATTAGATAAGTTGATAAAGGTAAAGCTCTTAGAATAGAGCCTTGCATTTAGTGGGGGCCCATTCAATGTTAGTCATTGTTGATGAAAGGGTTCTTCCTGAACGATTGCTCCTTTTTTCACTCTTCTTGCTCAATGAGTGCTCCTCCCAAGCAGTGCCCCGTGCCCTTTCTAGCTCTCTCTCTCTTTTGGAGGAATGTAATTGAAGCCAAGATAGTGGGTTTAATCTTCCACGGGCCATGAAGGATCCCTTTGCTCATGTGAAAGTAGATGAGATTAAATCTATTTCCAGGGACAGCTAAGGAACAAGCCACAGAGGCAGCCCAAGGGAAAGGTAGGTCAGTAGATTCAGTGTGGAATAGAAAGAACATGAAGTACTCTGAGAAGTGGAGGCCAGGGACAGGGATGAGACAATGTGGTTTGTTTGGGAGCCTGGCAATGTGGCAGGTAATGCAAATGGCTCTGACATGGGGCGCTTACTGTGCCAGGGGCCGCTTGCCTTTCATAAGCGTGAAATCCATTTAGGCAACCTTTGGTACATACCCTTCTGAGTCCACAGCTTGTTCTTTACAAGTTTTTGGCAAAAAGTAGTGTTCACTGGTCACACCCATTCTATTCTATATTTATTCTCAGTGCACAAGGCTAGTGAGATAATCATGCCCCAGGGCTTAACTGGTTGAAATCTGTAAATCTCCTAAAAGTGTAATTACCTATTCATAATTCTTCTTTCCAATATTGCGTAAATCTCATTAGTACATTTTTTTTTTTATTATTCATGTTATGGAAAAAATTGCTTTTTTGCCATTGAAAGAACAATTAGCAGAGAGAGAGAACCAGGTGTTTTGTTTGAGCTGTTTGGTTTAATCTCTGTGATCAAATTAACCCATTTATGCTGGAGGTTGCAAATTTTTTTGTGTGTGTGAAAAATCAGACCATGGCGATGACCTTGAGCAGTAGGATATAAGTAACTCCCACAAGCTTAGCGTTCCAATAATGGAACACTAGACATAAATGGGTTAAGGAGTCCACCCCCTACAAGTGTAGGAGACTCCTTTAGTAGCCAGTCCTGTTCAGTGTTTTGTTTTTAGAGCAAGGACCCTGTCTCTAAAGGCCTGCAGGTACTGGTGTGAAATTATAATAACATTGCAGAGCAAGGACTTTGCTGCTCTTAAAACTTATTTCAGAATGGTTCCTGGAAGGACATGGACTCGTGCACCATTATACGAATGGGAACCCCACAGGGAACAAAATTAACTCTGGTGCAGCCTCTACAGAAAATCTCGTGGCCCTTTGCCTGATATATTTGTCTTGAGTGTGCAAGTAATTGCATAAATTGTATACATTTGTACACTAAGAATCGCAGATGATTGGGGATTATAGAAAATATGTTTTATTTCTAGAATGTACTTGATTGATTTTTTTCTAGGCAGAGATGACATGAGTGTTAATGAGACTTTCATGACATCCCCAGTTTATTTAATCAATTGTTTGATTCATGACACATGGTACAGATTTATAACATATGAAATGATTCTGTAATTTTCTTTGATGTTTCCAAATTACTTGTGTGTGTGGTGGGGGGAGGACAGGGGGTGCTGTCTAATACCAAATAAAATAGCTTGAAACAGTGGCCTCTAACTACCATCCGGGATGGGGAAGGGGCATGTTTACCTACTCTGTGTGTGTGTGTTTGTGGCTACATGTGACCCCACGGCCCTTCCTACATACCTTCCATTTAAGGTAGTATAGTTAAAGAGTTCTGCTGGAGAAGCAGAAGATCAGAACTCTCCTGTCAGTCTCTGACCAGTATGCTAAGATATTTGGGCTACTTAACTTCTCTGGGCCTCAGAACAGAGGGGGATAGACTATACAACCTCTGAATTATACCTTATCTACCTGTGGACTGCAGCAAACTGTGGCGTCAGCCTGGAGAGGACTCCTGGGGCCATTGCCTGTTTGGCCAAGCAGTCAATGGGGTAGAGAAGCAAGACAGTGGGGAGGGGAATTTCCTAAAGGGTAAAGAAGAAGCAGAGCTGGGGTATGGAGCCAGGGTTTGGCCTTTGCTTCCTGAATATCCTCCCCTCTCCATTCTAAGAAGGGGAACTAAGACTAGAGAAGATGCTTTAATCGCTCCCTCCTCTATCTCATCTCAGCAACTCCAAGAAAGAGGACCGAAACTTCTTCTTCTTCTTCTTCTTTTTTTTTTTTTGACAAAAAATCTTGCTCTGTCACCCAGGCTGGAGTGCAGTGGCACGATCTTGGCTCACTGCAACCACTGCCTCCCGGGTTCAAGCGATTCTCTTGCCTCAGCTTCCCAAGTAGCTGGGATTACAGGTGCACGCCACTGCCACACCTAGCTGATTTTTGTATTTTTAGTACAGACAGGGTTTTGCCATGTTAGCCAGGCTGGTCTCAAACTCCTGACCTCAAATGATTCACCCTCCTTTGCCTCCCAAAGTGCTGGGATTACAGGTGTGAGCCACCACGCCAGGCCGAGGACAAAAGACTTCTATAATTCCCTGTAGGAATCACTCTTTAAGGGTGTCACTCTAAGGGTTTTTCATGGTAAAGAACCAAATCTGTTTAGATTAAGTCTGAGTCTGCATTTTTTTCTTCATGTCGTCTCTTAATATTTTAGACATGTAGATAAAAATTATAGTTTCTCAAACTTCCAAAATCTGCAAGTTTCCAAAATCCTGGAGTCTTGAAATCTAAATATCTGGATGACAACTTAAAATTGCACTTTTCATTTGACTTCTTGGATTTATAGACAGGACCTCTTTAGGCCCAGACTTTATTTAGCCATGCATTAGTAGTGTTTAACAAGTCTTAGGTGATCTTAAAAAAACCTTTCCCTCATAACACTGTATATTTACATATCTGAATGAGATTTAGACTTTCTACCTTAATATACTATAACTACTGAATTAAGTGTGATGATCTCCTTAAAATACAGGCAGAAGGCTTCTATATTTTCCATTCCTTTAATCCTTTTCCCTTCCTTTTAAATCCATTTTCTCTGTAGGTAGCCCTCTTGGGTAAATTATCTGTTCAACAACTCTAGGACAGGTGTTTCCCATGTGCTATGGACCACATGTAGAATTCAGGAAACATGTATGTGTCCTCATTTTTGTTTTTTTTTTTTTTTCATCGGTGGAAGCACAGTTTATTGTCTATACAGCTTTCAAATTGGACACTATGAGCAGCTTCATCCAGCTTCTTGCCTGGAGATTTTTTCAATTGTAGGCCTTGCATTTGACCCATATCCACCACAGACTCTAAAGAGAAACAGACCAAGCTCCCCAAGTGGTTCTCTTAAAGCATCTTTCACTTGGCATGAAGTAAGGAGGGAGTAGCCCTCAACTTTTCCATTGCAAAGTAGGGGCAAGTGAAGAGTGAAATGCACAGAATTCTAGCAAATCCCTCCAAAGAAATTGTCTCTTTCCTTGCCTCTGTAACCTCTTTTACCCTCTTGAGGCTTGTCTTGGGCTAAGATTGCAAAACCAGTTTTTGCCTATCTCCTTTGCAAGTGCTATATAGTTGGTCTGACACCTTGATTTGTGCATATACTTCATTAGCTTCCCTGAATGTCCACCATCTTCTTAAGAGTAGAGGCTTTGTTATGCACATTTGTACTTCTTATAATACCAAATGCAGTGTCCCATATAGTAGGTGCTCAATGTATATTGGGGAATGAACGAGTGAATGAAGGTAAGCTTCCTGCCTGTGTGAAGGAAAATGGCTAGCTCCTGTTTAACTGTGCACACTTTCAAGTTGCCCTCTTGCATTCTGCTTCTCATGTAAGTACTGTTATTAAACTTCTAAATACTTAACAGAAGGCTTTTTTTTTTTCTTTTTGGCAGTGAACGAACTCCTTTTGTCTTCTGTCCCGTGAATATCCTAACCACTTTGTCACTTTGATCTAGGGGGCATTTCATCCTCAGAAATGCAAAGGAGTTGGCGACTGCACAAAATGTGTTCTATTTCCTATTGCCGTAAAAATCCATTGCTCTTGAGCCTTTGCCCGCCCCCTTTCATGGTAATGTGTAAGCCACTAAATTGCAGTTACTGGCTGTGGCCAGGGCCATCGAAAAATCGTGAATGCCATGTAGATTTGAGGCTTGCTCCACTAAAGAGTCCACAATGGCTTTACTGTAACTGGGTTAACTAGAACTTGGCAAACACCTATCCAAGGAGGGTGATACCAAGTCCCCTCCCCACTTCCAGGATGCTGGCCTGATCTTCTTGTATTTGTGCAACTGGCCCATCCAGAGACCCAGTGAAGCCGGGAGGAGGGCCCTGGTGAGGGCGACTCTCTCTGGGTCAAGTTGTCCTTTTGCAGCTCTCCTTTCACGCAGCTTCTCTTCCTGAAATGTGAAGTAGGTTAGAGGATAGCTTGTTTTCTTTTGCTATTTGAAATACAGCATTTGGGGTCATGCTCTGAATAATTTGTGCTTGTTAGAAATGACTGTTGTCCTCTTGAAGCAATAACAAAGAACTACATTTAAATTAAATTCAGACAAGCAAGAGCCTCTCCACAAAATCAATGGAGCCAGGCATTTTTCAAAGAGATATTTTGATTTTTTTAATCTCTAATATTCCAGGGCATAAATCAGCAAAGATAACCCAGAATCAAAAAGGAGCTGGGCCATTGTTCATAATACCTTAAAAGTATTTGATAATATGTTTGGGGTGGGAGTGAAAAGGTAAGATAAAATATTACATGCAATCCTCTTTAATATCACTTATTTTTATATTTGGCAAACTTTATTCTTCCTCAATTTCCTTGTGTCAAATTTCAAGTATTGATTTTTTGAAAGATAGCTTCATTCATTTATTAAATCTGTAAGACTCAAGAGACTAAAGCCCTGTCAAATATAGTTTTCAAAATGTTAATTTGCATAAATGTATTCATACACACATACACTGCTGTAGTCTTCTTACCAAATGTAGCATAAAACAGTAGTGACCAGCAATGTGGTGGCCTCATGTTCCAGGTAGAATACTTGTTCCATCAATGCTAAATAACGTATCTATTTTTAAAATATTTTTTCTTCATAGTGTCCAAATTAAACCCTACTTCTGTACTCAAATAATCCCATCTTTATTTTAATGCATCAGTCATCCTTTCCAGTTCTTCAAGACAAAAACACTCTATTCTTTTCTCATACTAGACATATAATTATCTGGAGCTGCCAAACTTCATCTTTTAAAGTCAAGAAGGAAAGTTTCATCAGTTATTTTAATAATTTGCCTTGCGGTTGCTCTGCTTCAGTGCAGGACTAATTCTGTCTAATAAAGCTAATGAGCAGGTTAATTATTAATACACACTGAAAAATTAAACTCCTCACATTCATTCACCTCGTCTATATGATGGGCATTATCACTGCTGTAGATACATGGGGTTTCCTTGCTGTAGTTTCTGCTTTCAAAACAAATAGATCCTTCATTTTAGTCAGTATGGTTATGCCGAGCAAAGTCATTCTACCTGGTTTTTACCTCCCCTAGAGTGGAGAAAGTATCTTTATTTTTTGTGCTTGTTGATCATATGGCAGGAGTCTTTCTGTATAGTTTTGTGCATTGGTGTCATGTAAGCCTGTCCTGCACCCCTTAGCTATTCATTTTATGGCCACAGAAGAACACATCTCATTTTTATCAGATTACCCTTCTTTCTCTTCTGTCTTTCTGTGCTCATCATGCCTCTTCCAACCTATGCTCCTCCAGTCACTCTAACCTTGGGAACAGAGAACCCTGAACTCAAAAAAACCCATCTGTGATTGATGAGGCCACTGCTATTGAGAACCCTGACCTCAGGGAAACCCATCTGTAATTGATGAGGCAACTACTATTGATTTATGATTCTGATATTTGCTCTTAGGTTCTTAAATTTAGGGAAAACTTTTCTTTTGAATATTGCATAAAACTTGTTGACTAAAATACTATTTTTGTGGCATGTGCGAATTTAATTTAACTCTAGTCCTCAAGGTCAGAGTGACTCTAAGTCATGGCCCTAAGTCAAGGGCCATGTCTCTAGCAGCTTATACGTTGCTCCTTCAGGCTCTGAAGCATGTGTGAGGAAAGGACCTTTTCCACAACAAAAGATGATATAAATTAGTATTTTTTCCTCTCAGTTCAAACACCAAATTCTTCCTGAATTCTTTTTTTTTTTTTGTGGAGTTTTGCTCTTGTTGCCCAGGCTGGAGTGCAATGGCATGATCTTGGCTCACCACAACCTCCTTCTCCCAGGTTTAAGTGATCCTCTGGCCTCAGCTTCCCGAGTAGCTGGGATTACAGGCATGTGCCACCACACCTGGCTAATTTTGTATTTTTAGTAGAGATGGGGTTTCTCCATGTTGGTCAGGCTGGTCTTGAACTCCTGACCTCAGGCGATCTGCCCTCTTTGGCCTCCCAAAGTGCTGGGATTACAGGTGTGAGCCACCGTGCCCAGCCACCTGAATTCTTTTTCTGTGCCAAGATTCCTCACCTTCTGCCAACATCAGCTTCACCTCTGGGGCTCTCTCTGTCTTTGCTAAGTATCCACTATTAATACTTCTCAAACTTTACTATTGTTAGAGTCAGTAAGGTTAACTTCCTGAACCCTATGCTCCCTCAGATACAGCCTTCCTGGATCCATCTCCAGAAATTCTGATTGACTCAGTTGGTCTCATATGACATTTGGGCACCACGTCACAAGTGGGATTCTAAAGGGATTCGTCACACTTTGACGAACACTGGTCCTGTTATCCTGCTAGTTTCTGTCTGCATTTCTGTAACCAATGCCATATTAGTGGCCTTAGTATGGGTCAAGGACACTTGTTGCTTCAGCAAAAGTATGAATGGGGAAGGGAGGGTGGATGTGGGAGGCTAAATAAAAGACAAATGCTTATATTTTCTGACAAACATTTGGATTCTGTGGAAGTCTCCCATCTTACCATGTTTCAGAAGATGAGTAAGTTGTTCCTTTCTCCCAAAAAGACAAACTGCGATGAGGCTGATTAGCTCATTCTAGTATCATAATTACATATGTGTCCCATCCCCCACACTTTTAGTATTTTATCCAGGGTGACTGTAGCACGGTCAAGGAGGTTTGATCTGTGGACCCATCTGAATACCATTTGCTGCCAAAATATCTCAACCTTGACCTCAAAGAAACCCCCTCTGACTGACGAGGCCACTGTTATTGAATTACTACTCTGATATTTGCTCTTAGGTTCCTAAATTTAGGGAACACTTCTCTTTTGAATACTGTAAAATCTATTGAATAAAATACTATTTTGTTGCATGTTCAAATTTAATGCAACAAAACAATTAAAATAAAGTCATTACTTCTATGTCATAATAGTGGAAAATTCTAATAACCATTTACTCAGATAATGCTAAATTTATAGGGCAGACTGTTATAAACTTTGGAAAAGGCAAGTGGATCAGTAACTCAATTTATATCAGGGATTCTTGAGTTTGGAATGGTAATCTGTCTGGATTTCGCCTGTGCCTGTAGGTGTGTTTTATGTTTGTAAGGGAAATTTTGAGCTCAGGGAGCAGCCTGACAGCCAGACCAGGAGGGTTAGGCACCAAGAAAATGGAGTCAGCTCAGAAGTCCAAACTCCTTGACCTGCTCACTCAGGTGAATAGATAGAGGGGTGAGGAGATGGGTATTTTGGCACTACTCTAAACAGCTGAGAAAGATGTCCAGCCTCACAAGGGAACATGGTAGTTGTACAACATCATGACAGTTCTACTGCCCGTCAGTGTCGAATTGGTCAGCACGTCAGGATCTTCACAATAGGTATGGGACACGAGCTGAATGATAGGGATTTAGTTAGCATGACTCCAGCCTTTGAAAGGGTTAAAAAATTAAGGACGGATTCCATATTTTAAAATATTGCATGAAAGAAATGAGAGTGCCGGGTGTGGTGTGGCTCATGCCTGTAATCCCAGCACTTTGGGAGGCCAAGGCAGGCAGATCACCTGAGGTCAGGAGTTTGAGACTAGCCTGACCAACATGGAGAAACCCCATCTCTGCTAAAAATACAAAATTAGCAGGGCGTGGTGGCGCGTGCCTGTAATCCCAGCTACTCGGGAGGCTGAGGCAGGAGAATCACTTGAACCCGGGAGGCAGAGGTTGTGGTGAGCCGAGATCATGCCATTGCACTCCAACCTGGGCAACAAGAATGAAACTCTGTCTAAAAAAAATAAAAAGAAAGAAAGAAATGAGAGTGAGACTGTCCTTCATGCAATATTTTTGGAAATATTGCAAAATATTCTTCATGGGATCCTTCCTTCCTGACCATGCCTGAGAAGCTAGTTGTCAGGGTGCAAGATGTGAATTGGGTACAAGAGAAAAGCTTGTGAACCAAATATAGGATATAAATGTCACAGTAGGGCTAATCAGAAGGCTAAATTAGTGTTGATTTTTATGTCACTACATTAAAACTCTTTGTATTCCATTAAATATAGGTTTGTTCAGCCAGACATAAATGCTCATGCCTATAATCCCAGCACTCTGGGAGGCTGAGGTGGAGGATTGCTTGAGCCCAGGAGTTCAAGACCAGCCTGGGCAACACAGTAAGATGCTGTCTCTATTTTTAAAAAGATAGATTGGTTCTCTTTTCTGACTTATAACCTTCCATGACTTCCCATTGCAAACTTCTCTGTGATCCGGCCCTGACAACCATCTGACCTCAGCCCCTTCCACTTACTTCAGCTAAAATGGCTTTTTCCCTTTTCGTTAAACATGCTGAGCTCCTCCCGGTTCCAAGGCCTTGCACTTGCAGATGCCTCTGCCTTTTCTAGACCTTCGATTGACTCTCTCCTTCTTGACATTCAAGTACTGGCTCAAATACCTTTTTTTCCAGGAGGCCTTCTTTGACTACCCATTATTAAGTTGTATTTCTCTTCCAGTTGATCTCCACATTATCAGTCTTTTCTTATTTCCCATATATAGCATGTAACATTTCTCACACACTTCACAACATATACTTACATTCATTTTATTTCTTAATTTTCTCTCTTGGCCCCTTGACTGTAAACTCCATGAGTATAGATGAGTTTTTGTTTATTTATTGTTATTATTGTTGTTCATTGCTGTGTTCATATAGCACAAACAATGCCTTGAACTTAGTAGGTATCCAGTATTATTTTCTGAACGACTGATTGGTTGAAAGTCTTCCAAACTCTAGTAGAGGAGAGCTGGCTGCAAAAGATATGTGGGGATAGAAAAAAAGGAAGGAAGTTAAAAAAAAGAAGCTCATTAATATATCAGTATTTCAGAATTCTAGGCTATAAAATGTATGTGTTACAAAGGATCTACTTTACAGGATTACACTGCATGATGATTCAAAAATAAGTACTTTGTAAATTCAAATTTTGTGAGTTAAGATCATGAGAACTTGATATTCCAAAAAGGTGATACAGGAGAGAATAATAATAAGAAGAGGAGAGGTCAGAGGAACACCCAGAAGATGTATAACAACTGATACTAAATGCTAACGATATAAAGAAATTTAGGATTAGCTCAAAGTTGTACTGATATAATGCTCATTTCATTCTTGAGTACAAAATGCTATATAATAGATGTTCAATTTCACTTTTATAGAATTTATGAATCTGTTCACCTTGCTTAGAAAAAAGCGCTCAAATTTATTGAGTCAGTGGAGACACTAACTTGCTTTGGCTAGAGATCATTAGGAGGTCAAAGAAAAGAAAAAATCTAATTGCTTTTTAAATTTTTGATTTGACAATTTTAATTTTTTCCCCTTCCCTCAATACATTTGTAAGACCAACATTATCATACCATGGAGGTTTCTAACATGAGCAATTCCAGCACATTGGATCTTATAAATGACCTCTACAGAGATCATTTATAGGCTTTATTTTCTATTATTAGAAAAAAATCATTAGTTATTAATCACTATTAATCATTAAAAAGTCATTAAAGGACTTTATTTTTTGTCTATTACTACAATTTTATTAATTTTCAATTAAAGACATATAATTAAAACTTACTACAATGCATCTAAGCCCATGTATAATTTCAAATTAAAAAATCTAACAAAAGCTCCAAAAAGAATATGATAATTTTTCTTCTTACTTTTCCCTTCTCTCATAGTTACTTTGACTTAGTCTATAGTCATGGGTGCTTCATGAAAAATTTACTGTTAACAAATTGTGAATAAAGGTGGAGCTTTACTTGGTGTCCTACAGCCCAACACCCTCTGGCTTATTGTAAGAAAGCTTGGCATCAACAAGATTCCATCTGAGAACACCTAGTTCCTCCCACCCTTGCTATTGTTCTTTATGTTTATCAAAATGTAGACTAAATCATACACCTGAGCCTAAGTGGTTCTAATGCCTCAGAGTTGTGATCTGATTCAGTGCTTCCCAAACATCAGGTTGGGAAACAGTACTGGTTCATGACCAAGTGAAAATTACAAGAACAAGGAAATAGGTTTTGCATAAAGCTAATTTTTTCCCAAATTAAGGAAATTTTCTTTATATAAAGATAATATTGCTCCTATTATTTGGTATAGATCAAACTTTTATGAAATGATAATGATAATAGATGGCAGTTTTTTAAAAAAAAATGTTTTTACTTGGCAACCCAAAATGGTGGCAATAGTGAACAACAGTTTCTTTTATTGAAATTTTTTGGGAACTTATTTTGAAAAAACAGAGTAGGGTAATGAACCCATATGTACTTTGCAGTTGGCCATTTATGGCCAATCCTATTTTGTCTAACTATACCACTACTCTCTCTCACCTAATTTTTCATTTTGCAAATTCATTATATCTTTTCATCTACAAAATTTTGGCATTTAACTTTAGGAAATAGGGATTCATTTCTTAAATTTAACCTCAAATTTTAGAGGTTGTAAAATCTCAGATAGAACTGAAACAGTCTCCACTGAGAATATTCAGCTCCTTCACATTACTGGGGAGAAAATGAAAATCAAAGAAGGGGGACCATTTTACCACTAGGAACTGGTGGCACAGATATGTCAGCCCTGAAATTTTTATTCTAAGTTCGATCATTGTTCATGATGTCACATAAAGAAAACGAAACATACCATGGAGAGAAACCCCATGTAGAGAAGCCTCATTTACAAAATTTAATTCAAAATGAATCAGAGCCCTAAATGTAAGAGCTAGAATTATAAAAGTATTAGGAAAAAAACATAGATGTAAATCTATATGACTTTGGATTAGGCAATAATTTCTTAAATATAATGCCAAAAGTACAAGAAATCAAAGAACAAATAGATAAATTCAACTTCATTGAAATTAAAAACTTTTGTGCATCAAAGGACACTACCTAGAAAGTCAAAAGAGGACTTACAGAATATGAGAAAATATTCACAAATTATATATTTCATAAAGATCTAGTATCCAGATTATATAAAGAACTGTTATAATTCGACAATAAAAAGACAACCCAACTAAAAAATGGGCAAAGGATTTGAACAGACATTTCTTTAAAGAAGATGGAGAAATTGCCAATAAGCACATGAAAAGATGTTCACTGTTATTAGCCATCAGGGAAGTGCAAATCAAAACCACAATGAAATACCACTTAACACTCACTAGGATAGTTATAATAAAAAAGACAGATAAAAGAGTATTAGCAAGGATACGGAAAAATTGGAACCCTAAGGCATTGCTGAGAACCCTAAGGCATTGCTGAGAACATTAATGGTACAGGCACTTTGAAAAACAGTTTGGCAGTTCCTCAAAAGCTTAAACATAAAGTTAACATATGATGTAGTAATCCTACTCCTAGGAATATACCCTAGAGAAGGGTATATTCACGCAAAAACTTGTACAAGAATGTTCACTGCAACATTATTCATAATTTCCAAAAGGTAGAAAACACCCAAATGCCCATCAACTGATGAATGGATAAACAAATTGTGGTATATCCATACAATAGAATATTCCTAAGCCAAAAAAAGAAATGAAATACTGACTCATGCTTCAAGATGGATGACTCTTAAAAACGTTATGCTAAATGAATGAAGCTGGACACATAAGGCAGCATATTGTATGATTTCATTTTTATGAAATGTTTAGAGTAGCTAAATCCACAGTACAGGAAATAGATTAGTGATTGTGAGAGGCCATGGGAAAGGGAATGGGATTAACTGCTAATGGGCATGGTTTTTTGTTTTTTTTTTGAGGGGGGATGATAAAGATGTTCTGGAATTATAGTAGTAATGGTTGCACAACTTTGTGAATATACTAAAAACCAATGAATTGTATACATTAAAAATGTTGATTTTATGCTATTTTATGGTGTATCATCTTATGATACATAATAAAAGTATAACATTGGTTTTTGTCCATAAATTTTATACTTTAAATGTATCAATTTTGTGGTATATGATCAGCTAGACCTACATCTATTTATCTATTTATAATAAAACATACAGAGATGAGCATACTTCTATCCCCCAAGGTTGTGTCTTCATTTTAGTAATGTTCTTCCTTTTTCTACGTTTTCACTACCCTTTTCATAAAGGGAGACTCTGTAGTGGTAAACTAAAGTCTTAGGGGAACAAAATTTTAAGCAGCAAAAGTAACATTTAAGTTCTTAAAAAATTGTCTTTTTCATTTATAGTAATCTTAGGCTTACAGAAAGTTTGCAAAGGTAGTACAAAGAAATCTTATGTTTCCTTCACTCATTTTCTTCTAATGTCAGCATCTTATATAACCATGTGACTGAAAATAAGAAATTAACATTCGTATATTATTATTAATTAAACTCCAGCCTTTATTAAGAATGTATCAATTTTTCCATGAGTGTCCTTTTTCTTTTCTTTTTTTTATTATACTTTAAGTTTTAGGGTACATGTGCACAACGTGCAGGTCTGTTACATATGTATACATGTGCCGTGTTGGTGTGCTGCACCCATTAACTCATCATTTAACATTAGGTATATCTCCTAATGGTATCCCTCCCCCCTCCCCCCACCCCACAACAGGCCCTGGTGTGTGATGTTCCCCTTCCTGTGACCACGTGTTCTCATTGTTCGATTCCCACCTGTGAGTGAGAACATGCAGTGTTTGTTTTTTGTCCTTGTGATAGTTTGCTGAGAATGATGGTTTCCAGCTTCATCCATGTCCCTACAAAGGACATGAACTCATCATTTTTTATGGCTGCATAGTATTCCATGGTGTATATGTGCCACATTTTCTTAATCCAGTCTATCATTGTTGGACATTTGGGTTGGTTCCAATTCTTTGCTATTGTGAATAGTGCCTCAATAAACATGCGTGTACATGTGTCTTTATAGTAGAATGAGTTATAATCCTTTGGATATATACCGAATAATGGGATGGCTGGGTCAAATGGTATTTCTAGTTCTAGATCCCTGAGGAATCGCCACACTGACTTCCACAATGGTTGAACTAGTTTAGAGTCCCACCAACAGTGTAAAAGTGTTCCTATTTCTCCACATCCTCTCCAGCACCTGTTGTTTCCTGACTTTTTAATGATTGCCATTCTAACTGGTGTGAGATGGTATCTCATTGTGGTTTTGATTTGCATTTCTCTGATGGCCAGTGATGATGATTATCTCAATAGATACAGAAAAGGCCTTTGACAAAATTCAACAACGCTTCATGCTAAAAACTCTCAGTAAATTAGGTATTGATGGGATGTATCTCAAAATAATAAAAGCTATTTATGACAAACCCACAGCCGATATCATACTGAATGGGAAAAAAACTGGAAGCATTCCCTTTGAAAACTGGCACAAGACAGGGATGCCCTCTCTCAACACTCCTATTCAACATAGTGTTGGAAGTTCTGGCCAGGGCAATTAGGCAGGAGAAAGAAATAAAGGGTATTCAATTAGGAAAAGAAGAAGTCAAATTGTCCCTGTTTGCAGATGACATGATTGTATATCTAGAAAACCCTGTCATCTCAGCCCAAAACCTCCTTAAGCTGATAAGCAACTTCAGCAAAGTCTCAGGATACAAAATCAATGTGCAAAAATCACAAGCATTCTTATACACCAATAACAGACAAACAGAGAGCCAAATCATGAGTGAACTCCCATTCACAATTGCTTCAAAGAGAATAAAATACCTAGGAATCCAACTTACAAGGGATGCGAAGGACCTCTTCAAGGAGAACTACAGACCACTGCTCAATGAAATACAAGAGGATACAAACAAATGGAAGAACATTCCATGCTCATGGGTAGGAAGAATCAATATCGTGAAAATGGCCATACTGCCCAAGGTAATTTATAGATTCAATGCCATCCCCATCAAGCTACCAATGACTTTCTTCACAGAACTGGAAAAAACTACTTTAAAGTTCATATGGAATCAAAAAAGAGCCCGCATCGCCAAGTCAATCCTAAGCCAAAAGAACAAAGCTGGAGACATCACACTACCTGACTTCAAATTATACTACAAGGCTACAGTAACCGAAACAGCACGTTACTGGTACCAAAACAGAGATATAGACCAATGGAACAGAACAGAGCCCTCAGAAATAATGCCGCATATCTACAACTATCTGATCTTTGACAAACCTGAGAAAAACAAGCAATGGGGAAAGGATTCCCTATTTAATAAATGGTGCTGGGAAAACTGGCTAGCCATATGTAGAAAGCTCAAACTGGATCCCTTCCTTACACCTTATACAAAAATTAATTCAAGATGGATTAAAGACTTAAATGTTAGACCTAAAACCATAAAAACCCTAGAAGAAAACCTAGGCAATACCATTCAGGACATAGGCACGGGCAAGGACTTCATGTCTAAAACACCAAAAGCAATGGCAACAAAAGCCAAAATTGACAAATGGGATCTAATTAAACTAAAGAGCTTCTGCACAGCAAAAGAAACTACCATCAGAGTGAATAGGCAACATACAGAATGGGAGAAAATTTTTGCAACCTACTCATCTGACAAAGGGCTAATATCCAGAATCTACAAAGAACTCAAACACATTTACATGAAAAAAACAAACAACCCCATCAAAAAGTGGGTGAAGGATATGAACAGACACTTCTCAAAAGAAGACGTTTATGCAGCTAAAAGACACATGAAAAAATGCTCATCATCACTGGTCATCAGAGTGTCCTTTTTCTGTACCCAGAGTCAATCCAGGATACCACGATGCATTTAGTTGTCACATTTTTATGGTATCCCCTGGTCTGTGACAGTTTCTCATTCTTTTCTTGCTTTCTGTGACCTTGATAATTTTGAAGAGAGAAGTGCAGATATTTTATAGAATATTTTTCAATATGGGTTTGTCTGTTGTTTTTCTCATGATTATATTGGGGTTATGAGTATGAGGGCCACATACCACAGAGGTAATATGCCTTTCTCAGCGTGTCATATTAGTGTGTATATGGTATCAAGATGAATGCTCATTGGTGATGTTAATCTTGATCACTCCCTTTAGCTAGTGTTTTCTGGGTTTCTCCACTATAAGTTTATGTTTTTTGCCTTTTCATACTCAGTAAGCTAGTCACTAAATCCAGCTCTCACCCTTAAAGCAGGGGGTGGTTAATTCCACCTCCTGGAAAGGTATGTATGTAGTGTCTACAAGTATTATTTAGAATTTTTCCTCATGTAAGATTTGTCTTTTTTCCTCCATGTATTTATTCACTCATTTATTTATATCAGTATGGACTCATGTATATTTTATACTTTGTGCTATAATCTAATTCTATGTTTTATATTTTGTTGTTAAAACGTTTCAGCTTTGGCCATTGTAGCTCTTCCAGGTTAGTTCCTTTTACATAAACTATCCTTTTAAAAAATATTTTTATTTTTAAATATTTTTAGCACTTCCTTACTTTCTGACACTACAGAATGCTCCTAGGCTCGTCTTGTATACCCCGTATTCCAGACATAGAATCGGCCCCAGTTCCATTGTTGGAGAATGGTATTAGAAACCAAGATCCAGGTGCTGGGTGTAAAAGCAGTAATGTTTGTATAATGGGAATACGCCAGCTTGAAGGAGAGCAAGGCATCAGCTTTGTAGTGGAAGAAAGAGGAGAGAACTAAGGGAGTGGGTTAGGTGGTAACTGAGGATTGAATGAGGTGCCAAAGCTGGAGCTGAAACATGGCACTACTGGGTTGCCCGTGTGGAACCCTGTACTTAAATGTTCATGGCAGCACAACATGGACAGTTTAAATTGAGGATGAGACACTGGGGTAAATATATCACAAGCCAGCTTTGAAATTGAATATGATATGCAATTTAACTAGAAAAATTCAAACCTGATCTTTCAGACCCGCTTTTATTTGGATTCTCACAACTGAGTATTGTTTGATCCTGCTATCTTTTCACCGAGTTTTCTTTCTGTGGATGAAGACATCTCAAATAGGTACTCAAAATATAAATGAAGGTAATAATGATAATGATAACTAGGGAGTGCTATTATAAGCAATTCTGAAGCTCCTATTTGTGTTTATTACGAGTTTTAAGTTTTGTCCAGGCAGAGAAAAATTGGATGCCAGGCATGGGAGTAGCTGTGGTGGGGAGGTTGGAAGGGGAGGATGGTGTTGAAGTCACGGTACAGCAGGCAGAGAAAGCAATGCAATTCTGTTTTCTCTAAACCTCAAGTGCAGAGGCTGCTTATGCGGGAGACTGTAAAAGGGGAATCTGCTTAATAGGAGAGCAACGAGGTGGACGATCTTTGCTATTCTTATATTAATGTTTGTGTACCTCACAAAATACATTTTGAAAGTGCTGGCAGACTTTTTTTTTTTTTTTAGAATAAAAGCTGGAGAGTGCAGTTTTTTAGCTGCTGAAGATTCTGAGCTGTGCTGTAGATTAGCTAGACATTACAAAAAGCCCCTCCTGAGTCAGCTAAACAGTGAAATGAAGTTCCTCAAAGTTGGTTTAGCACTGGTGAGTAGCGTAATAACTGAGGAATGGTGGATTCAGTCAATTTAGAGGATAGGACAAATGTTTTGATTCCACCTTCAAAGTTACCTGGGGAACCTAAGAACTTGCTATAATTAACAATACATTGTCATACTTATAGAATCGCAGAAACCTTTTTCCTGGAGGAAAAAGATGGTATAGTTTGACTTAAACAAAAGTAAGTGGGATATTCCATGTGATCCATTAAACTTTATTTTTCTGTTTACCTCTCTCAGGGACAGCATGGCTATGTCACCCTAGCCCAGGGCTGGGATGTATCCTGCCTCTGCTATTAACTTGCTGTATGGATGTCTGCTTACTGTGCTTCTTATGAGCTAAATTGTGTGCCCCCAAAATCCCCCCAAATGTATATGTTGAAATCCTAACCCCCAGTACCTAAGAATTTAACTGTATTTTGAGACAGCATCATTAAAGAGGTAATTTAATTAAAATGAGGTCATTAGGTAGGCCCTAATCCCATTTGACTGTTGTGCTTATAAGAAAAAGACATTGGGACACAGGTATATACAGAGGGAAGATGATGTGAAAAGACATGGGGAGAAGACAGCCATTTACAAACCAAGGAGGCAGTCCTGGAATAGATCTTTCCCTCATAGCCCTCAGAAAGAGGCAATCTTGCTGACCCGTTGACCTCAGACTTCAAGCCTCCAGAACTGTGATAAGATAAATATCTGTTTTTTTTTTTAAGTCACCCAGTCTCTTGTGCTTTGTTATGGCATACCAAGTGCTATGTGAAAAAATCTCAGGAATCCTTTGTGAGAAAGAGAAAACTAATATTTGTTGAGAGTCAACATATAGAGAAACATAAATTTATTTTATAACGTTAATCTTCCCAAGTACCCATGAAATGGGCACTATCTTCGTTATATTGATGAAGAAACAGACAATTGGAGAGATTGGGTAATTCGTGTAAAACCAAAGAGCTGGTGGTGAATAGATTTCAACTGGGTCTCAACCTCTTCTAGCCCTTGCCATTTTTACTCTGTCACAGGAAAATAAAATACAACAAGCAACCCAAGCTCAACCCTTGCACTCCTACAGTGACTTTAATAAGGATATTCTTGCTTATTTAGGAGTCAGATAAAGCCCAAAGAAACTTTGATCTGGAAATAATTGAAACCTCTCGATGAGAGGAACCCCCTGGGTGACAAACCCTCTTAATAATCCATGAGTTACTTTGGTCTCTCACTAGATGGTGCTAGTGCCTATTTCTATGTCATAAGACAGTATGGTGCTAGGATCTCAAACCAACACTTTTGGTGCTCTGTCCATTATCTAATTTGGCTTATAATTTCTTTCTTATGGTTGTTCATGTTTCTGTACCTATAATAAAGAAGGGAGTCCTTAAAAGCACCAAAGTGAAAGTGTCATCCACCATATTGACATGGCAGGAAATATACACAATGACTACAGTGTGAATGATATTTTATCCAATGAGCATTAGACCCTTTTTATTCATGGAGAGGTATGGAATATACTAATTTGTGGTTGAACTCATAGAGAACAAAAAGAGTTAAAATTATTATATCTTTAGTTCTTCTAGAGATTGATTCTCTCTGGGGAGAAGCGTATAACTGCTCTCTGCCCTAGTTTTCTCATTTGTAAAATAGAAATAAAATGTGGGACACTTTGCTTCAAGGAGCACTCAGAAGATGAATGGGGTAGTGTCTCTTAAAATACTCCGTGGTTGTTGGAGAAATAGAGTTATATCCTTTTTGTAAATAGCACAAGAATGATGAGGCCCACAACTTGACTTTGACCCATCAATGCTTATTTGAATCTTCAAACCCCACTTGATCACAGATTACCCTGAAGGACTTTACTGCTGTTTTTTTGCCCAGTAAAATAAAAGATCATCCATATGATGGAAACTACCATTTGTGGGATGGATTAATGGGTGTGTTTCAGTTTCGCAGTGGAGAAATTTGTCCTGCTTTCCAGAAGTCATTTTATCTTTATTTTTCTCCAAGTTCAAGTGCTTTGGTATGGGTACCATTTGTGGCAAGGTTTCTAGATAGTCTCTTTAGTCACAGTCAACAGAGAAATTTTCCACTGTACTTTCTTTTCAACATTTTTTCTAGATATATTTAGAAAAGCACACTAGAAGGTACATTTGGGGATAAAAGGCCATGGATATTTCAGATTAAAATCAGAGTTTGGAGGTGTGAAATGCGCTATGGACTGAATTACATCCTCCTCAAATCTTTACATTAAAGTCCTAACCCCCAGTGTAACTAGGGCCGATAAGGAGGTAATTAAGGTTAAATAAGGTCATAGGATGAGGCCCTGATACAATAGGATTAGTGTCCTTATAAGAAGATACACCAAAGAGCTCTCTCCCACATCATGAGAACATGGCCAGATGTTTCCCCACCCCTGCCTACAAGCTAGGAACAGAGGCTTCACTGGAAACCGACCATGCTGCCAACCTCATCTGAGACTTCTGAGAGCCTCTGGAGAAAATAAGTGTCTGTTGTCTAAGACAACTAGTCTATGGTATTTTATTACGGTAGCCAGAGCATAGTAATACAAAATACCTCATAACTGTATGAAAGGGGTTGGCACACTTTTGCTGTGAAGGGTCGTATAAATTAAATATTTTAGGATTTGTGGGTTGTACAGCCTCTGTTACGTTTGCTCTGCTCTGAGATTCTGACACGAAAGTAGCCATAAAAATGAATGCAGTATGTAGAAAATGAATGTAGAAAAATGAATGAGGCCAGGTTCCAGTAAAACTTTGTTTATGAAAACAGACAGTGGGCCATATTTGGTCACAAGCTATGTAGTTTGCTGACTCTTATTCTAAGAAAACAGAAAAATAACTTAAAGTAGAAATATGCTGTTTTTTTCCTCAAAGGAAGAGTTCCATTATTATTAACCAACAAAAAAATGACAATCAGTTGTCTTTTCCACTTTTAAAAAAGTTGTAATGTGTGATTCCCATTAGTAATAATAATATAGCTGCTTTCAGGCTAGAGGTACATGGACTAATGGTTATTTCTAAAGCAAAGCCACATAAATTTTGAATCTCTTAATTTAAAATTTTTCCTAATCCAATGAAAATAATTTCTTTGGTGCTTTATTTTTTCCTGTATGAAATATTCAACAGAAAATTACACACAAACACACAAGTAAGCTGTCTTTCTTTGTTATACATAGCAAGTTTGTTGCCTAGCCCTTTTGTGTCTCCTTATGTGCCAATTCCAGCAGTTACCCTTCATCCCCCTTCTTCCCAGTGTGGCCAAGTTCTTAGCTCGGTTTCTCCTTTTCCTATTCATGGACTGTGATTATTTGAAAATGTTGCCTCGTTGGCCTCCATGACTGTACGATGGCTGTCAAAGTGTTCTACTGGATTGTTCTGCAACAACCACAACCATTGGTCACGGGGTGCTTATTATGTCTCAGGAATGAGGCCAACTATTTTCAAAATATAATCTCATTTAATTATTATAACATTTCTATAAGATAGGTATTATTATGTCCATTTTGTAGATGAAGACACTGAAGTACAGGGTAGTTAAGTAAAGGGACCGTAATCGAATAATCGGCAAGTAAGTAGCGGAACTTGGTTTGGAACCCAAAGTGTCTGTATTCAGAACCTGTGTTTTGATTCATTTTTCTTTGGACTTTCTGTAACGCATGCTTTCAAAATGCTCTTTTTCTTTTCTTATATCCTCATAATCCAAAAATTATAAGACACATAGAACTCCCACTCCTCCAAAAAAGCTGTGAACACTAGAGATAGGATGTATTAAGTGTTATCTTAATAAAGAGAATCTGGGTAATTTTTAAATACATTGCAGAAACTATTTTCTTGTAAAACGTTGTTTTTTTTTTTTTTTAGATCCTTTCATGTACCATCTTAGTGCCTTGTTCTCCACTGAGTTAAATATGGGTTACTCAACTCTGTGTCATTGTGTTTTTGTCTATGTCTTTCATTAAGATCTTCAGCCTCGAGACAATAGGGATGGTTTAGCTTTCTCTTAACTATAAGGGAACATGCTACCATCTAGGAAAATGGAAAGAGTGTGGGCCTCTATGTTAGGCAGAATTTGTGTTAACCTTTGATGTGCTTCACATGTTACTTAACCTCTTGGGACTTTGATGACTTTGTCTATTAAATGGGTCAATAATGTGTTCACGTCAGGGTGATTGAGATGAGAACTAACGTTTATAAAGTACATAGCCTTGTGCCTGGCACATGATAGTTTCTTAATAAACGTTAAGCTGCCGATGACACTGATCAGATGATGGGTATCTTCAGAATGAATATAAATCAGTCAAGTGAGAATAGATTATTGTTCTATTTCATGAGAAGTGAGCTAGAGCCATATGTGTGTATTTTTGAGATTGTTTTTGTGTGTTTAGGAAAAATATAGTTTTCTTATTTGGAATAAAAAATGACATTCTGAAAGTCCTTGATATGACAGTGAGTTCTTTCAGAGCAGTTTGCTATTAGAGGGAAGAGCTGAGACACATGGCTTAGATTTATCTTTGAAATACACAACTTAACTTTTAAATGAAGGGGAAAAATACTTGGGGCAAAATGTGTTTTTCATTTTTTTAAAGACTAAACACTACGCATGTCTCTCACTCTTCTGCATATGCACTCGGCATATACTTGGGTTAATGGAAAGAGGGTTATGAGCTGTTTTGAGTATTGAATGGGACATATTTATACTAAATAAAAACTTATTGTTTATTGGAAATTCGAGTTTAACTGGTCATCCTACATTTTATCTGGCAACCCTGCCCTCAGAATATGACAAAGACAGATGTCAGGGCAGAGTCAAGGCTCCAAGGCACATTGTGGTGACAGCAGAAATAGACACAATTGTGGTGAGAGGGTCTTGAAAGTTAGAACTCTGCCTCAGTAAAGGAAAGCTGCTAGATATCCTGGCTAGAAACCCTAGGATCCTCATGCTTAAAACAGAGAGCTGTTGAACTGGAGCACTAGTGCTTAAACTTATGGCCTGAATATCTAACATATGTCAATGAGACTTCCTTTTCTAACTATGTCTTCCATGTTTCCTCCCCAACTTCTTTCTCATTAGAACCCCAACCTCTTTTAGTATATTGAGTTACCTAAATAACTAATTAACTCTATGTGTCTTTAACTTCATATATTCTCTTCTTCCCACTATTGACTTGTCTCTTTCCCTCTTCTCAGAGACAGACATCTTGAAAGAATAGTCCCCAATGGTTGTATCTCTTTGTTCTCTCCACCTTTCAGTCTACTGTGGTCTGGTTAAGATTACCAACAATATCTATCAGTCTACACTGTATGTCCACATATACACACTATTTAGCTCTCATTTATAAGAGAGAACATGCAATATTTTTCTTTCTAAGTTGTTTCACTTAAGATAATGGCCTCCAGTTTCATCCGTGTTGCTGCAAAAGACATGATTTCATTTTTATGGCTGAATAGTATTCCATTGGTGTGATCATGGCTCAGTGCAAGTCTCAACCTCCAGGGCTCAGGTGATCTTTCCTTCTCAGCCTCCCGGGTAGCTGAGACTTCAGGCACATGGCACTATGCCTGGCTAATTTTTTTTTTGTATTTTTTGTAGAGATGGGGTTTCACCGTGTTGCCCAGGCTGGTCTTGAGCTCCAGGACTCAAGCGATCCTTCCACCTTGGCTTCCCAAAGTGCTGGGATTATAGGCATGAGCCACTGTGCCTGGCCAACACACACACACACACACACACACACACACACACCATATATATATGAAATCTCACACACACATATGTAAAAATCTTATATATATGAAATCTCACACACATATACATATATAAAAATCATATATATATATGAAATCACACACACACACACACACACACACACACACTCACACACCATGTTTTCTTTATCCAGTAATTCGTTGCTGGACACTTAGGTTAATTCCGTATTTTTGCTCTTGTGAATAATGCTGCGATAAACATATGAGTGCAGGTATGTTTTTGGTGTAACATATAGACATAGAGTATGGACTAATATACACTGGAGACTTGGAAAAGTGCGCGCTGGGATTGGGGTAGATGATGAGAAATTACTTAATGAATATAATGTCCATTATCCAAGTGATGGATACATTAAAAGCCCAGACTTCACCACCACGCAATATATCCACATAACAAAATGGCACTTGTACCCCTTAAATGTAGACCAAAAATAAAAGAGTACTAATAACCTCTTGACTGTTAAATCAAATGGATGTTTTAGGATTTCCCATACCTGACCTCTCTGTAGCATTTGGCACTGCTCATGCCCCACTCCCTCCTCCTCTATTCACTTTATACACTCATTTCCTTTGGCTTCTGTAACATCCCATCAACCTTCGCAGATTCCTCTTCCTCTGCAGTTTTTTTATCTTGCAAATTTAGGAGAATTTTCGCCTAGCTTTCTGTTCCATCTGCAAATTATCCTTTTACCGGTTTATATACTATCATGACTTTATTTGGCATCTGTATGGGAATGAATTACCATTGTATATCTATAGCCAGATCTTTCTTCTGGGCTCCACACTGGTATTTCCAACTATATCATACTTATAGTTGACATTCCATGGGCACTTCATATTCAATATGCCCTAAACAACTGTTGTTCCTATATCAGCAGAGCATAAAAAGAATGCCATGCATTTATTTATTAAATTTATATTTTTGAGATGAGGTCTTACTTTGCACCCAGGCTGGAGGGCTGGTGTGATCGTGGCTCAATGTAAGTCTTAACCTCCAGGTCTCAGGTGATCCTTCCTCCTCAGCCTCCCGGGTAGCTGAGACTTCAGGCACATGCCACTATGCCTGGCTAATGTTTTTGTGTTTTTTGTAGAGACACGGTTTCACCGTGTTGTCCAGGCTGGTCTTGAACTCCTGGACTCAAGCAGTTCTTCCACCTTGGCCTCCCAAAGTGCTAGGATTACAGGCCTAAGCCACTGCATCTGGCCACCATTTATTTTGTCCTGAAAACCAAGAAGGTGGTAAAGGAAGCAAAATTTAATTCCTTTAAAAAGCTGTATTTCTCAGATAAATATTTTTAAAACGTAGACAGACATTAGTCTTTTGTAATTAGAATCACTTTTTGGAAAGGTATTTGTCTGGGTTATGGCTGATGCTGTCTAGTATCCTTTCTCTCTGACCATATGCCTTTACAAAAGGTATTCCCACAGTCTAAGGTTGTTTACTGATTGTCCCAGAGACAAATCCTCTTGATAATATTCTATGTACTTTTTTTTGGTTGTATAGAATTTTTGATATACTTCTCTATTTTATCACAACAAGTGTTTATGACAAAGTCATTGCTGTGGTTACAATGGTTAGCACAGTTTGTGCTCATGAGTGTTCCAGAAACCATGTGGTCATGGTGTATTCCTTCCTCACGCACCTTCTGCCAATTAAACAAGAGAGATTTATCAGAGACCTCAGTTAAGGCTGCATACACCGGAATACTTATGTGCATTGCGGAGGCACCCCGATTTACCGAGTGCTCTGCCACTCAAGGATCACCCTGAACATGTCTTGTAGAGATAACTACATTTCCCCAGTGATTTACATTGTAATTTCTGGGATGTTTGCCCTTATTAAAAATGTTGGCACTGAAGCAATTAAAATCATTCTTTAATGTGAAAAACTCTGCAGTAGTATGTTTATTACAAAAGAAGAGCCTCTGAAAAATTATTTGTAAACTACCAAAAACAAGTGAAGTGCCTTGCTTGATCTTCCTTAATTTTATACACTTCCAAGATAAGAATTTACACTAGAAACAAATAAATGACAAAATGATATTTATTTTAATTTCCACAATTTCATTAGTTTGGTTTTGAGAAAGAAAGAGTGGGGTGAAGACCATTAAAAGAGATTGTTTTAGTCAGTTTTGGCTGCTGTAACAAAATACCATAGACTGGGTGTCTTTACAAACAGCAGATATTTATTTCTCACAGTCTGGAGACTGAAAGTCTGAGATCAGGGTGCCAGTACTGCCAGGTGCTATCAGGTGAAGGCTGTCTTCCTGGCTTGCAGATGGCTGTCTTCTTGCTATATTCTCATCTGCTGGAGAGAGAGCAACAGCTCTCTGGTCTCTTCTTATAAGGGCACTAATCACATCATGTGGACTCTACCCTCCTGACTGCATCTAAGCCTATTTTCCTCCTGAAGGCCCCATGTCCTAATACCATTACAGTGGAGGTTAGAGCTTCATCATATAAATTTAGAGGGGACACAACATTCACTCCATAACAGGGATAGTCTCCCTGCTATGAAACTATTTCCATATCTATAAATTGGTAGTAAAAGCCTTCAGTTTTGAGATGAAAAAGGATAGAGTAAGCTTTTTTTAGAACAAACATTTAAACTGGGAATCAAGTCTGAATAGGGAATTTGTTGTTGTGTTCGTCTCAAGAAATCCACGGCATTGAATGAGTCAATGCCAGAGAAGTTTTTGTGTTCTTTGGACTATTGTAAACTGGAATGAAAAAAGTATATAACCCTTGATAAAGGCTATCTTCTCTAGCATTTTGACTTGACCTTGTGTCATTTCTCTGTATACAGTTAACGTGGACCCAGAATAAAGTTGAGAAAAGTCAGGTAAAGAATTCAGCAGATTGTAATAAATCAGGTCAGACTTTCCATTCTTTTAAAATCTTTCTGGTGTTGCTATTTTCTGTAGATTTTTACCATTCCAGTAGAGTTTAGAATTATGACATTTAGGAAAAGAACTAATTTTCTGGGGTAAACTTTACTCTATTTTTAGTGAAAAAGCCTCATAAAGACAAGACATATATATGAATGTCCATCGCAGCATTATTCATCACAGCTGAAAACTATAAATAATCTAAATGACTACCAATTGGTAAATGGGTAAACATACAATTAAATACTGCTCAGCAATATAAAGGAGTGAATTACTGGTGAGCTGTAACACAGTTTCTTTAGTGAAAGAATCCTAATGCATAAGACTCTGTATTACAGAATTACGTGTATATAATATATCCAGAAAAGACAAAGGTATAGAGGCAGAAAGCAGATCAGTGGCCACTAGGGGCCAGGGTGGGAACAAGGATTAGCTGCAAGTGAGGTGCACAAAGGGACTTTTGGGGGTAATGGAAATGTTCTAAAACTGTATTGTAGTGACGGGTATGTAGCTCTATAAATTTTCTAAAAATCATTCAGTTGTACACTTGCAATGGGAGAATTTATGCTATATAAATTATACCTCAATAAAGCTATAAAAATGAACTTCTAATGAAGTTTCTTGTTCTTCATTAATGAAAGACTGATGAAAACCCGTATCTTAAGAAACTGTCTTTATTGTGGTCCAGCCTAGATTTCTCTTCTTTTAAAGAATTATGCTGACCTTAACACTGTGATCTTTTCACAAATCCTTTGGTGTCCATTCAAAAGCATTCCTGTTTTGTGGTATATGTGCAGGATGTGCAGGTTTGTTACATAGACAAACGTGTGACATGGTGATTTGCTCCACCTATCAACCCACCACCTAGGTATTAAGTCCAGCACGCATTAGCTCTTTTCCCCAATGCTGTCCCTGCCACACCCTCCCATGGATAGGCCCCTGTGAGTACTGTTCCCCTCCCTGTGTCCGTGTGTTCTCATTGTTCAGCTTCCACTTATAAGTGAGAACAAGTGGTGTTTGGTTTTCTGTTCCTGTGTTAGTTTGTTGAGGGTAATGTCTTCCAGCTTCACCCATGTCCCTGCAAAGGACATGGTCTCATTCTTTTCAATAAAGTAATAAAAAAAAATTAAAAATAATGGGCAAATCTGAAAACAAAGCAAAACGAAAACAAAAACAAAAGCATTCCTGGCCAACTGAACACCGATTTTCCTTGGAAAGATGGAGGGTAGTGGGGAGATGAGGCTACTCAGACCACAAAATTATCGGTGACTTTCAGGCACAAGCTGCTTAACAGAATGACAGGAATTGTAAACACATTAATTGCGAGGCACAGGATGAGGACCTCTGTCTTTCCTGGCACTGTCAGTCAGACAAAACTGAAGTGCGGCCTTGCAAATCAGTCTAATAACCTCGCTTCCTTCCCATTATGAGCCACAGGGGTACAGTTCCTGACATATCAGAATTCTTGAATAATGTCCATCAGCACTTTGCTATCGACATGCTGCAGATTGAGCGTGTTCTTGTTTGAAGAACACTCTGCTCATCCCTGAATCAGAATCTTTAGAGAAAATGCAAAGCGCTGTTGAAAAGCAGACAATAAACAGTAATGGAGCAAGAACGGGCCATGTTAGTGCCGTTAGTCACAGTAAATGTATCTGATATTTTTTTTCTTAAGCTATAACTCTTGCCATCCCTCCTTTGTGCAGGGAGCAAGTGATGTTTATAAACTTGTCTGAATAGCCAATCTTTCACAAGGCTTTCCACATACTAATTCAGTTAATAGAATCAAATGTCTAAGTGTAGTTCACAAAGAGAACATAAATCAAAATGCAATTCTTGCCAATTTTCCTGTAACCTGAAAGATGGAAAATAACGCCTAATTTTCTACAACTGACATAAAAGCCTACTGATTAGGTCATCATGAATGATACATATGGAGGCACTGAGTTATATTATTTGATTTGAGACCTAATACAAACAGAAGGGATACTGCCAGGCAGGAGAGCCCATTAAAACACTGCTATCAGCAACACTTGTGTCATAAAAAGCTGAACATCTTATATAACACTTCACTTGAGTACAGCTTTTAGGAGATGTGATTAGGCTGTGGTACATCTTCACCTGTAAAAGCCCAAGCCATTCTGTAATGTAAACCTTTAGACAAATAAAATCACAACATTGGAAACTGTAAGAGAAAGTAAGTTAAATATATATGTATATAAACATATACATATATTTTTATATATGTATATAAATTTATACATAATATAAATTTATATAAATTTATACATAATATAAATTTATATAAATTTATACATAATATAAATTTATATAAATTTATATGTATATATACATATAAATTTATATGTATATATACATATATACCCATATATACATGTATATATATGTATATGTATATATACATATACATATATATAAAGGTCCTAACCTTAAGGAAATTGAATTTCATTTCAGAGATAATATATTCTTTTTTAAAAAGCTATATCATTAAAACATGATGAATGCCAAGACAAACAAAATAGTTCATGCTTTCTGAGAGAGTTGAATATTAGTTGGAAGAGTTAAGGAAAAAATCCAGGAGGAGGTGGAACGACAGGTGTATCTTACATTGAGTGAAACCTAGGCAGCTATAAAAGATGGTGAGAGGCATTCTCGGTAGGTGCTGAATATCAAGGAGGAAATACTAAAATGTTTTGAGAACAGTGGTCTGGCTATAGCGCGAAGTACATGGCGATTCATGGAATATAAAATTGGAAGGTATCTTGAATGCTAAAATGACAGGTTTAGATTTTATGCCATAGATGGTGAACCACTGAAGGTTTTCTATGTTGGGTTTTGCACAGGGATGTGACATTATGCAGATGATATTCTAAAATTAATGTGCCAACTGTATACAGAGTAGATTAGGAGGTAAAGACCGTGAATGCTGGAGGGTCAATTAGCAAATGATAAGAAAGAACAGACATGAAATAAAGAATAGATATGTGTGAAGTAGAGACTGAAATGTCCTCTCTTCTAATTTTCCCGAGTATTTGAGTTAACTACACAGTTATACATCTGGATGAATAGGAGAGTGATTGTAGTGTTCACAAAAACTTTAATGAATAAATAGAGCTAGTAGAAATGGAAAAGCATAAGTTTTAAACAACGAATGTTGCAACGTGTTGAGAGGGATGGAAGGAGATCATCTGGCACACAGTTCTGAAGGGACCCACACTGCTTTGTGCTGTCTTGTGTCTCTGGCGCCTGTGGTGGGAATTGTGCACACTAAGTGCCCTGAACACATTAGGTGAATGGCTTGAAGAAAGAAATATGTAATAATGAAGATTTGATTAAAGGTCAACAACATGTATTTGGAAGTCCTTTGCATGGAGATCATAGTTAAGATTGTGAGAAATGATAAGTTTCCTAAGAGTGTCACCAAAAAGGAAGAAAATGACCAAGTATTGGAAAAATCTTCTTTTTTTTTCTTTTTTGAGACGGAGTCTCGCTCTGTGGCCCAGGCTGGAGTGCAGTGGCCCAATCTTGGCTAACTGCAAGCTCCGCCTCCCGGGTTCACGCCATTCTCCTGCCTCAGCCTCCCGAGTAGCTGGGACTACAGGCGCTCGCCACTGCGCCCGGCTAATTTTTTGTATTTTTAGTAGAGATGGGGTTTCACCATGTTAGCCAAGATGGTCTTGATCTCCTGACCTTGTGATCCACCCGCCTCGGCCTCCCAAAGTGCTGGGATTACAGTTGTGAGCCACCACGCCCGGCCGGAAAAATCTTTAATTAAGGAAGTGTAACAAGACAAACAACCCACAAAAGAAATGATGTAGATCAGAAGGATAGTAGCTTTGATGCATAAAGTTTCTGAAGTTTTAAACGCAGGAACAGAAAACCAAACACTGCATGTTCTCACTTATAAGTGGGAACTGAACAATGTGAACACATGGGCACAGGGAGGGGAACACACACACTGAGGCCTGTCGGTGGGGGCTGGGGGAGGAGAGCATCAGGAAAAACAGCTAATGCATGCTGGGCTCAATACCTAGGTGATGGGTTGATAGGTGCGGCAAACCACCATGGCACACTTTTACCTGTGTAACTAACCTGCACATCCTGCACGTATGTACCCCAGAACTTAAAAAAAAAAGTTTGTGAAGTTTTAAAATGGCAGATAAAAACAACATTTTCAGTGGTAGTTTTAGAGGAAAAAAGGTTGCTTAATAAAGAAATAATCATTTAAAATATTTGATTATGTGAGAATTGAGTATACTTGATGACTACAAGCTTTTCTATGTTAGTTTATGTGGAAAATGAAGACCTTAACAGCGTGCTTAAGTATAAAATCTATTGTACAGATATTTTCCTTGTTTGCTAAATGTGAAGAAAATGTATGTCACATGTGTGTGTTGATGAACACTGAATAGTGACAAGAAAGCCTTTTTACTTCTCTGCAGTGACATTTTACTCCACCATGACTATATAAAAATTAATTTTGGAAACATAATTGAACATAATTTTTTAAATAGCTATTCAGAGCTAGTTGTGTATAGTTCAATGTTGGGAAATATTTCTTGAGTTTCCAAAGGAATTTTTACCCAGAGCATCAAGAAAATACCATCTACATTTTTCTTACAGTAGGAGTAGATGATGTTCAATCTTTCTTTTTTAAAATCATTTTCAAGGCATCCTTGAAGTCAAGTTGAGGCAGTAATTAGAGTTTTTGGCATTAAGATGCTGTATCCATATCTGGGTTTTGGCTAGAAATGCTTAAAATCTATTATAATGAGAAATGAAGTTGGAAATTTTCTCTTGAAATTTCAGATTCAGTATGCTCAGTGCTTAAAGTATATTTGCCAAACAGCCAAGATCCACTGACAGTTATAATTTTTCAGGTTTGACACAGTTGGTCTTTTCTCTGGTGTTCCAAAAATAGGCTACTTGGTCTTTCAGCTCATAAATTTAGCCAAGCATATTTCCTTTTAAGAATCAAAGAACCTCAACATGGAACACAAGCATTTTTTGATCCATATATGTATCCTCACAAAAGAAAGGGAAAAAACTGGTGTTTCATGAACTGTTTTTCTTATACTAGATTACCTTGGTAGTGAGACCAAAATCTACTCTTCGAGAACTTGGCAGCATTTGGGAAATCATTTTTGGAGGGCAAATGGCATAGGGTCAGTATTTTGTTTTGTTTTGCCAGCAATCCAGATTACCAATCCAATATTTCTAGAATAGCAAAAGCATATTGTAATCCTCCCTATTCCCAATTCTGCTCCTTTGGTTAGAGTGACTTTGACAGAACTATGGAGGTACTTCATCTCTGTGGTAATTGTCAAAACCTGTGAAAAAGAGCATTTTTGTTTCATAGAGCATTTAGCTAAATAGTCGGCATAAACTAATAATTGAGTAGAGCCCCCCCATTAGTAGAATCATCACAGGTCATACCAAATAAAATAAAAGGTAATGACTGATCTTTTGCCAAACTTGAATTATCATAGCTTCTACTGAGTTGTCTGTTTAAAGATTGACACAGCAATTACCCAAATGTTTATAACAGAAACACTATGGTGTTTCCTTAATAAAAGTTTTGGAAACATTCAGAATGCAGACTTTAATGAGAGTCACCAAAGAAGTAAGGTTTTTACTTTTTGCAGTTAAAGGGGATATTTCACATAAAATTATCACAGCCCTTGAGGTTTCTTGGTTATAGACTTTAATAATTGTCAACTACATGTGTGGGGCAGAGAATAGTCTTTTTAAGAAAGATTTTTCTGATTTTTACATTTTTACTAAAACGTTATTCATGAGGGTTAGTTGGTGTCACTACTCTGGATTTTTAAACTTAGACCATACTGAGAGATCTAGACCTTATCTTTTTACAATATTGGTGACCCTTTCCTTTATATCAGCCTTATCACATTTTGGAGTTTTATTTTTGCCATCGTTGACAGCTATTCCACTCTTTTCCCAAAACTGAAATACTCCATACCTCAAAAAACTTATAAAAACAGGAGGTACTAATCAGAGTCTGGCATTACTTTTCCAGAGATCTAGAATTTAAACTGTTTGAGGAAAGGGACTTTCTTAGCCGTTGCCCAATCTCCTGACCTCGTATAGTCAACGAGTCAGTGCTCAGTAAGTATATGTCGAATGCATTCCTTAAATGAATATTTGTTTATTGTCATCAGTGATGTCAATGGGGGAAAATGAGTAGTGGAGATGGCTATTTCATATGTGTATAAGCTCCAATACACAATATTTTAGATAATTTTTCATATATGGCTACGCATTTAGACCTACTTAAAGGTTCCTGGTCCAGATCTATATGTTTCTATTTCTTAAATTTGTGTTCTAGCTTGCATAGTCAAAAGCAACTATAGCTCATGAAACAGGAAAGGAAAGATGCTTCGGAAATCTGATAGCCCCCTTTCAACATTATAATAGATTCAAATTTTGTTTATTTTTTAAAACATAACACATTCATTGTATTTTGATGACCAGTAAGTTTATCAATATAATATGCATCACATACATAAACTACATTGGACATAATTAAGAAAGACTTGTGAATGTTTGTTACATGTTGGGTTAAATGTTGTGCTTACTCTGAAAGTGTTCTCATGCTGTTTCTTGCACACCCCCACAACTGGGGAGTACTTGTTTTGAAATTAATTTTCTGTGTTTCATATTATGAAAGCTACCTGTATTTTTTTTAACTTTCCAAGGTTAAAAAAATTTTTGCAGCTTTATTATTAAATACATTTCTTTGAAGAGTAACTTTTCTGATCTGTCTATGAGATTCACATCTGAACTTCTAAGAGGACATTTTGCTCAATGCCTCCTCTGCCCCAGAATACTGTGAAATGGTAGATAAAGGAAGAAAACGTTTGGACTTGGTGGTTACGAGCATGCCAAATGCAATTGAGGTCAAGTAGAGTGATGGGTACAAGTGAAGTCTTTGTGATTTGGCAAGAAAGTGATTATTAGATTTCCACGGAAAGAACAGTTTTTATAGCTCAATGAGGATAGAAACCAGATTGGAAAGTGGTGATAAGACACACTTGAAACCCATCAGACAATAAAAAATGGAAAAATCTGACAGTACCAATTGCTATAAGGCTGTGGGAAAGCCTCATACACTAATAGTGGGAGCACATTGAGACAACTAGTCTGTAGAGGCAATTGGCACTATATACAACATCTAGTGATGTTGAAAGTGCACATAGCCTGAGGCTCAGATATTCCACTTTTACCTATGTCCGCAAAGAAACATATACTGAAATGCCTATTTAATATTATATTTGGTAGGGAAAATTAGAAGCAATGTAAATCTCCATGAATAGAAGAAAGAGAAATAATTTGTGCTGTGTTCATATGATGAATAATACTCACCAGGTAAAATGAATGAATGAAAACAATATGCATCAATATAGATAAATCTCAAATATATAACTAGTACATAAATTTAAACAAGTTTCAGAATGGAACATGTAGTGTGATATCATTATGTACTTTTAAAAGCACTCAAGCAAACACTGTATTTTTTGTTTTCTTTTGTTTTTGTTTTTTTGAGACAGAGTCTCACTCTGTCACCCAGGCTGGAGTGTAGCAATGTGATCTCACTGCAACCTTTGCCTCCCAGGTTCAAACAATTCTGTGCCTCAGCCTCGCGAGTAGCTGGAATTACAGGCCTGTACCACCATGCCTGGCTAATTTTTTGTATTTTTAGTAGAGACAGGATTTTTCCATGTTGGCCAGGCTGGTCTCAAACTCCTGGCTTCAAGTGATCTGCCCACCTTGGCCTCCTGAAACACTGTATTTTTAAAGACACGCACATTTAGTAAAACCACATAGATCCATATATATGTAGTAAAAGTATGAAAAAACTGAATGCAAAGGATTCAAAATAATGGTTCCATGTCGGGGGGAAGGGTTGGCAAAGATTTTAGATAAATATGGGGCCAAGGAGAGCTACAAAAAATACTTTAACGGCACTTGGAATGTTTTATTTTATTTTTTAAAGTCTGAACGGAATAAAATAAAATAACATTTGTTCACTTAGGTGATGAGTGACTTGTTACTTGTCTCCATATTTAAAAATATTAGATATATTTTATTAAAACTTGAAAATGAAAGTAAAACCCATTTTTTTATTTGGGGAAGCATAACTATATTTGAAGTTAGAAGGTGCTAAGGAAAAGGGAGAATTTTAAGTCTCTTGAGAGATTGGGGATTGATATGGTTTGGCTGTGTCCCCAACCAAATCTCATCTTGAATTGTAGTTCCCATAATTCCCACATGATGTAGGAGGCACCCAGTGGGAGGTAATTGAATCATGGGGCCGGTTACCTCCCTGCTGTTCTCGTGATAGTGAGTGAGTTCTCACAAGATCTGATGGTTTTATAAGGGACTTTTCCCTGCGTTTTGCTCCACACTTCTCTCTCTTGCCATGATATGAAGAAGGGTGTGTTTGCTTCCCTTTCCATCAGGATTGTAAGTTTCCTGAGGCCTCCTCAGTCATGCTGAGCTGTAAGTCAATTAAACCTCTTTCGTTTATAAATTACCCAGTCTCAGGTATGTCTTTATTACCAGTGTGCAAATGGACTAATACAGGGATATAGCATGAGCCTCTGGAAAATGCAGTATCATGGGATCCCAGGCATAGGGAAGGGAGTAGACTTTGAGCTCAATGCCACATCTTATTATATCTTTGTGCATCTTATGTTACCATCTGTCTCATACAACTGTGTCTTATTCATTCTTATCTTTCTGGTAGCAGTGAAAGGGCCTGGTACCTAATCAGTGTTTGTAGGAAGAAAGATTGGGAAATATGAAAGAAAGAAAGTCATGGCAAGACAGTAAAGGACAATGAAGATGAGTTGGAGGGGAGAATAAATAAATCAGAGATGAATTAGAGAAAAGACAAAAGATGATAGCATTAGTTCTGTGTAGCCATGAAGAAAGTACATGTCATTGTTGAGAATGGAAGGGCTTGGAGAGCTAGGACTTATCTTAAAAAAACAAAACAAAACACTTGAACCATGTTCTTTTGGCTTTGGAGACTAACTAGGTCCTGAAAACTTACATCAATAATGTTGTAAGACAACAATGATAATTTGGGGAAAGTAATTGCCAGATCCACTGACCAGTAGGTAAGAGAGAACTTGTAGTGATATGTTAAGAGAAAGCAGACATGAAGGGAATTTTGTAAAGCTTTGGATAAATTATGGAGTTGGCAAATACTTGTTGATGAATGTATAGGATTGAACGGGGTTTGACAGCTCTGTAGTAATCACCTTAGTTTGCATTAGTATGATGAATATGCAGCCATACACACTGAACAG
The DNA here is from genome assembly GCF_000001405.40 of Homo sapiens. NCBI lineage: Eukaryota > Metazoa > Chordata > Mammalia > Primates > Hominidae > Homo > Homo sapiens. Next base: position 80,347,677 of record NC_000014.9, on the reverse strand, counting down.
CTTACACACATACAGATATAGTGCTGTGTCAAGAATGGCTAGTATTGCCTTGAACCATGAATCATAGCGTGTGGATAATGGCAAAACTACATTAAAATTCCCACTGAACTATTCCCAGGGCCTGAAATTGGAATCAACCTTAACCAGATTCTCTGGATTTATTTATTTAATACTATCACTGATATCAGAGGACCAAGGGCAGAGCAGCTATTGACTATAGGTCGCATGTAATTGTGTTATTGTACATGACTAGATTACCAAATAACTCTGAGATAATTTCTCAGCCAAATAAATAACACCAAATAACTCTGAGATAATTTCTGTCTGGCGGAAAATAAAACCTCAGGATTTTATGAGAGTACACAGTATTTCAGTGTCAAACAATTGCAATAGATGGGTAGTCAAATTATATGGGTTTTTCAGGTTTTCTGCATTGTATTTCCTTCATGGACTGGAAGCTTTAAGAGCATCAAGTAAATAAAATTACAGTATGTTAGAAAAGGTGAATTTCGATTAATATTTGACAAAATTCAATACTGTGCATTTGGCATTTATTGTATATAACTTTAACCAACTTTTATTATGTTTGTATCAAGGATTAGCTCTAGAAATATAATCATGTGATATATTCTGGAAACATATAAAATAGTTTAAATCAGAGATGGGCAACTATGCCCTCCTGGCAATTTTAGCCAACTATCTGTTTTTGTATGAATCTGAGCTAAGAATGGCTCTTACATTTTTATGTGGTTTAAAGAGACCTAAATCAGAGTAATATTTTTTGACAAAAGAAAATTATAAGAAATTTAAATTTTTGTTCTAATTTAAGTTTTACTGGGACACAGCCATGCTCATTCATGTAGGTATTGTCTGTAGCTACTTTCACACTACAAGCAGAGTTGAATAGTTGCAACGAAGACTGTCTGGCTCACAAAGCCTAAACTATTTACTCTATGGCCCTTTACAGAAAAAGTTTGCTGACCCCTGATCTAAATATGTTATTTTGTAATTATGTAGCATGTTTCCTCCCAAAGATTGGCATAAACAACTCTTTGGGCCACTCTACAATCTTGGGGTTTGGCTGGTCATCAACTATCACATTAGTAGTCTTCCCAAGGCCACAAGACAGAGAACAGGCAATTATACAACAGTCATCTACGTAGGAAATAATGGCAATAATCATTTAGAATTTCCCAAGCACAGAAAGAGGAGCTACTGAAAGCACACTTTGATTAGAGGTCTTTCAGCTCTGGCTGGAGAAGAGATCTCATTTAACCAACTTGGTGAGAATGCTTTACAAATAATATTACTGGTCACAGACAAAGAAAATAGAATCAGTATTTCTTCAGAGCCCAGAACAGAAGTTACAAGATGAATAACTGCTTTCTTCTTATTTATTATTTGGATGTCAACTTGTATAGTTAGTTGATCTTTGTCCTGTGTATTTATCTCTTGTTTTTTAGTGTTTAACAGCTCATTTTTTAAAAAACAAAAGCTCTTACATGAAACTAGCTGCAGAAGTCTGTGCACAGAAGTTGTTCATATTTTTGTGCTTGCTATTTAATTGCCTGGTCACTTTGGCTCTGCCATGCAAGCTTTTTACCATAAATTCTACACTAAGTTGGTCTTTGTGTTTTTGTTTCAATACACTGATGTCGGTCTGTGTCACTGGACATGTGAAATGTCCCCACATCCTATAAAGGATCCATAAATCCATTAAGGACACAAGGGGAAAAAAAATCTCCTTGGGATTTGACCCTGTCAGAGTAATTTCTCTGCCTTACTGAGTGAAACTCCAGAAATGGTGTTTTCCTAATAAAACTTATTTTCAATTACTGAATTTTATTGGAAATGTCTAACATTGCTATTGGCTTACTCAGCTCTTTCAAACAGATGTGATTTTGTGTTTTCATAATTATTGGATTCAGAAATACCTGCATGAGGTAAAGATTTTTTTTATTTTTTTTTTAATGTCATGGCAGTGGAGCTTTTGCTTCCTTTGATGGAATTAAAGGCTGTTTAGGCGGCCAGGGAACTAGTCAAGCTCAAAAAGGCTGAAAAAGCAGAACAGAAATGGCAATTTCTCTATTGATTCTGGAGAACATCAAGAGAAGTTTGATACCACTGTGCTCATCTCTGACACACAACCTTAGCCCAGTCTTCAAAACGGAATTTATATTCATCTAAAAACGTTTTCCTTTGTAGTTTCCTTCTCTTCTCCTCTCCTTTTCCTTACTCCCCCTGACTTTCTTCTTCCTTTCTTTTCTCTTCCTTTCTTTTCCTTCCTTTTTTTCTCTACTCTTTTCCTCCCTTTTTTTCTCTACTCTTTTCCTCACATGTGCAAAAGGTACGCATTGTTTCATTCTTTTTTATTAGATCATCTTTGGTAACATAAATCTAGATTTTAGTGTAATTGTACAATGTATCGTGAGGTTGATTGTCAAATCTAGTATCACCACTTCACCCAAACACACAGACACTAAAACAAACAAACAAACAAACAAATACAAGCACATTTTGGCTGTGGCCAAGTAGAAATCTTTAAAAGAAAACTTTATATACCTTATCTCATTCTGTCTTTCTTTCCTCGCCTGTTTCCTTTTATCTTTCTCTGTTCTACTCAGTTTTCACCTAGTCTGTTTCTCCATTCTGTCCTCATTTTTATTTCTTCCTGGTTTCACCATTCTTTTTGTCATCACAGGGTAATAGTGTGTTAATTTTCTATCACTGCATAACATATTACCATAAGCGTACTGGCTTAAAACAACACCCATTCTTTTCTCACAGTTCTGTAGGACAGAAATGTAGTTGGATTTGATTGGATTCTCTGCTTAGGTTTCAGAAGTCTGGGTGCTTACCTGGAGGCTCTGTAGAAGAATCCACTTCCAAACTCATTCAGGTTTTTGGTAGAACTGAGTGCCTTGCAGTTGTAGGACTGAGGTCCCTGTTTTCTTGCTGGCTGTTGGCTGGGTACATTTCTCAGTTCTTAGAGGCCATTCTCAAGTTCTTGCCTGAGTGGCCCAATCCATTCTAGCAATGTCTCCCTGAAATAATCCCTCTCACACTTTGAATCTCTTTGATTTTCTTTTCAGCTACCAATTGAAGAAAATTCTCAGCTTTATGGGGCTTATGTGGTTAGGTTAGGCCCACTGGGAAAAGGTCTCTACAATACAGTCAACAGATTGATAACCTTAATTGCAACTGCCAAATTCCTGTTTGCCATGCAACATAATATAATCATAGGACTAACACCAGCAGTGGAGATCATGGGGCTAATTTTAGTATTCTGCCTACCATAAATAATAACACTTTTTTCTTTTCTTCTAGGACAGGTCAGGACATTAGTGGTTACGAAAGTTGATCCTGTCTCTTTATATAAAGAAACTCACTGATAATCCTTAGTAATAGCTGAATTAGACATTTAGATACATGAGACTAGGACAGAGCTCTGTGAGTCTTACTAAAGTGTTTTCTTGGCTACACCATGGTGAAAGTTGTAAAATTTAGAACTCCACTTTTTTTTTCCAACTTTCAACCCCAACACTTATCAAAGATAAGTAGTAATTAAGAGCTGAAGGTGAGAAGAGCTCTTTATTTATTCCCTTATTAAGAGTTGTTATGAGTTTAAGTTTGCCTTCTCCAAAAGTTCATATGTTGAAGTCCTAACGCCAGTACCTCAGAATGTGACCTTCTTTGGAAATAGGGTTGTTGCGAATGTAGTTAGTTAAGATAAGGTCATACCAGAGTAGGATAAAACCCTAATCCAACATGACTGGTGTCTTTATAAAAAGAGGAAATGAAGACATAGACACACACACAGGGAGAACTCCATTTGAAGATGAAGGCAGGAATCAGTGTGGTGTTTCTATAAGCTGGGGAAGGCCAAAGATTGCAGACAAACTACCAGAAGCTGGGAAGAGGCAAGAAACAGATTCTTTCTCATTGGGCTTAGAAGAAATCAACTTTGCTGATACCCTGATCTTGAACTTCTAGCTCCAGAACCAAGACAATAAATTTGTGCCCAGTTTGTGGCACTTTGTTACAGCATCCCTAGAAAACTAATGTAGGAGTCTATCAAAGTGATGCAAATTTTAAAGCTGTAGCCTATTACCAACAAAAGTGACATACTGAATAGGTGGCATCTGAGTTCTAATAGATGATTGCTAAGTAGCCCAGTAAAACATATTCCAGAAATTATGACATTTGGATTTGATAAAAATATATTCTACTTTTGCATATTGGGCTCTCATTAAATGGTATGATGTTAAATAATACAAATACAAAAGTCTGCTAACACCTTGATGTAAGCAAGTAGGATTCGTTCTTGCATCCCAGCCCTAGCACAATGCCAGGTTTATAGCAGATACTCAATAATTGGCTGCAGAAGGAAAGAATGAAGGAGGAAAGTTGATTAATATACAGTATCATAGTATCAATCCATAGAAAACTCTATAGAAACAAACAAATTAAACAAAAACCAAAATGTTTTTCATTTAAAAGTAAATGCCCTAAATGATGGGCCTATCTTAGAGAAATCCAAAATTCATCAAGTTACTCATTCAGGAAATATTTATTATGCATCCGTGACCTGCTGGGTGCAGTACTAGGAACTGGAGGCAGAGTGCTGAATGAGAGGGACCCAGAACCTAGTCTTGTGGAGGTTACAGTTGAGTGGATAAGATCTGAAACAAATGCACCATGACAGATATGTATAATATAAATTTGCTTAAATGCTAGGAAGATAACATGGTCTTCCATTCTTATTCCCTGCCTTAGTCAGTTCAAGCTGTCATAACAAAATACTATAGACTGGTTGGTTTAAACAATAGAAGTGAATTTTCTTACAGTTGTGGGGGCTGGAAGTCCTAGATCAGGGTGTTAGCAATGGTTATTCTGGTGAGGGCTCTTTTCCTGGTTTGCAGAGGGCTGCCTTCTGGCTGTGTCTGTCCTCACATGGCCATTCCTCCGTGCATGTTGTTCAGGGAGAGAGAGAGCTCCAATGTTGTTTCCTTGTCTTATGGGACCGCCAGTCCTTAAGATCAGGGCTTCACCATTTTGACCTCATTTAACCTTTATCACCTTACAGGCTCTGTGAAATCACATTGCGGGTTAAAAGTTCAATATATGAATTTACACAAACATTCAGTCTATGACTCTTTCTTCAAATTGTTTTCCCAAAGAACAACTGGAGTGGTCCTTCTGTAATGCAAGGCAGATCACATGACCCTTAACACAAAAGCTTCCAAGGGTTTCCTGTTTCACTTAGAGTAAAAGCTGAAGGACCTACTATGGTGTCCAAGGCCCTACTCCATCTAACCCTAATCTCACTTTTCCTGCCTCATCTCTTACAATTGTCCTCCAACTCAGTCCACTTTAGTCACTGTAGCTCTTTGCCTTCCTCAAACACTCCAGGCATTCTCTTGCCTCAGGACTTTGCACTGGATTCTCCTTCCACCTGGAATACTCTCTCCCTAGATAGTCATATGGTTGGCTCCTTTCCTCCTTGCCATCTTTTCTCATATGCCACCCTCTCAGTGAGACTTTCCATGGCCACTCTAAACTAGAATTATAAATGTTTTTGATACTCAATCTACTTATTTTGCTTATTGTCTACTTCTCTGACTAAAATGTTCACTCTTGCTCACTGTTGTATCCACGGTGCTTAAAATGGTTCTTAGAACATACTTAGTGCACAAAATAAATTTGTTGAATGAATGAACAAATAAATTTAACAGAGTGCTGTGATAGGGAAAAGTGGATGAGATTTAGATTTAAAAAGACCTGTTTCACGGGTGCACTAAAATAAAATCTCAGAATTCACCACTATAGAACTCATCCATGTAATCAAAAACCACCTGTACCCCAAAAACTATTCAAATAATAATAATAATAAAGACCTGTTCTAAGGAGGGGGCAATAAAGAGAATCCTGAAAATCAAGGCACCTTCCATGAGAAAAGTTGGGGTGGGTTGGGGGAGAGATGTGCTTTAGGAAGAGGGAGAAGTATATATTCTGATTTGGGAAAGAGTTGGGCATAATTCAGAAGGTTAAAGGAAGTGAGTATGATTGGAACATGTGAGGGAAGGGGAAAAAGACTGCAAATGAGGTGGAGAGGTAGATAAGGCTACTTCTTTAAAAAAATTTTTTTTAAATTATACTTCAAGTTCTGGGATACATGTGCAGAACATGCAGGTTTGTCACATAGATATACACGTGCCATGGTGGTTTGCTGCACCCATCAACCCATCATCTACATTAGGTATTTCTCCTAATGCTATTCCTCCCCCAGCCCCCCACCCCCGAACCGGCCCCAGTGTGTGATATTCCCCTCCCCATGTCCATGTGTTCTCATTGTTCAACTCCCACTTATGAGTGAGAACATGCGGTGTTTACTTTTCTCTTCTTGTGTTAGTTTGCTGAGAATGATGGTTTCCAGCTTCATCCATGTCCTTGCAGAGGACATGAACTCATCCTTTATTATGGCTGCATAGTATTCCATGGTGTATATGTGCCACATTTTCTTTATCCAGTCTATCATTGATGGGCATTTGGGTTGGTTCCAAGTCTTTGCTATTGTGAACAATGCTGCAAGTAAACATACGTGTTCATGTGTCTTTATAGTAGAATGATTTATAATCCCTTGGGTATATACCCAGTAATGGGATTGCTGGGTCAAATTGTACTTCTGGTTCTAGATCCTTGAGGAATTGCCACACTGTCTTCCACCATGGTTGAACTAATTTACACTCCCACCAACAGTGTGAAAGCATTCCTATTTCTCCACATCCTCGCCAGCATCTGTTATTTCCTGACTTTTTAATGATTGCCATTCTAACTGGCATGAGATGGTACCTCATTGTGGTTTTGATTTGCATTTCTCTAATTATCAGTGATGATGAGCTTTTTTCACATGTTTGTTTGCTGCATAAAAGTCTTCTTTTGAGAAATGTCTGTTCATATCCTTCGGATAAGGCTACTTTTAAAGCATCTTGTGTGCCATGCGAAAGAATTTGCATTTTCTTCCCTTATGTAATGGGGAGTCCATTGAAAATCTTTAAGCAGGGGAGGGATATGATCTGATAGAGTAGTCATAAAAACACCAATGGTCTATGAGAAAAGAAAGAATTGGGCGTGGGCAAGAATGGCAGCTGAGAAACTACTACTAACATCCAGATAAGAGCTGACAGTAACTGGGATGAATGCTATCCTCTCTTGGGGTGACTTTGTCTTTATTTACCTGGTCCAGTTTTCCATCTGGTTTTTGTTAAGGGTATACAGCTGTAGGAGGGGCAACAGTCTATGGACATTCCTCTTTACCAGTCACCATTCTTTGGGTACAGCATGAGAATAAGAATAGTTGAAGATTAATGATAATTCCAGAGTTTTATGGTACATATTTTACTGGAAGTTCTGTTCCCAGTATATGTGATAACCCTAATGAGATCTACCTTAACTGGTAGCCCAATGAGGGTGTGGAAATTTTTGAACTGGCACTTTTCAATGATCAGATGAGTCCTACCAGTGCTGCATGTTTCTCTGGAATATGATGATGTAACTAAAGAAGAACCAGTAAGATGCCCATGTTCTTCATCTGCAATTGGAGATGTTCCTCACTTTTAAGGGCCATGGTCTCATCTGATTTAGAAATGGAGGAGAGGATGAATGAGTCAGCAGGGACAGCGTAGAGAGGAAAGGCGCAATACAAAATTACAAATATTCTAAAGACTACTAAATAACTTTTCACCTGTGAATCTCGAAGCATGTACAACTTCATAACTGGGCGCGACTGTTCCAGCTGAGGAGAGAGGTAGCTTACAACAGTAAAGATTCTGGAGATAAAGTTGAGTCCTTGGCCTGTTTGCCAAATGTTAATACATATGTAATTGAATCTGTCTATTCCAGGACAGAACTAACATTTTATTTGGAGGCAATACAGTGTAAGATTGCAACTGTTTTTTATAATTTCGGTTAGATAGGAGTTACTGACTCTTGCTATTGTACAGGGTCAGAAAATGGATAATAGATATTGCTGCTGAATCTTAACATCTAGAAATAATCAATCCAATAGCAATGAACCAAATTTGGGAGCACTATAAACCAGTTCATGCACAGGTATAAAAATGTATGTGAGTAAAATTCCTGAGGACAATAGGTGTTTAACAGCACTGAATAGACCTACGGATACACAGGTGCACAAGCCTGGGTATAGAACAAAAACTGAAAGGAAGATCTTATATTCCTCATGTTGCTTACTGTGCTCAATAATTGCTGCCTTTTCTTTCATTGACTGTTAAGCTTAATTTCATTTTTAAGTAAAGTCTATCATGAGAAAGGAATTGCCAAAGATTTGCAAGTTTAGCTGGTGGCTTTAGGAAGCTCTGGCAGTGTCCCACAATTGCCCAGAAGCTATTTGTAGGCCTTCCCCACTGGCAGAAAATTCAGAAAATGGGTTGAAGAGACTGTCCACAGCATCTTACTAGAAACAGAGATCGTGGCTGAGATCTCGAGAGGCCACATTTCATTTGGGACTTTAAGCTTGAGGACATGGTCAATTTTTACCCCACATCCTCAGCTTGGTTTGTTGGCATGTTTGTGACTTAAGCAGAATTTGCCCGTAAGACACTGTCTCTGCCAGCAGATCTCACACGGTGTGTGTAGATCCTCCCAAGGTATACAGCCATATTTTCACCAATGTGTAAAGTGTATTTGGCTACAATGTAATATACAAATACTGCTATGATAATGTCCATAATAGGCAGATGGAGCTGGTATATCTTATGGTGCATATGACATAGTGGTTAAGAACTCTGGAGTCCACCTTTCTGGGTTCAAATATCTGATTCAGCTCTTACTATCTCTGTGACTTTAACCAAGTTGTTTGAATCCATGTGCCTCTGTTTCCTCATCTTCAGTTTCCTCATTATGATGGTAATGGTAGGTAGTACGTACATCATAGGGTTGTAAGGATGAAGTACATTGATTCATGTAAAAGTGCTTAGAAATGTGCTGAATACATAGGAAGATCTCAACAAATACTAGCTTTTATGATGTAGCGTAGGTTACAACATGATCAGAATGAGGTCAGAGGCCCAGTGTAACTTTATGTCAGCATGTAGGAAATGTTTGCTGGAATGCCGGGCAACTCTGCTCTGTAGAAATTTAAGAGCGCATATACACAGTTTTGCTTCATCAGCAACAAGGGGCTGAAAGGGGACCAGTGCATGATGTTGGCATTGTGAAGCGCAGATTTTCTAGAGTAGTGATTGCTTTGGAAATTACTGCTACTTTAGTGCTGTTTTGAGACTTCTACTGTATTCGAATATCCCACCAAATGTAGTGAGTTTTTGACATTGTGCTAAAAACAAAAGTTGTGGTCAATTGTTTAATGCCTTCTTTAAGCACTCCCTCCCTGATTCTTCATATGACCAAACACTCAGACTCTCCTGATGAACCCTTGCTAATTCCTAGTTGATTGACTGATTCATTTATTCCACAAAATTTTTGAGCGTATAATAATATTGAATTTTTATAAAGTGTGTACTGTGTACCAAGTACTGTGAAAGACACTTTAAAGCATATCTTAATCCTCAGAAGGAAATTTGCAGGAAGAAATTATTATACCCATTTTACAGATTAGGCTTAATGAGGTACAGTATCTCACCCAAAGTCACATAGCTTGCGAAGGGCAGAATTTGAACTCAAGCGAAGGACTTAAGCCAAAGCACTGTGTTATATTGCCTTCCATGTTAGCAGGCCCTGTGCCAGGTGTGGTGAAAGAAAAGTAAATGTGACAAAGAGCCCAATTTTAAGGAGATCAGTTCAGGTCAAGGACTAGCTATGTATACAAAGAATGAGAACACAATAGGGTAAGTATGTATGTACAGATTGGTAAAGGTATGGTAAACCCATAGTGACTAACTGCTTTTATTCCTCTAGAGCATTGATTCACATCTTTCCTTCCTCCTTTTTCCTCTCTCTTTATCAAAATTTGCCTGTTTCATGTTCCATTTGGTCAGGGCTGTGATTTCAGATAGGGAATTGATAAATAATTGGGTGTAGGTTACAGTGTCCTAGAGTCCCATATCCCGATAAACTTCAAAGTGTCTCAAGAGGTGTCATCTTATCTGAAGACTGACGTAAGTAGTTATCTCAGGTACAACAGAAGAGCTGTGAGGGTTATGATGGGATAGTCTTGAAGCATTCATTACATCAAACCATGTGGCCTGTTCCTTATGTGGCAACAATGCATATGCCCCTTTATTTATGCAAAAGACAAACTGTCCTCAACTCCATCCCACAGCCCCAAGCAAAACTTTCCTACCTCTACTTCTCTGCTACCTGAGTTCACCTTAGAAGGAAAGGAGGACAAAAAGCCTCAATATTTCACAAAAATGGACAATTTGCTTTTGGAGTCAAATCTGGCAATGTGACCAGGCAATCTTTTGAAAAAAAAAAAAAAAAAAAAAAAAAGATCTTGGCATTTCCTGCTTCTTTACAGATAATGAATTCAGAAAAGGATGACCTCCCCCTACCAAGCTTTAAAAAAATGTTTACCTACCCTTCTGTTTTCCAATCCAAACTGGTATGAAAACATTCAGGAGGTCAACATTTGAAAATGGTTTTTGAAAAAGAAAACCACCCACACTCAAAAAACTGTTTTCCTTCCTAGTAAATGTAATTTTAAATTTCAAAGGCAGGATTTAGGTCAGTGGTTTGGGTCATTTTTTATTTTACCCAAACTGGGCCACCCTTCCCTTATTGTGCAATCCAGAGGAATCAGAAAGATGTCAGGTAATAAAAATCCAGCAAGGAAAAAAAGTTGGAACACACTCTGTCCAAAGTTGCATGCCCTTAAGTTCTGCTGACTTCAGCAGGATTTGTACATTAGTAGTGAAGGGCAGAATCTGGTCTACCGATTTTATTATCATTGAAGAAGAGGAGATTTTTCTGACTGTTAAATGGAAAAATATAATTTATGAATCAGACTTAGGCTGACGGGTTGAACAACAGATGAAACTTACCAGCTTGTGGCTTTAAATATAGTGATATGCAAGTGAGGAGAGACCAGGAGCACCCACACATGACTGAGAGGAATTCTGGTCCAGAATGACCTTTCAGCTCCTGGAGCATCCAAGGCATATGGATGTATTATCCTACAGGATCCGCAAGTGAAGTTTATTACAACATGGAAGAAAGATGAGGTTTGGTGGGCTGACTGACGAGTGACCTTTTCAGTCTGTCAATCTATTATCATCATAAATCATTTCAATGCAAGGCAAGAAGACTCCTTTTCACCTCATGCCCAAAGATTTAGCTTTTTAGTGCTGACACTTGACCTGGACTAATCAACTTTTTCTTTTTTTCCTTTTTGAGATGGAGTTGACCTAGACTAATCACTTTTTTTTTCTGGGATGGAGTTTCACTCTGTTGCTCAGGCTGGAGTGAAATGATGTGATCTAGGATCACTGTAACCTCTGCCTTCTGGGTTCAAGTGATTCTCCTGCCTCAGCCTCCTGAGTAGCTGGGATTATAGGTGCCCACCACCACACCAGGCTAATATTTGTATTTTTAGTGGAGACGGGGTTTCACCAAGTTGGCCAGGCTGGTCTCGAACTCCTGACCTCAGGCAATCCGCCTGCCTCAGCCTCCCAAAGTGCTGGGACTGCAGGCATGAGCCACCGTGCCCAGCCAACTAATCACCTTTAATGGATGATGAAAATATAGTTGAGGTGTGAAAATAATGTTCCTCTGAAAACCCTTTGTCATTTTCTTTCTTTACTACCCCCGACCTGCTGTACTCATAAATGAATTTAAATTCATAAACAACCCAAGAATAGACTTCAGTTTGAGGAGGAAAATAATGAATTTAAGAGACTTATGAGACATGAATTTGAGGCACTTCCCACTGCCTACATTTACTTGATCTTTTGATTTCTTATGAATCTATGCTCTGGTCCTTTGGCTGACAGATGATTACACTTTAGAGATGACCAAAGTAATTCCAATCAATTGATCCGTGTATTTTTAGTGTTTGTGTTGCTAGTAACATACATACTCCCTAACAAGTTGAACTTTCAGGAATCTGTTTCTCTGAATCATGCCATCTTTATCTTTATGTAACTCCTTTTCTGTGGAGGAGCTCTGGTACGGTTTGGCTGTGTCCCCGCCCAAATCTCAACTTGAATTGTATATTCCAGAATTCCCACGTGTTGTGGGAGGGACCCAGGAGGAGGTAATTGAATCATGGGGCTGGTCTTTCCTGTGCTATTCTCCTGACAACGAATAAGTCTAACAAAATCTGATGGGTTTGTCAGGGGTTTATGCTTTTGCTTCTTTCCCATTTTCTTTTGCCACCACCATTTGAGAAGTTCCTTTCTCCTCCCGCCATGATTCTGGGTCCTCCTCAGCGATGTGGAACTGTAAGTCCAATTAAACATCTTTTTGTTCCCAGTCTTGGGTATACCTTTATCAGCAGCATGAAAATGGATTAATACAGTAAATTGGTACTAGTAGAGTGGGGAGTTGCTGAAAAGATACCTGAAAATATGGAAGTGACTTTGGAACTGGGTAACAGGCAGAGGTTGAAACAGTTTGGAGGGCTCAGAAGAAGACAGGAAAATGTGGGGAAGTTTGGAACTTCCTATGGACTTGTTGAATGGCTTTGACAAAAATGCTGATAGTGATATGAACAATTAGGTCCAGGCTGAGGTGGTCTCAGATGGAGATGAGGAACTTGTTGGGAACTGAAGCAGAGGTGACTGTTGTTATGTTTTAGCAAAGAGACTGGTGACATTTTGCCCCTGCCCTAGAGATTTGTGGAACTTTGAACTTGAGAGATGATTTAGGGTATCTGGCAGAAGAAATTTCTAAGCAGGAAAGCATTCAAAAGGTGACTTGGGTGCTGTTAAAAGCATTCTATTTTAAAAGGGAAACAGAGCATAAAAGTTCAGAAAATTTGCAGCCTGACAATGCAGTAGAAAAGAAAAACCAATTTTTTTTTGAGGAGAAATTCAAGCAGATGCAGAAATTTGCATAAGTAGCAAGGAGCCTAATGTTAATCCCCTAGACCATGGGGAAAATGCCTCCAGGCCATGTCAGAGACCTTCGTGGCAGCCCCTATCATCACACGCCCAGAAGTCCAGGAGGAAAAAGTGGTTTCGTGGGCCAGGCCCAGGGTCCCCATGCTGTGTGCAGCCTAGGGACTTGGTGCCCTGTGTCCCAGCCACTCCAGCCATGGCTGAAAGGGGCCAACATACAGCTCAGGCTGTGGCTTCAGAGGGTGGAAACCCCTAGCCTTGGCAGCTTCCACGTGGTATTTAGCCTATGGGTGCACGGAAGTCAAGAATTGAGGTTTGGGGACCTCTGCCTAGATTTCAGAAGATGTATTGAAATGCCTGGATGCCCAGGCAAAAGTTTGCTGCAGAGGCAGAGCCCTCACGGAGAACCTCTGCTAGGGCAGTGTAGAAGGGAAATGTGGGGTCAGAGCCCCCACACAGAGTCCCTACTGGGGCACTGTCTGGTGGATCTGTGAGAAGAAGGCCACCGTCCTCCAGATCCCAGAATGGTACATCCATCGACAGCTTGCACTGTGCACCTGGAGAAGCCACAGATACTCAATGCCAGCCTGTGAAAGCAGCCAGGAAGGAGGCTGTACCCTGCAAAGCCACAGGGGTGGAGCTGCCCAAGACCATGGGAACCCGCCTCTTGCATCAGCATGACCCAGATGTGAGACCTGGCGTCAAAGGAGATCATTTTGGAGCTTTAAGGTTTGACTGCCCTGATGGATTTCGGACTTGCGTGTGGCTGGTAGCCCCTTTGTTTTGGCCAATTTTCCTCCATGTGTAATGGCCAAATTTACCCAATGCCTGTACCCCCATTATATCTAGGAAGTAACTAACTTGATTTTGATTTTACAGGCTCATAGGTGGATAAGACTTGCCTTGTCTCAGATAAGACTTTGGACTGTGGACTTTTGAGTTAATGCTGAGATGAGTTAAGACTTTGGGAGACTTTTGGGAAGGCATGATTGGTTTTGAAATGTGAGGACCTGAGATTTGGAGGGGCCAGGGGTGGAATGATATGGTTTGACTGTGTCCCCACCCAAATCTCAACTTGAATTGTATCTCCCAGGATTCCCACGAGTTGTGGGAGGGACCCAGGGGAAGGTAATTAAATCATAGGGGCTGGTCTTTCCTGTGCTATTCTCGTGATAGTGAATAAGTCTCACAAGATCTGATGGGTTTATCAGGGATTTCCACTTTTGCTTCTTTCTCATTTTCTTTTGCTGCTGCCATGTAAGAAGTGCCTTTTGCATCCCGCCATGATTCTGAGTTCTCCCCAGCGACGTGGAACTGTAAGTCCAATTAAACCTCTTTTTCTTCCCAGTCTCGGATATGTCTTTATCAGCAGCATGAAAATGGACTAATACAAGCTTGTATGTTTATTCAACAAACAAAACCCATAATAGACATTCAATTAAAGTTTTCTGAATGAAAGAATGGCTTCTTATTTATAGATGTTATATTTCAGCTGGATTTTAAAGGATGAGTGAAATAAAATAAATGTTTGAGGGGAGGGGAGAAAGAGCAAAGGCAGAGAGATAAGAAAGTACAAGGCATATGTGTAGCATGGGTCCCATGCCTGGTACTGGGAAGATAATCAACAAATACATGCTAAATGAATGAATAGTAATGTTAAGTACTGAATAAAAAGAAAAATGGATAAGTTATAGCCCCTTCATGGGCTAAAAAGGGAATTGGAGCTGTACACAACTAATGATAAATCAAATTTACTCATATTCAAGTATTTCCTGAGTGCCTACTGTACTAGTCAGGGTTGTCTAGAGAAAGACAACAAATGAGATTGTGGCCTCTCTCTCTCTCTCTCTTTGTATAGATCTCTTTATAGGATCTCTCTCCTTCTCTTTATATATATATGGAGAGTGGTATTGTGGGGCTGGCAAGTTTGAAACCCACAGGGCAGGCTGAAGACCGAAGGAAGAGTTGCTGATGCAGCTAGGATCTAAAAGCAGTCTGAAGGCAGAATTCTCTCTTTTTTAGGGGACCTCAGTCTTTTTCTCTTATGGCCTTCACCTGATTGAATGAGGCCCACTCACATTACGGAGGGTCATCTGCTTTACTAAAAATACGTTGATTTAACAAAAGTTAATCTCATCTAAAAATACCTTCAATACCTTCATAGCAACATCTAGACTGATGTTTGACCAAATATCTGGTTACTATGGCCTAGCCTAGGTGACACATAAAATCAGCCAGCACATCTACTAAGTGGTGGGCCTTGCTCTGGATACTAGAGATAGAGCAATGAACAAGATAGATTAAAATCCCTGTGATTAAGAAGTTTATGAAAACTGTATAAAACTTACATCATGTCATATGGCAAATATTGTGGAGAAAAATAAGATTAAAAAGGGAGTAAGGAAAGTATAATTTTTAAAACTGGTCAGGGAAGGCCTCATTGAGAAGTTCCCATTTGAGTCAGGACCTGAAAGCAATGAGAAAGTGAACAACACAGATACCTGGGGAAGGAGTAATCCATGAGAGGGTAAAGCAAATGTCAGCTTTAGGCAAGAGAGTGCCTTCTGTATTTGAGAATCAGCTTTTGATAAGTGCTTTAAAATACATAAAACATAAACAAAGATGTAACATAGGTAAAGCTCACTATTGGATTATTGTGAAGGAAAAGATTATTTCCAACTGGGACATTTTTGGAATAGACCTCAATGCCTATTACATAGTAGATATTTAATTGATATTTACTGAATAAATTAATGGCATGCTGTATTTGGACTGGATTTGGACGGGTAGGTGGAATTAAGTGAATACAGAGGAAAAAGCAAGAAAAGAAGTAGAGAGTATTTGGTATTTTTGTGTCATGGACACTGATCCAGAATGGCTGAGTCATGAAGGCTTTGGTGGAATAGAGATGAGGGGTATAAGGAAGATAAGGCTTAAGAAGGAAGTTGAAGCCAGACCATAAAAGTCTTTGCATCTAGACCATGGAGTTTGAATGTCATTTCATAGCCATTTTTGAACCATCAAATTTTTAAAGGAGAGGAAAAGTGAAGTCATGTTAATTTAGGAAAGTATTCACCAAAGGAAATTCCTTTAAACACTTATTCGGAGGGTATTGGTAAATATTTTATGGAAAAAAACAACTTAATTTCAAATAAATTTGGGACATGCTAGGTTAAACAGAGTTACACAGGATTTTTACTGCAGTAATCTAAATAGACTTTAATATGTCAATATGTATTGTTAGGCTAAAAAAGGTGGATCTAATCTGCTATGTTTCCCAAATATTTTTGGCCACAGAAAAAAATTTTTGATAGTATATCTTCATTATACACAATTGATTGGAAACCCTGATTTGGGAGGATAATAATTGTTGAGTGAGTATATTGGATTGAAGGAGTGAATGAAAGAGGAAGGCTATTTGGAAAGCTGATAGAACAACCACTGTAGGAGATAAGATAAACTGGGAAAGTAGCAGGATTGTGGACTAAAGAATTTCAGAGGGAGAATCACATGAATTAGTGTTTAGTGGATAGGATTGGGAGGTTATGAAACTAAAATAGCAGAAAAGTTTAATGCATTGGAAATGGGAAGACGGTGATATCTTCTGAGACAGCAACCTCAAAATAGACTTAAGTTTGAGGAGGAAAAGAATGAATTTGAGACTTATAAGAAACCAATTTTATTTAATTTTTAAATATTTGGAGATTTTACAAATATCTTTCTGTTATCGATACGTTTCAATTTCAGATGGTTAAAAACTATATTTTGTATGATTTCAATTCTTTTAAATTTTTTTGAGATTTGTTTTAAGGCCCAAGGTATAGTTTATCAAGGTGATTGTTTCATGTGACTAGAAAATAATGTCTATTCTGTTGTTGGATGGAGGATCCTATAAATGTCAATTTGATCAAGTTGGTTGACAGTATCATTCAAGTCTTATTTTTACTGATTTCTGTTTACTTGTTCTATCAGTAACTATAAGAAGAGCATAAAAATATCCAAGTAAAATTGTGTATTTTCCTTGTTCTTTTTGTACTTTCAGTTCTGTTTTATGTATTTTGAAACTCTGCTGTTGGGTGCAATCACATTTATAATTGTTATGTCATTATAAAATGTCCCTATATTTGCCTTAATATGCCTTGTGCTAAAGTATATT
The DNA here is from genome assembly GCF_000001405.40 of Homo sapiens. NCBI lineage: Eukaryota > Metazoa > Chordata > Mammalia > Primates > Hominidae > Homo > Homo sapiens. The sequence goes on along the minus strand of NC_000014.9, from coordinate 80,330,484 downwards.
TTGTCTGATATTATTTATAGCCACTCCAACTTTTTTGATTAATGTCTTTATGGTATAATCTTTCCCAACCTTTTATTATTTATCTATCTATGTCTTTCCAGGTAAAGTGGAGTCTTATAGATAAAATATAATTTAATCTTGCTGTTTAAAAAAAAATCTTTGCATTTTAATTTAGGTTTAGATCATTTGTATTTAATGTAATTACTGACATGTTTGCATTTAAGTCTACTATACTTCTAGTTATTTTCCAGTTGCCCCTCTAGTCCTTAGTTTCCCCTTTCTTCTTTTTCTGCCTTGCTTTTATTCAGTATTATCTCCCCATCGGCCTTATTACTTATACTTCTTTCAATTTTTTTCAAGATTGCTCTGGAGTTTAAAATATAAACCTGATAAGAATAAACTTTAATTTATAATAGTCCACATAGAAACGGTATTACAGTATTTCACACATAGTGTAAAAATCTTTAAAGGATATACCTCATTTTCTCCCCCATAATTTATGATATTGTTTTCATACATTTTATTTCTGCAAGTTATGAACCTTGTAAGGCATTATTCTTGCTTTAAACGGTTGATTTTTTTAATTTTTATTTTTTATTATACTTTAAGTTCTGGGATACATGTGCAGAACCGTGCAAGTTTGTTACATAGCTATACATGTGCCATGGCAGTTTGCTGCACTCATCAACCCATCATCTACATTAGGTATTTCTCCTAATGCTATCACTCCCCCAGCCCCCCACCCCACACTAGGCCCCAGTGTGTGATGTTCCCTTCCCTGTGTCCATGTGTTCTCATTGTTCAACTCCCACTTATGAGTGAGAACATGCGGTGTTTGCTTTTCAGTTCTTGTGTTAGTTTGCTGAGAATGATGGTTTCCAGCTTCATCCATGTCCTTGCAAAGGACATGAACTCATCCTTTATTATGGCTGCATAGTATTCCATGGTGTATATATGCCACATTTTCTTTACCCAGTCTATCATTGATGGGCATCTGGGTTGGTTCCAAGTCTTTGGTATTGTGTATAGTGCTGGAATAAACATAGATGTGCATGAGTCTTTATAGTAGAATGATTTATAATCCTTTGGCTATATACCCAGTAATGGGATTGGTGGGTCAAATGGTGTTTCTGGTTCTAGATCCTTGAGGAATCGCCACACTGTCTTCCACCATGGTTGAACTAATTTACGCTCCCGTCAACAGTGTAAAAGTGTTCCTATTTCTCCACATCCTCTCCGGCATCTGTTATTTCCTGACTTTGTAATGATCACCATTCTAACTGTAATGAGATGGTATCTCACTGTGGTTTTGATTTGCATTTCTCTAGTGACCAGTGTTGATGAGCTTTTTTTCATATGTTTGTTGGCCACATATATGTCTTCTTTTGAGAAGTGTCTGTTCATATCCTTCGCCCAAAACAGTTGATTATTTTTAAGGACATTTAAAAATATTAGCACTTTAAGAGTTTCTGTTGCTTTTAATTTTTTGGTGTAGATTTATATTTCAAACTGGTATTGTACTCCTTTCGATAGAAATATTTTCCTTAAATATTTTTTAGCACACATCTGCTTACAATTATTTCAGCTTTGGTTTGTCTAAAAAAGCCTTTATTATTGAAAGCTATTTTCTCTGAGCATAAAACTCTGGGTCAAGATTTTTTGCTATTGTTATTACTTCTGTATTTTTTAGTCCTTTAAAGCTATAACTCTAATAAATTTAAGCTTGCATAATTTCTAACAAAATATTTACTGTAATTCTTACCTTTGTTCCTTCATATGTCTATATATTTTTGTCAGTGGCTGCATCAGGATTTTTTTTTCCTGTGGTTTTCATCACTTTGACCATGATGTGTCTAAGTGTGTCTTTTCATATTGTTGTAGATTACGTTTAGATTATGTTTCATATATATCCGTGTAGAAGTCTCTGAGCTGTTGTTCTTTCAGCAGATCTAATAAGCTGAGAGAATTCTACACAGGACGACTACAAAACATAATCTAAAGATAGGTTTATTAGATCTATCTTTCATTGATTTTGGAACATTGTTAGCTATATGTATGCTTTTGAAGATTTTTAATGCTGTATTCTCCCTTCTTTCCTTCTTTGACTTTAATAATACTTATGTTAGACTATTTGATATTGCCCTACAGATTTCCAGTGCTCTGTTTTTACCTCCTACTGTTTTTTGTCTTTGTGTTGACATTTTAATGAAAATGATAGTGTTCTTTTCATATGATGACATGGTCTGAATCCATTTATTTAACTTATTCCCTGTTCACATTCCCATTTAACAAAGGGCCATAATGAGAAGGAAAAACCCTTGTCACAACTGAAAATTGGGGCCTTAAATGCCATGAACCTCAAATAATTATTTTTCTTTTATTTTGGCAAAAGAGAGGCTGATTAAGCTAGTTAGTATTAGGAGATTTTTCAAGCAGGCTTTTCATTGCTTATGGTGACTTACAAGGTGGTTGGCCCTTCACTCAGAGTGGTATTGTCTCAGGACAGTTAAGCTCTGGGGTAATCAGGAAGTATGAGGAGTGCTACATAGATCTCAGTTCCAGTAAAATCTCTGAGATGTATACCTTGAGCTACTGTTATGGCGCTTATACCTTGTCCTTGCTTGTGAAAGCCTCCTGAATGAAGTGGGGACCCATCCGAAACTGGAACTTTGTAGCAACAGTCACTTCAGTTGTTATAAGAAACAAGATCACATTCCCAGTTCACTTCAAGTTGTCATAGCAAACATGGAAAACAAATATGAAAACACACAAACAAAACTCACTATTATGACTATCTTCAGCTATGTTTAATAAATCTGACAAAACTCCTGGAAAAATTTAAATAGTCATTATAAGAGAAAATATTTAAAAAACTGGAGAATAGTCCCAAGCAATTCAACCTAGGAAGATCATAGAAACAGTACAGATAAATAATTATAAAATGAGAAGGAAATTTTCTTCAGATGAGCACTAGAATTTTGAGCATACAAATATTTATCAAATAAAATTAGGCAAAGTAAACAAAAAGACACTATCCCAGACATAACCTACAACATACTTCAATCTTCAGAAAAAAAGGAAAAGTACCTGCAATCATTCAGGGAGAGGGAACAAGTTATTTAAGGATTATGTCTATTTCACAATATTAAATGCTAGGAGGCAGTCTTCAGATTTTGAAGGATAAGACGTGATTTAAGAATTCTATACTCAGTTAACCTATTGTTCACATAGATGGCAACAAAAACAAATTCTCAGAAATACCAAGCTCAAAGTATTTTAAGTGCAATTAAAAAAAATCTCCAAATAAATAAGTAAATAAATCTATGCTCTGGAACAAAACTTAGAATAAGATGAGTATCTTCCCAATTTGCTTTATTAACCTGATAAGAAACCTTGCAGATGTAGTGGATATTTGCATATACACGTGCAAAATTACAAATTAATCTCATTTATAAATATGAATGCAATTCTAATTAAAATATTACTGTAACTATACTAAAAAATTAATCAATGAGTAAATGCTTCTCTTTTGGAAATACAGCAGTAGCTTAACATTATGAAATGGATTAATATTTAAAACCAAGAAGAAAAAAAATCCTTTTCTTAGTAGATGCAAAAAATTATTTGATAAGATGTAACACTTCATCTTGATCTTAAAAGTCTTCATAACTTTCATAGTAGAAAACTTCCTTAACATAGTGAAACGATCGGTCTGATATTAGTAGAACAGATGATACTTAATTGTAAAAGACTGGAACGATGTCCTTAAAGTCAGAAATAATGTAAGGCCATTAATTATTATTAATTATTTAGTGTTGGCTTCAAAGTTGTAGCACATGCAAGAAGATAGGAAAAAATCAGTGAGTCATAAATATTAGAGCGAAGGAGAAAAAATTGTCATTATTTGCAGATCATATAGCAAACTAAAGAGAATGGACTTAAAAGCTGTTAGAACTACCAAGAGAATGAAACAAGGTAGCCTGTTAAAACTTAAGTGTATACAAATCAGTGGGTTTAATACATACTTGTATTTTTAAAACGTGAAAACATAATAGGAAACAATTGTTATTAATAATAAGTTTTGAAAATATCTAGGAATCAAGTTATCAAGAAATGTATGTCATCTACATAAAGAAAATTTATAAACTTTACTGAGGAACCTAAAAGGAGACTAATGAAAGACTATCTCATTTTTAAAGAAGAATGTAGTTCAATGGGAAATTGTTTATATTTACTTGAAATGGGCAAGACCCAGGCCTTTACAGTATGACTTCAAATAAGGAAAAATAAACTGGAAAAAAATGAACAGAAGTTAACAGTGATTATCTCTAAGTATCTCTCGAATGCTAGATGATTTATTAGTTGCATAATTTTTTTCTCCTCATAAATAAAAATTTCAAAAATTCAGAATAAAACAAAAATTATTTTTTTAAAGTAATAATATTCTTAGTTGTATGCATATGAACACTTCAGCACATAAATCAGTTTTTGTGAAGGTGCAATCTGCAGCCATTTCAGTAGATTTCACCTGGAGTGTTTGTTTAACAATTCTGACTCCTGGATCTCACATCACACTCATGGAATCTGACTATCTTGATGACAGTCCAGGGACTTGTATTTTAAACAAACACTCCAGGTTATTCTTGTACACACTAAAATTCGAGAATAACTAGGCAAAAGGCCTTTCTGAGCTTGCACACAAAGAAGACATGTTGTAGGGTGGAGAATAGAAAAAAAGTTATAGGACCTCTGTTATTCTAGCCCATTAGGAATAGGGTCAGAGACAAAGATGTAAGTTGCCAGGAGGGTGAAGTGAGTTGTTTTTTGTTTGTATGTATGTTTGTTTATTGAGACAGGGTCTCCCTCTGTCTCCCAGGCTGGAATGCAGTGGCACCATCTCAGCTCACTGCAGCTTCCGTCTCCTGGGTTCAAGCAATCCTGCTACCTCAGCCTCCTGAGTAGCTGGGACTATGGGCGCATGCCACCATGCTCCAGCTAATTTTTAATTTTTTTGTAGAGACGAGATCTTGCCATGTTGCCCAGGCTGTTCTCAAACTCTTGGGCTCAAAAGATCCACCTGCCTCAGCCTCCCAAAGTGTTGGCATTATAGGCGTAAGCCACTGCACTCAGCCTTGAAGTGAGTTTTAACAGTTGCTAAGTCACTGCTCTTCATTCTCAGCAGAGCAAGAGTCCCTACCAGGTGCTCATTAGCTGGAAAGTTCTCATGGTTCTGTAAACTCTCATCGCTCTGTTGGAACTCTGTAAAAATTCCAGCTCTTGCGATGGAAGCACTGTCTGTTATGTTCACCACTGTATCCCCAGCACAGTGTTCGGAACATTATAGACACACAATCAATATTTGTATAAGAAAATAATAAATGATAAAGTGATCTGCCAGGTGTGAGTGAAACTCCAGGATCTAAGGAAATCATCTGGGAGCCGGGCTTAGGGTCACTCCCCTCTCTTTCCACACTGCACCTGCTTTCCTTGTAACTTGGTGGTGAATCCAAGATTTCAGAGAAATCAGAAATTACTAACTGTTAGAAAATTCTGAGAATCTTTTACCTTAAGGAAATATGGGAACTTATTGAAGCTTGAGGACCGAAGTTCAGTGGTTTTGGTTTCAGTACCTTAGAATACTCCTTGAGTTTATTTCCTGGAAAATAGAAGATGGATGAACTCCTTATGTTCTAATAGCATACATGATTTTTTATAAAGAGAAGGCCGTGCATTTTCTTGGTAGAAATAAATGCTAAAAAATTATGTTTTGCAAAAATGGAGTTATATGCCCTGTGAAGTTGAATGTGTTGCCTATTAACTGCAAAATACTCTGTATTAGTTTCCTATTGCTGCTGCAATAAATTACCACAAATTCAATGACCTAAAACAACACCAATTTATAATCTTACACCTTTGTAGGTTGAAGTCTGACACAGGTGTCACTGGGCTAAAATCAAGGGGTTGGCAGGGTTGCAGTTCTTTCCGGGGTCTCTAAGGAATTTGTTTCCTTTGTCTAGTTTCTAGAAAGTGATTTCACAGTTTTCTGTTTCTAGAAAGAAACTAGACAAAGGAAACAAATTCCTTAGAGACTCGGGAAACTACCCCTTCCTCCTATTTTAAAGCTAGCAACATTGCATATTTCAGACCAGTCTTCTGTGTTAGCATCTCCCTCTGACTAATCTCACTGGGTGAAAGTTTTCCTATCTTAAATACCTATGTGATTAATTGGGCCCACCTGAATAAGCCACGATACTCTCACCTTCTGAAGGCCCTTAACCCTAATCACATCTGCAAAATTCCCTTTGCCTTGTAAGGTAACATGGCCACAGGTTCCAGGGGTGAGGATGTGGACATTTTTGGGGAGTCATTATTCCACTTACCACAAATCCCATAAGACACATATGTTTTAGGAATGTTTTGGGATATGGATGACTGCAGCAGTGCTTCTTGTTCCATAACAGAGTGTCTCTGTCTTGCAACTAAATCAGACAAATGTTCATACTGCAAATGCCAGAGGTTGCAAAGAATTTACAGCTTAGAGAGAAAAGAGAATGAAAGCTTTATTTATAAATATGGTGCTTCATTTGACCTAAAAAAGTTGAGCTGAGATTCTGTTCTTACCATGAGGATTTGACAGAGAAATAACTGTTTTCATGTAAACAAGTGCACTCTTTACTTCAGTTAAAAAATCTGCCACTTTGTTCTGTACTAGGATTGTGGTATTTGAGTTGATGTTATTTGGAGTTTTATGGTCATTTGGACGGTGAGGAATTGAAATGCTGAGATTTTGGAGTTAGGCATTGTCTCTCATAAGAAACAAATTACTTCTGACCGCATTTGTTTTAGAAAAAAGAAGGCAAAAAAAGATCTCTGACTGCAGTATTATTGATATATATAAATGATGATCATAAGATAAACCAAATACACAGGACTCTGAGCAAGATTGGTAGAATTTAATTAAGACACAGGAAGGGGTTCAGTTGGTATATTTACACACTGTGTATGTCAGTTATTTGCAGAGGAACATTAATAATCTGAGGAGTGTGTGGCCTGTATTTGTCTGAGTATGTAAATAATAAGGTCCTTTTGCCAAAAGTTAAAACTGTTTATAGCCTGTGGAGAATTTCATAGTAACTATTTTTATCCTGTTATTTCTCTGTATCCTATGTAAACATCACTCGAAGAGGATTATCTGCAACAAGAATTAGTTAGCATTATAAATAAGATGTACTCATCAAGCTTTCAACAAGATACTGCTTTCCACATTGACATGCTGTCAGAGGCCTTCAGGACTGCAAAGATATCACAATGTGTAAAAGGGACCCATGCCTAAGCAATCCAAGTGTCCTTTCTTTCTACATAAATCTCTCTTGACAAGTGGAATGAATTCCCATGCACACTTAAAGGATGTAGGTGTGTGTGTTGGGTGTCTCTTTCTGCCAATGAACAGCCAATTTCACTATAAACCACTGAATAAAATTCCTTTATATTCCCAAATATTTTGGCAGTGGAACCAGCTATTAATGTGGTTACCTGCTCATGATACTGGTCAAGAGAGAAACAGCAATTCGGTGCTAGGAATATAAACCATAGGAGTTGAAGGGTCCCAGAAGTTTTTGCTGCTGACTAAAGTCATGTGGTCCTAGGTCTCTGTTTCCTTAGTTTGGGGGTGAAAGACCATGCAGTGTAGTGGTCAGCAGTAAGGTATCAAATCAAAAAGCCTAGTGTTACATCCTGACTCTGTCACTTTTTAGTTGTGTTATTTGTGGGAACTCACATAACCTCTAAGGACCTTTGTTTCTTCATCTGTAAAGTGGGGATAAAAATGCTACTTATTTCATAGGACTGTTGAGAGAATTAAATCATTTCACATATGTAGAGTGCTTAGAACAATACCTGATGCAAACTGGGTACAACATGAGTTCCCATATTGTTATTGTTTGCGGTCATTTTGTAGGTGAGATGTTTTTAAACAGTTGTGCAAATAATTTCTTAGTAAACTATTTCTAGAAATGCTCTTAGGAAAGCTAAGTATTTGAAAGAAGGCATAAGAAATGACTTGAATAGGCCAGGCACGGTGGCTCATGCCTGTAATCCCAGCACTTTGGGAGGCCGAGGTGGGCGGATCATGAGGTCAGGAGATCCAGACCATCCTGGCTAACATGGTGAAACCTCGTCTCTACTAAAAAAAATACAAAAAAATTAGCCAGGCGTGGTGGTGGGCGCCTGTAGTCCCAGTTACTCGGGAGGCTGAGGTAGGAGAATGGTGTGAACCTGGGAGGCAGAGCTTGCAGTGAGCCGAGATCATGCCACTGCACTCCAACCTGGGTGACAGAGTGAGACTCCACCTCAAAAAAAAAAAAAAAAAAAAAAAATGAATGACTTGAATAGTGAAAAAGTATCCTCACCGTCAGGATATTAATGTCTCCCATTCATTCAGAGGGTGGGACCACACCTGTTTCTCTCAATTTGATTAGTGAATTATGTAATCATAGAGATATGCCTGTTCCCCACCTATTTTTTAATTACACAAGTGATACAGGGCCAGAATAGGGTGAGGCAAGTGAGGCACTAGAGTCAAGGCTCTAAAAAAAACTCCCCAAATAAATAATATTTAAAAAATCAAATTAACAAAAAAGTCCATGATGAAAAAATAAAGACAAGATCAACATTACTGGTGTTTTCCTTTTGTCTCAACTTCCAACATGGCTTGGAAATAACACTGAATAATACGAAAATGTCATCCATATAAAAATCCAAATTATTCAGAAATATGAGAATAACAATAATGGTTAACATGAATATGACTGTGTGCTAGGCACTGTGCTAAGTGTTTTAAGTAAAGTAACTCAATGAATACAAATACCACTATCTACTCATCATTAAATCGAAATTGAGTGACTTGTGCCAAGCAAGTGATTGGTAGAACTGAGTCCAGTCAAGGCAGCCTGATCATAGACCTGTGGTCCTATTCTCCAAACTGCTCCACCAGTGTCCCCCATGTGATTCCACCTAATTACCTGTAGGTACATGCTAAAGATGCAGACTTTTAGGTACAATCCGAGATCTACTGACTCAATCACTCATGCTGAGGTTTGGAGATCTGCATTTAACAAGCACCCACTTTTTTTCCCTTTTCTTCTCTCCCCACAATCTCATTCTGCCTGAATTTCACCATGGTTAAGAGTTTGCTTACCCTCTAACCTTCTTCTCTGTATGGCTATGTTTCTACTTGCACGTCGTCCTAACTTCAGGAGAGAAGGTCTATAAATATAATGCCTCATGGCTATCTTTTCCTCAAAGGGAAATCAGTGTTAACTGCATGCCTTAATGCACTTTTATTTTATAATCATGTGATCATGTAGCCTTTATTATGGAAGCACTGACTGTTGGTCAGTAAAATGCTTCTTTCTTTCCCAAGGGCAGAACTATGACCACTTATAATGAATATAATTATTGATACAATTGGATTTAAGTCTACCACCTTTCAATTTGATTTCTGTTGGAAACTGTAGAAAACAGTTTATATCTTTTCTATCTATTCTTTCTTCTTTTTCCCTTTTCCTACATTCTGGGGATTAAGTAAATATGTTTTCTAATTCCATAATAACTCAACTATTGACTTATTAACTACACTTAAAAAATTGTTTCTTAGGGCTTATAATGTACATCTTTAGTTTATCATAGTTGTCTTCAAATAATATAATACCATGAAGACCCTACTGTACTATACTCCCTTTCCTCTGCTTTTTACATTATTCTTATCATACATTTTATTTCCACATACATTATAGAACCTATACTATATTGTTATTACTTGTATTCTAAACAGTCAATTATCATTCAAAGATATTTTTTAAATGTGAAAAAATGTTTTTTATATTTACTAACATCTTTGCCATTTCTGGTGCTCTTCCCTGTTTTTGTGGATTCAAATTTATATACACCATTTTCCTTCTACATAAAAAACTTCTGATAATACATCATTTCAGCTTTTGGTTGTCTGAAAAAGTCTTTAATTCACCTTCATTTTTGATATATATTTTTGCTGGATATAGACTTATTGGTTGACAATGCTTTTTTTTTTTTTTTTGTGAGATGGAGTCTCACTCTGTTGCCCAGGCTGGAGTGCAGTGGCACAATCTTGGCTCACTGCAAGCTCCGCCTCCCAGGTTCACGCCATTCCCCTGCCTCAGCCTCCTAAGTAGTTGGGACTACAGGTGCCCGCCACCATGCCTGGCTAATTTTTTTGTATTTTTAGTAGAGACGGAGTTTCACCGTGTTAGCCAGGATGGTCTTGATCTCCTGACCTTGTGATCTGCCCACCTCAGCCTCCCTAAGTGCTGGGATTACAGGCGTGAGCCACCTCACCCAGCCAATGCTTTTAATATGTTAAGGGTGCCATTTCATTGTCTTCTCACCTTCCGTAGTTACCCAAAGGGAGTGTGCTGCCATTCTTTTCCTTCAGTCTTCTATATGTAATTTTTTTTTCTCACTGGATTTTTAAATGATTATTTTTATTACCGGTTTTCAGTAATTTGAATATGATGTGACTTGGACTGACTTTATAATTATTTTGCTTGGAGTGTGTTGTGCTTCATGAATCTGGGGGTTTGTAGTTTTCATTAAATGTGTGATAAAGTTTGGCTGTGTCCCCACTGAAATCTCATATTGAATTGCAGCTCCTATAATTCTCACATGTGGTGGGACGAACCCAGTAGGAAGTAATTGAATCATGGAGGTGGGTCTTTCCAGTGCTGTTCTTGTGATAATGAATAAGTCTCAGAGACTGATGGTTTTATAAAGGGGAATTCCTTTACACATGCTCTTTTGCCTGCTGCCATCTAAGAAGTGACTTGTACTCCTCGTTCTCCTTCTGCCATGTTTGTGAGGCTTCCCCAGCCATGTGGAACTGTGAGTCAATTAAACCTCTTTCTTTTATAAATTAGCCAGTCTTGGGTATGTCTTTATTAGCAGTGTGAGAACAGATTAGTACAATGTGGAATTTTTTTTTATCATTATTAAAAAATATTTTTCCTTCCCTTTCTTGCATGTTAGACCACTTAATTTTGTCCCACAATTCACTTATGTTCTATTACTGTTTTAGTCTTTTATCTCTGTGTATTTTATCTTGAATATCTTCTGTTACTATGTCTTCGAATTCACTGATATTTTCTTCTGCAGTGTCAAATCTGTTGTTAATTTCATCCAGTTCATGTTTTATGTCAGAAATGGTTTGATTCAAGTCATTTTGGTATATTACCTTTTTCTCCTCACCGTGCTCATTTTTTCCCTCTACCTTCTTAAACATATTGAGGATATTTACAGTAGCTGTTACAATATTCTTATCTACTAATTCTATCATCTTTCCATTTCTGGGTCTATTTTTATTGATAGATTTTTTTTTTCCTTAAAAATAGGTGATAGTTTCTCACTTACTGGCATGCCTGGTAATTTTTGACTGGATGCCAACATTATGAATCTTACATACTTGGGTGCTAAATTTTGTTTTATCCTTTAAATCCTGTTTAGCTTTGTTCTAGGTTACAATAAATTACTTGTCATTTGTTTGATGCTTTTGAGAGTTGCTTTTAAGTTTTTTAGGGCAGATCTAAAGGCAACCTTTAGTCTAAACTAATTTAGCCCCACTTCTAAGTCAATACAATACTGAGTACTCTACCCAATTCTCCATGTATTAGAAAGTCTTTCCACTCAGTTCAACTGGAACCGAACTTTCTTCAGCCCCATGTGGGCTTCTGAAATTGTTTGCCTTCTTTATTCCCTGGCCTTGGATAGTTTTCTTTTACATATATGCACATCAGTACTCAGCCAAAACTCACAGAAACTCCCTCTTCAGATCTCTGGAGGGCTTTCTCTGTGCAACTTTCTCCTTTCCTATATTCTTCTCCCACTAATTCTAGCTACTTTAGCTTCCCTGAATTCCAAACTCTGTTTCCTGCATTCAGAAAAACTTCTAGCTCTATTTTGGCTCTCTGCTTCTGCACTACATCCTGGAAACTCTCCAGGCAGTAAGCTGGGGGCAATAAGAGGGCAACTTTATTTGTTTCACTTCTTTCAGAGATCACCTGGCCTGTGCTACCAGTTCCCAAACATTTGAATAACATAGTTTCACAAGTTTCCTCCTCATTTTCTACTTGCTTAAGGTAGGAAGATAAATCTAGTCTACACTGTTTCATCATGACTAGAATTAGAAATCCTCTTAAGAGTAGCATTATATAAACAATTAAGATATATATATATACACACATAATCTTTATCACAATCATTCAATTCCAATATATTAGAAAAATTGAGGCTTAAGAATTTGCATTTGCAAAAATATGGAACCAGCACATATGCCCATCAATCAATGAGTGGATAAAGAAATTTCATTATACCATGGACTACTATTCAACCATAAAAAGGAACTAAATAATGGCATTTGCAGCAACCTGGATGAAATTGGAGACCATTATTCTAAGTGAAGTAACTCAAGAATAAAATATGTGGGTTTTTTGTTTGTTTGTTTGTTTGTTTGTTTGTTTTTTGAGACGGAGTCTCGCCCTTTCGCCCAGGCTGGAGTGCAATGGTGCGATCTCGGCTCACTGCAGCATCTGCCTCCCGTGTTCAAATGATTCTCCTGCCTCAGCCTCCTGAGTAGCTGGGATTACAGGCACCCACCACGCCCAGCTAATTTTTGTATTTTTAGTAGAGAGGGGGTTTCACCATGTTAGCCAGGCTGATCTCGAACTCCTGACCTTGTGATCCGCCCGCCTCGGCTTCCCAAAGTGCTGGGATTACAGGCGTGAGCCACTGTGCCCAGCCTAAAATATGTTTCTCACTCATAAGTGGGAGCTAAGCTCTGAGGATGCAAAGACATGAGTGATACAATAGACTTTGGGGACTGGAAGAGGAAGGGTTGGGGTGAGGGATAAAAGACTATACACATTGGGTACAGTGTACACTGCTCGGGTGATGGGTGCCTCAGAATCTCAGAAATCACCACTAAAAAACTTATTCATGTAACCAAACACGACCTGTTCCCCAAAAACCTATTGAAATAAAAAAGAAAGAAAGACAAGACAAGAAAAGGAAAATTAAGCCTTAGGCAGAGAAATTAAATAATGGTGAGGAATGGTGTAACATAGTGGTTGAGTGCATGAGTCGAAAAACAAGCTTTCATTCTGGATTCAAAGATTAGCTTTTTCACTCATTAGCCATATGACCTCTGTGTATTTTTGTTTTAACATCTATGATAATAATAATATTTAAATCCTAGAGCTATTATGTAGGTTACATGTTTTAATATACATCAGATGCTTAGAACAGTGTCTGACAAATAGTAAATTTTCAATAAATGTCAGTTTTTTAAATTTCCGAAGTCACATTGCTTGTGGTAGAGTAGGGTCGCTCTAAATTTAAAGTTCATGCGCTTTCCCATATTTTATGCTGCCTCTGAATAGTGAGGCTCATGAACATGCTATTATTAAGACCTACTTGGAATCTTTTCTTATATGGGCACTTAAAAAAGAAAGAAAGAAAAAAGTCACTTCTGGTATCTGGTTTTAAAAAGTCTTAATCTTTAATTAGCTAATGTACATTGAATATGTTGTTTTAGGTTCTGAAGTATCCAAACAATACAACTAGCTATTTATGATAGAAAGTTACCCCCCAGTAACACATGTTAATTTAGAAACAGTGACTTGGGTCTGGGAATACGAAAGCTGAAGCTGAAGGGTCCCAGATGTCTCTGCTTCTGCCTACAGAAGGCCAGTGCTTTGGTAACTTTGGCAAGAAAATAAGTGCAGATATCTTGGATACCTCATTTTTTTTTCCTCCGTTTCCACTTCAGGCCACTCTTTTGCCTTACACCCACATTATACCAGTTCAACTCAAATTCAACTCACAGCCCACACAAATGTTTTAGATGGCATCCTTGCCTGAATCATGATGCCTGTGGGGGCTGGACTGTTTTCTGTAATTTCCTTTCAGGGTCAAAAATCTATGAAGGACTACTTCAATGAACGATTAATCTCTTTCAGGAGATCATATTTCTATTTAGATGTCTTAAGAACATAGTAAAAAAGACATTGGACCTTTCCTCTCTATTAAAAAAAAAAGAGCGAGACAGAGACAGGGAGAAACAGAGAGAGCAAAAGAGAGATTTCACCTTGTCCTTTTATTTGTTAACACTATCTGTCAAAGAAAACCTGTATAAAAGCCCCCAGTATACTAAAGAAGGTAAGACGTTAGATAATTGCAGAGCCATCCTTCTTACTTCTTTTTTTTTTTTCACATGCTTCTCTACATTGTTAAGCTCTTAAAATGACTATCTGTTGTTTTCTTACCAATGTGACCTTCTTTTCTCAGAATTCTTCTTAGTTGATGTGACTTTTCTATCAGAAGGATTTTTTTTTAAAGACCAATCTGTTTTTCTTGCAATCTGGGGTTACTTCAGGGCTTCAAGGTTTTAGTGGGTTTAATTTTTTTTTAATTTCTTCATTTCTTTTGTGTCTCTGTCATTTCCCTTTATGATTACATCTGAATGGAATTTCTTCACTTTAATTACAATTAACCAGCATTCTTCACAACTTGCTCCCCAAGCAATGAGGAGCAGCTGGTTGATCCAGGAGAGACAGGGAGGCGCTGAGATGAGATGAGCTCTCTCCCTTATGTGGAGAAGTCCTTTTAGGAATCTGCCATGTTTAAATGTAAGTTCCTTTGTTTGTTTATCTGCAATTGCATGCCTGATCTTAGCTAAGTAAAACCTGATGAAAGAGAAGGGAGACTCACATCACCATCCACTCTTTTGTTTTCTTGGCCCACTAAGTACGTTTCTCCAAGTTTCTGGCATTTCATTTTAAAATTTATTTGGAGCAATTTTTCTGTTGCATATCTAAAAGCAAATGCATTATAAGCTGTTTTTCTTTTTCAAGTGCAGCTTTTTAAAATGTTTAACTTCGTGATATAAGAACAAAAGATTTGTGTTTTATAACTGTTTTCTTTTTTGGAGTGGTGGAAATGATGGGTATTAAATAATCACAGCTGTAATCTTTAATGAAAATTGCATTATAAAAGCATTCATGGACAATAAAGTGTCTTCTTTTGGGGTTTGATACATTATTAATCATTTAGCCTTGATTCACAAAGAAATTCTCATTCAATAGTTTTGATTCCCTAATGAACCATCTGAAGTGAAGTAACTCATTCTTCTTATACCAATCAATGCTTGCACAGATGGAGGCAGTCAAATAAATTGAAGCAAAATGTTAAATGACATGTTACCCTCATCACTCCTGAGGATATCACATGCTGTGGTCACTGCCCCATTCTTAGGGGTGTGCTTCTCCATACATTTGAAATGGAAGTCATTCGATTATAAATATTATATAGACCCACGAAGGAATGGTTGGAAACTGGAACACATTCTAGAGAAAGGGTTTATTGTGTCCGTGATCTTCCTTATGAGACACATCTTGGTCTTACAGGTAGATATAACCACAGAAGAAGTTTGAGTAAATAGATGCAGAAAATGGAAGATCTTATAACTAGAGGTTTCAATATGATTTAGAAAGTTGCTATATTCATGCAAGTGGAGAAATGCGTGTTTCTTTCCTTAGTGATGTTTTATATTCCATCTTATGTAGTATCTATAGCAGCAGTTCTCTTGTTGGGGCGTCAGAATACATGTTGAACTCTTAATATAACACAAATGTCTGAGTCCTATCTCAGAGTTACTGAAAACAAATTTGTACAGGTGAGGCCCGGAAATTGAATTTTTTTTAAGGTCCACAAGGGATTTTGATAAGCATCCAGGATTGAGAGTCACACTGCATTCAAAATAATTTTTATTTTGTGCCACTTCACCTATTTACATTTTATAGAATTATCAGGATGAATAGTTAATTTAATAGTCAATTCATAGTCAATTTAAAAGATTCTGGAATATCCATGTAGATTTCCTTTAAATCACCACTACCCCCTCTCTTTATTAAGGTCCATTCTGTCACATACCATGCTGGCACCTTGCTTGCAGCAGCTTGCTTACTCTTCACACTTACCCTCGAGATAAATAGAACCATATTCACTATACAGGTGAGACCATTTGGTTTTGGGCAATTAGATCAATTATCCCAAAGCCAGAATGTACATGTATGCCCATCTGACTTCAAAACTTACTCTTTTTTGTACCACTCACCCTCTCTGCTCATTCCTTTTCGTCCTTCCTAAACTTTCCCTCTCAGCCCCTGTTGTACTTCATTCTTTTTTGTTTTCTTTACCTTTCCTTGCCACAATATGCCTGTGTGAAAATTGAGAGAAAAGGGTGCACATGGCTCACAAAAGCTCTTGGTAACAATGATTGCCTCAGTCTTCTGGTAAATATTTCCACTTGGAGAAGTTCTCACAGTCACTAAGTTGACAAACCTTGGTTTGGTATCCTTTGACTAATGGAAATATTTATATTTTTTGACTGCTTCATTTTAAAGAATGTCCTGGGGTTTGCTCAAGAGAATATAAAAACCTGCTGTCTCTGTTTCCATTTCCAGACCCAGACATGACCCCAGCACATTGAAGCATCTGCTTTTCATTTCACATCTTTTTTATCTTAAGGACCATCCTTCTGAACTAGGGTTTAAAGTAGCTCAATAAACAGCAACTGTGAGATGGAGATAATGAGGAGAGTGTCTTTGGCTAAGAAGTGGCAGAAATTACAAAACTATTTCCCTGGGATATTGAGGAGCTGTGTAACCTGGGCTTTAGTAAAGCCATCTATATTCATGGCCTGTCATCTACACTTGCCACTGGACCCAAGGGCATCTAGCTGATTATCCACCTGTGCTTCTGAAATACTGCCAAAGAATTACTCCTTTACTTACCCCTTTCTCCTCTGATTCATTTCTCTAGGTGTGGCATGGGGGAAAGGAATATGGCTAATAATCACTATGCAAAATAAGAAATGCATTTAAAAGTTGATACAGTATGGAGGAAAGGTGTGACCCTTTCTGCAGATGTGAGGTGAGCATATACTTGAGAAGTAAGACTACACATGGTATTTAATAGTATTTGGCTGGAAATTATAGAGAAGACTATTTCTAGATTCAGGGAACACAACAATGAACAACTTCTCTTGAACGTTGGCAAGGATTGAATATTCTTGTGTAGCAAAATATTTTGCACATAATTGAGGCTCAATAAATATTTGTTAAACGAGTGTTGGATCACAGGACTATAAGGAGATCCTGGAGTTGATAACTAGAAGCTTTAGTGCAATGATATGGAGGCAGAAATGTCCATTTCTGGCCTTACGACCTTGTGTAACTTTGGGCAAGCAACATAGCATCCTTGAGGTTCTGCTGCTATAAAATGAGGTTTATGACATCTTCCCCACAAGTGGTTGTGAGGATTAAATGAAATGCTGTAAAAGTACTTTGTAAATTACAGACTATGAATAAACGATCAAGGAAACAGCGGGAACCCCACATGGCCAATATGTAACATTATTTAAAGGTTTGGTTGAGAGTCACAAAAGAGAAATTAATAGGGATAAGTTACATAGACTACACATTTTTGGACCTGAAAGCTATTGCTGATGTTGAAGACAAATAATTCCAGTTTACAGTAGATAATTGCTTCAGGGCAAGGATCATGTTTTATTAATAAAGGTTGGGCCTACTTAATCTTGAAATCTGAAACCCAAAATGCTCCAGGCCGGGTGCAGTGGCTCACCCCTGTAATCCCAGCACTTTGGGAGGCTGAGGCAGGCGCATCACTTGAGGTCAGGAGTTTGAGACCAGCCTGGCCAACATGGCGAAACCCCTTCTGTACTAAAAAATACAAGGAAATTAGCGAGTGTGGTGGCACGCACGTGTAGTCCCAGCTACTCGGGAGGCTGAGGCAGGAGAATCACTTGAACCCAGGAGGCGGAGGTTGCCGTGAGCCAAGATCGTGCCCTCCAGCCTGGGCGACAGAGGGAGACTCCGTCTCAAAAACAAAAACAAAAACAAAACACAAAACTTTTGAGCACTGAAATGATGCCACAAATGGAAAATTCCACACCTAGCCTCATGTAATAGGTTGCAGTCAAAACACAGGGGCACAGCAAGCACGCAGCGTATTTAACATTCGTAAGGGTTAAAAAGACCCTCCCAGTTTCCTTCAGCTGCGCTATATCTTTTCTGCGCATGCCCAGATTCCCCAGGCAAGCATGCCTACAAAGGGTAAAAAAATGGCACTTGTGCAGGCTGAATCGCCAATCAACAGCAGGTTTTCCACGACATCCTATATGCATTACTCACTGTGGTTTTTTTTTGTTTGTTTGTTTTTTGTTTTTGCTTATTCTCTGCTCTGTAATATAAAGATGTTGTTGAAAATGCAAATACTTGAAAATCAGAAAAATTCCGAAATCCGAAACACTTCTGGTCCCAGGCATTTTGGATAAGGGATACTCAACCGGTACTTATATTTCCAGTTCCAGCAGGATCTGCCCCGGAGTAGATGTTCAGTGCATGTTTTAGAGGAGAGATAAAAGACAGATAAGTGTGTGGCTATATGGCTCTGGAGACATTTTTAGGCTCAGAAACGGAAAAGCAGTTTTTGATATCCTACTTAGCATAGCCAGTTTTAAAAGAAAACTCAAATCACAACTTTTGCTAAACATTTTTGTAAGACATGCAGCAGTTTATCTCATTTTTCAGAAAGATGATGGCATGAAACATTGCAGAGAGAACAGGGCTTGTTTTGTGTGATTGGAAGCTGCATTTTCTGAATTAGTATTATAGTCAGTCGATGAGATGGCACCAACTGTTAAATGGTTGTTAAAGTAGAAAAGAGGTATAAAGACTATGCTGTCAGCCTGTTTTCTCATATGCTATGGAGTAGGCACTGTGGTGCTTTCTGGCAATGGCAACCAATGTCCTTATCAGGCAATGAGGTGAGGAGGGAGAGATCTCTGTTGGAGGGACAGCTTCATACATAATTAGGGGCAATTATTAATGAGACTTTAAATTCCAGGACTTATTTGAACCCATTAGAATTTCAAAAGCACCAATTTAGCATATCTCACAATTTTACATGTTCATTTTGGTAGGCTTGAGCTTTTGTCCATGTACATTTTACATGCAGAATTATGTGTGTTTGTAGATAGGCATACAAACTATTAGCATATTGAACCGAGTAGCTCTTCGGTTGCACTAACTTGTTTTGATAGTCTGAAATCCCCTGTAAGGAAGCAGGATACAAAAATTTGACCCCTGGAGGCTAACAAGATAGACACGAAACCCTATGAAAACAATCCAGTTCCTGTTGTTGCTCCCATGGGGAAACTTTCTTGGGCTATGTGAAGGCATGACTCAAAAGAAATAGAAGGAGCAGATGTAGAGACAAAGAGATACAGTTCCTGGGCCTATATTAATGGGACAACACATATCAACAAAGGGTGCGTCCTGGTGACTGGACAGCCAGTCTCCAGTGATAACATCATAATTATAATGCTTAATGTGTAAAAGACCTGAGATTATGGGCAGAAGATGACTGTGGACACATAGAACTAACCTCATATAATAGGTTGCAATCAAAACACAGGCACATAGAACACAGTGTGTTTAACATCCATAAGGGTTAAAAAGATCCTCCCAGTTTCCTGGAATGATCTTTGGAACCGTAGTTCTCATCAATTTGCCTGAGTTTGGTAGGTATGCCCCATCCCCTTAGCTTTTCTGATCTTTAAGACTTGAAAAAATCCCTGGTATTGGGAGCAAATAGGAGTTCCTATGGTATTATTAGATGAACTGTGGGTATAGAAAGCCTCTCCACTACTTGTCAACAAATGTTTATTGACCAGACACTGTGTGCCAAGTATTCTTCTAGGTGCTTGTGTTACAGTGATGAACACAACAAAATACCAGTCTGCACAAAGCTTACATTCTGGTGAAGACCAATGGCGATCAATTAACCAGACTAACATGTATGATAATGTCAGATAGGGAAAATATGATGAAGAAATATAAAGTAGGCTAAGAAGATAAAGATAAAGATCCCCTGTCAGGGATTGGGAGACTGTTTTAGAGGAAGCACCAAGGAAGGCATCTCTGCTCAGATGATAGTGGAAGAGAGAGCTGGGTGAAATGAGGGAGGTGTCATATGAAGGTATGGGGGAGTGTTGCAAGAAGATGGAACAGCAGGTGCAGAAGACTTGAGTTGGGTCTTAATGAAGCAGAAAGGAAGTCAGTATGCAATAAGTGGAAGGATCACAGGGAAGAGAGATAGATGAGATTGGAGAGGCAGGCAGCAAGAGAACCAGAGACCCCTGTGCAGGCCATGGTCAGAATTTAGATATCCTTCTAAGTGTGATGAGCAGCTCTCAAAGAATTTTGAGCAGGAGAGCAATATCATCTGATCTGTATTTAAAAATCCCTCTTTCTGCTACCACATAGAGAAGAAACTTCTTGTGGGCAGTCACAGTATAGCAGCAAGGAGACCCATTATCCCCTCTCATGATTAGCCTACAAAGAATATGAGCTCCTCAATACCTCTGCATACAAATGTTCCTAGTGCTTTGCGTTGATAGATACTGAATTTATTCTGGAAGGGTGGGTGAAAGAAATGTCTAATTTAGATTAAGGCAGAAATATCTCAGCCTCTCAGGGCTTAAGACTCTTCTTACAGATGAGTCTGTTCCCATGAAGGGTGAATTGGGTTCCTTCTGTTTTTCAGAGTTCCCTAAATGATTCTCTGGGATCATGGGAAAATACTCATAATAATGGCCATAGATTTTTTGGTGGGATATAATGGAGGAGCTGTGGCAGCACCACATGAGATGGAGATGAGGAGAAATTTGAGTCATACAGCAAGTTTAGCTTAAGGCTGGAGACCAAGACTGGATGGGAGAGCCATCAATTTGTTGCCACAACTTGAAAGGTACTTTGCAGATTTAAACCATGGAAGCGTTACAATTTTCCTTCCCCCTTGTCAGTATAAAATGTATTTGATAAGGTCAGTGAGTGTTGGATAAGAAATAGGTCTTCTTCTTTGATAGGCTCCTCCAGAGACTTGTCTTGACCTGTATCAATAAAATCACCCTTTCCTAGTGAAATAAAAGAGACAATCAGTCCATGCTTCCTCATAATTTTGATTTGTGGGTGTCAGGTGAGTCGGTGAGCTCCTGCCCTTGTTATAAACACTATCTCTAGAGGAGACAAATGTTCTCAACTTTTACAGTCATGATGCAGTCATGCTTTGAGATCATCTGAGAAGTGCTGCAGAAGCACAAAGCATTATTACTATCATTATGGCAGTAATGACTATGATTATAATGCAGTTAGGGGGAGCTGAGGAGGAATGGCAACTAAAGGTGAGTAAGCTTTACCCCCCCATATGTCTGAGTAAGATTTATAGTATCAAAAACATGCGTGTGCGTGTGTGCGGTGGGTATAGAGAGGCAAGTGTGGGTGTTGAGATAGCATTACTGGAAGATATGTACTCAAATCCATTTTAGTAAAACTGTGTTCAGAAAGCAATATTCCATTTTACTTAAAACGTGGAGCATGATTTCTCTTTGTTTCAGTAATAATGTGTTGGTCTGAAACACGATTTCCCTGCATATCACTTTGGATGTGATGGTGACCTCAAAAGCTCCGGAGGCAGCAGGATGTTGTGATGTAAACTATTTCAGATATTACTCCAGCTGCTCTGGGGAACAGGAAGAGGGTATAACGGAAAGTCTATAGCTTGGCACCTATGTCATTTACTATGTTTACCCTGATTTCTTCCTTGATTACCATTTTTGGGAATCTGTGACTCTGAAAAACTAATAGTCACTCATTCAACAAGCATCGAAGCATCATGCCTCCTGTTAGATTGTAGGATTAATGGGATGAGTGTGATTTATTCTCTGCCTTAAATGTTTTACAGGTTGTGAGGGAGTCAGACAAGAACATCAATGGGTTTGAGGTGTTAAATTCTTCAAGCTCTCCCATTGCCTGAGTATCATAGTCACATTTGTACCTTGGAAGTCTCCCTTTGGGATCAGCATGTAGGATGGATTTAAGCGAATTGGACTGGAGGGCCTCCAGCCATTGTAGAAGTACAGGTGAGAGAGGCATACCTAACTGTTAATTCCTTTGAAGAATCTTTTATCCTTGAAACCTAAGTACTTGGCATTATTTATCATGTGATGAAGTGCAGGGAACGAATGATTTGTAAGATCTGGATAATTTGTGTGGCAGAATGTTCAGTTATTTGATGATATGGCTTGGCTGTGAGTAAAAGAGAACAGTGCTCTCTTGCAGGGGTGGAAAGTGCCTGGACATTCCCTGTGAGTTTGAGGAATTCTGTGCCGTTAAGGAGTAGACTTACTCAGAAATACTTTGTGAAAAGTTCTTATAGAGGAATATTACTGTTAGATGTAATATTTTAGACATAGTCCTAGATGTTGCTCAAGAGAGCGTGCACAGTAAGTACTTCTTTTCTACCAGCGTGAATTGCCAAGGAAAATTTTGGAGACCTTCTTTTGGAATTCGAGAATTATTCTAGAAGAGAGAGAGAAAGAGATAACATGTGCCTTGACTGGAGTAGATACAGTGTATTTTGGTAGAAGATTCCTGGTGGTTCATTTCAGGCACAGGGTTGAACAAGTAAACCATCTCATTGAGCTGTACAAGATGTACTCTGCAAATCCTTCCCTATCCTGGGAAAGCAATAAAGTCCATGGCTTTTAAGATGACACAGTAAAACAGCTTACTGCTTTGAAACTATAATTTTGAAAGGCTGAAGATTGTTTTTGCATCACTGGGAAGACAGCAATCACTATGAATTAATGATGTAGAGCATGTTTATGGGGAGTCATGTTTTATCCACATGGAGATCAAACAGCTTTTGGGTACTTCTGGAACTTTGCTTGAATGCCATCACTTGTAAAGGGCAAAAACCGTAATTACTTTAGCACCAACCTAATATTTGCTGGTAATTACAAAAGAGGCTTAATTGAGGTGGCCTAACTTCATGCCAGACCTGAGTTACAGAGTCTGAGGACTAGCTACTTTTTTATGCTCTCTGTGAGTATGGCAAAGACGAATGACTTTAAATTGAACTAGGAAACATAAAGCCAGTAAGCCTCTTTCTTAGTACAAGTGACATAACAAACAAATAAATAGCAGAAGACTAATACCAAACCATCAAGAAAAAAATCTTGATTGTCTCTGTAGTGAGAACCTGAAAAAGTCTACTTTGGTAATACCAGACTTTTCTTTTCCTAAGAAAGTCTGATACCTTTTAGGGATCCTTTCAGGTGTGGCAGAATGACTGAATAAGTCATTTAAGTCCTATATTAATACATTTTATCCATGTTATATTTAATTGGGAATTACCTTTGTAGAATTGGAAAAAGTATGGACCATTGTAGAATGTAAAGGTGATATTTATGGATTGCTTCCAGGCTTTTCAACTTCCATGTCAGGAAATATCTCTAACAGAAGCAAAAATAATCTGAAGCTACATGGGGACACAGTTCAGGATGCGAACTGAAAGGAAATTATTATGCCTGGCAATTCAGGATGTAAAATCATTCCCTTCTATATCTAACAGACAATATTCTTATACAACTTAAGAAGAAGCAGAAAATGATCCCCCATTGACATGTAAGTTTGATTAGATTGCTATTTATCAATACCTTCTTATAATAGGCCCCATGCTAAATGTGTTCATATGCATGATCTCATTACATCATATTTTATTTAAATGAGGAAACAAACATAAGAGATTAGTGATTTTTTTTCCCCCAGAGACACACAGCTGAAATGTGACAGAACTTGGCTTAAAGGCTTAAAGCTTTGGACATTGAGGCTGAAGGTTCTTTCCTGTGCCATCTGTGGACTTCTGCTCTCACTGGCATCTGCTGCTAACTCCCCGGCTGTCAGAAAACAGGCAGAGTCCTGGGCACCATCTGTACTTCCCTCACCAGCACCTTGATCCTCTCACCATCTAGAGACCATGTGGGTTCTGGCCTACTCATGGAATTAAAGACCTCTGTCTTTAATTCTTTCACTGTTATCTCCATCTTGTCTCCAATGTTGAGACAAGAACTTCCAGGATTCCCTTTCATTTTCAGAAATTTTGGTTTTAGAGGTCTTTTGGAGTCTCACTGTGTTGCCCAGGCTGGAGTGCAGTGGCGCAATTTTGGCTCACGGCCACCTCTGCCCCCCAGGTTCAAGTGATTCTCCTGCCTCAGCCTCCTGAGTAGCTGGGATTATAGGCGTGTGCCACCACGCCCGGCTAATTTTTGTATTTTTAGTAGAGACAGGGTTTCACCATGTTGGTCAGGCTGGTCTTGAACTCCTGACCTTGTGATCCAACCACTTCAACCTCCCAAAGTGCTGAGATTATAGGTGTGAACCACTGTACCTGGCCGGTTTTAGAGGTTTTCTTAATATACTGTTATAATGTTAAGAGGCGAACTAGATTGAATCTGCCACTTCTAGTCTGAAATATATTTCAAATATATATGTCAAATTGCTTTCCTACCATGCTAGCCCAAGCCACCACCTTGAAGGAGAAGAGTCTGGACTCCTTTAGATGGATCTCCATGCTTTGCTATTCAGTGTGGTCCATGGACCAGAAGCATCTGCATCACCTGAGAGCTTGTTACAAATGTGGAATCTTGTGCTCCACCTTGGACCTAGAGAATCATATACATTTTAATAAGATTCCCCCAGATGTTCATGTGCACTTTAAAGTTAGAGAATTGCTCTTCTAACAGATCTCCCACACTCTCTTTGCCTCCTCCATCACATTCCCCCTCTTTGCATCCAGTGTGTTATTTTAAAAATGTATAAACAATTGTATCATTTCTATACTTTAAGCCCTTTAAGGGCTTCCCTTCTCACTTATATAAAGACCCAAATTTTTATGATAACCTACAAAGTCCTCTAAGATCTGATTCTTGCCTACTTCCAGGCCTACTGACTTCCTTTCAGTTCTTAAATGTGCCAAACTTGGTTCTACCCATAAAACTTACTCTCATTATTTTCTCTACCCAGAACAGTCATCAGTTCTTGGCACGATTTTAGTTTTCTTATCCTTTAGTCTCAGTTTAAGAGTCACTTCTTGGAGAAAATTCACCTGACCACTCTACAGTAGGTACATGCAGTTTTTCTCTAACACAACCATGTTGGTTTCCTTCATATCATTTATCTCAATTTGCCATTATATTATCTATTTATTTCCCTACCAATTGGCCAAGGCTATATAAGAGGAAGACTCATGACTCTTTCCCCAGCACTTAACACAAGGAATGGCACAGAAAAGGAATTTGATAAATATCTGTTGAACAAAAGAGCAAACATACCATAGATATGCTTCTTGCTTATTGAATTTTTTCAGGAGTATATAATTCAAGATAACTTGTTAGTGTTTGTAAATCTTGCAATTGTTACCAGTTCTTTGTAGTTTTACCTGGAATATTTTCAGTTAACTATCCAGAATTCAGGGGGCTTTCTAATACCTACTTTCATAATCACCGGTATAGTAAGTTTTATTTCCAAGTATTAGCAAATATGAGCTAGTTCTCATTTTCCTACTGCCACCAACAAACATTGCCCATATAGCAAATGTCCAGCCATCTCCTTAATGGAAACCAGAAAAGGTTGTTAACAAGTATAATTGCTTTGGTACAGAGTTCTTGATAAGGGAGCATTTTGGACAAATACTGTGTGTGTATATGTGTGTGCGTGTGTGTGTGTGTTATGAAATAGTTTAGTAAAGGATGCTGGGGTAATGAATTCAAGGGCTGGTATCTTGAAATACTAGGCTGCAACTGATGGCTAACCCAGGGTCAGAGAAAGAAAACTCCCTTGTGATATATCATTGCATAATTGCATAAAGCGGATGTGTAATAGAAGCTTGTATCTTTCCTTAAAACATCTGGCATTAGTCATTATGAGAAGCAGGTGCCTAGGCTGGACAGACAACATGTCTATTCCAGGATGACACATTTCTGTTGTTTCTGTGTTACATTTGAATTTTCTTTGGCTCCTGTCAGCCTAAGCACATCAATGATCAAAATGATAATGGAGAGAAATATTGCCTAAGAAAGAGTGTAAACAATGTAGCTACATCTTCTGGCATGATGTTTGGGTTTCAGAAAAATTAGTAAGCCACCTCGTGACCGACAGCCTGTGATGGTCCAGATGTAATTTGTGCGCACTTGTTGTGACAGGTTGAATCACAGCTTCCATGGATGAGGCTTTTCTAAGAATTGAGGATTTGCCTGCTAGTTAGCCAATCTTTGTTGGTTCTCAGCCAACGATGGGTCAGGGTCTTATACAAGTTTGCTGAATTGTACCTTCTCTCTTCATAGAAGCCATTGTATCTCACAAACCAAGCTTTGTGAAAGCCCTGCAATAAATTTTACAAATGTTTACAACCTCAGCCAGGCTATGTCATGTAAAAACTCACTAAAGAACATGGTGAAATCACCTGTCCCTGTTATGCCTTTTTCCCTTGCTTTACTCTAGCCTGGAGTTAAATCATTGATTGTTAGAGTTCCAGGATGAAAACCATGTGGTTATTCAGGTCCCAGCACAGTGTGTGGATTGTGATCTTTTTGAATCCATGCAAGGTTTGTCTGGAGTTTGTTTTGTTTGAGGTTCTAATAGTGGCAGTGTTTCTCAAGATGTGATCTGCTGATCATCTGTTTCAGAATTACCTGGCATGTTTGTAAAAAGCATAGATTCCTGGGGCCATCCTTCTACGTCTGTTGGATCAGATTCTCCAATGTAAAGTTCAAAAGTCTATGTTTTCAACAAACGTTCAAGATGATCTTTATGAATTCTACAGTTTGAGAACTACTAGCTTCTGTTAAAGTGAAATGTACCATTTTTCATTATTTTCTGATAGGCATTAAATAGAATTGGGGTTAAAATAGTCAACTTTAAAAATAATAATTTCATGGGTCAGCAATAACCTTACAAACCATTTTTGGCTTGTTGGCTATGATGCTAATGAAAATGATCTTATAGTTAACCTTTAGAAATGTCAGTGCATGAGTCTTGTTCAAAAGTGATTCTTTATGGGGCAAAGAATTGTGTTCGGGAATGGTTGATATGGCTTGAAATGCGAGTGTCTGGATGTGCATGTGTAGGAGAAAGGAGAGTTAACTAGGGGGCTGTTGTGTATGAGAACTTTACATCACTCCTTATCCCAGGTCAAATCCTTATGGAATACTAGGACTAAGAGAAATTTCTCTTCTTTTCTTCTTTGCAAAATGATTTAAAGAGCTTTCCTTCTGCAAAACAGTATATATCCATTATACCTACACTCTTATTATGTCTCGTTTTTTTTAAAAATCTGTGCAGCAAATATGCAAATACCCTCCATTTAAAAACCATTCAGGATGTTTTTAGTCTTCACTGTTATAAGTCATTTCTTAGAAATGTTTAGAAATTTAGAAAACATTTCTTAGAAATATTAGAAAATACACAAACTCAACGTACCATGTAACTAGTACCAACATGAAGAAACAATCTCTTTGGCATCCCAGAACTGTCTCTTGTTCCTAATTCTAATCACTAAACCTTTCTAAGCAAAACCATTTTCCTGATGGATAAAAGTCATTTTTATTTCTAATAAATATCTAATCACTTGACCTATATTTTCTGTAAATAGAAGATTTTTTTTTGCAGATATGGGACTCTTCAGCATCTTGGAAGTTCAATATTCTTCATCAAGAACTTTTCCTGACTAAATCCTGACTTACAAAAACCCCTTTCCTCTTGCTAATTTGTAATTCTACAATTTTTCTTCCATTGAGTGCAACTCTCTAGGTTCAGCCTGATTCATTTCCATTTTTTCCGTGGTCTTCTTTTAACCTGGGCTATAAAAACTACAATTTCTGTGTTGTGTTAGGTGTGTAGTCAATACAAATTATGGAATACAGGGCAATTATTTGAACTACATTAGTTTAAAACAAGTGGTTGAGAATTTTTTTCCCGTTTCATCCAATGGAAAAAATTTAAAAACTTGGTCAACAAACCAATTGATTGAATATAATGAAGTTAGTGCAATAGCTTACTGGGACTAGAGATAATACAATAGGAATTGACATTTGCTATATTAGAGAACCACAAATAAAAGTAAATGTGGAGCTGTTAGGGACTTCACATGATTATCTATTTTAGTGATAAATCAGACTGGTATTCTCAGCAAGGAGAAAGTATATTGTCTGCAGGATTGAAAAGGAAATTATTATAGTAATGTGAAAAGAATACTGTATGTGGGGTCTGAAACTTTGCTGCATGACCAAAGGCAAATCATACAACTTCAATAAGAGTTTGTTTCTCGATCTGTAAAATGAGGATAATAATATTTTCTTCCCAAAATTATGCTGAGAAGTAAATAAGGTTATGTTTTAAAACATCTACAAAATGCCCAGCACATGATAACTAATCAATATGAGCTCCCCCTCTCTTTCAACATGGCAGCATAGTGTTTAACATGGGAGGCCTATTCTAAAGAAAATAAAACATTATACTATAGCCTTTTTTTCATAAATTGTGCTTTATTTATTTCTTATTCCAAAATGAGTACATGTTAATTACATAAAAATTTGGAAATAAGTATGTTCCTCCCAAATTCCCTTAGTCCCACACTCTCGGAGACATCGATAGTGAATATTGGTTTTTTTTAAGCATCCCACTTAACCACTATATTTTCTTAGTACCCCCTCAGAATGCCCTACACCTGGTAGGCATACTCAATGTTTGTGGAATTACACAGTTTCCAAGAAGATAAGAAAAGTAGTCATAAGTCTTTTAGGAATTTTAATTTTGGGCTTAGAATGGAATCCAGAAGACTTTCTGATCTATCTATTCTTTTTTCAGGCCCCAGAGACAGATCTTTGTCAAATAGCTCTAGGATCAGAGATTATAATATTTCTTTTTATAATAGGCTAGGTCTATGATCAAATGTTAATGAACTGAATCATTTTAAAACCTAATTTTATTAGACTTTCACTGGATTTTAAAATTAAACTTAGATTTTTTTTTGTCTTCTCTTTTTCTTTTCTTTTTTCTTTTTTTTTTTTAAGGAGTGCTGCATGGCGAAAAAAACGGAATTAGGAGTGCATGAAACTGAGTTGTCTCTGCTCATTCACTCATTCATTTCTCTGGTTTGGGATCTAAGTAAGGAGTGTAATTTCTGTCACTCCTGTAAAAACAGGGGAAATAATGCTTGCTGTGCTTTCTTCTTATGTGATGATTGTGGAAATCACTGGGACAATGTGTGTGGTCAAGTTTTTTATGCAATAAAGTGTTATAAGGTTTTTGTACTGATATGGCAATAGTAGGAAATAGTGCATGTAACAGTAACATAAATATTTCTGTTGGACTATATTTGAAAGCAACAGAATTGGCTTTATCCTTTGATTATTTTATTTTACAAAGCATTTTGTGCCTTGGTCCTAATTATTCTGTTGAGTATATGTAAACTGGGAGCTATAACTAGAACTTAAAAATTCTCCAACTGCCTAGAACTATTGTGGATGTTCATGATCACCTCTTTATTAAATTCTGGTTTAGAAATTCAGGAAACCAAATTAGAAAAAAATAGGATAATACATTTTCTAGCCCTCACCTTGCCCAGGAGTTGAAGGCCATTCATATTACCATCTTCCCTGAATGTCTATACTTAGATACAACATGATGATGATAATTACAACTGTTATCCAAGGCATTAAATGGGCTACTTAGCATTTGGAAAAAATAACATTAACCACTAAATATAATCACGTTTCCCTTAGACATGTGGCAAGGCTTCTGTATCTCTGTGCAGAAAGAACATGAGTTTTGAAGTCAGAACAAACTCGTTTTGAATCATTGTTCTACTTTATCAGCTATGTGACTTTGGGGGTAAGTTATTATCCTCACTGAATGTTGGCTTCCTGAAGATTAAGTAAAATGACATGTACAATGTACTCAGAACAGTGCTTGGCACATTGTAGGCATTCTGTAAGTATTAGTTTGCTTTTCCTTCTCATCATAATACCAAACTGGTTACTTGTCTTAGCAGATATAAACAACTGATAATTTATAATAACATGAAAGCATATTATTAATATTTGTTTTACCCAGGTATAGTATGAAAATCCATGCTTTTATCTACGTGGATTAAAAATATAAGAATTACATTAAAATGTTTTATTGGAAATGTATTTACCTTGCATAATGTACAAATATATATGACAATTGGAATAATGACTTAAATGTGAGAATAAAGCCACAGAGGGGATAGAAGAAAGTATAGGCAGATATTTTAATGATCTTGGGCTGGAAACAGGTTTTCTTCATGTGATGGCAACCCAGGGGTCATGAAATAAAAGTTTGTTACATTTGATTATACTAAAATTGAAGACCTCTGTATGGTTAAAATCAAGTGTAAAATAAAGGGTAAACTCTGGAAATGTATTTACAATTTGTAAGCAAAGGCTAATATCCTTAATATTTAAGAGCTCTTACAAATTAATAAGAAGATATAAAACAAGTTTGTAGAGTAAATAATGGTCTAGACATTTAGGTAGCTCCCTCTCCCTAAAAAACTGACCTTGGTAGTCTTGATTCCAGGTACTGAAGAGAGGGTATTCAGCCATCTTTATGTGTGACTGGGTAGGGAGTGGTCCTATATGGACCCAGTGACATTATAATTAGCTCTGTTATGGATGACTGAGTTTTTGTTTTGTTTTACTGGCTGAGTGTTTATACCTGTAAGTTTCCTTTACAAATACTGTTTAAAATTTTTAGTTTTTTGGATGAGATTCTTTCTAAACATTCCTGTTTACTTTGTCTGAGCATTAGGGAATGTATACTTAAACTTTCTTGATGACTCAATTCATCTTTGAGAACACTGATTTTTGAACTCCGCTATAAGGCAGTACAATAAGATTAAGAAGGGCTGTTCATATCTGTGCTGACTAGGTTCATATTGTTATACATTTAAAATTCTTTGGGAGATATTAATGCTAGTAATAAAAGACAATCTCATAAATTGGACTTACCCTTGAAAATTCCCTAGAAAGTTTCCACTGTGGAGATCAATGTACAATCTCTGAATAATTCCAGCACAGCCAGTTTTTCTTTGGCATTGAAAAAGATTGCTGTTTCTCTGGTTGAGTCTCAGATAAGGTGGTTGGCTTGCAATGTGATATCAGTTTCTATCAAAAATATCCATATTTAAACTCTAGGGTACTTGTTTTATGTTTATACTTTACATAGATGTGCTGATTACATCCTCATACCTACCCTATGAAAATAAACCTATTTTATACCCATTTTACAGTTCATAAAATGGACACTTGGAAATATTAAATGTCTTGCCAATTAATATGTGGGAGCTAACATATGGAAAAACCTGTGATTTTGATTTAAATTAATCTTATGCTATACCAAATTTTGTAGAATTCTATGTAAAATAACAGCAAAAAAGTTCTGAGTACGGGTCCAATAAACTTTTCACAGAATAAAATACGAAAGTTTTAGGCATGAGCTTTGGGCATGAATGTGCACTAGCTATTCAGAGGCATGATTATCTTCTGCCTGTCAGCAGCATTCTGCCTAGGTGAGGTATTATCCTCTGCATATCTGTAGAGGTGATAACTAAAGTATGAGGTGCCGCAGCCCGTAAAGATGTGTTTTGGATCATGTGTGCATCTTGCCACACGGTATTGTATAAGACACACTGTGATTCAGCAAGGAATTAAAATCATTTTATCTTACCTCTGGTATTTTGCATTTCACACCTCTGTGCTGTCACGGTCCTTATGAATTTTTCATTGAGCCTTAGAGTTGGGTAATAAAGTTGAGCCTATAGGGGATGGAAGCTTTCCTGAGACGGATGCCTGTAATCAGCTGATGAAATGAATACAATTGGCTAGGCATCATGTAACTCCTACCACGTACACCACACAGAAAACCCTGAGTAAAGGAAAACAAACACACCACAACATGTTTACCATTTATTCATGATTGCACAGTTCTTGGCTTCAATACTCTGGAATCAAATACAGTGATGTGCATAGCAAGAGTTTTAGGTGAGGCTCTGAGAAACAGCGAACGTGATAGAAGCATCTCTGTAAGTCTCTTGTAATGATAGTGATCAAATTGCTTAACGTTCTTCTGTTCTTTCTTTTTTTTATGACTGTCATTACTTCTATTTTTCTTTTTTTTTAAAATTATACTTTAAGTTCTAGGGTACATGTGCACAACGTGCAGGTTTGCTACATAGGTATACATGTGCCATGTTGGTTTGATGCACCCATTAATTCGTCATTTACATTAGGTATTTCTCCTAATGCTATCCCTCCCCCAGCCCCCAAACCCCCGACAGGCCCCAGTGTGTGATGTTCCCTGCCCTGTGTCCATGTGTTCTCGTTGTTCAGCTCCCACCTATGAGTGAGAACATGTGGTGTTCGGTTTTCTGTCCTTGTGATAATGATAATTTGCTTAGAATGATGGTTTTCAGCTTCATCTATGTCCCTGCAAAGGACATGAACTCATCTTTTTTATGGCTGCATAGTATTCCATGGTGTATATGTGCCACATTTTCTTAATCCAGTCTATCATTGATGGACATTTGGGTTGGTTCCAAGTCTTTGCTATTGTGAATAGTGCCTCAATAAACATACGTGTGCATGTGTCTTTATAGTAGCATGATTTATAATCCTTTGGGTATATACCCAGTAATGGGATCCCTGGGTCAAATGGTATTTCTAGTTCTAGATCCTTGAGGAATCACCACACTGTCTTCCACAATGGTTGAACTAATTTACACTCCCACCAACAGTGTAAGAGCATTCCTATTTCTCCACATCCTCTCCAGCATCTGTTGTTTCCTGACTTTGTAATGATCGCCATTCTAAATGGCATGGGATGGTATCTCATAGCGGTTTTGATTTGCATTTCTCTGATGACCAGTGATGATGAGCATTTTTTCATATGTCTGTTGGCTGCATAAATGTCTTCTTTTGAGAGGTGTCTGTTCATGTCTTTTGCCCACTTTTTGACAAAAAGAGAGCCTGCGTAGCCAAGACAATCTAAGCAAAAAGAACAAAGCTGGAGGCATCACACTACCTGACCTCAAACTATACTACAAGGCTACGGTAACCAAAACAGCCTGGTACTGGTACCAAAACAGATATATAGACCAATGGAACAGAACAGAGGCCTCAGAAATAACACCACACAACTAGAACCATCCAATCTTTGACAAACCTGGCAAAAACAAGCAATGGGGAAAGGATTCCCTATTTAATAAATGGTGCTGGGAAAACTGGCTGGCTATACATAGAAGGCTGAAACTGGATCTCTTCCTTATACCGTATATAAAAATTAACTCAAGATGGATTAAAGACTTAAATGTAAGACCTAACACCATAAAAACCCTAGAAGAAAACCTAGGCAATACCACTCAGGACATAGGAATGGGCAAAGAGTTCATGACTAAAACACCAAAAGCAATGGCAACAAAAGCCAAAATAGACAAATGGGATCTAATTAAACTAATAATAAAGAGCCTCTGCACAGCAAAAGAAACTATCATCAGAGTGAACAGGCAACCTACAGAATGGGAGAAAATCTTTGCAATCTACCCATCTGACAAAGGACTAATATCCAGAATCTACAAAGAACTTAAACAAATTCACAAGAAAAAAACAACCCCATCAAAAAGTTCCTCTCTTCTTTCTAAGAAGAGATTGGGTAGCAAATTCCAAACCTTACCTCAATAAATTAATTCAAATACTGTCCCAAATGTTCAAGATTTTTATGACATCTAAACTTTCTCTGTTTTTTTTTCTCATTGCTCACCGTGACAATTCAATACCCCATCCTTAAGATGAGCGTCTTTTTCTATTTTTCAGTCATTTTCTCCCCTGCCCGCACCTCCCCTCCTCTCTCCTTCTCTTTCCATCCTCATCATATAATTTGCTCCATAAGAACCACTTGTTAAATTTGTTAAATTATATGTTTTATCTGCTTCACAGAGTCAATAATTTTATTCTTTTTACTAAGCTGCTTCTGTTGCTACAGAACTGTCTTAATTTTTAATGTATGAGGTGCCATAAGTTACTCTATTTTTAAAGCTTTTTTTTTTTTTTTTTTTTTTTTTTCGAGACAGAGTTTTGCCCTTGTTGCCCAGGCTGGGGTGCAATGGTGTAATCTCAGCTCACCACAACCTCCGCCTCCCAGATTCAAGAGAGTCTCGTGCCTCAGCCTCCTGAGTAGGCGGGATTACAGGCATGTGCCACCACGCCTGGCTAATTTTGTATTTTTAGTAGCAACGGGGTTTCTCAATGTTGGTCAGGCTGGTCTCGAACACCTGACCTTGGGTGATCCCCCGCCTCGGCCTCTGAAAGTGGTAAGATTACAGGCATGAGCCACTGTGCCCGGCCTTTAAAGCTTTTTAGCTTGAAATTACACTAATGTATTTGCTTTGTAAAATCATTCGAATTGGCAACTTCATGTTTAATCTTTCTTCCACCCTCAACTTTCCTTTCTGTCTGAGAGAATGCTGTTACTGGTGGCCATACTTTGGAAATCCTGCCCACACCACTTACAAGCTAGGTGACTTTGGGCTATTCTTATAACCTCCCTAAGTCTTAGTTTCTCATCTCTAAAACGCAGATGATAATAATAATAACTTACGGAGAAATGTAAGGATTAAATGAGATGATGCATATATAGTTCTTTGCATATTGTATGTTTTTTTAAAAAGTTAGCTATTGTTATACTTGTCATCACTCACATATTAAAAGTTCTTTTGTATCTTAAATATGATCTGTGCTTTGTAGTTCATATTTACTTGGTTCTATATCTACATGTCTAACTATATAATATATGTTATGTTATCTTGGCATAAATTTTCCAAACCATTCTGATTGTTCTTTACTTACATTTTTTCCCTAACTACCTACCACCCTATTTTTCTTTTCTCATTGCCATATACCTTGGAGGTGTAGTCAATATTAATAGGTCTCTGTTAAAAATGTTAGAGTTCCTTATCTCTGAAAAGATTGTGGTACTCACAGTCTCAATACTCACCCATATACAAATCAAAATAAAATTGTACTTTTTGAAATAACACAAAATCCAATCATAACTAATGCTAGCTTATATCTAAAAATATGAGTTTTGATGATGAAGTTAAGTATATTTTTCATTTTGTGATTATAAATTTCTGGCTCAATTCACTGTACCAGATTTTTTTACTTTTTGAAGGGGCAACTGTTATGCTACTATTAGTCTCTGTATCAAGTAAATCAGCCTCAGTAAATCAGCCTGTATCAAGTAAATCAGCCTCAGAAGCCAGTTGCCGTCATTTCTTTGGGACACACACAATTACACATGTATACACATGTGGTACTGTTTGCATATGCAGCATATATATTGTCATGCTTCATATATGTCAATATATATGTCAGCATGTCTATATATGTCATATGACATGACATATATGTCAATATATATGTCAGAATATATATTCACATACTTCAAAGTGTGTGAAGTATGCATGGAGGAATATAATAAAGATTTCCCTCTTACATCTGACATTTGGAGCAGGTTTTTTGGTTAGTTTCTCCACATCTCCTTTCCTTGTCTGTAAAAATGGGATCATAACAATATTTGTTTCTCAGACCGAGTTGCTATGAAGATCGGGAATAATTATGCAGGTAACACCATTGCAGAAGTTACTAGGCACTGCATAAACCTCGGCGAATTAAATTTAAATATGGCGCAATGATACTTTCTTTGTCTCGTTAAACTATTTAGATATGAGATCAAGGTCGGCCTTGAGTAATTGTTACCTACATCTCTTCTGTTGTTCAGCAACATGTTCCTGGCTGCTTAGTGAGCACACTCTCTCTTTCCCACCAGAAGATATGAGTGCCAATATGAGTCTTAATTCAAGACAAGGAAAAAGCCAATTGACAGATGTAAAAATAGTATTCATTTCACAGACCTGTTTGGAGGTTTAAATGTGATTATTTCTAAAGTATTCACTGTACTGCTCAGTACATAAGAAATGCTAAATAAATAGGGCTCTACTGATTGTTATTGAAAAACATTTTTGGAAGCAAAGTCTATTCTAAGTTTTGGTCAAGTTAGACTTGAGGTTTAGAATTTAAAAAGTGAGGGGGAGAGACCGACTGAGGTGAAGGCAGCCAAAGTTAACATGGAGACAGGCATAGCATGTATAGGGAATAATGTTGGTTCACATCATGTTCATGCACAGTGATTAGGAATAGCTAAGGTTATTCGTGGTGGCTCATGCCTATAATCCCAGCACTTTGGGAGGCCGAGGTGGGAGGATCACAAGGTCAAGGAGACTGAGACCATCGTCGCTAACACGGTGAAACCCTGCCTCTACTAGAAATACAAAAAAATTAGCCGGGCGTGGTGGCACGTGCCTGTAGTCCCAGCTAATTGGGAGGCTGAGGCAGGAGAATCACTTGAACCCAGGAGGCGGAGGTTGCAGTAAGCCGAGATTGCGCCACTGCCCTCCAGCCTGGGTGACAGAGTGAGACTACATCTCGAAAAAAAAAAAAATACTATAACCTCTCATTGCCTCTTATGGAGGTTGGATAATATAAATTAAAAGATTTTTATTGTTGTGGGTATGATGAAGTTTGAGGTACAATTTAGGAGTGGTTCTTGAGGCAGAGCTGAAACCTTCAGCAATTTAAAGGGGAGAGGTATATGAAGATTCTGGGAAAATTAGGAAGATAAAATAAAAGAATTGACAAGATTGAGTAGCATGTGGTAAAAGACGATAAGAGGAAAAATCCTAATAGTGATTTGGAAAAGAAGACAAATAATGGGAGCATTTAAAGGTTTTGGTGCAATATACAATTTAAATCTCTTCCTCCATCTTCCCTACCGAATCTTCAGTAAAATCTGAACTGCTCATAAATGTGCATTGAGTGTTTAGTGCCATAGATTGTATTTTTGTGTCTTCCCCAAATTCATATGTTGAAGGCTAACTCCCAATATGATGGTGTCAGGAGGTGGGGTTTTTGGGAGGTGATTAGGTTATGTGGGCAGAACCTTCATGAATGGAACTAGTGCCCCTAAAAAAGAGACCCTAGAGAGTTCCTATGTTCCTTTTACCATATGAGAACTCAGTGAGAAGGCACCATCTATGAACCAGGAAGCAGGCCCTCACCAGACACCTAATCTGCCAATGCCTCGATCTTGCATTTTTCAGCCTGCAGAACTGTGAGAAATAAATTTCTGTTTTTATACACCACCAAGACTAGGAATTTTTGTCACAGCAGTCTGAATGAACTAAGACATAAGAAAAAAATTATGAGAAAAAAGTTATAAGATGCAGAGGTACCTTTGATACAAAGGGACCACAAAGCTGGTACATTTGAAAACATTTGGGTTACACCGTCTTTACCTGTTCATTTTACTTGGATTTATTCCTGTTTCTCAGAGGCTTTTATTGCACAGAGCAGACATTCTCATCCATTGCTTTTTTATATACAGGTCTGAAGTCACTTTCAAGTTAGGGTCTGGCCCCTAGGAGCCCTAATTCTACTTTAAATTGCCCTAGAACATGCATGCTACATTGATGGGAGGCTTTAGATGTATAGCTCAAGAAATAAGGAGGCAAGATTGTAGTGATGGTGGCAGTGATAGTAGCCACTATCACTTTTGCTACTGGCTATAGAGAAAATTGTAGTGTAATGGTATAATAAAAAAATTCATGTAATTTTTAAGTTAGATCTATTTGAATTTGAATCAAGGATTTGTCATTGTTTGCAGTGTGACTTCAATTAACTTACATAACTTCTCTAAAACATAGGTGTTCTCATCTCATCCCTTTACTCATAAGGTTGTGAAAGACTCACAAAAAGAGGTAACAGTAGTGGGAGGGAAACAGGTTGAAAGATTACTGTAGAAATTATCACTGACTATTTAAGCTAAAGATATATTTTGTTGAATTTAATGAAGTAATACTCCTCTAAGCTAAATATTTTGTAAAACAGCATTCATTCTACGATATATCAAAAGAATGATACACGCTAATAAATGTTTATTTACTCTCTTTCATAAGAAAGTAATTTTTTATAATCAATGAAGTTTTCTGGTATTTTTATTTTAGTTGTGAATAATCTGATAAGTTTACATATGATTTGGATATTCATACTAGCATTATCGACTGCCTCGTATATAAAACTCAATTAAAAAAATGATTCATTACTAAGCTACTGAGAGGATAAACAACTTGCCAGTTTCTTTAGGCATAATCTTTTAGATACTGATAAGTTAACCATTTCTAAAACCAGTTATAAATTTTACAAAATAGCAGTAGGGGTATGCTATATTTGCAAATGTATTCTTATCTTAGAATTTTTGTTATTCAATTAGCACATCAACTTAAGATATAGTTCAAGTACTAAGATGTTCAGGAACCACTGAACAATTTTCTGGACAAAGAACATGAAATTACTAATTTCCTCCAGTCAGCTTCACAGTTCCAGTGCATCTGGAGCTAGGATCATCCAACCAATTTGAAAATAAAGTAATCACAATATCTCCGCCAATATTTTCTGTCTTAATGGAACTAAGGATCCTGGCTAACACTTTGCATTTAGCTGTTACAAGGCAAAAATTTTAAAATTTATCTTCTATAACTGGCTAAAATAATAAATATGATGGTGCTTTAAAAATGTAATGGATAATAATAGCTTATTTTTTTGAAAAGCCTTCATTGAAGAAAATGGTCATTCCAGTCTTTAAACTTTATGAAATAACCAGGGGGGCTACAAAAAATTATTTTCAAGCATCTCAATGCATGATATTTGTTTAGCTGTGGGATTATCTGTAAAGTTACTGTTCATATTAAAAAGGATAATCAAAGGCTAAAGATACTGAAAGATCCCCTGGGCAATCAATATATAATCATTTAGTAAGTAAATGAGAAATTAAAAGGCTTATACAATAAAGCATCTTCTTTCCAACTAAAATTTAAAAATTGCTTTAACACAGACTAAAGGATAATTAATAGAACCCATTACTAAGAGTGGATGGCCTGACCTAATACTTTAACAAGCATATTTATTCATCTTCAAAGCCAAGAGAAAATGCTTTTGAAACTAGGTCAAAGAGGGAAGTGGTTTTTCTTAGACTATTGTATAATCTGATATTACTTGACTTCTATATTGTTGAGTAACAGACCACAACAAAGGTATCGTGTGACTTGTTTACATTTCAATGAAACACATACAAGGCTTTATTTCATTCTATAGAGTTGAGAATTTATGTGATTCCTTTACAGTTGATTCCAGACCAATTTTAAGACCTTTAATGGCCATAGGTTTTTTGATTTTTGAAGGTCTTATCTCAAGCAATTTTTAATATATTAAAGTTAAAATGATCACAAACACTGAATGTAACCTTGTTGTAATGTTTTTGAAATTGCTGTGTTATTGCTGCCAACTACTTATAAAGTACAACCATATCTCTTTAACTTTTTATCAAATTCAAAATAATTAGCCATTTATTATAACCATGATAGTTTATATCTAATAAAAGATATCAAAGAGTTAACCTCTTACAGATTCAATGCAATCCCTAACAAAATCCCATCTAGTTATTTGTTTTTTGGAGAAATTGACAACCTGATCTTAAAATTCATATGGAAATTCAAGGGGATCAGACTAGCCAAGACAATCATGAAAAAGGTATATGAACTTGGAGGACTTATACTTCCAATTTGAAAACCTGCTATAGTAAGTTACAATAATCAAGCCAGTGTGGTACTGACACAGGATAAATACATAGATCAGTGGAATAAAATTAATAATATAGAAATTAATCTAGTATTTTTGGTTAATTGATTTTTGGCAAAGGGGCGAGTCAATTCAATGGGGGAAAGAATACTCTTCAAGAAATGGTGCTGGTACAACTGGTTATCCATTTGCAAAAAGATGAATTTAGGGTCCTACATAATGTCATACACAAAAATGAACTCACAGTAGTGATTGCAGACCTAAATGTAAGTCCTACAACTAAAATAAAAGTAAATCTCTGCGTTAGGCAGTGATTTCTTAGGAATGAAATCAAAGCATGGGTGATAAAATAGAAAATTGGTAAATTGAACATCAAAATTAAGACTTTTATGCTTCAAAGAGCACCATCAAGAAGGTGAAAAGACAACCCACACTATAAAAGGAAATATTTGCCCATCATGTATCTGATAAGGGACTTGAATCTAGAATATATGAATTCTTACAATAATAGAACAAGCAAACCAATTTAAAAATGGGCAAAGCATTTGAATAGGCAGTTCTCCAGAGAAATATAAAAATGATAAACACACAAAGTAATGCTCAAAATCATTAGTCATTACTGAAATGCAAGTCAGAACCCCAGTGAGATACCACTTCACATCAACTGAATGGCTATAATAAAAACAGACACAATTGTTAGTGAAAATTTGAGAAACTGGAACTCTTGTACATTGTGACGGTGTTATAAAAGTCGAAGCCATTTTAGAAAATGGTTTAGCAGTTCCTCAAAAGGTTAAGAATAGAGTTACCATATGACCCAGCAATTCCACTCCTAGATATCTACCCAAGAAAAATGGGAGCTTATGTTCACACAAAGAACTATATACAAACATAAATAGCAGCATTATTTGTAATAGCCAAAAAAGTGGTAACAACCAAAATGCTTATCACTTGATGAGTGGAAAAATAAAATGTGGTGTAGCCATATAAGGGAATATTATTCTACAATAAAAACGAATAATATACTGTTATTTGCCACAATATGAATGAACCTCAAAAACCGTGCACTAGGTAAAAGAAGTCAGTCACAAAAGACCAACTAGTGCATGATTTCGTTTATAAGAAATGTTCAGAATAAGCTAATCTACAGAGACAGAAAGTAGATCAGTGTTGCCTAGGAATGAATGGAGGAGTAAGGGAGGAAACAGACAGTGATTGCTAAAGGGCATGCGGTTTCTTTATGGAGTGATGAAAATGTTCTAAAATTAGCTAATGGTGATGATTGCACAACTCTATAAATATACTAAAATCCATTAAATTATATACTTTAAACAGGTGAACTATATGGTATGCAAATTATATATCAGTAAAGCTGTTAAAAATGAGGTAACCTCCAAAACACAATAAAATAAGTGACGTGAATATTTTATGTGATAGCTACTTATACTAATTTTAGCAGCTGTTTTATATTTTCTTCAGAAATAGCCTGAATTTATGATCTACACCTTTCTATTTTTCCTCTAGCTCTCCCTATCTCTATCTTTATCTGTATCTCTCTTTCTATAAGTGAGTCCAGAAAATTAAAATACTATGATAAGATATGTTTTAAAATCTGAGTAACATAGCTACATCTTCTCCTATTTTAATAAATATCACTTTGGGTTATTTTAGCTTAATTTGCACTAAACTCAGAAACCCAATTTTATGTTTATGTTTGATATTGGCAAATCTATTTGACAATTATGAATCTGAGCTGATACTAAATAGTTTCAGATGAATTGTTGCTTTCTGACATTTCTTACTAAATGCTAAGAAAATTCTGGTTATTTTAGGAGATAGGATGAAAGAATTATTTCACCTGGGGAAAGAAAGCTCAATGAGAATCTTCTAGTATTTGAAGGATAGTGGCCAGTTACTCTCTCCCTACTCTGAAAATCATTCCTAGTGACCAGCAAGATGAATTTTTTTAATGCCTGCACAAGAAATTACTAACAGCAAGAATTTGAAACACTGAAATGACTTAGGAAACGTAAGCCTGGGTATTGTTTTCCTCTTGTTCATAGGAAAGAGCCCATCCGTAGGAGGTGCTGCGGGCATAATGGCTAGAGGCAGAGGATTTCTTCAGATGAATCAATTAGGCACTTTTCCCATAATAGTTGTACAGTTACAAAAGGATTCAGTTGCTTTTTTTTTTCTGTAAGTATATATGTTTTTTTTGGTAGGGACAGTTCAATATAGATTAAATATTTAAATTAGATTTGATATGTTTTACATCAGCCATTTCACACCCGAGAACAATTTCCAGTGAAAGAGATCAGTTACACTGATAGCCCAGGCTAGTTTTGAACAAAATTAGGAAGTTAATAGAGTTAGTTGTTCTTTCGTATTACCTTTCTTTTCCTTCTTTCATGAATTATGTCTCTTCCTGGTAGGCAGCATGGTATAGTAGGAAAGCATTATTCCTGAAAACAAAACCCAGTTTCCCACATACAAGTTGTTCATCTGGTCTCAGTTGCTTAACCTGTCTCTGTTTCCTCATATTCAAGAGGAAAATAACCAGTCCTACTTTATTAACCTGGTTTGAGCATTAAATGACACAAAGTAGTAGAAACAGAGAAATGTTTTCTTTCCCTTCCTCTTAAGGCCTCTCTTGTTGTAAAGGAAAGCAGTAAATGTAAACCATCTCAAGATGCTTTTTTTTAAATAGGTTACTCTTTTTCAGGAATATTTGAGTTTAAAAATAGTCTATGTAGAATAAATTACATGTTGGAAGTAAGGAAGGGAGACCCTTGAGAGCAAGGAACATTCTAAGTTATCTTAAATAATAGTATGAAGGTATACATTATTTACACAGGATTTTGGCCAATTTGGTTGTGTTTTCTAATTTTTTTGTTTTGGTTTGGTTTTTTGAGACGGAGTCTTGCTCTGTTGCAAAGGCTGGAGTGCAGTGGCGCGATCTCGGCTCACTACAACCTCTGACTCCCTAGTTCAAGAGATTCTCCTGCCTCAGCCTCCTGAGTAGCTGGGATTACAGGCATGCGCCACCACGCCCAGCTAAGTTTTGTATTTTTTTTCTTTTTTTTTTTTTTTTTTATTGATCATTCTTGGGTGTTTCTCGCAGAGGGGGATTTGGCAGGGTCATAGGACAATAGTGGAGGGAAGGTCAGCAGATAAACAAGTGAACAAAGGTCTCTGGTTTTCCTAGGCAGAGGACCCTGCGGCCTTCCGCAGTGTTTGTGTCGCTGGGTACTTGAGATTAGGGAGTGGTGATGACTCTTAACGAGCATGCTGCCTTCAAGCATCTGTTTAACAAAGCACATCTTGCACCGCCCTTAATCCATTTAACCCTGAGTGGACACAGCACATGTTTCAGAGAGCACAGGGTTGGGGGTAAGGTCATAGATCAACAGGATCCCAAGGCAGAAGAATTTTTCTTAGTATAGAACAAAATGAAAAGTCTCCCATGTCTACTTCTTTCTACACAGACACAGCAACCATCCGATTTCTCAATCTTTTCCCCACCTTTCGCCCTTTTCTATTCCACAAAACCGCCATTGTCATCATGGCCCGTTCTCAATGAGCTGTTGGGTACACCTCCCAGACGGGTTGGTGGCCGGGCAGA
Organism: Homo sapiens; assembly: GCF_000001405.40. Lineage (NCBI taxonomy): Eukaryota > Metazoa > Chordata > Mammalia > Primates > Hominidae > Homo > Homo sapiens. The sequence continues at coordinate 80,287,087 of NC_000014.9, read as the reverse complement.
GGGGCTCCTCACTTCCCAGAAGGGACGGCTGGGCAGAGGCGCCCCCCCACCTCCCAGACGGGGCGGCTGGCCGGGCTAAGGCACCCCCTACCTCCCTCCCGGACGGGGCAGCTGGCTGGGCGGGGGCTGACCCCCCCACCTCCCTCCCGGACGGGGCAGCTGGCTGGGCGGGGACTGACGCCCCCCACCTCCCTGCCGGACGGGGCGGCTGCCAGGCGGAGATGCTCCTCACTTCCCAGATGGGGCGGCTGCCGGGCGGAGGGGCTCCTCACTTCTCAGATGGGGCGGCTGCCGGGCGGAGGGGCTCCTCACTTCTCAGACGGGGCAGCCTGGCAGAGGCGCTCCTCACATCCCAGACGGGGTGGCAGGGCAGAGGCGCTCCCCACATCTCAGATGATGGGCGGCCGGGCAGAGACGCTCCTCACTTCCTAGATGGGATGGCGGCCGGGAAGAGGCGCTCCTCACTTCCCAGACTGGGCAGCCAGGCAGAGGGGCTCCTCACATCCCAGACGATGGGCGGCCGGGCAGAGACTCTCCTCGCTTCCTAGACGGGATGGCAGCCGGGAAGAGGGCTCCTCACTTCCCAGACTGGACAGCCGGGCAGAGGGACTCCTCACATCCCAGACGATGGGCGGCCAGGCAGAGATGCTCCTCACTTCCCAGACAGGGTGGCGGCCGGGCAGAGGCTGCAATCTCGGCACTTTGGGAGGCCAAGGCAGGCGGCTGGGAGGTGGAGGTTGTAGCCAGCCGAGATCACGCCACTGCACTCCAGCCTGGGCACCATTGAGCACTGAGTGAACGAGACTCCGTCTGCAATCCCGGCACCTCGGGAGGCCGAGGCTGGCGGATCACTCGCGGTTAGGAGCTGGAGACCAGCCCGGCCAACACAGCGAAACCCCGTCTCCACCAAAAAAATACGAAAACCAGTCAGGCATGGCGGCACTCGCCTGCAATCGCAGGCACTCAGCAGGCTGAGGCAGGAGAATCAGGCAGGGAGGTTGCAGTGAGCCGAGATGGCAGCAGTACAGTCCAGCTTCGGCTTGGCATCAGAGGGAGACCGTGGAAAGAGAGGGAGAGGGAGACCGTGGGGAGAGGGAGATGGAGAGGGAGAGGGAGAGGGAGAGGGAGAGGGAGAAGGAGACCGAGAGGGAGAGGGAGAGGGAGAGGGAGAGCAAGTTTTGTATTTTTAGTAGAGACGGGGGTTTCACTATGTTGGCCAGGCTGGTCTTGATCTCCTGACCTCATAATCCGCCCGCCTCAGCCTTCCAAAGTGCTGGGATTACAGACGTGAGCCACCACTCCTGGCCTTTTAAAAATTTTTGTGGGTACATAATTAATGATTATGTAAATAATATAGGTGTATATATTTATGGCATACATGAGATGTTTTGATTACAGGCATGCAATGAGATATAAGCACATCATGGAGAATGGGGTATCCATCCTCTCAAGCACTTATCCTTTGAGTTACAAACAATCCAATTATACTCTTTAAATTATTTAAAATGTACAATTAAGTTATTATTGACTATAGTCACTCTGTTCTTCTATCAAATAGTAGTTCTTATTCAGTCTTTCTATTTTTTTTGTTCCCATTAACCATCCTGATCTTTCCCCTGAACCTCACTATCCTTCCCAGCCTCAGGTAACCATCCTTCTCCTCTCTGTCCATGAGTTCAATTATATTGATGTTTAGACCCCACAAGTAAATGGGAACATGCGATGTTTCTCTTTTGGTGCCTGGCTTATTTCACTTAACATAATGATCTCCAGTTTCATCCATGTTTTTGCGAATAATGGATTTCATTCTTTTTATGGCTGAATAATACTCCATTGTGTATATGTATATGTACCACATTTTCTTCATCTGTACATCTGTTGGCAAATGTTGGGTTGCTTATGGTATTTTACAAGTTATCAGTTAGTCAAGGATGTCTGACCTGACGGATTTGATGTAGTGGCAGTTTATATGACATTTAAAACTGATGGCATACAATGAAACATTATTCAGCCTAAAAGAGGAATGAAATTCTGACACTTGCTACAATGTGGATAAACTTTCAAGACATTATGCTAAATAAAAAAAGTCAGACGCAAAGAACAAATATGGTATGATTCCATATGTGATAGGTAGAATAGTCAAATTCATAGACACACAAGGTAGAATAGTGGTTCCAGGGGCCCGGGTGAGAAGGGTGAATGAGGAGTTATTGTTTAATGGGTATAGAGTTTCAGTTTTGAATGATGAAAACATTCTGGAGATGGTTAGTGGTGATGGCTGCATAACAATGGGAAAGTACTTAATGCCACCAAACTATACATTTAAAAATCGTTAAAATCATGCCAGTTAGAATGGCGATCATTACAAAGTCAGGAAATAACAGATGCTAGAGAGGATGTAGAGAAATAGGAACGCTTTTACACTGTTGGTGGGAGTGTAAATTAGTTCAACCATTGTGGAAGACAGTGTGGTGATTCCTCAGGGATCTAGAACTAGAAATACCATTTGACCCAGCAATCCTATTACTGGGTATATACCCAAAAGATTATAAATCATTCTACTATAAAGATACATGCACACGTATGTTTATTGTGGCACTGTTCCCAATAGCAAAGACTTGGAAGCAACCCAAATGCCCATCAATGATAGACTGGATAAAGAAAATGTGGCACATATACACCATGTAATACTATGCAACCATAAAAATGGATGAGTTCATGTCCTTTGCAGGAACATGGATGAAGCTGGAAACCATCGTTCTCAGCAAACTAACACAAGAACAGAAAACCAAACACTGCATGTTCTCACTCATAAGTGGGAGTTGAACAATGAGAACACATGGACACATGGCAGGGAACATCACACACCGGGGCCTGTTGGGGAGTGGGGGGTTAGGGGAGGGATAGCATTAGGAGAAATACCTAATGTAGATGACAGGGTGATGGGTGCAGCAAACCACCATGACAAGTGTATACCTATGTAACAAACTTGCACATTCTGCACATGCACCCCAGAACTTAAAGTATAATAACAAAAAATTTAAAAAATCGTTAAAATGGCAAATTTTATATTATGCATGCTTACCACAATAAAAAAAGGTAAATAGCTAAATACAAAGTAAATGATGTAATGCAAAAACTGAAAAGTACATAGATTCAAGGGAATGAATAGACAAGCTACAGACTGAGAGAAAATATTTGTGAAAGACATAACCATAAGAGACAGTTATCTGCAATGTACAAAGAACTCTTAAAACTCAACAATTAAATAACAAACAACCCAATTTAAAAAATGGGCCAAAGACCTTAATGAACACTTCACCAATGAAGATATGAAGATGGAAAACAAGCATATGAAAAGATACTCCACATCATATGTCATCAAGGAAATGCATATTAAAATAGCAATGAGATATCACTATGAATCTATTGGAGTGTCCAAAAATTCAGAGCAATGACAATGCCAAATGCTGGTGAGGGTGTGGAGCAACAGGAACTCTCATTCATTGCTGGTAGAAATACAAAATGATACAGCCACTTTGGAAGACAGTTCAGTAATTTTCTATAAAAATAGACATATTCTTACCATATGACCCACTGACTACACTCATTGATATTTACCAAAAGGCGATGAAAACTTATGACCACATGAAAACCTGCAAATGGATATTTATTCACATTTTCACTAGCCTACCCTTTTGGTATTTTTCTGTCTTTTCATTTTAGCTATTTTGGTTGGAGTGTAGCTGTCTTAGTCTTTTCAGGCTGCTATAACAGAATACCTGAGACTAGGTACTTTATAATCAACGGAATTTATTGCTTATGATTCTGGAGTCTGGATAGTCCAAGATCAAGGTGCCAGCTGATTTGGTGTCTGGTGAGGGCCGATTCCTCATAGATGGCACCTCCATGTTGGAGCCTCGCTAGGCAAAAGGGGAACGGCCCACTCTGATGCCTCTTCTATAAGGGCATTCATTAATCCCATTCACATGGGTGGAGCCCTCATGACCTAATCACATCTGAAAGGCCCCACCTTGTAATACCATCACCTTGGTGACTGGCTTTTTAACATGTGAATTGTGGGGGTACAAAAACATTCAGACCATAGATTTACTCAGATTAATTGGTATCACTTTTGAAATGACTTCTCACTTGTCTATATCTCAAATATCTAACTGTCTCTGCTTTTGATTAGGTTGATGTTCAGATATATTTTTTAAAACCCTGTCTTCTTCTTTTAACTTACACAGAAACTCTTCTTTCACATTATTTATTCATAAATAAAACAGTGGATTTTCATTCTGGGTTTGACTTTTGTTTTTCTGGCAAATACTTCAAAAGGTAAATGGTAGCATTGAGATTTCAATATCTTAGTAGGAATAAATTAACAGCTATCTCTGCAGAATCAAAAATCTAGCTTAATGCTTTTGAAATATTTTGACAACTACTTTTCTGATGTAAGTAATTTGGATAGTCTGTTTTTATAGAGAAGAAAAATCAAAATAGTTTGGTATTTCAAATGGGTAAAATTATTGAAGCTGACTAGTAAAAGTTAATTATTCATCCAATAGTATCCAGTATGTGTGGAAAAATTAAACCCTGCCAACTAGCAGCTAAATAGAAATGACATCAAATCTTACTAATTCAGATTAATTAAGAATAGTCATGTAAATGTTAAGTTTGAATGCTATAAAAAATTAGTTTTATATCTTCCAAGTATATGCTACACAGTTGGTAGGTAAAGTGAAGTAAAGGTTATTTGGAATTTGCTATATTAAATGTATAAGAATAATTCAAATAATTCATAATGCATTAATTATTTAAAGATTTATAAAAATAAGGCAATCAAGAAAATTTGTTTTTCCAGTCAATTAAATATAAACTTTGCAGTACCACGTATATTAGCATTTGCTTAATATGTCATTTCTCCTTTTGTTTAGCCTTTCTCTGATCCATTGAAAGTTCATGATGAACAGATTATAAATTAACTAATAAAGTGTTTTATAATGCTTTGATCTTCTTAGATTCCCAGGATTAAAATTAAATGCATTCAAACAAAATTGTGTATCAAATAATACATATACACACACATACATATATACATGTGTGTGCATAAATACACAACAACGTGTCTATAAATTTCTACAAATCAGTTACCATCATCATGCATTGCAATAACTGCCAAATAGCATTATATTATTAATAATGCCATTTCTAGGTACTCAACCATGTTACAAAATTCATTAACAGTTCTGTCAGTCTTGTATCTATCCTCAGCTGTCACTCAGTTTAAAGGTTGAAGATGCATTTTCATGTTTCACACTCTAATTCAACCCCAGGGCCATACCACTCTAGGATGACTGAATCTCTCTGATTCTGAAATAAGAACCTTTATGAGTCTTCTTGCTTAGCCATCCTTGAGGGGCATATAGGGACGCCCTTGAGGTAATTCATTAGATGGATTCATCTCTATTTTAGGATTATTAGGGTTTGCTAAAGGGATATAATACATAGTTGATACTTTAAAAGGCTTATATGCCAGTTGAAAATTTGTATAATTTTCAAATGTGCAAGTAGAATCCCACCTTCCCTACCATTCCATCCACCACAAACTTCCAGAAGTGTTCCTTACATGTTACTTTCATTTGTTTTAGTAAGTTCATTCTCACCAGTCTTTGCTGTGATTTTTGGAGACTCTTCTTATCCCTACCATGGTTTTGGGAGACCCCTTCATTATTTTATATTTCATTCTGTTAATTGTCTAACTTTCATGCATCATAGACTCACCTACATTTATTTGGATAATGCCATTTCCCTTTCTTGGGAGACATGGCATGCTAAAATGTAATCTCTATGGGGATAGCAATTAGGGTCTGTATGTTTCATTGCTGTATCTCCAGTGTCTAGAATAATGCCTTACACATGATATGTGCCCAGCAAAATTTGTTGAATGAAACAACAATTTAAGCTTTATTTGTAGCAATTAAAATTTTTTTAGAATTTAAATAGTAATTTAAATCCAGTTTTCTAGATGGCATTGTTAAAGAAATGCATTCATTTTACCTAAAACTTCCAGATAACCACAGAAGATGAACCTCACAAACTCCTCTCCTCAGCTTGGAATGTACATATTTGGCAACTCAAATTTTTCACCACTCTGGGCATGTCTGCAAATGACTGCAAAAGTCGCCATGAGTGTTCATTTTGGGGGTTACAAATAAATTTTAGTGAGTAAGCAAACTTACAAATATGGACCTTGCAAGTAATGAGAATTAGCTGTACTTCTGGGTCCTGCCCCTTCATTTCCATTGTTTACTTCAGTTGCTCATAATGGTCTCCTAGATTATTATAATTGTTGCCTGTTATCATTGCCTCAGGTCTCTTTCATTCCTCCTTCTACTGATTTTAGGACTCTTAATTGGTTTTATCACACTGCAGTGTAAAAACTTTCAGTGTTAACCCCATTGCTGAATAAATGTATTTAAATGTATCAACATAGCATATAGATTAGTCCCAGCCTACTTTTCCAGCCCATGCACACTATTTTCTTTTTGAACATTACTATTTAAAACTATAGTTTTAAAACAAAAAGTATATTGTTATTTTATAACTCTATACCTTAATTTTTTTTCATACTCTCAGTAATAGCCTCATCTTTCTTCACTACTGGATAAAGATAAGCTTCAAATGTCATCACCTTTAAGTAGTCATCTGAATCTTCATCAGGCTGATAGTTGTCTTCTCACCTTACTTCCACAGATTATTATATTTGAACTGTATTATTTGCTTAGACCTCCCCACACACGGTACTCTATTTTAAGGTAGGAGCCATAGTTTATTCATATAATTTCTCCTTCTCTACTCATATCCAATTAGTCAGTATGTTTGGTGAGTTCAGCTTCTAAAATATCTGCTTTAATAGTACAAAATTCAGCATCTGACCCTTGTTAGCCTAACAATAGATGTTTGTTAAATAATTAGATGAGTGCATAAATAAACAGTTGACCTATGGTCAATTCATACGAGATAATTTTTCCTGGTAACATATTTTTATTAACAGCTAAGATAATAAAATGATAGTTTGGAACTCTCTGTGTATTAAAATTAAAGCATATAAAATTATATATAAGCATTTACTGACGTTTATCTCTAGTATGATTTCTCTCATGATTGCGTTGCATTTCCAGTGGAATGGAAACAAGATGGCAGCCATTTTGAAATTCACTCTGAGCTGGTGCCACTTGTGTTCAATTGGTGTAGATCAATTACCAATGATATTTTGTTTCTAACAGGATTGTTTAGGGAAACAATGAAAAAAGAAATGTGATTCTGAGGAATATTGAGTTATGTATATTATTTTATATTTAGTTTCTCTGGGGGAATATTATAAAACAGAATATGATAATATCAAGAACAGTTCAGTGAAATAGTCTGTAATGATAGTATGAAAAACTTAACTTTATTTATTTTCCTTGGTAAGTAATAACATTTGAAACTGTGGACGTCTTTTGCTGTGATCCATCTTCACATCCTAGAAAAGTCATTTATATGCTGATGAATTTAATACCTTTTGGCCTCATTTTTAGATGAACATCATTGGGTTACTTGGATGTTAGCAAGAAAAATTAAACTTCTGAAATGCTTCATTCAAGAAAAGAAATTGGATGTTTTATTATATTTCTCTCTAATGGATGAAAAACTGGAAAGGATGCATTTTTATCTATAGGAATCTTGTCTTTTATGTCTAAAATGTGTTTTACTATTGCTTGGAAGCTATAATAAAGCTTTTATCTCTCCCTATGTTCAGAAACGCTTATGTGTATGTATCTGTAACAAGATAAACACCCCACAAGGCTTATGTATGGATGTGTATCTATTAATTTCTTTTTCCTTCTGGGACTGGGATTTAAAATCAAATACTTAGAAGGAGATGTGGAACTGTGCAGTATAATAGAAGGAACATTTGTTCTTGACCTTGGCTCTAGTCTTACCTCTACTTTTACCAATAAAAGTATGTTGCTTAGAGCCTTATTTTTCTCATTTGTATAAATGATGTGGTAGGAAAGTATAATTTCTAAGATTACTTTAATTTTAAGTTTTTTTGATGAAGGATGAAAATTTAATTTCTTCAAGGATGTTGAAAGAAGGATTTATTTAAAGCATAGAGTAGTGATTCAACACATTGAGTGCATATTTGTTAAATGAAAGAACACTCTGTGAAGGTCAATTTCATGGGTCAGCCTGACTGGGCCATGGGGGCCCAGATATTTGTCAAACATTATTCTGGGTGTGTCTATGAGGGTGCATCTGCATAAGATTAACATTTGAATTGATAGGAAACAAAACAGATTGCCCTCTATAATGCAGATGGGCCTCATCTAATCATTTGAAGACCTGAATGGAATAAAAAGACCAAGTAAGAGGAAATGTCTTCTGCCTGACTGTTTCAGCTGGGACATTGCTCTTCTCTGGCCTTTGGACTTAACACTGAAACACTGGCTCTTCTTGGGTCTTGAGGCTGCTGGTTTTCAAACTGAAACTTACACCAACTGCTTCCCTGGTTCTCAGGACTTTGGACTTGGGCCGGAACTACACATCAGCTCTCCTGGGCCTCTAGCTTGCCAACTACGGACACTGTGACTTTTCAGCCATCACAATTGTGTAAGCCAATGTCTTATAATCTCTCTCTCTCTTATTAGTGCTTTTGTTTCTGGAAAACCATGACTAATACATCCTGTATATATTTTTAATTCCCCTCTTCCCCATCTATATCCAATTAATCACTAAGCTTTGTGAATTCAGCTTCCAAAATATCAGGCATCTTTTCAAACCAGATTTTACTGAATTAAAGATATCATTAATTTTTAAAAACAATTCACAAAGTGTCTTATTTTGTTCAGTTGCTCACAAACCTGTGTAACAAGTGGGCCAACAATTGACTAAAAATATGTTTTATTAAAAATAGCTAGCTTTTTGTCAAGATGAATTTTTAAGATTTTTTCCTGGCATGCACTCCATGAAGTTAAGACACAGGACTACACTATATATTATTTAACTTATGCTTACAAAGTATTATACAAGGTATTCATTTTGTATTTAAAGTGAAAGGACATTGGGGAGGAAAAAGTGAATTATCCAAACTATTGATATCAGGGTATGTAAAATATAGGTCATGAAGGTGTGCTAATAATATAAATGTGCTCTAGGGAACTATTCTTTCCAACAACCTAATTCATCAAGCAGACAATGTGCTATGTGTTGGGAAAAGAAAGAAAAAATATGTAGTCCTTATCCTTAAGGAGTTGTGTGTAGTAGGAGAGAAACAGATATCCATCTTATTATTGGGAAAAAAATCTAAGTCCTATAACTGGAATTGGTTTCCTCTACTGTTAAACGGCATAATAATAATAAATGCTTCATACAGTTATGAGATTTATATTATATGACATCATATTAGTTTATGCCCATTATCTCAGTGGCTTACTAAAGCCAATTTGTGTTTCTTGCTCTTATCACACAAAGGTGGAAGATTATCTGCAGTTTTGTTCAATTTGATTAGACTCTGCTGGGTTCCATGTGTCTGCTCATTCTGGAAGCCATGTTAAAGGAGCATGTTGGGGCATCCTATTCCCATGGTGAAGAGAGGATTAAGAGAGACAGAGCCAGACTATGTAAGGGTGTTTAAAGTTTCTGTCAGACAGAAGGTGCATCTGGTCTACTCAGATTTCACTGGGCAAATCAAGGCACACCACCAAGCCCAAAAATCAATGGACAGGGAAGAATACACATCTTCCCAGGAGCTTGGCACAGGTGAGAAAAGAATCAATATTTATGAACAAATAATACAGTCTACCAGAAGACATCATTCATGTAAAGCACGTAAAGCGTTTAGCACAATGTCTGGCACAGAATGCATGTGCAATGTGTAGTTAATTGTGATAAGGGCAATAATAATGATAGTGGCTAAATTATACAGGAACACATATAATGCAGCAACTCATTCTACCAGGGAAGTATACATTACAGAAGAAAAAATACTCAGCCAATAATGCAGTGGAGAAAGAGAGAAAGGGTGTTCTAGATGGAAAGATAATAATGAACAAAGGCACAATGACAAAGGGATTAAGTTAGAGCCTAAGTAGGTGTGAAGTCTCTGTCCCTTCCTGGAAATGAATGTGATGTCTAACCAGTTGTAATATTTATGATTACCTCAGCTACAAGTAGCATAATATTTAATTAAAAGTAGCTTAAACAACAGAATGAAACAAACAAACAAGCATTATATCACTAAAGAAATCTTAAGGTGGGAAAGTCCAACATTCATTCAATATTATGAAAATGTCTTCATCACCCTACAGTTTTGCTTTTTCATCCTACCATACTTGGCTTGATGACTTTTGTCCTCAGGTCTCTCTTGTGATTACAAGTTGGCTTTTGCAATTTGTTCTCCCTTGGCAGCATCCAAATGCAGAATGGGAGTTTCTCTTTTTATACATTTTTTTTTTTTTTTTTCAATGAGGACCAGGAAACATTTTTCAGAAGCGTGCTCTCAGAGCTTAATTGTTACGTCTCATTGGCTAGAACTAGCTCAGATGACCACTCCCAAATAATCACGGGCTAAAAGAGCTGGAACGATCGTGATTAATTTAGAACAATGATCAGTCTAGAGATGTTCTCGCCCTCTCTGAAAACACTTCTTCTCCTAGATAAGAATAAAACCAAGGTTCTCTTAGTACAAAAGATGATGATGGCTATTAGGCCACCAGTAGTGCCTGCTGTACAGAGATATAAGATTGTGTTTTCTATTCAAGTTTAAATGTTTGGGATGGTGACCTTCTTAGTGAATATTATCTTGACTTTCATAATTTGTATAAATTGTCATCTTTGAATAACTTCTAGCACTAAATTATGGTTAATATTTGAAAAACAAACAATAGACATTCAAATATGAGACCAACAGATTTTATTGCAGGTCATCTCTGTGTGTGTTGGTAGCACAAAGTCACAATATTGGGCCCAGGGATATGGTGTGTCCTTTACCTTTACCTTTAAAACTCCCAAAAAAATAAAAAATAAAAAAAAAACTCCCTTGAGGTTTGGCAAGTATATGATCTGATTTATATTATAGACTGAAAATGGACTTTATTGGGAAAAATGATATGTTAGCTGCCCCTATTTTCTAATAATTATGCAGAATAAATCTCTTACCCTATTTTTTTCTTTATTGTTGTACTATGGTAAGCTTCATCAATATTGACAGCCTAATACATTTCTTTTACAACAATCACTTAACTTTATGTAAAAACTAAAGGACAAATAGCTCGGTTTTAGCCCTTGAAATCCACTCATGTTTGTGCCATTGCAGTGGCCAAGTTGAACATTTGATCAGTTTGTAGCTTTCTTGAATGGGGTGCTGTTTCCCAAGGGTAACTTTGCGTGAATGTTAAATGCTGATAAGATGACATGAGTCAACACATACACTCATGCTTTGTATTAAGATTTAAAAAATGTTAAAGCTTAATTTATCCACAATGAGCAAAATGAAGTTTCTGGAGCAAAAAGTAGAAATGCAGCTATTTTCTTCTCTCCATCATATTCTAATATTCAGACAGCATGGTACTATGACTCATTAGGTTAATCTCCTTTGTTTATGGCATATTTCATTGCCCACACATTTTTAGTTCTCATGACTTTCTTTTGTTCGTATGTTTGAGTCAATTATGTTAGCTATTCATCAGCATATTAGAAAAGTCTCTACCACTTTATCCTTCAGTATATCTCATAATAAGCTTTTTGGCCCCCCACCCCTACTGCCTGATGGAATGTAGGTCACAAAATGGAGCAGAAGGCAAGAAATTAGGATGCATGGGCTTTATGGGAAAGATTAATCATCAGAGAAGATCTGAGAAAATATATAAAAGCAATGAGGATAAAGAAACTAAAAATTACTGTTTTAGAGGGTGGATCCTTTGACGAGAATGCAATCTTGGGAATCACGGAGATTTAATGGAGGAAGAGGAACAAGGGTTTGGCCAATACAGTTGGAATTTGCTGAGCAGATCTTGCCTTTTCCCATTTTGAACTGGTGATGTCAATTTTTAAAACATTGGCTAAATGAAGCTTTTTCCTAAATATTTTTGTCAGCATTTATGGCTCATCTCTTAATCTTTCCTGCTGAAAGAAAATGAACAAAAAAAAGAATGGGCACAACAGGTTTTGAATTCATTTCAACAATTTGCCAGCATATTCCCATTGTATTTTTCAAAATAACATAAATAGAACACATTTAAGGTAGATGGAAGATTGTGAAGAGTGAAGACCTGCAAAGAATCAAGCACGGTGCTATGCAGCATTCATCCATCATCCCATGTAGGCTTTCCCAAAATTTTGAGAAGTGTGCTTTTATGAATGAGTTTGATGTGACAGGGTTTAAGTAATTCACCCACAGTTTCAGATTGGAGAACCGGGACTTGAAGCCACTTCTGTCTTACTCCATGGCCCATTCTAGTTATCTATACCACTTTAAAAAAATTTTTTTTGTTGTTTGCTTGTTTTTATTTATATATTTATTTATTTATTTATTTATTTATTTATTTATTTATTTTTTGAGACAGAATCTCACTCTGTCACCAAGGCTGGAGCACAGTGGCATGATCTTGGCTCACTGTAACCCTCACCTCCTGGATTCAAGCGATTCTCCTGCCTCAGCCTCCTGAGTAGCTGGGATTACAGGCAGGGGCCACCATGCCTGGCTTATTTTTGTAATTTTAGTAGACATGGGGTTCTACCATGTTGGCCAGGCTGGTCTCAAACTCCTGACCTCAAGTGATCCGCCTGCCTCAGCCTCCCAAAGTGCTGGGATTACAGGCATGAGCCACCATGCCTGGTCATTCTATATCACTTTTTTAAAAAGTTTAATGAGTATTAGAATGAAACCTATTGAACCTACGTATAAATATACCAGTTTAGTATGCTCACTAATTTAAGAAAATCTGTGCTTTCTTCATTTATTTATTACTACTTTATTCTTTTTGCTCTCTTCTTATTTGGTTATAGTCAGAGCAGAAATTGTTATGTAGCATTACCTAAGGGTTTACATTTTGTTTCTTAGTCAGCATAGGCTTATCGTATACTGTTAGCAGGAAGGCAAATTGGCTCAACCTTAATGGGCAAAGGTTAGCAATATATATTACATGTCTTAAAAATGTTTATATCCTTCAATCTAATAATTCTCCTTCTATGTGCTCAGTCTAAAAAAATAATCTGATACATTCTCAAAATTATGTCAAGGATGCTTATTGTAACATCACTATAATTGCAAATAATTTAAATGACCAACAATGAATTATTGATTTAATAATTTAGAGTATAGTTATGATGAGGTTCTACGTAGCTATTAAAGTTCATCTTTTAGAAAAGTAATAATTTGGACAAGTGTTTAAGACAATAAAATGGAAGGTTAATTTACAAAACAATGTGCATAGTATAATTCCAATTTTAAGTTTATATAAATATATTTATGAAAAATATAATGAGCACACATGTCAAAAGGTTAGCTGTGATTATCTAGGTAGAAATATTGTTGAAGATTTTATTTTTTTCTTAATTTTTTCCCAAAGTTTATAAATAAACAAACATTGTTTTGTGGTCTAAATAAGTAATAAAAATATTAAGATTTTGATAGGCGAATTTAAAAAATGTTTTCTGTCTTAAACAAATGAATCATAAAAGGAATTGAATTTTTGGGCATTTTTCAGCTCATCTTCTCCAACCTGTTTCTAGTTTGGACTAGATATTACAATGTACATATTCCTATGATTTTTTTAGCTCAATTGTTTTTTCCATAACTTGTATCAGATTTTCAAATAAACCATGAAGGAAACACATTCATCCCTTTGAAATGTTTGAAGGAAGCTGCCTAACATAAAGACAACAGGGGAAAATGAGCCAAAGACCTGCGTCTCTAACAAAAATTTAATTTATAAAAACAAATTTTAAGAAAATATGCAAATCCTAGGTATGTCTCTGGTCATTATTATGCTGTTTGAGGCATTCCACAAGCACTGAGCTTTTTGTTTGTATATCAGACTTTTTTCTGCTATGTTGCTATTCTTGGAATTGTGAAATGTAACTGATGGGTGCATTTTATGTAATAGTGTTTCAGTCCTAGCAAAACAGTGTTCATTTAATTAGAAAATATTTTAAATATATAAAAATTTGTATCTATCAATAGACTACTTATATAACACCAACTAGAATTTATGTATCTATACAATCTCAAGATAGCTGCAACTCTATCTTCCATGCCCACCTTCTAAATGGGAAGTTGGAGTTGGAGAGCTGTAGGTAAGATATCCAAGTTACCAGCTGAATGTCGTATCTTGACTTCATATCCATTAGCCTCTAATCTCCCCCTTGCCTCACATAGACAATGGAGGGCAGGTGGGAAAGGGAATTGACTCTTCCTTCTTTCTCAGCATCTTTCCCTCTCTGTTGCTCTTCAAGTCATTTTTCAACCGTAATCAATGAACATTTTGTGTTTCTGTTTAGCTCCTCACAATATTTTGTCCTGCCTTTCTGGTCACACCTCCTCCAATTAAGATTAGCTTGATTTTATCCACTTCTCTCCTATTCTATACACTTTTCTCCTAGTTTTGTAAACATCTTCAAGGTCTCCTCTGCTTAGGTCAACTTGGACACCTGGGCTGGACCTCAACATGTGACAAAACATGGCAGCAATAAACCAGAGGAGCTCATTCCATTTAAATAATCCATGGATTCGGAGTCTTTCATTTCTTCAATATAGAAGTAGAATCAGAGACACCCTTCCTCTACAATACAGCATGAACTCTTGCAGGATTCAGGTGTGGAAGCTAATTGTAATAATATTCAGCTAAAGTGTCTAGAATCGTATTCTCTGAGAAGTTGTCACTGTAAGGAAGTATTCAATCTGACTTTGTCTCCAGGGTTTGTTTCTCTTCCTTATTCATGGCTGTTTATTGGATAAGCCCTAGAAATAGTCCTAGAAGGATGTAAGTGGCTTTCAGATCCTGCCAGCCACTGTGTTTTAAGACATAGCACTTTGAGGAGGATGTACCTTCCACCAGAATACCAGATTCTGATGGAAACACAGTCCACTTGCCCAGGTTTTCCTACCTCTCATGTGGGGACAGAAGCATAGAAATGATAATGAAACATTTGGCAAGCTTGAGCATTGCATATTTCAGTAGGGATGTGAAAGAGCATGTCTGTTGGTCTCTTTGCCTAAAAGGTCAGTCTATTTATAAATAATGGTTACAGATGGATATATGCATTTTTTCTAAGAAACACCCCAAATTATAAATGCCTTCATAATTATTAACAATAACAGATATCACTTATGCAGCATTTATTCTGTGTTAGGTACTGTTGCAAGTGCTTTATGTATATTAGCTCATTTCATCCTTACACAACCCTATGAGTTTTAAATGTATTAG
Source organism: Homo sapiens (assembly GCF_000001405.40). Classification (NCBI taxonomy): domain Eukaryota; kingdom Metazoa; phylum Chordata; class Mammalia; order Primates; family Hominidae; genus Homo; species Homo sapiens. Next base: position 80,271,611 of record NC_000014.9, on the reverse strand, counting down.
CTCATTTCATCCTTACACAACCCTATGAGTTAAGTATTATTCTTCCTATCATCCCCATCTTATAGATGAGGAAATAGGCTTAGAATGCCTAGCCCAGAGTTATACAGCTAATAAGTAGTGGAGCCAGACTTGAAATCTAGGCAATCAGGCTCCCCACCTTCTGCCGTCTGTGTTTGCTAATGCATTTCTTGTAAGTTACAATAGCAAGGGGCCTGATTTTAGCACCAGCTCCATCCCAAACATCATGTTGAACCACAATTATTCTATGAGATGATATTGAGTTGAAAGGTAGACAAGTTTAATTTTGCTAAAGGCTGATGTACAAGGCCCCCCATACTTGAAAGATAGCCTAGTATTCCAGAATTTTATATGGCAAAAAAGTTTATATTCTTCAAGAGATTTTCAAGTAAGTTTTGGAATTTGAGCAAAGAGCACTTGAATCTGAGTTAAGACCACGCAAGCCTGCCAGGGGTGGCCATGTCTTTTAGATTATGCTAATAGGTCTGGATTGAGACGAGATGACAAACTTTCTGCAAAGTTGGGGATCAGACCCAATGTTTAGCCTTTTGTTCTATAATATATGAAATGGATGATTTTATTTAATTATTTTTTCTAATTTTAAAAAATGTTTTATGCAACTCTGCTGCATAATATCCTTCAATGTCTTCTAATTATTTAATGAGTAAAATTTACGCTCTCGAACATGGCCTATAAAGACATGCAAAATCTTGTCTGCCTCCTTTTTCAGCTTCACAGAGCCCCTCTTTTCTGTTTTCTCACTCCTCTCTAGCATCACTGGCCTTTCATTATGTTTTCATACTTCATACAGGCTCCTTCCTTGGCCTGACACATCATTCACCTGGCCACTTATCCTTGAGATCACCCCATGAATATCTCTGCCTAAGAACGGAGGTTCCCTTCCCTGAATTAGCTTCCCATCATTTCACATCATGGCTGCTACTTCAACTTGCCATTATACATTTATTTACATAATTATATTTTCAATATTTGTCTCTCTCATTGTTAATAGCTCTTTGTAGGTGCAAACTGGGGACTCTGGTTTACCATTGTTTAGCACCAAGCACAGCGACTGGTAAATAATAGGCATTTGATAAACATTTATTATGTAAATGAATAAGCTTCAGTATCTTCCTTTATAAATATGATCTTCTAGGGCTGCTGCAAGATTAAATGAGATGTATTCACAAACAGACACACCCACGGCCAAACATAATTCTAGAACATTAGTAGAACCTGGATAAATAGTGATATTCTCCCTCCTTTTCCCTTTGGTGTTAGCGACTCCAGTTTGGGCTATTTTTAGCTTCTCATAAGCCAGGGGTCATGATAATAAATGATGGCTGGGAGTGAGGGATGGGGGAATACTAGGATGAGGGAACAGCATTAATAAAGGCAGAGATGTGGAATAGTAAATGCAAAACTGGAAGAAAGTCATTTTGACAGGCTAAAGCTCAGAGGCTGTGTTAAGAGAGTTCCAGAAGAAACGTCTAGACAAAAGAGATTTGAGTCAGATTTTGGAGGATCGTATTAAAGAGTTTAGAAGAAAGGCTGAATGAGTGATACAGATTTTGGAGTTATTTGTAGGTTTGCTTGAGAGGGCAGAAGATTTTAGGGGGACACTTCTTTGGTTGTAGCAAAAAGGAAAACAGGAACTTTGACGGCCATTGCCGGTGGGTTTATGGAACTGGTAATCATTTGTTTTCATTTGCTGAGTTTTCTTCTTCCTCTCACCACTGAAGTGCTGATAGTTCCTGGACTCTGGCTTAATGTTATTTACTTCTTATTCTGTTCACTCTCCTGGAGTGACTCACCTCTTTTCCTTACACAATCATATGATTAGACTGTCTCTTTTATACTTATGAGTGTTAAATGTTTCCCGTTCAGGACATAAGCTTCTGATTCTCCTAGCCAACATTTCCTAGAATTTCCTGAAAGATCCCAATTTCAACATGTTTAAAATCCAGCCCACTGTCTCCCCATTAACAAATACCTCTTTCTACATTGCTTATCTGTGACATATGTCATCAGCATGATTCATTTAGAAGCCCAAATCTGAATCCTAGGAGTCATCTTGAATTCCATCCCCTCTGTCTCCTTTCCTCCCCTACAGAATCAGCACTAAATCCTATAGATATTTATCTCTTTAATCCTCACTCTTCTCTACCTCCTTCATTCACCTCCTCTTTTCTGTTCTCACGGATGCTGCAATATTTCAGGGCCACTCAACGCTCCTCAACATCAACAACAAGCATGTCCCAATAAGTCTCCTGTTCTCTAGATGATATCATTTTCTTCCATTTCTTTCACTGCTTTCAATAATTGTTTTCTAAAATGCAAATCCGTTTCATTTATTCATGTAAAATTTCTCAGCTTCCCTTTGTCCGTGGAATGAAGTCTAAAATGTTTATAGTCTTTATTATGACCTGCAAGACTCACCTCTTCCCAGGTGTGGTTATTCCAGACATCTCTTCAAGGAGAATCTGCTACTCTCTCCTTTGCACACTGCTCTGTTTTCAGTTTGTACTGTTATCCTGGCATCTATAACACTTGATTGTTCTATTTTACCCCATTTAAAATATTTAAAATGTTTTCATTAGTCTGCATACTTCTGCACAGCATAGTCATCTTTGTATGCCCAGTGCCCAGCATTGTGCCAAATATGTAGCAAGTTCTTAATAAATGTTGAAATCAAGTGACATGAGGATTGGAAACAGGCTTGAAAATGGCTTTCACATGGGGAGTGGGAAAAGAAAGCAGATCCAGGAAAAGAATTAAAACAGGTGATAAAAACAAAAAGTAGTCATTGGAATCAGAGAAGGACAAGAGTGCAGAGTAATAAAATCAGTTTGCCTTTGGTTTCTAAAGAAAGAGGAAGTAGGAACATATGTCAAATATAGCAGAAGGATCAAAGGAGAGAAAGAGTGAGGGAGAATTCTTTTAATTGGTATTTAGGAAGTCATGGTGACTTTTTGGAAAAGAGTTTTAAAAATTAATATGTGGGAAGTAGAAGCCACATGAGAAAGATTGAGAAATGTGTGGTGAGATGGTTGAGGCAAGAAGCACTCTTGAAAATTTTAATTATGAAAAGAACAGCAATATTATGGGGTTCAGATTGGAAGGATCAAAGAGAGGTGAGTGGTGTCCCTTTTTCTCCCCAAAGGATGCATATTAAAACTACTCCCACCACTGAATTTGGCAAAGTGGAGGGATGTGATATTGTTACATTTTACACATTCCTTTTCACACCAGCTACTTTTGACTCTTAGTCTGTTAGAGTAAGTTTTGAGTGTGGGAGAAAATGGGTTTGGTCTGGGAAAAGTGATACACACAAACACACACACCATACGCACACATACACACAGGAGGGAGAGAGAGACAGAAACAGAGAGAGACCTTTGTATTTAAGTTATTTACTTTTTCAATTCTTTCAAGGCATTTTGCACATTTAAAAAGTAATGCATAGTCATTATCATTATAATATAGTTGTATTAGTCCATTTTCATTCTGCTATGAAGAAATACCTGAGACTGGTAATTTATAAAGAAAAAGAGGTTTAATGGACTTAGAGTTCCACATGGCTGGGAGACCTCACAATCATGGTAGAAGGTGAAGGGGGAGCAAAGGCATGTGTTATGTGGTGTCAGGCAAGAGAACATGTGTGCAGGGGAACTGCCCTTTATAAAACCATCAGATCTCGTGAGACTTATTTACTATCACTGTTTATGGGAAGAAGTTTAAAAAGTTTATACTGTTTATTATGACCTGCAAGACTCACCTGTCTTATTCACTCTCATGAGAACAGCACGGGAAAAATCCACCCCATGATTTAATTACCTTCTACTGAGTTCCTCCCACGACATATGGGGATTATGGGAGCTACAATTCAAGAAGAGATTTGGGTGGGGACACAGTCAAACCATATCAATAGTCATATGAAAAAGAAAAGAAAATCACATGTAATTACTCAGAGAAACTGTTAGCCTATCTTCGATGTGTGTGTGTGTTTCTAAATATACCTATTATGTTATTTAATTTTAGCATTGTAACTCAAAGTTTTAAAGGTTGGATAGTAGTGTAGTGGGTTCATTTACGATAGAGTTTGTTTGCTGTTAAATTAGTTGAAAGTTTTTCTAATTAGTTTTTTTCTCAGTGGAAGTTTCCAGTATATTTTTACGTTTAATGATTATGGTGTTTGAATGTAGTCTACAACTCTGAAGAATTTATGACAAAGGTTTGTGACTAGTAAACTAAGGGCAGAGTTTCTGGCCTTAATGACCCAAAGGGAGATATCAATCAATATGCTGTAAAAATTCTATAGAATAAATAATTCAGGCTTTTCTCTTCCACCAAAATAAATTCAGCATCTCAGCAGTTCTTGTTGGACCTTTCCTTCCCAGAAAGTTACCTTCCGTGAATGAGGTCATAGCTTCTTTGTACCTGGGCCAGTGACTTTTGGAGCCCTTTAGTCAGCAGGGATTATAACCAGGAGTGTCCCCAAATCTCCAGGGAGAGGTTGTTCTTCCGGTTTTCTGAGCTGGCACAAGAAGTGAAGCTGCTACTGTAACAAAACCTCTTGCCATATCTTGCTGAATTTTGGGGACCTAAGGTTTGATTCTCTGTTAAGACTTTTCGGGAAACTTGAACTCTGACCTTAAAGAGTCTCACCAAGTTTGAAGAAGAGAGAAAGCAGTGTTGTTACATCATGCTGGTCCCTTATGGAAATTATAGTTTCAAGATACCACTTTTTAGTGTTGGTTTGAAGCCTGCCACATTATCTACGGGGAGGTAAAACTAGTGTGACTTTTAATGCCAGCCACACTCTGATATGGCTCATGTTCTGTCTTTTACAATGTTCTTTACATGTCACACCAGAAAAATAATAATTCTGTGAACCTTTTTACCCCTGATAAGTGCTCACACAATGAATTTAATTAAATTCCCCTTTATCTATTATGCTGAAAACAAGGAATTAACAATATCCATTAAAATGACTATTACATTCACATCAAATGAATTTCAACGCCAGACGAAAATGATATGAAGGAAGCCATAATCATGTGAGGCCCAATATGGCGTATAAATTGTAAACCTTTTGAAACCCTAAATTATTTTAATCTCCAAATGTAATTATCATAAATGTCAGTCAAACTTTCTCAAGGCTGCTTTTTGTTGAACACAAAGAAACAAATGGGACTGTGAAGATTTTAAGCTTTACAAACTCTTAATTAACTCCTCCATTACCAGTGAACTTTCAGGCTCAGTAGAAAGAAGACATTTTTAATTGTGTCAGAAGGCCTGAAATATAGTTTGCAGAAAAGATAGCCAGAGGATTATGGTTAATAGGTTATAGCATGCTTTGAATTAGTGTCGGTTGGGTGATAATGCCAATTTTTTTTTAACAATAGCCATAAATTCAGCTTTGCTACAATTTTATAAAATAACTATATAGTAATCACTATATGACAATACAGGTTGAGCAGACTTGATCCAAAAATCTGAAGCCTGAAATGCTCCAAAATCTGAAACTTGAGCACCGACATGATGTCACAAGTGGAAAATTCTACATCTGACCTTATGTAATGGGTTGCTGCCAAAACTCATTCAAAACTTTGTTTCACGCATAAAATTATTTAAAATATTGCATTCTTGCCACTAAGCTTAAGAAAAGAAATTTTAAAAAATATTGCATAAAATTACCTTCAGGATATGTATATAATGTGTATATAAAACATAAATACATTTTATATTTAGATTTAGGTCCCAGTCCCAAAATATCTCATTATGTATGTGCAAATATTCCAAAATTTTTTAAAAATCCAAAATTTGAAACAGTTCTGGTGCCAGGCATTTTGTATAAGGACTATTCAGCCTGTATTCAATTTTACATAATGGTTGAAATTATTTCTCCCATTGGTACCTTCAAGAAGTAGCATTCCAGAACCTATTTCATGGTGAGACAAGAAATAAATAAAGATGGTGATCTTCTATTTTATGAAGTCAAAGATTATATTTATCAAAACAAAATGCTATTGCTCAGGTAAAATTTGTCTGAGAAAGGGAAAATAAACATCTTATTTCTTGAGAAGAGAGAACCAAGTTTTGATTGAGGCGCTGTATTAAAAGACGATGTCAACAGAAGAAACACAAACACTTTAATCCATGATTTACTGCCATTTCTAATGATATATTTTACCTGAATTATAATTTATAACAAACTACTAGGACAAAATAGCTTACGTTACTTTATCTTTGACTGGGGCACATAGACGTCTCCTTCTGGAGGACAAATGGCCAACTTTTTGCATATTCCATCTCCCTCCTAACACCAATTATTACATAGTTCAAATTCCAAATTTCAATTAGAAACAAAACAAATAACTCACAAACATCAGTCTAATTATGCATGGGTTGTAAAGTTGTCTGAAAATTGTGCATTAACCTGTTAGATATTTAGAATTAACCTTATAGGCTAAAAAAGCAGCCTCCTTAAAACCCTCCTCACATCACTCGCACTTCTCGACATCAACCTGGGGCTCAATCTTTGTTCTTTTTCCCTGATTATTTTATTGCCTTATTCGGTACTTGTCCTTTCTCTATTGTTGGTAAGGTCTGAAAGCCTGTCATATTGAGCCTGATGCTACTCCATTATTTGCTTTGAACAAACACTGTTATGTTATCCTGATAACCACAGCTGTGTAAGCATCTATCAGTCTCTTTTATTGGGGTATAATTCCTGTATATGAAAGTAATTTGCCCTCAGTGTCTGTTGATGATTTCCATTGTGTGTATTGACACATTGCTCAGCTCTCAACCCTTTGCTCTTGTCTGCCCTCTCTTTCTCTCCCTCCCATTGGAGCAATTTTAGCCTTTATCCTAAAACACTACTTAAAAATAAATGAAATTCAAGTGGCCTTAGCCCCTCAGTGATTAAAGGAACTTTGTAAAGAGACTGACTTGCCAAATCTTGAAAAATATCTTGGTTTGATGCCTCCTTTCTGAGACATCATTATCATCTCTGTTTGTGGATTGCCCTGTTGATAGTATTATTATCCTCAAAATGCAAAGGGTTTAATGAAAACTCAAGACTAGAAGCCATCTTGGGACCCTGTTTCTGGGACAGCAAGTGGTCCCAGTGATGCCACTGCTGGTAGGAATTGATCCAAACTAGAAGTCTTTAGAGTAGAGTCAGATTCTGACCTTAGACATGGCTGTGAGTGTTGAATATGTCATAGACATCCCAGTTGGTGGCTTTACTAATGTTACTTTGATGGCATATTTTTTTGGACAAGACTGTGAATGACATCCTGAAGCACAGAGGCAGAATGAGAAAGATTATCTCTTGCATCTCTTCAAGTTTTTAACACTTCTGCATTTCACAAATGAGGAAACTAAGGTTCAGAGAGGTCAGTGACATTACTCAACCAGTAAGCAGCAAAATCAAGATTCAAACTCCAAGCCTTTCTTCTTTGCATTATATCTCTGGAGTGGAGCTTGGGGCAGCTGAGCCTCTCTGAGTGGACAAAAAACCAGGGTTTTGTGATGGCAGAGGGGTAAAAGTAACTGCCCATGGCCACAATTATATTCAGGCTAAGACAGGGCAGTGCATTTGTGAAGGGAATATTGGCAAACTGTAGTTGTAGACTTGTGAACTAGGTAGAAGCAGCCAGAGGTGGCTCATATAGAGCAGTTATGAGGTGAATCCTAAGTCACAGATTGCCATAGCATTTGCAATAGTGCCTACTGCCCCAGATCAGATTAAACCAAGAGGTTTGTGTGTGTTGTGTCACTAGCTATATCTGGATGTGGTAGGGGTGTGTGTGTGTGTGTTCATCCATGTGTGTGGTATGTGTGTGTTTATGCATATGTGCGTGTATGTTGTCAGTATTATGGTTAGTCATGGGATTTGCCTGATTCTAATTTACTTTGTAACAAACTTATAACTTCACAAAAGTAAATGCCAAATCCTATCAGCTCTGCTTTCTAAATTTATCTGAAATCGAACTTCTTCCCACCACCTCAATTATTACATCTTAGCTAAAGTCAACATCTTGGCTGGATTAGTATTTGAGCTCCCTAACAATTTTCCATGTCCCCCTGCATTCAGTTTCTCACTAGCATCCAGAGTGCTCCTGCTGAAACATTCCTCAGACCACATTCTGTCCCTGATCAAAGCCTCAAATGGGCCATCTTCACACTTGCAAGCCATGCATTCCATGGAAAGTCCCTAGGAGTCTCCAAGCCTCTGGGTGGTCAGAACTCTGCCCACCTTTAGACCCATCCCGTGCCTCTCGGCCCTTACTCTCTCCAGTGTAGTCCCACTGGCTCCTTGCTGTTCTCCACACACATCAGATGTGCTGACATGGAATCCTTGCAGTTGCTGTTCCCCTCCCTGAATGCTCTTCCCTTCCTGGCTTGGTCTCATTCCCTCACCTCATTCTGGCCAGAAACAGCCTGTCCCCCACCACCACCCAGCTGTACTTTATACATTTTTTTCTATCCCTGGCTCTGGCTGATTTTTTTACACAGCACTTAATACTATTTGACATCACATTATAGACTTACTTTTTGTTTGCTTGCTTTATTTTATGTCTCCCCCACTATTATATAAGCTGTAAGAGGAAGGGGCTTGTTCATCGCTCTGTCTTCTGTGCCTACAGTGCCAGGCATGTAGCAGGTTCTCACTTTTTTTTTTTTTTCAAGATGGAGTTTCGCTCTTGTCCCCAGGCTGGGGTGCAATGGCGCGATCTCGGCTCACCACAACCTCCGCCTCCCGGGTTCAAGCGATTCTTCTGCCTGAGCCTCCCGAGTAGCTGGGATTACAGGCATGCGCCACCACGCCTGGCTAATTTTGTATTTTTAGTAGAGACATGGTTTCTCCATGTTTGTCAGGCTGGTCTTGAACTCCATACCTCAGGTGATCCACCCTCCTAGGCCTCCCAAAGTGCTGGGATTACAGGTGTGAGCCACCATGCCCGCCCTACATAATTTATCAAAAACTTTAAAAGAAAAGATCACATTTGTTTTGTACGTCTGTGAAGTGAGTGAGAAAGCAGTTTGTCAGAGTTCTATTATGCACTTAAAAGACATTTATTACACTAGGTGCTAGGATGCAAGTAAGGCAGTATATTTGAGGTGCTCTTGCTGGAGAGAAGTAAATACAAGTGAGTGTTATGACAGAAAAAGGTCAAAGTGACTGTGGAAGTCAGGAGCAGGTGCCCAGTTTGGTCAAAAGAGAAGAGACTAAAGTAGGAGAGAGACATTTAGGCTTTCTACAGCTTTCTAGAAGTGACAATTCAGCTAAGTGCTAAAGAATCTTTAGGATTTTGGCTAGGCATGATAGCTCACACTTATAATTCCAGCACTTTGGGAGGCCAAGGCAGAGGATTGCTTGAGCCCAGGAGTTCATGACCAGCCTTGGCAACATAGTGAAACCTCATCTACTAAAATAAAATAAAATAAAACAAAATAAAATAAGCCAGGAGTGGTGGCATGTGCGCCTGTAGTTCCAGCCACTCCAGAGGTTGAGGCAGGAAGATCTCTGGAGCCCGGGAGTTTGAGGCTGCAATGAGCTGTGATCACACCATTGCACTCTAGCCTAGGTGACAGAGTAAGACCCTGTGTCTAAAACAACAACAACAAAAAAAAAAAAAAAAAAAAAGAGGGAAAAAGAGAAAGAAAAAGAATTTTTAGGATTTATTTTAAAAAGAGTGTAGGAAAGGATAACCTAAGCAAAGGGAGCAACACATAAAAACACATAGAAATTAAGAGAGAGGTTTTAGAGAATTGCAATCAGTTCCATTTATGTCTCTTTCATTCTCTAATGAAAAAAGTTAAGATTACTAAGAGGTGATGTTTCCTGATGAACATAGACAAGTAGCAGGTTACTTGGAGGAAACAAACAAAAGAAAAACTCATCTTCCTAAAAGCTTTAAAAAACTTTATGTTTACTGAAGCTTTTGGAAATGTCTCATGACTATATATGAAGTTTGGAGGCAAAACCTTGGCCAATGTAGATTCATCTTGTTGTATTGTTAGGAGACATTTTCAAAACACTTTATTTACTCTAGATATACAATACATTTTGAGATTTTAAATAAATAAATATCTCTTTTATTATTAATCTGAAATTACATATATAGCCACTTTCTCAATGGCTCCAAAATTTCAGCCAAGTCCCAGAGACATTGGCTGAGAACACAAAGACAACTTCTATTGCTACAAAAATTGACGTGGGAACTTTAAAACTGAAGTTCTGTGTGCTCTGTATTAATATAAAAGTCTCATAACAGACAGCATTATACTACATGAATGTACCTTGAAGCCAGGGCTTAGTAGGCCTTCTGGGGATTTGAATTTGTGATTTTAGAGCATCTAAATAGACTTACTGTTGATGTTCAGACATCTCAATGATTCCCCTGGGTCTTTGCTGTTCTACCAGTGGAAGGGCTCACACATAAATAATCTGTGGGCAAACACAGGCTCTTTTAGGTGGTTTTTTAGGATCCTGTTGGAACTTACACATTTCCAGAGTTGAACTCAAGCCTGCTGAACTGGCCTAAAACATTAGGATTGACCCTTCCAAAGAGATCGTATTATGTAGCAAAATCTCAGACATTTATATTATATCCAGTTGGAAAAACAAAAACCAAAACCAAACTCACTGAAAAAAATATTCACTGGGTTGAGTACAGTTTTTTAAAGTTCTGGAGAGAGAGTTCCTAGAGCCTTTCCAGCTGCTTATTCCCTCAGAGTTCATCGTGACCGAATTCACAAAGCTGTTTTCTGGCATTACTGGTAATTACACAAGCGGATGTACCACATAATGCTTTGATCTTAATGGTTGTGGATTAAATAGGGTTGAGCCTTGTCAATACTTTAAGGGGAGGTCCACAAGGAATTTCAAACCGCTGAAGCAATAAATCTTACTTATTTAATACAAGGATGCTCAAGAGTGCCTGGAATACAGTGGTTGTCCAAGAAGGCCCTCTGGGTTGACCAGAATTTTGTTCATAAAGCCATTATCTTTGATATCAATTTTTAAAATATAGCAGTAATAAATTATAGCAATTTTTAATTTAAAGTGTTTGACAGACAATGATTCTTTGTGTTTGTTAAGAAAAACAGAGCCTGAAACAAATATTCCACTATGATTTCTATGCAAATGGTCTCCTTTCTCATAGGGCAAAATGACACAAAACCAACAACAAATAAAAAGATCCCTACATATTTCAATCTGTGCTTAGTAGTGTATTTCCTCTGCATACTAGAAATACCCGACTCACTGCATGGAGAGGAAACCCATTATTTTCTCTCCTTCCCTAGGCCATCTACTGATTCCCCACTCTGCGGTTTCTAACCTAAAAAGTAATAAAGCTGTCAGGTTACTACAGACATAAATGAGGTAGTATCTTTGACTCTACTATTTCCTTCACCTCCAAAATCCATTAAGTCATTTTGGTGTGTCATTTCCTACATAAAATGACTCTTGAATCTGCCTTTTTCTTTTCATTCCCATGGCTTTGAGTCAAACTCTCATTACATTATACTGGGTTTGGAGGGACAGGACCCTTTTAAACGGTCTCATTTTCTCTCTTGAATATGGCTGAAATTATAGGCTTCCTAAAATCTTACTTGGTCATGACACGCTGATCATAAAATTCAAACTCTGTGCCTGGGTTTAACTACCCTGCATTGTTCCTCTGTAGCTAGCCCTGCTGTCTTCATTGCTTCTTAACATATGTCATTCATGTCTTTCTGGCTCTCTTCTGTATCACATCACACTTGCTCTGTAGGATGCAAGCAAGAGAACTGGACTGGATGTCAGAAAGTCTGGGTCCTAGTTCAACTTCTGGGAATTATCTTTGTGAACTTGGGCCTGTCATTCAACCTCCCTTGACTTCAAGTCAAATACTAACCAAGACAAAGCTGCCATAGCAGTGCTAATACTATGCAGAGTAAACTCAAAGGCAAAAAAGAATTGCTTGTAATTTTGAGAATCACTGAAAAGAATGAAAAGCTACATTCATCAAGAAATTAAAATATTCTCAATTGCTATGTACACACTTGCATCGCCTCAAAATTTTAAATAAAAAATTGACGGAATCGCAAAGAGAAAGATACATTAAACATCATCAAGGTTGACAATGTATCTCTTAGTCATTGATAGCACAAGTCAATTAAGATACTTTTATGTCTACATGTATAGAAGATGTTAATAGCAAAATCAGTAAACATGTTCTAATTTACCTATATGGGAAATTATTATACATCTAATAATTGGATAACAAACATTATTTTCAAGCATATAAAGAAATTTGTGAAAACTGACCATGTGCTATACTTAGAATTAGTCACAACAAATTTCAAAGGATTGATAGAATAAATAACGCATCATCTGAGGTGACAATGTCATTAAATTAGAGATCAATAACCTCCAAAAACATAGAAAAAAGTGATTAAAATTAAAATATATGTTATTAAATATACTCACGGGTTGAAGAGTAAACCATAATACAATTTCAAAAATACTTAGAATGTAATGATAATGAAAATCCTATTGTTAAAATTGTTATACAGCTAAAGTTATATTACAGGAAATTATCAACTTTAAAGAAGAAACACTCAAAATTAATCAAACATCTTAAACATTCAACTTGAAAAGTTAGAACAGCAAAATAGTTCTTAAAAAGTAGAAGGAAGATTATAACAGAAATTAATGACATAGAAAATGAAGAAGGATAATGAAATCACCAAAACCAGAGATTGGTTCTTTGAAAATAATAATAAATTAGATGAACCTCTGACAAGATTAATCACGAAAACTATGGTTCAAATTGCAAACAAACAATATTATAAATGAAAAAGGAGACAAAAGTTATGAAAATTAAGAAGATATTATAAATAGCTTATGAAAAAATATTTTAAAACCTAGGTAAAGTAAGTAAATTCTTAGAAAAATGCAACTTCTAAAAGTGACCCAAGAAGAATACAAGGGATGAAAAATAGTCATTAGGAAACTTGAATTAAAGATTAAAAATCTTTCCACAATGGAAGCACTAATATCAGACCAGTTTAATGGAAAGTTTTACTAAATTTTCAGTGAAAAGATAATTCTAAACATATGCTAACTCTTAAAGAGGAAAAACAATATCATTCTTTAGCTCATCTTGAGATTAATATTACCTTGATACTTAATACTAGACAAGTTTCATTAGTAAACATGAATACAAATGAAATTAGTATTAGTAAACATAATATCAAATGAAATTAAGTGATATATAAAAGAGATAATCATGACCACAGTGGGTTTATTTCAATGGTAATCTAATATCAATTAAATAAATTAAATTAATTTCTAATTTGAAATTAAGGAGAAAATCAAATTAATATCTAATTAATAAATAGGTTAAAAAGCATTTAGTGAAATTCTTATCTATTTAAAACAAAAACTCATAACTAATGGGGAATAAATTATACTTTCCTTAATCTAATGTAGAGATCTATAAAAATCCTACAGTAAGCATTATATTTAAATGTGAAATGTTGAATGTATTTCCTTTTATATAGCATGAAGCCAAGGATTGCTTACACAGAAAATTCTAACGATTCTATACACATTTTATTATAATTAATATGAATTATCAATATTGCCATATACAAAAGTCAGTATATTAAACTTTATTATTATGTATACTCATGTACCTACATCATAAAGTCTATGAGGATTAAAATTGATAATATATAAAGCACTTATTCCTTAGAACTCAAATAGTGGAATTGTTGTTGATATGAGTCAATTGCACTCTATACATCAGCAACAACCAGAAAATATAATTTTAAAATACTGTCTTAGCTAGGGTTCCCTCAGAGGCAGAGCCTGTAACAAAGGCTTTAGTGCAGTTAGGTAATTCAATAATGTGATTATAGGTAATAATTGTGAGGAATAGGGGGATAAGCAGGAAAGAAAAGAAAGCCAAGATAAATCTGTATTATTGATCTGGCCACAAAGCCTTCTAAAACCTATGGAAGGCCTCTCAGAAATGTCCTCCTGTGATAGGAAAGGAGGATGCATCTATCCATATGCTCTTGTTGCTCAGTGCTCAGGGATGAGACCCCACATGCTAACTCCCTTGCACTTCTAGGTTGCATAAAGATGAGTGTGGATGAGCTTCCATGAGTGTCTCTGACTGGGTGCAAAAGAGGCTCAGGAGCAGGCACTAAATGACATATTAGATTGGTGCAAAAGTAATTTCGGTTTTTGCCATTTAAAAGTAATACAATTAATAGTATATGAACACAGGTACGCTGTAAGGTTGCATAGAATAAAGCTGGACAAATTTGTTAGACAGGATCACAGCAGCAGAGCTGGAATAAGGGCTGAAGCCAAGAGTTTGTGAAATGATACATAAGAGGTATTTGATACAAATGTCCTATTTAAAACAGCAACAGCAAAAGAAATGAAAGTGAAGAAATCAAACAAAGGGTGTTTTAAATTTCTATGATAAAACATGTCAAGGTTATTGAAAAGCAGTATATCAAATAAACCAAAACATCTCAATAATGTTCTTGGATAGAAAGAAGAGTCCATGGTGTAAAGTTGTCAGTTTTCCTCACGCTGATCTATACATTACAAGGAATCCTCTACAAAATCTCCATAAGATATTTCTTGCATTGCATTGTTTTGCTTTTATGGAACTTGATAAATTGGTTCTAAAATGGATATGCCAGAACAAATGCACTAGGAACTAAATCCCACACTCCTAAAGAAAAAAACTGGTGTGTGTGTGTGTGTGTGTGTGTGAGAGAGAGAGAGAGAGAGAGAGAGAGAGAGTGAGTGAGTACATCTTGCTTGGCCACATGTCAAGACCAAAAAAGACTGTAACAAGAAAATATAATATACACAGCATACCTCAGAAATATTGTGGATTCAGTTCTAGACCACCACAATAAAGCAAATATTGGAATAATGCAAGTCACACAATTTTTTTAGATTCCCAGTGCATACAAAAATTATATTTACATTGTACTGTAGTCTATTAAGTGTGCAATAGCATTGTATTATATCTAAAAAAAGCAATGTACATACCTCAATTAAAAATACTTCATTGCTAAAAAATGATAACGATCATTTTTGAGCCTTCAGCAAGTCCTAATCTTTTTGCTGGTGGAGGGTCTTGCCTCAGTGTTGATGGCTGCTGACTGATCAAGGTGGTGATTGCTGAAGGTTGAGGTAGCGGTGGCAATTTCTTAAAATAAGACATTAATGAAGGTTGCCACATTGACTGACACTTTCATGAAAGATTTCTCTATAGCATGCAATGCTGTTTGATAGCACTTTACCCACAGTAGAACTTCTTTCAAAATAGAAGTCAATCCCCTCAAACCCTGCTGCTGTTTTAGCAACTAAGTTTATGTAATATCCCAGATCTTTTGTTGACATTTCAACAGTGTTTATAGCATCTTCACTGGGAGTAGATTGCATCTCACGAAGCCACTTTCTTTTCTTATCCATAGGAAACAACTTCTCATCCATTCAAGTTTTAGTATGAGATTGCAGCAATCCAGTCACATCTTCGGGCGCCACTTCTAACTCTAGTTCTCTTACTATTTCTGTCATATCCACAGTGACTTCCTTCACTGAAGTCTTGAACCCCTCAAAGTCTTCCATGAGGCTTAGAATCAACTTCTTCCAAACTCCTGTAATTGTTGACATTTTGACCTTCTCCCATGAATCACAAATGTTCTTAATCTAATCTAGAATGGTGAATCCTTTCTAGGAGATTTTCAATGTACTTTTTCCAGATCCATCTGAGGAATCAATACCTATGACAGTTACAGTCTTATGAAATGTATTTCTTAAGTAACAAGATTTGAAAGTCAAAGTTACTCCTTGATTTATGGGCTTATGGAATGGATGCTGTGTTAACAGGCATGGAAACAATATTAATCTTTTTGGACATTTCCATCAGAGCTTTTGGGTGACCAGGTGTATTGTGAATGAATAGTACTTTTTTGAAAGAAATCTTTTTTTCTGAACAGTAGGTCTCCACAGTGGGCTTAAAATATTTCAGTAAGTCATACTAGAAACAGATACACTGCCAT
This sequence comes from Homo sapiens, assembly GCF_000001405.40. Taxonomy (NCBI): domain Eukaryota; kingdom Metazoa; phylum Chordata; class Mammalia; order Primates; family Hominidae; genus Homo; species Homo sapiens. Next base: position 80,255,489 of record NC_000014.9, on the reverse strand, counting down.
CCAGGTTTTGTTCTTCCATTTAGAGAGTACAGGCAGAGTAGATTTAGTGTAATTCTTAAGAGCCCTAAGATTTTGGAATGGTAAAATGGTAAATGAGCATTGACTTCAATTTAAAGTCACCAAATACATTAGCCCCTAAAAGGAGAGTCAGCCTCTCCTTTGAAGTTTTAAAGCTAGGCATTGACTTATCTTCTCTAGTTATGAAAATTTGAGATAGCATCTTCTACTATAAGGCTTTTTATCTACATTGAAAATCTATTGTTTATTCTACACCTTTATCGATGATCTTACCTAGATCTTCTGGAAACTTGCTGCAGCTTCTACATCAGCACTTGTTGTTTCACCTTGCACTTTTATGTTATGGAAATGGCTTTTTTCCTTAAACCCCATGAACCAACCTCTACTACCTTCCCACTTTTCTTCTATAGCTTCCTCACCTCTCTCAGCCTACATAGTTATGGCTTTGCTCTGGGTTAGGCTTTGGCTAAAGGGAAGGTTGTGACTGCTTTGATCATCAATCCAAACCCTAAAACTTTCTCCATATCAGTAATCAGGCTGTTTCACTTTCTTTTCATTTGTGTGTTCACTGGAGCAGCACTTGTAATTTTCTTTAAGAACTTTTCCTTTGCATTCATAACTAGCCATTTGGTGCAAGAGGCCTAGCTTTTGGCCTATCTCATCTTTCATCATGGCTTTCTCACTAAGCTTAATCATTTCCAGCTTTTGATATAAAATGAGAGATATGTGACTCTTCCTTTCACCTGAACACTTAGAGGCCATTTTAGGGTTATTAATTGGCCTAATTTTAATATTCTTGTGTCTCAGGGAACAGAGAGGCCAGAGAAGAAGGAGAAATAAAGGGTGTGGGAAAGATGGTTGCTGTGTGGAGCAGTCAGAACACACAGAACATTTATTAATTAGGTTTGCCATCTTATGGGGGTGTAGTTTATGGTGCCTCAAAACAAAACAATTATAATAGAAACATCAAAGATCACTGATCACAAATGATCATAACGAAAATAATAATAATTTGAAAGGCTTAAAATATTGTTGGAATTACCAAAATGTGACACAGAGACTTGAAGTGAGCACATGCTGTTGAAAAAATGGTGCTGATAGACTTGCTGGAAGCACGATTGCCACAAACCTTCAATTTGTAAAATGCACAGTGTCTCTGAACACAATAGGTGAAGCACAATAAAACAAGGTATAACTGTATGCAGGGATAGATTCACTGACAAACAGAAAAGAGAGTCCCCACATAAACTCATGCATGGATGGAAACAATTCATTCAATGGTGAACCTTTATGTCAGTGATTATTATACGAAAATGATACAATGAATTGAATACCTATATTACACCTTATACCATAAATGTCAATTCTAGATGAAGTAAAGACAAATGTCAATGCAAAACTAGAGAAAACTTTAGGAGACAATAAAGAAGGATATATTAGTAACTCAGAGTAGAAAAATAATTCTTTAAAAAGTTACATAAAGTTAAACCATAAAGGAAAAAAGTTGATAAATGCTACAAAATTACCATTTAAGGAGGTTAAATTAACATTTAAAAATTTCATAAGGAATAAAAAAGACAAGACACATTCTAGAAGAAAATAATTACAAAATAAGCAACCAAAAAAGGATTAGTGTCTAGGTATCGATAAGAAAAAGATAATAACTCATTAGAGAAATGGACAAAAAAAATAAAGAGATCTGACATAGAAAATGAAAGACAGATGCTTTTTAAACATATGAAAGCATTGTATAAAGGGATTAACAGATTAAAATCACAATTAGGTACATTTCACACATACCAGATAAACAACTTTAAAAGTCTGAAAATACCAAGGGATGTCAATAACTTCAAGTACTGGAAGCTGTCATCCAAAACTGATGGGAAGGTAAATTGGCACAACCACTTTGGAAGTGTTTGGTGTTACCTAGTGAAGTTGAACTTGCTCTACAACCCCAAGAAACCCTTCCCTGTGCACTGGTAAGCACACAAAAGCATGTTTTTATTGGGGTTGTGCTTAACAGCAACTGCAAACAACTCAAATATGCATCAGTGGATTGATACATTGTGATATGCCCATACAAATAGAGTACTGTAGAGTAGTGAAAATAAGTAAGCCTATATTAGTCCATTCTCAGGCTGCTATGAAGAAATACCTGTGACTGGGTAATTTACAAAGGAAAGAGGTTTAATTGACTCACAGTTCCACATGGCTGGTGAGGCATCAGGAAACTTACAATCATGGTGGAAGGGGAAGCAAACATGTCCTGCTTCACATGGCGGCAGGAGAGAGAAGTGCTGAGCAAAGTGGAGAAATCCCCTTAAAAAACCATCAGATCTCATGAGAACTCACTCACTATCATGAAAGCAGCATGGGAGGTAACCACTCACATGATTCAGTTACCTCCAACCAAGTCCCACCCACAACATGTGGGAATTATGGGAACTACAGTTCAAGATGAGATTTGGATGGGGACACAGCCAAACCATATCAGACCCATTCCTACATGCATCATCATGGATAAACACAAAACTTCACATTGAGAAAATAAACATAAGCCAGAATAGCATATGAAGCATGATTAACTCATAAAGTTTAACACTAAACAATGTATTATTTAGGGAAACCCACTTAGGAGGTAAAACTATAAGAAAAACAAAAATATGGTTAATATGAATTCAAGATATTTCTGTCCCATAGGAGCTTCTAAAATACTGCTAATCCTTTATTTCTTAACTTTAGTGCTAAGTGCATGAGACTTTATTAGTGTTGTTTAAACTATTGAGTTATGTTTAATCTACCAATTTATTAAATTTCAACATAACAATAAAAGAGTTTCAGCAACAGGAAGTCCTCATGCATCACCTGTTGTAACTTTGGCTGTGTCTACCTTATAATCTGTTTCTTCACATTAAGGTGAAATATTCAGCACTTCTTTATCAGGACTATAAAATTTCATAGAAAATCTAATCCCTTTTACACATGAGAGCCTTTTAAGTACTCAAAGACAGTTGTCTTGTCTCCCTTTAGGTTTCTTCATTTCCAAGAATTAACCATCCTTAAATCATGGTTTCCAGACACCTCACCATTTTGGCAGCCTTCCCCTGGACCTGCAGCCAGAACCAAGCTCAACATTCCAGTTTGTTCTGGCCAGTGAAATGTCTGATGGGACTATTAACTTTCCTGTTCAAGACATTGCATTTATTGATATAGCCTAAAATTGACCTAAGTTTTTGCAGCCTTGTACACCGCATTAATTTATATTGGGCTCCTCATCATTTCAATCCTTTAAGTCTTTTTCACACAATGTATATCTCATCATAGACTTGTGAGGCTAATTTTTCTAAACTGTGTTTGGGACATTACATTTACTCCTAATGTTTTATCTTGGAATTTGGTTATAAGGTTTTAGCCTGTTGAGATATTTTCAGTCCTGATTCTGACATCTGATGTATTGACTTTTCTTCCTAGATTTGTATCAGCAGCAGATTTGCATTTATATGACTAACCAAACATTTCAAAACTACCTTGTATAAAGGGGTACGTTAGGTAATGTGTGTTCACCTCAATAGTTAGTAAAAATATTAAAATGGAGAGATCCAAAAGTTAAGATTTTTTTCCAGATAGATAGTCAATGCACTCATAATCAAATAAATTTGAAGTTTGATGTGAATTGGCACATATGTTTACATTCCATATTTCCTCAACATTTTCCTTTAAATTTTTCTGCACTTGGAGTAAATTGTTACATCTTTGGTAAGTTTGCAATAGCTAAATATATACCTTCAGCCTTGAGGGACTTTTCATTTCTGATTGACTCCTCTATTTTGCTACCTTGATCTCCACAAAGCTAAGCTATATGCAGGATTTTATTTTTGTCAAAATGTGCCCTTTGACCTTTATTGTTATCCATACTGATTCATGGCTTTAACATCATCTCAGACTTCCAGTCTTTACAAATTTGAAGTGGCTCTTCTTTAATTTAAAAAATCATATTGCTTCTTAGTATAGAAGAATGCAGACAACTGTTATTTTCTAAAAGAGAAAAAGTAAAAGTATAAAGATAAAAGCTAAAACAAAAATAAATAACCCCTAACCTCAACATCTGGAAGTGATTATTTTTTAAATTATTTATCCTTGCAGTCACTGTTCTGTGCCCTAGAGAAAGAAACCCAATTAGTATCGGCTTATCTGAATGAGCAAACTTTTTAACATTAATGTGAATGTGTATAGCTAAAATAATAATCATAAAACCAAATATCTATATAACCATCACCCTTGTCAAGAAATTGATTATTGCAATTCCTATAACCATCTTCTCTCGCCTGTTGAGACACTTCTATTGTGACTTAGGATGTTAAAGTTTTGTTTTGCTTATTTAAAAAATTAAATGAAATAATATAATACATATTTTCCATATCTGGAAGTTTCAGAGGAACGATCAGGCAGCAGCATTTGTGGTTCACCAATATCTGCTGTTCTGCAGCCACTGCTGCTGATACCCAGGCAAACAGGGTCTGGAGTGGACCTCCAGTAACTCCAACAGACCTGCAGCTGAGGGTCCTGACTGTTAGAAGGAAAACTAATAAACAGAAAGGACATCCGCACCAAAAACCCATCTGTACATCACCATCTTCAAAGACCAAAGGTAGATAAAACCACAAAGATGGGGAAAAAACAGAGCAGAAAAACCAGAAACACTAAAAATCAGAGCGCCTCTTCTCCTCCAAAGGAATGCAGCTCCTCACCAGCAACAGAACAAAGCTGGACAGAGAATGACTTTGACGAGCTGAGAGAAGGCTTCAGAAGATCAAACTACTCCAAGCTAAAGGAGGAAGTTCGAACCAATGGCAAAGAAGTTAAAAACCTTGAAAAAAAAATTAGACAAATGGCTAACTAGAATAACCAATGCAGAGAAGTCCTTAAAGAACCTGATGGAGCTGAAAACCATGGGACGAGAACTACGTGACGAATGCACAAGCCTCAGTAGCTGTTGCGATCAACTGGAAGAAAGGGTATCAGCGATGGAAGATGAAATGAATGAAATGACGTGAGAAGAGAAGTTTAGAGAAAAAAGAATAAAACGAAACAAACGAAGCCTCCAAGAAATATGGGACTATGTGAAAAGACCAAATCTACATCTGATTGGTGTATCTGAAAGCGACAGGGAGAATGGAACCAAGTTGGAAAACACTCTGCAGGATATTACCCAGGAGAACTTCCCCAATCTAGCAAGGCAGGCCAACATTCAGATTCAGGAAATACAGAGAACACCACAAAGATACTCCTCGAGAAGAGCAACTCCAAGACACATAATTGTCAGATTCACCAAAGTTGAAATGATGGAAAAAATGTTAAGGGCAGCCAGAGAGAAAGGTCGGGTTACCCACAAAGGGAAGCCCATCAGACTAACAGCTGATCTCTCAGCAGAAATTCTACAAGCCAGAAGAGAATGGGGGCCAATATTCAACATTCTTAAAGAAAAGAATTTTCAATCCAGAATTTCATATCCAGCCAAATTAAGCTTCATAAGTGAAGGAGAAATAAAATACTTTATAGACAAGCAAATGCTGAGAGATTTTGTCACCACCAGGCCTGCCCTAAAAGAGCTCCTGAAAGAAGCAATAAACATGGAAAGGAAAAACTGGCACCAGCCACTGCAAAAACATGCCAAATTGTAAAGACCATCAAGGCTAGGAAGAAACTGCATCAACTAACGAGCAAAATAACCAGCTAACATCATAATGACAGGATCAAATTCACACATAACAATACTAACCTTAAATGTAAATGGGCTAAATGCTCCAATTAAAAGACACAGACTGGCAAATTGGATAAAGAGTCAAGACCCATCAGTGTGATGTATTCAGGAAACCCATCTCACATGCAGAGACACACGTAGGCTCACAATAAAGGGATGGAGGAAGGTCTACTAAGCAAATGGAAAACAAAAAAAAGGCAGGGGTTGCAATCCTAGTCTCAGATAAAACAGACTTTAAACCAACAAAATCAAAAGAGACAAAGAAGGCCATTACATAATGGTAAAGGGATCAATTCAACAGGAAGAACTAACTATCCTAAATATATATGCACCCAATACTGGAGCACCCAGATTCGTAAAGCAAGTCCTTAGTGACCTACAAAGAGACTTAGACACCCACACAATAATAATGGGAGACTTTAACACCCCACTGTCAACATTACACAAATCAACGAGACAGAGAGTTAACAAGGATATCCAGGAATTGAACTCAGCTCTGCACCAAGCCGACCTAATAGACATCTACAGAACTCTCCACCCCAAATCAACAGAATATACATTCTTTTCAGCACCACACCACACCTATTCCAAAATTGACCACATAGTTGAGAGTAAAGCACTCCTCAGCAAATGTAAAAGAACAGAAATTATAACAAACTGTCTCTCAGACCACAGTGCAATCAAACTAGAACTCAGGACTAAGAAACTTCCTCCAAACTGCTCAACTACATGGAAACTGAACAACCTGCTCCTGAATAACTACTGGGTACATAACGAAATAAAGGCAGAAATAAAGATGTTCTTTGAAACCAACGAGAACAAAGACACAACATACCAGAATCTCTGGGACACATTCAAAGCAGTGTGTAGAGGGAAATTTATAGCACTAAATGCCCACAAGAGAAAGCAGGAAAGATCTAAAATTGACACCCTAACATCACAATTAAAAGAACTAGAGTAGCAAGAGCAAACACATTCAAAAGCTAGCAGAAGGCAAGAAATAACTAAGATCAGAGAAGAACTGAAGGAAATAGAGACACAAAAAAACCCTTTAAAAAAATCAATGAATCCAGGAGCTGTTTTTTTGAAAAGATCAACAAAATTGATAGCCCTCTAGCAAGACTAATAAAGAAGAAAAGAGAGAAGAATCAAATAGATGCAATAAAAAGTGACAAAGGAGATATCACCACTGATCCCACATAAATACAAACTACCATCAGAGAATACTATAAACACCTCTATGCAAATAAACTAGAAAACCTAGAAGAAATGGATAAATTCCTTGACACATACACTCTCCCAAGAGTAAACCAGGAAGAAGTTGAATCTCTGAATAGACCAATAACAGGCTCTGAAATTGAGGCAATAATTAACAGCTTACCAACCAAAAAATGTCCAGTAGCAGATGGATTCACAGCTGAATTCTAACAGAGGTACAAGGAGGATCTGGTACCATTCATTCTGAAACTATTCCAATCAATAGAAAAAGAGAGAATCCTCCCCAACTCATTTTATGAGGCCAGCATCATCCTGATACCAAAGCCTGGCAGAGACACAACCAAAAAAGAGAATTTTAGACCAATATCCTTGATGAACATTGAAGCAAAAATTCTCAATAAAATACTGGCAAACTGAATCCAGCAGCACATCAAAAAGCTTATCCACCATGATCAACTGGGCTTCATCCCTGGGATGCAAGACTGGTTCAACATACGCAAATCAAGAAATGTAATCCAGCATATAAACAGAACCAAAGACAAAAACCACATGATTATCTCAATAGATGCAGAAAAAGCCTTTGACAAAATTCAACAATGCTTCATGCTAAAAACTCTCAGTAAATTAGGTATTGATGGGACGTATCTCAAAATAATAAGAGCTATCTATGACAAACCCACAGCCAATATCATACTGAATAGACAAAAACTGGAAGCATTCCCTTTGAAAACTGGCACAAGACAGGGATGCCCTCTCTCAACACTCCTATTCAACATAGTGTTGGAAGTTCTGGCCAGGGCAATCAGGCAGGAGAAAGAAATAAAAGGTATTCAATTAGGAAAAGAGGAAGTCAAATTGTCCCTGTTTGCAGATGACATGATTGTATATCTAGAAAACCCCGTCGTCTCAGCCCAAAATCTCCTTAAGCTGATAAGCAACTTCAGCAAAGTCTCAGGATACAAAATCAATGTACAAAAATCACAAGCATTCTTATACACCAATAACATACAAACAGAGAGCCAAATCATGAGTGAACTCCCATTCACAATTGCTTCAAAGAGAATAAAATACCTAGGAATCCAACTTACAAGGGATGTGAAGGACCTCTTCAAGGAGAACAACAAACCACTACTCAATGAAATAAAAGAGGATACAAACAAATGGAAGAACATTCTATGCTCATGGGTAGGAAGAATCAATATCGTGAAAATGGCCATACTGCCCAAGGTAATTTATAGATTCAATGCCATCCCCATCAAGCTACCAATGACTTTCTTCACAGAATTGGAAAAAACTACTTTAAAGTTCATATGAAACCAAAAAAGAGCCTGCATTGCCAAGTCAATCCTAAGCCAAAAGAACAAAGCTGGAGGCATCACACTACCTGACTTCAAACTATACTACAAGCCTATGGTAACCCAAACAGCATGGTACTGGTACCAAAACAGAGATATAGACCAGTGGAACAGAACAGAGCCCTCAGAAATAATGCCACATATCTACAACTATCTGATCTTTGACAAACCTGAAAAGCAAGCAATGGGGAAAGGATTCCCTATTTAATAAATGGTGCTGGGAAAACAGGCTAGCCACATGTAGAAAGCTCAAACTGGATCCCTTCCTTACACCTTATACAAAGATTAATTCAAGATGGATTAAAGGCTTAAATGTTAGACCTAAAACCATAAAAACCCTAGAAGAAAACCTAGGCAGTACCATTCAGGACATAGGCATGGGCAAAGCCTTCATGTCTAAAACACCAAAAGCAATGGCAACAAAAGCCAAAATTGACAAATGGGATCTCATTAAACTAAAGAGCTTCTGCACAGCAAAAGAAACTACCATCAGAGTGAACAGGCAACCTACAGAATGGGAGAAAATTTTTGCCACCTACTCATCTGACAAAGGGGTAATATCCAGAATTTACAATGAACTCAAACAAATTTACAAGAAAAAAAGAAACAACCCCATCAAAAAGTGGGTGAAGGATATGAACAGACACTTCTCAAAAGAAGACATTTATGCAGCCAAAAAACACATGAAAAAATGCTCATCATCACTGGCCATCACAGAAATGCAAATTGAAACCACAATGAGACACCATCTCACACCAGTTAGAATGGTGATCATTAAAAAGTCAGGAAACAACAGGTGCTGGAGAGGATGTGGAGAAATAGGAACACTTTTATACTGTTGGTGGGACTGTAAACTAGTTCAACCATTGTGGAATTCAGTGTGGCGATTCCTCAGGGATCTAGAACTAGAAATACCATTTGACCCAGCCATCCCATTACTGGGTATATACCCAAAGGATTATAAATCATGCTGCTATAAAGACACATGCACACGTATGTTTATCACGGTGCTATTCACAATAGCAAAGACTTGGAACCAACCCAAATGTCCAACAATGATAGACTGGATTAAGAAAATGTGGCACATATACACCATGGAATACTATGCAGCCATAAAAAATGATGAGTTCATGTCCTTTGTAGGGACATGGATGAAGCTGGAAACCATAATTCTCAGCAAACTATGGCAAGGACGAAAAACCAAACACCGCATGTTCTCACTCATAGGTGGGAATTGAACAATAAGAACACATGGACACAGAAGGGGAACATCACACACTGGGGACTGTTGTGGGGTGGGGGAAGTTGGGAGGGATAGCATTAGGAGATATACCTAATGCTAAATGACGAGTTAATGGGTGCAGCACACCAACATGGCACATGTATACATATGTAACAAACTTGCACGTTGTGCACATGTACCCTAAAACTTAAAGTATAATAATAATAAAATTAAAAAAATGAAACAATATAATACATATTTTCCATATTTGGCAAATTCTTTTACTCTGCATTATTTTTCTGAGGTATAACCATATTATATGTGGGACAGTAGTTTATTTTCATTATTGCATAATAGTATATTGAATTAATATTCTACAAATGATTTATCCATTCTACTGATGTCAAGAATTTGTGTTGTTTCCCAGTTTTATGGGAAATAACACAAATTTATTGGATTATTACGAATGGTGCCACTGTGAACATTATTGTGTATATGTGCATATATTTCTTTTTGAACTATACCTAAAAATGAAATTGGTTAATAGGAAATGTGTACATTTAACTTTAGCATGCAATGTAGTTCTTCCAATGTCTATATTCAACTTTAGCATATAATATAGTCTTCCAACTTACGGCCCACCTAAGTTCTTCCAACTTAGGCCTCCCACATTTTCACCAATACTTAATATTATCATTCTTGCTATTTTAGCCACTCCAACTCTTATTGATATCTTTTTGTGATTTTGATTTTCATTTTTCCTGATGTGTTATAATCCTTGGCATCTTTTCACCTGGAGATCTTCTTTTATGTAATATCTATCTAAGTCTCTGAAAACATCTTCTCTCAGCCCATGGCTTCCCTTTTCACTCAAAATGTCTTTGATAATTAGACGTGTTTCTTTTTAATGTCTTCTCTTTTGCCACTAGTCTTTTATATGTACTGGTTAAGAAATTTTTGCCTACCTCAAAGTTCTGAAAATATTCCTCTGTAGTTTCTTTTGGAAGTCTCATTGTTTTATTTTTCACATTTAGATCTATCATATACATATAATTAATTTTGTGTATTATATGAGGGTATCTTCTTTTACATTATTTCTATCTAGATGACCCATCTAGATTGGTTATTGGAATGACCATCCCTTCTCCACTGCTTTGCAGTGATAGCTTTCTCATGAATCAAATATTTGTACATGCAAAGACGTTACTGGATTGCCTCCTAGGTCCTATTTGTCTAGGCATATATTCTGTTGGCAATAGCACGCTTTGTTAATTACTAGAGTGTTAAAAAACTCTTGACATCTCTGAAGTCTTTTAATTCTGTTTTTCTTCAGTGTTGTCTTGGCAAATTTTTGCCCATTTAATTTTTATTGTATGTTGGAATTAGCTTGTCAATATTTACCAAAACAAAAAACAAACAAACAAAAAATAACCCCACAAACATCTGAATTTGACTGTGAAGGATTTGAATTAAAAAATCAATTTGGGGAGAATGGACACAGTTATTGTATATTTATGACATATTAATATATTTTATTTCTGTGATTATTTAGATCAGGGGTCAACAAACTATAGTCTATAGGATAAATATGTATCCTCTGCCTGTTTTTGAAAAAAAGTTTTATGGGAGCACAGTCACACCTATTGGTTTACACATTGTCTATTTCTGTGTTGGCATTATAATGCAGAATTGGGCAGTTATGATATAGACCAGCTAGCTACAAAGGCTAAAATACTTATTACTTGATCCTTACAGAAAAAGTTGGCTGGACCCTGATTTGGATGCTTATTTCTTTCCATAATGTGTTATATTGTTCTGAATAGAGATGCTTTACATGTTTTCTTAGATTAATTCCTAGAAATGTAATATATTTGGATACTATTGTAGATGATATCATTTAAAATTTCATTTTTTGTTTGTCGATGTATAAAAAAACTACTGATTTTTGCATATCGACCTTGTATCCAGTCTGTAAGTTCTTTTTGATTTTCTATGTGTGAATTCTATCAGTCTGTATTTCTTCCTTGCTACTTCTCATACATTTTATTAAATTGTGACAGAGTCAAACTAAAGTAGCAACCGAACTGTCACCCAGCTCAATTAATAATTAGTTCAAAAATAGCCAGCCATTCATCCCACCTGCTTAATAGAGGACAAGGGATGCTCTTTATGAAGGAACATAACATTTACTCCAGTCTCTATTGTTCTTTCTGGCATAAATAAAACAATGATGAGACATATGAAAAAGGTGAAAAATATGATCCATAATTAAAGATAACTATATAGACCAGTCCCCAGATGATCCAGATGCTGGAATTAGCAGCAAAGACTATAAAATGAATATAAAATTTGTTAAGGAAAGCAGAAAAATGACAATATTGATAAAAAGATGGCAATTTCAACAGATAAATACAATCTATAAAAAATTTTCAAGTGAATATTATGGATCTGAAAAGAAAAGCAATAACTAATTTAAGAACTCATGGGAATGGTTTAACATTAGATTGTACATCCTAGATAACATTGAGGAACTCAAAGTCAAGTGAATATAAATTACCAAAACATAGAAAAATATGAATGAATGAAGAATTCAATAGACTAGAAATATGATGGCGGTCTGAGAAGATTATAATATAGCACTATCACTGTATCTTTTCTATGTTTAGATACAAAAATACTATTGTATTACAATGGCCTGCAGTACTCAGCACAGTAAAATGCTATACAAGTTTGTAGGCTAGGAGCAATAGGCTACACCATATAGCCTAAGTGTGCAATAGGCTATTGTACACTTTCCATTTAGGTTTGCAGAAATATACTCTATGATGTTTACACAATGATGAAATTACCTAATAATGAAATTTTCAAAACATATATTCCCTTTGTTAAGTGTTGCATGACAGTATATATAAGTAAAGTCCCAGGAAGAAAGGAGAAAGAGAATGAGACTTAAGCAACAATTGAAGAGATAATAGGCAAGAGATGTGAGAGGTTCAGCAAACTCCACACAAGATAAATATAAAGAAAAATTATGAAAATCAGACATTGAGAAAATCCTAAATGAAACATAAGGGAAAAAATAAAAAAAAATTTTAAATCACATTCTGTTCCCTTCACTTAGTGAGACCATTAGGCTCTATTTTGGTTCCCCTTTCTTTACTACAGCTTTGAAATTGCCTCTAAACACAAGCTGGTAAAAGCATAAGGTTTACCTTGCTTATTTGTTTTCTTGTTATCCAGGATTATAGCCCTACATTGCCTGTTACTCAGGGTCCGAAAATCAATTTTCATATATATATTTTTTGCTTTCCATTTGTTTATGGTACGATGGTAAATCTGGTTCCTATTTCTGTATCTTGGGTAGAAACAGAAGTTGTTATTGTTTCCTCTTCATATATACTTCTTGAGCTCATAAGCTATGGCATTTTCATTAGGTTTAGAGTTTTCTTAGCTGATTATTTGTCCCCTTATTCTAAGAGTCCAGGTGTGTCAGACCTTGTTAGTGTGTCTTTTAAGTGTTTTGTTATTTTACTTTTTTGTATTTTTTGTGCTTTTAATATATGCTTATCCTGAACACTCTCTCCCCATCTACTTGTCTTCCAAATCACTAATTCTCTCTTCAGCTTCTCTGAGATATAGGGAAAAAAAAGCATTGAGAAATAAAGAAAAAAAGTATTTAGAATACTTTTGTGGCCTCTGGTCACCAAAATTTGTGGGGATTTCTCCCTACCAGCAACCAATTGATTCTGTAGTAGATTCTTCAGCAGACAATAGCTGGTATACTCTTATTCAACTCAATTCTTACACTATCTACCTGTAGATAGCATCAGATCCCATAGGTTGAGGACTCAATCCCACAAGACCTCCCCCGCTGCAGGTGCTAGTTGCAAATAGTAGGTTGTAACCTGGGCATCTGATGACCAGCTATAAATTGGGGGTTCCCATGACCTCCTTCTCTGGGAAACACTTTATTTACATTTAAACCAGTTTATTATAAAGGATATTACAAAGATGAACAGCCAGATGGAAGAGGTGCATAGGGCAAGGCACATGAGAAGGAGTGTGGAGTTCCTATACCCTCTCTGAATACCCATCCCCCAGGAACTTCCATGTGTTCCACTGTTTCAAAGCTCATCTGAAGCAAGTTACTTTAGGTTTTGATGAAGGCTTCATTACATATGGATGGTTGATTACATCACTGGGCATTAGTGATAAACTCAACCTTTAGCCCCTTTTTCCTCTCCAGAGGTTAGGGGTGGGTCTGAATGTTCCAAGCTTTTAATCACATGGTGAGTTGCCCCTGGCAACCAGCCCCTATCCTGAGGCTATCCAGAAGCCCACCAAGAATTGCTTCATTAGAAGAAAAGATTCTCCTATCACCCAGGATATTCCAAGGGATTGGAAGGAGCGCTGTGTTGGGAACCAAGGGGCAAAGGCCAAATGTTATAACAGAAGATTCTCCTAGCACCCTGGTCTACAAGGGTATCAGGAGCTATCTCTCAGGAACCAGAACAGAGACCACACATTAGAAGAAATAATTCTAGCACTCCTATTGCTTAGGACATTATAAGAGTTTTAGGAACTCTGTGCCAAGTACTTTGGACAGAGACCATTATATATATTTTTTATTATTTCACAATTGTAACTTAATCTGAATATAGTATTTAGATTAATACAAATTTGTTCTTAAATTTATCCATTGGATTCTTAATTTTGATTATTGTATTTTTGATTTTGGAATTTTGATCTGATTCACTTCTTTTGTGATTCCTGAGAGTTTTTTAGGAAAATATTTCCAATCTTGATATATTTCCTTGAAAATATTTGGCATAGTTTTCAACAAGTCCACTATCTAGTTAGCTGATTCAACATTTAGTTTTGATAACTTTATTATCTTGATATTTGATTGCTTTGTTTCTATTAACTAATTTCTCTCTTTCTTTCTCTCTTTCTCTTCTCCTCCCTTTCCCTCTCTCTCTCCTCTCTCTCTCTCTTTTGCTGTCTGTCTTGTCACAATTTTTGTCTCTGTTTTGTGTCTGTTTATTTTTGGTTGAGCACAAGATATTGTATATAAACAATTCTAGAGATAATAAACTAAGATAATGTTATTTTTCTTCAGTGAAGCTTTACTTTTGCATCTGACAAGTGGCTGGGAGCACAAACAATTGGGATAAACTTAATCTAATTTCAGGGCTTGAGATTATTGAACTTTCTTCATTTTTTGAGGGTTGGTATATTACTGAGTTATCTTTGTTCTTAAGGTACAGCTTTTTGGGTTCCTAATATAAAGCACTGGAATCTTGGATTTCAAGTTTTGTCTTTCTACCTTACAAGTTGTTCAAAAGCACTTCTTAGGTTCTGAGCTGCTTAGCTACTCTTCCAGGATCTATGCACCCTCTTACATTTGAAGTTGCCCCAAATGCTAGATTTGTCTCTCTCTGCCCTTTTCTCCTACATTTTTGGTTTATAATTTTTTTACAGCCTCCTTTTTTCTCATAGCTTCAAGTTATCTTGTAAAAATTATTTTGTCTAACTTTTCTATTTGTTTTCAGTGGGAAGATTTGCTTGAATTACCTATTTTGCAAATATTACTAAGCAGATTTTAAAAATAACTATTATGTAAGGCTGGGCGCGGTGGCTCATGCCTGTAATCCCAGCACTTTGGGAGGCCTAGGCGGGCGGATCACAAGGTCAGGAGATTGAGACCATCCTGGCTAACATGGTGAAACCCTGTCTGTACTAAAAATGCAAAAATTAGCTGGGCGTGGTGGCGGGTGCCTGTAGTCCCAGCTACTTGGGAGGCTGAGGCAGGAGAATGGCGTGAACCCAGGAGGTGGAGCTTGCAGTGAGCTGAGATCACGCCACTGCACTCCTGCCTGGGTGGCAGAGGGAGACTCCATCTCAAAAAATAAATAAATACATAAATAAAAACTATTGTGTTAAATTGAAATTTGGATGCTTGTAACGGAAAACTCAAATCAGATACTTAAGTAAGAGAGACTTGTATTTTTTTCACATTAAAGAAGTCTAGAAATAACCCATTCAATGCATGCTTAGCATTTCTGTGGTCATTATGGACCTAGGACATTTTTATATTTCTTCTCTACGAGGCTTAGCATGTGGTTTCCATTCTCAAGTTGTCACAGGGTCTGAAGTGGCTGTCAGAACTCTATCCATATTTGAAGCACAAATAAAAGAATGAGAAAAAGAAAATCTACCAGTTTTCTGTCTTTTAGAGGGGTGTTCTCTGAAGTTCCACTCAAGAAATTTTGCTTTTTTTTTTTTCTATTAACCGAAACGTAGTCTCATGATCATCTAGCTGTTAAAGGAAGTGGGGAAATGTACTGTTATCTGGGAAGTAGCTTCAAAAAGAATTGGGGTTATGTTGTTAAGGGTAAAGTAGAATATATTAGACAAGCAAATTGTAATCCCTGGTGTAGCTTCCCAGTATGCAGTCATGTGATGTTATAGAATTTATTTGTTGTTGCACATTGATGGTTTTTTCTAACATTTTCATTAACATAAGCACATTGTGAGGAACTTGATTATGTAACATTGTCCATATGTAAATGTTCTTATGTCCTACTTTAAAACATCTTTATATTATACCTTAGGCATTGTTTTATGACATTGAACATTATTCAAAAAATCTATGACTGCAAATTATTTCTTTATATGTGTAGACTATAAGTTACTGTATTATTGTTTATTGTTGGACATGTAGTTTGCATCCATTATTTTGCTACTACAAGTATAGTACTATAAACAACATTTCCCCTACACTTTTTTACATCTCTAATTATTTCCTAGGATAATTTTAAAAGTAGAAGTATTTGTTCATAGATATTAACACTTTTGACCTGGCCATCTTTGGGGGCTGTTATTCAACCTACTGCAATATTTATACCAATTGAAACTCCCACTAACAATATGGTGGAATTGCTCTTAATGTGCTTTCACCAGGACTAAACTCTGCCTTTAAAACAAACAATTTTAGTAATTTTGTAAGTGAAAAATAATCTCATTGATTTAATTCATATTTAAAAATTTGTGTTCATATGTTTTGGTAATATATTTCTTTGGTGAATTATCTATTCCTGTCTCTTGTCTACTTTTCTATTGGATTACTAGATCTTTTCTTTGCTAATTCAAATAACTCTATATAAAAATTATATTTACCCTCCATCTGCAGTAAATGTGTTAGAGATTTTCCCCAGCTCACTTTTTGATTTTCAATGTAGTTGATAATAGTTTGTGTGTAGATATGAGCTTAATCGTAATATACTTAAACCTATAGATTTTCCTTTGTGGTTTCTTGTGTTATATGCTGTAATTATCTTTCCTCCAAAACAGATCAGTTAAATATTCACCTGTCTTTTCTTGGAGGGTTTTTTTTTCATGATTTCATGCATTTTTAAGTAAAAACATATTTCTTTCTCATGTGAGAATTTGAGTTAACACATTATCCTTAAGATGAGGACTCTACAGAGGGCAAAGTCCAGACTGCATATCTCTAATGCCAAGTACAATGTGATATGGTTTGGCTGTGTCCCCACCCAAATCTTATCTTGAATTGTAGCTCTTATAACCCATGTGTTGTGGGAGGGACCCAGTGGGAGATAATTGAATCATGGGGGGGTGATTTCCCTCATACTTTTTTAGTGGTAGTACATAAGTCTCACAAGATCTATCTGATGGTTTTATAAGGGGCTTCCCCTTTCACTTGGCTCTTATTCTCTCTTGCCTGCTGCCATGTAGGACATGCATTTCACCTTTTGACATGATTGTGAGGCCTCCCCAACCACATGGAACTGTGAGTCCATTAAACCTTTTTTTTTTTAAATAAATTACCCAGTCTTGAGTATGTCTTTATCAACAGCATGAAAACAAACTAATACAATAAGCTGGTACTGATAGAGTGGGGCACTGCTGTAAAGATACCTGAAAATGTGGTAGCGACATTGGAACTGGGTAACAGGCAGAGGTTGGAACAGTTTAGAGGGCTCAGAAGAAGACAGGAAAATGTGGGAAACTTTGGAACTTCTTAGAGACTTGTTGATTGGCTTTGATTAAAGTGCTGATCATAATATGGACAATGAAATCCAGGCTAAGGTTGTCTCAGATGGAGATAAGGAACTTGTTGGGAACTGGAGTAAAAGTAGCTCTTGCTATGTTTTAACAAAGAGACTGGCCACATTTTGCTCCTGCCCTAGAGATTTGTGAAATTTTGAACTTGAGGAAGAAGATTTAGGGTATCTGGCAGAAGAAATTTCTAAGCAGCAAAGTATTCAAGAGGTGACTTGGGTGCTAATAAAAGCATTCAGTTTTAAAAGGGAAACAGAGCCTAAAAGTTTGGAAGATTTGCAGCCTGATGATATGATAGAAAAGAAAAACCCATTCTGAGGAGAAATTCAAGTCAGCTACAGAAAGTTGCATAAGTAACAAGGAGTCAAATGTTAATCACCACGAAAATGGGGAAAAATGTCTCCAGGGCATATCAGAGGTTTTCACGGTAGCTCCTCCCATCACAGGCCCAGAGGCCCAGGAGGAAAAAATGGTTTCATGTGCTGGGCCCAGGGTTCTCATGCTGTGTGCTGCATAGGGACTTGGTGACCTGCATCCCGGATACTCTAACCATGGCTCAAAAGGGATAAAGTATAGCTTGGGCTGTGACTTCAGAGGATGCAAGCCCAAGCCTTGGCAGCTTTCATGTGATGTTGAACCTGAGGTTACACAGAAGTCAAGAATTGAGGTTTGGGAAGGCTGGGCATGGTGGCTCATGCCTGTAACCCCAGCATTTTGGGATGCTGAAGTGGGTGCATCAACTGAGATCAGGAGCTTGAGACCAGCCTGACCAACATGGAGAAACCCTGTCTCTACTAAAAATACAAAAAATTAGCTGGGTGTGGTGGTGCATGCCTGTAATCCCAGCTACTTGGGAGGCTGAGGTGGGAGAATCACTTGAACCTGGGAGGTGGAGGTTGCAGTGAGATGAGATCCCACCATTGCACTCCAGCCTGGGCAACAAGAGCAAAACTCCATCTGAAAAAAAAGAAAAAAGAATTGAGGTTTGGGAACCCCTGCCTAGATTTCAGAGGATGTATGTCCAGGCAGAAGTCTACTGCAGGGGCAGAGGCCTCAGGGAGAACCTGAGGGAAACATGGGGTTGAAGCTCCCACACTGTGTCCCCAATGGGGAACTGACTAGTGGAGCTGTGAGAAGAGGGCCACTATTCTCCAGACCCCAGAATGGTAGATCCACTGACAGCTTGCATGGTGCACCTGGAAAAACTGCAGACATTCAACACCAGCCCATGAAAACAGCCAGGATAAAGGCTATACCCTGCAAAGCTACAGGGTGGAGCTGCTCAAGACCATGGGAACCCACCTCTGGCATCAGCATGACCTGGATATGAGACATGGAGTCAAAGGAGAACATTCTGGAGCTTTAATATTTGACTGCCCCACTGGATTTCAGACTTGCATGGGGCCTTTAACCCCTTCATTTTGGCCAATTTCTTCCATTTGGAATGGGTGTTTTTATCCAATGCCTGTACCCCCATTGTATCTAGGAAGTAACTAACTTGCTTTTGATTTTACAGACTGATAGGCAGAAGGGACTTGCCTTGTCTCAGATGATATTTTGGAATGTGGACTTTTTAGGTCATGCTGAAATGAGTTAAGACTTGGGGGACTGTTGGGAGTGCATGACTGGTTTTGAAATGTGAGGACATGAGATTTGTGAGGGGCCAGGGATGGAATGATATGGTTTGGCTGTATCCCCACCCAAATGTCACCTTAAATTGTAGCTCCCATAATCCCCATGTGTCATGGGAGGGAACTGGTGGGAGATAATTGAATCATGGGGGCAGTTTCCCCCATACTGTTCTCATGGTAGTGAATAAGTCTCATGAGATCTGATGGTTTTATAAGAGTGTATTAGTCTGTTTTCACACTCCTGATAAAGACATACCTGAGACTAGGCAATTCACAAAAGAAAGAGGTTTATTGGACTTACGGTTCCACATGCCTGGAGAGGTCTCACGATTATGGTGAAAGTCGAGGAGGAGCAAGTCACATCTTACATGGATGGCAGTAGGCAAAAAGAGAGAACTTGTGCAGGGGAATTCCTCTTTTTAAATCATCAGATGTCGTGAGATTTATTCATTATCATGAGAACAGCATGGGAAAGACTTGTCCCATGATGCAATTACCACCGACCAGTTCCCTTCCACAACACATGGGAATTCAAGATGAGATTTGGGTGGGGACACAGCCAAACCTATCAAATGGGTTTACTGTTTCACTTGGCTCTCATTCTCTCTTGCGTCCCTGCATGTAAGTTGTGCCTTTTGCCTTCCACCATGATTATGAGGCCTCCCCAGCCAAGTGGAACTGTGAGTCCATGAAACCTCTTTTTCTTTATAAATTACCCAGTCTTGGGTATGTCTTTATCCGCAGCATGAAAAGGGACTAATACACAATGCTTGGTCTAACAAATACATAATACGTGCATTGACATGAATATGTACAGAATTAAGCTGTCTTTGTGTATTTATTTCTCCAAATGCTCTGTATCTGTGTCATTGATTTTCCCAAGATCCTGTGTATTTGTTGAGTGTGGGCCTAAATCCTCATGGTGTCTTCCTTTGACAATTAATATAGTCATTCTAGTGTTAAAAATTTTCCTGGCAGAGTCTACATAAGTAACTTTCTTGCCAGTGACTTTGTGGTAAAACAAGTTGGGAAGTTTGGGGAAAATCAGAGAGAGATGAGAGTGTTGAACAGGGTGCACAGCCTTTTCTGTTTTCCCTATGGCGGATTTATGCTGATGCTAATGAAGCTAATCTTCAAGCCCTTCACTTTTAATGTATTTACATAGTCATATATTTTTGCAAAATTTAGAAAAGTGAGGCATTTTAACCACAACTGATTGAAACAACTGTCTTTTTACATCCTGACTTTTGCACCTTCATACTTTTTGTGTTCGGTGGAGTTGAAGAGCAGCAATTTTAGTAGAAATACATTTAGTTTAGATTTAATGGTATATGTGTGATTTGCAGTCATAGCGAATATGTTGCTATCTGTCCGAGCATGGGGATACTTCTAGGCATACCGTCTTCTGTGAGAAATCGCCTGGTATTGTGACAGCATGGTACAGAACAAGAGGACTAAGAAATGTGGTTGTGGAGGAAAAATAAGGTTAAAAATGTATTAAAGCAGAAGCTCATTACTTGAAAATCCAGACTTACAGCTCTCATATGAAAGAAAATGTACCACCCATAATAAAATTTTACATTGCCTTTAATGGGTTGTAAAGTTGAAATAAAATCTTCTAAACAGCCAATAAGAAGGAACATTATTCCTATTTGCAGATTTACAGAAAAGACTATTATCTTTTTGCTCTTTCTATAGAAGATTACATGACAATATTATTGTATTATGAAGAGGTGATTGGAGAAAATACAGTCACAGAATGTAAGAAATGTATAGGTAATGAATTTTAAAATATTGTGCAATTTTTTTCTGGGCTTTGTGATGTTTGTGGTACTTCTCAGGATTTTAAAATTTGTAATTTGTTGCAAGCTTTTTTCACGTTCTGAATAACTATAGACTTTTTACCTAATTTTTGTATTTATAAATGTGTAATACCTTTTTTCTTAAAGAGGGCCCCCAAATTATAGAAGCTTCAGGCCTCAAAAAACCTGGATTTTTCCCCCATGTTCTTCCATATCCTACCTTATTCACTAAGAATCATTGGTAGAGGAATCCCAATTTGTCAACCAAAGTCCTCAGATCTGTGAAGTCAACAAAACTCAGAGTGCCTGAGATTTTTGTGCTCAGTAAGAGTAGTGCTCCTCACTTACTTTTGAGCAGGATGGGAAGAGGAGGAGTGATACTAGCATTGCGGCAGGTGAAACTGCTTGCCTGAGCCTTGCAATGACAAAGATTGCCTGCCTCTAAGTCTGGGACAGTCTCATCAATCAACCTGTGCTTGAACTATTAGCACTGTCAGCTTCCACTTAAGAGATGATAATTCAAGGGTAGCTTTCCTCATCCACTGAAACTCCCTCCATCAAAAGAACAAAACCCTTAATCAGAAGGAGGGGCAGGAGTGCCTATCTCTGGCAAAAAGAACAGGCCCTGTCTACTTTCAGTCTACACTTCTTGAACTCAATTTTGCATGACTCTGAAAAAGATCCTCAGTAGAAGCCCTTGACTTGCTGGTACAGGAGTTCAGGCAGGGTTCATGTCCTTTGCTTTGGAAGGGAGTGGTTGTGATGCCAGGAACAGGAAGGTTCCAATATTGCCGGTATGATGATGTCTGATTGAAAAGAATAATCATGAACACATGCCCATATTTTTTTTTGCACATGCATTTTCTTTGTGGGATGGGCAGAAATGAATTGCTGGCTGAATGTACCAGAAATGAAAGCCAGTTGTTAAGCTTTGCTCTCACTTGGTAACAGGTGGAAAGACTGTAATGTGTTTCTGGGAGTTATGAGAATTATTTAGATCTGAAAGCAGGGTTGTAATTTTTTGACCATAAAATAAATGGAATAGACATCTAGAGAGTATCATGTAACCCCTGATATTATTAAAAATATCAAGCATTTACATCATTTGAAGAAAAATCACAGTGCAAGTGGACACTTCATAGAGTCCCAGCAACTAGAATGGTTGTCATTTCTACAAAGATTCACAGAAATTTATGCTACTGATGAATAATTTTTTTAAAATTTGGGTGCTTATATAGTTTTAAAAATTATTTTGAAAACAAAGGCCTGGAAATCTGCTTCCTAACTTTCCATTTCTCTTAAAGGTTATGATATCTTATTGCAATGGGGAGCCCCATGACCAATATCACTGAGTTTCATCGCTGTAGAAAGAACAGAGATTTCTCTTTTGGGGTGAAAACAGGGGAAAGGCATCTCAGTTGGCCTCTTTTAAGTCCTTTTCTCCTTACCTCCACTCCTAGATCATCCAGGGAATTAAAACTCTGCCTGTTGGCCACTTAAATTAATGAAATTGCTTGTGTCTAATACAGAAACATTGCCTCTGTGTGCTCTAGATACATATATGAATAGAACTTCTGTGAATGCCTCCCTGTCCTGGGCATCATGGTAATCTATGTAAATCACAGATTGGCTTTAAAATTCTCATCACCAGAAACCCACAGTGAGAAGGGTTGAAGGGATGTAAAAGATGAACAGGCTATCCTTTGGCCACAAAATTGGCTGATTGAAAATAAACTCCCAATTATTCTTTTAAAAAAGCCTGTCTTTCATGTGAAGGGGTGTCCTTGTTGGCCTGCTTTACAACTTTATTATTTTCTTTAAAGCAAGACCAATGTAAAAGAGAGTTTAGTCCTCTGCTTTTTTTTTTCTTAACTTATCCCATTTCAGCCAATTTATTGTACTGATTAGTATTAATATGCGTTCTAAATGACAGGGATAATTTTGTTTGCCAGGGGACATCTGACAATATTGAAGACATTTTTGATTGTCGTAACTGGGTCGGGGATGGGGTGGTGCTACTGGCCTCTAGTGAAGACAGACCAGGGATGCTACTAGACATTCTACAATGTACAAGACAGCCTCGAATTATCCAACCCAATATGTCAATAGTGCTTAGTTAGAGAAACCTGGCCAAAAATAGTGTACATAAAGTAGAAAGAATGAAATCTTTTTGACGATGATATGTTGAAAAAGTTTTACAGGCAATTGAAAATGCATCCTTTCTAACGTGAGCTCCCAGGTCTCTTGTGTCATTGTTAGTTATGACTACATCAACTGGCTTGAGTAAAACAGGTTCTGATTTTGGACTCTTATCTTTTATTGTTACTTAAGAAGGAGAAATGGGTTGGGATGGACAGCCTCACCTCTATTGGCTGTCGTAGGATGGAGTAATGCAGTTGCTGTTTTACAGTAGTCAGTCAGTTGGTATAAAATCTGCCAGGCATGTGAAAGTATCTGTAATTTTTATAACTTTTGTAAATAGGCTAGAGATCATGGTGTCCCCTGCATTTGTTCTTACGCAAAAGTCTTGTTTACTCTCACTTAGGAAACATTTGTTTCAATTTGTTACATAACCTTATAGATTAAATTCTAAATATAGAAGTCACAGATGATATTATTTAATAATTTCTTGAGAGTTTGGATGACTAAAAGCAACTTCATGGGCTTGCTAGGAATGCATCTGGAATATATAACCACTCATAATAGAAGGATTTTGATGAAATTAACCTAATTGTTCTTTAAGTTAAAGATCCAATATTAATCTTAAATCACACAACACATCCACCTCATTCAACATATATCTTAGTCTCTCTGTTATACTCATGTCTTGAAAAAAATCAGTTAATTCAAATCTTGGGACCATTCCTCAGTTTCACAACTATAGTGGGATATTAGAGGAATACTAGAAACATGATTTTAATGCCAGAAATTGGTCTTGTAAGAAAGAGGCTAAATGAAGGAGCGTAATTCAGCCTATGGAATGTAACAGTGATATGAAATCACTTAGAATATGGAGGCCTATTGGAAAGGGCAAAAACAAAGCTAATATCTACTTCTGAAGGAGGCAGGGCAAAAGGACATGGATGATTTATTAATTAGAAGGAACATTTCTTGAGAGTGAGGTGGTCAAATATTGTAGTATGTGATGGTTAATACTGAGTGTCAACTTGACTGGATTGACAGATGCAAAGTATTGTTCCTGGGTGTGTCTGTGAGGGTGTTACCAAAGGAGATTAACATTCCAGTCAGTGGGCTGGGGAAGGGAGACCCACCCTTAATCTGGTGAGCACAATCTAATCAGCTGCCAGCAAATATAAAGCAGGCAGAAAAACGTGAAGAGGTGAGACTGGTCTAGCCTCCCAGCCTACATCTTTCTTCAGTGCTGGATGCTTCCTGCCCTCAAACATCGGACTCCAAGTTCTTCAGTTTTGAGACTCAGACTGACTGTCCTTGCTCCTCAAGCTTGCAGACAGCCTATTGTGGGACGTTGTGATCATGTAAGATAATAAACTCTCCTTTGTATATATCCTATTAGTTCTGTCCCTCTAGAGAACCCTGACTAATACAGATTTTGGTACCAGGAGTGATTCTAGAGGAACATAATATTAAGGATGAAGTTCTTTCATTGCTTTTAGGGTTTCTAGAGTTAGCTGCTTAATATGATTATAACCAAAAATGCTAAGGACTCTAATTCTAATAGTGTGAAGAACAGTGATAGCTCTTGACATGAACTGTTTAGAGAGTTATGCAAAATTAATGCATTTGCCACTCCTGATTCACAGCTCATGAGAGGTAAGGAGTTTAGTGACTCTGTACATCATACCTTTGACCATATGTGGAGAATCAAGGAACATAATGAAGCTGATTTGTTCCTCCTAAGTTCAGTGGGGAAAGTAATGAAAGAAAATGATGAATTCAGGGATTCTGTCTCCTGGCCTCAAAAGCAGATATTGAGCCTCAAATCTGCTAAGATTGCCCTCAGTGAGTCTCATCTCCTATAGAGAAAGAGCTGAAATTGTGGAAAAACAGACACAAGCTCATATTATACGAGTGGCTGACCTGCAGTGAAAGGTGCATGCACAGCCTCACCAGGTGTCTACTGTTAAAGTGAGGGCATTGACTGGAAAAGAATGGGACCCTGAAATTTGGAATGGGGATGTGTTGGAGGACCCTGATGAAGCTGGGGACGCTGAGTTTGTAAACTGTGATGAAACTTCTTTGCCAGAAGGAACAGCTTCCCCATTCCCAGTAGTGGCCACATCCCCGCCTCGACCCATGCTGCCATTAGTCTTTCCACCTTTGTCTGAGGAGATAAACCCTATGCTGCCTGAGGCAACAGCGATGGCCTCCCCTGAGGCAATTGCCAGGAAAAATAACGTTGATTCTCCTCAGGAGCTACCCCCAACACCCCTGTTTGCTTCTAGACCTATAACTAAAGTCCTAGCAGGCCCCTAGAGGTGAGGTTGAGAGTGTGACTCATGAGGAGGTGCGCTACATTCAAAAAGAACTGTTTGAGTTCTTTAATTTATATAAACAGCAATCTGGAGAACAGGCATGGGAATGAACATTAATGGTATGAGTTAATGGTGGAAGGAACAGAGTTGGATCAGGCTCAATTTATTGATCTGGGCCCACTAAGTAGGAACTCTGCATTTAATGTTGCAGCTCTGGGAGCTAAAAAAATGTTCTAATAGTTTATTTGCTTGGTTAGCTGAAATATAGATTAAAAGATGGCACACTGTGAGCGAGCTAGAAATGCCTGATCTTCCTTGGCTTAATGTAGAGGAAGGGATCCAAAGGCTTAGGGAGATTGGGATGGTGGAGTGGATTAGTTACTTCAGACCTACTTATCCCAGCTGGGAGGGTCCAGAAGATATACCCTTGACCAATGCCTTGCAAAATAGATGTGTGAGGGCAGCACCTGCATCTTTGAAGAGCCCTATAATTGCTCTTCTTTATATGTCAGATCTAACAGTGAGAACCACAGTCACTCAACTATAAAATTTAAGTACAATGGGAATAATGGGATCCCAAGGTGGCAGGGGCCAAGTGGCAGCACTCAACCATCAAAGGCAAAGTGGATGTAGCTATTGTAATGGACAGTAGAGACAAAGCAGCAATCAGAATAATCTGACTTGTGTAGAGCTCTGGCATTGGCTAATTAATCATGGTGTTCCTAGAAGTGAAATTGATAGGAAGCCTACTGCATTCCTACTTAATTCATACAAGCAGAAAACTTCTAGGTTGAATGGACAAAAGGCTAATTTGAATTATAAAAACGGAGAATCATGGCCCCTCAATCAATTTCCAGACTTGAGCCAGTTTACAGACCCAGTACTCCTTGAATGAAGGGGAGGCTGGGTCCCCTTGAGGTTAGGACCCCACTACATTATGGACAGTTTATGCAGTGAATCTTTCTCCCATCCTTCCCTAAGGAGACCTCCAACCTTTTACCAGGGTAGCTGTGCATTGGAGAAAGGGCAATAATCAGACATTTTGGGGACTACTTGACACTGGCTCTGAGCTGATGTTGATTCCAGGGGACCCAAAATGTCATTGTGGTCCTCCAGTTAAAGTAGGGACTTATAGAGGTCAGATAATTAATCGAGTTTTATCTCAGGTCCAACGTATAGTGGGTCCAGTGGGTCCCCAGACTCATCCTGTGGTCATTTCCCCAGTGCCAGAATGCACAATTGGTATAGACATACTTATTAGCTGGCAGAACCCCCACATTGGCTCCCTGCCTGGTAGGGTGAGGGCTATTATGGTGGGAAAAGCCAAATAGAATCCATTAGAGCTGGCTCTACCTAGAAAAATAGTAAATCAAGACAATATCACATCCCTGGAGGGATTGCAGAGATTAGTGCCACCATCAAGGGCTTGAAAGATGCAGGGGTGGTGATTCCCACCACATCCCCATTCAACTCTCCCATTTGGTCTGTGTAGAAGACAGACGGATCTTGAAGAATGACAGTGGATTATCATAAGCTTAACCAAGTGGTCACTCCAAATGCATCTGCTGTACCAGATGTGGTTTCATTGCTTGACCAAATTAACACATTTCCTGGTACCTGGTATGCAACCACTGACTTGGCAAATGCCTTTTTCTCCATTCCTGTCCATAAGGCTCACCAGAAGCAATTTGCTTTCAGCTGGCAAGACCAGCAATATACATTTACTGTCCTACTTCAGGGGTATATCAACTCTCTGGCTTTGTGTCATAATCTTATTCGGAGCAACCTTGATTGCTTTTTGCTTCTGCAAGATATCACACT
Organism: Homo sapiens; assembly: GCF_000001405.40. NCBI lineage: Eukaryota > Metazoa > Chordata > Mammalia > Primates > Hominidae > Homo > Homo sapiens. The sequence continues at coordinate 80,228,122 of NC_000014.9, read as the reverse complement.
GGTCCATTACACTGATGACATTATGCTGATTGGATCCAGTGAGCAAGAAGTAGCAAACACACTGGACTTATTGGTGAGACATTTGTGTGTCAGAGGATGGGAAATAAGTCCGACTAAAATTCAGGGACCTTCTACCTTAGTAAAATTTCTAGGGGTCCAGTGGTGTGGGGCCTGTAGAGATATTCTTTCTAAGGTAAAGGATAAGTTGCTGCATTTGGCCCCTCCTACAACCAAGAAAGAGGCACAACGCCTAGTGGGTCTATTTGGATTTTGGAGGCAACACATTCCTCATTTGGGTGGGCTACTCCAGCCCCTTTATCTAGTGATTCAAAAGGCTGCCATTTTTGAGTGGAATCCAGAACCGGAGAAGGTTCTGCAAAAGGTCCAGGCTGCTGTGCAAGCTGCTCTTCCACTTGGGCCATATGACCCAACAGATCCAATCATGCTTGAGGTGTTAGTGGCAGATAGAGATGCTGTTTGGAGCCTTTGGCAGGCCCTCATAGGTGAATCACAGCAGAGGCCTGTAGGATTTTGGAGCATGGCCCTGCCATCTTCTGCAGATAACTACTCTCCTTTTGAGAGACAGCTCTTTGCCTGTTCCTGGGCCTTGGTGGAAACTGAATGTTTGACTATGGGTCATCAAGTCACCATGCAACCTGAATTGCCTATCATGAACTGGATGCTTTCTGACCCATCTAGCCATAAAGTGGTTCAGGCACAGCAGCATTGTATCATCAAATGGAAGTGGTATATACATGATTGAGCTCGAGCAGGTCCTGAAGGCATAAGTAAGTTACGTGAGAAAGTGGCTCAAATGCCCATGGTCTCCACTCCTGCCACCCTGCCTTCTCTTCCCCAGCCTACACCAATGGCATCATGGGCAGTTCCCTATGATCAGTTAACGGAGGGAGAGAAGACTAGGGCCTGGTTCACAGATGGTTGTGCATGATATGCAGGCACCACCTGAGAGTGGACAGCTACAGCACTGCAGCCCCTTTCTAGGACATCACTGGGGGACAGCAGTGGAAGGAAATCTTCCCAGTAGGTAGAACTTTGAGCAGTGTACCTGGTTGTGCACTTTTCATGGAAGGAGAAATGGCCAGATGTGTGATTACATACTGATTCATAGGCTGTAGCCAATCATTTGGCTGGATGGTCAAGGACTTGGAAGAAGGATGATTGGAAAATTGGTGACAAAGAAATGTGGGGAAGACGTATGTGGATGGATCTCTCTGGTCAAAAACTGTGAAGATATTTGTACCCCATGTGAGTGCTGACCAATGGGTGACCTCAGCAGAGGAGGATTTTAATAATCAAGTGGATAGGATGACCCATTCTGTGGACACCACACAGCCTCTTTCCCCGGCCACCCCTGTCATTGCCCAATGGGCCCATGAACAAAGTGGCCATGGTGGCAGGGTTGGAGGTTATGCATAAACTCAGCAACATGGACTTCCACTCACCAAGGCTGACCTGGCTATAGCCATTGCTGAGTGCCCAATTTACCAGCAGCAGAGACCAACACTGAGTTCTTGGTATGGCACCATTCCTTGGGGTGATCAGCCAGCTACCTGGTGGCAGGTATTATATTGGACCTCTTCCATCATGGGAAGGGCACAGGTTTGTCCTCACTGGAATAGACATTTACTCCAGATACAAGTTTGCCTATCCTGCATGCAATGCTTCCGCCAAGACTACCATCTGTGGATTCACGGAATGCCTTTTCCACCATCATGATATTCCACACAGCATTGCCCCTGACCAAGGCACTCACTTTATGGCTAAATAAGTGTGGCAGTGGGCTCACGCTCATGGAATTCACTGGTCTTACCATGTTCTCTATCATCCTGAAGCAGCTGGATTGATAGAATGGTGGAACGGCCTTTTGAAGTCACAATTACGATACCAACTAGGTGACAATACTTTGCAGGACTGTGGCAAAGTTCTCCAGAAGGCTGTGTATGCTCTGAATCAGCATCCAATATATAGTACTCTTTCTCACATGGCCGAGATTCATGGGTCTAGGAATCAAGCGGTGGAAGTGGGAGTGGCACCACTCACCATCACCCCTAGTGATCCACTAGCGAAATTTTTGCTTCCTGTTCCCGTGACATTACATTCTGCTGATTTAGAGGTCTTAATTCCAGAGGGAGGAATGCTGCCATCAGGAGACACAACAATGATTCCATTAAACTGGAAGTTAAGATTGCCACCTGGACACTTTGGGCTCCTCCTACCTTTAAGTCAACAGGCTAAGAAGGGAGTTACAGTGTTGGCTGGAGTGATTTCATCAAGATGAAATCAGTCTACTGCACCATTAAGGTGTCTCTTAGTATTACCATGCCCTGCAATTAAGGTCAATGGGAAACTATAACAGCCCAATCCAGGCAGGACTACAAATGGTCCAGACCCCTCAGGAATGAAGGTTTGAGTCACTTCACCAGGAAAAAAAACCCACGACCTGCTGAGGTGTTTGCTGAAGGCAAAAGAAATACAGAATGGGCAGTAGAAGAAGGTAATCATCAATACCAGCTATGACCATGTGAACAGCTGCAGAAACGAGGATTGTAAATGTCATGAGTATTTCTTCCTTTTGTTAAAAACGTTTGTGCGTGTATATACTTGTACTAAGATAATATCTTCATTTTATTTCCTTTTCCTTTATCATGGAGCATAAGATTTATTGACCTCATATCAGCATTTAAGTATTGTTAACTTCATGTAATAGTATTTGGTTTGGGATTGGTGTGTGTCTGGTTGTAGGAAGGAGAGTTGTATTATGTTAGGTGTAATTATGACCTTATTATTGTCTTTATTTGAAGACTATGTGTGATCTCAGGAGATGTATATGGGTTCAAGTTGGCAAGGGGTGGATTTGTGATGGTAGATACTGAGTGTCAACCTGATTGGATTGAAGGATGCAAAGTATTGTTCCTGGGTGTGCCTGTGAGGGTGCTACCAAAAGAGATTAACATTTGAGTCAGTGGGCTGGGGAAGGCAGAACCACCCTTAATCTGGTGGGCACCATATAATCAGCTGCCAGTGAATATAAAGCAGGAAGAAAAACATGAAAAGGTAAGACTGGCCTAGCCTCCCAGACTACATCTTTCTCCTGTGCTGCATGCTTCCTGCCCTCAAACATCGGACTCCAAGTTCTTCAGTTTTGAGACTCAGACTGGCTCTCTTTTCTCCTCAAGCTTGCAGACAGCCTATTGTGGGACCTTGTGATCATGTAAGTTAATACTTAATAAACTCCCCTTTATATATATCTATCCTATTAGTTCTGTCCCTCTAGGGAACCCTGAGTAATACATAGTACGTTGCTGAAGGAAGAAATCTAAACTCTCCTCTTTAGTTTTTACAAAACAGGAACATTTAGCTTGTGTTCAACAGTTTAAATATTCTTCAAATTGCAGCCTGTATGAGTTTCCTGTGGCTGCTATAACAGATTATCAAAAATTGGTTGGCTTAAAAACCAATGAAAATGTATTCAATCACAGTTTTGGAGGCCAGAAGTCTGGAATCAGTGTCAGTGGGCCAAAATTGCTTTTCAAGTCTCATTGTGTTCCATCTTCTCATTGTTGTCTTGTGTGTGTGTGTGTGTGTGTGTGTGTGTGTGTGTGTGTAGTATCTCTCTACCTCCATTTTATAAAGACACATGAGGTGGCATTTAAGGACCTTCAGATAATCTAGGATAACTTTCCTATCTCAAGATCCTTAACATAATCACATCTGCAAAGAGTCTTTTTCCAAATAAGACAACATTTACAGGTTCCAGAGATTAGGATTTAGTATCTGTTGGTTGGAGGTGGTGGAATTTTTTAGCCTATCATACAAATTGCGAAACAAACTAGTTGATTGCTTCATGGTACTTCCAGCATAAGAATTCTGTAATTCAAAGATTGTGACCTTTGGCAATTTGCTTCACCCTTCCCCGAGTATTGGTTTTCTCATTTACAAAATGAATCTAATAGTGGTAGTTAGGCCATAAGATTGTTATGAAGATTACATGATTTAATGCTACTGAAATATTTAGAAGAGGGGCAGGTATATAATAAGTTCTCAATGAGAGTCAGCAATCCTTACTTGTTGGTGCAGTTTGTGTTGATATTATCATTCTTATAAAAGCAGGATTATGTGAGAAGATAATTGGGTACTTGCTTGGTGGCCTGTGATATAATCGGTATTTCCTTACTGTTACTTTGTTTTGATACATTTAATCAAGGTTGGTCACAAAAGTGATTAAAGTACTGACTTGGTGTCTAAAGAATGTGTTTCATCTGCTTTGTGGATTTTATTTAACTTTGTCTACAACATGGGCAGACTAAGCCAACTCCCAAATTGAGTAGGCAACTTTGAAACCAAGTCTTACAAAAGATTCCCTTAAGAATGATAGCCTTAGGAGTAGCAGAGATATGCTGTTCCCTCAGAGAAGAAATTACATTCTACTCTAAAATTGTATAATTCACTTTTTCAACTTTTTATGAATATAAGTAAAAGCTCAAACTTTTATATTGTAACAGAAGTCCTTTCCTGCTGACTTGAATGCTGTACCTAACATAACTTTTGTTGAGTCCATCCCTGGTTAAGATTGCCTTTCTACCTCTAAAACTTTAAATTACCCCTTTCTTCTCATTACTATTGTAGTATAATTCCTTCACATTTGTTAATAGCAACACAACATATTGCCTACAAAACCTTTTCCAGCCCAAAGTTTTACTGAGTTTTAACATGCTATGTTCTAACATGTATTTTAAGTGTAGTCATTTTAAAGAACGCACTATTGTGCTTGACATACTAATTGACAAGGTATGTAACTTCATCCAGGGGCTATATGTTAAGCCAATAACACAGTCATTGATGGGTGAGACTGAAAATATTATTAATGGGTTTTTCACCATTAGTATGATACAATTAAAAAAATAAAATTTCAAATAGCAATGTCAAGCACGTACCAATAGAAACAGTATTTCCAGGCTGGGCATGATGGATTATGCCTATAATCCCTTGACCTTGGGAGGCAGAGGTGGGAAGATCTCTTGAGCCCAGGAGTTTGAGACCAGCAAGACCCCATCTCTACAAAAAATAAAATAATTTGCTAGGCATGGTGGTATGCTTCAGTAATCCTAGCTACTCAGGAGGCTGAGGCAGGAGGATTGCTTGAGTCCGGAGTTTGAGGCTGCAATGAGCTATGATTGTGCCACTGCACTGCACTGAAGCCTGGGCAATGAAGCAAGACCCTGTCTCAAAAAAAAAAAAAAAGAAACAAAGAAATAATACTTCCATTTTTCCTCTGTACATTTCACCAATAAATAACCATATATAGTTCAAGTAGAATGGCAATCTGTAGACCTTTTGCTATTTAAAATTAGCAAATAATTAAACCATATGAAATTGCTGTTTTTGTAGGTTAAGAAAAGGTTGAATGTGGTAGTTCATATGGCACAAGATAAACAAACAGTATCCCTGTGAAGAGGTTCAGTTTTTCAGAGCTATTAAATGAAAGTTGCTAACTAAAACATTCAAGAATATAGGAAATTTTTTGCATTTTCAAGTTACTTATATTTCTCCCAATAAATATAAACTGAGTCTTGCTTCCTGTCCTCTAATGTCAATGATTATGGGAACCAACATTATTAAAAGAAGGAAAATAAGCAAAATAAATTCTTAGTGGGGAAGGCTAGGTAGATAGAAAACAATGAAAAATGCAGATTGTTACAAACTTTGTAATCATTTCTGTTTGACAGTGTTTATCTCTTTAAATGTTTATGTTCTTACTCATTTTTATTTCATTTTTATGTGTCTCATAACGTTGGCTATCACTCAATGTTTAGCTCTTTGGTGTCTGATCATAGAAAGCAGATTGCCCTGGCATTTTTATGTATTGTAGGAAAAGAAAGTCATTTGCATGTATTGAGATTTATTATTTGAATATTTTTTTCAATATAGCAAAGCACACCTACAAAATTTAATGTACATGCATATATGCAAGTGTGCTATCCTTGTAGAGCATCAGGTAAAATTTTATACCTCTGTTGGAGAGAGTGCAGAGAATCAAATAGTTGCACACACTTCTCCCCTCCCACCTTCCTCCTCTCTCAGTAATCGGTGATATGGGGAAGGGTATTACATTTTCCATAAAAACCTCCAAAACATCCATTCATCACTTTCTGGGCTTGGGATTGTTCTGGAATGGTAAATAGTTGAGAAGATGACAGATCACTGATGAAAGAGATTATTACTTGTAGGACAAGGTCAATGACTCAGGAAGGGGAATGACTTTAGAGAGTAAGGTGCACAGACCTATTATGAGTTGCACTAAGAAGTTTATAGTCATACAGTATTTGTTTTTATGGTAAATTGCTTGTTTTTTGTATGAATGAAGTTTCATTATGAGAAACTTCTCATTAAGAAACACATTAGTTTGGTATTGATTACTTCCATGAATTCTTATCATCTGCTTCTGTTTTATCACAGTTGTCAGATTCTTATGACCTGGATGGCAATTTCTTGTCATACCTTGTAGTACATTGCATTTTGGGATAGATGTAAATGAATAAACTGAGACCACCTCATAATTTAGAAAGCAATCTTACTCTGAGTCAGCATGTGTACTGCATACCATTAAAAATGAATGTGAAAAAAAGAAAATGACTGTGGTTCAATAATTTATGAAAATGTTATGGTGTTTTTATCTGTCTCTACCTTTTTAAAAACACCTATCACTGTAGCATGTAGGTACTCAGACAAAACATTGGTTTCTAGCTTAGAAATGATGGAGAAAAATTTCTATTTCCCATGTATTTCTTAGTAGCTTGACAGATGATTGTCAAAGAGAGAGCAAAAAGGTAGATATAAGAGAAAAAAATCAATTAGCTAGGTAATTTATATGATGCTTTCTGTAGACAATAATACCATTGTAGATGTTCTGGGAAGACCAAAAACTTCACTGGAACATCCTTCAAATTACATAGGAAGCAAGAAGTGAGTAGGGGTTATAAAGATGGACACAAGATTGGTTAGGAGCTTATGCTGAGTAGTTCCTTATACACATCATTCTACTTTTGCATATGTTTGAAATTTTTCCATGATAAAAAGTTTTTTTAAAAAATCTCAGGATTTAACTGTTTCCCAGCAGGAACTTCTTATACTCTGAATATGGAAATAAGAATGTTCATTTTACCCATATACAACAGACTCTGTATTTCATAAATACTTCCTATATTCGTGAAATCTTGATGTCTACCTCTTTCTTGAGATGGCCTATACAATTCTACTACCAGTAAACATCCTCAAAGTCTCTAGCCGTGCCTCCTATGCACTGTTCAGGTGACTTGTCATGAGAGGACAGAGGTAAGAAGCACCACAAATAAAGAAGCAAGAGTAATTTCCTGAGGTTTAGACTGAGGAGAATTGGAAGAATGGAAATGTAGATTAAAGTCATTTTTAGTTATAAGCCCATTCCCCCCAACAAGCAGCATTAATATTAGTTATTATATTACCACTAATATTCATACTAAGATTAATTCCAAAGGCTCTAATATTATCTAGTCACTAATTTGGAATGTCAGCATGTTTTATGAAAATGTCTTGGTGAGGTACCTGGCCAACCCCAAAATGAAAGGAATGGCTCTAAATTATATAAGTGTGGCTGTGGAGAACTAAAATTTAATTGGTTGTTGCTATCTTCACCACTAATGTATTCTTTAACTATAAATGAACAGCATTGCCAAGAACTGCTTCCTAGTTCCCATGCTCTGTAACACCTAGATGCTAAGACTCATTGAGCTTATATGCACTAACTTTCTGTTAATTGAAAAGGAGACAAAGGATGTACCCAGGTCCCTGTTCCTTGCTGATACTGATAGGGACTGTCAAAAACAATGATTGCATGGTGGCGGGCGCCTGTAGTCCCAGCTGCTCAGAAGGCTGAGGCAGGAGAATGGCGTGAACACGGGAGGCTGAGCTTTCAGTGAGCCAAGATCGCGCCACTGCACTCCAGCCTGGGCGACAGAGCGAGACTCCCTCTCAAAAAACAAAAACAAAACAACAACAAAACACACACACACACACACACACACAAAACAAGATTGTAACAAACTTCTTTCATTTTGTTGATCTCTATCAACTTTATGCTTATCAAGAGAAGGTTATCCATTCCTAATTATGTTCTAAGGTCAAAAAATACCACGTAAGTTCCTCTCATAGTGATTTATAATAAAATGTTACAAACACGATGTATACAAAACAATCGTTTTAAACTTGTTCCATTATCAAATACCACGTGAATGAATTTCATTTTGTAATACTGTATTTAGCTGGACCTGTGCATTTTCTTCATTAACTCTTTATTGACTCTGGCTTCACACAGATTTGGGTAATTCTTTCTCTATACTCTACTGTACGATTCAGTTCTATTATAGCACGTATTATAGCATGTAAGGAAGCATCGTGTTGCCTTCTTTAGTTTATATGTCTGTCTCCTCCTACTGGTCTCTAAACATTTTTGAGACTCAGGATCATTTTCAATGCCCAGCGCAATGACTAACTTTGTAGCTTTCGACAAATGTTTGTTGTAAGTGAATGGATAACTCAACCAAAAAAAAAAAAAAAAAAATGACTTACAGTTGTCAATCCTTTGAGTGATTTTGAGTAGATTTTCTAATGTAAGCCGGTGTCTCTTTGGCTTTTTCCTATTCCTTTTCTCACATATCCCATGTCTTTATGCTGGGGCTACAGATAGAAAACGGAAATATTTTGCCTACTGACTTTCAATTTCATATCCTGTCATTGAACTAATTGAACTCTACTTTTCTAATATTTAGCATCTATTGCAATAAGGCAATCAAATGCTATTTATTATTGCACTGCCCTCAAATTCCTTATGACATCCATTCCTCTAAATCCAGCCCTACCTTCCACCTTTCTGCTTCACCATTTGCCTTTTCCAACCACTGGTACCCTCTAATGCCTAGAAGAGAGAGTCTGTTGTATAAAAAGACAATCTTTTGAGATCCATAGTTTTCAGGTCCCAGGACAGTAGGGAAACATTTCTTTGTAGGATGATTTAAATGATCTCTTAAAGAGCATGCAAAGTAGTACCCAAAGTATTGGCAGACATTGCATTTTTTTCTTTTTTCTTTTTGAGACAGAGTCTCACTCTGTGGCCCGGGCTGGAGTGCAGTGGCCCAATCTCGGCTCACTGCAACCTCTGCCTCCTGGATTCAAGCGATTCTCGTGCCTCAGCCTCCTGAGTAGCTGAGGTTACAGGCATGCACCACCACGCCATGCTAATTTTTGTATTTTAAGTACAGATGGGGTTTCATCATGTTGGCCAGGCTGGTCTCGAACTCCTGGCCTCAAGCGATCCACCCACCTTGGCCTCCCAAAGTGCTGGGATTAGAGGCATGACCCACCTTGCCAGGCCCAAACACTGCATTTTGTTGAGGCTTTACTTTGATAAGCACATTGTCCATTAAAATGTCATTGATTTTTCTCCTATGTTTTTAAAAGTTTTTCTACTACTTTCTGGTCCAGGAAACTTAGAGAGCATTTGTTTTCCAGGGTCAGGAATATTTGGCCAGCTTTTATTTCTATTCTCCCTTGAATCTTGGAAAATAAAGGGAATGTTATGTGGTAATTTAGAGGTAAGGAACATACCTCTCTCGAGGGCTCCGCATCAGGTTCAGTTTAGGGTTGAGTTTAAGATTCAGGTTGATAATTATTATTCTTTAGGCAAAGAACCCACCCATAAAGTTCCTGGTTACAGATAATTTTTTCTATTTTCTACTACATCCAAAGTTTCCATCAAGTTAAGTAGAAAGGGTTGGTAATTCAAACTAAAAATAATATGTGGCCTGCCTGCCAGGATCTGTTTTTTTTTTGTTTGTTTGTTTATGTGTGTGTGTGTCTTTGTTTTTGTTTGTTTGTTTGTTTGTTTTTACAAAGAAGGTCTTATTAGAAGGCATCTATTGACTTAGGCAGGTCTGAAAAAACTTGTCAAGATTTTTTTTATATTGAATATTTTTAGAATACAGCTAAGTTTCTTATAAACTTGAATATATTACCCATCAACATGGCATAAATATGAGAAAACATTTTAACCTCCATTTTGCAGGTAGAAAAATAAAATCAGAGATTTGTTTCTGGTCATATGGGCCTGTATGGCCCCAGAAATAGATTCTGTGACTTATGATTGAAGTCCACCAGAACGTGACATCTCTTGATAAAAGGCAAATGCCAAACTGCTGAGTGAGTTGGTATTATTTAACATTTATCAGAAAGCAATAGAGATTTTTGCTTTGAGGAGTTTGAGGTCTTAGATTTGTGTATCATTTAGCTTATTACTGATACAAAAATCATAAAATGTCTTGGTTTTATTTTGGGAAGGCAGACATAGAATCTTTAAAACATGACAGAAAATTCCCCTGACATAGTAAAGCATGACTATTTAGAAATTTGTTTGTACATCTGTTTTGAAAATAATCATTTAGCTAAGTGGTCACATCTTGATAAAAGACTCCCAGTGTCCATCTAATAAATGAGACTGGATGTAAAAATAGATTCAAATTTCATGCCTTATATTTTGTCCTTGGAAGACACCCTAATGCTTTCCTGTCTACCACCTCTTAGAAAAGCATAAGGATTCACTTAATCTGACAAAAAAATTAGTCTTCAAAATTGAAATGGAAACAGAACAATAATTTATAAATTATTGTGTTCCACCAGTGGCTCTGTTGTGTTGTTTATGTAATGTTATGTAGTAACTTATCCTGAACCATTATTTTAAGAGTACCACGAGCTTAAAAAGGTTTTGAGAGATTATTTTATTAGCCTTCTTCCCTACCTTGTGAGTCCACTGATAACATTTTCATAACCTCCCTTGGTAACACACTCATTATACAATCATCCTCATTGCAGGTATTTTATCCTCTTACCAAACAGAAATTTTTCATGCTACAGTTCATTCTATTAGCTTCCTCATTTCCACTGAGGTTAGAATAGAATATCTAGTTTATTTTCTTTGAGCCTTACTTAGTGTACTGATTCTTGAGGGAGGAGGTGTGGCATCCTTTGCTCTCATTGGGAACAAACTACACCATTACCTCTGAAATGGCATGAGTCAGCATGTTTCTTAGTATATTTTGTCATGCTTGGTGTTCACATTTTCAGCATATGAGGGAGGTGATGGATAAGTGACTTTTTAAAAAAGCTGCTGTAAAGCCATTTATAAAGAATGACCTATTTTATTTTAAAACTTAATATCATCCGGTGGTTTCCTACGAGCCGAGGAATGAAACAAAGTAAAGGAAATGTTGTTCCAGAGATGATGACTTTTTTTGACCATTTTCCTTTGTTTCTTTTGGTCTACTGCATTGGGTCAAGTATTTAGGGAGAAAGAAGAGATTGAGTCACAGTTTCAGAAAAGAAAGGGTGAGTTCAATTTCCTCATTTTCAGCTTTTTATTTATTTATTTATTTATTTTTGGTCATGAATGAATTCACCATGTATAACTTTACAAAGTCTTCTTCTCAATTCCCCTACCACCCCTCTTCCCACAGCATCCCAAACTCTGGGTGTCTCTAGAGGCTGATAAACTGTTCTCAAAACCAAATAAGAGTCAAGGCACCTGGAGAGGTTTGGGCAGTGGGGAGAGGGGATTGGCTATCAATGTGGATCCAGACTAGGCCAATCCTAAGTGAAGTATATTGTTGTCTCCTAACAGCTGTTCTGTGGCCTCTGTGAAATGCGGTGGTGGCTTTCATCCAGATACCGGACAGCTGTTGCCTCACAAAGAGCATCGCCACAATTAGCATTAACTGGCTCTTTGTTGGTGGCCTCCACTGGCAACTCATTGAATCTTTTCTTTCCCTGCCTATCTCCTACCATCTTTATCTCCCTTTTTCTCTTCATTTTTGCTTTCCCTCTCCTTTTTATTTCCTTTGTCTTTTTCTCCCCCTCTGTCTTACCAGTAGGTAGCCTGGAAAAAAAAGAGAAGCAACAGTTCCTGAGGGAAGAATGCATTAACAACTCGGATGGGTGCTGTCTGCCAGCACTGCAGAGGAACCTACGGAGAGGGCTGCTGGGAGAGAATGCTCATACCTCCCAAGGCGTCAGCCTGCCCTCCCGCCCCCAAGTTGCTTTGCTCAAGGTGTGTCAGAGTTTACTCTGGGATTGTGTATTTTATCCATTGAGCTTCTCCTTTCATCACAAGGCAGAGAACACGGCTGTGTTTGTGGAATGGATGGGCCCACAGGGAATTTTGAGTGATTCAGTAGTTGTGGTGTAAGCCGTTCGTCATAACTCCCTGTCAGGCAGAGTCACTGGAGGCAGTAGGTTATACAGTTTGTGATTCCTTGCTCTGATAAGAGCGGCGCTGTTTTAGGCGTTATGTATGGCAACCATATTCTCAAATCCAAAATCAGCATGCCTGCTGTTTCCAGACATTTTTGGATTTATAATGTGTTTATTTGACATGTTTTTAAGAAAGTAAAAATGAAATGCCATTTTTTAAATTATGCACTTGACAAATCACTGGAATTAGAAAGAATAAAATTCCACGAAACAAAGGCAGCTTGAAAGTCCATGGTATGAGTTGTTAACATGACAGAACTGTCTGGATGCTCTTCTGCTCTTTCAAATAAGAATAAGGAAATAGTAATGGCAACTGTTGTGCTTAAAATTTCCAAGTCTGCTTTCAGATTATCCAACTTTATTTTCTCAATCTCAATTTTAGAGTCAAGAAGAGGACTAAAGAAAGTCTTGTGACTCATATGCTTGTTATTTTCCAACCAGAAAGAGGCAACAGTAGGACATGATGCTCTTTTACTATGGGAATATAAAAAAGTTAAACAATTTTGCAAAGGTTTTTTCATAAAAAGCCCAAAGCATTTTGCCCTAGGCTGCTTCTCTTTGGAATTTAAAACCCGTGTGGAATATCGTATGGGGAAATGCAACCGACATGCCCCTCGTTGGTTTGCATTTAACTCATTACATGTTGATTGCTAAGAACACATACATGACCAAGAAGATAGCCAAGCCCTTTGAAAGAACATATGAAATCTAAACAAGGAGCCTGAGTCGGGACAGTCTTAAACAGATGTGAAGTCCTCACAGCCTTTGCCATTTTGAAGATTAAATTACTAGCAAACCACTTTCAACAAGGGTTTTGGTTCTCATAGTAATGACCAGGACCCATAACAGACATTAAAGAAAAAAAGTGAGGCTTATTTAGAGTTAGGGAAAATATCCCAACACCCGCTTGGACTCCCTAATTTTGGTAATCTGCTTTCTCTCATCTATATGATGGGAAAAGTCATACTCTGTCACCTTAGGATTATTCTGTTACTTAATGAGTATAAAATTACTTGAAAATCAATGTGGTAAATATTCTTAATAACTGGAATGAGCAATTGTGCACCATGCATAAAAAAAGAAATAGCTTTGGAGAAATGTAATTTCTTGGATGGACAGATTGTCTATCTGCTAGAGGAATGGCCCTCAGTTTTGTGATGTGTTTATCGTTCATTTAGAAAAATGATTGAAGAAATCTGAGAAATGACATAACCAGATTGGCTGTGTATCTTTTTGTTCTCCTATTTAAAAAAAAATTCCCTTCAAACACTTCTAACCTCAATAAATAAATAAATAAAAAGAAACAAAAGCCCCCAACAGAGTCCTAATTCTAACTTATAACCACTTAAAGTCTGGATATGCTTTGAACTTCACATTTAAAAGAAAGGTTTTTCTGATTTTCTATCAATCCCTCTCCTTAGCTTGCCATTTACAAACATACTTTCCTCCTTCAGAGCAAAAGCAAGTGAGAGAGAATTGGTTTAAAGCTGCTGAAGTCTCCACTGCAGGGGAGCACTGGTTTAATTCAATCAAGGTAGAATGAAGGTCTGAGAAGGGGAGAGATTCTAAGGCCTGGGCAATTGAGTGGAAGCAGCATTTCCTGAGTCTACACCTCCTTCTGCCATTGTTGGTGGGAACTATGGCAATATAGCTTTCACATCTCCACCAGTTAAAATACTGTGCTATCAACTCCCTGCCTTTGTTCTTTCTTTTTTCCCATAAGGACATTGAGTAGTTTGAGAAGATACATGCAGTAAATGTACATTGCATATATTAGTAATATTATTTTGCTAACATTGTATGCTAGTCATAGGGAAGGTGTAATTTTTCTATGTGGTTTATATTATTTTTCTAAGCTTTGAAGTCTTTTAACAATTTCGTCCATGAGATGCAAATTCAAAACTCATTAGGAGCCAAACTAATGAAAAAAATGAAAGAATTTGTAGGGAATGCTGAGGGTTGTGTCACAAGAGAGGGCATTGCACAAGGCCACCACGTTTTACAATTCCAGGGCACCCCCATTCACATCATATTGTATGTGAATGGTGCCCCCTAGTGTAGAGCAATGCAGAGGCCCTCTACATGCCCTGTTCATTCATTCATTCAGGACGTCCTCAATGAGCCAACTGTGCGCCAAGCATGGTTCTAGGTGTTGGGGAGGTAGCAGTGAACAAAGTGGACAAGAATCCCTGCTCTCACGGAACCTAAAGGCATTCTTTTTTGATTATTGTTTTTTTAAAGGCAAAAAAGCAACCTGCCAACCAAACAAAATGCATTAATATGCAGAATTCAGCTAACAGGACGACAAATTAATGACTCTTGTCTAGGCTTTTAAATTATTTCTGTGATCATGAAGGTTTTAGCCACATGGAAAAAATACGCAATACGCTAACCACAAGCTTGCACCTACTGCTTAGCTTATGCCTAAGCTCTGGCTACATAGAAAACTCAGCTATCTATTACCCAGTATCTAAAACTCAGTATCTATCACTGAGAAAACTCAGTGATCTATTAGGTAACACAGGATGAAAAAGTAGAATAAAGTGGGGGTCATGCCATTCTGCCAAAGCATTGTCTGCCTAAATACCTGTCCTAAAGACTCATGGGAGAGGCAAGCCAATGAACAATGGTCAATGTGGCACCTTGAACCAATTCAGTCGGCTCTTAACTTCCCATACATTTAATTAAAATTTTTTTCAAACAAAAAGGAAGATTCCTTAAAGTATCAGGTCTCTTAGGGGTTATGCTAACAGAAGCAGGTGAAACACCAAATTTAAAGAGCTTTCATTAATAATTTCTCAGCCTTATGGCTTCTTAATGCTATTCAATGGAAAGTTTTAATTTTATCTGCAAAATGAAGCTAAAAGAATGTCGCCTAGCTCCTTCCCTGTCTGGAGGAACTTGGATTTTTTTTTTTTTTTTCATTAGAAGCTTGGGTAAAACTAAAAAGAAACCTGTATTCAAGTTTCTGCAAGAAGCTTTAAAGAAATGCTGGGATGGTACTCAAATAGTTTACAAGTTTTCCACCTACAACTCATTTTGCATTTTCTTAAATAAGATAATGACTCAAAAAAATTTAAAGGACCTAGGTCACAGATCTTACAAAGGGTTGGAGTCATGGTATAAAGGTATAAAGATTGTATATAAATGTTCATATTTTCCAAGAAACAGAGCAAAGACCGCCTGTGATAACTCTTCCTTTTTTCTACCTGCCTTCCAGGATCCTTTCTTTCCAAAACCCCTCATAAATTAATGATAATGATAATCAGAAGAGAGAGTGTTGGCCATATCAATCTGCACATTATATTAAATTACTTTTCCCAAAGTTTGGAAGCATTTCCTGAAGGCTGTCAAGGGTATTAGTTTTTTTCTCTCTTTAAATCACAAAGCAAAATTCCACTGTCTCTCCCCAACCCCTTCTAAAAAAAAAAAGTTGTCGAGTTTTGCTTTTCTATTCACTGCAATCCTGGCCAAAGTAAAGCCCTCTTTCTCAATGACGTCAAGATCTTTACCAAGATTAGGCTTTCACTTCTCTATTGCAGCAATTAGCCAGGGAATGTATAAAAGGCGTCAGGGAGACTCACTGGGCTGCAGAGAGAGGCACTTTGCACCACAGACAGATAGCAAGAAGGGAAAGACAGAGAGTGAGAAAAAAGAGGAGTCAGTCGCTCCTGGGGAAGGGAGAGAGTGAGACTGGGAGAAAGAGAAGCACAGAAAGTGTGTGTAAAACGGAGTAAAGAAAGAAAAAAAAAAAACTACCCTTAAAGCACATTTAAAAAAAAAAAAAACTCTGGCAATTCAAGAAAGAAACAGGCTACGTTTAAAGAGCATAGAGACAATGAAAGGCTAAAGAAAATTTTAAAATCTCTGCCACAGTCTCATAGGTGCTTGGAAATGAAAGTAGAACTGCCTGTCTTTAACGGACTCTGACAGAGGTAACTGGATTAGGGACGAGTACGCCAGCTTTTTTTTTTTTTTTTTTTTTTTTTTTTTAACATCTTAAATCCTGAAAAAAAAAAAAAAAAAAAAAAAAAGGCAGCAGCTCCGAATTGAATGAATTGATGGGCACACTCCAACTGCTGGGCTGGAGAGACTGGACTTAGTCTTGCCATTTCTGCTTCTTTGAAAGAGGAGACAACTTGGGCTTCCTTTTAATTTAGTTTTTTTTCCCCTTCTCCCCCAACCCCCAACCTTCCCCCTTACCTCCCCCACCCCCTTTATCACCACCCCCCTTTTAAATAAGAGGGTGAAGGGGAACCAGAGCGCACAAGGGAACTGACTCAGGAGGCAGAGAAGATGGGCATCCTCAGCGTAGACTTGCTGATCACACTGCAAATTCTGCCAGTTTTTTTCTCCAACTGCCTCTTCCTGGCTCTCTATGACTCGGTCATTCTGCTCAAGCACGTGGTGCTGCTGTTGAGCCGCTCCAAGTCCACTCGCGGAGAGTGGCGGCGCATGCTGACCTCAGAGGGACTGCGCTGCGTCTGGAAGAGCTTCCTCCTCGATGCCTACAAACAGGTGAGCTGAGCTGAGAAGGGCTTCTCCCTAGGTCTACAGGGGCAGGGGCTCATATGCTGGGGACCAGAGGCCATTGGGAGCATTGGGGGGAGAGCTGTGAAGCCCTATTTGTGGGGTTGCCAAGTGAGCCTCTAAGTTTACTTTCCACACCTGTTGCACAGGTTAGCTTGGGAGGGTGACAGCTATTAAGCCATAATGACTCTGTGTGACCTAATAAGGAATCTTTCTACTAAGGGTTATTAATATCTTGCTGTGATTTGGGAGTAGAAGGCATTGTGCTGGTACGATAACTTGGGAAAAGTCAGAAAATGATGGAGAAGAGGAGACTGCTGCATTTATTCTGCTCTTGCCATAAACTGGAATTTTGATTTTTTGCTTGATGGGAGGCTGAGGTACACTGAGGAAGTATGTTCGAGGGGTGGGTACTGAAAAGCAAGAAATGAGAAATGCTACTCAGAACTCTCAGAGAGTTGACAAGATAAGAAAGTGGTCATAGAAATTGTGATTGGGCATCATAGCTGCTTGGTTTCTGGTAGAGGTAAGAGTTAATGAAAGCAAGCAGCTGTGTGCCACCTCCTCTACATTGATTCAAATTTGAACCCTTTGGAAGCGATTTTCAGGCAGTGATCCTGAGTTACTAGATATCAACTTGCGAAAGAAAAGTCTGAAAACTAGCTGTCAGAAATCCAGCATTTGTAAGGGAAGCCTCCTTTACTTTGTTTCTCAAAAATAAAATACGTTGCCCTAGAAAGAGATGATGGGTCTGTGATTCATTAAATCTCAGAGCTGTTATGAGCATTAGAGCAGTGGTCTCCCTTACCTGCTCAGGTAGTGCCCAGGGGCTGCTCTCTCAAAATCAGAGGTAGTGATCTTAGTTTCTAAGTGAAAAATACTGTGTTCCAGGCTTTTTGCTGGTGAGAGATGTTAGTAGAGCATTTTCAACTAAGATCTTCAGGGGCACAGAGGATGATTTTCGCCCTGGTCTTTTGTCAGTTTTCCCCCACCTGCTATGCCCATATGACTTCTAAAGGTCCCCTCCACCCCCTCAACCAGGCTTGAGAAGAATGAACTATTTTGGCAAAAGTAGTTATCAAAATAGACAATCTTGGTTTCCCTAAAAGTGTTGTGGGACCTTGCCCAAGATGCCAGAAAAAGCAACTGTACATCTGTATTTTAGAGGAATATAGAAGCCAGGTGTTCAGTGAAGTGGTGTGTTTTAGGCAGGCAGCACCTTAGAACCAGAGACGGGGAACTCGAAATAATAGAGACGCAAGGGAATGCATCCTCCATAAATAAACACTAGAAAACTAAAACCATGCGCCAAGAAAAGAGAAGAAGTAACTTGTAAAATTACAAAGAATTCAGGACAGGATTGTTCTTCTGAAAATCAGATGTTCAAGAAGAAAATATCTGTTGTGAACTAGGGAAATTTTACCACAATGCACGTCTTTATTATTGATAGTAACCCAAAGAGGGTTTGTGTTTATTGTTGTTAAAAATGTGAATAGTAAGAGCTCTTATTAGTAGATGGAAATTCTTTTATGAGAATATGAATTGGTGCTCAAAGTTCTAACAGTAAAAACTCATTTATATTGTGCATGTCAGTGAGGACGGGAGATCTAGAAAAGTAGATATTGAATTGATTATTTCATTTCCACAAAAGTATACATTGAATGGGAAGTTTTTAATGGTTTGTTTTAGTGGAAGGCAATTTGGAGGCAGGTGGAGGAGTACACAAGTATATCAGACATATTATTAATTAGGAAGTTCCCTCTTCAACATCATATTTTATACGTGTTAGCAGATACCATGGAAATATCAGTGATTTGATCTCAGTATATTAAACTCTTACTTTTTGGAAGGACAATTGCCTTTTGCCTATAAAGTAAAAAAAAAAAAACTTATTGGAAGAATTTTACTTATATACATATATTTCTTATATAAATGTCATGTTTCATTAAGAAAAACATGAAAAACAGTCATCTCTCATATAAACAATGGGGGCTGTAATGTTACCCACAAATATTAAGTGAGGTTGTTTCTCCCATTAAGCAGCTTATTGAACATAAAATGGAAAAGCAAACAAATACGTCTTCAATAAAGTTTATTGTTTTTTTCACCAATGTATAGTGTTCCATTATGTTGCAATATGTTGTTATTCCTATTCTAGGAAATTGGGAAGGATGAGTGATTTGTTTTTTCTTTTTGCATATGGTTTGTATATTCCTATTCTGTATTTCTTTGTCCCTGCCTACTGATTTGATTAGTGACCAAGTTCACGACTGATGTTATTATGTTTGCTTTTGATGATTTATGTAATAGCTACCATGTGCAGAAGCAACCCCAGGACCCACATATCCAGAAACAAGACTGGACTGGGTGTGTGATAAATGGAAACATTATGAACACAGCTGCAACTGAATGATGGTCTCTTTTCTGTCTTCAAGTATGGCAAGGGTGGTGGTTTCTGTGGTGGCATTTGAGGGTCACTCAGAATCTCTCAACCAGGTTGAATCACTTCTCTGAATGCTCTTGTCATTTGTGCCACTGTCTTTGGGTGTAGTCATTTCCAGAGACGTTGTAAGAGGTTCTGTTTGAGATGGCATCACACTATTTCATAACCCTGACTTGCATTATTTTGAGGCTACCCATCCCCAGAAGTGAAGTTTTCCAGGATGAGAGGGGTGTGTGCTCATGTGATACAACTACACATGTGATTTACTGTTATTAATTCTCCTTGTTGCTGCATGTCAGATGCCTGGAAAGATATGTAGAGAAAGTGGAGTAAAAGTATTATCCCTGTGTTTTGCCTCCACAAGGGGCAACACAGAAATAAAGAAAGAACAAAATATTTTCTTTTCTTTTTTTTTTAAATAAACCCTTTCTTAAAAGGTTGAAAGGGATTTGAATTAACTTTATGGAGAAGCCTTTAAAGATAATGTGAGTTTAGTAAGAGATGGATTCTGTGTACAATTTTGATTGAAAGGAAAGTCTATAGACACTGGTGAGAGACCCTGAGGTGAATAAAAGGTGTTTGTTATTTAAGTTTCTTTAGTCAGCGTCATTGCATCTGAACAGTATATCCTTGTGCTGGCGCTCAGAGACTAAAAACATGCAACCAATAAGCAAATTGCTCTGTCTGGGAGCCTGGCTCTTACCTAAATGAAGTGTAAAAGTAAACACACAGTATAGATGCTGACAGGCAGTTTAGCTTCTGCACGGTTAATATTGCAGAGGTACAGAAAACATATTCATTTGAACATATAATTTTGGTTTTGAAAGGGTCTCTTTAACATTCTCCTCCTCCTCTTCATTCACCTCAAGCCTTTGACACTAGTTTCCACAATGGAAAATGGCCCTTTTAAGAGAGAAACAGTCCCAAAAGAACACAAAGCAGGCCACAGCCAGAGCTTGTCCATCACTTGGATAAAACATTGGGGAATGATAGAGCTTAGAGCTACATTTTCAAGGTACAAATTAAAAAGAGAATAGCTAAAAGGGAATTGAGCTCAGAGGAAGGAGTACGTAGCCTATTCTTCAACTCTGATTTATTTGGCCAATCTGAATATAAATGGTTAAATCTCTTCTTAATGATAGTTTGGCCATGTTTCTAAGGACATTGATGTAGCCTGGTCATTATGTCAAAGAATTTGAAACTTCCTGATAGTTAATAAAGCCATTTTCAGGGCTTTGGATAGCAAGTAGTATGTGTGAAAATTCTGCTACCACACACCCACCCTTCATTTTTATAATTTGCTTTAGTTTCTGTTATGAGATTATGTGATATATTGTCCACAAGGCTTTCTCAGGCTGTGGAAAAGAAAAAGAAATAAAATCCCAAAACAAGAAACAAGGTTAGTAGTATATGCTGTATTTTCTGCTTCTACTTGATGAATGGTTCTTTTCTCCCCCTTGCCCTGCATTTCACAGTCCACATGCTAAAGCAGCATTTCCTTTTTCCCCATGCACTGAACACTGAACATCATCAAGGGAATCAAATTTTTATATATGCTATATGTTTATGTTCATGTTCATATTTATAAAGATTTCCATTCCAACATTTGAACTTGGCCCGGAGATGTCTTCTGTTGTAAAAATGCAAATCCTTTATTTACCTCCTTTGTTGGTGTTGTGTTGATGTTGCTTGCAAAAACATAAGAGAGGACCACTGTAATAGTGCAGATGAGAGAGATAAAAGTCAGCGATGACAATATCACATTTTACGTATGTCCTTTCTGATCCTTGCAAAATAAAGGGACCCTTTGGGAACATCGGAACTTCAAGACCAATTAGTGGAAATGATGCTTCTTGTGTTTGGGCATTAAATACTGGGCAGGGTTCTCTTTAGAGCGGCTAATGCTGGCAGGGAAAGAGGTACCGACCTAATTACTCTTCCGCAAGAGTAAAAAATGCCTTTTGAATGCCTCTTTGGCAAATATGTCTCATTAAGGACAAAAACCAAACACAAACCCTCTAAGAAGGAGAAATTAAGATGATAGGTAACTTGTGGCCAGACTTTCTGTGCCACTGTGGGAAATTAAAACAAAGTTTGGGAGTACCAGGGGATAACTTGTTTTTGTTGAGCTTCTTTCCTGCAGCCTAAATGTTATTATGGGACCAACTTTATTTTCTTCATCATTTTGGCTCTGTGTCAAGGAATGCTTTGCTCGTGGGGAGAGCAAAGAATCTTCCATCATCGAAGACAATGGTGATTCTCCCAGCCTGTCTCAGCAGGGTGCATAACCCAGCAAACCAAGAAGTTCTCCATTTGAAACTCTGGTCTATTAGGAATTTAATTTTTATGGTGACCAAATGGGGAGATGAGAATGAACAGTAATATCCTTTTAGAATATTTTCTTTTAGGTTAAAGGAAACTTCCATATCTAAAAAAAGTTTTTTTTCTTTATTTTAGCTAAATTGTCCTCCATCAGGTTTTAGCAAAGATGGACACATTTTATGACTAGTATATGAAGCTTATAAAAGCAGACTACTGGTCTACTCACATTTGGATTTATGGATGGTGGGTGTGTGTTTTTCCTTCTTAGTTTTATTAATAATATTAATTTTATCTATGCATTTTCTCTTGCCTAGGCACCTTCATGAATAAGCATATCCATTTATGACATTATAACATTCAGTAAGGGACCCTGGCTCCTCAACAAAATAAAAATAATAGGCCACATTTGTTTTGTGCACTGACCAGATGAGACTGTCAAGGACAGATCAATAACATTGAGTGCTGATTTTGGTAGTACTCTATGAGAGGGCCCCAGGATTCATATTTCTAAATTTATCTGCCTCAGTGAGCTTATCCGTCACCCAAATATGATTATGTTCATTGCAGGTCAGGGTTATCATTAAGTGTAAAATTCTTCACTGACCTAGAATTATAACAACTAGCATTCATTCAATAAAATAAATACTTCCCAGTCTAACCCTAATCCTAACAAAATGCTAAATCCCCCCCATAAAGAGCATTACGAATTTGGTAACTTTCCTAATTTTTTTATTTTAGACTGACAGTGTTGTACTTACTCTAAATTTCCCAAGGCAAATTAGTCTGTGTTTTGGAAAGAATTCTGCAGCTGAACTATACATTGTTTCTAAGAAGGAGAAGGTGCCTTAACTTTCCAAGAAAATTTACTGCAGGTAATAAGAGAGTCCCCTGTGACTAAAGCAACAGATTAGATTATTCAGTTGAATAATCAGACATAATGAAAGGATCAACAGGTCTGCTCGGATGAATCAGGGGGTTAGAGGCGCATTTGTCAAGGCCACATAATTGTTCATGGGTTTCAAAAATGATTCCAAAATGCAGATGAATGTTTTTACCTATCAAGAACCTACAAGTGTACAGGTTGCTTACTTAACAGGAAGTCCCTACAACGGACTAATCTGAATGCATTTAGGTCTTCTTATCACGGTACGTTGAGGCACACAGTACACATGATATTGTTAAAACACCCCTTCTAGAATCATTACTATTATTTCAAATGGGAAAGATCTAAAGAGAAGAGACTGCTACCCACTACCTAGATCTATAAAAAAAAAAGAAGTACAAAAAGAACTCACGGCTTAAAAGGTTAATAATACCTTCAACATATCTTTAAATTTGATGTATATTTTCATGCCTTAAAGACTAGGGTAGTTCATATGAAAGAATCCAGCTAAATGTGCTTATTAGATTTCTCCATCTAGTGTCATTTGCAAATTAATCAAGAAAGTTAGTATAAGTAAAATAATTTTCTCTGTGGTGGTGACTAAAAAACAAATGTACTTACTTAAATCACACCAGCAGCTTCCTTTCTGAGAAGGAAGATTATTACAGTAAGATTTCTCTTAGAACACTAATAATGCTTATTTCAAACCTTCCCTGCTAGGATTTTTCAGAAGGGAGAGAAAGAACTTTAATTCTTTCTCTACAGTTAAAATGAGTTATGCATTAACATTAGATAGAAGCTTCTGAATAAAAGCCCTTGAGTGGGTTATATCAGTTTGGATTGTTACATCTTTAACAATTCACTTCGAAGTGACTTCAATTAACAGTAGCATTATGTGTGGCTGTATGTATATGAGGGAAATAAGTCAACCCAGTTGGAAGTATATTGTAATATTAAGGATAGTATATAAAAATCAATTGTACTGTCCCTAAATTGTCCCTAATGTTATTGGCTTTGATTAAACCATTCTAAGGAAGATCCAATCGTATTAATTCAAACTGAAGTAATTGGCTCTTTTATTGTTGCCTGCTTTTTATGATCAATTTACAGATTCAAAGGCTGCAAACTTTCCTTCATTCTGTTCTCAACTATTTAAACCATGTGCAAAGGGAGCACATGAAACAATTTTTATCTCTACTTCTTCTGCCCCAATATTTTATAATTCAGAGGAGCTTGTTAACAAATTGTGGGGTAGAAAAGTACTTTTTAATGTGACTTCCTAGATAAAAAGAAGGAAACAAGCACACATGGAAAATGAGAAATTGACTTAAAGTAGAATTCTGGAGTAACCATTTTTGTTTTTTTGTCTGTTTTTATTTTTTTTTTAAATGGAAATTGTAAGATTGGAGTGGTAAGAACCACCTTGTAAGCAGTGGCAGTAGAAGCCTCCAGGGAGGATGCCATATTGAGGAGAGTGCAAAGCTTTGCTCAGGGCATTTAAAAAAACAAAAACAAACACAGAATTGCCCAAGAATGATGATGTTCTGTTTCACATGGTGGGGTAGCATCTGATAAGGACAACACACACCCATAGAGTTACAGTGCACAAAGAGCTCTTTTTCTCATGTTGTCCTCCAGTTGCCATATGTGGAAGACAGGCATTATTATTTCCATTTTACAGGTGGGAAAGCTGAATCACTAAAGAGGTTAAGTGGAAGTAACACTTCTTATAAGTGGTAGACCTCAGGTTTTCTAGATCTGGCCAAGAATAGAGCCCACTGGTATCACTGGCCATTGGTTGAGATTAAATGACTTAGTATCATGCAAGAAAATGAAGGTCCTGCCTGGTGTTTCAGAATTCAGAAAGAGGGACCATGTCCCAAGACCCTGATAATTTGTCTTAAAGTAGACCATTTGCTTCTAATTTTTAAAATGAAGTCAATTAATCATTTGTTATAGAATGCATGTTAAGAATTGACAGCAAAATAAGGATAGTAAAGAATAACAGCCTTGGCTTAATTTTAAAAAGAGTTAACTCCAGTGCCTTCAGTGATGAAAATAATTATCTTCAGTGACTATACAGAATGAAAAAGACTTTTATTGTCTTTTGGGCCATTCTTTACATTACCTGCCATCATGCCTCTTTACTCAAATCAATAAATGTTTACCAAATGCTCTGAAGGAAATACCACACTCTATTAGAGCCAATTGTAACTATTTAATGTGAATTCAAGTGGCAATGTGTTTAATGTGATATTCTCACCTTCTTCTTCTTCTTCTTTTTTTTTTTTTTTACCGTCAGGTGAAATTGGGTGAGGATGCCCCCAATTCCAGTGTGGTGCATGTCTCCAGTACAGAAGGAGGTGACAACAGTGGCAATGGTACCCAGGAGAAGATAGCTGAGGGAGCCACATGCCACCTTCTTGACTTTGCCAGCCCTGAGCGCCCACTAGTGGTCAACTTTGGCTCAGCCACTTGACCTCCTTTCACGAGCCAGCTGCCAGCCTTCCGCAAACTGGTGGAAGAGTTCTCCTCAGTGGCTGACTTCCTGCTGGTCTACATTGATGAGGCTCATCCATCAGATGGCTGGGCGATACCGGGGGACTCCTCTTTGTCTTTTGAGGTGAAGAAGCACCAGAACCAGGAAGATCGATGTGCAGCAGCCCAGCAGCTTCTGGAGCGTTTCTCCTTGCCGCCCCAGTGCCGAGTTGTGGCTGACCGCATGGACAATAACGCCAACATAGCTTACGGGGTAGCCTTTGAACGTGTGTGCATTGTGCAGAGACAGAAAATTGCTTATCTGGGAGGAAAGGGCCCCTTCTCCTACAACCTTCAAGAAGTCCGGCATTGGCTGGAGAAGAATTTCAGCAAGAGATGAAAGAAAACTAGATTAGCTGGTTAAAGGTATGATTATAAGAGAGCTTATTGTTTTAAAAAGTTATATAAAGGCAAGGAAATTAAGAACTGAATCCATATTTCAACAGAGCCCTATTGGCTTACTGAAAGACAGGAGTTTATCTATCGGAAGAACATGAATCTCTAACAGCTCCATACTTCTTTCACTACTCAAATGGCATTGGGCTGAGTAAGTAACCATATCACCTCTCTTCTTAGTAAAAAGCCCTATGTGAAAAGATCCCAAGATGGAGAGGAAGAAACGCTAATTCAGCATGTGTTCATTCTGCATTGAGAAGGAACTGATACATCTGATGCATGCTTTGAGACCAGAAGAAAAGACTTACCTGAATAATTACTACATTAGGGAAGCTACTGTCTACGTTAAGATAAAGGGTATTGCCTTGGCTCTATTTGGCATGGATGGAGCCCAGTTGGAAAATTCCCAAATATTACAACAAGTCCTTGAACCCAGGCCATGTGGTTAGACGTTGGTGTTAAGGTTAGACCTTATGTTAGAGTCATTTCTGATGTTCCAGCTTCTAGCCATGTAGTGCTCTCAGTCTTCATACCCCAGAAATTATTGGTATATTTGTAGATACCGAGAATGATCCCTCAGTCTGAGAGGTTAGAATGATCATCTGTAATCTGAGGGTTAATTTCTAGGCAGGTGGAGAGAGTGGTAAAAAAGAAATGAAATTGACAAGCTAGGAAAGAGGAGGCAGAAAGATTTGGAAAATTCACAGAGTTTCACCCTTAAGCTGTAGAGAGTGGGTCACATTTGTTAGCCACGGAAACATAGAAACATACACAAGGCCAGAAAAAGAAGAAGGAGCTCAACTAAAAGTGGCATAGAGAATACACATATAAAAACAATATATTTGTCATATGCTCCTAGAGAGGAGAAAGGGGTGATTGAAAGAAAAAAAAATACTTAAATATTTGTAATTGTGAGGGGTTTCTTTTGGAAATAATTACTTTTGAACCATGTATGTGGTATGTATATTTTCAGTGGGTTAATTATACCCCATGATACCTATTAAAGGAAAACCAGTGGGTCTGGTGGTGCTGGTCTTTTCCTCCCCATTCCTACAATTTCTATGTGGCCCAAGTCATTCCTAATCTTGGTCTCTATAGCAGTGTTCTCTCTGAATGCTGAGCTGAAGAAATTATACGTACATACACACATACATACATACATACAAATATATGTATATATATTCTCAGCTGCTGCGGGAGGTAGGTACCATGGCCATTCAGCACAGCCTTGATTTCCTCCCAAAGTAGGTGAGCTATAGTGAAGAATAGGTGCAAACAAACAAGCTTACTTCCATTGCAAAATAGAAGAAGAGGAAGTTAGAGATAATTCTGATCAATCATTTTGGAGGCTTTGTTATAAGGCAACCCCCGGTATATCATGGAATTTCCATTGACATTTGAATTTGGACTTGGATCTTCCCTTGGTCCCATTAGCTGAGGTTTAGTAATCTAAAGTCCCTATAGTATATGATTATAATGCTATTTTAAAAAATATATATATAAAATATTTTTTTCTTTTTAAAATAGACACTATAGTTTTACCCATAAGTAATATTTAAAGATTATAGCTCCCAAAAGAATGGACCAACCACTTTCGTATCATAATTTCTTTTTGGTAAATATGAGACTATTATGAAATCATAGTATATGATTGTATTTAAAGGTACAATCAAAGGATCTTTTGTCCATTCCATTAATAACTGAATAAAAAATAAATAAAATGGATAGAAAAAAACTAAAGTTGAAAATACATTCTTAAACTAGTTGTCTGAATTGAGAAAAGAGTGAGAACTAGGTGTGCAAGAACCAAACGTATTTTATTTTATTTTTTAAATGGGAGCAACATATCAGTCGTGTCACCAGCTGGTATATTGTGTAAATATTAAAGCTCCATTGGGACTGATTTTTCATGGCAACATCAGCTTTCTAATGTTCTAAATTCTATAAAAACCACCCACAAAGAAACAAAGCAAATTTCATTATCTAATGAGTTGCTGGAAAATCATATTGAGAATAATTATTTCAGATTCCTCAGTTGTTAACTTCTACATTCAAGGCTTATCTCTGCCCCCATTGATTTTTAACCTCAAAATGGTGTTGAGATTTACGTGGAACCCTAAAGCAGTAAAATAAAAAACCTGGTTGCAGCACATTCACACTGTTGTCCTTAAAATTCCCCTTTTTTCTCTATGTACGATAAAGTAACAGTATGTCAGATAAGCCGGTGGGGGGATGAGATTAGGCTGAGGCAGTGCTAGTCAACTGGGGAAAAGGATGATGGAAAAATCACCCAGTTGTGCTATATTTTTAAAGAAGGAGGTCGTTTATGTGTGCAGACAATTCTCCCTGAGGTTAGCCCAATGGAGAAATGAAGCAGAGGAAGGAAACATAGAAAGACATGGGCTATCAGGGAGGAAGATGTTCAATAGAACATGCAAGAATTTCTGGAAGAAAGGCTGTGGAAGGGCCAATGGAGAAAATGAATGGACAAAGCTCAGGAATCCTACGCTATGTAGAATGTCTTGGTGTTATCAGGGTTAAGCCTGTAATTATGTAACCTATTTATCGCAACATGAATTTTTATGATTTCTTGTGATGTATTCTTTTATGAAATTAACAAGAACTCATTATTTTGAGGTAGAGGAAAATCAATGCTTTATCTGATATGCTGAGAAATTATTAGATTGCCAATACTCATGTGCGTTTCATGTGTTTTATAAGGTTTGTTCCTTTGAAGAATTGTAGTTCTTAGTCCCACAGGGAAATGTGTATCTATTTATATATCATAGTATAAATCTATGATATATTTATATCATATATAAAAGTCTGAGTTCTCTTTCTTAGTCCCTAATCATGTTTCTCCCATAGGCTGTGTTTACATGGAGCTATCGGTTTAGCCTTTTAAGCTTCATTAGCTTGTCTATTATTGAAATAGTTTCCAAGAAATTTTAGATATTATCATAACATCTGGGTCTACTCAAACACTTATTGTTTGAAAGACTTATGTCTTGGACCTATCAAAAACTGACTTTATTTATTGCTTAGTGAAAATACTAGTGGGATCAACAATGATTTTCTTGAATGGGCATGAATGGAGATGCCCGCACAGTAATGTAGAAATGTTTCATACAGCTATTAAAATGTAACTGACCTCCTTAGAGGCAGATTAGTAACTGTTCCTACTTTGTATAGCTAAGTGACAGTCACTTAACTTACATGACTTTCTTTTTTCACATTGGGTCTCTGGTCCTGTGTCTTCACCTCATTTATAGCACGTCTCCTTGATTTTTGGTAGTATCAACTTCCCAGTGATCTGTTCAGTTAAGTTCTTCTCCCGTTAACCAGGAAGTGCTTATTCTCTCATCACAGTGGGAAGAATAGCCTATTGTCTTTCATTTTGCCTGAGTGTATTTTACTATTTGGGCTCTGAAATAAAAATTATGAAATATGGTGAGGTCACATGTTGGTGCTGCCTTGCTGCATAAAATTCTAGAGGGCAGGTTAGAGACAGTATGTATGCCTTCGGGAAAATTCAAAGGTGGATTACAAGGTGTCCTCAGCATGCCCTATGGCCTATGTGCGAAGCAAGAAGAATTGACTGATTTACAGGACTTCTCTTTATGTCAATCTTAAGAGGATGGATGAATCTGGACATTTGTTCCACCCGACCTCTGACTGATGGTTTGGAAAATAACTTTAATTAGGATCATATGACCATTGAAAAAGGAAAAATGTAGACTCTGACTTCCGTCCCACTGAAGGATTAATGAAAACCTTTACTAGCATTTAGAGCTTTTCAGAACATCCCCACTGTCATGTGTCTCAGCAGTGGAGACTGCAAGTAAGGCTTTTAATTTTAGGAGGTTTTTTTTTTTTTTTTTTTTTCCCTAAATGGTATGGCCAAAAGTCAGAGTTAAAATATATATAGTTAGATTCCAACTTCCTCCTTCACTCTAAAAATAGAATCCAAACCCACTCTTCATATATGCTTCCAGAATGGGGCTTAAGTACCAATCTCTGCTTTGCAATGGGCACAATCTTGGTCATGTCCTGAGGCTCTCTAAGAAAAGAGAGGATCTAGGATGGGAGAGCTAGAAAGTTGCTAACTGGGAAGAACAAGGCCCTGAGGGCTTGGTCTACCAATCTGGGAAGATTTGAAAACAAACTTCTCGCAACTGAAGGAAGGCTGAAGGCTGCTGCAAGTCATTGAGTGACTTTAGGATGAGCAAAACATTGGGCCACTTCCTAATGCCCTATGTGTATAGTACCAGAAGCAAGGTCTCAGACTTAACAGACCCAGCTCTGTTCCAAGGTGAGTCTGAACCAATAGAAAGCAAACATGTGCAGATATCCAAACAAGACTGCTCATGCAAGTCGGGGCTGGCTACCCGTCTTAGGCAGCAACAGCAGAGCTCCAGGGAGCTTATTCAATATTTACTGAGACTTCGAAGACCCAGCAGATGTTTAATGAAGTCACTATTTTGGCTCAAACCCTCCACTTCTCCCCCTCCCCTCAAAAAGCCAACAGGTAAACACATAAATGAAAGAAACCCACAGAAGGGGATGGGAAATAAAGAAAATTCTCTCAAGACTTCTCCAGGCCCATGTCACTGGTCAGCGTGGTTTTTATGTGTATTAGGATTGGGGGATGTGAAGAAATAAGTATCCAGTACTTTATAACCAAAGCAATTAAATGATATTGGGTAGGGAATGTTGGCCAGTTTTGTTTAGTTTTGCATCACATTGTCACCAGACTCACTAGCCCAAGTAATCGGGCGCCCGAAGAGGGAGACAGAGATGTGCAGAGTTGACCAGTGTGCGGATGATAACTACTGACGAAAGAGTCATCGACTCAGTTAGTGGTTGGATGTAGTCACATTAGTTTGCCTCTCCCCATCTTTGTCTCCCTGGCAAGGAGAATATGCGGGACATGATGCTAAGAGTCCTGGGTAAATGTGGTGAGAATGCACGCGTGCATATGCTACACATATGTGCTTCTCAGTTGCAGAAAATGAACTGCTTTGGGAGATTATCAGTAGAAAGAGTGTTATCATATTGGTGCTGAGTGCTATGTGTGCTTATACAATTTGTTCTTGTATTTTAATAAACTTTGAATAAAAGAATAAAGCTACTCTTTGGTTCTATTTGTTTATTTTAACATTTCTCCCTAGAACTTGCCCCAGGCTGGGACATATTCATGGCTGACAAGGGAAAGAGAATCCATCATTCTAATATTTATTCCTTGGTATTTGTGGGCAAAGTAGCCAGCAATGCCAGATTATTTTAATCTCATGCTGTGTGCCAGGGTCTTCAAGGAAATCAAGACAAGTAAAAAGAAAATCTTCAGATACTTTCCATATTTATGAACAAGTTACACACAGAATTCATAGAAAGGGGCCTGTTTAAGAGACTGTGGAGCCAACTTTTACTTCGTTAGATTTACATCTCAGGCTTTCTAAGTGCAATTAATATACTTTCCAAGAAATTGGTTAAAATGACACACACACACACACACACACACATACACACATGTACTATATACACACACTTCTATATTATTTATGATTGGCAGTGTATTAATATGTGATACATTTGAACACATTTATATCAAGCACTTTTCACTATGAGGAGGTATAAAGGATATGTTCTGTGGAGGCAATGGACTGTTAATGAAAAGGAATATGTTCATAACATGGTTAAATATGTGCATTTTTTGGAAAACAGGCAACTTAAAGTAGGAGCATCTCTTGAGACTCTGAACTTGCTCATGATTTCCTACACAAAATAATTTTATTAATATTAGCATCTTACATACTATTCCAGAATTTCAAAAGGAAATTTAAAAAATCATTACTTTGACAACTATTTGTTGAGTTTCTATTCTTTGCAGGGCTCTGTGCTAGGTACAATGTAATGTGTAAAAACAATATAACCAAACTCATAAAAACATCACTTCATGCCATGGTTTGAATGCCCCCTCTAAAACTCATGTTGAAATTTAATTGCTGATATAATAGTACTGGGAAGTGGGGCCTTTAAGGGGCGATTAGGTTATGAGGGCTCTCCCTTCTTGAATAGATTATTGCCATTGTGGAGGGAGTGGGTTAGTTAATGGGAGAGTGGGCTTCTAATAAAAGGATGAGGTTCGGCCCCCGTTTCTCTGTTTTGTGCACTCTCGCCCTCTCTCACCATGTAATGCCTTCTGCCACGTTCTGACACACAGCAAGAGGCTTTCACCAGATGTGGCCCTGAGATCTTAGACTTCCCAGCTTCCAGAAATGTGAACCAAACAAATTTCTATTGTTTAAAAATTGCCCAGTCTGTGGTATTCTGTTATAGCAACAGAAAATAAACTAAGACACTCCCTTAAGGAGCCTGTTGTGGATTCATTAAGACCCTGCAAGTGACCAAGTCAATCTAAAAAAAAACAAAAACAAAAACAAAAGTGGAACTTATTGGCTGAAATAACCAAACTCTGCAAATGATTGGGATAAAACTTGCCTTAGTAAGAACTGGATTCAGGAACATAGAAGCCTTCAGTTCTTGCCAGGTCTTTTGTCTTCATTCTTTTTTGGGTGCCAGCTTTTTCACCCAGACCAGCTTCTCTGTATGTTGGGTGATCTGGCTAGGGGAAGCCTCTGACTTACAATTTCATTATAAAGTGGTTCAGATGCAGTTTGACCTTATTCCCAGGGAAGAACTTGGATTGGACCAATTTGCCTAACATGCCCACTTTGTTGAATGGGGGTAGGATCTGTTACTAGAAAAAGGAGAGCAAGAAGGGCT
Organism: Homo sapiens; assembly: GCF_000001405.40. Classification (NCBI taxonomy): domain Eukaryota; kingdom Metazoa; phylum Chordata; class Mammalia; order Primates; family Hominidae; genus Homo; species Homo sapiens. The sequence continues at coordinate 80,195,870 of NC_000014.9, read as the reverse complement.
CGAATATATAGAGACACCAGATGTTAACTCAGTGGCTTTTTTTTTTTTTTTTTTTTAAGAAAGAGACTTTTTATTTTTTAAGAGCAGTTTTAGGTTCCCAGCAACTTTCAGAAGAAGGTATGGAGATTTTCCATATACCTCCTGCTCCACACAGGAATAACCCTCCCCTATTATCAACATCTCTCAGCAGAGTGATATATTTATCACAGTTGATGAACCTATATTGACACATCATTATCACCCAAAGTCCATAGCTTACATTAGGACTGTTTTATACTTTCTATGAGTTTGGACAAATGTATAATGACATGTTACCCATCATTATAAAATGAAACAAGGTATTTTTATTTTCATTGCCCTAAAAATCCTCTGTGCTCTGCCTCTTCCTCCCTTGCCACTCCCAGCCCCTGGCAACCACTGATCTTTCTATTGTCTCCAGGGTTTTATCTTTCCAGAATGTCATATAGGAATTGTACAGTACCTAGCCTTTCAGATTGACTTCTTTCACTTAGTAATATGCATTTAGGGATTCTCTGTGCCTTTTCATGGCTTGATAGCTCATTTCCTTTTAGTGCTGAATAATATTCCATTATCTGGATATACCAGATTTTATTTATCCATTTACCTACTGAAAGACATCTTGGTTGCTTCCAAGTTTTGGTCATTATGAATAAAACTGCTATTAACATCTGTGTGCAGGTTTCTATATAGACATAGGTTTTCAACTCCTTTGGGTAAATATTGAAGAGCATGGTTACTTAATTGTATGGTAAGAGCATTTTAAGGTTTTGTAAGACATTGCCAAACTGTCTTCCAAAGTAGCTGTACCATTTTGCATTCCCACTGGCAATGGATCAGAATTCCTGATGTTCCACATCCTCACTAACACTTGGTGTTGTCAATGTTCTGGATTTTGGACACTCTGATAGGTATGAGGTGGTATCTTTTTTTTTTTTAATTATTTCACAGTCCATTCCTTGTCTGTATTTGTTCTTATATTCGGTTTGGTTTAGTCTTCATGTCTGAAATGATTTTTACTTTTTTTAAAAAGATAAAATTTTTATTTTAGAACAATTTGAGATGTACAGAGAAATTAAGAAGATAGTACAGAGAGTTCTTATAAGCCCCATACCAATTTTCCCCTATTATTAATGTATTATGTTAATTTATACACTTACTATAGCTAATGGGCCAATAATGATATGGTATTATTATCAACTAAAGTCCATAATCTATATTCTAATGTGCTTTTTCTGTTCCAGAATCCATTCCAGGATACCATATTACAATTAATTTGCATTTCCTTGATAACATATGATATGGAGCATCTTTTCATATGTTATTTTCCACTTATACATCTTCTCTGGTGAGGTGTCTGTTAAGATCTTTGGCTCATTTTTGAAACTGATTGTTTGTTATCTTATCTTCTGTTGAGTTTTAAAGAGTTTGTTGTATGTTTTGGATAACAGTCCCTAATTATATGTGTCTTTTGAAAATATTTTCTCCCAATCTGTGGCTTGTCTTCTCATTTTTTTGACATTGTCTTTCACAGAATAGAAGTTTTTCATTTTAATGAAATCTAGCTTTTCAATTATTTCCTTCATGGATGAGGATTTTGGTAACACATCTGAAAAGTTATCACCATACCCACGATCATCTAGGTTTTCTCTTATGTTATCTTCTAAAAGCTTTATGGTTTTGTATTTTACATTTAGATCTATAATCTACTTTGAGTCAATTTTTATGAAGGCTGTAAGGTCTGTATTACAGAGTGATTTGTTGACAAGATTGTATTGCCTTTGCTCCATTGTCAAAGGCTACTAGACTATATTTTTGTGGATCTATTTTTAGGCTCTCTATTCTGTTCTATTATCTTTTTGTATATTCCTTCATCAATATCACACTGTCTTGACTACTGTAGCTTTATGGTTAAGTCTTGAGGTTAGGTAGTGTCAATTCTCTCAGTCTGTACTTCTCCCTCAGTATTGTGTTGGCTGTTGTGTGTCTTTTGCCCTCTTATAACTGTTGAATGAGTTTGTTGATATCCACAAAATAACTTGCTGGGATTTTTATTTGCATTGAATTGAATCTACAGATCACATTGGGAAGAACTGATATCTTGACAATATTGAGTATTCCTACCCATAAACACGGAATATCTCATTTAGTTATTCTTTGATATTTTTGTCAAATTTTATCATTTTCTACATATGGAACTTATATATATATAAGTTCTAAATAATTTGATGCATTTTGTTTTCAATTTCAAATTCCCCTTGTTTATTTCTGGTATATAGGGAAATGATTGACTTTTGTATATGAACCTTCTTTCCTGCACCCTTTCTATTAATGTAATTGCTTGTTAGTCCCGGAAGGTTTTTTTCAAAAAAAGTATTATTTTGTATTTTCTACAAAGACCAATCATGTAATATGCATCCAAAGACAGCTTTATTTTTTCCTTCCAAATCTGTATACCTTTTATATTCTTTTTTGTCTTACTGTATTAGCTAGGACTTCTAGTACACTGTTAAAAAGAAGTGGTGAGAGGGGACATTTTTACCTTGTTTCTGATCATTGTAGGAAAGCTTTGAGTTTCTCATCAAGTATGACGTTAGCTGTAGTATTTTTGTAGATTCTCTTTAACAGATTGACAAAGTTACCTTCCCTCCTAGTGTACTGAGTGTTTTTATCATGACGTGGTATTGGATTTTGTCAAATGCCTTTTCTGTATTTATTGATATGATCATGTGATTTTTTTAGCTTGTTGATGTGATGAATTACATGAATTAATTTTTGAATTTTGGACCAGATTTTAGCATTGCATACATGGAATAAACTCCACTCAGAATGGTGTATAATTCTGCTTTTACACATGGAATTCAATTTGGTAATATTTTGTTGAGGATTTTTGCATCTGTGTTTATGAGAGATATGGATCTGTAGTTTCTTTTTCTTCTGATGCCTTTAGTTTGGTAGGGTAATGTTGGCCTCATAAAATGAGTTGCAAAGTATTCCCTGTACTTCTATCTTCTGCAAGAGATTGTAGAGAATTGGTATAATTTCTTCTTCAAATATTTGGTAGAATTCACCAGCAAACCCATCTGAAACTGGTGCTGTCTTTTTTGGAAGATTATTTAATTGTTGACTCAATTTCTTTGATAGATGTAGGACCATTCACACAGTCTATTTTCCTTGAGTTTTGGCAGATGGTGTCTTTCAAGAAATTGGCCCATGCCATCTAGGTTGTCAAATTTGTGGTCATATAGTTATTTATACTATTCCTTTATTATCCTGTTAATGTTCATGTGCTCTGTAGTGATGCCCCTATCTCATTTCTGATTATTTGTAATTTGTGTCCTCTCTGTTTTTTTCTTGGTTAGCCTGGCTAGAGGCTTATCAATTTTATAGATCTTTTTAAAAAACCAGCTTTTCATTTTATTGATTTTCTCTTGATTTCCTGTTTTCAATTTTATTGATTTCTTCTTCTTTTCCTCTCCTTACTCTGGATTTAATTTATTCTTTTTCTAGTTTTGTGAGGTGAAAATTTATTGATTTAAGATCTTTGTTCTTTTCTAATATATGTATTCAATGCTATAAGCACCTCTCTCTAAGCACCAGTTTCACATCCCACAAATTTTGATAAGATGTGTTTTCACTTTCATTTAGTTCCAAATATTTTAAAATTTCTACTGAGGTTTTTTATTTGACTCATGTTGTTTAGAAGTGAGTTTAATAGCCACATATTTTGGCATTTTCTAGTCGTCTTTCTGTTATTTATTTCGAGTTTGATTCCATTGTGGTCTGAGAGCAGACATTGTATGATTTCTATTTTTTTTTTTAATGTTAAGGTGTATTTTCTGACCCCAGATGTGGTCTATTTGGTAAATATTTCTTGGAGCTTGAGACGAATGTATATTTTGCTGTTGTTTGATGAAGGAGTCTGTAGATGTCAATTATACCAGTTGAATGATGGTGTTCCTGAATTCACCTATGCCCCACTGATTTTCTGTCTACTGAATCTGTCCACTTATGATAAAGGGGGTTTGAAGTGTTCAGCTATGATAGTGGATTCACCTATTTCTCCTTGCAGTTTTTTTGTTTTGTTTTGTTTTTTGTTTGTTTGAAACGGAGTTTCACTGTTGTCACCCAGGCCGGAGTGCAATGGCACTATCTCGGCTCAGTGTGACCTCTGCCTCCCAGGTTCAAGCGATTCTCCTGCCTCAGTCTCCCAAGTTTCTGGGATTACAGGCACCCGCGACCACACCCAGCTAGTTTTTGTATTTTTAGTAGAGACGGGGTTTCACCATGTTGGCCAGGCTGGTCTGGAACTCCTGACCTCAAATGATCCACCCAACTCGGCCTCCCAAAGTGCTGGGATTACAGGTGTGAGCCACCGTGCCCGGCCTCTTCTTGCAGTTCTATCAGTTTTTGCCTCATGCATTTTGACTTCATTGTTAGTCACATACACATTAAAGATTGTTATGTCTTCTTGGAGATCTGGCCCCTTTATCATTAACGTAATATCCTTCTTTGTCTCTGATAACTTTCCTTCCTTTGAAGTCTGCTCTGTTTGAAATTAACTTAGCTAGTTCTGCTTTCTTTTGATTAACGTTAACGTTAGCATTGTATATATATTGTTCTTCATTTGTTTACTTTTTTCTAACAGTGTTTTAATATCTAAAGTAAATTTCTTGTATAATACATCCAGTTGGGTCTTGTTTTTGACCTACTCTGACAATGTCTTTCAATTGGTATACTAAGACCACTGATTTTCAAAATGATGAAAGATATAGTTGGATTAATATCTACCGTAATTATTACTGTTTTATATTTGTTGATCTTGCTGTTTGTTCCTATTTTTGTCTTTTACTCTCTTTTTTCCTTTTGTGATTTTCTTTTTTCTGTTTTTTGAGACAGAGCCTCGCTCTGTCGCCCAGGCTGGAGTGCAGTGGTGCGATCTTGCTCACTGCAAGCTCTGCCTCCCGGGTTCACGCCATTCTCCTGCCTCAGCCTCCCGGGTAGCTGGGACTACAGGCGCCCGCCACCACACCCGGCTAATTTTTTTTGTATTTTTTTTAATAGAGACGGGGTTTCACCGTGTGAGCCAGGATGGTCTTGATCTTCTGACCTCGTGACCCGCCCACCTCGGCCTCCCAAAGTGCCAGGATTACAGGCGTGAGCCACCGCTCCCGGCCCGTTTTGTGGTTTTAAACTGTACATTTTATATTATTCCACTTTCTTCCCTTTCTTAGCATATCAGTAATACTTTTTTTGTACTTTTTGAAGTTGTTGCTGTATCTTTTGCAATATATAATCACAACTAATCTAAGTTTACTGTCAAATAACACTATACTACTTCACAGGTAGTGTGGGTACCTTATAATAACAAAATAATTCTTATTTCTCCCTCTTATCCCTCCTAAGCCTATATATAATAAGATGTATACATAAGCATACATAGTTAAATACATTGTTGCTATTATTATTTTGGACAAACTGTTATCTGTTAGATCTGTTAAGTACAGGAAAAATGAAAGTTTTTACTTTATCTCCACTTATTCTTTCCTCGTTGTTCTTTATGCAGATCTCAGTTTCTGACCTATATTATGTTACTTCTTTCTAAATAACTTCTTTTAACTTTTCTTGCAAGGCAGTTCTACTGACAACAAATTTCCTCAATTTTTGTGTTTCTGAGAAAGTATTTATTCTTCACTTTTGAAGGATAATTTCACAGGCTACACAATTCAGATTAGTGGCTTCTTTCTCTCAACACTTTAAGTATTTCACTTTATTCTCTTTTTGCTTTTAAGGTTTCTGAGAAGAAGGATGTTATTCTATTGGTACTCTATAGGGTTTTTTTTTTTCTCCCTCTGATTTCTTTCAGGACTTTTTCTTTCTTTTTGATATTTTTATAATTTGGAAATAATATGTCCAGGTGTAGTTGATTTTTGTTTGTTGGTTGACTAGCTGGGTTTCTTTCTTTCTTTTTTTTTTAATTTTTTTATTTTGACATTTATCCTGCTTGGTATTCTCTGAGCTACCTGAATTTTTGGCTTGGTTTCTGACATTAGTTTGGAGAAATCGTCAGTTATTAGTCTAAAATACTTTTTCTTTCCTTTATCTTTTTCTTTTCCTTTTGGTATTTCTATTACACATACGTTAGATTTTTCTGTAGTTGTCCCACAGTCCTTAGATATTCGGTTCTGGTTTGGGTTTTTTCAGTCTTTATTTTTTTTTACTTTTCTGTTTTGGAGGTTTCTATTGGTATATCCTCAAGCGCGGAGATTCTTTTCTCAGCTGTATTTGTTCTACTAATAAGCCTATTAAGGACATTCTTTGTTTGCGTTATAGTCTTTTTGATCTCTAGAATTTCTTTTTAGTTCCTTCTTAGGATTTCTGTCTGTGTGCTTACATTGTCCATGTGTTTTTGCATGCTGTTTACTGTATCCATTAAGGCCTTTAAATATTAACCATACTTGTTTTAAATCCTGGTCTGATAATTCCAAGATCCCTGGCATATTTGCTTCTGATGCTTGTTCTGTCTTTTCAAGTTGTGTTTTTTGCCTTTTAGTATGCTTGGTAATTTTTTTTTTTTTTTGATAGCTGGCCATAACATACCAGATACATGGAATTGTTGTAACTAGACCTTTAGTAATGTGATGGTAAGGTGTAAGGGGAGGAAAAGTGTTCTACAGTCTTGAGATTAGGTCTTTCAGTGACCCCAGGCCTCTGGGTTATGAATTTCACAAGTGTTTCTCAATATTTTTCTTCTTTCTTAGATAGGACAGGATGGCTACCATCGGATAGAGTTGAATATTTCCCTTCTCCCATGTGGAAGGCTAGAGCTGGCTGGAGTTGGGTATTTCTCTTCTCTCAGGTCATTTCGGCTTTGATTGTATCCCAGCGGGTTTCGTTCTGGTTAACTAGTTTCTCCTGAGGACAGGCCTTGTTAAAAGAACAGAGTGCTCTAGTGTATTTCAATTTTTTTTTTTCTCCTCTCCCTGCAGGAAGCTGGATGGGATTTTCTCAAGTACTTACCCTAAGAAGAATCTGGTCAAGCTCCTGGAGGCAAAACTCAGAAAAATACGACAGCCTCCCACGACTAGGTCCTTCTGGAATTTTTAACTCTCAGACTTGCTCACACAGAGCCTCTAGCAATTTGTTAATTACAGTTCAGATTTTTTTTTCAACTCAGGCTATGGTTCCTGCAGTGATTTCCACTTGTAAGTTTCCTGGTAAGCTTGACTCCCTGTATTCGCGTATCTCTCTAATCTTAGTGTTTTGTCCTATGTCTCAACCTTTCTTATCAATCTAAGAAGAGTTACTGAAATCCAGAAGTCTTAGTGGCCATTATTTTTAACTTCCTTAATAAGAATCATTAAATAAGAATATAAGAATACCTTGATTAGTATTAATATATACATTCGATAAGGACAGGCCCAGAGGAAGGAAGGGCCCTATGGATAGAGCTCTCAGAGGTGACGTTGTGGAGTTTAAAGGGACTTGGATTGACCTAGAAGGATGGGCAAGCTTTAGATAGAGAAGATAGGTGGTTTTTCATTTAGAAAGTCAATTATTTACTAAGTATCCGTTGTTGTGACTAAAGAGGACAAATCAGTCAAAATGCAAAGGCACTAAACTATGTCAATCATCCTTACAAGGCAGAATTCTATTCAGTAAAAGAACTGAGGATATGAGCTATGTTTTAATTTTTTCTTTATTTCTCCCTCTTGAATGAACAGACATTGAAATAACTAAAATACAACCAATGATGAATGTTTTGAGCACCCATTAGTTCACAGATAAGCCACTAGTTATTGTAAGGCACTACATTATAATGTGTATACACAAATAATATAAAATATGGTTTCTTACAATATGAGAGTTTAGTGTAGTTGATAAATAAGAAATCCAAACATAAAGATATCTAATGTTCCTGACATAACCTTCAAATGTACTGAGGCTTAAAATCTTGAAGGTTTGCTCTTTATCTCCAAGGACCTTGAGAAAAATATTGGAGGAGAAACAGAAAAAATGCATTTGTAAAATAAGGGAGTCTTCTAGCTAGCATTCAGCCCTTAAAATAAGTATTTCAGGAAGTTATATAATAGAATTGCCTAGAGTAAGGCATTCTATTAGGACTTTCTCTAAAGGTATTCACAATTCTTTTCTGGATTTACATAGGTGAGGATTCACTATGGCTTAATCATCTTAGTCAACTATAATGGCCTTGATTTGTGCAAGATCCAAAAGGAAAAGAAGACAGAGTCAGAGGCATGGAATAACCCCCCCCCCCCGCCACAGACTAGTCCAAAAAGTTGAAAACTTTCAACTGGGAAAATGCAGGCGATGATTGTAAGGTTAATGAGATGTCCTGGGTGAGGCTGCACATCTAGACATTGGGTTAAGGGGTGTACCTGTAGAAGATAAATTAGATTCCTGCTGCAGAGCTCCACTTGGAGCACATGCCGACATTTGCATTTTGTAGTTCAAATATTCAGGAGGAACAATTCTGGGTCGTGAAGCTGCCTAGGTCTTCCAGAGTAGTAGCAGAGATTCCAGGTACCTCTTGATAAATTGTGGTTACATTAACTGGTCTAAACCAGGGAGATTTGGCTGAGAGGATTCTGTGACAGCATGATCCCATCCTCTTCCATTCCTGCTTCAGAAAAGGGAATTTGACTTCTGTTTTCTCTCCTGGCTTCGACCTCCCCTACTACATATTTTTCCTTTCCCGTCAAAAAAGGCAACTTTTTTTTTCAAGGAGCATAGAGATGGGATGGCATGGAGTGCACTGTATAGTTAATACAATTTATGTAATCAGGTAAAAATCGTGATTTATCCACTTTAGAAACGTGTGAGGTGGCTGGGTGCGGTGGCTCACACCTGTAATCCCAGCACTTTGGGAGGCCGAGGCGGGCAGACCACCTGAGGTTGGGAGTTTGAGACCAGGCTGACCAACATGGAGGAACCCCGTCTCTACTAAAAATACAAAATTAGCCCAGCGTGATGGCGCATGCCTGTAATCCTAGCTACTTGGGAGGCTGAGGCAGGAGAATTGCTTGAACCCGGGAGGTAGAGGTTGCGGTGAGCTGAGATCGCGCCATTGCACTCCAGCCTGGGGGACAAGAGCAAAAAGCCATCTCAAAGAAAAGAAAAGAAACGTGTGAGGCAATCCTGTGTCTACGTGTCCTCATAGGTGTCCACCTCATAGGTGTTCACTGCCATAGGAGGCAGCATCCTCACCTAATGTGGCAGGAAAGTTACTCATCAGGCATTTCTGCTTCAGCCACCAGGCAGGTTTTAGTGCCTTTTGTGTTTCTGTTTCTGTTTTAATACCTCATAGGTTACCTTTGTTACCTTTACGGTTTGAGGTTTAAGTGCTGTACTCATTCTAAGGGAAGAAGGAATGCATTGTAAACGTTTGACGTAGTAAAGTTTCTGTAAAGTGAAGTAAATTTAAGGGGAATTTAAAAAATTCCTGCCATCTGATGGCAATAGGGGAAGCTAGTCCTCTATTTCCAAGAAGATCATCTTATGGAGACAAACCTCCCTCGCTTTTGTAATAGCTACACTCTTCATCAAACCCAACACTAATTTTTTTGGTCAACGCTACTACTGAATCACTAAATCTACCAAATTAAGTATGCTTCTTTTTAAAATGTATTTTTAATTAATTTTTCTTTTCTTTTTTTTTTTTTGAGATGAAGTTTCGCTCTTGTCGCCCAGGCTGGAGTGCAGTGGCGCAATCTTGGCTCACCGCAACCTCCGCCTCCCGGGTTCAAGCGATTCTCCTGCCTCAGCCTCTGGGGTAGCTGGGATTACAGGTGCCTGCCACCATGCCTGGCTAATTTTGTATTTTTAGTAGAGACAGGGTTTCACCACGTTGGCCAAGCTGGTCTTGATCTCTCGACCTCAGGCGATCCACACGCCTTGGCCTCCCAAAGTGCTGGGGTTACGGGCATGAGCCACCACGCCCAGCTAAGTATGCTTCTAATTATACTTTAAGGATATATGAATATAAGCTATTATATGTTGTAATGACTGAAATCCCCTAAATTCATTCTTTATCATTACTTCTTAAGGAAAGTTTTCTTCTGGTATATGTGTTCTCAGTTCATGCACACATTTTCAAAAGCAACTCCTTGGATATGTCAAAGAATATGTACTCATAATTTGCAAAGTTCAAAGCTGTGGCCTGCATTCACTTCTGTTTCCTTTGTTCTGGTGCTCAGGGCCTCTGTACAGAGATTGGTGAATGAGATATGTCTCATATTCTTGTTATATCTTTAGGAGATTTGTCACTTTCCATTACACATAAACACTTATATAAACATACATAAATATATTGCCAATAATAGTCTTTACAGTTCATTCCTTGGTATGCAATGGTTACCTTCTAAAGCCTAGGGGAAAAAAAAGGATTCCTTCATATAGTTAAGGAGAGAGATAGATGGAACTCCAATTGAATTGGCAGTTGCCATTCTAGTGACCAGATAGAGTAGACCAGGCATGCTCCTATTAGGTGTGTAACATGATTATGGAAAAGACATCAAAAATTTATCGAGGGTAAGGGCTATTTCTGTGTTTTGATAATTCCGGTATACTTAGTTACACCTGTAGCTCAGAAACACTAAACGAGTCTGTCTCCTGGTTTTGTGTTGAGTTGGAAGGCCTCCAAATAATGTTTACGTGCCAATAATCCCATGAATGCTGTGTTGGTTCATTGGCTTCCTGGTCACTATTTGGAAGTAGCTCTCTAAAGTCACCAGTGATGTCTTTGCAATCCAGACAAATGCAGGAGTTATTATTTGTTTTTTTTTTTTAGTCCTCACTCTTCACATTTCAATAGCATTTGGCATTTCTCTTACAGCTTTTTCTCTTTCATTGTTCTCTCTTCTCATCTAGTGTATTAAAAATGAATGTTTCTATAAAATTATTTCCATGTATTCTGCTTTTCTCTCTTGCACTTATTTTGAAGTAAGGAGATTAGAAATCAGAACTTCAGGTTTTAAAAAAAGAAAATCAAATAAGGAGAGACGAAATGTCATTGCAAATTGCAGTTAGCATTTGGTTTGACAGTGAGGAATAGAGACCTAAAATAATAGTGACTTAAACAAGAAAAAAAGCTTATTTTTTTCTCTCATGTGAAAGTCTCAAGCCAGGCAATCTGGAGTGGTGTGGGAGCTCTGCTCCATACAGTCTTCAGAGATCTAGGCTCTCTCAAGCTCTCTGCTCTCATCTTATGATGCCTTCTTGCCCCTTATGTACTCATAGTCTAGGCAGAAAGGTAGACAAAGGAACAGAAAAAAAGAGCAAAGTGTGTGTGTACCATCTCTTTTTTTTTTTTTTTTATACTTTAAGTTTTAGGGTACATGTGCCATCTCTTTTAAGGAGGTCCTTGGGAGCTGCTTTATGGATATGTTCACTTATATCTCATTGGCCAGTACTTTGTCATCCAGTGATGCTGCTTACCTGCAAAAAAGGTCAGGAAATGTAGTCTTTATTCTGGATAGCCATATGCCCATATGAAAATTTTATTACTGTAGGAGTGGAAAATAGATATTTGTAAAGACTTTCTCCTATATTTTCTTTTACCAGTTTTAATATTTGCTTTTTATAAGTATGTGTTTTACCCATGTGCAGCTAGTTTTGTTTATTGTATTAGGTAATAAACCTAATTTGACTTTACTTTCCTATCAGGTAATTAATTAATGGAGTACCCTGTATTAATTTTCTCCCAATGACCTATAATGGCCTTTCTGACAATGTTCCCAAATATGCACGGATCTGTCCCTATACACTCTATTCTGGATTTTCCTCATCTATTGTCTTTCCTGTACCAATACCATATGACATCTTTATTGTGAGCTTAAATCATGAGAAATGGCCAATATTTGTTTCGGACCTGTAAAAAGTCAGTTTCATGGGATTCAAAATTAATGCTATAGTTTTATAATAAGCTTTGTTATAGCCAATTACTTCCCTAACTTTTCTCATTGACATTTTCTTTCTAAGGAGTATATTGATTATTAATGGCACCATACTTTTTTAGATATACTTTAGAATTGGCTTTCTCTGTTCCAAAAAAAGAACACTTTTAGCATTTTAACTTGAATTTTGCTGAATTTATACATAATTTTGTGAGATAATGGATATCTATTTAGTATTCCATCTTCCTATCTGTGAACATGGTATACATTTACATTTATTAGGTATTCTTTGATGCTTTTCAATTAAATTTTTAATTTTCTCAATAAATATCTTCCATATCTTCTAACATATCTTGGTACAATATTTTAGTCCTATCTTATTCACATTACTATAATTATTTTACATCCTGTCATTACTTGTATTCACCCACATATTTATCACTGTATTTGCTTATCATTTCTTCTCAAATATCAATCCTACTTCGTGAGCTGACCTTTTTTCTTCTTGAAAAACATTCTTCAAGTCTTCCTTTGGTGAGAAAGTGCTGCTACTAAAGTTTTCCTATTTTATTTTTTTGTCTACAAATATCTTTATTTTACTCTTGTTCTTGAATGAAAGTTTAGGCAAAGATATAATTATTGGTTGTATCTATATATAACTATATAATATCTATATATATTATATCAATCTATGTTAGATTGACCATTATCTTCCCTGAACCCTTTGGAAATGTTACTCTACTGGTGTTTCCAAGATTGCTGATGAGAATCTGCTGACAGTCTGTTACCCATTTGTGTGTCTATCTATCTACTTATACATAGATAGACACACACACACACATATATATATATACATATAGACACACACATATATTTCTCACCAGCTGCATTTTAGGTTTTCACTTTGTCACTGGCATTTTGAAATTTCACTACCTACCATGTAATTAAAGTGTGGGGCTGAGCGTGTTGGCTCACACCTTTAATCCCAGCACTTTGGGAGGTCGAGGACAGTGGAGCACCTGAGGTCAGGAGTTCCAGACCAGCCTGGTCAACATGGTGAAACACCATCTCTACTAATTTTTGGGCAAAGACACACCCCAAAATTAGCTGGGCGTGATGGCACGCACCTGTAAATCCCAGCTACTCAGGAGGCTGAGGCAGGAGAATCGCTTGAGCCTGGGAGGCGGAGGTTGCAGTGAGCTGAGATTGCTCCACTGCACTCCAGCCTGGGTGACAGAAAAAGAGTCTGTCTCAAAAAAATAAAAAATAAAATAAATAAATCAAGGGTGGATTTTCTTTTACTTACTTTTATTGGTGTTTGTTGTACTTTCTGAATTAAAGATACATGTCATAGACACTGAAAAATTCAAAGCTATTATTTCTTTCTTTTTTTTAAGATAAGGTGTCACTTTTTTTTTTTTGTTTTGAGATGGAGTCTTGCTCTGTCACCCAGGCTGGAGTGCAGTGGCGTGATCTTGGCTCACTGCAACCTCTGCCTCCTGGCTTCCAGCGATTCTCCTGCCTCAGCCTCCTGTGTAGCTGGGACTACAGGCGTGGGCCACCATGCCTGGCTAATTTTGCATTTTTAGTAGAGACAGGGTTTCACCATGTTGGCCAGACTGGTCTTGAACTCCTGACCTCAGGTGATCTGCCTGCCTCAGCCTCCCAAAGTGCTGGGATTACAGGTGTGAGCCACCGTGCCTGGCCATGGTTCTTTCACCCAGGCTGGAGTGCAGTGGTGCTATCTCAGCTCACTGGAACCTCTGCCTTCCAGGCTCAAGTGACCTCCTGCCTCAGCCTACCAAGTAGCTGGGGCTACAGGCATGTGCCATTGTGCCTGGCTAATTTTTTGTTTGTTTGTTTTTTATAGAGACAGGATCTCACCATTGGTGCCCAGACTAGTCTCATATGCCTAGGCTCAAGTGATTTGCATGCCTCAGTTTAACAAAGTGCTGGGATTATAGGCATGAGCCACCACCCCCAGCTTCAAAGCTATTATCTCTTTGTGTCAACTCTTCTCCATTTCTCTGTTTTATTTTCCTTTGTAAACTCCAAATAGATGTATGTGTGTCCTGATCATTCTGTTCTCAAAGTCTCTTACACTTTTTTAAATTTCAAAGATGTTGCATTGTTTTTAGTTTCTTCAGATCTTTTTTACAAGTTCTTCAATTCTCCCTTCAGCTGTGTCTAACCCATTGTTTAACCAATCTGCTGAGTTTTGAAGTTCAAAATTTACATTGTTCATTTATACAAGTTATTTTGAGTTCTTTTTCAAATGTGCCTGGTGAATTCTTGAAAACACCTTGTTCTATTGTTCTTATTTTTAATTATCTTTCACCCCCCCCCCCCAAAATTTAAAGCATACTTTAAAATAATTTGTATCTGATTCTTCAATATCTGATGACCATGGGTTATTTTTCTACTGGCTCTTATTTTTAGTACATTATTTAATTGAGTTTTTGATAATTTTCTATTGTAAGCTTTCCTTTGGCTGATATTAATTTATAGGGATCCTGAGGAACCTAGGTTAAGAAAACGTATCTCCACACAGGATCTGTGTTTCTTCTGCCAGGCGTCCTGGGCTACTATCAGCCTGGAGACCCTTAAACATTAATTTTGCTTGTGGTCTACTAGAATGCAAAGATAATAAATGTTCAAATCTCCAACCCATGTGAGGGCAGGCTTATCATTATGTTTTTTTTGTTTTGTTTTGTTTTGTTTTGTTTTGAGATGGAGTTTTGTTCTTTTTGCCCATCCTGGAGTGTAATGGTGCGATCTCGGCTCACTGCAACCTCTGACTCCCTGGTTCAAGTGATTCTCCTGCCTCAGCCTACTGAGTAGCTGGGATTACAGGCGTGTGCCACCATGCCTGCCTCATTATGAATTTTGAAGGGAGGCTCATTTTTTCTTTCTACCAAGACCTAAGGCAAACTGATTCCTCTGTTCCTCTCTTTCCCAGCGGATGAAATCTTTTCTGGCTTACATTTTTTTTTATTGAGGGAATATCGCTTCAAGTAACCCAACTTTCTCCAGAAGGCTCAGATTTGACTTATTACCTTGAGCCAGACTGAAGGCTTTTCACTTTCCCTGGTTGTAAACATTAAAAAACCCAAGCATCTAGATTCCTGCTCTCAGGAGATGCCCTTGGACAGTCTGTGAGTTTAGCATTTTCTCACACTAAGTTTCAAGCTCTTTTTAGCCTTTTTGAACCGTGAATTTCTTTCACTTTCTTTGTTGCTCATTAATGTATTTTAAATTCTATTTATTTTATTGTATCCAGAATTTCTTAGGGTTTATGGTAGGTTTTTCCTAGAATATGTAGCCAATCATATTGTCAAATGCTGGTTTTCCTTCCTTTGGAATGGTATCCATTCCTAATTATGAGCATCATCAATACTATGCTTATGACAGTGAATCCTACTCCATACCTTCAGACTTCAACTTTCATCTACTTTCTACTTCCCAAGGCATTTGGAAATATGAACTAGCAACTTCAATATTTTATTAGCTGTTAAAGCTCTCAAGGTGTCCAAAATAAAATTTATCTTCTTCCACAAATTGATTCTCCCATTAAACATTGCTATTTTGTTATTATAACATGTCAATATTATTCCTACTTTTTTCATATGTAAACCTTGAAAATACTAGAAATGATTAATGAACTTTAATGTATTTCATGCAGTCTGTCACTGACTCTTCTTTGTCCCAATGCCTGTATTATAAATGATCATTTCTAATTCCCACCCAGAATACAAGGTCTTAACTACCTCAATTAAGATTAATTCCATATAATTTTAATGCAACTAGTAGATATCGATCATCTGCTTTGTGAAAGGTAATATGCAAGCTGCTACAGATTATACAAAAGACATACATTATTTGGTCATTTCCATAAGGTTCTTAGTTTCACAGGAATAACAAAAATATGATATTGCTGGGCACAGTGGCTCATGCCTGTAATCTCAGCACTTTGGGAGGCCAAGGCAGGTGGATCACTTGAGGTCAGGAGTTGAGACCAGCCTGGCCAACATGGTGAAACCCCGTCTCTGCTAAAAATACAACAATTGGCCTGGCATGGTAGTGGGCACCTATAACTCCAGTGACTTGGGAGGCTGAGGCAGGAGAATTGCTTGAACCTGAGAGGCAGAGGTTGCAGTGAGCTGAGATAGTGCCATTGCACTCCAGCCTGGGCAACAGAGCCAGACTTCATCTCAAAACAAAAAATATCTATTAAATCTATCTATTATTATTGTTTAATTAAGTATGGACTAAATATAATCAATTGCCTAAATATATGGGTCAGGTATGGATGGGGGAAAGAAAGGAGAGATTTCATTGTTGGCTGAATTTAGGGAATGAAATGAAAGATAACACAAAAAAGCAGAGCTGGGAGCTGAGCGAGAGGGTTTTCTGATGACATTATCTCAGTACCTGAATCTAGCTAACCAAGCCACTAATTTCCCTCTTCCTTTTCTTTATTTTTCTTTAGTTTCTTCTGGCTAACTTCATTTTTTTACATTTTTAAAACAAATTGGTTATTTTATTCTAGCCATCTTTCTTTCCCCTTTGGAAGTATAATTAGGGTTTAATTTCGATAATAAAAAAACTTATTTCTCTATGTCTGGTGAGGTTTTAATCTTGCAGTGCTCTGAAATGTTCACCCCTTCCTCTGCAGTTACTACTGTTCCTCAATGCTCATGCCCCCTTAAAGCCCACCTTGACTTCTATCACTGTTTTCTTCCATTTTAAGGTATCTATTACATTTATTTTCTGGCTTTTTTTTTTAGAACAAAAATACAACACGTAGCTAAGCATTAACTATTTTCTATCTGTGTTAATTCCTGTCTTTGATAAACATTTAATATAGGAAAGTAAGTATTTTGTAGTCATCTTTCTATTCTTCCAGTGATAAACACAGTGACTGATTGATAGTGCTTAATACATGTTCATTAGAGTAAATTTTGCGGAGAGAGGACTGTTCCCTGGGAAATAAATAAAACAAAAACAAAAAACACTTCATTCCTCCTACAGCTGCCACCAACTACAGTGAAGTCTGATGCATCATGCATATTTAGAAGACAATTTATTCTAGACTTTATGGGTGGCCAAGAATGTTTTTTTCAAATATTAATATTCTTGCATCAGAAGTATACTTTAAAATTAACCTTCAAACAGAGAAACGAATTATTGGCTACAAATGTAGATTATTAAAAGTATTTTAACTCAGTTCCAGAGAATTTGTTCCATCATTGGATTCATTAATTTACAGACTTTGAGTCTCTGATTCTAATTTGCCACTAGTAATATTGACTTTTTAAAAAATCATGAATTATGTGTGTTATATTTGCTGTCCTCTATAAACTATAAAGAAATTCTGCTTTAGATCTGGAGAAACACATGTTTAGGTTACTCACCGTTGGCGATTCTATGACTATGGTACTGCTAATCTATGACCATGGAGGCAGAGATCTTATTTGTCGTGTTCATTCTTTTTATCTTTAGTGAGTTTCCAATATAGTTCCCTGAACATGATAGGTTCTCAATAAATATTTGTTGAATAAGTGAACAAATTAATGTATATATATATTAAGGACCAACACTTATGTTTATACAAGCTGGATCTTGTACAATATACCATTTTCAGAATATAATGATATATGGTCACACAGTAAATTGGCATTGCTATTGCAAAGGATTTATTTGGTGTTCAATAAGGTAAAGCGCTAATGCAAATAGAGAAAAATGAGAGGCCAAAGAAACATGAGAACAGCAGGCAGATATTTTATAATACACTTCACATTTTTAAATTACTAAATAATGTAATTTCATGAGAGATCCTTGTTTCATTATGAAGTTTGTCAATAAACAGAATGATGGCCTGAGTGGTTAGAATATCTAGTTTTTTGTTGTAGCTCTGCTGTTTACCACCTATGTGACCCTGGGTTATATCATATCACCTTTCTGGCCCAATTTCCTTATTTATAATAAAAAGGCTGATTTAATTTTGCTAAGATCTCTCCCAGCTTTAATTCTCTATATTTGGTATTTACTTCACATATGTTGTATGCTCCAAACTCACTGGCCCACAGTTGGAGGGACTAGCTATCCCTGCTGCTACTCAACTTAAATTGGGGAAATAAAATATAACCAGTAAATAGTTTTCATGCAGGAATGCAAGTCCAGTGAGATCAGATCTTCATATTTTTTTAAAAAAGAAGCCAGAAATCTGATTTCTATGTGAATTTTAAACTTTTAAATATTGGCTATGAAGTCAAATAGCTTTAAAATACTGTTTAATCCAAACAAAACATAACAGCAGTTGGGCTTGGCCCATGGGCTGTCAGTTTATGTTTTAAAAGGATTTTTCTGCCCTTATCATCTTCAATTCCTACTTTTCTGGTCAGTGAACAACAGTTGTTGTACAATATTTTTCTGCTGCCTTTATAAAAGGTAGATGAAGCCTAATAGAGTTGGGTCACAATATGTGCGGGTTTAGCGTTCTAGGATGACATTGTAGTTGTGACATGAGGAAAACGATATTCTTGAGCAAATTTGACTTCAGATTTTCAAGGTGTAATATGGCTAAGTTATTTTACGTAGCTTATAATCTGAGAATTGTCAAATTATTTAGGAGAAGAAAAGAGATATCTAGGAAGGGTGTCAGAAGTAGTATACCAAGCAATTCAGTAGAAACCTTGGGGTTTATTTCCCACTTTTAATCAATGAGAGAACTTATAAAGTGGACTTGGTGAGGGAGGAATGTTGTTTCATATCTAACCCAATTCTATTTCTTCTACAAGTTTTCTGCCTGGTGAGGTCATCCCAACTTAATTAACATTTAATTGAATCAGAATGGTGTGGCAGAAAATCACATGGACCTTGGAATCAGACTTGGGTGTGAGTCCCATTTCAGTCACTAACTGGATGACTTTAAAGTTATTAATCTTGTCTGTGCCTCAGATACCTCTTTTACAAAAAGAAATAATACTTCACTGTGAAGTATTATTTTTGTTTTATATTTGTATTATATTTGTTGAATGGACTAGAAGTACCACATATACTGATATGGAGTGTATAATAGATGATAGCCAAACTTACCCTAAACTTACACTATTTTTGGAGCCCTTGCGATGTAAAAGTTTCTGTTTACACCTTATAGAGGAAATAAACGTGAACAAAGCATTATTCCTATTCTCAAGGACTAAATTCTGTAATTGGGGAAATAAAATATAACCATATAGGGCTATCAGTCATGGTAGACTTTAATATACACGAACCAACAGCATGAGAGCACACATGGAGAGAGTTCTGTATTACCTCATTCATGAACACTTTTGTTAACCCTCTAGTTGAAAATTGCTTGAGTTTTGGTTATTTCCATAGGAAGAGCCAGGTTGAGAAGAAATACCAGGAATGATTTCCTGGAGCAAAACACAGCTTGAGAAAATGCATATTTCCCAGAAATCATAGGGCATATAGTAAAGATATTGATGGAAAATTATGGAAGAGATAAAAGATTGGAAAGCAAGGTTTTAAAAGAATGGTGGCATTCACAGAGGTATACAACTTCCCCATCACCAGATTCCAATAGGTCAAGGTCATGCAAAAATGTGGTAAAAGTATAAATTGTGAGATCTACCTTCCAAAAACATCAAGAAATTTCAGATAAAGTTCAAAAAAGGACAAATGAAATAAAGGATAGAAGAATGACCTAACATTTTGCCTCCTATGAAGAACAGGTACTCTGTCCTTGAAGAGGTAGAGATTAAAGGAGGACTTGGTAGAACATATTGATTGGACTTAATTTAGAGGAAGGGCCAACTTAGGTGAGAAGTTACAGGAAGTGAAAATAATTAGAAGATCAAAGGTTTTTATCTTAGGGATATGGAGGAAGTCTTATCTCCTTTGGCTTCTACTGTTCTAGCAGAGGCCAAGTATGACTGACTTTCTTTCTTCAGCTGTGAGGACATATAAATAGGAACATATCCTCACACACATAAAAAATAATGCTGCAATTCAAAAGGGTGGTGCTATCTTTTCTTGGGTGGAAGAAAAAAATTAGAAGTATTCTCATTCCTATTATTGACATGATTCAAGAAGTTGTCACAGGTATAAAAATTGAGCATCAGTTGTGAAAAATGAATATTCTGAAATCAAGAAAGATTTTATAAGAATTTTCAAAAATGAATACTTAAAAGGAGGCAGTGAAAAGTTGATTGAGTGCTCTAAAAACTGTTTCAGATGTTTGAAACTGAACATTTCTCCAAGAACCAAGGAAATTAAAAAATTGGAATTCTTGAGAGACAAAAAAGTAAAAATTAAATGCAAATTTAGAAAAAAAATCCACACGTGAGTGCAAATTTAAAACAAAAAATGCACACATAAAATGCAGAGTAGCCGAACAGAAAGAATAAGAATAAGAAAGAAATAAAAGAAAATTGTTCTGAACTGACAAGTCTTTGAGAGGATTCACCAATTATTCAGATAATTTTAATAGAAATATACCAACACCTATTTATAGCTCATTGAATTTTTGTAAATCAAAGATGAAGTAAACTTAAAAGCACAGAAGCTAATTAGGTTGAAAAATATCTAAGATGAGACTGGTATTGCACTTCTCCAAAATACTAAAGATAAGAGGAAGGAAAATGAGCAAAAGTGTTTTGAATTTTAAAGAATTGTTACCCAAGACAATATATATATTATTTTTTATATAAATGTACACATATTTGGGCAAGGAAAATATATTTCAAATATTCAGGGGCTGGGACATATCTTATAAGTGTATACGTCCTGAAAAAAATTACTTGCATATACATTCTGGGAAGGCAAGTGAAAATTAAGACAAATCATGAACTCAAAAATAAGAATGCTGGGAGGCAGGCCAAGGCAGGCAGATGACTTGAGCCCAGGAGTTTGAGACCAACCTGGGCAACATAATGAGACCCTCTCTCTACAAAAATACAAAAATTAGCCACGTATGGTGTTGTGCACCTATAGTCCCACCTACTTGGGAGGCTGAGGTGGGAGAATCACCTGAGCCCAGGAAGTCATAGTTGCAGTGAGCTGTGATCACACCTCTGCACTCCAGCCTGGGTATCTGAGTGAGACCTTGTCTCAAAAAAAAAAAAAAAAAAAAAAAAAGGTATTGAGCTCTAAAACTATTTAGCAATAACCTGGAGGTGATAAAACATTTTGCATATAAAATAATCTTTAAAATAGAAGTTACATTCTAAAAGTGATAGTAATTTGCTTTAAGAACTCAACTGAGATTATATCATAAAAACTGGGAAATTGATGAAGAAATGAAAGAGTAATAACATAAAATCATGTAATGTAATGCAGTGGGGGAATAAATGGATACTTTTCATTCTCAATTCTAATAGAGAAACTAGTTTCTAGTATCTTTTTTAAGATAGAAGTTAATTAGTTCATCATTGCTAGAAAGAAAACATTATGTAAACCTTCCAAATCACTAGAGAAAAAAAAGAAAAGATAACCTCAGATAAATCCTATGATATAGTATTAAACAAAATTAGGAGTAACTTTATATACTAAAATGTCAACAATGGTGAATTCTATGTTATCCAAGTGTGAAACACATTGACTTGTTTACTTATGTAGTCTTGTTTGTATCTTACATTTTATAATAAATACAGATTAATTATATAATAAAAACAGATAATTTATTTTTGAGTCAGTGTAGCAAATGATATAGAACAAGCAAAACTTATTTTTAAATACAGAAAAATGCTACTGTGATATACTATCAAATGAAAGAAAGCAGGACGTTTCCACTTTTGTAAATAAGGACACATGTAAATAGAACAAAATATCTCTGAATGGAGAAAATAGGGATGAGATTTATATCATTTGTCACAATTTTCTGCACAAATTTCCTGCAATTACCTGAGGTTGTTTAAAAAATAACAATAACAATAAAAAAACCAGTCAAACAAAAAATGTCATGGAGAGGGTTTGGCTGGGGCTGCAGTGGTGAAGGACTTGAATACCAGGGTAAGGGTTTTGGGTGTATTCTTTAGTCAATGGGGAGCCACTGAAGGTTTTAAGATTAAGACAGAAGTATTGTTATTGTTTAGGTTGGGCTGAAGTGGAAAATTGACTGGAATTTATTGTAATTGTCTAGACAGGAAGTAATAAGGGCCAGAACTACATTTTGCAGGATAGGAAAGAGAAGAGACATTTGATCAGAGACAGGAACAATCAAAGGGATTTGGTGGCAGTATTCAATGACACAGAGTACAGGAAAGAGAGAAGCCAAAGGCATATGGAATCAAAGTTATTGAGGTAAATTGGTACTCATAGCAGGGGTGGGTAGTGAAGGGAAGCAAGAAGAGGGGAAAGTTTAGAAAAAACGATGATGAATTTGATTTTAAATATATTTCTGATCCTGAAGAGGCATCACACATTTAGGATTTTTACGAGATAATGGGTGCAAATCATATCTTACGTTTTAACTAAACTGCACCTAGAAAGTCTGCTTTAGGACCTGTAATGATCTCATTGAATCATCCTTCCCTTCCTTGACAGCACATGGGCAAAAATAAAAATAAAAACAGAGAGTGCCCAGTCCTCTATGGCCAGTGACCCACACCATGCCTGCTTCCTTCCCTGCCAAGAGATTGGAAGCATAGCTCTAATTCCAATGCCAAAGATCCTACCCAGGTCCAAGAGTCCTTAGGTAAATCACCTTACATTTCCAGCCAGAACTGCTTTTAGACCCTAACATCTAAGGTCCCTGCTCTGGGCTTGGGACTTTAGAGGGTTGGCCTTTCCCATAGGGTGTAAGGAGTTTGCAGAGCTCCCCTCTCCTAGAACTACCCCACTTCTACACTGCTGAGATGCTGAAGCCACTTCTCAAGGCTTGCTCAGCCCTCTTCCCCAGTTGGTCCTCCCAAGAGTGGGCTGTGCTGTTGCTGTGTTTCTCTTGACCCAAGTGATGGTTAAGAGGTGGTTGTTTTGGAGGAGAAATATGGGTTGAGATAGGTTTCAGTGTCCACTTCATTGGCCTAAGGCTCTTTGTGGTGAAAGATGACAGTGTGGGAAAAGAAGATGGGTGGACCACAATATGAAGTTTTCTTTATACTCTGGCCATGAATCATGCAGTCCACAGGGGCCATTCAACCCTGTGTAGACAGCAAGCTGAGGCAACAAGCAGAGCAATGAAAGGTGAATTAAAATCGAGGAATAGCTTAATATTTTGGTTACTGGTCCTAGTATGCTGAACATACTGGCAGGTAAGGGAAAAATTAGGCACAGATTTTTAACAAGGCTTTCTCCCAAACCACAATTAGAGGTCCATTTGAGGAATCTTCCTGTCCCTTTGTGACTCACAGTAGACTCTAATCACCATTTCCTTTAGTAGCCTGTGATAGGAAACACCAAGACAAGGGAGGAGATGCATCACACTTTGGCATTCCCTGGTTTTCTGCTTTATTGGTGTGGTTCTTAAATTAAGAAGACCACCGTCCTCATGCTCCTCTTTAACCATGCTTTTTTCCACATCCTCGGCACCACTCATAGGACCAGAATGGCTCTCAAAGGGTAGATTTAACCACTTAGGTGACTTTTGTACCTCTGCCTCTGCACAGAGCCCTTCTTCCTTCTTTTATTGTGTGACCCTGTATATAATGACTATAGCTGATTGGATCAAAGGGGAGGTACATGAACCAATGTTTCCAGGCATTAGAGCAGGGGTGTCCAATCTTTTGGCTTCCGTGGGCCATGTTGGAATAAAAAGAATTGTCTTGGGCCACACATAAAATATACTAACACTAACGATAGCAATGAGCCAAAAAAAAATTGCCAAAAAAAAAAATCTTTCAAGAAAGTTTACGAATTTGTGTTGGGCTTCATTCAAAGCCATCCTGGGCTGCATGCGGCTCGCAGGCCATGGATTAGATCAGATTGCACTAGAGAGTAGTGATGGTGCATTGTCTAAAATGCCATATGGGACCATATGTGACCAAAGGAGGCCAATCAAGATACAAAAGAGATAGGAGAGGCAAAGATGCACATGCCCATGGTGCCCAAGAGAAACAAAAAGGTTGCCCTACTCCTGGAATTCCAGTTCACATTCTTGTCCTTGTGTGGCTCTTCTCTTCTTTGTCTTCTCTCAGCTGTCAGTGAAATCTTCTTTGCTTTCTTATAGTGTAAATATTTTGCATAAGCTAGTTAGGTCTCTATTCCTTGTAACAACTGCAAAGACACTCAGGTCAGATTACACTTCGGAGAACTTAATCGTTTATCTTTAAGATTCAATGTTTGACTTTACTAGATTTGCATCATGTTGACCTTTCATCTCTCCCGAGAGTTTATACAGATTGCCAAGGCCACTCAGACAACATATGGCAGATTGGGATGAGGAACCTTGGCTTGGTTTTCTTTCAGCAGCTATCCTCATACTATGCTCTGTTTGACAACTCAGTGCCTACCTCCTAAATACTGATAAATAAGATCAACAATAACTTATCAAACATATTCACAAGCCCCTCAGTACAAGGTTCAAATTCAAATTTTCCCAGTTAACTAAATTTTTTCTCTCCTTTCTTTTACAGTCAGTCCTTCTTCTAGCTCATTGTAGATGCTATGATGAATTCAGAGGATGGTGAACAAGATTCTATATGCATCCTTTTCACTCTTCTGATGACACATCACTTGAATAGCTTCATGGGAAGGTAAGGTAATAAAATTTCCATTATACTCAACCCAGTAATTTGAAAAAGCTATTAAAACATTTAAACAGTGCATCACAGCTGTCCCTCTGACCTCGGGTCTCAAAATTCAGTTGTTCTTCTCTGTGGAAACAGTCACAGGTGATGAGAGGCATGAAGCGTCTCTTTTATCCAGTGCTTGCACCACTGTGGCTCTAGGGACCTCTAAGCTGGGCTACCTGAATTGCACAGGAGAAATTCTCTGCGTATCAGCTGTGTATTACATGTAGTTCACTGTGGAATTGCACTTAGCACAGTACATGGTTGGCAGGCTGACTCCAATCTGCTTCCCGTATAATTTTGGCTCATGTGCCCAGATGTTGCATTATATTAAATATTTAAGCCCTTATAGCATCTATGTAGGTAAAATAGAAAGGGACTCAATCTATTGCTTCAAGTTTTGTACCACATTTCAGTTTGCAAAATACTTTCACACCCATAACCTTACTTGCCCTCAGAAAGCTCTATGAAGTTGACACAGTTATCTCCATTTTATAGTTGAGCACACAAGACTCAGAAAGGTCAATAACTTTGATAAATGGCAGAGCTAGAACCTGATCTCCAAGTCAAGTATTTTTGCTACCATTCATTCTTTCATTAATTCACTCAATAAACATTTCTTGACTACCTATGTGGATAGGATATTATGCTGAAAACCAGGCACACAGAAGTGAACTTCTTTATCCATCTTGAGAGATCAGAGAATACTTCTCAGTAGGAGTGGTGTCCAAGCTGAGAAGGGAGGAAGTGATAGATGTTATTCAAGCAAAGTGGGAGGTCTGGGAGTATTCCATGCAGACTAAATTTTTATCTTTAAACTATTCCAATGGATCTGACAAATAGGAATGAGACAAAGAAGCTAAGGATTAAAGTTCCACAATTGTGCAATCTCATATTTAAAAGATGAGGATTGCATAAATTAAACTTCCATTTTTTCTTTAGAAATTATATGAATTTCTTGTTATTACCTTCTCAAGACCAAAGAAAGTCTGATACTTTTCAAAATGACTTTTTGTTTGTTTTCACTAACTTAGTGATGACTGTTTGGCAACCTGGTTTGTTTTTATAATCTCAATGATAATTGAAGATGGAGTATTAACCATGTCCCTTTCACAAGAACACTGAGGCTGTCTCCTCTTTTGAGGCCGTTGCTTACAAAAGCTGGAACCTACTTTTAAAAAGCCAAATGGTATGGGTTGTTCACACAGCACCCCTTAGAAAGGGGGATGCCGAAAGCTGGAGCAAGGGGGCTGTTCCTGATATCTCACGGGGTGTTGATGCAGAAGGCAAATGCCTCCAGCCATCTAAGCAAGTCCTGACTTTTTCTACACACAGAACATCTCTAGACATGACAGGGACCAACAAAACTACAGACAGAATCCAAAGGACACCCTGGTTTGGATGTGTTAGAAGGTTCACTTGACTTGTCAGCTTTTAGGTTGGCAGTTATCAGGAAACAGGAAAGGGCATATAATCCTTGTTAAATAATTGAGTCTTAGGAGCACAGTTTTATCATCTTCCTAATGAATCCCATATTCTATTGGCTTTGAGGAGAGTCAACACCCAAACAATGTAATAAACATTGCATTTCAAAGCAGGAAAGTATTCACAGGGGCGGGGTGAGGAGATGCTTGACAACAGAATCCTGGGAACATCACTAGAAAGAAAGAAAGTGGGGGAACAATGCCAGAATGGGAGACAAAGCTGACCCAGATAGAAGTACAGGTAACATGTACAAGGAGAGGTAAACCCAGGGCACTTACACAGGCAGGAGAATGAAAGACATAGTTAAAAAGTTGTCTTCAATTGTCATTGATATAATTATTTCTAGATGAATACATTGCCAATAGATGGATTGGCAGTTCATCAGGTGAAATCATACTCCAAGCTTCATCATTATGGACTATCTGAAGAATAAGAACGAGGGGTGTGGAGAGATTCCTGTGCTGATTAAGTGGATTAGAAAGCTTTATGTAAGGATGAATGTAGAAACTTACAAAGGAATAAATAGAGGCATGAGAAGACATTTTCATATGATAATTACAGCATTATTGTTATTAAAATTAGTAAGACTCAGTTCTAACTTTGGAGGAGTTCACTGCTTAGAAGGGGAGATATGTAAATTAAAGGAGCCTGATGGTTTAATTTAGAGTGCTCTGGTAGAAATTTGTAGTGCCAAGACAGTACAAAAGGGAGTAACTATCTCTGCCTGGGGGAGTTAGGGAAAGCTTCCTGGTAGAGGAGACATATGATCTGGGTCTTGATGGATGAATAAGAGCTTGCCAGAACGAACAAGAAGGAAGCATATTCTAATAGAAAGGGAATTACCTGTTCTCTCGCGTACCTCTTTCCACTAATTCCTGTTAAAAACGAATATGTCATTTGAGAACGTTCACCCTTGTCATTGTCAAGGGTAAATTGATATATCAGAAATAAGAGTCCTGAGAACAGAGAACAGTGTAGTCCAATAGAAATATAATATGAGCCCCAAATGCAAGCCACAAATGTAATTTTAAAATTTATAGTAACCACATTTTAAAAAAAGGAAAGAAAAAGAGTTGAAATTAATTTTAATAATATATTTTATTTAACCTAATATATCAAAAATATTTTCATTTCAACATGTAATCAGTATAAAAACATTTTGATGTGATATTTTACATTCCTTTCTTGTACCAGATCTTTGAAATCTGTTACATATTTTACATTTACAGCACATTCCATTTCAGGCTAGCAACATTTCAAGTGCTCAATAGACACACGTGGCTAGTGGCTACCAGATTGGAAAGCTTAGAAAACCAGCTTGTTATTTTAGGGTAGTGGGAATGGGGACAGACTAGGATACCCTGTGGGAGGGAAAACCTAGAATTTGTATACAGGGGAGGCCAGGGGCAGGACGGGGACTCATGGTGCTTACTAAGGGCCCAGATGATGAGTTTTGCTTATCCAAAGCTGGCCAGCAAGGTCAGTGCTGGTGTCTGCTGTTCCACCCACAGAAAGTATGTCCAAGTCAAGTTTTCCTGGGAAAATTCTTATTTTGCTTTTTAAAAATTATTTTATTTAAAAAGCCCACAGGCTACTCGTCTCAACACCTAATAATGTCTTTCCCAGCTCTCTTAGGAAACAAGGCCTTGAAATTTCCCTCACATACTAGCCCCAGTGGACCCTGTCTCTATTCCATAGAAATGTTGCCCAGAAATGAGCTCATAGACCTTCTCATCATGGCCAGAGGCAAGCAGTACTGTCTGGGACACCAGGAGCAGAGGTCAGAGGCAAGCTCAACTTTCCTGAAATAATGTGCTGATATTTCCACTGCGAAAGATCGGTCATAGATGGTGCCTAAAACTGACTCAGCTCTGGCCAGGGCATAAGAGAGAATGGGTTCTTGAAACTCCTTAATCTCATCGTCCAGAATGGCCAAGGAAGTCAGTCATTGTGGACTTCCCCTCTTGTGTCTCGGCCTCCTGTTCCTCACTGACTCTCTGGGTTCTACCCAGACTTCTGGGCCTCATGCTCCACCAATACTTAAAATAAAATGGTAGGCAGAATGTCATTGCACTTGACCTGGTCATTTTCTTTTCAGGAAAACTCCCATTCACAGTTTTACTCCCACAAGTTCAGAGGGATCTACCCAACACTTGGCTGTAGCTGCTGGATATGTGACTGAGACAATAGAGATCAAGCGAAATCACTTAGTAAAGGAGATGTTATTTGGTCTGAGTCCTGTGCCAGCCCTTACTGCTTTTGTACATTGCCTGTGTTGTGCGTGGATACCAAAGGGTTATTTGAAGGAATAAGCCATTTACCTGCATCCTTTTTGGCAGTGCATAACTCAAGATCTCTGTGAAACTTACTGGAAATGATTAAAACACAGATACACTCTCTAGGAAGATGTCATGTACTTTTTGATGGAAAGCCAAGGCAGGTCAGAATGGATGCGCCGAATAATTTCTGTTTGGATTTTATCACCATCATCATCATTATCACTAGTATCATTATAATCTCCACTTTTTGCTTCTTTCTTGAGTTTTATATATTTTGATTATTTAATCAAGGAGAATGTTTTTACCCTGTCTTAAAGGCTTTTAGGCAGTCTAGTCCATCAGAAGACAATGTCTCTCTCTCTCTTTGTGTGTGTGTGTGTGTGTGTGTGTGTGTGTGTGTGCATCTACGCAAGTTTACTCTTTGAGTACAGGTAAATAAATAAGACGTGCCATTACTAAAATCATTATTGCCTGGGTCACTACCCATAATACCATCTGCTGGTATTTTATCAAGCCTCCTTCTATTAAAGGGCTGTTAAATTACTTCTTGTAGAAGGCTTATAAATCAGCCCATATGACAGATAAATATCTCACCAAGTAACTTTGTTTTAATTGTCTCTGCCACCATCCAGTGTCACTCAATTTATTGATTGGTAGCACCTTAATGAAAGAGTCCCGAAAGCTGATCTTTTCAACAGATTTAGGGAAAAAAGTAGGACTGCAACACTGGAATAAGGGCTAAATTCCATATGGTTCTATTTCTACGGAGCACGTCAGAGCATGATTTAAAATGTGTACCTCCCTCTGGTGGAAAATGATTTGTCTATAAATTTGAAAAAGTAAACAAGTGGAGAGAATTTTGAATTTACATTTGCTTATGAGATTTTGCTTACAGACTCTCACTTTAAATCCATGTAAACACATTTTTTTTTTTTCCTCCAGGGTAAGGGACTTGTGTTGTTTTGGGCATGTATCAATGTATATTATATATTTGTGTTATTTGTGTTTTGGTCTTTTTTTTTTTTTTTTTTTTTGAGATGGAGTCTCGCTCTGTCACCCAGGCTGGAGTGCAGTGGTGCAATCTTAGCTCACTGCAACCTCCGCCTTCTGGGTTCAAGCAATTCTTTGCCTCAGCCGTCCGAGTAGCTAGGATTACAGGAGCCCCCCACCACACCCAGCTAATTTTTGTATTATTAGTTGTGATGGGGTTTCACCACCTTGGCCGGGCTGGTCTTGAACTCCTGACCTGGCAATCCACCCGCCTCAGCCTCCCAAAGTGCTGGGATTACAGGCGTGAACTACCATGCCCAGCTGGTCCTCTTTTTTTTCTTTTTTGTCCCAGTCTTCCCCTGTGCCCCGCCATTTGGTATGAGTCCTGTGCTAGTGTTTACTGCTTGTGGGAGTTGCCTGTGTTGTGCATGGATGCCTTGCCAGTAGTTTGGGCTGCTCTAGCTAAGGGACCAGCCTAAGGGTTGAGTTCTGTTTTGCTGGAGTTAGATAGTTGTACGGGTGTTGTGATTCAAGACAACAAGAAGATAATGAGGCCAGGGGAGCTGGCACAGTCAAAAATAGTAAGAATAGAGCCAAGGACCAAATTTCAAGTGAGAATGAAAATAAAAGCTAAATCTGAAGGGCCAAAGGTGGAAACCAATATTGAGAGTATAGAGTTTACAATTTGGAACTAGGCAGATGATATCAAGCCACCCTACCAGTAAATGCAGGATTTGGAAAATAAACTGTTGTTTAATATGACTCCAAAGCTCTTTGTATAACACCATACCTCCTCCTCGTCTATTAATAACTACATCTTAGACTTTTTCGAGTCATTGAACCTCCTGTTTCACAGGTGAAAACACAATCTCACAGGATGGTTATACTTGTGAAGTTCTGAAAGCATGGAGCAGATGTTTATCATTATCATGAGATAATTAGTCACTCCTCAAGAATATTCAGATCTGAACTAAAAAAAATAGGAAAAGAAAAAAAGCTGTTTCTCTGCATGGTCTACATAGCCATATGAATAGATAAAAATCTGGGATATTAGTGAGTTACTTCATTTTCATATTACTAAATTTTGGTGGAATGTTTTTCATGGAATGAAATTGTTAATTGATTGAATCGACTGGTTGTTAATTAAATCAAAGCAGCTGAACCATCTCTGTATAGACACATCAGAAACATTCCTTTCTGATGATCCTGGTTCCTCCAGGGTTTTAGGACTAGCAGCAGGGAAAATATTGAAAATCAAGTTTGCTTTGGCTCTCTGTGGGTGAGCGATTCATGTGTCATGAAGTACACCAAAGAGACTGCGATGGGTCTACCGATTGGGCAGCTTCTGTGATTTGTTTATCTTCTGTGGTTGCAATAAAGAAAACATAAAAAAATCCATTGGTGACGACAGGGTTCAATATTTAAACGCAGTTGATACATTTCTTCTACCGCTAGGTGCAGACTAAATTTTTCTTCCCATGAAAAATTAGTATAATTTCTTCTTAGAGATACTGAGAATTGTGTAACTCATTGAGTTTCTGTTTTTGGTTGAATTTCCAGGACACTCTGAGAAAAATTATGGCTAACATAAACTAATTATGTTATATATCCATGCTTACATGCTTATATATTTATATTCCTCTGTTTCCTTAATGCTTGTTTTTATTTGTATTTTTTCTTGATTTAGTTTTTTAAAATATTATCTTATATTAAAAATTATTCACTAAAAGCTTACTCAAGCACTATGTGGTAAATAGACATTTAAACAAATTGGATAATAAAATTATAAAATTTTACAATAATCAAACTGTACACATAAGACCTTGGTACATCTACACAAAAAATAGAATATTTCAGCCAGGTAGTGTTTTATTTTGTCAGCTGGATTTTAGAAACATCAAAATAAAAATAATTTTTTCCCCTTTCCTCTCTGGTTAACAGAATCCCACTGTCCTTCATGACCCAGCTCAAGTTCTGCTTTCTTCATGAAGTCTTCTTGGCTGTTCTAACCAAATGACTCTCTTTTTGGAATTTCCATAGCACTTTGAGCTCACAGTGCACAGTTTAGAATTTTGTTATGCTGCTCTGGATTTTTCCTTCATTGTTTCTGCTCTAGCTATGCTGGCCTGCTTCTTATCCCTTGTCTCTGCCTGCTGCTTTCCCAACTGTGACTGTTTTTGCTGCTTCCACATGTCTGAAGTGGTCTGTCCTATGCTCTTATCCAATTGTATCCACTTACCAGGGCAAGGTCAAATAATATTGCCCTATGAAGCCTGCACAGCTCAGTTCAGCCAGCAACAGCCCTACATTCATAGTGCCTACCATCTATCTTCTGGAAACAATTCTCATAGATATTTTGGATGTCTTCCACTGGGTTCTTATAAAGCAATGTTTTAATTATTTAAATTATAAGTTTAACTTGAGAAACTATGGGAAATATATGGTTATTGCTAAGAGAAGATTCACATTTATTCTTACATCCTATGATAGTGGTTTTCCAAATTAGCTGCATGTCAAAATCACCTCTGGCATTAAATAAATACAAAGACACAGCCCTAACCTCAACTGATGACTGATTATCTTTAGGGTTTTTGCCTGGGCTTTCATGTTTTAAATAAGCTCCTTATTTTGATGCATGGACAAATATAATAACCACTGGTGTATGAAGAGAGTTGTGGAGAATAACTTGGAAGAGTTTATAAAACTCTTAGATTTTGATAGAAAGTAATAAAGAAATCCCTTCACCCCATAAGACAGAATTGCATGTCAGTGGTTAGAGAAAAAGTTTAATCCTTAAAAAAATGACATATCCTTAATATTATGCTGGATATTATGATCCTTTTCATTGTATCTTTACCATCTCTTATGTCTCTTACCTTACATTCTGAGTCTCTGTTCTTATTTTTTACAACAAAAAAGAACAATGAAATCTATACTGCAATTACTTAAGTGTTCACCTGAGGAATTTAGCACTTGTCCTTGGTCAAATCTATATTATTATACCTAAGACATGTACTAGTCTGTACCCTTGGTTGCAAGTGATGATATACCAAATCAAATGAGTTTAAGCAAAAAATAAGAATCTTTGAAATGGGAGTTCATGAGCTATGGTAAAGACAGGTTGCCTCTTCACCAGACCATTGCTCCTTCCTTATGGGTACTCAACTGTGCTCTTTTCCCAGCCTCCCCGCAATTGGGCATGACAATATAACTGAATTCCACCAATGGAATGTGGGCAGAAGTGATATATAGGTACCACTGGCTGGCTCATGAATCCCTCCCATGTGCAATATCCCATTTTATTTTACCATTTGGCCCCTGGATAGAGAAGGCTCCAAACACCAAAGTGAAATGAAGCCACAGGCTGGAAGAAACCTGAGTCCCTGAGTGACTGCTCAAAGAAAAGCCACGTAAAAGAGTATGGACCGCATGAGTAGGATATACTATGTGATATACTGTAGTATATACAAATATCCTATGTGAAGCCACAAATATTTTGGGACAATATTTACCATTGAATGCACTGGGGTATCTCACATAACATAAAGAAAAAAACAACATCCAAACTCTGAGAAGGGTGGTTATGCAACTGGGCCTCTTCAGAAACGACTGGAACCACATTAAATGTCTTTACAAATCTGTACTTGTTTCTGGAGCTCTATTAAACCATTTTCTCCTAATCAGTAGAGAAAATGAGGGATCGTTGCTATAATTTTTACCCAGGAGAGAGATTTACTGGGATTTAGATGTAAGTAGGAAAGAACAGAGACAAGAGTGACCATAGAGGCATTGGATAAGACCTAAGGGGACCATGCTGAGATTTGAGATTGGGTGCATTATCTGTCGGCGCTTGAGTTAAGGAAGGTTTTTCTACCTTTTTTGAGGGGAAAAGGTGATAAGTCCCTGTTACTACTTTAACAGAGCTTAGGATCCTCTGACTTGAGTCCACTAAAAATGCAGACTGTTACCGTGACTTTTAGCCATCCAAAACAAAAGGACGTGTATTTTGCGCTTATAAATTATTCATTTTTTTATTATGCTTACCTGGTCTGCCATATAGAATATTAGGTGCCTGTGATCTTTCTATGATACTTATTTTTGACTCTACTGTCTAATTTCAATAAATGCCTAATATGTTTTATCATTGTTGGATTACTGATTGTCACTTTCTTCTCCCTCTAACCCAGTTTTGTTTGGATGTATAAATTCAGCTTAAAATTTTTATTAAATTACTAAAAGAAGGCACATCATTGTTTTAGAGCATGTCTAAATTAGAGACGCCTCTCTCTTCCAGACTAGGCTGTACTTTGCTTATTTGGATTGTATTAAGATAGGAATTTAAAAATACTGATAATCATATACTGATCAAAGAGGCCAAAATATCTCTCACTCTTTATGGAATACTTTACAATGCCAAGGAATACTGGAATATTACTGGCTCTGTTTTTAGCTCTTTGTTGAAGGTAGGACCCTTTGATAAGACAAAAGATTTCTCTTCACTAGAACCCCAAAATGGAATAAAAA
Organism: Homo sapiens; assembly: GCF_000001405.40. NCBI lineage: Eukaryota > Metazoa > Chordata > Mammalia > Primates > Hominidae > Homo > Homo sapiens. The sequence goes on along the minus strand of NC_000014.9, from coordinate 80,161,925 downwards.
CAATAGCAAATGAATTGTGCTGTATTATAAATGAACCACATTGCCACAATACAGGGCGGGGAAGAAAAGAGCTAACCTACATGTCATCTTGGAAAACAATATTTCAACCATATCCTGAAAGATTAAAGATAAAAAAAGAACTATGCACAAATACTGTGCTCTAATTAGTAAATTTGTTTTTCACAGAGGTTTGGATTAGCAATTCTGAAACTTCTTTATTTATATTCTGATACTGAATAAATAAGTAAATTTACTATAAATAATGAAAGCTTATTTTCTCATTGTTAGAGAAAGAGCTTACAAATAAGTAATAGGGACTATTATTAGAGAGAACCCCATGCTGTTAGGTGGAATCAGAGGTATCAGTATGAACTCATGGTTTTTAATAGATGTGGAAATAGATATAGATGTATATGTGTGCTTGGGTCAGTATACATACACATATTTTTTAGCTCTGCTGCTAAGAGAGCCTGGAAATAATGATATCCCAGTTGCAGAAGAACACCCAGCCCTGAGATCTTGGTTTCTAAATACCATTCACCAATTAAAGGACCTAGACTCCTCAGAGAAATGTCTGACTCCAAGAAGGGGTCAGGAAAGCACAAGATGAGCCTAGAACATTTAATGATGCCAGAAAGTAAGCAAGTGCTCAAAAAACGATGGAAGCATGTCCAGAAGCTAACTGGAGGAAGTTCCCAAATAACACATCTGAGTCCATCTGTGTAATAAAACAGATAATGATGGTAATGGCTTAAAACACAGAGAATAAATAAATATCCATGAGTCCATATAGATGTAAATAATTAAAGAAGTGATGGAAAAGAGATAGCTCTTTAAGTTGAATTCCAATTTATAAATGAGGAAGGAGTGGTGAAAACAGATGCCAGAGAAACTTTTACAGCTAAGAGGAGCCTATGGAGACAGGACAGCTAAATGTAATGTAGTATCCTGGGTGAGATTCTGGAACAGAAAAGGACCTTAAGTAGAACTAAGGAAATCTGAAACTATGAACTGTAGTTAATAATAATGTGTCAATATTGGTTCATTAATTGTAACAAATATATCATTAATGTAAGATTTTAACAATAGAACTAGTTGTGGGGTGTATATGTAATTTAAAACTATTCTCAAAAATAGTCAATTACAAATTTTAAAAGTCACCATTTGGCAAATATCATCGTAATAATTGTTGCAGTCAGTTATTGTCAATGGATATTAAAATTAGGGGGCAAAAATACTTGTGTAGTTTAAAGTATCTGAGGGTAAAATGCTTATTAATTACAAAGGGGAAGTAAGTAACTACAGTGGAGAAACCTGGCAGACATCACCTTAACCAAATGATCACCTTAACCATTTCAGCAGTAATGAAACATAGCGGCATCCTGTGCCTCCCACTGCGATTCAATGTCCCCATAGGCAGTGATTCTCCGGTTTTAATATTTATATGAATCACCTAGGGATCTTGTTAAAAATGAAAATTCTGACTGAGAAGGGCTGGGGTCTGAGATTCTGAATTTCTAATAAGATCCCTGGGGATCAGACGCTGCTGTCAAGTGGACCACAATTTGTGAATCAAGGCCTATAGGAAAACCTTGCAACTTTTCAGCAAAGAAGGAGGAGGCATGGCAGAAGATATTTACATCCCTTTTATGACATTCCTCCCGTTTTTTCTTTACTTTACTTGGGATACTAAGGGATGCCTTTTTTTATTTTTCCTCCAGCGCATTTTTAGCATCATAAATACCCAAAGCTCAAAGCAGATACATAAGCCCATCTGTTTTGGAAGAGGCAAGAGATCTTTGCACACTTTACTTAGCAGCAATAGGTGATGGTCTCCGACTGTTGATATCATCTGATGTCCTTGATTAGGAAACATTGTTGGACTCTGGTGTGGTATGGGTAGGGCACATTGAGTGCCATTTAAGGAATTATCCTGAAGCTCTATCACAATTATCATGAAAGATGAAGCATACATTAGCACCAAAGCCAAAGAGACACTTTCCAGCAGAATGGAACAGCACATCAAGGAAGACACAGGTATCACTGCACATGGATTCAGATGGAATTCTATATCTTGATGGAATTCTCTATCTTCATGGAATTCTGTACTCGATGCTTGTTTGGAGTTCTCAGCAATCAGATAGATTGTTTCTGTCCTGGCCAGTGTTCCCAACCTTTCAATTTCAGGGATAGCAGCTGCCTAACATTGTAGAACTAAAGGATCCTCTTCAGCAGGACAATTTGAAAAAACACTTGAGCCATTTTGTTTGTGGCCTTAGTTGCTGGACTGAAAAGGTCCTCAGTTGCAAGAAGAGACAAATGGCCTTGTTGCCTGGTGTGATTACGTTTTATATTTTAAGGTCATATAGGAATTAATGAGAGCTGAGCTAACTTCATCTAAGAAAATGAAATTGGGGCGGGAGAAAGCCCAGGTGTCAAGACTTTGGTCAGCCCTTGAAGAGGTTCTCTCTAAGCCAGCTGCTGGCACCAAGTCGAAAGCAACCGGAGGTAGTTTATTTTATTTATTATTTTGTCCCAGGACATTTTTTTTTGGCTCCACATAAAAGTCTCTACTTCCAATCCTTTTGCTTTCTTCAGGCTTTCCCAGTTTCTACCCTGTTCTGTCATGGTTGAATCAACGATGATTTGGAAAATCTGCCTCATTTTTCAAATTCATCTCCATCTTCTGAATTCCCTCCAATGTTGCCTCTCCAGTTGGCTTACCTGGATTTGTGTCTTGCATCCCTCAGACAAGCATTCATTCACCTTTTCACATAATCTAAGAGATTCTTTACATGCACTTCACTGGAACCTCTTAAGGCAGGTGATGCCTTCCAAATTCCATGTGATAGTCATCTCTAACCTATAATTCTATTTTAAGCCAAACTTCCCATTATGTGTGAAAATTGAATAAAAGTTTTTTTAAAAACATGCAAGTTTTCAAAAATGTAAGTTCCCAAAAAGTGAGTATTAGTTTTTTATAAAAGATATATTGAAAAAGTGCTGAAGACATGATGCAACACAGGAAGAAATAAACACAAAAATACAAATATCTGGGATCCAGGAAACATGGAAATCAGCACAGGAGAGGACTGAAAAAAAAAGGCAAAGATGATGCTGAGGGGGGAATCTCAGGATGGCAGCTATGAAACAGACCCCAAGAGCAACGTTCCAGATAGAAATGAGAGGGTAGAGGGCCTGAGGAGTAATTGAGTTGAACTCTATTGGAGTTTGGAAGGAGGTAAAATACGTGTGGGGGAAAAGAAAGCACGTAAAAAGCTCAACCCTTATCTTCCACTTAATACCATGGGAAGGGTTAAGAAAGATCACTGTGTACCGTTTACACATGCAGAGGCAAGTAGTGGGAAGGAATACAGGAGTTGAAGTGTTTGCCTCTGAGGATGAGGTCAGGGGTGGAAAGGAACACAGAGATGGCTGCTTTTTTTGAAAATCTTGGAAAACTATCTGACATTTATCTGTATTTTTATATATATATATAAAATATATACATGAAAAGTATTATGTATATAAAAATATATTTTCATATATACAAAAATGTGAGTTTTCCATTATATATATGTGTTTATATACACACACACATATATAAACACACACATATATAAACATGTATATGTGTATGTGTATATATATATAAACACGTGTATATGTGTATATATATTAAAGATGTTCAGTGTTTTTATTTTCAAAAAGGTTGATGGCGCCGGGTGCAGTGGCTCACGCCTGTAATCCCAGCACTTTAGGAGGCTGAGGAGGGCAGATCACAAGGTCAAGAGTTCGAGACCAGTCTAGCCAGCATGGTGAAACCCTGTCTCTACTAAAAACATAAAAAATTAGCCAGGAGTGGTGGCACATGTCTGTAGTCCCAGCTACTGAGGAGGCTGGGGCAGGAGAGTTGCTTGAACCTGTGAGGCAGAGGTTGCAGTGAGCTGAGATTGCACCACTGCACTCCAGCCTGGGTGACAGTGAGAGACTCCATCTCAAAAAAAAAAAAAAAAAAAGGTTGATGGAGCAATTTACTTTAAGGGATAAGTAACCCTGATAATGGTCTCAGGAGTCAGGTGATTAAAGTAACTCAATTCAAAAACCACTTATTAAGTATGTGCTGTGTGTCAGATGCTATGGAGAGAAAGGTAAATAACATAACATTTCTGCCCTCAGGGACCTCACAATTTAGGCCAAGTTAGAATACGTGCAAATACTATGATATAGAATATGATAACAAATATTGGAAATAATACTCCGGGGAGAATGGAGGAAGGAGCAATGACGTTAGAGTAGCTGGATTAGGAAAGGACGCAGGGAGAGTTAATGTCATTGCCCAATACCCAGTATGATCTGGTTTGTTTTCTAGTTCTTATTCCTCTTTTTTTTTTTTTTGTTTGAGCAGAATGTAAATGACAAGGAACCTCTTTCTGACCTCTACGAGATTCTTTGGGTCAGGAGAGATTTGGAACTCTGGAAATAGAAAATGAGAATAACCTTGCAGATGAAGAAGGGACTATAAGAGAGTTGCAGAGGTAGGGTGGAAAGGGTGTCTGAGGAGAGTGGCAAGTCTCACATGTGAAGGCAGAGTTTATGAAGGAGATTTGACCTGTGCTGAATGGAGAGCAGTAAACGTTCAGAGAAACTTGATGTGTTCAGCCAAAACAAATGAACAACATCCTGAAAGTAAACTGGTTCATAGAAGGTCCAGAGTAAGAATTATGATGGTGTTAGTGCTTCCAGTGTCTGGCTAGGGTCTGGAATGGGGTGAGAGATCAGTTTAATAGCATGGAACCAGTCATCTGTCATTTGAAGCAAATGCTTAAGGGCCCATTCCCTGAAGGATCCTCACTAATGATACTGCTACAAGTAACAATAAGGCAGGTGACTCATATTTACTGAAATATGAACAACTTTTGAAATGGAAAGAAACAAATCACAAGGAGGCAAAAGCTAAGTGTTGCTATAGGAGTTTCATTAAAAAATACATTTCTCAACTGGGGAGCTGTCTTCTACCTTCTTTTTAGCTCTACTTCCCTTCCTTTCACCCTACAAAGCTTCCAACTGAAAACATTTGTTGAACACCCAGCAAGTACTAGTTTCCATGTAGGACACTATATTCCAATGGCAGAGAGAGACACAGCTACAAGTAACAATAATGCCATTTAGTATGTGCCATAATAGAATACTAAGGAACACAGAAAAGGACTTAATTAATAGAATAAATAGATCTAGGAAATTTAGTGATAATATCGTGGAAGACATTCAGGCTGAATCTTAAAGAAAAATCACAATTTTGTGAATTATTGAAAATAAAGGAGTAGGAGATTCACAGCCTAAGAAATTATTTAGCATGAGTTATATATATATATATAATAAGCCATGTGGTTTGGTGAAGGGAAATGCTGTGTTGTCTGGTGTGAAGGCCTGCAAATGCAGATGAGGATCTGCTTGTGAAGGGATTTTAATATCACTCCAAAAAGTTTGTGTTATATCTAAGTGAGTTGATGGTCTGTGTACTGGTGGGGGATCATAGAAAAGTCAGGAGATTTTTTACAATTGCAATGATGGGGAGTGGAGGGTGATCATATTTTTATGTACCTCGAGGAAACTCAAGTTTTTAAAAGCTTGAAGAATATCATGGTAGACAATGAAACAGCACCAGTGTTTTAAAATCAGAAGATCACACAAACGTGAGTTACTGTGAAGCTGATAAAGATAAGCTTCTGAAACCTTCATTTTCAGGACCCTAAAGAGGCCCCTGCTGGGGCCTCCTTAGACCTGAAAAGTTTGATTCTGCCTCTGCTGTCCATACCCAGGCTCACTAGGATGTCTTGTTTATCATGGACTCAAATAATGGTGCTTTGCTATTAAGAAAATTATTTCTGTAAGCTACCTTTCTCTACTTTCTCCTAAACACTTCCCATCTCTGTCTTCTCAGAGAGCAGGATAATCAGGAGCAGGCAGAATGTTCTAGATCAACGGTGCTCACCAATATTGACTTTCTGGGGTTCAAGTTTTCTCCCTGATTCTTTATAAGAGAGTGGAGCTAGAATGAGTTGGCCTGGACAACACTTGGGCCACTGTCCCTTTCTTTCAGATTGTATTCAAGCAGGAATTTCATTAGTTCCTTAAATATTCTGTGCTGCTTATCTTCTAAGGTCCTTTGTGGCAGCTGTTTATGTGTAAAATGATCTTTCTACTCTGCATGAGTCCAGCTCTTTCTTATCTGTAGCCTCAGCTTCAGTGTCACTGTACTTCCTCAGAAAGATGTATCTTGATCTCATCATCTGCAGCCATGACCAAGAACTCCAAAATCTCAATGGCTTAAAACAGCCAAGGTTTATTCCCCATCACATTTCAAGTCCATCTTGGCTCAGCAGTTCTATTTATTGTAGTCATGCAGGGACCGGGGCTATAGATGCTCCATGCTTACAGGATGCCCGATTTCACTGTATGTAGCTATGATTTTTATGGCAGAATAGAACAGTGAAGGTAGAGAATTACTCTGGTGCACTAGCTCTTAAATGCTTCCATGTGGAAGTCACACAGGTCATTTTGCTCATTGATATTAAGGGGCTAAGGCATGCAATTGACTTGCATATTTGGAAGAAGAGAAGAACCAGGAACACCAGCAAGTAGCACTCATGTCTGCCACTTGCCTTATCTAGAATCAGTCTCTTCTCTCTTGTCTAGCTCAGTGTTAGGTTTGAGGAAACCCAATGAAGAGCAACTCTCTTTATCAGGTGGGTTAGGAACCACTTAAGAGATAAAACAAAGAATTGAAAGATAATCCTAGAGATGAAAAATTTAGCTTTATTACTCAACACTGAACTGGAAGAAATGGCTTAGATGTGTGGCAACAGAGAACTTCCTAATATTTAATGATGTTTTCAGGCTGGTCCAGTATTAGTCAATGTTCTCCAGAAAGACAAAGCCAATAGGAGATATATATCTCTTATTTTGCCAGGTATCACAATGGAACTAAAAATGACATAAAAGGCATTGTTCCTGGAATTAATCATATAAGTAAATAAAAGCATAATAATATTATTTTATAATATTAATACTGTAAGACTATGATACTATTTATCATAGCAATGATTTTAATTATCTCATATAAATCAATATTGATAGGTATGACATATTTATATTATTGCATCTGTTATATAGTTTTAGATTCTAGTATATTACATATGCCAATATTTGTAGTATTTACATTAAATTTTGTTTTCTAATATTGTATTAGTATAAATTCATCATTACTGCTATTATTATTATTTAATATAAGGACTATATGCCAGCCTGAAATAGCTTAAGTATATCTACAGATTCCTGAGCAGAAATTAGAATTTCCCTAAAACAGACCTTAGGCTGCATTAAATCCTGTTTTTGCTTTCTAATGAGTTAAATGAGTTAATATCTTCCTGTTCTTTGTCTTAATTCCACTCTAATAATGAAATTCTGCCTTAAGTGAAAGTTCAGGAACAATTGGAGAGAAAAGGAAAAACAGACAGTAAGTTTTTTAAAAAGTAGGCAAGAAAATGATGCACAGACAATCAACTTCATAGAAAACCCAGAAATGTTATGCCATGGCAAAAATATTTAGCATATTCATAAATAGTGAGGGAATAGGGAAGAAGAAACCAGGAGATTTAGGCATAAAAGAATTCTAGATGCAGTAACAGCTAATATGCACATACACACGCACACACATACAAAATGTTGAAAAATACCGGTCAGAGACAAAATAGAACCCTAAAGATTCAAAGAGTATCTTGTTTTGGTTACTAAGTAATAGAGGGAAGGTCGATAACGTAACTTCACTAGCTAGCCAAGATTTTTTCTTGAGTTTATAAGGATATTGAAATTATACTAGGGCTAATTTAATTTATCAGTAACCCAATTAATATCAAGTAAGTGTAGGCCAGTTAGCTCCATGAATGAGTGTAAGCATTTAATGAAGTCAGAGTCATGAGCTCAGTATGGGCCAGTTATGTTTTATCTATTGGAGAATACATATTATACTCTCAACCCTACTTACCCCAGCCATAAATATATTTGATTAAGAAAGGAATGAAGTGAAAGAAGCAGGGGATGGGGAGCAGATAGGGCAAAATTTATTTAAGAATATGCATGTTTATATAATACATTATTCTATTGGAAAAACAATTTGAAACTGCTGTGTTGTGAAGATAAGTTAGTAACATCATCTTTATTACAAAGTACAATACGTTATTTGGTAAACACCCATAGGTTCCTCAAACTTATAGTCCCCATACATTCAAACACCAACATTTACCAATATGGAAGGAATTGGATGCTTTCCTATTCTTGGGTAATTTTCGTATTTTTTAGCAAGAGAGGTTTTGGTACCGTCCAGGTAAACAATGCAGGGCTTGGATGTGATCCTGTAACATAAATTAATGTATTTGAAAACTGATGGGTTAGAGATGGTTATAGGAAGGAAGGATAGCTCTTTCTAAAGTTTTAATAGATGGTCTAGATTTAAATATAACACATTAGGTTTTTCAAACAGATAATGAATGAAGAATTCTCATTACTAGGCATTATCAAAGCTGTAGGAAAACAGAAAATGTTTTCTAATGGAAAAACATGGAAAATTTGAGTTTCAGTGAGAATACGCTGAGCCAATCCCAAGTCCAGAAAATAAATGGTTAATATGTCGTTAAATTTGTTCAAAGGAAGTCACAGACCAACAATATTCATATTGTACATATAAAGGCACATATGAATGGACATATAACTATGTAAATATATGTGTGTGTTTGTGTACTTAGATCTGAGTGAATATCAATGTACAAGGTCAAAGTAAATATCTGTACTTGAGAACAGTATATATATTATATTTTTACTTAATTTTTAATTAAATGAATAGTTGTTGAAGCTAATAATCAAAGGTTATACTAATGACCTCTGGAATTCTGCCCACCTCAGCAATTTTTGTAGAATTGCCAACATCAAGAATTTACTATGAACATTTATTTTAAATTACTTAATTTTCCACAATAACTCTACAAACTCTTAACTATTTTTGTCAGTATCTTAGAAATGAGAAAACTGAAGTTGAAAGAGGATAACGAATGTGCTGAAGGCCTAATGATTAATAGAAGGGGAAAGCTGTGTCTGATTCCAAAACCCATCTTTTAATTCTATGTTATACCGCCTCCTTTATACTTTTTATCAGAACGGGTAGCATGTAAAAATATATCTATTGGTTTAGGTGTTAAAATTTCTGAAATTCAAAAGAACTTGTGAAATTTGAAAGAAAAACATAGATAAAACTCTTAATTTTTATAGGTGATAATCAGGGCAGATAAACTTACTTAAGTAAGTAATTAGACTTGACAATAAAAGGCTAAGTAGAAATACAAGTGAGATTTTACTACTTAAATTAATATAAGTAAGACTAATAGCTGACTTTTTGTCTTAGCCAAAATATGAACTCAGTATTATGAATTATGCATTACTTGGGCTAAATCTGATTGTGAAATCCTCTAAAGAATTTACTTGAGTCCTGTTTTTCCAGTTAGAGCTTTTATTTGCCTTAGGGAGAATTTGGTAGTGAGGAGAGGTTCATAGAAAAGCAAGCTTTTCTCTAAAAAGAGGGTTTCTCCAACCCACCTCACTAGGGAATATTTTTGGGAATTTATGAGCATACTACCATAAAGAAAAAAGACATGAGCAACAACAGCTGATGTTTCTTGAATGCTTACAACTGTTAGACTCTTTTGAAAAGCTTTACATATATTAACTTGCCTAGTCTTTACAAAACAAAGGCAAGAATAAACCTGATAAGAAACCTCTGGCGTTATGGCACTTTTTTTTTTTTTTCTGTTAGGGATGGACTCTGATTAATTACAAAAGTGAATATATCAATCACATACATGAACTGCCAATCATTTGCTATGTGGAAAGAATCATTCTAGAGTTACTTGAAATACCAAACTTTTTAAACACATTTGAAGTGATTGAATTTATAAAACATTGATTTAGAGAGAACCTTTAAAAATGTCATTTTTAAGTTTAAAAAATATAGGCTGTGTCCTTCTCACATTTATTTGTCTGTAGCCCTAAAATGCCTGGCTGAACCTTGGAAAGATAAGGTCGACTAAGTATAAAAATTCTTCTTTTGTTCTTTGGAGGTGTTATTAAAGTCATTTACTAGATCAGTACTAGATGGGTGACTCAGGGCTCTCCTCCTGAAAGACTCATTTTTACTTTCCTTGGTCCCACTTTATTTCTCTATGGCCATGGATCATGTCAGCACGAGGAGTTGAGAAATATAATATATAGTCTGCTTCTGGTTGTCTGGTCAAGGTTAGAATCATAGAATACTTAAGTTGGAAGAAAAACTCTATATATCATACAGAGGTCTACCACTCATCCATCCCTATATACATGAAAAAAACAAAAACAAAAACCAGAGGGAGGTAAAAAGATGTAACTTTTGCTGAAAAACACTTTTTACCCTTTCATTTTTTCTATATTGACTGAATTGTCCCTCATGTTTTAATAGTATTTAATTTTGGCTATTGTATGAGAATTATGGAGGTAACTGGTTAAGGTAGAGGGTGTTTTGGTAGACTAGATTCTTGGCTATATGTCAGTGAAATTTGTAATTTGATTTCTTTTCATCCCATTTCTTAATGTGGCTATTATTTTTCAGAAATAGTAATTTGACCATTATATAGTGGATACCCCATATCCTCAGGTTCCATATCTGTGGATCCAACCAACCGTGGATCAAAAATACCCCCAAAAATAAAAATACAGCAATAAAACACAATGGGAATAAAAAACAGTACAGTATAACAATTGTTTACATAGCATCTACATTGTATTAGGTATTATAAGTAATCTAGAGATGATTTAAAGTATATGGAAGGATGTATGTAGGTTACATGAAATACTAAACCATTTTATATAAGGGACTTGAGCATCCATAAATGTTGGTATCCACAGTGGTCCTGAAACCAATCCCTGTGGATGCTAAGGGAATTATTACAGTTCATACTCTGAATATTAGGGCTTATTAGCTGGCATCTATCTTTACATGTGTTTTTGACCTTTTTCCTTTCGCCCAATAATTAACTGAGTACTAAGTAATGAAGATATTGCAAATCACACCCTATAAGATTTAATGGCTTCATCATAGTCATGCTGCTTATTTCTGTTTAATTAATCTCAAGAGTGACATTAGGGTCATCTCATCAAGACACCAGAGAGAGAAGGGTGGCTGACAGACAATTTCTTGTCTAGGGATAAACAGGACAACTTGTTTTCACAAATCATTACTTTTTACCCACCCTATGCTGAATACAATGCTAGGTTATGTGGGAAACCCAAGAACGTAAAGGATGTGGTCTCTACTTTTAAGGAGTTTCTGTGGTACTATGTGTCAGAGTGAGGTGTAGGCATGGGTGAATCAGAAGAGGAATCTGAAGTAGTTGGCAAGTGAAAGCTGCCCATGTGAGGTGAGGAAAAGCCAACTATATCCAAGTGAAAAATAACAGCTCTTTTGTGTTAGACACTACTCTAAGCACTTCATTTATATTAATTATAACAGTATGTATTAATACATAATATATAATAATGCATAAATCCAATTTAGAATAATCCAAGGAGGTAGACACTAGTATTACCCTGATGTTGCATTTGAGGAAAAATAGACAGAGATGTTAGCTTATTTATTTTAGCGTACTTACTTGTAGAATGAAGGAAATATTTAAAATCTAGGCAATATGGCACTAGAAGCCGCGTGCTGAATTGCAGGCTCCATGACAGTGGTCTTTGCAGAAATTTCTTGAATATGACCCCAAAGGCACAGGCAACAAAAGCAAAAATAGACAAATGGGATTGCATTAAACTAAAAATCTTCTCTACAGCAAAGGAAACAATTAACAGATTGGAAAAACAATGTAGAAATTGAGAGAAAATATTTGCAAATCACACATCTAATAAGGAGCTAATATCTAAAATGGAAAGAACTTAACTAAATAACAAGAAACAAAGAGCCCAATCAAAAAATGGGCAAAAGGCCTAAATACACACTTCTCAAAAGAAGACATACAAATGGCCAACAAGTATGTAAAAATATGCTCATCATTACTGATCATTTGGGAAATGCAAATTAAAACCACAATGAGATATCACCTCACACATGTTAGAATGGCTATTATTAAAAAGATGAAAGATAAGTATTGGCAATGATGTAGAGAAAAGGGAACACTTACACAGTGTTGGTGGGTATGTAAATTAATATAGCAATTATGAAAACAATATGGAGTTTCCTCAGTAAACTAAAAATAGAATTACTATATGATCCAGTGATTCCACTTCTGGGTATATATCCAAGTAAATTGAAATCAATATGCCAAAGTGGTATCTGCACTCCCATGTTCATTGCAAGGTTATTCACAGAAGCTGAGATGTGGTGGCAATCTAAGTGTTCATCATCAGATAAATGGATAAAGAAAATGGATATATACACAATGGGATACTATTCTGCCTTATAAAAGGGGACAGTCCCATCATTTGTGACAACATGAATGGACTTGGAAGATATTATGCTAAGTGAAATAAGCCAGGCACAGAAAGACATACACCACATGATCTCACTTTTATGTGTAATCTAAAAAAGTTGAACTCATAGAAGTAGAGAATAGAACATTGGTTACGAGAGGCTCAGAAAGGGAGGGGATTGGGGAAAGGAAAGATGTTGATCAAAGGGTACAAAGTTTTAGTTAGATGACAGAAATAAGCTTTAGTGACTTATTGCACAGAATAGTGACTATAATAAATAAAAACACATTGCAAATTTCAAAACTGATAAAAAAGATTTTGTTTTCAACACAAAAAATAATAAGTATATGAGGTAACAGATTTGTTAATTAGACCAATTTAGTCACTCTACATTGTAAAGATATATCAAAACATCACATTGTACCCCATAAATATATACAATTATTATTTATAAATTAAAAATAACATATAAGTATACAAATCACCATACCACAGTTGTATGAAGACTGTGACTTGGATAGCTGATCTGCAACAAGCTGGTTATTTCATTGACCTCTGGACACTAATATCTAAAGGAACCTCAGGAGGCCATATTGTTTCCTTAAATGTCAATATGAATCACAATTATATTGCCATCTTATTTAGCTATTTAGATGCTTTTAAGAGCTGTATTTACCTTAGTGCAGGAAAATTTGGGAAATCATGTATTTTAAAGAAGGGAATTAAATCCTGTTTATTACAAATATTTTAAAATACCTTTTAAAAGTAGTTTTAATATTGTGCTTTAATAAGCTTTAAAAATATTTTAGCAAAAATATTTAATTAAAATATAACAAATTACAATAAATTTAATTAAATATTTTTCAAATATGTTTTTTAGAAAGTCGTTATATAAAGAAATCAAAATGACTTTGCTCCCTCTAATCCTCTAGCCAAGGAGGTTACTTAGAGCTTCACACTTCTATTTAGACTTTATGGAAAAGGTGAAATTTCCAGGGATCTAATGGCAAAGGGTGAGTATATATGGCAGATTTGGAGGAAAATAGTATATTAGGTGAAGGGGAGAAGGTAAAGTAGGGATAAGTAGTCATGCCAGTTTTTTATTTGCTACTAATTAAGACAATAGTAAGATTGGCATTCAGTGTGCTCATTCATTCTCTTTTCTAATAGCTTTATGCTTGTGACGATTAAGAGAGGCATAAATTGATCTTTTAGATAGATAAGCAGTCTTCAAGTACTTCATTCTTTGAAGTACTTTTCAAATTTCAGGAAATTTGAAAGGATCCACTGTAATAAAATCTATTCATCTCTTCCAAAGCTCATAGTCACCTCAGTTGGACTTTAGGTCCAATGGTATCAAAGCCTGCAGATTGTTGAGATAATTATCCAAGATAAACAATTCCAATTCAACTTATTCATAAGTTATCATTAATAAGGTTACCATGTTTGTGTTACAAAACCATGAGTTAGTGAATAGTTTCAGGGACATTAAGTAGACTATCCGTGGAGTTTCAAATGTTGTTTCTTCCAACTCTATCAGGATTCTTGGTCTGTAAGTGTATATTGCTCCATGCTTTGAGAGAGCAAAACAATTAGATCATTAGTGGTAGTTCCCATACAATATGCAGGACTCTGCTCTTGATCATATCAATATATCCAAATCATGTAAATCAGGTATACTTTAATGACAATGCAACACTCAGCCCAAAATCAAAGGTAGGAATTGCTTAATAGTTACTAATAAATATTTCCTAATGGCTTTAGTCTGTTATTGTTAAAATGATTACCTTAATCTCACATGGGCATGGCAACACAATGTGCCCTCTATCATCGGGGAACTCAGATGGGGTAATAAGTGGCTCGATTTGCCCTATAACTCTTCATCACCGTGCTACCAAAGCACTGACACCATCATCATTTAGTCACTAGAATCTTTCCAAACGGGCTGATTGTGAGTTCACACTATTCTTTGACAAACAACTTTGCACATTGACATCATTCATCATACACAGGAAGGTAAGTCTTGGAAGCTGAATTTACCTAAGGCTATAATAGGATTGACCATTTGTCTTGAATTAGCCAGTCATTGAAGCAACTGGTCAACCCATTAAAATCTTAAGTACATAAATAAACTAAGCCATGGTTTTAATTAATGGATTATGGTTCAGAAAAGGGTTGAGAAATAGTTTGGCATCATGGGCCAACTGGTATAGGAGAAACCACATTGGATGCAACAAAGAGGAGCTTGATTCTGGCAAGCCATGACAAATGGGCAAGTCACTGCATTGTGCTGAGTCCCAGTTTACTTGTCTATTAAATATTGTAATTGTTACTGGATGATTTGTCTGGTTAGAAAAGTCCACTGGAGAAATTTACTGTGGTGGTTAAAAGTTGCTATTCGAAGCTGGTTTAAATCTTTTTTAATATTAGCTATGGTGGTCAAGAAGACCCAGTATTCACTCAGACTTCTTCTACCCTACACCCCTCCTCACACAAACCAAATCTATAAGGATTTTTGGTTTGCAAGTGTATGTCATGCCATATTTTGAGAGGGCTGAACTTACAGAGATCGTGAATGGTGGTTCTAACACAATATGCAGGGCCTATTAGCTATATAGCAAGCTATTTGCAAGAAATGACCACCTTTGGTTATCAGTCTAGCTCCCGCTGCATTGTATAGTAAGTCATTATTCAATACAATTTAGATGACTAGAACAATTCTTCATCCAGATTTGGAGATCAAAGAGCAAATATATTTGGGGGTCTTAGAACTGTCAATTAATTCCATTCCAAATCAAATATCTTTAGATCTTATTAAAGCTATCCATCAATTCTGCTTAATTTGTATAATTTTTCTATGGAAAGAACCTCTTCCTTACTACTGTTATGGGGAATCCTTTTGTTCCTCTAAGACTGTCTAATATCTCACCCACTAGAGCAGTTGTCAGAGTTCAGCTCAAGTTTAACAGCTCTTCTCTGTCTCTGGCAGATGGGAGAACTGCCTGATCACTACAACATTTCATTGCCAAGGTTAGTGTCATTTAGTGTTGTTGGAAAAACCTGGTTTTTCCTATGTAATCCTCCAAACTGGGACATTGCTAAGGGCTTTTATTTCTCCTTACAGGAGCTCATTGGACTTCTGTCACAATTTAGTGAGGTTTTGTATCTAAATTTTCCCACACCATGCCTGACACCAGGTGGGTGTTAAACATTAGGTGTTTTTTTACTACCATAAAATATGTATGAAACTAACTTTTATTAAAAATGTTTTTCTGTCAGAAGTTATCCCAAAATTTTTCGTTTGCTGGCTCTTTATGTATTGGGGAAACAGATCCAGTTTCTTGAAGGGATAAATCTATAATTTTGAATTTCTGTGGCTAATCAGTCTCTTTGACCCCCTTTGATTAATATTGGAAATGATGAATTCCAACACTTTAGCCAGATTCCAACCTGAATTTTATTTTGGACTGCTTTCTTCCTTCTTCATCAGTCTAACAGTTGAAATTCAATGGGCTATTTGTCATTGCCTGGTGTCATCACCAGGCCAGAATGTTAGCCAGCTGTGAGATAGCTGCCGCATTCCACCCCAGAAATGGCTTCACATCAGCTATGAGTGAAGAACCTCAATACCAGGACCATTCAGCTACTTGTTGAGAATCCCAGTGTGTTGAGTTTGTGTTACTACCCAGGCTTTGCCTACATACACATACCAGCTTGGGAATGAAACAGAGATTTAATTCAGTTTATTCCTTTTAAGCAATTGAGTGAAACCTCTTTATTAGTTTTCCTTTCCCAATATGACCAATTTTATTTCCTCTTTAAATTATTGTGTCTAAATAGACAGGGCCTTGGAATGAGATCACCATGTCAACATTCCAGTATGAATCTCTTTTGACTGCAAGGGGTAGAAATGGAGGAGAGAGGATGGGGTAGGCAGGAAGGAGGTAGGGAATTAAGTGTGAAAACATCCCAGACAAGAGCAAACACTGGTGCCCAATGTCAGGACACATTTCCACCTGCAGCTGCCTGGAACCAAGCACTCTCATATTTGATTTGGGGATATTTAGTAAGATCCACTTGACTTTTCCAGAATGGTTTGTCTTGTGTCCATTTCCACACCCAACCTGTCCCTGACTTCTTAAAAAGGCTTTCCAGATACATAGACTGAAAAATAGTTTTTACAGGTTTCTTTAGAGGGATTTGCATACTGGACTCATCTTTTACTGGTATTAATTTACTGAAGATGGATGGAAATTTCCCTTCTTCTTCTTTAGTTTTTTTTTCCTGGTCAATCTTCAAGTTAAATTTAATGTTATTATGCAAAGAGAGGAAAAAAATTACTCAAAGAAGAACCAAACCAAAGATTCAGTTTAAGCCTGTACTTAAAGGAAACTGTTCATTATTACTTATATTTCCAATTTTCTTTATGTTTTTACAAATATTCAGCTATATATAGACCTATAGTAAACTACAGAATGACTACACATTTCAATTAATTGACAGAATGACATGTAATAAACATTCAATTCAATAGGCCTTTGCCTCACAATATAACCAGTACATTCTTCTAGAATATGGAAGAACCAGTAGAGAAGTTGCACTAGAAGTTGCAATAGGCACAATTAGAAAATGTATTATAGCCAATGGACATACCACTGAACAGTATTACAAGCTTTTTGAATTAATAGTGCAACCCAGAACTCAGATACAATGTACCAGCTGTTTAAGGAGAATTTAAGAAAAAATGTTTTATACATTTGTCATGGGAAATAATCACCTGCTCCACTTTTTTTTCCCTGCAAGCAAGCTCTCTCCAAGTTAAATAGGGCAATGCCAGAGGAGTGTTCTATAGATTTTACAACTAGGTATTCTTTGTATCACAACTTCCATTGGTTAGTTCAAAAATAGTGTTTTATTTCTCACCTAACTGATTCTTTCTAACAATCAATTAATTGACAAAGAAGCTTAACTCCCTCCAAGTCTGGTTTTTGAAGCATTCTGAACAATATTTTATCCAAAATATTACCAAGGTTTTAGTTATCCTTCTGCGGGATTAAAGAGATGTGCTAGAGAAAGTTTCCTGTTCCCAGAAGGGATCTAGTGTTCTGTCAGAGGAACTTTGTGAAGCATCTGGATTACTGGGGCATTTTCCAAAGGACTCCTTTAAAGGTGCATCCTCATAAACCTCTAAAGAGCTCTCATTAGATATGTTTTGGTGGAGAACATTGCAGTTACCTTTTTTTTCAACCTCAGTGCTACATTGGGATAATTATAGCAAAGAGGGGAGGAAAACTATACAAACTACTCTTCTCTTCCCATTTTTTTTCCATTTATAGGAAAGAACAGTAGAGAAATCATCCCCCCTTGAAAGACTAGTTGGTTTTCTTGGTATAAAACTAATTTTATAGTGTAATTACTCCTAGCATAAATGAAAAAAAAAGCTACATATATTCATAAGAATGAATATCATAAAGAAAATTACAGAGAAGATAGTAGGATAACATTTATATAACATACTAACAATGACATGTATTATTTAGGAGTACATACATGTGCAGTAAAAATATAAACACAGCTATGGAAATGATCAAATAACCTCTGGTAAGTAGTTAGCTGTGCCACTGAGAAAAGGGAATGTAAGAAACTTAGGAGACATGGCTTTTATCTGTAATGTTTTATTTCTTATGTTTAGTGGTAAGTCGATGGATTTTTAAAATATTGTTTTCATACTTTTTGTATATGTATCTCCAAATTAAAAGCTCCAAGGTGAGTGGTTAAAAATTGTGGCCTATTGAAAAACAGAGGTCTAACTTTAAGTCTTAGTTCTCCTTTGTAATAACTGTGGTTTTTTTGAGATAGTTACTTAACCAAAAATCAACTTCTTCATTCTTAAAATGGGAATATAATGGTATTTACCTTGGAGGGTTGTTTTATGGATTGAGTGAATTAATGCATTTATAATGTTTATACTACTCGACATCCTACATTTAATACATATTATGAATATGCTTATACATAATGTACAGGTCATCTTGTATGCTTGTGTATAATATAATTATGCCTTTTTAAACCTACCAGTCCTATGATCATGGCTAAGTCATTTAAGCCTTCTGAGAGTTCTACTCTTCATAGTTTAAAATGGAAAGAATTGGATGATCTATCCTGTCTTTATCACAGGACCTCTAGGAGTATTAAATGTGATAGTGTATAAAAAACACTTTAAAACGTTTGAAGTCATTATAAAAAAATTCAAGTGTCTTTTAAAAAAATTAAAATATTTTCTACTGAGATCACCATTTATTAACTAACAATTTTTAACTCTCAATTTTATTGACAATCTACTACTGTACTAGCTAAATTCTGTGATTACAGTAATGATTTTTAAAATGTGATTTCTACCATCATGCCCTTATGCCCTCTTAGTTTACCCGATGTAGTGAAGCAGAACAACGAATGAAAAATAAAATGAAGTGAGAGAGGAAAATAAGTTCCAAAGCTTTGTAGTGAGAGGTGTAAGATGAATAATGAGGACTTAAAACCACCCTGCTGTGGAGAACTGGGAAGGGGATGCTGTGGTGATAGGATGGGGAAGTAGGAATGGACAGATGATGAAGGACTTTGTAGTTCATGTTAAGGATTTTGGTCCAAGAAGTTACTGGACTTTAAGCATAAGATTGTATGACCAAATCTGTTTTACAACATTATTCTAATGGCTGTGCAATTATTATATTAGAAATGGGCAAGAAGAGAAGCAGGTAAACCAGTTAGGAAGGGTTTTTGCTAGTACTAGAAGAGATTCTAGTAGTTTGTAATAGGGTGGAGATGGAGTGGCATTGGAGAAGAATTCACAGATTGGGGACGAAGAAGTCATGATGGATTTGATTTGGGCTGGAAGGAGATAAGGTAGGAAGAAAAGTTGCCTGCTTTATTGAACGTTACTAAAGATCTCAGCCTTTAGACACAAGAGCAAATTAAAGGCCTTTAATGCATTTGTAATGTTTAGCACACTGCTTCACATGCTACATTTAATACATATTGTGAACATGCTTATACATAATGTACAGGTTATCTTGTCTAGTCTTTTAAACAGCAGCACCTTATTGAAAAAGAGAAATTAATCCATTCCTTCAAAATATTTATTGATCTCTTACAAACAGCAGAGTACTGGCCATATAATGGTGAGCACTAGTCACAGATGTAGTCCCTGCTCTTACATTGTTTACAAACCAAAAAGGGAAAACATAAGTAAACAAATAAGTAGATAAAATAATCATCAATTATGAAGACTGGATCCGTTTCTTGTGACTGCCATGATAAATGACCACAAACTTGGTGGCTTGAACAACAGAAATGTACTCTCTCACAGTTCTGAAGACCAAACATTTAAGATCAGTATCAGTGGGATGGAATCAAGATGTCAGCAAGGCTGCACACACAGGAGGCTTGAGGAGAGAGCTTGCCTCTTTCAGCCTCTGATGGCTGCTGGCATTCCTTGGTTTGTGGCTGCATCATTCCAATTCCTGTCTCTCTGGTCACATTGCCCCCTCTTCTTCTTTGGTGAAATTGCCCTCAGCCTTTCTGTTATAGGGACATATGTGATTGTATTTAGGGCCCATCTGAATAATCCAGACTCATTTCCCCATCTCAAGATCCTTAATCATATTTGCAAATTCCTTTTTTACTAAAGAAGGCAACATTCACAGGTTTCAGGGATTAGGACCTGGATATATTTTTCAGGTGCAATTTGCATGCCTTATGTAGGAAATGAACAGAGAACTATGATGGAGAATGTTGATAAGCATTTACTTGATGGATAGAAAGTAAGGACAAGAACGAGATTTAGCTAAACTGAAGAGAAAGGCCTTCTCATTTAGAGCCTTGCAGGTATCCAGATTATATTCTAAATGCATTGGGAACTCATCCAAGATATTGAATCAGAAAGGCAATAGAATTTGATTTACAGGCTTAAAAAGATTATTTTAGCTAATATAAAGAAAATTGGTAGGAGATGAATGGCAACGAAAGCAAGGCAATGTGCCAAGCGTCTACTGTGTTCATGAGGGCAGCATGGTCGGGGGAATAGGGAGGTGGCAATGGAGATGCTGCATCATGGATAGAGCTGAGACTTGATGGAGATAAAATAATCAGGATGCAAACGGACTGGATGTGAAGGATGAAGGGGACAAAGGCAAATACAGGATGGCACTTAGATTTTTACCCTTAGCAATTAAATAGCCGAGATGTTACTGACATGGGAAAGGGAGACACAGGAAGAAATGAGATCTGCCTCAAGGATACAAAGCCTGAGAAGACCATAAAGTTTCCAAGTGGAGCTGTCAGGTGGGCACTTGGATGAAGACTTCTGGAGCTCAGAGAGGATGTATGTACCAAAAAATATAAATAAGGGAGTGTATCATAGAGATAGTAAGGGAATGAAAATAGTCATCACTTAGTGTCGTATGAAGGAAGGTGAAGGGAATACAAGGCAAACCCCCAAGGAGCACTAATATTTAAGTTTAGGTAATGAAGGAAAAACAAGTCAAAGACAGTTAGAAGAAGTGACTATAACCGAGGGGGAAAATACCCAGAAGAGGATATAGTCACAGAAGTCAAGAGAGGAGACTGTTTCGTAGAAGAGTGAAGACATAAATTGTTCTTTGTATTTGGCAACATGGAGGTCACTGCTGATTTTGACATGAGCAGTTTCAATGGAATGATGGGACTAAAGCCAGGCTGGACTGAAGATTTAATGGGAAAAACAAAAGGTCGACTGTAACAGAAAATGGAGATAACACACAGGGAATTTTCTGGAATTTTTCCTGTGGTGGGGAGCAGAAAACAGAGATATAACTAGACAGAGATTTTCATTTTAAAGGAAGATACCATTAGAATGTGTTTGTATATTTTCTGAAAAGAGAGAATACAATAGAGAGGAAGATATTTGTTGATACAGGTAGGGGAGTACCTTAGTCATGGTAATTCTGCATCCTTGGTAAAAAGTGTACCCTAATTTTTGGCAGCCCCATCAGCTTTCCTCTGCTCTAATTTTCACCTTTGTTCTAACTCTCTCTTGGGAAGGAGACAGGAATCTTTTAACACTAACCAGGATGTCCGTGTCTGTTTGAGAAGCCATGCCCTACCTGGTGGCTTTCTCAGCAAAACCTTATTACTCTGCTCTTTCCTCTTGAAAAGTTCTGGAGTTCCTTTTACAAAGTAAGAGGAATATTCTTAACATCAGTGTTGGTTTTATTCCCATGCATTATATGTATTTCTAGCGATGATTTGGCACAATCCTTTTCCTGAGGCAGTGTGTTTGGGAGGGTAGTATTACTTATCAGATAGTCTTAAATGCTTTTAGAATAGGAGTGGTCCAAGACACCACACCTTTCCTCCCCACACTCCCAATAATAGAACACTCCATGCTTTACTCTATATATAATTGGGCTATTATCCCAAAATATACAGACAGGGGTTTGGCTGGAGAAAAGGCTGCAGAGCACTGAAAACTTCATCCTCCAGCTCCTAGCTTTCACCACTTTGCTCTCCTGCCTCAGCACAGAAACATCAGAGTTTGAATATCAGCCTAGCCACTTATTGCTCTCAGACACCCTGGTCTCTAGCTTCCTTGCGTTCTTTGTAAAGATGAAATTGAATATGTGCCTAGAGTATTTTATAGCTATTATGAGTAGAAAACATTAAGGAAAAAATGGACATTGTGGCTTTCCTTCTTGAAAAATGGGATACATGCTTTCAAACGGGCAGTGCTGTTAAGAAGTGAGAATTTGCTGAAGGGGGGAAGGTTAGCAGAGGACAGAGTTCCCTCTTCTCTGTCCCTCCTTAGGATTTGAATTTGCACAGCACTGTGATCAGAGGACAGGAGAGAATTTGTAAGTATCAACTCCTGTGCTCCTAGTGTTTATCGTGAACATTTATGTCAGAAAATCTAGTAGTCACCTCCCCATGAGTAGGAGTCCATGTTTTCTAAGGGGTCAGGAAGGATGAAGGTCAGGGTAATATTTTACTGACATGATTGGGAAAAAAACCCTGAGGTTTATGCCATGTTTCCAAATATCTCACCAAAAAAAAAAAAAAGAAAAGAAAAAGAAAAGAAAAATACAACAAACCCTTACTTGATTCTGAAAGTTGAAACAGGTAGTAGGGCAAAAGTTCATTGTTGCAGCCACAGGGCAAAAATCAGTCTTGATAATGATGTTCATGAGGCTGTGACATGACAGTGCCCCAGAGGAGCCTGATTAAGAGTAGCAGTTAGGAGTTGACTGCCCCATAGGGAAAAATTTTGACCCATGTGCAAGCTGAGGTGCTTTGGAAACACTTCTAATCTTGGGTGAGCTTAGCAACTCAGCCATCCCTAGTGATAAAAAAACAATAACCCCAAGGAGAGTACTAATGCCAAGCTTAACTGCCTTTCTCCCTAAACCTGGTCACAAGTGAATCATCATTTATATTTTGGATATTTATATTTCAAAGTATAATTTTGTCTTAGGATGTTTCTTTATAACTTGTTCCTGCAATGAATGGCATAATCTTTTATCTCAACAGTAAAACATTAATATTGATCTAGAATATTCCGAGTTCTCCAAAGATGCTCTTAATTAGTTGTTGTCTTAGCTTCTGGGTGGCAAGAGAGGGTGAGCAATATTTAGAATCATAATAAATATGGGAGGCTGGGCTGAAGGAAAAGAATGACTTTCCTCGGTTGAAGAGTGCCCTGAAAGGCAACGCTGACATTCTATAGAAAGGGCTACAAACTCTGCTTGTAAGCAGAGACATAATGTAACTTTCCACCTACTAATTGGTAAAGCTGAAAGCCCATAGTCTTTCCAGAACACCTCAAGGAGAATTTGGGTCATCTGAGACAATACCAATTTTTAAACATAGCTCTGAAGCCACCTTCCATGTACTAAGAGCCCAGTAAGCTGGGTTGCCTATTCTTCAAGTTCTCTAGTGTGACCTTCCTTGTGCTGCTCTTTGCTGCTCAGCAACTTCTTGGGACGAAGACAAGATGAGCAGAACAAAAGAGATGACATGGCAGGGAGAATCCATAACCAAGAACATTGCCCCTAATTGCTCTACTTCAAGAGCTTGTTTGTTTGTTGTTGGCCTCTCTTTCATTACCAAAGAGAGTTCTTCAGAGTCTCATCAGATTCCAGTTTCCAACTGTGGTTTCCTGTAGAAAGTAATCTGTCAAAAGTCAGTGAAGTAAATGTAAGTGAGATGGAGAAGATACTGGAAACTGCCCGGAAAGCAGAGGCTGCACTTCATTACATGAGCAGATTCTGACAAGGAGAAGCCAGGAGGCCGGAATCTGAGCTGCCATTGTGACTTGGCAACTGGATTTTAAGCCATGCAACAGGACAACAGAGGTCAGGGCAGACTGCATTTCACTGGGGCCCCAGGCCAATTGAATCATATTGAAATTTGTATAGAAAAGGCAAAATCAGATCAGCTGCTCCATTCACCAGGTGCTCCATTGACCAGAGAAAGACAGCAGTATTCCCTGAGACTTCTTCTCCTGTGTTGCTCAAGGCCAGGGAGCATGTAAAGGGCCTAAACAATTCCATAATTCATGGAGGGCATGTACAACCCACAAGATTGAAAGCATTTCTTGACATTCAGGAGCCAGTTCCCTGAGTCAGTTTACCTCCTGACCTCTATGTCCTTAAGTCATGACTAATGGCTTGCTCTCCTTCTCTGGTATCTACACCTTTCAAATACTGACTCTTACTTCTTTATTTTCAGGCACTCTCGTGTCTCAGGTAAAGCCATTGATGAGTGAACAAATGTTTCCTAAATTGTTTAAGTCTCTGTTTTAAATACTGAGCAGGGAACACAGAAGTTAAAGGACATAGGCTTTCCCCACAAGGGCATTTACAGTGTGCTCTGGTCCATGTAGGTCACTGTGTAGACAGCAGATGTCACAATATAAGATAGTTGAGAAAAAATATCAAAGAAGAGAATAGTGTGGCCATAGTTATAGAAGCTCAGATTATTGAACTGACAGAGTAAATCAATGTTTACTCATTCAGTTGCAATAGGGTTTTCTTTTAACCACTGAATTGACCATATTTCAGCTGAATATGCAAAGATGCAATTAATTTAATTCTTCCTTTTTCTTATAATGGAGTAAGAACTGGAAGAGAAAAATCACCTGTTAAATGGTGTTTTAGCTAACATAAATTCTAACAATAAACTAGTTTCTTGGGGGTGGGAGTTATGGGGGAGAGTGGGCTAGGAGGCTGAATTAACTAAACAAACTTAAGAGGTCTTTGGCATGTAAATTATGCTTTCCTTTATAACTGTTATCAAAGCCATCTTATTTGTGAGGTTTTAAGTTCCTTGTATCCTGGAGTAGTATATTCTCATCTTAATGCATAGCAATGCATCTAGTACATTGCTTACCTTGAAGAGGTCAATCTATAAATATTGAAAAAAAAGTTCTCTGAGTCTTTAAGCATAGTGTTACTGTTCCTTTTCTTGAAAACTTCTCCCTGCACCCCTGCTTCCTTATTTCTGACACTTTTGCTGGGGTAGCTTATAACTGTCTGTCAGGTTCTAGCCCAAACTGAGGTCCAAAGGGAATCAGTGGGCAGGTAGCCGGTAGCTGGAGAAACACTCAAAGAATCGTTGACAGTTTCAACATGGCTTTATGCTCTCTCTGGGCAAAAGCCTGTGTGCCAGACATATGTATAGCATTAGCAGGGTAATTATACCTTTTATAGACAATAGTGGCTCCAAGCAAGCACAAGCTCATGTGAGTGATTACCTAATGCACCTCATGTGGCGTGATTACGTAACGGGCAGGGTTGTGCACCTGCACTCCAAACCTGCTGAGTCACACTGTGCTGGAAGGCTGCCTCAGCCTACTCCTGACTGAAATGCAGCCATTTCCCTTACACTGTCCTTCAGTTCCAGGTAGATAGCACTTCCTCTTAAAGCCTCACCTTCTTCTCAATGATTTGGTTTTTGGGATCTCATAGCATCCTCTTATTTTCCTTGTTAAGACACTTACATCACTGAATTGTCTGTTTTGCCCTACTACATCATAAAATTGAAGGCAAGAACTAGGTTTTGAGTTCACATGCCTAACACAATGCCTGGCCCAGAGTGAAAATCCAACAAAAATTTACTATTTTAACAAATGAATGCCTAAAGAAGGGAATGAATCAAGGTGGGTGTCATGGAGTCACAGATGAAACTGTTTTGGCTATGCTGTGAGCTTTTTTCCATCCCTCAAATTGGTTCCCTTCTTGTGGCTGTGAGGTTCCTCTCATCTACATCTACCTGGGAGGTCTCATTTGACTGAGTTGCAAGAATGAGGTGTCATCCATCAGGGTGTTTATTGGACTATCTTCTCCCACTGTTCTGGCTGTTACTTCACTGAAGTGGAAGACTGGGCAGGTTATAACTCACCACAGTCTTCCCACTGTGACTCTCTTTCATTTCATGCCAACTGACAAATGTGTATTGACTTTTCTCAGTGCACATTCACTGCTGCACTTGGCTTAACAAAAATCTTTACAACCACCGTCTGGTTGGATGTCTACTGTTTCCCCAACTTACATGTGAGGAAATGAGTTATATAACTTGCAGGAGTTCAGGCCAGGCTAGTGACACAGATCATTTTTGAACTAGATGGTTTACAGGCTCTGGCAGGCTTTTGTTCCTCCAGCTGCCTTAGAGGTCTCAGTTCATTATCTCCAGTCAGTAAGGAATGAATGAGGGAAAATGTCTCCTAAGTTTGGGTTTCTATCACTTTCTTGGAAAATAAATACCAGCTCTTCATAATCCCTCACTTATTAGCCAAGTCAGCTTGCTAAGCGACTTAGAACACTTTTGGAAACAGCTGTGACATTAATAGTGGTCATGAACAGGAGAAAATAGGATTACTCACAATGTCAACTTTCATTTCCTTTTACCTTCTGTCAGCCACCACTCCCATGCCCATCTCCCAAAAGGCATGGCAATCTCTTGACGACTTTTAGGAAATTACAATGCTCTTTTTTCTGAAATATCTTGAATTCAATTTTTCCTTCTGCTAGGCTTTACACTTGACCCAAATAGACACCTTGCCTAATAGAACTCCTTCTCCATCTTCTCTCCAAGATTCCTGAAATTCCTCCAACCAGGGAAAAAGCCCTTCTTAGGCAATTAGTAATAAGTTTTGAACCACCAATTACCAGAGACAAGAAGCCAGTGGAATCAACTAGACTTTGCTGTAGTCTAAATATTTGTATGCTCCCAGAATTCCTATGTTGAAACCTAATACTCATTGTGAGGGTATCTGGAGGTGGGATCTTTGTGGATGACTAGATCATGAGGGCTCCACCCTCATTAATGGGATTAGTGCCCTTCCTTTAGTGAGAAGATGACCTTCTAAGAGGAAGCAGACCATCATCAGACATCAAGTCTCCTGGTGCCTTGATGTTGGATTTCCCAGCCTCCAGAAATGTGAGAAATAAATTTCTATTGTGAATAAGTCTCCCTGTTCATGGTCGTTTGTTATAGCAGGTCAAATGGACTAAGAAAGATATACATTAAATCTTTCCCTGAGGCTAGGGTTTTATAGTGGATAAGGAACCTAGAAGCAGGCCCTGGTTATTCTTTAGGGTAGATATATAGAGAAAACAAAACTGTCTTTTCTCTTACTCTTCTCTCACAATACTTCTGGTCACCAAGATATATATGGAGTTGTTCACACACTGACCAATTCTCCAATACAAGCTGGATATCCTAGAATTAAATTCAATTCTGACCCTATCTACCTGGAGTTAACATCAGATCCCTCAGGTTAAAGGCTCAGTCCTGTAAGATGGCCACCCACTTCAGATGCCAATCACAAGTGCAGGCCTCAAGTACTTCTGACCAACCAACTGTAAATTAGAAGTTCCCACAACCCCTTCTTGAGGTTGATCATGGTTCACAGAACTTGGGGAATGCTTTACTTACGTTTACCTGTTTGTTTTGTTTTGATAAAATAATATAACTCAGGAACAGCCAGATGGAAGAAATGGACAGGGCAAGGTATGGGGAAAGGGGTTCAGATCTTACATGTCCTTTCCCGCATGCTCCCTCCCAGCATCTCCATGAATTCAGCAACCTGGAAGCTTTCCAAACTCCATAATTTTGGGATTTTGATGAAGGCCTTATCACATAGGCATGCTTGCTTATTAACTCAATTTCCAGCCCCTGTCTCATCCTTGAGGATAGGAGTAGGGCTGGAATTTCCAAGCTAATATTACGGCTTGATCTTTCTAGTGAGCAGCCCCCATCAGGAGCCCACCAAAGTGTTGCCTCATTAGAACAAAAGATGCTTCTATTACCTATGAAATTCCAAGAGATTTAGGAGCTTTGTGTTCAAGGCTCCTATCAGTCAGGAAATTAAAAAGGCCATAGAAACTCTATGTTAGAAACTGGGGTCAAAGACAAAATAATAGAACAAAACATTGTCCTGACATTCCTATGTATAAGGGTTTTAGGAGCTCTGTCTCAGAAAACTGGGGCAGAGACCAAATGCACGTTTTTTTATTATGTTATAACAGGCAGGAAGGGAATAAAACCAGAGGCTGGGCTACCCATAGAGGTTGTCAGCTTCAAGGTCTGCACACAGAGAGCTTTATCAAAATAATATTTACCCCTGCATATCCTTTGTCTTTTGAACATACCCATGAAGACGGAGGTTATGGGAATTTTCATATTTGTTTTGCAGGACCACATTGATACAGTGGGAACAGTAGCACAAGTGGCTAGTCAACAGTGCATAGGCAACTACAGCCAAAGTCTTCTCACTTTGAGATTATATAACAACAGAGGAAGCGAAAGGCAGAAAATACTAATGGACTAATGGACTAATGGACCAGAGAAGTGTTTATTCATTTGTTTGTGAAACATAGTGAGTCTATTTTAGCTGCAGGAAGTATTCTTTAGCCAGCTGAAGAGGGCTTCTCCAGGGCAATGGTCTTTTCCTATTGATCTATGTCTCCCAGAACCTAATACTGTGCCTGGTGTTTATTATATGCTTACTAAATATTTGCCCATTTGAGGTTCACATTTATTTAATGTAAATTAAATAAAAAATAGGCTTTTATTTAATTTAAATTTAACCTTTAACATGTTCACATTGAATTTAGAAAATGCAATGTTTTTTTTTTATGTCTCTTGGAATGATCTTGCCTTTTTATTTGGAACAGCTCTCTTATTTGTGAGAAGTTCTCTTTTCCTCAAGAAAATCAATTAAATAATGTATGTGAAATGACTGGAATGCCTCCAAAGATAAATGCCATAGTTAAGTTATTACCACTACCTTAGTCCATTTTGTGCTGCTATGACAAAATGTATAAAGCTGGGCAAATTATAAAGAAAAGAGGTTTATTTGGCTCATGATTTTGTGGCTGGAAGGCTCAAGATTGGGAAGCTGCACCTGATAAGGGTCTCAGGCTGGTTCCACTCATGGTGGAAAGTGGAATGGGAGCTGGCATGACAACAAGACCACATGACCAGAGAAGAAGCAAGAGAGAAAAACTGAGAAAACCAGACTCTTTTTAACAACCCCATCTCATGAGAAGTAATTCATTCCTGGAAGAGCAAGAACTCACTCACGCCCAGGGAAGGCATTAGCCTATTCAGGAAGCATCTACCCCCATGACCCAAACACCTCCCAGTAGGCCCCACCTTCCAACACTGCCACATCGGGAGTGAAATTTCAGCGTAAGTTTTGGTGGGGACAAACCACATCCAACCACAGCAATCACTATCATTATTCTTATTATTTTATAAAGAATGATAACAGTATTTTTCTTCATTGAATTGCAATTACATGTCTTGGTTTATCTGAGATGGTCCCATTTATGCCTGCTGTTCTGCAATAATTATTAATCACATTCACCTTTTACTCTCAGAAGTGCCCCAGGTTGGACAATAAATTATACAGTAACTCTAAGTTTTACAGTGAGGAGACTAGTTGTAGTTCAGCCTGCCTGCCTGTGACCTCAATCTAGCTATTTACCAATCCTATGGTCTCAGAGAGGTGAGAAACATCATCTTAGCTGAAGCAGACTCCCATTCTTTTACCCAAGTACATGTTATCATATTATCCCATTTCATCTTCTTTCCCTCAGTCACTTGCAATCATATCCCCATTTTATCATTTTCACAGCTCTATGAGTACATGAAATTTTATTTTCCTGCTTATTTACTGTTTTTTTCCTCATTTCTTGTCCCCCCTCACACATAAATATAAGTCGTCAAGCAAAGAATTTCTCCTATTCACACTTATAGTCCTAACATTTAGAATGGCACCTAGTACATACTAGACATGCAATAAAAAAAGTGTTGATTGCCTAACTAAAGTCAAAATATGTATTTTAATGCTAAAGATGGTAGATAATAGATTACATAAAAATAAGTTTGGTATACACTTATATTGAAGTAGTCTTATACTTCATTGTGGTCCATTTGCATTAGAACAAATCAAGTGGTTGACATTTAGCTTGGCCAAGTTGTGGAAGAGAATTTTCCAGAAGTAAAGAATAAGAAACCAAAACTAGAATAATAATTACTTTATGTTCTATAGAAATAGTTAATCTTCCTTTCTCTCATGTGGATATGGGCTTGATTTCTTCTTGATGTTTCCCCATAATGGGAAGTACTCTGTTTCAAGTAGACTATTTTTCCCTGAGGAGTGTCTTTGAATGTGGTAATACCATCAAATGAAGGTCAGTTTACCGTTCCATCTGAGCTGTTAATTAAGTAAGTTTGCTTTCTTTTCAGAGAGATCTGCCATTGTCACCAGTAACTGGCAGGAAAGATCAGTATTAAATTTTCTTTCATTGGTAAGAGTAGTTAAGGACAAAGAATAGATGATACCCTTCCAAATCAAAGTCATTTTGAAGTATTTTCTCTTAGAAAGGTAGATTTTATAGCATTGACCAATATTGAATTAATGAAAAAAAAGTTAGAAGATATTTACTTTGAATCCCTGTGGTGAACATTGTTAACTATGATTTTTTTTTTTTTAAATCACAGGTTAAATTTTTGTTTCCTCATGGTGGCGAACATACACAATTTGGATAGTTTAAAATACTATGGGAGCCACTAGTGGTGTGGTACTCAAATGTTATGTAAAGAAATTGGGTAAAACCTAAGGAAATACTCTGGGCTTTAAAATACCACATATTTATTATTGTTGTTGTCTTCTCTATCATTTTTAAGTCCGTATCTTGCCAGGCTTTAATTAGAAAATGAAGTCACATTTCCATTTATCGCCAAATTATGATACCATGCTCAAGTAGGAAATTAGCACTCCTTTGGATATTCTGTAGTTATTTCTCAGAGTACCCAAGAAAATACTTCTCTTATATTCATAAGACAATCTTTTAACTGCAGCAATGTTTTGGTGGCTACTATGTTTTTCCTTTCCTGAACCAGTAATTACTGCTTACCTGCAGTCTCTATAAAGCACCTGGAAAAAAGCACATTATTTTTGTGAGAAATTCAGTATTTAAGCCTATGGTAGACTTGATTTATTAGTGCCCTTCCTTCACAATTGAATCTCGCTTCCTTGTGTATGTTCTTGCTTTATCCCCTTCCATGTTGATTCTGGGCTAGACCATGTGACTTGCTTTGAGCAAAGGGATATAAGCAAACATGATTCAGGCAGAGGCTCAATAAGTGCTTGTACGATGGGTCGTATTCTATCAGAGTATTATTTTTTGGAAACCAGTTGTCATGAAAGAACTTTTACAACTTTGTGACTACCATGCTGTAAGGAACATTGAGAAGGAGAGATGAGCCAGAATTTCTGACTGACAGAACTGTGAAGAAATAAAATGGTTGCTTTTTTAAGCTACTAAGTTTTGGGAAGTAGTTTGTTAGGCAGCTATAGTAGATAACCTCAGGGTTCCAGAATGGGGCTCGGCCTGTATAGAGGTAGCTAAAATGGCTTCTTTCTAAAAGTTACCCAAGCAGAGCTGCTTCTTTTTGTGTGATTCACTCAATCTTATAACACAATTTTGTCAGTTTCATTACTTTCTAACTACATAGGGTGTTAAAAGAGAGTGTGGGAATGGGGAAACAGACTGTGTTACCCTTTCTTTACCCAAATCACTTTAATATAGACCCTGACCTGCAATTAAACTTTATCTTCTCCAATTAACTGGCCAAAACATTAGACCATCCTCCCACAACTTTTTGCATATTAAAGGCAACAAAGAAATGATTGAGGTGGCAGGTAGGTCAGTGGATACCATTTGACTAAACTGACAGAATTAAGGCCTCAGCTCCCTGATAAAATGTTCTCTGAAAATTGCAATCACATTTTTAGTTTTTAAGAAACCTCCATACTATTCTCCATAGTGGTTATACTAATTTACATTCCCACCAACAGTGTATGAGGAGTGCCCTATCTCCACATCCTTGCCAGCATTCATTATCGCCTATTTTTTTAAAAAAAACCATTTTAACTAGGATGAGATTATATGTCATTGTAGTTTTGATTTGCATTTCTCAAATCAAATTTGAGCATTTTTAGTGATGTTGAACATTTTTTCATATGCCTTTTGGCCATTCATAAGTCTTCTTTTGAGAAATGTCTATTCAGACCCTTTTCCATTTTTTTAATCAGATTATTTTTCTCTATTGAGTTGTTTGAACTCTTTATATATTCTGGTTATTAATCTCTTGTCAAATGAGTAGTTTGCAGATATTTTCTCCCATTCTGTGGGTTGTCTCTTCAATTCGGATTATTTCTTTGAGCAGAAGCTTTTTAGCTTAATGTGATCCAAATTGTCCATTTTTGCTTTAGTTGCCTGTGCTTTTAAGAACTTACTCAAGAAATCTTTGTCCAGATCTATGTTCTGGATGTCCTCAATGTTTTCTTGTAATAGTTTCATAGTTTCAGACCCCAAATTAAAGTCTTTAATAAATTTTAATTTTATTTTTGTGTATGGTAAGAGACGGGGTCTAGTTTCATTCTTCTACGTATGGGTATCTAGTTTTCCCAGCACCATTTATTGAAGAAACTATCCTTTCTCCAATGTGTATGTGTTTGGTACTTTTGTTGAAAATTAGTTAACTTTAAATGTGTGGAGTTATGTCTGGAGTTATTCTGTTCCATAGGTCTAAGTATCTGTTTTTATGTCAGTACCACAATGTTTCAGTTACCATAGCTTTGAAGTATAATTTGAAGTCAGGAAATGAGATTCCTCTAATTTTGTTCTTTTTGCTCAGGATGGCTTTGGCTATTCTGGTCTTTTGTGGTTTTGTATATATTTTAGGATTACAATTTCACTGCTGGTTACATATTCAAAAGAAAGAAAGTCAGTATATTGAATAGATATCTGTACTCCTATGTTAATTGCAGCACTATTTACAGTAGCCAAGATATAGAATCAATCTGAGTGTCCATCAATGGAAGAATGAATGAATGGATAATGAAAATGTGGTGTATATACACAGTGGAATATTATTCAGCCATAAAAAGAACAAAACCCTGTCATTTGTAACAACATAGATGGAACTGGGAGACATTATGTTAAGTGAAATAAACCAGGCACAGGAAGACAGATATCACATATTCTCGCTCATATGTGAGAGCTAAAAAAAATATTTTTTTTGAACTCATGGAGATAGAGAGTAGAGTGACGGTTACTAGAGACTAGAAAAGATAGCAGGGAGAGGGGGCTGAAATGGTAATAGTTAGTGGGTACAAAAGTACAGTTAGATAAAATGAATATGATCTAGTATTTGGTAGCACAATTGGGTGATTATAGCTAACAAGAATTTATTGCTTATTTTAAAATAATGAAAAGAGAGAAATTGGACTGTTTCTAACACAAAGAAATGATAAATGCTTGAGGTGATGGATACTCCATTTACCAAGAGTGAAATTGGAATGTTTCCAACACAAAGAAATGATAAATGCTTGAGGTGATGCATACTTCAATTACCCTGATTTGATCATTACACATTGTATGCTTGTATGAAAACATCACATGTACCCAATAACATATACAACTATTATGTACCCATAATAATTAAAAATAAAAATAAAAAGTCAATCACAATTACTGATCGTTTTATAATGTCCCTATTGCTCATTTTATAATTGTCCTATTGCGAAGATAAAAGAGAATTTTATCTTAACAAATACATGCTGCATGTCTTACTAGGGCATAAACTTTCCCTCTGTACTAATTCTCCAGATTAAGCTAGATCTGGGTGGAAGTGGAGGCTCACTTTTCCTGTTTGTTAATATTTCCACATGGAAAGGATTCCACTTAATACCATGCTCTGAATACCTTGAATCTGAGTGTGGAGGCACCTTGAGGACTTAGAAACTGTATTAGACAGAAAACTTTCAGTTGCAGGGGCTTGAAATTTCACTGAAGCAAAAATGGAGAGATTCTTATCTCACATAATGGTAAAGCTCAGGAATAGATCTGACTTTAAGCAGAAGGTGATCTCGAAGCTCAAAAAAGGTCATCTGCATCAAGAATTTATTGCTTTTTCTCTCTCTGTCTCCATGTGGAGACACTTACTCATCAGCTTTGAGCTTACATCCTGCCATATTAATGTCCCAGAGAATAAAGGGCATTCAGTTCCAATAATTTAAGCAAAAGTCCCAGGTATAACTTTCATTGACCTTAATTAGGTCACATGCTCATCATTGAACCAGTCACTGTGGCCAAAGTTTGCACAGGCCAGGTCCTCATGTCCACTCCTGGAATCTCACTTGCATCACTGAGATGGGAATATTTTTACAATAAAGGGAAACAGACCTTAATCAGCCAGAAAAGATAGATGCCTGCTATGGAAAAGAAAAAAAAAAAGGTCCCTGATGCCAAGTTCTAGTTCATTGTTCAAAATTCCAATTATGGACATCCTGAAGAAAAGTTATATTTTTCACTGTAACTTCATGATTCTTTGGCTGATGAAGAGGAGCCAGAGAAAGGCATTTTGGATTGTGATGCAATGCTGTTCAGTGGTGTTAGCCACCAGGAGTTCCACTGTATTCACCGCTGCATTTGAATTTCCAGGTGGCTTCTGCAGCCAAAAGGACGCCCTTCCATCTTTGCTGGCCAGGGTTCTGACTCCTTGCTTCTTAGACATTGATTTGGCCAAGATAACTGGTGTACCTCTCACAGATTCTCTCAGGGATTGACTTGCATTTTATGGATATGGGATTTGTATCCATGTAGAGTAAGATTTGACTCTTACTCTGCATGGAATACAGGAGTTCCCCAATGAGAAAGGCAAAGCCCTGGGCTTTGTGTTATTCCATTGTTCTCTTGGTCTCAATCCCTGATTCCAAGATGGCTTCACTCAAGGCTGTGACAATTTTCTTTGAGACCTAAATTAGAATGGGACATGGAATAATCAGCTGGCAGGCTTCTCTGCCCCAGAATGGAGTCCACCTGGCTGCTGCACAGCAAATAATGCCACAATCTGGTTGAACCGAGAGGTCGAATTTACCCAGAAAGAAGCCCAAGCCTTCATAATGGTTCTTTCACAAGTTCTAGGATTCTTGTACACAACCTGAGATTATTAATGAAAAAAATATAGATTGATTATATAAATCTGTGTTTGACAGATTAGAAGAATGAGGTTGTGTGGTGGAAACCTTTTGTTAGTCCAGAATCCAGTACCTTTACTTTTGAGACTTACAGAATAATGACACGTATGATTTCCTTTTAACCATTGCCTGTCTCTCACTTTTAGTCTATTTCATATAAGATGTGCCTATGCCCCACTTCAGGGATGAGCACCTTAACCACAACCAACCTTAGAAATATATTCTATTTTCTTAACATGCTAGTTGGTTCAGAGTTGGACATATGATCCAATTTGTATTAATGGGAGGACTTTTTCATAATTTTTAGAAGAGTCAATGCACTCTTACTGCTGCTTATGAAGCTAGGAAGATGCAACCCATGAGTTAATTTAAAAGAGCCACAGTTTTGGAGAAGATATCACCAATGGTGATGTCAATATGAAGGAGGGCAGAATTTAAAAAATGGAGAGAGGGACCTCAATCTGTTTTTTGTTTTTGTTTTTGTTTTGTTTTGTTTTGTTTTTTGAGACAGGGTCTCACTCTGTTGACCAGGATGGAGTGCAGTGGCATGATCTTGGCTCACTGCAGCCTCCGCCTCCGGGGTTGAAGTGATTCTCAATACCTTGGCCTCCTGAGTAGCTGGGATTACAGGTGTGCACCACCACTCCTGGCTAATTTTTGTATTTTCAATAGAGGCGGGGTTTCACCGTTTTGGCCAGGCAGAAAGACCTTGTTCTTATGGCATTGTTTGAATCCCCAGATCCAGATATGCCTGAAGTCAGTTTCTACATACAAAGACTGATAATTTATTCCTTTGACTTAAGCCAATCTGAAGGCTGAAGATGCATCACTGTGAAATTTAAGCAGCAACCCCTAAATTCCTTCCACCCTAGACTAGCCACTGTGACCCACAGACTGTGGAATCAGAGGCGGGGATAACTGAATAGGAGGTCCACAGTGGATTTTGGTTCATTTTCACATAGAACATACAAATAAACAACTGTATTTTATCACAAGAGATTCTTAATTGGCTATTGCACCTCTGCTTTTCATTAATCAATTCTTCATGTTGTAGTTAGAAGTGAGTATTTCAACATGCAAATCTGATCATGCCACTAGCTCTTCAGAGAGTCCTCAAAGCTTGTAGAACAAGTTCAAACACCTCAACATGTGTACAAGACCCTTTGTTTCCTAATATCTGTTTATTTCACCAGCTGCTACAGTTCCAGGTTCTCTCTCACCTGCTATCTGCCTGTCTTGTTTTCCTTTACCAACATACTACTTTCTCTTTGAGTCTAAGTCCTTTTTTGTCCTTTTTTTTTTTTAAGACATAGTCTTGCTATGTCACCCTGGCTAGAGTGCAGTGGTGTGATCTCGGCTCACTGTAACCTCCACCTCCTGAGTTCAAGTGATTCTCCTGGCTCAGCCTCCCGAGTAGCTGGGACTACAAGTGCATGCCACCATGCCCAGCTAATTTTTTTGTATTTCTTTTAGTAGAGATGGGGTTTTGCCATCTCTAGGGTGGTCTCGATCTCCTGACCTGGTTAGCTAGGATGGTCTCGATCTCCTGACCTCGTGATCCACCTGCCTCAGTCTCCCAAAGTGCTGGGATTACAGGAGTGAGCCATTGCGCCCAGTTGGGTCTAAGTCTTAGTGCCACTTCCTGAATAACTAGGTTACAAGATCCTTGGTCTTTGCTTCTATATCAGAACACTTAGACAATGGAAGATGGTAATTATGATATAGTATGTTGTCCCACGAACTACCCTATACATTCCATTTGGGCAGGGATCATGACTACCTCATTACCCCTATATTTACAGAACGTAGGTGGTGCTTAGCCTACATTGCTAAATAAATGACTAATGAGTGAATACATCTTTGTATCAACTTGGAGCCAACTTTTCAAACATTATAGACTAACTTAAACTATTAGCTCATATTAGTGCATTTCTTTTTGAAGACCAGAATGAGGAATTAGTGAGGAAACCCATTGTCCTTTCATGAATTTCTGTGGAGGAGAGGACTGCTTCTTTTCTCCCGATAAGCTAAGGAGTTGTTTAGAATAAACACCTTGGCTCACTTTCTGTATCTTTCTTACTTTTCCCCTAGGATAAGGAGTCATGAATTTGAATAGTGAGAACTCCTCTTCCAGTGGGCCACAGTTTTCTAGGGAGAGCACTACTAACAATAGAAATGCCTTTCTGTCTTGACCTCTTGGACTGAATGTGCTCAGATGCAGCAGGCATGCCTGCCCTCTAGTCCTCTCCTTTGCTTCTGATCCTCAAGCATTAAATCCACTTCGGTGGAGGTGGTGGCTGCCAATCTCTGGCTTCTTAAATGTGCCTAGATAGATAAGTCAAACAGAGCCAGCTATCTTTAATACAGGGCATAGTGGCTTGAGTAGCGATCCTCAAAATGTATGTTCAGGTGCTAACCTCCAGAACCTGTGAAAGTGATCTTATTTGGAAAAGGAGTTGTGTTAGGCTATTCTTGCATTGTTATAAAGGAACACCTGAAGCTGGATAACATAAAGAAAAGGAGTTTAATTGGCTCATGGTCCTGGCAGACTGCACAGCACACATGGCACTGGCATCTCCTCATATTCTGGTGAGACTTTAGGAAGCTCGCAGACATGGCAGAAGGCCAAAGGGGAGCAGGCACATCATATAGTGAGAGCCAGAGTAAGAGAGTGAGGAAGAAGGTGCCACACACTTTTAAACAACTAAATCTCCTGTGAACTGAGAGAGAGATCACTTATCACCAAAGGGATGGCACTAAACCATTCATGAAAGATCCACCCATATAATCTGATCACTTTATTCCATGCCACACCACCACCAACATTGAGAATCACATTTCAATATGAGATTTGGAGGGGACAAACATCCAAACCACATCATTCTGCCTCTGGACCCACAAATCTCATGTCCTTCTCACATTCCGAAATACATTCATGTCTTTCTAAAGTTCCTTGAAGTCTTAACTCATCCCAGCATTAACTCAAAAGTCCCAAGTCTCAAGTCTCATCTGAAGATGAGTTTCTCCCACCTGTGAGCCTCTGAGATAATAAATAAGTAAGTTATTTATTCCCAAGATACAATGGTGGCACAGGCATTGGGTATAAATTACCATTCCAAAAGGGAGAATTGGCCAAAAGAAAAAGGCTACAGGCCCCATATCAGTCTGAAACCCAGCAGAGCAGTCATTACAGCTTAAACCCCCAAAGAATCTCCTTTAATTCCATATTCTGCATCTATGGCACACTGGTGCAAAGGGTGGGCTCCCAAGGCCACACACAGCTCTACCCATGTGGCTTTGCAGGGTGCAGCCCCCATGGCTGCTCTCATGAGTTAGAGTTGGTTGCCTGCAGCTTTTCCAGGCTCAAGACGCAGGCTGCCATGAAACAACTATTCTCAGGTTTGGAGGGCGGTAGCCCTCTTCCCACAGCTCCACTAGGCAGTGCCCTGATGGAGACTCTGTGTGTGGGCTCCAACTCCACATTTGTCTTCAGCACTGCCCTAGCAGAGGTTTTCTGTGGAGGCTCCACTCTTGTAGCAGATTTCTGCCTGGGCGCCTGGGCTCCTGGGCTTTTCCACGAATCTTCTGAAATCTAGGGGGAAGCTGCCAAGTCTCCTTTATGATTGCATTCTGTATGCCCACAGGCTTAACACCATGTGGAAACTGCTAGGGTTCATGGTGGCTTGCATTCCCCAAGCAGCAGCCTAAGCTTTGAGCACTTTGAGCTGAGGCTGGAGCCAGAGCACCTGATTGTGGGGAGCAGTGTGCTGAGGCTGTGTAGGACAATGAGGCCCTGGGCCTGATCTACTAAACCAATTTTTCCTCTTAGGCCTCTGGGCCTATAATGGGAGGGTGGTGTATTAGTCTTTCCTCTTGGGCCTCTGGGCCTATAATGGGATGGGTGGTATATTAGTCCATTCTCTGCTGCAACAAATTGCCTGAGACTGGATAGCTTATGAAGAAAATAGGTTTAATTGACTCATGATTCCACAGGAGGCTTAACAGGAAGCATGACTGGGAGCCCTCAGGAAACTTACAAGCATTGAAGAAGGTGAAGGGGAAGCAAGGCATGTCTTACATGGCAGCAGGAAAAAGAGAGAGAGAGAAGAGAAATGCTACACACTTTTTAAACTATCAGATCTCGAGAACTTACTATCACAAGAACAGCAAGGGGGATATCCTCCCCCATGATTCAATCACCTCCTACCAGGCCCCTCCCCCAATTTGACATGAGATTTGGGTGGTACCACAAAACCAAACCATATCAGGTGGCCTGAAAGATCTCTGAAATGCCTTTGAAGCCTTTTCCCCATTCTCTTGAATATTGGCAGTTATCTTTCTTTCAGTCATGCTAATCTCTCTAGCAAGTGGTTGCACCACAGCTCTCCTGAATTCTTCCCATGAAAACAGGCTTTCCTTCTCTACCACATGGATAGGCTATGAATTTTCCAAATTTTTATGCTCTACTTCCCTTTTACATATAAGTTCCAACTTTAAGTCGTGCCTTTTCTTCCACATCTGATTGTCAGCTGTTAGAAGCAGCTATGTGACTTCTTGAATGCTTTGTTGCCTAGAAATTTCTTCCACCTGATACCCTAAGTCATCACTCTTAAGTTCAAACTTCCACAAAACCGTAGGACATGGACACAATGCAGCCAAGTCCTTTGCTAGGGAGTTCTCAATAAGTTTCTCATGTCCCCTCCGAGACCTCCTCAGCCTGACCATCACTTCCCATATTTCTATCAGCATTTTGGTCACAACCATTTAACAGTTTCTGAGAAGTTCCAAACTTTCCCTCATCTTCCTATCTTTTTTTGAACCCTCCAAACTCTTCCAACCTCTGACATCACACAGTCTCAAAGCTGCTTTTCAAGTATCAAGTAAAGATAGTATATAGATTTTCAAGTATCTTTATCACAAGTGCTCTTCTCCTTGGTACCAATTTTCTGTTAGGCCATTCTTGGGCTGCTATAAAGAAATACCCAAGACTGAGTAATTTATAAAGAAATTCATAAACAGGTTTAAATTTGTAAAGATATTTAATTGGCTCACAGTGCTGCAGGATGTACAGGAAGCATGGTGCTGGCATCTGCTCAGCTTCTGGTGAGGCCTCAGGAAGCTTTCAATCATAGCAGAAGGCAAAGGGGGAGTGGCACATCACATGATGAGAGAGGGAACAAGAGAGCAAAGAGAGAAGTGTCACACACTTTAAAACAACCAGATCTCACACGAACTAACTGAACAAGAACTCATTTGTCACCAAGGGGATGATGATAAACCATTCATGAGGGATTTGCCCTCATGGTCCAATCACCTCCCACCAGGCCCCACCTCCAACACTGAGAATTACATTTCAACATGAGATTTGTAGGGGACAAACATCCAAACCATATCAGAAGTCTGTGCAGATATAATTAAACTAAGGATTTTGAGATGAAATCACTCTAGATTTAGCATGAGGCTCAAGTCCAATGATAAGGATCTTTAGAAAGGCAGAGGGAGATTTGAGTCAGAGACACAGGAGAAAAAGCCATGTAAAGATGGAAGCAGAGATTAAAGTTATGCATCCACACACAAAAGACAGCCTGGAGCCACCAGAAGCTGAAAGAGGCAAGGATAGATTCTCATTTAGAAACTTCAGAGGAAGTATGGCTGTCTCATCTTAATTTTGGACTTTTGATCTTCAGAACTGAGAGAGGATACATTCATATTGTTTTAAGCCACCAAGTTTGTGGTGATTTGTTATGGGAGTCCTAGGAAACCAATACACAGGTGAGGGTAAGAAAACCCTCTATCCTGCTTCAATATAGCAGTTAGGAAAGAGCCCTATCCTGGCCCATTATGAAGCTGATACTTGAATCCTTATTTGGCAATTTCTTCTTTCTGTATATGTCCTACTAGCCAGAGCCCTGAAGCCAGAGGGGTGAGTGGTCAGAGTCGGGGCTCAATGCCCACTCTGAACTTCTAGAAGGAGACACCGGCAAGGGCCTAGGCCTTCTGATTCCTTTGTGGATCTCAGACCTAGCTGGTATATTGAAACAGTATGGAGAAGTGGGCTCCAGAAGGATCAGTGGCTCTCCACTTACCTAGGTTCTGCCAGTCCTTTGAGGTTGGCTGGGAAGTTAATTCCTATGTCTTCCATTAAAATGTCCCAGATTATTATAGCCTAAAATAATGTTGACCCTCTTTAAAAAAAAAACTCTACGGTGTTAATCAGTGGTGTATCTCTTTGGTGCTTACAAAACTGTCATATATAACCCTTTTAATGTTTATGGTCTGGCTCTCAAAGTATATCGTGAGCCCATCGAGGGAAAAAAGTAACTAATTAATATGTGTGTATAAAGTAATGTTTTAGGAATTACAGATTTTATCTGCGTTGACAGTCCTTAGTCGAATGCCTAGGATGAAGGGGATACTCAGCAAATGATGACAGTAAAGAAATTGATTCTTAGCCTTTGAAATAGACTGAAATTGCATTTTTTCCCTGCCCAATTAGATTTCCCCTCTTACTAATGGACTTTGTGCACCTTAATTATAATAGTTGGCATTTAATTGAAGCAGGAGAAGCCAGACTGTTTCCATAGATTGATACAAGGTCATTGGGAAAAGGGAAAGACTTTTCCTGTGCTAAGCTGAAGCTGATAGGAGCTATATTCACTGCCACATGAAGAAGGCTTCTCTGTAGTAGGAAGTAATTTAACTGATATACAAAGAGAAGCAGAGTCAGGTGGGGATGAGATGGATGGACAGTAAGAAAGACCTGACAGCATTGTAATCCCAGGTTCCAATTCCAGATTCTGAAGCACTCATTTATGAAGCATTTTCTCTCATTCCTTGAAGTATCTTGATTTACTCCCTGGCTATTGGTACAAATTCATTTCAAGTTCATTCAAGTATGAACTTGAGCTAGTTTTTAACTTGGGTTTGTATCACTTGTAACTAAAAGAACCTTTGTGCAACTTGCAAGCCTCAAAAGTAAGAACACTTTCATGGCCTCCCCGAGCTGTTTTAAGGATCCATGAGAATGATCTATATCTCTATGTGATGCACACACATACACATATATATATAATTTAGTTGCTTTCTTGTGGGTCCCGTCTCAATCCTGATGCTTAACAACTTAAGGTTGAATCTGAACAAAACAACATTGAATTAAAAGATGAAAAACTCAAACATAAAAAAATCTACAAGAATTGCTTTTCTAATTTTTTAAAAAAATCAGATTATTCAGTAGTTTAATTACATGGTAACAGGAAACCAAAATATTATTTATCATGTGGCCACTATCGACGCATGTCATAACATCACTTTAAAATGATGTGACACAGAATGCTGAGAATAATGCAAAAATAGTAAAGTTGGTGAATTATTGATTCAG
The DNA here is from genome assembly GCF_000001405.40 of Homo sapiens. Taxonomy (NCBI): domain Eukaryota; kingdom Metazoa; phylum Chordata; class Mammalia; order Primates; family Hominidae; genus Homo; species Homo sapiens. Next base: position 80,119,410 of record NC_000014.9, on the reverse strand, counting down.
ATATTTCCAAAACTTTATGTTCTGCATTGGTTGAATTCACTGCTTACCATTTACAGAAACTTAGGTATAGCTCAAAATTTAATAGGCAGTGTCTCTTCTGTTTAGGCTCCTTTATTTCTTACCTGATTGCTAATAGTGCGGAATGATCAAATGATACAGAAAGCACACGGGAAATTCTGTGCAAAGGGCTATCATGTATTTTTTGTCTGCCCAGAATTCCTTCCTTTGTGATACTTGCTGTGTAGTACTGTGCAGAGACTGATGAAGAACACCTAGTAATTAATCTCAAGCATACTAGACTATTCCACCAAGTGGAATCAATGCAAATGCAAGATGTAGAAAGGTTTTCTTGATACCTAGATCCATATTGTTATAGTTATTTATGATATATGTTTTTATGTATTACAATTATGTATATTTTTATATATACAAATACGAATATGTAATTATGTATATTGCCATTGAAAGTGTTTGGGTTGCTATGCTTCAATAAATTCATCAGAGTGCCTGCCATATATCCAGCAGGCACTCTTCTAGGAGGTGGGGCTACCATGATGAATATGACAATCGTCGTCCCTGCCTAATGTAGTTTACATCTTAGTGAGAAAGGCAGGCAATACACATGAAAAAGAAGAAAACAAAAACAAAACAAGCTCGAGAATGACTAGGGTTAGTGTGCCTCTTTAAATAATTAGAAAAGATCTCGCTGAGGAGACCATGTTTGAGCTAAGAACCAGATAATAAGAACGAGCCAATCTGGTCCAGGAGGTTAGGAAAGGGAAAAGGAAGTATCCAAAGCAGAGGGAAGAGACAGACGAATAGTCTTGGAGCAGAATGAACATAACATGTAAAAAATTTAGGTTGGAACTACAAAGGGAAGCCACTGAGGATTTTAAGCAGATGAACAATATAATCTTTTATAATTTTTAAAGATTATGTAGATGAATGGCCAAAGTCTCTTGGAACCCAAGGGTCTGACTCATTTTTTGACATAAACAGTTTTTCTGGTTTAGTATTTGCCACTAAAATTTTGGAATAAATGAATCCTCTTTCGGAACATTATCTTGAACAACTGACATTATTGGTATAAAAGTCCTCTGCAAATAAAACAAAATCTAGGACCCATTTTCACTACTCTTCATAGACAAACAACCAATATGGTGAATTGTGCCTGAAAGCAATCTAAAGTGTTTCCTTCTGTTCTATCCAAGCTTCTGTGAGCCCAGATAGGTTGGACACACACTGATGAGGCTGGGAGGGAGTCCTATGAATGGAGTACCCAGCTGTGATTTGAGTGGTCAGGGAAGCACCAGCTTGCTCTCAGCCTCTTCAGTTTGGAGAGCCAAATCACTCGGGGGCCAAGCAATTGTACTCCATGCATGGTTTGCTACTAATTGTGCTACCAAAGAGGACTGGAACACCTGGTGCCTGTTTGCCATGCATGCTAGAGAATAGAAGATAAAAAACATTTCTAATAACATTGGTGATAGCATATTTGGGACAGTATCAGTTCTTTAACCTCTGTGGAGCCTACCAGCCAGATGTTCTCATTTTAAATTCTCTTCTTATGATTTCATCAGGATTGATCCTGCACAAAAAACCTCCTAGACCAGAAGAATGCATTTTAGCCCAGCAGCCTCAGACAAGAACCCTGGATACTTCATTTCTTTTTCTCAGTTTTCACTCAATTAATAGAGAGAGGCAAAAATGGAGATACAAATACTGCTGAGATAAAATTAGGTGAAGAGTATTTGTGTTTTGGGTTTTAATGGCCCTCAAATTGCACCTCTCCTTCCATTTAGGTTTTGAACAATTTGAAATGAAACAAAGGAGTAGCAATTGGAGGAAAGCATATTATCTCATAAGCTGGGAAGCCTAGTGATATGGTTTGGCTGTGTCCCCACCGAAAACTCATCTTGAATGGTAGCTCCCATAATTCACAAGTGTTGTGGGAGGGACACAGTGGTAGGTAATTGAATCATGGTGGGTAGATCTTCCCCATACTGTTCTCATGATAGTCAGTAAGTCTCACAAGATCTGATGGTTTTATAAAGGGGAGTTCCCCTACACAAGCTTCTGGCCTGCCACCATGTAAGACATGACTTTGCTCCTCATTCACCTTCTGCCATGATTGTGAGGCATCCCCAGCCATGTGGAACTATAAGTCAATTAAATCTCTTTCCTTTATAAATTACCCAGTCTTGGGTATGTCTTTATTAGCAGCATGAGAATGAACTAATACACCTACCCTGAGAGCTCAGATTCCCAGAATATGGCAGGCTTAAGCTCTAGGTCTCTTCCAACACTGGACATGGGCAAGAGGGTAAGATCCTGCCCTAGAGGAGCAACTGAGGGGGATAGGGTAGTAGCACACTCTATGGAAGTGTGGAGTTGGGTTATCCTGGCCAGGTTTATTCTTCAGGTAAGGCTGTGCTTCTGGGGCCAGTGAGTCAAGAAGCAGAGGTTAGGTGTTATACTAATTTGGATTCTTGCACAGAAAGGAATCATCAGGAATTAGAAATAAGGGTTCCCACTTAATATTTGATATTGGCTGCTTTTAAGTTTCAGATCACTAAGTTAATGAACAGGAAGGACAGTGGAGATTAAAAGAGGTGCACAATAAAATGGGAAAATAAAGTAAAATATTCATAAAAGAAAACAGCACACATAATATGAACATGGGGAGCAGTTAAGTGGTAGGATCAGGGAATTATGGAAGTTTCTGCAGAGCAGCATCTGATGGTTAAGTAATTTGTTTCTCTTGGGCAATGCATTGAGCATATGGATGTAACATCCAGTTACTGCATTCCAGTAATTCACTAGAATCTAAATGCATTAGAAGAAATAAGATGAGGAGAGCTAACTAAGAGTTTTGTTGCCCTAACTTTTGATCTTTAACTTTTGGGATAAGTTTATTTGAGGAATCAGATGTTGTTCCATTTTGGATAGTGACCAATTATTATAATCAGTGAACAGACAGAGAGCTTGACTGAAATTTTAATTCCTAAGTGATTTTTTAAATGTAGACTAGCAGGATCTACATTTTGCTGACTCTGTGAGTTTGTGAGGAATTTACCATATCTGCATTTTATACTTATGTCTGGACCTATTGGAGGATGCTAAATGTTCTTCTCTTAGGTTTTCTGCCATTTTCAGACTTATTTTCTTTAGGATAAACAGAGCTAGAATTATACTGACTGCTTAGTCACTTGCGGTTTATTTTGATCAGGTTTTTTTCATGCCCGGCATTCATCCCATTAATTTTTTAAGGGAATTCCTTCTCTAAAGTAGAAATAGTCTGAGTTGAATTGTAATTCCTGTTATCTACCTGCTGAGATCTTTTCCCACTAAGGCTCCATCTTCTAGCCAGGCCTGGCACATGACCTAAATTCAGCCAAACAGAATTTTGACTGTTTAGTTGGTGATATGGTAATATAGCAGAATTTGAAGATCAGATTCATTTTGATACAGAAATAGGGGCTGTAGTGACAGGGGTGGGAGAGACAGCAGTGTGAGTAGCAGCAGAAGAGGCATTGAGACCACTTTTCTTGCCCAGGGAATGGTTGTGCTTCTTCTTTTCTGGTTTCAAACATTTGGAATTCTCTTATTTCCTACTATTTTCAAGTCTGATCTCTTAGCATACCGATGAGTTGCTGGTGAATGCCTATTGCCATCTACCCCAAAAGTTCTTTGAGTACATCTATTCTGATTTCAAATAGCCAGAAAGAGGGTCAAGTTTTGCTTACAGAAGAACTCCCACTGAAGATTCTTGATCACCTTCAGAAGGCAATTCAAAAGTAATTGCCTTCATGAATCTTTCTGATAAAAAATGAATTTGTTCACGGATGAGACTGTCAATCATTTAATATTTGTTGAGTGTCTATCATTATCTAGGCCCTTGGGCATGAAGATAAAAAGTACAATGTATTATAGTCTATACTATCTTGGAGCTTTGAGTGGGATTGGGAAGAAAGTCATTAAAAATTGGGTGAATAAATATAAAACTACAACTATGATAAATGATGTGAAGAAAAAAAACCCCATGATGCTCTAAGAAATTATGTTGGAAGGAATTAATCTAGTCAGGGAGATCAGAAAAGACTTCTTCCTTAGTGATGGGGGTAGAATAAGTATTAACTAGATAAAGGAAGGGAAGAGGCAAGGAAGGGGCCTCCCTGTGGATAAGGAACCCTAGAAAGAACAGATAGCTTTTGAGGTAAGGCATTACAAACAAGTATTAAAATGCAAATTTTAAACGTGGGTGGGGAAAAGGTATTAAGCCATTATTTTTCATTATTAATGTAGTGCAAACTAGTTAATCAGTTTGGCTGTATCTGTTAAGAATGCAGCTCCAATCAGCCACATTTGAAAGTATATATTAGAGAATAGGAGAGCAGTGGGGGTACTACTTTCATGAGCAATAAAGGAGGAAGCCCCACAGTTACTATGTTAAGGTTTTCTTCCATCACTGGAGTTGATGAAGCATTAGATTTCCTAGAAAAAAAAAGGGGAGGGGCGTAGAGAAGACAGATGGTGTTGTGAGAAGAAAAATGGGGTTACTAAAAATACTCTTGCATAATTTTGCCCAGAGTTGATCTAACAGAAAAAAAAAATCACAAAGAAAACTCAGAGCAAAAATCATTCTCAAAGGTATTTATTTTAAGCAATTTCACAAATGTCCAGTGCACTGAATCATTTGTGCAGCTTTTGGATTGTGTCAGGTAGTAGCCAAGTGATAAAGGAGAAGCATATAGCCCAGACAAAGCAAAGCATCAGCCGCAGTTCACTTGGCAATAGCTGGAATAAGTGTAATAATCCATCATTTAAATAGTATCATGCAGTTTATAAAGTAATGGAGCAACATTTTTTCAATATCCCTCTGAGGGTAAAGAAGATACTATATATGTATATATTTACTCTGCTATATATAAGAGGAAATTGAGGCTCAAGGAGCTTTTATAACTTGCCCATACTTCCAGAATTTGTAACTGGAAGTACAAGATAGAAACTCAGTTCATCTGACTCATAGTCCAGGTCTTATTTCAAAAATTAGTCCACAGGTCCAATTCCACTTATTTTTTCCCAGGGTGCTTCATGCTTGAGAATTCAGCAAAAGAGATTTTATCAAACTAGATGGTATACATGAACCAGTGTGGTCTAACCCCCCAACTAGTAAGGAATTTAAGATGTTTAGCCTGAGCATGGAAATACTGAGTTCATTTACCAAGGAAAGGGGAAAAAGGAAAGTTACAATTATGATTTACTAGCTCTCTTTGCATCATTTTTCAGAAGAGTATGCCAAATTTTACAAGTTAGCTTAATTACCAGATGCGATGAAAGGAGAGATAAAAATCATGAGTTTCTTGATGTCCACACTCAACAGTCCCCACCAGGTTGTGGGATGCTTAAAGGTGCCCATGTAGAATATAAACATTAAGTTTATATGAAGAAGCAGCTTGGCAAATACCTTGTTTCTGTAATCAAACCAACAACCTACACTAAAATGAAGAACTGTTTAGAATTGTTCTCTAGTAGACACATTCTGATTGACATTGAAAGCAACCGAACACAAAAACTTAAACTGGTGGTGGAAAGGAGATCAAGAACATTATGGATTTATTCAAGGAAATACCTGCATCCATTATCAAAGTGGGTTAAGGAAATTGATGTCTTCATGCTGCCCTTATTTTCCATTGTTAAAGTATGATGAGTTCAATAGAATTACTGCTATTGGGTGGAGATTAAGCTACATTTTCAGAAGAAATTCACAAACTTTGATGAGTTTGAATTGGGCTTTAAGTTTTTGCACTTGTCTTTGATAAGGGCAAACCCCTAGGATCACTGAGCAGTGTGTCATATTTGTGTAGCTAAGTTTGAAGAGAAAATGCTTTAAAAAGCTGCAATAGGCTGGGCACGGTGGCTCACGCCTGTAATCCCAGCACTTTGGGAGGCCGAGGCAGGCAGATCACGAGGTCAGGAGATCAAAACCATCCTGGCTAACACGGCGAAACCCTGCCTCTACTAAAAATACAAAAAATTAGCCAGGCGTGGTGCCGGGTGCCTGTAGTCCCAGCTACTCCGGAGGCTGAGGCAGGAGAATGGCATGAATTCGGGAGGCGGAGCTTGCAGTGAGCAGAGGTTACGCCACTGCACTCCTGCCTGGGCAATAGAGAAAGACTCCATCTCAAAAAAAAAAAAAAAAAAAACAAAAAAAAAAGCTGCAATATTCTGAAATTTTACAGGACCAAATATGAAGCTCAGGACACCTGAAATTTCAGGTTCAAATTGAGGTGTTTCACCATTTAAAACAACCCCCAGAATTTTTGAGAATACAGTGTACCAAATATTAATATTCCTACTTACTAATAAAATTTTATTCATAGGTACAATGAGGCCATAACTTTATCAGTTGTTTGGATAAAATTGATAAAATCTGTTTTGAACTCTCTTAAGTTAAAAGTAAAGAGGCATAATTCATAAAAGATTAGGGGATCCCATAAATATGGATTTCTAATCATGTGATTCACAACAACCCCCTCCAATGAGGACACCCATATCTGATTATTAACAGTTTGTAAAATGATTGGTGAGATCATTTTAGCTATCTTTTTATCAAGAATCAGAAATCAACAAGGGCCATGATGCCATATCTTATTGATTACTTATTAATTCAGCAAATATTTAAGTATCTGCATTCTCTATGCCAAGAAATGCTCAAGGTGCAGAGGAACACAGCAAAACATATGTAACACCTGGCCTCCTGAAGCTTATGATAAACAACACACCTAAGTAAAATTTCTAGTATGTTAGATAGTCGATATGTGCTAAAGGAAGAAAATAAAACTGTTAAATGGTTTTGCAATTTTAAATATGTCTCCAGGAAAGGCTTCACAAAAAGGCAAAGAACGATTCTTCAGGATATCTGAGGGGGGAAGAGCATTCTAGCCAAAGGGAATAGCAGGTGCAAAGGCCCTGCAATGGGAGCATGCCTGGCACATTATAGGAACAACAAAGAGATTAATGTGCTTGGAGAGAAATGAACCAGGGTGGAGAGAGGAGGCCAGTAGAAGATGAAGATACATGGTACCCGGTGTGGTGGGAGGAGAGGAAAGAATCGCAGGGTCACTGTAAGGAATTCGACTTTTACTCTCTGTGAAATTAGATCTTTAGTAAAATATTTATAACAAAATGCAGACATGCATTGGTAATTTCAGAGCTTGACCCTGATACAAAGCATTTTAAATTCTAGATTTCTGAATATATTTTATTGTGGGCATTTAGTTTTATACAAAAATTTTCTATTGGAATTTGGTTTTAATTTACAAACTTCAGTTTTTAAATGTCTTAAATGCTGCAGGGAAGGGCAATTTTTACAGAAAAGATTGCTAAGTTAAATTCCTTTATAAAGGCATTAACTTTTAGCTCACTGGCTTTAAAAGTTTGGATTTTCCATATCAATTTTTGCTAAAGCTAGACACATAATTTTTATTTTTATTAAGTTTTTAAGGTATGTGTAAAGAAACTTTAAAGGTAATTTAAATATACATTTTGGTATATTTTCTTATTAGATTAATTTACATTTATTGAAATGTTCTAGGCACAGGATTAAGTAATAAAAATCTTACGATCTCAAAATTCCATGTTCCTTTTATTGTCCTTATTGGGTTCTGGAAATAGGAGTTGGACTGAACAATTTCAAAGGCTCTTCCAATTTTCCAACTTCTAGAATTCATATTAGAAATTCATAGAGGTTAAATCTTATTACATCAAAGCCACAGAGATGGAATAGGACCATCTTTATGGCTGAGGAATTAAAGACTAGAGAAATTAAATGACTTTCTCAAGTTAGTTGTCAGCTTTATCAGGATGAGAACCCAGATGCCTCAGTATGTAGTTCGCTGTATTTCCAATGGGACCTCTGCTTTTCCTTAATTTTCTCACTGCCATAATTAGCATGGATGGGTAACCAAGGAGACCACTGCAATGCAACCAGGCTCCTCCTTGAGAAATGGTTCTCTTTTTGACTTATTCTTCCTGTTCTCACTTAGGTGCCTATCACCATTCTAATCCTTTCTCTTCTGTGTCCACCACAACTCTAATTCATTCTAGATAATTTTGGTTTCTATCCCATCACCCTGGAAGCCTTTTCCTACATTTTTCTCAGCTCTGTACATATTACTTCTGATGAAGCTTGATTTTCTTGCCATGCACATAAGAAAAGGCTCATCTGCCTCATTTACACTTCTTTGCAATTTTCTCTCTCTGATTTTACAAGTCCCTAGATACTGTTTCCATGTGTCCTGCTCCCCAGCTGTCCATTTTTTGAATGATAGAGACGTTGGGTTTCATGAGTCGAGTCTAATGGGGGTAACAGTAGATCACCCAGGTCAGAAGATCGGGAGGTCAGAGTTCATACCAGCACTGATTTTCTTTTAGTCTTCAGAGTTCTGGCTTCATGCAGCAGACAGAAGGTGACGCTGGTCTGATTCCAACTGTTGAAAGCCAGCAGATTTATTAGATGTGTGCAATTGTTTTTATGCTATTACAATTGGCAGGAAGGACGTTGCTATTACAAGCATTTTGAATATTAGATCTCGTCTTTTATATATTGCCACTTGCTAACAACATGTGGAATAAATCCTAGGTGGCCCAAGAGATTCTTGGAACTAGCAAGCTCCATTAATTTAAAAAGAGATAAGTGCTCCCTAAAATGACTTTCTATAAAGGTTTCCAGTTGCACATTGTCTTGCAAAATGGCATCTTTTGAAACTCAGCTTCCCTTCTTGCTTCTCCTCCTGTTTTATTTTGTTCTAAAAATGAAAGTTAAGTACTTGAAAATGCTTGAAATTTTCCTTAAGAGTTTAGGGGCTGAACTTCAACTGATAATGACCCAGAACCCCTGTCACCTAACTGGGTAGACTCTTTTGTGTTAAAGCAACCATTTCCCACATATCCTAAGTTGGGACCAGTGGACATGTGGGACCAAGCTAACATTTTGAGTAGCTGTACTGTGACTTCAGATCAACTATGAAGTGACCGTGATGTCCAAGTCATCAGTTTTCCAAAAAAAAGGCCCTAATTTTGACTCTACTTAAAATTATGGACTTCACAGTTACAAATAAACTCATCTCGTTGGCAGATCAAACACAAGGTCAGTATACCCTTGTAAAGCATCTGCCATAGAAGTATTCACGTTAGCCAACTGCGACCCATCTTATTTCAGTTTGGTTTCCTCCACAGCTAGACATTTGCCATATCTAATAAATCAAACTTTGCAGTCTCTTGTCTCTGATCCATCCTTTCCGTTCTGTTGCTGCTGATCTAGACCAGACCTTTATTTCCTTCGGCTAGGCTATTAAAATAACTTTAACTGTCTTCCTTATTATCTCTCCCCTGTTTCTAGCCCATTTTACTAATTAATGTCAAATTGATCTTCCAAAACCCAAATCTATTCTTCTCTTCTCTTGTGCAATAACTTTCAACAGCTCCTGATTACTTAGGCTTTTATAAAAATTTCTTATGCAGGGAGAGAGTGAAGTGTACTGGAAATTCCCTGAGTATTGGCATCAAAGAGACTTCAGTTCAAATCCCAGCTAAACCTATTTCTAGCTGGGTAATTTGGGAAAAGTTATTTCACATCTCTGAAATCTGGTTTCTTCATCTATAATATGAAGTTGATGATAAATACTTTATAGGACTGTTGGGAGAATTAAATATGATACTAGATAGTGATTTATAGGTACTCAAAACACAGAAGATATCTGTATCCCTGAGACTTCTATAGTATGGCTCTATAGACTTATTCCCCATTACTATTTTAATAGGAATCCTGCATTCCAGCAAAACCTTGATTCTAGTCTATGATGTGTGTTCATATTCACCATATTTGGTTACAGCCTTCTTAAAAATAGGGACGACATCTTTGTAGCACTCACGGTGCTTTGTACATATCAAGTGTTCAATAAATTTGGAATTCTCAAATTGGTTTCCCTATCAGAAAGGGCTAATTCTCTTTGATAAAATTTTAAATTGCTTTTCTGAGTCTAATTTATTGCATCAGGTCTGGGCAGAGTGAGTCTGTTCTCTCTGCATCAGATCCTCCATGGTTAAGCTGGTTTCAAGGTCTTAGACAAATACGGAGTTTCAAGGTCTTAGATAGATATGCAGTCCAATCCCTGCTGGGTACTTTGCCCCAGCCTTTCACAGCCTGTGTTGAATATAAAGATTGGGTTCCCTTTGATGTTGCTTGCAGTTTTCCTTTAATGGTCAGCAAGATAGGAGTGGAAAGGTTTTCTTTAGATTAATTTGATACTTGAGCAAAGGCCAACAATTCCTTGGGTATGTGAGCAGTGGTGGGAAGGAAAACTGAGCATGTGCTAGGAGGGAAGTCACTGGTAGATGTGTCCATCAGGTTTTACTTGGTCAAATATTTGTTATTTTTTGCAAAGCAAAAAAACTACCTTATGAAAAGTGCATGCAATATAGAGTAGAAGGCATATTCAAAATTCCACGTAGTAGTCTCTGGCATTTCCGTTGCCCCTTGAATTAATATGACAATTTCACATGCATGATCACATTTCATCTTCCATAGAACTCTGTGAAGTAGGCAGGGCGTATGTTATATATACCTTCTACCACTCTTATACTTCTCCTTCATTTGTCACTTTCTGCCACAAAAAAAACAAAAACAAAAAAAACCCCTCTGGAGAAGTATAAGGGGTTTCCCCTAAGGTTTCACTGTAAGGAAGTGAGAAAAGAGGGCCATACCCAGCATTTCTGGACGTGCAATACTTTCTAGCACAGTGGAGAATGGAAGGAACTTGAACTCTGCCCATAATGTCACTGACTGTGGGTATCTGGTGACAGAGGCACAGTAAGAAGAGAGGTTAGAATGGACTTACTTGGGGATCTCCTGAGGATAACAATCTACCATCTTTCATTGTGCTTGTGCAAATGATGAGCTTTAGAATAATAAAAATAGTTGTAACTATTTACTTAGCACCCATGATGTGTGTGTAACTATACATCTCTAACTATTTGTCCCTTATTCCTTCCTATAACCCCGTAAGATAGGTATTGTTGAAAACCAAAGCTCAGAAAGGTAATGTAACTTAACCAAGGTCACGCAGCTAGTAAAGACCTAAATGTTAGGGTGGCAGACTGAGATCAAATGCACATCCATCTGGAGCTGGAGCCCGTGGGTTTGCCTCTACATGTCCCTTCAGCTTCCCCATGGGTCCAGCTGACCCAGACTAAGTTATGCCAGCCAGTCACAAAGCTCACCCTATCAATATGACTGGGCATATATATCCATTTGATTCAGACGTTTTGAAGGAGTTTTCAACTGGAAGTTGCCAACATGGAAATATCGACAGTAAAGCTAAGCTTATTCTTTCAGGTGGATGACAAAATAGGAGGGCAATCCAATGCTGTCCCCATGATAACTTCCTCTGGAGTGACACAGAATAGAGCACATATTTAAGACACCGGGAGGCATTAGGTCTAAGGGCTAGAATAGCCAAGTATAAGAGCCTGGGAGTAAGAGATGGTAGACCTGACCCCTTACGTGTGACTTGAATTTCAGTCCCTTTATCTGTAAAGTGAGATAAAAGAATTCCACACACTCACCTTGAAGGGACATAGGAATTATCCTGGAAGCCAATTTAAGCAAACAATTTTCTAAACTGTAAGGCTTTTTGTAAAAATAGGGAGTTTTTGACCTCTCCGAGACTCCGTGGTTGGCATGGTGGATCTCGTAGGGAGTGTGAAATTGAGAGAACATATGTGAGAATTCACTTCCATGTTCAGTGAAATCTAAAGTTATTTTGGTTGTTTGTATAAGCCTCCCCTACATCTTCAGGAACATAAAAGGAGGGTTTCTTTGAAACCGCTGTAAGGATGTGGTCCATTCCTCAGCCCTCCTAATGGCCTGTGGGAGCCTGAGTTATGCCCTCACATAACTCAGTTGTCACTCACTCTGGGAGGCAAGAGGATATTAAGTATCAAGAGGAGACTTCCCTGATGCTACTTTTAAATGGATTAAAAAAAAATTGGAGAAAAGATGATGGAGCCCAGGAGACATCCTGCCATGTACATCTCAGATCTATTCTTGTTTCTGTAAACCATGCTATGCTTCTCATTTATTTCACACATCCATGCAGTGACTACAATGTGTCCAGGATTATTCTAAGAAGTTCACAAATATTCATTCATTTATTCCTCACCTTCACCCTGTGGTGATAATATGATGCTTGTTTTACAGAAAAAGAAATTGAGATACAAGGGTTAATATTTAAGTTAATAAGGAGGGGAGCCAGGATTCCAAGTCACACTCCATGGCTTACTTAGAAAAACTTATTGAGTTGATTCTAAATGGAAAACAGGAACAGGGCCTCCTTCCTTCTTGTGTCGGTTCTAAATACCCCTATCTGGGTTTCTGGTCCTGCGTTTTTAGAACCCATTCTACTTTATTTCCCACTTACTGTTGGATTTTTACTGTCATGCTCCCTTCTTCCTAATTCTAGTCTCTTTGTGTTCTGATGACTATTCCATACCTAGTCCCACGTCTTGCTTTTCATTAGATGATTTTTCCTAACTTGGAATGCTCTTCTAACTTCCCTTTTTCTAGTTAAAATGTACTCTGCTTAAGTTCCATTTCAAGCTTTATCCATGAAAATTTTACTCATAACTACCGACCTTGCTGATTTCAGTCCGTTTTAAATTTCTTTAGTGATTCTTCCTACCTATGCAATGACTAACACATTTTAAAAAATTTACATGTTAATGTTGCCTCCCTATCTAGGTTGACTTACACTATGACATACACTTTATTTTTAATCTCATGCTTTTCCTAGCAAAGTGCTAAGAATATTCTAAATGTTCAGTAAATAACTAATTGAACTTTATAATTATCTAAATGTTCCTGGCAGAAGCGTTTGCTAACCTCATTCATTAAGCTCATCATCTCAATTTGGTTTGTTATTTATTTGATGGCAAAAGGATTTCATCTCCGTGGCTACTCCAATGGATTGGTCATGGCTGCCTGGAGGGTTATGTTGAGAATGGTTCCAAAGCATTGTATCTTGCACATCTCTAATCAATTAAATAATTCTTTCCTGCTGTCAGGGGTGTGGTATGGGAAAGTGGGGGTGAGCCAACCATGAATTTGCTGACCCTAATTTGGTAAGAGGTAGAGAAAATAATCTGCTTCTGCTGGAAGGGGGTTGGATTTCAGCCTAAGGACACTTAAATATACATTACTGAGAAGTAGTGCAAAGATGACAGCAACTCAAATTGTTGATGATCAATTATTTATTGGGCTGATACCAGAAAGAAGCATTCTGTTTTTCATTCATTTATTTGGTTTTAAGTTACATGTGTTATAAAATCTGTTTCTTACACAGTGTTTACGAGGAATTACTTCTTATGGCTCAGTAACAACTCTAAAAGACATATTTTGGTACCTAATACTTTCATTTCTAGAATTTGCTCTCATATCATTGCAGAGCCATACTCAACACACATATGTTATACAAACAAAAATTGTCAACCTGCAGTTACCCTTCGTGTTGCCCTAAGTTTGAGGCCTATAAAAATCAGAGACATCCAGCTGCCAAAGAACACAAAAACTGAAAGGCACTTCCTATCTCAATTGTGTGTTGAGGCAAATGCTGTCCAAATTGTGTGTAACTAAGCTTTATTCCCGGAAAGGACATTTGTCCACAATTTAGAGCGGAATTTGGACTATTGTGCAACAATGGGAATATTTCATTTGAGAAAATTATGGATGGGTTAATATGTGGAAAATTATTTTATTATAAAAATCTGGTGTTTCTATCAGGCAAAATTTGTATTTTTGACGTTTCTTGCTTGCATGTTTGCCTTTCTGATTTGAGTTTAAAACGCAATAAAAACAAAAGACAAAACAAGGACATTTAGGAGTGGGCTTGGGAATGTCCAATATGCATTCCTCATTTTCTTCTTCTGGCTTCCTGGTTTTTATAATGAGGTCACAAAAAATTTGTCCAGCCAGAGCAAAAGGAACTAATCAGCCTAATTATGTCTTGGGTGTTGGGTAACTCTCTGTTCATACAGGCTAGGAAATCTGTTCATACCTCCAGTGGAGTTCTCTCCTCAAACTGTGATATAAGAAGAAAATCACTATATCCTGGCTTGAAGTCTGTGTTGGACACCTGGCTTAACTCATGGGGATGGGTTTCCAGGATAGTAGCAACTCAAGGAGCGCAAAGAGGATTGCAAGGTAGAGCAAGTACAACCTGCCTTGGCATAACTATAGCGACGAATGTTTCCATCTGGATCTCAGATAAGAGCACAATTACCTGCCTTGTTTACCATCATAGACCTTGAGTCTAAAACAGTGCCTTGAATATGGTGTCTCTATAATGTCTGTGGAATGAATAAATAAGTAAATAAATATATCACTCCTTATGTAAAACTAAATTAAGGTAGGCCTTGTCTGAGCATCAAAATCATGATCCATTGGTTAGTTAGGTTCACCTAAATTCAAGAGTTGCAGTTTTTACAATTCTTAAATATTAGGTCTTTGGAAATAAATAACTTAGACAAGTTAAGAAAATTTTATATATACTGGATTTAAAAAATATGGCATTTGATGAAAAATTCTATGTACCTAATTGCAATTAGAATAGCAGAAGCATGGTGTTAATCACCAATGCTTCTTTATACTAAGGAACTATTGAACTTCTTAGAAACAGACTTTCAGTACTAATCTGGCTACCTTTGTTTCATGCTGACTATCTCCATATAGTTTCAGTCTTCTATTAGGGCCATATCTCTAGATATTGGTATAGAATACATTAGAGAAGACTAATTTGTGTTCAGTTTTATATACACAACTTTCTATCTTGCTCATGATCACGTCTCTGGTGCCTCATATTGGTTTCTGTCTCAGTGTACATACACATGCCAGGCATCACATTAATTTGCCAAAAGGCTACCACTTCTCTTTTTCTAGTAGGAAAAACCTATGATATTTCTGTATATTTCTTGCTATCCTTTATTTCAGGGTGTTGAGCTCATCCATATTTCCCTAGCTCCTGGAACAGGCGAACCTAAGCTCTCTTTAGCATTGCTTCTCAATGCTGCCCTTTCTCATTGGCTTTCTGCCCTTAAGGACAGGACTGAGGAGCCCAGTCCTCTAAAACAGTGGTTCTCAGTGTACTGCTGTTATTTATGAGGTATTAGCAAACTGTAATTGCTAATGGATAAAGTACCAAAATTGTAAATAATCTACTTTTTAAAATATAAATGAGAAATATCTACATGAGAATATAGAATTAGGTACAAAGAGAATTGCATTTCCTATCAGAGATGAAGAAAACTTTGTGGCTCACCAATACAATCCTTATTGGAATAATTTTAAAGTAGTGAAGAAAAATCTGAATTTCAATACAGGCTAAACTGAAGACAATGGTACATGTGATGTTTCGGAGGTTTGTGAAGAAGAAAACGCTAACAGTGTTTCAGTGCTTTTCTCTCTTCCTTTGATTTCAACAGTTACTAGCTCTTAGTGTTTAAAGACATTCTTTTCAGAAGTGATAAAGATAATATTCTTGACATTTTAATAGATATAAATTCTTAAAATGTTTTTTTCCAAGTAAGTTTTTACAGAACTGAATTTTAGTACATAAAGGTAATTTTTGAAATATAATTGAATATTTATTTAAAAATGTAGAAAAATTTAGCAACTCTTATTTTATATATTATGAAGATAATTGTTCAAATAAACTTATGTGTAATAATGTAGTTTGCTTTATGTCTCTAAAAACTAATTTTGATTAAAATTTTAATTAAATAAAAATATTAAATTAGAAGAGATTCAAGGATATTTATGTAATAAAATCATTCTCACTCATTTTCTAGAATATTCTTTTGAGTGAGACAGAAGTGGACTTATAGCTGAAATTAACATACCATGAATATACCATGGAAGCATATTTATATTAATATAAAAAACAAAAGAAACAAAGGAAAAAACAAATAAAAGAAAAATCTATTGAGGACCTCTATTCTAAGGAGTCTGACATTTGGTTGCAAAGCTCTAGGGCCAAGGACCTCCTGGTAGCATTTCCTTACTAAGCAACTCTGCTACAAAGTCTTCATTGAGCTATGTGTCTCCAGGGCCCCTTCCTGGTGCTCATCACAGCCGATCTTTTCTCACCCTTGGCCTCCTGCAATTCTTCTTGCTTCTGTCTGGTGTCTCCTCTTGGCATTCTGGAAATGGCTCTATCTCTTGCTTTGCAAAGGAAGGGAGGCTTTTCCTGCAGACTGTTCCAGAAAGATCTTAGGTACTATAGACTCCCTTCTGCCTCCGCAGTGCTACCAGTTTTGCTGATCAGAGATTCTTCCATCTCATAGAGCTGGGATGGATCACAGACCATCTCCTCCAGAGCCCATGGATTTTTTATATCTATATATCTACATATATATAGCTGTGTATATATATATGTAGATATATAGATATAAAAATATATATGTAGATATATAAATATAAAACACGCACACACACACACACACATATAGACTTGTGTATATATATGTGTATATATACACACACAAAAAAGAGAGACTTGTAGAATATATATATTTATATATATATTCCACAAGTCTATATTATATAATATATTATTACATAATATATAATTGTGTATATAGACTTGTGTGTGTATATGTGTATGTATATGTATGTGTATATATGTATGCGTGTATATATATACGTACAGAGAGAGAGAGAGAGAAACTTGTGGAATTAAACGAAAATCTAAATCACTGGCAAATTTGTACTTTATTTAAAAACTGCAGTTATTCCAGAAGAAAAATAAAGACTGTTTTTGCACTTTCAATTCCCACCATTCTTTTTGTGTGCCATCACTCATGGTTAGGCAGGCCTCCTAAAGAGTTGCTCCGGAACTGCGTAGGAGGAGTTTCAATCCCCTGCCAGTAGCGCTAACTTACTTAAGATTTCTCTCCAGGTATTTATGCAGAGCCTGATCTCCAACAGTGTGTCAGAGAATAGTGCACTGAGAGACTACAATTTTAACTTTGCAATTAAAAAATTAAACCTTGGAAATGCAAAAGTAAGGTGCAAAGTGAAGCATGAGGCTTCTAAATGAAATGAGCAAGTCCCTAAACCTCTCCTTTCTCTCTGGCAGAAGACTTTGTGATGAATCCCATCCAGCCATGCTGGCTCCTCTATTATGTATTCTGGATATATTTTCTAAAATCAGTTTGAAATATGCTAATTTCCCATGTGTTTTTATAAGTGCCCCCAAGTCAATTCCCATGTGTAGATTTTGTGTTTAGAAGAAAATTCTTTGAGAATATGGACTATGCAATGTCCTTCTCTTTCATTTCTCAGTGCACTTGGTCTATTGCATACTGAGTAGATGGCCAGAAACTGCTTGTTAACCAGCTTACTATAGGCCCCTGTTGTGCATGGGGCAGGTACTTGATAAATATTATTAATTACTTGGCTGATTTTTAAGGCTTATTATTTTTCTACATCTCATGTTAAAACTTTACCCCATCCTGTGATGCTACAACCATGATGCAAAGTAACTTTAGGCAGTCCACCACATAAAGAAGTAACTAACATGGAAAATCTTAAAAATATGAATGTATTTATGTGTGAAAATATGAACTAATTTACTTGAGGATAAGAGCTTCAAGTATATAGATGGAATAATATAATTGGTATGAAATAATAACCAACAGTGTGAGGCACACAGTTGGTTTTCAACAATCTGATAGACTTTTGTTTGCTGAATTTAAAATTTCAGTGTGCCTTCTCTCATATTTATATTTGTGTGAGTGTTTACAAATACCCAGGAAAGTACCTTTTTTGTTGCCACCTTCTTGGGAGGTAGGACTGAGAACAAACAATTCAATTGTGAGCAGCTTAAATTAAAACTTTAAAAATTGTTTTGTATATAATGGTGATTGGGCTAGATTAGTGACATTGGATGTGACAATTTGCCTTTATTTTCTATTTTTTATTACTTTCATAATAAAAATAATCATGTGAATTATATGATTTCACCTAATAGTTTATGTATTTTTGTTAATTTGATGGATCAATGATGTTATTATTGTGACACATAATCTGGGTCTGTTTAGTAGGAACCCAACAGCCTTCAACCTAGCTAACACATATGATTAAAAACCTACATTTAAAAACAATTTTTTAAATATCTTCTAAAAAATCCTCTCTGCATAACTTAGTTGTTAAAATCAGCGTTACTTTTTATGTGGGTGCTGAGTTATGGTGGTTGGATTGCTTTTATAGGACACTTTCTCCCATCCCCATAGACTGGAATCTCTGAAACTTTGGGACACTCTGCTGACTTGGCTGAGAGAAAGTTCTTGCCTATTCAGTTTTTGCCACTGCCGTTGGCACCTACAAGCCTCCTTCCTCTTCCCCTCCTGGGTTTCTGTATAATAAGCGTGTCTGGGTTTCTGTTGCACGGAACGTCCCAGAGCAAGGGAGACTCTGGGGCAGTTAAACAAAGGCAGGATTTCATTCACCTGGCACGCTGACCCATTGGATCCTGGCTGGAAACTGGGCCCCAGGGCCCCAGGGCTGAGAGCAGTGTCTTACATAAGCCCCAGTCCTAGCTAGCAACTGCTGCCTGCCCGATCTGTGACAAGGGAGCTGTTCTCTCACAGTACCATACGGATTTCTCCTTGTTGGTCAACACGTTTCTCTATAATTAAAAAAAAAAAATCCACTTTCTTCTGCAGATGCCATCCTCAATGCCCATGTACCGGTATCTTAGCTGAAATTGGAGAGGAGCATTTACATGTTAATAGATTAATATAATTAACTATTGGTGAAACTCCCTTAATAACTTTCATATACCTTTTCTCTTTCTGTATGGCACAACTGTGGCATGGTTATAAGAGCAAGAGAACCAGCTTCTTATGAGTGCCCTAGATCCCAAATCCTGTCCTGTGCACCCATGCACAAAATTGATAGGTGACCCGGACTCCAGAACTGGAGCCATGTGAGCCTGGGTGGGATTCACGACTGAGCCTGTCTCCTTGTAGTCGAGAAAAAGAAAAAAAAAAGGGTATCAAATAATTTTTCTGATTACTTAGTCATTTGGATTGTGGAATCCCATGGGGGATACAGCATCTTTTAATCCATCAGCCTCTGAGCCATTGTCTATGTAAGGTGCGTTGTCCCCAAGGCCTTCTAGAAGGATGGTGCTTGTCTCCACTCTTAGGAACAACTTTATGTCCCAAGGCACAAGCAAACTGGGGGCAAAAGGACTCTTCGTACCACTTGCAGAGGGAACAGGACCACAATCCATTGAATCCTCCCAGGAGCTTTTCACATGCTGAAGTCTGGTGCTCTTTTCTTCTTGTAACTTTTAAGACTATTTTCTTTAAAACTAACTTAGGATTATGAGTGTTTACCAGGGATAGTGATAAACCAACCTTTGTAGAGAGTTAGTACTTAAAAGCGGTAAAAGCAAAATAATAATAATAAAACAGTATGAAATGTTTTAAAATTCACAACAAAATGGTTTATATTCATCAACTAATTGCTGCTCTTTATTTGGGCTGTGGCTTGTAGGCTACTGCTGTTTGTTCACATAATTTTAACATGTTGAATCCTACTCTTCAGGTGAACAACTTGGTTATTTGGTTTTTCCCTCCTGCTGTGGAATAAACATTTCACTCTGGTTAACCATGAAGCATACTTCTTCAGGCAGGTCAATAGGTTTAGACCTGTCAGTAGGCTGCTGAGTGAACTTGACCTTTGCCTTTAGCTTTAGTTTGGCTTAAACTTCACATTGTATGTTCCTAATGTGGGAATAGACATTGAAATCAAGGGTGGATGATGTGGTAACTTACTTCCTAAACAGCAGTTTGCTCTTCCTTGGTGGGGAATTAAGGTTGAAAAACAAAGCAAAGCAAAAGGAAAACCTCTAAATGGGAAATATGGAGATCCCATGAGCTGAGCCTGCCATGCTGGTCGAGGGTGAAACAGGACTCTGTTGGAGATACCCATTCACAGTTCACAGGCTTTCCGTATACTAGTGAATTGGTAGGAAAGATAGCAGTATCCTGTGTAGAGAACATGCATTGCTAATTTTCCCTATTTTCACAAATGCAAAGATGGTTTTCAAAGAAAGTGGCTCAGTGACTATCTATCATCACTACTGGGGTGTGCAGATGTGGTCGGGGAGGACTAAAACTCTAAGTCAGAGGATGGCATCTTCTTGTGTCTAGAGCACATGTAGACCTTGAAAAATAAAATCCACTCCCCCTTCTCTGGATAAGAAACAAGGTAGACTTTTTCGGGCCACTGGAATGAGGAGGAGTCCAAGGTAAGAAGACTATAAAGGAAAATGCTCCAATTGGGCCAAGAATCATGAGCTCAAAGATTGACTTTTGCAATCACCAAATGCTCTCTGGGGACTCTCACATTACCCATTTTAAGAGTGACCCACTGTTTTCACAGTTCCAGCCCTGGTAATAATTTTCACTGCCTGCATTGTGGCCATTGAAGTTCTTGACTGTTCTCCCCAGGTTCCTGCTTTTTGCCTCCCTTATAGCAGTGGGTATTAGCTAATATAAAAAATAATTATTACCCTTTGGGATGTGGGGAATGTGGGCAAAGGAGTCACTTTCCTCAGACAAACAGAGAAATATGGGAGGGAAAGAACTATGGAATTTGGTAGAGGAAAAAGAAAGAAAATAAGTTTATTCTAGCCCCCAGGGAGTTAAATTTGACAAACTTCTGACTTAATAAGGAAACCCAAGCCTCCAAATACTCAGTATTATGTACATAAAAGAGAATAGTGTATCAGAAAAGAGCCACCAAGGCCTTCATGGAAACTTTGAACAATTGTCTGCTTAAAACAATTTGGCTGTTCCATGATTTAATGTTTTTCATATTTCCTTTTGCAAGTGGATTCCTCATAAAGGGAAGAATTTTAAAAACTGAAAGAGCTTCTCTTTTTTTTTCCCTATTCATGTGAAGGCCGTATAATTGTGACCTAAGACTCTAGAGATGACAGACACTGCTGAAGTATGTGAACACTTTCATAAGAAATCCAAAATTATCCGAAAAAATATATAGAAAAGATAATTTAATCTGTTGCTTCCTCAAATAGCTTCTGGGTAATAAGATCAATCTTGTGCAAAGGGGAATTGCAAGACTCATCAGCCTAGGATACGTGAACAGATCTGTGACCTGCACAGAGCAGACTCACAGGGTGGGAGGGAAAGTTGCTAAAGGAAGATCCCATGCACCAGGAGCTGGGAATGGTTTCCTAGCTCTCTTCTGTAATTTGCTCCCACAATTTTGGATTAGAAAAAAAAAACTTGGCAAGATTTCATGGGAAGTGTGAAACTTTTTTTTTGGCTGTGACCTCAAGGAAGATATTCACAAGTAAATCATTAATCTAGTTCAGGTATAAATATGTACATTGTCACAATCTGACCACTAATGTCCCTTAACCAGTGGAAGATCTTCATGCACCTCAGTGCTTGCTACAACGGCAATGATGACTTGGATTAACACGAACTTATGATTTGTTATGTGCTTTCTCATACAACACCCTAGTTAGAGCTGTACAGCCTTTTGAGATAGACACTGAATACTTTTATCAGCCTTATTTTGTTTGTTTGTTTTTTGGGATGGAGTTTCACTCTTGTTGCCCAGACTGGAGTGCAATGGCACGATCTCGGCTCACTGCAACCTCCGCCTCCCAGGCTCAGCCATTCTCCTGCGTCAGTCTCCCAAGTAGCTGGGATTACAGGCATGCACCACCACACCCTATTAATTTTGTATTTTTAGTAGAGACAGGGTTCCTCCATGTTGGTCAGCCTGGTCTCAAACTCCTGACTTCAAGTGATCCGCCCGCCTCGGCCTCCCAAAATGCTGGGATTACAGGTGTGAGCCACTGCACCTGGCTCAGCCTTATTTTTCAAGATGAGGAAATGAAAGTGTCTAGAAGTTAATTGACTTATCGAATGTCTTACAGATGGGAAGTAGCAGTCATGACCAGAATCCAGGTTTCTTGGTCACTAGTCCAATGGCTCCCAATAGGAGCTTAGGAAGAAGTTTTGTTTTGTTTTGTTATGTTTTGTTTTGTTTTTTTAATTTTACTTTAATTCCTGGGATACATGTGCAGAACGTGCAGGTTTGTTACATAGGTATGCATGTGCCATGGTGGTTT
This sequence comes from Homo sapiens, assembly GCF_000001405.40. Classification (NCBI taxonomy): domain Eukaryota; kingdom Metazoa; phylum Chordata; class Mammalia; order Primates; family Hominidae; genus Homo; species Homo sapiens. The sequence continues at coordinate 80,097,178 of NC_000014.9, read as the reverse complement.
GCTGCACCTATTAACCCGTCATCTAGGTTTTAAGCCCTGCATGGATTAGATATTCGTCCTGATGCTCTCCCTCCCCTTGCCGCCAACCCCTGACAGGCCCCAGTGTATGATGTTCCTCTCCCTGTGTCCATGTGTTCTCATTGTTCAACTCTAACTTATGAGTGAGAACATGCAGTGTTTGGTTTTCCGTTTCTGTGTTAGTTTGCTGAGAATGACGGCTTCTAGCTTCATCCATGTCCCTGCAAAAGACATGAACTCATTCTTTTTTATGGCTGCATAGTATTCCACGGTGTATATGTATCACATTTTCTTTATCCAGTCTATCATTGAGGGGCATTTGGGTTAGTTCCAAGCCTTTGCTATTGTAAATAGTGCTGCAATAAACATACGTGTGCATGTGTCTTTATAGTAGCTTGATTTATAATCCTTTGGGTATAGATACAGTAATGGGATTGGTGGGTCAAATGGTATTTCTGGTTCTAGATCCTTCAGGAATCGCCACACTGTCTTCCACATGGTGGAACTAATTTATACTCCCACCAACAGTGTAAAAGTGTTCCTATTTCTCCACAGCCTTGCCAGCATCAGTTGTTTCAGGAACAAGTTTAAGCAGGGCTGAGGGGAGTATCTGACTCCCCCAGGGCCTTCACCATCCAGAACCCAACCATGTTGGTACCCTGATCTCAGACTTCCAGCTTTCAGAATTGTGAGAAAATAAATATCTGTTATTTAAGCCACTCAGTCTATGGTACTTTATTATGGCTTCAGAGATGACCAATACATGTACTATGGCTAGACCTTCCATTCCGCAATCACCTCATCCGGCTCTTTGCTAACATTGATAGATAGAAAATCTTACAAGAATTTAATTTTACCGAAGCTACCAATGCCAGATTATCACTGTGGACACTACTACAGACAACTAAACACTTGTCCCCATTAAAGATAACAGTGGTTTAAGCAATTTCTGTTCAGCATTTCTGATGCTACTGATGTTCTCCAGGACTTAACGAGAAATCTGTTTCCTAGGTTTCCATATATAACACCATACTTCTATTATGTTCCAAGATCAACATCATAGATTTGCAGAAAAACTTCAAGGAACTACACTGCTTCAACACTCAAGTATCCAAGTAAAGCAAGGCGGGGAAAGATAACTGAGAAATTTCCACTGCTGTTTTCTTAGGTTATTGCGTGAATGCTGCTGGTATTTATCATATTCAGGATAAAATACGTGCATGCCGTGAGGCATCCCTTCCAAAAACAAAGCAATTGCTTCAAGCATTTCCCGAGGCTACTCAATTTCTGCCATGCTGTACTTCCACAAAAGCCACCAATGCTGAACCTCTTTATCACCTAATAGAAAAAGACATTTGGTAGTGTTGACTCATGACTTTAAATCATTTGGACTCTCTCAGGAATGAAAAGCAGTGACTGAATTCTGAGTCTGGTCTAGTATTTAAAATGAACATAGACCATTATTTCTAACCACTGACTCATCTCTTGGAACATTTGAGATGTGTGTTTGTGCAAATACCACACAACATCAAAGTCCCAGTGACTTAGTTCTCAATGACAATGCATACTGCAAAGAATAATGCATTAGCACAAATTCAGAATCCATATTTTCCCACATTAGTTTTTTTCTTTTTTTAAGATTTTTTAGTAACAGGATCTCGCTGTCACCCAGGCTGGAGTGCAGAGGCACACTCATAGCTCACTGTACCTTGAACTCCTGGGCTCAAGCAATCTTCCCATCCCAGACTCCCAAGTAGCTTGGACTACAGGTGTGTGCCACCATGCCTAGCTAATTTTTCTATTTTTTTTTTTTTTTTTTTGGTAGAGATGTAGTCTCACTATAAGTTTAAGACCGGACTGGTCTTAAACTCCTGGCCTCAAGTAATCCTCCTGCCTTGGCCTCCTAAACTACTGGGATTACAGGAGTGAGCCACCACACCTGCGTGTGCTCATTTCTATGTTTCTGAAATATAATGTAGAGTAGTCCCTCTTAACTGTGGGGAACTCATCCCAAGACCCCCCAGTGAATGCCTGAAAATGCGAGTGGTACTGAACTCTATATATACTGTATTTTTTTCCTATATGTACATATCTATGGTAAAGTTTAATTTATAAATTAGGCACAGTAAGAGGTGAACAGCAATAACTAATAATAAAATAGAACAACTGGAGCAATATGCTGTAGTAAAAGTTATGTTTATGTCTCTTTCTCTCTCAAAATATCTTATTGTACTGTACTCACCTACTTTCTGACCACGGTTTACCATGGGTAACTGAAAGAGTAAAAAGCAATACCATGGATAAGGAGAACCACTGTACTTTGAAATCTTTATTAATAAACTAGAAGCAGCTGGCTACCTGACCCCCCTTAAAAAAAACTTTCAATTTTGATGTGCTGTACAATTGGTGGCAAATTAGACTGAACAGAGAGCTGACATTAAGATAAAGAACCCAAAAAGTTTGCACATAAAGCATTTTTTTCTTTATTATTATTACACTTTAAGTTTTAGGGTACATGTGCAGAATGTGCAGGTTAGTTACATATGTATACATGTGACATGCTGGTGCACTGCACCCACTAACTAGTCATCTAGCATTAGGTATATCTCCCAGTGCTATCCCTCCCCCCTCCCCCTACCCCACAACAGTCCCCAGAGTGTGATGTTCCCCTTCCTGTGTCCATGTGTTCTCATTGTTCAGTTCCCACCTATGAGTGAGAATATGCGGTGTTTGGTTTTTTGTTCTTGCAATAGTTTACTGAGAATGATGATTTCCAATTTCATCCATGTCCCTACAAAGGACATGAACTCATTATTTTTTATGGCTGCATAGTATTCCATGGTGTATATGTGCCACATTTTCTTAATCCAGTCTATCATTGTTGGACATTTGGGTTGGTTCCAATTCTTTGCTATTGTGAATAGTGCCGCAATAAACATACGTGTGCATGTGTCTTTATAATAGCATGATTTATAGTCCTTTGGGTATATACCCAGTAATGGGATGGCTGGGTCAAATGGTATTTCTAGTTCTAGATCCCTGAGGAATCGCCACACTGACTTCCACAATGGTTGAACTAGTTTAGAGTCCCACCAACAGTGTAAAAGTGTTCCTATTTCTCCACATCCTCTCCAGCACCTGTTGTTTCCTGACTTTCTAATGATTGCCATTCTAACTGGTGTGAGATGGTATCTCATTGTGGTTTTGATTTGCATTTCTCTAATGGCCAGTGATGGTGAGCATTTTTTCATGTGTTTTTTGGCTGCATAAATGTCTTCTTTTGAGAAGTGTCTGTTCATGTCCTTTGCCCACTTATTGATGGGGTTGTTTGTTTTTTCCTTGTAAATTTGTTTGAGTTCATTGTAGATTCTGGATATTAGCCCTTTGTCAGATGAGTAGGTTGTGAAAATTTTCTCCCATTTTGTGGGTTGCCTGTTCACTCTGATAGTAGTTTCTTTTGCTATGCAGAAGCTCTTTAGTTTAATTAGGTCCCATCTGTCAATTTTGTCTTCTGTTGCCATTGCTTTTGGTGTTTTAGACATGAAGTCCTTGCCCATGCCTATGTCCTGAATGGTAATGCCTAGGTTTTCTTCTAGGGTTTTTATGGTTTCAGGTCTAACGTTTAAGTCTTTAATCCATCTTGAATTGATTTTTGTATAAGGTGTAAGGAAGGGATCCAGTTTGAGCTTTCTACATATGGCTAGCCAGTTTTCCCAGCACCATTTATTAAATAGGGAATCCTTTCCCCATTGCTCGTTTTTCTCAGGTTTGTCAAAGATCAGATAGTTGTAGATATGTGGCGTTATTTCTGAGGGCTCTGTTCTGTTCCATTGATCTATATCTCTATTTTGGTACCAGTACCATGCTGTTTTGGTTACTGTAGCCTTGTAGTATAGTTTGAAGTCAGGTAGTGTGATGCCTCCAGCTTTGTTCTTTTGGCTTAGGATTGACTTGGTGATGCGGGCTTTTTTTGGTTCCATATGAACTTTAAAGTAGTTTTTTCCAACTCTGTGAAGAAAGTCATTGGTAGCTTGATGGGGATGGCATTGAATCTATAAATTACCTTGGGCAGTATGGCCATTTTCATGATATTGATTCTTCCTACCCATGAGCATGGAATGTTCTTCCATTTGTTTGTATCCTCTTTTATTTCATTGAGCAGTGGTTTGTAGTTCTCCTTGAAGAAGTCCTTCACGTCCCTTGTAAGTTGGATTCCTAGGTATTTTATTCTCTTTGAAGCAATTGTGAATGGGAGTTCACTCATGATTTGGCTCTCTGTTTGTCTGTTATTGGTGTATAAGAATGCTTGTGATTTTTGTACATTGATTTTGTATCCTGAGACTTTGCTGAAGTTGCTTATCAACTTAAGGAGATTTTGGGCTGAGACAATCGGGTTTTCTAGATATACAATCATGTCGTCTGCAAACAGGGACAATTTGACTTCCTCCTTTCCTAATTGAATACCCTTTATTTCCTTCTCCTGCCTAATTGCCCTGGTCAGAACTTCCAACACTATGTTGAATAGCAGTGGTGAGAGAGGGCATCCCTGTCTTGTGCCAGTTTTCAAAGGGAATGCTTCCAGTTTTTGCCCATTTAGTATGATATTGGCTGTGGGCTTGTCATAGATAGCTCTTATTATTTTGAGATACGTCCCATCAATACTTAATTTATTGAGAGTTTTTAGCATGAAGGGTTGTTGAATGTTGTCAAAGGCCTTTTCTGCATCTATTGAGATAATCATGTGGTTTTTGTCTTTGGTTCTGTTTATATGCTGGATTACATTTATTGATTTGCATATATTGAACCAGCCTTGCATCCCAGGGATGAAGCCCACTTGATCATGGTGGATAAGCTTTTTGATGTGCTGCTGGATTCGGTTTGCCAGTATTTTACTGAGGATTTTTGCATCAATGTTCATCAAGGATATTGGTCTAAAATTCTCTTTTTTGGTTGTGTCTCTGCCCGGCTTTGGTATCAGGTTGATGCTGGCCTCATAAAATGAGTTAGGGAGGATTCCCTCTTTTTCTATTGATTGGAATAGTTTCAGAAGGAATGGTACCAGTTCCTCCTTGTACCTCTGGTAGAATTCAGCTGTGAATCCATCTGGTCCTGGACTCTTTTTGGTTGGTAAGCTATTGATTATTGCCACAATTTCAGCTCCTGTTATTGGTCTATTCAGAGATTCAATTTCTTCCTGGTTTAGTCTTGGGAGAGTGTATGTGTCGAGGAATTTATCCATTTCTTCTAGATTTTCTAGTTTATTTGCATAGAGGTGTTTGTAGTATTCTCTGATGGTAGTTTGTATTTCTGTGGGATCGGTGGTGATATCCCCTTTATCATTTTTTATTGCGTGTATTTGATTCTTCTCTCTTTTTCTCTTTGTTAGTCTTGCTAGCGGTCTATCAATTTTGTTGATCCTTTCAAAAAAACCAGCTCCTGGATTCATTAATTTTTTGAAGGGTTTTTTGTGTCTCTAGTTCCTTCAGTTCTGCTCTGATTTTAGTTATTTCTTGCCTTCTGCTAGCTTTTGAATGTGTTTGCTCTTGCTTTTCTAGTTCTTTTAATTGTGATGTTAGGGTGTCAATTTTGGATCTTTCCTGCTTTCTCTTGTGGTCATTTAGTGCTATAAATTTCCCTCTACACACTGCTTTGAATGTGTCCCAGAGATTCTGGTATGTTGTGTCTTTGGTCTCATTGGTTTCAAAGAACATGTTTATTTCTGCCTTCATTTCGTTATGTACCCAGTAGTCATTCAGGAGCAGGTTGTTCAGTTTCCATGTAGTTGAGTGGTTTTGAGTGAGTTTCTTAATCCTGAGTTCTAGTTTGATTGCACTGTGGTCTGAGAGACAGTTTGTTATAATTTCTGTTCTTTTACATTTGCTGAGGAGAGCTTTACTTCCAAGTATATGGTCAATTTTGGAATAGGTGTGGTGTGGTGCTGAAAAGAATGTATATTCTGTTGATTTGGGGTGGAGAGTTCTGTAGATGTCTATTAGGTCGGCTTGGTGCAGAGCTGAGTTCAATTCCTGGGTATCCTTGTTAACTTTCTGTCTCGTTGATCTGTCTAATGTTGACAGTAGGGTGTTAAAGTCTCCCATTATTATTGTGTGGGAGTCTAAGTCTCTTTTAGGTCACTCAGGACTTGCTTTATGAATCTGGGTACTCCTGTATTGGGTGCATATATATTTAGGATAGTTAGCTCTTCTTGTTGAATTGACCCCTTTACCATTATGTGATGGCCTTCTTTCTCTCTTTTGATTTTTGTTGGTTTAACGTCTGTTTTATCAGAGACTAGGATTGCAACCCCTGCCTTTTTTTGTTTTCCATTTGCTTGGTAGATCTTCTTCCATCCTTTTATTTTGAGCCTGTGTGTGTCTCTGCATGTGAGATGGGTTTCCTGAATACAGCACACTGATGGGTCTTGACTCTTTATCCAATTTGCCAGTCTGTGTCTTTTAATTGGAGCATTTAGTCCATTTACATTTAAAGTTAATATTGTTATGTGTGAATTTGATCCCGTCATTATGACGTTAGCTGGTTATTTTGCTCATTAGTTGATGCAGTTTCTTCCTAGTCTCGATGGTCTTTACATTTTGGCATGATTTTGCAGCGGCTGGTACTGGTTGTTCCTTTCCATGTTTAGTGCTTCCTTCAGGAGCTCTTTGAGGGCATGCCTGGTGGTGACAAAATCTCTCAGCATTTGCTTGTCTGTAAAGTATTTTATTTCTCCTTCAATTATGAAGCTTAGTTTGGCTGGATATGAATGCTGGGTTGAAAATTATTTTCTTTAAGAATGTTGAATATTGGCCCCCACTCTCTTCTGGCTTGTAGAGTTTCTGCCGAGAGATCTGCTGTTAGTCTGATGGGCTTCCCTTTGTGGGTAACCCGACCTTTCTCTCTGGCTGCCCTTAACATTTTTTCCTTCATTTCAACTTTGGTGAATCTGACAATTATGTGTCTTGGAGTTGCTCTTCTCGAGGAGTATCTTTGTGCCATTCTCTGTATTTCCTGAATGTGAATGTTGGCCTGCCTTGCTAGATTGGGGAAGTTCTCCTGGATAATATCCTGCAGAGTGTTTTCCAACTTGGTTCCATTCTCCTGGTCACTTTCAGATACACCAATCAGATGTAGATTTGGTCTTTACACATAGTCCCATATTTCTTGGAGGATTTGTTCATTTCTTTTTATTCTTTTTTCTCTAAACTTCCCTTCTCGCTTCATTTCATTCATTTCATCTTCCATCGCTGATACCCTTTCTTCCAGTTGATCACATCGGCTCCTGAGGCTTCTGCATTCTTTACGTAGTTCTCGAGCCTTGGCTTTCAGCTCCATCAGCTCCTTTAAGCACTTCTCTGTATTGGTTATTCTAGTTATACATTCGTCTAAATTTTTTTCAAAGTTTTTAGCTTCTTTGCCTTTAGTTTGAATTTCCTCCTGTAGCTCATAGTTTGATCATCTGAAGCCTTCTTCTCTCAACTCGTCAAAGTCATTCTCCATCCAGCTTTGTTCCGTTGCTGGTGAGGAACTGCATTCCTTTGGAGGAGGAGAGGTGCTCTGCTTTTTAGAGTTTCCAGTTTTTCTGCTCTGTTTTTTCCCCATTTTTGTGGTTTTATCTACTTTTGGTCTTTGATGATGGTGATGTACAGATGGGTTTTTGGTGTGGATGTCCTTTCTGTTTGTTAGTTTTCCTTCTATCAGACAGCACCCTCAGCTGCAGGTCTGTTGGAGTTTGCTAGAGATCCACTCCAGACCCTGTTTGCCTGGGTATCAGCAGCGGTGTCTGCACAACAGTGGGTTTTTGTGAACTGCGAATGCTGCTGTTTGCTCGTTCCTCTGGAAGTTTTGTCTCAGAGGAGTACCCGGCCGTGTGAGGTGTCAGTTTGCCCCTACTGGGGGGTGCCTCCCAGTTAGGCTGCTCAGGGATCAGGGGTCAGGGACCCACTTGAGGAGGCAGTCTGCCCATTCTCAGATCTCTGACTGCATGCTGGGAGAACCACTGCTCTCTTCAAAGCTGTCAGACAGGGACATTTAAGTCTGCAGAGGTTCCTGCTGTCTTTTTGTTTGTCTGTGCCCTGCCCCAGAGGTGGAGCCTACAGAGGCAGGCAGACCTCCTTGAGCTGTGGTTGGCTCCACCCAGTTGGAGCTTCCCGGCTGCTTTGTTTACCTAAGCAAGCCTGGGCAATGGAGGGCGCCCCTCCCCCAGCGTCACTGCCGCCTTGCAGTTTGATCTCAGACTGCTGTGCTAGCAATCAGCGAGACTCCGTGGGCGTAGGACCCTCCAAGCCAGGTGCAGGATATAATCTCCTGGTGCGCCGTTTTTTAAGCCCATCGGAAAAGTGCCATATTCGGGTGGGAGTGACCCGTTTTTCCAGGTGCCGTCTGTCACCCCTTTCTTTGACTAGGAAAGGGAACTCCCTGACCCCTTGCGCTTCCTGAGTGAGTCAATGCCTTGCCCTGCTTCAGCTCGCGCACGGTGTGCTGCACCCACTGACCTGTGCCCACTGTCTGGCACTCCCTAGTGAGATGAACCCGGTACCTCAGATGGAAATGCAGAAATCACCCATCTTCTGCGTCGCTCACTCTGGGAGCTGTAGACCGGAGCTGTTCCTATTCGGCCATTTTGGCTCCTCCCCTCCACATAAAGCATTTAAATTGGCAGCCACTCCCTAGCCTCTGCATTCTCTCTTGGTAGTGGGATGACTGAGAAGAGCCATAGATTTGCATGATGTCATTCATTGACTGAAACATTATGTTTCAAATTAATTAATTTCTGAAAATTAATCAATTTAATGTTTTCCAAAATTAATAAATTGATTTCTAAAATTATTTCTTATATTGAAAAAAAATCTATAAATATGTGTGGGAGAGGTCAGGGCGATAAGGACCTATGCTTCTATTTAGAAGGGTCAGTACAGAAATACACACACACACACGCATATACATACACAAACATCGTTAAGACCTCAGTTGATTTGGTGGAATCATTTCAGAGGAAGAACATCTTTATTATACTCGACTTCTTCCCAAAATGGCTCAGAGTGCCCAAAAGTTCACCTCAGAGTTTAGCTACATGAATGATAGGCCTTTGATGGGACAGCAACATGCTGGTTGCCACTTATTACTGTTCCTGAGAGTGATTTCATACTCAACTCAAACAAGGATAAAAGATTTATGCATAAGCTTCTTAAATGCCACCATGCTGTCATTATCCATCATATCACCGTCAAATAAGTGTTTACTCTGAAAGAAGGAACAGCACACCAGGGATGACTTGAAGCAGGTTGTAGGAAAAAATGAACCAAACCACCAGCCAAACTTCTCTTTAAACATGTTACACAACAGTATTCGAATAGCATTTATTCAATTATTATGGGTCTACCATGTTTGTTTATAAATATCATAAAAGATTCAGAAAGAATGATGATGAGAGATTCATAATTAAGACAGTTTGGTGGAGATTTGGAGAATGAACTGTGTAGGTACAGAATTCATGTCAGCTGCTCTGTTGCAATGCTGTGCTTATCTTATGGCCTGGAGCCATAGTTCTGACTCTTGACCAAACCTGAATAAAAGGTACTAACTGGTGATTTATATAGCCTTGTACTAACATCCGAGCAGGTGAAGGACAACCTGTTTATAAGAAGTGTTCAGTCTGATAGTTTGTACCTAGTTTCTATTATATTCTTTTGGTTATTGCTGTTGAACCTGGTCATGTCACCTGTTTTGGCTGTGTGACCAGAAGGATAGAAAAGACTCCTCCTGGGGTAAGACTGTGGCTCACATAATCCTTACAACAGAGTTGTGATATAGGTAAGATTGTCCTTATTTTATGGGCACTGGCCTGAAGTAATGCAACACAGACAGGATTTGCACCCAGGTCTTTTTCTAAGATGAAGATCTTTTATACTTTTATAATCTTCAACCAAGTTAACTTGTCTTCTCAGATTTAGCTGAGAATTGAAAGCAAAACAAGAATACGTTTCCAAAGCAATTCAATTCCCATCCATTAATCTTTGCTGAGATCAAAGATTGCCCCCGAAAAGGTTCACTAATGAAGGCCACCTTCTCCCTTCTTGTTTGTGACCTCCTACAGATCACAGCCCTGCCACACAGACATTGTCTTTAAAAAACAGAACCATGCATCAAGAGAGAAATATTCCCTCTTGTTCCATATAATACAACCAGTGATTTTATCCACATTTTCAAGGAACAATGTGTGAAAGCCCAAGACACCAAACTTTATAGAATTTCAATACTAAGTAGACAGAAGGAATTCTAGATAACATCAATGATCTATGGACACAAACTTTTATCAGTATACAATAATAAACAGTCATTTAGTTCATGAGTCTGCAGGGTTCTGCTGATCTGGGGTAAGCTGATCATGTCAGTTGGCCTGGTTTATGCATCTACAGTCAGCTGCAAGTCTTCTAGGTGGCTCTGCTGATCTTAGCTGAGCTCATTCACATGTCTAAAAATCTGCTGTCAGATGGCTGATCTAAGCAGGCCTCATCTGGGACAACTGGTTTACCAGGCTCTGATCCCTAAGGGTTCCATCTTTTAATGTGTTAATTGGGCATGTTCTTATGGCAGTGGCAGAGGTCAAGAGGGAAGAAAGCCCAATTATGCAAGTGTTTTAAAGCGTTGCTTCACATTAGGTTTGTGAACATCTCATTGGCCAAGGAAAGTCTCACGGCCAGATCCAGAGGCAGAACTGGAATACACTACAATGTGGCATAGCAAAAGGTGAGCACCTAGGAAGGTATGAGGAATTCGGGCTACTGATGCAATCAATCAATCCCAGAGGTTTTTCTTTTATAGCTCTCTGGTTCTTTACTTCATAAATGCAGTGACATTTTTAGTGGGCCTTGATGGATGATGAGATTATCATGAGGTTGGGGAGTGAGACAGCATGTGCAAAGCTTAGAAGCATGAAAGTGCCTAATAGGCACAGAAAATGGGGAATAAACAAGTATACTTTAAAAAATTATATAAGTGGGTCATACATTATGTGATTTTTTTGTCTGGCTTCTTTTACTCAACATTATGGAAGATTCAGTATTGTGAATATGTTAATTTTCCCTAAATTGGTCAGTAAATTAATGTAATTCTGTGATATAACAAAAAATAAATAAATGTTTGATGATTTTCCCTGATTGATAGCACACAATTCTTAAGACTCTTGGATACTTTGGAGTAATAGGGGTGTCTTTTTATGCTAATAAGATGACTGGTGGCTGGTTATCTCTAGAGAGCTTCAGGATGCCAGCTGGTCACCAGAAAGACCAAGCCATGATTAGAGGATTGGAACTTTCAGCCTCACCCACAAGGGCCAATTATTTGGTCAATCAGGCTTACCAGATGAAACCTCCTTAAAAACTCCTAAATGATGGGGTTTATGGAGCTTCCGGATTGGTGAACACATTGAGGTGGTAGGAGGTTGGGGCACATGGAGAGGGCAGGGAAGCTTTTGCCTCTGCTCCCCCATATCTTACTCTTCCATTGGACTGTTCTTGAGTTGTATTCTTTATAAGAAACCAGCAATAGTAAATCAAACACTTTCCTGAGTTTGTGACTTGTTTTAGCGAATTATCAAACCCTAGGAGGTGGTTGTGAGAGCCCCTGAATTTATAGTTGTTCACCCAGAAGTATGGGTGACAAACTGAGACTTGTGGCTGGGACTGAAGTGAGGAAAGTCTTATAGGAATGACTTGTTGACTCCTGGGACCCAATGCTAACTTCAGGTAGATAGTGTCAGATCTGAACTGAATTGTAGGATGCTCAATTGGTGTGTAGAGAGTTGAGACATTTGTTGGTGTGACGAAAAAAGCCCACAAGTCTGATATACGAAATGGTGCTGGAAAGCACCATGGAAACTTCAATCAAACTATCAGCAGGATTTTTTTAGAGATTAATTATCTAATTGTAATATTTATATAAAAGTCAAACAGCTAAGAATAGAAAAACAATCTTGAAGGACACAGTTGAATAAAGTACACTACTGGAAATCATCCATTTGAAGAACATGATATATCCTTCCACTTATTTAAGTCTTCTTTCATTTCTCTCAAGAATATACTTTTTTTTTAGTTTTCAATGTAGAGGTCTTAAATTGAAGACGATAGCTGTGTTTTACTTCTATCTCCTCACTGTGCACACAACTGATAGATTGGTAGGAAGATGAAATCAGACAAGGGATTATTTTCTCCACCTTACTCATGTTCTTGTCCAACTGGGTGAAAGGATTCTGATCTGAAGAAGAGAGAGAGAATTTGGAGACAATGAAACCATGGAGGAGCCTGGTACTTCATACCATTTCCTAGAATAAACTTGCCTATAAGATTGAGACCCAAGATTTGGGTATATTTGGAACCAGCTTTCTTTCTGTAAGTTTTTGAGTGTAGCAGCTCCACGGATGGACCCAATGCATGAAGGGTAGATGACATGGTAACATCCATATCTATCTGGAAGATCTTTCCCTCAACTTCCTGTGGGTCCCCATGTGACTTTGAGAAGATATTGTTGTCTTCTGAGGCCATGAGTAAAACCCATATATTAGGTGGGAGGGAAAGCCAATATGACAATCAGAAGACCACAATGCAGAGTAGGGGTTTGGATCACCCATACAGAGTGGAAAAGGATGTAACCGTATCCTTGTTAAAATTTAAATGCCAGAAATACACATAAGAGTCAATGGAAGAGTGACAGATGGACCAGTTTCCACCTCTCAACAAGCACTGGGCATCATCTCAGCTGAGAATCAGACAGGATGAGGACTTTAGCTACAGGTGCCAAGCATGGCCCCTGAAGCCAAAAGAATGTGCTGCTTACTCTACAGTCACATGGAGGGAATTGCTGAACCACCCAGAGGTTTGGAATCAAAACCAAGAGACGGGGAAACAGAGAACACTCTAAAGGGCCTGAATGAGGGGTAAAAAAGTCCCAAATTATATTAAGCTTTAAACTTGGAGTGACTAATAAATTACTGAACTAGGACAGGGAAAAAATCCAGAAGTGATCGAATTAACTTTAAAATTTCAAGATTTAGTACAGAGTGAAAATTGTGGCTCAAAGGTAAGTTTGCTTCAAATCTACAAAAATGAACCTAGCATTTTATACACCTGAGTTTTGTGTGCAATTGTGAAAATAAAGAGTATGCCCGTTAGAGATAGAAAAGTAGATAGGGTCAGATTTTAAAGTGCCTTGACTCACAAGGACTTTGAATTTTGGAGTGACTTCTAGAGTAAATATTTTCAAGCAGAGGAGTAACATGATTAGCTATATTTTATAAATATTCTCTAGTAACAATATAGGATATGGATTCAGGGAGTGTGACTTTGACAGCACATTACATAGGAGGCTTTTTAGAAAATCAAGTGAGAGATGATGAAGGCTTAAATCAGGGCCTTGCAACAAGGATGGAACAGTGGGGTGTGAGATAATTTTGAGGAGTAGAGATGGTAAACATCAGTTTGGGCATAGGAAGAGTTGGAGACTCTTGTGTGGCACAGTAAGAAGAGGAGAAACAAGGAGAAAGCCAAGTTTAGGAGCAGAAACATTCTGTTCAGTTTTGTGCATGGATTTGAGGTGTCTATATAATACTAAGGTGAAGACCAATAGTGGAAAGTTACACATATAAGTCGGAAGCTCAGAGGAGTTTGAAGGCTGGAGATGAAGATATAGTGGCTAATTATATGAATTATATTATGAAGATATAGTGGCTAATTATATGAATTATATTATGAAGACATAGTGGCTAATACTTTCTTTGCCCCAAGAACTCCCTTAAGGACAGTTTTTAGAGAAAAAGAATATAGAAAAATCTAATAATCTCTGTCCTACTGCACTGTCTGAGTAGGTAGTAATTTATGGGGCCCTGGGCAAGTCCTTGTCCCCAATATGCCAATGTGATGCCTAAAGTCACACTGCTTTAGAGATGTATTTCTTTGTTCCAAAATTGCTTTATCACATGGCCCATTTTTTAATGCAAATATTCTACAAGTGATGCACCACTGATATTCCTTATGTCTTGGTGAAAATAATTTGGGAATAAGGAAATTACTAGAGACAGATAAAGGAAGCAAGAATGTGTGGATATGATTACACCTCTACTTCATATTTGGTAGAGCTTACTCTGTGAATAGAACTTGGGAACCTGGCCAGGGGCAGTGGCTTATGCCTGTAATCCTAGCACTTTGGGAGGCCGAAGCAGGCAGATCACGAGGTCAGGAGTTGGAGACCAGCCTGGCCAACATGGTGAAACCCTGTCTCTACTAAACATATAAAAATTAGCTGAGCATGGGGGCGCATGCCTGTAATCCCAGCTACTCAGGAGGGTGAGGCAGGAGAATTGCTTGAACCCGGAAGACGGAGGTTGCAGTGAGCCAAGATCGTGCTACTGCACTCCAGCCTGGGCAACAGAGCAAGACTGCAAGTCTTGAAAAAAAAAAAAAAAAAAAAGGAAAGAAAGAAAGAAACAAAAAAAAGTTGGGAACCCTACCTCAGAGTTGAAGTTACCCTCATGACAATCTAAAATATCTGAGATGTCAGTCATTATTTTAAACGTGTGTATTTTCATCCTCCGCGGTGGATCTTTTTCAGTGTAACCTCAACCACACCTCCAGCTTCTCTGCTTCTGAAACACTCTCTTGGAGGCATGTTCTTAGTGCATAGTACATGTGCCACATTTTTGGTGGTAGGGTTAGATTAGGTTCACGTTCCTGAAGAGGGTTATTGTTATACTGTTCCATAAAGCTAAAAGGCATTTGGTTATAAGATTAGGTGCAGCACAAGCCTTGCACAGTTGATCTGAGGAGAATTGTACTTTGGGGCAGGGGGTGGCAAAGAGCTATAATCTCTAAATTATTTCAGGATTTTGTAACTAAGACAGAGACATTAGGTAATTTTCCCAGAGACCCAATAAACTCTACTTAAAATTTCCAGCTTATCCTATTTGTCTCAGCTATGAGAACTTGTGTCTTTCTGTGCCTCAGTTTCTCAAGCTGTAAACTGAGGATAATAAAGTAAATTTTACAAAGTTGTTTCATGTATTAAATAGCATAAAACATCAGATTAGCAATGTGCTTTTCATTTTAAATGCAAGAGCTCATTGAGTGTTTGTATAATGCTCATAGTGACTAGTCTAGAATAATGAGTCTCTCAGACCTTCATTCCTGTGCTAAGTTCCCTGAAATCACCTCTTTTCAAATATCTTTGTACAAAAGGGTGGGACTCAAGGGAAACTACATATAAAAAAGCAGAGGCAGTCACTTGAATTTGAAAGGTTGGATAGAAATTAAGATTGAACTGTGCACTAAAACCATTACTGTACCCAGATTGAATAATTATGCATCTTTGTATCATTTCTTCTTACTGCTCAGCCAGTTGTACATATGAGAGAACCCAACATTGAGAGGGAAAAATGACTCACCATGAATAGGTTTGCCTTGAAAATGACCAGATTGCACACCATGTTCAGAGGGGTGACGAACTCAGGCAGTGGCTAAAATTTCATGTGGAAAATGACTTACTCCACTCTCTCAGAGAGTTTTCTGATTTTCTTAGGCAGCATCTTCAGGAGAGTGGCATATGTGAAGCATACCATTGCATCCCATCAGTGAAATAACTTTCTCTGGTGGTGTTCTGGGAAGGACGTTGTTAATCAAAGTCTCAAAGAAAGGATGTTGTCACTTTTCCTTGGCATTAAAGAAAAACATGGATATTTTGATGTGCCCAGTTACATGCAAGTTCAGCATAGCTAAGGAAAAGATCAGTTTTCAAAGTACTACTGCATTGAGTAAATGAAGTATGGTTACAAAGAAAGGAAATTGTATTTTCCAGTGTAGCTTGTTGAAGCAGGTTACATCCGGGGTGTGTGTGTAAGTCTATGCATGTGCAATTATGTGTGTATACCCTTTACAAGCATTTTTCCTACCATTTATCATAAAAAAGTTCAATGCATTATAAAACAACTCCCACACATTAATACTATGTTTTTAAACATTGTTCTGCTTGATTTCAAGTTGTTTATAAATGATCATCTAGAAAACGGAATATCTGATAACAGCAAATGAATACATTTGCATGTTTTATAAAACTATTTGCCTATAGACATCAGAAGCTACACCTTTGCACTCTAATTTATGGAATCTTACACCATCAACATTTCCTTTGAGGAACAACTTACTGAAGCTGTGTTCTTTATGAAAGTTTCATATTCATAAAGTGACGGCTCTCTCTTGGCAGGCCCTACCCCCACTCAGCTAAACTGGAAGTCATTTTTTTGAAGAGAGCCCCACTATTGGAACGAGCTGAACAAGAACTCACATCGCACATAAAAAGCTTTTGGAAGAGATCTGAAATTGGCTCTGGGGTGGATATAATTCAAATGCAAATGGATTTCATCAGTGGTTTGTTTTGGATGCCAAATTTTGGGGCAAAAGGAGAACCAACTACTGATTATTTGCTCTTTTCTATCAATGAACAGAATACCAACAATGGAACCAACATTTTTTTTTCAAAACAATATCATAAGAGGGTTGAAGAAAACATTGCGATGCTCAATCCATCATTACAGAGAGACATTACCAATGATTCCACCTTTAGTATTTTACATTGACTCAGACTTTCAAAAATAAGAAAAAATATGTTGACTCTATGTATACTTTTAAGGAAATTAAAATATACAGTATACAAAGGGGTAAAATATCCATATTTTGTCCTGAATCTGAAAATAATATTATTGAAATTTTTGCTGTTTTTCCTTTTAGTTTAGTTTGTTTGTTTACCGAGTATTATTAACGTAATTGTGATTTAGCAACTTACTTTTTTTCACTTAACATTAAAAAAAGAACCTCTTCTTAAACATACTATTGTTTGCCTAATATTTCATGATGTAGCTATTCTATAATTAATTTTTCCTCAGGGAAATGTTAGACATTGAACTGCTTAAAGTTTTTGTTTGTTTGTTTTTTGTTTTTGTTTTTTACAATTATTTCCTTATAACAGATTACCTAGAAGTGGAATTAACATCTCAAAGGTTAGGAGCATTTGTTAAACCTTCTGATTAAGAGTGCAAAATGGCTTTACTCTTCACAGTAGTATATACAAGGGCCTGTATCTATAAAATGTTACTACATTTCTCAGTTCCTTTTAATTCCCTACACCAACGGTGAAATTGACTGTGCTTCCTCTCATCCCCTTGGTCACCACCACCTCAGTCCACCTCCCCACCCAGAGGATGCTTGTAAATGTCTGGAGACATTTTGATTTTCATGACTAGGGAGGTGCTGCTGGCATTAGTGGGGAAGACATAGGGATGCTTGCTAAATATCTAAAATCTCCACAACAAAGAATTATTTGACCTAATATTTCATGATTCCTTTTGTTATACTCCCAGTTGAAAATTACTTGTGTCTTGGTTATTTTTCAATAGGAAAAGGTTAGTTGAAAACAGATAATAGGACGTATCTTCCAAGAAAAGAGACATGCATGAGAAAATGCCTATTTTCCAGAAAACACACGACATAAAAATAGACAACCAAGAATACTGGCAGACATTGTCAAATGCTCCCTAACTACCTCCCTAACTATTTGAAAATGCTAGTTAGGGTGAATTTGGGACAAGCTAGCCACAGTTGAGAACCACAAGTTTACACTGATCAAAATTCCTTTGTCGTATTTGGTGCTCAATAAACAATTGTTGATAAATATATGAATATCAATTATGGTTAATTATCAATTTATTGGGGCATTAATTCCTCTTTTCTTTCTCAAAATAGTAGGAAAAATTGAAATTTGCAATTTCAATTGCAAATTGAATGGAATTCATGCATTTAACTGAAAACTGCGCAATAAAAATGTTTAAAAGAAAAGAAACTATTATGTTTCCTACGTAGTGAGACCACCTAGTATTCCTGATAGAAGGAAAAGTAGCAATAGTAGTAGTAGTAGTAGTTGTTGTTGTTGTTGTTGCTGTTGTTGTTTTTCTATAGAGAAAATGAAATTAAGGAATATGGGCTTATTCATCTGATGTCATATGTCAGTGTCCATCTGGAGCTAAATAATGCCTTCTTTTCATTGAAGACACAGAGTCGTTTTTATATTTGTGATTCCACTAGTATCTTTTTCCTCTAGCTCCATTCCCTGCTGTAAATAATTTCCATTGAGAGCAAGGATTGGGTCTAAGATCTATTTGTATTTTCCATGGTACCAAGCACAGTGCTTTCTACAAAGTAAGTATTAGGACAGACGCAGTTTAAATGGATAATGCTTCCATTTACCCAGGATCTAATTTCCTTTCTCTATCTAATCAGAATCCTTATCTTTCAGCTGCTTCAGATCTCAATCATCATTAACCAAAATGGAGACTAGCCAAGGCTCTAGATTTATGGTTCTGGGAGTCAACAAGGTGCAAGTCTGTCTGCACTCCAGCTGGTGTTTTGGATGGATGCTCCATAGAGTTGTTATTTAGAAGCCTGGCAGCATCCTTTGTAAAGTGGGGAGTCACAGTTGGCATTCCTCTTAGAATTTTGTTGCTTAATAGATGGTCTCAAAGTGATCATGTGCCACAGTCTGGGCAGCAATACTGAAGACCAATCTTGCCCCAACAAGCTTTGGTGAGAGTACTTGGCTGACTGACTGTTTTCGTGGATATTCAAGTCAAAAATATTTATTGAGGCTTTACTTTATGCAAGCCACTTGGCTAGGCACAGTAAGAGATAAAGCTATGATTTATGAGGTATCACTAAGGATTTAAAGGAGTTAAAACATGTGTAAGGGAAAGAAGTATATAAATTAACATAAATCAAGACCAAACTCTAATTAGAGCCGTGAGACTGATACTGACGTGGACTTGTGGAGACAGAGACGAGAAGGATTAAGACCAATGAAGGAATCAGAAAAGACTTTATAAAAGAGCTGGCATTTGGTCTGAGCACTGAAGGGTAGATGAATTTTTGACAAGTAAGGAAGGGAGAAGTTCAAGAAGCAACACGAGCAAATCCACAGAGGTAAGGAAGCACAAGTCATGTCCAGGGTATAATAATAATAATGTGATAGCTAATATGCATTAAAGTTTTACCACTTTCAAATGTAGTCTACTAATAGTTGTATTTTTTTGTTGTTAGAAATAAAACCAGAGTCAACTTACCCATTGGGCAGAGTGCTTAGGACCCACAAATCTTTTAGGAGCTATTGAAAATGTTTTAATTTTTTTTAAACCAAAAGGAAAAATAATATAATCCAGAGTGGATTATATTCATCTTTATTCCAGTGCACTTGTGAAATACAGTTCTTAATATTGTTTTCATGGTGGAAAGAGCCATGAAAGCAAAAGTGCAGAAGGCCGATAAGAGATACAACATGGCCCTGAATTAAACCATTTTGACTCTTATTCCTTTGTTTCTACCTACAAACTATATTCCAAATATTTTGCATTCACTCCGTTTCCATTTTGTCAGACAAAAGCTAACCACCATAATTTCTTATATCTATTAAAGTGTGAACTCTTAACCAGTTCCTTAATTTTGCTTTTGTCCCCCACAATCCATTTTCTATGCAATGGCCCAGTGAACTGTGATTATTCCTCTGCTTAAATAGCTCCAGTTGGTTCCTATTGCACTCTAAATAAAATCTCATCTTCTTAGGGAGCCCTGGCTCCTAATCTGAATTCCACTTGTATTATTTTCACCACTACCATGACAGCATGACATAGCTATGCTGGTCTTTTCTCTGTTCATTGAACCCATCTGCCATAAGGCATGCTAACTTTAGGTTCCTTCTAGGAATACTTAGTAATGTTCCCACTTCCCCTAGTTTTGCATGATTTTTGTTTCCCAATATTTGGATCTGAGTTCATGTGTGACTTCCTCAGAGTTCTTCCATGACTACAAAATCAAATACCCCCATATGTTACCCCATTGTAATTTTTTAATGTAACACTTTTCAATATATAGTGTTCAAATGTGTATTTATTTGTGGATTTATTATCTATCTTCCTTTACCAAAAGGTGAGCTTCATGAGAATTCATGATATAGACCATGGTATCCTCAGGGTTTAGAAAAGAACCAGGCAGATACTAGACACTGAATAAATATATATATATATATATTTTCAGTGTCTACTATGTACATGGCATTGAAGTTTAGTGTGGAATAACATAAATTTGATTCCTGCCTTCATGGAGCTTACAATCTAGCATAATTTACATTTGTTATCTCAATAAATCTTCACAAGGTATAAGGTAGGAACTGTTACTATCCCATTTTTCCAAAAGCTGATGCTAAAGCTAAATGGGTTAATTTTTATGCTCGGCTGGGATTTAAACCCAGGTAGCTTATCTTCAGAACTTGTCACCTTAATAAGAACTTAAGTTCCTTTCAATATTAGCTATATTTGTCATGAGTATAGGTAATGGCTGGAGATATAAAGCTAGACATTTAGAAATACCTTGAATGTCAAGACTGAGAAGATATTTATTAAATCAGAAGACTATGAAAAATTATTAAAAGATTTTAGCAGAAATGTGCTTTAGAAAGCATGCCCTAGGAGTGGTACAGATCAATGTCAGCAAGGGAAACTGGAGGTAGGAGAAGAGTTAGAAGACTATTGCTATGGCCTGTCAACCACTCACCACATTTTAGGAACTCAGTAGCATTTTATAATTGTATGTTGTTTATACACATTTCTTTAATAGCAGCTGCTGGATGAAGGAGCGTTCATTTTATGCATTTATTGAGGACAATTCTCAAGCAAAAAAAAAAAAACCCTCCAATTCTATTACATAAATATTTATTTCAGATATATTCAAATGAAAACTACCAGTAGCCTCTGTACTCAAAGATGACTATAGCTATTCTTTCTAACAATTAAAAGTTTGTGGCTATGGATAATGTTTATTTTTTTCCACACTGTCTTGAAATAGCTTTCCATTCCAGGTTGATTACAGCTGCTCAGCACTCATTCTTTGATTTTTTAACCCATTAATCACATAGTCATTGAACACATGGTGTGTTCAGGGATGCTAAGCTCCAGGTTAGTGAAGGAGATAGAGATATTCTCTGTAGAAGGAAAGTCTCTTGGATCTATATTCACTGTATCCATAAGAGCATTTGTCCTCATCTCTGCTACTACCACTCTGGATCAGCTTTTCTCACCTGCTTTTTTTCCAATAGGCTTTTAATTGATCTCTGTGCTTTTATATTCTATATTATTATCAACATAACGACTAGAGTGATTCTTTTCCAATGTAAGCAAGGTCAATTCTCAAAATCTGCAATGACTCCCTATTGCACAAAGAAGTAGACCCTTGCAGAGGCCTCTCCTTGTTTGACTCTTGGACTTCACCTCCTGCTGTTCTTCCCTACCCACTCCTATCCCATTCAGTCTTCTCTAGCCACACTGTCCTCTTTTATTGCTCCTTAGACAACCAGTACATTCAGCAATCTTTGGCCATTTGCATGACTAATCTTTCCTAGCATCGACAAACTCCTAACATTCTATACAAGTTTATTTTAATAATACTAAAATTTAAACTTCTGCTTATCAAAAGACACCACCAAGAGAGTGAAAGGCATAACGAACAGTAAAAAAAAATCTGTCAGACATATACGTACTCAGAATATATGAAGAACTCCTTCCATTTGCTTCATTTTCACTTTCCTCTACAAGGTGGAATCTTCCTCTATTTTGTTCACTGATGACTTCCTATATACCCAGAACAGTATTGACACATAGCAGGTGCTCAAATATATTTTTTGAAAGAATAAGTGTATATGCACATATTCAATGCAACATGATGATGTCAGTGAAGAGATATCTGAGTGTGTGGATCAAACAGCAAAGTCTCAACTGGAGAGAATGTGGGGATGATTCTGAGAGAAATACTGCCTTTAAACCAAATATCCAATATTCTGATTCACTGATCCACATTTGAATGTAAGAGTGATCTTATTCTCTCATATTAAAGAGAGAAGCAGGCCACTAGACTAGACAAATTCCAAACACTGTCCACTATTATTGTCCCCTGTGGAATTGTCCACACCAATTCATTTATAGCTGACTCAGCACAGTGTTTCCATCTTATCTAAACAATGAAATATTAGTTTCTGGTGTTAATAAGCAGAAGCTTAGTTCACTAGACTGATGCTTATTTGTTCCTCATTCTCAATATTTGTTAATGCTGCCTTTGGTCAGGTTTGACATAATACGTAACCTGGAAGGTAATACACAGGGCCCAATAAATTTCCTCCTTAGGCTAAAATATTCTCCCTATCCACATTCCACAAAGCCTTAAAGTTTTATCAGTAAGATATACATTTCTTTAAGATTTTGTTGGATTCTGTTAAAATGTAAATACTTCTGATAAGAGTAGCATTAGTCTAATAATTCTGTGGAGAGAATACTTTATTAAGTATTGTCAACCAAGAATTGAGAGGGAAGGTACTGATGGGGTAGGGAAAGTGAGATGGAAGAGAAGCAGAGTGAAGGGTGCTATTTGAAAAAAAACTGCCTTTCAAGAAGTATCAAAATAAAATCTATGTGTATATGTGTGTGTTTGGGACAGGAACAATGTAAAGCTAGGTTAAAATATGTCAATGAGGCCAAATGAGGATTTTGAGAATACTGCAGACAATTCTTACCTACTACACAATTTAGCTTACATCTAGCATTGCTTAGGCCTGGAATGCACAGATGATTACAATGCAGTGAGCAGAACACTGGACATGCAGACTTTGTCCACAGCTTCCCCCCTTTCTACTTTTTCCCCTTGGATTGTGGTTTCTTCATCTATATAGCGAAATAATGATGTCTATCTTCCTTTCTCCAAGTGTTAGGATCAAATTCACTAACCAAAGAAAAAATTGTAAAAGCAATGTAGAACTTAAGGAGGTGCTTCTTAAGGAGAGAATAAGGGAATATTGGAATAACTCAAGGGACATTTTCATATTATACTTGCTCCTTCTCCAAGCCCTCAGTTGTTTTTCCCTGATATTTCTAATTTTTAAAACCCCAACATTTTATTATGATATATTTTCAAACATTCATAAAAGTGAGTGGAATAGTGTAATAACTTGCTATTATTCATGGCTTAGCTTTAGCAATTATTGCTAACCTTGTTTCATCTACAGCTTCCCCCATTTACCTCTTGCTGTTCATTAGGTTTTATTGCTTTATTAAGGTAAAATTAATGTAACAATAATGCACAAATCTTAAGTATTAAAAGTACTTATAGTATACAATTCAATGAGTTTTTGTAAATTTATAAAATTGTACAGTCATAACCATGATGTAGGTTTAGAACATCTCCCTCACCCAAGTAAGTTCTTTCTTGTCTGTGTGCAGTCAATTCCTGCTGCCTCCTAGCTCCTTTATCATATTTAGAAAGTTTGTGTTACTTATTTATTGAGAGACTTTACCATAAATAGTGGTCGAATATTGTCAAATGTGTTTTTCTGCATCTATTGAGATGATTGTCTTTTTCTTCATTCTGTTAACATGAATTTATTTTTGATAGCTAAAGCAATCTTTCATTACATAAATAAATCCTACTTGGTCATGGTGGAGAGTCCCTTTAATATGTTGCTAGATTTAGTTCACTAATTTTTTGAAGGATTTTTTTCATTTCTGCTCATGAGGGTTACTGGTCTTTTCTTCTTGTGGGGCTTGTCAGGTATTTGTATCAAGGTAACACAGACCTCATAGAATTAGTTGGAAATTGTACCTTCCTCTTCTACTTTTGAAAAAAAAAATTGTGAGTGGTTGGTATTATTTCTTCTTAAAATGTTTGCTAGAAATTACCAGTGAAGTCATCTGGGTGTGCGCTTTTCTTTGTGGAAAGATTTTAAATTTCTAATTCAATTTCTTTTTGTGTTATATATATGCCTATTCAGATTTTCTATCTCGTATTGAGTCAGTTGCAGTTACTTGTGTATTTTTAGGAATTTGTCCATCTCATCTAAGTTAACTATTTGTATAAATTTTTGCATAGTGTTCCCTTTTAATATTTTTAATGTCTGTATGGTTAGTAGTGATGTCTCCTCTTTTCTTCTGTTTTCATTAAAGTTTTTTTCTTTCTCAGTCTACCTAAAGGATTGCCAATTTTTTGGTCTTTTCAAACAACTAATGTATTAGAGTTCTCCAAAGAAACAAAACCCATGTGAGATATTATATATAATATATGTATATATATGTGTGTGTGTATGTGTATATACACACACAAACACACAAGAAAAAAGAGAGAGAGAGAGAGACATATTATTGAAATTGGCACACACAATTATGAAGGCTGAGAAATCCCATGATGTACTGTCTGCAAGCTGGAGAGGAGAACCAGGAAAACCAGTAGTGTAATTTAGTCTAATTTTAAAGGCCTGAGGACAAGGAGAGCTTGTGGTACAATTGCCAGTCTGAAGCCAAAGTCCTCAGAACTGGTGTGGGGGCTGCTGGTGTAAGTCCCGAAACCTAAAGGCCTGAAACCAGGACCTCTGATGTCTAAAAGCAGGAGAAGATGAATATCCCAGCTCCAGAAGACAGAATTTGCCCTTCCTCTGCCTTTTTGTACTATTTGGGCCTTTAATGAATTGGATGATGTTCTCCCACATTAGTGAGGCTGATCTTTACTAATTCTACTGATTCAAATGCTAATTTCTTCCAAAACACCTTCATAGACACACTTAGAAATAGTATTTTACTGGCTAGTTAGGCATCCCTTAGTCCAGTCAAACTGATGCATAAAACTAACCATCAGAACTAATCTTTGCTTGTTGTTACACATTGCTTAACATAGAATTCTTTGTTGACAATTTTTTTTTTTAGTAATTTGAATATGTCATGTCATTGCCTTCTTGACTCCATCATTTCTGATGAAAATTCCTTTAATTGTATTTTTGTCTCCTGTATGTGATGAGTTGTTTTTCATACTACTCAGGGAATGGATACAATAGATTATCTAGACTTTTGTCAAGTGGCACTGACACTGCCAGGTCCAATTTTCTCAGACCTGAGGAGCCAAGAAAGCCAGAAAGACTGGCTGTGAGTAAAAATGAATTGTGTTGCCAGCCCATGAAGGCAGCTGGGCCCACTCTTTGGAGAAAGAGGGGCGATGGCTAGACGTCCAAGATTTAATTGATCTTGCCCTGAAACTTGGAGAAAAACAAGTATTCTCCACTCCCTAACCTTGCTTTGCCTTTCCTTGTGTCTTGTCACAAATTGATTCATTTCAAGGCTCATCACTAATCTGAAGATGTCAAATAAAGAAGTACAGTTCTGTGTTGATAGATTGAAAAAAAATTGTAGATGCCTTTGTCTCTTTTTTTTTGCCTTTCTTATTATGTGTTGAGGTGTAAAATTTCAGAGTTTATCTAATTTGGGGTTTGTTGAAAATTTTACATCTTTAAATATTTTTATCAAATTTGGAAATATTTTAACATTATTTATTCAAATATATATTTCTGCTTTTTTCTTTCCTCTTTTAGTACTTCTAGGACACATATATGCCTCGTGTTTTCTTACAAGTTTCTTAGATTCTGTTCATATTTCTTTATTTTTCTTTCTTCATATTCAATAAATTCTAATAACATGTCTTCAAATTTACTCATTTTCTTTCATCTCACATTTACTCTTTAGCACCTCTAGTAAGTTTTAAATTTCTGTTCTTTTACTTGTCACCCCCAAATTTCCATATTTTAAATAATTTCTATGAATTTATCACAATAACCTATTTGTTGAATTATTGTCATTATACTTTCTTTTAATTCTTTATACAAAATTAGTCATTTTAACATACATATGTAACAACTCCTTTGAAGTATTTATCTACTAAGTCCAAAATGTGGGCCCCCTCAGAAACAGTTTCTATCTATTACTATTTTTTTTAATGAGATACACTTTGTTTCTTTCCATATCTCATTTCTTTGTGTGTTAAAAATTAGATATTTTAGATAACATATTGCAGCAAGTCTGTATTATAATTTATCCCTAAAGTTGTTGCTTCTGCCTGTTTAATAACTTGCCTGGACTATATCTCTGGAATTTGATGATGCTTTGTGGATACTGGTATCTCTGCTTGGTATACAAACATACACACACACACACACACACACACACACATACACACATGCACATACACACATTTAATTCTTGTTTTATTATTATTATTATTTTAAGCCTGCTTACATAAGAGTCACCTCTCTCTGCATAGCTTAGTGGTCAGTCAATGACTGGTCAGAGATTGTGTTCAAAGACCTCAAGCCAGTAAAGCTTCTACCCTATATTAGTGGATATGTTTGTGTATTGGGGAATACATTCAAATTTCAGGCAGTTTTTAAATCAGCCCAGCTTTTAGGATTTTTGGCCTCTCTTCTATGAAGATATGCATATCAAGATCAACCAGGGGTGTATGGATAGATAGCTTAGACTCTCTCCAGTCTCTTTTGTGCAGGTGTGTGAAGAGTTTGTTAAAGAACCCTATGAATAACTTATTTGGAGTATCTCTTTGTAAAATTTCTGGCTAGGTTCCTGGTCCATTTTTGCCCCAGGCAGAAGGGCAACCTCAGGCTAACTTAGCACTGGTCTTCACAATGTATTTGCCACTAAGATCACAACTGTTCAGACAATGCCACTTGTGAGACCTTTCTGTGCTCTGACCCCAATCAAGGCATGCCTCTCCTCATTGCCCTGCACTGGTAGAATAAGTGTGCAAATTGAGCTGAGGTGAGGGTTGGGATTAGCCCATGGGAGAAATGCTGTACTCTCCCTGTTCTAATCCATAGCTTAGTTTTCTTTTTCTTTTCTTGAAAAACACTCACCTCTCAACTTGGTGTATTCTTTTAGTCAATTTCCATAATTCTATATTGTTTCCAGTTTTATAAATATTTTGTAGGGAGACAATTTGCTGAGCTTTTTATTCTTTTATTTCCAGCTTCTCTCTAGATGCTTATATGCTTTCCCCTCCCCTGTTTTGAATCATTGCTAGTATGAGCCACTTCTACTGACTAAAGTGTGTCCTAGCCTTGAAATTTGTGCTTGAATGAACAAAATGTGTAATCATATATATGGAGTTAAAACTTCAGGAGAAATGTGTTTAAGAGGTAGATAGTTGCATGGAACCAACTAGCAAAGTACAACGTATCAGTGTACTTTTCTACATGCACTCATGAGCACCTAGGTTTCACTAATTTCCCCTTAATTTTATTTTAATTTATATAGAATGATAAAAAATTGAGTGAACAAAAAGATTAAATAACATTTGACTACTTTTCAATTTTTTGTTGTTGTTGTTTTTATTAGAGGGAGTCTCGCTCTGTCACCTAGGCTGGAGTGCAGTGACATGATCTCGGCTCACTGTGACCTCTGCCTCCCAGGTTCAAGCATTCTCCCACCTCAGCCTCCCAAGTAGCTGGGACTACAGGCATGGGCTACAAGCCTGGCTATTTTTTTTTTTTTTTAGTAGAGATGTGGTTTCGGCATGTTGGCCAGGCTGGTCTCGAACTCCTGACCTCAGGTGATCCATCTACCTCGGCCTTCCAAAGTGCTGGGATTACAGGTGTGAGCCACTGCTCCTGGCCCCTACTTGTCTATTATAATATTTTTTCAGTTTTATGTGACAACTATGCTGGATTACCCGGAAGTATTCCAGTGCTAGCACTAAGAATTCTACCTTCTGGAAAAGCTCTCAGTTCCAGGAAGATTGGGAATGGTTGATCGTTATCATTATCATTCCCTCTGTGGAACCCTATATTCCAGCTGCAACGAATCTCTAAAATTACCTCTCTTTCAAGGCCAGGCCAGCAAACATGCTGCCCTCTTCTAGTAACAGCCTTCAATTCCCCACAAAACCCATTTTCAGAAAAAAATTATAGATTATTTTAGAACTAATTCAGGTATCATTGTCTCCAGATAGCATACCAAAACCTCTGCTTTGTCTCTGTTTTTTAGCACCCAGAATGTCTTTTATAAAATCACTGACAACAATGTATTAGTGTTATTTGCTTACTTGTCACTTGTTTCAGTCAGTTATTTGCTGACAAGCTGTTGCATAACAACCACAACATCTCAGTAGCATGCAAAAACAAGACTCATTTCTCGATAAGCATTTGCTGGTTGACTGGGTTCAGTTGATTTAAGGTCAGGTCTGGGGCCAAGGAGCTACCTTTGTATGTGATGGAAAAAATGCACAGCTCAATCACATAAGCTATTTCAGTCCTTTGCTTGTATTATGTTTGCAAATATTTCACTGGCCAAAGCAAGCCACATGGCCATACCCAATATTTATAGAGTGGAAAAACATATCATGCCTTTAGCCTGAGGGTCAGGAAAGTTACATGGCAGAGGGCTATGTACAAAATTGGTGATGTATTGGAGTGATGTAGTGAAAACTTCCACTACTGTTTTTCCCAAGTTAGCCACAGTACAGAGACTATGCTCTGTGCCTAGGTTTTAGAGCTAGCTAAGGAATTTAGTAGAAGTGTGACCTTGGGCAAGTTTCTTAACATCTTTGTACTTATATTTTCTCATCTGTAATGTGGGGATAAGATCAATATCTATTTCTTTGGATTGTTGAGAATATTAAATATGATTATTTAGGGGAAGTTCTTAACACTGGACCTGGCATAAAGCCTTACACCTCCTGGCAAGCAACAGGAAGCAAGTAAATGTTTGTTGAAAGAGTAAAAGAATGTATGAAATGGAAAAGGGGGATCTTGGAAACATAAACATGAATGTTTTAAATTGTTGGGAGAATATGAAAGATAGACTTGAAATTAGCAAAGTCGACTTGGAAAGTGAACTAAAGCTTAGTTGTGGTGAAAGAAAACACATTGAATGTGTCCTTGGATAGAATCAAGACATTTATTCAACATACAAAACGAAGAATGTGTTCTTTTAAAAAAGAAATCTCAGCAATACAACCAAGACAATGGTCATTGGAATGATCAATAAAAACAAGGATTCACTCTTCCTAAATATTCAATTGACCAGGAGTTTGAAAAATTACAGTATTCTGAGGGTTAAAGCTATAATTGAGTAAATGTAGTTATTTAAGGAAGGTGATAAAAATAACCTTAAGTGTCATTATCATAAGCTGTTATTGCTATTGTTAATATTAAAAGAGATTACAGTATGTAATATAAAGCAGTCATTTACAAAAATGTAATTTGGTAAATGTAACTATATTTTAAAATAGTAAGCAGCAAATGGTAATAGCAAAATGTAACTATGTTTAAAAAATGTCATTGCATTTTTATTAATACACAAATAACTTTTATTTTTACCACATTTCTCAAAAGGAATCTTGGTTCTTTCAAAAATCTTTTGGTTTAACAAATTAACAAGTACACTGTTTCTCAATATTTTATCATCACTCTTTGATTTCTGCAATTTGTGTTGTAATATAAAACATAGTAGAGTTCCTGATCTTCTAATTGTCCAGTTTATTAATTACACACATTGGTAAACTAAAACAGATGGGTAAGAAATGATTTGTTTAGTGCAGTTTATCTTAAACTAGATAGCCTTCCTGAATGCACCTTAAAGTTTCCAAACTTTTTGTTTGTTTTAGTAAAATGCTATTTTCATTGTTAATTGAACTTAATCAAATTATGGTTACAGAATGTAGTCTATAATTGTTGGAATTTGTTAAACCTTAGTTGTTAGTAAATATTTCATGAATACCTGCAAATAATGTATATTTTATTTACTGGATGCAAGTTCTATTAACATTTCTATTGGATTAATCTTGTTAATTGTATTATTTAAATTTACTGTACTTACTAATTTTTGTCATCTTCATAGACTGGTTTCTGAGAGAAGAGTGTTACAAGAAGAGTGTAGTCCCCTACTAATTGCAGATTTGCTAACTACTCTTTGCAATTACGTCAATTTTTGCATTATATATTTTAATTTTAAATCAGTAAGTGCATCTAAATTTCTGATAATCAAACTATCTTGGTGGATTTTTCCCCATCACTATTATTGATTTTTACCAAGAATTCTAATTTGTCTGCTATTAATACAGCTTTGCTTTGGTTAGTACTTTCTTGATGTGACTTGATATCCATGTGATTTTAACTTGTCTGTGTGATTTTTTTTTAAAAAAAGAATTGTTGAGATATATTTTTTAAAGTCCATTTGGATATTCTGTTTTCTACCCTGCAAATTAACATATATCATGATCACTAATACATTTGCAAATATTCCTACCATCTTAATCATACTACTTATAATTTTCTTTCCTTTTGTTTTTCTCTTTGCTTGTTTTCTCTTTGAAGGATAATTTTTAAAATATTTCGTCAATTTTCATCTGTGGAATTGGGAGATATAGTGTTATATTATTGTATATGTTATATATTTTACTGTTGTATTGTGGTTACCTTAATTTTTCATATGTATATTATGTTTTTATTTTCCAAGACATGAAAAGAAACTTTTCGCTCTTTAATGTTACATGGACATTCCTTTACCATCTTGTTATTAATGTCTACAGTTTTTGTTTTTTACTATTACTCATTTCTGAAGTGAATCTAAGGAATAATATTTTATTCAATTCTGGAAAATTCTCTGGCAAAAGCTCCAGTCCCTTTAAATATAGCTTCTCACTCGTTTTTTGGAGATTCTTGAGCAAGCTCCTTCATCTCTTTTTTGTGAGTTTATAATATATATATTTATATATTTATCTATGACTTTTTGACCTAAATTCTGAGTGAATTCTTTTAAGCTATATTCTAACTCAGTAATTTTCAGAGACTGAAAATCAGCAATTCTGCTAACCAACTGTAACTAATATTTCTATTACCACATGGCAAGGAAAGTAGGCACCTTTTCTATACAAGGTCAGAGTACAACTGTAATAATGGGTGGCAATTTTTTTTTCTAAGTTATTGTTATCCTGGTGCCATTGATAGCCTAGTGCTGCTTGGTTCCTCCCACCTTGTGAACAAAGAAATTCTGACATATCCAAATACTGAATCCCTAGCTCCTGCTTCTTTTTAACAGTCTCTAATTCAGAAATCTTCCCCACTCTCCTAATCCTTTTTTAGAATAATCCAACTTATACCCAAACATACCCTCAAATCCCTTTCCTGAAATTCTCCTAAGGTTCTTCCAGGATGTATTCTCCCTTGTTGTATCAAATTGAATAAACCTGACTTTATTTGTGTGTTTCCTTAAAAAAAAGTTTATTTGTTTTATTTATTTATTTTAAATTTACATTAAAATTATATCTATCCTATACAACACAGCATATATACCTTGCACAGTGGTTAAATACAGTTAATTAACAAATAAATACATTACCTCACATAGTTATCATTTTATGGTGAGAATACATAATATCCATTCTCAGCATTTTTAAAGAATACAATTTATCATCATTAACTATAGTCACCATGCTGTGTAATAGATCTCTTGATCTTATTCCTCCTATCTAACTATAAATATACATACTTTGACCAGTATCTTCCTATCCACCCCAGCCTCTGGTAACCACCATTCTACTGTCTACTTTTATGTGATCAACTTTTTTAGGTTCCACATATGAGTGAGATCACGTAGTATGTATCTAATTGTGTCTGGCTTGTTTTATTTAACACAGTGTCCTCTAGGTTCATCCATATTGTCACAAATGACAGGATTTCTTTCTTTTTTATGGCTAAATACTATCACATTTTGCATATATGACACATTTTCTTTATCCATTCATCTATTGATGGACACTTAGGTTGATTCCATTTCTTGGCTTTTGTGAATAGTGTTACAATAAACATAAATATATATAATCTCTTCAAAGACTAATTTCATTTTCTTTGGATATATACCCAGTAGTGGCATTGATGCATCCTATGGTAGTTCTACTTTAAATTTTTATAATGGCTATACTAATCTGCATTTCCACCAACAGTGTGTAAGGGTTTCCTTTTTCTCTACATTCTTGCTAACACTTGTCATCTTTTGCTGTTTTAATAGTAACCATTTTAACAGGAATAAGGTGATATCTCTTGTGGTTTTGATTTGCATTTCACTGATCATTACTGAAGTTGAACATTTTTTTCATATAACTATCATCCATTTGTATGTCTTTTGAGAAATGTCTATTTAGGTCTTTTGCCCATTTTAAAAATTGGATTATTTCTTGCTATTGAGCTTTTTAAGTTCCTTATATATTTTTTGGATATAATCCCTTATCATATTTATAGTTTGCAAATATTTTCTCACATTCTGTAGGTTGTCTTTTCATTCTGTTGATTATTTCCTTTGCCATGCAGAAGATTTTTAGTTTGATGTAATCCCAGTTGTCTATTTTTGCTGTTCTAACCTGTGCTTTTGAGGTCATATACAAAAAGATTGTGTCTAGATCAATGTCATGGAGTTTTCCCATATGTTTTTTTCTAGAACTTCATAGTTTTGGTCTTACATTTAAGTCTTTAATATATTTACTATATTGTGAGTTGGTTTTTGCATATGGTGAGAAGGGTCTAAGTTTACTCTTCTGTATGTGGATATCCAGTTTGTTGAAGAGACTGTTCATTTCCCATTGTGTGTTCTTGGAATCTTTGTTAAGAATCAATTGGCTGTAAGTGCATGGATTTATTTCTAGGTTCTCTTTTCTGTTTCATGGTTGGTGTGTCTGTTGTTATGTTGTACCATGCTGTTTTGGTTACTATAGCTTTGTAGTATATTTTGAAGTTATAGTATGATGCCTCCAGCTTTATTCTTTTTGATCAAATTGCTTTGGCTATTTGGGTTTTGTGGTTCCATATAAATTTTAGGTTTGTTTTTTCTGTTTCTGTGAAAAATGTTATGGTGTTTTGATAAGAGATTTCATTGAATCTGTTGATCGCTTTGATATCACAGACGTTTTAGCAATATGAATTCTTCCAATCTGTAAACATGGACTGTTTTTCCATTTATTTGTGTCTTCAACTTTTTTATTAATGTTTTATAGTTTTCAGTATACAGATCTTTCACCTCTTGGTTAAATTTATTCTTAGGTATTTTATTTATTTATTTATTTATTTATTTGTTTATTTATTTATTCTGGCCTGATATGATTTGGCTGTGTCCCCACCCAAATCCCATCTTGAATCATAGTGCCTATAATCTTCACATGTCATGGGAGGGACTTGGTAAGAGGTAACTTAATCATGGGGCAGTTATCTTCATACTGTCCTCATGATAGTGAGTTCTCATGAGATCTGATGGTTTTATTAGGGGCTTTTCCCCCACTTTGCTCAGCACTTCTCCTTGTTGCCACCATGTGAAGGACAGGTTTGCTTCTCCTTCTGCCAGGATTGTAAGTTTCCTGAGGCCTCCCCAGCTATGCTGAATTGTGAGTCAATTAAACCTTTTTCCTTTATAAATTACCCAGTCTCAGGCAGTTCTTTATAGCAGTTTGAAAACGGACTAATAAATATACAGCAAAAATAAATGAATGCACACAAATCTCAAACCTTCATCATAACTAGAAGACAAAGAAACATAGACTTCAAATTACAGAAGATAAATTTCTATAAATAAAAAAGAAAAAACAGTAATTTTGGGGATAACTAATTTTTCATCTTCTACTATAAGGCTTTGTGGGGAACAAAAGGAAAGAGTGAAAGTACACAGAGGAGAGAAGATTAAGAGAAAACTACACTAGAAAGACAAAGTTTTCATAAGTACAAAAATACTGAGGAACAATCCTAGTAAATCAGAGCACTGATGTAAAAGTTTGTAGTGTCCTGGAACACAGTATTAGACAAGAATTGTTTCTTGGGGAGAAGAGAAGAAAGAGGAAGGGGCAATTTTTTACTTCTGGCAACGATGACATAACAGGGAATAAACTTACACTTCCTCTGTAAACAACTAGAAAAATGAACAAAAGTATATGAACCAGTTGTTTTCAGATAGTGAACAACTGGCAGCACAGGACAGGGACCCCTGAGAGTAGGAAAATAAAAGTGGACCCTAAGATTAGTCTGACTTCCTAACTGGAGGCACATTTTAGACTATGGTGTGAAGACGAGAATCCTAAGCAGAATACTAGCCTCATTGAGTTTAGGGAAATCAGACACAGGTCATGGAGGCAGAGGTTTTAGGGCAGATGTCCAGAGAAGAGGGAGCTATTATTATTACTACTACTGCTACTGATACTACTACATACATGCACACACACACACACACACACACACACAGCTTCCAAAATCTACATAAATCTTGGGTATTTAGTGATGGTTAATCTCTACATGTGTAAAATAAAATTCCATGGGGCTGAAGAGAGAATCACTTTTATGGAGCAATAAATTGAAATATTCCTAGAGTGTACAGAGAGTGGGGAAAATGTTCAGGCTCTAACCATCTAGAATTAAGAGTTGTCACTGGTTAACTAAACGATGGATAGAGACCCTAGAAGGGTCAAATTTAGTAGTAGGGCTAAACAACTCTGAGAGGAAAGGCTACTCTAGACCTTCTGTAACAAATCTTAAAATCAAGCCACAGAAAGATCCAGCTAATTCACGAGTAAAGTCCAGCAAACTTTAAAGGAAAACAATAAAATCCAGGCACTGAAAAACATACAAATCACAAGATCCAGCATCTAATAAAAACATTACTAGAATGTTTTTAGTAGAACATGTCAAGAATTAGGAAAATATGACTCATAATCAGAAGAAAATAAATTAGTAGAAACGGACATAAAAATGAGACGATGGAATTAGCAGAACAGGGACATATATATATATGTCCCTGTATATATATATGTGTGTGTGTGTATATATATATAACATTCTCAAGGATTTAAATATTTAAATATTTAAATAAAATAAAATATTTAAATAAAATATGAACATAATGAAGAGAGAATTAAGAGATATAAAAACACCAAAAGAATCATTTATTTGTGAAATACAGTATCTGAAATTTAAAAAATTCACTGGACAGTATTTACAGCAGAACTGACACTGCAGAAGTAAAGATTATTTGACTTAGCTATACAGCCGTAGAAACTATCCTAACTAAATGGAGCATAGAGAAAAGATTTAAAAACATGAATAGAGACTCAGTATCCTGAGGAACTTTCAAGGGACCTAGCATATATATAATTGGAAAATAAGAACTACAGCAAGGAACATGGTAATTAAATTAGTAAAAACCATTAATAAAGTGATGAATCTTAAAAACAGCAAGAACGACCCCCCAACATTATTTAGTGAGACAAAAGATAAGAATTACTGCAGACTTTGTATTAAAAGCCATGGAAGCCAAATCACTTCTGTAGTATTCCTGACAAGAGGGTATAACCCAAATCTAACTTTGAGGAAACATCAGACATCCATAAATTGAGGGACATCTGCAAAATTTTTATGTCATTAGAGACAAAAAGAGACTGATTCAAGATATGAAAGTTACATGACAACTAAATGAATTATGTGATCCTAAAGCATATTTATTCTTCTTTATTTGCTGTAAAGAATAATATTGGGACAATGAACAAAATTTGAGTAAGTTTTATAGATTATAGAATAGTGTTGTATCTTTATTATTTTCCTGATTTTTATTATCTTATTGTGGTTATACAAATATAAGTACTTAGGGGTAAATAGATATAATTTCTGTAGCTTTCTTTTATATGATTCAGAAAAATATTAAGATATATTTACATATCTAGAGGAAGTTGTGTATCAAATATATACTTCCTCTAGATATGTAAATATATCTTATATAAGTATATATAGCTTCCTCTAGATAGTTGTATAACAACTTCCTCTGGATATGTAAATATATATCCTCTAGATATGTGTGGGGGTTTATTAAGGAGTGTTAACTCACACAATCACAAGGTCCCACAATAGGCTATCTGCAAGCTGAGGAGCAAGGAAGCCAGTCCCAGTCCCAAAGCTGAAGAACTTCAAGTCCAATGTTAAAGGGCAGGAAGCATCTAGCACGGGAGAAAGATGTAGGCTGGGAGTCTAAGCCATTCTAACCTTTTCACGTTTTTCTGCCTGTTTTATATTCTAGCCACACTGGCATCTGATTATATGGTGCCCACCCAGATTAAGGGTGGGTCTGCCTTTCCCAGCCCACTAACTCAAAAGTGAATCTCCTTTGGCAACACCCTTACAGATACATCCAGGAGCAATAGTTCACATCCTTCAATCCAATCAGGTAGACCCTCAGTATTAACCATCACAGCAGCCACCCACCCACCCACCCCAAACCACGCTTTTGCAGGTGAAGAGATCCACTTTTCCCTGGTTTTAAACAGTGAATCTGCTCCCTCCTACCTCCCGACTCTTGTTGAACCCTTGTAGTCACTAGGTCTCTGCAAGAGCCAGCTCTCTGAGTGGCCTAGTCTGCTTTTGACTTCAGACCTCTGTAGCTTTGAGCTTCAGCATCACTTGTGGGCTTGGATTTTGGTCCACATAGTTATTTATTTTGTTTTCACCATAACTATGTCTCATTGCTTTACTCTTTGTAGGTTTTAAATGTCACTGCTAGAAGTGAATTGAAGCCTGAAATTATGGAACCCTTTTGACGAAAAGTTTTATTCGGTGGCTTTAACAAAAGCTATAATCACTTTGGGCTATTAGTGATAAATATTTTTCCTATAATTAATTCTATGCAGAATTTTGATCTTTTAATATCATTTCTATTTTTTTTTTATTTCAATAGCTTTTGGGGTACAAGTGGTTTTTGGTTACATGGATGGGATTCTATAATGGTGAATTCTGACATTTTCTGTCACCTGAGCAGTATACACCATACCCAATATGTAGTCTTTTATCCATCACCCTCTCTCCCAATCTCCACCCACACAGTGAGTCTCCAAAATCCATTATGTCACTCTGTAATGTCTTTGTGACCTCATAGCTTTAGCTCCCACTTATTAGTGAGAACATATGGTATTTTGTTTTACATTCATGAGTTACTTCACTTAGAATAACGGTCTCTAGCACCATCCAAGTTACTGCAAAAGACCACTATTTCATTCCTTGTTATGGCTGAGTAGTATTCCATGGTGTACATATACCACATTTTCATTATCTACTTTTTGATCGATGAGCACTTGGGTTTGTTCTGTATCTTTGTAATTGTTAATTGTGCTGCTATAAACTTGCGTGTGTATGTGTCTTTTTCACATAATGACTTCTTTTCATTTGAATAGATATCCAGTAGTGGGATTGCTGGGTTGTACGGTAGATCTACTTTTAGTTCTTTAAGGAATCTCCATACTGTTTTCCATAGAGGATGTACTGACTTACATTCCCAGCAGAAGTGTAAAAGTGTTCTCTTTGCACCACAGCCATGCCAGTATCTATTGTTTTTTGACTTTTAAATTATGGCCATTCTCGTAGAAGAAAGGTGCAGTATCCCATTGTGGTTTTAATTTGCATTTTCTTGATAATTAGTGAGGTTGAGCACTTTTTTCATATGTTGGTTGGCTGCTTGTTCATCTTCTTTTGATGATGAACTTTCTATTCATATCTTGCCCACTTATTGATGGGATTATTTGACTTTTTCTGGATGATTTGTTTGAGTTCCTTGTAGATTCCAGATATTAGTCCTTTGTCAGATGCATAGTTTGCAAATATTTTCTCCCACTCTGTGGGTTGTCTGTTTACTCTGCTGATTATTTCTTTTGGTGTGCAGGAGCTTTTTAGTTTAATTAGCTTCTATTTACTTATTTTTGTTCTTGTTGCATTTGCTTTTGGTGTCTTAGTCATGAATTATTTGCCTAGGCCAATATCCAGAAGGGTTTTTCCAATGTTATCTTCTAGAATTTTTAGGGTTTCAGGTCTTGAATTAGGTCTTTGATTCATCTTGAGTTTATTTTTGTTTAAAGTGAGAGATGGGGAACCAGTTTCATTTGGAAATCCAGATTCACTAAGTTTATTTGTTCAGCAGGGTAGTCCATTCACTCAGGATGTTATAGAATCTACAATTATTGCAGTGACCATGAGATGACTAATGGAAAAAAAGAATAGGCAGAAAATAATTTATGTATACATAACGCTTGATTTGAAAAGCTGGTGCTAACCCATCTGAAACACTTGCAATATTCACCCAACAAATATTTTGAGTGCTGACTATATGTAAAGCAGGGTCTGGACATACAATAATGAATCATACTTACCGTAGTTTCCAGGACCTTACAGTCTAAAAGGAAAGATAAGCCATCAATAAATAAAAAATATAGATACAAACAAAAATGCCTGTAAGAGTTCAAAAATCTCGCTGTAAGGGATTAAATAAGCCTTTTAGAAAGAAGTGCTTTTTTAGCTAGATCTTGAAAAATGAGATCTTTGTAACTTCTTAAGGTAGGGGCTAGAGTTTAGACTTGGATCAGCTCTAATTAATGAAAGAACAGCAATAATAAAGAAATATCTCTATTTCAAACAGATGGGTTATAGTTTCCTAAAAAAGGACACATTTGACTACTTGATATATTCATAGTGGCTAGGTTCTTTTCCCATCTATAGCATCCTTTCCACTTAGCATCCATTATTTTCTAACTCACTCATAACTCTTTTATCTGCTTAACCTCAGACTTTCTCTCATTTTTTTCAAAATGCTAGTTGGTCTCTTGATTAGCCTTGGTTATGAAAAAGTCAGTGGTCATCTATGAGCAAGTCCCCAGCTGCAGGGGGAAAATTGTGGCAACGTATAGTTATCATTTTTTAATGTTTAGCAAGCACTTTTTAATAAAAAAGAAAACCCTGTTAAAATGTTTATTGTCTCTCAAAGAGACAATGCAATGGTTTTGCTTTTATTTCAGCATCACCTCCTCTGTAATTATACTTCTTTTTGCCTTTGGCAATGTGGCATAGTGGGCATGTATTTTGGAATTCTGTTCATCTGAATACAAATCCTGGTTTTGCTGCTTACTGGCTGTGTGACTTTATTGCACATCCTCCATCTCATGTTCCCTTGATTGGCAAGAATGGAGCTAATCCTATAAACCTTTCAGGTTTGTGGAGACAATGAAACAAGTTAAGGGAGTCAAGGTGTCCAACTAGTTTCATAGGGGTTAATCAATAAATGCTATTTTCCCTTCTTTCTTGCTGTCTTTAATCATGTTCTTCCCTCATCCTTGTATAATCTCCTTTTCTTCCTCATCGTCTTTCTTTATTAAAATCCAACTCATCATGCAAGTTCAATTCCATCTTCTGTGGATCCTTCCCTAAATGCCCTACAGTGATAATTACTTGAACTTTGTTTTGTGCTCCAACAACAAGTGGACTGAATTTCCATTTAGCCCATAGCGTGGAGTTAAATTGCTCAGGGCATCGGCTGAAAGAATCCAACTCAAGGTGCTTGGCAATGGTGCTATTGCATCATTTATATTAAACAGGCAATGAATGCAACCAAGCCTGAAAGAATCTCAGAAAATAAGTGTGAATTGATTTAAAAGTTCTTTTTCATGACTGAGATGTGATTCTTATTATGTAAGAGGTCAAGCAAGAAGCTGGTGATACCAATAACAGGGGTGACTTTGGTGCATTCATTTCAGCCATAAATTTATTAATCTTTAATGCTGGGTAATAAAGAGTTAAAAAAACTCATATATATGTATATGTAGAACTGGACTTTATGAGAAGCCCAGTTCTGGGACTCTTGCGGGTAGTATTGACAATATAGACCTTCTGTGTTATGTGTTATCTTTAGAATCTAATGTTATAAGATGTGTCTTCTTTGTATTTCATTCCTTCATATTTATCTCTTTTAAAAACCACATTGTAACCTCTTGAGGATCAGAATTATATTATACATGGAACATAAAACATGTATAATGAATATTTAGCAAAATTAAAATTGAAATTGGATGTATAGAAATAAAGCAATAGAGGAAGAAGTCAGAAATAAGTCACAAAGTTCTCTTCCTGAACAATAACAGCAAATCTTTATTAAGTGCTTTACATACACTGTTCTTTTAATTCTTAAAACTATGCTATTTGATGAAAACACTTATGACCTCCAATTTACAGAGGAAGAAACTAAGATTTAGAGAGAACTTAAGTAACTTGCCTGAGGTTACACTTAAGCAAGTGGCAAAGACATGATTCAAATGTAAATCTAAGGTTGAATCCAGAGTGAATGTGAATCCAGCTACCTTTCCTTCCAGAAGTTCTTTTTCCCTTTCTTCACCTTCCAGTCTAGTAGACTAGAGGATTCTTCCTGCACACTAACAGGCCAATCTGCAATAATTATTTTCTTTTACTGTTCATTAAAGTAAGTTAAATAATGTAGACATGGACCTACTGAAATTTGAAAGACAGCCTATATGAGGCACAATTGTTCTCTTCATTAAGGTTGGAAAAAGCATGTTGTCTGAAGGAATAAAGCATATCTGAAGATGTGCATAGGACCCTGCTTAGGTTTGTCTGCTGTTAGTCTCACTAAAGAGGGTTAGGGAAGAATCAACCAAGGTCTGATTTTGTTTCCTTTATGGATTTATGAAGATAACTCTTTTTTTAACTGCAAGATTGCCTTTATTTTCAACATTTTATGATTCACCTAGGTCAGCTTGATGCTGTGTTTGTGCTGATGGGGTAAAAACATGAAGATTTCAAGAACAAACGTTTTTGACAATGGCTTCTCTGGCAGAATTAACACAGTGTTCATTGCGCCCATAATGTCTAAATAGACATGTAGAATATGCCTTTGTGAAGGAGACCGACAGGGTGCTCCGCCCTGAGAAAGATGAGAGAGGGAAAGAGAGGACCAAGAGAACCTGGCTCCTTTGAAAACAACTTCTTAGAAGTTTTTGCCCAGGAAAATGTTGGCTTTGACTGCTCTCTAGTGGTGGGCAGTGTTCACTGTCAGCAATTCCTTCCACAGGAATCCCAAGCTGAAGGAAGAGACGGCAAAACTCAAGCTTTTGCTTGGACACCTAGAGCTGAGTTGCAAAGGAGCACACACACACACACACACACCCCAGGCCTGGGGGTGGAGGTAGAAGAGCAACTTTCACTGAGCAGGAAAATGATAATAGAGATAAGAAGATGAAGTCTTCTATGGAAGCTGGAGAAAGGTTTGAGAGGATGAAGAGTTCCATATTCGGAGCCATAGACCTCTCACGGCTGTGCTCACTTTCTTCTTTCCATAATGGTAGTTTCCAAAATTGGAGTTGTGCTGGCTCCAGAGTTTTAGCTGGTGCCTGAGAGCTGACTTCTTGAACAACTCTGCAGAGGATGAAGAAGAGGAAGGAGACATACTTCTTGCTTTCAGGTGCCGTCCCCTTTTCTGGAGGAATTATGTAGGTCTGTTTTATTTTTTTCTCTACCCTACATTACTCAACAAAAGAGGGGAGAGTACCGCCTTGGGAAGAGATGGAGAGAGCCTCTGTTGTCACTCGTCCAGTTTTCCCTAAATCATGTTTTATAGATGACTCAACTGATATTGTGAGCTTTATTTGCATTTAGGGAAAAGATAAGTAAAATCAGTTTTGGAGTTTTCATTTTGTTTTTGGTCCACAGTTAGCATACATCCTGTGTTTGTTTGTTCCTGCTTCTGCACCGATTTTCTATGAAAGCGTATATATTTACATTACCCCTTTAGGTCTCAATGACTACATCTATATAATGGTGGGGTCAGTGGTCAGAGGTTGAGAGGTGGTTGATGTTCTGGACTTCTTTTATCTCTGATATGCCCTGAATATTATGATTCACTGACTCATAGAAGAGAATCTAAGAAAATATCCTGGGTTATGTAAGAAACCATTTGAGTCCTGGCCAGCTAAGCAGCAGTTCACACAGAGAGAAATACTCAAAATAGAGATACCAGGCAAGTGACATATTGGTGACCAGAAGGCACTTCCTTTCAGAAGAGAAGGCAATCAGATCATAGCCTTGCACAGAATAAGGATTCCACAAAAAAATTCCCGTGGTTCCTCCATTTTCTTGATCCACTTTCTTTGTGTCTCTATATGTAAGGCAAAGTGGAGAATTAAAGCAATTATTTGGATAATTCAAGCAGAAAAAAACCTCACAACACCCACATATGCTGCAATTATCTAGACATTTCAGGCAGAAGTGAAGCTCAGAACCAAATTATCAGGATAGTGCTTCAATTCTTCTGAAAAACAGCAATGCTAATTGCATGACACATTCAATGTACTATCACAGAGGACTGATGAGAGAGCAAAATTCTTGCTTGACATGCCTAAAAAGAAGAGCATAGAGTAAAAATATTCCACATCAGTTAAAACTTGGTAGAGAAAAGACAAAGGTAGTGAAATGATTAGTGCTAAAATGGGTTTCAAAGTACAAAAGAAGGCGTTAATAAATACGTCCAGGGACATTGAACAACCAGGAGAAATCAAGGCTGCCAATCAGCAGGCGTAGACATGAAATTGAGGATGATTCTAAAATGGCTGAGACACTGAACTCATGCTTCGAATCTGCTTTTAACAGGAAAAATGAAGCAACAAATTTGGACTATTAGGATATAAACGTTGCCAAATAGCTATTGGCAAAAATCAGGTGAGGGAATAGAGAACTTGGAAAACTTGCATAATTATAAATCAGCTAGACAGGCACCTGAGATTATTAAGGAAATTGGAGGATATGTGGTACTTACTAAAGAGATCACACTTTCTTTTGGAAAAAAGAAATCATATAGCTGAAAAGGTAGTAGATATCCTTTAAAAAAATCCCACAAAGTCCTCTTCCTAAAAGATATATTATTATTTTTTGAAATAGCAGTCTTACAAATTTGAGGTTCAAGTAGTAAACAAAAGGTGGATAAAATACTATTTATTTAAATTTAAGTCATGGCTACCTTTATAACAATCATGGAAAAATATAAATACTTAATAACTATGATGATGATGATGGTGATGATGATGATGATGATAAGGAGAACAATAATCAGCAAAGCAAATAAAACAGAACATGAATGACCAGAATGTATTATAATTAAACATTAAAATCCACGAGGCCAATGACTTGCCAAACAATGCCAGAAGAAATTTACAATGTGATGTGATGGAAAGAACATATCGTTATTAGCTGTGTGACCCTGACCAATTTATTTAATCTCTCTATATCAGGCTTGTCCAACCTGCAGCCCACAGGCTCCATGCGGCCCAGGATGGCTTTGAATGAGGTGCAACACAAATTTATAAACTTTCTTAAAACATTATGAGAATTTTTAGTAATCTTTTTTTTTTTTTTTAGCTCATCAGCTACCTTTAGTGTTAGTGTATTTTATGTGTGGCCCAAGACAATTATTCTTCTTCTAATGTGGCAATGTGGCCCAGGGAAGCCAAAAGATTGGACACCCATGAACGATTCTGAAGCATGTAAGACAGAGAAGAGATGGGAAAGGTTATTTGAAGTCCTGGAAATCCCAGGAATCACTTTTAGTTTTAAGATTATTGGTACACAGATAAAATCTATTTAGAATCATAAAATATGAGGCTGAGAAGAACCTTAGATATTATTTAACACACTGCCAGAAGTCCTTCCTCAATATTCTCTACCGGGGTCATCAAACCCTGATTGCTTATCCACCTGTGATAAAGTGCATACTATTTGTCAAGACACTCCATTCCATCTTTGGGCAACTCCACTTACACAAAGCTCTTCTTTTTGACTAGCAAAATCTTTCTGCTTAGC
Organism: Homo sapiens; assembly: GCF_000001405.40. Lineage (NCBI taxonomy): Eukaryota > Metazoa > Chordata > Mammalia > Primates > Hominidae > Homo > Homo sapiens. The sequence goes on along the minus strand of NC_000014.9, from coordinate 80,053,567 downwards.
TAAATGCTTTAATCTAACATTTCATCTTCAAATATTTCAGGAGGTTGGTCTAGTAAGTGATTAGTATTCTGTTTTTATTCATAATTGCTACTTCACAAAATAAGCAGTCATTTCTCAATATCATCAAATATCCAAGCAGTGTGTACATTTCCCCAAATATCTTAGAATCTTTTGGTTCAATTCATTGTTAAAATTAGAATCCTTAAAAAGCCTGGCCTATACATTTCAATTAATTAATAATCACTTTGTGTGTGTGTGTGTGTGTGTGTATATATATATATATATATATAATATATAGTTGCTGCTCTTTTTTGTAATTCAGTGAATGAATGAATGAACTACTTAATTTTTGTTGTGGTGTGGAAGAAACCCAGCTGCTTCTAATAGTTTGAATTTTGCTGATTCTATCACTATGGTGCCTGTCCCCTCTATTCCCTATTGATTGGTAATAGATCTGGAGGCTTGAGGCTTTTTACTTTTCTTTAGTGTATAGTTATGATTTCATAGCCTACAGTTCCTTTTGATAGGACCGTAGAAGTCCTTGGTAGCTTCTTAGTCTCTTCGGGCTACTATATCAAATACTCTAAACTGAATAGTTTAAATACAAACATTGATTTCTCACTATTCTGGAGACTGGGAAGTCCAAGTTCAAGGCAACAGCAAATTCAGTCTTTGTTGAGGGGCTGCTCTGTGGTTCGTAGATGCCAACTTCTTGCTGGGTCCTTACATGGTGGAAGTGGGGAGGCAACTTCTCTTGGGACATATAAGGGCACTAATCTCATTAATAAAGATTGCATCTTTATGACCTCATATAATCCTAATTATTTCCCAAAGACCCAACATTTAATGCCATTACCTTTGGGGTTATAATTTCAACATATATTTTGAGCAAACACAAACAGTCAGACTATAGCAGCTTTCTTGCTCCCTGGTATGATAACATGATCTATGCTCAACATTCAGTTTCTGCTCCAGACCTGAAACCTACTATTGTTCCCAAGGAGCCATGATTTCCTCTAGTGGTTGTTAGGGGTTCTCATCACAACTGAGTTTGTCATTGTTTTAGGCTGCTTCTGTGGAAAGAGATAATAAATAATTTTTCTGAATTTGTAGAGCTTTATTGATACATAATGAAAGAATAATATAGACACCCAACTATTTTAAAAATACAATTTAATCAGTTTTGATATATGCAAACACCTGCAAAATCATAATGAACAAAACAAATATTTATACCACTGCCAAAAGTTTCTTCATACTTCTTTGTAATCTGTCCTCCAACTACTCCTATCCCTAAGCAACCATTGACCGGCTTACCATCACCATAAATTAGTTTACATTTTAGAATTTTGTATAAAATATCTCACATTCTCTTTTTTTCATGCTTTCACTTAGCATCATGATTTCAAGATTTATCCATGTTGTGTATATCAATGGTTTATTTTTATTGCTAAGGAGTATTCTTTCATGTGGATATAGCACAAATTGTTTATTTGTTAACATGTTGATGGACATGTGGATATTTCCAATTTGGGACTATTAAAAATAAAGTTACTATAAACATTTGTGCACCAGTCTTGGGGTAGATTATAAGTTTTGTTTCTGTTATGTAAATACTTAGGAGTGGAATGCCTACATCATATGGTAGTGGATCAAATTAAAATTATGTTTAATTTTATAAGAAACTAACAAACTGGTTTCTAAAGTGGTTTTACCATTTTGCATTTTCTACAGAAGTGTTTAGGAGTTCTAGTTGCTCCACTACCTTGTCAACACTTGTTATATTCAGTCACTTCAATTTTAAGCAATCTAACGAGCACATAATTATATCCCATTTTGTTTTCAGTTTGTGTTCCTCTGACTACTAATGATGTTAAGTATCTTTCATGTGAAATTTTGCCATTTGATTATCTTATTTCATAAAGTATCTGTTCAAATCTTTTGCCTGTATTTTTATCAGATTGTATAATTAATTTTTGAATTGTAAGAATTCTTTATATATTATTGATATGAGTCTTTTGTTTGATATTTGTGTTGCAAATATTTGCTCCCATTCTATGGCATACTATCTTGATGGTGCTTTTAGAAGAGCAAATGTTTTAAATGTTGATGAAGTAAGCTTAGTCTATTCTTTAAATTTTATGGTTTATGCTATTTTCTTCTGTCTAAGGAAACTTTACATACTGTAAAGTTGCAAAGATCTTTTTCAATGTTTTCTTCTAGAAGTTTTATAGTTATAGATTTTAAAGTTAGAGCTATAATTGATTTTGTTAAAGCAAACTCATTGTGGCCTGAGAAGAACTCCATACTTCTATATTTGAGTTCTTGTGGATGAACTGTAGCCTAGCCTAATAGTCAGACAAAATTGAAAACCTAACTTAATAGTATGCACCTGTAACAATGGCTGAGTGTTGGCCAATCCCAGTGGCCATACTTCAACCACTCATAGACAGTTGAATGTTCAAATTGTGTTCAAATAAGGCAAACGCCGAGCTGTAACCAATCTCACTGTTTCTGTACCTCACTTCTGATTCCTGTATGTCACTTTACCTTTTCTGTCTATAAATTTGTTCTGACCACAAGGCACCCCTGGAGTCTCTGAATCTGCTGTGATTCTGGGGGCTGCCCGATTCATGAATTGTTCATTGCTTAATTAAACTCTTTTAAATTTAATTCGGCTGAAGTTTTTCTTTTATCAATTTCAAGTTAAATTTGTTCATGGTATAAGGTAAGGGTCAATATTCATTTTTATCATTTTAAATATTTAGTTGATTTACCATGGTTTGTTGAAAAGCAATTTCCTTTTCTCATTTAATTATCCGAAGACCTTTGTTGAAACTCAATTGCTCATACTTGTGGGGGCTCCATTTTTGATTCTCTATTCTATTTCATTTATCTAGAATTTTTTCTCTCTCTTTTGCCAGTACTGAACTGTCTTGATTACCAATTACAGTTTTCCCTAAGTATCCATGGGAGATTGGTTCCAGTACCTTCCAAAGATACCAAAATCCTCAGTGCTCAAGCTCTTGTTATAGAATGCTGTAGTATTTGCTTATAACCTATGCACATCCTCCCATATACTTCAAATCATCTCTAGGTTACTTATAATTCCTAACACAATGTAAATGCTATGTTAATAATTGTTGACTATATTGTTTAGGTAATAGTGATTAGAAAAAAGGCTGTATCTGTTCAGTTCAGATGCAATCATCCAAATTTTTTTCCAATATTTTTGACCCATGATTGGTTGAATCCACAGATGCTGAACCAACAGAAACAAAGGGCCGACTATATGTGTTAAGTCTTGCAATTAGATAATGTAAATCCTTTAACTGTGCTCTTTTTAAAAACAACTTTAGTTATTCTAGGTTCTTTAAATTTCCACATAATGCTTAGAATAAGTTTGGCAGTTTCTATAAAATGCTTGTTGGAATTTTGCTAGGAATGCATTGAATCCATAGGTTATTTTGGGGAAAATTGATATCTTAACAATATTGAATCTTGTAATTCAGGAAGATGACATACCTCTCTATTTATCTAGGTCCTTAATTTTCCTCAGCAATGTGCATGGTTTTCAGTGTAAACATCTTGAGTGCCTTTGTTGGACTTATTCCTAAATGTGTTTTATGGTACTATAAAAATATAATTTTAAAATATTTTATATTCAATTTTTAAAAATATGTAATTGAGTTTTGTATATTCAATTTGCATCCTGTGACATTGCTAGATTTACTTATGAGTTCTAGTAGTTATTTTGGACATTTCTTGTGGCTTCCAATGTAAATAATAATATTATAAATAGAAATAATTTCTTTGTGATATTTATGACTTTCATTTTTTATTTTTTACCTTATTGTAATAGCTAGGCACTCCAGCATAATGTTGAAAAGAAATGATGAAAGTGGGCATCCTTGCCTTGTTCCTGACATCAAGAGGAAAAAAAAATTAGTCTTATTCAGTTGCCTGTATTAGTCAGGGTTTTCCAGAGAAATAGAACCAATAGGAGATATATAGATACAGTTAGCCCTTCATATTTGTAGGTTCCACATCCACAGATTAAATCAGCTGTGTATCAAAAATATTAAAAAATAGCAATCCAGTAATAAAAAGAATATGAATTTAAAATGACATAGTTATAAGTAATCTGGAGATAATTTAAAACGTATGAGAGGCTGTGTGTAGATCATAGGCAAATACTATCCCAGTTTTATATAAGTAACTTGATGATTCACAAATTTTAGTATTTGTGGTGGGATTCTACAACCAATCTCCCATGTATACTGAGGGAGAACTGTTTATATAAGAGGAAATTTATTATAGGAATTGACTCATGTGATTATGGAGGTCAAGAAGTCCCAGAATTTGCCAATTGCAAGCTAGAGAATCAGGAAAGCTGGTGGTGTAATTCAGTTTGAGTCTAAAGGCTTGAGAATTAGGAGGTTGATGGTGTATGTCTCAGTGTGAGTTCAAAACCTCAAGAACCAGGAGGGCCAGTGTCTGAGAACAGAAGACGACGAATGTGTCAGCTCAAGCAAAGAGAACAAATTTACCCCTTTCTCCACCTTCTTGTTGTATTTGGGCCTTAACAAATTGAATGAAGCCTACCCACATTGGTGACAGTGATCTTCTTTCGTCAGTCTACCAATTCAAATGCTAATCTCTTACAGAAACACCCTCAGACACACTCAGAATAAGGTTTAACAGCTGTATATGGGAATCCTTTAGCCCAGTCAAGTTGACACATAAATTTAGCCATCACATTGGTTATAGGTTTTTTGTCTTCACAGCTTGAGAAAGTGCCCTAATATTTTTAAAGTACAGAAGTTCATTGCTATGGTTTCAGATTCTACTTTGCAACTAACCTTTAAGAAACCACTACTTGTGTAAGTGGCTTGTTCATCTGGTAACTCAGAAAATTATAAAAGTGCTTTTCCTTGCAGTCATCACCATCCTTCAGTAAGCAGTAGAAATGCTTTTTATGTATCCCCTATTTTGTCACCTAGAATAAGAAAAATATATGTAAACAAGAGTTAAGATTTTAAAAAATTAATCACTTTTACAGCTTCAAGAATATTCATAATTGAAATTTATTTTTTAAACCACAAGTACATTGAGATGAAGAATACAATGACCAACTAATACATTATTATGCTACTTCCTTGATTCATACTAAGTCATCAGTAGTTTTACCCACAATTGCTTTTGCACCTTTAGTATATATATCAATGTAATGAAAAAGGTAACAAATACCTTCTTATTATGAAAAGAATTCTGACACTATGGACCCTTTGAAATGATCTCAGGGGCCCCCTAGGGTTCTACAGGCCACACTTTGAGGACCCACGTCTAGTTTAAATCTACAAATAAAGCACGGTCATCATGGGATCTATACTAAATATGCTGCAGCTTCATTAAGGTTTCTCTGTTTTAGCAGGTCAGACCTTGACTACCATGGCGTTCTATATGAGCTTTGAGAATTGTTTCACTTATGGTGATTCTTTACCAGGATTCATGAAGTTTTATCTTATAAATGCTCAACTTCGTATTCAGCCAGACTTAAACAGACTCCTATGCATCTAACAGGAGCTAGTCTTCATTCCTGGCCATTTGCCCACAAATTCCATCTGCTTCCACTTCCGATCTCTGCCCTTCACCTCAGCTTGGTTATACCCTTCCTGCCATAGTTTGAAAAATGCCTTAAGGTGGAAATCTTGGTAAGTCATGGGGCTTATCTCATTTATTTCCCTTCTCCCACACATCCTGGTTCTTTACTGCTTGTTGTTAAATATTTAAATATAGTAAAATTTTGTGTGTGTTTGTGTGTGTAACATCTATTTCAGTTTTCTAATTTTTCACCATCGAAGATCAAATTTGGCTCCATTTACTCCATTATGCCCAGAGAAGTCAAACTATCATATTTTTTTAACTTAATATTCCCAGTGGGTTTTTTTTAAAGATTTTTTTTCTTCTTGTTTCATAATGATTATATTTTTTCTTATCTCCTGAACTACTTTAAAATCTCGGTCCATCTTTTCTCTAGTACTTTTACCTGAGAAAGCATATGAAAAATTCAAGTCCTCGTGTGCCTTCTGAGGTGGTTGTGCTACTCTAATATCTGGTTATTATAGTCTCCGAGTTTATATTACTTGAGGGCATCAGCTCCTCTGAATGGTAATGTGATTTGCAGAAAAACCTAGAAAAAAAAGAAGCTCTCATCTGTGTTAGAGCTTAGTGATTTTAATGGGAAGAGGTGAATCTGTGGACTGAGAAATTGCAGGTGCCAGAGATCCCTTTTTTACCACTCCCGTTTGCTGCCGCTCTACCATGCAATTCTTCTGGTTATAACTTCATCTTCTAAACCTTGAAAAAGCCGTCAGAGACAGTTTCCTCATAGTATAACACCAACATTGAAGGTTTTGATCTGAAGGCGTGGACAATAAAGGCCTGAGGAGAAGAGGTTAACCATGTCTCTTCTCATCAACTTCTTACCCTAGTGGAGTTTTGCAACTACCCTATTAACCCCTCAGAAACCTGCACTGGGGTTCTGGTTCACTGCTGTAGGCCCCTCCCATTAAAGCAGCAGCCAATAATTGTCTTAAGATACCACAGGCAAACAGTGTGAAATATCCACGTCTTCATTTTCTTACTTGTTCTTGTCTGAAAACATCTGGGCCTCCTTTTCTTACTTTGGCTGAATTTGCCAGCCAAAAATAGCCCAGGGTTTCCTATAGATTTTTGATATTGCTTTTGTTACTGTCAGTTGCTGTGATCCACATTTTCTTTTTATTTCTAAGATTTCTCTAGGATTGAATAAAATAGCAGTGTGAGTGAGCCATCACTGCTATTTTGCTAGTCAGCTGGCAGTGGAAATCTCTAACTCTCAGCTTCCTTTTATGTGAAATGAAGGTAATATTAGTATCTACCTTACAGAGTTTTGAGAAGATCAAACGAGAAAGTACACATATCCTGGAATCTGGTACAGTGTAAAAACTGTAATAGTAGCTGTTAACTAATTGTATTCATGTAATAATTAGTTATATAACATTTAACAAAACAAAAAATGAGACCTTCTTCTACATATCAATGTATTATCACTCAAAGCGTATACTTATTAAACATAACTAAGGCACCTGATTGTTGTTGTCCAAGTATATCTTTCCATCTAGTTCACAACCATTTTATGAAAGACACCTTGTCAAATGCAGTGATAAAATTCAGAAACATTATTTTCACACAGGGCTATCCACCAGGATAGAAATTATCCAAAAATGGGCCGGGTGCGGTGGCTCATGCCTCTAATCCCAGCACTTTGGGAGGCCGAGGCAGGTTGATCACAAGATCAGGCGTTCCAGACCAGCCTGGCCAGCTTAGTGAAACCCTGTCTCTACTAAAAATACAAAAAATTAGCCCAGCGTGGGGGCAGGCGCCTGTAGTCCCAGCTACTCCGGAGGCTGAGGCAGGAGAATGGCGTGAACCCAGGAGGTGGAGCTTGCAGTGAGCCGAGATCGCGCCACTGCACTCCAGCCTGGGCGACAGAGCAAGGCTCCGTCTCAAAAAAAAAAAAAAAAGAAAAAGAAAAAAGAAATTATCCAAAAATAAAACGAGGTAGATCTAGTAAGACTTCTGCATTGTAAACTCAAGCTTAAAAATGAAATAATAATCATTGTTATCAAAGTGCTCATAAACCCCTTATAAGTGAATAGATTGCACCAAATTGCCAGAAATCTAACCAGGCGATCATTCACAGGACCACACGGTCATATCCTATCCTCTTGCACCTTCCTTTTAATAAAGGGTTTAGTACTCTCGTAAATAAGACTCTTTGTAGTCAGGAAAATCACTCATTTTGGTTAGGAGATTTAAATTCAGTCAGTGAAACTAGTTCTTTCTTACATCTCTTATCCTAACAAGCCTTTTCACAGTGAGTATAAGGTAAAATATTATTCTAGGAAGTTCTGTTTATTATCCCTGACTTTTGTCAGACCATCATTGCTGGGACTATTCCTTTCTTGGTCTTTTCCTCCAACATAATTTGTAGATATCTTTGGCCTTTTAAAAAATTAAGTAAAAATATATATTTATGGTGTACAACACAATGTTTGATGTATGTATACATTGTGAAATGGCCAAATCAAGTTACTTAACATATGCATTACCTCAGATCATTACTTATCATTTTTTTGCGGTGAGAACCCACAAAATCCATTGTCTTAGCAATGTTCAAGTATATGATTCATTGTTATTAACTATAGTCACTATAATATATAATAGATCTCTTAAAGTTATTCTTCCTAACTAAAATTTAATGGCCTTTGACCAACATTTCCCCAAGCTTTCTGCTCCCCAGCCACTGATAAGCACCATTTCATACCAATATAAAATTTGATATAAAATTTTCATAAAATTTGATTTGAAAATCAAACTTTCTGTAAGTTTGATTTTTAAAATACTTTTCATATGAGATCATGTAGTATTTGTCTTTCTGTACCTGGCTTATTTCACTTAACCATGTCCTCCAGATTCATCCATTTTGCTGCAAATGACAAGATTTTCTCCTTTTTTTTTTTTCACTAGAGGATTTTTATTATTATTATTATACTTTAAGTTCTAGGATACATGTGCACAATGTGTAGTCTTGTTGCATGGGTATACATATGCCATGTTGGTTTGCTGCACCCATCAACTCATCATTTACATTAGGTATTTCTCCTAATGCTATCCCTCCCCCAAACCCCCACCCCCTGACAGGCCCTGGTGTGTGATGTTCCCTGCCCTATGTCCAAGTGTTCTCGTTGTTCAGTTCCCACCTATGAGTGAGAATATGCGGTGTTTGGTTTTCTGTCCTTGTGATAGTTTGCTGAGAATGATGGTTTCCAGCTTCATCCATGTCTCTGCAAAGGACATGAACTCATCCTTTTTTATGGCTGCATAGTATTCTGTGGCATATATTTGCCACATATTCTTAATCCAGTCTATCACTGATGGACATTTCGGTTGGTTCCAAGTCTTTGCTATTGGGAATAGTGCCACAATAAACATATTTGTGCATGTGTCTTTATAGTAGCATGATTTATAATCCTTTGTGTATATACCCAGTAATGGAATCACTGGGTCAAATGGTATTTCTAGTTCTAGATCCTTGAGGAGTCACCACACTGTCTTCCACAATGGTTGAACTATTTTACACTCCCACCAACAGTGTAAAAGCATTCCTATTTCTCCACATCCTCTCCAGCACCTGTTGTTTCCTGACTTTTTAATTATCACCATTCTAACTGGCATGAGATGGTATCACACTGTGGTTTTGATTTGTATTTCTCTGATGACCAGTGATGATGAGCATTTTTTCATGTGTCTGTTGGCTGCATAAATGTCTTCTTTTGAGAAGTGTTTGTTCATATACTTTGCCCAATTTTTGATGGGTTTGTTTTTTTCCTGTAAATTTGTTTAAGTTCTTTGTAGATTCTGGATATTAGCCCTTTGTCAGATGGGTAGATTGCAAAAATTTTCTCCCATTCTGTAGGTTGCCTGTTCACTCTGATGGTAGTTTCTTTTGCCGTGCAGAAGAAGTTTCATTAGATTCATTAGATCATTTCATTAGTTTCATTAGATCCCATTTGTCTATTTTGGCTTTTGTTGCCATTGCTTTTGATGTTTTAGTCATGAAGTCCTTGCCCATGCGTATGTCCTGAATGGTATTGCCTAGGTTTTCTTCTAGGGTTTTTATGGTTTTAGGCCTAATATTTAAATCTGTAATCCATCTTGAATTAATTTTTGTATAAGGTGTAAGGAAGGGATCCAGTTTCAGCTTTCTACATATGGCTAACCAGTTTTCCCAGCACCATTTATTAAATAGGGAATCCTTTCCCCATTGCTTGTTTTTGTCAGGTTTGCTAAAGATCAGATGATTGTAGATGTGTGGTGGTAACTTCTGAGGCCTCTATTCTGTTCCATTGGTCTATACATCTGCTTTGGTACCAGTACCATGCTGTTTTGGTTACTGCAGCCTTGTAGTATAATTTGAAGTCAGGGGTAGCATGATGCCTCCAGCTTTGTTCTTTTGGCTTAGGATTGTCTTGGCGATGCGGGCTCTTTTTTGGTTCCATGTGAACTTCAAAGTAGTTTTTTCCAATTCTGTGAAGAAAGTCATTGGTAGCTTGATGGGGATGGCATTGAATCTATAAATTACCTTAGGCAGTATGGCCGTTTTTACAATATTGATTCTTCCCATCCATGAGCATGGAATGTTCTTCCATTTGTTTGTGTCCTCTATTATTTTGTTGAGCTGTGGTTTGTAGTTCTCTTTGAAGAGGTCCTTCACTTCCCTTGTAAGTTGGATTCCTACGTATTTTATTCTCTTTGTAGCCATTGTGAATGGGAGTTCACTCATGATTTGGCTGTCTGTCTGTTAATTGGTGTATAGGAACGCTTGTGATTTTTGCACATTGATTTTGTATCCTGAGACTTTGCTGAAGCTGCTTATCAGCTTAAGGAGATTTTGGGCTGATATGATGGGGTTTTCTAAATATACAATCATGTCATCTGCAGACAGGGACAATTTGACTTCCTCTTTTCCTAATTGAATACCCTTTATTTCTTTCTCTTGCCTGATTGCCCTGGCTAGAACTTCCAACACTATGTTGAATAGGAGTGGTGAGAGAGGGTATCCTTTTCTCGTGCCAGTTTTCAAAGGGAATGCTTCCAGTTTTTGGCCATTCCATATGATATTGGCTGTAAGTTTGTCATAAATAGCTCTTATTACTTTGAGATACATTCCATCAGTACCTAGTTTATTGAGAGTTTTTAGCATGAAGGGCTGTTGAATTTTGTTAAAGGCCTTTTCTGCATCTATTGAGATAATCATGTGGTTTTTGTCGTTGGTTCTGTTTATGTGATGGATTATGTTTATTGATTTGCATATGTTGAACCAGCCTTGCATCCCAGGTTGAAGCCGACTTGATCATGGTGGATAAGCTTTCTGATGTGCTGCTGGATTCAGTTTGCCAGTATTTTGTTGAGGATTTTTGCATCGATGTTCATCAGAGATATTGGTCTAAAATTCTGTTTTTGTTGTGTCTCTGCCAGGCTTTGGTATCAGGATGATGCTGGCTTCATAAAATGAGTTAGGGAGGATTCCCTCTTTTTCTGTTGATTGGAATCGTTTCAGAAGGAATGGTACCAGATCCTCTTTGTACCTCTGGTAGAATTCAGCTGTGATTCCCTCTGGTCCTGGACCTTTTTGGGTTGGTAAGCTATTAATTATTGCCTCAATTACAGAGCCTGTTATTGGTCTATTCAGAGATTCAATCTCTTCCTGGTTTAGTCTTGGGAGAGTGTATGTGTCCAGGAATTTATCCATTTCTTCTAGATTTTCTAGTTTATTTGTGTAGAGGTGTTTATAGTATTCTCTGATGGTAGTTTGTATTTATGTGGGATTGGTGGTGATATCTCATCTTTTTTTTATTGTGTCTATTTGATTCTTCTCTCTTTTCTTCTTTATTAGTCTTGCTAGAGGGCTATCAATTTTGTTGATCTTCTCAAAAAACCAGCTCCTGGATTCATTGATTTTTTGAAGGGTTTTTTATGTCTCTATGTCCTTCAGTTCTGCTCTGTTCTTAGTTATTTCTTGTCTTCTGCTGGCTTTTGAATTTGTTTGCTCTTGCTTCTCTAGTTCTTTTAATTGTGATGTTAGGATGTTGATTTTAGATCTTTCCTGCTTTCTCTTGTGGACATTTAGTGCTATAAATTTCCCTCTACACACCGCTTTAAATGTGTCCCAGAGATTCTGGTACGTTCTGTCTTTGTTCTCATTGGTTTCAAAGAACATCTTCATTTTTGCCTGTACCCAGTAGTCATTCGGGAGCAGGTTGTTCAGTTTCCATGTAGTTGTATGGTTTTGAGTGAGTTTCTTAATCCTGAGTTCTAATTTGATGGCACTGTGGTCTGAGAGGAAATTTGTTGTGATTTCTGTTCTTTTACATTTTTTGAGGAGTGCTTTACTTCCAATTATGTGGTCAATTTTAGAAAAAGTGTGATGTGTTGCTGAGAAGAACATATATTCTGTTGATTTGGGGTGTAAAGTTCTATAGATGTCTATTAGATCTGCCTAGTGCAGAGCTGAGTTCAAGTCCTGGATATCCTTGTTAACCTTCTGTCTCATTGATCTGTCTAATATTGACAGTGGGGTGTCAATATTAGACATTATTAGTGTCTCCCATTATTATTGTGTGGGAGTCTAAGTCTCTTTGTAGGTCTCTAAGGACTTGCTTTATGAATGTGGGTGCTCCTGTATTGGGTGCATATATATTTAGGATAGTTAGCTCTTCTTGTTGAATTGATCCCTTTACCATTATGTAATGGCTTGCTTTGTCTCTTTTGACCTTTGTTGGTTTAAAGTCTGTTTTATCAGATACTAAGATTACAACCCCTGCTTTTTTTTTTGCTTTCCATTTTCTTGGTAGATCTTCCTCTATTCCTTTATTTTGAGCCTATTTGTGTCTTTGCATATGAGATGGGTCTCCTGAATACAGGACACTGATGGGTCTTGACTCTTTATCCAATTTGCCAGTCTGTGTCTTTTAATTGGGGCATTTAGCCCACTTACATTTAAGGTTAATATTGTTATGTGTGAATTTGATCCTGTCATTATGATGTTAGCTGGTTATTTTGCCCGTTAATCAATGCAGTTTCTTCATAGCATCAAAGGTCTTTACAATTTGGCATGCTTTGCAGTGGCTGGTACCAGTTGTTACTTTCCGTGTTTAGTGCTTCCTTCAGGAGGTCTTGTAAGGCAGGCCTGGTGGTGACAAAATCTCTCAGTATTTGCTTGTCTGTAAAGTATTTTATTTCTCCTTTGCTTATGAAGCTTAGTTTGGCTGGATATGAGATTCCGGGTGGAAAATTCTTTTCTTTAAGAATGTTGAATATTGGTCCCCACTCTCTTCTGGCTTCTAAGGTTTCTGCTGAGAGATCCACTGTTAGTCTGATGGGATTCCCTTTGTGGGTAACCTGACCTTTCTCTCTGGCTGCTTTTAACATTTTTTCCTTCATTTCAACCTTAGTGAATCTGACAATTATGTGTCTTGGGGTTGCTCTTCTCAAGGAGTATCTTTGTGGTATTTTCTGTATTTCCTGAATTTGAATGTTGGCCTGCCTTGCTAGGTTGGGGAAGTTCTCCTGGATAATATCCTGAAAAGTGTTTTCCAACTTGGTTCCATTCTCCCCATCACTTTCAGGTATACCAATCAAACATAGATTTGGTCTTTTCACATTGTCCCATATTTCTTGGAGGCTTTGTTTGTCTCTCTTTACTCTTTTTTCTCTAAACTCCTCCTCTTGCTTTATTTCATTAATTTGATATTCAATCACTGATATCCTTTCTTCCACTTGATCAAATCTGCTACTGAAACTTGTGCATGTGTCACAAAGTTCTTGTGCCATGGTTTTCAGCTCCATCAGGTCATTTAACATCTTCTCCACACTGTTTATTCTAGTTAGCCATTAATCTAACTGTTTTTCAAGGTTTTTCGCCTCCTTGTGTTGGGTTAGAACATGTTCCTTTAGCTCAGAGAAGTTTGTTATTACCAACCTTCTGAAGCCTACTTCTGTCAATTCATCAAAGTCCTTCTCTGTCCAGCTTTGTTCCATAGCTGGTGAGGAGCTGCCATCCTTTGGAGGAGAAGAGGCACTCTGGATTTTAGAATTTTCAGGCTTTCTGCTCTGGTTTCTTGCCACCTTTGTGGCTTTACCTACCTTTGGTCTTTGATGTTGGTGACCTCAGATGGGGTTTTGGTGTGAATGTCCTTTTTGTTGATGTTGATGCTATTCCTTTCTGTTTGTTAGTTTTCCTTCTAACAGCCTGGTCCCTCAGCTCCAGGTCTGATGGAGTTTGCTGGAGGTCCACTCCAGACCCTGTTTGCCTGGGTATCACCAGTGGAGGCTGCAGAACAGCAAACATTGCAGAGCAGCAAGTATTTCTGCCTGATTCTTTCTCTGGAAGCTTCATCCCAGAGGGGCATCTGCCTGTATGAGGAGTCTGTCGGCCCCTACTGGGAGGTGTCTCCCAGTTAGGCTACATGGGCCTCAGGGACCCACTTGAAGAGGCAGTCTATCTGCTCTCAGAGCTCAAACGCCATGCTGGAGAACCACTGCTCTCTTCAGAGCTGTCAGACAGGGATGTTTAAGTCTGCAGAAGTTTCTGCTGGCTTTTTTCAGCTATGCGCTGCCTACAGAGGTGGAGTCTATAGAGGCACTAGGCCTTGCTGAGCTGTGGTGGGCTCTGCCCAGTTTAAGCTTCCCAGCTGCTTTGTTTACTTAATCAAGCCTCAGCAATGGTGGGCACCCCTCCCCTCCCAGGCTGCTGCCTTGCAGGTGGATCTCAGACTGCTTCACTAGCAGTGAGCAAGGCTCCATGGGCATGGGAACTGCTGAGCTAGGCAAGGGAGAGAATCTCCTGGTATGCCGGTTTCTGAGACCATGGGAAAAGTGCAGTATTTGGGTGAGAGTGTCCCGTTTTTCCAGATACAGTCTGTGACAGCTTCCCTTGGCTAGGAAAGGGAAATCCCCTGACCCCTTGAGCTTCCCGGGTGAGGTGACAACCCACCCTGCTTCGGCTTGCCCTCCGTGGGCTGCACCCACTGTCCAACCAGTCCCAATGAAATGAACCAGGTACCTCAGTTGGAAATGCAGAAATCACCCATCTTCTGCATCGATCACGCTGGGAGCTGCAGACTGGAGCTGTTCCTATTCAGCCATCTTGAAACTGATCTGGTTATCTCCTTTTTAAAAGGCAGGATAGTATTCCTTTTTTTTTTGTGTGTGTGTGTGTATGTATATATATATATATATATATCACTTTTTTAGCACTTTGATCTGTTTCAGGATGCTTAAGTTGATTTCATATCTTGGCTATTGTGACTAATGCTGCAATGAACATGGGAGTGTAGATATCTCTTTGGCATACTAATTTCATATTTTTTAGATACATACCCAGTAGTGAGATTGCTGAATCATACATTTTACTTGTAATTTTTTGAGAAACCTCCATACTATTTTCCATAATGGCTGTAGCAATTCATATTTCCACTAACAGTATACAGGGATTCTTTTTTCTCCACATCCTCATTAACACTTGTTATCTTTTGTCTTTTTAGTAATACCCCTTCTAACAGGTATAAAGCAATATTGTGGTTTTAATTTCTGTTTCACTGATCATTAGTGATGTTCAACATTTTTCTTTTTTCTTTTTTTCTTTCTTTTTCTTTTCTTTCTTTTTTTTTTTTTTTTTTTTTTTTTTTGAGACAGAATGTTGCTCTATCACCCAAGCTGGAGTGCAGTGGCACAATCTTGGCTCACTGCAACCTCCACCTCCCGGGTTCAAGCAATTCTCTTGTCTCAGCCTCCTGAGTAGCTGGGACTACAGGTGCCTGCCACCACACCCGGCTAATTTTTGTATTTTTAGTAGAGATGGGGTTTCACCTTTTTGGTCAGGCTGGTCTCGAACTCCTGACCTCAGGTGATCCATTCACCTTGGCCTCCCAAAGTGCTGGGATTACAGGTATGAGCCACCATGCCCGGCTGAACATTTTTCTTTATTACCTGTTGTTTATTTATATGTATTCTTTTGAGAAACATCTATTCAAGTCCTTCACCCAGATTTTAATCAGATTGTTTTCTTACTACTGAGTTTGAGTTTCTTACGTATTTTGAATATTAGCCTCTCATTAGATGTATGATTTTCAAATATAGTCTCTCAGTCTATAAGTCATCAGTCCTCAACCTTTCAGCACCAGGGACAACTTTCATGGAAGACAATTTTTCCATGGTCTGGGGGAGGGAAAATTGTTTTGGGATGAAACTGTTCCACTTCAGATCATCAGGCATTAGAGTCTCATGAGGAGCAACCTAGATTCTTCACGTGTGCAGTTCACAATAGGGTTTGTGCTCCTGTGAGGATCTAATGCTGTCACTGATCTGACAGGAGGGGGAGCTCAGGTGGTAATGCTTACTGGCTTGCCACTGGCCTCCTGCTCTGTGGCCTTGTTCATAACAGGCCATGGACCAATAGCAACCCACGGCCCAGAAGACCCCTACTATAGGCTGTCTCTTCACTCTGTTCATTGTTTCCTTTGCTGGACCAAAGCTTTTTAGTTTGATGTAATTTCATATGTCTATGTTTGCTTTTGTTGCCTGTGATTTTGAGGTTGTTTTAAAAACATTTTTGCCCAGACCAATGTCATGGAGCTTTTTGTGTTTTCTTTTGCTACTTTTAGAGTTTCAGTTCTTACATTTAAGTCTTTAATTCATTCTGAGTTGATTTTTGCATATGGTAAAAAATAAAGATCTAATTTCATTTTTATATATTTGGATATCTAGTTGTCCCAGTACCATTTTTTAAAGAAATTCTCCTTTCCAATTGTGTGTTCTTGGCACTTTTGTTGCAAATCATATGACTGTAAATGAAAGATGTATTTATGGGCTCTCTGTTCTGCTCTATTGGTTTATGTGTCTGTTTTTATGTCAGTACCATACTGTTTTAATTACTATAGTTTTGTATTAGATTTTCTCACGAGGTAGTATAATGCCTCTGGCCTTGTTCTTTTTTCTCTGGATTACTTTTTGTATTCAGGGTCTTTTGCAGTTCCTTCAAAATTTTAATATTTTTTTAAAAGAAATTTCTGTTATTGAAATGTGATTGAAACTCTGATAAAGATTGCATTTAATCTGTTGATTGCTTTGGTTTATATGGGCATTTAAAGGTTTTTTTTTCAATCTATGAACATGAGATATCTTTCCATTTATTTGTGTCTTCTTTCATTTCTTTCATCAATGTAGTTTTCAGTACAGAGACCTTTTACCTCTTTGGTTAAATATATTTCTTAGTATTTTATTTATTTTTATATCTATTGTAAGTGGAATTGTTTTCTTGACTTTTTTTCAGATAGTTTGTTAGTGTATAGGAAGACTACTCATATTTGTGTGTTGACTTTGTATCCTGAAATTTTACTGAATTTTTATATTAGTTCTAACAGCTTTTTGGTAAAATAATTTGGGATTTTTATGTGTATGCTTATATCATCTGCAGAGACAATTTAACTATTTCCTTTCTGATTTAGATGCTTTTTATTTCTTTCTCTTGCCTAATTGCTCTGGCTGGGATTTCTAGTACTGTGTTGTAAGTGTGAGAGTGGGCATCCTTGACTTGCTTCTAATACTAGAGGAAATATTTAATTTTGCACCAGTGATTATAATGGTCTTTATTGTGTTGAGGTACATTCCTTCTGTACCTAATTTCTTGAGAGTTTTTAAAAATAAAAGCATGTTGAATTTTGTAATACACCTTATCTGAACTTACTGAGATAATCATATGGGTTTTATGCTTCATTCTGTTAATGTGGTGTATCACATTTATTAATTTCCATATGTGGAATCATATTTGCATCCCTGGGATGCATCCCACTTGATCATGGTTAATGATCCTTTTAATGTGCTGTTGAATTTAATTTGCTAGTACTTTGTTGAGGATTTTTGCATCTATTTTTATCAGGAATATTGACCCGTAATTTTATTTCCTTGTAGTGTCCTTGTTTCGCTTTGGCATCAGGGTAATGCTGGACTTCTAAAATAAATTTGTAAGTATTCCCTTTTCTTTATTTTTTTGAAAGAGTTTGAAGATTAAAACTATTGATAAAATTCAGTGATGAAATTATCAGGTCCTCAGCTTTTCTTTGATGGGAAACTTTTTATTAATGATTCAATTTCATTATTAGTTGTCGGTCTGTTCAAATTTTCTATTTGTTCATAGTCTAAACATATCTAAACATAGACGTGTGTCTAAACATATCTAAACATAGAAAAGGTACAGCAAAAATATGACATAAAAGATAAAAAATGATACACATGTATAGGTCACTTTCCACAAATGGAGGAAGTGGGAAATGCAGGACTGGAAATTGCTCTGCATGGGTCAATGAGTGAGTGCTGAGTGAATTTGAAGACCAAGGACATTACTGTATATTACTGTAGTTTATAACACTGTACAATTAGGCTACACTAGATTTATTAAAAGTATTTTTTCTTTTTTCAATAATAAATTAACTTACTATAACATTTTTACTTTATATAAATGTTTTAATTTTTAGCTCTTTGATTATTTTATAATAACATAGCTTAAAATGCAATCTCATTGTATAGCTGTACAAAGTATTTTCTTCTTTATACCCTTACTCTGTAAGTTTTTACTCTTTTTACTTTTTACTCTTTAGACTTTTTTGGCAAAAGCTAAGACCCAAACACACACATTAACTAAGGCTTACAGAATCAGGATAATCAATATCACCATCTTCAACCTCCAAATCTTGTCCCACTGGAAGGCCTTCAGGGGCATTAACATGCATGGAGCTGTCATCTCCTATTACAATAATGCTTTCTTTTGGAATACCTCCTAGAGGACATGCCTGAGTTAAAAAGTTAACTGTAAAACTAGAACTGTATAACTGTTTTACAGTTAACTTTTTTAATAAGTCAAAGAATTTCATGTAAAATAATAGTAAAGTAGTATATTAAGTACATAAACCAGTAACATAGTTTACTATTGTTATCAAGTATTATGTACTACACATAGTTGTATGTGATATACTTTTATACAAGTGGCAGCACAGTCAGTTTTTTTTACACCAATGTCACCACAAACATGCGAGTAATATATTACACTATGGTGTTACAATGACCATGACATCACTAGACAATTTCAGCTCTATTATAATCTTATAGGATGGCCATCATTTTTGTGACTCATCATTAACAGAAATGTTGTTATGTGGTGCCTGACTCTATTTTCAATTTACCTGTGTTCAAGTTCACAGTTTTTTTTCCTTTTTTTTTTTTTTTTTTTTTTTTTTGAGACGGAGTCTCGCTCTGTCGCCCAGGCTGGAGTGCAGTGGCGCGATCTCGGCTCACTGCAAGCTCCGCCTCCCGGGTTCACGCCATTCTCCTGCCTCAGCCTCCTGAGTAGCTGGGACTACAGGCGCCCGCTACCACACCCGGCTAATTTTTTGTATTTTTAGTAGAGACGGGGTTTCACCGTGTTAGCCAGGATGGTCTCGATCTCCTGACCTCGTGATCCACCCGCCTCGGCCTCCCAAAGTGCTGGGATTACAGGCGTGAGCCACCGCGCCCGGCCCACAGTTTTTTTTTCTTTTGCTTGATCAATTCTACTGTCAATGCTCTCTATTGCATTTTTAAATTTCATTCATCATATTTTCATCTCCAAAATTTCTGTTTGATTTTTTGTTTTTATAATTTCAATCTTTCTGTTAAATTCTCCTTTTGTCATTTATAGTTTTTCTAATTTTATAGAATTGTTTATGTTTTCTTGAAGTTTGTTGCACTATCTTAAAACAATTATTTTGAATTTTTTGTCAGGTAGTTTGTATATCTGCCTTTCTTTTGGCAGCTACTAGAAGATTACTGTGTTCTTTTGGTGGTGTTACATCTCCTTGGTTTTGTGTTTTTTGTTGCCTTGTGTTGATGTCTGGCGTTTGGTAGAGCAGTTAACTCTTGCAGGTTTTGCCAGCTAGTTTCACTCTGGAAAACCTGGAAAACATCTGGCACCAGTGAGTGTGCCAGATGTTTAGTATCTGTGTAGCTCTGCCAGGTAAGGTTGGCATTGATAAAGATTGCAGGGATCCTTTGTAGGCAATGCCGTGGATGTCTGCAATGGCACTGTGGGTTTTTGGGATCTTTGGTTAGATAGTTGCCAGGGTCTTCCCAATGTCTTTTTCTTCCACCCCTGAGAAGTTGTGCCTGAGGGGATCCCTTTTGGCATAGGATCTGACTTGTGAGCTCACTTTCTTTTTTTTTTTTTTTTTATTATTATACTTTAAGTTTTAGGCTACATGTGCACAATGTGCAGGTTAGTTACATATGTATACATGTGCCATGCTGGTGTGCTGCACCAATTAACTCGTCATTTAGCATTAGGTATATCTCCTAATGCTATCCCTCCCCCTCCCCCCACCCCACAACTGTCCCCAGAGCGTGATGTTCCCCTTCCTGTGTCCGTGTGTTCTCATTGTTCAATTCCCATCTATGAGTGAGAACATGCGGTGTTGGTTTTTTGTCCTTGTGATAGTTTACTGAGAATGATGATTTCCAGTTTCATCCATGTCCCTACAAAGGACATGAACTCATCCTTTTTTATGGCTGCATAATATTCCATGGTGTATATGTGCCACGTTTTCTTAATCCAGTCTATCATTGTTGGACATTTGGCTTGGTTCCAAGTCTTTGCAATTGTGAATAGGGCCGCAATAAACATACGTGTGCATGTGTCTTTATAGCAGCATGATTTATAGTCCTTTGGGTATATACCCAGTAATGGGATGGCTGGGTCAAATGGTATTTCTAGTTCTAGATCCCTGAGGAATCTCCACACTGACTTCCACAATGGTTGAACTAGTTTACAGTCCCACCAACAGTGTAAAAGTGTTCCTATTTCTCCACATCCTCTCCAGCACCTGTTGTTTCCTGACTTTTTAATGATCACCACTCTAACTGGTGTGAGATGATATCTTATTGTGGTTTTGATTTGCATTTCTCTGATAGCCAGTGATGGTGAGCATTTTTTCATGTGTCTTTTGGCTGCATAAATGTCTTCTTTTGAGAAGTGTCTGTTCATATCCTTTGCCCACTTTTTGTTGGGGTTGTTTGTTTCTTCTTGTAAATTTGTTTGAGTTCATTGTAGATTCTGGATATTAGCCCTTTTTCAGATGAGTAGGTTGTGAAAATTTTCTCCCATTTTGTAGTTTGCCTGTTCACTCTGATGGTAGTTTCTTTTGCTGTGCAGAAGTTCTTTAGTTTAATGAGATCCCATCTGTCAATTTTGGCTTTTGTTGCCATTGTTTTTGGTGTTTTAGACATGAAGTCCTTGCCCATGCCTATGTCCTGAATGGTAATGCCTAGGTTTTCTTCTAGGGTTTTTATGGTTTCAGGTCTAACATTTAAGCCTTTAATCCATCTTGAATTAATTTTTGTATAAGGTGTAAGGAAGGGATCCAGTTTGAGCTTTCTACATATGGCTAGCCAGTTTTCCCAGCACCATTTATTAAATAGGGAATCTTTTCCCCATTGCTCGTTTTTCTCAGGTTTGTCAAAGATCAGATAGTTGTAGATATGTGGCATTATTTCTGAGGGCTCTGTTCTGTTCCACTGATCTATATCTCTGTTTTGGTACCAGTACCATGCTGTTTTGGTTACTGTAGCCTTGTAGTATAGTTTGAAGTCTGGTAGCGTGATGCCTCCAGCTTTGTTCTTTTGGCTTAGGATTGACTTGACGATGTGGGCTCTTTTTTGGTTCCATATGAGCGTTAAAGTAGTTTTTTCCAATTCTGTGAAGAAAGTCATTGGTAGCTTGATGGGGATGGCATTGAATCTATAAATTACCTTGGGCAGTATGGCCATTTTCACAATATTGATTCTTCCTACCCATGAGCATGGAATGTTCTTCCATTTGTTTGTATCCTCTTTTATTTCATTGAGCAGTGGTTTGTAGTTTTCCTTGAAGAGGTCCTTCACATCCCTTGTAAGTTGGATTCCTAAGTATTTTATTCTCTTTGAAGCAATTGTGAATGGGAGTTCCCTCTTGATTTGGCTCTCTGTTTGTCTGTTATTGGTGTATAAGAATGCTTGTGATTTTTGTACATTGATTTTATATCCTGAGACTTTGCTGAAGTTGCTTATCAGCTGAAGGAGATTTTGGGCTGATATGATGGGGTTTTCTAGATATACAGTCATGTCGTCTGCAAACAGGGACAATTTGACTTCCTCTTTTCCTAATTGAATACCCTTTATTTCCTTCTTCTGCCTAATTGCCCTGGCCAGAACTTCCAACACTATGTTGTATAGCAGTGGTGAGAGAGGGCATCCCTGTCTTGTGCCAGTTATCAAAGGGAATGCTTCCAGTTTTTGCCCATTCAGTATGATATTGGCTGTGGGTTTGTCATAGATAGCTCTTCTTATTTTGAGATATGTCCCATCCATTCCTAATTTATTGAGAGTTTTTAGCATGAAGGGTTGTTGAATGTTGTCAAAGGCCTTTTCTGCATCTATTGAGATAATCATGTGGTTTTTGTCTTTGGTTCTGTTTATATGCTGGATTACATTTATTGATTTGCGTATGTTGAACCAGCCTTGCATCCCAGGGATGAAGCCCACTCGATCATGATGGATAAGCTTTTTGATGTGCTGCTGGATTCGGTTTGCCAGTATTTTATTGAGGATTTTTGCATCAATGTTCCTCAAGGATATTGGTCTAAAATTCTCTTTTTTGGTTGTGTCTCTGCCCAGCTTTGGTATCAGGATGATGCTGGCCTCATAAAATGAGTTAGGGAGGATTCCCTCTTTTTCTATTGATTGGAATAGTTTCAGAAGGAATGGTACCAGTTCCTCCTTGTACCTCTGGTAGAATTCAGCTGTGAATCCATCTGGTCCTGGACTCTTTTTGGTTGGTAAGCTATTGATTATTGCCACAATTTCAGCTCCTGTTATTGGTCTATTCAGAGATTCAACTTCTTCCTGGTTTAGTCTTGGGAGAGTGTATGTGTCGAGGAATTTATCCATTTCTTCTAGATTTTCTAGTTTATTTGCATAGAGGTGTTTGTAGTATTCTCTGATGGTAGTTTGTATTTCTGTGGGATCGGTGGTGATATCCCCTTTATCAATTTTTATTGCGTCTATTTGATTCTTCTCTCTTTTTCTCTTTATTAGTCTTGCTAGTGGTCTATCAATTTTGTTGATCCTTTCAAAAAAACCAGCTCCTGGATTCATTAATTTTTTGAAGGGTTTTTTTTTTCTCTATTTCCTTCAGTTCTGCTCTGATTTTAGTTATTTCTTGCCTTCTGCTAGCTTTTGAATGTGTTTGCTCTTGCTTTTCTAGTTCTTTTAATTGTGATGTTAGGGTGTCAATTTTGGGTCTTTCCTGCTTTCTCTTGTGGGCATTTAGTGCTATAAATTTCCCTCTACACACTGCTTTGAATATGTCCCAGAGATTCTGGTATGTTGTGTCTTTGTTCTCATTGGTTTCAAAGAACATGTTTATTTCTGCCTTCATTTCGTTATGTACCCAGTAGTCATTCTGGAGCAGGTTGTTCAGTTTCCATGTAGTTGAGAGGTTTTGAGTGAGTTTCTTAATCCTGAGTTCTAGTTTGATTGCACTGTGGTCTGAGAGACAGTTTGTTATAATTTCTGTTCTTTTCCATTTGCTGAGGAGAGCTTTACTTCCAAGTATGTGGTCAATTTTGGAATAGGTGTGGTGTGGTGCTGAAAAGAATGTATATTCTGTTGATTTGGGTGGAGAGTTCTGTAGATGTCTATTAGGTCGGCTTGGTGCAGAGCTGAGTTCAATTCCTGGGTATCCTTGTTAACTTTCTGTCTCGTTGATCTGTCTAATGTTGACAGTGGGGTGTTAAAGTCTCCCATTATTATTGTGTGGGAGTCTAAGTCTCTTTTAGGTCACTCAGGACTTGCTTTATGAATCTGGGTACTCCTGTATTGGGTGCATATATATTTAGGATAGTTAGCTCTTCTTGTTGAATTGATCCCTTTACCATTATGTAATGGCCTTCTTTGTCTCTTTTGATTTTTGTTGGTTTAACGTCTGTTTTATCAGAGACTAGGATTGCAACCCCTGCCTTTTTTTGTTTTCCATTTGCTTGTTAGATCTTCCTCCATCCTTTTATTTTGAGCCTACGTGTGTCTCTGCATGTGAGATGGGTTTCCTGAATACAGCACGCTGATGGGTCTTGACTCTTTATCCAATTTGCCAGTCTGTGTCTTTTAATTGGAGCATTTAGTCCATTTACATTTAAAGTTAATATTGTTATGTGTGAATTTGATCCCGTCATTATGATGTTAGCTGGTTATTTTGCTCGTTAGTTGATGCGGTTTCTTCCTAGTCTCAATGGTCTTTACATTTTGGCATGATTTTGCAGCGGCTGGTACCAATTGTGCCTTTCCATGTTTAGTGCTTCCTTCAGGAGCTCTTTTAGGGCAGGCCTGGTGGTGACAAAATCTCTCAGCATTTGCTTGTCTGTAAAGTAATTTATTTCTCCTTCAATTATGAAGCTTAGTTTGGCTGGATATGAATTCTGGGTTGAAAATTCTTTTCTTTAAGAATGTTGAATATTGGCCCCCACTCTCTTCTGGCTTGTAGAGTTTCTGCCGAGAGATCTGCTGTTAGTCTGATGGGCTTCCCTTTGTGGGTAACCCGACCTTTCTCTCTGGCTGCCCTTAACATTTTTTCCTTCATTTCAACTTTGGTGAATCTGACAATTATGTGTCTTGGAGTTGCTCTTCTCGAGGAGTATCTTTGTGGCGTTCTCTGTATTTCCTGAATGTGAATGTTGGCCTGCCTTGCTAGATTGGGGAAGTTCTCCTGGATAATATCCTGCAGAGTGTTTTCCAACTTGGTTCCATTCTCCCGGTCACTTTCAGGTACACCAATCAGATGTAGATTTGGTCTTTTCACATAGTCCCATATTTCTTGGAGGCTTTATTCATTTCTTTTTATTCTTTTTTCTCTAAACTTCCCTTCTCGCTTCATTTCATTCATTTCATCTTCCATCACTGATACCCTTTCTTCCAGTTGATCGCATTGGCTCCTGAGGTTTCTTCATTCTTCACGTAGTTCTCGAGCTTCTTTAAGCCCTTCTCTGTATTGGTTATTCTAGTTATACATTCGTCTAAACTTTTTTCCAAGTTTTCAACTTCTTTGCCTTTGGTTTGAATTTCGTCCTGTAGCTTGGAGTAGTTTGATCGTCTGAAGCCTTCTCTCAACTTGTCAAAGTCATTCTCCGTCCAGCTTTGTTCCGTTGCTGTTGAGGAACTGCGTTCCTTTGGAGGAGGACAGGCGCTCTGCTTTTTAGAGTTTCCAGTTTTTCTCCTCTGTTTTTTCCCCGTCTTTGTGGTTTTATCTACTTTTGGTCTTTGATGATGGTGACGTACAGATGGGTTTTTGGTGTGGATGTCCTTTCTGTTTGTTAGTTTTCCTTCTAACAGACAGCACCCTCAGCTGCAGGTCTCTTGGAGTTTGCTGGAGGTCCACTCCAGACCCTGTTTGCCTGGATATCAGCAGCGGTGTCTGCAGAACTGTGGATTTTCACTTTCAGTGGCTGTGGCACTGGTGTCTGATGAGTGAAACCCCAAAATGGCCATGGAGCTGAGGTCTGAAAAACAGACATGAGTGGAAACACTGCAGTTCTAGGATCCAGAGTAGCAATGGCACTGGTGCTCGTCGGGCAGCCACCTCTGACGTTGAATTGATATCTTTGTGTGAGATGAGGATGCTTGTGAAACAGTAGGGGGATCCTAGAATGAAAACACACATGTGTGCAGCATTAAAGCAGCTCCAGGGTCAGGGAGGGGCCTAGCTCTCTAGGTAAGCCAGTGTCTATAGCATGGGCGTTTGCAATGAGGGCTTCTTACTGGGGCCCAGAGTGCAAACTAGCTGTATATGGTGATGACTTCAAAGTCTGAGACATGGGCAGACCCAATGTAGCTACAGGGCCTGGATGTGGAATGTAGGCACTTACAGAGTAGCCATGGCTCCAGAAATGGGACATGCACAGGATTGGGAGAGAGAGTGGCTCCTTTCTCAAAATGACTCCATAGCAGCTGCTTCTTGGGTTAGGGAGGGGTATGCAGCCAATTCTCCCTCTCTGGGGTTCCTCAATAAAAATAGCTGTTGGTTACCTCATTGGCAAGAGATGCTAGTGTCCTCTGCAGAGAAGGCTGCTGGGAACTATGATGGTTTCTGCTGTGTGGCTGATACCAATAACTTTCACCTTTATTCTTTGCTCCTAGACATCTCCTGACATCTCATGTATGCCAATCTCACCAGTGGTCTTTTCTATGTAAATATTCTCTGTGTTTTTGCTCCACTGTGTTGCTTCAGATTTTTAATAGGCCATGGAGTCCTCTCTGCACCATTTTGGTTTGTGAATAGCCATCTGTGTTGCTTTTCTGTGGGATAATGAAGGCTGGTATCTCCTATTCCATCATCTTAGGTGACATCACTCTAATAGCTCTTTGGTTATCTTTAATGCGTTTCTGAAGGTTCACTCATTCTGGAGGTTAGCCAAGGGCTCTTTCATTTTATACTCAGCCAAGGTTCTCCAAGTCATATTACCATCCTGTGGCAATTGTGAACAGAGGGGCTTTGTACTGGAAGCAACCTTTCTCAGGATCCTGTAGACCATTGTTTAGCTCAGCTCTTCAGTTGAGAATCACCCTCCCTTGATGAGTTTACCTAGTATTCTATCCTGCCTGTAGACATTCTTCAGCATCATGCTAGTTTACAGTCTTCTCCTACACATACATTTGTGACCCACCTTTTCTCCAGAAGGCCTTGGTCTATTTGTGCATATTTTCCCACTCTGCTCCAGAACCTTGCCTAGTGGAGGAGGACAAGGTGAGCCATTTTTATCAAACCACTGCACTGTTTCCTTCAGTGCAGTGGGTACTTTGTGACTTTTTGGTTATTTACATAACTTTGTTTGGGCCTCTCCAGTGCCTTTTTCTATCATCAGTATGCTCTTAAATGAGACATTGTGTTCACTCGTGCAATTATAAGCATCTGGACACTTCATGGGGGCATTCTATTAGATGCCTTAATTCTTGGTTATGTGATACTCTTTCAAATCCTTCAATTCTGAGCCCACCAGAAGGCTTGCTTCCCAGACACCTTGATCTCTTTGAATTCCTACTTTATTTCTTTCTCTTTAAGACTTCTGAAAAATTTAAATGGATGTCTTTTTTTTTTATTGCTCTCTACCCCCTTTTTGCCATATTTCCTTTTGGAGTGTTTCCATCTTCCTTCTAGACTTTATAAAGTTATTTTGAAATTTATGCCACACATTTGACTTTGACCATATCCCTATAAATGTTTTTGACAGTCTCTCTTGGGGCATCTATCACATCTTCTCCATTCAGTTTCTACTCTTTTGTTCAGAGTTAGACCCAGAAGAGTAATTTTCGTTTTTGTGCTTCTCTTTCTCTCTCAGTCTGTCTCTGTTTCTCTTTCTAAGACACACTCATAGATAATACTAGAATCCATTTTTCTCTTTCTAAACGAGCATGCTTTTCTTCGGTCACTACTTAATTATTCATTTTTCATCTCTGTTTATTAGACCATTATTTACAATCCCTCTTTCTATCCCTAAACATATCCCAGGGCACAGTGGGATTATTTATGCATTTTCTGAAAGGATAAAATTGTTTCCACATTGTTACTTAATTTTGTTTTATTAACTTATTTTTGGGAGGGCAAGAATATGGCTACATCAAAGGAGTAGCTCAAAAGTCCTTCCTTCAAAATGATGCTTTGACATGACTCATGACCATTAGTATAACCTCTACTAAAACAAAGTATGACTATATATATATATATATATATATATATATATATTCATTTTACTTTTCTCTCTGAGAGGGATTAACAGTTCAGAAATAATGAACAGCATTTCTAAAACATAGTCTACCAGACATTTAAGCCCAGGATAATGCATTGAGAAAACTAAGGTGAAATAAAGTTATCTCTCATTCATTTTGTTTATCAACCTGTCATGTGTGTGTGTGTGTGTGTGTGTATACACATACGTGTCTGCACATGCACAGAGTACGTTTTCTAAAGAAGTTGATTTAGGAAACATGCAATTTTCCTCCTGTAGAGTGGAGAAGTAAATACTAGCTACTTCCTGTGGCCAATGTACAATAAGATAAAATCCCATTTCTTCAGAGATTAAACGTTGGGCAAACTCAGCGAACAGAAAACATAGTATTTTATTAAAGTGGGATTGTGGGAGAATTTAATTAATCAAATGTAAATTGAGTTTCAATTTCAAGTCTGCAGGAAACAACAATGCTAATTCATGGTGTTTGTTCTCAAGGGTTTCTTTGTTGGAAGAACAGCTGTGTACCTAATTCTAACACAAGACACACCATGGTGAGTACTTCAATGGAGATATAACAGTAACAGGGTAGAGGGTTGTGATGGTCAGTATATATGTCAGCTTGGCTTGGCTATAGTCCCCAGTATTCAATCAAACTATAATTCAGGTGTTTGTATGAAGGTATTTTGTATATGTGATTAACATTTATGAGAAATTAATTTTAAGTAAAGGAGATTATTCTAGATAGTCTGGGTGAGGCTGATTTAACCAGTTGAAAGGCCTTAAGAGAAAAGCTGAGATTTCCTAGAAGTAGAAATTATACCTGTGGACAGCAGCCTCAGCTCATGATGGAGAGTTGTGGCTTGACTTTCCTGATGGCCTATCCTATAAAATTTCTAACTTGCCATATGAGCCCCAACAATCACCTAAGCCAATTCCCTGCAGTAAATCTCTTGAGATATATCTCCTACTGGCTGAACCCTGACAGATACAGGGGTTCGTTCTGAATTCTTGGTGGTGGAGATTTTGAGTTAAGCCATGAAGGATCAGTAGGATTTAACAGATAAGGTAAAGGTTACTGGAAAGTGGGAAGATTATGAAAGTTTATATATTTCTGAGTCTAATGTTATCTTTCCACCCTTCAACTATTCCTCATGTCCTCACCTCCTCTTATACACCCTGTCATTTCTGCTTGCTGATTATAATAATGTTAATATTTACTATTCATTGAGCACTTTCAATGTGAAGGACAGTACTTCTTAATTCCCACAAACATAATAATCTTTATGAATGACGAAATTGGGTCTCAGATAGATTAAGTGCAGTTGCTATCTTTGTTTCATGTCTTTGTAGTTTTGCCAGCTCTATTTTCACACACGTAGGCATCCTAGTGGTAATAAGAGATGATGTCTTCGAGCCTGAAGGAAGGGGCAGAAAACCTCAAGAATGGTTACAGCACACTCCGGTGAAAATGAATGTTCAGTATACTGCCTCTGAGTAGTAAAGAAAATGTTAAGATCAGCATTTTATGTTAAAGAAAGAAATTAAGAAATATCACATTTAAAAAGTTTTTATATCAAAAGTAAACTTCGATTATTTAAAAATTTACAAAATGATAATCTTTGTAATCTGATAATATCAGATGAATTAGACATTAAAATGAAAAATGTTACAAGAGATAAAGAAAGACAGTATATATCAATATAAAATTCAACACAGCAAGAATCACATTTATTGATTTCTGTTTATGCAAATCAATAAATGTGATTCATCATATAAACAAAACTAAAAATAAAAACTGCATGATCATCCCAATAAATGCAGAAAAGTATTTTGATAAAATTCAACATCCTTTCATGTTAAAAATTCTCAACAAACCAGGAATTCAAGGTAAATACCTTAAAATAATAAGAGCCATGTATGACAAACCCATAGCCAACATCATACTGAACAGTCAAAACCTGGAAGCATTCCCCTTGAAAGCCAGAACAAGGCAAGAATAACCACTTTCACCACTCCAATTCAACATAGTCCTAGAAGGCCTAGCCAGAGCAACCAGGAAAAAGAGGGAAATAAAAGGCATCCAAATAGGAAGAGAGGAAGTCAAACTATTTGTTTTCACAGACAATGTAATTCTATACGTAGAAAACCCCATAATCTTTGCTCAAAGCCTCCTGGATCTGATAAAACTTCAGCGAAGTTTCAAGATACAAAATCAATGTATACAAATCAGTACCATTTCTATATATCAATAATATCCAAGCCAAATCAAGAATTTTGAGAGCCAAATCAAGAATGCAATCCCATTCACAATAGCCACAAAAAGAATAAAATACCTAGGAATACAACTAACCAGGAAGGTGAAAGATCTCAACAATGAGAATTACAAGAGACTGCTGAAAGAAATCAGAGATAACACAAACCAATGGAAAAATATTTCGCATTCATGGACATGAAGAATCAATATTGTTAAAATGGCCATACCGCCCAAAGCAATTTACAGACTTGACGGTATTCCTATCAAACTACCAATGATATTTTTCACAGAATTAAAAAAAAATTCTAAAATTCATTTGAAATCAAACTGGAGTTTAAATTGCCAAAGCAATCCTGAGCAAAAAGAACAAAGCTAGAGGCATCACACTCCCCGACTTCAAACTGTACCTCCAGGCTACAGTAACTAAAACAGCATGCTACTTTTACAAAAACAGACACACAGACCAATGGAACAGAATAGAGAACCCAGAAATAAAGGTGTACACTGATGACTATCTAATCTTTGACAAAGCCAATAATAACAAGCAATGGGAAAAGAACTCTCTATCAAATAAATGGTGCTGAAATAACTGGCTAGCCATATGCAGAAGATTGAAACTGGATCACTACCTTTCACCATATACCAAAATCAACTCAAGATGGATTGAAGACTTAAATGTAAAATCTAAAACTATAAAAACCCTAGAGAAAAACCTAGGAATTACCATTCTGGACATTGGTCCTGGCAAAAACTTCATAATGAAGACTCTAAAACCAATTGCAATAAAAGCAAAAATCGACAAGTGGTGCCTAATTAGACTGAAGAGCTTCTGCACAGCTAAAGAAACTATCAGCAGAGTAAACAAACAACCTACAGAATTGGAGAGAATATTTGCAAACTATGCATCCAACAAAGACATAATATCCAGAATCCATAAGGAATGTAAATTAACAAGCAAAAAGCAAATAACTCCATGAAAAATATGCAAAGGACATGAACAGATACTTTTCAAAAGAAGACACATCTGTGACAAGCGTATGAAAAAATGCTCAACATCATTAATCATTAGGAAAATGCAAAACAAAACCACAATAAGATACCATCTCACACTAGTCAGAATGGCTATTATTAAAAGCAAAAAGATAACAGGTGCTGTGAGGTTGCAGAGAAAAGGGAATTCTTATATGCTGCTGGTGGGAATGTAAATTAGTCCAGTTACTCTAGGAAGCAGTCTGAAGATTTCCCAGTCTGGAGATGTCTGGTTGCTGGATAGGACAATGAGACAGAAGATACGTAAGAAAATAGATGACTTGAACAATATAAAAAACCAACTAAATCTAATAGACATGTAGAGAACACTCTACCCAACAACAGAACACACATTCTTCTCAAATGCATAAGGGGCACTTTTCAAGATAAACAAATGTTTAACTTCCTAAAGAAGTTAAAATAGAACTACCATTTGACCCAGCAATTCCATCACCGGGTGTATACCCAAAGAAATATAAATGATCATACCAAAAGACACATGACACATGCCTTCATCACAGCACTATTCACAATTATAAAGACATGGAATCAACCTAGATGCCCATCGACGTTGGAGTGGATGAAGAAAAAGTGGTACATATACACCACGGGATACTACATAACCATAAACAAGGAACAAAATCATGTCCTTTGTAGCAATATGGAGGCACCTGGAGGCCATTACCCTAAGCGAATTAATGCAGGAAAGGCAAGCCAAATGCCACATGTTCTCATAAGTGGGAGCTAAATTTTGAGTACACATGGACACAAAGAAGGGAAGGGAACAATAGACACTGGGGCCTACTTGAGAGTGAAGGTTGGGAGGAGGTTGAGAATTGAAAAACTACCTATCAGGTATTATGCTGATTACCTGGGTAACAAAAGTATCTGTATGCAAAACCCTTGTGGCATGCAATTTACACATGTAACAAACCTGCACATCTACCTTTTAAATGTAAAATAAAAGCTGGAAAGAAAAAAAATACAGCAAGAAGATAAAATAACTATAGACATTTACACACTAGCAGACTATCAAAATATATAAAGCAAAAACGAACAAAATTTTGCCTCTGAAGGAAGGAATAGACAGATCCACAATAAGAGTTGGAAACTTCAATACCTCATTCTCAACAGTGGATAGAACAACCTGACAGAAGATAAATAAGAAAATAAAGGACTTGAACAATATAATAAACCAACTAAATCTAGCAGACATGTACAGAACACTCTTCCAGAAATAGCACATGCATTCTTCTCAAGTGCATAAGGGACATTTTTCAAGATAGACAAATGTTAGGCTAAAGTAAAGTCTCAATACATTTAATAAGATAGCTATCACACAAAGTATCCTCTCCCACCACCATAGGGCAAAGTTGGAAATCAATAATAGAACTAAAGCTAAGAATTCACAAAATTATGGAAAGTAAACAATGTTTGAACAACTAATGAATCAAAGAAGAAATCACAAGGGAAACTAGAGAATACTTACAGACAAATGAAAATGAAACCACAATATATTAAAATGTAAGGGATGCAGCAAAAGCAGTACTTAGGGAGAAATTTATAGGTATAAATGCTTACATTAAAAAACAAGAAAGATCTCAAATCAACCACTTAACTTTACAACTTACAGAACTAGACAAAGAACAAACTGAACCCAAAGCTAGGAGAAGAAAACATACAATGAAGATTATGGCATAAATAAATGAATCTGAGAATGGAAAAATTATTGAGTAAATCAACAAAACCAAAAGTTGGCTCTACAAAAAGATCAACAAAGTTAACAAATCTTTAGCTAGGTGGACTCTCAGTCCATCTCAGAAAAATTATCCTTTACATAAGCATTTTCTCTAGTCCCTTCACTTCAAGCTACCTTCTCTGAAAGAGAGTGACTATGAGCTTTAAGATTCATATTTGCATTGCATAGTGGCCTGTGTGTGTTGCTAAAAGACAAGATTGTTAAAGTGAATATAGTTGGAGAGGTGTTTCTTTTATTTTGCCATGAAATTTTTATGTACTCAAACATTAACTTAAATTTTTGAAAAATGTGGGAAAATAAAAAAGTCATTTGGAGGCATGCGTATATATAACTACCATTTGTTCACTCTCACTTTCAGACAATAAATATTGGACAGAAACATAATATTGTGGTTAAGTTTTGGACTCCGGAGTCACAAGACTTGGATAAAAATCCTGCTGTTGCTACTGGGCCATAATAGGAGAGTGAATCTTTTGCTCTTTTGATTTCCTTAAATTTTATTTCATGTTAGATTCAGAGGGTACATGTGCATGTTTGTTACATGGGTATATTGTGTACAGGTGGGGGTTGGGCTTACAGTGTACCCATTCTTTATCATTAAAATGGGATTGATAATAATACTTTTCTCAAAGGACAGTTGTAAAGACAAAAGTGCCTGGCATTAGTAACATTTGCAAAATGTTAGCTATCCTTATCAAAAGCACCTAACAGATATCAGGCTCAGGATTAGGGATTGGGATTAGAAAGATAAGGATCTAACCTCACCCTTTATCCTCCTTTCCCCACCTCTTAGGGAGTCAAGAGACTGGGGGGAGAGGCAGGATCTGACCATTAAGGGCCAGGACCAAAGAATGTACAATGTTGTTGCCTCTCTTTTTAGAAGTGAGATCCACGACATTGAACTAATTCTTAGTAAAAACATGTGGCTACCATGGCTGAGAATAGACCAGCTGTCCTCTTCACTTCAACCACTATAAAATTTATCCTTGGATTGGCAACACAGTTGATGTTGAGATGCCTGGGGAAAAGAAATCTCTTATCTTTACTCCATATTTTTTTTCCTGTTTGATTTCTGTTACCTAAAATTCTTGGAACAAAAGACCTACCTCTAAGTTACTTCTGATTCTAAAATTTGTATTTTATGATAGAGCATTTTCCTTGTGCTTATAGAACTATGTGGCTTAAAATATCAATTCCTGTAAATGAGGGGAAATGATCAGCTAACATTCACATGAAGGTTTGCAGGACGGAAAACAGATTCTTCTCATGGGCAGCCTGAGAGAAGGGCCTTTCAAGGAGGGTGAATAAAATTTCTTGAGGATATAGGATTCCAAAATGGAAAAGGAAGATAGGCCAATAAAATGAAAGAGTGTGGGCTGAATATGATGATTGCCTATTTTGTGATTTTGCATAGAGCATCACAGTTATGTAGAAAGATGAGCAGAGTGGAGCAAGGAACAGGGAGCTTGGGTTTTTTAGACTCAGCGGACTTCCTAACTCAGTTATTTTCAGCCAACTGGACTAAAATTAGGCAGAGTTGACCCTTGAACAACATAAGTTTCAACGGCATGGATCCACTTACACATGAATTTTTTCAATAAAAGTTACATCTAATGTGCTTGTCTCCCCTGCCTTCTCCTCCACCTCTGCCACTCCTGAGACAGAAAGACCAATCTCTCCTCTTCCTCAGCCTACTCTACAAGAAGATAATGAGGATGAAGATCTTATGATGATCCACTTCCACATAATGAATAGTAAATATATTTTCTCTTCTATATGATTATCTTAATAACCTTTTTCTCTAGCTTACTTTATTTTAAGAATACAGTATTTAATACTTAAACAAATTTACAAGAAAAAAACAAACAACCCCATCAAAAAGTGGGCAAAGGATATGAACAGACACTTCTCAAAAGAAGACACTTATGCAGCCAAAAAAACATATGAAAAAAAGTTCATCATCACTGGTCATTAGAGAAATGCAAATCAAAACCACAGTGAGATACCATCTCATGCCAGTTAGAATGGCAATCATTAAGAAGTCAGGAAACAACAGATGCTGGAGAGGATGTGGAGAAATAGGAACACTTTTACACTGTTGGTAGGAGTGTAAATTAGTTCAAACATGTGGAAGACAGTGTGGCAATTCCTCAAGGATCGAGAACTAGAAATACCATTTGACCCAGCAATCCCATTACTGGGTATATACCCAAAAGATTATAAGTCATTCTGCTATAAAGACACATGCACACGTGTGTTTATTGCAGCACTATTCACAAGAGTAAAGACTTGGAACCAACCCAAATGCCCATCAATGGTAGACTGGATAAAGAAAATGTGGCACATATACACCATGGAATACTATGCAGCCGTGAAAAAGGAGAGTTCATGTCTTTGCAGGGACATGGATGAAGCTGGAAATCATCATTCTCAGCAAACTAACACAAGAACAGAAAAACCAAACACCACATGTTTTCACATGGACACAGGGAGGGGAACATCACACTCGGGGGCCTGTCTGAGGGTGGAGGGCTAGAAGAGGGATAGCATTAGGAGAAATACCTAATGTAAATGATGGGTTGATGGGTGCAGCAAACCACCATGGCACGTGTATACCTATGTAACAAACCTGCACATTCTGCACATGTACCCCAGAACTTCAAGTATAATAATAAAAAAAGAATATAGTATTTAATACATACATAAAATATGTGTTAACTGCTTGTTATTGGTAAGACTTCCATTTAACACTAGGCTATTAGTAGTTAAGTTTTGGGGCAGCCAAAAAAGTTACACACAGATTTTTGACTGTGTGTGTGTGTGTGTGTGTGGAGGTGGGGGAGGAGTTGCATTCCTAACACCTGCCCTAACCCCTGCATTATTCCAGGGTCACCTATAAATATTCGTTATCTTTTGGGCCTGGCTCTGCTAATACACATAGCACATATTACTGTTTCCTGCGCTGCTTTGTGTAGTTACAATTGGCCTGAATTCTTTGCTCAAAGACAGCAAGTTCACCTCTCCTAGCCATAGACCAGACTGGCTTGTCAAACCGTCAGCTGTAGTAGTTTCCCAGATGCCTCTGGCACCATGTCAGCACTGGAGGCAGTGTCTGTGAATCCGGAGGCATAGCTCTGTCTTCTCTGCCTGCCATTGATCTGTCTTCACTCACAGTGCAGCTACCCTGCAATGTACTTCCATCTAGCCTGCCACAAGGAATACATTGCCTTTCTGCTTGTCATTTCCTATTGTTCATCCCATCCCATCAAACTCCTCTGACTACACACAGAACCCCATATCAACTCATAAAGAATCATTCAGGAATTCCAGAGAAGAAAAGGCATGAGCTAGAATGTGCCTCCTCTCCTCTCTCTCTCATGCTAGATTCAGGATACTCATTTTTATTTGCCAATTCAGAACACAGGAAGACCAAGCTCTGAGGTTTGTAGGTAAGGCCTGTGCATATTTTTTATTTTATAATTCCCATATATTCAAATACTTTGGGAGGCTCATGGAGTTTGATAGACAGAGATTTCACGTGGAATAGAGTTAACTTGTTTCTATTCCTGCCAAAGGGAACAGGAAAATATTCTTCCCTTTTCTAGAGGCACAGGCAAAACACAGAGGTAAGACCTTGTGGGTGCTCACGTTAGTGAGAACACCTGAAGTCGTCTGGAAATGATTAGGTGAGTGATCTATAGCAAGTAATCTACACCGGCATTGGTTGGGATTAAAGTCTTCTTAGAAATAACGGTGGACAAAGGCCTGTTACTGGTAATTTGATCTTTACTTCATAAAATATTGAGGATAAAAGGCCTGATATTAAAAAGTGACATCCCACAGCAAGCTGTTATGGGACAAGAACAAAATGGCCTGAGCTTAAGAGAATCAGCAGGACTCAGTGAAACATGAGGAATATGGACTGAATTAGAAAGGAGAGTCTTGGGAATATCTAGTCAAGATATTTCAAGGACATCTTCTGTAAAAGAAATGAAAATTTTCTGTTGGAACCCCAGTAGATACTATTTATATTTTTCTTAAACATAATTAAGTATAAAATAATTGACAACAAATATATGCTTTATTTACTTACAGTAAAGATTGCTATCCTCGTAAAGACTCAAGTTAAAGGACCTCACCAAGTTATTGTTCTAGATAAGACCTCTGTACAGGGAAGATCATATCTGTTATTACACTCAAGATACATTAACTGAACAAATATTTATTGAACAGGTCTATGTACTTGACATTCTACTTGGTACTTGATATACAACGGTAAATAAAAGCGACCAAAAAAGTCTCTGCCCTCATGGCAAAGCCATGTCCCATACAGAAAAAAGATTGAGAGGTCTATCTATCATCTATCTATCTATCTATCTATCTATCTATCTATCTATCTATCTAGAAAGGTAATACATGAATAAAAAGAAAAGATGCCTTAGTCTTTATCCTAAAATTTTACTTGCGTGTACTAGTTCAGTTTTCTAAAGCTACTACAGTAATGCAATCGGGTATTCGATATTAAGTGTGGATAGAAAGATAAATACCTGGGAAGTCTCTTGATTTCAATAATTATGGGGGGT
Source organism: Homo sapiens (assembly GCF_000001405.40). Classification (NCBI taxonomy): domain Eukaryota; kingdom Metazoa; phylum Chordata; class Mammalia; order Primates; family Hominidae; genus Homo; species Homo sapiens. Next base: position 80,016,496 of record NC_000014.9, on the reverse strand, counting down.
TTAATCAGGGAAATGTAAGGCTCATTGGGCACTATTGTGTATTCTGTCCAACATGAGTGTATTCTTCTAGACAGAAGTAGGAGAGTACAAAAAGGAGTGGGCAGTAGAAGGGCGAAGGCAATGGGATAGTGGAGAGGAAGCATGTTTGAGTAAACAAGACAGAGATCAAGAGTTGAAAAGAAGCAAACTGCAAAGTATTTATTAGCATCGCACTTTTCATATTTTAGACCAGAATATGGTAATGATGTTTTGTTTTATATTTTTCTCCACACTCCCCTTCAAGCCCTCAATTAGACTTTGAGAAAGAAGTCAGAGCACCTTTAAAACTTTCCGCTTAATCACCTATAACGAATGTTCATTTAATGATTGTCTTTTTGTACCAAACAAGAAGTAACAGTGCTTTTAGCAAAAGAAATGGAATGAGAAAGAAATTGCCTAATCAGCCCTGCTCATGCAGTTCTTTGTGAGAGAGATTATTGAATTTTCAGTCTCTGCAGAATTTTAATGAAGCTCCATCTTGCTGGAAAATCCAGCCCTTTGTCAATAGAGTTCAATAACTCGACCACCCATGTAATAAGATGTACCAGTTGAAATCTTTTACTCTCCAAATCCAGAAGTATGCCAGAAGCACCCTGGAAATAGGGAAGCATGTTTTGTGTGTCTGCCACTGTAGATAAAAATTTGGAGGTCATGGATAAAATGCTATGATATAAATAGTGGACTCATTATTTATATCATAGGCCTAGTTAAATAATATTTGTAAAGATAAATAATATTAGCTATAATTATGTGCCAGACACTCTGCTAAGGACTATACATACAATCACTCATCTTATCGTTACAACTCCAGGAGAATAACTCTAGTTACTCTTATTATTTTTACTTTGGACATGAGAAAATGGAAGTTTAGTGTGGCGGACAGAATAATGGCTCCTGAAGGTGTAAGTTTCCTAATCCCTGAAAACCTGAGAATATGTTACCTTATATGGCAAAAGGGACTTTGCAAATGTAATTAAGTTAAAGATCTCGAGATGCAGAAATTATCCGGATTATCCAGGTGGGTTAGATGTATCACAGGGGTCCTTATATTGGGGAAACAAAACACACACTAGGAGTCAAAAACACAGTAGGAGATGTGATGACGGAAGCAGAGGATAAAACGATGCAGGAAAGAGCCATGATGCAGGTGACCTCTAGAAGCTGGAAGAGGTCTAGAGCTGCAATGAAACAAATTCTCCCCTACACCCTGCAGAAAGAACCAGCCCTACCAACACCTTGATTTTAACCAAATGAACCTGATTTCAGATTTCCGGCCTCCATAAATGTAAAAGAAAAAATTTGCATTGTTTTAAGCCACCAAGTTTGGGATTATTTGTTATAGCAGCAAGAGAAAAATAATGTACTTAGTAAGAGTAGTTAATTCCCACAAGGTTCCTCATCTAGGACAAGAGTTCTCAACCTTGACACTATTGACATTTTGAGCAGGACTTCACTGTTGTGGGTGCTGTCCTGTGCATTGTAAGATGTTTACCAGTATTCCTTGCCTATACCTACTAGATGCCAGTAGCACCCTGCTTCATTTTTAATAGCTCAAAATGCTTGCAAACATTGAAAAATGTCTACTGAGGGGCAAAATTGTCCCTGATTGAGAATCATTAAGGGTAGTGGAATTAGGATTCAAGCTCAGGTTCTCCAGATCAAGAAAGACCCTCCAGATCAAGTAGATCCAGGTCTGTCTACTGGGGGAACGTATGTTCCAATATATTCTCAGAAATTCAGCTTCAAGTCTTTGCAAATCGTTTGAAAGTTATCTCAGGTTAGGGGTTAGATATAAGGTATTTATTATGAATCAACATCTGTAAAGGAAGGGGGAGAACCATTATCGGACAGAGAGAGAAGTTGAACTGAAATGCATTCTGACAAATCCTTACCCAACAAAATAGAGCACTCTAAAGAAAATCCATTAAAGTTGTTGAACATTGTGTCAAGATGGCCAAAATCTTATGCTGATGCCTCATTCAGTCACCAAATATGGGCTTCAAGGGAAGGTTGTAACTTTTCACAAGGAAGCTCTTTGAAGCTGAAGCAGACAATATGGGAGGTGACTAACTGCTCACAGTCGAGTGGCAATTCATTCTTTGAAGGGGAATCTAGGTAACATATCTCCATATCTGCTAATATTCATCCATTGCACTGCCTAGGTCCACTTCTTAATATGTCTTGGGAGTAGCTCTTCCAGGACTCTAGTAGCCTCTCCTCTTGAGAGTAAACTTACAACAGTTACGCTAGGAAGGCAGGCCTCCGTCACTGCAACAGGTCTTGAGTCTAAAAATAATGCTTATCACTCTTCTCCTCCACTATCCATTCTATATTCTCTCACCTTTAGCTATTATTTCTGCTAAACTTGGTGGTATCCCTGGTGGCACTACCCAAATTCTTGACCCTGAGGGTCCTAAAACCCTTGTCACCATATCCTTCTGAGGCCTGTACCTGACCAACTAAAGCAGTAATTGGGCAAGTAATTACCAAGATGCACTCAAGTGGACCACCTGGTTTCCACTGTGTAACAGCAGGATTACTCTTCCTGATGATCTGGGTAAATTGTCCTTGCCAAGATGGCTACTCTACTTCTTACCTGCTGGTTTCTGGATTCAAGGATCCTAAAGAGCCCCGATGTTAGCAATACCTTTAATTCAATGGGACCCTAGGAAAGCATACTGCATTCAGTGACCAGAGACCTTAAGACAAAGAGATGAAAAAAATAGTTTTTCAATGGATCATTTGAAGTAACTATAAAAGGGACCACCACACGTGCTACCACACATTGGCTCTTGGACCCATTTAGTTTATCTACTGGGTATATAATACTATACAGAGAACTTGATATAATGCACAGATATTTTTCTAGAAGATAACACTCCATTGTCTCTGAAAATTACCTCTGGTGGGTGCCTTGAGTGCATGTTCAGCAGCTTACTTTAGAAGTCTGGAACCTTCCAGATGCTGAAATCCCCAGGGCTGTGCCTTTCTCAGAGTAGCAGTGGAAACTGAGCAAGGTGGAGGAATAAACTTGGTGTTGGGATGCCTAACATAGTGCCAAGCTCTACAGCTCAAGTTTTGAGATAACTATTTGTTAAAAATCTTCCAGAAGCTTTATTTATTTTTACAAATATTTATTTTCATAGTTAGGTTTTGTCACAATTAATTTCACATGATGTTTCCTTTTTACAATGTGATTTCTTAAATGAATATAAATAGCATTTTTCAAGAAGGGGAAAAGCATGGAAAAATTAAGACTCCATGCTGGGCTAATTCATTAGATTAGCAGCTGTGGAGTTTTGCATTTACAAAAAAAGAAAATTATCTTGGGAGTTTGGTTCCATTACCCCCAGTTTATTGTTCCCTGTAGATCAATATGTACCACATGGTGCCATTTTCTCCTACAAATTCCCAGAGTTGGGTAACAAAAGTACTATAGGAGAAGAATGAAATCCATGGTAGACACTAGAAAAACAACCAGGTTCTAACGTTAGAAATGACTTTTGATTAGAATTGTTGCAAATAATACCATTTTAATTGAAATTACTATTGAAAATACTTTGAGAATGATCCTTATTTTATATGCATCATTTTTTTCAGTAGTTAGGTAAGAGACATTGGTATTTTTCATTATGTTAATAGCATGATCAAATTATACTTCAGTAATATTAGCATTGTGAAAATGACACTATGGATTAAATAGTGGACAAACAGGAGAATACTCCTAGGTAGGAGGTTCAGGCTGAAGTTAGTGTGACCAGAACCAGGATAGTAGCAGCAGAGGGGTTACTGTAAGACATTTATAAGACTAGGAGATTTGTTTTCCTTGAAGATGATGAATTAAAGGAAAGACTCCCAGGTTTCATGCATGGATAACTGGAAGAGTGATGGTGGCATTCTTGGAAATTGAATTATGAGAAAGAACATTAGGAGGAGTTGCTGGTTGAAATGTAAAGTCACTACTCTATGTTAATCTAGATGGGATGGATAGCTGTGGCTAAACGTATCTGAATATTTTTCAAAAGCAACTGTCTTCAAGATGGTCACACTGGCATATTTTTATTCCTTTAACAAATACTTGGTGAATGCTGACTCTGTACTTTGTTATCCTTGAGAGGACCTGTTATATCTGATTAAATGATGACCAGATCATTTAATGCAATGCAACAAATCTCTTAACACAATGTTATTCCAAATGAGCACTGATTCAGTTTGGGTCAATTATTGATTTATAAATTCCAGCAATAGAAACTCCCTTGAGAGAAAGGTTTTATGTTCGTAAGAGCCTTTATTACAAAAACAAATACTACCAGGGGAGTAAAATATTATTAGCCATTTATATGTTAAGGTAAATTGCTAATAAAAATGGAGGCAATTAGTAAGAGTTCAGAAAATACGTCAACATCTTCAGCTTCTACACAGTTTAGCATTGACAAGTCTAGATAAACAGTTTTTCAGACGTGACAGATAAGTGTGGGGGAAAAAAGACTACATTTGTGAAGTTTGGTCTTCAATATGGAAAAAAAAGTACTGAAAATAATGTGGGCACAGACTGATAACGTGCTAGGAGTGTATAGTTACAAAGATTTACTAAGGTTTTTTTGGTGAAAGGATATATTTATTCATAGCTTATTTTCCTGAAATCAAGACCAACAGGTTTACTTAATAAGCTTCCATTTTGAAAGGTCATGTTTCCCATTTGAAAAGGGCAGAGAATCATTTCTTCAGTGAATAGTGAGTTCAAAGTAGATTGGCCAAATGTCTAGGTTTACTCAGGACTGAGCAGATTCTGGGATGTGAGTCTTACCTTTTAAAAACCAGGATAACGTTTAAGTCTTTAATCCATCTTGAATAAACCATAAAAACCCTAGAAGAAAACCTAGGCATTACCATTCAGGACATAGGCATGGGCAAGGACTTCATGTCTAAAACACTAAAAACAATGGCAACAAAAGCCAAAATTGACAAATGGGATCTAATTAAACTAAAGAGCTTCTGCACAGCAAAAAGAAACTACCATCAGAGTGAACAGGCAACCTACAAAATGGGAGAAAATTTTCACAACCTACTCATCTGAAAAAGGGCTAATATCCAGAATCTACAATGAACTCAAACAAATTTACAAGAAAAAAACAAACAACCCCATCAAAAAGTGGATGAAGGACATGAACAGACACTTCTCAAAAGAAGACATTTATGCAGCCAAAAAACACATGAAAAAATGCTCATCATCACTAGCCATCAGAGAAATGCAAATCAAAACCACAATGAGATATCATCTCACACCAGTTAGAATGGTGATCATTAAAAAGTCAGGAAACAACAGGTGCTGGAGAGGATGTGGAGAAATAGGAAGACTTTTACACTGTTGGTGGGACTGTAAACTAGTTCAACCATTGTGGAAGTCAGTGTGGCGATTCCTCAGGGATCTAGAACTAGAAATACCATTTGACCCAGCCATCCCATTACTGGGTATATACCCAAAAGACTATAAATCATGCTGCTATAAAGACACATGCACACGTATGTTTATTGCGGCCCTATTCACAATAGCAAAGACTTGGAACCAAGCCAAATGTCCAACAATGATAGACTGGATTAAGAAAATGTGGCACATATACACCATGGAATACTATGCAGCCATAAAAAAGGATGAGTTCATGTCCTTTGTAGGGACATGGATGAAATTGGAAATCATCATTCTCAGTAAACTATCGCAAGGACAAAAAACCAAACACCGCATGTTCTCACTCATAGGTGGGAATTGAACAATGAGAACACATGGACACAGGAAGGGGAACATCACACTCTGGGGACAGTTGTGGGGTGGGGGGAGGGGGGAGGGATAGCATTAGGAGATATACCTAATGCTAAATGACGAGTTAATGGGTGCAGCACACCAGCATGGCACATGTATACATATGTAACTAACCTGCACATTGTGCACATGTACCCTAAAACTTAAAGTATAATAATAATAAAATAAAATAAAATAATTAAAAAAGCATTAAAAAAATAAATAAATAAATAAAAAATAAATAAAAACCAGGATAGTCCTGGACAAACTGAGAACAATTGGTTACCACAAAGCCTCAAAGTGAAAAGCAAGCTGAGTTCCAGGAGCCATATATGTATGTGGTCTTGGCTGTTGCAGAACATGAATATCTTCTTTCTGGAATAGTCCTTATGGTCCCTAGAGGTCTGGCTTTAGGGAGCCATCAAGACATGGGGTCTCAATGTCTGTATAGCAGTGGTGACCTTGGACAATCCATACATGGGCAAGAGAGTTTGTTTCTCTTAAGTCCCATTGTTAGGAACATGATTTCTGAGTCAAGTAATCTGGGATGTGTTTCCATAAGTCAGTTTAATTAAACACTAAATCTTGGTGATTTGCTACTTGATTTTACATGGTTTTAACTCATTAGGAGAAATCAATGGTGTATACATTAAGTGCAGACAAAAGGGCTGTTACATTTTCAGTAGTAACAAAAAAGCCAACTCTGGCTGGCTCAGAAAAAAAAAAATTGTTTAGCAGGGTACTTCACTAGAGTACTTCATTTACCCCAACAACAGGAAGGGCAGGAGTAGCCATACATCGAGAACAGCTAGAACTCAATGCTTTAATATCCTTCTTCAGCCTCTCACCTCTACTTCTCACTGCATGCTCCTTAATCTTCTGCTCTACAGACTAAACTTCATCATGTGAAGGAAATATAGATACCAAGAGCTCCTACATTTTATACCTTGAGACTCTTGCACCAGAAAAAGAAAGAGTTGCACTTTTCTGCCCTCCATTAGAAAAAAAAATCCCAGGGAAATCTCTTTATTAGCAGATATTCGGACAGGTGCATAGATTTGGGCAAGTCATCCATGATTGTGAGCTGTAGAATGTGAACAATACTGTGGGAGGTGCATGGTTGGAATTTCTGGAAGATGTAACACAACAAGAGAAGGTGCGGTAAGAGGAAAATAAAAACTATTACAGATTTCAAAAATGTCAGCATGGCAAAAGAATGCCTCCATATAACTTGGAAAAGTGTCTCACAAAATATGGTTACCAGACCAGCAACATCAGTAACATGGGAACATGTTAGGCATACAAACCCTTGGCCTCACTCTAGAGTCCTGATCAGAAATTGTGGGGTGGGTCCTAAGAATCCGTTTTAACAAGCACTTCAGGTGATTCTGATGTGTGTCAAACTTTATAAAGCCACTACCCTAAAAAGTAGAGCTACTTTTGGCCGGGCGTGGTAGCTACTTTTGAGTAATTACAAATATCTGTGAGAGATTATGGCATACCTGACATAGAAGATTAAAGAAACACCATTCATTCAAGAAAACTTCTTCCCCACCCAGGCCTCTTGCCAGAAGGAAGTGTGCTCCAAAATCCCTGTATGGGATTAGTATCCCATTCTCTTAGTGCCCCATTGTCTTTTACTGAGTAACATGGCAAACCCTAAATTAAGCGAGATACACAAGAAGCAAATCATTCTATTTAATGGATTTTCTGGAGAAGAAAGGTATCAACAACAACACAAAAAAGTTGGAGGGAAAGCCAAAACAAAATACAAATTAGACTTTCAACAGGGGTCAAACAAAAGGGACTGTATTTGCTCAGTCATATTCATGTCTCAGTAGAGAAAAGTGAACCTTAATGAACCTTTTTTGGATGAGCAGGTGCTGTTGGTTTTCTCATTGCATTATGCCAAGTATTACTAATTGTTTTATGGTAATAAAGAAACATTCCCTAGAAGGATTGTGTTTTAGCAGATTCCGGTCTTTTTTTGTTTTGCTCAGACCCCAGCACAAAAATAATAACACTTATCTGAATGTCCTACTTAAAATAAGCTGTTCTATCAAGCCATGTTCTAAAGCAAAGTTGCTCAAGTGCCTTTGAACTTTATTATTATCATTGTTTTATTTAAATAACTAGTTATTTTGACTATTTAAAAATAGATTGAAAATTAATGCCTTTTTTTTTACAAAGGACTCGAGAGTTTTTCTTAGTTTCTGTCATAGTATTTCATTTTTTAAAAATTCTAAGATATTTCAACATTTAACATTTCCACAATATCTATATTATAGACTGAGGGTCAGGCTGATTGACTTTTATATTCTGATTCTGCCACTTTCTGTCTGTGATACTAGGCAAGTTATTTACTTTTAAAAGCCTAGTTCTCCTCATAGTTAACCTAAGAAGACTAAAACCACTTACTTTATAGGATTACTGTGACAATTAAATGAGAACACACAGTCATTTCTTTAACATAGAGCCTGACACACAGTGAGGTCACCAATAAGTGCTAGTGATAATTAGCTATTCCTTTTGAGAGATGTTGCTTCACTTTGATCTTACATTGATAGCCCAGTCAAAGACTTGGCCATTTTTGTTTGTAGCTCATAAAAAAGAAAATAAATATCTGCCTGCAAAAACAGGTGTTAAGAGTTTCTCCTATAGCAGTTTACCATGTTATCCGATAATGAATGACACTCAGTAAAAGTATATAAAACGTTTCTAATTCTAGGATTAGGAATTAATAAATATATTCTGACCTGCAAAGAAGAGGAAAAAAACTATGATGTATTAAGAACTACTTGTAATAGGCATCATAATTTCTCATGAGTTTAGCGTTATTAGTAAAACAAAATAAAAATAAAAGACGTGCTTCATCCTAACTGTATAAATTGTTGATATTGTTGTTGTTGTCATTGAAGAAACTAGAGAGTCTTTGTAGGACTTGCCACTGACTTTTCTTTTTGCTGACAATAATAATGAAAAATGAAAAATGGTAATTTTAAACATGTCTATACCATGTAGCAACTTGGCTCTTTGTAATGCTGAGCTTATATAGCCCCATAAATAAATTTTCTTAACATCAGAATTCCTGGGTCTTAGAGAAAGATGAAGTAATCTCTAGGTCTTATCTGTCCAAGTTCTTACTGAAAGAATTTTGTACAGAGCCATTTTAGTTGCCCAAACTGGGAGAAAGTAGAAATAAGTCAGATAGAGCAGCTGTTTTATTGCTGTACAATGATGCTGCATAATAGTTCAACTAAGCAGGTGACAGACCTGATTCCAATTCTCACTGCAGTGGGAATTTCAGGTAGACTGAATGTAATTACTTTCTTTGGAGTTAGGCCAAGGTGTCTGGGTTATGAGCATCTCGTTGTGGACAATTTGTGCTGTGAGATCCTTAATGGCAAAACGTGCTCAGTGCCCAAAATCTTCATGTTTCACAGCAGCCAAAAAGAAAGAAACTTGATGAGATTATCTTACACATCACTCCGTTTTCAAATGGAGCAGCGTGTATCTCAGAGTGCTTTCTGTAGGTGTTGATATGATCTGTGGAACTTTTGAGGCATTTGGATGATGAGTATTAGCAGATGTAGTCATTAATATTCACTATGCATCCTTCGCCTACGTCCAAAGGGATCTGTAGCAACTTACAGATTTAAACAGTGCAAAATATGACATGTGAGGATGAAAAATAATGGGGGGAATAGATGTTTTCAGGTATTGGATTTAAGTAGAACAAACCATTTTGGAAAGGCTGTTAAGATGAATATACACCAAAATGTATGACTTTCTCTTATTTTTCCCTTGTTAATCTTAGTACATAGTGAGTGCTCACAACATTAAGGAAAAAAAAAATGAGTGAACAGATACACCAGCAGGAAATTTTTTTCTGGCTATAGAAGTCAAACAGAAACCTATTGAGTGGTTCCTTGTATTAAGAACACGACAGATAATTTGGACAGTAATCTTAGGCACGTTTCTACACAAGAGGCTGAATTATTCAACTAACCAGCATGCCTTAGCTTTTGTTATGTTCTTTCCACAATTCCAAAATTCAGTTATATCTGGGAATGCCTTTAAAAGTCTAGGAAAGTCAACATTAACATTTAATTCAACAGAAATGTGAGAGATACCTAAAGGTTCTAAAGGTGAGTGAAACCTAGTTCCTGCCTTGAAATAGAAACAATCCAGAAGGGAAACTTAGATAAGTACCTCATTCTCTAAAAGTAAAAAATAATAACAAAAGAAACCCCCAGATTTTAGGCACAATATTAAAAGTGTCATAAAAAGTATTAAATATTAAGTGCTTTGAGATGGTGGTGGAGTGAATTAAAGGAGAAAAAGGTTAAGCTGGTGACTGGGGAGATTAGGATAGATGAATCTCGAGGGATGAGTTGAATATCTATTGTAGGAAGTAGGAGAAAGGTTGTTATTCCAACAATAACAAAAGCAAAATGACCCAGCATGTTCATGTATTTATAAATGTAAAATTTGTTTCAATCAGTAGATATCTACATGTGGGAAAAAGTAACATTATATGAGTAATTGGGACTAAGATTTGGAGGATCTTAAACATCAGAAAAAGGCTATAAGGAGTTATGGAAGGTTGTGGGGGTATTTAATTTACTTTCTGAAAATGACTATGGCAGCAAGGGGAAACAGTAAACTTGCAACTAAATGGATTTGAGTTATTCAAATGATAAGAAATATGAGTCCACATTTGGGTACTTTTAGTGGAAGTATTTTGAAAGCGTTCTGGTCAAGCTTTGACTTTTCTTTTTTTTTCTCATTCAGAGTATCTCAAGAGTGTCTTTGTTTTCACCAGGTCCTTTAATGTATGAGTACATGATTGAATCTAGGGTTTGCAAATATCCTCAAAACAAATGAAACCATTCATCTGAAACCCCTTTCAAGCCCCTGGCAACTTTCCATTTTAATCAGGGTGATGGCTTATAAGAATGATATTATTCCAATGTCAGTTTTCCAGCCTTGGCTGTCACACTCTAGTTTCCATGAAAATTGCATGAATTCCATTGTGGAGGTTTTGCCTTGCTATTTATGTATCTGTGGCATAAACAAATCAATATTCTTATGGACAAATGAAGGAGATTTCGCTTTTGCCTCCATCTTCCTCACTGGGGAGTGAGTTCATGGAATGTTTGAGTAGAAAGCAACTTTTTGTGTTATCTGTTTTAACACTATCATATGTCAGATATAGACAGCACATAGGCCAAGCACCTTCTGAAACATGTACTGAGGTAGAATCACTTATGGAACAAAAATGTCACTTCTAAGACTATGAAGAAGTAAACCGATGGCTGGATATTCCTACTCACTTTTTAGAGCTTCTTTCTTCTTCCAGGCTACTCTTTTTCTTCCTACATTGAGTACTCAAGGCCTTCACGCTATTCTTCTAACTACATGAGAATCCACGAAAGACTGTCTCCTCACCTCCTCTGGTCATCCCCTTGCTTTAAGACTATTTTCCCACACTCTGTCCTGTCAGCTTATCAGAAACTGCTGATGTCATATTCCATATCGACTTAAATCTCAGCTACCTCTGCAGTTACTACTCAGGTAAACACATTTATAGTAAGGACAGTAAAGCCAATCCCTGGCTGAAAGTCCCAGAAATTCTGTTAAAGTATTTGCATTTTAATAGAGGACCAGTAAAGATCCTTAGCACAAATAGAACAAATTGTCATGGGTGAGAATTTCAAGAATAAGGATAAAGATATAAAACTATAGCCATATGACATGTATCTTTGCATTTATACATAACTGATCATTAGATTATATATAGGTTGTTTTGGGGATAGGGATTCAATCATTCTGGATAAGTGCTTTATAAGTTGAAAAAGAAGGTAAGGGTAGCTAAGGGTACTTAAACTAGGTAGACAACTGCAATTTCAATTTCAGATTCTATACATAAAGAAGATTGGGTGAGGTAAGCAGCTCCTGAGAATACTGCATCAACAAAGTCATTGCTGTCTGGGCGAGCTGGATGATACAGTGGGGACCCCACTGTAAAAAGAATACATCAAATAAAGTAAGGCCATGGCAGGTACCAGTGCGTTTGAATTAATAGGAATATTTACCTCCATATGCATATTCTGAGGTCAGGTATAAGTGACACTAACTCTAGACTCTGGCTATGTCTTTTAGAAAGAAATTGCCATTTAAACCTTACCTCCCACATGCTGCAAGTGATCGTTTTAGTTAAATATTTTGCTTGAGTTTTATTTCAGAGAGGATACCGCTTTGCAGTATAAAGATGCAAAACTCATTCAAGATGTTTGTATTGCTTATGCTAAAACATTAATATTTGTACACATATTATGAAATCTGTCTCTCGGCTATTTACAACAGGGTGTTTGGTTTTCTTTTGGCCTTTAGAACTTAGCTTTCTTATAAATACAAGCATCAGTGTCAGTTAGTAGAGAAGGAATGGTAGAGGAGTCAGCCCTGCTGCTTCTATGACAAGTTGATGAATCCTTTGCAAAAATGAAAAGAAAATCCTGTAGTGGCTTATGCTATTTTCTTTAGCCAAAAATACGATTCAGTTCTAATGCCAGTGTCTGAATGAGAAGATCTTAAGCTTTAAGAAATGTTGCTAAAGAGAGTTCCACATAGCACCTTTTAGGACTGTATTATCTACAAATCAAGGGCTTTGTATGAAAGCCAAGTTTGTATTTGAACAGGCCTCATGAGCTATGGGGGAAATATACAAGTCAACAAAATTGCAAACGCCTGTACATATCTATTTCTTAAGAGAAAAATTGAAAGGCTAAATTTCTCTGGGGAATAGATATTGCTAGATAACAATTTTTCTTAGTGTGACTGTTCAACTTGTTTCCCTTTTACATTAGAAAAAATACAGGCTTTTAGGAACTTATGAGAAATGAGTTTGCAATCTTGAACTCACTTTACTATATTGGAAGAATAGACTGCATATTAAGTTGCCTGCCTCGTGAGAAACAGTCACTGAGATCCTAAAATGTTGCACATGTTTATTGAGTGTTTACTCTGCGATAGATGCTTATATTAGGTACTTGATGTATATCATCTCATTCGGGTTGGTGTCATCATTTTCACTTCTCAGAAGTGGGAATTGACTCAGAGACCTGACATTATTGGTTTAATAAATGGTACGGCTGGGATGTAAATTCAGAACTGACTCCACGTCCCACATGTTTTTCATTAGATCACACCACCTTCTTTGTGTCCCTCCCAGTGCTATGTAAATACAAAGCATTCAATAAATATTTGGTGAGTGTACAAAAGACTATTGAACTAGATTTCCCAAATGTAAATAAAGGATTATCAGGTCAAGCAGTGCTAAGTAAAGATGTGTGTTATTCACATTTCTGGCATGTAGGAAAGATTGACTCTGGATAAGCCTGTGACATGAACCATTTGACTGTCATTTTTCCACACTGCCGTAAATACCCATCTAGCGGTTTCTAACATATCATCTCCAAATCCCCATCACCACCAAGATACACATTTCTCCCAGTTTTCCATCACACCTTTTCATTAGAGCTAGTAAGAGTCTGAGATTTTACAACTTGAAGGGAACTTAGAGAACATCTACAATCCACAGGGCTGGATCTAATAGCAAATTAAGGCAGAGTCGAGACTATAAAAACAGTCTAATTCCCGTACAGTAGCCAGAAAATAGTTCTAAATGCAAATCAGATCACATGTTCTTTTGCTTAAAACTTTCCTACGACTTCCCCTCACTTCAAATAAGCCCAAAGTCCATAGGGTAGCTGGGAATGCCCTTCATGCTGCGACCTCTGCCTACCCTTCAACTTCATCTTATGTTTTTCTCTGCTGTTTCCATCATTTTCCAGTCATGCAACCCCCAGTAGGTCCTCAAACTCCATAATCTTTTCACTTCTCTGGGTCTTCTCATGTGATTTCCTCTCTGTCTGATTCATTCACATCACTGACTCCTGATCATGCTTTGGGTTTTGAATTAAAAATCATCTCCTCAGAGGCCCCTTTTTTGACCAATCTAATGAAAAAGTCCCCCCTCTAAAGTCTGTTCCTATCTCCACACCCTGCTCATTTGCCCCTGTGGCACGCATAGCCATTTCTAATTATGTATCTACCCATTGGTCTTCCTCAACAGTGTATAAGCTCCCTCGAGGCTGAGGACATATCTGTCCTAGTCACCAGCATATACTCCCCGTCATACACATTATTCAGCACATACTAATTTGTGATTAAATTTTTTGTGTGTGAATGAATGAACTGGAGTATTCTGACTTCAAACTAGTCCTCTTTCAACTACACTTTACAACTTATATTTTCCCATCCCTAACCCCTGTCACCTGCTTGTGACCACTTCCCTATTAATTTCCACTAATTTAATGCTATCACGAGCACTGAATTATGAGATACATAAATTTTTGTGATTCACAATTTAAAAAATGGTTATGCCTATTTAATTGAGATGCAAACACTTGTATTCTCAAGGAGGCCTTTAAAAAGGATGTTAATGAAATTGTAGGTTCCATAACAATCCATCGAGGGTGATTTTTCATCTCTCTTTTACACAGATGTTTATTCTCCCTACACCTAGGGCTGGGTATCTTGCAGTACAGTTTTCCCCCTGTGAGCCCACAGTATAGCAGAATGACTATTTAGTCCAAGTAGGCTTAAAATACCCCCACAGTGAAATTTAAGTTTCAAAATCTATGAGCGGTACATGTGGTAATCTCATCAAGAAAGTGCCATAAATTCCTGAAAGGCTGGATAGAGTTGTAGGAGCCAGCTCAAAGCTGCTTTTTTCTACTACTTCTTTCTCTCCAAACTCAAAGACATAGAGTACAGAGAAATAGAAGCTGTTTTTGAGTGATTGGCAGCCGCAGCAGGAATGAAGCTGAGTTTGTTGAAGGATAGATCTCCTTAGGTTTCATTATCATGGGGATCTGCAGTGGCTAGAAAGATCAGGGATGAAGTCTTCATAAGCAGTTGAGGAAGAGCCTACGTCTGGTCTGCATGGAACTGATACCCACCCCTGCCCCCCGCCATGTATCACAGGCTTTATATTAATATAAAGAAATTTAAGTCTTGTTGCTACAATGTCTCCAAATTCAGACTAACAGAGAGTGTGGAGCCCTTAGGTAGGTGAGGATCGTGCTAAATAGAAAGTGAGAATAGGAGAATCCAAACTCTTCCATGAGGATATTTTTCTCCGTGAACCTGGCTCAAGTTTCACAAAGGCCTTACTGAGGAAGGTCTAGAAGCTAAAGTAAGAACCCAGTAATTGTGGTTTACAGTCTTGTGTCCATTTTATGCTTATTTAAGCCCATTACATGATAAAAAATATACACCTATTCTATGATGAATCTTTTGTTATCCTTATTAAATTTCGAGTTTAAAGAACTCCTTTATAGATTCTGAGGATACGAGAATATTCATTTGGGTGAGTAGAGGTATTGCATTCCTGTCTAGCACTTTTAACAAATGTTTCCAGGTTAAATAATAATTTAATAGTAAATATAAACGTGAAAATGATTTCTTAAAAATAATCTTGGGGTGGGGGAAGTCTTTCTTAACATGATGGGGAAGGCAGAAAGCATAAAAGAAAACACCTGACAGATTACCTAAGAATTTTTGTAGAATAAAAGATTGAGGGCAAAAACTAGAAATGCAGATTATAAACTGGGAAAATTAGTTACAATACACAGAAAAGGTTAATATTCTTCATAATGGTACTAATTATAACAATAATAGCTAATATATACAGTGATTACTACATGCTAGTAATTGGAATAAGTATATATCTGGTTTGTTCAATGACTTTAACGTATGTCCTACTGTTAGACTCATTTTACAGATGAGGAAACTGAGATAGTGAGAAATTTAAAAACTTATCCAAGGCATGCAGCTTGTGAGTGGTAAAAATAAGATATAAATGATTTTTTTACAAATGAAAATGAAAAGCAAACAGCCCACTAGAAAAATGGGGCACATCTTCTTTAAAAAGACAACAACAGAAATGACGGAAAGGGTACAGTATTTTTATCTTTATCACAGAAGAGAATGCGTTTCCTGTTCAGGAAACACTTTGATGGACCTTATAGTCTGAGAAGAAGTCCTCCAGTTTTAGCTTAATTGAAAAGTGTAGGTACACGATCAAGATTGCCTGATATTTAAACTAACAGAAGTTTAGAGTTTATGGAGAGACTATGGAGTCTAGAATTTGGAGAAAGGTAGACACAGGGAAAAGAAAGGGCCCAAGAAGTGTGGAGAAGCTTAAGTAAGAACTAAGCAGGTACAGGGTAGCTGAGAAAGTCTCCCATTGGTGGGCGTGGCAAAGATCCATCCTGGGAACACTGAAGTCTAATACTGTTTATGATGCGTGGGCTATTCTATGTTGTAACCCCGTGTTGACTCCAAATTTGCTTAAACATTTACAACTTAAACGGGCTTCTATTAACACTGTGTTAGTCAAAAAAAGGAGTGGTGTCCCTCACGGGGTGAGGGCAAGTGGTTGAATAAGAACAGCAGCCACAAGGGAAGAGCCAATGGGTATAACCAACCCCACCATGTGCCAAACTCTCAGAAACGATGAGGAAAGGGTAATGATTCTCTAGGGTGTGGGGAGAGGGCTTATACAGTGGAAAGAGTGTTCAGAAGTGTGGAGTTGGGAACATCCAGGTGGCACAGGTTGGGGTTACATGGACAAAGCACATGTAGAGCTAATTCTTAGAAAAACACAGACATCCATTGACATAAAAAAAAAATTTCAATGTCACTAATTGTCAAAGAAATATAAAATTAAAAAAGGAATTTTGCTGATTAGAATGGAGATTTTTTTAAATGTTGATAATAGACTTCAACACACTGTTGGTCAGAATAATGCTTCCTATATGGGGCGTCAGAAATGGTCTGGAGGAATACTCATACTCTTAACCTTAGGTGTAACTGAAGCCCTCTGGCTGGTTTGCCTAGCTGAGAACAACTTCCTATGTTTATCTGCATGCCATTTGCTATGGTTTAAATGTTTGTGTCCCCACAACTTTTTATGTCGAGACTGAATCCTTAGTAGAACGGTATTAAGAGGTGGCATTATTAGGAGGTGATTAGGTCATAAGGGCTCTGTCCTCATGGATGGGATTAATATCCTTATTGAAGAGGCTGGAGGAAGCTAGTCCCCCCTTCTCCATTTGAAGACTCAGTTAAAAGGTGCCATCTATAAAGTGGAGTGTGGGCGCTCACCGAACACTGAATCTGCTGGTGCCTTGATCTTGAACTTCCCATCCTCCAGAACTGTGAGCAATACATTTCTGTTGTTTGTAAATCATCCAGTCTAAGGCTTTTTTTTTTTTTTTTTGAGATGGAGTCTCGCTCTTTCTCCCAGGCTGGAGTGCAGTGGCACGATCTCGGCTCACTGCAAGCTTTGCCTCCCGGGTTCATGCCATTCTCCTGTCTCAGCCTCCCAAGTAGCTGGGACTACAGGCACCTGCCACTACGCCTGGCTAATTTTTTGTATTTTTAGTAGAGACGGGATTTCACCATCTCTAGCCAGTATGGTCTCGATCTCCTGACCTCGTGATCCACCCACCTCGGCCTCCCAAAGTGCTGGGATTACAGGCGTGAGCCACTGTGCCCAACACAGTCTAAGGCATTTTTATAGCAGCCCAAACGATCTAAGATATCATCCAGACACTTTCATTTCCTCTATGCATCATGAGTTGAAAAAAAATGGTAAGTGCCACGTTAATGTCCAAAGTAGTACAACCATTCTAGAGTAGGCTGGCAATGCAAATCAACAGTTTAAATGCACATATTGCTTAACCTGGCAATTCTGTTTATAGAGACCCAGAGAAATTTATTGAAAAATCCACAGAGATATATGTTCAAGTTGTTTAATATAATATTGATTGCAAAAGCACTAAAAAGGTAAAAACCATCTTAATCCATTTTCCATTGATACATATTTATGTGGAGACTATACAATGTAATAGCATACATTCTTTTAAAAAGATTAAGGCAGTCTATGTGTGCTGAGATGATGCTCCATACACAGTGAAGAAAAGTAGAAAAATATCAAGTAATATTTATACCATGAGTTATTAATATGAAAATATAAGCTATTTACCTGATACATTTGGAATTAAAGCAAAGCAATAAAGATTTCCATTTTGGATATAAATCTTGCACTATCAAAAATATAAATAAATATAAAAATATTTTAACCAAGTGAAATAATTACAGTAAAAGTTTGTTGCATATAGCAGGCAGACAAGGAAGAAAGCTTTTCATATTGGTGCCTCGTCCAGCTTTTTCCTGTCTCAGTGTGACACAAGTAACGTTCACACACAAAAGGTAGAAGACCACTTAATGTCACCCTCTAAAGATATTACATAGTTCAGCCAGGGATGTGAGTATAGTATAGCTAGGAGAAATGGGTCTCACTATTTGTGATTTAATTAGAGAAATCTTCAGCTTCAAGAATTGTTAATCTAGCATCTTCTGAGCATTCTGTTCATCTCCCAATATTTTTTTTGCCTTTCATAGGATTAAAGAACTAATTTAGAAAGATTGTTGAGCAGATTTTTATCAGGTTTAGCCTGTAGCTATGCCAACGTTTGACTGTATATGTTGTGCAAATATAGCTAACAGGTTTTCCTTCTCTCTTCTGCCAAAACCCAAAACATTGACAACAAAGACATGCAATGTGATAAAAACAGCGACATAAGTTATTTGGAGTCTGAAAAGGCAGTCAGTCTTCAATGGAAGAGCTAAACATGCCTCATGATATCCTAAGCCATTAGCAAAACACTTCGTCTGCAAATATATTGAGCATCTACAATATGCTATATTCAAAGCATTCTCAAGAGCTTCTGGGAAATAAAATAAATACTGGGGGGAGAGACTTAAAATTATATGGGAATAGATGTGATATATAAGTTTTTACGCTTAATCATCAAAAACATAGAGTTCTTGGCTTTCTATAAATGTAGTCATCTCCTACATGAAATTCATTCAATAACTTTCAGAGGCTGGATATGTCTGTTGGAGTAGGATGTAAGGATACAAACTTGGCAATTTTAGTTCCAGCAAACTCTTTTACTTTTGCATTGTCTCTCTCAGGTTGATCAGGGTCATCTGGGTAAATACTCAGGTGTTTTAAACTCCAATTTCCATCCAGGACTGGTTATCCTCTCAACTTTTTCCTTCCAAAAGTAGAATCTTGGTTCAAAGGGAGCTGATATAACCTCAGTATTTTGAGGTTTGGCCTGTTTTTCATGTCATCATCTTATTCCACTTCTCTCAGAGAATCAGCCTCTCTCAGTCCTGATTTTGATCGTGATGGAGGCTGTTCCCACTGAGTTTGTGAAGACGTCAGTACCTGCCACTGACCTGGAATCAGGACCACCAATAGCCTATGTGGGGCATTTGGACATTTGTCAGAACTGGGAAGAGATTTCCCCTGCAGGTAGACACTGCTATCCACCAAAGCGAGTGATTCTGGATGCAGAATGTTGTGTCCGCAAACCCTTTCAGTGGGGTCTTTGGCACAGGGCCCAACCTGCACAGCCATACATGGACCTCCTGTCGTGAGCTTTGCTTCTCATAAAGCTTCCTGCCTCTGCTCTGTCTGCAGCTCAATGTCAGGCAACTGCTGGCCCACTGAGTCCTTAGTGACCTTCTCTTTGGCATGACACATTGCCCTTCTGAATCCCTTCCACATTAGAGGGTATGGGAAGCCAGTATTACAATCTCTAAGCTCAGGGTCATCTGTACAGGTACTTGTGACAAGGTCATAGGCAAGAGGCTGCTTCCTGATAGACACTAGCAACCATGAATTCACAGACTGCCTTGTTGCAAGAATGAGAGCTTAAGGTGTGATCAGGCACACCCCAAGTTTACCATACAATGGTAGAACCAGCACCTTTGCATTTACTGCTACCTGCAGTACAGTAAAAGTGCTCTTCAACTAAAGTGCTTAATTAATTTCATCAAAGCAAACAGCAAGCAAATTTTTGAAAAATTCACACCCAGTAAATCTTGACTGAGGTTATGTACCTTGCATGAAGCTAGCTCTGAGTAGACAAATGGAATGGGGACACTTATTCCATATCTTTCTGATTTGTCTTAATATATAACTTTATTAGATTATTTGGGAATGATGAAGAGTTGACTGCATTATGGCTACTGTAAAGTGATTAAGACATGAGAAGTTACCAACTCTTTTATTAACTGTCTTGTGTTAAGATACCTAAAGTGCCCTTCTTCTGCTATGAGTTTTTATTTTTTAATATACTCTGAACTCATGATTGACTTTTAGACAGTCATATCAATGTGATTATTTTAACATTATTATCTTTACAATATAATCTTGGGTATTAACATCACTCAAGTGTGGTGCTAGTGACTTCTTCATGGTGTGTCTGTAATTGGGTTTTAGGGGAGTCTGCATACCCCTGAACCTGTATGCTTATTGCAGTGTGTTTCCTGGGAAAAGGTCCATGGCTTGCATTACGTTTCCTAAAGTCACTATGACAAAAGGAGGTTAAAAAGAAAAAAACATATAAACAAAAAACGGCCACCTAGAACACAATTAGAACCAGCACTAAAGAATCTGTCATCACACATCTATGTGGGAAATACTTTTTCCCTATCTCCCCATCTTTCTTTTGTTAGGTAAGAAATGTCTAATTAAATGTAGTTAGAATATCTCTTGTCTTTACCTGATTTCCTTAAACCTAAACTAGATTAACTATCTTTGCTCTTTAGCAGTCACTAGAGCTTATAGGAAGAAAAGCCAGAAAAAATGAACTTCTTCTCACTCCTTTAGATCTACTGTACAAATTTAATATCTGTTAGAACCCCCAGGGGCTTCAGTGGAGCAATATATAAGAACAAAAATATAATACAGAAAAACACTGCCTCATATGCTATTGCAGTCACATATATACAATCTTTTTTGTCTTCAAGAGGGGAAAACATACAACCATTTAAGTTGCACCTAATCTGCATAAAGAAATGAGAATTTTAAGATGTTTCCATGAAGAGCTGAAAATAGAGTTCAGGCTTCTTTCTCCATTACAGCTGGAGTCAAAATGACAAAGTAAATAAATTTTCTTTCTCAACATTGTTCCTGCCTTTGCAGCTGAAAAAATATTTGCAGGAATATTTTTCAAAAAACAATATAATTTAGATTATATTTTATTAAGGAATCTACAAACTTCTGATGTTTGGAACATCAGAACAATGGATTACAATGAATTCAAAATAAGTTTATTTAATCGGAATTTTTTTTTCATCGCAATTAGCTTGTTTTCTTATTCCCGTTGCGAGACCCCATCTTGCATCTTAGTAGTGCCAGGTATTTGACAAACTGACCACTGCGGCATCTTTTGTTTTTCCTTGCCCTACAGTTACGAGCAAGGCTTCCATCTGTACTAACTCTCATCTATCCCATTGCCATAGTCTCCCTGTTGGCTTCCTTGACTCTGTGCTCTCTTTTTGCAATCATTTCTCCAGACTATAATCTGATTAACATTTGCAAAGTCCAGAAGGACTCACAGTCCTACCTTCCCCTAAACTATCTAACGGTTTCTTCATAAGAGAATATGAATTCATCCTTGGCTTGGCATTCAATGCTTTATCATGCACTCCTCCTCTCTTACTCAGATTTCAACCAGCCTTTTCATCTTTGTCTTTAGAATAGGTCCGCAGTGCCCTTGGGATTGTAAATTTTTCTCCGTATTTAAAACCTACCAAAGTTGAAAAAAGTGTCTTTGATATGTCTTTGGTCCTCCCCAGCAGAAATCAATCTCTTCCACATCTTAACTCTCCTAGCAGATCTTCCATTAAAGATTATTGCTTCAGGTACTTTCTAGGACAAAGAAGTCTTTGATCAGCCTTTGAGTTTGGACTTTATTAAGTCTACGATGAGATAACAATTTTTATAGGCATACTGTGTGCATAGAGAGCAGAGTTTTTCTAAACTCCAACAACTATTTTGGCATATGAAGAACCAAATAGAAAACACAAGTTACAAACGATAAATAAGTAGACTGAACTTCACCAAAATTAAAAAGCTTTTGTGCTTCAAGGAACACAAGAAAGTGAGAAACAACCCAGAAAATGGTAGAACATATTTGTAAACCATATATCCGATAAGGGAATTGTATCTAGAATATATAGAAAACTTAAATCTCAACAATAAGAAAACAACCAGATTTAAAAATGATCAGTCTTTGAAAGGAATTTTTCCGCAGAAGATATACATATGACAAATAATCACATCAAAAGATGCTCAACATCATTAGCTAGCAGGGAAATGCAAATCAAAATCACAATGAGATAAAACTTTATACACAGAAGGATAGCTATAAGCAAAAGGACATATAATAGTACTGTTGGTAAGGATGTGGAGAATTGGAACTCTTACATACTGCTGGTTGGAGTGTAAAATGGCTCAGCCTACTTGAAGAGAGCCTGACAGTTTCTCAAAAGGTTAAACGTAGGCTTACCATACAAACCAGGAACTGAAGCATACACCTAAGAGAATTGAAAATCAAGTGTACCCTAAAATCTACACATGAATGTTCATAGAAGTGTTACTCATAATAGCCAGAAAGTAGGAATAACTCATATTTCCATTAATTGAATAATGGGTAAACAAAATGTGGTCTATGTATACAATGGGATATTATTCAGCAATACAAAGGAATGCAGTACTGATGCATGCTACAACATGGATAGACCTTGAAAACATTATGCCTAGTGAAAGAAACTGGTCACAAAAAATCACATATCATATAATTCTACTTATGTGAAATGTCCAGCACAGTTAAATTCACTGAAAAAGAAAGTAGATCCATGGTTGTCAAAGGCTGGAGGAAAGAGGAAAATGAGAAATTATTGCTAATGTATATGGGGTTTCTCTTTGGGGTGCTGATAGTGTTTTGTAGTTAGATTGTGGCAATAGTTGCACAACTCCATGAATATATTTATAATCACTGAATTGTATAATTTAAAAGACTAAATTTTATGTTACATGAATTCTACTTCAATCAAGCTGGTGATTTAAAAAATTCTAGTTGGAACAAAGTGTGATTTAAAAAGAAATCAATCATGGTGGGCTTTGGACCATCCAGTTTTACTAAAATAGTCAGAGCAAATAAAGGAAATGATATCAGAGCAACTTTCCTACAATTTGGACAAAAAATAAAGTTTTAAATAATAAGCAGGAAGCAGAGAAATAAAAAAGAGTAGGAGAAAGATGCAGTCTGGGTCTCTCAGGGACCCCAAAGCACTGTGCTCAGGTGAAATGATGGAAATTCTGATAGAAAATCCAGATGGCTTAAGGAAAAATCTGATCTCGTGCTCTGCTGCCATATCCTGTAAGGCAGTTCCTCTAATTCCAATGTCTTGACCTTTTGTTCCTTTCAGTGACTGGCCTTAGAAACCTACATACTTAAGGTGTTTCCAACTTTTTGAATCTCTGTTATGAACCCCACTCTGACTTCAGAAATTCCTTTTTTTCTGAGCTGAGTCCTCCAACCATTTTCACCCTGCCACCACAAAGAAGTCAGGCACACAGAACAGCACAAGAATGTGAAAAGGGAAGTTAAAGTACCCCAGAGGGCCTCTCGCCTGGGATGACAGTAGTTTATAAACTACCATGTTTGCATATCAAGCCATTCTGTTATTTCCTTTGATCCTCAGCAGGGGACTAAGGGAGAGTCTTTGAAAGGACACTAGACAAAGACCATCAAGGAAAAAAAGACTTAGGATCCTACGGGGACAGTCAGCAGATCCAGATGCTGAGTGTCTCTCCCTGCTCTCTCAAACTACAGAGACAGATTAAACTGCCCCTTGGGTTTTGAGATGAGGACTGGAGAGTTGATTCCAAGGTCAGGAGGATTTCAATATTCACCACGAGGCCAGTGCAACGAATATCAGCAGCAAAACCTAAAAAAAACCAATGAAAATAAATAAAAAATAAAAATAAAAAAATGGGGATGCTTAATTCATTGACTCAGCAGTCAAAATTATCATAATGGTGGAATGAGCATATACTGACCTCTCCTGATGCCCCAAATCCTTTAACATACATATGCATATGTACATACACATAAATATATACATATTTATAAATTATTTAGATAAAGATGAATTCAAGAATATTATTAAAGCATAAAAGATACTGTCTTGACAAAAATTTGTGATGAATTCCTTAAAGATATAAAGCAGGTAGAAGCCAGTTGACAAAGAGAAAATATCATGAGAATCTATAACTCAAGGTACCGGAGGAGGGGTCAGCTATGATGGTGGCAAGGATGGTAGGTGACTCAGTTAACAAAGGAAACAGGCTGAGACCCTGAAGCAATTAACACTGTGAATAAAAAGTAAGTGTATTCCAAGTTCCTGGGTCTGTTGGGTGAAGGCTTGGGAGGCTCCACAGCCCAGGTCTAAAGGACTGAGGATCGATGTTGGCACTAGAGACAAACCAGAGAGTGCCTGTTGACAACTGGGAATATCTTAGGGAGAGAGGTTTTAGTCTCACTGACTGATCCTCTGCGTAGGAGCCCTGTGTTCCACTGCTAAGTTACTTGCAGTTCCCTGAATGTGTGTCCTCCTCTCATAGGCCACTGTGTTTTCATCTACATGCTGTGTGCCATCCCACCCTGAGCTACCGGAAAAATATTACTCATTACATAATTGAATACATGGGAAGTGCTTATAACCATGCCTGAAACATAAAAAAGTACTCAAGGAATCTTTTATTATTATTCCTATAACTCATCACTTAAGTCTTATTTCAGAAGTCACGGTGACCTCAGACAATCATTTCTTTACCTAACTCCTTCAAAGTGGAATTAAGAACTTTCAAAATACTTATCGTTTTTGGTTTTAGGGAGGGAAGGGTATTGACCTGTATCTCTATTTTGATTGTGAGGAGAGAGATTTTTAACTTAATTGTCTCTTCAGCATCTAGCTCACATACTAGCACATAATAGGCATTAAATGTTTTTGCTGAGTAGTGAACAAATAAACTATAAAAGTGATGGTTTTCTTCATATAATCTATAAGGTGTGAGCCCTGCCAGCAGATCATTAAACATTAATTATTTTACCCCAGAGACTGGAAATTAACAGCTGTATGAACTCTCACCTCTGATACGGGTGCCATATTTAATGTCTTTGAACTATGTGGCTCAGTGAACTCCTTGGAATAAGACAAAGGTCATCATGTTGCCAACTCCTTATCACATGTCATATTTCTGTAATCATAAGTTTTGAGAGGAATAATTAAAAACTTCATCACGAGAAGCCCTTTTCTTATTATTCAAGACAGAATTGGAAGATTTGGTCCTAAAACCACTGGCGTGTTCTCTATCAGTGGCCATAGTGAATAAGATGGTTAATTTTATATGTCAGCTTGGCCTGGCAACAGTGCCCTGCTATTGGACCCAACATGAATCTAAATGTTTCCGTGAAGGTATTTTTGGATGAAATAAGCATTTAAATCAGTAGACTTTGAGTAAAGATTGCCCTCCAAAATATAGGTGAACTTCACTCAATAAGTTGAAGGTGAAGAGAACTTGGTTAAGAGGTACAAAAATATGGTTAGGTAGAAGAAATAAATTCTAGTATGTGATAGTACAGTAGGGAAACAATAATTTATTGTATATTTCAAAATAGCTAGAGAGAAGATTCGTAATGTTCCCAACACAAAGAAAAGACAAATGTTTGAGGTGATAGATGGTCCAATTACCCTGATTTTATTACTACACATTATATGCAGGTACCAAAGTATATCAGGTACCTCCCAAATATGTACAACTATTATATACATAAAAATAAATAAATGCAATAAATAAATAAAAAACAAATAAAAAAGAAAAAAGACTGCCTTCTCAAAGGAAGAAGGAATTCTGCTAGCACAGTGCCTTCAGACTTGAACTCTTCTTACTTGTATCTCTGACCTATTCTCTTTCTCTTTACACACACACACACACACACACACACACATACACACACACCCTTATTGATTTCGCTCCTTTGGCTGACCTTGACAAATACAGTGAAGATGGACTTGAAGGTCACAACTGCCTAACCAATTTAATATAGTCTAAAACTTCAATTCCTATCCCCTAGTAAATGAGTAGGAGCTTCCCCTGGGCAAATTCAAGTACACAGTGTTGTCCTCAAATCCATCTTTTTCTTTCTTCCATGTCCTCCTCCAACCTATAACATCATCTTCCTTCTCCCACACAAAAGGACACATACTTTTATGTTCTCAGAGCACTCCTCCCTGGGACCATGCAGAAATTTAAAATATGATAGGGCTGCCTCTCTCTTATAGAGCACACAGCAGCTGAGAAAGAAACTAGAAAATTCATTTTCTAGACATTGATGTGCATTTAAGAGCCCATTCTGAGATTACTTTCTTTCTATTGTTGTTGTCCCTGGCATTGTAACAAAGAACCTGTCTGAAGGCATCACTCATACGAGACTTCAGCCTTTGTGTGAAGGTGAGGATGCACACTGTGGGGATGAAGTTGGCTTTAACACTCTGCAAGTCATGCCAAGGATGTGACTAAATACATGATTAGTTATATGAAGGCTGAGATGTAGTTACATCATGAGAAAGTTGTTTAAAATACAATGTGAACTAGGTGCGGTGGCAGGCATCTGAAGTCCCAGCTACTTGGGAAACTGAGGCAGGAGGGTCACTTGAGCCCAGGAGCTGAAGTCCAGCCAGGGCAACATAGCAAGACTGTCTCTAAAAAGAAAGAAAGAAAGAAAGAAAGTAAAATAAAAGAAAAAAGAAACAGTGTGAACTAACCTGAATTGTATTAATTGTTAGCTCTCCTTGGGAAGCTTCACCTTTCTGCTGGGGCTGCTGTTTACACAGACACTCCTAGCACAGAAGGGGCTTTATGAGAAACTATAGCACCTGTGTTTCCCTTTGCACACTTCATCTTTTCTTTATGGGGTCCTTCACAACTATTTCTCCCCAGCTGCCATTCAGCTAAACAGATGCTTTGAATGATGGCACGAGGCGAGAGATCTCCACAGCATGGTTGTCAAGAACTCTCTGCAACGAGACTTTTTAGGAGAGTAAAATATAGCCCCAATCTCTATAATGTTTGTAAACTTTGGGAAAATTGTAAGTTTGTGACGTGTTACTACCAAATTGGGATAAACATAAGGGAGCATATGCTGTACAAAAGGAATAATCACATGTCTTCACATTTGTTAATTTCAAGAGGTTTGCGATGGGATTTGACACTATTCCTCCTCAGTGGTCCCAGGAACACAAAACATTAAGCAGTGTCATCTACTCACTTATGCTATTTCAACTGCCACTATGAAGGTCTCCCAGCAATACATGGTTCCTTCTTCAGTACCCATTGAACCCAGGCTGCCTTTAACCTTGCTCTACATTCTGGTATTCTACACTTGTGTGGGATTCCTGGTCTTGCGTATCCATGCTCAACTAATGCTAAGTCATTCATCAATGATTACCCAGAAGCACTAGGTGAGTCCAACCCAGTGCATGATACTGTAATTGGCACTATACAAAATAAATTTGAGAAATGTGATTTCTGTCCTATGTGAAATGTAATCTAAGATATACTGATGGGCCATTCAGGTGTACATATATGTGGATAGTACAGTAAAACACTTGTTGTTTGCCACACTAGCATCAGTTTCATCTTCTTCTAAAAATATACCTTCTTTCTGTGAAGGGGTATATTCTCCCTCCACTCTCTATTTATGTGGTCTGAAGCAGATCTTAGAGATGGGGTAAACCATGTAACCCAGGGCTAAGCAAATCAGTATATCAAGATGATAGAATGTGGTAACCTAAGCTGGCATCATCTTACAACCCAAGAGAAGAGCTTCTCTGGAGCAAATTAATGCTGAGAAAGCTGAGCTTGAAGATGGAGAAAGGGAACTCTAATCCTGGCAACTTTACTTGAGTCCTTAGTAATGCTTTTCTAACAGATTAAATATGGCAGAAGAAATGCTGTTTGAGTTTCCAGGCCAGGTCATAGACAGGGTATCTTTCACTTAGCCTGCTCTCTTGGGTCACCAGTTCTGGAGGGAACCAGCACCACATCATGAAGACAAAACAGTCTTGTGGGAGGCCCATGTGGGCTGGAACTGAGGCCTCAACAGCACCACCATGCTAGATGAGCACCTTGGGAGCAGAGCCTCTGGTCCCAGCCAAACTTTCAGATAATTGCACTTCCAGCTCACATCTTGACTCAATCTCATGAAAGAACCTGAGGCAGAACCACTCAGAGAAGTCACTACAAAATTCATAACCCACAGAAACTCTGAGGATAATAAATGTTTATTCTTATTTTAAGTCAGTATGTGACTTAAAATATTAACACAAGACAACTACTACAAGTATACCAAAAGAATCTTAACTAATACAGTTAATAAAGCCAAGACAAAACAAGAAAATTCATGATATTTTTCCGAGCCAAATTAGTCCATGATTGTCCCTATTTTAATTGATATGGCCAATAACTGCAGCACCAAAAGTGTTTTTTAGGAAAGTTTACTAGGTAGCTACTTTTTACAACAGAATTCCAAATAAAATATTTAAGTGTAAAAAATGACACTACAAAAACAAGAAAATTATTGTGAAGTAGGAAAGTTTTTCTAAGTGTGTTAACTAACCCATAATTCCATATAGGAAAAGATTGACAGGGTTGTCTATGTAAAAATTTTAAATGGTGAGCAAAATAAAATTCACACAATAAGGTCAAAAGGCAATAGGATAACAAGTGTAACCCTTAATAACCAAAATATTAGCATTCTTGACTTTAAAACATTTTAATAAAAATAAACAAATGAGCAATTGACAAAATCAGTTGAACAGCTAATAGGCATAGAAAAAGACTGTAAGTACCACCAATAATCAAAGGAAGAAAATTTTTCAGATTGGTAAAAAGTTGTCAGTTCTTAGCAACGATTTGAGGAATTAGATAGTTTCATCCTGCTAAGGGGCTCATGAGTACTGATTTTTTTTTTCTCTCAAACTAGTTTGAATTGGCTTTCTGTCACCTGCCAAAGAATGAGTTCAAAACTCACCAGATGAGAGCTTTTTTTCTCCTTTCTTCTAACTTAAAAAAGAACTTCTTTATGAAAATAAATATGTTATCCCTATATATAAAAATATTTCAATCCAAATATTATAAATCTGGCTCAAAAAGGGAAGAGGAAAAGGCTTTAATTTCACTTAGGCACAGTCCTCAGTTAACTAGGTCCAACATCCTCCTGCTCTGGCACACTACTTTAGAGTGGTCTGATACCTCAATGTCATTTGATTTCTGATGACTTTCAAAAAGGAGAACTCTAGACATACTTTGCTTAATGCATGTCCAAAATAAGAAAAACAAAATGTATACATGAACATCAAATCCGAGGACATTTTCTTTTACCAGATACCTTCCTTTTTAAAATTTTCTTATAAAATTTCTTTAGATAACAATTTCCTCTAGAGAGTTTCTGATTTGATTTAATTTATAAATAACTTTCCAGAAACATTTGCAAAAGTCCAGCGAAGCACTGGTCACCTGGTTCAGGAGTTCAACCCCATTTTTAACTATTGACGTTAACATGCAGAAACAGAATCAGGCCCCAGAAAAAGGTAAAATAGGGTTGGGTAAGTTTTAGGTATTTTTTAAGTAAAATGAATCTTGTTAGCAATAGTTGGCAGTCTTACTGCCTTTAGATGATTTATTTTATGCATGAGTTGGTATAGTTTCTGTCTTGTGGGGGGCAATTGTTTTATTGTTGTATGTCATTGCAATTTAAAAAAAACTACAGAAAGCGAATGTTAGAAACAGCAGTCTGTATTGCCTGTTGGATTGAATTCTCTCTATATAGAGTCATAAATACAGAGATCTCAAGGGCTAGAAAAATTTCAACTTACAAACTGCATGAAATTGAGGAGAATTTTGAATTCTGCTTGGGTTGTATAAATGTTTTAATCACTATGCTAAGATGTAAAGTTACCTGCTCTCCTGGACTGTTAGTTGATTGTCTTTTTAATATTCCAATGAGATATTTTGGTTTGGGGACACAACTATGAACACACACATTCTAGCTTAAAAGAAGAATCTCTTTCCTTAGTGAAGCAAAAACAACACTACAGCATATTATTTCTATTTATGTAACGAATAGTGTTGGCTGGTAGCCAAGTGGAACATTGAGCTATGTTAGCCCCTGAAATGTCTGAAGATGATGACAGATGGAGAATATAATCTCAGCTATGGTATTTGCAAATGATTTCCACTTGGAGCCATATGGGTCCTGGTATATCATGAAGATAATAATGAAGATTTCAATTAGAAAGATAGCTGAAATGACTTTAAAAAAAAGGAAATACATCATTTACTAACTGAAAAGCCCAGGGTAGAGTTTTATGCAAGCCTGCCTAAATTTAAGAGCTCAAGACATGGCCTAGGGAACTGGTCTCTCTCTATCACAGTTAATTTACATGTCAACTTGACTTGACCATGAGCTGCCCAGATATTTGGTCAAATATTATTTTCAGTGGGTCTGTCAGGCTGTTTTTGAATGAGGTAAATCTTTGAAATAATAGATGGAATAAAGCAGATTTGTCAGAGGCATTTGAACCAGAGTGACTCCATCTTGAATAGGACTGGGTAAAATAAGGCTGAGACCTACTGGGCTGCATTCCCAGGAGATTAGGCATTCTTAGTCATGAGATGAGACAGGAGGTTGGCACAAGATACAGGTCACAAAGGCCCTGCTGATAAAACAGAATGTGCTAAAAGAAGCTAGCCAAAACCCACCAAAACTAAGATGGCAATGAAAGTGACCTCTGGTCATCCTCACTGCTTATTTTACATTAAATATAAAGCATATGCATGCTAAAAGAAACTCCTACTAGTGCATGATGGTTTACAAATGCCATGGCAATGTCCAGAAGTTAACCTATATGGTCTAAAAAGGGAAAGGACCCTCAGTTCTGGGAAATATCTGCTCCTTTCCTAGAAAACTCATGAATAATCCACCCTTTGTTTAGCATGTGATCAAGAAATAACTATAAATATACTCAACTCAGCAGTCCATACTGCTACTCTGCCTATGGAGTAGCCATTCTTTTATTCCCTTACTTTCTTAATCAACTTGCTTTTACTTTACTCTATGGACCCGCCCTGACTTCTTTCATGTTCCAGGTCTAAGAATCCCCTCTTGGGGTCTGGATCAGAACCACTTTCCCATAACAGATTGTCCTCCTAATGTGGGTGGCCCTCATCCAATCAATTGAAGGCTTGATTAGAACAATAGGGCTGACCGTCCCACAGGTAAGAAGGAACTCCTCTTGCCTGATTGCTGGACCTGGAACATCAGTCTTTTTCTGCCTTTGAAGGAAGGAAACATAAAAGTAAATAATGTAGTACAGACTTTGCAATTTTTTAAAATTATTTTTAAAATAAAACAACTTTTCCCAATGAGTCTCTCTTAGGTGCTTAGTTTATCTCTAAATCCAAGACCTTTACACACAATTGGTTTTGCTATAACCAGGAAAGGCCTCTTTTTAGATACATCAGATATCTCGCTCTAACTCCCTCAAAAGCATGTTGAAATGCTAGAGGGAAGATTTTTCCTCTTTGATAATTTGTTGCTCTCAAACTAGTGTGATCCGTATAGACTAGAAAGCCAGTGTGTTTATGAAACCAGGGTACTTATTTCTAGAGACTTGTGGAAACATTAACGAGGATCCCCAGGGACAGGCTACCTGACAGACTATTTTTGCTTCTTATTTGTGCAGATTAGAAATAAAATGAAACGTGCTTTGATTTTTTTATTCTCTTTTACATTTCAAAATATATTTTTAAAAAAACAAAATAAAAACCTAAGTAAATTTAAAAAATAAATACAACAGAAATTGTATATTTATCTGTGACAATGCTACCAGACTAACTAAAACTCAAATATTTTGTGTTTAGATGGAATTCTTTCAATCTAGTTGTTATTCTTCCCCAGGCAGGAACTCTGCTTGTCAATTATTTCTATTTTTCCTATTCAATGAGAAGGCAAATTGTTACCTGGAACCAAATATTTCCAAACATGGAGTCATGGGGTGTGTAGAAAATAATAAAGGAATCTTTTGTATGAAAACATTTCAACCCTTAGCATCATATACAGACAAAATGAAAGTATCATTGAAATCTAAGAATCAGCAGCAACGGTATAAGTAACACATGATCAGGGCCTATTCAATGTTTTCAAATGATCATCCTTCCTGAGTATCCCTCCTAGACAGTATAAATGGAGTTAAGTACACTTAACATCGTTAGTGAAAACACATACATTTAAGCAAACACAGCAGATGACATAAAAATAGTACTGATATAAATGTGAAATCCATTTGTCAAATACTCAATAAGGTGAGCACTTGGGATATTTAACAATGTACTTGGATGATGGTATGCATTTTCTAATTTATTGGATGCTTGCTTCTTTCATAAATGTAAATTATATATCATTACTCTTTCTAGAACACTGCTGTCCTAAAGTTAATTTAGTGATAATTTTTTTTTCAGATAATATACCTGCTAAGGAAGTAGTATGTAATCAATAGAGGAAAGTAATCAAGTGAGTAGCAGAATACACTCCCCACTTTCTCTGCTGCAGTGGAGGTATACAATAGGTCTGGGATAAAGTATTAAAACAAAAACAATGATACAACTTTCATGACATGATAACAGTCATGACCCCAAATTTCTTCTCTATTGGAGGGTCTTTTTATTTTTTGTCTCAGCTGTTCCACCTCTTAGTACCCTGTTTCCAGCTAAGGTTTCTTATTTACTGTCACCCTTCTTTCCCATCCTCTTCTTATGTCAGAACAACTCCCACTCCCTTCCCTAAGAAACTGTATTTCTGTTATTTGATTATGCAGAACAACTTTTGCATTCCTTTTCTGTAATACTCCTTTATCCCTTATAGCCCTGACCTGAACCTTTACGTAAGCAAAAGGACCACTAAAGTGTTTTCCCAAGAGTTATTTCTTTAAAAGCAATGCTGCCCTCTTCTTATCAATAGGTTCTAATTACAAGCGCCTTTTACATTTTCTGTTTGTCACTGCTTCTAGGAAGGACCGGTAAGCTCCTAACTAATTTGTCTTTCCACAGATAACAACTATGAACTCTGGACAAAACACAGTAAAGTATCTGAAAGCACTCGAGAATTAACATCAACAGATTCTAGAGGGAAGTTGACACTTGGGAGAAACAAAAGGCACTGAATGTGTTTCTTATTTTAATTCCTTCTCCTCCTGCTTCTCTCCTCTTCCCAACACCCTCCTTCTCCCTCTCTTCCTCCTCTGCATATTCCTCTTCCTCGTTCTTCTCCTCCTCTTCTTCCCCTTCTTCTTCTAATTAATAACAGTTTTTATACTTTGGGCAAGTGGCAGGCAGAGCCAGGCAGGTCAGGTGAAGGTCTAACACAAAACCCACAGGTTTTCAGGCCTAAAAACCAGAGGACAGAGTTGGGGAAAATACCATTTCTGGAAAGTCAGGTAGGGATTGGGGGGATCCCAGAAAGAAGAGAGCCAGAGAAGAGGAGATGCAAATTCTTTGTTTAAACTTTTTTTCCCCAGATCTCTGACTGACACATGAACAATGCATGCTTAGGGCAGACTTCAAGACTAGAAAATAAAACGACTGAACTGAGCTTTAAATTGACATCTGAAAGAGAGCCTTTGCAGGTGGACTCTAACAAATGACAAAGCCTGCACAAACAAAACAAACTACTAACTTTCTTTTAGAGAAACATAAATCCAGAGCCTCTGCAATATAACTTGCATAATGTATGGGAAACAATCCAAAACCACTTGACAAAAGAAGATATGAGAAAATGTAAATGGAGATTGATGCCAACGTGATTGAGCCAGATACTGGAAGTAGCTGACAAGCATTTTAAAGCAGCTCCACAAACTGCGTTTAAGAAAGTAAAAGGAAATATGCTCATAGTGAATTAAAAGAGAAATAAAAATTATAGGCAAAAAAGGAAGTTCTAGAATTTAAAAATACATAAGAAATTGTAAAAATAACCAAATAATCTTAATTGCAGAATAGAAACTCAATGTTGTTAAGAAGTTTTTCCTCCCCAAATGTATCTATAGAATCGATGCAATTTCAGTATTTCAGTCAGAATTCCAGGAGGCTTCTTGTTTTTTTTCTTTTACAGAAATTGGTAACCTTGTTCTAAAATTTATACAGAAAGGCAGGAAATCCGAAAGAGTAGAAAATTATTTTAAAAAAGAACAAATGTATAGGACTTACTATAAAACTACAATAATCAAGACAGCGTAATGCTGGTGTAAAAATAGACATATAATCAATGTAACAGAATAGAAAGCCCTAAAGAAACATACATATATGGTCAATTAATTTTCAACAAGGTGCCAAGATAATTCAATGAGGAGGAGAGGGGAGAAATAAATTTTCAAGAATTAGATGTGAAAACTAGATATCCATGTGGAAAGAATGAATGATTATGCTTATTTTCACCATATACAAAATTAGCTTAAAAGAAACCATAAACAAAAATATAGAGACACAAATGAATCAAGAAAAATAATAACATATGTTCATCAAAACATTTGTACAGAAATGTTCATAGCTGTCTTACTCATAATAGTTTAAACCTGAAGAGAGTTAAGGTGTTCATCAATAGGAGAATGGATAAACAATTGTAGTATAGTCACATGTGGTCGTAAAATGGAATAGTACTCAGCAAAGTGGAAAACTAATACAGATGACATTGATAAATCTCAAAACCCTCATGCTGAGTAAAAATAAGAAAGCCTCAGTGATATGGATTGGCTTTGTGTCCCCACCCAAATCTCATCTCAAATTGTAATCTCCATAATCCCTGCATGACGAGGGAAGGACCAGATGGGAGGTGATTAGATCATGGGGACGGTCTCCCTCATGCTGTTCTCATGATATTGAGTGAGTTCTCATGAGATCAGATGGTTTTATAAGGTAGTTTTCTGTGCTCTTGCTAGCTCTCTCTTTTCTGCCACCACGTGAAGAAGGTACTTGCTTTACCTTTGCCTTCCACCATGACTGTAAGTTTCCTGAGGCCTCTCTAGCCATGCAGAACTGT
The DNA here is from genome assembly GCF_000001405.40 of Homo sapiens. Lineage (NCBI taxonomy): Eukaryota > Metazoa > Chordata > Mammalia > Primates > Hominidae > Homo > Homo sapiens. The sequence continues at coordinate 79,981,507 of NC_000014.9, read as the reverse complement.
GAGTCAATTAGATCTCTTTTCTTTTTAAATTACTCAGTCTTGGGCTTTTTGTTATAGCAGTGTGAAAGCGGACTAACATACTTGCATATAAAGGAACAAACATGATTACATGTATATGAAGTTCTAGAACAGAAAAATCTAATCTAGGGTAGAAAAATCAGCACTGTGTTGTCTTTGAATTGATGCTGATGTTTTATATCTTGATAGGTGTTTTGGTTACACAAATGCATGTATTTGTCAGTTCTCAGAATACTTTTAAGATTTCATTGTATGTAAATTTTACATCAAAATAAAACTATATACAAATATTTAATAGTGATAAGTATGTTGAAGTATTTAAGTAGAAGTCTACTGCTATTTACTGTTTCCTTAGAAATACATCAAAAACTCTGATCAAGATCATGAAAATTTATTAAATAATTATTGCAGAGAGGGTTAGAGAGATGGGTGGTACACATGCACAAGAAAAAATTTAATGGTAAACTAGGTTGTGGTCATATGTATGTTTACTGCAAAATTTGTTCTACTCCGTTTAGTGTTTGAAAAATTGTGTATTAAAATGTTAGTTAGGAAAAGGATGTTCATCTCCTTAGCTACCCTCTAAGTGAGATAGTTCCTGTTTTGTATTACACTTTATTTTTGGTGGTGGTGGTGGTGGTGATAGTGGTGCTAAATAGAATGTCAAAGCCAAAAAGATACATATCTGTTTACAGATGAGAAAATTTGACTAGAGAGGCAGAATGAGCTGTCTATAGTAAAACAGATATTAACTTGTAAGCCAAAACTTGACTCAATTGTCCTGACCTCGTAGGTATTTTGGGGTTTTATTATATCAGTGTGGGATAGGTAGGTACCATAGCAGTGATAAAAGCTACATGCTGAAGTACATTAAACAGGGCAATTAGAAATTATTATCTATGATATACAGCACATTGTCCATGAAGCACATCCCTTCAGTTCCTGAGACTGATGTGTTTTCTCTCCTTTGAATGAACGTAATTGTGGAGGCATATTGTTATATTCTAGTTTTACCAATGACAGTTTATACCAGTGCTTCTCAAACAACCTGTGATGAAGGATCAGGTTTATATACTTTTTAAATTCAGCTCAGACCAATATTTTAAAAAATAAAACTGAATTACTAGAACTATAAAATTCTAAAAAGACTTTAAAAATAGAAGCTTCATTATTATTATTATCTTTCATTTACCGTGTCAAATTGCTAATGGAGTTTTTTAAATGCTTACTCTTAAATTCTGTTGTTATAACCTCATGGACAAGCCAAAGTTTTTAGACCAGCACCAGTGTACAGGTAGAGTCACAGGTTGGTGTTGAATTGGCCTACATTTTGCAATGGAGAAACCTAATCTTGGTGTCCTAATTTTGTACTTAAATTGGCAACAGCTGTTGCCTCCTAGTATTTATTATTGCAGGCAGGGAGTTATCACTACAATAGCTGTAAACTTTTAGATACAGGGCATTAACTGCAGTGGGTTAAATGGTACCCCTCCACCAAAAAAAAATCTGTCTATCTCTAGATACATAGAGATATCTATCTATCTATCTCTCTATCTGTATCTGTATATATCTAGAGATAGATAGATAGATAGTGTATTAATCTGTTCTCACATTGCTATTAAGATACTACCTGAGACTGGATAATTTATAAAAGAAAGATGTTCAATTGACTCACAGTTCCACATGGCTAGGGAAGCCTCAGGAAATTTACAATCATGGTGGAAGGTGAAGGGGAAGCAAACTTGGATCTTTTCACATGCCAGCAGGAGACAGAGTGCTAGCAAAAGCAGGGAAGACTGCCTTACAAAAATCATCAGATCTCATGAGAACTCACTCACTACTATGAGAACAACATGGGGAAAACTGCCCCCTCCATCCAATCACTTCCCACCAGGTCTGTTCCTAAACCCCTGGAAATTACAATTCCCAATGTGATTTGAGTGGGGACACAAAGCTTAACCATGTCATTCAAACCTGGCCCCTCCCAAATCTCATGTCGTCACATTTTAAAACCAATCATGCCTTCCCAACGGTCCTCCAAAGTCTTAACTCATTTCAGCATTAACTCAAAAGTCCAAGTGCAAAGTCTCATTTGAGACAAGCCCCTCCCTGTAAAATCAAAAGCAAGTTAGCTAATTCCAACATAAAATGGGGGTACAGGCATTGGATAAATGCTCTCATTCCAAATGCGAAAAATTGACCAAACAAAGGGGCTACAGATCCCATGCAAGTCCAAAATCCAATGACAGAGTCATTAAATCTTAAAGCCCCAAAATAATCTCCTTTGACTCCATATCTCACATCCATATCTCACTCCATATCTCTTGCATCTGCTGATGCAAGAGGTGGGCTCCCAGGGTCTTGGGCAGCTCCACTCCTGTGATTTTGCAGGATGCAGCCCCCTGCTGCTTTCACAGGCTGGCATTGAGTGTCTGCAGCTTTTCCAGGTGCAATGGTGCAAGCTGTTGGCGGATCTAATATTCTGAGGTCTGGAGGATGGTGGCCCTCTTCTCACAGTTCCACTAGGCAGTGCCCCAGTAGGGACTCTGTGTGGGGGCTGCAACCCCACGTTTCCCTTCTGCACTGCCATAATAGAGGTTCTCCATGAGGGCTCTGCACCTGCAGCAAACTTCTGCCTGAACATCCAAGTGTTTCCATACATTCTCTGAAATCTAGGTAAAGGTTCCCAAACCTCGATTCTTGATTTCTGTGCACCTGCAGGCCCAACGCCACATGGAAGCCTCCCAGGGTTGGGGCTTGCACCCTCTGAAGCAACAGCCTGAGCTGTACATTGGCCCCTTTTAGCCATGGCTGGGATGTAGAGCACCAAGTCCTGAGACTGCATAAAGCAGCAAAGCCTTGGGCCCAGCCCAGGGAACCATTGTTTCCTCCTGGGCCACCAGGCTTGTGATTTGGAGGGGCTGCTGTGAAGACCTCTGACATGCCCTGGAGACATTTTTTCATTGTCTTGGTGATTAACATTTGGCTCCTTGTTACTTATTCAAATATCTGCAGCAGGATTGAATTTCTCCCCAGAAAATGGGTTTTTCTTCAGGCTGCAAATTTGCCAAACTTTTATGCTCTGCTTCCCTTTTAAACATAAGTTCTAATTTCAGATCAGCTCTCTCAAGTTCAAAATTCCACAGTTCTCTAGGGTAGGGGCACAATGCTGCCAGTCTCTTTGCTAAAGCATAGAAAGAGTGACCTTTGCTCCAGTTCCCAATGAGTTCCTCATCTCTATCTGAGACCATCTCAGCCTGGACTTCATTGTCCATATCACTATCAGCATTTTGGTCAAAACCATTCAACAAGTCTCTAGGAAGTTCCAAACTTTCCCACATTTCATGTCTTCTTCTGAGCCCTCCAAACTATTTCAACGTCTTCCTGGTACCCAGTTCCAAAGTCACTTCCAAATTTTCAGTTATCCTTACAGTAGCACCCCACTGTCCATGGTACCAATTTACTGTATAAGTTTGTTCTCACCTGCTATCAAGAACTGCCAAAGACTGGGTAATTTATAAAGGAAAGAGGCTTAAATGACTCCCAATTCCACATGGTTGGGGAGGCCTTAGGAAACTTACAATCATGGCAGAAGGAGAACAGGCAAGAGAAAGTGTGCAAGAGCAGGGAAAACTGCCTTGTAAAACAATCAGATCTCATGAGAACTCACTCACTATCATGAGTACAGCATGGGAGGAAAGGCCCCCATGATCCAGTCATTTCCCACCAGCTCCCTCCTTCAAAACATGGGGATTACAATTTGAGATGAGATTTGGGTGGGGCCACAGAGCCATACCATATCAGATAGATAGCTAGATAGCAATATAACTTGCTAGCTGGATAGATAGATATAGAGAAATTTTACTTGGAACTTGTGTATATGATTTATTTGGAAAAAGGGTCTTTGCAGATAGTGTTTAGTTAATCATCTCTAAATTAGATTATCCTGGATTATCCAGGTGGGCCCAAAATTCAATAAAACATCTTTAAAAAGAGGAGAAGACACACAAAGACACCAGGAAGAAAGTGATGTGAAAATGGAGGCAGAGATTGATGTGGCGAGTCTACAAGTCAAAGAACACTGAGGATTGCTGGAAGCTGCTGGAAGCTAGAAAGGGGCATGAAGTGGGTTCTTCCTCAGAACCTGCAGAGGGAATCCATCCTTCAGACTCCTTAATTTTGAACTCTTGCCTCCAGAACTATGAGAGAGTACATTTCTATTGCTTTAGGCTGGAATAGTAGTAAAAGTTCATGGTTATCTGTGACTGCAGCTCTAGGGAATGAATAGACTGTTCTATGAAAAGAATTGGTCAATCTGGATCAGGTCCTGGAAACTACTTTCACTGAGACCTAGATAGAACTGATACCCCAGGAAGTTTAACACAAAGGGTGCAGGTCTCACCCTAAACTTTCATTTTTCTAAAGGGGGAAAACATAATGAAACAAATAGTAAATCAATCATCTTAAACACTGTTTAAAATTGCACTCACTAATACTGTCAATCCTCCTTACCTCATCATGTATTTTCCTATAGCATTGATTTCTTGAACTACAAAGTAATTTTATTTATTTATGTGTTTATTGTATATTGTCTATTACTACAGCTAAAGGGTAAAGTTCATGACGGTAGGAAGTTTTGTCTGTTCTGTTCATTGCTGTATCCCTAACACACAGATCACTACTTGGCATATAGTAGGCACACAATAAATACTTACTGAATAAATGACTAAAGGCAGTTTCACCATGTACCATTTCAAAGAAGCGTATAGACCCAATGAAATAATAGACCCATCATCAGGAAAAAATGCAAATGCTCTAATTATAATAAAGGAAGAACTTTTTTCTCTCATACTAGCTATTAATGAGAAAGACATTTAATCTGGGGAAATACAGAAAAATATCATTAGCAAAAAAGTGAAATCTGGAATGGGTGAGAACTTGGTAAGAGAATTCCTCATGGTTTAAATTAAGTCTAATTTCCGTGCCCATGAGAAGTACCCTTTATTCAATTGGTTTACGTTTCAGAATACAAAAATGACTTGCAGATGTGATTATAGTACCACTAGCTTCCCTTTATTTGGAGAGATGATGAAAATGGCAGGTAAGAGGCTTAGAAAATAATAGATATTTTAATTTCCCAAACGAGGCAAAGTATATTTTAAGACATTTTAGGCCAGCACTGCAAATTTGATTGTCTTCAGCAGCAAGGGAATGTGATGCAAATGAGTGAAGCAGGCAGGTTTTTGTTGTAACAGCAGCAAAGATTCAGGTGACATTTATCTGGTACTTGCTTAGTGCCAAGCTCTGTTCTAAGCATTCTATGTGGATTAACTCATTGAATCCTCGTAGGAACTCTTTTAGAAATATGCTGTTACCACCAATATGTCCTTTTATAGAAGATGAAACAGAAAAGTTGAGTAATTTGTCCAGGGTTACTCAGGTAAAATGAGACAAGCTCTTTAGGCTTGAAACCCAGACATTCTGAATTTAGAGTAGGTGCTCTTACGTATTATTCAGGTGCTTGTCAAACTGAACATGCATCATAATCACCTAGATGGCTTGTTAAAATAGAGCGTGATCTCCACTACCAGGATTTTGATTCAGTTTGCATTTATAACAAGTTCTCAGATGATGCTGATAATGTGGCCTTGGTGAGGCAGAAGGTGGGACTCAACTCCAGAGGCAGGGCTTGAGCTCTGGACCAGATTGAAGACTAGTTGAAATAGGGAAGAGGCAAAAGCACTTCTTCATAAGACAAGCCCACCAGTGCCATGCCAGTTTACCATTGCCATGGCAACACCCAATAGTTACTCTTGCTTTCCATGGCAATGGCCCAGAAGTTACCACCCTTTTTCTAGAAATTTCTGAATAACCTGTCCCATAATTTGCATATAATTAAAAGTGGGTATTAATATGACTGGAGCGCTGCCCCCGAGCTCCCACTCTGAGCACACTGCCTATGGCTTAGCCCTGCTCTGCAAAGAGCAGTACCTCTACTACTGCTGTACCCTGCTGCTGCAATAAATTTGCTGTCTAACACCACTACTGGCTCACCCTTGAATTTTTTCCTGGGCAAAGCCAAGAACTCTCACAGCCTATGCCTCAATTTTGGGGCTCATTTTTCCTGTATCACTGGGACCATACTTTGAAAACCATTATACTACCCTATACAAATTAGTGGCAAACTAGAGAATGCATGATGAAATCATTTATTTAAAATCATTTAAATTCATCCAATTAAAATTATTCATATTCACATCTAATAAGTCAAAGGAGGAAGGAAAGGGGAAGATGGCATGTCTTCAGAATAAATATGTTCTGCTTGCTTCAGCAAACCGGAATGAACCGAGTCAATAATGGAAGAATTTGTTGTAATATATTTGTGTTTCTTTGTGTCCAAGAGTGTTATTCACACATGAAGCTCAAGATGGTCCCTGATGATATGTCACAGAGATTCCTAAGGTACTCTTTTGTAAAGGTAAGTATGAGTAGTGTTAAAAAGAAAACTTAAGCTGAATTAAATTCAAAGGAGTTATTGCTCAGTTATTTAAACTGAGTAATGAATGGTTTGTGAATCAGGCAGCCCCCAGAATCACAGCAGATTCAGAGAAACTCCAGAACAGCCATGTGGTAGAAGAAGATTTATAGACCAAAAACAAGGGAAGTGAGGTACAGAAATTGGAAGTGAGGTACAGAAACAGCTGGATTGGTTACAGCTCAGTGCTTGCTTTATTTAAACACAGTTTGAACACTCAGCAGTGTATGACTGGTTGAAGTATGGCTGGAGGGATTGGCCAGAACTCGTGATTGTTACAGGTGCATACTCCTAAGTTAGGTTTTTGAACTTGTCTACCTATTAAGTTAGGTTGCAGTTCATCCACAAGGGCTCAAATATAGAAGTATGGAGTCTTTCTCAGGCCATATTTCGTTTGCTTTAACAGTAGACAGTAAAGAGTAATAATAAAATATATGTAGTGTAGTGGGTCAAATTCTAGCCCTCAAAATTCATGTCTGCGAACATCCTCTGATGCAACCATATTTGGAAATGGAGCCATGAACACGTAATTAGTTAAAATGAGGGCGTACTGGCTTAGGGTGGGCCACAAATTCAATGGCTGGTGTCTTTATAAGAAGATAAAAATTTCCTACAGAAATCAATAAAAAAGGACACATAATCCAATATAAAAACAGAATGATATGAACAGGTAAAAAGAGGAAAATAAGTTATTTAAAAACATATGAAAAGATGCTTAGATCAGATAATGACGAAATTTAAACTAAATACAATAGTTTTCATTCTTTTTTATTATTGTTTTCATTTACAGAATGACTAGACAGAAAATACTTCCTTAGTTCTGTAACAAGCAATGATTCCTGGAGTGGGAAATGTTCTTGTGGGACCAGAGCTCAGTTGCAGCCTTTGCAGACTAATGCTCCTGATATTAACAAGAGGTCTTGTGTTAACCCAACGATCTAACTCCAGCCTGGTGAACCTGATCTTTGGAACTATTAGGGGGGAAGATAAAAAGCCAGGTGAGACAGAGCTGTGAGGGATACCCAGGAGTCAGAAGAATCCTCTCTCCTCAGCTAGACATAGTCTAACCGACTTCCACAGACACAAAAATAATTTACTCTCACACCACCAATGAGTGATAGTGCCTATTTCTCCATAACCCTGCCACAAAGACATTATTGTATTTTTTAATCTTTGATAATTCATGCATTTGTCATTTGGTACCATCTATGCAAAGGTAACTGACACACATTCACACTCATGTCACGTGGGGTGAGAGAAAATTAGGCTTATTCAGAAAACTCATAGGCAGTAGGACTAACAGTGTGCAAGTGTCCACAGTTTTGTTAATATCCTGAGGAGGGGCACATGGTACCAAATGACAAATGCACGTATCCTTTTACTCAATTTTACTTCTGGGATTTGGTCTACAATTATATCACATATCTAAGGGAAACACTTTTCTGCAAAATCATTCATCACAGCATTATTTGAGGTAGCAAATTATTGGAAACAGTTTAAATATCTACAAATAGCAAAGTAGTTAAATTATGGTGCACGCATACAACAGAAAACTATGCAGCTCTAAAAAATTAGGAAGTGTGTATGTACAGATATGGAATAATTTCTGAAATACATTTTTAGGTTAAAAATTAAGGTACAAAACATATGAGTAATATACTGCAACAAGTGTAATAGAAAAGGGGAAATTTCTACGCACGTACATTCATTGTTCCAATTCTGTTCTTTGAATGGATTCATATTAAACTGATAACATTAATTCCCTTTGAAAAGAGCTGCTGGTTGGCTGTGACTAAGGGGAAGATAGAAACATTTTACTGTATACTCTTTTGTGCCTTTTAAATTTTGAACCATTTAATGTATTATATTTCCAAAGGAAACCATTGAATAAAATAAAATAAGTATTCAGCATCCAAGCCAAACAAATAATTACAGAAACTATAGATCATCAGTTGCGAGAGTTACAGATGAATGCCGGATAGCAAGGGACTAGGGCTGATGTAGATGACCCCTAAGGTCTCTTTCGTTTATAAGCTCCTGTAGCACAATGATGGACGCCTCTATATGGCTAGACAGAAACAACAGCTGCTTAATATGCATACTACCTTCTGAGTGCCAATCTTTTTTTTTTTGAGTAACCTTATCGTTTGCATTTTAGTTTTCATGGGCTCTTTTCTCGTAAGATCTAGCAAGAAAGAGAAAACACCTGAAACTGACCATCTCATGCTCTTTAAGATGGGTGGCTTTCAATGTTCTAGAACATTCAGCTTAAATTATGTTGACGCTTTCCCTTTCTACCATAAGGAAGGAGTCAGAAAACCATTCTTATAAAATAAGTTGAAATATTTGAAAAAATCAGAATGGCATGTGCCCCACACAACTAGAGTTTCAGTGAAGTGATTCTCTCAAAAACGGTGGAGAATAACTAGGAGGAGTCCAGGAGTCTTCCAAAATGCTAGGCCATTCCTACCAGGGATTCAGAGAATTTTCTACTCTGCAGGGAACTGGGGAGATGCCAAAGTAATCACTTTCTGCTTGCTCAAGTTTGCCTGCAGTTTTCAATTGGATGCAGTGCCTTCCATTTCCCACCCTACATTTTTGCAGAGCTGTGACACTGTACTTCAGAGAAGAGCTACAAATCTACATCCACATGGTGAGTTTAATGAGTAGCAATGAAATTAGTAGTAGTATTTGGTACAGACAAATAGCAACCAGTAAGCTCTTTGGGATGAGAAAAAAGAGACTAATTGTGACCATTTGATAACTAGTTAATAACTAGGTAGCTAAAACTTATCAAGCACTCACTATGGTAGCTGCAATACTAAGGGATTTGCCTACATAATTTGATTTTAGCCCTCACATCAACACTATGATGTAAGTACAATTACTATTTCCACTTTCCAGAGCAGAAAGCTTGGAATGACCAGGTCATTTGCCCAAGTTGACACAAGCTGTGGGTGGTGGATCTAGGAACTCTTTCTTCACAAGTAGCACCTTTAATCATTATGTTATACTGGACTAAAAAGATAACACAATCTAAGTGTAAAGATTATAACAAATATGTGAGATTCAGAATGTGAGAAGAAAACAAAATACACTGCTCCTTTAAAACAGCTGTGTAGACAATTTCTTCCCTGGGCATTGAATAAAATCTTGAGCAGGTTTCATAGCTTCTCCAGTGGCTATATTATTTTTAGCTAATAAAAATTCCCTCATACTTCTAGATGCAATAACCATCTTACTTCAGAATTAAAATTGCCAGTCCATGATGGTAATCAGGACTCCAAGCTTCATTTGAGGCTAAAGCTCCTATGTCACCATACAATAATAAGATGCCTTTGACTCCTTCAGTTTGGGAGTGGCTTGGGTGGGGGTGGGAGTGAAAGGAGGAAGAGACGTTCGGGGCAGTAAAGATTTAACATGCTAGTACTGTCATACCATCATGATCTCACTTTGTTGATTTCAGGGCCTGGTGGTTGTCCAAAGCTGACTCATTATCTCATGAGGAGCTTTTATGGATTTCTAAAAGATTTTCCCACTGGCAACCTCCAGCCACATTTCCTGAGGTTCTCTGCTAGGTGTCTGCTTATAATTCCTCCCAGACCATGGGCACCCAGTGGTCTGTCGACTCTGTTGGGGTCTTGTCTTCCCTCTAGACAGCTCTTTTTGTGTGGGATCCAAGCTGAATCCCAGTTTGAGCCCTACAATTAATTCCTGGGAAACATGGGATGAGTGCAGCTGCTGACCAATGAAGCCACCACAATGTCCTACATTTGAACTTTTCTTGAAATAAAGATGGCATCAGTCTATGTATTTCATAGATTGCCAATTTCTTTGAGTAGTTTTCTTCATCTCCACTTACTTGGCTTGAGGTCAGGGATAAGTACACTTTGCTCTCCTCTGTCAGGGCAGTGAGGTGTGTGTGTTAAGTCAGAATTGGTGGTGATTGCCATACCATTCTAATAGCTCTCTCCAAAGAAATTGGAAGTCTCAAAAAATAGTAGTCCTCTTTTTTGGCTCTCCAACCTTTTAAATATCCTTGAGACAGTTCTTATGCTAGGGGTTGCCAAAGGAAATTTCCAGAATACTTCTTTTGCAAGTCCTGCATATATGGCCTGGCTTCTTATTTTAGATTGTGGAGGTTATTTGGCACCAATCATTTTGTTCTCAGCCTTTGGGGGGTTTCAGCTGAAACAGAGAAAGGAAAGAACAATTTTAACATCCTATTATAAATGTTTTTCTGTATTGGTTAAATGGTTCTTATAGGAAATAGAAAGTTTAAAAATGAATTGTTGTCCTGTACTTTCCAAACATCTAGCTATTTCTATTTTTATGATGAAATTTTCTTCATGCAGAATAAGAAGTTGAAATGGGACAGCTCAGACTCTAAATCCTGAGGCCTACTCAGTTTTTAACCCGAAATTGTCCTTCCATATTTGAAATAAGCTTTTCCTCTACCATTTTCATTCCAAATCTAGGAGCTTCTGAACCCTCAATTAAGCCTAGCCAACTTAATTATCTTAGCTAAGTGTTTCTTTCTCATTCAGCTTATAGTTCATTTATCCCTTCCTGGGATATGAGTCATTATGATACAGCTATATAACCAATATACTTGCTTGTCTGGGAGTCATTTTAATGTCTCTGAAAGATGGAATTATCATAGTTTATCTGACTTCCATATAAACAGAAAGAAAAACTGAATTCAAGTCCAATAAAACAATCTCTTTCTCGGTCTGCATCCTCTTTGTCTATCTTACCTGTATTACACATTAATGCTCTAGACGCATCTCGTTCTGTTGGGCTGCCTCCCTGTGACTCTTCCAGGACTGCGGTGTCTTTTTGGAAATGTAATCTTCTCTTAACTTCTGTGGGTGGTCCTATTCCTACCTCTTGAACTTTCCTCCTATTCTCTTCCGTGGATCCTTATCCTAGTGACTGTCCTGGAACATTTTCTTTCTTCCCTTCACTTAGCAATTGCATCCACACCCTGTTGTAATGGCCACCCAAATACAATTAATTCCCCTAGTGTTATCTTTACTTTATTCTGTTCCCTTGCACCTACTTGTGTATTTACCTTTATTGTGGCCCTTATCACATCCAAGTATAATCACTTGCCTGTAGGACTGTCTTTGCCAATTAATAAATCATTGACACTGGAGATCTGGCTTCTTATTCACCTACTCAGTACCAGACATATGGTAGGTGCTCATAAAAATTAAAATAAATGAAAGAAAAGTTTTAATCTTTGCTTGCTGGATAACATCTGTATATCTAGTTGGTCTCTTAAATTAAACATGGATAAAACAAATAGCATCATCATTTACTACGTTTCCTTCTGATTTCCCAACTTCAGTACCATAAGACTCACCTTTTATTCTACTGTTGGCCTTATCTACCAAATCTAAGCAATCATCAAGTCCTGTCTATTCCAGTTGGGCAGTATTTTTGCATTTGATTCATTATTCATTTCCAGTTTCCAAATCTTAATTGCCATTGGTTTGGACACTCATATTAACTTTCTAAATACTCAGTTGTGCCACAGGGAAAGTATACATTGTGAAATCCGGCAGATAAATGTTCAAATTTTGGGTCAGCTGTTAGATGAGAAGCAATGTACTTAAACTTTTGAACCTCAGTTTCACCATATAAGTTTGCACTGTAATCATTGATTAAATCCTCCATGAGATATTAGCTTTTAAGGCAAGGAATAATGTCTTATTCGACTCTTTATTCTTATAAATCAACCATAGTTCCTGGCATATCGCTGCTACTCATTGGTGCTATTTGTTGAATAAATGGGTGTGATAAGATCTACCTCACAATGCTAAAGTTAAAGAAATAAACTAAATTTAATGGGCTGGGCATGGTGACTTATGCCTGTAATCCCAACTCTTTGGGAGGCCAGTGAGTTATTCTTTCTTTTCCATATGAAGTGGGCAATGTTTGCAGTTGAGAAATTTTCTCATCCTGCTTCCTGACTGTAGAATGTTAGGAGTCCAGAAATCTTGATTCATTTTGAACTCTCAGTCCTTTTTAGTCTAAGCTGGTAGTACCTACTCTGACACCTGAGCCCAGGAGGTCGAAGCTGCAGTGAGCTGAGATCACACTACTGTACTCCAGCCTGGGCAACTGGAGTGAGATCCTGTCTCAAAAAATAAACAAATTTAGTAAAACATGTCCAGGAAGCATAAAAAGATGTGTGGAGGGGTCCATATACAGGATAACCAAGACCCCTAACTGTCAGAACTGGATGAGTTATCAACTAGCACTGAGCACCAACTGCCAAGCAGATCAGTGACACCATTTTTGGACTTCCCATTTGTCCTGGCACTTAAACCAGCATCATTGGAAACAAAAGAACCCCCTAGTCAATTCATGGAAACTTGAGATATGAAAAATTTTTATTGTTATAAGCAACTAAATTTGGGGGCAGTATAGAGATGTAGTAGAGCCATAGCTAAACCTAAAACACATGGCATTGTCTTTGAGCTGAGACTGAGCACAGGCATAGAGAAAAGTAGGAAGACTTAGTGGAGGCTAAAAATGTAATGCGGTAATTAACATTGGAGGCTGGAGGAAGGGTGCCCAGTATCATATAGTGATAGAAAATTTGGCAACACTGTCATCTACAGTAACACAGAAAACAAAAAATACAAATAATGAACTTAAGGATTTGGCAAAAGTGATTTCCAGGCAGGATGCTGAGTGCGTCAATTAGCTTCTTTTAACTGCTGATAATAAAGTGATGAAAAAGAGAGAGGACCTAAAAAAACAAATTCGGATTTCAAGCAGAGTTTAGAGAAGAATTTTCCAAACTAAAAGTTTCAAAGTTGGAAAACAAAACTGTTTCTTGGTCCAAGCCTCTCCAGATGGCAATAAGTTGGCAAAGTAAGAAATGGCTCTGGGAAAAGATCAAACCCAGGATGATGCTGATACAATGTCTCAGATCAGAATCAAGTAAAGGATGTGTTCGTTAGACTCTTTGTTAAGACCTCATAAATATTAAAGCCTTTGCTTCCTAGACTTCTCAGCTAGATTAAAAAAAAAAAAAAAAGGTTTTTAGGCCAGATGCAGTAGCTCATGTCTGTAGTCTCGGCACTTTGGGAAGCAGAGGGGTGAGGGTCACTTGAGGTCAGAAGCCTGGGAAACATAGCAAGACCATGTCTCTACAAAAAAAAAAAAAAAATTAAAATTATCTGGATACGGTGGCACATGCCTGTAGTCTTAATTTTTTGGGAATCTGAGGCAGGAGGATTGCTTGAGCCCAGGAGCTGAAGGCTGCAGTGAGCAATGATTGCCTCACTTCATTTCAGGCCTGGTGACAAAGCAAGACTCTGTCTTAAAAAAAAAAAAAATCTTTTAAACATCTTGAGTTCATGCTGTTTCAGGTGAAAAAAGTAGAAAAAAGTACTTGTAAAACTTTCAAGGGCAACATCTCACAGCGCCCCAATCCTCACCTCAAGGTTGAAAGGTGCCTGTCTTTAAGAGTGTGACCTTAACCCCAGTAGGTGTGGATGCTAGTTCTATTAAGTGTGTGTGGCTTATGTACAATGATGCTAATTCCAATAAGAGTCACAGGAAACCTACAAAGTTCCTAAGAAAACTGTCAGAGTAGGTACTACCAGCTTAGACTAAAAAGGACTGAGAGTTCAAAATGAATCAAGATTTCTGGACTCCTAACATTCTATGGTCAGAAAGCAGGATGAGAAAATTTCTCAACTACAAACATTGCCCACTTCATATGGAAAAGAAAGAATGACTCACTGGCCTAAGATCTTGAAAGCAGAACAAAAAACTAAGGAGAATTATTCATAGGGACCAGCAGTGGGCCCCAATCAATGTAAATTTTTTGAAACTGGCACACAGATTACCAACATCTGTCTGGCTGGATATCAAAATTTGTATAAACAGTTGACCTAAATGTAATTGTTCCCCCCTTTTTGATTGGGAATGTCTATTACGGGGAGACATCTCCCCATTGTTTGTTGGGCATAGGAATGGAGTAGTAGATAGTTCATAGGTCTTTGTACCCAAGAGGATTCATTCTTAACCTGATCTAATTTAGATAAAAAAGTCCTGGAACTTGAGTATGAGCCTAATGTTAAAATGGGATGAGATTTTGGGGAGATAGGCTAAGAATATTTTTCAAGTGTCAGGAATATGAATTCTTATGTCCAGAAGATAAATAGTGGTAGATTGTTTTTACAAAGATGATTATAATAATATCGGCCATCCCATCTACTTCCTTGTGATATGACCTTGCCACTTTCCTATCGAGACATGAAGTCTATTTTCTCTCCCCTTAAATTTGTGATGCTCCAATGACCCACTTTGAACAAAAGAATGGGGGCAGATATTATGCTGTGTAACTTCAGAGTTTTGTTGTTAAAAGATCTATAACTTCCACCTTTGCCACTTGGAACAGTCCTTTTTAGATCTTCACTACCATGCTCACTACCATGCTGCGAGGAAGCCCAAGCAGTTCAAGGGGGAGGCCCAAGTAGATAAAAACTGAGGCCCTTGGCTGAGCTCCCAGTCAGGGCACCAACTGCTAAAAATATAAGTAAGAGCATTTTGGAACATCCAGTCTTCCCAGCACCTCAGCTGATACCAAGTGAATCAGAAATATCCACAAAACCTTCAGAAATACTAAGTTGCTGTTGTCCTAAGCCACTATCTCTTGGGGATGGTTTGTTACACAGTAATAGATAACAGACAAAAATAAGTATATGTGGAGACAGACTGCAAATATCCTAGGTCACTACTCAGGAGCCAGTGAAAAGATCAAAGCAGTGAGGTTATAGTTTTCTACAGCTTCACATAGTTGGCCTTATGTAGTTGATTATGAATCAGCAGTAGTATTTATTTGTCAGTGGTGACTAGATTTTTCTTGGAATCACCAGCATTTGAAATAGTATTTAGTCTAGTCAAGGTTTAAGTGCAAGCAAGTGCGATTTGTGTACTCAGAGATTCTGAGGTCTATGTTCTTACTTTTATAAGTTCGGAAACAAGGAATATTATGCTCAATATATTATGTGATCTAGTCTTAATTATTTTTGTTAGGCTTTTTTTACTTTTCTCCTATATGAGTTTCTAGTTGGTCAAAACAAACTACTCATTTTCCCAAAATATCTTTTCCTCTTTGGATTCCATTTCTTTGCTTCAGTCATTCACTCAATCATTTATGTAGAAGTACTCTGTAAATTAAAAGGAGCTATAAACTTTTATCACTTTGCATTGGATTTTAGTTATGGACATATTTTCTCTATAAAATTATAAGCTACTTAAGAGCAATGAATGTCAATTTTATTTTTGTTTCATCTTCCATGCTAAAATAGATTTAAGCATAGTAATCAAAAGCATTCTCTCTCTCTCTCTCTCTTTCTCATCCATTGTATCTTTTGTAAGTTCCAGGGAAACCTAAAGATTCCTCCCTATAAAATCCGTACTCTTTGGCATGATGAATGAGACCCTTCACTACTGGCCTCCTGCACTCTTTCCAGCCTCATTTCTGGCCTTTTAACCGCTCTCACTAGGGATTTGCAATGATAAAAGAAACTGTAAAGTGAAACTATTAAAAAAAAGAGCATGTTCAGGCTGGGCGCGCTGGCTCACGCCTATAATGCCAGCACTTTGGGAGGCCAAGGCGGATGGATTACCTGAGGTCAGGAGTTCGAGACCAGCCTGACCAATAAGGTGAAACCCTGTCTCTACTAAAGATACAAAAATTAGCCAGGAGTGGTGGCAGGCACCTGTAATCCCAGCAAAATGGGAGGCTGAGACAGGAGAATTGCTTGAACATGGGAAGCGGAGGTTGCAGTGAGCCAAGATCATGCCACTGCACTCCAGCCTGGGCGATGGAGCAAGACTCCATAAAAAAAAAAAAAAAAAAAAAAAAAAAAGAGCACGTTCAAAAGATTTGGGGCAGCCATGAAAAACAGATCACTACTATATAGAACCTGTGACAGAGCCAGATATTGATTTCTCAAGATTCATTCTCCCCTCCTTTAATAATCGAATCTCTGAATATTAACTGGGCATATGACCAATCAAAATATGGACTACATTTCCCACACTTCTTTGAAGCTAGATGTGACAATGTAACTAATTTCTATCCAATGAGATATAAGTACATACAGCTTAAGAAATGCTTAAAAGTAGGACTAAGTACTTCTGCAGATTTTTAAGCAAGGAATGCTTAGAAGTGGGACTAAGTACTACTGACTTTTCTTTCTTCTGCTGCTTAATTGTGGACAACATGAAGCCCGAGAAGCCATCTTGGACCATAGGGTGAAAGCTACAAGTCAAGGATGATAGAACAATGAAATTTAAGAAGCCTGGGTTTCTAATGATCATGGAGTGACTACATAAGCTCTGAAATGCTTATGTCTAGAATTAATTTTGATATGAGAGCAGTACATTTCAACCAAATAACAATGGTTCAAAATGCCACTGTTATTTGGGCATCTCTATCACTCACAGCTAAAACTACTCTTTCCTGATACCATGTCTCAATTGTGGACAAAATGTTGAATAAGCAATCCTCCAAGTACTGGTACTCATATGGGAACTCATGTGGGAACAAGACTCTTATTTCAGTTAAGTCTTTAGTTTTTCATGTCTGGATCAAAGCAATTCATACAAGGAGAGAAAAATATCACTTTCAAAAATAAGATTTGCATTTACTTTCAGTTTTTATTTTACTTTCCATTTTATCTAGTTGAACCTGCCTTTGTATGACTTTTTGACAATGACCTGACACAGTTTCAGAGAAAAAGAGAGAAAGAAAGAGATGTGGTTCCTTCCATGAAAGGATAACAAGGTGCTGATTCCAAACACTGTCCTTATCCATTTTTTTCCTTTCCCTAGATTTTTTCATCCACTTTGTTTCCTAGGTTCTTACACAGAGATGATGAACAGAAAATATTGAGGCAGTTTAATTGCTACCATGTTGTCAGTATTGTCTTATCTGGCACATTTAGCTCCATTCTGGTTCTAAGGCAGCCATGGCTGAGTTCTTTGATGCCAATAACATATACTGAGGGCTCTATAATAAGTAGCACATGAAGCATAAGAGATGAGAAAATCCTGTCATGCAAATACATGAACACCCATGCTCCAATTAGTGGGTGGGGATGGGGATGTCTCTCTATATAATTTTGGATTTGGAGGAGGAGGAGGGATATCAAGAGAAAGTTGTGAGTAGCAAAAACAACAGATGTACTTTGCCATTTCAAGAAAAATAATATCTATTCAGACAGTTGAAAGATTAAATCATTAATTGCCTTTATTAACTAAAATTGTACATTGGCACATTTTCAGGAGCCAAATTCTCTGTAAATTTTTTATTCCCATTATGACTGTTTTCAGCTGTGCTCACCATACTCTTCATGACTTAAATATGATCCTTGTTCTTCTCTATTAGAACATGTCCTTTGCTTCCCTTGAGATTTGATTAAATACTTGCCTTTTACAATAAAAGAGGCTCAAAATCAACCAAGCACCCCAAAATTGGGGTAACTGGTGGTTATACTTGATGTGTTTAAGAGATTGAAGAGAAGATCAAGATGGTGGTTACCATGAGCAGAGAGAGCTGTTTTCGAAGCATGGAATTCTAGACTCAGATCATTGCTGCTCAGAATGGCACCACACAGGCTCCCTGTACTTTGTAAATTCTTTGTTCAGATATGTGATTGACTTCGTTGTAAATATAAGTGACTGATCCATCAGAAATGACTTGGAGCTGCCTTGGATATTTTGAGAGAAAAGCTAAACAACATTATTTTATGTCTACTTTGTGATGGAAATAGCCACTGGGTGTGCAATCATAATTAAGACATGGCCTCTGCCTTGGAAGACTCATATTCTGGTGGGAAATATAGATATTATATTATTTGGGAAACTTGACTTGTAAAAAAGGAAACAACATCATAGTGAATAATTAAAGGAAAGATGCATTTTAAAATTTCAGGTATGCCAAACTACCTAGCAATAACACTTCTGGGTATGTATCCTAGAAAAATGAAACTTACGTTTATACAAAAACATTCACGTGGACATTTATAGAAGTTTTACTTATAATAGCTAGAAAGCTATAAGCAATCCTAACGTTCTTCAGTGAGTGAATGAATCAACAGACTGTGGAGCAGTCATATGATGGAACACCATACAGCAATGAAAAGGAACAAGCTACTGATACATGCGACAACTTGGATGGATCTAAGGGAAATTAAGCTAAGTGAAAAGAGCTCATCTCAAAAGGCTACATACTTCATGATTCTATTCATATAACAGTATTAAATGGCATAATTTTAGACATGAAGAACAAGTCAGTGGTTGCCAGGGTTAGGGTTGCAGGGAGGATCTGGCTATTAAGGGGTAATATGAGGGAATTTTTTTGTGGTATTGGGACAGTTACGTGTCCTGATTGTGGTGATGGTTGCAAGAATCTATACATCTATATATGAGATAAAGTGTCATAGTACTAAAAGCAAACACACAAAAGATGAGTGCATGTAAAAATTGCATAAAGTCTCTGGTTAATAGTATTGTACCAACACCAATTCTGATTTTGATGACATATTACAGTATTAATAATATGAGATGTTATTTTGGGGGGGAGAGTTCAGGTTGGTGAGTGTACAGAGAAAGTGTTCTATTTCTGCAACTTCTTGTGAATCTTAAGTCATTTCAAAACAAAGAGTTTTCAAATTTAAAAAATCTACATATACTTTTTGAGACTAGGAGGCAGAAATTTAGCCAACTCTGTCAGAGTTTTGGAAGTCATTTGAAGGAATACTCTTTCTCTTATTTCTGTTTCTTTTGGTCATGCCCACTTCATTTATATATCTTCAAAATGACTTCTCAAAAATAAGTCATTTTAACAAAAATACACATGCACCTTTATGCTCATCACAGCACTATTCACAACAGCAAAGATATGGAATCAACCTAGATGCTCATTAATGGTGGACTGGATAAAGAAACTGTGGTACCCATACACCAAGGAATACTGTGCATCCATAAAGAAGAATAAAATCAAGTCCTGTGAAGCAACATGGATGCTGTTGGGGGCCATTATGCTAATCAGTTTACTGCAGGAACTTAAAAACCAAATCTCGCATGTTCTCACTTATAAATTGAATACTCATGGACATAAAAATAGGAACAATAGAAACTAGGGACTACTAGAATGGGGAGGGAGGAAGGAGGCCAAGGGTTGAAAAACTAACTGTTGGATACTATGCTCACTACCTGAGTGATGAGATTGATTGTATCCCAAACCTCAGCATCTCACAATATACCCAGCTAACAAACCTGCACATGTACCCCGCAAACGTAAAATAAAAGTTGAACAAAAAAGTTTTTTCTTTTCACTTCTACCTTCCATATATCAGAAAAAGGGAATTTTTGCAATTTCTTAGTTTTAAATCCTCTTCATGTATGAGCCCAGACCAAGATAAAACTGGAATTTCATGATCCCAGCTCCAAATTTTACGGGAAGTGACTGCCATGAATTGGCACAGCCTGGGCTTCCCACCCATTCCTGTTACAGGCAGTTATTGTCAGAGAATTGAATCACATAGTACAAATGAGGCACATTTTCCAAGGAAGGGAGGATGGTTTGAAGCTAGGTAAACACACCAAAAAGTGGTACTACAGATATGCAACCACATCAATTGCTTTACAACTTGGAAAATATGATACCACTTGTATGAAGTCGTTGTGAAGTACAAACACAGATCACCTGATTGTTTGACTAACCATTGACATTGCATTTTTCTTGGTATTGTTTTGTTGGTATTCTTGAATATGACATATACCAACCCCTTCCAGTTAATCTGGTGATCATGTTGCTATGTTTAGCAGATGCTGTGTGGATGCTTATGCAAGGATTCTGTAGGTATCTGTCATTCAGGAGAGGATGGGTTATATTTTTACTGCAGGCAATCCTTCAAGTTTGATGCTTTGTAACAACAACTGCTTATTTCTTGCCCAGATCATATTGACCTCAATCTCAGATTGGCTGCCCAGAGGTGGAGTTTGGACTCTGCTCCATGTCATTGTCACAGAAGACCCAGGCAGACTGAACCTCCACCTTTGGGAACTTCGCTGGTCCCCATGAAACAGAAAGGAGAACATGAAATACTTTGGAGTTTCTAAGCTCTCTAACAAAGGGCAAGAATCTTCACTGCCCTAACATGGCTCATTTTTTCTTCTGTTTTCTCTACATAAGCTGATACAGATAGGGTTTGAGTTGTTTATATGAGATTTTATCAATAGTAAAAATAGACCTTTATCTTACATTTGCAAGTTACCTGGCAATAATCACTTTCTTTTTCTTTGATTCTCAGACACTTTTTGCTTTCCAAGTTATAAAAGAGTAAAGTGATGGATTCCATAACCTCAAAAGCCTGTCTCCTCCCCCTGCTCCATGGATGAAATCTCTTTTAAGTGCAGGCCTCTGCCCTGGGCAGGGAAGCAAGTGCAAATATGGACAATATACAGCTCAGTGAGTAAGACACCGATAAGGAAACAGATTGTAACAATACAGGGTAGTGAGGAGCTGTAAAGAAAAGAACAACACATTATGGATTTCAGATAACACTTTTTAGGGGCTGTGCACGGTGTCTCACACCCGTAATCCCAGCACTTTGGGAGGCTGAGGTGGGCAGATCACCTGAGGTCAGGAGTTCAAGACCAGCCTGGCCAACATAGTGAAACCCCGTCTCTACTTAAAATACAAAAATTAGCCAGGTGTGGTGGTGCGTGCCTGTAATTCCAGCAACTCGGAAGGCTGAGGCAGGAGAACTGCTTGAACCCAGGAAGTTTTGGTTTCATGGAGATTGCAGTGAGCTGAGATTGTGCCATTGCACTCCAGCTTGGGCAAAAGAGTGAGACTCCATCTCAAAACACACAAACAGACAAATAAACAAAAAAAAAAACAGAGATTTTTTAGAGAAGGATCTTTGTGACCAGTGAAAAGCCTTACAGGAAAAACAAAAACAAAAAATAAACACACAGAAAAAAACATTTGAAATTGAGCTTAAGGAATCAATTAAATTTGCATGTACAGAGAAGAAAAAGGGCCTCCTCGTGATAACCCTGTGTGGTAAACAAGGGAAGCTCAAAAAATTTTGTTGAATGAAAGGTGGCCACTATATCAATCACAGCATAAAGCACCCAGATTCTGGATGAAGGAGCTGAAAAGCCACGAGAAGAGGAGGTTGACAAAGAGGGATCTAGGGCACAATGAACAAGTTAATTTTTTTTCTTCAGCTTTTTAAAGTTCAGGGGCACATGTGCAGGATGTGTAGGTTTGTGTATGTCATGGTGGTTTGCTGCATAGATCATCCCATCTTCTAGGTATTAAGCCCAGCATCCATTAACTATGCTTCCCGATGTTCTCCCTACCCACCTCCAACAGGCCTCATTGTATGTTTTTCCCCGCAATATGTCCATGAGTTCTCATCATTCAGCTCCCACTTACAAGTGAGAACATGTGGCATTTGGTTTTCTGTTCCTGCATTAGTTTGCTAAGAATAATGGCTTCCAACTCCATCCATGTCCCTCAAAGGACATGATCTCATTCCTTTCTATGGCGGCATAGTATTCCATGGTGAATATGTACCATAGTTTCTTTATCCAGTCTATCATTGATGGGCATTTTGGCTGATTCCATGTCTTTGTTATTGTGAATAGTGCTGCAATGAACATACACGTGCATGTATCTTTATAACAGAATGAATTATATTCCTTTGGGTATATATATCTAGTAATGGGATTGCTGGGTGAAATGGTATTTCTGCCTCTAGATCTTTGAAGACTCACCAAACTGTCTTCCACAATGGTTGAATTTACACAGTGTAAAAGTGTTCCTTTTTCTCTGTAACCTTGCGAGCATCTGCTGTTTTGACTTTTTAATAATCACCATTCTGACTGGCGTGAGATGGTATCTCACTGTGGTTTTGATTTGCACTTCTCTTTTGGTCAATAATGTTGAGCTTTTTTTCATTTGTTTGTTGGCCACATGTGTGTCTTCTTTTGAGAAGTGTCTGTTCATGTCCTTTGCCCACTTTTTAATAGGGTTGTTTTTATTTTGTGTGTAAATTTGTTTAACTTCCTTGTAGACTCTGGATATTAGGCTTTTGTCAGATGAATGGGTTGCAAAAATGTTCTCCCATTCTGTAGGTTGTGTGTTTGCTCTGATAATAGTTTCTTTTGCTGTGCAGAAGCTCTTTAGTTTAATTAGATCCCACTTGTCAATTTTTGCTTTTGTTGCAATTGCTTTTGAAGCTCATCATGAAATCTTTGCCCATGCCTGTGTCTTGAATGGTATTGCCTAGATTTTCTTCTAGGGTTTTTTATAGTTTGGGGTTTTCAATTTAAGTCTTTAATCCATCTTGAGTTAATTTTTGTATATGGTGTAAGGAAGCAGTCCAGTTTCAATTTTCTGCATTTAGGTAGCTGGTTCTCCTAGCACCATTTATTAAATAGGAAATCTTTTCCCCATTGCTTGTTTTTGTCGGGTTTGTGAAAGATTGGATGGTTGTAGTTGTGAAGTCTTATTTCTGAGTTATCTATGCTGTTGCATTGGTCTATGTTTCTTTTCTTGTACCAGTAGCATGCTGCTTTGGTTACTATAGCCTTGTAGTATAGTTTGAAGTCAGGTAGCATAATGCCTCCAGCCTTATTCTTTTTGCTTAGGATTGTCTTGGCTATTCAGGCTCTTTTTTGGTTTCATGTGAATTAAATTTTTTTTTCTAATTCTGTGAATACTGTCAATGGTAGTTTAATGTGAATAGCGCTGAATCTGTAAGTTACTTTGGGCAGTATGGTCATTTTTATGATATTGATTCTTCCTATTCATGAGCATGAAATATTTTTCTATTTGTTTGTGTCCTCTCTGATTTATTTGAACAGTGGTTTTTAGTTCTCCTTGAAGAGGACCTTAACTTCCCTTGTTAGCTGTATTCCTAGGTATTTTATTCTTTTTGTAGCAATTATGAATGGGAGTTCATTCATAATTTGGCTCTTTGCTTGCCTGATGCTGATATACAGGAATACTACTAATTTTTGCACATTGATTTTGTATACTGAGACTTTGCTGAAGTTGCTTATCAGCTTAAGAAGCTTTTGGGCTGAGATGATGTGGTTTTCTAGGTACAGAATTATGTCATTTGCAAACAAAGATCATTTGAGTTCCTCTTTTCCTATTTGAATAGACTTTACTTCTTTCTCTTGCTTGATTTCCCTGGCCAAAACTTCCAATACCATGTTGAATAGGAGTGGTGAGGGAGGCCATCCTTGTCTTGTGATGGTTTTCAAGGAGAATGCTCCCAGGTTTTGCCCATTCAGTATGATATTAGCTGTGGGTTTGTCATAAATGGCTCTTATTATTTTGAAGCATGTTCCTTCAATATCTAGTTTATTGATAGTTTTTAACATAAAGGAATGTTGAATTTTATCAGAGGCCTTTTCTCCATCTATTGAAATAATCGTGTCATTTTTGTCTTTAGTTCTGCTTATGTGATGAATCACATTTATTGATTCATATATATTGAACCAACCTTACATCATGGGAATGAAGCCAGTTTGATTATTGTGGATAAGCTTTTTGATGTGCTGCTGGATTCGGTTTGTCAATATTTTACTGAGGATTTTTGAATCAATGTTTATCAAAGATATTGGCCTGAAGTTTTTTATTGTTGTATCTCTGCTAGGTTGTGGTATCAAGATGATGCTGACCTCATAGAATGAATTAGGGAGGAGTCCCTCCTTTTCAATTTTTTGGAACAGTTTCAGTAGAAATGGTACCAGCTCTTCTTTGTACCTCTGGTAGAATTCTGATGTGGATACATCTGGCCCTGGGCTTTTTTTTGGTTGGTGGGCTATTTATTATATTACAGCCTCAATTTCAGACTCTTTATTGGTCTATTCAGGGATTCCGTTTCTTCCTGATTTAGTTTTGGGAGCATGTATGTGTCCAGGAATCTCTCAATTTCTTCTAGATGTTCTAGTTTATGTGCATAGGGGTACTTACCGTATTCTCTAATGGTTGTTTGTATTTCTGTGGGGTCAGTGGTTATATCCCCCTTGTCATTTCTGATTGTGTTTATTTGATTCTTCTCTCTTTTCTTATTAGTCTAGCTAGTGGTCTATTTTATTAATTTTTTCAAAACACCAGATCTTGGATTCATTGACTTGTTGCAGATTTTTCATGTTTCTATTTCTTTCAGTTCAGCTCTGATCTTGGTCATTTCTTGTCTTCTGCTAGCTTTGGGGTGTGTTTGCTGTTGGTTCTCTAGTTCTTGTAGCTGTGATGTTAGGTTGTTAACTTGAGATCTTTCTAGCTTTTTGATGTGGGCATTTAGTGCTATAGATTCACCTCTTAATACTGCTTTAGCTGGATCCCAGAGATTCTAGTACGTTGTCTCTCTGTTCTCATTAGTTTGAAACACCTTCTTGATTTTTGCCTTCATTTCATTATTTACCCAAGAGTCATTCAGGAGCAGGTTGTTCAATTTCCATGTAGTTGTGTGGTTTTGAGTGAATTTCTTAGTCTTGAGTTCTAATGTCATTGTGCTGTGGTCTGAGAGGCTGTTATGATTTCACTTCTTTTGCATTTGCTGGGGAGTGTTTTACTTCTGATTATGTGATCAATTTTAGAGTAAGTGCCATGTGGCAATGAGAAGAATGTATATTCTGTTGTTTTTGGGTGGAGAGTTCTGTAGACATCTATCAGGTCCACTTCATCCAGAACTGAGTTCAGGTCCTAAATATCTTTATTAATTTTCTGTCTCAATGATCTGTCTAATATTGTCAGTGGGATGTTAAATTCTCCCATTATGATTGTGTGGGAATCTAAATTTCTTTGTAGGTCTCTAAGAACTTGCTTTATGAATCTGGGTGCTCCTGTATTGGGTGCTTATATATTTAGGATAGTTAGCTTTTTTGTTGAATTGAACCCTCTACCATTATGGAATGCCATTCTTTGTCATTTTTTATCTTTGTTGATTTAAAGTCTGTTGTGTCAGAAACTAGGATTGCAACCCCTGCTTTATTCTGTTTTCTATTTTCTTGGTAAATTTTCCTCCATTGTTTTATTTTGAGCCTATATGTGTCTTTGCACATAAGATGGGTCTCTTGAAGACAGCATACCAATGGGTCTTGGCTCTTTATTTATCTTGCCATTCTGTGTCTTTTAATTGGGACATGTAGGCCATTTACATTTAAGGTTAGTATTGTTATATGTGAATTTGATCCTGACATCATGATGCTAGCTGATTATTTTGAAGGCTTGTTTATGTGGTTGCTTCATAGTGTCACTGGTCTGTGTATTTCAGTGTGTTTTTACTGAACTAGTGGCTAGTAATGGTTTTTCCTTTCCATATTTAGTACTCCCTTCAGGAGTTTTGCAAGGCAGTCCTGATGGTGGGGAATTATCCCAACATTTGCTTGTCTGAAAAGGATCTTATTTCTCTTTCAATGATGAAGCTTAGTGTGGCTGGATACAAAATTCTGGGTTGGAAATTATTTTCTGTAAGAAGGTTGAATATTGGCCCCCCAATCTCTTCTGGCTTGTAAGGTTTCCACTGAGAGGTCTGCTGTTAGTCTGATGGGCTTCCCTTTGTAGGTGACCTGGCCTTTCTCTCTGGCTGTCCTTAACGTCTTTTCTTTCATTTCAGCCTTGGAGAATCTGATGATTATGTGTCTCGGGGTAGATCTTTTTATGGAATATCTTACTGGAGTTCTCTGCATTTCTTCAATTTGAATGTTGGCCTGCCTTATTAGGTTGGGAAAATTATCCTGGATGATATCCTGAAGTATGTTTTCCAATTTGGCTCCGTTATCCCTGTCTCTTTCAGGTACCTCAACCAATTGTAGACTCAATCTCTTTACAAAATCCCATATTTCTCAGAGGTTTTGTTTGTTTCTTTTCATTCTTTTTTTCTCTATTCTTGTCTGCCTGTCTACTTCAGAAAGATCATCTTCAAGCTCTGAGATTCTTTCCTCTGCTTGGTCTATTCTGCTATTGATACTTGTGATTACATTGTGAAGTTCTTGTATGGTGTTTTTCAGCTCTATCAGGTCAGTTATTTTCCTCTTTAAACTGGCTATTCGGGCTATCAGTTCCTGTATTGTTTTATCATGATTCTTAGCTTCTTTGCATTGGGTTACAGCATGCTGCTTTAGTTCAGTGAAGTTCATCGTTACTCACCTTCTGAAGCCTACTTCTGCCAATTCAGCCATCTTAGCCTCAGCCTAGATCTGTATCCTTGCTGGAGAGGTGTTGCAGCCATTTGGAGAAGAGGCATTCCATCTTTTTTATATTTCCATCATTTTTGCATTGATTTTTCTCATCTTTGTGGACTTATCTACTTTTGATCTTTGAGGTTACTGACCTTTGAATGGGGATTTTGTGGGGTCTTTTTGTAGATGTTCTGTTGTTGTTTTCTGTTTGTTTTTCTATTAGTGATCAGGCCACTCTTCTGTAGTGCTGCTGCTGTTTGCTGGGGGTACTCTTCAGACCCTAGAGTTGCCTCAGTTTTTTTTGTACCTGGAGGTATCACCAGTGAAGGCTGCATAACAGCAAAGATGGCAGTCTGCTTCTTCCTCTGGAAGCTCTAGCCCATGGGGTTAATGACATGTTCCTGGCCTGAACGTACCTGTGAAAAGTGGCTGGAGACCTTGGATGGGAGTCAGAGGAACACTATCAGTCAGGAGGAACAGGATCAATAATCTACTTAAAGAAGCAGTCTGGCTGCTTTTTGGTAGAGCAAGTGTGCTGCATTGTGAGGGACCCTTCCTCATCCAGACCATTGGACTCTCCAAAGCTGGCAGGCTGGATGGCTGAGACAACTGAATCATAGAGATGGCAGCCACCCCTGCCCCTGGGAGCGCCATCTGAGGAAAAGATACGAGTTCTCTCTGTATAACCCTGGCTGGAGTGGCTGAAGCCCCCACAGGAAGATCCCACCCAGTGAGGAGGCACTCATTCCTCTCCATGAGTGCTGTGGACCACAGCTGCTTCCAATCAGCCATCTTGGCCTCTCCTCTAATTTTTTTTTTAATAGTAGCTTGTCCATTAAAGGAATAATAAGGATGATAGACTTTTCCTACTTTATAATCTTACCTATGGCTGATCCTGATGGAAATTTTTATTTCCAAGTGGCTTTAGTACTGAAAGCATCATGGGTTTTAAATCTAAAAACCACAAGTCTCATTTCTTTTTTTTTTTTTTTTTTTTGAGACAGGGTCTCCATCACCCAGGCTGGAATGCAGTGGCTCATGGCTCACTGCAACCTCTGCCTCCCAGACTCAAGCAATCCTCCCACCTCACCCTCCTGAGTAGCTGGGACTACAGGTATATACCACCATGCCTGGCTAATTTTTTTGATTTTTAATAGAGAAGAGGTCTTGCTCTGTTGCCCAGGCTAGTCTTGAGCTCCTGAGTTCAAGCAATCCTCCTGCCTTAGCCTCCCCAAGTGCTGAGATTACAGATGTAAGCCACTGTACTCAGCCTGTCTCACTTCTTATCAGGCTGGGCCTAAACCCACAGGGACTTTTATATTACTCAAACCAATGGCAGAAGAGAAGAGCTTGAACAATCTGAAGTATTGAATACCACAGAGAGAATGACTGAGAGTGTTTGTCCTTGTTGGTTTATTAAATACAACACCTTTTTTTTTTCACCTTTTGCTAGTTTTCATGATTACTCTAAGATTTAAAATGTGCATCGTTAACCAGAGTCTCTGCTTTCAAATAATATACCACTTCACAGATAAGAACCTTATAACAGTATATTTTCATTTCCTTCTTCCCATCCTTTGGGCACTCTTTTAAAACATTTTAACTCTACATGTTATAAACCCCACCCTTCATTGTTATTGAAAGAAAGACTTTCATATTTGCCACGTATTTGTCATGTCCAGTATTTTAATTCTTTTTTTGAAGCCATGTTCCCATCTGGTATCATTTTTCTTCAGTGTGAAAACTTTCTATATTATTTCTTTAAATCCAAGTCTGCAGGCAACAAATTCTCCTGGCTTTTGTTTGTCTGGAAATTTCCTTATTATGCCTTCATGTTTAAAGATATTTTTGCTAGATTTAGAATGCAATTTGATTGTTTATTTTTTTCTTTCACTACTTTTAAACTGGGTCTTTCTTTTTCTTTCCTTCATTTATCTTATTTCTTTTGACATGTCCTCAGTAATTTTTTTTTCTTTTCTCTCTATATATCATGTCTCCACCCTCACCTCTGGTAGATTTAAATCTTCTTTATTGTGGTTCTCAGAAATGTGTTTATGATGTACCTTGGTCTCATAGTTGGTTGTGTGTGTGTGTGTATGTGTGTGTGTGTGTGTGTGTGTGTCTGTATTGTGTTTATGTATATGTATGCTACTTCTGGTTCACTGAGCTCCTTGAATCTTCAGATTAAGAGTTTCTATCAAATTAAGAAAATTTGAGGGCATTATTTCTTTATACCTCCCAAACACTTTCTGTATCTTTCTGGGGTTCTGTATTCACATATGCTACAATACTTCATATTGTCCCACTGGCCTCTGACATTGTGTTGATTGCTTAGTCGTTTATATCAGTGCTTCAGTTCGGATAGTTTTTATTGCAATGTCTTCAAATTTACTAATGTTTACTTCTGCACTATCCAATCTGCTGTTAATCACATCCACTGAGTTTTTCACTTCAAATATCGTATATTTCGTCTTTAGCATTTCCACCTGGAACTTTTTTATAGCTTTCCTTTCTCCTCACATCACATTTATCTTTTTGGTTTAACACTTGAACGTATTGAATTTATTCCTAATAGCAGTTTTAAAGTTTTTTTCTGATAATTTTATTATTTCTGTCATTTTTGGTCTGTTCCTATTGGCTGACTTTTCACCTGGCTCTTCATCTCATTTTTCTTCATTTTTTTATGGCTAGTAATTTTTTCTTTGGATATCAGACACTATCATCTAATAGTATAAATATGTAAAGTATCATATTTTATGTCATTTAAGGTGTTTTTTTCCCAATAAAGTGTTGGAAAAATGTTTTAACTAGCCTTGAATTTGTTTGCAGATTAACTTCATCATTTTTTAAGCCTTATTTTTAGTAGTGTAATGTAGTATTTACCATAGGACCAGTTGTACCTGAATGCCCCATCCTGGCTGATTGGAATTCGCATGTCTCCCAGCTTTGTTTGAGCTCTGGGCATTGTTCAGTTTATGGCTCCCTGAGAGTTCTTTGTCAGACTTTATGGATTTTCTACTCTATGCATGTGTAGCTCAGTATTCAATAACAGATTCAAAGGTGCCCTATGCACCTATGAAGATTTCTGAAGGTTTTCCTCTATGTGTTCCTCTTCTGTCTAGTACTATGTCCACACATTCCATCTGTCTTAGCTTCCTGGAACTCTGATCTCTACCTATTCAATGCACTAAAATCACCATGCTGTGTCTGTTTGAGTTCTTTCTCTCTCTTTCCAAATCTGGAAAGTTACCCCAAGCAGAATGCCTGGGCAATTCAAATTTGTTTCCTTTGCAATCACAGCAAGGGAATCTTAGCAGTCTCAGCAACCTTAGTCCTAGGCTGTCTGTGGTCCGATGCCTAAAAATAGTTGTTTCATACATTTTGTTCAGTTTTCTACTTGTTTACATTACAGAGCTAATGTTGTTGACAGTTACTCCCACTGTAACTGTAATTTTTTGGGGAAAATTTGCTTCTTGCTCCTGCAATGAACTAAATAGATAGCAGTCCTCTCTCCTATTTGTTGAAAAACATGTGACTGTTATATCTTAAACTTCTGAGAGACACATCAATATTTATCTTAAATTATCCTAGAGTATTAAATGATGACAGCTACTCAAAAGGGGTCCTAGCACTTAAAACAAAACCAAAAACTACTTCCCCTCTGCAGTTCCTGTTGAAAGCTGCCATCACTGGGTCGCAATGCAAAGCACGTTTATTTGATCTAGCTTTTGACTGGTTAGTATTTTTGTCTCATTTCTTGTAGTTTGCCAGATCAATCTATGCCCGGTAATGGCAGAAACATTGGTCAATGATATTCATTGGGAGTAACTCATGTAATTTATGGTTAATTTTAAAATTCAATGAATAGTTGCCAGAATAGGCACTTTCTAAATCACCAAAGTAAATAATAAATGTTCCTTCCAATGAGAATTCTGGGCTTAGAGAATTTTAGTCCAAAAAGCAATGGAAAGAAAGAGAAAGAGGAAAGAAATAAAGCAACAGTAGTTTTTTTTTTTTTTGGGGGGGGGGTCTCTTTTATAAAAATAATGCCCAATGTATATTCATGAATTTACGTAGTTTTTTATGTTTGTGACTCAAGAGTTAACTTTTCAATCTTTATCTAAAAGTGAAAGGATTTCCCTAGCTTCCCTCCTGTCTTCAATCTTACAAGGTAATTTCAAAAGAATTTCTACCCTTTAAATACATGAGCATGTGGACCAAATATAAGTTGACAGATTTTTACATAATAATTATTGATAAATAGCAACCTATAGCAGAGTGTGGCATGGCACATGCGGGGAGGGGACAGGAAGGGGCTTGAGGAGGAAGGTGCAGCTGCTTTGTGGGAGGCCACCAAGATCAATTCAATTTGACACATTTTCATTGATCATTTGCAAGAAGATGTACAGGTGTTTGAAGTAAAATGTTTTTAGATTGCAGAATAAAAACATTAAAGAGGGAAAAAGATCTGATGCTAGAGCTGTAAAAGGTAGGAAAACACTGAAAGCAGAAATACTGTAGACACAGAGTAGGCAGCATCCAAGTATGAGTCTGTAAAGCATTAGCCAGTTTTTTTAAAAAAGTTTTATTTCATGATGTCATCATGGTTGATCTGTCTCCAGTTCTTAGGTGGAGCTTTTCAATTTTAGAAGATCTTGTTGTTAGTTTTTTTTGTGATGACTGTATCAGCAAGAACTGAAATATATGTATGTATGTGTGTGTGTGTGTGTGTGTATTTCAGTTCTTCAAATTTAAATTTTGAACTTGCAGGTATGATAAGCTTTTTGGAAAAGCAAAATTTTATTTAATTAGACCAAGGGTTTGCATAGCTACTTGTGCTACCCTTGACCTCTTCTCACTCTTCCAGATAAAACTGCTTTGTCGTCTTTCTTTCCTTTCCGTTGAACCTGCCCAATGTCCTGAGACTTGCTGGCCTAATCCACCTCCCGCTAGCTCTCCCCTCCTTGAACTCACAACTTGCATACTGTCTAATATGAAATTGATTTTGAATTACCTAGTCTTTAACGTTCATAAATGGAGCATTCTTCATTGTAAACATTGAATTGCAGTTCTCCCAAGGGCTCACACTGCTCTTTGGGCTGCCTTCTGGGCATAGAGGGGCAGTGATGATTTATCAGGTGGTTTGGGTTCCAAATCTCCCATGAACAAAGTTGAATAGAAGAATCTCTAATTTGAAGAATTATCTGTTTAATCTAAGTATTTAATCTTAGCATCTTCTATGATATTTCCTAGACCTTGGTTTACAGTGGTCAATGAGGACTCTGAAAACACTTAAACTGCAAATTCAAATACCTTCAGGGACCATGCATGTTAGGAGGCCAACATGTGATCCTATGGCAAAAGGAATGTGAGACATGTGGAAAACCTAGAAAATACAATTCCTGTACCAAACCTATAAATAAAAATAGCTTATTAACTTCATTTTACAGATGGAAAAACTGAGGCAGAGAGAAATTAAGTGACTTACCTAAGGACCCAAAGTTTACTAGCGTTAGAGCCAGGTTCAATCCAGGACATCCATGTGGCAACAGAATTTATGCTCTGGGTAGTCAGTGTAAGAAGTGTAATTTGGAAACCCAAACAGCAGGACATCTGTAAGGACTGAATGTCTCAGGAAGAGAAAAGAAATGAAATCAGTTAAACAATCTGGCCATAGTCAAGGAAATAAGAAGAGCTTTAATCCCAAAGTTCACTCCTTTTCTCAACTAGGAAACTTTCCTTCTTGTTAGATGAGGAGTCCATCCCCAAGTGAGGCCAGGTCAGGGCCTGCAGGACCGAGCGCAGTGGGGTTCCCTGGCAGGAGGGCAGTGCTGTGGGAGGAAGGGTCCTGAAGAGTGTAAGGGATACTCACAAAAGGCCAGGGGCTCATGAACAGGAGGATGATCTACCTCTCAAACACCTCCAAAATTCACCAGAGAGCTCAGGAACTATTTCAACAGGAAATGCCATATGAGGTCTATTGAGAACATTGAAATTGAGGCACAGACAAGGAAGTTATCCATTTAGAGATGATTGTTAATCCAGGGGAAAGACTAACAGTCAACCAATTTTGGCTTCCTGCAATCTGGCAGTTTTCCTAAATACTGATTAAAAATGAATTGTATTAGTTCATCTCTCCATTCAAAATGACTGAGAACACTATTTGTAGAGATCATCATTGCTAAAAACCAATTGGTAAGAAAAGCCATGAGCAATTTTCACTATACTGCTCCTCTCCAAATTTCATATTTCTTTTTTGCCATTTCATGTCTTTGAAGACCCCCTTTCCCCACCCTACTATAAGCTTTACAATATCCTTCAAACTTTAGAGAGCGGAAGAAAGTACCTGAATATAAGCCTAGCCTGACTTCTCTCTGGCTATACAGACTGTGGAGAAAAAAGCATGGTGATAAGGAGACCCTATGCATGCATGATTGGGTCAGCACTGGTTGGATAACAGCCCCTTTGTTATCTTCTACAAATCTGCTTTAATGCTACTTTACAGTCCCAATCCCAAAGGTCAGGAAGGAAACTTAATTAATATGTTTCAATCACTGTAAGCACCTTTGACAAAGGTAGTATATTGCAGTAATTCCGAAAAATGTTTTCAACCTCTGAAGATTTCCCTGGGGATGCTCTGTTCGCCAGACACATAAAATCTTTCTGCCTTTTGCTCTGTTATTCACACTCTCTGATGGAGCTGACTGCAGACCCAGTCAACTTGTTATACCTGTCGACCAACTGGAAGAAGAAAAAGAAAGGAAAACCTTTCTAGTTATTTGCTGGGACTCAAAGCTAAATCATGTGGCTCTTGAGCTTTAACTGAAGGGTATGCGTGTGTGTTACTGCTTGCTTGGGTCCACATAACTGCAATTTGAGGCTGCCAACAATTGAGTGGGAAATGGCTTTTACAGCTGAGTAGCTTTTTAATTTTTCTCAACAAAACATGTACTGGTGTTAGGTCTCTGTTGGTAATAGTGGCTAGCTGCATTATGTGGTACCTTGGCTGGTAATCCCTCTAAGTGGTTTTCCAAGTGCTTATGTATCCTAAGAACACATAAGCATGAGGATAAAGGGGCTGGCCTCCAGCTGGTGCAATACAGATGCTCTGATGTCTGGGTGCTTTGATAAAATGGAGAGGCATGCCAGAATTGTCAGTGCATCTGGACTAGGTATTGGTAAACTATTGGGCCCCTGAAATGATTCTGTATTCAGCAGGAAGAAGGCCAGGATTGAAAGAAGCCAAACTGCTTGGAAATGAACACACCTATGCGGAAAAAAAATAAAGGGGGATTTTCCAACCTCATTCCTCCCTGATTCTCAGGCAGTTGTCCATGGATGGAATCGATCATGTCCTCATATTTTCCCCTTTGCTCTATGTCCAAGCAACTTGTCCTTTTTTCTGGAAAACTGCTTGTTACAGTCCTTTCCTTTAGGCCATTTATGGAGTTGGGATAGCTAGACATTATTTTACTAATTCTCAGATGAATAACAAACCTCTTTCATCAGTACCAGTTTTAACTCTTCTGCATTGTAGGGTCATATACCCTATTTCTATGGCAACATCTTTCCATAGGACATATTTTTTCATCCTGATAGTGGCGAGCGTTCTTTAGTTTATGGAAGGATTTTATTGTTAGTTTCCTAAACTCTCCCTGTCCCAGATCCAATGTTACATCTTAACTCCAGTTATCATCTCTATTTGATTGTGTAGCTATTGAATCAATCCACAATACCTACACCCTCTGCCTAGCCATGGGCACCATAAGTCATCTTTCCATATTTGATTATTTACTTATTCAAATGTATTTCTTTTTGTGCCTGCTAGGCACAAGAATTGGGGCACCATCTCTTTTATCAAAGAGCCTATGGGGTAATAAAGAAGACAAATGTGAACAAATTATGGCTACAAAATAAAGCACATTTGAGTCAGCAGTCAACCTAAAAAAAAGTAAGACTTTAATGATAACCCATTACCTACATTGCTAGTGTGTGTTTTGAAAGTACTGAGGTAACTCCATAGGATACAGAAATCTAAATTATGTTGCTTATTGAAAGCATTTATTACTGGGCAGCACTAGTTACATTAATTCAAAAAACATGTTTATTTTAGTACACCTTTGTACTAGGCATTGTTCTTAAACACCCACCAGATACCAACATGATGCTCTCTTTCCTCTACTTTCAGGACAGTCACTGTCTAGCAGCCAGAAGAGCTATATTAATCTAACATTATATTAGAGCATGCCAAGAGCTAAGAAGTAAGAGGGGTCACAGTAGGCTCTGGGAACCCATAGGAGTCACAAGAGGCTCTGGGGTAGTGGCAAGTTTGCCAAGGAAGGTTTTTCTCCTGGTGGGTTGGGCTTTCTCCAAGCGGAAAATGAGAAAGGCATTCCAAACAGAGGAAAGAGCATGTGCAAATAGTCAAAAACAGAAAAGCAGCAAGATTCTTTCTATATAGCAATAAACATAAATTAATAATATTACTCAATGGGTTTTTGTAACGAGTTTGCATTTTGAAAACACTTTGCAGTGCATTATGAAATTTAATCTACATTTTGATTGGAAAAAATAAAAGGTATGATATCATATCAAGGGGAAGCAAGAGAAATCCACTGTTATCATGAGCTGTGTCCCCCCTGGAGCTCTGCTGTCATATCCTCTCTGGGATGGGGCTGCTGGGGATTTTGTGTCTTTTCTTTGAGACGAGAGCTTCACTTTGTACTTTGTCAGGACTGCCATTGGCCTGTGGGAGATGGGGTGGAGATAGTAACACTCGTCTTTGTGCCTCACAAATGAATTCAGTTGTTATTTGGCATTTTGCCATTCAGTGACATTTTTCTTAAAACAATTTTAATCAACTATTAATTCAGCGGAATCTCAGCTAGAAGCCAAAATGCATGCATATGGCCCGAGGATAGTTACTCAAGAGACATCATTGGAATCAGCCTAGGTGAACCTACAAGATGTGAGTGCCTCTCAAGAGAGATTTAAAATTGAAATTGATTCTATTAAAGCTGTCTCAGTTACACTGACAAAATGTCTCCCCATCCAGAAAAGTAGAACTATCTGAGAATGAAGACAAATGTGAAAATATTCTCATCGTCAAGGAAGATGTGAGGAACACAAACTTAATGTAGGACGTAACTAGCAATTAATAGCCTTGTCAGTCTCTAGACCCTTTCTTGGCCCTGCTCTATGAACACTGTTAGTAAAACTTGTAAGTATTCTATAAACATTGCCCTATGATTGAACTAGATTAAATTTCATTTGTTTATTTTTACAATGGGGAAATCTGAAGGACAGGCAGGCAAGTAGAATTGCCTTTGGCAACTCCGTTTTCAGGCTTTGGAATTAGAAGGGTGTTTGAGGCACCTTCTCTCCATTTCTTATTCTAACTATTAGTATATACTCCCTGCTGTAGTTGGATTAATTGAGTCACTACTGGAAATTTTCTTAGATTTTCCTTTGCTAATTGAAAAAGGATTCTAATTCCCAAGCTTCCCTGCAGGCTTCATGCAGACATTATTTTGGAAGTCAACATGAAAGAGAAAATTGCTTGTGTTTCTTGTGCTTTTTTTCTTTAAAATTGAGAAAAATGTTGACGAACTGAGCCATGAGAAGACATTTGAATTTTATATCAGATCAAGTTATATATATTTAGCTTATTTTTTGCTTATATGCTAGTGTATAATTATTCCAATGCTGACCTAAAGAAACCATGGAAAGGCCTGACTTTTCTTCCCCTAAATGGAATTCCACTTATGATGCATTTTGTCAGCCAGATTTCAATATTTTTTAAAGGGTAAACATTGAATTATATTTACTTAGTAATAAAAGGCCTGAGTTCATAATGTCTTCACTAGATCACATTTACCTGCATTTTATTTTATTTATTTATTTATTTTTATTTATTTATTTTTTGAGACAGAGTTTCACTCTGTTGCCCAGGCTGGAGTGCAGTGGCACAATCTTGCCTCATTGCAATTTCCACCTCCTGGGTTCAAGCGATTCTCCTGCCTCAGCCTCTTGAGTAACTGGGATTACAGGCACCCGCCACTACGCCCAGCTAATTTTTGTATTCTTAGTAGACACAGGGTTTCACCATGTTGGCCAGTCTGGTCTTGAACTCCTGACCTCAAGTGATTCGCCCACCTCAGCCTCCCAAAGTGCTAGGATTATAGGCATGAGCCACCACGCCCGGCCACCTGCATTTAAAAGATTCACTCCACTAGAAAATGTTTCTATTCTCTTTCAAGTTCTTCTAAAAGTGAAAATTATTAATAATCTTGCTCTTTCATTTGAAGATAATTATATTTTTGTTAGAAAGATTAATAAAATGAAAATGTTTTCTTTAAAAATTAAAATGAACATTTTTCTTCTGTTCCACTTTTATTCATTGATATTTAAAGCCTTTTGTTAGTAATTTAGGTCAGTGTCAAATTCTCAGTTCTCATAATTCATATCAAAACTCAAGAAAAACTTATTCTTTGCATGTATTTTAAAAGTGCCAAAGGCTCAGAACTGAGAGTATTTAAGAATATTTAAAAGCAACCATTTTATTTCATGCTGATTAGACTCAACGATTTGATGATTGTCTCATAGATACCTGGACAAGCTTCCTGAAACACTGCCTGAGCAGTGAGTTGCTGAATATGTTCATCATGACAATCTTGTGAAGTCTGTTAAGCTGGCCCCGTTGTTTCAGAGAACACAAGATTTGTTATGTTAGTCCATCAAATTGATTTTTTGCTCTTGTCACATGCTGCCCTTGTCTTCTTCCCCTGTCTCCTATTGTCTTCTTCCCCTGTCTCCTAAAGTCTTAAAGTAGAATAAGCAGTTCCCTGAGACGAAAGACTGAATTAGATGCTAGGCATCTTTTATTTGCAAGTAACATAAAATCAAATTTCTGCTGGCTCAAGCAACGATTGAACTACAGGAGAAGTTCCAGAGCAATTATGTCTGAGTTTGTGTTCCAGGTAGCCGTGGTACTGATCAGTCCTTTAATCACCATGGTGATGGAAGAAGACGAACACAGGAAGCATACTATAAAATATTTCACTGAGGGAGGAAGTATTCTGTGACATCTATAAGCTTTTACAAAAATTGTACATCTCTGATTTAGGCAGAAGGAGTCTATAGAGCAACCATCATGACATCGACATATCTCTAAGAGTTTATGAACCAAGATTGTAAGAGACTATGGGTATAGAAAAGGGAGCCTTGAACTAGTAACAAAGGCAAAATGTACGTCTTTCATAATTATTTGGTTTTCCACTTCAGGACTGTGGAAATCTGTGCCTACATGATCAATGACATGGTAAAGTATTAAGATCTGAATGGTTCAAGGTAGTGTAAAATTTGCATGGCTAGCCAAAGGGTAATACAAAATGAGGGTATGCTGTAGGGCTTGGCTTGGGGAGAAGTCAAGAGTGATAGCAGAAAGTCATTGTTGATCATCAGATCTAGGGCTGGAGTGCTCAATAAAACGATGGTTCCAATAACATGTTAGGAAGAATTAAAGTTCAATGAGGCAATTGAGTTTGGGATATAGTCCAAGAATGTACCAGTGTATCAGGTCTTCTCTGTTTGAAAGTTGGCCACATGATATGGAGCAGATTTATTATTTAAAGAAAGTGCATGCAAGATTTTGGTCACTTAGTTTCTCTTTGTGGAGGACTTAACTGGGGTTACAGAGTTGTATGAGTATAATATGACAAAATCAAATACATTTAAAATCTTGATTCCTGCTGTAGATGTGGAAAATAGAAGTTAGTAAGAAGGAAATTAAAGTGGCTAAATTCAAGTACTCTCCGTTCCTTGGTGATATCTCATAAGAATGTACCAATGGCATGTTTGTGACTACATTTGAAGACTCAGGATTAGAAGATATCATTGATGACATCTAGTACAAAGTCACTACTAATATGTTTTATTAGGCTGCTTATTTTTCTACACATGAGCATTCAGAATATATTTTAGTTCAAATTATATTCACCACTTCATCATTATGACCACCCCATTATTTAACTAAAGAGGTATTTGTGAAATGCCAACTTGTCATTTGGGAATGGAAGGAAGGTCTTTGTTTCTAAGATATTGTCTGACTTTAACATATGTGATTGGGTTAAGGCAAAAACTTTTTAGGGTACATACAAACTTACAAAGTTTACTATTCATTAAGAAATCCACATGCTGTCTCTTAGCTGAATCACCTCTACCTTGGAAGCGTTATGGAAAGTTGAATGAACTGATAATTTTATTCTGGTCCACAAAATTTTTAAAGGGTTTCTTAACTTCAGCCTGTAAGTACCTTGTTGGGGGAGTTGAAATTCTCAGGTTTGAATTATGAAGAGATAAACTCAGAAAGTAGCAACTAAACAATCTCCTTCGCCTCTTGCCTCTGATATAAGTAAAAATGACAAAGGACCCACTCAAACTCCTTCACTCCCTGTGCTTAAGACTCTATTGACAATAAAGACTATTACTTAGAAACGTAAAATCTAAAGGGCTCGTGAATTGAGGTAAGAAAACCTGATATAGCATTTTAAAAATAAGTTATTATTCTGAGTAGTGATCTTTAGTATTTATTTTATTACTTTCCCTGATAGAAAATATTCTCCGTTTTCCTACTTGATTAATTAATATTAAATGTGGTGTGGACTGATTAAAACATTTTTCTTCTATTTTCAGATGTGGGATCAGGTTTTAACGTGATAACCTTGTATTTCAATAATTATGTCCCATTACCAAATTGGTTTAATTACTTTCCCAATATGTCATTTTACTTCACAGTAATTATAGGAATTTAATCAATCATTCAATAGATATGTCTAGAATTCCTACCATAAATGTTTGACACATGCTAGAAACTTGGTATATCACAGTAATCAAGGCAGACATGATTCCTGCTGTATTCTTCTGCTAGGGCTGCTGTAACAAAGACCATGAACTGGGAGGCTTAAACAGAAATGTATTGCCTATCCTTAGGTGAAACTGTTTCACTAGATCTAAACCTGCTGGGGTTTTATCAGAATCTAATTGACCTTGGGGAAGGAAAATACTCAACTGCAGTCCCCTCTAGCTTCCATGTGGAGGAGAGGAAATATCCAACTGCAGCCCACTCTAGCCAACTCCAGTCCACTCTAGCCAACCTGTCCCAACTAAGGGGCAAGGGACTGAGAGGCCCTTGTGAAGTTCATAGTCCAGGAGCACAGCATCACTAGAAGACTAATGCCCAATCATAGGACTATAGAATATTTTCCCTCCCCACACAGTTTACTACCACATTACTAAAGACCTATATTTGTAAAAATTTGTTTTACTCAGTACAACGTGTCCAGTTATCAAGAAAACGTTATGAGGGATACTGAAAGGCAAAAAACAGTTTGAGGAGATAAATCTAGCATCAGCACCAGAGCTCAAATATAGCAAAGATGTTGCAATTATTCAACTGGGAATTTAAAACAACTATGGTTAAGATGCTAAAGGCTCTAATGAATAAAGTAGACAGCATGCAAGAACAGATCAGCAATGCAAACAGAGAGATGGAAATTCCAAGAAAGAACTGAAAAGAAATTCCAGAGATCAAAAGCAACTAAAGCAGAAACGACCATTACTTTTGATGAGCTTATTAGTAGACTGGACACAACTGAAGAAAGAGTCTCTGAACTTGAAATCTCAATAGAAGCTTCCAAAACTGAAAAGCAAGCAAGCAAACAAACAAACAAAAAAGACTGAAAAAGAAGAACATAATATCCAAGAACGATGGGACAACTACAAAAGATGGAATGTATGTATAATGGGAATAACAGAAAGAGAAGAAAGAGAGGGAAGTATAGAAGAAATATTTGAGGTAATGACTGAGAACTTCCCCCAAGTTAATGTCAGATACCAAACCACAGATCCAAGAAGTTCTGAGAACACCAATCAGTATAAATGCGAAAAAACAAAACCAAAAACTAAAAACTATGCATAGGCATTCTATATTCAAACTACAGAAAAATCAAAGATTAAAAAAAATGTTCTGAAAGAAACCAGAAGAAAAAAAAAAAAGCCTTACCTACAGAGGAACGAAGGTAAGAATTAAATCTGATTTCTCCTCAGAAACCATAAAAGTAAAAAGAGAATGAAGTGAAATATTTAAAGTGCTGAGGGGGGGGGGGCGGGGAAACACCTAGAATTACATGTCTTGTAAAATTATCCATCGAAAATAAAGAAGAAATAAATACTTTCTCAGACAAACAAAAATTGATGGAATTTATTGACAGCATACCTTGCAAGAATTATTAGAAGAAGTTCTTTAGGGAGGAGGAAAGTTATTATATATAAGCCAGAAGCTTGGATCAATACATAAAAAGGAAGAAGGGAAAGCAAAATGAAAACATTTGTTTTTTCTTATTTTTAATTTAGTAAACAGAAAACAGTTTGTTCATAATAATAATAGCAACAATGATTACATAGACACTTGGGTATGCAAATATGTAAGGAAAATGAATGACAACAATGGCAAAAGGGATGAAAGGGAGGAATTAGTATTGTGTTATTACAAAGTACTAGCTTTGTGAAGTGGTATGGGGTTATTTAAAAGCAGAATTGGACTACTTGTAGAATTAGAATATAAAATACGATAAATGCTCAATTAAAATCACAAAAAGCAGATTAAAAGTATGGAAGAGAAAACTCATGCCAGAAGAGAAAAGCAATCTGAATTTGCCTATATCTATTTTTAAAAGCAAATCAATAGTTAATTACATTCCAAAACAGAAAACACTAGACCCAGATAGTTCACTGGTGAATTCTACCAAACGTTAAGAAAGAAATTATACCAATTCTCTACAATCTCTTTCAGAGGATAGAAGCAGAGGGAATACTTCCTAACTCTATCCATTAGGCCAGAATTACTCTAACACCAAAGCCAAACAAAGGCAGTATAAGAAAAGAACACTACAGACAAATATCTCTCATGAGAATAGATGCAAAAATCCTCAACAAAATGTTAGCAAATTGAATCTAACAGTTTATAAAAAGAATAATACAAGATGACCAAGGGGGATTTATCCTAATTACGCAAGGTTGGAAAAGTCTATTAAATTACAAAAAAAAAAATTAACGTCCCACCTCTTTTTCTTCCTACCATCCCATTTTCTGATACTATCTGCCGTTAACAAAACAAACCATCATTCAAAATACGAGGAGTCTGATGATGCAGCTTTTAGAGATCACCATCCCAGGGCCCAGGGCAGGGTGGAGAAGGGTGGGTAATAGATAGGCAGCAGCAAACACAGGATGACAGTACTTGCAGCATAGGGGTGATTAGGAATTGGAATTTTGAGAGGGACTTAGGTCATCCAGAAGTCAATGTAAACAGACAAAAAGAAGGCGTAAGAGCACAGTTTGCTAAACATCGAAACTTGAAAGTCTAGGAAAGTAAAGGAATCACAAAAAAAGATTTAGAGGGTAGTTAGAAAAGCAGAGAAGTGTAACATCTAACTCAGTTAAAAAAAAAAAAAAAAAGAGTGTTCCAAGAAGTGGAGAGCAGTCAACCCTGTTAAACACTGTGGTGAAGCAAAATGAAGTTAGAAAAGGGTAAATGAAGTTTAGCTTACACAGTAGCCATTTAGGAACTCAGTGGGTAGCTTCTATGAAGTGGTAGGGACAGAAACCACACTGTACCAACCTGAAGAATAAAGAGGAGCTGAGGAAATAGAATAAATCTAGCTAATTTATGCCTGCAGGAGAGTAGGAAATATGAAAGCTTATTCCCCCCACTCCTCTCTTTTTTTTAAGGATTAGAGAGACTAGCTTGTATTGTAAATGCTGTCAGTACACCTAAAGTGGTCTTGGTCTTCTTCTCTGGAGAGTGGTCAAGCCAGCTTCCAGAGGAAGATGATGTTGCCATTGCTCCTTACGAAGCTATAGTGCCTCCAGGGCTGGATGCCTTCAACAGAGCCAAGAGTCAGCAGACTTGAAGAGGGGGGCCACCGATTAAAACGCCTGCTGACAACTGGTTCTCTTTACTGCCCTGTGAATGTACATAGTGTGTGGCTTTTCAGAGAGGGTCCAGTGGACTACTGGTTCTGTTTGTTTAATTCCACTAAGATGATCACAGCATTCCTTGATGCCAATCTGATGACAGGAAAAAGCCTTTCTAGCCTTCTTTTTACTTCCCGTCACCAAGGCATTTGATTTTTACCACCTGTCTTGGGATTTACACATGAATCTCTAAAGTGCTAGACTTCCTCAGAAGACCAGATGTTGGAGGAGAAAACCACTGGGCTGTTCTACATGATCACACTCTTGTGTTACTGTGACATATGGTGTGAAGCAAATATTAGTGCATGGAAATATAAAACATCAGGATGCATCTGAATTATTCCTCCCCAGTTACATTTGATCTGTGAATGTCGGAAACACTCCATTTCATAGCCATATTTATCATTCAAAGTGAATCATGCATTTGGGGGGCGTAAAATGAGATGCTTCAGAATGCAGACAATTACCAACTATTGCATATTTCTCCAAAGAAAGATTTGAATTATACGGTCAATGCAAAGCGTTGCTGCTTTATAATGTGGCAAAGAGAAGCTGAGGTGAAGGATACATTATAATAGATTAATATTAAGGAAGTGCTATTTTTCCTTTTCTCTTCAGCCCCAGAAATCAATTTCTATAGGGTAGCTTTGTGGGGTTTTTGTTTATTTTTGTTTATTAAATTTTATTATTTTGTTTTTATTATACAGCCTTTCTTGAAATTTAAAATCTGTAGATCGAACGTTTACAGGCCACATGTTTTCCAACAGTTCTCCATTATATTTTCAGAGGCATGTTTGCATAGAAATGCACTTGGCTTTTAGATACATAAAAAATTTTGTTTAAAATGATCATTAATGTGAGACAGTATCAAGATAAATATAGTATTAGAGAAGCTGTGAGCAAATGTTAAACTTAGTGTTAGAAGTAAAGGGAAAGTTTAGAAGAAAATTTAAGGTTAATTTAGTTCCAAGCAGTTAAATGGACAATGTCAAGAATACTGAGAGCCCAAATTAAGAGTCAGCAAATCTGCTGATGTTGCACTAGTGATGTCTTAAGGAGGAAATTCTAACCTGTCTATTGTTATTTTGCTTAGTGTTGCCTCCCTTGCCCTCTGCCTTATACTACATAACATA
This sequence comes from Homo sapiens, assembly GCF_000001405.40. Taxonomy (NCBI): domain Eukaryota; kingdom Metazoa; phylum Chordata; class Mammalia; order Primates; family Hominidae; genus Homo; species Homo sapiens. The sequence goes on along the minus strand of NC_000014.9, from coordinate 79,937,533 downwards.
TCTAGTGCAGCTAGGGTAAAGATTTTGAAATTTATACAAAGCATTGCACTGAATATTAAGTAAAGTGAATATTATCCTAAGTAGCTTATAGCCTGTCAATGTAAGGAATAGAATAGGGAGTTCTTACAGTTCATTTTTTAGAAACGACTTCAAAAATTGTTGCCTTAAGTACTGTAAGTGGTTCCCTTTCCCTGGGAAACCTCCCTAATTTTATCTGTCTATGTACTTTCCCGTCATGTCCTCTCTCCCTTTCTGTGTTCCTATCTCCCAAAAAACTCACATCCAGGATATGCCATTGTGCTTTCTTTGGACAATTCTGATTATGTATATTCCATATAGTAATCGCCTCTTTGCTTTCTAAGTCAACTCCTCTTGTAATCAGACTATTTAGAAATAATGACTTTTTTTTTTTCTTGTAGTTGCAATGTGTTTTGGGATTAGTCTTTTTTTAAATTTATTATTATTTTACTTTAAGTTTTAGGGTACCTGTGCACAATGTGCAGGTTAGTTACATATGTATACATGTGCCATGCTGGTGCGCTGCACCCACTAACTAGTCATCTAGCATGAGGTATATCTCCTAATGCTATCCCTCCCCCCTCCCCACACCCCACAACAGTCCCCAGAGTGTGATGTTCCCCTTCCTGTGTCCAAGTGTTCTCATTGTTCAATTCCCACCTATGAGTGAGAACATGCGGTGTTTGGTTTTTGTCCTTGTGAGAGTTTGCTGAGAATGATGGTTTCCAGCTTCATCCATGTCCCTACAAAGGACATGAACTCATCATTTTTTATGGCTGCATAGTATTCCATGGTGTATATGTGCCACATTTTCTTAATCCAGTCTATCATTGTTGGACATTTGGGTTGGTTCCAAGTCTTTGCTATTGTGAATAATGCCGCAGTAAACATACGTGTGCATGTGTCTTTATAGCAGCATGATTTATAGTCCTTTGGGTATATACCCAGTAATGAGATGGCTGGGTCAAATGGTATTTCTAGTTCTAGATCCCTGAGGAATCGCCACACTGACTTCCACAATGGTTGAACTAGTTTACAGTCCCACCAACAGTGTAAAAGTGTTCCTATTTCTCCACATGCTCTCCAGAACCTGTTGTTTCCTGACTTTTTAATGATTGCCATTCTAAGTGGTATGAGATGGTATCTCATTGTGGTTTTGATTTGCATTTCTCTGATAGCCAGTGATGCTGAGCATTTTTTCATGTGTTTTTTGGCTGCATAAATGTCTTCTTTTGAGAAGTGTCTGTTCATGTCCTTCGCCCACTTTTTGATGGGTTTGTTTGTTTTTTTCTTGCAAATTTGTTTGAGTTCATTGTAGATTCTGGATATTAGCCCTTTGTCATATGAGTAGGTTGCGAACATTTTCTCCCATTTTGTAGGTTGCCTGTTCACTCTGATGGTAGTTTCTTTTGCTGTGCAGAAGCTCTTTAGTTTAATTAGATCCCATTTGTCAATTTTGGCTTTTGTTGCCATTGCTTTTGGTGTTTTAGACATGAAGTCCTTGCCCATGCCTATGTCCTGAATGGTAATGCCTAGGTTTTCTTCTAGGGTTTTTATGGTTTTAGGTCTAACGTTTAAGTCTTTAATCCATCTTGAATTGATTTTTGTATAAGGTGTAAGGAAGGGATCCAGTTTGAGCTTTCTACATATGGCTAGCCAGTTTTCCCAGCACCATTTATTAAATAGGGAATCCTTTCCCCATTGCTTGTTTTTCTCAGGTTTGTCAAAGATCAGATAGTTGTAGATATGCGGCGTTATTTCTGAGGACTCTGTTCTGTTCCATTGATCTATATCTCTGTTTTGGTACCAGTACCATGCTGTTTTGGTTACTGTAGCCTTGTAGTATAGTTTGAAGTCAGGTAGTGTGATGCCTCCAGCTTTGTTCTTTTGGCTGAGGTCAGGATTAAGAATCTTACTCAAAACCGCTCAACTACATGGAAACTGAACAACCTGCTCCTGAATGACTACTGGGTACATAACGAAATGAAGGCAGAAATAAAGACGTTCTTTGAAACCAACGAGAACAAAGACACAACATACCAGAATCTCTGGGACGCATTCAAAGCAGTGTGTAGAGGGAAACTTATGGCACTAAATGCCCACAAGAGAAAGCAGGAAAGATCCAAAATTGACACCCTAACATCACAACTAAAAGAACTAGAAAAGCAAGAGCAAACACATTCAAAAGCTAGCAGAAGGCAAGAAATAACTAAAATCAGAGCAGAACTGAAGGAAATAGACACAAAAAACCCTTCAAAAAATTAATGAATCCAGGAGGTGGTTTTTTGAAAGGATCAACAAAATTGATAGACCACTAGCAAGACTAATAAAGAAAAAAAGAGAGAAGAATCAAATAGACGCAATAAAAAATGACAGAGCGGATATCACCACCGATCCCACAGAAATACAAACTACCATCAGAGAATACTACAAACACCTCTATGAAAATAAACTAGAAAATCTAGAAGAAATGGATAAATTCCTTGACACATACACTCTCCCAAGACTAAACCAGGAAGAAGTTGAATCTCTGAATAGACGAATAAGAGGAGCTGAAATTGTGGCAATAATCAATAGCTTACCAACCAAAAAGAGTCCAGGACCAGATGGATTCACAGCTGATTTCTACCAGAGGTGCAAGGAGGAACTGGTACCATTCCTTCTGAAACTATTCCAATCAATAGAAAAAGAGGGAATCCTCCCTAACTCATTTTATGAGGCCAGCATCATCCTGATACCAAAGCTGGGCAGAGACACAACCAAAAAAGAGAATTTTAGACCAATATCCTTGATGAACATTGATGCAAAAATCCTCAATAAAATACTGGCAAAACGAATCCAGTAGCACATCAAAAAGCTTATCCACCATGATCAAGTGGGCTTCATCCCTGGGATGCAAGGCTGGTTCAACATATGCAAATCAATCAGTGTAATCCAGCATATAAACAGAACCAAAGACAAAAACCACATGATTATCTCAATAGATGCAGAAAAGTTCTTTGACAAAATTCAACCACCCTTCATGCTAAAAACTCTCAATAAATTAGGTATTGATGGGACGTATTTCAAAATAATAAGAGCTATCTATGACAAACCCACAGCCAATATCATACTGAATGGGCAAAAACTGGAAGCATTCCCTTGAAAACTGGCACAAGACAGGGATGCCCTCTCTCACCACTCCTATTCAACATAGTGTTGGAAGTTCTGGCCAGGGCAATTAGGCAGGAGAAGGAAATAAAGGGTATTCAATTAGGAAAAGAGGAAGTCAAATTGTCCCTGTTTGCAGGCGACATGATCGTATATCTAGAAAACCCCATTGTCTCAGCCCAAAATCTCCTTCAGCTGATAAGCAACTTTAGCAAAGTCTCAGGATATAAAATCAATGTACAAAAATCACAAGCATTCTTATACACCAACAACAGACAAACAGAGAGCCAAATCATGAGTGAAATCCCATTCACAATTGCTTCAAAGAGAATAAAATACCTAGGAATCCAACTTACAAGGGATGTGAAGGACCTCTTCAAGGAGAACTACAAACCACTGCTCAATGAAATAAAAGAGGATACAAACAAATGGAAGAACATTCCATGCTCATGGGTAGGAAGAATCAATATCGTGAAAATGGCTATACTGCCCAAGGTAATTTACAGATTCAATGCCATCCCCATCAAGCTACCAATCACTTTCTTCACAGAATTGGAAATAATGACTTTTTAAACACAGCAACCCCACATTTCCAATGAAGTTTCAGATGAGACGAGAAAAATGGAGTGCCTTAGCTTCCTTAGGGGCAATGAAGTCTTTTTTTTTCTTTTTTAGGTTGGGGGTATGATTCATATTTTTCCTGAACCTAATAGGGAGGCCTATGTGCAGTCAATTCCCTTGCTTTTCCCTCTGCACTCTCCACCCCTTGTCCTCATGATAGTCTTCTAGGCATGTTTAAGTCTTGATTTAAGATCTACATCTTCAGCAATGAATCTGTCTCTGGTATCCCCTGGCAGACTTATTCTGTACTTCCTGTGTGTCCCCACAGCATGGTTTTATTGCTGCCATGAAAATACATCTCACGTTGTATTATAATTTCTTTGTATGCTCCCTAGACCACAATGTCCTTTAAGTGAAATTTCTATCTTATTCTCATTCTTATCCCTAGCACTTCACATAGTACACAGCCTATAACAACAAAAACAATGTTAACAAGAAAAGATAGAAATAGAAAAAATTGAAAACAGTTATAAGAATATGAAGCAAACAATGATATTTATTGAGGGCTTACTACAAGTCAATATTTGTCATGATCAATTTACATGTTAAAATTGCAAGAAGTAGATATGATTGCAAGGAACAGAAAACCCAAAAATAGCAGGTAGTTAGTATGATAGTAGTTTATTTTTCCCTCATATTCAAAAAGTTTCAAAGTTGTCGATCTGGGCATGATATATCACTCCATGGTAGCAAGGACCCAGGCTTTTTGTTCCTAGTGATCCTTCTTGGTTGATTTCTACTGTTAGGGTCATCTCATGTTTCATCTAGAGCCTCTGGAGTTCCAGTTATGATGCCCCAATTCCAGTCAGCAGGGAAAGAGAAAAGGAACAAACTCCCCCACCCACCTATTTTAAAGCTCTCTTCCCAGAAGTTGAATGTGGCACTTCTGCTTGCACCTTATTAGCTGGAACTCAGTCATAAGACCATTCCTAACTGAAAGGGCAAGAAAGGAAGTCTGTATTCCAGGCAGCCATGTGCCCACATACAAATTGGAGATTATATTAGTAAGGAAGGAAGTGAGAATTGACATTACAAAGCAATTAGAAGTCTTTAACATTCATGCATTATGACATTGAATCTTCTCAACAACCCCGTGAATACTCACTCTAAAGTATTATTATTCCCACTCATTCACTTGACAAATATGATTGTGCATGACTGTGCCTTAGACCTAGTACTAGTGCCCTGGGGTTTGGTAGGAAATAAGTCCTTGTCCTTTTGGAGGCTTTATTCTGATTGAGAAGGCAGACATAAACCAAACACATATATAATACAAGTCAGGACAGTAATAAATTCTATGAAAAATTAATTAGCATAAAGGAATAGTATGTAATACTGTTAGCTGAAATACAGTAATCCTGAAAGAATTTTAAAGAAATAATTTCTGAGCAATGATCTGAGTGGAGCCATAGAAACATCTAGGAGTTTTCTAGACCAAAGAGACAAAAACACCTTCAGATGGACATTAGCAAGTGAGTGAAAACACTGGTGCATGTTAAATGAAGTCAGAGCGAGGGAGGCAGAACCAGAATAAATAAGATTGTAACAATAATACAAAGTTTTGGGTTTTGCTTTGAGTTTCATGGGGACCATTGGAGGTTTTTGAGCTGTTGAGTAGAATAATTAGATTTAGGTCATTAAATAGATCATTTTGATTGCTGCCTGAATAGTGGGCTCAGAGGGCAGGGGGCCAGCAGGATAGAAGGCAGAGTGAAAGCAAGGAGAACAAAAAGACTGTTTAGGACAGCAGGTAAAGATGAAGGTAGCTTGTACTAGGAAGCTAAGAATGACACACATGATAAGTGATCAGAGTCAAGATATATTTTGAAAGTAGAGTTGATGAATCAGATGTGTGGTAAGAGTGAAGGATACTAAGGATGACTTCTAGATTTTTATGTTGTTTCATTTTATGTATCAACTTGGCTAGGCCATGGTACCTGGCTTTTGGTCAATCTCCAGTCAAGATGTTCATATGAAAATATTTTTAGATGTGTTTAATGTTTGAATCAGCAGATTTTTAGTAAAGCAGATTATTTTCAATAATATGGGTGAGCCTTATCCAAACAGATGAAAGACTTAAGAGAAAAGACTGGGGTTTGCCCAGGAAGAAATCCTGCTTCCAGACTCCTTGCAGACTGCGTTAGGACTGCAAAATCACCTCTTTTCTGGGGCTCCAGCCTGCTGGCATTCTTTGCAGATTTCAGACTTGCCAGCCCTCCTAAGTGAGCCAATTCCTTAGAATAAATCTCTCTCTCAGATATATAGATCTATCTATACATCATATATATGTGTGTGTGTGTATATATATATGTGTGTGTGTGTGTAATACACATCTTATTGGTTCTATTTATCTGAAGAATCATGACTAATACAAATTTGGATAAGAAGAGTTGTTCTAGAGCAACAGAATCTTAAGGATGAGATTTCTGAATTGGTTATGGGGTTTCTGGAACTGGTTCTCTAATCTAACTAGATTTAAAGGCACTAATGATATTTCTAGAAGCAAAAAGAGCATAGATAGTACATGGTGTGACATATCAGTTGAGATACCCAAAATATTACTGTGGATATTCCTAATCAAACACCTATAAGAGACAAAGTTTTCAGTGACCATAATCAATACTTATAAGAGACAAAAGTGACCATGTATTTGATACCCTAGAACAATTTTGTTAAATTGATGAGTACAAAGAGATTGGCTGGTTGCTCCTTATTGATGTAAACAAAGTGTAGAAATAAAAGGATGAATTCAAGGATTCAAATTCCCAGCTCATGCACTGCATAAATGACCTAAAATTTTGTATGAATGCCCTGGAAGAAAGTTTTGTTACCTGTAGCCAAAAAGCTGAGATTGCTGAAAACTAAACACAGTGCCATTTTGCAAGTAGCTGAATTACAATGCAAATTGAATTCCTAAGCTCACAGGGTGTCTGCTGTTAAAGTGGTAGCATTAATTGGAAAGGAATGGGGTCCTGAAAATTGGAATGGGGACATATGGGAAGATCCTGATGAAGCTGGGGGGCATTAAACTCCTACATTCTGAAGATGCTTTGTCAGTAGAAGAAGCCACTCCATCTCTATCTGAGAAGATGACCTCTGCTTTGCCTGATGAAAGAGTAATGGTCACCTCTGAGGTAACTGCCTTACAAAACACTGCTGATTCTCCTCAGGACCCACCCTTACAACCCCTTTTTTTCGTAGACCTATAACTAAACTCAAGTCTCAGTAGGCCTCTAAAGATGAGATGCAAATTGTGCCCCATGAGGAGGTTGTTACACTACAAAATAACAATATGATTTTTCTAATATTTACAGACAGAAATCTAGAGAATGTGTGGGAGTGGATATTGTAACCACCCAATGGGCTCACCTTGCCTGCTGCCTAGACAGAGCTGATTTATTGAGACAGGGGAATTGCAATAGAGAAAAAGTAATTTGTGCAGAGCCGGCTGTGTGAGAGACCAGAGTTCAAATCAGTCTCCCTGAGCATTCATGGATCAGAGTTTTTAAGGATAATTTTGTGGGTGGAGGAAGGCCAGTGATTCAAGAGTGCTGATTCGTTGGGTCAGCACTCTTGACCCAACCAATCATGTGAAGTTGAAGCTATCCTCTTGTACTGAGTCAGTTCCTGGGTGGGGGCCACAAGATCACATGAGCCAGTTTATCAATCTGGGTGGTGCCAGCTGATCCATCAAGTGCAGGGTCCGCAAAATATCTCAAGCACTGATCTTAGCAGCATTTTAGGGAGGATCAGAACCTTGTAGCCTCCAGCTGCCTGACTCCTAAACCATAATTTCTAATCTTGTGGCTAATTTGTTAGTCCTGTAAAGACAGTCTAATCCCTAAGGAAGAAGGATGTTTGTTTTAGGAAAAAGCTGTTATTGTCTTTGTTTTATAAACTGAGTTCCTCCCAAAGTTAGTTCAACCTATGCCCAGGAGTGAACAAGGACAGCTTGGAGGTTAGAAGCAAGATGGAATCAGTTATGTTAGACCTTTTTCACTCTCTCCATCATAATTTTGCAAAGGCAGTTTCAGTATTAAGGGCGTATTATACTGGGAGATTGAATCAGGCAGAATTTACTGACATGGGCCCACTAAGCAAAAAAATCTAGATTTAATGTTGCAGCTTGGGGTATTAGAAAGAGCTCAAATTGTTTGTTTGGTTGGCTGAAACATGGACCAAAAGGTGACATACACTAAACGAATTGAAATACCATAACTGCCTTGGTATACTATAGAAAAAGGTATTTAAAGCCTTAGAAAAATTGGAATATTCAAGTGGATTTATCACTTACGATCTTCTCACCCACTGGGAAGGGTCCAGAGGACAGCTTTCACCATAACAGTGAGAAATGAATTTGCGAGGGGAGCAATGCATCCTTGAAGAGCTTGTGATAGCTCTTCTCTGTGGGTCAGAAATTACAGTGGTAATTGCTGCCACTGGATTGGTAAACCTAAATGCAATGAGGATAACTAGGTCCCAGGGTGGCAGGGACAAAGTGATGGCATTTACTCACCAAAGGCAAAGTAAGCATGGTTACCATGATGGAAAACAGAATCAAAGCAGCAATCAGAATAAAATGACTCACAGAGATCTATGATGTTAGCTAGTTAATCATTGTGTCCCTAGAAAGTGACATAGGTGGGAAATCTGCTAAATTGTTCCTAATCTGTATAAGTGGAGAATTGTGGGTTAAGGGAACAAAAGTCACAAAAGCAGAGGGTTAGACTCCTTTAATCAACTCTCAGACTTTGAGCCAGTTTATGGGCTTAGAACCTCTCAAATGAAGGGGAGGCTGGGTCTCTATGAAAAACGATCTTGCTGCACTGACAACAATTTATACTGTTAATCTTTCTCTCAGTCTTCTTCAGAGAAACTTATGGTCTTTCACCAAGGTGATTGTACATTGCAACAAAGGAAATAATCAGACTTTTGGGGGATTACTGGACTGACTTTGAATAGATACTACATCTAGGAGGTCTCAAATGTCACTGTGGTCCAACTAGAACTACAACAATGATAACTTGAAGGAAAGATTGCCCCTCAGCCACTTTTAGCTTTATACCTTTGAATGAACAGGCAAAGGAGGGAGCTGTTCTGCTAGCTAGGATGATTGATCCTGATCACCATGAGAAATTTAGACTGCTCTAAAATGGAGAGAAGGAAGTGTGTGTTTGAAATATGGAAGATTTCCTAGAGCATCTCTTAGTACTACTACGCTCTCTGACTAAATACAATAGAATACTCTAACAACCCAATTGAGACAGGGCTATGAATGGTCCAGATCCTTCAGGAATAAGTTTTGGGTCACCTCCTAGGTAAAGAATCATGACTAGCTGAGGTTCTCACTGAAAGCAAAGAAAATACAAAATTCATAGTGGAAAAAAGCTTATAAATACCTGCTATAAGCATGTGACCAGTTATTAACATGAGGACTGTAATTATTATATAAATATTCCTTATTTTGTTATGAATGTTTGTATATGTATATATGTGTGTATACGCATATAGCAAATATCTTTGTTGTATATGTATCAACATTGCATTATAGTATTTAATTATAGGATATTATGTTCAGTGAACATCAGCTAAGAGCTTTGCATCTTCTAGAAAAAGCATTGGGACATTTATTATGATTGAATGTTTTTGTTTTCCCCATCACAAATTCATATGTTAAAATCCTAACCCCCAATGTGATGGCATTGGGAGGTGGAATTAGTGTCCTTATGAGAGCTCTCTAGCTCTCTTCTCACCATATAAGGATACAAGGAGAAGCCGGCAGTGCACAACCTCCAAGTGTGCCTTCATAAGGGCTCGATTGTGCTGATATTCTGATCTGGGACTTTGAACAGCCAGAGCAGTTTAGAAATAAGTTTTTGTTGTTTATAAGCCACCCAGTCTATGGCACTTTGTTATAGCAGCATGAACTGACTAACACAGCATTTTTGGTTGTACACAAGAGAGTTGTATCATGTTAGGCAGAACATGTTAGGTCAGAAGTATGACCTTATTATTGTCTTTCTTTTGAGATTAAGTCTGGAAATAGATGTGGGTGCTGAGGTGAAAAGAAGTAGGCTGTGATGGTTAATTTTATGTGTCAACTTCGCTATGCCATGATACCTAGTTTTTCAAAGACCAGTTTAGATGTCATGAATGTATTTTTTAACATGTGATTAACATTTAAATCAGTAGAGTTTGAGTAAAGCAGATTACCACATTACTCCATAATGTGGGTGGGCCTTGTCCAGTCAGGTTGAAGGCCTTAAGAAAATAACTGGGATGCCTTGAGGAAGAAGGAATTCTGCCTCTAGATCTTGTTTGGATTCAAGCTAGAACATGAACTCTTCCCTAAGTTTCTAACCTGTCAACCTTCCCTGCAGATTTTAGACTTGCCAATTCTCATAATTATGAAAGTTAATTTCCGAAAATAAATCCCTCTTTCTAGATGTAGACACATATTATCGATTCTGCTTCTCTGGAAAACCCTGGCTAATACAGTTTTCATCTGAGCAACAAGATGAGTGGTTGTGTAACACTGAACAAGATGAGAAAGTCAGAAAAATGAATGGGAGTGCAAAGGGAGGAAGAGAAGAGGTAGAGAAAAGCATGAATTTTATTTTAGACATGCCAATTTTGAGAACTTTATTAGTCAACCAAGTGGTGGTGTTGAGGAGGCAATTGGTAAATAAATTTAATGCTCAGAGGAGAGGTTAGTGCTAGAAATGTAAAACTGGGAGTCATCAACATATAGAAGATGTTTAAAACAATGGAACTAATTTCAATTATAGAGAGAGTGTAGCTAGAAAATAGAAAAGGGCTCAGGGCTGAGCCCTGAGGAAGTCCAATATTTAGAGCTCAGAAAGAATAAGGATAATCAAGAAAAGAAAACTGAAAATGAACTGTCATGGAGGGGGAAGAAAACCCAGGAAACTATAATCACCAGGAGATGAATAAAGAAGGTGTTTTTAGAACAGGGGATCTATCAACTGTGTCAGATGCTGCTGATAACTGGGAATTGTTCATTAGATTTAGCATACTGGAGGTTCATGGTGACCTTCAGAAGTGGAATATCAGTAAACGCTAAGGACAAGACTGACAAGGATGGGTTTAAAAGAAGATAACCATTAAGGAAGAAGAAGTATGCATTAGTCTGTTTTCATGCTGCTGATAAAGCCATACCTGAGACTGGGAAGAAAAAGAGGTTGAATTGGACTTACAGTTCCACATGGCTGGAGAGGCCTCAGAATCATGGCAGGAGGTGAAAGGCACTTCTTACATGGCAGCAACAAAAGAAAATGAGAAGGATGCAAAATCGGAAACCCCTGATAAAACCATCAGATTCATGAGACTTGTTCACTACCACAAGAACAGTATGGGGGAACCACCCCCATGATTCACATTATCTCCCATCGCATCCCTCCCACAACAGGTGGGATTTAGGGGAGTATAATTCACGATGAGATTTGGCTGGGGACACAGAGTCAAACCATATCAAGGTAGAAAGTACAGACAATTTTCTGGGGAGTTTTGCTATAAAGATGAGCAGAGAAATGGGGCAGTGCTTCAGGATTTCATGGGACTTAAGGGCAGAGGCAGTCTAATGGGAGTGCAGAAGAAGAAATGTGTCCTAACTACCAGTTGATATAGAAACCCCAAAAAGCCAATTAGAAAACTATTAATTTCAGCTTTTCACTAAGTTACTATTTTTAAAATATTGAACATTGAATGTTTGGACTCTTCCTAAGATTGTTATGCATTACCAGGCAAATTCCAGCACAGTCTAAGGTAAGAGGTAAGGCGTCTAGCACAATGTAAGATAAAAGGGCCAAAATACATTGCGTTACATCTAAAAGCCATAGAACCCCTTACTAAAACAAAGTCCAGGGAAGAACTAACTTTCTTTCTTTCTTTCTTTCTTTCTTTCTTTCTTTCTTTCTTTCTTTCTTTCTTTCTTTCTTTCCTTCTTTCTTTCTCTTTTTTCTTTCTTTCTTTCTTTCTTTCTTTCTTATTTCTTTCTCTTTCTTCTTTCTTTCTTTCTTTCTTTCTTTCTTTCTTTCTTTCTTTCTTTCTCCTTCCTTCCTTCCTTCCTTTCTCTCTTTCTTCCTTTCTTTCTTTCTTAGGAAATATTTTGTATGGTTATAGCAGCAAAGCAGTAGAGAGAGAAAAAGAATCCTGGGGAGAAAGAGTAATTGTAATAGAAAGATAATTGAACAGTCAAGAGAGAAAGAGATAGAGTACCTTCATGGGAGGTTGTCATTAAATAAGAGGATAACAGCAAGGAGAGTTAAACAGGAGCAGCAAGGCTGAATATATGCATAAAAATGCAGGCAGATTACTAGATTTGGTGATGAGGAAATGTGGTAGTTTTCTTCTAATCTCTTCAAATCTCCACTCCAGTGAAATAAGAGTTGAGGTCATCTTCTGAACATGGAGTGTTAGGAAGATGGTTAGAGTTTTGAGTAGAAGAAAAATGTACAAAATGTTGTCTGGGAGAGTGGAAACAGGAATTGTTTAGGGAAATGTAAAATGATTGCTGGGCTGTGCTGAGGCCTCCTTGAGATTTCCCATCACAAATTTAGAATGAGCCTTGTTAGTACGTTGTATTTTTCTTCAGCTACACTGAGGTGCTATGGAGCAGTTGCGGAGGGGTGAAGAGTCAGGTTTAAATCAAGGTGGAGTTTGTCAGGTAAAAATTACATGGGTGGTGGTGACAGAATTCTAAAGATGCCCTTTCAGGATTTCCATCCCCTACATTATTCAGACACAACTCCAGGTCCTGCTGTGAATGGACTTTGAAGAATAATTAAGGTTATTAATCAGCTGAATTTAAGATGGGAGATTATCCTGCATTAGCCGGATGGATCCAATATAATTAACATGAGCCATTAAAAGCAGAGAGATGAGTCAAAAGGTAAGATCAAAGAAATTCAAACTGTGAGAACGTTTTGATGTACCTTGTTGCCTCTGAAATGTAGTGGCCCACATGAAAGGACTAGAGAGAGACATAAAGTGGCTATGGATGGCCTCCAGCCAGCAGCTAGCAAGAAAGGAAATAGAAATCTCAGTGCTACAACCTTGAGAAACTAGATTCACCAACAATTTGAAGGAGCTTGTAAGTCCCTAGAGCCTTCAGATAAGAGCCCTCCAGATTTCTGACCTATAGAACTGTGATATAACAAATGAGTGTTCTTTTAAAATAATAAATTCATGGCAATTTGTCTCAGCAGCAATATAAAACTAATATACACGTAGTGAAGGTCAAGTTGTTGAGATAGTATGTGAAGGGTGATTATTAATAATGGACATGTGATCCTACTTAGCTCTGTGTAAGTAAGTAACATGAGAGAGGTAATAAGAAAAAGTGGATTAAAACACTTGATTGGTTGGAGAATAATTGGAATCCAGGTTGTAAAAGACATAAGCTGGAAAGATATGACATCTAGGATATGGCATGGCTATAAGAGTAGGTGGTTGAGATGGGATAAAAGATGAGATTGTTGAAAGAGGAATTGTGTAGGACTGAATGTTTGTCCCCTCCCCACCAAAAATGTGCAGGTTAAAATCCTAACCCCCAATGTGAAGTTATTAGGAGGTAGGTTCTTTGGGAAGTAATTAGGTCATTAGGATAGAGTCACCATGAATTTGATTGGTATTCTTATAAAAGAGACCCCAGAGAATATCCTTACCCCTCCATCATGTAAGGGCACAGTAAGAAGAAGGCCATCTAAGAACCAGGAAGTGGGCCCTCAACAGATACTGAATCTGCTGATGCCTTGAACTTGGACTTCCCATCCTCCAGAACTGTAAGAAATAAATGTTTGCTGTTTAAGCCACACAGGCTATGGGATTTTTGTTACAGCAGCCTGAAAAAATGAAGTCATGAATTATTGTTAGAGGCCAAGATGGTGGATGGATCATCTACATGTGTGATAAAGACACATAACATGGTGACAGGAATACTGGTAGAGAGAAATCTAGTGAATGAGCCAGGTGCTAAAGTCTTGGGTAAAGGGTGAGAAATGGTCAGGGGCATTGATGGATGACTTTGTGAAGAAAGGATTGTAGGCAGTATAGCCTGATGGCATTTGCTTCAAAGGACATTAGATTTGGGGATGTAGAAAGAAGAAATAATGTAGACCTGGTAACAAAGAACAAAAAGGGTATCCATCCCACCAAAAAGCCCTAGGCTACACAGGATTGTGGTGGTAAAGAAATAACTATCATAGAAGAGAACTTTAGGAAACCACTCACTTTCCCTTACAGAAAGAAGGTGAGGGGACTACTTAGAGAGTAGGTTTTTTTTTTTCTGATGATAGATTATGAATTTCCAAGGGCAAAGTCGAGGGGATTAGTGGATCAGGAAGAGTAAGAGCTTGAGTTAGATTCAGGTGTATACAGAACCATAGGAAAATAGTAGTGTTTGTGAAGAAAGATATCATGTGTGTCTTGGTCCTCTTGTGGAAATATAAGACATGAGAGTCTTTTTGGAGAAGAAGGGCCATCATTCTAATTTTAGCTCCTTCCTTGAGATTGATTATTTTAGGTGATGGAGCTGAAGTGCTAGAATTATAGGGGTAGCCTTATTAGGTGCATGAGAAGTTCTCTAGAATTTCCTTAAATCCTCATGTTTTGCATTTAATAAAATAGAGGCACAGAGTTTAGGTAAAAATCAGAAGTTTTTTCAGGAAGTGAGTGGCAGAATTGGAATGCAAATTTGAGCAATTGGACTTCACAGCAGGTATTTCAAACAATTGTGCTAGAATTACTCAAAAATGCCTGCTGACTAAATGGATGAAAACAGACAAAGCCTGTTATTTGGGAAAAAATGTCCTTGTGAAGGGTTCCAGTGCTGTCAATTTGCTGAAAGTTCATCACTAGTGAGATGCAGAGCTGGGTTGATGAGACTTCCAAGACTGCAAGTGTATCATAAATGCAATACTCCTCTGCCTTGTTCTCTTTCTTAGAACACTTGCCCTAGAATCCCAGTCACCATGCTATGAGGAAGTCCAATCAGCATAGAGAGAAATAAAGGCCTACAGGCCTTCAAGCCCAGCTGATCTATCAGCAAATAACCAGCACTAACTTGCCAGCCATGGAGGGAGCTGTCTTGGGAATTGATCACCCAGCCTCAAGGTGTGCTCTCAACTGGTGCCACATGGAGCAGATTCAGCCCTTTCTATTAATTATTGCCCACAATTCATGTTCATAAGAAAAACAAGCAATTGCTCTTATTTTAAGCCATAGAATTTAGAAGTTTGTAATGTAGCAACAACTATTCACAATAGTGTATGTGTATATATATATGAAGATATATATGTATGTATGTATAGGTGTATATGCACACACACACACACACACACCATGGAATACTATTCAGCCATAAAAAAGAACAAATCATGTCTTTTGCAGCAACATGGATGGAACTGGAGGCTGTTATCATAAGTGAAACGCCTCAGAAACAGAAAATCAAATACCACTTGTTCTCACTCACAAGTGGGAGCTAAATAATGTATACACATAGACATAGAGTGTGGAATAATAGACATCAGAGTCTCAGAAGGGTGGAGAGTTGAGGGATGAAAAATTACTTAAAAGTAGTCAATGTACATTCTTTTGGTGATGGTTACACTGAAAGTGCAAACTTCACCATACACAATATATCCATGTAACAAAACTGCACTTGAATCCCTTAAATTTATACAAATAAAATAAATAGGCCAGGCATGGTGGCTCAAGGCTGTAATCTCAGAACTTTGGGAAGCTGAGGTAGGAGGATCCCTTGGGGCCAGGAGTTCGAGACCATCTGGACAACATAGTGAAACCCTGTCTCTATATAAATGTAAGAAGAAGAAGGAAAGAAGAAGAAAGAAGAAGAAAGAAGAAGAAGAAGAAGAAGAAGAAGAAGAAGAAGAAGAAGAAGAAGAAAGAAGAAGAAGAAGAAGAAGAAGAAGAAGAAGAAGAAGAAGAAGAAGAAGAAGAAGAAGAACAAGAACAAGAAGAACAAGAAGAAGAACAAGAAAAGAAGAAACATTCTACTACCAAGCTACCTGCCCCTAAGCTTCTGCTTCCCCAGTTGTAAAATTAGGCTCAGATCATCAGCCTCAGAGAGTTGTCACACACATTTATGAAAAGCATAAATGATGCATATTCTGGCATGATAGGTAGGTACTCAATCAAAGTTGCCTTCCTCCTTCACCCACTCAGTATCCTCCCAGATTAGACAAAATAACTAGACTTGCTTTGAAAAAAGCCATTTTTTTTCTCCTTATACATACCAAGTGGGCAAAAAATATAGAAGAAAGATTATTCTATCTGTTGATTTTCTTTCCCAGTATGGGTCATTCTCTCACTTCATTCAGGTTTCTGCTCAACCATCATCTCCCTAGAGAAGTCTGTGTGGGCTTCCCTCTATAAAAAATTATATACAACGGTCCTCTCTTCTGCCCTTCCCTACCCATTAAAGTGCACTATTTTTCCTTATAGCATTGATTATCACTTGGATGTTGCATACAGTATTTGTCTATGTTTTTGTATTATCCCACTCTACTAAAATAGAAACTTCATGAGAGCAGGGATTTTTCACTATCTTGCCCTCTACTGTCTTCTGTAGCATCTGAAACAGTGCCTGATATACAATGGGGATTCCATATATAAGTTCTTGAATGCCTAAATGAATGAGTGCTTTCTGTTGTAGTTCTTCCCCTTGTTCTAATTTACTTCTTTCAGATGGTATGCAGAAGAACATCTTGAATGGAACATTGACTTCAAGATTAGAATGTCAGACAGACTCTAAGAAAGGCAAAGGCAGTCAAATATGCCAATTACTTCGGAAGGGTAATGGCATATTTTGAAATTTGGAGGCTGCTTCATTAAAATTCATTTTCTGCTACATAAAATAAGAAATCGGGAGCCTGACAGAAATGAAACTCAAATAGGCATTCATTTCCTTTATCTTTTTACAAGACAGATCAATTAGTAATTTTATGGTTGAAAAAACCCATTTTTAAATGTTATGTGAGACTTAGTGTAATATCAAATCTGGCCTAATGTCACATTTATTAAGGAATTGAAAGCACTTTTACATCTGTTCATTCACTAAAAAAATACTGAGAAGCACATTTTTCACCATCTAAAGTTTATAATGGAAGAGGAAAATGGGCATAGAAATGATCTTGTTGCATAATTAACTCCTCCAAAAGTGAAAGCAAGAGATACGCACTGGACAGGAATATTTCCAGAGTTGCATTTACATTTGTAAATCATGCCACGGAAACCCTCCCAAACAGGTGTAACGGAGAGTCCAGATGGCCTCAACCAGGGGCCAGAAAGCCCGACACCTTCTGCTGCATCTCTGGCCACTTTTATGGGCTCACTGGGTTTGGCTGCATGAGCACCTGGCTGGGGGGCAGCCAAGGGGACACACAGGTGGTGCCGGATGAGAAACAAGAGTTTCCAAGCGAAAGGCTCCTGTGCTGCTGGAGAATTGCCTCCCTCTCAACCATGGAGTTATAAAACTAAGATCCAGGTCATTTATGGATACTGAAGATCGTGGACATCTTTTAGATAAGAGAGTGTGGTGTTTATTTAACCTCAGTAACTTAGGTAATTACATTCTGCCATCTGAAATTTCCCCTGCCATTCTATCAGATCCGTTACATGCCTTTGCATTTCAGTTCTGTGTAGGGTTTCTGTGTAGCTATTAAGCAGCTTGCTAAGCTCTCTCTAGGCAACAGAAGAGTGTGTATTCTTTATGAGCTGGGTGTTGGGGTGAGGATGTGTGATGCTGGTGATCCCATGTGGATCTAGTTCTAGCGGGGTGTTTCCCTGGCATAATTATAAACAAGGAGACCTTTGGTCCTTTTGATTGCAAACAGAGCTTTGGGGAAGTGATGCTGATTGATGAGTGTGGTTCCTGCCAGTGACAGTGAGGCAGCAATGGAATTTTCCAAGTCACAAAACTGATGATAGAATCTCTACCTGATGGCAGGATTTCTAAGGAATGACTACTGTGCAAGCAGACCTACTGAGGAGAGCTTAAGGATGCATAATCAAAGTACTGTAAAGAAGGTCACATCTTTTTCCTCCTTTAGCTTTTCCACCAGCATAGACTCCATGTAGCATTCATATGCTAGAAGAGCTTAGCCATGGAGGTAGAGAAAATGTTGAAGAATACTGAAAAGTTGCAATTCCCCCAAATATTCACCTTCTTCTTCCCCCACAGCACTTTGCTGGATCAAGATTTTGCATTTTAAAGATAGATTATAAAAATTGAAGTGTGTCAATTCAGAGAACTAATACCAGCTGACTTTATTATTTCCAGCAGTTTAAAACTATTTCCCTGTGCAAATATGCCCAAGGATATTCTCAAACCAGATAGACTTCCAAGGTGTGTTCATGACTGTGCCCAATTCCAAGTTGTTACTTGGAGCTCCACCCTTCTATTGTAACTGGCAAACTTCCACGGACAATGGAGGGAGGGAGGAAGGCATTATTATAGGAAATATTCTTCAGTGAGTGTTAATTGATATAGAGAGAAATAATTTCCTAATCTTAGCTCTTTGACAAAGAAAATAAATAGCCAAAATGTCTCTATGTAAGCCTTCTTCTTTCTTCTTTTATTTTTATAAATCCATAGCTACAAAGGAAAAAATTAACTTGTTTCATCCAGTACGTGTTCCTGAAGAGAAATGTGAGCTGATCCTGCAGATTTAAAATCTGATCCTTCAGCTTTAAAATCAGACCTTTTAAGCCCTTTTCTCACCAAAACAAACATATGTCATCAATAGCAGTGTGTGTCACTTGGAATTGTGATGGTGGCATGCAATAGAAACCCTGACAAGAGCTGAAGCAAATAAAGATTTTTCTTATATAACAAGAATTCCAGAGGTGGCAGTCCAAAATTGGTGCAGTGGCTCTAGGAAGTCATCAAAGAACTAGATTCCTTCTACCTGCTGGTCCACCACCCTTAGCTTGTACCTTTTAACTTCATGATTGTAAAATGGCTGCTAGACTCCAGACATTTTGTCTTGATTCTAGCAGAAAAAATAAGAGAAGAATAAACAGCAAGATGTTCATGCTGGCTGAATTTATTCCTTTTTGACAGGAAAACAGTAGCATTCTCATTCCCTGCCTGGAAGCCTCCCCTCCTTAGTGACAACAAAGCCACATAATTTCTTAGTTGCAAGGGAGTCTGAGGGGGAAAATTATTTTAACTGGCCTAAACAGTTAAACACTGGGGTCCTGAATAAAACAAGACCTGATAAGG
Organism: Homo sapiens; assembly: GCF_000001405.40. Classification (NCBI taxonomy): domain Eukaryota; kingdom Metazoa; phylum Chordata; class Mammalia; order Primates; family Hominidae; genus Homo; species Homo sapiens. The sequence continues at coordinate 79,918,479 of NC_000014.9, read as the reverse complement.
AATTAATAGTTATGAATAAGAAAAAGATAATAGAGCTGGGCCAGGTGCGGTGGCTCACACCTGTAATCCCAGCACTTTGGGAGGCCGAGGCAGGTGGATCACGAGGTCAGGAGATCGAGAACATCCTGGCTAACATGGTGAAACCACGTCTCTACTAAAAATACAAAAAATTAGCCAGGCAGGGTGGCAGACACTTGTAGTCCCAGCTACTCAGGAGGCTGAGGCAGGAGAATGGCGTGAACCCGGGAGGCAGAGCTTGCAGTGAGCCGAGATCGCGCCACTGCACTCCAGGCTGGGCGACAGAGTGAGACTCCGTCTCAAAAAAAAAAAAAAAAAGAAAGAAAAAGATAATAGATATTGTAGGTTATTAAGCAGTGGGTGCCACACAGGGAATTCATGTCCTCTACAAACTTCGTTGGTTATCATCATTCTCTTCCTTGACATTCGCCTTTATGATGTGCAAATAGCCTTGAGTCTGAACTATAATTCATAGCTCTGAGAAAAATTTTCAGCAACAGTAACTTTACTGTATGTAGGCTTTACAGTCTCAAATATACTTCTCTCCTCCTCCTATATTAATCTTGGGCAAACAATGTTGAAATTTAATTTCTGGACATTGTCAGGAAGGAAAGATTTTTCTTCTGCCTTCTTAGGCTCAGTAACTGGGGGCCTGTGAATTAAACTAATAAAAGACATGTTAACAGGAGAAAAGGCAAAGGCATACCTTTTTATTAACATTTATGTGTATACTAGAGTCATAGAAAATAAGTGAAACTCAAAGAAGCAGTTAAACTCAGGGGTTATATACCACTTTAACAAAGGAAAGGAGATTTGGGCTTCAAAGGACAATAAGTCATGGGAAAGTAACTAGGAAATATCTTGTGGAACTAATGAAAGATAAGGGTTATTTTAGTTCAGTTTGTTTATAGAAACTCATCTCTGCATAAATGTTCCATCTCCAATGATAAGAGTTGGTCTTCACTTTCTGGTAAGATGGGGGTACCTTCACAAAGGGAAATGTATGCCCTGTTTTTAGGTAGATAAGGGGAGGGCAGAGAACTCTTCCTGCATCTGTTGATTCTCAATTGCCTTCAGTTCAGAATAATACTTGTGCCAAAGTAGCAAATGTTGGGATGGCAAATCCTGATCTTTCTTAACACTTATCTGCAGGATCACTGATCCCATTTGTTGGAGACAAAAATGTTAATATACTTTTGCAGTGAAGCTTCATTTATATCTATGAAAGCACTGAAGTTGAAAGCCCTTTACCAGAGGAATCTCTGTAAAGGTGTCAAGTTGATTGTGACAAACCTCACAGTTGCTTATGACCTAGCAGTATAATATGACACTGAAGCTAAGAACTGGTGTGCTGGACAGTAAGATTAGTCAGCTGATCCTCACTATGAGATTAACATTTAACCCAGTTGACAGAAGCAGACCTGGGACACATAAATATTGATGGCTGGGTAAGAGAAGCCAGAGAGAAGAACAGCAAATGAAATAACGGCTTTAGGGATCCTGTGATGGTAAGTGGTCACCATATGGGAGAATATGGTCAGCTGGAAAGTTGAGGATGACTTTGAAATCCAACCTAACCTTCTTACTGAACCCAGAGGCCAAAGCTGCATCCATGAGCTAGAGCCAGATGCCCTTAATTATTACCCAATTTCCTTTAAACTGAATCCTTTTACATAAGTATGTTAATATTTAACTGAGAAGTATTAGCAATTTTTCAATTAGGTTCCAGTGGGCTCTTCACCTGTAAAATAGTCTTTTATCCCCCTTGATTGCAAGAGTCAGTGGGTAAAATTATGGACCAAGATTAGGTCACTATTTTGAAATGCAAGATATGGGTGTGAATTGAATTGAGGTGAGGAATCAGGTGCACTTGGGAAAATTTAAAGGATCATTTTCACTTCCCTCTGGTCACTAATGGTCTTGCTGGAGAATTCTTCCAGATAATCATGTGATTAGTGCTATATAAACAGATTCTTAATTATTAGCTTTCAATGACTCCTTAGAGGTGCCCTCAGGCTTGACCCAAGCACAGATCTAGATGAGAAAAATTTTCTTCTCTACTTTTACATGTCTGCTTAAAAGCCAATTCTTGTTTCCACTCCTGCTGAGGAACACAAGATTTTCTGAAAAGTCTGTTGAAAGGCAATTTAACTGTTTTAGGACAAAACACAAGGTAACTGTTTCCAGTAAAACTGCAGGAAGAATTAAAGGAAACAGGGTGAATTTTCAGGCTTGGAATCTGGCCGAAAGAAAGGCTAATTCACTTCCATTAGGTCTTTAGTGTCCGCAGTTTTAGGGCCAACTGCCTCTTCTATTAAAATATTTCTGCTGTGGTTTTGAACTGTCCCTCCTCAATGTTGCCGAATCTTACATTATTAAATTGGCTATTAATTTCCATGTTTCATGGAGCATTTTTGTACTGTTTTCAATCCTTAAAGCCTCTGTTTTAAATGCTCATCACCCCAGCAAACAGAAGATACCCCTGTCTCTATTTATTAGTTTCTATTTGCTATGATTTTCCTCCTCAGGCTAAAGCACACTTTAATTGAATGAAACCCTCATCTTGTGTTCAAGTTGGCTAACGAGCTCAGAGCCCTGCCTAAGAGTGGTTTACCTTATTAAACGGCTTGTATAAGACATGGTTGACCTTGTGTTGCAAACTCCAAGTTCAGAGACATGTAAATCTCTCTTGGGATCCTGAGAATAGGGTCAAAGGTTGGACAGTACCAAGAAGCTTCCAATTGTAATAATAATAATAAAAAGATCCTACCTCAATTGGGCCATATTTAACCTGGAAATGGAATGGAACAGAAAGCCAGATTGCTTTGTAATTGACAGCTTTGTCTCCCAGCAGATGGCTGTAATCTCCCGAATGTGCCAAACACAGACTCTAGGATTTTTGAGTTTGTAGAGAAAACAGAAAGGACAAATATTTATTGCAATTACAACATTTGTGCATTGGATATAGTTTCACAGCCTTTTAATCCTCCTTGATTAGAAAATACAGGGTGACTTTTTTTTTCCTTGCCAGTTGAAGTTTATCAACACTTTAAAAAACATTTCAAATTTTAATAAACATAAAAGTAGGTCATACAGAAACAGGTCTCTTTTTAGTTTACTTCCTGGTAAATCTATACATCAGCCCATTTAGAGAGTTTGAATCAACATGTTATAGCTCCCAGTCAGAGCTGCAGCATCCAAATTCAAATGGTGGTGTAATCAACTCTAGATTTGTCTGAGGAAATGATCCAGGTTTCAATTTTATTTTTCTTCCCACTGATCACTGCTGGTTAGTTCTTGTCAAGAAGGTCAGTTGGGGATCTCTCGAGTGATTTACATAATTAGGTTCTCTGTGTAGTCTATGGAAATTACTTCTGGGGCAACCGGAGCCACATTTGATCAATCCCATCAGATTATGTCTACCTCCATTGTTAGCAAATCATTAGTTAGTATCTGCATTATGATCATCCTGAAAAGCACTGAGCTAGTTTCGGCAGTAAATTTTAATTCAAATGTAAGTTCCTGGAACTGAAATCAAGGTTTTCCTGTAGCTTTTGGGTAATGGGTATAAATATCAGAAACAGCACAGGTAAATGTGAGTTCAAGTCACACCTCTTCCACTTTAGGTTTTGCTGTCTTTGGCAAGCCAATTAACATGTCTTGGATGAGTTCCTGACTTGTCAATTCTAAGCACTGAAGACTATTATGAGGATTGAGTGAGATGAGTGTATGAAATGAGATCTAAACTGTAAAGCAACCTACATTTGTAAAACAGCTACCAGTAGGTAGTTCCAGGTAGCTACCTGGGAAAATTGTATTAATTTATCAGAGCTTGGTGAGCTCCAACATGATTTATACGCACTAATAGTGACATTTGCATCCTACTTTTCCATGATATGCATCTTAAATTCCAAATTCTAGTTTTCATTACAATTTTATCAAAGCTTCAGCCTCTTTACACATTTTTTTGCCAAATCAATCTAATGCTTATAACTTATTTCACTCATTTAAAAAACATTTATAAAATGCAAAATATCCAACATTTTACTGGAAATTTCATACAACAATGAAATGCACCTCAAGTCGTTCTTTCTCCAGCTGACTTGAAATCTGGTACTTTTTATAATTTCCACAGTTTGCAATCTGGAGCTACTAAAACTAGATTTGTCCTCATGAATGACAGCACTTAACATACTTGAATGTGGCCAATGTTTCCACACCAAGTCTTCTTCTTCTCAGGCTCACTATTCAATAATTACACATTTCCCAAAGGACAAAAAGCCAGACTCCTTAATATTAACATTTAAGCCTTCTCTGTTTCTTAATTTGTCTCAATCTCTCTTTTCAGTTGTACTTTCTATCCCCTCAGAACTCTTCCTATCCCACCACCACACTAACCTCAATTCCAGCTTATAGAAACATTGGTATTTCTTGCAACATACCTAACTTTTATGCCTCCATGTTCCTCATCCATCCTCCATTCTTCTATCTCCAACTATATTTGCTTGGAAAACATGTGTTCAAAATCCCAGAACTACCTTAAACATCTCCTCCTCAGAGATGCCTTCACTGATCTCCCATCAAAGTCATTTTCTCCTTGATGTTACCACTGAACTATGCCACTTTAGCATCAAGCTCATCACACTGACTTGCCCTCATTTTCTTTGTGGCCAACTCCCCTATCTAACGATGAGGTCTATTATGTCCAGGAACTATTTTTCTTTGTTCTTTCAGAGTTTCATATGGTTTTTCATCCCTCTTAAGTAGTCAATGCTGTTTGTGGAATAAATGGAAGGAAAGATTTAATGAAGGAAGAAACTGGGGCCTAATTTCATAGTTGGTGGGGAATCACTAAAGGTATTAATTAAAAATACCTTCTTGAAAGAAGTAAAGAGTTGCGCTTTAGGGTGGCTAACCTGTTGGTTATAGGGAGAAGGGCTGAGGGCAAAGTGGGATAAAGAAAAAGAAGGCAGGAAGGTTAAGTGAGCTGCTACAATAGTCCAAGGATGAAGTAAAAAAGAGTTAAAACAATTAAATGGAGTATGAATAGGAGAAATTGTGAGATATTAAGGAGCTGACTGTACCTGTCAATAAAGACATTTTTAAATGTTTTTCTTTTCTTTATAGCACATGGTAAAATTGGATTTCCTTTGGCACCTTTGAAGTTAACGGCTACTTGATTACATTTGGCTAGTGAAGTATGACTAGGAGTGTGTGTGCTACATCCAAATAGAAGCTCTAGTAACTAGTACATAATCTGCTGCATTCTGATTTTAATGCCTCGGTGATTATGAATTCATGTGTCAAGGTGGAACCTCTGTCAGCTCTGTTCCCTGATGGACTATGAAGTTTTCCTGCCAACTGTATCAGACATGTAGTATGAGTGAGAAGTTAACTTTTGTATATCAAAGTACTGAAATTGGGTACTTGTTACTGCAGCAAAACCTAGCTTATACTGACTTGTTAGGATTCCACAACTGATGGAGGAGGGCATGCAGAAAACATTAAAATTTATCATGCAAGAATATAAATATGTTAGCATGAGTGAGTGACACGCTGCTATGTAAGGTTGTTCTTAATGTACACTTCACAACTGCAAGGTTTCTATTTAAATCACAGTCTATCTGAATTGTGGGCCCTAGATGTCCTGATGTACACAGTAGTCCTGGGAATGATTCATTAAGAAAAAATAAATTATTGTTTACTGCCTCCCAAATGATATTTTGAGTGCTGGAGATACAAAGACAAAATAGAGTTGATTGCTGTCTGTGATACAGTCAGAAGCCAGCACAATGTGGCAGGTCTGATATAGGCACTGTGTACAGATAGAGGAAAAAGCAACAAGTTCTGTTAGTTGTAGTTGAGCTGAGGTTTAAGGATAATTTAGAATTGTTTATGCAGAAGAGTGTCAGTCATTTTAAGCAGAAGATACAGAGAAGAAAAAGTATATGACACATTGGAGAAATAGCAACTGATCCATGTGGCTGTGACTTAGGTATGAATTTTGGAGGTATGTGGAAATGGTAGAAAAAAAGTGTGGAAAGTTAAGTTGGGGGTCACTTAGGAAAATTAAACATTCTGCTGATGATTTAGGCTTTATTTCTGGGACAAGTGTCCTGGAGGCTTTTTGATCAGATAAGCATTATATTTAAGTTTTATTTTGAAAAAAATTAATATGACATTTTTATCATATCATTGATAGAAATAAGGATATTAGATCAAAAGTGGAAGCTCATGTATTTAGCTTGTGATCTTTGATTAGTTTTGGTTTTATTTGAAAGATTATTTGCAAAAAAAATAAAAAATAAACTCAAGAGAGAGAGCTTATTTAGTTAGTACTGATTCCGAGAATGAATCCAACTCTATTATTGGTGCTACTTTGAAATTTTATCATGTTGAGCTTATCTTTTGAAAAACATGGGCCATGATTTAAAAGTTGCAAAACTTTTATGTCATCCAAAGACTGCTTGTGTTGTAATGGGATGTGATATGTAATCATGCAGGGCCGTAACACCACCACCCAGGGCCAGAGAAGTTTTTGAGAACTTGTAAAAAGCAGAAGTCACCCAATTATAATCTGAATTTACCATTCCTCTGGAGAGCAAAGTTCAGTTGGATGAGCTCTGTGTCTCGTCTTTTTTTGTTTTATTTGGCTTTTAGGTCTTCCCTATAGTGACATTTACGATGATAGATTGCTACCTGTATCATGGACAATGATTTCTGGTTAATGTTTGGCAGTTCAGGTATTACTCTAAAATGCTGGTGTCTAGATCTGCTACATCATCAGAATGTGAAATAAGACCTTTAGGCAACTTTCCCATGATGAAATTATTGCTTTTAGTCCTGTGCAGCCTGTTACTCTATTTATAAGCTTTTCAGCTATATCATTCTGTGTTAACAGTTTTAACTATCCAATATTTCCTCTGCTTTGTCATCACATAGATAAAAATTGGACAAGAAGAAATGTCCCAGTGGTGGTGCAAATGACCATCACAGTAGCACAGCTGGTCCCTGAAAATTCTCATCTGACTATGCACATCCACTAAACTTTAAAGGCTTTACACATTGGTGAGGAACTCATGAAAATACAGCCATCAGAGAGATGGGAAAATTAGAGAGTTATAAATGGCCTGCTGAGACATGGATGTCAATGTAGCTGCCAGGTGTTGGCATACCCAAAGTCAAAGGAGAGCTTGATTTGAATTTTAATTTGAGGAGAAAGCATGATAGTTATTGCCTACCCAAAGATCATTGTCCCAGGGACTCTAAGAAATCTCTTCTAAATGAAGAAATATCTAGGCTAGGAAATCAAGTGCCTAGCATAAGGAGTCGCTCAATTAATATTAGCTATTAACATTACTAGTCCACTGAACTGAGAAATAAATTTAAATTTTCAAGTTGAACTTAAAATCAAGTACTCCGTTGGCTTTTGAACTAATTAACCTATAGCCTATCATTCAGGTTATATATTTTTTTCTTAATCCTGAGAGAGTTAAAGTGCAATTTGAACATTCCCCAACTCCTCGATAATGCTGGAGGTGGCAAAATGGAACCACTGATATCTGATAATATGTGCTCCCCACCATGTTCAGTAGGGGTATTTTTTTAAAATATGACTTAACTAAAAGTACCTCTGGAACTGTGATACCAAATCTCCTCATAATGAAATTAACCATTTTGCAACCTTTAAGAATAACTATAGTTACAGTTTTAGGAAGATGCAGCATGTTCCAGATACTTCTCGAGGTTTCTTCCTTATAAATATCATCTCATTTGAAATTCTTAGCAGACCTATGAGGTTGGTATTCTTTTTGTTTGTTTGTTTGTTTTGTTTCATATGAGATTCAGAAACTGGCTCCCACACGCAGTCAGTAATCAGTGAGCTGTGATTTGAACCTAGACTGAATCTGAATCACTGCATTTTTAATCACTATAATCATGGCCTTCTCACTAGTGTAAGTCCAGTGTGAGTTTTATTTCTCTCTATGCATTATTCTATGCATCAAAAGCCTTCACAAATATGATTCCTTAGACTGTCTGAATGATTGAGTGAACCTCAATGCAAGGATTTTTAGGTTTCTCTGAAATACCCTTTCTCTGATAAATCTCTCAAAGGGAATAGTCCAAGGATAATAAATCGAGGCATCTTGGGGACTCATGGGAATTTACCTCTGTGATTGATGGAATGATCTGGCTGTCACCTGCATGCATAGTAAATAAAGCCATGGAAATGCATGAGATTGCCACGTGAAAATTGACATTGGTTTGTTCATTTTCTTAGGGGAAGAATACAATTGAAAAGAAGGGAGCTGAGGGGGACCATAAGAATGATTGATAGAAAGATACAGAGTTTAGATTAGGAAACTAGAAAAGAGAATGGAAGGTTTTATTATTATTATATTACTATTTCTCCAAAGTATGCCAGTACCCTTTTCTCAATGTGCTCACGATGTATATTGCACTCTGCTAGGCACCAAGGAAAAGGAGACAGAGAAGGGAGAGAGAGAGGAAGAAAAAGAGACAGATGTACTCTCTGCCCATAAGGAGCTAATGATTTAATTAATGGATAGAAAATTAATTTGCACTGAGTTGAAGGGCATGAAGATGAACAGCATAGGCACATGTTTATCACCCAAGGCCATTTTTGCTGATTATTTCATATCATTTGTCTCTAAGTAAATGGGCCTTCTAAGGAAGAAAAGCCAAGCTCTCTGGATCACAAAAGGCTAAGCAGGATATGAAATGCAATGTGTCAAAGGTATTCAGGCAAAGCATTCTTTAATATACAAATGAAAGAAAACCAAAAGGCAAAAGATTATCTTTCATTATCTGGGGAAGAAAAGCAGATAATTAATGATCAAAGTGGCAGAGACCCTTCGTGCCTTCATTTACCTCAGATTTTAATAAGGGAATAATTTTAAAAACTGATAACTAAAGAGAGATGTTCACCTGGGGTTATTTAAATGTGGCTTTCTCAGCCTTATATTTTACCTCAAAAATGTACTTACTCTTAATTTATATGTAATATAAATTGCAGACATTCTAGTGAGTCTGAGATGATTATCAAGTTGCCTTTCAGGCAGGGAAGAGGTTGGCCAACTCTTTAGAAATTGTCCATCCTGGGAAATATGGTGAAACCTCATCTCTACAAAAAATACAAAACTTGGCGGGGCATGGTGGCATGCACCTGTAGTACCAGCTACTCAGGAACCTAAGGTAGAAGGATCGCCTGAGCACAAGGATGTGGAGATTGCAGTGGACCTCAATCACTCCACAGCACTCCAGCTTGAGTGACAGTGAGATTCTGTCTCAAACAACAAAATAAATTGTTCAGGTATCAACATCCAAACCACAGTTCCATGGAAATGATAATGGAATAGAGTAAGCATTATATAATGAAGAAATACCAGGAGATAAACAGTTCAAAAAGGGAAAGAAAAATATTATCTCTAAAATTCAAGGAAACAGGAGGACAGCAATTTCTAACAACCATGGGTTTGGACCTCTATAAAAAAATTGTGAATATTCCCCTTAAGACACTTTACACTAGAGAGAATTGTGTTTTCAGTAAAGTCTTTTCTAATTAAGTGTTCTGTATCTGACTGTAGGGTGTGGAATTAGCTATGTCTTTGACTCTCAAGTCTTTTCCAGCATTTAATTCCAGTTGGAAAATTTTAGTGTGAAACCACACTTCTAAAGTCTTAGCTGTTGAGAACTTGAAAACGACTGTGGGCTTAGCATCTCCTCTGAAAATACTTCTTTTTTCCCAGAGCAGTTCCAAGGGAATGACTGGACTCAGGGCCTACATTTCACATGGTAGGCATTCAATAAATGTGTGCTGAGTATTTTTAAATGAATAAACCCTAACCACAATTAGAGAATATCTCCCTTACTGAACCTCCCTAATATAAAATCTGTCCCTGCAGTCTATATGACAATGCATAGGTTCAGAATTCAGGTTTAGAATTCTGTTAGTGACTAAGCCCTTAGCCATTTAGTCACAATTCATATATTCACTTGAGTTTTGGACAAATAATGACTGCCACTTGGGTTTAATGATAGTTTCACCTTGAAGTTTTCAGAAGAAAAAGGTCCCCTAAGCATAAAACAATGTTCCCCCTGGATTATGATGATCATCTGAAAACAGAAGATGAAAAGGGAAGATTCTAGAGTAGTATGAGCTATTGGTCAGACATCAATACACAGCTCTTCCTTTGTGGACACAGGATATCACAGAGACCATTCAAATTAGGTTAGGATGCTGTAACCCCAGAAGGTTGCCTCTGTGGGCAAACAGAGGTGATATTTTACTATATACATTTCTGCCCAGAGAAAGCGTCAAAGATTTCTCATACACTGGGCCAAATGAAGGCTTTAAAATCTTGCTAAGAAGTATTTTACATCTGGACTAATGTTTTCCATTAACCATTAAAGACTGGATATGTAAATTGTCTTTTCATAGCTAAGGTTTAAAATTCCCTTGTATACTCCATAGTGTCCTTTAAAAAATTATTTCTAAATTAGTGTCAGTTACATGTCTTGATTTAAAGGTATTAGTAAAAACAAAATACAAAAACCAAAAAACTAAAGAACTTCGTTTGAAAAGGAAGAATGACCAAAGACACAATGACTTGAAATCAACCTCAATCCAGTTAATTCTTAGGTTTTCTTCAATAAGACAATGATTCAAAGTGAAATGAGCAAAACCCTTGATTAATCACAGATTCTATCATAATGTCCAGAAATCTTTAAAATGGGGGCAAAATTATATTTTAGGAGCTTAAAATTTAAATGCATATATAAAAACAGCCCTATTTTACATATGAGCAAATCGTAGTTATGTGCATAGTGCATAGTGCACAAATAAAATTCATTCCTTGATTGGTTAAAAGCCTCAGCATATCAGTGAGAATGGTTGTTCTATTACAATTCAAGGAAAAAAAAATCTGAAGTTAAAGTTCCTCTAGTTGAGTAACTTTAATAACAATATATGCAACCAGAGGAAGCAAAGACCTTAAAGTTTGGTTACCCGTTTCGGCTTTGTGTTAATGTAGTTTTTTACATTTTGCTTTTGTTTTCATTTGCTTTTTTCATCATGATCACCTGAAATCAAACATGTTTATCTGATACACCATTGAGACTCAAAGAGATCCAATGACTGGCACAATCATAATACAGCTCCAAAGCAGAAGAGAGTGAGTCCAAAACTGTCTGACATCAGTAGTTTTCCTATTTCCACTATGCACATGACTATGATTTCCTCATATGTAAAACAGGACTGATATCATCTTCAAAAAAATTAAGGAGGCCACATATGTTTAGCTAGCATCTAGAGCAGTGTCTGACGTCTAGTAGGTATCTACAAAAAAATGTGATGATAGTAATACTTAGTGGTGGCAATTGCTGTTAAAAAAAAAAAAGTGACCAAAAGACTTGCAACCTAAATGGTCTAAGAATAATACCTAGAGTTTCTTCAAGGAAAAAATAGCTGAGATTGTGGAGTACAAACTAATTATCTCCCAAATCTGTATGCACTGATTTCTTGCATGAATAGATAACTTTACCAACAGATTCGGTCACACATCATAGACCACAGTTAAGTGTTGACTAGATGAAGGATATTTTGTAGTGGTGTATAAAGAAAAAAAGAAAGAAAATTATAGCCACTACAAAAATTCTATCACAATAACTAGAAAGCATGAGATTAATTGCCTAATAAAACACACATTGGAAATTCCTCCTACAGGCAAGAATGTGAAGCAAAATCTGAAATCAGCAAAACCTTGTTTAAAACCAAAAACAAACAAAAAACACTTTTTTTATTATTATTATTTTTTATTATACTTTAAGTTTTAGGGTACATGTGCACATTGTGCAGGTTAGTTACATATGTATACATGTGCCATGCTGGTGTGCTGCACCCACTAACTCGTCAACTAGCATTAGGTATATCTCCCAATGCTATCCCTCCCCCTTCCCCCCACCCCACAACAGTCCCCAGAGTGTGATATTCCCTTTCCTGTGTCCATGTGATCTCATTGTTCAATTCCCACCTATGAGTGAGAATATGCGGTGTTTGGTTTTTTGTTCTTGCGATAGTTTACTGAGAATGATGATTTCCAATTTCATCCAAGTCCCTACAAAGGACATGAACTCATCATTTTTTATGGCTGCATAGTATTCCATGGTGTATATGTGCCACATTTTCTTAATCCAGTCTATCATTGTTGGACATTTGGGTTGGTTCCAAGTTTTTGCTATTGTGAATAATGCCGCATTAAACATACGTGTGCATGTGTCTTTATAGCAGCATGATTTATAGTCCTTTGGGTATATACCCAGTAATGGGATGGCTGGGTCAAATGGTATTTCTAGTTCTAGATCCCTGAGGAATCGCCACACTGACTTCCACAATGGTTGAACTAGTTTGCAGTCCCACCAATAGTGTAAAAGTGTTCCTATTTCTCCACATGCGCTCCAGCACCTGTTGTTTCCTGACTTTTTAATGATTGCCATTCTAAGTGGTGTGAGATGGTATCTCATTGCGGTTTTGATTTGCATTTCTCTGATGGCCAGTGATGATGAGCATTTTTTCATGTGCACAAAACACATTTTTATATGAGCACATGTGTATGGTTCTAGCCACTTATATTTTAGCTCATAATTGAATAAAGATTGTCTAGCAATATCCACTATGTTTAGAGGTCTCTTGTGTACATGATTGTGTTATGACAGTAGAAATAAGCTTGGAAACTGTCAAAAAGGAAGATTGGTTGAGATGGAAACTTATAGTAGTCTACTTTTACAGGTGCAGAGGAAGCGGGGGTAATATCCTATTGTCTGCTGTGCACCCCCCTCTCAACACTACAACTGTTTGAGAAAAACAGTCTGAAAGTAGACTAGAAGAAGGGTTACCAATAACTCCAGGGACAAAAGCTTTTCCTGTTTTTATGCTATTTCTATCAGACAATAGACTTTCCTGGTCTTTGTTTCATTTTATAAATATGAACACATATACATACATACACACCCAGATCATAAACAAATTAGCCACTAGTACTTTTCAGACACAGTGAGTAGATTAACAATGCTACATATTTCCCACTTTTAATCACTTTGGGCTGTTTTTATTTATGTGATGGTGACTTTAAAGTAATACTGGACTATTTAACCCAACAAATTGCAAATTGGTATTTAATCCTAACAGCTTTCCAACACATTCTTCTCCAAAATGGGCAGCAGCATCTCATTACCTATGTTTCACCTGGGGAAATAAAATACCAATATCAGTGGAAAGTCTTCAGTCTGAAAAATCTGGAAGAGGAAAATCACAGCTGCATTAGATTCAACAAAAACAACAGAATAGAATCCAGTTTTTAAAGATTTTTTTCACCCTTCTTTCACATAGCCATATTGGGTAATTAAAGAAAAAACAGATATAGAAAATTAATCCTCTGTGAAATTTCATTATTTTTGTCCAAAAACGGCATGGCAGGGGTTATAAACGTAGGCAGATAACAATTGTATTAGAATTACCTGCAGTGTAATTTTTTGTATTAAATCTCACTAAAACAGATTTGAAGATACCATATGTGAGTGGAGGCTTTAATCTCTGATTGAATATATGCCGTACACACAACTGTGTGACTATTTTACACAATAACAAAGAGAGAGCTAGAGAAAAAATTTCCCATTAGCTGTTGCATCAAGCTTTTAGTTCAAGGAGTCTTTCTCAGTAAAACTAAAAGCAAAAACAAGTCATAACCAGTTTGATTTCTCTTCACAGGGTTGGCCTAATAAATAACTTGGGTAAAGCCCTTACTGCTTTTTTCACAAGCTAAAGAAAAAGGAGGCATTGATAGATGAGGCTAAGGCATTCTGAAATATATTTGCTAAATAATAAACACCAATTTCTTCCAAATAAATAATTAATTCTAATCAAGTCTAGCAAACCTGACAGGAAATATATAGGTGCTAAGGAAGAGAACTGAATCTCAGCCAAAAATGTGCAGTATGGAATGGAGGAGTCAAGGTTGACAAGTCATTAGATAGGAAGCTCAGAGAAGATGCCTTAACACATAGCAAGGGCAATGTTCAATTAAACATGAGGAGAATCTATTGCCATTTTAAACCTTTCCAACTATAGACCGGAGAAAATGCCCAAAGATGGGAAAAGATGCCCTCCTGAATCTCTTCAGATCCATTGATACTGATTCTCTTCTCTAGTGAAAGCATTAATTCTACACTAGAAGCAGCATCAGTGGTGGAAAGGTGTACATGTCTAGCCCTGTTCACACCTACTGCTCTAAACATATATCCTTCAATATTTATTTATTTTAATAGCATAAGAGAACTTTTTTATTGTTTTTAGTGGTTGCAGTGATTTTTCCACTTACTACATAAAATATTGTGGCAAGACTGAGGTTTAAAAAAGGAGAGGATTCTGGGAAGATGGAAGAGTAGGGAGTACCAGGAATCTCTCTACCTACTTAGACAACAATTGCACTAGCAGAAGCTGTTCGATGTAATTATTTTGGGACTCTGGAGTCTACTGAAGGCTTGCAACTTACAAAGAAAGACTTGGATGGTAAATTGTGGTTAATTTTAGTCAATTTCAGATGAGTACAGTAGTAATTACCTATCTCAGCCACATGACAGTGAGCCGTACATGTGTTCCTGGAGCAACTTGCAAAGAGCTTGTGGGAGCCAAGGTGGGAAAAACGGTATGTAAAGCAGTATTAGACATGAAATTTATAACTATAAATGCTTATGTTAAAAATAAAGATCTTAAATCAACAACCTAACATTTACAACTTGAGGCACTAGAAAAAGAACTAACTAAATGCAAAGCTAGACAAAGTAGGAAATAATGAAGATTACAGCAGAGATAAACAGGATACAGAAGAGAAAAATAATAGAGAAAATCAGTGAAACCAAAAGTTAGTTCTTTGACAAAACCACCAAATCAACAAATTTTAGCTAGATGAAGTAATCAGAAAAGAGAGGATACTCAAATCTCTAAAATCAAAGTGGACATATTACTAGCAATTCAATGTAAATAAAAAAGATTATAAGAGTACTATGAACAATTATATGCCAACAAATTGTATAACCTAAACGAAAATGTATAAATTCTTAGAAACAGAAAACCTATCAAGACAAATCATGGAGAAATACAAAATCTGAGTAGACCTATAACTATTAAGGCGATTGAGTCAATAATCAAAAATCTCTCAACAAAGAAAAGTCCTAGATCAATGGCTTTACTAGTGCTAGTGAATTCTACCCAATATTTAAAGAGAAACCAACACCAATCCTTCTTAAACTTTTCCAAAAAATAAAATGAGAGGGAATACTTTTTGACTTATTCTATGAGGCCAGCATTACTCTGATACTAAAATCAGACAAAGACACTACAAGAAAATAACCTCAGACTAATATCCTTTATGAACATTTTTTTTTTTTGAGACAGAGTCTCGCTCTGTTGCCCAGTCTGGAGTGCAGTGGCATGATCTCAGCTCACTACAAGCTCTGCCTCCCAGGTTCACGCCATTCTCCTGCCTCAGCCTCCCGAGTAGCTGGGACTACAGGTGCCCGCCACCGTGCCCGGCTAATTTTTTGTATTTTTAGTATGGACAGGGTTTCACCGTGTTAGCCAGGATGTTCTTGATCTCCTGACCTCGTGATCCGCCTGTCTCGGCCTCCCAAAGTGCTGGGATTACAGGCATGAGCCACCACACCCAGCCCCTTATGAACTTTTAAGCAAAAGCCCTTAACAGATACTAGCAAAAAAAATTCAGCAACATTTTAAAAGGATTATACACCATGACTGAGTGAAATTTATTCCTAGAATGCAAAGATGGTTAAACATATGCACATCAATCAATGTAACAGAATGAAGGGATCATTAGCACAATGAAGAGGAAAGAATTCACATGATCATCTCAATTGATACACAAAATGTATTTGACAAGATTTAACACCCTTTTGTGATAAAAAATGTAACAAACTAAAAATAGTAGGAAACTATATAATAAAAGCCATATATGAGAAACCCACAGCAAACATGATACTCAAATCATGAAAAATGGAAAGCTTTTCCTCTGAGATTGAGAATGAGGTAAGGATGCATACTGTTCTCACTTCTATTCAACATAGTATTGAAAGTTCTAACCTAAATGTTTGACTGAAAACTATGAAAATCCTAGCAGAAAGCACTGGGCAAAACTTTATGGCATTGGATTTGGCAATGATATTTTGGACATGACACCAAAGGCACAGGCAACAAAGTCAAAAATACACAAATTGAATTTCGTGAATTAAAAAATTTTGCCTCAAAAGACAACATCATTAGAGTAAAAACAAGCAGCTCATAGAATGGGAGAAAATATCTGCAAATCATATATCTGATAAGGGATTGATACCCAGCATATATAGATAACTCTTAAAACTCAATAGCAAAAAGAGAAACAACCCAGTTCAAAATGAACAAAGGACTTGAGTAGACATTTCTCCAAAAAATATGCAAATTACCAATAAACACACAAAAAGATGGTCAACATCGCTAATAGGAAAATGCATATCAAAACTATGAGATACCACCTCACACCTATTATGATAACCCTTATCAAAAAAGAAAATAACAAGTATTGGCAAGGACATGGAGAAATTGGGACTCCTGTGCACTGTTGGTGGGACTGCAAAATTTTACAATAGCTGTTGAAAACAGTATGGCTGTTCCACAAAAATTAAAAATATAATTACCATATGGGCCGACCGCAGTGTCTCATGCCTGTAATCTCAGCACTTCAGGATGCCAAGGCAGGCGGATCACTTGAGGCCAGGAGTCTGAGACCAGTCTGGCCAAAATAGTGAACCCTGTCTCTACTGAAAATATAAAAATCAGCCGGGCACGGTGGCACTCACCTGTAGGCCCACCTACTTGGGAGGCTGAGATGGGAGGATCACTTGAACCCAGAAGGTGGAGGTTGCAGTGAACCGAGATCGTGCCACTGCACTCCAGCCTGTCTCAAAAAAAAAAAAAAAAATATATATATATATATATATATATATATATATATATATATATATACACACACACATATATCTTTAATTACCATATGAATCAGCAACATTAATTCTTGCCATATGCCCAAAGTAATTAACAGGAAATCCCAAAGAAATAGTTGTACACCCATGTTTATTGCAGCATTACTCACAATAGTTAAAATGTGGAGGCAACCCAATGTCTATTGACAGGATAAGTAATATGTGGTATATTCATACAATGGAGTATTACTCAACTTTAAAAAGAAATGAAATTCTGACATATGCTGCAGTATGAAAGAACATTAAAACATTATTCTTATACCAATGCCAGTCACAGAAAGACAAGTATTGTATGAGTCCACTTACATGCGGTGTTTAGAGTTATCGAAATCATAGAAACAGAAAGTAGTAGATGGTAGTTGCCAAGGGCTTGGGGAGTGGGGAGTTATTGTTTAATGAACATAGTTTCCAGTTGTTCAAGATGAAAACTGTAGAGAGAGATGGTGATAATGGTTGTATAACTTTATGAATGTATTTTAAATCACTGAACTGTACACTGAGAAATGGTTATGATGGTAAATTTTATGTTGCATATTTACCACAATTTTTTTAAACGGGGGGGAACTTATGGTATAAACAGCCATTCATTGCAGATTCTTTGTATGTCAGAAATTTGAACAGAGCTGTTGTATTTTCCTCTAATTTGGTCTGGAGGTCTGTCTTAGGAGAGTGGCTATTAACTCTAGTCCTGATCTGATTGGGCTCTAGGGGTATAGGTCATGGATATTTACAGTGTACCTTTCACTGGATACTTCTTTTTGTACATCAATGTCTATAACAGCACCATTCTCAATAGCCAAAAGGTGGAAATAACTCAACTGTCCATCAGCTGATGAATGCACACACATACACATACACACACACACACACAAATGTGATACATCCACAATGGAACACCACTTAGCCAGGAAAGTGAATGAAAGACTGATACCTGCTACAGTGTGGATGAACCCTGAAAATATTTTGTCAAGTGAAAGGATACAGTAACAAAAGACCACATATAATGTGATCACACAGGATACTTGTTTATTTTGGCCAACAGCCTAATGCTCAGTTGTCCAACCCATGATTAGTTACCCCTATCACAAGAAACTTGTTATACTGACAGGTTCCTTTATGGCTCTTGTCTCCCCTGTGTCCAGTTTACTTCTACCAAGATAGCCACTCTCTAGAGGAGCCCTGAGATAGAAAGAAGTTAGGTTAGAGTGTGTTGGACAGATGAGACACAGAGCTGGTAACTCAACAACATACCTGAAATAAAAGAAGCAACGTATTACTCACAGATTGCAGAGAAAAGAGAGGGCAGCATACCTTGCAGGGCCAGGAGGAAGTGGGGAGCCCTCGGGGACACACATATTAAATCAGCAGAGAAAAAGAGAGCAAGGGATTTGTAGACCAGTGCCTTTATTGGAATTGAGGGTATTACCCAGGCAGGTTTTCCTTCAGGGAGTTAATTGGTGGGTTTAGAGCACGCAGGCATGAGTTCTGAGGAGTCACACTGTGACAGAGAATTGGTCACAGTGGTATATCTGCACAGTCCATGTGGGCTGTGGGGGTTAGTGGGGTGAGCCAAATAGGTTGTAGGTAGTTGTCCCACTGGGAGGTGGTCGCCAGGAGGTGTTGTATGAGGAGTTATCTGGGTCCATCACACTGAGGAACTGGCAAGAGGTAGAGAACTGGAAATTGTGGTGAGGGCAAGTAAGCTCTGCTTCTGGTTTACGTAAGTTAAACCCATATTCAAAGTGGATGTGGAGGCAATATGAAGCTACAAAAATTAACCATAACAGCACAGAAAGGATAGCTTTTCTACAACCCATATTGTCTGAGGCCTCAGCTGGAAGGTTCTAAGGCTGGAGGCTAGAATCATCTGCAAGCTATTTATTCACATGCTTGGTGGCTGATAATGGCCATCGGCTGGGAGATAATCTGGGCCTGTCAGCTAGATCACTTACAAGTGGCCTCTCCATGTGGAGTGGGGTTCCTCAAAATATGGTGGCTGTGATCCAAAAGTGAGTGTCCCTAGAGAGAATGAGCCAGATGGAAGCTGTATCACCTTTTGTGTCCTAGTCTCAAAAGTCACAAATGTCTCTTCATTTGCTTCTACTTATTGAGCAGTCACAGTGACCTACATTCAAGGGGTAGAAATTCAACTCCATGTTTTGATGAGAGAAGCATCAGGGTTCTGAGATTGTGGAACTGGGAACATGGCTGTGCACATATTTTGGAAAATACAATCTGCTAGTGATTATTTCCTTTTTTTTCTTTTTCTCTTTCTTCTTTTTTTTTGGTTATGTCTTGCTTTTGCTTTTCTTATAGTTTCTAAGAAAAATAGCAAGTACACATGAAAACTGTATTTCTAGTAAATTCTAGTGGTATTTTGATCATCTGTTATAAATCAGCTCATTACAGATTAGACTTGTCTGCAAAGAGCTGATTTATAGCAGATGGGTTATAAGGTAGATATGCCAGATACTGGTTCCAATACAGGTATTTTCAAGTTTGTGCTTGAGGATAAAAAAAAGAACAGGATAAATAAAATGCTTAGAAGAAGAACAAGGTCAAATATTGGGATTTGACTCTACTGAGAGGAGGAATTTAGGGTGTGAAGGAAAGAACTTTTTGCTGAAAGGGATTAATTAAATGTTTCTTGGTATATGTGAAACTTCTGAAGATATTCTGATTTTAGGATATGTTATTTTCCTACACACAACTAAGTAAACTTTTATTTTATTTTATTTTTTGAGATGGAGTTTCATTCTTGTCGCCCAGGCTGGAGTGCAATGGTGCAAACTTGGCTCACCACAAACTCCGCCTCCTGGGTTCAAGTGATTCTCCTGCCTCAGCCTCCCGAGTAGCTGGGATTACAGGTGCCTGCCACCACGCCTGGCTAATTTTGTATTTTTAGTAGAGACAGGTTTTCTCCATGTTGGCCAGGCTGGTCTCGAACTCCCGACCTCAGGTGATCCACCCGCCTCAGCCTCCCAAAGTGCTGGGATTACAGGTGTGAGACACCGTGCCCTGCCTAAACATTTATATGAAGAAAAAAATTCTTATTTTATTCATCAAGTGGTATTATAGCTCCAATATTTAATGTTTTTAGAATATATGAGTGATACAGGTTTTTGGCCTCCAACTTCTCCAGGTCTTTAAATAATTTCCTGCTCTGTCCTGGTGCTATTTCCTTGACCCAGTGAGGACACTGATAAGTGATGAGCCTGACCTCTCCAAGGCCATTTCCCTGGATGGAAGTGGCCAAATTATGGAACATGCCAGAAAGAGAAACTTGAGCTAATGCAGTTGGGTGTTACAAAAGCATAAAAAGGGCCGGGCGGCCGGGCGCGGTGGCTCACGCCTGTAATCCCAGCACTTTGGGAGGCCGAGGCGGGCGGATCACGAGGTCAGGAGATCGAGACCATCCTGGCTAACACGGTGAAACCCCGTCTCTACTAAAAATACAAAAAATTAGCCGGGCGTGGTAGCGGGCGCCTGTAGTCCCAGCTACTCGGGAGGCTGAGGCAGGAGAATGGCGTGAACCCGGGAGGCGGAGCTTGCAGTGAGCCGAGATCGCGCCACTGCACTCCAGCCTGGGCGACAGAGCGAGACTCCGTCTCAAAAAAAAAAAAAAAAAAAAACAAAAAAAAAACAAAACAAAACAAAAAAAAGGGCCGGGCACGGTGGGTCATGCCTGTAATCTCAGCACTTTGGGAGGCCAAAGTGGGCAGATGGCTTGAGCTCAGGAGTTCAAGACCAGCCTGGGAAAATTGCAAAACCTTGTCTCTACAAAAAAAAAAAAAAAAAGTTAGCCGGGTGTGGTGGTACATGTATGTCTGTAGTCCCAGCTACTCAGGAGACTGAGGTGGGAGGATGGCTTGAACCCAGGAGGCAGAGGTTGTAGTAAACTGAGATCACACCACTGCACTCCAGCCTGGGTGACAGAGTGAGACTCTGTCTCCCCACACACACCGCCTGACAGTAAAAAGAATTATTTATTTATTTATTTATTTATTTATTTGAAAACCATGTCCTATGAACATTCCCTTTTATATTACAAATCCACATTGAAAAATCTAGGCTATAGAAATAATTTAGGAGTGCATAAGGATGCTCACTGCAGTATTATTTGTAATAGTAAAAATGGAAAACAGACTAAAATGGCCATCAATAGGAGAATGTCTGTGTGGCACATTTATATCTAGAATACTTTTGCAGCCATTAAAATAATACATATCTACTTTCATGGAAACATGCCCGTGTTTTATTGATACATTAAAAAAATAATTTGCAAAACATTATGAGCAGCAGAATCCCGTTTTTTAAGAGAAACACAATTTCTATTCTAGATTGCAGACATAGCTTTCTCATTTCTTATAAAATCTCTAGAAATGATCATGTATTTTCCTTTTAAAATTCACAACCACTATGTAAATCAAGAAGGAAAACCCTGATGGAACAAAACGCATGAAAAATTCCTGAAAGATGAGAAATGAAAGGAAAGTGATTAGAAAAAGTAAGGTCCCCAAACACAGAGTGAATTTTTCTGTTAGAAAATCTGGGCACAGTACCAAGGGAGTGTGTATGTATGGATACTGGGATCAAGAGAAGTTTAAGAGTAACCAATTGGATAATCAGAAGGGCCAAGCAGGTCAGCTTCTACATATCCTACCTACATAGTCCAAAAAGCAGCTACAGGGGTATCTGACTCAGGTGGGATGGGGAGAGTTATCCAGTGAGAACTTGGGGTCAGAGAAATGAGACAGTGCTGACTGCTATGGTACTACATGCATGGCACATTATCCCAAGCCTCCCATCCTGAAAGAAAGCTGCACAACGCACAAGTCACAACAGGTCAGCTCAGCCTTTCTCATAAGCAGATGCAACAGACAATCCAGCAGGGTATCTCAGGTGCAAAGATGAAGGCACGTCAAGAGCTGCCTATCATTTGAGGAAAGCCAATGCTTTGCTGTTCCTCAACAAAAGAACTTAATCTGGGGAACAGAGACTTAGAAGAACAAGTAGAACAGGAAGTTCAGAGGAAGTACAATTTACAGCCTCAGAAATGTAAGAAGATATTCCACCCATAATAAAATCAACATGATAGATAGTGGAAATCAAAACTGTCATCATGGACATAAAACTCAGCAGCTGGGCTGAACAGAGAAGAAAGGCCATAGTTCAAGAGAAATGAGTAAGCTGGAATTTCAGCCAAGGACTTTTCTAGATTTCAAATTGTTGGAGAGGAAGCATTGAGTAGTGGTTAAGAGAAAGGATTCTGCAAACAGACCGCCTGGATTCAAATACTGTATCTGAATTACTAGCTGTGTAACATTGAAAAAAAAATTTCACTGTTTTGTGTTTATTATTAATCTATTTTCTCTGAGCTCCAAACATACCTTCTAATATTCTTATTTGTAAAGCAGGGGCTAGTTTCTCCTTTTCCACTGGTTTCCTGTAAAGTCATGCTAAAATAGAGGGCACAAAAGCACAACTAAGGGGTTGTGCTCCTAAGGGGTAGGAGGGATGGACCGAATCTTTTAATTTGCTGTTGTTTCTGTCACCATTGTCCTAACAGCAGGAAGCAATTCTGGCAGCAGCGGTTGGTTCTAGTTTCTATCTTTTAGCCTCCCTGAACAGGCCTCTGCACATTCCCTCACCAGTGTCAGCACAATGGGCTCTGCCTCATTTCCAAGAGACTCCTCCTTTCACTGTGTTACCTAGAGTGGCATCCCTTGTTCTGAGTTCTGCACTCCCACTCTATGGAGTTTCTAGATTCGAATAATCTTCCTTTGGTTCCCCTAGACATGGGAGTAGTAGCTGCTTTATTACTTCTATGTGCTTCTAGATTACTTCAGTGTTCTCATTTTGTTTCTTCAATACTTAGCCAATTCCCTACGTTAGCTCTCTTTGTTGAAATATCTAGTATAGTTTTGTTTTCTTGAATCAATCCTATCATATTCAGTCAGGAGTGGGTAGTAATGGAGATTAAATTGAGTTTCTATGTGTAAAGCACTGGGAATAGTGTGTGTGTATAAGGAACTATATAAACACTAGCTACTATTATTAACTATTATCTAAAAAAGCTGAGAAAAATTTAAGAGAAAGTGAGAGGCATTGGAGAAAGAATTAGAAATTTCAACACCTATTTTAGAAGATGCAAACAGAAGTTACTCAGGGGAGCCAACAGCAGAAAGATGGGCATAAGATAAATAAGAAGATTTTACCTGAACTTAATAAATGTAAGCCATTGGCAGAACAAAACACAGACACAAGCATAGAAATAGCACCTTAATCTCAAGATATCATTTTCAAATCTTAGATTATCAGGGAGAAAGGAGTATATATTTATGTGTTATTAAAGCTAGAAAAAGGTCGGGCGCAGTGGCTCACACCTGTAATCCCAGCACTTTGGGAGGCCGAAGTGGGCAGTTTGCAGCGTTCAAGAGTTCGAGACCAGCCTGACCAACATGGTGAAACCCCATCTCCACAAAAATACAAAAGATTAGCCAGGGATGGTGGCGTATGCCTGTAATCCCAGCTGCTTGGGAGGCTGAGGCAGGAGACTCGCTTGAACCCAGGACGCGAAGGTTACAGTGAGCCGAGATCGCACCACTGCACTTCAGCCTGGGCAACAGAGTGAGGCTCCATCTAAAAAAAAAACAAATCTAGCTATATAAAGAGAGAATGAGAAAATAAAACAGTTAAAAAATTTCATTTGTGAACAGGAGTGTGATATCTAAAACAAAATACTATTAATAGAGCATCAAAATGTATTGAAAATAATACAACATGATTAATTATGGTTTAACTCAAGAATGCAAGAGTTGTTTAATATTAGAATTTATTAACATTGTAACTCAGTTCATAAATAAGGAAAAAGACTGTAGGATCATCTCAGTAGATACTAAAAAAGCATTTGATGATATCCAAAAGCCATTCTTTATTTTTTTTAAAAAAAAGCAATTTTATTGCATATCTCTATGCAAATGAGAACTAAGAGGCAACTAATTTGATATGAGATTTCTACCAGTGATCTACAGCAAACACCACAGTAAACAGTGAATCACTAGCAACATTTCCATCAAAGTCAGGAACTAGATACAGATGCCTGCTAATTCCTTTACTACTTAACATAGCATTGGAACTCCAAGCTAATAAGAAAAATATACAAAGGACACATACTAAAAGGAAGAGGCCAAACTGCTATTATTTACAAGTAATAACATCATCCACATAGTTTGTCAGTTGATTGTCCTAATTTTTCTATTAGAATAAATAAGAGTTCAGCATTGTGGCCTAACAAGATAGATGATAAAAACGATCTGAAGCTTTCTTGTATACCAGCAAAACGTAATAAATTTGAGATCCTTTTTCTGATGGCAATGAGAAATATAAAGCAACAGGGAAGAAATTTAGAAATAAATGTCTAATAATGTATAGAAAATTAGAAAAATTCACCACAGATGGTGAAAAAAAACTTCAGTAAAAGAAAAATATGCTAGGCACAGTGGCTCATGCCTGTAATCCCAGCACTTTGGGAGGCCAAGGTGGGCAGATCATGAAGTTAGGAATTCGAGACCAGCCTGGCCAACATGGTGAAACCCAATCTCTACCAAAAATGCAAAAATTAGCTGGGCATGGTGGCACATGCCTGTAATCTCAGCTACTTGGGGGGTTGAGGCAGGAGAATTGCTGGAACCCGGGAGGTGGAGGTTGCAGTGAGCCAAGATCGTGCCACTACACTCCGGCCTGGGCGACACAGCAAGACTCCATCTCAAAAAGAAAAAAAAAAAAAAGAAAAAAAGAAAAGAAAAGAAAAGAAAAGAAAACTATAACAAGTTTATGAATGGGAAGATGCTTGCAATATTTTATTAAAGTCATCAATTCTTTCAAACTTAGTAAATTCAATGGAATCCCCCAAAATTCCCCCCAGAAATATTTTCATCATCTTGACCAGCTGAGTCTAATATTCAAGTGAAGGAATAAATATGAGAAAAGGAAGTCTTGAAAAAGAATAAATGAGAATAACTTGATCTAACAGAATTCAAATCATCTCATAAAGCTTCAGGAATTAAAGCAGTCTTCTGTGTATACAGGAATTGATTTATGCTTACTGGTATGGGTATATTTCCAAGACACGCTGTTGTGTTTAAAGTAAAAGCAAATAAGGTAAAAATTTCTGTTTTCTAATTCAAAAAGCTGGCAGAAATCCAGAAGGATGCACACTCAGTCATGACAGCATCTACGAGACCAGGATGGTGGGCTTCTGATTAAAGGATTCTTTCACCTTGTGTGCAGGGCTGGAGTTTCAAAGAATATAATCATATACTATTCAGGTGATTATAAACAAGAGTGGTTTTTGTATATTTATGTTCATATATTTATATTTTTGCATTGCAAGATACCTGTCTCTATGAGTTAACTTTTACTGCACAATAAACTACCCCAAAACTTACTCAAAACAATATTTATTAGTTCTCATGATTCAGAGGTTTGATTGGATAAACCTGAGAGATGGAAAAATGGAGGATGAGGGAGGTTTTAACTTCATTACATAGGAACATACTTTAAAAAAAATCAACATATATCACTTTGGCAAATTATATTGCTTTATAAAGTAAACAGAGAAAAATATTCCTCTGCCATATCTGAGAGTTTTCCGACCTTGACTTCATTCCCTGCATCCACATACATACATCTACCCTCCCCAGTCACTGAATCTTCATGCCCTTGTCCTTATTAAACAAGTATCTTCCCACAGTGAGACACTGCAGAGTGCCCACCTCCCTCTAGAAACTTCACCTTTGCAGTCACTCTAGCATCTGCCAGCACATATGCACAGATACCATGGAAACAGGCATAACTACCTGTCTAGGAATAAACCATCTTAGCCATCAGAGATCAGATGAAACCTGAGACCAGAGACTCATTTTCCTCTAAAATGCTTTCTCCAAAAGATTTTAACAAAGAAAAGGGGAGAAATGTGAAAGGAAAATAAACATTGAGGTTCCAAAATCACTAAGCTAAAGGGAAAAGTCAAGCTGGGAACGGCTCAGGGCAAACCTGCCTAACATTCTATTCAAAGTCATCCGTGCATATCTGATTGCCTCCTTTGGAGAGGTTAATCAGAAGGTAAAAGAATGCACCCATTTGGCTCTTATCTAGTCTTATCTACCTTTGACCTGGAAGCCCCTTCCCTGCTTCCCAAAAAAGTTGTCCCAGCTTTGCTTTGAGTTGTCTTGCCTTTCCGGACCAAACCAATGTTCATCTTACATATGTTGATTGATATCTCATGAGTCCTCAAAATGTATAAGATCAAACTGTGCTCTGACCACCTTGGGCCTATGTCATCAGGACCTCCTGAGGCTCTATCATGGTCATGGGTGTGCATCCTTAACCTTGGCAAAATACACTTTCTAAATTAACTGAGACCGCCGGGAGCAGTGGCTCACGCCTGTAATCCCAGCACTTTGGGAGGCAGAGGCAGGTGGATCACGAGGTCAGGAGATCAAGACCATCCTGGCTACACAGTGAAACCCCGTCTCTACTAAAAGTACAAAAAAATAGCTGGGCATCGTGGCACGCACCTGTACTCCCAGCTGCTCGGGAGACTGAGGCAGCAGAATCGTTCGAACCCCGGGAGGCGGAGGTTGCAATGAGCCAAGGTAGCCGACATCGCACCACTGCACTCCAGGCTGGCGACAGAGCAACAGAGCAAGACTCTGTCTCAAAAAAAAAAAAAAAAATTAACTGAGACCTGTCTCAGATAGTTGGGATTCACAGTGCTTACTAGAAACTGTATGAAGATGCCTAACAAACATTTTGGTTTGGTTAACCACTTCTAAAGTTGATAAAATCAATTTTATTTAAGTAACTTGCTAACACTTTTGTGATTCATTCACGTTTGTTGCCAATTCCCTGTAACACTAAAGGATCTACGAACTCCATGCCTGGAAATGGGGAGGAAGACCAAATATATATATGTTATTACAGCTTATAATAGCACAGTTCATTCCCAGTCTTTGAAGATGGATCCTTTATATCAAAAGGATATACAACTCAAAAGATACTGCCACGTTACTAGAATCCCACTGTCAATTAGTCTAAGTCCATAATTATATATCTATATCTTATAAAAATATTTCTCAGGGTGAAGCCACTCAGGTTTGCAGACTTCCATTGCATCTTGTCAGGTTGTGAAAGCAAAAGTGGTCTCAGCAAACATACAACTTTACCCTTTAAAGGGCATCTGATACAATTAATCTAAGGCACACTATTATCTCTTGCTCTGAGCCTCTTTTAAAGTGTTGAAGCCATGATTGGATTTTCCTCATTACATATCCATTTATTCATTTCTTTTTTCTTACCCTCGCCCTCAGTCCATTCCCGTTCACATAGGGTAGGGTTTCAGAGGTGCAAAACTGCTGTGCTATTTTTACTACCAGGTAATATAGCTGCATTCAGTGTCAACCCCAATTTTGTCGGGTAGGGTGAAGGTATCACCTACCTCCATCCGGTCCTTAGGGATTCAGACATAAAGTTTAAAAACATACTTACACTTTATGGTTCTGGCTTAGATATTGTGATGTGTTTTTTAAATGGAAATTACCCAGCCTTTATCTTTAAAAGGTTCAGAGTCTTTCTGGGAAGAGATTAACATGAGAGAAGTAGGGAGTGATAAAGCCAATATAATGTAAGGTCTAGAATAAGCACTAAAACGAAATGGTATTGTACTATTTTTAAAAAAGGGAAGAAAATGCATATAATTTGCGTATATTGGGAAGCCTTTGCAGAGTATATCAGAGTTAAATCTTCATTTTTCAGTAAAGAAAAAGCCAAAATAAAAAAAGTTCAAAAAATTGTGATTGCAAAAATTGCTCATATTTTCACCTCTCTGAAAGCTCTAATTTTGCTTTAACTTCTACATATACACATCCAAATAGTCACAATCATAATATACAATTTATTTATGTTTACATTATCAAATGTTTTTAGGTTTTAATATTTTTATGCATTTTATTACCACTTTTAATAACTGTATAACATTTCATTGGTTACGTCAAATTATACAACCTTCCATTTGGGCTCTTTTAAAAAAATTTTTGCAATTTTAGATTTATCCATGCAAATATTAGTTGTGTCACAATAATTCCACTTTAGGTGGATTGTTCCTTTGAGATAACTTTTAAAGAAGGGGTGCTGGCTATGGACACATTTATGCTCTTACTTTTGAAATATAGATTTACAAAAAGATTGCATCAGTTTGGCAGTAGTGATAGGAAGAAACTGGTTTATCTTAGCCACATCAGCTTATTTTTTTTTAATCCTAGTTTCCAGGATGCTATAATTTGCATTTTTAACTACTAATGAGAAAAAGAATCTTTCCATCTGTTTTCTTTTTGTATTTGTTGATGAGGATTATAAAATGTGCAGAGGAAAGGGGAAAAATACCTTGAAAAAAGACAGAAATGAACAGGGCTGGGTGGTAAAAATAAAGATAGGTAGAATATAGAAGGATGAGTAGAAATATTTTTCAGAATGTGTGTATGTATTTATATGTATGTTTATACATGTTCACATATAATATGTCCCCATATTTCTTTCCGATCAAGTATTTACTATAAACCCAGCAATGTATTACGTGAAGTTTTAAGTAAGTCTCATATTTTCACAACAACCTGATGTTTTGTTTCCTCATTTTTTGGGTGAGAAATGGAAAGCTTGTGGAGGTTAAGTCGCATGCCCAAGGCCTCCAAGCTTAGTAGCAGTGTGGGATTTTACCAATGTCTCTCTTACTCTCACACATTTCTAATCACCAGAGTTACTCTAACGTTTTTTACCTAAGTGGAGAATCTGTATGAGAAGTGAAGGCACACATGACAGGTTATCAGAAATTGGTAAAAATGAAATCTCAGACCATGGTAAGATTTACCAAAACAAGATCCATATTGGTGATAAGGGCTCTATCTATTTTTCACTGCCAAATGGACTCAGTTTAGTTTAATTCCTTTATACAATTGATGTTTGTTCTTGGCTAACCATCTATGATATCATTATACTGTACACAATGAATTATTCACCCGAAGGTGCCTTGCAATTAGACTCAGCAGAGTATTTGCTCCTTTCATCCAAACATATTACTTTATCTATAAAGGTTAAATTAATCATCTCTGCCAGCAATGAATAACTGAGAGAATTAGTTTTTAATATCTGGAGTAGAGAAGGGAAATTGCAGGCAGAGAAATACATTTTGCTTGACCAGTGTTCCATGTTTCCTTTTATAATGTGTATTCTCTATCCGATGCAGCATCTTTGGCTGGCAAGAGGAGGAAATAGGACACATTGTTTGATCAATGACTGCCCACTTTTTGGGGAGGAAGACAGCTGGACAAAGATGATTAATTAAAATGCACTTTAATTTTAGTCATACCATTTCAAATTCCGATTACTTCATTTTCACAACAATGCTTTAAGTTAGGTATTATTAGTTTCTTATTTTACAGGTAAGAATGTAGGCACAGAGGAGTTAAGTGATTAAACCACAATATGTTTCTAGGCCATGCAGCATCAATATTCATGTTTTGACCACTGCACTGGTGACGGTAAACTGCTTTGGATCTCCTCTTCTTTCTGTTCCAGTCCATTTAAGTGGAACAATTAAATTTCCCGGAAGGAAAGCATCAGGAGAGAAAAGAAGAGGACTCTATATGCACCAAAGACATGTACACTTTGGTAGATTATCAATAGCTGTTCACATCTTAACATGGGATAACCAATTTAGAAACGAACTGCCTTTTTGAAACAGTATTTTTCTAATTGTTTCCTCTTCTGTGTTATTGGACTGAAAACAAATAATAGGAGAGTTAAATTATCTACCTTGACTCCTAAATAAGTCAGAAGTTCTGAATTATTCAAAATGCCCTCATTTGACCAATTACATCAGAATCACCCAGGCCCCACCTTTTACATACTGAGTCAGAATTTTTGGAAATGGAGACCCAAGAATTTTCATTTAAAATCACTCACTGGTGTTTGAGAACTACTTATTGAGAAGGTTTCCCACAATGAGTTTGTTAATGATGATGGTGATGACAACAAGTGAAGTAGTGTCTGGCATATACTTAGTGATACATTCATATTTGTTAAATGTTTTACAAATATTATCTTATTTAAACTCATAAAACCCTATGTGGCAGTTACTATTAGTGTCCTCCCATTAGATGAAGAAACTACAGCATTATTAAAAAAAAAATTAGGTTCAGATGTTCTAGTTCCAGAATTCATTACATCTTTTTTATAACATATCAATGTGTTTCAGTTGTAGAAAATTCCAACCAATGATGCCCAAGGCACAGATAAGTGTTGCAGTTTACAATGAAACAAAAAATAAAATAAAAATGAAAGTGAACCTCTTATTTTGAATAAGAATGTATTCTCTCATTTTCCTAAAATTTACTGAATGACAAGATGAAAAGTGATTTATTAAATTCATAAAGTGCTATAGTTCATTAAAAAACTTAGCTAATGACTTGGTTAAAATTTCATGGTGTTTAATTATTAGCATGGGAAATCTGGACAAATGAAACTGAATGAAAGTAAGGACGATTCTCAAAAGTGAGAAAAATCCAGACACAAATTACTTTGGGTGGCCCACAGAGAGTAGAAGTGGTCTTCAAGGGGTAGTAATTGCAGAGTGATCTCACCCGGAGCTGCCAGAACTAGCTTTACCTTGACTACATAAACTTGTAGGGATTATGTCTCCCAAGGATCTATACAAAGCTTCTTAATCAGAGAAAACACTGGGCAATTTCCAAGTGCACTTGCTACCATGCTTAGAAGCAGCAGCACATGACTTAATGCTTTTTTTTTTCAATTCCTTCACCAAAAAAATGATGCTATTTGAGAATCGCATTTGGGAAAAGGAGGCTCAAATATTGATGGCTTGTTCCACCATTCTTTCTTCACAATAACAATGGGGGCATCCTTATTTACTACTGGCAGGAATGTACGTTTGTACAAACTTCCAGATGGCAATTGGCACTAGGTAAGAAGTCTTGAAAATGTTCTTTAATTTAACAAATCTATTTATAGGAATTAGTTGTAAGGCAACGATGAATATGAACAAAGGTTTTTCCCACAAGGATGCTTATCATGGTGGTTGTAATTTCTATAAAAAATTCGGAAATATAGAAAAATACTGCTTGCTCTCCCAACACAGCAACAGGGCAATAATAAAATGCTCATATAGTTACAATTGTGATAAACATGTATTTTAATATCCGCAAAATGATTGAAACAGTACTGCAAAGGCTAATAATTATTTTTATTTTAGTTGAATTTTAATGATATAACATAATTTAAATAATTCCCTATTGAATATTGTGTCTACTTTCTTTAATATTATAAATAATGATACAAGCAATTGGATGTTCAATTTAATTATAGTAATTCATAGCTATAGGTACATTTTTTTCACATAAAGAACTTATTACTAAAATTATATATATTTTAAAATAAACAATATCCTACAGAGCACAAATTGGGGCCTTCATTTAAAGCAAACTAGCTAAAATATATCTAAGTAACATTTCCTTTAAAAAATCTATTTGGGGCCTTCCTATTGTTTCTTTTTGTGTGTAAGTTTACTTAAGAGCAGCTTTTCTGAAATCCTCTTTCATAATTTGAACGAAGTCAGGCCTTTACCAGTGAGGATAATCTTTTAATTGTATGTTCTCAAAACTGTGTTTATTGCCTAATGGTTGTCAGGAGTTTATGATATGATAGTGTTTCTTCTGTTTATCTCTATTTCCTCTGTTTATATTTCTAGAATATTTCCAATATTTTCCAAATTGAAGAATTAATATTAAATTGCTATCATGTTTCAAAAACACACAAAAAAAGAAAGTGTCCTTCATTAGAAGCACTAAGTTACAGTTTAAGAATGTGTTTCATGTTGTTAAAAGCTACAATGGGACCCACCAATGACACTTTGGATTGGGGGAAAAAAAATTAACCCAGACACTGTATTATCAAAGAATATTTATTTGTGGGTGAAATGGTTAGGTATCAGGTTTTTCTTTCACAGATACTTTTCACAATGCATCATCTTTGTTTGAAAAAATGAAAATCTTTTTCTTTGCATGTCTGTGAGGAAGTTAAGCAAATAGTACATAAACCACATTTCACAAATAATAAATGGGAACAACTGCTTTGTCTCAAGATAAATGACTAGAAAGTAGCTAATCATGCAAACTGACCTATCTCAGACTTTCTGAAAATGTAGGATATGTTAATTTGTTAATATTCTATATAACTCATGAAGACCCCATAATTCTGTTTAAATGAAAAGCCCTTAAAAGTGTACATCTACACATCTTATTATTAATAGTTTTTTCATATGCCAGCCAAATGCTTGTTTTGCTGCCAGCAATGGTTTTTTTTTCACCTCATGGAATCCATTCAATGCCTTAGGAGAGAAAAGTTGCCACAGAGAAGCAAATAATAATAATGATAATAATTGTAATAATTAATGTAATTTAAAATCTTACCGGTCTCAGCAAAAAAAGAGCTTATGACTTACAAAAGCCAAAGGATTATTATTATTTTTTCTCCTATGGACCCTGCATGCTCGTCATTAAATGAGTTCTGACCCTTGGCTCATGAAACCCCCTTTCATTGGCTCCTACAAAGCCCTTATTTATTTTGTTTCATTTTTAATAATGTAGGGAGCACCCACAAACTCAGCATACCATCCAAGAACAAGAGCTTTACCAATAACTTGCATCTACTTACATGCTCTTCTTCTATCTCACCCTTCTGCCTACCCCGCAAGGATAACTCCCAAATTTTGTTTATCCTCACCTTGTAATTTCATTCTTGAGCACATAAGCATGAATTGTTCTTGGGTAAGCAGAAGAAGAATTGCTGGAACATAGCAACCTCATTAGATATCCAACCATAATAGATAATGCTAAATTGTTTAAACAGTGATTGTATCACACGGTGAAGCCCTGTCTCTACTAAACATACAAAAAAAAAAAAAAAAAAATTAGTCGGGCGTGGCGGCGTGTGCCTGTTGTCCCAGCTGCTGCGAGGCTGAGGCAGGAGAATGGCGTGAACCCGGCAGGCGGAGCTTGCAGTGAGCCGAGATTGCACCACTGCACTCCAGCCTGGGTGACGGAGCAAGACTTGGTCTCAAAAAAAGAAAAGAGTGATTGTATCAATTTATCCTTCAATGAGTACTGTATTAGAAACCCTGTTGATCACTGTTCTGGTTTTTCTTGACTTTGTTTTACCAATTAAATGAGATCAAATTATATCTCATGTGTTTTTTATTAGCTTCTCTAAAGCATTAGTAACATGGCCGAACCTGTTTATTAACCATGTGTTTACTTTCCTGTACATAGCTATTTCTGAATTTCCCCCATTTTTCTATTGGCATGTTTGTTTTTTCTATTGATTTAGTAAGATATCTATCTAGCTATCTATCTCTGTATTAACCTACCTATATAGGTATGTTTATATATGAACATATGTATAACTATACAATTCTTTGTGTTTATATGTTGCAAACATGTTCTCCCAGTATATTGCTAGTCTTTTTACTTTCTTTCAGTTACCTTTTGACTTCATAAAAACTAAAACACAAATTTTATGCCATAAAGAATAGATTTAGCAAAACGTGAAAATATCAGCAATTGAAGAGCCAGTTTTCCTTGCTTCATAATAGGCCAGAGAAAAGGGATTCACTGAGATAGTTTTTAAAAACTGGCCATATATTATCTCATTGGAATATTGTGTTATTTGTTTCTAAGACAGTCCTACTCCTGCCTCTGTACTAGGTGAGTTGGTTAAAGAGGAGCGTAAAACTCAGGCAGGTTTGGGAGGGGGATCTTAGAATATGGGACACCTGTACCTAACAACCCAGGGAGAGTCTGAGGAGTTGGAAAACAAAGAGCTCTCCTACAGCAGAAAACATTAGAGCAGAGACAACTGCATGAGAATTTAGGTTTTCCTGAAGGGAGCATTCAGGTCTTGTGTGTAAAGAAAGATGCAAAAGTAGCTGGAGGCCCAACATGAAGAAGCTTATAAGTTGACATAAGGAAGACAAATCTTCACAGAGAAACAACCAAAGCCTGTCAAGAAAAGAAAAAGAAATCGTAAAGATCACACAGGTGAGTAAAATAACTAAGGGTCAGATGGACCCAATCTTATGCATTAGCACTGTACATGGGTTGAATTGACTAAGGAAACACTGAATTGGTTGCAACTCTCCTGAATTAATTACACTTTACTTTTATTATGGATTGAGTGGATTAAGGTAATGTGAAATGATGTAATAGAATGTTCATAAATTTAACCAGTATCAGGATCGCCTGGAGGGCTTGATACATCACAGACTGCTGGCCACACCTCCAAAGTTTCTGATTCTCTAGTTCTGGGCTGGGACTCACGAATTTGCATTTCTTACAAGGTGATGCTGATGCTGCTACTCCTGAAACCATATTTTAAGATTTGCTGGCATAATAGATAAACACGAAAATCTCAAATGCTTAGCACAATAGAAACATCATCCTTATAACAACTGTTCAGTGTGGTTGTGTGCATGCATGTGCATACAGTAATGGGGTAGCAATGCTCTTTTCCACATGGTTTCCAAGGTCACCTTGGACATCAATATCCCACTGACTGATAGTGGAAGAGATAGTGGAAGATAGCGAGGACTACACTGGAGGTTTTTATGGGCCAGGCCTAGAAGATGCATATGTTATCATCTTTCATTCCACTGGTCAGAACTCAGACTCATGCCATAACTAATAGCGAGACAGATTGGCAAACCTTGTCTACTCACATGTCTAGGAGGAATGGGAAATGGATTTGGTAAACAGCTAACCGATCTTTATCATAATACTCATAATTAAAAATATGTTGAGTTAAGGTAAAATGGAGATAGATGCTTTCATGTCTGAATTTTAGAGCCTGGGATTTTGCACCATGAGCACCTAGCTCACAAGAATATTTATGCTCTGGTTCCTGCCTACGTTTGTATTCTTATCACTCTCTGTTTTCTCCCTTTGCATCCTCCGCTCCAGCCTAACCGGCCTCATTTCTGTTCCTTGCAGGACTCATGCTCTCTGAGGCTTCCTCTCTACTTCTATTATTCTCTACCTGAAAGGCTTCTACTGCCTACTTTCTCATCTCCTCTCTACTGTGCTATTTGGTTAATTCTTCATCCTTTAGGTCTCACTTCGAAAGTTACTTCCTTAGCCTTCCTCTGACTCTGATAGAAACCCTAGACTAAATTAATTACAATTGACAACTGCTGGGTGGATGCACCAATTTTTTTTTTTTTTTACCCTGTTAAGTTTGTTTTTGTTTTTTGAACTTTTTAATTTGTGCAACTTTCCTATTGGACTGTAAGCTTCAGGTCAAGGCCTGAGTCTATCTCCCTCACCATTTTATCAGTACCTCTTAGAGTATCTGGAATCGTGCTCAAGAAGTGATAGTGAAGGAAGGAGGGAAAGAACCAAGAAAAAAAGAAAGTGTGTGGCAGATTCACCTGACAGCAATAAATTAAGTAAACCTTGAGAAGGACCCTGTATGATGGACACACCTGACAGCAGTAACTTAATGATGACCTTATGGCAGACACACCTGACTTAGCTTAAGAAATGAGGGTTGCAATGTGGAGATCGCTGAGGGGAGTTGCTAAGTGATACTGCTATATAAATGGCATGCTTCTTCAGAAGCGGTTGCTGTTCTCCTGTCCAGCCTACTGCGGTTGCACCTCCCTGTAAGTAAGTTCTCCCAATTGAACTCTGATTTGTTCTCTGGCTCCGGGTCTCTTCTTCAACCTCTTGAATCTGATGCCGTCCATATGGAAGTTAATAGGGGTCAAGCAAGACAAGAAGGAAGGGAAGGAGGGAAAAGAGAAAGAGGCAGTATTTTTTTGCCTGATTTCAGAAAGTATCAACAATGGTATTGTTGTATTTGTTATGTATTGGTTGCCCAGGTTAATTTGGCAGATTATTTTAGTTGTTGGGCCTAAACCTCTTTCTCTATTAATATTCTACATATGCCCCTTCTCCATGTTGCATCCTTGGCCAAAGGATATCCCTCTGAGAGAGGAAAACCCCTCCTGGGTCAATTGTCTATAAGTCACTGTGCTCCTTTGGCATTCCTGAGTATGATTTCCTTTATTCATGTTGGGAAATGTGTTTGCAACATCCTGATGAAAATTACTGTCAAGAGCATGCATAAACATAGATTTTGATAGATGACTGTGAGACAGAATGATAAAGCTTGCTTAGAGTTTTCTAGAGTCTTGTTGAAATGAGGGCATGAAGACCTGGCAGACATGTATCTAGGTTTTGTAAAATGAAGTTTTGAGGATAAAATATTGTTTAATCAAGGAACTTGGTGAATCAGAAGTTAGGTCGTCTGTAACAAGAGCTTAGTCCAGGCTGTGACTGATAAGGCAGGGGGTATGCCAGTGAAAAATAACAAAAAGGAGAAAGATAAAGTTGAGAGTACTGCGATTTTCTCTTACTTGGATATAACAAAGAGTCTTGTATGCTGGTATTACTGAGGCTAATAGAAGGGAGGCAGAAAATAAGGGAAAAATGATGTCTAAAACGTCTTTCTACGTAGTTACCAAACTATAAATTATTCATGTTCTAGCTTGGGGATTGCCACCTGGATCAGCACACACCTTCTCCCATAGGTTACTCACTCACTCCTGTTTTACGTGGAATGATGCAAATCCTGTTTTCAACTATTCTCGAGGACACACTCACCACTGACAGTCTAGTGCATTTGGAAGTTTTATGGCTTCTCCTTGAAGCTCTGTCCCTTTTCTCTTCCTTCCTGACTTGGCTATTTCACTGCTTTGCATGGCCTTCCCCGGAGATTTCAGTGGAATCATCAAAGGAGAGGAGACATAAGCCAGCCAGTTTTGTAATGATTTGTAGCTCTTATAAAACCATTTCTCTAAGGAAGGAGATCTTAATGAATTGTTGCCATAACGGTTTGGGATTATCTGTGAGTTTTAATTATTCCAGTTTCTCAGATCATTTTTGCCATAGAATCAAGATCTGTCTACATGGTTTGGATTATTGAGATCAAGTTCCTGATGTGCTAAGTAATTAAAAGCACAATTGATCCTTGAATCCCTAATTGCATATGTACCAATCTTCTTTTATTAGATAACTTCTTGCTTCTAATGCATAGTGTCAATTTTTAAGTAGAACTCGTTACTTTTACTGTAAACATCAGTGACACTCTCAAAGTGATAGTATCCTTGGGTCAAAGCTTGTCTGTATTAATCAGACTAAAGCAGGAAGTGGAAAACATATGTTTTGACTAGTTTTTAGTATCAACTGATTGCCTTTAAAGAAAAAAGAACCTTTATTTTTAAATGGCAATTATCTTTGCATTTATATGTCACCACTTTGTAAGAGAGTCTGCAGTGATAGAATATTCTTTCATTCTTTCATTGTTATTCATGAGATACTATCACCAAGACATAAAATCATAAAATGAATTGCCTTAAATTAGGATTAGAGTGTAGTGAACAAGTGAAAGAATCACTCATTACCTCCTGAATGCAGGGAGGCTCCAGTGTGTAAAGCTTTAGTTTCTGACAGCCCATTTATTTTATTTTATTTTTTTAAGGAAATTGAATTGGAGAGGGCAAATGGGAGGTAAAAGGAAAAAAGTTCAGCAAGGCAAAAACGTGTGTACTCAGGCTATTTCAGAGGAGTAGGGCTGAAAACAGGACAAAAAAAAAATAACAAATGTACCCTTAGTCCTCAGGAAGATTTAGGGATCTGGAACCACTAACTTTCAATCCCAAAAGGAGGTTGAGGTAAACTAAAATAAATAATAGAAAGCACTGGAATTCCTTTTGGGGCATTCTGTAGATGCTATCTTAAAATAGGCTATATTTCCATGGTGTGAAACAATGGATGTTATCCTGCGCTTGGTGTCCTGTCTCTTCAAAGGCATGGCATCTTAAGCACACATTGAAAGATGAGCAGATCTCATGACTCTCCACTCTCAGGAAATTCAAGCTTCCTATTGATACCTCTTATATTTTATTCCTCCTCCTTTGACATTATCTGCATGGTAGCCAGTTTTAGCTCCTGGAAGAGGGAATCTAAATCAGGTATAAAAATAGGTAAATGTAAAAAAAAAAAAAATTCTGGGAAAATGACATCTCACTTTTGTGAAGCAATATTTTGAGTAGTAGAAAAAGGAAACATAAAATAGGCTTATTTATTTTGTTTATTTTTATAGCATATTTATAAAAATAAAAAAATACATTTTAGTTTTAAAAATAAATAAAACATGTCTAGTTTCTGGAAATGCCTACCAGTTAAATGGAAACTTCTCTGTATAAAGACAGGTATCCTTACTATTTTGTACTTACTTTCAAAGTGTCGTTCAATGTATTCATTTTTGTTTCAATTTTCTTCCCAACATTTTACATTAAAGTGATGCAATGTCCCCACTAGGAATTATTTGGCCATTTCTCTGAAAGACTCTCTTCACAATCAGTCATTCTGCCTTGTCAAACCACTGATAGAGAACTGACTTCGTTCTGAAAACAGTTATTTCCCAGAACTTGTATCTTTATTGGAGTAGCCATAATTGAATATTTCAGTCAGATAGGAAACATTTCAGGTGATGCTAGTAGCTCTCCCACCACCTTTTCTAGTAGTGTAGCCCATTGTCGGTATAAATGTGTAAAATCTGAATTTGTACATTTCTACCCAGATGGCACAAGATGGTGAGTGATCAGTATGAGGAGGTTCCTTGAGCTTTGATACATGTTGCTACCAAAGCTGATTACCAGCTAATAACTAACTCCAGTTGAGAATGTATTTTGTAGAATTGTGAATACATCTGTCTAAAACTCTAATGATTCTTTATAGATCTTTCTGCTGGTGTATTCTGGTCCCAGAGTGGAGTGTTAGCTGCTGTGGTAAATAAAATAAAGCATCAGGAACAGTGTAGAAGAAGTTTCTATCACTGGGCTGCAGTCTCTATGGAAGATCTTGTCATTTAAAGAAAGATTAGTCCCTTTCTCATGGTACTTATTTCATTGCATTCTCTCCTCAAAAGTGGTTATATGGCCATGGGAAGACAGGGTGCTGCCTTGTTTTCGTCCTTTTTTCTGGAAGACAAGTTTAGGAAAAATTCAAGGTGAATGATAATGCCTCGTGCCATATGATGGCAAACATGCCTGGAATTATGCAGTCTTACACACAAAAAAGGGAAAATTATACACTGTAACCCACAGTGTCAATCACTTTAGCAATCTACAAAGCAAATTACAAGATGCATGCACTGTTTTCTACCCAGGTTAAGGAATCATGACAATCTGTTCTTGCTTCCACATAGCAATTACTGCACTTACTGATCACGTCTCTGGAATGGTAATGCATGAGATGGCACTATATTCCCCACTCTCTGCTGAATAATAAAAATAAGCAGAGAGGTGGCACTTTTTGGCAATCAGTTTCCTTTGGGAAAGGGAATGTGAGGTAGGAAAAAGTGACCTGCTTCTCCTTCTGGATATATTTATGCATTTTATCATTAGAGATGGCTTGGAGTCCGTTCTGATAAATTCACCCCAAAATGCTTGGCGAACAGTTGTAGGTGTCATGCTGATGAACACACATCGACTAAACAAACACTTCAATATCCAGTAAGGCCTTTGATCATTAAAATAACCTCATAACTAAGATTGTACATATGTTGAATATTTTCTATCTAATGTTGCATTTATTCATTCACTCACTGTCATTTACCACCAACAGTTTGTTTATCTCATGGGGATGTCATGTGTAAAATGTGGCCAAGTGATACATTTTGCCCAATTTCCATCTTTTGCTATTAAAGTTTTACTCCTCTCCCCTTGCTTATACTGTAGAATATGTAAAAATAGCCAGCATATTATTTGTGTTATTCATAAGTGAATTTATTCAACATATGTACTTTAAACATTGTACCTATTATGCAACAAATGCCAAGTTAAGAACTGTAGGAATGGCAATAATAAATAAAAGCTGGTCCTTGTCCTTAAAGAGATTTCAGGCTGCCAAGCAAACTGACTACTTGTCTTTTATACTTTTGAGGGATAGAAGGCATATGGAGAATCTACTTGCATTGTAAAATCGTGGGGCACTCTGACTTTTATTTTCAAATAATTGCCATCAAGAAAATTTGTATGTCTCTTAAAAACTTAATCTTTCCAGAATAGTAGGTTGTCTGCCCATTTACTTGACTTTCTCATCTTTCACACAGTCCTTAGTTTTTGCTGTCTGACTTCTGCTTCTATTACTGCATGGAAAATCTTCTTATGTGGGCAACAATGACCTTCTAGGTGCCAAACCCAAGTCAAAGAAACAGGTGAGAGCGTGGATGGCATGTGCATTAATTCATTCCACAACCATACAGTGGGTACCCACCATAAACCTATTGCAGCGCTGGGCTTACCTAGGGGAATTAAATATTTACCTATAGTGAGTGTTGTCTCTTAAGGCCTTGAGCCTCTTGAGGGCAAAAAGTTTGTCTTTGTTCTATTCCTGGAAGTCGAAGAATACTTTTCAGGTGTTTTTTTGTTTTTGTTTTTGTTTTTGTTTTTTTTGAGAGAGAGTCTTGCTTTGTCACCCAGGCTGGAGAATGCAGTGGCGTGATCTTGGCTTATTGTAACTCTGCCTCTCAGGTTCAAGCGATTCTTCTGCCTCAGCCTCCTGAGTAGCTGAGATTGCAGGCACCTGCCACCATGCCCGGCTAATCTTTTGTATTTTTAGTAGAGAGGGGGTTTTGCCAAGCTGGCCAGGCTGGTCTCGAACTCCTGACGTCAGGTCATCCACCCACCTCGGCCTCCCGAAGTGCTGAGATTACAGGTGTGAGCCCCTGGGTCCGACCTACTTTTCAGGTCTTATTAAATGCTGTGCTTCAAAAAGGCAGTTCTCCCTTTCGTGATGCTTTGGTGATAATGCTTTAAAGTAGTTTGTACCTTCTGCGGCCACTTTGTCCCGTGTCAAAATGCCCCATTGAGAAGAGGATAGGGTTTTCTTGATTGTAGTGTGGTCAAGTGGCTAGATCATGGTTATGTTCCATGGGGAAGAAACACTGGGATTGGTTTCTATTTGGTGAGGCACACAGGGCATGAGCTAAGTTTGAGTTTGGATATAACTAGGATTCAATGACTAAAGAAAGGCAAAGTAGAAACACCAATTCTAGAGGCAGGAATCATGTTGGCTGGTGGAACCAAATGTTCAAGGGCTGAGGGAGACAGAGCATTGAGGTTTTTAGAAGGGGCACTTATAAAATTCTCCAAAGAGGCCGGGCATGGTGGCTCATTCCTGTAATCCCAGCACTTTGCGAGGCTGAGGTGGGTGGATCACGTGGTCAGGAGATCAAGACCATCCTGGCCAATATGGTGAAACCCTGTCTCTACTAAAATACAAAAAAATTAGCTGGGTGTGGTGGTGCACACCTGTAGTCCCAGCTACTCGGGAGGCTGAGGCAGGGGAGTTGCTTGAACCTGGGGGGGCGGAGATTACAGTAAGCTGTGATTGTGCCACTGCACTCCAGGCTGGTGACAGAGTGAGACTCCGTCTAAAAAAAAAGAAAAAAAAATTCTCCAGAGATAAGTTGTTCAATTTTACCAGTCAAAGTTTACAGGGGATATAAATAAACAAACCTTCCCTCTGGCGTGGTAGATGTCGCCTCTCCTGTAATGATAGTACTTTCCTATTTCGTGCAAAAATGTTTGAGTTCCCATGTATTTCATTCCTTGACCTCTGTTCTTTTTACTGGAAATACGTGTGTGTGTATATGTGTGTATGTACGTACATGTGTATGTATGTGTGTGTGTACAGTCGGCCCTCCTTATCCATGGGTTCTGCATTCAGGGATTCAACCAACTGCAGATTGAAAATATTTGGGAACAAAGAAGGATGGTTGCATCTGTACTGAACTTGTGCAGACTTTTTTTCCTTGTCATTATTTCCTAATTGATACAAATAACTATTAATATAGCCTATAAGTTTTATCCGGTATTATAAGTAATCTAGAGATGGCGTAAAGTATACAGGGGTATGCTCATAGGCTATATGCAAATACTACATGATTTTATATAAGGAACTTGAGCATCTGGACTTTGGTATCCCTGGGGTGACACTGGAACCAATTCCCCATGGACACTGAGGAAGGAGAATGACTATAGACATAGTCAGCCCTCAGTGTCTATATATGTCTATGTATACACATATATGCACGTGCATATGCACACACATATGTATATACACACATAGCCTCTAAACAATTTTATCTGTACTCCTTATTTTAATTAACATTAAACATTTCTAATTTTTAAAACATCTCTTTCATGAACATGTTTATCATTGTGTACTCATATTCTCTATAGATATCTGTTACTATAGTACCGTATATATTCACTTAACAAATATAAAGTATTGGCAAAACAACAAATAAGATAGATATAACTCCTGGCCTCATGAAGCTGACAGCCTAGGAGGGACACCATATTCTCTACTGA
This sequence comes from Homo sapiens, assembly GCF_000001405.40. NCBI lineage: Eukaryota > Metazoa > Chordata > Mammalia > Primates > Hominidae > Homo > Homo sapiens. The sequence goes on along the minus strand of NC_000014.9, from coordinate 79,875,782 downwards.
AAGATCTATAGTTCCTCGAGCATGGCTAGTACTATGGCTAGTGCCTAATAAGCACTCAACAAAAATTTGTGGCTGGGTGCCGTGGCTTATGTCTGTAATCCCAGCACTTTGGGAGGCCGAGGCTGGTGGATCACCTGAGGTCAGGAGTTGGAGACCAGCCTGGCCGACATGGTGAAATCCCGTCTCTACTAAAAAAAAAAAAAAAAAAAAAAAAAAAAGAAAAAGAAAAAGAAATTAGCCAGACATGGTGGTGTGTGCCTGTAATCCCAGCTACTCAGGAGGCTGTGGCAGGACAATCACTCGAACCTGGGAGATAGAGGTTGCAGTGAGCTGAGATCACACTACTGCACTCCAGCCTGAGTGACAGAGCAAGACTCTGTCTCAAAAAAAAAAAAAAATTGTAGGATGAATGAATAAATATAAGTGTATATACATACCAGTGTTCTTATCTCTGTGTCTTTGAATGTGTGATTTCCTTTGCCAAGAATACTCTACCAATACTTCCAATAAACTATACCAATAGCATTTCTCTTCTTGGTGCCATCATCTCTTTTTGGCCGTTTCTAAACAATCCAGGCAATCTGGCTCTTCCTTTTTCTGTGTTCCCAATGCAAATTATATATCTCATTCACACTTCATCTGTAGAACTTAGGTACAAACAGAAGTACAACACAACATAGTCTCACGTGAGACAGACACCTAACTGCTTGAGAGCAGGAGCCTTGTTTCTTTCAGGTCTCTCTCCAGCACCCAGCCAGGGACTGGTTCACGGTAATCTGTCAGCAAATGTGAACTAGTAAATGAAAAAATTGAATTGAAATCAATTACCTCCCTACAATTGAGTTTGCATGCAAAGCTTGCCGTATTTTGGCCCCAAATTCCTCTTATGTATCTCCCATTTCCCCATGTGTCAACTAGAATCCAGCCACCTTGTTATTCTTGAAAAGTCTTTCATTTTCCCATTTTATGCCTTCCACATATTGATGCCTATGACTGAATGCCTCTTCTACCTCTTCTACAGGTGCTAACCACCCAGACTTCAGACACCTTCCAATGCTAACTTCCCGTCTACCTTTACCACTCTTCCAACATTCTTAACTCACCAAACATCCCCTCACTCTTAGCATATTTCCCATCTCCCTATCTAAAATTATTTATCTTTCTTGAAGCAATGTGATACTTTTCATATATGATGCTTAAAATTCTGTTTTCTATTTTAGATTAGGTGCTTATCACACCTGACTTTACTAGATGTCAAGCATCCTGAAAGGAGGAACCATGCCTTGCACAGAGTTTTGCAAAAAGGAAGCATGCAGTCTCTCTTGCAGTGTGTGCATACGGTTACAAAAAGATGGGAGGAGGAAATATTTGATTAAACTCTGAATATAATCCTTATTCTGCTGACAAGATTGTAAGGTTCATAGAGTTGCTAACCAAGCAGCAGCCACCAAAGCATGTCATCATGGCACTTGAAACACCAGGGAGAGAATATTCTGGGGAAAAAAAAATAACAGGTCACACGCAGAAGACAAAGAACCAAAATGTCATTGGTCCACCCAGCAGGAACATTAGAAGCTAGAAGACCATAGAGAAATACAATAAATAGGGGAAAGAATTTTATCTCTAGAGTTCTGTACTTGAAGAAAAGTATCAAATGTAAATGATAATATTTCCAGATATGAAAAATCTTGAGATACATATGATACATCCATTTTCAGGGGGCTACTAGAGAATGTGCTTTACTAAACTAAGGGAATAATGTAAAGGAACAATGTGAAACCAGAAAACAGGAAATCCATCACAGGAGAGGATGAAAAAACCAAGTTGATGATGATGGGTAGTAGCTGTGAAAGTGGTTGAAAGAGCAACCAGTTCAGATTGGAGCAAGAAAATAGAGAACTCTGGGGGAGATGCCTCAAAGATTAACACAAGGAGATTGAATACATCATTAGTAAGACTTGACAATGTGAAAGCTTGTCTTGAGTCATTTGTGAAAGCTTATCTTGAGTCATTTGTGAAAGCTATTAATGGGAGTGAGAAGATTTAGCCAAATGAATCCAAGTAGGTGAGGTGGGGGGGGAATGAAAAGTGATTATCAATTCCAGAAAAAGCTAAGCATTTTATAAAAATTTAGGTAGAAAAGCAAAAGGAATTCTAAAAATACTTTAGTCAACAGGACAGTATTTTTGTAGTCATAATCATAAAAGGACCTAACAGTATTTAATTAAAATGTATAATATAACTATATTGGAAGAATGAGGAAGAGAAAGGGAGGTGTCAGACAAAATCCTAACATTTAACATTAGGAAGTCAGTAACATCTGAAATCAGTGAGTCAAAAGATAGGTTCATATTTTATCTGGAGAAATGTGGAGGTAATTACCAGAGAAAATAAGACCAGAATGTGGTTTCCTCTGGCAAGCAGGATGTGGGAGGAGTGAAGGAAAACTAGAGCAGGGGGCTGCTGTTATTTATTGTAAAGCTTTTATTTGTCCCATTAAACTATATGTATATATTGCTTTGTTAAAATAAATTATAAAAATGTACTATTGGACCCAGTAAACCTATGGATAGGGACATAAAAGTTTGACACTATGCATCAGGTAGGTCATCACAGCATTCATCTGTCGTTAATGGGCAAATGACAAAATTTCATTTAGTGGAATCCTATAGTAACATTATAGGCCATCCACATTTGATAAATGTATTTACATTAAAGGGTCTAGGAAGGGTACTGCTTGATGTTAGGTCTTAGTGGTGTATAAACAAGGCAGGCTTTGGAGTTTATACTCCTTAGTCCATATCTTGCTAGCTATGTAATCTCAGACAGATTATTTTTCTGAGTTTTCTCAAAGATAAAATGAAGATAATATCCATATCATAGGACTCTTTAGGAGTAATATTCAAATTGCTATAATTGTTGGCACTGTTAATATTGCTGTCAATACTGGTTCTGCTACCATGGCCTATATTTGGAATTTGGCTTACATGTCTTAATTTCTTAGGTATCAGGGAAGGATCAAGTTCTGATCTCACAACTTACTGGAAGTGTGAACTTGGACAAGTCACTTAAACTCTCTAAGCCTGATTTTTCTCAATTGTGACAAGAGATAAGAGTTTAGCACAGATCCTAATAGTAAGGCTCAATTGGCTGCATTCCTCTTTTATCACTTTCCTCTAGCAAATCAGCTTCCTTCTCTGCCACATCAGCAGTATCCAAATAATTCATCATAGATTCAAAGAGCTTTCAGATTGGAAGACATCTGAGCCATTGGGCAGGAAAAGACATCAAGTCATGCTTTTTAAATTAATGGAGTTGACTACTCTTTTGCCCTGAAGTATATAATTGCTCTTTTGTGACTTTATAGGCTACTGTGCTTCTCAAAATGTGGTCCATGGACCAGCAGCACAGAACTGCCTTTGCAGGTTAGAAATGCAAATGTTTAGATCTCATTCCAGATGAACTGTAGTTAGTGGGGTCAGTGATCTGTGTCGTGAAGAGCCCTCCAGGTGATTCTCACACGTGCTAAAGTTTGACAAATGGCTGGCCTCAAATTTTCAAAGCAAAGTACTGGGGGAAAAAAAAAAGGAAAATGATAAAGATGTGTTTGTACATCCCATGAGTATCAGATCAGCTATATTCAATTGTTCCTTCCACTAAAGTTGCTCAGTCACCTCCTCTGTGCCAGACACTGTAAGGGTTACTGAGGATTCAAGATGAATATTTTAGATCATGGCAAACACTTGCCTGACCAACCACAACTTTCATAAAATCATTCTACATATTTTCATAGATTCAATGATTGGCTTTCTTATAAATATGGATGCATTATCAAGTTCTCCAGGATTACTTCCTGGGCTCTAGCTTTCCAGTTTAAGTGATCATATTTTCTGATGTCTCATGTCTATTTTCCTAAAAGCTGCTATATTGTGTGTAAACTCATCTGCCTTCTTGAATGTTTTACATATAATTTACATAGAATTTGGCCATAAAGTAGATAATCTTCCTCTTTATCCAACTAAAGCATCTACCTGGAAGAAAATTATCTTTACTTCTACGTGACTTTATATTATAGATGATGATAGCCAGGGTGTTTTTGATCTTTTAATATAAATTGTTCCAGTGTGTACCCATCTCTCCAGTCATTAGACACTCTCCCTGAAAATACTTCTTAGATCTAAATTGCTAAGCAGGGATTCCGTGTTCCCAAGGCTTTAATGAGCTGCATGTATGCCATTGCCACTTTCTTGCAGCCATAAAGTCAGAGAGCTTCCAAGGATTCAATTTTTAATAAAGAATAAAAATCTAAGTAGATTCAACCTAAAGCAGGAAAATAAAATAATAGAATATGGGTTATGGAGGAAGGAAGAAAGCAGGCGGGAGAGAGAGGTAAAGAAATAAGCATTATCAGCATTTTAATGGGAATGAGTAAACAGTCTGCACTATAATAAATCTCCTAGGCATTTGATCCCAATAAACCATCTTAATCCTCAGGGCTATTCTGGCAGCATGAGATAACTACTCTGAAACCAAAATGTATTTAGCATAAAACTCACATTCCAATGTTTACTGTGTATCTGCTTTTAAAAAGTAAATTGAAAATTTAAACTTCTTTGAGGTTGTGTAAGGGGAAACAGCCTCTAAGGACCCCTTCTGCATGTCATCCAGCACCTGCCTGCCAAAGTCAATGTTGGGATGCCCACTGGTTCGGGAGCTGGAGTACTTGTTAACCGAGGCCTTGTAATCCGCTGTTTCATCTGAGCATTATTTGACTGGCTTAGGCTTTGAAAACTTTCTCCTTTTTGTGTGCATGTAGAGGGCTTTTTGATATAGGCATGATGGCGGTCCCACTTCAACTGATTTATGTCATAGAAATATCAAAGTCACATGTCCATGTATGGTTGACCTGTAAAATCTTTTAATTAAAAAAAAATATTACTGTTTTCAGTGTTAATCGTGACCAAGGAGTGGTCCAATTACTTTTTATCCTTTTTTTTTTTCAAAGCCCATTAACTTATCTATACCTAATGTTCTCAGTAAAATACACTTGCCAGTTACTACTTCATAACATCAACCTGTCTAGTTATAAAAGCTATTGCCGGCCGGGCACGGTGGCTCATGCCTGTAATCCCAGCACTCTGAGAGGCCAAAGTGGGCAGATCGCAAGGTCAGGAGTTCGAGACTAGCCTGGCCAACATAGCAAAACCCCATCTCTACTAAAAATACACAAAATTAGCCGGGCATGGTGGCAAGTGCCTATAATCCCAGCTACTTGGGAGGCTGAGGCAGGAGAATCACTTGAACCAGGAAGGCAGAGGTTGCAGTGAACCGAGATCGCACCAGTGCACTCCAGCCTGGGCGACAGACTGAGACTCCGTCTCAAAAAAAAAAAAAAATGCTATTGCCCTGGTGTACATATATGTACCAAATTGCAGCTTGTCATTTGCCAGATGAGGAAGTCAAGCCTGTCCACCTAAGCACATATGGGAATTATGTTCTTAAAATATATTTTAGGGAAGTGGTGTTTATAATAGCAGTGTTTAAATATGTTTTGCATTTTTAAAAGAAAAAGATACACAAGTTCTAGTACAAAAGACAAGCACAATACCTGAAGCGATTTACAATGTATTACCATATAGGAACAAGCAACTCATTTTTTTCCTTTTGTTCAAAAGAAGTGGAGACAGAGAGAGAGAGAGAGAGAGACAGGAGAGAGAGAGAGAGAGAGTGTGTGTGTGTGTGTGTGTGTGTGTGTGTGTGTGCGTGAATTCAGAGCTTATCTGTTAGCATCAGACACTACTGGCATGAAGGGAGAGACCTCATTATTATTTTACATGCTTTAATTCTGGAACTGTCTTCTGAGCAGTTACAAACTGCTTAGAAGCAGCTCTCCTGCCTCTGCTCTCTTCCCCTGCCCTACCTTTTCTTCTTTCTTGCTTTGGTTTTTAAGAAAGAACTGTCCTAGACTTCCCACATCAAATTTGACATCAAACCAGATCTGGTTACTCATACCCATACATGCATATAAGTACATTTTCCTGCGTGGTATATGAACATTGAAAACTATACTGTAATGCCAAGGAAGTTTTAGCTATTCAGTTTTAATGATGCCTCTGTTTTTATCTACTTTCTGACCCCCACCCATCAGCCTGTCTACTGTACTCTTTTGCAAACCTAAAGGACCTGCCTTAAGAATGTTTATATATGCTCTGCTAAATTTCCAAAATAAATAAAATATCAAACTACCAAATGCAGAGTAGGAACAGAAAAATCATTAACTTGTTGAAACTAATTATTCTATGTTCCATTTGGCTCCATGAAATGAAGAAGCAAAAGTTTATAGTGGTTCTGTCCATTCATCCTAACACTTACCTTGACTTTATGGTAGAAAAGAATGTACTATCAAATAGTCTATAACTCTGTGTCTCTGAGTCTCTCTCTCATGATATTTTTATAGTGAAAATTCTAGGTCAAAAATGGCAAGTGAGTGAGAACAAAGAAGAAAATCATTGTCAAAAGACAATGGAGCAGTAAAAAATCATAACTTGAAAATGTGCTTAAGGATATCTCTTCTGTGTAGACTCATGTAAATTCAGTATAGTTACAGCTATTGAAAATACATGAATATAACCCTCTTAAAATATGCTAGTAGATCTGTGATCATGTTTTTAGAGGTAAAGGTATTTCTTAGCTTTCACATGTACAAATTAGAAGTCTCCCCTTTTACTTACTCTCTTGAAAGAGTACAGATTCTCTTCCACAATGGCACATTTTACAAAAGATATAGCAGCAATATATAATCTATAGACCGCTTTTTATTCATTTTAAAAGGTGATTGAGCACAGTTGAATTGAAATACGTACAAGCTGAAACATCTTTCACTTTTTCAGGCAATCTCATTAAATGATGAAGAGTCTACTTAGCAGCTAATCTCTTTTAGGTTGTCACTGAATAAAGAACTAGAATCATGCCATTAATTGTCCATCAGAAAGAACGTTAGGCTTAGGTACACTGAAACACTAAATAAGACTCAGGTCGAGAGGCCCAGCAGCAACTCTTTGAATGCTTTTTGTTTTATAACTTTGTGTAATATTACAAGATATTCTTTCATAGGGAGGTGGGCACAGATAAAACAAGGGTAACAAAATATTGATCTTGAAACCAAGTGATGGATAAATGGGGGTTTGTTGCGCCATTCTCTTTGGGGTATATTTGTAAAACGTTCACAATAAAAAGTTAAAAACAAAATAATGCATATCAATAAAGGGGTGCAAGGTTGCCTGAGGTATTTGGCTGACCAAGGGCCACAAGAAAGCTGAAGGATGGAAACTCAGAAAAGGAGTGACATTCTCGGGATGCAGGGCTTCCCTGGGCCTAACTGAAGCTGGTAGCTGGAAACAAATAACTAGTGCTGATGAAGGAAAATCTTTGCTAATGAGCTAGCAACTAAATTTTATATTGTCTTGGCAAATGAAAGAATTAGAGAAAAACTAAGAGTGCCAAACTTTCGTATTTTTATTAACTTTTTGGTCCTGGTTAGTCATGCATATAGCAGCTAATTTTGATCCTGCCTGAATCAAGTAACAAAGCCAATTGTAATAACGACCAACATTTATTTAAGGATAATTATTTGTCACACATATGTTAAGCATTTCACATGAATTATTTCATCCAATATTTCTCAAGAAACCTGCAAGATAAGTATAACAAAATTATAGGTATGAAAGCTGAGCCTTAGCTAAGCAGTTTATCTTAAGTTACAGTACCAGATGAGCCATGGCATTTTGACTCTAGAACCCATGTAATCATTAAAAAAAAAAAACTCAGATATCTTGAAATTCACTCTACTCATTTAATACATCTCCCAAGATCTGAGCATGCATTGCTTTTAGCTGTTGTTGTCTTATATGCCCTCACTCTCATGCAACCCTAACACTGCTCTTCTATCCTGGGCCCTACTCACGTGATCCTACCTGCTCTGTGGCTTGGTGTCTCTTGGAATTATTTGCTCTTCTACTTGGGCCATGTAACCACTTCAAAAAGGTTAGAATTGCTTCCCAATTCTGATTCCCTTGATACTTTGGAACTTCAACCTTTGCAATTCCCACTACTATACATTTGCTAGAAACAGAACCATATCCCCTCCAACATTCATATGTTGAAGTCCCAACCCCAAACATGACTGTATTGGGAGGTAGTGTCTTTAGGAAGTAATTAAGGTCAAACAAAGTCATAATGGCAGGGCTTTAACCAATAGCACTGGTGGTCTTATAAGAAGAGCAAGAAAAAGAAATCTCTCAGTGCATGAACAGAAGAAAGGCCCTGTGAGTACATAGTGAGAAGGTAGCTTATTATCTACAAGCCAGGAAGAGAGCCCTTCCCAGAAACTGAGCCCTAACAAACTTTGATCTGCAACTTTGTTTCTGGAACTGAGAAATACATTTCAGTTGTCTACCCAGCCTGTGGTATTTTGCCAGGGTAATCCCAGTAGACTAACACAATATCCTCTCATTTCCTGCCTTAGCTTCCACTTCAAATGCTTCTGGAAAAAGTAGAAAATGACTTGCTTCTCTAGAGACAGGTTTATGAAAGAGCTCTAAATTTGGAACCACAAGACTGGATTTTAAGTCATGACATTGTCATGTATTAGCTGTGTGACCTTGGAGAAGTCATTTAAGTTCTTCGGGTCTGTTTTCTTTGTAATAAACACAATTAGAAAAATACGTGCCCTCACTATTTCAACAATAAAAGAAAAAATAGTAAAGCTATAAAGTTGTATTATTAATGGCAGCTAACCCCTTACTGATATTTAGAGATCTTTTCATTAGCGCCTTCCTACTGGTGCTGTCAGTGGACTGCTGCCATTAATCACTCACGGTCCCACTTGGGTATCTGACCTTGTCCTTTAATATATCCAGAACACTGAAGCCCTCTGACTACAGCTTTTGTAACCTCTGTAGCAATATGTCAGTTTCTGATCCCATTCTCTCCAAGAAGATTGACTTATGCCTTTTTCCCCCAGATAAACATCTCTATCAGGAAACTCGGTTGCTCCATAAGAGTAGATCAGTTATTACCTTTCATTTCAAATATGCTCGAGTCCTTTGTACTCGACAAAGCAGCCCTTGACCTTGAACTTCTCAAGCTATTCTCCCATTTCTCTCTTCCCATTCATTGACATGATTTCAAAAACCTTCCTACTCATATCTTCCTCCAATGTACTTTTTGCAGTCTGTCATCAATCCAAATTATGGTTTTGATCCTGCTTGCTCCCACTTTAAGGGTTTGCTTAGAATGATATACAGCCCTTATTTCTGCCTATCAGTTTTCCAAGGTTTACCAAAATGTCACCCCTTCTATGAAGCCTTCCCTTACATAATTTCTTCTAAGCTCCCAACTTAGTTTGTACTTTTTGATAGCTTATTTGCATTCACTATAGTACCATTTTTTGTTCATCTTTACTAGATGATAAGCTCCCAAGGCTCTCAATTTAATATCCCATAATCATTTAGTAAATATTCAATAGACATTATCAAACTGATCTTAAACTATATAATCAAGATATTAGTTCAACTGGGACAAACACAGGGCTTGGATATTTTTTGGAGAAAGATCAAACTTCAATTTGAATATGAGCAAAGAGAGACTGGACCTGTATAGATTTATACAAGAGACAAAAAGGCTTAAAATCCTTCTAGCCATTTTCTGCCTTCATTGAAACAAAGTAACAATAGCCAATAGTAGACTAGCTTGTACATAAGTGTTCAATAAATGTTTCTTGAATTAAAGAAAAAGTGAATGCTTAAAGTAGTCCTAGAATTATATATTAGTGAGATTTAGAAAGATTTCAGGAGGAGTGGCTCACACCTATAATCCCAGCATTTTGCAAGGCCAAGGTGGGTGGATCACTTGAAGTAAGGAGTTCGAGACCAGCCTTGCCAACATGGTGAAACCCTTCCTTACTAAAAAAATAAAAAATAAATTAAAAAATGAGCTGGGTGTGGTGGCCCATGCCTGTAGTCGCAGCTACTCAGGAGGCTGAGGCAGGAGAATCGTTTGAGGTTGAGAGGCAGAGGTTGCAGTGAGCCAATATCATGCCACTGCACTGTAGGCTGCAAGACTCCATCTCAAAAAATGATGGGAGAACATCTAATACAGAACTTTGAAGACAGGAACAAAAAAAAAACTTTACATAATTTGACATCACTGAACCTGACTTTCTCCCCCCCATTCCTAACATAGTCGATAGTATAACCACTCCACTAATGTTATCTTGAAGGCACAGGCTTAACTAAATATATATTTTTAAAATTCTAACTCTTTGAAAACTGGTAACCAACATATGGATAAAGGACAGCTGTTCAGTTAAATCTATATTTCTAGATTACAGTGAAGAACAAAGGGTAGATGGATTATCCAATTGGCCAAGTAAGTGTGTGCTGAGAGAACGAGAAATATGAGACATTACTGCTACAATGGGTGTATGAAACAAGTTGTAATCAGAAATTCTTGTAAGAAGCTGTTAAAATTGAAGAACTCATTTAAATTTTGGTTTTGGATTCTGTTTTTTAATTTTAAATTTTAATATGGTGGGAGGCTTGGAAAGAAGACATCTAAGACTTTCTAGTGCTTATGGCACTATGTGAACATAGTTTTAAATACTGTTTAAAGCTTGTTGACTTATAGAAAATACGTAAAAGGTACGAAATGCCTTTAAAAAACATAGTATCCAAGCCGGGCGCGGTGGCTCACGCCTGTAATCCCAGCACTTTGGGAGGCCGAGGCGGGTGGATTACGAGGTCAGGAGATCGAGACCATCCCGGCTAACACGGTGAAACCCCGTCTCTACGAAAAATACAAAAAATTAGCCGGGCGTGGTGGCGGGCACCTGTAGTCCCACCTACTCGGGGGGCTGAGGCAGGAGAATGGTGTGAACCCGGGAGGCGGAGCTTGCAGTGAGCCGAGATCGTGCCACTGCACTCCAGCCCGGGCGACAGAGCGAGACTCTGTCTCAAAAAAAAAACAAACAAAAAACGAAAAACAAAAAACAAAAACAAACAAACAAAACCATAGTATCCAATAATCTTTTCTAGAATACAATGTTTCTATCATCTTTCCAGAAAAATGCACTCCCTCCTGGTTATTCTATCATAGCAATCTAAAAAATAATGCCTCAAGTAACAGATAATTATCTCATAAATATGGCATTTTGATAATGTAATAATTAGTAACTGCTTAGAATATCTTCTATCACATGAAAGTGGTCTAGCTCTTACTCGGCTTTTAATAAGATATGACATAATTAGCTTCAGTGCGAGATTTTCTCAAATGTTAAGAAAATAAAAGTGCATCAGCATACAAGGTTTTGGGAAGAACATTTTATTGCTAAGCATATCCTTGAACGAAAATGCAAATATGAACTAAGAAAAGAAAAAAGAAAAAGCAGTAATGTCACAACATCATTAAATAAATTCCTTTAGGTTCTGCTAATAAAACAGGAATATGATAGAAGCTCACATAGAGAATGCACATGTTCCCATAAAATTGTCCAAATAGAAACTTACACTGAAAGGAATATAACAAATGTATTATTACTTAAATTGAAAAAAATGAAAGAAAGCAGGAAATCAATTCACAAGACCTCAAGACTCCAAGAACAGCAATCTTTTACAGACATCGAGATATAATCAACTTCGTATAGGCTGGGCCGTTTAGGTTATCTAAAATCGTGCTTTGATATCTCTTTATAATCCTGTCTTTTTTAATGATAACAAAAAAATTAAACTCTTAACACATTGAAATATTAGATAATGAGGAACACCTCTTTCCACACACATTAGTAAAGGCTACCATTTAGATTGCACTTTTTGCCCCATGTCGTTAAGATATTTTTTCAAAGTCAAATATTCATGCAACTTACAAAGACCAGCAAGAGTAGATTTCTAAATCTAAGCAGCTGATTGATTTTCATCTGTACAAAAGAAATTGTATATCTGACCCTCCAGAGGACACACTTCATTTTTGTGTGAATATTTGTCTTGCTTTGTCTCTTGCTTTTCGGATAGCTATGGCCATACAACCAGTTTATTGTTTTTCTGTACATTGTTTCCTCTTTACAAAAAGAAAAAGACAACCAGAATATAAACCAAACAGAAATAAACAGGAAAAAAACATTTCTTAAAGCAGTATGTACATAGGTGGCTAAGGAATTATACCAGCAAAAATGTAGTAAAATATGTAAACAAAATCTGAAGTTTTTTTTTTTAATTCTCTTTGACACAGTTAACTGTGACAAAACTAAAATTCACACTTTCTTCACATTTTAAGGTTTGCTTTTTTGTTGTTTTGCTATTTTCTTTTAAAACAACATTCTCATTCCATTTTAAGACTTTAACAGATTTCCTGTGTCAGTCATCCCATCAAACATACCATGATAAATATATCTGTATATATATTTATTTATATATATATTATACTATTAAATTCCTTTTGTGTGTGTGTCACAGCAGCTTTATTCATTTATTTGTTTTTAAAAAAGATGGGTGAAGAGAGAAGTGAGCAAATGGAAGGACAGAGTTATCCATAAATGTCAGGCTACAAAATTAAACCACTATGAAAACCATTGTCACATTCGGGGCGGGGAAAGAACTATGTGTTTTGTACTCTGGCATGACATGGTTGGCTTGTGTGACCTTTTGTGGTTCCATCACGAGTTGAACTCCCCTACTGTCTGGTTTGATAACAGACTTTAATATTGTCTTTTTTATTTGCATGCATTTCAATCAGTCACAGATCCAGCCCACCTCCCCTTCCTCTTCCCTAGGAAAGGCTGTTTTAGTTTGTGGGGCTTTCCTCTTTAACACAATTTGGCTGGGTGAATGGACAGGAACAATATTGTTACGTAAAGCCAATAGCTCTGATAACACCAGCCCTAAACCCATCTGTTCCGGGTTTGGGTGGTAAATTCTGAAATTAGATCCTGGGGGACCAGCTTTTCGAATCAATTTATCATCCGTCACATGAATTTTGCTATGTGTTCAGCAAAGCATCTTATAGGAAACAAACAACAGATTCTAGAGACACCATAACCTGATATGTAGAGTGAACACCATGATAGCTTTTGAGTTCATATGGCAATAGTCTCTCTCGCTTTTGTTTTGAGTTTTTTTCCTCTTCTGATGTCCAGTCATTATCAAAAAAATAAACAAAAACCCAAAAGCCATTTTTCCCCTCAGATCATAAAGTTACACGCACACTGGTCAGAACCAGATAAGGGTTGTGGGTTTTTTTTTTTGTTTGTTTTTGTTTTTTGGTGTTTTTTTCTTTTTTAACTTTTTTCTTTTTTTGTTGTTGTAGTTTTGTTTTTTACATAATTAAACAGAAAAAACATGGTTACAGTCAAGCTTCACAAACATTACAGACTCACTTGGAGTTATGGAACAAGTAAGCCATGAAGTCTTCTACCTTTTAGTAAAAGGTCCTCCGGAGAAGGAAGTTTCCAGGCCTGCGGAAGTGGTGGAGCCACCGTCCGGCTCCAGAGCGCTAAGTGTGTGCTTTATGATACAGCAGGGCACAAAACCTTCTGTCTCCCAGCGACCGCTGGGACCTTGCCGCAGCCGTGGCTGAGCTTTAGAGAGAGATGCATCGCTGTGTGTGTGTGTGTCCTTTAAAAAACGGTTTTCCCCACCAGAGTCGTGGTTATATACCCCATTTCATAGTTCCAGCAGTTCTGACATCTGTGAGATCTCACCGTCCAAAGATTCATAGGCGTGGATAGAAATAACTGTGAAAACTCGCGTGTGAGCAGTGTTCGCATGTTTACACGTAATACTCCCTGTCCTTGTTTTTCTGTTTCTTGTGGCCGCTCTTCGAGCTCTGCTGCTTCTCCTTCATGAGCGTGCCGTTGCTCTGGGCGGAGTTGCTGATGTAGTTCCGCGTCTCGTCCACTTGATAGGACCCCTCGTCCCTGTTCCTGTACTTGTACATGGCGTACAGGAGGATCAAGATGCAGAGGGCGGCAGCAGCCACAATGCCGACGACCATCCCTGTTGTGCTGCTCGACTCCCGGATCACCTCTGAGGCCCCCGGAACCCGTCTGATTCCCGGCTCCGTGGGGTTTGCTGTGGGCACATTACGGAACATGGGGGAAGTAATTAGTGGGCTCTTCAGTTTGGTGCTGTCTAGCTCATAGGCAGTGGGCAACGGAAGCAAGACTATATCAGGCTGGGGTTTGAGATCACGGTTATTCATTTTGCCAGCTGGCAATTTGGGCACCATCCCAGACGAGGAGGAAGCTGTGAAGCGGATCAGCTCAGGGGATAAAGATGTGGTAGTAGTCCTACTAGTTTCGGAGACTTTGTTAGGTCTAAAGTCCTTGGATTCCCACTTGGGCGCATGTGCTTTGTAGCCACCTTCGAAGATTGAAGTGGAAAGACTCTTATCTGTTACCAAGGAGAAGGTGGTGTAAAAATCTTCATCATCAGTAGGGGGCAGGTTAGAGTCAAAGGTTTCCCCTGAGCCATACCCAGATATCACCAAGCCATCATCATCACAACCATCGCTGCCTTGGTCCGACAAGCAAGGTAACCCCGCCTCAGAGGTCATGGACAGGGAATCTTTGGTGGTCTCAATAATGGTGAGGAGGGGGCGAAAGGTAGGGGGGAGTGTAATGGAAGGTGCACGAGTAGCAATAGGAGGGGTAGCTAAAGGGTCTTCTACAAGAAGAGGGATAACTAATTCACCTCCTGGGATGGAAAAGAAAAAGAAAAACAATTAGTATATTTGTAAACAACTCTCACTCAACCAACGTCATTCACAGATTATGCCTCAGAAATTATAATAAAAAGATCTGGATCTTTTCTGGATGGAGTCTAATCATTCTAGGCAGATTTGGAGCCTTCTGTATGCCTCTTGCCACCCAAACCTGAAATCCCTAGATCAGGGGCTTAGATTTTTTAAAGATACTCTCAAGTAATTATTTAGATAAAATTCAACTATATATGTTCTTTCCAGGATCTGCTTATGGGCTGATGACATTCAGTCAATGATACTGTTATAAATACTGGCTGGCTATCAAAATTGGCATGTGTGGGTACACGCACACATTGTGTGCTTAACTTAAGAATTTATTAACATGCGTTTAAGATTTCTTTATTGCCTTCTTGGGATTCTGCTCATTTGCTCCCAGGAGGATGAGAATGACCGATTCACCATCTTATTGAGACCAAGATCAAGAAACATAAAAGATTGTGTCTTTTGTGTTTTCTTAAGTTACTTCCTTTTATTTCACACTTATTAATCACAGTCCTTGTTTACTATAAGCTGAGCAATAGGGATTTTTAAAAAGTTAAAAATATTCATCTAACAAATCCATTTTGACCATGCTTTTCCAGAAATCCCCCTGACTATTAAATGACAGCTTGCCTTGCATTAGTCTAATATTTGTATGCATTGCTTTCATGCTGTATGCAATATATGCTGAGCTGGAAGCTAGATTTTCAAAATACTCAGCCTAGATATCCATGACTTGAAACTGTTAGACTCAGAAATGTTGACTTAGCAAAGTGAGTTTTTTAAATTGGTGATTGCTAACTAGTGTGGCAAAAACATATCTGTTTACCCATAGACCCTCGTTATTGCACTTAGAATCATACAGACTAAGTTGGGAAAGAAAGCTCAGAATAGTTCATTAAATAACAGGGCCTTGCAGATCATGGGTACCACAAATATTCTGCAGTAGTGGTTGCTTACCCTACTGTAAGGCCAAGATTGCTATGCATCTATGTCAGCAGGATAACTGATCTCTCTTCAGTGTCTTTATAATGTTGTTTTCCAAGCAAAGGAAGAATCTTAAGAAGTCATAGTCCATGTCTCTTTATTGAATATATTCCAGAAAAATGTATTCCCACTATCACTTAAAAAAAATCCACTCGCAGGGATGCTGCGAATGTTTCCCTGCCCCAGTTATTTAGAAGGTTGAGGTACTAATGTGACGTTATTGTTGAAGGCCTCTTTCTGAGCTGACCCATTGAGCTGTCAACTGGTACCACGTACGTGTGTCTCTTACACTTGGTAATAACTTTGCTGTGATAGTATAATCAGTGTTTGAGTAGCTGTTAACAGATAAGACTGTAGCTGAGGTACCCACCTCATCAGTAACAAAGCCAGACAAGGAGGTGATTCAGTACCAGAGTTCTAGGGGACTCCAAGTGAATAAGCCTTGGAGCCTACACAGTCTTCCAGGGTTTTTCCTATGAAGATTGATTCACAAATTAAAACTCTCCTTTTGAATGCATAGGAAATGCTTCAAGATGCAACCTTTCCACACCTTGCATCCTGAAACCTTTCCCATGCATCCAAATTGTCCAGGTTTCAGGTGTGCTAAGAGAAGGGCTTCCTGAGAAGAAAGCTAATACCTACCTTCAAGCACTGAGAAACTGTTGGTGCCCATGTCAGAAGCCTTTATTCTCTCCCTGTTTAGCCAATAACAATTGTGTTCTGCAGAAAGAAACTGAGTTTCTGAGGGAACCGAGAAAGCATATAATGTGTACCATTTAGAAGGGAAGGGACAACAGAATGTTGCAGTGTCATCTCTGGCCTATGTGATAATTTTACTATGAAATTTAAAAAAATACCTTTTTGAGATTCTCAAGATGATCTTGTAGTATGTGCTCTAAACCTAAGCCTCTATTCTGGTGCTCAGAGTTTGAAACTATTGAGCAAAATGATCTGTGCAGATTTGCCAAAGATTCACACTTACTGTACTAGACCAGCAGACACCTGTTTTTTTTTTTTTTCTTTTTTTTACATTGTGAACATATATAATTCATATGCCTTACAACTTATTTAATGCATAATTTACACACTTTTGCTAGTTTTTACAAATGGGATTTGGAGTGCAGTTCCCTAAAGGTAAGCCAGTCCTAAAACTAACTCTGAGCAAACTTTTTTATTATTCTTCTGCTAGGGGGTCCCAAGTGGTAGATTTAAGGTGATATATGAAAGAGGGCAAGGTTTGAGTAATAGGAGAGCAGTGATGAGAGAGAGGAAGTGAAGGCCCATGGACTCTGTCTAAAGCTTCCGTAAGGATTTCTCAGGCACAGTTTTACTTACCTTCAGAGGACAAGGCAGGATTTTTTTTTTTAACTTATCTGTAACACAGGTTTAACATGTGTGTTCTTTTCTGGCACAAACACCGAGTCATTTGTTCCTTATGGCAATGACAAATCTACCCCATGTAGAGTAAGCAAAGAGGAAACTAGGTTAAAGGACAAGGAATAACTGATATCTTAGGAGGCAAAGCCCTGGTACAAATAGTTTGAATATAAAGGCAAACTGTTGGGTAAGAGGCTAGTGTCCCTTTAAGTGGGATTAAGATCACCATCTTCATGATTACAGAGTGGCATTCATTTGCAATTTTAGTGTACCATCTGTGACACCCAACCGGAGTCTTAAATTTGCCTTTTTGTTTTTTCGGTTTGTTTTTTCTCCTTTCAATACCAGCTAAAGTTTCCACAGTGTACTTGTTGTTTCAAAATCTACAAACTGTTCACTCTGCAGTTGAATTACTTTACTTTGCTATCTCCCTCTCATTTAACACACTAATGCAAGTATCTTAGATTTAAAAAAAAAAAAAAAAGAGTAACCACATTTTTTATAACTCTACAGTAAGAGGGTTCTGAAGCTTGTTAATTTATAAAGAGCTTCTAAAAGCCTGGTGAGTCCCAAAGTGAAATGATAAGAGCTTATTTTAAAACTAAAATGATGGGTATGCCATCTCAGAGTTTAGAAAACAAAATCTTTCAGAACTACTGATCTCTAGTTTTCTTTGCCATTTTGTTATTAATCTCGGTAGCAGCGATAAAAATGATAAATGATACCCTCTGTTGGGAAAATCTGAGCCCAAATTATGCTGATTTTTAGACAACAAAGTGGTAGAAGCTTTCCTAACCCCTCTTTCCTGGCTTCTCAAGAAGTGGGAAGATTGCCTTTAGTTTAAAATGAAGTCAACTGCAGTACACGGGGGTCCTTATGACAAATAGCAATTCTAATGAAAATAGGTAGAACATTTTAGATAACTGTAAACATGAAAAATGCCTGGGACAAGTGTATATGTTGGTGTAATTAATTTTAATATTAAATTCCATGTTTAAGATTGCAGATGATAATAGTGTCCTGGGGGATCAAAGGCACACATCATTTGAGAGGAGAAAGTGATGTATTTCTCCTACTATAAGATCATTAATAGAAATAACTTAGTTTGGCCAGGCACGGTGGCTCACGCCTGTAATCCCAGCACTTTGGGAGGCCGAGGCAGGCGGATCATGAGGTCAGGAGATCGAAACCATCCTGGCTAACACGGTGAAACCCCATCTCTACTAAAAATACAAAAAAATTAGCCAGGCATAGTGGCTGGCACCTGTAGTCCCAGCTACTGGGGAGGCTGAGGCAGGAGAATGGCGTGAACCTGGGAGGCAGAGCTTGCAGTGAGCCGAGATCACGCCACTGCACTCCAGCCTGGGCGACAGAGCGAGACTCTGTCTCAAAAAGCAAACAAACAAACAAAAAAGTAGTTTGGTGGGAAGCTATTCAAAGCTTCTTGTTTATTTTAATCAAAAGTGACTACCCTGAGAAATGTTCAAGTAGCTGATAATATTTTCTTCACTTCCCAGAGATCATGAAGTCAGTGATCAACTATGTGTCCCATGCCTACAAAAGTATTCATGGAAGCAAATAACCCAAAGTCATAAAGGGTTATGAGCAGAGTAATACAAAACCTGTAATCCATCAAAATCCTAATTTCCTATGCTATCCCCAGAATTTTTCTTTAGTTTGGGATAAAAGCTATCTATATTCTTTAAAGTTAGCATTTTAAAATCAGGCATACATACCCCTTTTTGGCAGGATTGTGCTTTTCTTTAAACTAGAGAGATCATTAGAGATATAAAAGGTCTATTTTAGCCCTGAAGGCTTCCCGGCTTTTTTGCTTTATGAGTGTATTTGTAGATATATAATTCATGCCTCTAGGGCTGATATCCAGCAAAAGGGGCTCACTGCCATCAAAAAAGACAGTGTATAAAAAATTTAATAGAATTCTTCTGAACTGTGAGAATGTTGTGGGTGATAGTGAATGCAGTGGGTTATCTTTGGAAAAAAAAAAAAAAAGAACAAAAAAACAAGCATGAAGTTTCAACACTTGCCTCTCTGGAGATATTTGGGTTTTGAGAGTTCACGAAAATACCAAAACAGTGATGCTGAACAGTGAGACTCTGGGACAGGACACCATGCTTGAATTCCTTGAATTCTTTTTATATATTTGGGTATTTTACTTCATCTCTTATTTGCATTATTCCAAATTTCTTCCTGAAAATTCACATGATAAGGGGAAATAATTCTTTTCCCCCCAAGAATTAATTTTTCAAAGATATTTAGCTCTTTGGTGACATAGAAGTGTGTATTTGTAACACATAAATATCATAAAGCTTGTAACCATGAAATTGCTCTCTATCAACCTTCGGGAAAAAATAGTCATGGACAAACAGGGCAAGTACCTGGGGAGAAGACAGTAGAAAAACTCAAGTGTCTCAAAGAGGCTTAACTTGTATTTTAACAGGATGAGAATTTCTAGGTAGGGCATTCTCCCTCGCTTCCCCACCACCCTTCCACCCCAGCAAAGGGTTTGTCTGAAATAGGTTTGATTTGGAAAGGCTACAGATTATATTTTTCAACAATAAGATGAGCCACAGCCCCTTGATATCATTATGTATTACAAAACAGGAAATGTCAAGTGGAGTGTTTCATTTGCTTATTAAGAGCTTTGCTTCTGAAGTAACTCAGACTCTTAACATCGGAACTCTCTAGGAGTTCCTACTAGTGCTAGGAATTTGGTCAAATTTCTTAAACTCTGGAAAATGAGAATAATAAAATACCCTACCTCAAACCATCAATGCAAATATTAAAATAATGCATATCAAGTATTTTTTATATGTTAGATGGTTAACACAGTACCTACTACTATTCAGAAATGCTAGTTACTAATGTTATTATTTCTACTAATGTATCTGAGCTATAAACACTTACATAATCACTTTCTTCTAACCCTTTTTTATTTAGTGGCTTCATGCTAAAGTAGAAGTATAATTATATATTGAGGCTATTTTAAATAATAGAATATAAGAAATAATTTATAATTCAAATAGCTTGTATTTTTTAAAAATAACATTTTATTAAATTTACCTTTGGATATCTTTTTCATAGAAAGAAAATATTTTAATGCATCAAGATAAAACAACATCCCATTTAGGAAGTTCTAAGTTTTAGACCTAAAATATTATCCAGCATGTCAAACAACACAAAATCGCATAAACTGAGGTAGAGAGAGCCCAAATATTAAGCTGCTGGCTTGGAAACACTCTTATCCACCATTCAGTTTGATATTTCTATAACAGTTCAAATAACACAAATATCTGTAAAGCAAAACAAGTAACTTCTTGATGAAAAAATTATATAGTGCTTCTTACCAATCTTATGTATGTTGAAGTACATAAGGCAGCATTGGTTCAAATAATCTTAAGGTGAAGGAATAGTCTTACCCTGTAGTTACACGATGATGGTACCCACCTGAAATATTTTCTAAGTATAACTTTAGATATGAAAATCATCATGTTTTCTTGGTAGAATCTTAAGATCCCTGAAAGCTTACCTGATTAAATCCTTGAGAGAAATGAAAAAGGGAAAAGGAGAAGAGACAAAGGAAAGAGGGAGAGAGAGAATGTGTGTGTGCCTTCTGTGTGTGTCTGTGTTTTTGCCAGTTGTTAGTTCCATACACTGGAAGGCGTCAGTATCATAGAACAATACTCGAAACACCTGGGATTCTTGATATCTGCATTTTCAGTATAATTGATTTTGTAGCCTGAAGCAAAAGTGAGAGTATGATCCTGGATAACCAAACTCTACCATAGTCACTTGAGAGTACCTTATTTCCCCTTTGCTGAAGGAAAAGAACTAATTTCCTAAATGCTTTTTAAGGAATTTTAAAAAGATGCAAATACCACTGGTACTACTTGGAGCTAACTCAACTCATTTTCTTCTAGGGTACAGGCCTCCCACTGGCTGGAAACAATTTTAAGATACCAAATAGAGCCTACCAATACTTTCAAGGCTTTAAACACGGTGGTGAAAAAGTTCAGGCAAAGAGGCCAGGCTTTCTTTGGGTGGTAAGAACAATGTATTAACCCCCTTCTACTGAGAGTAGAATTCACATTGATTATTAGAAGCAATTCAGCACAAAACATAACAGTGAAAATTCAGCAAATCGACACAAATGAAATAAAAAATATAGTCTTCAAAATTATATAGTAGAAAATAAAATCAACTTCGTAGCCAAAGTAAGCTGGGAGAAGGAGAGCAAATAACATTGAGGCATTCACAATATAATAAGAATGGAAAGAAAAAGTAAAAGCAAATTAAAAATAGAAGCTGTTCTGGGAAAAAAAGAAATCATTTCCATATAGGCAAAATAATTTAAACTAAAAAAGCATACCATATTAATTTATAGTCAACTTACATCAACAAATTGCCCGCATGTTTTTTGGCATGAAAGAAAAATTTACAAAAGAAAGTTGTGTAAGAATGCTCTTGGACAAATAGAATTGCCACATTCTTGTAACTTGCTTTTTTTGTTGTCATTTCTTAAAAACTTTTGAGCAAAATGTCTAATTTTTCAAATATAATAATTTACAACAGAGGATGATACAGGGAGGCAACAACACATACATCCACACCACATAACATAAAAAGAAAAAAAAAATCTGCACTTTAACAAATTTTTACTTTGGGGGGTTTGGGAGGGCATCAATTTTTGAATTTAAAATAATTCCGATTGCTATGATTGAAAAACCAAACAAAAAAACCTGTTTACTTTTATAATTTGCCTTTCAAAAAATTCTATGACTCTAACGGGTTTTGAATGAATTTCTGCATTTATAAGTTTTCAGATATATATATTTTTTTGTCTTTTTGACAAATTTTAGGCTTTCTTTAATTTAGGGAGATGGATGACAGCACATAAATTTTAACAATGCTAAAGAAAGGGGGAGAATGGGAAGGAAAGATGCAGGAAGGGGAGGGTCATATCTATGAGTGAACTACACAGGAGATGAAGATGATAGGAGTAAATGTGTAAGTGAGTCGCCATGTCCATGTAAGGGCGGCACGGAGTGATCTAGCTGCATTAGAGCTTCTGGCTGTAAGGAAGGGATGGGCAATATACAAAAACAAATGAGCCTACACATGCCCATCTATGGAAATAAAGAACAGAACTCTAACACTGACAATCTCACACACCCTAAGCTGCAACTTCTTCAACATGCAATTACTCCAAAAATTATTACAGTTTCATTAAAGATTTTCAAATAATAAAAACAGTTAAACTTTTTCCTACTAAAAATAGCCAAAATACATAAAATACTAGTAGTCATGATCAAAAAGTTTAAAGCAAAAACAAGAAGACTAGATTTATGCATTCAAGTTGAACAACTTCATCGGCAGCCACACAGCCCCATCTAGAGTGGGGGAGGTTCAGAAATCTACAGAGGTGATTGAGACGCACTACTAAGCAGGGGGCCCACGCACTGGGTTGCTAATTACTTCTCTATAGAGAAATGGCATTTTCCAAACGACATCATCCATCTTCCTTATGCCACCCATGTTGCACGCAATTGGCAATGAGACCAGGCTAATTTGAAAGATGTGGATGTGAGGATTCTGCAGCTGAAGTTGTTCCACATTTAAAGAGGGAGTGGGGAAAAACTGCAGAAAACAATTCATAACTTTTTTTCTCATAATTTTAGATAAAATCAAATCTAAGATAAAGATCTAGCAATTAAAAGAAACACATTGATATATATATATAGATATATATAATATAAAAAGCACTTAATTCCCAAACAAGAAGGGAGAAAAAAACAAAAAGTTTAAAGAAAAAAGTATTTCACACACTTTCAGAGATGAACAACCAGACGCACAGGCTTGAAAGGCACAGACAGAGCAGTCAGGGGACACGTTTTTTTTGCTTTGCTTTTTTGGCTGGTTAATTCCCCTTTTCGTGATAGCCAAAATTAAAAACAGATTGTGCATTTTCTTTAAAAACTAATTTTACGTTTTCTTTATTTTTTGGCTTTGCTTTGAAAAAATAAAAAGGGCGTGCAGTCTGGATGTACGTCGTAAGTAGACATTTAAAAGAGAAGAAAGTAGCTAGACTGACAAATGGGTTATCATATACTATCCTTCAATTGTAGGAATGTTAATCCAGTTAACACATGCTTAAAGTAAGTTGCATTTAGGGGAAAATAGAAAAACAGAACAGCAAGCTAGGATTAGGGGCAGCAAGACAAAACCAGTTTAGGGGTAGGAGGAAGGTACTGGGTTTTGTTTCATGCCTTTCCAGTAGGGGTGAAGGACATCTGAAGGCTTCTTGCCAATTAGAAGGAAAGCATGTGAGAGGTGTGTGTGTGTGTGTGTGTGTGTGTGTGTGTGTGTGTGTGTGTGTTGGGAGTTGAACTAGAACCTGTATTGACAGGAATTGGAATCAAAATACATATGGGTTCATGAGTTCTGCTTCAGGAAATTTATCCCAAATTTATTCAAAGCCTTTAGATGGCATATTTTACGGGCATAGAGGGGTTATAATTAACATTGCTCTGTGGGAGGGTTCTTGGGCTTAGTCAAAGTGACAGAGCACAATGATGACAGTAGAATGTTAATAAAATGAGCCTGATAAATGGAGGAATAGCCAATTTTTTTTTTGTAAGAATGGCAAAACCCCTCTCCACTCCAAAGAGTACAATATCAGTGTCTGTAAACTACAGGACAATCATGAAAGGAATAAAGTTTATTGGAAGTGCTTTGAGGAAAACTATGCCAATAAGGTTTATCTGAAGTACGTTGGGGAAAACTATGCCTCTCACATGTATGCACACGGAGAGGAAGATACTGTAGAAGAAACAGAGGGAAGGAATTTTTAGAAATGGCCTCAGCCTCCACTGGAAGAGATCACAAGAGTTATATTCAGTATTATATCTCGTTGAGAACATTAATGTTCAACCAAGGACTGGGAAACCCAGGTAGGCGAACCACAAAGGCAAGACACTTGAGAGCACCTGGTTCTGACAACCAATTCCAACCACTCCTAAGAACTCTTTTAGGGGACTTTGACAAATAGAGTAAATTTTGAGGATGAGTCCAACTTTTGCCCGCTATGGGACGCCCCTTTTATTATTTTACTTTAAAATAATTATAGCAATGTGTCCCCATGGGTCAGTCCGTACCAAGATTTTTAGTCTCTGGTTTAATAATGTTAATCATTATTCTGGGAACTTCACAAAGAGCAGCTGGAAAGTTTTAGATGGAGGAAAAAAAAATTAATAATATAGAAAAAGAAAAACCCTTGTTGCCATTTAGTTGATTTTTTTGGACTAATTATACTTTTAACATTGAATTAAGATTGTATAAATGCATATATGGTCGGTCTCAAAAGGCATCAAATGACATCTGTAGAATAAAGTTCTACAATTTTTAAAAGTAGGAAACATAACCGGTCTAAGTGTGAGACTTAAAGAATAAGATACTTCCAATACACACATTCTCCTGGATAATGAGAGGCATTTCGAAAAAGATACATCAGCAATTTGGGTTCTCTAAGGCTTCTACTGAGTAATTTACCTATTCCAAAATTGCCTGTTTTAAAACTCTTACAAGTAGGACACCACTTACATTCTAGAAATCACTGGTTTGAACAATTGAATATACGAAAATTTAGGGTTGTCACTTTGCAAATCATATGTGTATTTTTTAAACCCATGGAAGCTGTAGTTTCAAATGAAGCCAACATAGCCTGAATATAATGCATGTATATCTTTACCATATAAGTCAACCATTAGTTCACATACACAAACCTTGTTTGGTCTCTAAGATACAAAATGACATTGCTTGCTAATAGCAGTTCATAATCATGTCACAGCTTCATTTTCATCTTTCATTAGCTATCTACACTAGGTTTTTATTAATAACTGCCTGATTTCATGGCTGTGCCTTTATTCTGGGTACTAAGAATGTGTTTGGGTTATGTCTGTCATTGAGAACAAATAATACAATAATTTGATTTGAAACAGTATATTTCGATACTACCATTTTTATCCCACCATGTCCTAATAGCTCTGTCTAAATGTAAAATCAAAATTTTTAAAATGCCAAATGCGATATTACAGTTGTTAGAATTCATCTTGGGAACTTGTTTCAAAGAAATGTTTCTGAACTGCTTTGGGTTGAGCTCAAGAATCCCAAAGACATACTCAAGTTACTCCAGTTGCAAACCCTCCTCTCTGGAAGCATGGGTCCTCCTTGCTAGAAAGCATTGTCTTCAGTGTATAGAGGTGAGGCCCAAGAGGAAGGCCCCAGTGAGTTACTTTACATAACATTATATATTTTAAACTTCCCAGGGAGAATACTAGAGAGAGGAAGGCAGAGGGAACCATCTCAACAGTCTTCGTGCAACACTGGGTAAAGATTTAAAAAGTTACAAACCGGGAGGGCTGAGAAAGAAGTTGGCATAACAAATACCTAATGAAGATTTTGAAGACTTTTGGCATTGGATACATGAGTTAAGCCTCCACATCTGTTTCTCCTATGAAATATACAAAAACATTTTCATAGATTTGATTTTTGTGTCTGTGGGGTGAATGGAGGAATTCTGGGAGAATGGATGGCTCATTTCTGAATCACAGTTTGACTTAGAACGAAAGTAGAGAACCCTGTACATGGACATGGAAGTCTGGATGTGAGGATTGCTGTTGTCAGCATTACAAAACGAGCCCTGCATATACCTTTGTTCCTCATAACTTCTTCTGTAGACATGGAGGGTGCTCAGAAAAGGGGTGAAGGAACCCATTTCATAATGCGGTACAGTAATGCTGCAATGAACATGGAGTGCAGATACCTCTACAAGATGGTAATTTCCTTTCCCTTGGGTATATACTCAGAAAAGGCATTGCTGGGTTATATGGCAATTCCATTTTTAATTTAGGAACTTCCATACTGTTTTCTGTAATGGCTGGACCAATCCAAATTCCCACCCACAGTGTACAACGGTTCCCTTTTCTCCACACTCTCATCGACACATGTTGTCCCTTGTCTTTTTGATAATACCTACCCTACCATGTATGAGGTGATATCTCATGGTGATTTTTATTGGCATGTCCCTGGTGATTAGTTATGCTAAGCATCTTTTCACATACATGTTGGCCACTTTTGTCTCCTTTAGAGGAATGTCTATTCGGGTTACTTTGTCTATTTTTAAAATCGGGTTATAAGTTTTCTTGTTATTGAGCTGTATGAGTTGTTTATAAATTTTGGAAGTTAGCCCCTTACTAGATATATGGTTTGCAAATATGTTTTCCTCAACCTGTGGGCTACCTTTTCATTGTATTGATTTCTTTGCTGTGAAGAAGTGTTTTGTTTAGATGTATACTTCTTAAAGATTACTTTGGCTTCGGTATGGAGAATGGACTTTTGGGAAGCAAAAGTAGAATTGGGGAGATCAATTGGGAAGCCGTTGCAGAATTCAAGCAAGAAATGATGGTGACTTACACTACAGCATGGGTAGCTGGAGCAAAGGAAATGTGTGAGCAATTTGTTATCGAGGCAGAGTCAACAGGACTTCTTGACTGGGTGTGGGGAAGAGAGTTGGGACAGGGGCCCAAGAATGATGACAAATGTGGAGTTTGTACACCTGAATCAAATTTAAGAGATGAGAAAATTTGGAGGACATGCAAGTTTGGGGAATCCAAAGTTCTGTTTTAGCTCTTCTGAACCCAAAGTGTCTCTTAAATATCAAAGTGGAAAGGTTGAATAGCCAGATGGATTTGAGAAACTGGAATTCTGAAGGGAGGCTTAAACTGAAAATTATCATCATATAGATGCCATTTAAAGTCAAGAGGCTGGATCAGATCACCCAGAAGATTAAAACACCTGGGCCATATCTGGGGCCAGCTAAGAGATGGTGAGGTGAGGGGCCAGGGCTGGAGAAATAAAGTCAGGAGAATCTTGGGCTGTTGATACTGAAGAATGAAAATGTTTCATACAAAACCTTCATTTCTGACTGGTACACAGATGATTTTTTTATGTTGTAAAATATATTACCTATAATAGTATTAAAAGGGTCTAATGCAGAGGTGTTCAATCTTTTGGCTTCCCTGGGCCACAGTGGAAGAAGAATTGTCTTGGGCCACACATAAAAAAACACTAACACTAACAATAGCTTATGAGACCAAAAAACATTGCAAAAACTCAATGTTTTAAGAAAGTTTACAAATTTGTGTTGGGCCACACTCAAAGCTGTCCTGGGCTGCATGCGCCCTGTGTGCTGTGGGTAGGACAAGCTTGGTCTAATGGTTTGCAAGTAACAAACTATCTGCATATAGAAGTCCTAAATTCCACACAGTGGCAAGACTAAGAACAGGGGAGCAGTTGCTAAGCTCAAGCTTTGAGGGCCATTTGCACTGTCCTTTCTGGTTGTTTGACTTTATGAAGATATTTCCTCTTGATTAAATAAACTAGTACCAGCAAAAAATAGTTTTTAGAATTCCCTACTACACACATATACTTTATAAAAATGAGCTTCAAGTATTGAAAGATGTGCTATTTTTTTGTATTTCAATTCAGCAAAGGCACACTGAAGACCTGTGTTGTGCCCTATTCTGTGCTAGACAGATTAAAAAGCACCAAATAAGCATAAAGATTTAGCCTGTGCATCAATGAGCTTATAATGTTCTTGATGAAGAAAAGCTTAGTTACACTAAGACATGATTATTAAGTTAGCATTAAAACAAAATGAAAAAAAAAAAAAAGAATTCCTGGCAGTTTCTTAGGTGGGTTTTCCCTTTTGTGTATCTTAACCAGTATCAACACGTTGGGAGAAAGGAGCTAAGATACTACCTTGACCCTCTGTTCCTTTATGTCCTCATCTTACTACACAATTCTAAGGTCTGTCAGATTGTTTCCAAGAGATTTAAGGAGAATTCTCCCTTTGGCCTCAGCCCCTTTGGTCTCTTCAGGACCATCAAGGAGTGCTGAGCTCATAAAATATAGCTAATAACATCTTGATGCATTTGAAATGAATATTTTATAGTTTCTAAGGTAATTTTACATGTAATGCTCATGATTTCATGAGTTAGGACAAAATCTTTGATCTTTTTGAATAAGAAAAGTGAGGCCCCAGGGGTTGGCATGGGGGACAAGTGACTTGTCTCAAATTTCACAGTTTGGTAGAGGGCAGGAGCTCAACTCCAGATCTGTTCTCTTGCCAAAAAAGGAATACAATCTTATGGAAAGACATCAAAATAAGACCTTTTCAGAGCTTAACTCCAACTCACAAGGGTGAAATAAAATAACTGTAAAATTACATGCAGAAATAACCCAAATTTACAATTAAAACATGTATTCAAGCTTTAAGAATTCATCATTATTGGAGGGTGTGGAGATGGAGATTGGAAGGAAGTAGTAATGATGGCTATTTGGGTTAGGGTTTTGGGTTGAGGTGATTCTTGTTTGTTTGCTGAGTCAGATACTCCAAAGATCACACTTGGAGTAGCCCGGGCCTCAGTTGTAATTGTCTGGGATTCAGCCTCCTCTGTTGACTATGAAACCTTCATTTGGTAGCTAACAGTCTTTGAACACAATAGTAACAAATATTAGAGAAGCACTTTTAGAATTTTTAAGCACTTTCTCATTCAAAATCTTATTAGTTGAGCAAATCTGCCCTGTGAGGTTAAGTGACTAGACATTGTAGTCACCACAACTTTAAAGCTATAGGCTAGTGTGGGGGGTAAAATATAAGCAACTAATTATATTAATTCATTTGCTTATCCATTAATTCATTCAATAAACATTTGAATGATTATTAGTATTCTAGTTGGTAGGAAAAATAAAAGTAAGCAAGAAGACACTATCCCTTTCCTAAAGTTGTTTCAGGTCTAGCTGAGACTAAAAAACAAATTAAGTGCAGTGGAGTATTGAGTCAACAAAAATCTGCGTAGGGTACAGTAGGGTCACAAAGA
Organism: Homo sapiens; assembly: GCF_000001405.40. Lineage (NCBI taxonomy): Eukaryota > Metazoa > Chordata > Mammalia > Primates > Hominidae > Homo > Homo sapiens. The sequence goes on along the minus strand of NC_000014.9, from coordinate 79,846,671 downwards.
ATAGAGATTTTGGGATAGAATTTAGTACACATTAAAGCTTATCTGAATGTAAGGAAAAAAGATTAATTTAAAGTCCTTCCAGATCTAAACATTCTACTATCTTACCAATTTTTAAAATGTAATACTGTCTTCTGTAACGTTTTATCCATTCTCTCTTCCTTCTTAAGTCTGAAAGTTTGCTGTAGATTGGGCATGCAGAAATACCATTCTAAGTGTTGGGTTTGAGGCTGTCCTGGGTTCTCCTTTCCATCTTGAAAGTTTGGTTTTTCTCTCCTTTCTATTTACTGTAATTAGGTGTGGAAACTGAGTTTGGGAACAGATAGCACATGAATTTTTTACATGGGACATTTTTGTTCAGCATTAAAGCAAATTATTTTTATATTTAAAAACAAATACAGGTATATCTTGTTTTATTGTGCTTTGCTTTACTGTGCTTCACAGATACATTTTTAATAAATTGAACGTTTCTGGCAACTCGGCATCCAGGAACTCTGTTGGCACCATTTTTCTACCTGCCTGTGCTCACTTTGCAACTCTGTGTTACATTTTGGTAATTCTCACATTTCTACTTTTTTTCTTACTGTATCTGTTATGGTGATCTGTGATCTTTGATGTTACTATTATAACTATTTTGGGGTGCCATGAACCACACTCATAAGATAGTGAACTTAATATTGTCTGTGTTCTTCTTCACCAACCTGCCCTTCCTCCATCTCTCTCCCTGTCTGTCTCTGTCTGTCTCCATCTCTCTCTGTCTCCGTCTCTCTCTCTGTCTTTCTCTCCATCTCTCTCTCTCTCCATCTCTCTCTCTCCCCGTCTCCCTCTCTCTCCCCGTCTCCCTCTCTCTCCCCGTCTCCCTCTCTCTCCCCGTCTCCCTCTCTCTCCCCGTCTCCCTCTCTCTCCCCGTCTCCCTCTCTCTCCCCGTCTCCCTCTCTCTCCCCGTCTCCCTCTCTCTCCCCGTCTCCGTCTCTCTCCCCGTCTCCGTCTCTCTCCCCGTCTCCGTCTCTCTCCCCGTCTCCGTCTCTCTCCCCGTCTCCGTCTCTCTCCCCGTCTCCGTCTCTCTCTCTGTCTCTCTCTCTCTCTGTCTCTCTGGGTCGGTCTCTCTCTCTCTCTGTCTATCCTTGTCTCTCTCCAGCCCCCCACCCCCATCTCCCTATTTCCTGAGACACAGCAATATAGAAATTAGACAAATTAATAACACTGCAGTGGCCTCTAAGTGTTCAAGTGAAAGAAAGAGTCACCCACCTCTCACTTTAAAGCTAGAAATGATTGAGCTTAGTGAGGAAGGCATGTTGAAAGCTGAAATAGGCCAAAAACTAGGCCTTTTGGGCCAAACAGTTGGCTGAGTTGTGAATGCAAAGGAAAAGTTCTTGAAAGAGATTAAAATTGTTGTTCCAGTAAATACCCGAATGATAAGAAAGTAAAACAGCCTTATTGCTGATATGGAAAATATTTTAGTGGTCTAGATAGATCAAACTAGCCACAACATTCCTGTTAACCAAACCCTAATGCAGAGAAAGGCCCTAACTCTTCAATTCTATGAAGGCTGAGGCAGGTGAGGAAGCTACAGAAGTAAAGTTGGAAGCTACCAGGGGTTGGTTCATGAGGTTTAAGAAAAAAAAAAGCCATCTTCATAATATAAAAGCACAAAGTGAAGCAGCGAGTTCTAATGTAGAAGCTGCAGCAGGTTATCCAGAAAATCTAGCTAAGATAACTGATCAAAGTGGCTACACTAAACAACAGGTTTTTAATGTAGACAAAATGGTCTTATATTGGAAAAAGATGCCATCTAGGACTTCCACAGCTAGAGAAGAGGAGTCAGTGCTTGGCTTCAAAGCTTCAAAGAACAGGCAGATTCTCTAGTTAAGGGCTAATGTAGCTGGTGACTTAAAGTCAATACTTATTTGCCACTTCAAAATTCCTAGGGTTCTTAAGAATTATGCTAAATGTACTATGCCTGTAGTCTTTAAGTGGACTAGCAAAGCCTAGATGACAGTTGTTTACAGCATGGTTTACTAAATATTTTAAGTCCATTGTTGAGACCTAGTGCTTGGAATAAAAGATTCCTTTCAAAATAGTACTGTTCATTGACAGTGCACCTGGTCATCCAAGAGCTCTGATGGAGATATACAAGGAGACTAACATTGTTTTCGTGCCTGCTAACACAACATCCATTCTGCTGTGCATGGATCAAAAAGCAATTTTGACTTTAACATCTTACTTAAGAAACACGTTTTGTAAGGCAATAGCTGCCATAGATAGTGATTCTTCTAATGGATCTGGGAAAAATAAATTGAAAAAATTGTTAGAAGGATCCGCCATTCTAGATACCATTAAGAACATTTGTGATTCATGAGAAAAGTCAAAATATCAACATTAGCAGGAGGTGGGAGGAAGTTTAATGCAAAACCTCATGGAGAGTTTTGAGGGGTTTAAGACCAGTGGAGGAAGTAACTGAAGATATGGTGGAAATAGCAAGATAATTAGAAGTAAGACCTGAAGATGTGACTGAATTGCTGTAATGTTATGATAAAACTTTAATAGTGGTATATATATCCACCATGGAATACTATTCAGCCATAAAAGGGAACAAAATAATGTCTTTTGCAGCAACTTGGATGGAGTGCGAGGCCATTTATACTAAGTGAAGTAACTCAGGAATGGAAAAGTAAATATTGTATGCTCTCTCTTATAGGTGGGAGATAAGCTATGAGGACACAAAGGTACAAGAATGATATAATGGTCTTTGGGGACTTGAAGGTTGGGAGGGGGCAAGGGATAAAAGACTATATATTGGGTACAATGTACACTGCTCAGGTGATGGGTGCACTAAAATCTCAGAATCACCACTACAGAACTTATCCATGCAACCAAAAACCACCTATAACCCCAAAACTATTAAAATTAATTTTTCTTAAAAAACTTTAATGGTTAAGGAGTTGCTTCTTATGGATTAGTAAAATGACTTCATAAGAAGTAATCTCCTGGTGAAGATGCTGTGAACACTGCTGAAATGACAAAATATTTAAATATTAATATCACATAAACTTAATTGATAGAGGCACAGTTTGAGAGGACTGACTCCAATTTTGAAAGAGGTTGTACTCTGATTAAAATGCTATGAAACAGCATTGCATGCTACAGAGAAATCTTTTGTGATAAGAAAAATCAGTCAGTGCAGCAAACATCATTTTTGTCTTAGGAAGTTACCACAGCCATCCCAACCTTCAGCACCCACATCCTGATCTGTCAGCAGCCATCAACATCAAGACGGGACCCTCTACCAGCAAAAACATTCGCTGAATACTGTTGATCACTAGCATTTTTGTTAGCAGTAAAGTATTTTTTATCAAAGTATTTTTTTAAAAGATATAGTGCTGTTTCACATATAACAAAGCACAGTATGGTATAAACATACTTTTATATGCACTGGGAAACCAAGAAATTCATGTGACTTGCTTTGTTGTAATATTCACTTTGTTGAAATGGTTTGGAACCAAACCCGACCTATATTCACATTAGCCAAGATAGAAAGCAATCGAAGTATCTGTCAAGGGATGGACACATTATAAAATATTAAGTGGAATATTATTCAGCCTTAAATAAGGAGATCCTGCCATTTGCTACAATATACATAACTTGCAGGGTTTTATGCTAAGAGAAATAAGCCAGGCATAGAAAGAAAGATATTACATGATCTCATTTATATGTGGAATCTAAAAAAACAATGTCTAATACCCACAGAGATAGAGAATAAAACAGTGGTTACTAGAGGTGGGAGAGGAAATGACATGTAGGTGAGAGAATACCAAGTAACAGGTGTTTAGGATGAACAAGTCTAAAGATCTAATGTGCAGAGGACTGTAGTTAGTAATAGTGTATTGTATTCATGATTTTTGCTAAATCAGATTATGGCTACTCTTGACATAAGGGGAAAATGTATAACTATGTGAGATGATAGATATGTTAATTTGTTTCTCTATGGTGACTATTTTACTATATATATATATCTCATAGAATCATGTTGTATTCCTTAAGTATACAAAACAAAATTTATTTCTTAAAGTATCCAATAAAAATCAGATCAAGTCACTTTCCTCTTTAAAATCCCCAAAGGTTTCCCCAAATCAAAATCCCTGACTCACTGGGAAAGTCCACTGTGACCTGCCAGCTGCCTACTCCAGTACTCCAGTCTCATCTATGACTCACCAGACCCAGGATATCTCGGGCTCTGGCCATACTCTCTGGCTTCCCTTCCAGGAACATCCCTTGCCTTGCTCAGTGCTTGGCTAGGTCTTTCTCGTTATTTAGGTCTCTGCTACAATTTTACTTCTCAGAGGCCCTTCACATCTTCCCTAGTAACGAACCAGCCTGCTCACTAACTGAACATCAACTCCTCATGATTCTCTGCACAGTATTTATTAGCTGACTTTTGCCCATGTATTTACATTTAGTCCTCCCCCACTTCACTGGAATATAAGCTCCAAGAGAGCAGAGACTTTGTCTTTGTCCGCAGTCCACAGAACAGCGCCAGGCACATAGTAATAACTCAGGAGATCACTGCTGAAAGAAGAAAGGATGCCTGGAATAGCCACGAATACCTTGCAAAAGGAGCCCACTCTGTTTTTCTGTTTTTCTTGCAGTCCTCTATAGTTCCTAATATGGTGCTTTGCCCACACAAGGCAGTGGATACATGTTTTGCAAACTAATTATTGAAGCATTGCATTCACAATTCTGTTTTATTTTCATTTACTCTTCTCTAAACCAGATGGGATTTCCCTGAGTCCTAGTTAGCAGTTCCAATGCAAATTGGACCTTCTTATCCACAGCTGGCTTAAGAAACTCTCTGAAAAAATACATCACTATCTGACTCGTTCTCACTTCCATAAACAGGTATTGGAATATGCACTGGAAAACTCAGGCTTTCCTTTTGCAGTTGTGTAGGCTAAAGATAAAATAAACAGTAATTCAACCTAGAGCTGCCAAACATTGATTTTCTTCAGGCAGTAGGAAGGAAAGGGCCAAGCAAATTATTAATGGGGGAATGGTGATCAGGGCAGTGAAAGCATGCTTGGTTATCTCTGCCTGCTGTGGCCCTGCAGCCACTGACGTAGAACACAGGAGCAGTGGGACCTTTCTCCTGAACTGATACCATTACGCTTTATGATTGTGTTTATAGAATAATAAATTATTCAAAAAGGTTTATTTTGCTTCTGTTTTCCCCAAAAGCTCATTTGCTCTGTCATGATGAACATAATTTTGACTGTTTTCTTTGTGCTGGGATCCCGTTGGGTGGTAGCAGCTGGACATTCCAACCTGTTTTCTCCTCTCTATAGGGCCGGTAAGTTCTCTTACAATAAAACTCACCATTTCTTGCAAACATCCTCTTTTACCCTAAAATCTGTCTTCATTGCAGGGAATGTACAGGGTTCATAAAATCAATACCACCAAGGTGTTTTCATACTTAATGGAAATCAGTTTTACATAAAAAGATGAAAAGTTTGCCCAAGACTCCAGCACTTGACATCAAGATTATGTACCCTAAATATACACGGCTTTGACTGTGTCTAACTTGAGCCTTAGGCAGCTGATTTACAATAGAGGAGCCCTGCAGATGTACTTGGGTGGATGAGACACACATCATAAGCTTATTTAATTTTTGTAAACTAAACCGTAGATAAGGGAGGAAGCTTTGAGAAATTTTCCAGTCATTCCAAAAGCTCAATGAATATGGGTCTCTAGATTAGTTAAGATATATGCTTAGAAACAAATGAGTATGATCAAATGGTTGACATAGTGTTTTTCTAGCAAATATGAGGACAGAGAAAGGAAACAAAAATTATAATTACATAATTAAAACACTAATTAACTAGAAGCCTACCTCCAGAAGATGTTTTTAAGAGTATTAAAAACTTAGTCTCTGCCAGACATCGTGTTAAATGCTTTAGTTTATTTTACTCAATAATTATAATTACACCTTACATAGCAGTAAATCTGGGCTGAAATAAGCTAAGTAACTCACCCAAAGATATACAACTTAAAAAATTGAATGGCCGTGACTGTATCTAGTCCTGCATGTTTTACGTTAAAATACAGTGCCACCCTTCACCAGTTTTTTAAAATATTCAGTTCTCACTGAGTATGGGAACTTACAAACAAGCTAATCTTTAGGCACAAAAACAACTTCCACAGGAGATCCTAAGATCTCTACAGATTTATTTCATACTTTTAAGCCTTAGGAGTCATAATTGCATAATGAGAATTGATATTCAGAGGGACTCTGAAGATTTACTTTTTTGCACAATCCCAGGTTACCTAAGCTAGACATACTAAGTCTGTCTGCTAGGGGCAGTGGAAAAAGGATAACAGGAAGTGCCTGGTTATCTACATGTTTTAAAAGTTCCCCAAGGGACTCATGCAAAATTAGATTTAGAAACACTACTCTAAATAACTTCATTATGTTTGCTCTTTTTACCTCAGAGTTATAGAGTGGTCCTTAGTCATGAAAGTAAAAAGAAAATTGAATTTCTAGACCCAACTGGACTAAAGTTCCAGCTGTGATCCAACTTCTGTGACCTGAAATAAGTCATAATCTCTCTTATTTGTAAAATGGAGATAAAATTCCTTGGGTATTGAGTCAATTGAAAGAGATGCTAGATATACAAGCATTCGTTTAAATACATACATACATACATACATACATGCTTCCAGAAATGTTACAAGGGTAATTATCATCTTACTGATACATCAGAAGTTTTCTATCAGTTTCTAATATGTAGATGTTAGGATCACACAATAAATGTTTTTGGATATTCTGCCCATTCAAGCAGTAACATTTTGAAAGCTTCAGTTGGTCTGAATGATTTGATTCCCTTCCTGAGCTGTTAAATTACAAGTGCTTTCTGCAACTACTAGAAGAGAACATTGGGGAAATGCTATAAGACATTGGTATGGGCAAAGATTTTTGGGGGGATAAGACCTTAAAGGCATAAGCAACAAAAGCAAAAATAGACACATGATTACATCAAGTTAAAAACCTTCTGCACACTAAAGGAAACAATCTACAAAGTGAAGAGACAACCAAAAAGTGGGAGAAAATATTTTCTACTATTCATTTAACAAGGGATTAATAACCAGAATACACAAGGAACTGAAATGACTCAACAGCAATACTAATAATCTGATTTTAAAACTGAACAAATGATCTCTGAATATCTGTCCTGTGTCATTTTCTTTCACACTGCATCTTAATTCATCATTGACTCTATACACACTTTTTAAAAGGCCCCATAAACCAATTGTTGAAGAGCATCACATTTCTCTTTTCATTTCCTGTTATGTTATTCTACAATGTAACCCTGTTCAAGTTTAGGGGAGGCCATTGTTTTAGACTAGACTCCGGCCCTAGGCCTCAGCCAACCAGACCAAACCATAATGGGTCAGGTTTTTTTGTGTGGTGTTTTTGTTTTCTTTTTAAACAGGAGATTCATAGCAACCAAGCAGAAGGGGCCCTTTACCTGATCCAGCATAAGAAAGTACCCTCTGCTTAAAGCCTAGAAAGAAGGAAATGTTGAAACAACCTGTCTACTTCTCATTTTGTTTCTGCTTTCTTCAGTCCTTTTCTGTCCATAAAGTCAGACAACACCTTGCCCAGCTCATCAGAACATACTATTTTATAGAACAAGGTGTTGCCCAATTCTACAATTGCAAGTAAAACCAATACATCTTTAAGCTAAATTTGTTGTAATTTTGTCTTTTGACCACCTCTAACTGGTAGGTTTCATTAATGGCTCAAAGGTGTTAAGAAAAATGGCTTCTTTTGTGCACAATGAGACTGTATTGCTAGCACAGTCTCAGGCAGGCCAGAAGGCCCAAGAATGAGCTTCCTACTGTGCCCCTTCAGAAACACGAATCCCACCATGTCTGAGTGGCATGGTGTTCGAGGGTGGACACTAGCATGGCAGCAGCTTGGTATCACAAAGTGAGAAAGGCACTATAAGGCAGCTTTGAAAACAGAAGTGCCAGAGGCCATCTGGTCACTTAATATCTCCTCAGCCAGACTACAGTCATTTTCAATATGGTCTCCAACACTATTTCTCTGTGGTAATAGTGAAAAGGTGCTGACATATTGCTTGTGCTGCTTTAGATGGATATACTACTTAAGTTTTCACACTACTTGTGAGTACCATATGAGGTATCTATCTAAAAAAAATTTGAGAAACACTAAATTTTATTTTTAGCAATACTGCCACATTTAATTTAAAAAGTCAGCGTGGGGAAACCCTGGAACCCACTTACAGTCTCCACTTTTATGCGTAAGTTTAATGTGTTCACACACAGTCCTTCCCTGGGAGAATGTCTGCTCAACAGTTTTGTTCCTGTTTCATAGTATTAATCTATAGTAACGCTTATTTCAATGCTGTTAGCCAAAAAATAACATTTTTAAGGGATAAAAAATTAAAACGTTTATGAGTCTTAAGTCTGAAAGTTGAGACTTAGTACTTTATGACTTTTAAGTATTGTCTTTGTAAAATCATGTAGGTTAGGCTTGCTTGGGTCCCTCAAAAAGCTGAGTTTTTAACACTGTATACTATTCAGTACAAAATATATTGGCTTTTATGTAAGCAACTCACTAGGAACACACTGCTTATCTTGGATTACTAGGTAGAATTTTTTGATAGAGGCAGGTCATTACCACTTTGTCCTACTTGAAAGGACAAATATCTATAAGACAAATATAAATATTGAAAATAAAAGGTATTTCCCAATATGCCCTGTGGAACTGGCTAACGGGTACAAATTGAGATAGGAAGATGCTGCATGAAGAGTTTAAATGTTGGAAAATGTCTGTGCAGCTTAGCTCCTAAACAGCCTTCATGTTTGAAGGCATTTGATTAACCTGCAGTCTCGAAGATTTATTTATTTGGTTTAGAAAGAATCCAAAAGCAAGAACTTAACTGTGTGGAAGCCTCTAGAGAAAAACTTTGACACTTGTACAAAAAATGACATCAAAGAACTATTAGTGGTGAAAAGAATAACTTTGTAAAGCAGTGGCGTTCACTATTTGTGGCCCAAAGGAAAAACCCACGATGGAGAAAGAGATGGGGATATTTCTGTTCAGTGTGTTTTCAGAGAAGGCAAGGAGATAAGTAAAAGTGGATGCTGCTGGGTCTTTTCCCACAGGTTATACATCCTACTAACAAGCAAAGCTTCCAGAAAGTAAGCTCTCTTGAACTTGCTAGAGAAGATACAACATTAGGAAGCAGAATATGAAGGCAATTTTACTTATTGGTTAACTCAACTAAGTGACTTAGTCTCTGTGCCCCATTTTAGTGCCTGTAAAACATATGAAATGGATAAGACGGTTTTTTTAAAAAAAAATGACTTAAGGTAAGCGCTATGGCCAATGGAATCAAAACTGTTCCAAAATCAATACTATAATTTTCAGAATATTTTGAATGGACTGTAGATACTGTCTTCCTAACACTATATCATTACATTAATGGAAGCTTATTTTCTATGTTGCCTTTCAACATAAGAATCAAAAGTCAAAAGTCAATTGCATACATACTTTACAACACCCCTAGCTTGGTAAGTCTTAGAAAGCGGTGATAATTTGTTTCTTGAAGTGGCATGACAAGATCCTGGAATAATGTAGGATACTAACAGTATTACTTTGGACACATGGAATATTGAGCTGAGAAAGTGGGGAGTCTAGCATTCAAGGATGAGGATGTCACAGTTGACTCCTTACTGTGCAGACTAACCACTGTGAGGGTCCCGTATGAAAATTAGGCAGCAATAGAACCATGGACAAAAAAATGACAACACAGAAGCTAGTGAGTCAGGATTTTTTGTGTGTGTGTGGGTGCTATGTAAACAATGACAAATTTTCCATCCAGCATCTCCAACTTTTAGAAGAAAGTGCTGGGCACAGCTGTCTGTTACTGCTCTGGAAAGCTCTGTCCCATCTTTTGTACTGTGCTAACATTCACATACATGAGGTTCTCTGGGACCCTCAATCTAAGATGTTCAGAGATGGCACAGCAACAATTATCCATCTGTACTCTGAAGCTGTAAGCAGCTCTTTCTCTGTTGGAGAACTCCTATTATAAAGGTGGCCAAACAAAAGAAAGATTTTTGAGAAGCATAGTTCGGATCACCACAGGTAGCTTTGTGTCCTGCAGGCTAGTTCTATTTTTTTTCCAGAATAGTGGATGGAACTTTCTCATGAGCCAGGCTTGATACTACAAGTGTAACATTTCCTGCTCTTGGTTTTAACAACTTTAAAGTGCATTAAATGTCAGTTGGCAAGAGTTTGAATGAGCATCATCAGAACTGATCCTCTAGTCTTAAATATGGAACTGATGGTTGTAAGAAAGTTAACTAGAAAAGCAGAGTGGGCTATCAAAACAATAGCTGTGGCTCACACTTAGTGTCATCTTTGTCATTTGCCATTGTGTTCTTTCAATGCACAGAACCATTACAATCCACATTCTTGAACTATTAGTAGCATTCAGCTGAACTTTGAGAGGAATAACTGCATTTGTTCTGCTCTTCTCTCTATAATATTACAAAGAAATCTTACAGAAAACATTGTACCCTAATGATGCAGAGTCGGGAATTGGAAATCAACTGCACAAAACTGAGTTCTGATTGAAACTTACTATGTAGATTACAATAACAATCCACAGATAAGTGAGGCTATTCTACGCATGCCAGGATTTAAATTGCATCCTCCTACCAGTGGCCAAGTAGGATACTGTGCTGTTCCCCTGCTGTCACTGTCAAGTTTCCTGTGCGACTATCATGATTATCAACAACAAAGCCCATGTGCTCCGTGCAGGGATGTGGTTTAGTGTTTAAATCCTAAATCCTTATACTTGCACAGAATCCCAAACCACTTTGCTTATGAAGATAAATATGAAACCCAGGGCAATGGCCATATTCCAGTTTGAATAATTATGTTGCTTTCCACAAATATCTTTCATCCAGTTCCTCAATTGTGTCACCTAAGATGTAGCTATTCAATTCTTTCTACACACATTTTCACTCCCTGGAAACAAAGACTGCCAAAAACAGATGTCTCCATGACAAAGGTTAGCCCTAAATCCCAGAACAGAGCCCCAAAAAATGTATATATGGAGAAATGGAAATCAAAATCATGAGATGCTGAATTATTTCAAAGTTAAAGAAATAACTATTTAGAGAGAAATATTATTCTTATATATCATTAAAAGGAAAAGCGTTATGGTACAGAGGAAAATATTTTAAATGACACTGTCTGCAGGCTTACAAAGCCAAGTGAGTGACAGCTGCATAGGACAGGATCTGAAGAGGGACTTCTCTGTTTTTCAAATTGGCAAATAAAAATTGTACATATTTATCATGTGCAACATAATGTTTTGAAATGTATACAAGTTGTGAAATGGCTGAATCAAGCTAAATTATACCGGCATTACCTCATTGTATTTTCTTTTCTGCTAAGAACACTTAAAATCTACTCCCTTAGTGATTTTCAAAATACAAGATGTTATTATTTGCTATGGTCACCATGTTGTGCAATAGATCTCTTGAACTTAGTCCCCCTATTATGCTAAGTGAAATGGACCATGCACAGACAAATATCACATGACCTGACTTCTTTTTGGAGACTGCAAAAGTTGAACTCACAGAAGTAGAGTAGAACGGTGGTTATGAGAGGCTATTAGGGTTGGGGTGGCGGGTCGGGAATGTGTTGAGTGAAGTTTCAGTTAGATCTGGTTTCGTATTGTCACTGGTGGCATGAAACGAAAAAGAACACTCTTGCTTTTGAAATAAACTGTACAAGATGGTCTCAGTGATATAAGAAAGTCACAGAGATTGTCCTCTGCTATGAAAAGACAAATGCTCCACAGGAAGATGAAGATGTCTGAATCTGTGGCAGCTGCAAGTTCTGTTAAAGTATGATTGGGAATGAATGCAAACTTTCCTGGTTTTGGTTTTGACTTACTTATTTTCAATTATTTACTGTTAACTTAGAGTACCGCTCTCGGCAAATATTTCACTAGCCCCTTTTGTGTCATGTTTAGGGTTATGGTTTACTAGAATCAAACAAGAACAGATGCGTGGCTACATTTTGATAGATAGATAAATAATATTTTCAACACTGACATTTTCATGTAAAATGTTGTGTCTTTAGCTGTGACGTCCAGAAACAAATAATACCTAGTTAAATGGTTGGTGTGAGAAATGGAAAGATTAAAATAACCTGGCCTTCCAGGAGAATCAGATCTTATCACACATTCTCTGAACACATTTAGCAATTCTAAGAGCAGTACTTGAAAATCTGTTATCGGAAGAAGGGAAGGTGGCAGAAACAGAAGTAAGAAAATGAAAAGAATAGGCTCCAGGTGGAATCCAGCATTTGTAATTGAGTTTGCTTTTCCATTGTGGCACTTTAAACTCCCAGTATTAGAAATTTCTGTGTTTTGTTTCTTAAGGGCTAAGAATACCGTGTTAATATTATTGGTAGCCGTGGGACCTGTTTATGTAACTACCAACTCTCTGGATTGCCAGTCTGTCTATATAGTTGTTTTCATACAATGGGACTTTAATAACAAACAACTCAGAAATATGTATGTGCTGTAACACAAATGCTGTAACACAAACGTTCTTTCATGTATATTTTCCTGGGAGGGCAGCCAGAACTCTTTTCCTCTGCCTGTTTACATACAAGATGTTGTCACTTGCAGATATATATTAGAATGGTTGCTCCAGATTGCAAAGAATTGTGCACACCTGGGTTATTTTCATTCCAAAAGGTCCAATTAAATATTGTGCAGCATTTGCATAATTATTCAATTTAGCTATATGGCTGAGCTACCAATCTGGATCTTTAAATTTTAAAAAACCTGAGTATGTCAATTAAGAACTTTGAATTTTTGATCAGTTGGTACCTCTACAGATGAGCTGCTAAGAGACTGATAGAGTCCATGCAATATCATTTTAGAAGGACTTCAGTGAGAACAAGCATTTAAGAGCTGCCTGCCTTTTAAGGTGATTTCTCAACATTTTTTGTTAATAAACCCTATTGAGAATCTGATGAAGGCTGCATGCTCTTTCCTAGTAAAAATGCCCATGTAAATTGAAGAAATTCAGGAGGTTTTGTCCGTCTCAAGCAAAAATTTTAAGAGGACAGCATTACAAAATTAAGAAGTTAAGATCTATAAACATGCCTCATAAACTCCAGAGTTATATATACCTACGAGGCAAAGGCACCATAAAATCAACACAGAATTAATTCTCATTACTATTATCAATGTTGTAGTTTGGCTCACTGGAATTTTAATTCATTCTTTTACTATCTCTAGTTATCTGAGTTAATATAAAAGACCATTATTAAGAGTCGAATCTAAAATTTGCCTTCAATGTAAAACATGTTTTATTCTAATATAATGTGCGTAGATATTGTGTAGTTTGATATTCATCAGCACCAGTAAAATGAACCCAACCTCAGGTACAAATCTAATAGAGCTGAATGTTAATTAATGTGATCCAAACAACTTATCATTTCAGGCTTGCTTCTATTAGGAAAGACGTGCTGTGGCTGTACCCTAATAGAAAAGTCTATTAGTTGCATGGATTCCAATTTCCTTTATCTATATTAGTCACTGAATAGTAGGTTTCTCCTACTTAATAACTTTTCATTGTTTCTCTTTATATTTAGAGCATTCATTTAAAACCATAAAATTACAAACCAAGATTCAGTGGATATATTTAATATATTTTAATCTGATAGCTTTATTTATAACTTTTAATCTAAAAGAATAAATCCATTTTCCTTTTTAAGGGAAAAGTTTGGTGTCCATATGTGCAATGCCCCATAGTAGTAACATCAGACATAGAAGGGCAATTTATGTTTTTTTTACTTTTTTTAAACAAAATGTGGGGTTGAGCCCCATAGGAATCCTGTGATAATGGGATAGACATTATTTACATTTTAAAGTGACATTTTTCAACCTCTACACTATTGCCATTTTGGGTGGGATAATTCTCTGTGGTGGGGGCTGTCTGAGCACTGTAGGCTATTTGGCAACACCCCTGACCTCTACCCACTAGATGCCGTTAGCATCTTCCCAGTTGTGGCAATCAAAAACATCTCCAGACAATTGACAATATGTCCCCTGGGGACAAAAGTCCCCTTAGTTTAGAACCACCGTTTAAAGAAACTACGCTGCAGAGAATTTAAGGCACCGGCTCAGGGTCATAAAGACACTGAGTTATTACTGGCTCTATTGAGCCAGGGCTCGACTCTTGTCTCTAGTGTTTAGTTCCACAATGCAACTTAGGAGACACTCCATACTGTAATTCCTTTAGTGTGTCTCTTGAACTATGAACATCACTAACATAGATAATATTGTAATATAAGTAAAAGGGAAGTAGTAACAGTCAGCTTTCCATATCTACCTGCCCTCGACTCATTCAACAACTGCAGGTAAATGAAAATATTACAATTAAAAACACAAAAACAATACAGTATAACAACTATGTTGGATTGGGTATTATAAGTACTCTAGAAATTATTTAAATTATATAGAAGTATGTGTGTAAGTTATATGTACACACTGCACCATTTTATGTAAGAGATTTGAGCGTCTGCAGATTTTGGTATCAGGGCGGCGAGGGGGTGTCCTGAAATCAATTGACTTATATAAAAGTGCCTGTTAAATACTAAAGTATTATGAAATTTTCACATAAGCATATGTGTGTTAGAATCCACCCTGAGATAAACGTGGGGGGCTCACAGAAGACATGAAAAACTCGGAGCAAAGTAAACTGCAAACTAAAAGGTAGATCTGCTGCTGACTTCAAGTTCTGAACTGCAAAACTGATCTTAAACGGTAAAGTGCTTAATGCAATCTGGTTGTTGTCGGCATCTTTCCAAAACACTGTATTAGCTGTTGCAGTGGAATGTTGCCAGCAGCCAGATGATCAGTTCTTAGTCTCTCATGAGTAGTCGGTACAAACTGAGAGCGCTCATCCTCATCATTTCTTAGAGTGATGGAGCTGGGCCGAACCAAAATAGCTTTCTCCAGGCATACTAAGTGAAGCTAGAAAACCCTCGTTTGGCAAAATAACAATAAAACCATACACAATGCCAAGGCTCATAGAAACTTGATATCTAAGAAATCTATGGATACATTGTGAGTTCTCATGATTACATGAGCTTCCTTTAAAGCAGGACCAGATGCATGGGCAATCGTCAAGCCTTTGTCTAACCAGAGGAAGCGTGTTCCCATCTTGCATGTGTGAAATGCCATAATCTGACCTAGTTCTGCATTAACATTCTTGTACGTGACCAATTCTCATGTGAAATCTGTCACTCACTAGCTCTTAAGTGACTAAACAAGATTATGCAAAAGAGAAAACTGTGGCAATAGGTCTGCAGTTCTGTTAAGCTTCAGAGAGAGTATTATGTTTCCTGTCCCTTTGAACAAAATGACACAGCTGGTGATAAAGCAAGCGTTTTTCTTAAAATTCTCTCATCACCCCCAATTTCCTACTGAATCTAGATATTTCCTTCATTTTTCTTTTCCTTATGATTTCCTGGTGGTCTCTATCTCTAATAGGACTGTCGATCTTTAAAGACCTCATGTCAACACGTTCCTGAAATGAACTGGAACCTCCTAAAGGTTTATCTGTCAACTTAATACTTGTCATCTAAAAAAGTGAGCTTCTTCAACCTGTTTCCCATTTCATCAATCAGTGTGAAGAGAATGAGAGGGAGGACCAAAAACAGCTGACTTACAGCTATTAACAGAGCCTTGCACCAAATAAAAGTTCACAAAGTCACCTGAATAGTTTACCGAACAAGTCTGCCTTGATGGAGTCAGTGAGAGAGAAGGTAGACAATAGAACAAGGTAGTTTAGTCCATTGTGACCAAATGGAGAGATTACTTTGCCTGTGTCTATGGTTACTCAAACTCTATTTGAAAAATGAACACGTTTTCCTCAGTTGCAATTTGGGTGAATCGGTGCCATTGAATAGTATGCCAAGGCTTCTTTTCCATAATCCTGGCTGGTGGCATTAGGCAACTGTCTGGCAGGGCTCTCAGGCCTATAGGCAACCCCTAATTTTCATGCTTTGTAAAAAGCAAAAGCCCCCTTTACTAATTGGGTACTTGTGGAAGAAAACCAGGCACACACCAAGCTATTCTCTTACTTGGTTCCTCTATCACACAAGAGACACACATTTGGGGAGTTACTGACTATGCTCTCAGAAAAAAAGGTGCCTCCATTTTAAAAATTGAAAAAGCATTTTGTTCACTATCCAGAGTCAAGTCCACTTCTCAAACCAAACTCTGTGGCCAGGTAAAGGATCCTACATATGTACAAAGCATTCCTTTTTTTCCAGAAATAGAACAAACTACTCTAGATTCCAAATTTATTCCTTGCAAGCTTATTAAAAACTCTCAAAGTTACAACTAAGGTACTATAGTTAAAAATGCTCCCTAGAACTTCATTCATTTTAAAATGATGCAACTTGTCTGGACAAGTCATGCCAGAGGCAAATAGACAGTCATTTATATGGTAACAATGGCCTTCTCCAACCTTCCATGCCAGGCCATTGTAAAGGAAGCGGCCATGATGCTCAACACATTTTCACAGCATGAATGGATTTCATCACTAGTCTTTCAAATGCTCCAAGTGTGTTGCAGACAGATAAACAAGCTCTGCTTGGAGGAAGTGCCTGAATTTGAAGCTGTAGAGCATATCTTCTCTATTCAGAGTGTGTTGAGTGAAGCAATACATTGTAATGAAATACAGTAAGCAGTGCTTTGGATAGGCAGGCACCTTCATATTAATAAAAAAAAAAGTCATTGGATTCAGTGGCCACGGTAGACTGGATGTATAGATGATGTTGTTACCATAACTCAGTTCTATTCCACTGAAAAGATACTCACTTGCAATCTCTTTCAATGAAGAAGACTTCAGAGAAGTCTGTAATCCCTTAGAACTACACACAGGCACACACACACATTCAGGGACTAGAACTAATCTTTTATGGCAGTGCACACATTGATCATGCGTGGGTAATTAAACAATTCATTTATAACTGATTCAGGTTGCTGCTATTGACCTTGATGGTTACTGGCTCCTGACTCCATAAAATGTGCTATGTCACTTAACAAATCTAAATGGTAATCAGTAGGAATCCTACACAATGCAATCAGCAGAAGTGATGAATTTTTATAAGCAGAGAGTGACCATGCATGGGCAATAACAGAAAACCTGCTGTTCCTCAGTTGATAGAAGGAATACATATGTTCCAACCCAGTACTGGAATGCTGTTAGCAATCAAAACATGACTTAGAAAGCTCTTGTGGTAGAGACAGGTATTCTGAAACAGATTTCCTGAAATTTCCTTTCTGGAGAAAGTGTTATTTCTTTATTATTATCATTATTATTAACATAGTCTTAGTACAAAGCATTTTTCTTTTATTCTAACTGTAAGCACACAAACCCAAACTTTTATTGCAGAATATTAATAATGTAAAAGCCATTTCCTTTTAACATGATGAATCACACTGGTAAATGATTGGCAACTTCAAAATTACATATTGAACAAGTTAATTGATAATAATTATAATGGTGAGGGTGATGGTGAGGAAGAAGGAATGTGTTTTCTCCAAAGTGTGGAATTGTGTAAATTATAAATCGATCAATAGTTGATCTCCACTTCCTCTCCACCATTGTATCTCCAGCACAACATGGAGGAAACATTTCTTTCTTTAAATAATTATTGTATGACTAATTCACTACAGCTAGGCAGATGTAAAAATGCCTAGAATTTGTATGCTGTCTTGAGTCTCTCTCAATCAGGCTGTATGTGCTTGAAGAAGCACAATAAGACACTGAACTACCAAGTGTCATCTCTAAGACTATGAGAGCCTGGAAATGGCTCCCATGACTATTCCAGTCAAATCTATTCCTGTCTCTTTCATTGATAGGATTTGGTACGCAAAAAAAAAAAAAAAGACAATTTTACTTTTTTTTTTTTTTTTTTTTTTGAGATGGAGTCTTCCTCTGTTGCCCAGGCTGGAGTGCAGAGCGTGATCTCGGCTCACTGTAACCTCCACCTCCCGGGTTCAAGCAATTCTCCTGGCTCAGCCTCCCGAGTAGCTGGGATTACAGGTGCCTGCCACCATGCCTGGCTAATTTTTGAATTTTTAGCAGAGATGGGGTTTCACCATGTTTGCCAGGCTAGTCTTGAACTTCTGACCTCAGGTGATCCGCCCACCTCAGCCTCCCAAAGTGCTGGGATTACAGGCGTGAGCCACCATGCCCAGCCATGTCACTTTTTTTCTAGCCAACCTTCCTCCAGTGAACTCATCACTTTACTCACTAAATCTCCATTTTTCACAAAGCCCACTCCCTTTCCTCCCAGGAGCAGTACAGGATCGGAGAATTCACTCTCATATGGGTTGACTCAAAGCTGCAAAAGGACAGCAAAGCCTACTTAATTCCTGATATAGTTTGGAATATTTGTCTCTGCCTGAATCTCTTGTTGAACTGTAATCCCCAAAGCTGGAGGTGGGGCCTGGTGGGAGGTGTTTGGGTCATGAAGGTGGATCTCTTGTGGCTTGGTGCTGTCCTCATGACAGTGAGATCCGGTCATATAAAAGTTTGTGGCGGCCAGGTGCTGTGGCTCACGCCTGTAATCCCAACACTTTAATTGACCAAGGCGGGCAAATCACTTGAGGTCAGGAGTTTGAGACCAGCCTGTCCAACATGGTGAAACCTCGTCTCTACTAAAAATAGAAAAATTAGCCTGGGTGTGGTGGCATGAGCCTGTAATCCCAGCTACTGGGGAGGCTGAGGCAGGAGAATTGCTGGAACCCAGGAGGTGGAAGTTGCAGTGAGCCGAGATCACGACTTTGCACTCCAGCCTGGGCGACAAGAGTGAGAATCCATCTCAAAAAAAAAAAAAAAAAAAAGTTTGTGGCATCTCCACCCCTGCTTGTTCCTGCTCTGGCCATATGACATACCTGTTCCCCCTTCACCTTTTGCCATGATTGTAGTTTCCCCGAGGCTCCCCAGATGCTAGCACCATGCTTCTTATATAGCCTGCAGAACTCTGAGCGAATTAAACGTCTTTTCTTTATAAATTACCCAGTCTCGGGTATTTCTTTATAGCAATGCAAGAATAGCCTAACACACTTCCTTATTTTATACTTTGGACAAAATCCTGTGAGACAGTTGCTGCTCCCAGATAACTCTCTCCCAGAAATGGCTGACTTTTTCTAATGTTCAGAATTTTTTGCAAGCTCTAATGCATTTTTTCTTCCTCTTAGCTGTCACTTATTTCACACTCTTCTGCTCAAATATCATTTTTTTCAGAGAAGGTTTCCTCATCCTTCTCTACATTCCTAGCACCCACCCCTGCCTTGTTACCTGTCCTACCATGGTATGCTCATGGCACCAAGTGCCTTTGCTTCATAGCCTTCATCAACGTTTGTCATCACACATTTATTTGGAGGTCACTTAATTACATGACAGTGTCCCCCACTAGGCCCACAAGGGCCATCTCTGTTCTTGCTTACTCTTGCATCCTCAGTGCTTAGCACACAGTAAATGCTCAATCTGCAGCTAAGTGAAAACACTAATAAAAAGCATTGTCAGACTATTATATCCGTGCTCTCTAAGGAATGAATACTAGATGAAACACAGGTCCTTCCTTGCCATAATTTTAATTCTAAAAATTGAAATCTTCCTCCTGTGCTGAAGCACAGGCTCTATCTTCCCGCTTCTACACCAACACACCTGGCAGGACTTTAAGAAGTTTACTTGCTCTTACTGGTCTGTGACCAGTAAACAAATGGGGAAATAAAATAACGTATCAGGAAGATGCTTCAAAAGTTGGTGAGCTTGACAACTAAATGCAATGTGTGATCTTGGATTGGATCACAGACTGGGAAAAAAATAATCCCAAAGCCCATTATGCAGACGCTGGTGCAATGTGAATATGTACTCTAGGTGAGATTTTGTGTCAAGATTACATTTACTGATTTTGATCACTGTACTCTGATTTTGTAAGAGAAAGTCCTTGTTAGGAAATACACACTGAATTATTTAAAAAAGGAATGATGACTACAACTGAGTTTCAAATGGTTCAGGGGAAATACATATCTACATAAATATGTTTTGTATGCATACTCTCAAATGGCTCATGTGTGCATGTACACTCACACATATAGAGAATGGTAAAGCAAATGTGGCAAATGTTAACAACTGGTGAACCTGAGTAAGGACATAACGAATTCCATATACTATTCTTGCAACTTTTCTCCAACTATAAAGTTATTTGAAAATCCAAGGTTTAAAAAAAAAATCTCAGGTTGGGCACAGCGGCTCATGCCTGTAATCTCAGCACTTTGGGAGGTCAAGGCAGGCAGATCACCTGAGGCCAGGAGTTTGAGACCAGCCTGGCCACTATGGCGAAACCCCTCTACTAAAAATATAAAAACTAGCTGGGCATGGTAGCAGGTGCCTGTAATCTCAGCTACTCAGGAGCCTGAGGCAGGAAAATTGCTTGAACCCAGGAGGCAGAGGTTGCAGTGAGCCGAGATCGCACCACTGCACTCTAGCCTGGATTACAGAGTGAGACTGTCCCCCCACAAAAAAAAAATCTTTGAGGAAGGTATATATATGTGTAATTTGGGGTACATGTGACACATAATCAAGCTAATATTTATGCACATATTTTGACTTTGTGATTAGGTTTTCAGTGTGACATGTGCTGGAGGATCTATAACTACAGTTACTTTTACATCAGAAGAAACAACCATGAAACTTACTAACTGATGCTTTAATACAAGTATATAAAAGTGTAACAATATATATATTTTAAGATCTGGGTTGTGAGTAGTTATGATCATGTCTTCCAGCACCAGCAGGATGGAAAGAAAAGTCTCAGACTATATAACATGAAAATCTATTCAGAGAGTAGTCAGTTTAAGGTAAAATAGCAAAGTCACACACTTTGGGATGTGTTGGACTCTAGAAAAGACAGTTTTATTTACTTATTGAGAAAAGTTAAAGTGAAGCACTTCTTAAATTTCTCACTTCCGTGTATCACATAAGCATTGTGCTCCATGCTGGGGTTGAGGAGAGGAAGACATTGAAGCTTATTCTTTGTGCATCGTTTTAAAACAGGGCTTTTCTCCAATGGGTAAGATCCTACTAGGGTCAACGTGGCTACTCATTAACTCTCCTAGCTTCACTACTTCTGAAATTTTCTTAAATGAAAACAGAATCAGAGTGAAGAGAGTAGAGGAAGAAGTCAGCATGAATGACAACTGATAGGGTGAACACACATTTATCGAGTTCAAGCTAACAAATCAGCATTTGTGCAATGCCTGACTCAGAAAATCCACATATAATTTGAAAATTGGACGGCCGTAAAAAAAAAAAAAAAAAAAAGCACACAAAGAATTATTTCACCAATTGGTCTGACAAAGGAAGTTACGTAATGGCATTTGGCAGAGGATGCAGAACAAAACAGCCTGGTAAACAAATGAAGTCATTAGAAGGGAAGGGATAAGGTTGACTCCAAATGTAGCAAATACAAAATAAAATCAGATTTTTAAATGCTACAAATACAAACGTTTGTTCTTTAGTAGGAGTGCCTGACCTTTTCACAAATTGGGTTATAGGATTGGTAATACCTAAGTACATTATCAGTTTTTCATGTCAATCTTCTGGACTATGCATAGATGTTATCAAATAAGAACATTCTTAGAATAAGAAAGCAAATCTTTATGCATCCGTTATATGTAAATTTATATATTTTACATATGATGATACAGTTTTAACAATTTGAGCAGCTTCTGATAAATTCAAATACTAACAAAACCAAAAGAGTTAAAGAAGTCTCAGAAAACAAAATAGAAATCAAAAAGTCTTCACAAGCTCTTCCATCTCTTAAATATACGTGAGGAAATCACTACTAATGCTGATATTTAGAAGTGGGTGCTTTTATCTTTAAACAACCTTGTTTGAATAGATATGCTCCAGGCATTGCACTTGGACCATTTGTTTTACCAGCTGTTTCTAAAAGTATGTTCATGATGGAAACCTTTTCTGCCTCCTCCAAAATTGCTTTTCTGAGGGCTTTTTCCCCCTTCCACAACGGAAAGGGTAAAGATATGGAAAACAACATCTGCTGAAAGATCTCACAGCTTCAGGGGTGGACTATAGTCGTAAGATGCACGTGGAAAAAAAAACCATCAAAAAACCCTGATAAACTAAATGACTAAAGAGACTGCTGCATTCTCTTGGATTAAAGGTAATCAAATGTTTTAATTCATTAATATAATCTTTGTAGCTGCAGTGACAGATGTTCCCTACATGGAAGAGAGTCTCAATTAATCTGCAGCTGATTTAATTTTCTGGACATCCTATCGAGGGAGAGACAGAAGAGGAAGAGGGAGGTAGAGAGACATGAATGTAAAGTTTTAAATTACTTGTCTGCAACTGCATCTTTTCATCTAACCAGCAGATGTACAGATGAGAACTGTTCAGGCATTAAGTATGTACACAACACCTGAAGCTGGGGTTAAAGGATCAAGCATATTCCCAAGACTCTGGTGAAAGCCACTTCGTGTTCCATCTGTGTTCCTGGGTTCCAAGCAGAAATTTTAAACTTTCTGGTAATGGGTCATTTACAGGATAGCTTGTGCCCACTGCTGCTGCATTACCACCTGGTGTATCCATGGACAATTTGTCACTTGATGAACAGAACTGACCTTATGGAACTAATGTGTTAAGCTATATAGAGCCCTGCATATCATCATCATCATCATCTTTGAATTCCTCCAGCAGCTTTCCTTGCAGGGCCATACATCATAATTCAACCCAGGAAAAAGGATTCACTATTTTTAAAAAATTACGGGTCTGGCGAAGCTTCCGTATCTAAATATTAAAACATTTCCCTTGCTGGTCTCCTAGTATACTCTTCTATATTTTAAGAAATAACAGATATCCCTTCTCTCTGATTACAAATGTAATACATGCTCTGCATCGATTTTTGTTGTTGTTCTGTTTCATTTTTTGAGACAGGGTCTTGCTCTGTTGCCCAGGCTGGAGTGCAGTGGTGTGATCATGGCTCACTGCACCCTTGACCTCCCAGGCTCAAGCAATCCTCCCACCTCAGCATCCCAAGTAGCTGGAACTATAGGCATGCGCCACCATGCCCAATTTCTACATAGATGTTTTGGAGTATGATTATCAAAATATCGGTCACCACCTAGAGATAATCACTGTTAAGTCTGTTATTGATAATACAATTCTTACACCTGATTCAGGACCTTAAGTCTCTGATTTCCAATAAATACTCAGTAAATTTGGCATGAATTTTTATTAGGCTAAATTTAGTGTAATATTTTCAATATTTAGATAATAAATTTCATGAATCAGGAGGTTATTGGTATAGATTACCCAAGAGACAAAAAAGAGGAGAGGGGATGAGGACGTAGATACACATTCAGGAATTGCCTTTGATGTAGATCACATGCCTTATTTTGGCTGGGGACTATAATATTTGACTTTCTCTTGACACAAAGATGGATCATGTTAGCTCAAATGTAGGCTAATTCAGCTTTCCAAAATAGCTCTCTCTCCTTTGTTACAAGGCTTACAGTGAAAAAAATCTAGAGTTAGCACAGAGACTTTTTTATAGGCATGAATTATCTTTCCACACAGTCCTTAGAAGTTTCTGTCTTTCTTTAAGTAGACTTCTAAACTGATCTTGGCCTTCTAGTTATATTTATCCTAGGGTGGCTTTTTTGGTTTTTTTGTTTGTTTGTTTGTTTGTTTGTTTGGAAATCTATTTTGTGCCTTTAATCTATTTTTTTAACTGAAATTAAAAATTACCTTAATGCTTGTTATCTAAGTGACGGATGCTTAAACTAGTAACTTCCTGGGACCTCAATAAAATAGATGGGTCTTAACATCATCATTATTAGTTCACAATAAAACTTTACATGTAAAAAGGCCTTCAGTCTTTGAAATCTACTCAATCTAATGTGGCAACATAGAGAACACTTTAAAACTTTAAAACTCTTGTTTTTTTGCTTTTTCGGATGTTTGTTTTCAATGCCTGAGAAAAAAACTTCAAAGAAAAACTGTAGGGAAGGACTGACATACCATTGCCAACCTTTATTTTGCTGATTAAGAATGCTATACATAGTAACAAAATGCTGCTTTTGTAAAAGACATTGATTTTAGCCATCCAAAAAAACATGATACAGTATCCAAATATAGGGCAGTTCTGTAAGTTTGACTTTGTGCAGACTCACCATATTGTCCTTGCTTTTCTCATTTCACTATGGGTCACTGAAAGCTTTGGCATAGACTGGTACTAGTTTTAAATTCGAGCTTGGGAACCAGTACTCTAGGTTGCTTAATCTGTCCTCTGTGTGGGCAGATAACATGACTGAGAACACATCACTAGAGCATATATTTGAGTCTGTGCCACAGGAGACTTCCAGTCCCCACTAACTGCTTCACAACTTGTCTATAATCTCTTAGTTCCCTTTGTGACTAAAATAATACAGAGTTGTATATTTGAGCCCTAAGTGGGTCAATGATATCGTCTTGTATGGCAACAATGTCCAGTAGAGGGAAGATAATCAATTTCATACTACTTCTGAATTCTCTGTTGGATGTTATCTCAGTTTAAAATAGAAATCTTTGGATATACAATAAAAAAAATCTTAATATATAATATCAATAAAATGGCATGGATTAAAGATTTAGGACACCTGGGATTGAATTACAACTCCAATAAAGACTAGGTCCATGACCTTCAGCAAATCAGTTTATCTTTGTAGGCATCAGTTTTGTCACCTAAACCAAAAGCATTACAATGAACTCTAAAATTCATCAAGCTTATAGTTTGAGGTTATATAAACTCTGGGATTATCAGAGAAAAAAAGACATGCAAAAAAAAAAAAAAAAAGGTCTTAGCTTTAGGGGAATTTGGAAGGGATTGCTGTTTAATTTGATAATGTCACCAAGAGTTTACTAAACCAGAAATTTTACTGAGAGCACATCCTGCCAAATTTATGAAAGGGCTATATTTAAAGGAATTTAAGAAACAAAAGAATAAAAAACACTGTGTGTCTCATTATGCCTTGTTTGACCTTCATGGGGTCTCTTTATTTTAGTGTTTTTAAAATGTTTCATTTGGATGCCTTTAAATGAGGGCATGTTCTCTTCAGTTCAGAGTTCCCATGACTGCAGATTGCATCTGGTCTGGTCTATTTCATCTATTCATGTTATGCAGCTGGCCCCTGGGGACAGAGTGTTTTCCCTTGCTTTATAGGGAAAGCTAGTAATGAGTAAGTGTAAACAAACAAGTAAACAAACCAACTAGCCACATGGTAAAATGAGAGGTTATTGTAAGCAGAAAGGGAGAAAAAAGTCCTTGTCAGGCCATCAATAGTGCCTAATTTACCCTTGTTTTCCTCTTGTTCTTGTTAATCTCTTTGATCTTCAAAGCTTATTAAAACATGCATTCCAATAGGTTATTTTAGAAGATGACCCCGTGCCTCCTGCCCTCAAAGCCTTTCCTAATGCCTCCATCTTTTTTGCCTCCTTGCATCATCTCTTCATTTTGTTTGCTTCCTTTGTAGTTCAGAACCTTACATCTCCAGGCACAAAACCACACCAGGGGGCCCTGCTAATGTAGAAAGCTCATAATGTTATCACTAAGCACCCTGGCCACCCAAAGTTAACCTTATGCTCCCTCTGGGGTTTGGGATACATTAAGATTTAGCTTCATGGTTTGCCCCATGTTTATATATGAGTCTTTCATATTTCTTCTCCATAGATTTCTAATGTGAAAGATGTTAAAGAGAGTAAGCATTAACTTATACTGCATGTTCTCAACAAGTTGGAGCTAAATGATGACTTAGGAACACAAGGAAACGACAGACAATGGAGTCTACTTGAGCAGGGAGGGTGAGAGGATGGAGGGAGCAGAAAAGATAATTTTTTGATACTGGGCTTAATACCTAGATGATCAAATGATATGTACAACAAAACCGCATGATATGTTTACATAGGTAACAAACCTTCACATGTACCCATAAACCTAAAATAAAAGTTAGAAACAAAAACTTCTTAAGGAAAAGCCATTTTTGCAGTAGTACTAAATCTGGCTGGTAGTACTAAATCTGGCTGTGAACCTGTATTCTCATAGCCTGATCTGGTCTAATCTGCTGCCAGGTGGTAGAACACGTTATTCACCTCAGGACATAGGATGCTCCTTCCTGCACCATACTGTATAATCTGCTACCTCTAACATTCAGAGGGCTAAGATATAAATACATGCTTTTGCTCGCAATGCAGGCAGGAGTCCTAGATATGGTGCCCACTCCATTGTGTCCTCCTCATTCACTGCCTGTGTCACCAAGAATGTTTTTCCCACTTTCCTCACAAAACTTACAAAGCTACAAATCAAAGAGTACAGGGAAAGAAGAGGCTCTCAGCAGGTTGTGAAATCGTATCTCAGTCATTTAGACATTTGTCAGCTCAATAACCCATAGCCAAGGTTTGGGGAAGAATTACTGGGATATGACACAGTATGTGGGCGGGAGATCAAGGAAGCTACTGCCAAAGAGGTCTAAAATTGGGGGTGAATGCAGCCCACACCTAGCAGAGGTGGGGAGCTCAGAAGACACACTGGCAAAGCGAAGGGCAAGACGTTAAGCTCCTACCCAAATATGTAGTGTACAAGCTGGGTGGAGATGACCCTGGTTTAGTTTGTTATTGTGTTTCATGTCTGAGATAGTGGCATATCTAAAACAAAGGTGGGAAATGTCCTTAAAGATGAACTTTTAGGGCCGGGTGCGGTGGCTGATGCCTGTAATCCCAGCACTTTGGGAGGCCGAGGGGGGCAAATCACGAGGTCAGGAGTTCGAGACCAGTCTGGCCAACATGGTGAAACCCCGTCTCTACTAAAAACACAAAAATTAGCTGGGCGTGGTGGCTCACGCCTTTAGTCCCAGCTACTCAGGCGGTTGAGGCAGGAGAATTGCCTGAACCTGGGAGGCGGAGGTTGTAGTGAGCCGAGATTGTGCCACTGCCCTCCAGCTTGGGTGACAGAAAAAGACTCCGTCTCAAAAAAAAAAAAAAAAAAAAGCTTTTAATGTCCTGTTGTATCCTATGTGGTCTCATGTACTTAGTGGAGAACTCAACAAATGTTGGGAACGACTATAAAATGGGCAAGAAGGTCTTATCTATTAAAAACAAAAAAAAAGACTACACATTTTTAACCTATGGGACTTCTCTAGATTGGGGTAAACTATGACCTCTGAGCCAAATCCAGCTCCATCTCTGCTTTTGGAAATCAACTTTCATGAAAACACAGCCCTGCTCATTTATTTGTTTCCATGGCTGCTATGTGTCATTATAAGAGCTGATTGAGGAGATAGGGCAGGGACTGTAAGACGCTCAAAGTGTAAAATACTTACACCCCAGCCCTTACAGAAAAAAAGTTTGCTAACTTTGGCTCTGGGTAATTAATCTGACAAATTTTAACACTGGGCAATACAGTATTGCCAGTTTTCATGATCTTTTAGTAAGAGGAGGTCTCTGTGCTTCAAAGCTAAGATGGAAGCACTGCTCTAGGACAGAGGGTATGCAAACATTTTCAACTATACACATTTTCCAGTTTATGAGTTTATGATCTGGATTCGGGATGGGTTGAGACTGATATAATTTGTAATGGAATCCTCAGATGTTTGTGCAGGCCATACTTGCCTTGGAATAAGGATTATAATACAAGCAAACACAGTTTTAAAATTATGTTTCCTTTTTAATTGTGATTTTTAGTTCTTTATAACTCATTTTAAGATTCTTTTCTTGCATAGGAAACTCAAAGACCCACAAAAAGTGTGTGTGTGTTTTGGCTTTTAAAATAGTTTTGGATGCATAATGCAAGGAAGTGAGGAAAAAGGGAGGATAAACAAATAGTTACAACTTTAAGAGATGTCAAGAGCATGTGGGTGTCAGAAAGGGTCTAAGATAAGAAATACAAGTTCGTTTTGTTGTTGTTGTTGTTTTTTGCTTTCTTTTAGCTGTAACACCTAAATCACTGTGTTCTAAGGAACATATTTATTTCTGAAATAAAGAAAATGCAGTATCTTAACCCAAGCTCTCGCTAAGAGCCTCTATCCTTAGATTCCTAACATCAGTTAAAGGTGGCTGTTGTCTGGGCATATGTTTTGAACAGAATTGATCATGAATAATGAGCTAGAAACCCCAAGTGCGGCCGGGCGCGGTGGCTCACGCCTGTAATCCCAGCACTTTGGGAGGCCGAGGCGGGCGGATCACGAGGTCAGGAGATCATGACCATCCTGGCTACCACGGTGAAACCCCGTCTCTACTAAAAACACAAAAAATTAGCCAGGCGTGGTGGCGGGCACCTGTAGTCCCAGCTACTCGGGAGGCTGAGGCAGGAGAATGGCGTGAACCCGGGAGGCGGAGCTTGCAGTGAGCCGAGATCGCGCCACTGCACTCCAGCCTGGGTGACAGCGAGACTCCGTCTCAAAAAAAAAAAAAAAAAAAAAAAAAAACCCAAGTGCACATATTATTGCATAGGTGACATCAAGGGAGACTCACCTCACATAAGTGTTGGTATTTCTCTCCAATATTGGAGTCATTCCTCCTTATGGGAAACCAGGGTAACTTGTTTTAACCACGGTTATTTGAATAAATCATAATGGAACAATTTTATAACCCCCATCAACCAAGATTGTTAAAGCCTTTTTGATACATAATAACTAACCCATTTATCAACTACTTCCCAACCATGTAATACATTCAATACACAGACTTTCTTTTATTATCAAGGAGGCCGGCAGCTATTTCGTATATTTAGGTTAATGGAAAATAAGCGCTACGTAAGAGACAGGATAGCATAGTGATGGGTGTCCACGCTGGGGGCAGTTGGCTTGGGTTCAGATCCCATTTCTTCTACTTCCTTGCTGTGTGACCTTGATAATTTGCTTAGCTCCTCTGTGCCTCCATTTACTTATCTTTAAAATGGAGATAATAAGAATAGACTCTCACATGATTGCTGTGAGGATTAAAGTAGTTAACAATGTGAAGTACTTAAGACTATATTTCACTAAAGGAAGTGCTAATATTCACTGAATGATGAAACAAAGTTGTAGCAGTGGCAAACCTATAGGAGAAAGCCTAGAAGTCACTTCAAAGGACTTTATTCAATGTTGTGTATGCTGCCATCGAAAGTTTACTATATAGGGAGGCCCGGAACGGTGGCTCATACCTGTAATCCCAGAACTTCGGGAGGCCAAGGCAGGCAGATCACTTGAGGCCAGGAGTTCAAGACCAGCCTGGCCAACATGGTAAAACCCCGTCTCTACTAAAAATACAAAAATTAGCTGGGTATGGTGGCACACGCCTGTAGTCCCAGATACTCAGGAGGCTGAGGCAGGAGAATTGCTTGAATCCGGGAGGTGGAGGTTGTAGTGAGCTGAGATCATGCCACTAAATTCCAGCATGGGTGACAGAGTGACCAAAAAAAAATAATAATAATTATGGGGGCAACTAAACTTCACACCAAATTAAAGCAAAATACTGCACTATCAGAAACCCAATCAAATTATCTATCTTGTCAAATTAGAAGGACTAAAAAGCTGCAACACTTTCCTTTTTAATTCCCAGGCCTCTCAAACTCTTTTACAGAGCAATGATTAAGTATCTTACAATAAAATCATCTTTTTAAAAACTGCAGTTGCTTTCTGCAGTACTATGGTTCTCATGCTGTTTTAAATGTTAATATACTAGCTTACTCTATTAGAAAATGTGGAAGCAAAGGACATTGACATATTTCACTGTGCAGTTGGTTAATTAACATGCATTACATACTGTAACTAAATAAAATTCATTAGAGTTTAAAAGTTATAAAACCTAACTATGTAATGGGATCATGCTATAGATTCTATGTGCTCAGAAAATGTATCTGGGATAGTCTTTCCAAAGCTCAAGGGACAGAATATGAAAACCTAAGAAATATCCTGTTCATTGTCAATGTTAGTAAAAGAGGAATATTTGGAGGAAACAAAATTAGTCAAAGTGGACATTCTCATGAAGACATGGTCATAACTTTGGTGGCATTTACAAACAGAGTAATCAGGAGTTCTAATTTTGCTTCACTGTCTTCATTTTGCCATTGACACAACCATAATACATTTAAACTCCATTTTATCTAAGACAGTTAAAGCCAAGGACCTCCTTGAGGCAATAGGGAAACCCGAGTCATGCTAAGCTCCACAAAGGAGCGTGTCAAAATTCGATAACTTAGTACTTTGAGAAGTGTTGAAAGAATGACTGGCACACTGTAATATAAAGAAAATGTCTATTTTCAAACAGATTTGGACTTGAATATTACCTCTACCATTTATGTGCAGGTATGTGACCTTGAACAAGCAAACTTAAAATCCCAATTTTCTCAACTGTAAGATGACCAAGCTAGTTTTTATCTCACAATAACTTAAAATGAGATTTAAATAAAATACTATGTTTTCATGTACCCAGTATAGTACCTGGGCTAGTGGTGTGCTTGAGCCAGTTTATGACAACTGATTGCAAAATTTCTAGGAAATTTGTAAGCTGGTTGTTAAAACATGGCCATTTTCAAAAGTTAATATATATATAAAGTTACAAGTATATTAAAAACAGGTAATTAAAAACTTAAAACTCGGTACTTCCTAATTATTTTACTAAATTTTACTATTATCTATGAGGTTCTTGACGTCTATAGTGTACGTATGATGAAAAAGCCATATAATTGTGTACGAGCAAGGACACTTCCCAATTCTGAGTTTAGGGCTGTCATATTGGTAGCTAGAAATCAGCCATGGTGGGAATATTTTACACCATACAGAAACTGGAAAACTGCAAATTAGAGCTCTGTGTGTGTGCTGGTTTTAAAATATTTATCAGCAAGCAGCTTTACCTGGCTCATAATCAATATCTCTTCCTTTCCTCCTTCCTTTCTTTTACATTTCCCTCCTCCTCTTTCTTCGCCTTTCTTGTTTCCCTTCCTTCTTTCATCAGAAAGTTGTTCTTAGTCCACAGAGCCATCCAGTTCCTCATCCTTGGCCTTTTTCCCCTTACCCTTAAGAAAAACCAATAGCTACCCTGGCCTGACTGAAAGATCTCATCAGAAAACCACAGGTCTGGATATGCTTTCTCTTTTTCAGATTACAAATACAGATTTTTCATCTGAAATCTTTAGGCCTATTGAATAATCTTTAATCTATTAATATATCACCTATTACTCATTTTTATACCTATTTGATATTCTCGTGCTCAACCCTTAAAGAGGGAAAGTTGTTACAAAGTGTCATTTTCATGCTGTTCGTATCCAACTAATCAAATCCTTCCAAGTAAAGCATCAAATCGCCTGGATAATCACAGGTAGAGTCCAACATTTGGATAATTAACTGGGCACTTCCTTCTACGTTTGTCTCAAATTCAGACTCTATTCTCAGAACTAAAGCTATTATGTATGTCGTGTTCTCTGGAATGGGAAAAGAATGAATTTAGGTCAAAGTTGAAGTGTTGGCTCTCTAATGCTTCCATGAATTAAAAAATAAAAAAGTAAAATGTATATCAGTTGACTCAGAAAGATCAAAAGATAATCTTACCTCAAAATATGCATGAGGTGGAACCAGTGAGTTAAAAAGTTTTTTTTTCCCATCCTCAGATGCCTTGCTGAACACATTTATATTTTAATACATAAACATAAATGCATTTTGTAATAAAACATTTGCAGATTTCCATAAAGTTCCTCCCCAATTCAGGAACAGGCACTGTTCTACACAGCAGAAATGATGCTCCCTCACTAACAATTCCCGAAAAACATCTTCCGTTGATCTGCTCCTGAAGAAAAGTTTCTGACTAGAAGACTGATAATTTATGAAAAAAACTCTTTGGAAATAAGATCTTACATGAAGTCCCTTTAACAGTAAGCCCATTTAATCATACCAAAAATAATCAACAAGGGTTTCTTATTGTCGTTGATCAGTTTGCTGTTTGAGTATAATTATCAGTAGTTTCCCACTGTAAGTTTTTCCTCCTTAAGTCAGGTAAAAAGTACAACTTATGACTTCCAGATGCAAACCAGTGATCAGCCTTATAATGTGACTGAAAGTTTGTTTTGCTTCTTTGTGAAGTTCCCTAGGGGTAAGGTTAAAAGTAGAGACAATAGGAGAGTGAGAAATAAAGGCAGAGGATTTCAAATCACATCTTACAGAGAACAGAATCACAGAACAACACCACGACAGTGGACAAGACAAGATGGCAAGACAGATGTGCCAAACAAGAGACACATGCTTGACTGCTGTGCCAAGAAAAGAAAACACAAGAACAAAACCATACAGAGATGCTGCGAGAGCAGCTCTTAGGGCTGTCATGATCCAATGGAAATAATAATAAAAACAAGGACCCATGAAATTATAACTACAAAAGAATGTAATTCCCACAACTCATACACTGGACTTGCTGGGTTAGCCTAGATGTGTCACTTGGATGAAACACAAGATGGTGTCATGCACTTGTGATGGAGGCCATGGTTAGTTGATGCGCTACAAAACTTGTCACGGCATGCCACACAATGATCCTGGGCTTGTCCAGACAGAAATAAAAGATACAACAAATATTCTATATCTGCAATAAAATTCTTTTTATGCCATCTGAAATTTGTGGAGAGGGGTGTGTTTCTCTGTCATTTCTATGTGTTTTTCTTTTATTTTTTTCTGACTCTTATCTTTTCAATTAATTACATTGTCATAAAGGGGAAAGTAAAGGCAAGTGGTCCATGCAGATATGGGGGTAAATCAAAAGGAAAGAAACGGAAATTAAAAGGAAAAATATGCATAGAAGGAGGAAGAGGAAAACACAGTATTCATTCTTTTGTACACAACTTTCTTGGATTTCGTTGGGGTTTGTTTTGTTTTGAGATAAATACTGGAGGGATATGCTGAAAGGGGAGGAATTTGAGATTAGGATGGCAAGAAAAGATTTTTTTGCCTTGTTTGATTTGTATATCTATATATCTCTCAGTATTTGAAAATAATGATTATAGTTACTCATAAAAGTATAGCAATGAGTTAAAAATAGCCATAATGATCAAAATAGTAAATATGAAAACAAAATAAATTGAACCACCAAAAATTCATGCGGCACAAGATGAGGTGAAACAACAAAATGTTCTTCAAATATATACAAGGTATATATCTATTTATATATATACACAGGAATGTGCATATACGGATAGATATATCTGTATAATTTTTTCTTTCCACCCCTCCCAAGGATAACTGAATTATGGAGTCAGCATTATAATTATGATAAAGAAATCTTAAAGAAAAATCAACATGCTTTGTTTGCCAAGTTAAAACAGTATCATGCATGTCTATGTTGGCTGATGCTGGTTAAGAATGATGGTGTGAATTTCTGTGTAAACACATGACTGATGGTAGGGGCTGTTAATCTCTGGTTACATTAGTCTAATATCACTTATACTGTGTCTACATATATATGGAGTGACAGGCAGTATATTATTTGCATATGTGCATATCATATATATATATATACACACAGTACATATACTTGGGGCTTATGGAAGAAAAATGTAGAATAAAAAGAATAAATCCCATAAAAACTTCTCTTTTAAAACCCAATCCCTCTTTATTTATTTTTGGGGGACTTGCTTAATGATGTCATTAAGCTCACTCCTTATGTACCACTTGCATTGGCATTTGGAATCAGGAAGTTCTCATGAGTTCAGATTGAAATTCTCCCTTCAACATGTCCATCCTTTACCCTATTACCTAAAAACGGTGTGGCCTTTGACCATACTGTATATGTGAAGTCCCCAAAAGAGTGTTGCTTTTTTTCTTTACTGAGCTGTACTAATTCCAAAAGAGTGTTGCTTTTTTACTTTACTGAACTGTACTAATTCTTCAATCGTAATAAATGAGAATTCTGTGTCACCAAACTAAAATACAGAAGAATGCTCCTTGGGGTTAGTTGAATCTGTCACTGCTTGGCATCATCTTGTGTGATTTTTTTTTTCTTGCATATCCCTGATAAGGTATGCTGTTCACTGAATTGGAGTGCTCCAACATCCTTAGGGTGCTGATAATATCGTGGGCATTTCCATTCATTGTCCTCATTGTTTCTTCCCTTCCTTTTATTCCTCTTATTATATCTGCCTTTCCTAATAAACTGAACTTCTGGAAGCGATATTTCTGAAGCAAAATACTTTTGTTTTCCCAGCACCTATTCTAGTGCCTACATGTAATAGTTACTCAAAAGTGTTACATATAGAAGAGATTTATCAAACTTTCAGATAGAAGTATATACACTCATACATTGATTTTATGGATTCCCCTGCCTCGCTCTCCAACCTACTAAAAAATCTTGGGTAATGGAGTTGGATAGAATTTTTTTCATT
Organism: Homo sapiens; assembly: GCF_000001405.40. Taxonomy (NCBI): domain Eukaryota; kingdom Metazoa; phylum Chordata; class Mammalia; order Primates; family Hominidae; genus Homo; species Homo sapiens. The sequence continues at coordinate 79,812,131 of NC_000014.9, read as the reverse complement.
TTTTTATTATTAAATATATTTGTTATGAAATCCACAATAGTCGATCTATGGGCCACATATATTATGCACACTATTCCTCAGCCTAAAGTGCAAGAGCTAATTAGTAGATCTTTCCTATTCTTATATTTCTGTTCTTACCCTAATTTTCAAAGCATTTCACCATTAAGGATTTTAAAAGCACATAGTTACTGCAATGGTTTAAAAAATAACTTGGGTTGGGTTGGGGCTGTTATAAAAAAGTGACATAACTGGCCGGGCGCGGTGGCTCACGGCTGTAATCCCAGCACTGTGGGAGGCTGAGGTGGGTGGATCACGAGGTCAGGAGATTGAGACCATCCTGGCTAACATGGTGAAAACCCGTCTCTACTAAAAATAGAAAAAAATTAGCCGGGCGTGGTGGCGGGCGTCTGTAGTCCCAGCTACTCAGGAGACTGAGGCAGGACAATGGCGTGAACCCACGAGGCGGAGCTTGCAGTGAGCCGAGATCATGCCATTGCACTCCAGCCTGGGCGACAGAGTGACACTCCATCTCAAAAAAAAAAAAAAAAAAGAAAAAAGAAAAAAGAAAAGAAAGTGAAATAACTTGGTGGGTTAACAAAGACAAAAACTGTATCATTAATCTGGAACATTATACTCCCATGAACATACTATATTCATTTATAGATCAATGAAGGCGGTTGAAAAATGGATATGATTTAGCCTAGACCTAAGTATGTGAACAACTATTTGCTTTTGTGAGCATTAGACATGTATTGTAACTCAAATTTTAAAATGACTGATGTCCACAGCCAATAATAATGAATTAAATTAAGTAATTTTCTATCGATATACAGTTCTCTTTCCAAAGCTAAAATGCTTATCTTAGATTATTTCCATTATCTCTTTGGTCAAAGTGTTTAAGTGGATCTGAGCCTTTTATCAGAATTTATAGCATTTACAGACCATTGAATTTATAGATCTGTCATACTCCAACATTCCTATGAGATTTTACTTGGACATTTATTTTTGTACTATATTCTGAATAGCCATTGACTAATGAAATTTTAACATGATTCTATTTGCTAATGAGTTTTCATATAGAAAAATCTAAAGTGAATAAATAGTTAAATAAAATTGACTTATTTGTAATAAAAACATACAGGTTGCTAACTTCAAACTTGACAAAGACACAAATGACAAAACGTATCTCTATAAGATTTCAAACATCATATTTAAGGCCAACAATCAGCACATTTACTTGTTATCTATAAATTCTGGTATAAACTTCTCTTGATCCTTCACTGGAAAATTATTATTATCTATTAACATTTCAGCTGCATTTTCTACCATGTTCCAGCAAATAAAAAGTAAAATGATTTGGTGAGCTTTTAGTAACTCAGTGCCAGATTTTCAGATGATACTTTCCCGAGGCATCTCAGACTGATAAAGATTAAGAATCCAGTTCCACCTGGAAAATACTAGATGTGATCTTGGTGTTATGCCAAATTTAAATTTCACTCAGCTTGGGTTGTATATTATAGTAGGGCTAACAAAGAGGAACTAAGTAGCAGTAACACCGAAATGCAAATGTGAATATTGTAGATTTGAGGAGTAAAAATATACCTGAGAACCACTCTGGGAATAGCAATTATTTTGTCATCTCATATTACTGCCATTAGTTTAAACATCTCCTTCCCAACCATTATGAAAGCTGCTTAGCACAGTCTTATTGATGGATGGATGTGTTTCATCTTCACTTCCTTTTACTGTCTGCCCTCTGGTGGAAGTGCTGTCCCTTGAGATTTGATCAAAGGACATTTAAGAAAAGTGAAGGCAGAAAAACTAGCTACTTGACAAACTGAAAAATATACCCCTGGATAACGACTGGATGAATCAATGTGGTTAAGTATTGCCATGCCCACTTATTAGGTATAAAAGTATTACTTTTTTTTTTCGCTCTGCTCTGTGGCCTCCTGCCCCCAAGACTTTTAGAATCTTGAAACTATAAAAATGTAAAATCCAGGAAGTTGATCATATCTAATTATACAAAAGCTCATCCAAGAATACATTTGTTTTCACTATTACTCTATTTCCAAAGATGGGAATTCTAGGGATAGCAGCAGGGGTAAGGGAAAGAGAAGAAATGGGAAGTGAATTGTATTATTTTCTCTGAATTTCAGAATTCATTCCCACATTTTAGATTACAAATGTGAATTTACTAATGATCTTAATTGCTATTTGGCTTCCATAATCTCATGAGGGTATCCTTTTCCTAGGGGTTATTTGAATGCTCTCCAGCTCATCCGTTTTTCTTCTTGGATTCAAAGAGAAAAAGGACAATGAAATATGAATTTACTGCACAATTTAAGATTAATAGAAGTGCAGTTGGGAATGAAACAGTTTATATGCAAAGAACGAATCTAAAGTATTAGATACTGATTTGTTTTGTGAAGAACACAATTAACATTTACAAATCGAGTTAAAATCCAGACCCTCGCCTCTAGATAGCTATTCAGATACACTTCTGAATATCTTCATTTGATGCAGATGGTTTTATTATAACTTTATTGTTTAAAGGTTCAATTCTGGGTTCTTGAAGCAAATATTCAGAAAATGTGATTGTATCTGTGACTTATAAAATAATCTAGTTCCCAGAAAAAGGTAGGGATAGGAAAAAGCAGAGAATAACTTTGTTAAAAAAAAATGTAGGTTTTGGCCAGGCACAGTGGCTTATGCTTGTAATCCCAGCACTTTGGGAGACTGAAGTGGATGGATCACTTGAGCCCAGGAGTTTGAGACCAGCCTGGCCAACATGGCGAAACCCTGTCTCTACCAAAAATACAAAAGTTAGCCAGTCTTGTTACCCAGTCTCAAAATAAAGAAATAAAAATTCTAAAACAAATTTGTTAAAAATATAGATTTTGTCAGGGCAGCCCTATTATATGAAATCATAAATTTTAAATGAGTCAATAGGTTTAATTTTAGCTGTTAAAGGGGAAATGAAGTTAGAGATATAAAGTTCTGTTTCAAACTAATTTAGTCGACAAATCCTAATTGAGCTTTTACTTTATGCCTTGCTCTCATGATTTGGGATTTCTTTAAATTTCTCTACATATTTACCAGCAAAAATATACCGTGAAAACTTGACTTCCATTGGATTTGCAAGGTTTCTAGACTCCTATTGACCAAACTCCAAAAATATTTACCTTGTTCCTAAATATAATAAGATTAAGCTATACCAAACCGTGGTGACCCTTAAGCACAAAAGTAAGTTCTGAGAGTGAAAGGCGATTGCTTATAACTAACTCAAAACCAGCAGTTTAAAAATCCAATGTGATTTGAAGAAAAAATAAATTATTTCATTTAAAATTTGATGCTCATATGAAAATAAAAATTGAATTATAGCACACACTAAACTACCCAAATTTATGAAAAGTGAGAGCTTCAAATGGATGTAAATTAATCAGGAAATAACCTGTAGAAGTTAAATGCCTCATAAACGGAGACAGCTAGAAAATAATAAACTCGCTGGCAAAGTGAAAGAAGATAAAGTAGTAAGTATGATAGAACAAGGCCAAGGAAGTTAGCCAAATTTAGTGTATTTCCATCAAGCAAAAGGCCTGGAAAAATGTTTTAGAAATGGAGGCAGTGAATTAGGGTGTTCAAAACCAGAATTTTAATCTTAGTGGTAATGTAGAATTGCAAGATTGGCAATTTATGTCAAAGATGTGTAAATGTCACCATTATCTGTTGCTGCATGGGCAGTAGGTCCCTTCTCTTTAGGCAGTGCAAATCTTGCCCAAGAAACTGATTTCTGATTTTAATCTGTATTGTTTTTGGAAAATGTGAAGCCTGAGATACATACATACATACATACATATATATATATATATATATTTTTTTTTTTTTTTTAATTGAGAGAGAGTCTCACTCTGTTGCCCAAGCTGGAGAGCAGTGGCATGATCTTGGCTCCCTGCAACCTCTGCCTCCCGGGTTCAAGCACTTCTCTACCTCAGCCTCCCGAGTAGCTGGGACTACAGGCGCCTGCCACCACGCCTGGCTAATTTTTTGTATTATTAGTAGAGACGGGGTTTCACCCTCTTGGCCAGGCTGGTCTTGAACTTCTGAGGAGATATTTCTTATGTAATGAAAAAGAGGGCTTGATAGCTCTAAGCAGGTAATCCCCATTAGTGGAAATCAGGTCCTCTGGGCAAACCTCTTCTCTCTCTGCATTACTAGGAATATCTACCTACTTCTTGTATTAAATATACCACTGACGTATTTCCCTGTATATCCAAATCACTCACCAGGAATACTTTATGGAGTAAATAAAATTAGAAAAATGCAATGCTCATTCTTCAAATGTGATGAGTTGAATAATCACAGGTGGAGGAAATCAATATCAGCCTCCTAGAGCTACATGTTCACTCTTTAAAGGTAGGGGTTCTGTCACTCACTTTATCTCCTCTCATGCTCCCTTACAGAACACAACAGATTGTTCTAAAAACTGTATCTCCCCACCCACCCCATGTTATTCAAGAAATGTTGGTGTTGAATTTCTGTCCTCTGCTTCTGAATCAGAGAAAATACCTGCGTGGCCTCTAGAAAACAAATGGATTTAGTTTGGGGCCATTCAGGTTTACGCTATTCAAGTCTCATAACAAATAGCAATATATACCCATAAACTGGGGAGCTACAGAGCTAGAGAATCTGAAGCTGAGATCTGGAAAAGCCCACTGCCTTATTATGAATGTTGCTGTGGAGATGACTTTCTGAGGCAGGGTGAGTAGTTGAGGAAAGATGGTGATAATATTTCAGAATGACCAAGCCTCAATTTTGATAAGCCTTAAAATCTACAGATTTGATAAACATTGCTGCATATAGAGATATCACTGCTAAGAAAGGAAGAAAAACATTTGGGAGGTCAAAGCGAGAGGATTTCTTGAGGCCTGGAACTCGAGACCAGCCTGAGCAACATGGTGAGAACCGCATTTGTACACAAAATAAAACAAATTAGCTGGCATAGTGGTGCATGTAGTTCTAGCTACTTGGGAAGCTCAGGCAGGAGGACCACTTGAGCCCGGGAGTTTAAGGCTGCAGCGAGCTATAAACACGCCACTGCACTCCAGCCTAGGTGACAGAGTGAGACCCTATCTCAAAAAAAAAAAAAAAAAAAAAAAAAAAAAAAAATATATATATATATATATATATATAAAATTAAAGCCTAGATTTCTTAAAGGGTTTGCCACAAAACAAGCTAATTTAATGTACGTATTGAGGATTGTGACCTATTAATATATGAACCCTTAATATCTAGCACATGCTTAACATATACAGTTGACTCTCAAAAATATCTGTTGAATTGAATTACGCGAGGAGTTAGATAGCAAAACTATTCTATTCTCTGACAGCTAATTTCTTAAAAAAAAAAAACAGAATAGGAAGGACTCAAATCTAGAGATATATTGTATCCTGCCTGAGTGCTCAAAAATATTTATTGAATGAATGAATGAATAAATTAATGAAAACATGGCACCCAAGTTCTGGTATAGTTCGGATGTATCTGCCCTTTTAGGGTTAAAACCTCACATAGCACATACAGATTATTACCTAAAAATATGAAAAAGAAAGCCCTGACCAGATCACATTTACTTTCCCTCCACACAGCTGAGCTCCCAATGGAACAGATTACACTCCAGAATGGAAGCCCTATCATATTAATGATGTGTCCCTGTGTCATACTAAGGGTATGAACCCACAGAACTTCCTGGATCCAATTCCACTTGCAAGAAACCAAAGCAGTCAGGCTTCAACAGATTTGAAATCTTGTAAATCATTTAGGGGTCAGAAATGGAAGGTTTTTATTTTTATTAGATTATTTTTTCATGAAGCTTAAATTTTCTAGAATTAGCAAAAGAGAATTTTTAATGGCTTTCCTTTTCTTAAAAGGAAAAAAATCTGAAAGCAATGCAAAAAATAACTAGAAAATTCTATTTATTTTAGTCTTCACAGAAATAAGATCCTGGCCCAACTCCAGCTATTAATTCTATTAAACATACACAGAAATTCGATGATATCTGTTCTCTATTATATACATATAAACGTTTAACTTATAGTAAGTCTCAAAACAGACAACTGGGAAAAGTTGATAGGAAATAATCAGGGACTGCAATTGCCTGCTGGACATTAGGTCATATGTAGCTCACTATAAAGAAAGACCATAAAACATCAAAATGTATCTGGGTCCAAATGGGGAACACATTGAAGCTTCTGATTGCTAAAGTCTTCTCAACTTCAGCACAGTAGATACATTTTGAAGCATCACAGCTGTTGACACGGCATGGTACAGCACTAATTTTGTGTTTACTATATTGTTGCACAAGTTTTCTAGACACACAGTTAACAAAATTAGTACAAAGATAATACCATGTTAACTGCTGTTGAAATCCCATGGAAAATATATATATACATATATTTTTGGTTCTCTTAGCTCAGAATAATTCATGAGTTTTAAGTCATTTACCAATCTTTATGGCTCCACTTACCAATCTTTAAGCTCCTCCATGGGTTCATCCTTTCTTGATGTCATTCCAACATATATTTCCTCATGTTCCCACCCTCTGTGAATTTCATAGCTGCCACTGGCTCCTACACATTTGCTGCTCCAGTGGTAAGTCTGGGCATCTGCTTGCCCAATGTTAAGTCATATACCATGATTTTTTGTTAGCTATCAAGAGACTGACTTAATTTTTGTAGGATCTTATTGCTCTTTCCATGGGATTTGATGCTTTCATTGATATAATATTTATATATGTATACTTATACATATATAGATATAAAAATATACACACATTAACACACTATAATCTATATATAAAACACATGTATAATCACATATATGTATGTATTGTTTTTTGCAAAAGAAAAAAGAAAGCAAGCAAAATAAGACTGACCTGACCTACCTGTACTCGGCTCACATTCAACAAAGTCTTCATCATCACTTGAACATTCAGCAGATGAAACAAGATCATCTGATGTTGGCTGTTTATGTCAAAGAGAAAATAATGGGGTAGGGGAAGAGAGAGAAGAGAGAGAGATAAGGAAACTAATGAACAAAGACATCAAAGATTTATCACTGTGTCCCATCTCCCATCATTACGATTATTTTTCTAGAGAGGGCATACCGTAGGATGAAGAATTCTTAACTACTGTGTGACTGAGAATGACTCTGGGTCTAGACCGTCTTAGGGGGGTCTTCCGTAGAGCTGAGTGACCCAAGATGGTTCCAGGAGACTTAAGCCTCACCCATCCCCATAAATGACATTTTGTAGCCTTACTTCATTCTGGTTTTGAGTTTTAGGAATCAGAAGGACAGGAGAAGGGCTGTTGTAAAGGATGGGCAATGTAAGAGTGCAAAGCAACACAGACATACATTGTGGCTTTGAGAGAGTTTCAATCCTTATGGTGTGTGGTCTCAAGTGTATGCCGTGGTAGTTGTGCATCTACAGGCTGGCATAATTAATGAATGCTGTGGAATGCATTCTCTTTAGGAACTGCATAATGGCTTTTATCATTAGCAAGAATTCCTTCATGTAATTGCTGCAATAGCTGAATTGGTAATGTAGACCAGTAGCATGATACCACACAATAGTCCCTGAACACAGGTAAGGCTGTTCCTGAAGAGAGCAAAAACAGTTCTGACTGCAATAATAGTAGTTCGACTTGAGGCACCTTTTAAATTCTGAGTCTCGCAGAAACTCCCCAGTCCCAGGGAATCTATTACAAGAAATATAGGAGACTGAGTATCAGCTGTGAGAAGAGCCCTCCATACAGTAGGTGAGATGACTGCTTTCTGTATTTGGTACATATTGCATGCACAATAAATATTGAATGAATGAATCTACAGATCTTATGCAAAAAACAAAACTTTTGGCCTACTATGTGCATAAGAAGACTCAATATATTATAGTTCAATAATGCTCATTTATTTCCCCTTCTTCATGTGACCAATATTTACTGACTTGTTGATCTTCCAATTCCCAAATGTACTAAAGTCTGGATCCAAATTCAAGAGGAAGAGGTAATAAACCACTCCCCTTCTATTGAGCAATTACTACAAGCCAGATGCTGTCCTAGACATACATATACATACATACATACATATATATATACACATACATACATACATATATATGTATATATATATACATATATATATACACACACATATATATATATACATATATATATATACACACACACTTTTTAGTTACAGTTATTAATTAGACGTGATTCTCACAACCGTCTTTTGGGACAGGGATGACTATTACATGACTAATTAGAATTGCAGTTAGGTTAAGTGAGCTGCTGAAAGACATACAGCTAGTAAAACACATAGTGGGAATTTGAATAAATACATCTTAGTCAAATTCTGTGTTTGTGGCTTGCAATAGGCTTCTTTATACCTGGTCTTACATTATGGACAGAATTATGTCCCCTCAAAATTCATATGTTGAAGTCCTACTCCCCAGCCCCTCAGAATGTGACTGTATTTGATACAAAGCCTTAAAGAGGTAATGAAGTTAAAATGAAGCATTAGGATGAGCCCTAATCCAATATGACTTGTGTCCCTCTAAAAAGAGGACAGTAGGACGCAGACATACCCAGTGGGAGGAAGGCCATATAAAGACGCTGGCAGATAGTCATCTGCAAGCCAAGGGGAGAGTTCTCAGAAGACACTAATTCTGCTGACACCTTGATTTCAGGCTTCTAGCCTCCAGAATTTCGAGGAAATAAATTTCTATTGTCTAAGCCACCTGGTCTGGGATATTTTGTTATGACAACCCTAATAAATGAATATATATGACAGCCTTTCTACTTAGGAGTTCCAGAAAACATCCTTTTTTTAAATAGACATCCTAGGTATGGAATTACTGGACACAGCAAAGAACTGGAAAAACCACATTAGATAATTCATTGATTTAATTAACAATGGCAGAGAAGTGCCCTACACAACAATATTGATCTTTATTCTACATCTGAAAGGGGTATAATTCAAACCTTGCTCCTCAAGGCTAGCAGAAAAAAAGAATTTTTATTTTTTTAATTTTATTAAAGTTCCAGGATACATGTGCAAAACGTGCAGGTTTGTTACATAGGTAAATGGGTGCGATGGTGGTTTGCTGCGCCTATCAGCCCATCACCTAGGTATTAAGCCCCGCGTGTATCAGCTGTTTATCCTGATGCTCTCCTTCTCCACACCGAAAAAAGAATTTTTAAACATACTTAAAAAAAACACACACTACTGAATTGTTCATTTCAGTTCCAGCAACTGAAACTGGTAGTTACATCCTGGGGGGCTGTTATTTGTGTTAGAGACATGGTAAGCATATTCCCTTGGTGTTTCCTGCTGAGAGGGGGCCCTATAATAGCTCTACTTCTAGTTACTTAGGGAAAGGAGCTGGTAAGTGGGAAAAGAGTTAACTGTTGAAATAAATACGGCAATTATAAGAGGAAAACACTATTTTGGAAGGACCACAATCATTGTTTAGTAGTTTTTAAGCATGCATTCTTTATAGGGGCAATGTCTCCCACCAAAGGCAGGAAAGTTTGGTTTGGGCTGAGGGACAATCTTAAATATTACAATGGTTTGTGACCCTCCAAAAGGCCACAGTTACATAAATGAATATGTAGTATATCTTTGGAATTGAAATGTTGTGGGAAAAGGGCAATTAGGGGGAAAACTTATCTGAAAAAACTCCTTAGGATGGTGGTAATAAAGAGGCTGAGAATACACTGCTGAAGTGTGTTCAACTGGAAATTATTAATGATTTGACTGTAAGGGCCTTGCAGAATGGCCCGGTAGGACTTTGGTCCCTAGTATTGAGTGAAAGCTGGTGAGTTAATGAAAATCTAATGAGCTCCTTTCAAGAACTGAAAGCCTGGCAATAAAGTTTAAAGGCCATTGAACAAATGTTTAAAAAACAATGCATAACTTCAGTAGAAACCAAAACATACATTAACATAATATTAGTTGAATCTTTAACTCAGAGGAGACTTCTTCATTTGCATGGGCCAAAAGAAGAAATGTAATTTTTTTTTTTTTTTTCAGAAAAAGGAGTAGACTCTGAGGTTGAAAAGATACTGTCTTCCTCTCAGCTTCCTTGGCTTCCTCTCATACTACTAAGTTTCTCTCCCCTGTGGTTTAGGTGACACCATCCCCAGCCCCACTCTCCCACCCCTTCTCTACCTCCAATTCCATCCCATGAATGGGCCCCTAATCCCCATTGCAGACCCCACACATCATCTTTCACCTTCTGACCCCCTTTTTCCACCTTTAACCCTCTCTGCGCTCCACTTTGCCCAAAGATTTGTTTTCTGTTGATCTTCTATATGAGTACATGTGAATACAGTGTTCTTCCCAGGCAACAGAACCACATTTTACCAGTAGCTCCTAGCAATGGTGCCCAGACTCAAAGGAGTTTGAAGGGGAAATGATCCAGCAGTGTGTCGTAAGAATGGGCCTGGCCCTAGACATAGCACAACTGTGAATCCCAACTCCTCTACGTAGATTCAGAAAGTGACCTGGGATGTGTGTGTGTGCGTGCACACACGTCACTTAGTTACTTCACTATTAATCAACATCATAGTTTAACTTCACAATTAATCAACATCAGCCTCTCAATCAAAGTAATTCCAAGCCTGATAGCCACTCCTAATTTAAATAAATTTGGTATCTGCCTATGTGCTCTATTTGTTACGATTTACCCCACATTAGAAGTGTTCTTTGTTGCTGACAATTCATTACTTCCATTTTATGGTACACATACTATTTCTGGTTGCACCTGCCATGAGGAGTGATAAAGAAAAATGTACTCATAAAGAGCTTAAACAATCATTCAAAGGTGATCTGTTCTCAGTGGCTGTGAATCTAGACAATCTGTGTGGGTCTTATATGAATTCAGTTCCTTCCTTTGTGTCTTTCAGACCTCATCGTTACCACTTAGAGGTACAGCCAACTGAAACTCCCAAAGCAGTTACAAACATCTCAGTCCCTCTTTGCCTGTTTTGGTAACCAATGTTTTCCTCAAGAACCTGGCATGCAACATTGGCCACACCTGCCACAGAACACTGTGTAGTATGGAAAGACTTCCTCTGCCAGAGGCCTTAATTTGCAAAAAGGCTTAGAATTAGGAATGCTACACTTAGACTTTTTTGAAACTACTTTTGTCCCTAACATCTAGAAAATCCAAACATTACAAACCAAGGCTTTTGGATGATATGAGCGGCTTAAGATCATATCCTAAATTAATGGCAATTGGATTCAAAGATACTTTCAGAAAACCCAGGGCTTTCTTTTAGCAGTTTTTTGTTGTTGTTGTTGTTTTGGCTTTTTCAGTCTGTGTTCTTTTTCAGATGTAAGCAAATGCAGGATCTGATGTTGAACCTTGAAAGAAAAGGCACACTTCTTTGATTGCTTTCCATGGCTTGTAAAACAGGTTTCATGTTGCAGATAGACTCAGACTCAGAATAGAATTGCTATAAGTAGAACAAATTGGTGGATCTCTGCCTTTTAATAAAATGTGGTAGCCTTAGGCTGCATGTCTGTGTATTTTCCTATAATCACAACCATTGTCTGTAATTACTTTTAATTACTTAGAAGAAAGAGCAGTTAGTATGCCTGCAAAGAAATGGATATCTAGACTATCTAGACTCATGCCTACTAATAACATTTACCACTTAATAAACACTGGCTACATTTAGGCTTTGTGCTGAGCTGTTAATTCACATTAATTTAGTATTCACTGTAACCAAGGGTATAAACACTTGTAGTGAATTGTTATTTTTAACTGTCCACCATCCACGCTCCTCCAGGAAACAGTGTTGCTTTAGGAAACTCTTCTATTCATAGTTACGTTGGGAATGTTTATCAAGTTGCGTTCAATGTCATCTTCACATTTTTTCCCCTCACAATGATTGTCTAAAGCTCTCATAACTTTCAATGGCTATGCTTAAAGTGCTGACGTATGATGGTTCCCCTATGTCAAATACCAATATTCTCTATAAGTTATTCAAGGAAGCATTTTTTAAAAACTCTATGACCACCCACCAAATAATTTTCACAGTGGCTGGGCTGTTAGATTTACTGTCAGTGGTATATGTCATCAAGGTGCTTTTTTCATTCATTCATTACTTTAATGAATCTTTTTCAAACACCTATATGTCAAGCACTTTAACAGTTATAAGGGATAAAGCTATAGATAAGACACAGTTCCTCTGCTCTGGGAATTCACAGTCTGATGAGACAGGCAAGTAAACAGGCAAACTTGATGTAGTAAACCGAATGCTCTGACAAGAGGAAGCATTAATGTGTGAAGGAAGGAAATAGCAAGAAGGCAGAGAGCATGTGGGAAATGAGCCCTCAGGGACAGGCAGTGGTGAGACAGGGGAAGGAAGTGAGGACGGGTGGGCTGGAGAAGGAGAAGGGCATTTCAGGTGAAATAGTATTTGCAAAGGCTTAGAGGTCTAAAACACGGTTTATTTATACACCCACTAGTAGTAGAGGATGACTGGAGGGAAGGGATGGACTAGAATGACAGTGTGACCACTACTTGAGCTATGTTGTTCTTGAAAACTTAGATACTGAGCATGAATTTCATGTCCTGCCCTATCAGACTTCTCTCCTTTCTCCACTCCCTGCATCTCACCAGTGTCATCTGTCCCATTTGGTTGGAAGCTACTACACATGGTTTATAGAACATAGTGCATGAGTATGACTGCAATGCAGTTTCACAATGCATATTAAGCACCTTAACTTGCTTTCTCAAGGGGAGAAAAATATTCCTCTGCCCCTATATATTAGCCAAGTCCTATATTTAAAACAATAATTCATACTACTACATGTTAAAATATGTATTTCATATTTTTAATCCACGTGTTGAAATTACTTTGTTCTGTGTTAGGACTCATAAAACTAAAGATAGGTATTATAATAACTTTCAATAAAATATCTGTCTGGCAGGAGCCCTATGTATTCCTTTCCTGGAAGATTTTTTATTGCATTTATGTTCTTTTTTTCCTCCTAACATTGTTTATTGAAATTACCTTAGAATAAAGCTGGGACAGAAGAAAGCTCAGAACTCTGTCCACCCAAGTAAATTTATGGGTATATTTACCTTCCAATTCCCTAAGTTTCACAAATCTGACGTATTTTCCTCCAGTGAGTTATTGCTTCTATAATCATTGGCTTCTAATTATGTACTCAGAAGGGTTTTACCCTTTCTTGGCAATGGTTCTACACTGTTCTTCGTTATTAATCCATTATTGGGCATGAGAAAAGTGTCTACTGCTGTGAGCTGTGATCAGAACTGCTCAAGACCGTTTCACTCTGTCCCCTCCTTACTGCCCAACTGCCTTTTGTAACTTCAAATTCCACCCTTCAGCTCTTTATCTTACACTGGTAATAGGCTAATCATTTTGAGGGATAATCAATTTTCCCCACCCATCTCCTTGGAAGCACAGTTATTTGAGATTTAGTATGAGATAAAATAAGTCCTGCCACAGAACAGCTTTATGAAATTATAAATAACACACTCAAGAATGATGATCTCCTTTCTTCCGGTGAAAAAGGAAAAGGGAAAGGCCCATAAATATTCTGAAGCCCCACAGAAAACAGCCATACATCTCTGCAGCTGCTCCACGCTAAAAAGAATTAAATTCCTTTAAATGTTTGCTGTTTTAGTTCTTTCCCCTCTATACCTTCATTCTGAGATGGAGTTGGAGCTCTGAATATCTCAGATGAGAGAGGACCCATCTAGCTTCATTATGAATGTTCATTCTCTATTTAAATACAAGCTGCCTGAGTTTTTCAATTACCTAATACCTATTGACTCTAAGTAAACCTATAACCTTTAATGAGATTTGAAAAGTTTGACCTTTTTTTTAAATGTATCTATTAAGATTTTCTTTACTAAATTGTGGCCATCACAGTCTCATCTTTGATCAGTGCTAATACCCACACATACAACTGGATGATTTTTTTTTTTTTTCCTTGAGACAGGGTCTCTCTCAGTCACCTAGGCTGGAGTGCAGGGGCGTAATCATGGCTCACTGCAGCCTTGACCTCCTTGGGCTTAAGTGATCCTCTTGCCTCAGCCTCCTAGGTATCTAGGACTATAGGTACACGCCACCACACCTGAATAATTTATTTATTTTTATTTTTTTGTAGAGACAGGGTTTTGCCATGTTGCCGAGGCTGGTCTCTAACCCCTGGGCTGAAGCGAGTCACCCACCTTGGGCTCCCAAAGTGCTGGGACTACAGGCATGAGCCACTATGTCTTGCCAATGATTTTTATATGTAATCAAAACTAGAAAAAACATAGAGCTTGGGCAAGCTTGTTAGAAGCCATTATCTCCCTCTCTCCCCCATCCCTCTCACTCACTCAATTTAAGCCCAATACAGAAACAACCTCACAGTGTGGTAAGATTGTATGACTGTCATACCTATACTCTTATTTTATTCTGATTAAACATCCCATTTATAGTTACCTTTGAAAGCCACTGACATTGTTATGATCAAATGAAACATAAATGACTCTAACTTGTCATACTCAGGTGTGAAAGATGGGGGCATCTCATGAAGCAGGTCCTGAATGTTGGAGGTGAAGGGACAGAATTCTAGTCTTGTTAAGATACTATCTAAGGTGACCCTTGTATCCTATGTCTATGAGCTTAAGTATTTCGATTGGAACAACACCCTGTGAATTTTAAAACTGTCTTACAAGGTTTATGCCATGGGTTCTTCCAGCTATTACTTTCCCCTCTTCCCTCTACCTACTCCTGAAGATAATCACTTGCCAAGATATGACTACATGCATAACTTACTTGCTCATATAGCCATGAAATGAGATAGCTTTAAAGAGAATCACCCTGAGCTAAAGATATTGCATTCTGTCTGACCAAAATTAGGTTATTGGAACAGAGCTCTCTAAAACTGAATTAAAAAAATATTCTGAATATATGATTTTATTTACATTTGTACTGACATTTGCATTGACTCATTCACTCACTAATTTCCTTGACAAGTGTTTATTAATTGCCTATGATGTGCCAGTCAATCACTGTGCTTGGGACCAGGCTGACCTGGTCCTTGTCCTCATGGACTTTATAGACTACTGAGATTTAAGCCAAGTCAAACCAGAAAACACTGATTAGTTGCCAAATCATTAGCTATAAAATCTTAAAATTAGTGTTGGGCTCATAAGCGTCACCCAACAGTAATTATTCATTGTCACTAAAGACAGCAGACTACATAGGAATTCAAGCAAATCGTATCACCCACTCCCTAAAACCTCTACCCATCCTCAATAGCCAGCATATTCTTTTTCTTCTTTTCCACAATGCATATACTAGAGCAGGATAAAGAATGACGTGACTTATAATAACTTTTGCTAATGAATTAGTCTTTAAGGAAATCCCTTTGCAGACTCAAGATTTAATTAACAGTAGAAAAACCAAGCTAAGCTTGGCCAAATTTTGTGCCGAGGATTGGGATCCTTTATTTCTACCCTTGAGGTCTTCTAGGATTATATAAATAAATGTAGTGCAGCAGTTTAATTTTTTTTTCCCCCCACTTTTAAGATTTTTCTTCTATTTGCTCAAAAAGGGAAGGGTAGATCAAGAGAGAGGGGAGGGAGGAAGGAGAAGAGAGTGGGTGGAAAAGGGATTAATCTGTTGTTCAAGGCAGGCTGACAGAGGGAAGAGGAGTATTGAACCACAGAAGATTAACCAAACTTCAATGTACCTTCCCAAAAGCAGGAGGAATGTAATGCTACGTGGTGTTCCACTGATAAGCAAATCCCTCTAAATCCTTTCAATTTATTTCTTGGCCTGAAGAAATTACATATTATTTAGGAGACAGAAAAATAAAATAAATAAAATCACCCACCCAAACCACACCATCTTTAAGAATCTAGATCAGATGCCTGTTGATTACATACATATAAAGGCCTGGCTTTGATGGCTGCTCTTCTTTCTTATTGGTGCTGTCCTCTCTAGGATTGCTAATTAGAAAGGCTTGGCTGTGTTTCCACTGTCAGCTCTTTTGTTTTCACCACAAATACTCATTTTGAGTATTTAGGGTCTAACCATTATAAGGGAAATTTAACTGAAGCTCCAAAGACCAAATCTACTTTTTTCCCTCCCTTTTTCCCTTTCTTTCTTCTTATTTTCCTCCCTCATGCCTTCCCTCTAAGAAAGAGATGCAAGCTCAAGAAGATGTAAACACAAGAAAAGAGTGCATGTTAGTACATCCCAAAACTTAGTATGTGGCACAGAAAACTTATCCAGAACAATCAAATGCAATGAAGTGAATATAAAATACAACTTCTAGAAATACAAGGCTATCTTTTCCTTATTACACTGTGAAAAAAAAAGTATATCCCACTCAGCCATGTAATATAATGTTAGAAAAGTCAGAGACAGGTGTTACAGCAATAGCAGAAGTTAAAGCAAGTTTTGGTATTTGAAACTGGACTTAATAAAATAGGGAGTTACAAGTGATCTGTGGCCAGTAAGTTTGAGACAGAACTATGAAGGAAAAATGAGAGTCAATTTGAGAACATGGTATGAAGTCCCAGTAGAGGAAAAATGCAGAGGAGGTCAGCTTTCGATTGAGAATTTATCCCTATTCATGCCTAGAAGGAAATACCAACCTCCCACAGAGAAATGTGGGAGGATGGGTTCCCATAAAGCTCTATGATTTATATAAAAAATCTCTAGGTAGGGAATGTCTTCAGGTGCTATTAAATTGAGAAGTTCAGAAACCCAGATGGGCCCACTCAACCCCAGAAGTCACATCCTTATTCCCAGGCTGCAATTAGTAGTAAATAGATAAACCCATCTTAGATATTGATTCAAAATAATTTACAAAAGCAAACACAACAGAACTTCTATGTGGAAAGAGATGAGATGAATTGTTTCTCATTTCTGATAGACAGTGAGGCTAATAATTTTCCCCGTTCCAGTTCATAAACAGCAACACTCATTTGCTGTCAAAATGGGTGTTGGAAATGTAGCAGGTGTAATCACAGGCATGAGATCCATGAGGTCATCCACAGGGTTTTTTGCTCACAAAGACCCTTTGTTAGGTTGTATGCTCTGCTCTTACCATCTTGAAATTCCTAATCATTTATCTTTGCACTTGTGTTTTGTAAGTGAAGTTCAGTGGAACAGTGCGGCATGAAAGCAAGCAGAGGAGATACATGCAATGTGTGTGTCCACTTCCATTCCTTGCTGCTCATCCTCATATAGTGTTCCTGATGCCCCAATGGCACAGGATCCTGTGGATTCACTTACATATAGGAGTAATCTGAATCAAACAGCTTTATTTGAATTTATCCCCCAATGTTTCTCCTTGGGAGGTTGGTACTGTCTTCTAGGCAAGAGTGACTAGGGTAAGTTCTCAGGCCAAAGCTGGCCTCCTTTGCTTTTCCTCTCTCCGGATTCTATATCGTGTCCTCTGTATAATAGGTAAGGATGTTATATCTACAGGCTGAGTAGGAACACTGACATCCCCAGGAGCTCATGCTCTCCCTTTGAACCAGAAGTTGCTTAGAAGACAGAGAGAAGGCAATGGCATTCAGGAGAACCTATCACATCCTTTCTTAAGTCTCTGTATCAACCAACCATTTACAGTAAAGACGATGACATGAAAGGGAAAGATAGGGCAACCCGGAGACCTCTTCTTGTTTTTTTTTTGTTTTTTTGTTTGTTTGTTTGTTTTTGTTTTTGAGACAGAGTCTCACTCTGTCGCCCAGGCTGGAGTGCAGCGGTACCATCTTGGCTCACTGCAACCTCCGCCTCCCAGGTTCAAGCAATTCTTCTGCCTCAGCCTCCCAAGTAGCTGGGATTACAGGTGCCTGCCACCACGCCCTGCTAATTTTTTGTATTTTTTGTAGAGACGGGGTTTCACCATGTTGGCTAGGCTGGTCTCAAACTCCTGACCTCGTAATTCACCTGCCTCATCCTCCCAAAGTGCTGGGATTACAGGCGTGAGCCACCTGTTCTCTCTAGGATTGCTAATCAGAAAGGCTTGGCTTGCACAGGGCAAGAGACCTCTTGTTTTTGGTTCTACCTGATGCATCGGTAGGCTGAAGTTAAAAAGCGTTGGTAGAATGTGCATGCATCAAGAAGTGAAACAAAAAGCAGTAAGTTACTTTTGGATGGCATTTCCACTCTTCCAATAAGAACAAAAGACACATGCATATATGGGCTATGACATACAAATTGTGTTATTTCAATGATTCTGCATTTGAGCTGAATGCTCTTATATCTGGATTTAAAACTGGCATTGCACACAATATAAGGACGAATGGTAATATTCATGCTAATTTACATTTTTATTTACTTAAATGTCATTCAATAGCAAATAAAAAACATAACAAATAGACTATTGAAGAAAGAGAAAAGAAATTCTATTCTAGCACTTTTAACACTTTTTTTTCTGGATTTTTGGGCAAGGGGGCCCTTAGTTTTATTTTGCATTGGTTTCCACAAATTATATAGCTAACCCTGAGAACAGTTCTGAAAAATGATTTTGAACAGGCCAAAGGAGTGTGACATGGTTTCAGAAACTCAAATTATGACAAATAGATTATGTTCCTGAAACCAGGTCCCTCGTGCTTCCCTCCTAGCCTCATGACTGTGGGTCTTTGTTTTTGTTTTTGTTTTTGTTTTTTTGAGACGGAGTCTCGCTCTGTCGCCCAGGCTGGAGAGCAGTGGCTTGATCTCGGCTCACTGCAAGCTCCGCCTCCCGGGTTCACGCCATTCTCCTGCCTCAGGCTCCCGAATAGCTGGGGCGCCCGGCTGATTTTTTTTTGTATTTTTAGTAGAGATGGTGTTTCACCGGGTTAGCCAGGATGGTCTCGATCTCCTGACCTCGTGATCCGCCCGCCTCGGCCTCCCAAAGTGCTGGGATTACAGGCTTGAGCCACCGCGCCCGGCCGACTGTGGGTCTAAACTAGCTTTATTCTCTCAAAGGTACCAGGAGGAAACAGCACTAGTATTCCTGTATTGGTGTGGCTCTTTTAATGCACATGCTCCCACTCTAACTCCCCTCTCTATCTGCCCAGACCCATTTAATAACATTCCAGAGAGTATTCTCTAATAAGGGCGCAGCTTTTGTTTATTTCCACCTCTGAGAATTCTGGGTTTTAATGCAACCACTTTGAAAAAGAATGATGACCATATAATTTTCTGGAAAAAAAAATTACAACACCTTTTTATACACAGAAGTGATGTGGTAGATGACAAAACCGGAACTCAGACCTGATCACAGGGAATCAAGAACCTTTGCTCGCATTGGCTTTAAGGCTAACTTCCCTCAAAGGATTTTGAAAGCCAGCTGATCTTAGGAAAAGTGGGCGGCCTTTCCACCCTGGCCCTCTAGGAAGAGAAAGTCAATAAGCACAAACTCTGCTGAGTCAGTGGCATCTTTAAAAACTGTGTCAGAAAAATATTTTTAATTTACACTCTGCCTCTTTGAAAGAAATCAATATGTCATTTGCTGGGACTTTTTTTAAAAAAATCTAAGCATCTTTATTTAGTTTTTCTAGATTCTTTTTTCTTGTAGTCTTCTAGGGAGCAAAGGAAAAAGTGTTTCGTTTGTATACATATTGATTCAAATGCTTTGAGCAAAAAATAACTAAATACAGCAGAGTAGCTTTAATGACAAACTTTTAGGGATCAAGATCTCTAAGCAACACAGTCTCATTTGAGGTGATTGGAAGTAAACAGAAATCAATAAAACAGAATTACTGGGCAACAAACAAGAGAAGCCACATTTATAATTGAAGAGGCTGCTTTTCATGCATTCATTACTGAAGAATGCACTCCAGCCCTATTCTATTTTTACAGCAGCATAGATTTCCTCCCAGCTTGTAGTCTTTTTCTTGCTTTTTTTTTCTGTTTTGAGAGGTGCTGAAAAAGAGTTTAACGTATATCTGGAGGCTTCTATACTCCTACAGCTGCTCAGAGAACCCAAAAGACACAAGAAAGTGCTTAGCACAGTGGGCAGGAAGTGTCTCCTCAAACCCTTCTCATCTCAGGTCTTCATATGTCCAGCAAAGTGCCAGGTGAGAAGTGTGGCATAGCACGGACATAAGTATGGCCTGACGGAGCTTGGTCCTTGCCTTTAAAGTGCTTTCAGCGTAGCAGGGAAGATGACTATTGCAGACATTGTCAATATCCATTCCCCTCTTCCTCCTTGCGAGAGCTGGCAATGTGACCGGCCTAACCAAGCCTCCTTTGCAACTAAAAGTGGCCATGTGGTAGCTCTGGACAAAGAGCTAAACAAGGAAATCCTCTAGAGGCTCTAGAAATGCTTGTTCTATTCTTGATAAAACGAAAAAGACTTGGCTGGTCTGACTGCTTTCCCTTCTTCCTTGGGTTTGCACGGGACATGTGGAGCTGCAGCAATCAGCTTGTGCCCATAAGGTGGCAAGTTGGGGGGAAAGCCAAGAAAAGAACTGGGAAGCTGACTCAGATATTGTCAAATATTAAACTTGACAATTATAAAATAAATTAGAATAAAATAATTTATTATATATAATTAATTATAATTATTATAATATATAATTAATTATAATTACAATATATAATTAATTATAATTATTACAATATATAATTATTATTATAATTATTTATTATAAAATAAAAATTTGGCTCCTATTATAGGAGCCAAATTAAGCAGTTTTATGTTCTCTAAACTTCGGAATTCTTGTTTAAGAAAATGTATCCTGTCTTCAGTCACTGCAGGTCAAGTTTTCTCTTAATGGAAGTTAGAGCCAATCATAACAGAGAGAACAATACAGAGAGAGCAACCACAAGCAGAGAGGATGCAAGGGCGCCACGGGATTGGTCTCCTCCTTTGGCACTCATTAGTCACCAGGTGACATTCTAGCAATACCCAGGGGTGGGACTTGGGTATCAGCCTGATGAGGAAAGCTCCACCGTGATTACAATGCCCACCACAGCTTGGATGTGTGTCCCCTCCAAATCTCATATTGAAATATAATCCCTAATGTTGGAGGTGGGGCTGGTGGGAGGTGTTTGGCTCAGAGGGGTGGATCCCTCATGAATGGCTTGGTGCCCTCCCCATAGTAATGAGTTCACATGAGATCTGGTTGTTTAAAAGAGTCTGAGCTGGACCGGGTGAGGTGGCTCATGCCTGTAATCCCAGCACTTTGGGAGGTCAAGGCGGGTGGATCACAAGATCGGGAGGCCAAGGCGGGTGGATCATGAGGTCAGGAGTTCAAGACCCACCTGGCCAAGATGGTGAAACCCTGCCTCTACTAAAAACACAAAAATTAGCCAGGTGTGGTGGCATGCATCTATAATCCCAGATACTCGGGTGGCTGAGGCAGGAGAATCGCTTGAACCTGGGAGGCGGAGGTTGCAGTGAGCTGAGATCACACCACTGCACTCTAGCCTAGGTGACAGAGCGAGACTCTGTCTCAAAAAAAAAAAAAAAAAAAAAAAGAGCCTGGGCCAGACACAGTGGCCCACGCCTGTAATTACAGAACTTTTGGGGATGAAGGAGGGAGGATTACTTGAACTCAGAAGTTTGAGACCAGCCTGGGGAAAATAATGAAATCCCATCTCAACAAAAAATTAAAAAAAAATTAAACATTAGGTGTGGTGGTGCAGGCCCGTAGTCCCAGCCACTCAGGAAGCTAAGGCAGCAGGATTGCTCGAGCATGGGAGGTTGAGGCTCCAGTGAGCCATGATCGTGCCACCCTCTCAAAAAATTAAATAATAAAAAAAAGGGTGGCGCCTCCTCCTCCTGTCTCCCTTGCTCCCTCTCTCCCTCTCTCACCATGTGACATGCCTGCTCCCTGTTTGCCATTCACCATGAGTGAAAGCTTCTTGAGGCCTTACCAGAAGCCAAGCAGATGCTGGCACTGCTTGTACAGCCTACAGACTGTGAGCCAAATAAACCTCTTTTCTCTATAAATTATTTAGTCTCAGAAGTTTATTTTATAGTAATAGAACATAGACTAACACATAAGGGACAATATTTTTGATTAAATATCTTGGAAACATGAGCAGTCAGCATATCCCAGACTGAATTGATTAACTCCTCCCTCTGCTGCCTTCCTGGCCTCTGTCTATGGTGTCCTTACTCTCTAGGAACAAGCCCAAACTCTCAGGGTCATCTTTAAATCTGTCAGAGGTGCTTGAACCAGAGCAACTCCATCTTGAATAGGAGCTGGGTAAAATGAGGCTGAGACCTACTGGGCTGCATTCCCAGATAGTTAAGGTATTCTGAGTCACAGGATGAGATAGGAGGTCAGCACAAGATGCAGGTCATAAAGACCCTGCTGATAAAGCGGGTTGCAGTAAAGAAGCTAGCCAAAATCTATCAAAACCAAGATGGCGATGAGAGTGACCTCTGGTCATCCTCACTGCTACACTCTCATTAGCGACATAACAGTTCACAAATGCCATGGCCTGTTTAGCATATCATCAAGGGACAAGAGTAGTTACCCTATAAGGTCTAAAAAGGGGAGGCATGAGTAATCCACCCCTTGTTTAGCATATCATCAAGAACCATACAAATGAGCAACTAGCAGCCCTTGGGGATGCTCTGTCTATGAAGTAGCCAATCTTTTATTCCTTTACTTTCTTAAGAAACTTGCTTTCACTGTACCCTGTGAACTCACCCTGAATTCTTTCTTGCGTGAGATCCAAGAACCCTCTCTTGGGGTCTAAGTCGGGACCTCTTTCCTGTAACAAATCCTTCCTGCTCCCCGTCACACCTCCAGGCACCAAGTCCTGCAAAGCCATCTCTAAAATGTTACTCCAGTTTTCATTCCTACTTCCCTGGTTGCTTATGTGGATGAATCCTAAAATTCCCTACCCAGACTCCCTGTCTACCCTTACCTCCTCCTGTTAATGAACTCTAGAAAGTACTTCCAGGATAAAAATATAGTTTTCATGTTTCACTCTGTTGGTTCAAATTTATCTCACTATCAAAAGTCTAGACTTAAAAAAAATTAAAATTCAAGATCCTCCACCTCTGGACTCCAGTGTAATTTTGTAGTATCATCTTCCATTACCATTTGTCCCTATAAATGCCTCCACATACTGACTATTAAATGTTTTCAATTCTCTGAACAAGGGTATTAAGTTCATAACTTTATGTTTTGGCTTATACTGCTCCTTACCCAACTCTATTTGCATTTCATTCCATTTATACCTGCTGAAATGGTATACCTTTTTTTAAGGTCCAACCCAAACACTTCTTTATGTAATGTTTTTCTGATCCCAAGGCTGAAAAATAAAATGCTCCCTTTAGCATCGCAACTCAATAGTTTCTTGGAATCACACTGAAAGTACTTAATATATATTGACTTACACTATTTTCCCTTCTACTTGATTGCTATTTGAGGGAGACAAGGGACTTCTTCTAGAGGCAACTATATCAAGGGAAAAGTTTTGTGTTTTGAGTCAGAAAACATGAGCTCAGTCTATTATGGTGAGAGTCCAAGGTAATCACAAACACTGCACCCTAGTTTTCTCTTCTGTTAATTTGAGTCAGTGACATCTACTTCATGCTATTGTTATGTGGTTTGAAATGGATATCAGCGAGTCAGAGATGTTACTCTTCTGTGATGTGTTCTTAATAGTGTTACTTATTATTGGTCTGAAATCACCCGTAGGGTTACTATACTCCTGGACCAGAGCCTAGCTCATAGAAAAAACTTGAATGGATAGCAGGTACTCAGGAAATGTCTGTTTATTTCAACAGAATTGGGTAAGACGGGTGATATGGTTTGGCTCTGTGTCCTGCCCAAATCTCACCTTGAATTGCGATAATCCCCACGTGTCATGGGAGGGAACCCGGTGGGAAGTAATTGAATCATGGGGGTGGGTTTTTCCCATGCTGTTCTTGTGGTAGTGAATAAGTTTCATGAGATCGGATGGTTTTATAAAGGGGAGTTCCCCTGAACATGCTCCCTTGCCTGCCACCATGTAAGATGTGCCTTTGCTCTTCTTCTGTCTTCCACCATGATTGTGAGGCCCCCCCAGTCATGTGGAGCTGTGAAGTCCATTAAACCTCTTTCCTTTATAAATTAGCCAGTCTCAGGTATGTCTTTATTAGCAGCATGAGAACAGACTAGACTAACACACCAGGAGTCATGTTCAAAGGATGGACATGCAAAAGGTGGAAGAGAGGAAGTATTTCCCATCCTTGTGAGATTATTACTCATTCTGATCTTTGGAGGTATCAGGGACATAAATAGCTTTATAAGCTATTTTTTCAAGAATGAAGGTTTTCCATTAATGGATGAATAAAATTTTTTAAATGTGATATATATATACACACACACAATGGAATAATATTCAGCCTTTAAAAAGCAGGAAATTCTGCTACTTGGAACAATGTGGATGGAGCTAAAGGACATTATGCTAAGTGAAATAAGCCAGGCACAGAGAGACAAATCCCGTATGATCTCACCTGTATGTAGAAATCTAAAAAGTCAAACTCACAGAAATAGAGAGTAGAGTGGTGGTTATCAGAGGCTGAGAAAGGAAAGGTCAATGGGGAATGAGGAGATGTTGGTTGAAGACTACAAAGTTTCAGACAGGAGAAGTAGATTCTGATCTATTACACAGCATGGTGACTAGAGTTAATAATGAATTGCCTATTTCAAAATTATATATTTTAAAATTCATTCATGTAAAAGAATAAATTGTAAATGTTCTTGCTACAAAGAATTTGAGGTGATGAGTATGTTAATTATCCTGGGTTGATCATTCCACAATGAATATAGACATTGAAACATCACGTCGTACCTATATATACAATTATTAATTTGTCAGTTAAAAATAAAACTTTAAAAAAAGAACAGGAGTTTCTCTGGAAGAGTACATTTGCTTTCAAGACAGAAAATGCCTCAGTGGTCCATAAAAGTCCATAAACAACTAATGTTTGAATTCTACAACCATGTACCAGAGAGATAAATTTCTTATTTGCAGGACTATAGGTTTAAAGTAAGTCAAATATCATGTAGATCTGAAAACTGGAGTGATTGAACATTTGGACCAATTTCTTGCAAAGTGCCAAAATGGAGATTTGGGGTTTTGCTTCTCCTCCTTTCAAATAGCCTTAGCGCTGAGCAGCAGATAGGAGGAACCTATGATTCTTTGGCCACACTAGCCTGTCTCACTTAAACCCTTAAGTGGAATTCTTTATGTAAAGAAAAGTAAGAGTAGTGTAATCACTCTGAATAAATGCCCTGTAAAATGACTTCAGCAATTATGCTGTTTGTAAGTACCTCTGAGTCCATTAAGATAAACATCTATCTTAGAATATTCACATTAATGCACTAGACTGTTCTTTCTTACATAAATCTTAGTTGAACATTGGGCAGTTAACAGAGTTTATCATCCCTTGCTCTTCTTCCCTTCGACGCACACATTAATGCATGCAGGGGGATAGGATTTAAATAGTGCTAGTCGCACAGCACACATTAACACACAAGGCAGTCTCTAAACACTTTTAAATGCAGAATAAATATGCTTTAGGTTTTAAATGCCTTCATAAGCTGTATACCCAGGAATACATTGGACTGGACTCTTAATTTCCCACATAAGCAACATCTTATAGGCAAAAGCAATAAATGCTTACACATAAAACAGTTTTAATATGCTTCCAATTGCTCGGCACACATAGGTCCAAATGAAATCTAAGTCCCTAGTTACCCCTCCATGAAACAAGTGTATCTCTATTTATATCATAAAATGTATCCATAACAATATCTGCATTTTAAGCGTTGGCCCCAATTTCATTAACTTTTGTAGCCAAATTGGGAAAATGAGCAAGGATCCCTAGTACTTATTCAGATCCCTGGTTTCTTCCCTGCTGTGCTGAAGTGAAGACAGTCCATAAACAGTCTATAGCTTTAATTCTCTTTTGTGGCTGTCACATTGGTTATAACAATGATACTAGCAAGGGTAATATAAAATTTAACAGTGAGTATTTAATTATCAGTGCAGAAGAAGAACTGATTAATCAGACAGTGGCCACAGTGCTGGAGCTGGGTTCTGGAAGTCTTATCTGTCCCAAGCCTCATTCTGCCTCATGGTGGGGACAGAGGTGTGTCTTGCTGCAGGAACACAGGTGACCTGGAGGTAAAGGGCACTTGGAGGTCTTGACACAGTGGTTATTTACCATCTAGTATCAAAGTGTTTCTTAAGAGATGGTTCAGCAGATGATGTTAAGGAGACTAACATGGTGCAGTCAATTTGTCGGGGAATAAATTTCATTTCATTGAGAAAAATTCTGGTTAGTGGTCTCAAAGGGTAGTCCCAACTATGCCAAGGTTGATGACTCACCAATCATTCATTCAACCTTTCTTTTTGGAGCTAATGCTTTGGGGAAAACCAAAAGCCATATGAAGTGGCCCAAATCCTCAAGAAGCTTATAATTAAGTAGGTAAGTGTTTGGCCTAACTGTCCTTAAATGATAGTAAAAAGAAAAAAAACTGTGCTCTGAGGAAAGAGAGATAGATTCTGAGTGGGATGTCAGAGGAATTCATGGGGATGATGGTCTTTGGCTTTGATAGAATAATAAATAGGATATTAATAGTCAAAGGTGGGAGCAGATAGTCCAGGTAAATGGCACAAATTAATGCCTAGAGGCAGGAAAGTAAAAAGGAAGGAATGGGAATAAGAGACTCATTCGATTTAGTTAGAACACAGAGTAAGCATGAAGTCATCAGGTGGTAGAATGAACATGCATATACAGCCAGAGGCAAAGAGGACCGAGAGGAGGTGTAAGTGGCTCCAGGGAAACCCACCTTTGCTGCTTAACAAACAAATCAAATCAAATGTACACTAATGGTGCACCAGAAAAGTGATCTTTTTATACAAAGGGCAGCAAGTATTATTTGTTTAATCCTAGAAAGAATGTATGTCCCAGGTATTTAGAGCAACTGTTCTGCCAAGCACATTTTTTGCTGCTGGGAAATCTCAGCCGAATGAGGCCATTACTGCATACACTTCAGAGATGAATGGAATACCTGTTTTCACCTCTTCTTAACTAACACTTTTATGAGAAGGTGAAAGCCTTACAAAGAATTCTTATCTGTGGGTAACAATTCTGCTCTCTGTTTTGAAATTCATCCTGCAGAGTTTTTCTGTCTTGCAACTGAATGAAATGTTTAGCCTGTACAACAGTCAATAAAGCCCCGCAGAGTGACATTCAGCCCTGCTGGATGTGATTAAATGGTCATGTTCACACCTGTGTGTCTGTGTGCACATGTGCATGTAGGCATGTGTGTATGTGTGTGTGCATGAGAATAACAAAAGAAGAATAAAGTTAATTTTAACAGCCCGATAGACTCCCAGCTGGAACATACTTGTTGAAGTGAAAGTTACATAAAGGAAACTTAGACAGCTTTAAACACCATTTGGACCATGCTGTGCTCGTTTGAACTTTACCTGTATTAAAAAAAAAAAAAAAAAAAAAAAAGCAACACAACAAAAAGTACCTACAAATGCAACAAAAGAAGAGATTTTCTGATTCTTTGGAGATCAGATGCTCTTGCCTTCAAACTGCAGCCTATCTCCTTCAGTCCTATATGATACAAGGATAAACTTTCTTTTTAAAGGAGCCAAAAGAGCCTTCTAAAATACAATCTTAATCTTTGGAGGAAAAAATAAAGAAGACATGCAAAAATAAACCCAGTACCTTTTAAATCTAATTTAAAGAGATTTCTGAACAACTCAGTTGCTTTCTTCAATCTTCAGAGGTAAAAGGTAAAACCCCTTGGGAAAGACATTGGCATTTCTAGACCTTGAAGCATCATGCAACCCAAAGAAGGAAAGAAGTAATCATGCTAAGGGCCTAGAACTGAAGTCAGGGTTTCAACAACAGGTTAATAACCACAGAGCACACCATGCTTCACATTTTTTTTGTTTTTATTAGAGCTAAGGCTGGGATATTTAATATGCATAAACTAATTTATAGTTAGAAATGTTTTTGGCTCTTCAGTTTTTCAGCTAAACAAGGCTCCATTTCCATCTTTTACATAAGACAATATATTTGAAGGAGAGAGGTTTCAGGGAGTATTTAATTGTATCCTTTTATTAAAAGGGAGAATAATATTTTCTCTCAGGAGACAAATTTCATGTGAAGTTTTAATTGCCAAGACTCACAGCACCCAAACAGACCATTTTTATTCTTATTTTTTGCATTACAAGGGCAGTGAGGAGATTACTAAAGAGGCAAAATCAAAAAGGTCACAGAAAGAATGAAGAAGAGGAATTAGGATTCACTGTCCTCACAAAATGAGTGCTAAGGCTTAATCTGCAAAATCCTACAAAGCACAGACAATGTGTGACAACGGAAATTCTAAAGACATACATGATACTATCAGAATTTTACATAATAAAACATATGCAGTTACATTACTTTCTATCACATTTTCATTAAAAAAAGTTACTCAAAGCTTGTTAAAGTGAGTGGCATCCAGACGAAAGGATTTTATTTGGAAATTTTAAGATTTTGGAAAAGCTCTTAATGGAGTTGAAGAAATTTCTGTTTTTTAGTCAATATCAACATTGTGAGGTTCTAGGCAATACAGCAATGGGAATCTAGAAATATACCGTTTAGTCTTCAAAGGGACAGGAAAAGAGCAGGACTGAAAACAGACTCCATTGTAAATCAAGCTCTCTCTTTTCTAAAAATGCTCACCTGATTCATAAAAAAGCAATCTGTAACATTTAAATGTATTTTCCCACGTAATAACAGTAATGACCTTCTGGGTCACACATTTCCTCCTAGTTAATGATCAGTTAGCTGAAAGGCTGGGTAACAAAGACCTGCAGCCTCGTCACTAACTGCCAATTAACGTCCACTTTATCAGTCAGTGCTGTTTAAATAGAACAAGACACATGCCAAGCTATCCACAGAGGGCCAGACACCAAAATCATATCATTAAAAACACACTTCTATCAAAGCAAAGCTCTCGGGACATTTATGCTATCACAGCAGTCATTTTTCTGAAAGATAGGCAGTGGTAATGTAACCCCTTTGTTTCAGTGTTCAACAGAGGGACCTTACCTGAGAAGATAAATGTCCTTATCTCCTTGGTCTATGAGTAAGTGAACATTGAATGCCACATAGAGATTTAAGGGGGACACTTCAAGGAGTTATTCCTGAATCCAGGTGCTATTCTACAAATGAGGCCAAAATTCGTATCTCTGGGTCAAGGTAGACCACTTATTAGTGTGTCATAATGTAGGGGGGAATAAAACTCAGAAAAATTCAAATTCAGATAATTCCACCCTATGGGTTTCTCCTTCCAGGTTTAACTGAATTCAACTTCTTTCTCTTCTCTATGTTGTCAACTCATATAAGTTAGATCTGACAGCTCTTTAGCACTCCTAGGCAGCATTTTGGAGACTGTGGTTTCCAGACAATCACTGATTAAGATTTTATATCTATCATGCAAGAGAGCATGAAAATCATATACCAAATTTGTGTTGTTCGTTTAATGCACCTGAAGATTTAAATGCATGCCAGATAAATGAAACAAATACCATCCATCAACCATATACTAGCCCCATCCAATGGGTGAAATTGATCTAAGAATATTCAAGAGACCATAATAACCATACTTTTCATTTGTATGCGTGTTTTACTCTCAGAATACTCTTTATATATGACACAGAGTCTTACCATGACTCATCCAAGGTCAGACTCTTAGTTGTGACAAAGACAGAACCAAGCTCAGGTCCCTTGACCTCTCTTGGTTTGCATCTACCATTTTACTCCATGAAACTATAGGGGAAAAGTAATAGACTTCTGGTTAATGAACCAGAATCTGGCTCATGCATACCACAGAGGAGAGAGAGGGGTATTTCAATTCTTCTAAATATTAGTCAACCTGTAATTAAAGCTTCCAGAAGCTTTTAAGTGACTTGTGTAAAATGCATCCTTCTAGGAAATAAAAACACACTTAATACTTCGAGCATTAGTGCAGGGTGCTTTCAAGGAATGGAGGAATTTTCAAGCTGTGGAAAGAATCCAAAGGTTGTCAGCTACTAGTGGTTATGAATGAGGCAGGCTTGCTCTTCAGCAGTGAACATATCCTGCAAGACTCTTCACCTACATCGAGGCAGTTAAAAGAGAAATTGTACTGCTTCAAAGCATTTGAGGCAGCATAGAATGAATCTCTGTAGGACACTTAAGCCTTTTCTTTACCACCTCCCCATCCATAGAATAGACAAGTAAATAGATTTTGATAAGTAGCCCCAGTAAAACAATAAGAATAATCTTGGACCTTTGCTATCAGCAATACAAGCACTTGACTATTAGCTTTGGTGGTGGCAGGAGTTGGTGGGAATTAGATTTATATGGAAAGCTGCTTCCACAACAGTAGGTTTGATTCGTATCCTGAGTCACACAAAATGCTAATGGGTGTCAGACCTTACTGAACTTCACCGTGTCTCTGCTCCAGACTGAAAAAGAAAACAGGATCAAGTTCTTTCTTACATCCTCAGAATGTTATAAGACAGTAGCTCAGAGGGCTGGAAGCCTGAGGCCCAGAGAAGAAAATAGAACATGATACGAATCCTGTTTACCTATATACTTTCATGAAGCATGAGCAAGGGAATGAATGCTGAAATTAATTGCTATTTGTTGGTGACAGCTGTTAGCTTGTTATGTTTCTTTCTTGACTTCTTGCAGTCCTCGGCATATCACATAAATTACCATGCATTTTGACATTACTCTTTTCCCGTATCATACTACCACTAATTTCTCTACCTCATACCTATTCTTCACAAAATATATTTTTCTTTTCTTAGTTACAGGCCAGCTATTTAAATTGGATGAACCAAACTGTAGTATATAGTTTGGCTAGTGATCAGGAATTAAATAGATAAGCGGAAAGACTGAATATTAAGAACCAGGAAAAATAACTTCAGCATCTCACAAGACAAAGCTATATTAATTCCTAAAATAATGGGGTTAATTTATAAAACAAAGTAGACTTCTATGTAGTTTTAAGGGTTTAGTTAATTATTTAAAAAAAAAAATTACCTTATGAGCCAGAAGTTTCAATGCACTTGGATTTAAAGAGAGAGGTACATCTTACATATAAGTCAAGATAATGTCTGAGATTTGCTAAAAGAAATATTTTTTCCACAGGGTTTTTTGAAATGGTAGATGATAAAAACACAGCTCAGTTTTCTATATTTCCTCATTTTTGGCAGTGAAATGACTCTTAGGCATGCAAGATCCTGAATGGAAGTCTAGTAACTACGATGGTAGTTGAATGATAGTTTTCAAAGATAGAAAACTAACAGTGATACATGCTAGAATTATTTGCATCAGCAACATCTTAACAAAATGTTTTCTGTTGATTAGAAAATTTATTTTATGGAACTTTTCATCTTTTAAGTATTCTAAATTGAGATTGTATTGAACCCATCTCAATATTCAAGGTAAAGATTATTTATTTATTTATTTAGGGACAGAGTCTCGCTCTGTCGCCCAGGCTGGAGTGCAGTGGCGCAGTCTCGACTCACTGCAAGCTCCGCCTCCCGGGTTCACACCATTCTCCTGCCTCAGCCTCCTAAGTAGCTGGGATTACAGGCACCCACCACCACGCCTGGCTAATTTTGTTTTTTTTTTGTATTTTTAGTAGAGACCGGGTTTCACTGTGTTAGCCAGGATGGTCTCGATCTCCTGACCTTGTGATCTGCCTGCCTCGGCCTCTCAAAGTGCTGGGATTACAGGCATGAGCCACCATGCCCAGCTGGTAAAAGATTTTATAATAAATAATAAAGACATAAATTTGAAACTGGTATATAAGCTAAGAGGTGTAGAGCTTGAGTATCTATCTCAAAATGAATAGCAAGGACACAACAAACAAATAATTACCTCCTCAAAAAAGCATCTGTGAATTTTTTTTTTTTCCCCAAAGGCCAGAGGTACTTGTGGAACCTTAGGGATATATTTTTGTTCTTTATAAGTGAATGGGAAAATAGAATTGTGGATCCTCTTATGAAAATGTTATAAAGAGAGATAACATTTAAATTATAGAGAAGGGTGGGCGTGGTGGCTCACACATGTAATCCCAGAACTTTGGGAGGCTGAGGCAGGAGAATTGCTTGAGCCTAGGAGGCGGAAGTTGCTGTAAGCTGAGATTGCACCACTGCACTCCAGCCTGGACAACAGAGCAAGACTCTGTCTCAAAAAATAAAATAAAATTACAGAGGAGCCTCAACTGGCCCAATGAATGCCCATTGAACATGGTGTTGCCTTATTAAGAAATGAGTTGAGAAATGGATACTCTGGTCTACTCTTGACCAACAGCTCAAGATGAGACAGAAAACTGCAAGAATGATAGATGAGTATAATGAGGAAGATTCCTTGAAAACTTGTGGTCAGAGAGTTGATGGGATGGGGGTAGAGAGAGTTCCCAGGGAGCTAGTGACATAGGTCTAAGAAATACTCAGTATCCTCAGAGAAAAGTTTTTTGATCATGTGCTACAGTGGTGGAGGATGTGGCTGCAGAGACTAGGCAGTTTTAAACAAAACCCCCAAAGTCCAGACAAATGAACCTGAGACTTCCAAAGATCTGGAGACAAGGTAAAGACTACAACAGAAATAAGGATGAATTTATTTAAAGCAATCTCAGTAATAAATCAATAACAATTGATTGGCCGGGCATGGTGGCTCACGCCTGTAATCCCAGCACTTTGGGAGGCCGAGGTGGGCGGATCACCTGAGGTCGGGAGTTCGAGACCAGCCTGACCAACATGGAGAAACCCTGTCTCTACTAAAAATACAAAAAAGCCGGGCATGGGTGGCCCATGTTTGTAATCCCAGCTACTCGAGAGGCTGAGGCAGGAGAATCACTTGAACCCAGGAGGTAGAGGTTGCGGTGAGCCAAGATTGAGCCATTGCACTCTAGCCTGGGCAACAAAAGCAAAACTCTGTCTCAAAAAGAAAACAACAACAACAACAATTCATTGCCATTAATTCGGCATTTACTATGTGCCAAGCACTGTGCTGAGTATTTTGTGCACTGTATTCCATTTAATCCTGCCAAGAGACTTAGGAAATATGTCACCATTTCTGTTTTGCAGAAGAGACTGAGGTTCACAGAGCTTGGTTACCCAAAGGTAATGAGTGGCAAAACTACAATTCTGACCCAAATCTATCAGATTCCAAAGTCTTTCTCTTCACCACTATATTACAGTGAAAGGTAGAAGAAGCCCAAGAAGTGCCTAAAAGAAGCTTTAAACCCTGAACAAATCTAAAAGTAACCTGAGTCTTTCGAGGCCCATTTCTAAAGTAATATCACTAGTAAAAACGTATAAGAAATTGAACAATGTTTTTTTTAAACTATACAGCCTGAAAATTCGTATAGACTGAACAGGCCTGGGAGTCAATACTACCATATTTTAAGCCTCTTCCCCTGCCCTTCTTTTAAAAGGGGGCTATACAGGAGGTTTAGAGGTAAAACAAACAAACAAACAAACAACATGCTACTCCATTACTTAATGTGAATAAAATAAACTGAAGTTAAAACATTTTCCAGGTTTATCTAGTTTATTCCCTGATAGTCTGCTGCCGGGTAGTAGGGCCTCATGCCAACATCATGTTCCATGCTGCTCATCTTTTTTTGTTTTGTTTTGTTTTGTTTTTTTGTTTTGAGACAGAGTCTCACTCTATTGCCCAGGCTGGAGTGCAGTGGCATGATCTCAGCTCACTGCAACCTCCGCCTCCTGGGTTCAAGTGATTCTCCTGCCTCAGCCTCCTGAGTAGTTGGGATTACAGGCGCGCACCACCATGCCCAGTGAATTTTTTGTATTTTTAGTAGAGACAGGGTTTCACCATGCTGGCCGGGCTGGTCTCAAACTCCTGACCTCGTGATCCACCTGCCTCGGCCTCCCAAAGTGTTGGGATTACAGGCGTGAGCCACCACGCCCAGCCTATGCTACCAGTCTTATATCAATTCAGCCAAACCTGTCTGACACACTGACTACATGCACATGCTTACTGGTTAAAGGGTGTATGTGCCAAATTGAAGTGGGGCAGTCAGTAGAAAGGAGGTTTATAGAGAAGTTACAGTGCATAGAAAAGCCTAGATCTGGGATATGGTAGTTTTCAAGAGAAGGTCTCATTTTTTTTTTTTTCTGTAAAATCTTGAGGTAGCTATAGTAAATAGTTAAACCACAAGTTTCCTGGGAGGACAGATGTGCTTCTGAATTCTATTGACCTTGGTGTGGAGCCTGTTAAATTTTTTTTTATATTGTCAATAAAATAAATATATTAAAATAATTTATATATCTCAACATTTGCTATACTAATGGAGTAGATACCCCACCCACAAAATTCTTATTTTACTGGCTTTGGACCAGACAAGCTATTTTGCTCAGTGAAAAACACTGAATTTTCCAGTGTTTGTGAATAAATAAATAACCTTCAAAATAAGAAATAGATAAAAAAAATTCACATCCATCCATCCATCTCTTCATCAGTCTAAAAAGTAATTTTTGCCTTGTGATATACTTTTCCACTTCATCTTCTATATTACTTTAGGTTTACATGCCAGGTACTACTTTCAGCAAAGGAACCTTTTTTTTTTTTTAGAAAAATTCCAATACTTTGTTCAATTTCTTGCACTACAGTTTGAAACACATTTTCAGTCTCCCATGGAATCTGCTCCCCAACTCAGATGGATTTTAGCTTTGCCTAAATCTCTCCCTATCCCAGGTTCCTTTTGTATTATGATTTGGAGCAAACCTTTTTAGAAAGACACCGAATCTATAGATGTTGCAAAGACAACTCAAATTTAAATCAGAAACAGAAACTGCCTTACAGTACATGTGCTTTTTCTATTTTGTACTTTAAAGAAGGAGACAAAATAGTTTGCATCTTTTATCTGGTTAGAGTTCATAAGAGGCTAACAAAAATTAGGATAAAGAACCAGCCATACTATTATTTATTATAGCCTCTGCCACAAGAGTCCATATACCACATCTCCAAAGATTACTCTCTCGTCTCCTGCTTACATTGCCTTCCTGACAAGAACAACCTTGCAGGTGGAGGTGTGGGAAGGGAAAGAGAGGGAGAAGGAGCCAGAAAGCAAGAGAACAAAAATGTAATTGCCTGCCTATCAGCCCCACTATCATAATTACTTTCAAACTCTGACATGGGTTGAATCAGATGAACAACCAAATCAATTTTTGCAGTTGGCGATCAGTGCATTCTTGGCTTGTAAATTAAAATGTCACTGCTGGAGTACAAAGTGATGCCACTCCTGGGCTCCCCAGTACATTGGGAAAAAAATTCAAGCTCCTTCCTTCATGCCCTTCATGCTTTTCCTGCTCTGTCCCTTTTAGCCTCTAGCCACATTCTTTGTCTTCTCAGTTACCTAACAGTGTGGTCCAAGCATCTATGTCAAGGCAGAGGGTCCTTGACACTGCATAGTTCTATAGAGAGCTCAGTCCTCTACGTCAGAGAAGTGCATTAACTATAGGGCAATACAGAACAGCACACACTGACAACCTCCAATATATAATTTCCAGGAGGTAAAGGATGAGATAACCATGCCCATGGGGGAGGGAACCTGAAGGAATGGAAGAAGAAATCCTGATTTTGGAGAGTTTTGTTATTTGACTGCCACGTGATCACAGAGCCTTGTGGCCTCATTTAGGTAAATGAAGCATGGGTCACAAGCCATATTGGTCCATTGGAATCTTTACAGCCTCAATTTGGTCAATATTTATTGAGAGCCCAGCCCTTGCCAGATACTATCTGCAGTAATGTAGGTACAAACCAACAATTCTACAGTCAAGGATTTCATAGTCTAGGAGGAAGAGAGAAATCATAAAATATAACCACAAAATGATTGATAAATGCTATTAAAGCAGAATAAATACATCACCATAGTAACAGTGGAGAGAAGTAATTAACTCAGAGAAAGCTGTAGTGGAAATGTGGCATTTTGATCTGGTCCTTGAAGGATGATGCCAACGTTTGTCTGCCATACTCCCACCCCATATTTCTAGGAATTTTGCTTATTTCTCCACTCACACTCATCCCATCACTCATTAATTCATTCCTTGGCTATTTATGAAGAACCTACTTTTTTTTAGGCTCCATGCTAGGATGTGGGACTACAATGATGCCATAGCACAACCAGTTCTAGGACAAGTTATGTGAGGGTATTGTTTGATCCTTACCAACTATCAAGTACAGCCTGGAAACAATTTAATCTGCACCTATGATAGATCTAGAACCAAGATGCCCAAAATCAGACAGAATCTTCAAACATAGCCTTTCTACTTCAGCTCATAACATGAGAATCCTCTACAGAGTTGGCTAGAATGTCTACTTAGTGTCTCAGTACTGTCTCCTCACTTATAGCCTTCTGTCTCTCTGCTCCCCACTTCTGACCTAGGGTGGTAAAATGGGCATCTAGAACTCTACCTCTGAAGTCCAGCAGATTGTAACCTTGGCTTACTCAATGAATTCCTACTGGATTCTCCTTTTTTTTTTTTTTTTTTTTCGGTTAGAGCCCAATCCTCTAGAGTCCAGGCACCTGATTTCAGTCTTATCCATCTTAGGCTGAATATCTTTCCCTATGAATAATTTAATCTTTCTCTGGCACTAAGAATCACGCCCCCCAATCCATATCCTACTACCCTAACTTGAAATTAGATGACTGCGAACAGTAATGCCTATCTGAATTGATTCTGGGTTTGGTGTATATGTGGAGGTTTTCCAGGATACCTAGAATTATCCCCACAGACAGAACCTCATTCAACTCTAGCATGAGTGCCAAAATATATAAACATTAATCTCACTGTTTTTATGTGACAAATATCTTCTGGTGATATTTAATACAAAACAGTACTATGCACATTCGTATATAAAAGCCAGCTAAATGTAGCTGGTTGTGACATTAATAGATCATAGAATTACGGTATGGTATTAATACATACCATAGTACCACCCCAGATCAATACTATCTTGCTCTTTTATATATTTCTTCTTTACTAGTAAGTCCAGGAGTAGAGAAGTAAAGTGTCTACGTCACCATTCCATTTAACAATTTCAGTGGTAGGAAAAGGAAACTAACTTGTTATACGTACACACACACACCTACACACACACACATACTATATATATATCATACTTAATCCACTTCCTGTCCCTTTCAATAGTATGACATAAATCTGTCCCTTCCAGAATTTCACTAATTGCTCATCTCACGTATTTGCCCCATGTGTCATATAACAAAATAGAGAGCAAAGATTATCTAGTAAAATTTCAGCATCAGTCATCTACTTAGCACTGCCTGAATGCAGTTGATAAATAGAAAATAATATCTAGAATCTGCATGTGCACTATTATTTCCATAAAAAATAATCTTTTGGGCAGATATTTCTACCAGATAGCAAAGCATATGTGAAGGCCAGTCCATGGAGAGACTGGATATGCTTTTTCAGAGTCTGATAATGAATGCGAAGACATTCATTAACGGTCTGATTATGGGTTTCTGAATATAATCCAATGTCTAAAGTCCTAGAAATAGTTTAATCATTGTTCTTCCCTCTTTTATTCCTGGACATCTTCTCAGACTCCTAGGGAAATCTCAATGCATGAAAACACAAAGCCGTAAAGTACTTATTATATAGAAATGAGAGGGAAGTAATTTGCTTTCGGGTAAGCAAGGTCGCCATAAGCCTGGCAGAGTGCTGGATGATATTACCATTGACTTGCTCTTTCTATTTCAGTTTTCAAGGGTTGTTTCAGGTACAGGAAATGCTGAGCAAATATACCATTGTCACTTCAGATCATGAACATCCACCTGTGGGATTACAGACACTCAACAAACCCCAGTCAATATTGGGAAAGATCACAGTGATCAACATATAAACCAAATAACTAATCTTTTGGTTAGCATTTTATAACTTTCCACTACTTGAAAGATTTTCATCATAAATCACGTACAGTTATTCGGGGGTTTCTCTTTCCCCAATCCTCTAGAACACATTCCTGCCAGCGAACAGTCTACTAGGGTTCTTTTGTATCTACCCACCCAATTTTCCCCAGTTAAGAGTGGGACACATATAAAGTATTTATTAATTAGTTTATTCATTTATACTTTCAACAAATATTTATTGAGCAACTACTTTATGTTAGGTCTATAACCTACCGGTGAGCAGAGAGAGAGGTTAAGAGAACAGATTCCAGATCCAGTCTGCCTGATTTCTTTTTTTTTTTTTGTATTTTTATTTTTATTTTTTATTTTTATTTATTTTTATTTTATTTATCATTATTATACTCTAAGTTTTAGGGTACATGTGCACATTGTGCAGGTTAGTTACGTATGTATACATGTGCCATGCTGGTGTGCTGTGCCCACTAACTCATCGTCTAGCATTAGGTATATATCCCAATGCTATCCCTCCCCCCTCCCCCCACCCCAAAACAGTCCCCAGAGTGTGATGTTCCCCTTCCTGTGTCCATGTGTTCTCATTGTTCAATTCCCACCTATGAGTGAGAATATGCGGTGTTTGGTTGTTTGTTCTTGCGATAGTTTACTGAGAATGATGATTTCCAATTTCATCCATGTGCCTACAAAGGACATGAACTCATCCTTTTTTATGGCTGCATAGTATTCCATGGTGTATATGTGCCACATTTTCTTAATCTGGTCGATCATTGGTGGACATTTGGGTTGGTTCCAAGTCTTTGCTGTTGTGAATAATGCCGCAATAAACATACGTGTGCATGTGTCTTTATAGCAGCATGATTTATAGTCCTTTGGGTATATACCCAGTAATGGGATGGCTGGGTCAAATGGTATTTCTAGTTCTTGATCCCTGAGGAATCGCCACACTGACTTCCACAATGGTTGAACTAGTTTACAGTCCCACCAACAGTGTAAAAGTGTTCCTATTTCTCCACATCTTCTCCAGCACCTGTTGTTTCCTGACTTTTTAATGATTGCCATTCTAACTGGTATGAGATGGTATCTCATTGTGGTTTTGATTTGCATTTCTCTGATGGCCAGTGATGGTGAGCATTTTTTCATGTGTTTTTTGGCTGCATAAATGTCTTCTTTTGAGAAGTGTCTGTTCATATCCTTTGCCCACTTTTTGATGGGGTTGTATGTTTTTTTCTTGTAAATTTGTTTGAGTTCATTGTAGATTCTGGATATTAGCCCTTTGTCAGATAAGTAGGTTGTGAAAATTTTCTCCCATTTTGTAGGTTGCCTGTTCACTCTGATGGTAGTTTCTTCTGCTGTGCAGAAGCTCTTTAGTTTAATTAGATCCCATTTGTCAATTTTGGCTTTGGTTGCCATTGCTTTTGGTGTTTTAGACATGAAGTCCTTGCCCATGCCTATGTCCTGAATGGTAATGCCTAGGTTTTCTTCCAGGGTTTTTATGGTTTTAGGTCTAACGTTTAAGACTCTAATCCATATTGAATTGATTTTTGTATAAGGTGTAAGGAAGGGATCCAGTTTGAGCTTTCTACATATGGCTAGCCAGTTTTCCCAGCACCATTTATTAAATAGGGAATCCTTTCCCCATTACTTGTTTTTCTCAGGTTTGTCAAAGATCAGGTAGTTGTAGATATGCGGCATTATTTCTGAGGGCTCTGTTCTGTTCCATTGATCTATATCTCTGTTTTGGTACCAGTACCATGCTGTTTTGCTTACTGTAGCCTTGTAGTATAGTTTGAAGTCAGGTAGTGTGATGCCTCCAGCTTTGTTCTTTTGGCTTAGGATTGACTTGGTGATGCGGGCTCTTTTTTGGTTCCATATGAACTTTAAAGTAGTTTTTTCCAATTCTGTGAAGAAAGTCATTGGTAACTTGATGGGGATGGCATTGAATCTGTAAATTACCTTGGGCAGTATGGCCATTTTCATGATATTGATTCTTCCTACCCATGAGCATGGAATGTTCTTCCATTTGTTTGTATCCTCTTTTATTCCCTTGAGCAGTGGTTTGTAGTTCTCCTTGAAGAGGTCCTTCACATCCCTTGTAAGGTGGATTCCTAGGTATTTTATTCTCTTTGAAGCAATTGTGACTGGGAGTTCACTCATGATTTGGCTCTCTGTTTGTCTGTTGTTGGTGTATAAGAATGCTTGTGATTTTTGTACATTGATTTTGTATCCTGAGACTTTGCTGAAGTTGCTTATCAGCTGAAGGAGATTTTGGGCTGAGACAATGGGGTTTTCTAGATATACAATCATGTCATCTGCAAACAGGGACAATTTGACTTCCTCTTTTCCTAATTGAATACCCTTTATTTCCTTCTCCTGCCTAATTGCCCTGGCCAGAACTTCCAACACTATGTTGAATAGGAGTGGTGAGAGAGGGCATCCCTGTCTTGTGCCAGTTTTCAAAGGGAATGCTTCCAGTTTTTGCCCATTCAGTATGATATTGGCTGTGGGTTTGTCATAGATAGCTCTTATTATTTTGAGATACGTCCCATCAATACCTAATTTATTGAGAGTTTTTAGCATGAAGGGCTGTTGAATTTTGTCAAAGGCCTTTTCTGCATCTATTGAGATAATCATGTGGTTTTTGTCTTTGGTTCTGTTTATATGCTGGATTACATTGATTGATTTGCGTATATTGAACCAGCCTTGCATCCCAGGGATGAAGCCCACTTGATCATGGTGGATAAGCTTTTTGATGTGCTGCTGGAGTCGGTTTGCCAGTATTTTACTGAGGATTCTTGCATCAATGTTCATCAAGGATACTGGTCTAAAATTCTCTTTTTTGGTTGTGTCTCTGCCCGGCTTTGGTATCAGGATGATGCTGTCCTCATATAATGAGTTAGGGAGGATTCCCTCTTTTTCTATTGATTGGAATAGTTTCAGAAGGAATGGTACCAGTTCCTCCTTGTACCTCTGGTAGAATTCGGCTGTGAATCCATCTGGTCCTGGACTCTTTTTGGTTGGCAAGCTATTGATTATTGCCACAATTTCAGCTCCTCTTATTCGTCTATTCAGAGACTCAATTTCTTCCTGGTTTAGTCTTGGGAGAGTGTATGTTTCAAGGAATTTATCCATTTCTTCTAGATTTTCTAGTTTATTTGAGTAGAGGTGTTTGTAGTATTCTCTGATGGTAGTTTGTATTTCTGTGGGATCGGTGGTGATATCTTCTTTATCATTTTTTATTGCATCTATTTGATTCTTCTCTCTTTTTCTCTTTATTAGTCTTGCTAGTGGTCTATCAATTTTGTTGATCCTTTCAAAAAACCAGCTCCTGGATTCATTAATTTTTTGAAGGGTTTTTTGTGTCTCTATTTCCTTCAGTTCTGCTCTGATTTTAGTTATTTCTTGCCTTCTGGTAGCTTTTGAATGTGTTTGCTCTTGCTTTTCTAGTTCTTTTAATTGTGATGTTAGGGTGTCAATTTTGGATCTTTCCTGCTTTCTCTTGTGGGCATTTAGTGCTATAAATTTCCCTCTACACACTGCTTTGAATGTGTCCCAGAGATTCTAGTATGTTGTGTCTTTGTTCTCGTTGGTTTCAAAGAACATCTTTATTTCTGCCTTCATTTCGTTATGTACCCAGTAGTCATTCAGGAGCAGGTTGTTCAGTTTCCATGTAGTTGAGCGGCTTTGAGTGAGATTCTTAATCCTGAGTTCTAGTTTGATTGCACTGTGGTCTGAGAGATAGTTTGTTATAATTTCTGTTCTTTTACATTTGCTGAGGAGAGCTTTACTTCCAAGTATGTGGTCAATTTTGGAATAGGTGTGGTGTGGTGCTGAAAAAAATGTATAGTCTGTTGATTTGGGGTGGAGAGTTCTGGAGATGTCTATTAGGTCCGCTTGGTGCAGAGCTGAGTTCAATTCCTGGGTATCCTTGTTGACTTTCTGTCTCATTGATCTGTCTAATGTTAACAGTGGGGTGTTAAAATCTCCCATTATTAATGTGTGGGAGTCTAAGTCTCTTTGTAGGTCACTCAGGACTTGCTTTATGAATCTGGGTGCTCCTGTATTGGGTGCATATATATTTAGGATAGTTAGCTCTTCTTGTTGAATTGATCCCTTTACCATTATGTAATGGCCTTCTTTGTCTCTTTTGATCTTTGTTGGTTTAAAGTCTCTTTTATCAGAGACTAGGATTGCAACCCTTGCCTTTTTTTGTTTTCCATTTGCTTGGTAGATCTTCCTCCATCCTTTTATTTTGAGCCTATGTGTGTCTCTGCATGTGAGATGGGTTTCCTGAATACAGCACACTGATGGGTCTTGACTCTTTAACCAATTTGCCAGTCTGTGTCTTTTAATTGGAGAATTTAATCCATTTACATTTAAAGTTAATATTGTTATGTGTGAATGTGATCCTGTCGTTATGATGTTAGCTGGTTATTTTGCTCGTTAGTTGATGCAGTTTCTTCCTAGTCTCGATGGTCTTTACCTTTTGGCATGATTTTGCAGCGGCTGGTATCGGTTGTTCCTTTCCATGTTAAGCGCTTCCTTCAGGAGCTCTTATAGGGCAGGCCTGGTGGTGACAAAATCTCTCAGCATTTGCTTGTCTGTAAAGTATTTTATTTCTAATTCACTTATGAAGCTTAGTTTGGCTGGATATGAGATTCTGGGTTGAAAGTTCTTTTCTTTAAGAATGTTGAATATTGGCCCCCACTCTCTTCTGGCTTGTAGAGTTTCTGCTGAGAGATCTGCTGTTAGTCTGATGGGCTTCCCTTTGAGGGTAACCCGACCTTTCTCTCTGGCTGCCCTTAACATTTTTTCCTTCATTTCAACTTTGGTGAATCTGACAATTATGTGTCTTGGAGTTGCTCTTCTCGAGGAGTATCTTTGTGGCGTTCTCTGTATTTCCTGAATCTGAACGTTGGCCTGCCTTGCTAGATTGGGGAAGTTCTCCTGGATAATATCCTGCAGAGTGTTTTCCAACTTGGTTCCATTCTCCCGGTCACTTTCAGGTACACCAATCAGACGTAGATTTGGTCTTTTCACATAGTCCCATATTTCTTGGAGGCTTTGCTCGTTTCCTTTTATTCTTTTTTCTCTAAACTTCCCTTCTCACTTCATTTCATTCATTTCATCTTCCATTGCTGATACCCTTTCTTCCAGTTGATCGCATCGGCTCCTGAGGCTTCTGCGTTCTTCACGTAGTTCTCGAGCCTTGGTTTTCAGCTCCATCAGCTCCTTTAAGCACTTCTCTGTATTGGTTATTCTAGTTATACATTCTTCTAAATTTTTTTCAAAGTTTTCAACTTCTTTGCCTTTGGTTTGAATGTCCTCCCGTAGCTCAGAGTAATTTGATTGTCTGAAGCTTTCTTCTCTCAGCTCGTCAAAGTCATTCTCTGTCCAGCTTTGTTCCGTTGCTGGTGAGGAACTGCATTCCTTTGGAGGAGGAGAGGCGCTCTGCTTTTAAGAGTTTCCAGTTTTTCTGCTCTGTATTTTCCCCATCTTTGTGGTTTTATCTACTTTTGGTCTTTGATGATGGTGATGTACAGATGGGTTTTTGGTGTGGATGTCCTTTCTGTTTGTTAGTTTTCCATCTAACAGACAGGACCCTCAGCGGCAGGTCCGTTGGAGTACCCTGCCATGTGAGGTGTCAGTCTGCCCCTGCTGGGGGGTGCCTCCCAGTTAGGCTGCTCGGGGGTCAGGGGTCAGGGACCCACTTGAGGAGGCAGTCTGCCCGTTCTCAGATCTCCAGCTGCGTGCTGGGAGAACCACTGCTCTCTTCAAAGCTGTCAGACAGGGATACTTAAGTCTGCAGAGGTTACTGCTGTCTTTTTGTTTGTGTGTGCCCTGCCCCCAGAGGTGGAGCCTACAGAGGCAGGCAGGCCTCCTTGAGCTGTGGTGGGCTCCACCCAGTTGGAGCTTCCTGGCTGCTTTGTTTACCTAAGCAAGCCTGGGCAATGGCAGGCGCCCCTCCCCCAGTCTGGCTGCTGCCTTGCA
This sequence comes from Homo sapiens, assembly GCF_000001405.40. Classification (NCBI taxonomy): domain Eukaryota; kingdom Metazoa; phylum Chordata; class Mammalia; order Primates; family Hominidae; genus Homo; species Homo sapiens. The sequence goes on along the minus strand of NC_000014.9, from coordinate 79,768,170 downwards.
GTTTGATCTCAGACTGCTGTGCTAGCAATCAGGGAGACTCCGTGGGCGTAGGACCCTCCGAGCCAGGTGAGGGATATAATCTCCTGGTGCGCCATTTTTTAAGCCCGTCGGAAAAGCACAGTATTCAGGTGGGAGTGACCCAATTTTCCAGGTGCCGTCTGTCACCACTTTCTTTGACTAGGAAAGGGAACTCCCTGACCCCTTGCGCTTCCCGAGTGAGGCAATTCCTCACCCTGCTTTGGCTCGCGCACGGTGCATGCACCCAGTGACCTGCGCCCACTGTCTTGCACTCCCTAGTGAGATGAACTCGGTACCTCAGATGGAAATGCAGAAATCACCCATCTTCTGCGTTGCTCCCGCTGGGAGCTGTAGACCAGAGCTGTTCCTGTTCAGCCATCTTGGCTCCTCCCCCCTGATTTCTAATTCTAACTTCATCACCTATCAGCTGTGTAACTTTGGGTGACTTACTTTTTTTATTCCTCAGTGTTATCCATTTAATAGGGACTGTTATGAGAATTAAGTGAATTAATACATATAATGTGTTTAGAACAGTATAGGACATATGATAAGTACCCCAGCTGATGCTGGCTGATTTAATAATGATGGTATAGATGATGTTACTTATTAGGAAGAAAGGAACATTCATCACTTAATTACACAAATGTGTCACTGACAATTTATAGCACTGTAAAAGAGAAATGCATGAGGTTATGACAGCATATAAGTGAAAAATCTGACATGGTCAGGGAACTCAGGGAAGATTTCTCTGAGTAAAAAAATAACGTGAGTGCTGAGAAATAAGAACATTAATAGGCAAGAGTGGCAGGAAGAAAAGAGGATTTCATATAAACAGCACATGCAAAAGCCCTTTGTTGGAAGGCAGCAACATTTCCCATTAGTGAAATTAAAGTAAGGTCTGTAATATTGAAGCCCAGAGAATGGGCCCCAGTAGGGCTGGGAGGAAGAAGGCAGACCTAGTGAAGAATAAGACTACAGAGGCAGGAGACAGATTGTACTGGACCTTGTAGGCCATATTAAGGATTTTGTCTTCTCCAAGAGCAATGGGAAGTCATTGCAGTAATTTTTACACAAGAACAAGAATTTGCATTAATGTTCTGGCTCAAAGCTTATCAGGAAATAAACCAAAAAACAAGTGAGCAAGTAGTGTCATAAGTATCACGGTGATCCAGGGGTCTCTGCCATCTACCACTTCCTGGTATGCTATTCGGCCTTATTTCTTGTTACTCCTCAGCTTGCAAACCCACTTCCAGCAAAGCCAGACTACTTGCAATTCCAAATGCACCATGTAGGTTCACCACTATATTCTGTGCATGTGGCAATCTCTGCCAACCATGCCCTTCTTCTTCCTGCCTGCCTGCTAACCCCTACTAGTCCTTTGTAGCTTGGCTTTAAGATCAGCCAATAACATGGTAAATACTCAAGAAATGTTTGACGCCAGCACAAATGAACTCATGTAAATTCTAACATAAATGTTTTAGACAGGCTCAGCTTTGCCAGAGCTAAGAAGATCTTTGTGAGATTACACATTCAAAACTACCAGGAAGGAAGCCAGCAAGCAGCTTCAACTTTTTAAATTGAATCCAATTCCCCAGAATGCAATGATGACAAGACCCCTTGGCCAGTGGTCGTAGGTAGCAGATTCAATGTGATTTCTCTTTATGTGAGAAGACTTGGCTCTTGCCACCATCTGATCATGGAAATTCAGCTCAGGAACAAGCTTTTTGAAAAAAGAAATAAGCGTCTATTAGGGGTGTCAGATAACTCACTGATACATAAGATGCGGACAACCTTTGGCATGAATCGTTAGCCACATGACATGAAGCCATATTACTTCAGCCACTAGATAGAGTGGCAGCCACTATCCTTAGAGAAAAACCCATTCCTAGAGGCTGAGAGGCAAATCATATCACATAATGGCATGAAGTGGACACCATATGAAACCTTTTATCTAAACAAAATAATTAGACAAGCACACAGAGAAGTTATATTAGGATATTTGGTATAGGATATATTATATATAAAATGAAACAATAGAAACAGATCAAGTATTCAACAATAGGGGACTGTTTAAATGAGAATAACCAAAGAACATGTTCCTGAATACAGGTATGCTATATGTTAAAAAATTGATTAATTTTATATATGATGTTTAAAACCCATTTTTTTCTACTTTATACTGGAAACATCTTTACATGTCAATGCACATGTGTGGAGTTATTGTTGAAAGCAAACTGTATGAACATATAAGAACTGTTTTTTTACATACTTGAAGTTTACAAAACTTTTTGAAAGAAAAAAGAATGTAAAAAGTAGTGGAAGATTCCTTCTACTTCCTTACTGGTCATGTTAAACATATGGTCTCACACCGCCAGAGAAGATGAGTTCCTGGACAGAATGACCCTGCACGGGGCTCTCATATTTCATAAGCAGAGATTCATCCATATGGTCAATATTGAATGAGTACCATTTATTTACCTGGCACTATGTGATTTGCTAAAGATATTATAGTGAATGAGAGACAGGGTGATGAGCAAAGTAGCAAATAAATGAGCAATCTATTTAAATAGAGCACGGTGAAGGCATTGCTAGGCACATAGCCATTGTATCTGTCCCCTAATAGTGTCACAGAAGTTCCCACAAATGAGATATTACCACACAGCAAAGGGTTATTGCAAGAGCACATAAGCCAAACGAATGTAAAAGGTGCACTGTTGCATGTAGAATACAGGAAATGTTCAGTGAAGAGTAGAAAAAGAAAAGAAAAATTGTTCCATTGAAAGAGAACTGGGAGGATGTTTTATGCAGAGTTTGCAAGATTTGGATAGGCTACAAGTGAATTGCTTCAGGACGTTTCTATTTATTATACTCACCCATTGGTCTTTTCTCCTTCCTCCTACTGTATAAATCAGCAACACTATCTGATAGCTGAGCTTCTTATCCAGCTAGAAATAATCTTGTATTTTATGCAAGTCTGCCTAAATGTCAGCAGGGCAAAACATGGAAGTTCCATTCAATTTGACAAATAATAAAATGGAAACACTAAAAAGAATTAGATAAGACCATTTGTCTGAAATGACTTGTAGTTGTGTGGTGTGCATGAATGTGCATGGATGTCTATGTAAATGTTGGAAGAAGATGTAGAAGTGGGCGAGACAAATTTAGAGCATATTTAATTGTTTAAAAATCAGAATATTAGTACCTTAAAGGAGAAAAAAATAGTCTAATGGTTCAGATCACAGCATTCCAAAAATGTCAAACAAAACAGTTTTCCAGACTTGAAAGGAATTAGCAGATGCACTAGGGTAAACACTGCCTTGAGAACAGGTCTGTATAGGTGAATGGTTTTGCATGTTTTTTATCCCATTTTTTTGGCCTAGATAAAGTCACATAGCTAATTACTTTCCTCCAGAGCAGCCTGGCCATCAGCCTGCCAGTCAGATTTCTCTGCATAACAGTAACATGGAAGTGTATAAGGAAATGCTCTATGACTGGCAGTTTCCTTGCTTAAAGTTCAGAAAAAAAAAATGAAGGAATAGAGTCTAGAAGAAAAGAAAGAAAACAGCACGGTTTATTAGGTGACCTTAAATGTAGCTGCAGTGGATTCCCTCCCTAGACATGGCCCCCATGCTAGAGCACTGAGTAAAGGCATCAAACAAGATAAAACAATGTAACGGCTCCCTCATTCTCTTGGTTCTCTACTCCTTATCAGCTGAGCTAATATTTACAATGCAATTATTGCTCCGAATGATTAAATACTCTTCCCTTTTCATATAGCTGATTTTCTTTTCAAAGGCTGAGTCACTCTTTGGGGAAAATCTTTTTCTCAGTGGATTCTCCTTCCCTTCCCTCAGCTTTACCTGGATGAAAACAAAGATTATAACATGGCTGCAATTGGTACTAAAGAAATAAGGTTGAAAATGAGGGCAGATGTTCCCTGTTCAACAGAGTTTTGAGGACTGAGAATAAGATCTTAACACCCCCCCCACCCACCAAAAGAAAAAGAAAAACCAGTAACCTAATAATTTATTTACATATATAAAAAAGCTAAGTATCATTGGACAGGGTGAACTATTATTAAACAATGCCACATTTACAAAAGAGTTAATTTTTACTTTAGAAACAACATACCCTCCCTGTGTGTAGCTAAATGTTATTTCATTTTCAGAAAAAGCACAATAAAAGTTAAATAAATTGTTTAAAGCAAATGAAGTCTTTACATGGAAATGAGGATTCAAAATTTACTTCCTCCTAGCTGCCATTGCTATGATCTGAATGTGTGTGCCCCACCCCGCCACCCAAATTTATATATTGAAAGCTAATCACCAGTGTAATGGTATCAGGAGGTGGAGTTTTGGGGAAGTGATTAGGTCATGATGGCAGAGACCTCATAAGTGGGATTAATTCTCTTGAAAAACTGGTCGCAGAAAGACCCCTTGTCCTTTCCACCATGTAAGGACATAACTGGAAGTCGCCATCTATGAACCAGGAAGAAGCTCTCACCAGACATCACATCTGCCAGGGTCTTGATCTCAGACTCCCCAGCCTCCAGATCCGTGACAAATACATTTCTGTTGTTTATAATGTACCTAACTTTGTGGCATTTTGTTAGAGCACCCTAAATGGACTAAGATAGCTATCTGCCTTTGAAACTCACTGTCATGAATGGCATTAGTCAGTTTTATGCAACCTGTCCTTAAAAACAATTGATCCAGCAATCCCATTACTGGGTGTATACCCAAAGGATTATAAATCATTCTACTATAAAGACACATGCACACGTATGTATAAATCATTCTGCTATAAAGACACATGCACATGTATGTCTATTGCAGCACTATTCACAACAGCAAAGACTTGGAACCAATCCAAATGCCAATCAGTGATAGACTGGATAAAGAAAATGTGGCACGTATACACCATGGAATACTATGCAACCATAAAAAAGGATGAGTTCATATCCTTTGCAGGGACATGGATGAAGCTGGAAACCATCATTTTCAGCAAACTAACACAGGAACAGAAAACCAAACACCGTATGTTCTCACTCATAAGTGGGAGTTGAACAATGAGAACGCATGGACACAGGGAGGGGGGAACATCACATACCAGGGCCTGTCAGGGGGTGGGAGGCTAGGGGAGGGATAGCATTAGGAAAAATACCTAATGTAGATGACAGGTTGGTGAGTGCAGCAAACTACCATGGCACGTGTATACCTATGTAACAAACCTGCATATTCTGCACATGTCCCCCAGGACTTAAAGTATAATTTTTAAAAAATTGAAGAAAAGAAAAAACAGATGTTCATTTAACTCTCCATGAAAATGTTTGTATGATACTATCACTTTGCCTCTCTCTTAAGTAATGGTGATAATGAGAAGATGAAAAATAGCCACTACAACTTATTGGGTTTTTTCTTTGTGACAGGCATCGCACGAAACCAATAACCATGGGTTGCCACATTTAATCCTCACAACAATTCTATAAGGCCAGTTCTATTATTAGATCTTCCTTTCACAAACAAGAAAATAAGACTTACAGAAGCCAAACATATTGATAAGAAAATGGAGTTAATAAGCGATGGACATATGAACTCAGTCTTGCTAACATCAGAGCATCAACATTTAACTCATTGGCAATTTTACCTTTTAAGAAAAAAAATTTATTAAATTGAAAAAAAAAAAGTGAAGCCAGGAAATCTCTGAAAGCTTTGGGTCATACCCACAGATTAGCCATTTTATAATACCTTTACATTTCAAGCAACCTTCTTTCTTCAGTTCAACATCTGCTTCGACACACTTTCTAACTACTTGAGCATGCGAGTGCAGCATTTCATAAATCAGATTATGTGCAAAACTAATTCAATCACTTATTGGAAAGAGTTAATGCACTAATTTTCTTACAAGGAATATACTGCCATAACCTGCTTGATTTCGTAGTGCTAGCAATTTTTCTAATACTGTTTTATGAAGTCACCCAGACTGATTCCTCTGGAGTATGGTAGAAGTAAGAATTATAATATGCTGAGATACAGAACTCCATAAAGGCAGTTTTGAGGCTTCCCCCTAACCTTGTTTCCAATATAAAATCAGCATTCCCCTAGACATCTTACACAAATCAATTCAGGATGCAAATTCTTGACTTTGTGAATTTATAGTCACCCAAGAGTGACTGCTACAAGCAAATGCTTATGCTGAGTGCAGGGTCAGGAACAAGCTAATGTTTCTCTCAAGTTTATGGCTTCAAAGGCACAAAAATGTCTGATAGATAAGACATCCTCTTCCTTTTAATTCTGGCCTTTAGCCAGAACACATGAAAAGCTAAAGATTTTCCTTTTGTATATGAGTAGATTTAGCTTCTTAATACACATAATCAAAATATAAATTATTTGATTCAAAACTGGACACTACTGCTGAATTGAGAATACTTCTAGTGAGATCTATTTTTTTTTTTTTTTTTTTTTTTTTGAGACAGAGTCTCGCTTTGTTGCCAGGCTGGAGTGCAGTGGTGCCATCTTGGCAAGCTCCGCCTCCCGGGTTCACGCCATTCTCCTGCCTCAGCCTCCCGAGTAGCTGAGACTACAGGCGCCTGCCACCACGCCCAGCTAATTTTTGTATTTTTAGTAGATACTGGGTTCACCATGTTGGCCAGGATGAGATCCAGTTCTACAGAAGATAAGATTTCAAAGAAATCCACCTACTGTTGGTCAGACAGCCATGGCCTAAGGAGAAAGGTTTTGGAGTATAACAGATGTTTGGAAAAAAATAGAATGCAGTTCTCTTCTCTATTGACCAAACAATTTGTGTCATATTTGAGGGAACAACATTCTTCACACCCAGCTATGATGAAGGATCATTGCGTTGAACTGAGCTTTAAGTTCGCTGCTTCCTTATCAGATAATACAATACAGAAGGCCAAAGGAAGAGGAGCCGTCGGATGACAAAATGCTTCTTAGTTACTGTTGACTCAAAAGCTAAGGTCAACAACAGAAGACAAATATTAAATATATAAAAATATATTAAATCTTTTTTTGCATTATCTGTCACTGTTCTATTACATCTCCAGAGGGCGGGATCTCTCTTGGCCATCTCAACTCCTCTGTCCCCTTCCTCATGATCACTTCACAAAGTATTAAAATGTGTTCTTTTTCTCTATTGGATAGAGCTCATTTGTTATTCACATAATTATGGAAAAGGGTTATGAAGTGAATCCATCCTCAGGCCACCCTCAGTAACCATGGGCAGGGGGGCAGGCACATGTAAATCCAAGGCTACTGAGCTGAGGTGATGCCTCGCAGCCAGAGTTTTGCAGGCATACCCACAGAAATCTTTGTGCTCTTCTAATTTGCGGTAGGTGCACTTTGTCAGCATCGCGATAACCCAGAAGAGAACACGTGTAGATGGCCTCTATGAAGCTCTTTTGCTTGTTAGCAGCTGGTCAAAGTTAGCAGAAATGGAAGGAAGTGAACTCAACCAACAAAAGAGAACTGAGCAATTCATCCCGGGTAAGGCTCTTTCTTTGCATTTTAAAACAAATCTATTTTGTTTCAAGATTCCCCTTGCTGTTTGTGAAAAATTTTTTTTTTAGTTATGTACTGTTTGAATATTTTTTCTCCTTATTTTTCTCTTCCACTTTTTTCTTCTTGTCTTTGTAACTTCTTTCCTTTAAAGAGAATACCACGGGCCAAACAGCTGCGTTATTTCTCACAGAGGCTTAAAAAAAAAAAAAAAGGTTAAGTTATCCCTACTTACACTCTAGGCCTTTGAATTAGAAATAAGAATTATTATATTTTTAAATCTCAGGGAATATAACTGATATTTGTATTAGGAGGTTCTGGGTCCTTCTTTTAGTTAGTTACCACTCCATTTTTAAAGATAAATGTTCTCAGACTTTCTAACTATCACTGGGTCTTAATTAGCTCGCCACACTTTTTTCTAATGAGAAGTATTATGCCATGGTTGGATATAACCCCATTTTATTTTTGCCCTATTAATAACTGTTTGTCTTTTTTACCTTGGACAAGTGTATTTTATGTGCTGATGTACTCAGTTGGAAATTTACACACATGCACACACATAGTATATATATGTATTTGAAAGCTGTAGGCAGAGGGTAATTTCCCAGTAGACCAACTACAGGAATCATCTTGCCTGAGTTCTAATATGCATCTTAGTCATGTAACACAGAATTCATTTTCCTGATCCTATTCTTATGTCAAATTCAGAAGCTAAAAATATTCATACAGACAGATCTTGTCTTCCCACGTGACCCCATTCAAATGTCATATAGATATATTTTGATCTGACTTCCATTGCCAGATAAACAGCACAGATTTTCTTTCTTCCAAAAAAATGAATTTCTTATGTGTGTTTCTTCCTAATCAAGACATTCTATTCCATCCTGAGAATAATCCATATTATTCTTATGATAACTTTATTACCAAGCTTGGGTAAAAACTTTATGTCAGGAATAGCAGATATTTGCTTTGAAGTAACAGTTTAAATTATTTCTGAAATTAAATACTTTACTAGAAATATGACTTCAAGTTTTTCCTTTGAATGTCACATAATAAAGCAATTGTCATTAGAAGTAGAAATAAGACTTCTAGGAGGAATTTGCTCTCCTTGATAAGACTGAAAGAAGATAGCTTTTTTTAATTGCTCAAATAAAAGATTTTATAGAAGTATACGTAAGGTATTTTTTTTTTATTTACTCTGAATACTCCTAGGACCAATAACTGAAGAAAACAAGGTTTACATTTCATTGGGCTTTTTTTCTTGTAAAAACAGCAGAGAAAGAATACTGTCAATAGTAAAAGACAGGTCTATCAAAGTGTGCACTGTCAGTAATGAAGTATTCTTTGGCTATTTCTGGGTATCAGCAGTTGGTCTTCTTAAGCCTTAGCCACTTCTTATTAAAAAGTATGTTTACTACCCAGTTATAACAAGAAGTTCTGACTTGAAAGAGAAATTGGCCTCCTTAACTTCTTACTGTCAGGGAGAACTGAAACTACTAGATGGTTTTGCCAAACCTCAAAACATTTTATCTTGCCACTATCTAAAAAAATCTTATTACATGGTATCACCAACTTTGTCTCCCACCCCCTGCAATGTCTTTTCCTCCAAGAGCTGATTTCTGTAATACTGAAAATGTTTAGTAGAATAAGAGGATATTAAGGCAAACAAAAAATTAAAGATAATTTTGTCCAATTTCTCTCTTCCAAGGATGAGAAAGCTGAGTCTCTTGCAGTTTAAATGACTTCTCTGGGCAGTTGTAGCTTGGCAACCCATGCTAGAAAACCAAACCTTGAGAGGTAAAAAGGTTTTTGAATAATGCTTGTGTGGTTGGACAACAGTCCCGTTAAGGTTTCTTGCAATGCTGAGTGTGTATAATCAGTTTACCTTCTACTAAGCCACACTATCTCTGGTTCTCTTTGGATTTTGGACACTGTTGAACACGTCCTGGACCTAACTGGGCATTTGTTTGGAGATATAGTATCCTTGTGCAGTTCACCCTTTTATGTCCTTTAGGAATTTAATAGTTTGGATATTTGTCCCCTCCAGATCCCATGTTGAAATGTGATCCCCAATGTTGGAGGTAGGGCCTAGTAGGAGGTGTTTGGTCATGGGGCAGATCCCGCATGAATGGCTTGGTGCCTTCCTCGAGGTAATGAGTGAGTTCTTTTATTTTCATGAAATCTGATTGTTAAAAACTGCCTGAACCTCCTATCCTCTCTCTTGCTCTCCCTCTCTCTCCATGAGATCTCTACACATAGCTCTCCTTCCCCTTCTGCCATGAGTGAAAGCTTCCTAGGGGCAGCACCAGAAGGAGATGCTGGTGCCATGCTTCTTGCACAGGCTGCAAAACTATGAGCCCTAATAAACCTCTTTTCTTTGTAAATTACTCAGTCTCACATGTTTCTTTATAGCAACGCAAAACAAAGACAGGAAGCCAAAAATACATATAAAGGGAATAAGAGGGAATTAGAAATCAACCTGCTGACCAAAAATGAAGACAATTTGTTAAACTTGCTCCATGAAGGTAATTCTATTTTGTTCCACAGGACTTAGTTTCCTGTAAAAAACAAAAATAAACAAAAAAACTAGCAAATTCCCTTAAGGTCAGTTCACAACACACTCTACTTTAATGGATAATGTATATTTATTGGAGGGGAAAAAAAGTATATTTCTTATTGTCCAAAGGCTTAAAATAGCTTTGTGAGCTGACAACAGAAAAAAATTAATGTGGTTTCTTTTGCTTTGACCTGATATTCACCTTTTGATGATAGGATGGTCTCTCGGATGATAGGCCTCTCCACGGGATCCTAAACTTAATAGTATCTAAAAAGTTGAGAGTGATTTAACAAACTGTTGGATTTTAATCCTTCATCTCACATAAGAAGAAATCAAGGTCCTGAAAGGTCATGTCCAAGGTCATACTACAGCTTAGCGGCAGACCTAGGCAGGAACTCAGGAGTCCTAACTTCTAGGCTAGCATTCTTCCCACTGCATCATGCTGTACCTATTTTGAAACTAGATGGATGACACCAAATGCTTCACAGAATTTTGAAATTGCTGATACAAACATACACATATGCTTTGGATTAAAACAGGAGGAGAAAAAGAGCAGAGCTAATTAAAACTGCAGGGAGAATTTATAATAATTTCACCAGATATAATATCACCATTAATTTTGCTTGGTCTTCTCAATAATATCAGGAAACCCATCAGTGATTAGACAACGCCCTGCTTCTGTTTGGGCTTTTCTGCAAGACGGGACCATCATCAGGACGATGATAACAGTACCAAGGTGGTCTTATTTCCCCCTAGTTGTTCTGACATCAATGCACCCATCAAGAGCAAACATGTTGCATCTCTTTTGTGTCCTCATTTTACAACTATCTTTATTTGCTTTCCATCTGAATACGTTGTTGCTAATCTGAGAGCAGGAGAGAGCCCCTGAAGAAAACTAATTTGCACACAGCTGCAATTAATCAGACGGCTTGGAGAGGTGTAGTGAACCCAAATGTCCTCTTGAAATGGGAAGCTTAAGTACCAGTAGGGCTTTGTGGGGACCAAGCTCACCTGGTTCTGAAGGTGAAGCTAGACCTCAGAGCATGAGGAATAACTACTAATTTGGCGTTCCAACAAGGCCACAGCCTTCAGAGGGTACATTTCATGTGAACCCTTAGCTAAGGAATACAGCAGAGGCACAAAACATCTGCTGACCACTCACAAAAGCAAGGATTGTCGGAAAACATTCTATTCTTTGTTTTCCTTCCCTCACTAGCTGAACTTTCGGGTTCCCAGTAGTAAAGCCAGTTTTTATATTTAGTTTCATTCTCAGATCTCCTGGGTGAGTGGGCTTATAGATTTTGGTCAGAGGGATGGATAACTCAAGCCCAAAATTCTCTAGGCAAAATATTCACTTATTGGGAGCACTTTGACTGGATGCTTTTTTGAAATGGATAATTTGACTGGTATAAGAAAGTTAGATTGGAAAACTCCCTGTTACTGGCATTATCTGCTTTGGCACAGGCTGGAAAACAGCACTTTGGGGCAGAATATTAATATTTCGTTCTCTGGTTGGAATTGGTACATGCTGATGTGACAAAAGCTATAAAAGAAGAGCACATTTTTCAAATATATATTTAATGGTAAAAAGACAAGTTAAGTTTCATATCCATATTCAATTGATTTTTATTTTGTTCAGATGTTTCAACTGGCCCCAGAAAGAAAGATCCTCTCTAAAAGCAAAATAATCACGCTTCAGAGCTAGAAAAGAAAAACTTTTTATAAATGACTCAAAGGCAAGATGACCCATTTCTGATTTATATGATGATATGAACCCAGAGTGGGAGAGGAAGAAGGAAAGTGTATCTGAGTATGTTTGAGAATTAAATGCCAAAAATCAGACACTTCTATATTTTGTGAGGAAATCATGGTTTACTATGATTTTCAGAAAAGTCATCAACAGTTCATTTAACTTGGCTCTGGGTACTTCGTTCCCTCGTATGTGTTCCAGACTCATGCCTGCCAGTTATGTTTTCAGATTGAAGCAGAGCTATGATGATTTTCCAGGGGCTATTAAAGTCCCTACAAGAGAATTACCAAAATAAAGATAGAGGTAAGAGATTTTCTGGAGGTAGAAGCCAGAAAGTAAATGAAAATTACTTACTTTTCAATTATAAGAGTGGGGACTGACCATTGTTTAAAGATAACTATACAAATTGACACTGTTAAGTAAAGCTTAAATGTGAAAATCAGGATTTGCATAGGAGATAAGATAAAGTAAGGGGTGATTATTTGCTTAGAAAAAAGGTTTATAATAAAGTTCATTAAAATAGTAAGTTCTTCCTCATCCTTAAACAATGGCATGATTTCCAAGAATTCAATTCCTATCTGACTATTCAGGAACCTGCCTAGCATAAAAAGCAAGCTACACAGAGCCATGCAAGTAAATGTAAATGATCCTGGCTAAGTGTGGCTGCAGTTTGTCTCTCTATGATCATAGAGACATTGCTGGAAGACAATAAGAATGGTAGGGAGTTGAAAAGAAAAATATTAGAATGAGTTGTAGAGAAAGACAGTAAACTACTTCTAGCAAAAAAAAAAAAAAATCTTCGGTATTTTTACTTCATAAAAAATGGAAGTGGGGGTATTTCCAGACCAAGATAGAAATGAGAGCCTTTTATTAGGCAGAAAACCAGAAAGCAAGGGATTTACACTGTAGAGGAATCTAGGTTATGTTCTAAGAAAAAAACAAATATACATATGTAGATACAGATAGATGCAGAGGGAGAGAGAATGATATTCATATAAACCGTAGATTCAAAAAACAAAAATATAAATAATACAACAAAATATACAAATTTTAAAACATAGTATAACAGGCATTTACATAGCATTTACATTGTTTTAGGTATTATAACTAATCTAGAGATGATTTAAAGTACGTGAGAGGATATGTATAGGTTTATATCATATAAATGAGAAATGGGTCATCTTGACTTTGAGTCACTTATAAAAAGTTTTTTTCTGCTTCTGAAGAGTGATTATTTTGCTTTTACAGAGTGTATTAAACCATTCTCACACTTCTATAAAGATATACCTGAGACTGAGTAATTTATAAAGGAAAAAGGCATAATTGACTCACAGTTCTGCATGGCTGGGAAGGCCTCAGGAAACTTACAATTATGGCAGAAGATGAAGGGAAAGCAAAGACCTTCTTCGCATGGCAGCTTAAAGAAGGGAAGAGCAGAGCGAAGGGGGAAGAGCCTCTTATGAAACCATCAGATCTTGTGAGAACTCACCCACTACCACAAGAACAGCATGCGGAAACCGTTCCATAATCCAATCACCTCCCGAGAGGTCCCTCCCACAACAAACAGGGATTACAATTCAGATGATAATTCAAGATGAGATTTGGGTGGGCACACAGAGCCAGAACACATCAGAGTGGATCTTTCTTCCTAGGGGCCAGTTGAAACATTTGAATAAAATATCAGTTTATAAATACATGTAAATATACATACGTGTGTGTGTATGTGTGTGTATATATATGTGTGTGTGTGTGTGTGTATGTGTGCATATATATATATATATATATATATATATATATATATATATATATATATATATATATATATCAAGAGAGAGTGAGAGTGAGTCTTCCCTCTGTATCCATCAAGGGGATTGATTCCAGGACCCCTGTGGATACAAAATCTGGAGATGTTCAAGTCCCTAATGGCACAGTATTTGCATATAATCTATACACATCCTCCCTGTACTTTATTTATTTATGTTTTTGAGATGGAGTCTCGCTCTGTCGTCCAGGCCAGAGTGAAGTGATGCAATCTCAACTCACTGCAAATTCTGCCTCTCCCTGGTTTAAGTGATTCTTATGCCTCAGCCTCCCGAGCAGCTGGGATTACAGCCATGTGCCACCACACCTGAATAATTTTTGTTTTTGTTTTTGTTTTTTCTTCTTTTAGTAGAGACAGGGGTTTCACCATGTTGGCCAGGCTGGTCTTGAACTCCCAACCTTACGTGATCCACCTGCCTCGGCCTCCCAAAGTGCTGGGATTACAGGCATGAGCCACTGCCCCCATGCCTGTGTACTTTTTTTTTAAAGTACTCTCCCATGTACTTTAAATCATCTCTAAATTAGGTATAATACCTAAAACAATATAACTGCTGTGTAAATGGCTGTTATACTGTGTTTTAAAATTTGTATTTTTGTTGTTGTTATTTTGTTTGTTTGCTTTGCTTTTTGAATCCATGGGTGGTTGAATCTGTGGATGGGGAACCTGTGAATATATATACAGAGGACTGTATATATAAAATCTCACATCGTGTTAGGCATATGAGAATGACAGGTGGGCAGGCTTAGGCAACTCAATTAGAAATTTCTTTTTATTATTATTATTATTATTATACTTTAAGTTTTAGGGTACATATGCACAATGTGCAGGTTAGTTATATATGTATACATGTGCCATGCTGGTGTGCTGCACCCATTAACTCGTCATTTAGCATTAGTTATATTTCCTAATGCTATCCCTCCCCCCTCCCCCCACCCCACAACAGTCCCCAGAGTGTGATGTTCCCCTTCCTGTGTCCATGTGTTTTCATTGTTCAATTCCCATCTATGAGTGAGAACATGCGGTGTTTTGTTTTTTGTCCTTGCGATAGTTTGCTGAGAAAGATGATTTCCAATTTCATCCATGTCCCTACAAAGGACATGAACTCATCATTTTTTATGGCTGCATAGTATTCCATGGTATATATGTGCCACATTTTCTTAATCCTGTCTATCATTGTTGGACATTTGGGTTAGTTCCAAGTCTTTGCTATTGTGAATAGTGCCGCAATAAACATACGTGTGCATGTGTCTTTATAGCAGCATGATTTATAGTCCTTTGGGTATATACCCAGTAATGGGATGGCTGGGTCAAATGGTATTTCTAGTTCTTGGTCCCTGAGGAATCGCCACACTGACTTCCACAATGGTTGAACTAGTTTACAGTCCCACCAACAGTGTAAAAGTGTTCCTATTTCTCCACATCCTCTCCAGCACCTGTTGTTTCCTGACTTTTTAATGATTGCCATTCTAACTGGTGTGAGATGGTATCTCATTGTGGTTTTGATTTGCATTTCTCTGATGGCCAGTGATGATGAGCATTTTTTCATGTGTCTTTTGGTTGCATAAATGTCTTCTTTTGAGAAGTGTCTGTTCATATCCTTTGCCCACTTTTCCATGGGGTTGTTTGTTTTTTTTCCTGTAAATTTGTTTGAGTTCATTGTAGATTCTGGATATTAGCCCTTTGTCAGATGAGTAGGTTGTGAAAATTTTCTCCCATTTTGTAGGTTGCCTGTTCACTCTGATGGTAGTTTCTTCTGCTGTGCAGAAGCTCTTTAGTTTAATTAGATCCCATTTGTCAATTTTGGCTTTTGTTGCCATTGCTTTTGGTGTTTTAGACATGAAGTCCTTGCCCATGCCTATGTCCTGAATGGTAATGCCTTGGTTTTCTTCTAGGGTTTTTATGGTTTTAGGTCTAACATTTAAGTCTTTAATCCATCTTGAATTAATTTTTGTATAAGGTGTAAGGAAGGGATCCAGTTTCTGCTTTCTGCATATGGCTAGCCAGTTTTCCCAGCACCATTTATTAAATAGGGAATCCTTTCCCCATTGCTTGTCTTTCTCAGGTTTGTCAAAGATCAGATAGTTGTAGATATGCAGCGTTATTTCTGAGGGCTCTGTTCTGTTCCATTGATCTATATCTCTGTTTTGGTACCAGTACCATGCTGTTTTGGTTACTGTAGCCTTGTAGTATAGGCTGCAGTAACCAAAACAGACTAAACCAGGAAGAATTTGAATCTCTGAATAGACCAATAACAGGATCTGAAATTGTGGCAATAATCAATAGCTTACCAAGCAAAAAGAGTCCAGGACCAGATGGATTCACAGCCGAATTCTACCAGAGGTACAAGGCGGAACTGGTACCATTCCTTCTGAAACTATTCCAATCAATAGAAAAAGAGGAAATCCTCCCTAACTCGTTTTATGAGGCCAGCATCATCCTGATACCAAAGCTGGACAGAGACACAACCAAAAAAGAGAATTTTAGACCAATATCCTTGATGAACATTGATGCAAAAATCCTCAATAAAATACTGGCAAACCGAATCCAGCAGCGCATCAAAAAGCTTATCCACCATGATCGAGTGGGCTTCATCCCTGGGATGCAAGGCTGGTTCAATATATGCAAATCAATCAATGTAATCCAGCATATAAACAGAACCAAAGACAAAAACCACATGATTATCTCAATAGATGCAGAAAAGGCCTTTGACAAAATTCAACAGCCCTTCATGCTAAAAACTCTCAATAAATTAGGTATTGATGGGACGTATCTCAAAATAATAAGAGCTATCTATGACAAACCCACAGCCAATATCATACTGAATGGGCAAAAACTGGAAGCATTCCCTTTGAAAACTGGCACAAGACAGGGATGCCCTCTCTCACCACTCCTATTCAACATAGTGTTGGAAGTTCTAGCCAGGGCAATTAGGCAGGAGAAGGAAATAAAGGGTATTCAATTAGGAAAAGAGGAAGTCAAATTGTCCCTGTTTGCAGATGACATGATTGTATATCTAGAAAACCCCATTGTCTCAGCCCAAAATCTCCTTCAGCTGATAAGCAACTTCAGCAAAGTCTCAGGATACAAAATCAATGTACAAAAATCACAAGCATTCTTATACACCAACAACAGACAAACAGAGAGCCAAATCATGAGTGAACTCCCAGTCACAATTGCTTCAAAGAGAATAAAATACTTAGGAATCCAACTTACAAGGGATGTGAAGGACCTCTTCAAGGAGAACTACAAACCACTGCTCAATGAAATAAAAGAGGATACAAACAAATGGAAGAACATTCCATGCTCATGGGTAGGAAGAATCAATATCGTGAAAATGGCCACACTGCCCAAGGTAATTTACAGATTCAATGCCATCCCCATCAAGCTACCAATGACTTTCTTCACAGAATTGGAAAAAACTACTTTAAAGTTCATATGGAACCAAAAAAGAGCCTGCATCGCCAAGTCAATCCTAAGCCAAAAGAACAAAGCTGGAGGCATCACAGCTTTGTTTCAATTAGAAATTTCATGTTAAAAGGTAAGGTTCAATTCAGAGAGCATACCATCATCCCCATAATAAGCACAGTATATTTTCATACCTTTCTCTAGAAGCAAGAGATTAGCTGTCCTATCTAAGGTTCTCTCTGGTCACCCTGACATTTTACTTTTTGGGGGGTTTTAATTATCAGAAACAGGTAGAAAATAGTATCAATGACAAAGTCAAAGATGGCTAATGAGGAAGAGTCCTTGCGACTCCACAGAAGTATTTTAGGACCCTGACTTTGCGGAATGAGAGATGTATGACTCAGTCAATAAGACAAGATGGCATTGAATACTATAACCTGCCCTGATTGGGTGGGGAGGCTGTTTCCTAATGGGTAGGAAAATCAGTACCCCCAGGTTCTACTTTCAGGTCTCATGTTGACTTAGCTTTTGTGACCTTCATCAAACAGATTTGATTACAGATGAATTCACAAAGTATGTCATAGAATAGAGAATCATAAAGACAACTTGCTGAAAGTCTAAATTCACAAATGGGACAAGGGCAAAAAGAGATTCAGGTCCAAAGGCAGCAGCAGCATGGGTTACTTCCATAACAGAGTCTACATTGGTAAGAATGCAAATATAAGGACATAGTTGAGCACATAATTACTTAAAAAATGCTAACCAGTAAAAATTTAATGTGTCCTTGTTTACATTTCAGGTGTAGGATAAAAAAATAGAAATAAATTGTCTTATTACTTCTCCCTGGTTTGTCACTCAGACTCACCACTATACAGGCTTTCCTTCAACTAGGCTGAGTCCCTATTCTTACTCTCCAACCAACCCTAAGTACTAATCAGAATAGAAGCATTTGAGATGGTTCTAATCCAGTCCTTCTCTGCTGCCCTTCCCCTACCAGGCACTGGTCAATTATAAGGGCTAGGACTTCTTCAGTCTATTAAGGACAAATCATGAGACATACAAACTGAAAAGCGTAAAATCAGACTCATCAAAATTATCTGAAAGCAAGTGATTCTTGACAGTGCACAAGTCATGAGTTAGAATTCTGTGTGCTCAGACAATGTCTTTCTTCCCAAACCATAGTTATTCATTTGTTTTCATAGCTAATTTATTGTCAATCTGCTATACACAGGAGATTGCTTTAAATTCTGTGATGAACATGATATAACCTCAAAGAATGTTGAACTACTAAGGAATGTATTCAGACATGCAATAAAAAAAAATGTTTGGTGCATTAAGTGCTTTGAATGGGAAATCAAGGAACAGGGAGAGAATATGAGGTACCCCTCACCTCAATGTGGTGAGGGGTGACAAAGGCTTCCCAGATTGGTGACATCCAATGTGAGGCAACAGGCAAAGAGATTGGAAGATGAAGCCAGTGTTGATGGCAAATGGCAAGGTTGTTTCAGGCAAGGGAATAGCATGTTAAAAAACCAGGCACTGCACGGTGGCTCACTCCTATAATCCCAGATTTTTGGGAGGCCAAGGCTGGAGGATCACTTGAACCCAGGAGTTTGAGACAAGCCTGGGCAACATAGTAATACCCTGTCACTACAAAAAAAAAAACAACACTGAAGCTTGGAAGCAGAAAACAGCAATGTGGATACTTACAGTTGCTTTTTTGGATTATCTGCCTGTTTGACATGAATTTATCTAGCACTGCCACTATGAGCAGGCACCATCTGGATGGAGGTGTGGATGTGCTCTCATGCATAGTGAAGCAGCCCCACACCCCAAAGACAAATGTGAGCACACACATTTTCCATATCCGTACACCCTTGTTCAGAATGGAAAGCCATCAGATACCAGACAGTCTCCTCCTAACAATGCCCAAGACGATTAACTTCTCACAGCTTGTAGCAGGCAGGTGGCTGACACAGGCTGGGTGAGAACTTTCAAGCACACTTCAAACAGCTCAATTAGATCAAGAGAAAAGCCTCCTAAAGCAGATCCATAGACTTACTATAAAAAATTTTCCTTCTCTTCACAATATTAAAAAAAATACCATCAGCTTCTTTCGGACCAGGAGCTGACAGGTTGCACCAGCTTTTCTCATGCCTCCCTTTCAATTTAGCCTGCTTGACTTTTTTTTTTTAATCTGCCACAATCACAATGTTTGCAAACCCTTCATTCTACAGCATTTATGGGGAAAACAGGTTCCTTCTCTCTGTCAGTCCCAGAAACCATCGCAATTCACTATGTATTTGTACATTTGACAATAGCTCTATGGCAAAAGAAGGGGAGAGAGAGGGAAAGAGTACCAGTGCTAGCCATTACAATCACAGAAAAGAACAACAAGGAAATTTTTTTAAAAATGAGTAAACCCGCCACTGGCCTCTTCTTTATTGAGCTCTGCCATAGTTACTAGGCACATGTGGGGAAGACAGAGTGAATATATGGCTTCAAATGCATCGTCCATAACTCAGCACTGTGCAGGAGGCAAGCAACTCTTCAAGGGGTTGTCAGAAGGGGATCATAAATATACTGTGTATTAGGGGAAATGACCAAAAGGATGGAGGTGAGTATCTGGATGGCTTGGCAAAGGAACCACATGGAACATCTCTATCTCTTTGCTCTTCCAATGTCAACCGTTAATAATCCACACTTTACCCTTTTCCAGTCCAATATTTCTGCTTAATAATTTGGATAAAAATATGTTTATTAAGAAAAACAGCAACCACAACACTCACTCACTAAGTGCTTACTGTGTACCCTCCCTTATAACTTTAAGAGGCGCTTTTTTTTAAGTTTTTAAAATTTTTTTTGGCATAAAGCTTGCTTTTAGCTTTTTTTGACTTAATTTAATTTTAAGTTCCAGGCTACATGTGCAGGACGTGAAGGTTTGTTACGTAGGTAAACAAGTGCCATGGTGATTTGTTGCAGCTATCAACCCATCACCTAGGTATTAAGCCCCACATGCATTAGCTGTTTATCCTGATGCTCTCCCTCCCCCTCCCCGACAGGCCCCAATGTGTGTTATTCCCCTCCCCATGTCTACGTGTTCAGCTCCCACTTTTGAGTGAGAACATGTGTTGGGTTTCCATTTGTTGTCTTATTTAGAGTTCACAATAACCCTATAAAGTCGATGTTAGCATTCTATTTTATAGATGAAACTAAGACAGAGTTTCAGTAGCCCACCCAAAGACACACATCAAGGGCATGACCGAGCCACCTAAGTTTGACTCCAGGGCCCAAGTTCATATCCACCATTTACTATTAAGTATACAATCAGTGACTTATGACATTAAACATATGATTACTTCCTCTAGAGTGCTTTGATTTTGTTTTTCATTTTTAGAAAACTGGTTCTTAAAACCTGAAATCAATAACAATATATGTTAGATTATTAGACACATTGGTTAGATTTTGACACATCAATTGGCTGAGTTAGGCAAATTCCTCACATTTACTACACGGCTTTAGTAGATCAGTCCTTGTCCTTTGTAGTTCAGAAGGGGCTCTTGACTTGAGCTGTAGAATTCCACAATAGGATATTTTGAATTGGGAAACATAGTGCAGGAAATGGGCCATATTTCCTGAGTTCAGGGTTCTCCCACTGCACTATTTTCCTGGAGAAGTTGTGAAGTAACCTAGCATTTTCTTGCTTCTTCCAATCTACTTTTTTCCAACAGCCATCATAATTTTCAGAAATGAAATTTCTGAAATGAAATTTTATCATGTCACCGTCTGGTTTAAAAGTCTTCAGTGATCCTTCATTACACTAAAAGTAAAATCCTAGTGGCAGAGTGCTCCAGAAAACAGTGTCCCTCCAGTTTCTGCAAAACTACCTGCCCTTTGAGGTAGTTTTGCAGAAACTTTATAAGTAGCTTATGTATGTAGCTTATATATGTAGCTTTTCTGACATTTATATATGTAGCTTTTCTGACTCCATTTCAACTTGTAGGGAGCTCTGAAGTCTCATTTCTTCCCTAGCAGAACTTGGCATCAACTGCTGAGAGCCAAATGCCCTATTGTGTACTTGAGGGATAAGAGAAGGAAAATACAGGTGTAGGTAGCTTTTGTTTCAGCCTTGCTCTAGGTAAAGTGTCAGGAGAACTTTGCTTCAGCAAATCTTTAATCCTTTCTAGAGGAACAAATGGTAGTTTTAGGAGTTCTTTAAGAAGTAACTGTCTAAATAGTTTTAGGGGTTCTTTAAGAAGTAACTGTCTAAATAGTTTTAGGGGTTCTTTAAGAAGTAACTGTCTAAATAGCTGCAAAACAAATGACCACAAAGTAAAGGAGTAAGAGAGCAGTAGAAGATGATGCCTTTTGAATACATGCAAAACCAAACAGGGAACAGCTACCAGCTGTCTTTTGTTCCCTCCAAGGACAAGAACAAATAAAAACAAAACTCCTGGGAATAAGGCAAGAAAAGTAAACTACAGTGGACCATATGATTCAAGATTCTTTAACTTACTACTAACATGATGAGTTAGTATGATTGAAAAAGTATGTATTTTGAGATTGGACCTAGCTCCATTTCCAGCCCCACTCTTACCTAACCTCCATTTCTGCAGGTCTGTGATGAGGATGACAAGAGCAGCTTCCAAGACTTGTTATGGGTAGATGAGATTTCATACAAAAAGAATTCTTTCACAGCCAGGAATAACATGGTCAAAAAGTGCTCAAAGATGCTCAAAAAGTGCTCAGCACCCTGACTCTATGCTTTCCAAACTTGCTTCATCATAAAATTGAACTGGGCAGTTGTCAAAAAGCAGATTTCTAGGCATGTCCCCTAGAGAGACTGATTCAGTACATCTGTTGTGAGGGCCAGGAATCTGTATTTTACTAAGGGCCTCTAGCAATTATTATGTTTCAGCAAGTTTAGGGAATAGCACCCTAACTCATTTGGTCAAACTCCATGGATTGGGATCTAGACTGAGTAAAACTAGAGAGGTCTATAGAAGCCTGTTATGGCTTGAATTTTGTTCCACCCAAAAATACATATGTTGAAGTTCTAATCCCCGCTACCTCAGAATGTGAAGTTATTTGAATATAGGAAGGTTGCAGATGTAATTTGTTAAGTTAGATGAGATCATACTGGAGTTGAGTGAGACCCTAAGCCAATATAACTAGTGTCTTACAAGAAGATAGCCATATGAAGAAAGGGGCACACAGGGAGAACACCATGTGATGAGGAAGAAAGAGGTTGGAGTTAAGCAACTACAAGCCAAAAAAGGCCAAAGATTGCTGGGCAAACCACCAGACACTAGGAAGAGGAAATTATTCCCCTGCAGATTGCAGGGGGGAGCATGGCTCTGCTGACACCTTGTTTTGAGACTTCTAGACTTTGTAACTATGAGATAATACATTTCAGTTGTTTTAAGGCACTCAGTGTGTGGTACTTAATTACAGAAGCCCTAGGAAACTAATAAGCCAAAAATTTCTTGTAACCCCAAATTTAGTACCACACTGCAGCAGACCCATCATGTCTTGTGGATTGAGAAGGAGACGTGGATTCTCCCCAGGCTCTGCTGCTGGTTTGGATTTGTTTTTAACTCTCCAAAATCAATTGCATTTCAGTATAATATAGCCACGATACTTCTTTTTCTCTTATTGGTTTAGAAATGAACATATGATTTAATCCTGATTAATGAGGTGTTGTGGACATGAGGGGAGTTTGCTGGAAATGGTTTCTTCACATCTAAGGAAATGACGTAGAAGAAGAGCTATTATTGTTCACTGAATGTTGTCATTTCAGGATCTGGCATCTAGAACAGCTACAGAAGGTCTTGCATACAGAATAGCCTATCTAAGAGCATCCCTAGAGCCTATTTCTGAGGATGGCAGAGAGAAGAATCTGGTCTATGGAGGCATCACTGAGCAATGAAATTAACCAAGTGTACAACTCATTCTATTTTTGGAATGTTTGCTCCTTAATTTCTCCCCTAGTTCTGCATCACTGTTTTTCTTTTCGCTCTGAACTTTTTGTAGAGTTAGCTAAAAACAATGTGCCTTTCTACCTGCTTTTTTTTTTTTTTTCTAAAGATATGACTTATATTCAACTTTTGACTTAAACTGGTCCTGGCTAATAAATTTATCTTCTGACCTTGCCCTAGCAAGCTTTTCTGTTGGCTCCTGATAGGGCTGATTTGGGTCTACTTGAGGATGTCCGGACTGCTCCGGATACTTCAGGACCGTGGTTCCTATTGGCCACATACCAGGGACACCTCATACCTACTTTTGTCCTGACTTTCTCCAACATCCATTATTCTTAACAATATAATGTGCTCTATCACTAGTTAGAACTCAGGAATTAGGATTGTTCAACTTATCTACACTAAATGCAGAAACAAAATCTGCAAAGCCATCACAAGAGCTGTGTTTATGGAGAAAGGGACTCCTTAAAGCACACTGTGAACTTTGCAATTCCATTGTTAGGAATTTACCATCCTGTCTTCCTAGAAGCAAGCGAAGCGTTGATGTTAGTAACAATTACAGAAACACTACTGAATCAGAAATTCCTTCAAATATAATAACTAGGTTTTGAGGCATTTACCTGTGCTTCTATCTGTGTGGCTCACACTACTTTAGATGTCAGTGGGAGTCACAAGTGTGATGTGACATAAGTTCATTTTTGGGGGGTAGGAAACATCTAAGTGGATAGAAAGGTGAAGAAGAGAATGACACATTAAAGCGTTGTGACTGCTTTTCAGCTTTATTTATATTGTCTCCTTTCAAAAAATGTATTTGGGGCTACTAGTAGAACTTTTGTGACCCATATTTGTAGTTCCTTGTTGGAGGCAGAAATTGATCATAACATTTTTTCTGACATTCACATCTAACCCTTGTTCACGACATATTGAAGCTCTGTGGCCAACAACAGTAGTCACCTCATTTCCTGCTCATGCAGCATGTAGGCATTTGGTTAAAAACAGGTGGTAGTAAAGGAAGAATCTCATTAATCTCAATTTACCAATCTATGCATTAGGATTAGCATAAAGAATGAAACTCTATACAATGTAAGTATTAGGAAGCAAGAGGAAACAATATATTAAAATAATGTGTTCATCTTAGTCAGTATAAAATTGATAGGTTAAATTTAATTTGGAAATTCTCTTTTCCCAAAAAGAATGCTGGTGAGATATGTGTATTATACATATGCTTACATATAAATTGAATATTTTTCCTAGTGAGGGCCCAGAGGCCTCAAACATGAATTCCAATTAAGCCAGAGTCTGCTTCTACCTTGCTTCCTCAGTCAGTGCAAGAAACTTAGCATCATTTTCTTGACTCCTGTACACTTGTATACACCTGTAACTAAATCTCCAGTTGCTCATGGAATAGTACATCATAGAAGCAGAGAACCAAGAATGCTCAAGTAATATCATGAGGTGTCAGAGTTGGAAGGGACCCTGAGATGAGCTAAAAAAGTGTTTCTCAAAGTATGGCATGTCGACCACCTATTAGAATCACTTGGGGAATGTTTTAAAAATCTTTATTTCTCAGAACCCATCCTAAACCTATTAAAGTGTTGTGGGGTGGGGGGTTAAGTCATTCTCATTGTTAGCCCAAGTTTGTGTGTAAGGAATGGTCACAGTACAGTCACTTGAGAAGTTATTTTGAAATATACATTCCCCTCCAGCTTCTAAATCCAAATAGATTTCTGAGTTGTCAGTGAAATTTTAGACAGTTCCCTAAGCAACTCCACCTCCTTGGGAACCACTGATCTCTTCTAATACTTTGATTTTAATGAGGGAAAAATGAAGTCTAGGAAGTTGTGACCCACCGACAGTCACGTAGCCT
This sequence comes from Homo sapiens, assembly GCF_000001405.40. Taxonomy (NCBI): domain Eukaryota; kingdom Metazoa; phylum Chordata; class Mammalia; order Primates; family Hominidae; genus Homo; species Homo sapiens. The sequence goes on along the minus strand of NC_000014.9, from coordinate 79,743,256 downwards.
ATGTCACTGGCAGAGCCAGGCCTCTAGCATGTGCTCCTTGACAGGTGTCACACACTGTGGATACCTAAATATATTCCTTTAAAATACCTTTATTATAGAAAATATGAAACATACAAAAGTAAATAAAATCATGTGATGAACCTCCGTGGACTCATCACCCAGGTGCCACAAAAATAGCCACAATTCATGGCTAACATTATCTCATATCTCCAACTGCCTGCCTACCCTGACCCTGAAAGTTTTGAGGCAACCCAGAATCATATCCATAAATATTTGCCTGCTTATTTTATTATAGGGCAGAACAAAATATTGTTTATCTTCTTTGTGCTTTAGTTTTTTCATCTAAAAAATGGAACCATCAACTATCAAATGTGTGAGGGCATTTACATATTGGGAATTACAGTATACTTCCTTCTCCCTTATCCTAGAATGAAGAAGTATTTATAAAGCATACGTTAGTTTAATAATCTACTAACTTCATAATTGTCTAATTTCAGTGCAGAAGAAATTGCGGTAATATAGGCTCTGCTGCATTGTGAACTATGGGCTATTTAGGGAGAGGTGAGACTACATAAATCAAATGTCATACAGTGGGCCAGGCAATAGTCCTTTTTTCAAAAACCAGAACATAATTAGATCACAACAATAAGCCAAGTAGCAGGCAATTAGCTAGAAATTTTAAAAACATGGCCCAACTTCTACTTTTATTTAGAAATACTTGGATTGACATGATAATATAGGTGGAGAGATTCTGAAACAAGTCTCAAATTGTGTGTAAAATGGTTAAACACTAAAATAGGGAGGGAAAGAAGGAAAGGCAAGAAGGGAGGGAGGGGGTGTCTAACTAACACACATCTTACCTCATTCAGTACAAGGAGTTAATTATCATTATGGTAAATTATGCAGCAAATGAATCGAGGTAATCATAGGGCAATCATCTCTCAATTCAATTAACAAGAGGTACATTATCATGCAAAACTCCAAAAGATTTACAATGCTTTCTGTTATTGCTATTTAATAGTTAAAGTGCTCAGAAAATTTGAGTTTAGAGGTAGTGTATAATGTAATCCCTTGTTCTAACAATGATAGGAATGTCATTCTAAACCAAAAGAATTAATTTCATACATTTTTCTGTCTGCCACACTATATTGCAAAGGGATAAACAAAATAGAACAAAGCACAGTGACCGTAATTATATATCAGGCTCCCCTCTGTTTCATTTTAAGGTAAATAGTGGCTGACAAATATGTATAAGGATATTGTTAGAAGACAGAAGCCTGTGAACTGGTGTTTTATAGAAACATTAGTGCAATACTCTTATAATATCTAGACAACAAATCTATATGTATATGTTGTGTGTGTATATGTCTGTGTATATACATATAAGCACACTTACCTATATACAGATATATACGTATACATACTCTGTGTGTGTGTGTGTGTGTGTGTGTGTGTAATGTATACACATTTTGGCCAGGTATGGTGGCTCACACCTGTAATACCAGCACTGTGGGAGGCTGAGGTGGGCAGATCACTTGAGGCCAGGAGTTTGAGACCAGCCTGGCCAACATAGCAAAACCCCATCTCTACTAAAAATACAAAAACTTAGCTGAGTGTGGTGATGCACACCTGTAATCCCAGCTACTCGGGAAGCTGAGGCATGAGAGTCACTTGAACCTGGGGGACGGAGGTTGCAGTAAGCCAAGATCATGCCACTGCACTCCAGCCTGGGTGACAGAGCAAGACTGTCTCAAAAACAACAACAAAAAATTATATATACATGCACACACACACACACACACACATATTTCAACTTACAATGACAGGACAAATGTCAGATATATTTCTTGAAATTTTAAGAGGAAATTAGAATAATGCTGAATTCTATTAATAACACCTTTCATATTGCTTCCAGAAAGCATGCTGTTGATTCTGAATTGTTTGTGCTCTGTTTTTGGTCTTAGATTTAGCACGAAACCAAATTCTGTGATTCAAAGCAACATGTCACTGGATCTATATATTTAAGGAATGAAGGTATCATTTATTTCACCATGTAGTAAACTAAATGTCCTAGAGGATAAATGATTTGCCTCAGGTCACAAAGCTAATTATTTGAAGAGCCAGATATTTTTATTTTTTAAGAAGATACGTCAATTAAATCATCCAACAAAGTGCCATCTACTGAGGGATATATAAGAATTTAATATAGTGGATCCTCTCTAACCTTGAGATGGTTCCAGTCTATTTTAAGAGATAAGATACTGGAACAAGAACTAATTTTCAAAATGGAGTTAAATTATGTGATGTACATTAATAATGTTTTAGAACTGAGATAAAAAGCATTAGTCAGTATGTGAGGTGACATTTAAGCTGGGTGTTAAGGGATGAAAACATAAGCTTCACCCTGTAGAAATTTGCAATCTAGTGTTGGAGAAAGTGGAAGGTAGACATGGAAATAATGATCTATGTTTAAAAGCAGAAGTAAGGTTATATATATATATATATATATATATATATATATATATATATATATATATATATATAAAAAACTAAATGCAAAGTCCAGTGGAAAGGCAGTAGTTAATAAGTGTCATTAGCAGAGGATAGAAATCAGAAGAGATGCAAAAGTTGTAAATTGGGCTGATGGACAATAGATGTATCTATTGTCAGGGTGGAGAAGACAACCACATAGTTAAACCACAATATGAGTAAAGGTAAGGAGATACAAAAGTGGCAGGCACATTCATTGAGACAAAGGGCAAGTGTTGGTATGTATCCAGAGAGACGGTTGAAAAGATGGACTCAGGCTGCATTGTGAAGAGCCAGGAAGGCAGACTCAGAAATCTGAAACTCTCTCCTGCAGGCCCCCCAGGAGTCACGGAAAGTTTTGCAGTAGACTGACAAGTTGTGACAGTGTTTGGGAAAGATAACACATGTGACAAGGGAGATTGGACCATGGAGCAGCTAAAGCAGAGTGGCCAGTTGGGAGGCTATTGTTATACTTCAGAAGAGAGATTAGTGCCCAAAGTAGGACAGTGGCAAAAGAAATAAAAGGAGAAGAGAAGAAATATTGGTACTGTCAGTTGACTGAATATAAAGGGGGAGGGAGGAGTGAAAGATGATTCCAAGGTTTCAGCTCAGGGGCTAGAGGACAGTGATACACTAACTCAAACAAGGAAAAGGAAGGTTGGCAGTTTTAGTAAAGAAAACAGGAAACTGTTTCATCCAGTGAGTCTGAGGCAGCAGCCAGCATCCTCTGGACATATTCAGAGGGCAGCTGGAAATTGGAACTCAAGATGGAAGACAGGTTAAAAAAGGGGTGAACAGACCTTCACTGCAAGTGATAGCATGGAAAAGGATGCAGAGTGGAGGATAGGTACCTGTGAAAGACATTAAAGATGGTATTCTTTGAAACAGGTTTATTTGGGAAATAGTGGTAAATAACGTAAGATACATAGAGTTGGGCTTGCCCCTATGAGAATGCCCTTTCCCGTAGCTGGTGATGACCTCAACAGCATATGGTCAGCACAGTAGACAAGAGTACCTGGCACCTGATCGCACCATTGGAGGCCTGGGTTCTTTTTTTTTTTTTTTTTTTTTTTTTTTTTGAGGCAGAGTCTCGTTCTGTCACCCAGGCTGCAGTGCAGTGCAGTGGCATGATCTCAGCTCACTGCAACCTCCGCCTCCTGGGTTCCAGTGATTCTCCTGCCTCAGCCTCCTGAGTAGCTGGCGTTACAGATGCCCACCACCATGCCTGGCTAATTTTTGTACTTTTAGTAGAGACGGGTTTCACCATGTTGGCCAGGCTGGTCTCAAACTCCTGACCTCAGGTGATCCACCTGCCTCAGCCTCCCAAAATGCTGAGATTACAGGCGTGAGCCACCATGCCCAGTGAGGGCTGGGTTCTAAAGTGGTCTCCCAAATTGTATTTCTCCAATCATTTTCTTGACTTTCTCAGGTCCCCAAATTCACTTTTATATTCTTGTCCTTCCTGTTTTATGTATTCATATTACTGTATTAGCTCCAGGCTATGACTTTGGATTTTTCTATTCTGTCTCTTTGTCACAGAACATACCCTTGAAACACCCACGTGCCTTCATTTCAACCCAACCCACAGGCAATGATAGTTTCAGAATTTGTAAAGAAAAGAGCTTAAGATTTCCAGTGTCTTTGAAATGGGATGGCAGGAGACTTATTTTGAAACTTCAATTTGCATATTCAGATCTGTTTTTATTTACACCATATTTTATAGTAATGAGACTTTCTAAAAATACCTTTATTTCCACTTTATGTACTTTGGCTGGTGCTGTTACTTAAGTTGGCACAAGTATTGTATTAGTTTCCTGTGGCTGCTATAACAAATTGGCACAAAGTGAGTGACTTAAAATGAACACATTTGGCTGGGCGCAGTGGCTCATGTCTGTAATCCCAGCACTTGGGGAGGCCGAGGCAGATGGATCACTTGGGGTCAGGAGTTCTAGATCAGCCTGACCAACATGGTGAAACCCTGTCTCTATTAAAAATACAAAAATTAGCTGGGCGTGGTGGTGAGCACCTGTAATCCCAGCTACTTGGGAGGCTGAGGCAGGAGAAACACTTGAAGACGGGAGGCGGAGGTTGCAGTGAGCCAAGATCGCACCACTGCACTCCAGCCTGGGTGACAAGAGTGAAACTCTGTCTCAAAAAAACAAAACAAAACAAAAACACATTTATTTTCTCATAGTTCTGGAGGCCAGAAATTTGAAATTAGTATCATTGAGCTGAAACCAAGACATCAGCAGGGCCACATTCTCTCTGAAGACCCTAAAAGAGAATCTGTTTCTTGACTGTTCTGGCAGCTGTCAGCATTCCTTGGCTTGTGGCTGCTTCACTCCAGTATCTGCCTCCATCACCTTCTCCTCTGTGTGTGTGTGTGTGTGTGTGTGTGTGTGTGTGTGTGTGGCGGGGGAAATGCCCCCTCTGCCTCACTCTTATAAGGACACTTTTGAGGATATTTAGGGCCCACTCAGATAATCCAGGATTATTTCCTCATCTCAAGGTCCTTAACTTAATCACACTCACAAAGACCCTTTTTCTAAATAAGGTAAAATATACAGCTTAAGAAATTATCCTTGGAAGATATTTTTCAACCTACTGCAGGTGGGCTAATGCACTCTCTCAAGACATGCATGGTGACATTCCCAGCTAGATCCCCCTGGTGGGATCTTGAATGTCAAGATGCTAGTTTACAGGTGATTTTGATTTAAAGGGAAACTGGCCTTTGATATCAATGTTGGTCTAAACCCACTCATCCCAATCTCATTGCAACAGAATGTTGGATTCTATATGAAGCCTGCCACTTTTGGAAGTAGTCTTGATTTTGGATTGTTAGAATACTTTTGTAAGAACACTGCACAATGGGCTGGGCATGGTGGCTCACACCTGTAATCCCAGCACTTTGAGAGGCCAACCAGGGAGGACTGCTTGAGCTCAGGAGTTTGAGACCAGCATGGCAATATAGGGAGACCCTGACTTAAAAAAAAAAAAGAAAGAAAGAAAAGAATGCCACACCATGATGTGACATATGGATTTAATTAATATTATGCCAAGCTTCAGATAATTAATTCCCACTGGTGACATTAAGGTGAAATCAATGTTGTGGGTCAAAATATGCAATCTGACGAAAAAGTGGCAGCAATTAGAAAACTGTTAAAATAAAATACCTAATATAAACTCCGTGCTGAGACATAGTATCTTAGGCAGGAATAACAATATATATTGGCATAATAGTTGTTAATAGTAATTATATACCACTATAGTTAATGTTTTTAATCATTTTACTAAAAAGAGGACTCAGTGGCACAGAAGATTTAACAGTGGATAATTCATTAATTAGGTTTGTCAAATTTTCCATTATTTAGCTGAGATAACTCCCAATAAAATTAAGATTAGGCTGCACTTATTAGACACATTCCAAGTTATTGTTGGTTAACTGCTGAGTGGTTAAGGAAGCCATCAGCCAACATTTCCTAACAGCAAAACCACAAAGTGGACAACCCATGGGCCAATAATCGGGGACCCACCAGCTCTGGAATGGTAAGTTACCACACTTTTAAGGAGTGAATTTAAAAAGTCCAGTTTGGGTTCTATACTTTGTCTTTGAGGAAAGGAATAATATATGCAAGTGTAAAACTTTTAAATAACACACAAAAAATTGCAGCTTGGATGTTGTGAACATCTGGATGCTTGATGTACATCAAATAGCTAAGAGGATTAGCTGAAACATTTTTTAATCTGTTCATTTTTGAGTCAAAATAATGACTCATTTTAGAGGGCTATGTTGGTGACTTCCAGTAGATTAAGTTACATCTTCCCTCTCACCTGTGGAGCCAGGCTTTGTTATTAATAAGCCTTATTCATACACATCTGTTGGAGAAAAGCTGAGTGTTGGGAGAGAAGCTGAGGCAGGGCTTGCATGTCTGCTAGACTTGCTGGCTTCTTGCTTCTAGTACTCCCATTATGTCAAACAGCCATATGTTTCTCATTCACTCGACATCCTCACCACCTGTTTGAGCACCCATAAATAACATGGGCTCCCAGAACTTGGGGCCTTCACAGCCTCCACACTCGCGATGGCCCCCTGGTCCCACTTTCTCTCTCAAACTGTCTTTTTCTCATTCCTTTGAATTGCCGGCCTTTGTCACCCCCACGACCTGGTGTTGGATCTGATCACCCCAACACACATCTACACATAACATGATACACTAACTGATAGACCTGTGTATTCGGAATATTCAGAAGAGGAAGCTCTCAATTATTTTGCTGAAGGCTTAAACCATCTTCAAGCATGGTAGAGCTCCTTGTCCATTTCTACAAGCCTAATACCAGTTTCCAAAAAATACCTGATGGGGTCAGAAAAATCAAGAAATGTTTAAAGTTAATATTTCAAACTATATATCCTGGTAACTCATCTAGGTTGGTCTGGAAACTCACCCTTATAAGTACTCATGGAAATTTTGTTAATATCTTTATTCAGAAGAGAGAGTAAAATGTATCTGATTATTGTATTCTATTTGGTAGAAAATAGAAGACAGTGCTGAGTTAAGACTGTCAGCTAGGGTATTAATGAGGGTCTCAGATCAATGGAACAAGGTAGGATACCTAGTAACTGAAATCCTGGTCTGATGGGAGGCAAAGATGTTGAGAAATGTAAGTGGTGATGCCATCAGTAAGGCAAAATTTCTCAATGCCCTGGAACAAGATAAATCCATTGGTACAAGCCACAGGCCCTCCAAAAAGAAGTAAGGGTGGTAATTTTGTACATTATTTTATAATACAATATGTGAATTACCAATTATGTGTGACTAATTTTTTCCTATACCAACAGGAAGAGCTAATTATTTTAAACACATTTTGGAAGGAAGCTTGAACTGGGGCAGGGAACTGAGCAGGATATTCAAAGGAAAACTAGCAACAACTCAAGAGCAGTAGAAATACTTCCTCCAAACAGCCCTATTAGATCAGGAGAAAGAATCCAGTCACAGGGCTGCAGAAGTTTTTCAAGATCCTCACATGGGAAATGTCTGGATGCTTTATAACCCTGTTCTCTTCTAGTCATTTTTCTTCTGCTTATACACTACCACCCTTTACAGGACAGTGGCTGTGTGTGAAGTTTGAAGTTTAATTGTTTTTGACTTATATGTACACAAATTACCTCCAGGCAATATGTAAAACTCATTTCTTCCTGCTTTCATAACTCAGAAGACAGCTGAACAAATCCTCCTAAAATTTTTCCTTTTTCATCAAGTTCAAGCTAATGTCAACCCCGGGAAGTTTGCAGCTTTAAGTCTAATTTTTCAAGGGATGCTTCTCTTCAACCATGACTTGCTTCCAAAATATTTTAAAATAGCTTTATTTTTTGCTGTGGAAAAAATTAGTCTTGCGTAACAATTGACAACTAACATACTGCATTGTAAAATAATGTACATAATAGCCCACTTTACTACTTTTCCCTGATTGGTGTACAAAGCTACAAATGTGTAATAGATTTTACTTTTGCCTTTAAGCCCAAGGTCCTGGACTTGAAACATCCAAGGGATGGAAAATGCCGTATAACAGGGTGGAAGAGAGATTTGATAAACCTAACATTCTATAGTGAGAAGCTGCTGTATTAGAAATAGGGTGTTAAATAGGTAGAGTTCAAGAAAGGCTAGGGAGTGAATTCATTACATTCCCCCCTACCAAGTATTCTTTAAATTGAATAAAATTCTAGCTTCACCAACTAGAATTTTTCCAAACTTCAGGCTATTGCTTTGGTACCTAGTAGGCTTAATAAGAATTCTTCAACTGAGGCTTTGAAGATTTGTAGCCAGCTTTCTCAAGAAGCCACTGGGGATTTGGTGCAAGCATTTATTCAGAAAGGAAGCCAAGAGTGGGATGCCTTGTACTTATAATTGAATTCCAGAATAAGGTATTCGGGAAAGCAAGAGACTGGAATCTGGTCTCATTTCTGCCACTAATTAGCTGGGTGATTTTAGAAATCATTTAATTTCCTCAGGCTTTCTTTTTTTAATTGAGTGTGAGAATCTAAATTTTCAAAAAATGAAAATAATCATCATCAGTATATTTGCCTGCATAGAGATACACCAAAAATAGGGGTTATGAGTAATTTTTGTTTCTTGTATTTGCTACTTCCAAATAAATGAGAAAAAAAGCAAAACAAAATAATATACAATTATTGAAACTATTTTTTATTGTATAGAGAAGATGATGTATCACCTATCTTTCAGGGCTAAAGTCCCAAATCTTGAATATACAAAAAGTAACGTGTATCACGTGAGACTGCATGGACATCTGCCATCTAATTATCAACCAAGCTGTCTTGTCTCCCAGCTTGCCATGACATCTGGATTGTAAATGTCATGACAGTTCAGTCATTCAGCATTCCCAAGTTGACACAACCTACATCCTGTCTTGGTCCCTACATTTAAAATCTGCAATTTTAAATAGAATTCCAGAGTTTACACAGAATTGGATCCTCCATTATCAGCAGGTGAAAGACCTACTTTTCAAAATATAAAGAAATATTGGGGTGTTGGCCGGATTGGCAAAGCTATTTAGAGGAAAAACAAGTCTGTTTAGAAATGCACTGGTTTGGGGGAGGTGCAGACCATGAATTTGTCAAAACAACGTTTTTCTGTCTCTAGTGGAAGGTATTTCATAAAATGATTGGTACCATCAGTGACTCCAAGTCAGTGAATCTTGAATAAATGATCCAGAAAATGCTGTGGTACTCTTACTGTGCTGAAGCTAGCTAGAGTCATGTTTATCATTTTAATTAATTGTATCAACATTGGGACCAGCTACTGGCCATTATCAGAGCAAGCAGGCAAGTGAATGTCCTTGGTCCTTGTAGTGGTAGGAATATGTCTGTGCTGAAAATCCCACAGGAAAATAAGATAAATTTAGACACTCTCATTTTTTCTACCCTCTTGCATATTGCCATAAAAAGATGATACAGTGGTGTCTTCTCTTACAGGTTTTTCTTTTTTCTGTGATTATTATTCCATCAAAAAATAATCACAGTTATAAAAAAAAAAAAAACAACAACAGCAAACCAAATGTGGGCTTCATATAATGTATGGTCCCTTCATTGTGTCAAGATAGCAATCGGTGAATTCAGCATTTTCCTGCAGTTTGAGAAACTGTCTGCTCTCACACCTCCGATCGTGTTAAGTGATAAAGAATTGTTGCAATCCTGCACAGAAATGGACCAACTTCATTACCACACACAGTAAAGGTTTTAGCGGCACGTTTTCTCTTCTTTGCCTTAAGGAAAAAAAGGATACCCCTGATAACCAAAGAACATTATTAAAACGGTTTCCCAAAGAGTTTAATGACAACTAAATTACTCCTCCTTAAGAAAACCAAATTGGGAAGCCAGGTATGCATATTACATTTGACACAGTAAGATTTTTGTATTGCGGGCTGTTAAATGGTAGGCAGATTTTATTTTTTACTGTGCAATTCTTAGGATTCATGGAAGACTGGTATTTAAAACAAACACATTTTTTTAAAAAAATTTATCATCAGAGCTTTTATGAATATGGAGTCTGTCACTTCCATCTTCCCTTCACCCCCACCTCCAGTTTTTGCTGCTGCTGTTGCCGGAAGAGACATCTGGATTTAATTATTCACTGCATATTTTGCAGTTTTGTCACAGTAGTAGATTTATGACAAAGATTTAATTTTATCCAAGGTCAGGATTCTTACATGTAATGCTTATTTAACAGCTTATCTTGCTGATATTAATATTAATATCAAAATATAAATCTGAACATCTTCTTTTGAGTCTTAAAGAGTCATTGCTCTTTATGCCACTTTTGTCAAATCACATTAATACTGTATAAATAGTGTTTAAGAGTATATGGGTTCAAACTGATCTCCAAAGTTTATCAGCTATAGAAAGTGAAAGAAATTTCTTAAGTTTTTTTGTTCCTAATTTTTCTCATATATAAGATGGAGGCAAGAGAACCATATTTGTACAGTTATTGTGGGAATTAAGTGAAATAACAAATAAGTATTTTAAACAGACCCAAGCTCAAAAGTGCATAGACATGTAGCTATTATTATGGGGCCATAATGAATGAAACCTCACAAAAGACCCAGTTTTTAATCTAGGCAAGTTTCATGTTCTATTACCTTAGATGATTTAAATTCCCACAAGGTCCCTTAATTTATCCTTTCATAAACTAGGTTGCAAATTAAATTTTTTCTTGCCTAACAGGACTGGCCTTACAGCTAAGCAGATGAGATACAAGCCTGAGAGGCACAATTGAGGCCAACCAGATAGGACCGCTTCTGTGAAACGGCCCTTTCCCTATTCTCATGCTCCTTCTTACTCACACACACAAGAACTTAAAATTTCCTCTTAAAATAACTAAGTTACCGTATCAAACTTAGGGTAAACATTGAGTTTATTGATTACTTATTGGTAATAATGACCTTAGCTTGACTTAGTTTATCAGACATACAGTGGGATCCTGAGAACATGGTATGTAGAATAGATTCATTACAGTAAAAACAGAGAGGCTGAGAGAGAATGAGCACTGCACTGTGTTCTCCATGTCTCTTAAAAAAAAATCCAGTTTACCAGGATACTATGTGCTAGAGGCAAAAATAGAGACAAAGAGGAAGAACGGGCACAAAAATAGAAGTTGCATGGCACATTTGTTCACTTTGTATTTCTATATCTATAGGTGGAGCTGATTGGGAGGGGTGAGGGAGGGAGGAATAAAAGGATTCTATTCAACCACTGCCAAAATATTGGGGAAAAAAACTATGGAAAAGCCACAGAAACACATACTTTAGAAATCTGGCTACAGTAAGTGAAATCGGATGGTCAAGGTAACTGAGGTGGCTAAAAGCAACCAAAAAAAAAATTAAAAAAAAAAATAAAAAATAAAAAATTCTAATTTAAAAAAGGAAGGAAGGAGGGTGGGCTCAGTGGCTCACGCCTGTAATCCCAGCACTTTGAGAGGCTGAGGCAGGTGGATCACGAGGTCAGGTGTTCAAGACCAGGCTGGCTAACATGTTGAAACCCTGTTTCTACTAAAAATACAAAAAAAAAAAAAAGAAGGAAGGGAAAAAATAGGTCATTTGGAGAACCAAGGAGTTCACTAGTTAGAAATATTTAATGAGTTCAGATTTTCTTAGCTTTCTTAAGAGTTTTATTTGTGCTTAAATGGTAGCTTTCCATTTATGATAGTTTTAAAGAACGAGTAAGAACATATCTGGAAGGAATGAATGTTAAATTGGAAAATATAATGATTAGTCCTAGATGGGATGTGTGGTTTATAGAATGTTTTATTATTTACCATTTTGCATGATGCTCCTGTGAAATCTTTTAAATAAAATATCTGAGGGAATGTCTGAAACACAAGTAAAATCACAGCTCAAAATAAAGGCAGTTCTTTAAACCTGAGCTCTGCCTGTTTAACAATTTATGAAGTTATCTCCGTGGTAGCCAATGGGCACTTCGGCATTGTTGTAATCTGGGAAATTTCTGGAGAAGCAAATCAGGCAGAAGCAGAACAGTGGCTGTGGCTTGTGCTGTGTTCATTCGATCTACCCTGCACAGTTGAGTTGAGATCTCAGAAAACACCACTATTTTTCTCTACTCCAACCACAGAAACCACACTCCTTAGCAACCCGCAGTGTCTTCCTGTAATAGGGAGATTTTCATTCAATATATTTCTGAGTTGTAGGTTTTTTCCAAAGGAAACATCACATTAGAACGATTGGGTAGGCACAGGGATTACTTTGCTAATGCCCCCTTTCCTACTAAGACTCATTTTACAGTGGAGGAAACTGGCTTTCCTTTACAGGGAGATGAGATATCTGCCTATGGCCAAATAATTTACTGACCGGGTTAAGGCTAGCATTTTGTTCACTGGGGGATGATTGTTCACTGTGCTGAAAAACTTACAGTAAGTTTTCTTTCAATATTTTCCTAAGCAGGTGCATTCAAAAAGTTTCCATTTATTAAATTCTAACTATATAAATAACTCGTTCGGGAGCACAGTTTGTGGAATTACATAGTTAATATCTACAACTCAATTTTTTTGGTCACAAAATACCAGCATTATAACAGGCTACAGAGATAAAAATGTACTCACTGCATAAATCTTCCTTAATTATTATAATGAACTTCTTTCCACAATTCATCTTATAGAGAAAATTGAAATGCCAGACTTGATTCACTAATGTGTCTGGATAACACAATTTAGTTAAATCACCATAGTGACCAGCTGAGTTCATTCCCAAGTGTCTCGTGTGAACCAATTCTAATTGGTTGGTAGCCTCTATCAAGTGCTTGTCAATTTTTTCCAAATCACAGCACACAGAGAAAATGAGGGAGATGGAGGAGGCCTGTGTAGTGGGAGGGGGCTTGCCCAGGGACTACGGTGGCTTCAGGCCCCACTCAGCCAGCCCAAAGTCTAAAGCAATTAATTTCCTGCAACCTGGTATGGCTCACCAAAGTGGGATGCTGTGGCACAAAGTGGGATGCTGTGGCCTAGATTTTTGGCACCTTGTCAAAAACACTATTCCTTTAGTAGGAAAAAGAAGAGAAGCCCTTCCCTATCAAACTCCGCATACACAAATCTGGCTTCTTCCTCGGTCCATTAAAAACATGTATAATTCTCCCTTGATTCTAAGCTTTCCACCCAGATAGCAGCCCCCTTTCTTTCTGAGAAGCATGATGCTGTTTTTCTGTCTACAACAGAAGTGCTTCTCTGACTACCCACCACTCTCCAAGCCTAATAATTTGCTTTTGGTTCACATGGATCATACCATTGTTTTGCTTGGCCCAGTCAGCCCAATTAGTGCCTCAAAGGAGGAGGATGACAAGCTTGACTCTTTCCACAAAATGCTTCTTAGAGCCATGCCCTGCACTCACTCGAATCCAGGATAGGTTCAGCACCTGATGTTTCCAAATAAAAGAAACAGGCTCAAAACAAAATTCCCAGCACAGAGCCCATCACTGTGCCTACTGCCTGGGAGAAGCTGAGGAAGGAGGAGGAGCCTAGAGTTGTTATTTTGACTTTGAAATTGAAAAGGACTACACAGCACACCTCCTTCAATTCTCTCATTTAAGAGGTGAGTTATTGGAAATTCAGAGAAGCAAAAAGGATTTCACCCAGAATCTCTGTGGGGAGATTGCTTATCATCCCCAAATATCTAGTTTCCCTTCTTTCTTTCAGAAATAAAAGACCCTAACTGGTTTTAAGCAAGGTATATGGCCATCCAACTAGTCACTACATTTTCTTGCATCCTTAATAGCTTGCTTCTGGTTCACATGGATCCCACCTGTTTTGCAGACAGGTGTGGCCTTAATAGGATATAAGCAGGCATGCTTTTCTTTTTCTCCTCCCACTGATTGGAAAATAGGAAAAACTTGAATCCAAATATGGGAACCACATATTGGGAGTAACACAATATCCCCATTAGCCCTAGATCACTAACTTCTTGATTTTCCCCTAAAGAAAAAATAAAATAAATAAATGCCAACTTTGTTAATCTACTTTGCACTGGTGGTGTGGGAGACAAGGATTCTTTCTTATAAAAGTTGAGCCTTTACAATAAATATTAATGATACAGACACTTGGTAAAACTCTTTAGATAATAATAATGATGGTGGCACACATGTCACCATGGTGGTCTTGAGCATTTTGTCAAGGTGACAAGGATTTTGAAATAAGCTGTGACCCTCAAGGGATTATGATCTACTGTAGCACAGGAATCTGTATCTGTATCTCTAGCACCTGGCACATAGTAGGTGTTCAATCAAAACTTCACAGAACTGAATCAATGTTACAATTTGGCATCTGGAGTTACAAAGATCACCTCCCTTTCCCTTTCCGATGATATCATCTACTTTTGCTGTCAATGCAGTGCTAATTTCTCAGGAGACAAATGAAGAACTTACTTCCCCCGTACGAGATTAATTATTCCATGCCACTGCTAACTCCCGACAATATCAGTCTTTGACAGTGTGCAAAGATAAATGGTGAGGCAGCCATTTGAAAGGAAATCATTATGGCACCTCTCCGCTCCATGTTATCACATCCATATCAGCAAGGGAGATAACTTTGAAACTGCTTGTACTGCACTGAGAACCAATGTTCTGGCTGGGGCCTGCAAAGATGAAAAAGTCTCTTCTTGCCTTCAAAGTCTTCCTGCTGCGGTTTGCCTTTCAAAGGCACCCACTGCTTGCATAAAGGGTTGCCCTGGAAGTGGTGAGCGCCAATGACCTTCTCCTCATGAGAGGAAGCAATCAGGGAGAAAAGGGAGCTATCTCCTGGGAGGAGAGAGATTTTGGCAGGTGAGAGCAGGAAGGACTGTCCCTGTCAACTGGGACTTCCAACCTAACCCCATGCTGAAAATGCTGGAGCTACCTCTTACCTTGCTCACTGCAGACTCTCCCTGGGCTGGAAGAAGGAGTTGGGGGCTCTATAGGCTATCAAGTAGCTGGACTAAATTTTAAACGTACAAAGATCCTGCTTTGCTTTAAAAATCAGACTGTTCCAGGTAGTTACTTTTGCTTTTAATTTTCTGGGAAACACCTACTCAGTTAACATACCGCAGGACTACTCTTGCTCTAAAGTACTCTACCCTAGCAACAGAAGTCGGGTTGTGTAAGGCTTCAAAGGGACACTCCCACCTGGCTTCAGGGAGAAGTTGCCTCTCAGTAGAGGCCAGCAATTTGAGAGTTAATAGTCCACTTTTACTGCCAAGAGGTGCCTTGCAGAATTTCTGTGTCTGATTTGCACACATGTGAAATGAATTGCTTTCTGCATCCAGGGCTCTGAGGAGGTGACAGAAGAATCCTAGTCTCAATCTAGAGACTGAGAAGGGCCATTCGTAACCTGGTATTTCCTTCTAAAAAGGGGAAAAAAGTCCAGGATTTCTCTCGTAGCAATTTCCCTCCAGGCCAATGAGAAGAGCATAATATTTGCACAATGGGGGTTCGTTTATTTATTGCCATAAAGCAACAACAAAAAAATAAGGGTCATTCACAGTAGATGAAGTAAAGTAAAAGGAAAGAGAAATGAGACATTGGGAAATGCAATTTCTTTGCCTCAAAGTTTAGGCTGGCCAATTTTTTTTTTTAACCCAAATCATCTGCAGCATACATGGAGCTGTACCTGAAACATACAAGTCATTTGGGCTCTGTTCCTCCACATTTATTTCATTCTGGGCCAGGCATGCAAACTCTCCTTCTACCCTGAAGTTGCAATTACTGTCCCTTGCTCTTTGTTGAAAAGTAGAAGTGATCCCAAGGGGCAACGAACCACTGGGTAGATCTTGAGAGGAGAAAGTATTTATTTCAGAAATTAACATCGGTATCCCTGACTTGATTAGGCAGGAAGAATTCTATACCTATCGAATATTCCCGGCTACTCATACATGATTGGGCTAGTCATTCAAACTGCAATTTACCGGAAGCCAACCAATTAAAGGTTTAAATAAGTAGACTAAATTGTGGTCATCGTAGTTTCACTCAACTCTTAGTAGAAAGCAGCAAATGCTAAGAAAAGCTTATCGGAAATATATTTTAGGCAATAAATACCTAGGCATGCTGTAATGTCAATACATATTTTGCTTAACCTTAGTGCTATGTGTTTATATGGCTGAATAATGTTATCACTAGCAAAAATAATACCAGCAACATTTACTGAACACCTACCCTGCCAGATACTATGCTAGGTACTTTATATAAATTACTTTTAGTTTTCCCAACAGTGTAAATACACAAACTTTGCCAAAGCACGTGGCTTCTCCTTGATGTTAGAATTGGACATAGGTCTGCTTGACCTCAAAGCGGTCTCTTTCCCCCATCATTTATCTCATATATGATTGAGAGTCACAAAAATAAAACTGTCATACTATATGAACCTGAATCTTCAGAGAACAACAAAAATGTAGTTTATCATATTTCAAAACCCAGGGAGTTTTTCAGCAAGGAATTAAAAGGCTTTTATGCCAGTGGTCTTTCAGCATATTTTGTAAGCTACATCTTGCTTTCCTAATCTGTAAACTGGGGAAATAATAGTACCAGGCATGTAAAACTCTCAGCTTACTGTATGGTGCCCAGTAAGCACTCTACTGGGGGAAGCAGGTAATTCAATTAAGTAATCATGAAACTTTCCACTAGTACTGAGCAACTAACCTTTACAAATCAATTAAAAGAGCACCGCTATGTGCTTTGTATTCAAGGTAGTAGTTCTTCTGGGGGATTTAATATATTGTGATCAGAGTACAAAAAGCTGCAAATGGAGGATTTTAAAAAAAAATTCTGCTAGCCAAATTGTTAGTATAACAGAATGCAGTTAGGTAGAAGCAGTTCTACAATCAAATATTCTTATCCACACCAAGCATGTCAATTTTATGACAGAGAAACAACACTAATACTTCCAAGGTAGTTATTACCCAGGTGCAGCAACTAAATCGGAGAGAAACATTTTAAAGCAAATCCTTGCTAGAGCCCTACATTTAATTCTCTAAGTCACATGACTGACTTTTCATTAAAACTTCCTTTTTAAACAAATATATTAGAGAATAACAGAAACAAAAAAAATTAGCCTAAGTCTCTGGTTTTTGAGATAGGAATGCTGTAAAAGAGATTGGCACAAATACTGTGGGAGTTTATCCTTTGAAAAGATAGTAGGAATTTCTTCCCAAAATGTGTCTGATTTCACTCCATCATCTCCTTGGGACTCAAATTTGTCACTGTGGGAATCATCTGACAGCTTCTTTAAGTGCTTCTAGGTAGAGATATGAATCAGATTAGCTCCCTGCCTTGGAACAATTCTCCCCATGTTGCAAAAAGTACACCCAGATGTTAGCAAACAACTGCACTGTCATTTTTCCCCTTCCAGAAGCTCTGTCAGAAAACACTGTAGAGTTACAATTTTATAAATCTGCTGGAAATGAGATCCAGTAATATAAAGCTAGTGTTGTTTATTCATAAAGTATACCAGACCATTAGCGAGAACATGAGGCTGCTGACATTGCTTATTTCAATATTTCACTGAAATATCACAAAACGTGCCTGGGATATACCACTTTTTTTTCCTCCTAATCTCTTTGAATGGAACAAGAAAGTCAATGGGGAAATCAGTGTTTAAGGTTAGAGCGGAACATAACCTAGCCCGGCCCAACTTCCACATTTGCAAGTTTGCCTAATGTCACTCAGGTAGTTAGTGGAGAGTAAGAAATGGAATTCACGTGTCCACTTCCAATCCTATAGTCCTTTTACAATGACACACACCCATGTGCTTGACTGAGAGAAAGGGGGAAACCACACTGATGGTAAGTTTTCTTAAACTCTGGTAATGGCTCAGTGTGTCTAAATTCTCACTTCTGCTCAGCTGAAGCAAAGACAACATCAAAGATTGAATGCCTTCCAAGCCCACTTTTGCCTTCTCTTGTTTTGCAAAATGGAAATTGTCAGACATGTATCAATCTAAAGTTCCTCAGGAACTATAAATTTCTTGGCCCGCAGCCAATGTTTGCCCATGTTTCAAGACCAAAAACAGTTTTTCTAAGAAAGCACCCTGAAAAGACTTGAAAGCCAGGTTGATATTTTCTCTTTGATCTCCCAAACAGTTTTGCAACTTCTGCACCTGGCACTTGGCACGCGATTCTTGAAGGTCTGGCAATGAGTAGTACAGGTAATCAGGCTTCACTCCTCTGTGCACACATTACAATCAATCCTACCTTTCTGCTTCCTCATTTGATCACCTCAAGACTGGTTAAATTCCTCTTTTTTTCATTATTAGATCTTTCTAGCCTCCATTATATCATCAATTTCAGCACTAAATGAAAGCATGTTTGATGCCACTCAATGGTGGTACATATGTGTTAGTCTATTACTAGATTCTCAGTGTCCCCAATACACTTATGAGGCTCTGAAGGGCCCAGCCATGGTGTTGTCTTGCAGCTACCGTATAGCTTTGTTAAAGTACCATATACTGTGTAGCTGAACTCTACCATATAGTCAGAAATCAAAAACAAAATTGGTTGTTTTTCTCCAAAATGCTTGGAAAATAGAAGTCATGGCTTATAATTTTAAGTATCTCCCAGAGTACATGGCAGAATACTGAGATTTACTTGATTTATATATTCCAGAGTTCATGTGCATTATAAAATGTATAGCAGCATCTGTGGCCTCTGCTCACTGGATAACAGCAACACCTCCATACATTCCTTTTCAATTGTGACAACCAAAAATGTTTCCAGACATAGGCAAAGTCTCCTTTGTATGTGGGGCAGGGAGAGAAGAGGGGTGAAAAATCACCCTCTTTGAAAATCATTGTATATATTACATTCATGGACATAATAAAGGGACTAGTTACAAAGAGTATGTTGTGACATTTTCTGATGTCTGTGGAATAGAGAGTTAGGATACCACTAAAAATGTAGCACAGTCAGGACTCCAGCTCATTCTCATTGCATCAGGGACATCTTTTTGGCAGACTGTGGGGACAACTTATCTTTGAGGATGGAGTAAGGACCAGGTCACACTTGTGTGCCGGCGTACCCTGTGTAAAAGCTGAGCAGGCTTAGTAAGTTTTTTAAAGAGTACATGTGAAGTATCACACTTTTTTTCAGCTCTTGAGAACAGCAGAAATCTAACAAAAAGAGAAAACTGTTTTGCTGAATGTATGTTCCTTCTTCCGTAAACCTGGAAGACCTAGCTTGGAGTAAAATTTTATAGACATTTTAATGTGGAGCCAAAAGTAAAGAGAAATGGGTTAGTCTATTAAAAGGCAGTTGAGATGAAAGGCATAGCCTGGATGTTCATTGAATTCATGGGCTAGAGAACAACACGGAGGTACCACTGCTCGCCCTTGTCAGCTCCACTGATTGCCGTTCTAGCTGCATATCAAGGGCTTGAGAAGGGAAAGGAAAGTTGGTTTTTCTAGCTCAGAGGTTCACTGATGCCAGTGAGGAGATGAAAATGAGTAAACACTTCCTGAAAAGGTAACAATTAATTTTGGAGATGGCAATTTATCACACAGCTGCAAAGGAACACAGAAGACCCTGGGGTGTATCCTTTTAGGTGGCAATTCATTGCTGTGTCTGAAATTTCATTCGTCTCCATAACACACACATCCACAAAAGAGTGAGAATGGAGACTTGGCAAAGGAGAAAACAAAGGGGAAGGAGGCATGAAAACCCTGCTCAGGTTATTAATAGCACAGACTCGAATTTCATGAATCTTAACACTCTGCTTTTGGCATGAGCAATTGATCATCTAAGACGCTACAATGCGCCCAACAATTAGGGCAAACTCTAGACAAGGGGGCTGGCCATGTGTCTTAAGGTTAAATAGCTGGGCCATGGGCAAGCACCAGAGAGGGAAATGGAGTGTGTAAAAGGAAAAGTTTGTTTTGTGTCTATGGATCCCCTTTTCCTACTTCCACTCCCATTTCAGTCCCCTTTGTCTTCATTTCCATTTTTCTTCAGTCATGGTCTCAGAAGTCACAAAGCTTCTAGTTGTAAAAAATGAAGTTCTATATCTAGCTATAAAGGCAAGATATTTCCAAGTATTTCCTCCAAGCTACTATGTTGGCATATTTTTCTCCGGTATGTGCTCACTTATATCCTAGGTTTCCTAGACTCCTATTCCTTCGAGATTGCATTATTTTCCCAATATGATAGAATGGAGTGGGTAGTATCGACATAAATGCACACAAATAACTCTGACTAAAGCCCACTCAAGACTATGCTTATTCGGGACAACGAAGTGCATTTCTTAATCTCAAAACTCCAAGGAAAGAAAACTGAAATTAATTGATAATTTCTTATGTTGTAGGTACTTTGTTACACTCCATATATCTTTTTACCTACCCATCCATCCATCTATCCATCTACCATTTATCATTCTTTGAATCTAAAAATATGTTGAATGCCTACTAAATGGTAGGCACTAATCTAAGTATCTGCCCAAATGAATCCTAACATCTATTAGGAGAGGCAGAGTGAAAAGACACTTAGAACACAGTAGAATTAATAGCAGGATAATGATAAGCTCCATTTACTGTGGAAACACATGGGAGAGGCACCTGGAATCTCAAAAGAGGTAAAATCTGAGATTGGCATTTTAGAAAGAGTGTGAAGCAAGGCAGAAGACAAAGAGTGGCAAAGAAATGGCAAATTGGAGTGGAAAGTGGGTTCTCAGCAGAGGAACCAGCATGTTTATACATTTGTACAAGGTACAAAAGAAAAACTCAAGCAAGTGAATGTAGTTAGAGCATTATGTGAGAAGGGTAGGGTAATATGAGTTGGAATTAGAAAGACAGGCATGATGGCATGAAGTTTGTCATCCTAAGGATATTCGATTTTATCCTGCAGGCAATGGGATCCATTGGAGTTTTTAAGCTAGGGCTTGCTTACTCATACATGCGCTGCAAAAAGTTATTCCTGACTATATTGTGGAAACTTGAAGATAGGCAAAATTGGAATCCAGGAAACCATTGAAGACATTACTAAAGTCAGAAGGAACACAATGGCAGTGATGATGGAGAGGAGGGGTGTATTTAACCGCTGTTAAATAGGTAAAAGAAGAGATCAAGACAACTCATGTAAACTTCACATCAATCCTATAAAGTTGATATTAATACGCACCTTATGGATAAGGCTTAGGTTAAGTAACTTGCTGACTGTTATAGAACAATAAAACAGCAGAGATATAAAATCTGTAATGTCTGACTCCACAGACCATTTTCTTCTCGCTGAACTAAACATGACTTAGCTCTCTATGGAGTTCTTTTAATGTGCTAAATCCTAGGGATTAAAAGTGAGTAAGATCTGCTTCCTGGCAACAAGATGCTCAGAACTGGGTAAACTATTAGAGACTTCATGCTACCACACCCTACCTCTTGCTTTAATCCAAGCAGTAGGTTATGGGATAGTTCTAAAATCTAATAATTCTTATAGTCAACAAAATAAATCCAGATATTGAGTTTAAAATGTTTACCCCCTTGATTTAATCCAATTACCTAAGTAATCCCTTGCTTTGCTTATAGCCAGCCACTTTCAAATATCTATAGCCCATAATGTCATTTTCTCTGAGTTGGCACTTAGCCAACCTATACGTATTTAGCTCTTTTAATCTTTTTTCCGAAGTCATTCCTTCAATTCCCCTAATCATTCCCGTAGATTCTGTCTGGCCTACCTCCAATTTGTCTACATCTTGAAAGAGCCTATCGAAGCAAAAGATACAGTGCTCTTGTTAGTAATTCTACTTATTCACAATGTGTTTTCAACATTTTCAAGCCCCTTTGTAATACTTGGGATTTTTTTGCATGAAAATAACATTGTACCTCTTGAGAAGCCTGTGCACTCCAACGTTTTGTTTATCCAAGGAGGCTCACATACCACCCACCTTTTCTATCCTAAAGCATAATGATATCGAAGGAGAAGGAATGGCAAGCATGATTAACATACTACTGGTAGTAATGATCTGTGTCTGGAATTAGGTAGTAAGAATTTATTTTTTGTTATTCTTTTAAGGCTACAGGAGGCTGCAGGAAGAATAAAAATACAATTTATCTGCAAGATGTTTCTAAATGGAATGCATTTATGACATTCTTGTAAGGCTTATTTGCAGCTCTTTAAAAATAGTTGACTATCTAATTAGAGAGATAGATCACATTGGTATAGAACTCATATACAGATAAATACTGCATTTTATAGCCTCCACTGATGCAGAGCAAAACTCACTCAGTATTTTAACTCTTAGGTTTCCTCTGTCTACATATATTTTTTAAAATGGACCTTCAAACATGCTCCCTACTTTAATCATTTATTTATTTTAATAATATTAAAAATATTCCCACCTTTACTATTTATTCATTTTAATATTATTCCCTAATTCTCTAAAGACAAGAATCTCTTATGACACACACAAAGCAAACACCATTCTGAAGAATTATTTGTCTATAGCATATTAGTTAAAATAGTCTGATAATATTGAGAGTGCAATTGACTTAACTGTCTTTAGTTTTAGGATATTTATTCATGATCCACTCATATCTCCTTGAAGTATCTCAGTGGTAGGGAAGACTTGGAAATGAATAGAAACCTAGTTGAAGAGTCATTATAGATTGCATAGCAGCACAGAATGGCTCTCTAGAGGTCCAGAACATCGAGAAAGGTTTAATAGGAAGCCAACCGCTGATTGGTAGGAAACATGACTAAGGTCCTTAAACTCTCTGCTGTGCATAGTGTTCATCACAACAAGTAAACCACTTGTGGAGGCACTGAGAAAAGGAGCCTGGCAGAGTGAAACAGGATGGCAGAGGAGAAGGATAACTCCCTGATATGGTTTGGTTG
Organism: Homo sapiens; assembly: GCF_000001405.40. Classification (NCBI taxonomy): domain Eukaryota; kingdom Metazoa; phylum Chordata; class Mammalia; order Primates; family Hominidae; genus Homo; species Homo sapiens. The sequence goes on along the minus strand of NC_000014.9, from coordinate 79,720,372 downwards.
TGTCCCCGCCCAAATCTCACCTGGAATTGTAATAATCCCCATGCATCAAGGGGATTATTAAGGAGGAGATAACTGAATCATGGGGACAGTTTCCCCCATATTGTTCTTACAGTAGTGAATAAGTCTCAAGAGATCTGATGGTTTTATAAATGGGAGCTCGCCTGCACACACACTCTTGCCTGCTGACATGTAAAACGTGTCTTTCTTCCCCTTTGCCTTCCACCATGATTGTGAGGCCTCCCTAGCCATGTGGAACTCTGAGTCTATTAAACCTCTTTCCTTTATAAATTACCCAGTCTCAGGTATGTCTTTATTAGCAGTGTGAGAACAGACTAATACACTCCCCAGGGATGTTATATTTCAACTTAGTCTTGAGGGATTATTACTTTTCCAGGTAGATAAAGTGGACAAAAGAGCAATAATAATAATAATTTTTATTGAAAGGTCACTATGCAACAGACACTATTCTAAGCATTTGAAATACATAAATTTATTTTTGACTCAAAACTCCTACAGAAATGATCATATTATCTTCATTTTATAGATAAACAAGCATGCTCAAGTTGTATGTTGTATGTGCTCAAGTAGAAAGAACATGTCTGAAAGTATAACAAGGTATGACTAGAATGTTGCATGCATGTGAAAAAATATTGGTAGATAAGGAAGGAAAGAAAGACAGGTGGGAATCTGCGGGACCTTTTATGCACGATTTTCTCTGGAGGGTTGGATCACGGGTGGAATTTACTTCACAGTGATTTTTTTCTACAATACGTATATATTCCTTGTTTAGAAAGTAAAATCAGTGAGAGTATAAAATTCAGGATATTTGAGCATATGGGGAAGTGAAAGAGTGTCCTCATCTGGGGACAGTAAGTGCTAATAGAAGGGACAGAAATCAGGTTCATAGATAATTGCCTTTTTTGTTTTGATTTTGTTTTTGAAATGGGAAAGGTATATATATATATATATACACACATATATATACACACACATATATATACACATACACACAATACACATATATGTGTATATATACATATATATACACACGCGTGTATACATACACATACATATACACATACATACATATATATGTACACACACACACACACACACACACATATATGTCTATGATGACGGGATGATATTAATGGCACCAGTGGAAAATGAGAACACTAAATGATGTCCAAACCTTGGGAAGAGACCCGAGTGAAGAGATAATTAGCATAAGATTTCAAACAAAGGGACGAAGGGATTCCCCTAAAGTAAGGACTGATGTGGATAAGCATGGAGGAATTCAAAGAAACTCATGACTGGTCAGCATTGTTTTCTAAAAGAAGGTAACATTTAAAATCCAAGTGTGTAAAAAGTGAAAAAGGAGACCAAGTTGAGAGTTTGAAATAGGTGCTGATCAAGAGTTGGAGGTGGAATGGGGGAGAGATAAAAAACAGAGAAGTCTTCTAAGACCAGGTTGAAGGCAGAAGGAACAGAGACCATTTGGAATGATCTAGAATGAACACAACAGAGAGAAAAAGGAATCTGGGTTGATGATGAGAAGTACTTTATAGATATAGACAAATGAAAAATTTGCTGAAGCCAAAAAATAAAAAAAAATTAAAAACTGCCTGGACTTAAGCATAAGATTTGGAAATTATGGTTAATCAGCAAGATATTAGGGCTTTAAAGTTTTGAGATTTAGCAGTTCAGAGACAGGACAAGATGCAGGGTGAGGCCATCAAGCTGGGTGGGCCTGTAGTGGGGGCCTGGCTGCTATACTAGTTCAAACCACAATCAAACTTCATCAGAATTAAAGCAATAGCCATGTATTAGGTCTCTCTGCCTCCTCTCTTGCTGCTTTACAATATTTTCTCAACATGGCAGAGTAATCTTTAAAAAACATAAGTCACATCATGTCACTCCTTTACTTAGTACGTTCTAATAGTTTGCCATTGCACTTTTATAAAACCTAAACTGCTTTCCACAGCCAAACAGGCCCTGTCTGTTTCAGTCCCTGCCACTTCTCAGATCTTACCTCACACCAGATTTCTTCTGCTACAGCCATATTCATCATCTTTCAAACACTGCTCAACATGTTCCAGCCTAAAGGCCTTTACACTAACCGTTCCCTCTGCTGTAAATGTTCTTCCCCCAGACTTCACAGACCTGACATGTTTTATCATTCCAATCTCAGGTTAAATGTTTCTTCCTTAGAGTAACTTCCCCTAAACTACCTACCCACCCATCAGGCATTCTGTGTGACATTGCGCAGGTTTATTTTCTTGATAGCACTTGTCCCTGCATATTATATTCTCTTGCTAATTTATTTATCGGTAGTCTCTGCCCCCACTCCCAGAATGTATGTTCCATAAGAACTAGAATTACTGATTTTATTGTATTTTCATTGCAGCCTCAGAGTCTACAAGGGTGATGGGTCCATAGCAGGAATCACCCTGCTCTCCCAAAAAAATGTTTGTGGAATGAATGCGCTGAGAGACTAGGGTGCTTGAGGGATGGTCCACTCCTTTAGATTCAAAGTCAAACCCCTTCATTTTATAGGCAAAGGTTTAACGGTCTAAGAGACATTTGAGATAAGAAGGATTAGGAAATTATATCAGTAAGCCATAGTGGAAAAACATAAAACCAAGATAAGAAAGGGCACTATAGTAGCTTGGGCACCTTAAACCTGAGATGAACTGTCCTAAATATTCTTCTAAAGAGCCCACGGAGCATTATTTTCAGAAGGTGTTATCGTTGAGAGACATTTATAATTTAAAGTGCAAACATTTCATATATTCAGAATTAAACTGCATTGCTTTCTTTTGATTTGGAGAAGGTTCAGAGGGGGAAAAAAAGTGCAAAGTAATTAAATAAAAGCCTGACCCAGTCTCTCACTGATTGCTTTTCCTGAAGATCTTACTACAAATGCAGTTTAAGAACAAAAGACACATCGAGGTTTGAGTCTGACAAGGAAGTTTGAAAGAATTAGCATGTTGCTGAGGAGCCAGTTCCATTTTCAAGTTGGTTGGGCCACACTGCTGTTCTGTTAGTGGTAGGGACTACTCCATCAAAAAGGCAGAGAAAAGGTTCTTTTGGAGTCAGCATGGAAGTCAAAGCTATGTGTGCTTTTTAGGGCCTGGAGCTGGCACCCTTCTAAGGAAGAGATTGCAGCTAAGAGGTGCCCCTTGCCAGTTCAAATGCATCTTCAAAGCAGCAGTCGCATCACGAAGAAAAGACCCCATTAGCATTCACTAAGTGGTGACTCCTACTCTGGGGAAAGAAGCCATCTCTCCACACCCAGGAGAACCTGCTAAAAAGGAAAAAGAGCCTTGTCTTCTGAATGATCTCAAAATAGCATTTAAATGCAACAGAAAACGGAATGCTCCCTGCCATTAAAGAGTGAAGAACTTATCTGGGCAAAGAACTGAAATAAGCTAAGTTTGGAGGCAAAGACTGTGAAAACTACTATTCATCAGGTTTGGGTGGAAATGCCCATTGTTACTACTAATAATTACAACAATGATAACGAATGAATTTAATCCTAAAGCAGGAGGCATAATCTCCAGCGTAGGCATGAAAGTTTTGTAATCACCCAAGCCTCAGCTGTGCCAGGGAAGTAAGAGTGGGAAGAACTCAAGAAAAGGATTACAATTAAAAAGAAATTGACATCTGTGAATTGAATTGGGCACATTATCTCCAGCTTCTGGTTCAGCGTTTTTATTACAAAATTAAACAGAGGGGCTAATTAGACTGCAGGAAAACTTCCACTGAACTCCGCAGTTTCCACCAAGCAGAAAGAAAGACCAAAGTAAGGCATGAGAAAAATAGGAAGAAGAATCAAATTTTCACGTTGCTGATTTCTGGTTATTAGTGTTCAATGAAAGACACAAGCAAGTGAAATACCAGAAGGCTGTAAAGTCCAGAAACCTAGACAAATGTACATGCTAAAAGGTTTCTTGATATTACAACATATGATAGGTTCCATGACATTATTGACATTACATCCATAACCATTATATGATCTGTTCAATGTGTATGGTCCCTCATCAGCAAGCATAGTTTCATGTACCGTGCAAAATTGAGATGAGTGTGATATATTAACACATTCCATGGAACCTTGCACATGGGTCTGTGAGGCATTGCCTTAAATGATTCATGTCTCCAATTTTCACTAAGGGGATCTGCACCTTTGGCATAGCACAGAGGTAGGGTTCAGACTGGGAGAGCAGGCAGCCCATTCCACATGACCATGTGATGCAGTCCAGCTTTGGAAACTCTTTTCCAACCAGTCCCACACCCCTTTGTCATGAGTCATAATAATGGGAGGCTCACTCTTGGAATGACCTATCTTTAGCCCATTAAGTGGGGACCTTAACTGGTCACTTTACTTGGTCGAATATGGTATGCTTCCAGACTTTAGCATCAATGCGTAGTCCAAAGCCAGAGGAACGCGATACAGTATGATCCCTACAGCAGGGCCTCAGCATAGGCTATTTCCTTTGGCGGGAACACTGGCCCTTGTCCTCTTTTGCAATCTAATATCTCATCCTGCACAGGACAGCTTCTATACTGCTTCTACAAGAAAGCTTCCCCAGATGACAACACTACCTCAGGTCCTTTTCTGCTGTCTTAGAAGCCTGTCCTCCTTTATCACACTGTGTCATGATTGTGATTGAATAATTATGTGTAAAATTGGTTTGTTCATGCCTTCTTCCCATGATATAAGTACCATGAAGACAGGCATCCTACACTTGCTTTATTATCTTTTTAACTCTATCCAGATCTGTCCACACAGCAGGCAGTGGCCATTAAGTGTTTATCGACTAAATAATCTTCCCTTTTCCATTCCCTGCCACCACCTTCACATTAGGTAGTGAATAAAATGGCTACAAAGGCCCCTGGCTTTTCAAATGCCACCTCTTCCTTGAAAGCTAAACCCAAAATATAGGTTTGCCAGAATCTCCACAGTCTTTTAGAGGAAAAATACTTCCATCACCACCTGGGTCTCTCTGCTCAGGGAGTTTTGGGGCAGTCTAGGAGAGCTGGCTGAGGCCTTGTTCAATTGTCAAATCATACCCTCAACCTCGTTTAGTGGACTCTTTAGGACACAACAGGATTTAAGAGGCTGGGCACAGTGGCTCACGCCTGTAATCCCAGCTCTTTGGGAGGCTGAGGTGGGTGGATCACGAGGTCAGGAGATCGAGACCATCCTGGCTAACACGGTGAAACCCCATCTCTACTAAAAATACAAAAAATTGGCCAGGTGCGGTGGTGGGCACCTGTAGTCCCAGCTACTCAGGAGGCTGAGGCAGGAGAATGGCGTGAACCTGGGAGGCAGAGGTTGCAGTGAGCCCCGATCACGCCACTGCCCTCCAGCCTGGGTGACGGAGTGAGACACCGTCTCAAGAAAAGAAAAGAAAAAAAAGAAAAGGATTTAAGAGCACCAGACATGACAAAGCCATCTCTGATATTCTCTAACACAATCGCCTTTCATAGTGCATTGCAAAGGAAAGTGTCTTTTGAATTTAAAAAGGATGCTGAGGTAAGGAAAATGTTTACAACAGAGGACGGAGGCAAACTCCCTTACAAAAATGCCTAATCAGGTGAGGAGGACAACAAGAGGATGTAGCTCACTGAAAATGAGGGAGAGAGAGAAAGAGAAACACAATCACACTTTAATTTCCTTTTTATCAATGACATGACTGGCATTGTTTTATGTAATTTATTTCCCTCTAATTATTAGCAGACATATTGCTGAATGCAACATAAAAATAGGTAGTCTAGACAGTTACCTCAAATCTCCTAATTAAAAAAAACAAGAATCTCCCTATAGTTATTTGAGTCAAAATAAATTATGCATGTTTTCTATATGGTTGCATGGTGCTTTTAGTATGATGTTGGAAGTGAGTTTTGCTATTTATCCTCTTACTTCTTCAAATATTTTGATTTACTTCAAAGCCTCCAGCTTCGTTTTCTGGCTAGAAATAGCCCTGGGAACATCCTCATCAAATTCCTTCTGCACTTTTCTATTCATGATTGTCTCACACTAGTTTCCACTTAGCTCTCCTTCAATGGAAGTAAAATGTAGCTTGTACCTAGTGTAATTATTTAATCAAATTCTATTTTCAGTGTGTGTATATATAATTCCTATTGGAATTGTGTACTGATAGCAAGTTCTTGTATATGTACATCCATCCAACATTAATTCGGCATTCTTTTTGTGTGGAGCCCCATCTGTGTTCTTACAATATATTGTTTCTCTTTAGGGGAAAGAAATATGTGGGAGTAATTCTTTTTCTACAGCTTCTACCAACTAGCACATGTAAGGTAAAGTAAATAAATATATTATGGTGATAAAGCTGGGAGCCAAATGAAAAGACTTTATCACCAAACACTGTAGGATGGAACCCAGTGACATGCAAACATATTGATTGACATTTTGTAGCATAAAAATTCCAGAGTGACAATTCTAATCCTTGCTCCTCTCAAAAATATAAGCATCTGGTGTGAAGCAGAGGAATGAGCTTATGCTCATTTCTGGATGTAAAAAATTCAAAGGGTTTATACATATTATTTAATTCTCATTCTTTCTGAGGTGGCTAAGAAATGAACATGATTGGTGAAACTGAAAAAAAAAATAAGGGCTCTTAAGGGAATACAAAAAAGAGTTGAACATTTTGCCTTGGGTTAGAGAGGGAATTGGTGGTACAGTAATTCTTAGTGGAATTGTGTAGTGATAGCTAGTTTATATATACATACATATGTATATGTATATGTATGTATATATATATGTATATATAAACTAGCTATCACTACACAATTCCAGTAAGAATTACTGTACCACCAATTCCCTCTCTAACCCAAGGCAAAATGTTCAAATATATATATATATATATACATTATATATATCTCAGATCTCTACTAAAGTTGGTTACCCTCAAAACTTTATGCTAATTAATTATAGCTATTCATTTTTTGTGTGTATGTGTGTGTGTTATAGTTTAGTAATAGCTTAGCTCATCAAATCATACCAAAGTCAGGATGCCAACACAGGGCAGCTAATCGGCAAATAACCACAACTTTACAAAAGCAAGAACTATAGGGGGCAGCAGCATGTGGTTCAAGAGACCTGAGTTGTAAGTGCTACTTTGAGGTCCACTGATAAGGATATTTCAGAGAGAGGGTAAAAAAAAAAAAAAAAAAAAAAAAAAGTAAAAATCAGTGCAGTCAAGGAATTAGACACCAAACTGTGATGTCAACAGCTGCAACATTGGATGCCCAAAAACATTGGACGGATGCTTTTAAATTTATTAGTGAAGATAATTTCCAAGATACAAGTCCTTCCCAGGCAAATTATCGTCAAGGGTGAGAATGGAATAAAACATTCTTCAGATGAGCAATGTCTCAATGATTTTACTTTTTAGCTATCCTTTCTCAGGAGGCTACAGGACAATGTGCACCTTGAAAATGAGGAAATAAATAGAGCTGAAACTAGGATTTAATACAGGAGCAGGGCCCAGGGATTTTCCAGCATGACGAGCAAGGAAGACGCAGGATGATAGCTGTGAGGCAGGCTCAGCGAGCGCCCAGCCCAGACTAAAGCAGGAGGTCAGACGACTCCAGAAGGGAGACCTCCAAGACAGAAAAAGAAATAATGGAGTCCTGTCGGTTTATCTTGTGAGGTCTTTTGTAGCTGTTGGCTGTGGCACTGATGGGTGGCTAGAAAAATAAGCTAACGAGATAACGAGGGTATTCATTAACAAACAAAGAGTTACAGGAAAACAGAAATTGTCATAACAGTATAATGTTTTGTCAGAGGTAGAAATATAGTCTGTTGTTTTTCACTGCTGTATCCTCAGTCTCTAGAACAGTGTCTGGCACATTCTATGCAGCTGGTGAATAGTTGTGGAACAAGTCAGTTCATGTATGATCTTACATTGTTTTCAATAGGCGATATTACAAAGTCATAATAACAAACTCTGAACATTTATTTAATCGAAATGCGATAGAATTTTACTGGGAAACTGGAAGGTAAAAAAGTGTGTGTGGGTTGTAGGGCAGGGAGAGCATGAGAAAGCTCAACTTTTACTTCCAGAAGCAGAAGTCATTAGTTAATATGTCAAACTGAAAAAGTCAAGAAATAGAAATGCAAGCATATTGCTAGAACTATGAAGGGAAATGTCTGAAAAGGATATAAAAGGGTTACCAGTATAGAGCAGGACTTTAGGGCAAGGTTAGAAAGATACTACTGTTTTTCTTTTGTTATTGTTGTTTTCTTATTTTAAGTCTCACGATGCTATCTATCTATCTTCAGCTGCGTTTTCAGAAAACAAAGTCTGAGGCCCGGTATCGTGTTTGGGAAGTTTGGGGAGAGTGACATCAGAGTCTGGGCAGAAGGGGGAGGTGAACATTCATGCAATAGAGACCTCAGCTGGCCTTAGGAAACTCTCTAGCTAAAAGGCCCTTCCCAGTTATCCAGTCTTGAGACAATGGGCTGAGTCTTGATAGATCCCCCCAGCTCCATCATCCATCATTAATTGGATATGGGCCACCCTTCACCATCATTAATTGGATATGGGCCACCCTTCAGGAAGGGGCTTGACCTTGGTTGGGCAAGGTGGCTTCAATAGTCAAAGGCAGTTCTTCGTGAAGGATTTAGCCAACAGCCATCAGCCAGCACTCTAGCAACTAAGGTGATGCCTTTTCCCCAAAGGGGATATCTAGGCACAGTTCAAGGTTTTAAATTGTGTGGCTGTATTACTTAGGCCAACCACAGTGGCTCACACCTCTAATCCCAGCACTCCAACGCAGGAGGATCACTTGAGCCCAGGAGTTTGAGACCAACCTGGGAAATAAAGTAAGACCTCATCTCTATAAATAAATATATAAATAAGAAATAAATAAGAAATAAATATATATACATATATACACTAAAAATAAACTATGTGAATATATTGTTTAGATAAAAATAAATTAAAATGTGAAATTACCTGTTGTTTACATTTTTTATAAAGTGGTTGAGCAATTTGCCCCTGGACGTAGAGCTTTGAGCAATGAAACTAGTACTTGAAACCAGAATGGCCCATCTCTGAAGCTCATCTGGTTGTGTGGGGCTCAATCTCTGAGATTCTTCCAATATAAACATTCCATAAAACTATAATCTCAAACCAACACAAGAAGATATTTGCCATAAACATTGCAAATTTAGTCTCCAGGACCGAAATATGTTTCAATCACTTTATTGTAACTTGCTTTACGGTTTCTGTCTTTTTTAGTCAAAACATATATTGTTTACATTTGAAATTTGGTCTTTTTTGAATAGAAATTAAAGACCCTATTCTTGGAATAGACCTCTGTAAATATAGATGGCTGCTGCCTTTGCAACTGTACTAGCCAATCAGCATGCTAAAGTTTTTGTAAAAAACTGGGCTGCAAGTGAGTCCGCTTGTAGTCTGAAAATATTTAAGAACAGTACCAGACTGTGTGTTCCTCTAAAGCAGAAAAATTTCTATTTCATTCTTTATTTCTCCAAAGTCTTGCACTTATGAGACACCCAATGTTTGTGGAATAGAAAATGTTCTCCATAAGAAAAGAGGGTTTTTGTCTGTTTACTGATGTTGTTCAAGTGCCCAGGACAGTACTTAGCCCATACTAGGCACTCAAATAACTCAAATATTTTTTAATGAAATTCAAAGTCAAACTAAAATTGAAGTAACATGGGGGCACCTCAGTTATATATCTCATGCCCTCATAAACTGGACTGTGGAAGTATACAGCATTTTTGAAACCAGATCATAGTACTCCTTGTCTAGGCTAATGAATTTGCCATTTTATCAGTAGACACGTGTTACAATAGCACTCTTATTGTGGTCCCAACTTCCCAACTAAGACCACTGCTGTGCAGTCTTCTTAAATGACAGAGCCAGAAATCATTTAGCAGTCACCCTTTCTTTGAATGAGAAACAGGAGAGAATCAGACACTGTGGTTTATACAACACATAAATAGATTTTTATTATTTTTTTTTAAAGTAGCCCTTTCAAAAGCTTGAAATCAACCAGGATATGGAGGTAATTATATTAAGAGTGTTACAGAGCAACGAAATTATTCTGTTTTTTGCATAAGTGGTCAGGGATATAATTTGCATAAGTTATATCATATTGATTCTAGCAGACAGAGACTCAATAAAGACAAAAGAACACATGCAAAAATAAATCCCTAGGGAAAAAAATCAGAAGCCGCAGATGGAGGCATCTATTATTTTTGACTTTAAATGGAAAACAACAGCAACAATAAAACAAACAAACCCCCAAATAAAGGACAACAATCATAACAAAAACCCCATCCAGGTTAATTCTCTTTCATAAAAACTGTCTATTTCTCTCTTTGTCCTTGTTCATTTCTCCCTCATAAAACCTGCTTTCAAATGTCATCCCCTCCCCCTTGCCAATAGATCAAGCATCCTCTAACAGGATAGATAGATAGGGTAGTAAGGAACTAATAATGATAATAATAATAATGAGAAATGGCCTCAGAGATATATTTCATGCATCTTCCTCTCTCCTTGTCTGTCTTCAGTGGAATAGCTTCCCAGCCAGTAGGGCATTAATCATGAGAACAGCAGCCCCGAGATAAAGGCTGGGTGAAATTTCATTGTGCATTATAGTGTGAGTTGTGGGTGCATGAATATGTGTCTCTCTCAGTATCCGGGAGGAGAAAGTGGAGAGGCAGAGCAGAAAAATCTGTCATTTTATACATTTATACTGCTTAAGATGGTCAGGACTGGCTCCCCATTGTTACCGTGGATTAAAATCATTCACATCCTTCTGCTTCCATTGGAGGTCACCTCTCAGAAAGGGGGATAAATATTATGACAAGTTAAATTTTACCTATGTTTTTTTCCATCTGCCTTGGGGGTATGCAGTAAAGTAAGGGACAGGAAGAAGGGGCATCTGAAACCCGGAGCAGCATTGTCTGATGGGATACAGTTTTCTCTTCTAATCCTTAGTTGGGGTATCCACCCTTTCACTTACATTAATACTTTGGGTTAACAAAATTTCCTGTCTTGAAGAGAACTGAGCTAAGTTTGGGAAGACCATTTGGAAGAGATAGGTAAACAGATACCATGATTACTCAGCAAGGAACCGTAAATATTTCCTAGAGCCTTGCTCTATACTCTATAGTGAGGTACACATATCTGCAGCATGAGATCATCTGGGAGCTTGTTAGAAGTGCACGATCTGAGATACCACCCCGGACGTGCATTAAAATCTGTGCTTAATAAGATTACCCAGGTGATCTGTATACACACATTAAAGTTTAAGAAGCACTGTTCTCCATAGTGCAAGCAAACACGAGCATCCTCCCTCTCTCCCTGTCTCTCTCTCTCTCTCTCACACACACACACACATAATAAGATGGGGCCAGAGATATAAGAGGTTGCATTATACACACAAGTCAATCAAATTCCCATCAAGTAATTCTCTCAGTGACTGCTAGCCACCACAGACGTGGTGTGCATTTATTTCCCCAATCATTTTATTTCCCCAATTATTTCATCCATGAATGATGAGGAAATCAAGGAGAACCTTACAAATCACCATTTAGCTAACAGAACAAGCTCTCTAGACAACCCAAGGCATTAATTAGAAGGTTTCAAAAGGCAAGGCTGTCATAACAGCCTCAGTGTGTTTCTAATTTTTACAATCATTCAAACATGCACCAGAAAGGTATGAAACCACATCCCACCCCTCCCACCACCTTGTCATAGACATAATGGAAATATCCGCCTTGATGCCTGGCAAGTGACGATTGCTGCTTGAAGTCGTTTTCCTATTATATATAAATAGAACATCATATATTTTCAGAAAAAAAAAAAACAATTCTTACCTCAGTTTAAATTGAAACCATTGGCTTTTTCTTTTTTTTGGATGATTCAAGAGACATTTATCAAGTACAGTCATTCCTCAGCATCTGTGGGGGATTGATTGGTTCCAGGACCTCCCATGGATGGCAAAATCCTCAAGTCCTCAATATAAAATGGCATAGTATTTGCATGTAACCTATACACATCTTCCTGTGCATTTTAAATCATCTCTAGGTTACTTACAATGTCTAGTACAATGTAAGTGCTAGGTAAATAGTTGTTATACTGTATTGTTTAGGGAATAATAGTAAGAAAAAAGTCTGTACATGTTCAGTACAGACACAATTTTTTAAAAATATTTTTGATTCACAGTTAGTTGGTTGAATGCAGATGCAATCCCACATATGCAGAGGGCCATCTATAATCTACCTTTTACATAGAAGTGGTCATTGTGATGTCTCACCCAACAGCTTTCAGCAAAGAGGGGAGATATAGAAAAAATATTATTTATATTATGATTTTAATTATATCAAAGATATTTTATTCATCTCTCTCAACCTAAGCCATACAAATCCATGAAATGGGCACGTAATTCTTATAGCAATAATTACAGAGCATCGCTGCTGTCTTTCTCTCCTTCTCAATTTTTCCTTTCTTTTACTTCTTCTCCTTTCTTTTACTTCTTCTAATTCATTGTTTCCTACATTTAACTGTCCCTGTGTGTGTGTGCCCAAGACACTATGCTAGATAATGTTAAAATAAAACTTTCTTTTCTGAGGAAAGAGCATAGGCCCAAGGAAGCTAATTGCCATATCAGAGACCACAAACTAGCAACAGAATAAAAAAGAAAATATAGTTGCAATACTGGTTTATCAGCTGAGACCAGATTATAATCCCATTTAAGACAGCAGCAATAATAATCTTTGAGCCGCACCCATTTAAGCCCTTGACTTATATTATCTTAACCTACCCTTGAAGTTGGAAATCATCCCCATATTTCAGATAATAAAAAAACATAGCTCCACAAAGGACCCTGGCCAAAATTCTACAGCTAGAAATGAAGGTCTGCCTAGAGTCATGGTTTTAAGAACTTCTCCAGTCATGAGCTAAGTCTCCTGATGCCTGCTTCAATGCACTTTCCTCCGTACCAGGCTGCTTCCTCCTAACTCCCTTTGCCTACTTTGTAAATAAATTATATTGGCCCCCACTGCCTCTTCACTCTGATGATAAGCATTTGCTTAACTTACTTTCATTCGTTTAACACATTTATTTTTCTTCAACTGATATTTTTGAGCCCTGCTTTGTGGCAGGCACCATTCTAGGCTCTAAATGTCCAATGATGAGCAACATAGCTATTGTTCCTTCTCTCAATCATCAATGTTTTTTCAAATTATCACTAAAAATGGGTAAATATGGGGCTAGTCAAATTATAGGGTTTCAGACATGAATAAATGGTGCTCACACAATATACTCAGCCATTAGACCAATGTTGGGGACCAGCCTCAGCACCACCCGTAGGGTACCCGAAGTCCGGTGGCGACAAACGAATGAGAATAGACAGGTTAAGAGTGCATAAAGAGTGGAGTGCCAGGGGGCCAAGTGTAAAATGGAGGCTGCAAAGGCGCCAAGCTCTGGTCTCCACACTATTTGTTGAGTACAATCACTTAGCTCTAAGAAGCAGATGTTCAGGGGTGAAACGGTGAAAGGGGGGCGGTGTGTCATACACCTAATCTATAGCAATGGCAGTTTAGGTAAATTTTCTTTGTGCTGAAGCAGCATAAAATTAACTACTGATTTATTCTTTAATTTATCGGAGAGCAGCTGGGGGGAGTGGGCCTCACTAGGAGCCAGCATATCTGGCCACATTTCAATGCTTCAAAGCAGAGTCTTTCTCCTTTGAACACAGTGTTTACAGATAAGAGAGCAGATCTCGCTCTGAGCCTGGGAACATGATGGCATTTAGGAGGCTTTCCTCCTCAGAGGCCTCTTGTGGCTTTCAACAACTTATTGTCCCATATTTTTATGGCCAGTTTATGCAGGCACCACCCTACAAGCCCTTTTCTCAACAGACCAAAAAAAAAAAAAAAAAAAAGTAAAAAAGCCTCAAGTTAATTTTCCATCCTTACCAAGTAATTTTTATTTGCATATATTTGAAAGTGGGTTTTAGGAGAATTAAGGATTAAGTTATTTGGAAAGGAAGAAGAAGAAACTGGAAAGGGAAAGGTGGGTGATATTACATTTCCAAAAGTGATTTGAAAACTATACGTGCTAGAATTAGCCCTTGCTTTTGGCTGAGCAACAAGACTGGAAGCTAACAAAAATAATCTTACATACCAGAGACAAGGAGATATCTCTGGGACTCCTTATTCCTAGAGCAAAGATCCAAGAGCAGCAAACCCAGTGGTGCCCACCCTCACTGGTGAGCCTCATGAGGGAGTGGGTCCTGGGAAACAGGGGCTTGGATTCAGCCTGTAAATATTGTGTGGCCTGTGGACTCCCTGAGAAGGTACTGGTGGATGGTTGACTATTTATACCTTTCAACCAACATTGACTGCGTATTACTCTGTGCTCGCTACTGTTCTAGGCACTGTGCTATTTTAGTGCCTAAAATAAAGATCTTGCCATCCTAGAACTCACAATCTACTAAATAGGGACAATAAACAAATAAATGTGAGCTATAATGTCAGGCAGTGATAAGTGCTATGAGAGGTAACAAAACAGGAAAAGGCGATAGAGTGTTGTATTTTACAGACGGTCAAGAAGGTCCTTTCTGGAAGGTGCAATATAAGCGGAAACCTGGGTGAAGTGAGGGAGTGAGTACTGTGAATAGCAGGGAAGGGCTGCTGCAGGCAGAGGAAATGGCAGGTGAAAAGGCACAGGCACGCTTGGCACATTCAGGCAGGGCTGAGAAGATTGAATGAGACACTCGCTTAAGGTGTAAGATTTAACGGGGGTTTGCTAAAACTTTGTTTTCATTTGCTGAAATATTTTAAAATCAATATTAATGCAGGAAAAAAATCTGCAAAAGCAAAAAGTCAAATATCAATTTTAAGATGAAAATCTAAGCTTGCAATTGCATAATCCTGCCTCACCGGTTTCACCCTTCTTCTTGCTCTGTGTTCAAGAAGGATCAAGAAGACCTGTGTGATTGGAGCAACGTGGTGGAAAATATGGTCAGAGCAATAGGAAGGAGGAGAACCATATGCCACGCAGCAAGGATTTTGGCTTTAGATTCGGCTAAAGAGTCTGTTAGGTAATTAGAAAAACCACCCTGAGGTTTAAAAACACTCAGGGACCTCCACCCGTGGGTAGCCAAGAACTGACCCCACTTCCCTCCCAGCTGTTCAGATGCCTAGAAATAAGAGCCAGCACTTTATTAGTAGTTCTGGTGGAAATTCCATCCTGTAAATATTACATCCTAATTGGAAGGGCATCTCTATGAATTCTCCTGGGAGCTTTCACACTTCGTCTGCCCTCAGGACCCTTTCATCGACTAGACCTAGTTTTGGAAAGCACCTGTTCCATCCACCAAAATTACGTATTAAAGGAAGGATGAAAACAAACTACACTGCACTCTTTTCACTTGCCTATTTGTACTGCCAACATCTAAGTCTTTAAGAGGAAGGTAAACCCATCAAGCTCCCTTTTCTGTTGTTGTTAGAACTGTGCAGTTCCAGAGAGTAAATGTCACCAGAGAATCTTACCAGGCAACAAGTAAATTAGAGTGCAATTTCTCTCCCCCCAAATTATTCTCTAAGAGGGAAAAAGAAAGTACCTGCGTAAGGGTAAGGAGAAGACAGAAGATATTTCTTGGCTGGCAGCTAAAGTCTGATTAGACTGACAAATCTTCAGCGCCTTCTCCAGTTATGAGGCTTGGCAGGAAAAGAACAAACCCTGGAGCCTCACATTATGTAAGGCTGTTAATCAATATTAGTTGAGCCCTGATCCTAAAAATAAACTTCCCCCGGAGGCTCTGTTGTCTAGTGGTAAAAGCAAGGAGATGAAAACTGTGTAGATTCCTTATCTCATTTCTCTCAAGCTGGTGGCAGCAGGGAAAAGGTGGAAGGACCCAGAGGGGATAATTCTTTGGGTAAATATAACCAGTTTTGATACAGTGTGATCTACATCCTGCTATAGCACAGTATTTGGGGATAAGGTGGATCTATCTTGTCTCCCAGTGCAAGGCAGTTTGATTATTTGAAGACCTGGAGAATATCTGAGGTTCTAGTCTGGGCCTCGAAGTGCCATTGATAACAACATGCTGTAAATCTGTGTGTCATCGTAGAACCATGTGATATTGCTAATATTTAACCATTTTGATCTACAAAAATAGTGGTTTCATACACTTCAACCTAATAGAATAGTCTATGTGTTGTAACTGTTCAGCAAAGCCAATTCCCACTCCAGAATATGAAAGAGCCTGCCGTAGCAATCTCTCCTGATTGATGAGCTTGGGGCTCTGATTCAATCTGGGGCCCTTAGAAGAACTCACAATCCAGGCCCTTGTGAGTTTGTATGAGTATAAACAAAATTGTTCCTGGGCTTATCCAGCCCCACAGGAAGGCTAAGCTCTAGGGAGATCTGTGAGTTCTGGGAGAGTCCCTTAGGTTGAAGTGGTTTCCTTATGTGAAAATTTTTACTGAAAAGTTATGGGGTGCTTTTCACACATGATTGCACTTTACTATTTACAAGGAGCCTACGGGAAAGGTACTGTAAGGCCACTTTTACAGACAGTAAAACTGAGGCTTAGAGAGGCTAATCACCTGCCCAGAGATATACAGCAATATGGTTTGGCTCTGTGTCCCTAGGCAAATCTCATCTCAAATTATAATCCGCACATGTAGAGGGAGGGACCTGGTGGGAGGGGGGATCAGGGGGGCAGTTTCCCCACTCTCCTTTCTCTCTCCGGCCATCATGATTGTAAGTTTCCTGAGGCCTCTCCAGGCATACGGAACTGTGAGTCAATTAAACCTCTTTTCTTTATAAATTACTTAGTCTCGGGTAGTTTTTTATAGCAGTGTGAGAACAGACTTATACATACAGCTAAGCAACTGGAAAAACCTGGAGTCCAACTCAGAAACTCTGACGCAAAAGCCCACGCTCTTCAACACACTGAGACTCTACCCAGAACAGACGTTGCGCAGGATGAACATTTTAATCCAAAGTTTTTTCTTTGTTTTGTAATCATCAGTATCAAGGCTGAAGCATGCTTCTTACTGTCTCCAGTCTGACACTGAAAAGCTAAGAGTACTTTGCCTATAAGAATTTTTACAAAACATGAGAAATTGTGGCTTCCTTCTGGAATTTGCAAAAGTGGTTCACATTCAACCACCAAGTTTGTGAAGCTTGAGAATGAAATCTCACAAACCTCTTAAGTCTTTCATTTTGACTAGTTATAAGGATAGTTCCAATCCATGCTGAGCATTGTGATTTTCTGGCAATTTTCAGGCAGCAGTTGCCAATGTCAAGGTGACTTTACCAATGCCCAACACAGAAAAAGTATGTCATGATCAGTATCCTGCAAATAGTTTATAAATGATTCCAAATGGTGATTTGCACAGAACACACTGAGCTTTTTTTTTTTTCTGCTGATAACTCAGGATGGAGACATAAGGTAAAAGACTTGTTTCTCACTTTTTCCTTCTATCCTGAAGGAAGACCAACGAATTTGAGTGTAGACTGAGTTGAACTTTTCTATTTTAGAAGCTGACCTATCAGCACCATAATAATTACCCACCAATATTGGAGTCAGTTGTAGAGGAAGTGTTTGTGCAATTATTGGGGCATTCCTGGTAGTAAGGTACACAGGGAACCCAATTCAGTTTACCCCTCTGGGCCCTCTCCCACTTGGCAAAGTTTCAGGCCAAGATTTTGATTCTGGACCCCTTGCTACTCACAAACTCCCTCTTATGCATTCTCTGTTCTACTTGGACTTGGCTATCTCTCCCAGAGATTATAATCTCTGCTTTTAACAACTTAGCTTCTGGCTGACATTTGACCAACCAGGAATATGTTCCTCTCACCACCTGTCCAATTGTGCTCTTTTTACAACAAGGCCTAGTAGAATGAGTGCATGAGATCCAGTCAAGCCACACCATGCAACACTTGCCATCCCCAGCACAAAGAGCCATTCATGAGTCACTACTTCATATGGATAGCTCATGTCAAACCCTCTTGCCCTATTTAGATTGTAAATTCCACGATGGTAAGGAATCTGGATTTGTCTTCTTTGCAACCCTAAAAGACATGTGGATAGACAGAACATATTTTCAAAGACTCATAGAACTCTAAGTTGGTTTAAAATAAAACAGAACTTTAAAGATGGGTAGTGAGGTGTCAGAGAAGTCTGTTCCTGAGATCATAGAAATTTTGATTTGCCAGGACTAATTTCAGCCCCTAAATTCTGCTTGGATCCACCTTCAAATCTCTATTTCCCCCAAACTTCCTAGCCCTTACTCTAAACTATAGCCACTACTGTCGGTAGTCACAGCCCCATTTTCTGAGGCAGATATTTGCCTGAGAGGATCTTGATTTAATACACCAATTGTGGGAAACAGAATATAATAATAATGGTTAAAACGCATGCAGTCTTACTTTGAATGGTACACTTATTTTAAGCATTTTACTTATATCAACTCAGTTATCCTTATGACAATCATATAACATAGCCACTAGAAGTACACCACCCTCCCTACTTTATAATATGGTAGCCTTAGTAATGTGGTAGACTTAGGTTGGTTGCAAATTATTGCTACTCCTCCTCCTATTGAGAAGTGATATTTATGTCTCCTCCTCTGAAACTGGGAAAGCTCTGTGACTGTTTAGACTAATAGCATATTGTACAAGTGACACTGCCAGTTACCCAGCCCAGGCTATATAAAACTGGCACCCTCTACTTCCTGCCCCTGGAAGTACTCTCTCTGGAAGCCCTGAGCCTCTATAAACACAGCCCATCTGCTTTGCTGGAGAAACCACAAGGAGAATCCCAGAGAATACATAGAGAGGGAAAAGGGCCCTGCTGAGTCCCATCTTCCCAGTTAACCCAGCAAAGCACAAGGTATGTAAATAAAGCCAGACCCTCCAGGCAAAGTCAGCCACTGAGTGAACACAATCATCTCTCTAGATGGCACAGAAGAATTGCCTTGCTGAACTGTGCCCAAATTTCTGTCTCACAGAATTTTGAAATCTAATGACATAATTGTTTTAAACCACCAAGTTATGGGAAAATTTGTTTCATATAAATAGTTAACTAGAACTTACATGACTTGTCTGGGGTCATGTAAGCTAATATGAGGATGAACAAAGTTTTAAACCCAGCTAATCTAGCTCCAAGTGCATGCACTGAATCACTATGCTATAGCCTTACTACTGAAAAATACAACAAATTTGGCCAAAGCACCCTGATCACTGTGGAGGAAACACTTTCCTCAAGCTATGCTACCTTCCATTGTGAAATGACTCTAAAGTAGGTAATAAAGCCTGTCTTGTTTTCAGATGTATTCAGTAAATATTTACTGAGCACCTATGAAGTGCCAGGCCTTTACTTGAGAATTATCACTCACACACCTGCTTTCTCAATGCACATCTTAAATTTTTTAAAATTCAATAGAGTACCTAGAGCTATCCTTCTCAATGTAGGATCAAGACCTGATGCTTGGGCATGATTGCTATGAGTAAATTAACATCAGCCAGGTTATTCACAGATAGTTCTACACTCTTACCTGTAACAAAATGGAATCAGAAAGATCAAAGCACCAATTACTTCTAAGAGGCTATAACACTAGACAGACATACCAACTCAAAAACTACTTGTTCACATTCACACACGGTTAAAAGCAGCACTGAAAGCACCTTACAGTTTTCCTTTGATCTGAAATCAACACTACCTCAGGTTGACCAGGAAAGAACTCTTGAAAGGATGTTTTCTTTGCTTATGCTTTAAGAAAGAACTAGAGGATTTTTGAACAGACAGGTTTTTATACTGGTGGACTGACATGCTTATTTTCTTTCTCCTAGAGGAGTCTCATTTTAGGAAAACTTTGCTTTGACAATGTTATTAAATTTAGCAAAAGAGGACAGAACAGTGGTATCATTTGGAAAATGTTCTATGTATGATTTCACATATAGATAAAAAAGTGAATAATGGGCCCGGTGAATATGAAATCCAGTCTTCCCTACCTTTTTTTCCCCACTCACTTCTGAAGTATCTCCCAGAGATCAGAACTTTATGAATCCTCCTCATCTAAGAAAAGTAGTGGGGTCACATAGGCATATTAATGCTTCTGGGACTGACCTTCCTTACCTGCAGTCTCTAGAGTCTGGGAATTGTCCTAAACTTTGAATAGAATCCAATAGTTGTTGGGTCCCCAGTCCTAACATAGGTTTGATGTGATCAACAGAATGTGTTTAAGACCAGACTAGGCTTGAAGATGAGGCTTTTAAGTTTTTAATGGAGCACAGGGCAGAGTTCTGATGACTAGTGGTCAAGAACAAAAAAGATTTCCAAAACCCTTGGCAGAAAGTTATTTCCTCTAGTTAGTCTTCCAAAAAATCCAGGGCTTTTAAAATCCCTCATCGCAGTCTAATCAATTCTTGTAGGCTATTGGCTTTCCTCCAAGAGGATGTACTTACCCTTAAAACCAAAGAGTCTCAACAGGTTTATAACTCATTTTTGTAGACTTGGTGGAAGTAAAAGGAAAAGCATGTAGATGTAGTTCGATAATTACTGGACTTAAAGAAACACATGCCAGAGAGAGGCTATTGGAGAAGGCATTCCCAGTTGTTCATCTCCTCTAAAATGGCCATAGGTTCTATAACGTTTAGAGTTATAATCACTAGCAAGATTTTGTATCTTGTACCCTACTTTTCTTCCAAAGTTCTGACTTTCTTAATTTGCGGAAAGAGTTCAGGAACTCACCCAGTTTATTCCCATTTATGTATGTGCTACAGGAGGGAAAGCCAAAAAACCAATAATTACTACAGCTTGGTTCCCGAATCCCCGTGTAACATTAAATCATCTCAAGGTCAGTGAAAATTTGGCCTTAAAAAGAACTACAGGACCAGCCATTCCTATGAAGAAAAAGCCATTTGCTTCTCTGCTTCCCACAGAGTTAGCAGAATACATTCTGACAGAAACAAAACAAGTCTGCCAAGACCTGTGCAGACAGAACTATCCTTTCACCAACAATAAACAGATCTGCTCTTGAGCTAGAGAGAGTCATAATAGAAATATATATTGCCTTTTATCTTCTTTTCAGTGAGTAGAGCAAGGTGTCAGGAGTTATTGGTTTAATATCAGTAGAGAAGAGCTATTTTTTTTCTCGTGAGCATGTGTGTAGGTATGCAGGTAATAGCATGTGTGACGGTAACAGTACTATGCTAACCAGGTTTTTAGAAGCCTTTTGAAAACGATAAAATTGCCCTTATGACACTGTCAGCATATATAACTCCAAATTGTTACTGTGGAGCCATGCAAAGAGCTGTCTGGATACTTCTGCTCAAGGAAAAGGAAAAAGGAAGGCAACAGATAATACACTTACCATTACCTAGCTCACATACATTTAATTCTGAAAAATGGGAACACATAGGTGGTATAATTGATTATTGACTTTAAGTTAACCACGTCCATTGGAGTCAGTGTAAAGGTGATGTTAAAGACACAACTGAGCTCCTGGATAATGTCTTAAAACAAAGAAGCAAACAGGACAAGTGCTAATCTACTGATTTTTCTATAAACACTAACTAGGATAGGGGTAAGTAATTGTTGTCGCAGCAGCAATTGGAATGTCTCATGGTATGCCAGAGCATTTAAGGCTAATAATTCAGTTAACCTCCTACCCCCTACTAACTAGATTTATGAAATGCCAAGGGAGTCAGCAAAGTATTAAGCTTAGTTTGGATATAATTACTTTCAAGTGGAAAAAAACTGCCACAAAAACAAGGACTTCCGGTATAGCCAAACTCAAACCTTCAAATTTTCTACTGTAATTAGTATCTTGATCAAATATAAAGAAAACAAAATGGGCACAAACCTGACACATGATTAATCAGGATTTGATAACAAACATAAAGACTGCATTTTACAAGGAGTAGTTGCACTTCTAACTTTAACTGCCCTTGATTTAATGGTACCCATTGACCTCAATAATGAAAGATTCATGTTATAGCAAAGCCATCTGGAGAATGTGAATGAAATTGAACTAGGATATAGCTTTTCATATGATAACAGATTTTCCTTCCCTCCCTTGCCCTTTCTGTTATTTGAAAAGGTAATAAAATTAAAGGAGAGAGTATTTCATACTGAAAGTGTAGTCCATTGCTCGTTTTGAATAACAGCTTTACCATTTCAGTGATAAATACAATAAGAATAACAACCCAGGAGTGCCACAGACTTTTATGACTTCTTTAGCAATGACTTCACCTTTCTCTTCTCCTGGGTCTCATTACTATGAGTATCTGCCAGCATCCTTCTTACATAGTAATTCAAACTCTTTAGCTACATAAAGCAATGACCATGATAACAATGTTGCAAAGATAAAAATACAGACGCAATTAATACTTGGAAAAAGGCCTACCTGAATGCTGGCTGTAGAGCGATTCTTACGGGTTGTGGTAGTCGCCATTGTAGTAGTGGTTTCCATGACAGTAGTAGACATTTCTGGTGGCATGGAGGTCGTCTGTGTTGTTCCCAAAATTGATGGGACTTCTCCAACCAGCCGAACACTTCCATTGATTTTAATATTGGGGTTGTTCTCAGCCGCCATGTTCAGTACTTTCAAACCATCATAATAGAGCCCAGAGAGTTGGCCTTGGAAGAGGCGTCCTTTGTCCTTTCCACCAATGGCTATTTGCGCCTGAGTGTTGAAGATGGTTAACTGCCGGCCTAGTGGGTTGGGTGGAGGAAACATTATTATTCTCATACGTTTTCCTTGTTTGCCTTACCTGGTCTGAATGGACCAGGCATCATAACAGGCTTCCTTGAGCAATTGAAGGGGAGGAAAAAATAGACAACAAAACCTCAGTACTGACGTTAGCAAGTAACATTTCATTATGGTTATCTCTTCCACTGTCTAGCTGAAAATCTTTGATAACTTGAACAATCAAGTCTCTATTCCTTCATAGTGAGGAAGAAGAAATCTTGGTTCAATGATAAGAAGTATTATGGTCTTCTTGGGTATATAATTGAGGATGACAGAAAGAAACACTCAAATCAGGTGATGACCAGAATAAATTACGGATACCTACTGCATTAATGTTTAAAGCTACGAAGTAAAATAATGAGAATGAAAAGAATTAAATATGGCCAAAAAAACTCAGTGAGGTGACTCAGAAAACTAAATTTAAAAACCAGGTCTGATAATTAAATTAGCTGAAATTAAATTTCAGTTAAGAGACTTGGATTCATTGCATACTTGTAAAAATGAACTACTAGTCACCAAACGTATCATTTCTAGTCACCAAACGTATCATTTCCTATAAATCTTCATTGGGCATAATATTCTATTTTCTGGTTAACAAAATCATGAGAGATAAATTCCTATCTCTATTAATTTGTTTTTAGGAGGATGGATTATGGTCCCACAACTAAATTATTCCCTCAGTATGAAATATAAGCATATTGGTAATGCTCCAGTCCTGGGGAAGTTGTCCTTCAGATTTAATAAATTTTTTAAAATGGATGGATATTAATGAAGAAAGCAACATATAAAACTCCTTAAAATGACATAGAGGTGTGTTAATGAGTTGAAGAATATCAATAGTTCACTTTATTTCGAGTTCCCACTTTGACACCATTTATACTGCTCTGAAAAGTATCAAAATGAAAAAACATACCAGTATAGAGTTTAGAAGAATGAAACCCAACTAAAATTCCTCCCAACTCTTTCTACTTATAAAACTCTCAAGTATGAGATTTTTTTCCCAAGCAAACTCAAAGTAAGAGCTTTTTAAAATTTATTGCAATTTATCAGAACAGCAATATGCTAAGGCCTTCTTTACTGTTATGTCTCCAGATTACTTCATTTTGCTTTTCCATATGAAGAAAGGAAAAAAGAAAGACTTATTAATGGAATTAAATATACGCCTTCTGAAGTTTTCTCTACTTAGTGATCAAACAACGCTCCACTCATTCTTAATCTAATCACCTGAATTACCTTAGCTAGAAATAACTAGAAACAATTTTGTTATTTATGACTACTTAATAAAAAGAGGGTTTTTAACAAAATTATAAAGCTTTTTGCTTTATAATTTCCAATATGAATAGAGGGATATTGTCACGTTTGGGCTTTAAAAATCTACCACTATTACATGGTCTTCAAGGCTACACAATGTTGATCTGTCCTTGAATTCCTGGTGTATAATGTGAAATACCTTCTCAATGTATAACAATGAAAGAAATGGAAGTGGCAGAGAAGAGAATGCTCATCCGATCAGAGGATACTCCTTAGACAAGAGTTAATTCTGCACACTAGGCAACTCATAGTGCCCATTAATCAAGAATGATTTACAAATAATAGCCCTTTGGAAGCTTTCAACACTGCAGTATGGTGAATTGGCCAGAGAACTTTGTTATAGTGAAAATGATCTATACTTTATAAAAATCTCCAGAACCTGAATATGGGATCTGCTGGCCTTAATGACTACAGAATTACCCAGATCCCAAGGATGCAATCAAAACAGATCTCATAGATTTTCATCATTTTCTCAGCAATTCATTTAGTGTGTTGTGCATATGCATCACTGTCTGTATTTTGTCCTCTGTCCTCTTCACACAAGACACAGCAGAAAGTTCAATGCATAATAATACTAAGTAATATGCTGGAGTTCATACCTCTTTACTGTTTATTGTTGATGACAGTTTTTTTTTTTTTTTTTTCTGGAAGCCCTGAGCTTACTACAAAAGACATGAAATGATGGAAGGGGAAAATAAATTCTCCCTCAACCCCACAGAGGCATTTGAAGCAGCTTAACATAATGAATTAGAAATTAGAAGCAGCTGCCTAGCAGGAGATTTCTAGGAAAAAATTCAGTATCTTACATTAGACAGCCTAATGCCAAGAGATACTTTCCATGCACACAACTGCTGGCGAATCATAATATTTATCCATCTCTTTATTTTGTGTATAGTTCAGCACTGGTGATAAGTTAACAGTTATACTTGATTACAGGTAGAAAATCTTACATTCTAATATCCTTGAAAATACTTCACAATGATAACCTCTATAATAGTTCTCATCTTATCTCTCCAGTGGTGTTATTATGCCAGTGCTTACAAATAAAAAGAGGATCAGAGAAAACTGAAAATGCAAAGCTGAATTACACTGGCTAGAGATGATGAGTCTCCTTCATTCCAGTTGCCATCATTCACTCCACAAAGTGCTCTTTGCCTGTTCAAGACTGACCCAAGCATCAGGAAAGGCAAGGCAGGTTTCCTGGGCTACAAGATTTAAACTACCCCTCTACTCCTGACTACAGCTACTTTCCCAGAGAGATCTGACTAATCAATTCTTGAGAATAAGACACTGATGGAGTGAGACAGTAAAGGGGGTTGTCTATGTTTCAGTTTTTCATCTTGCCATAGGGAGTGTTTGCTTTTCTGTTTGCTTGTTTGTTTCATGGTCTGTTTCTGGCTAGATCTGCTCTTCTGCTGTAGTAAAACCCTCTCCTAGCTCCCTGTACCTTGGATTAGGTGGTTAATGGCAAAGCTAGCAATCAGTAAAGGAACAGTAGAGCACTCTTCGTGTCCTGCCATCCCTTACTCTGATTAATTTATCTCTCAGATAAACAGGGGTTAGTGAATAACAGAAAAAACCATCACTATTCATTCCCTATGAAGAATGTGAAGAACTGACCAGTTTCTTTTTATCATTTGCCCAAGATTTCCCCAAATCAATGCCAGATCTCATTATTCTCATTATTTTCACTCATGGCTTATGATCAGATTTTTATAATAACTGACCATTATATGTACATAAAAACATATATATATATGTGCATATTTATGCATATATATCCTAATCTGAGAACTATTTTATCTTTCTTAATGCAAAATTTGGTTATAACAAACACTGGTAGAGGAATTGTAGCAGGTTACTTTTTGTTTTAGATACCCATCCTCTTGGAAGTCATTAATTATTACCTCATTTGGACATCAAGTTCACATACTGCTTAAATTAAATCTTTGCATGTCTCCAGTCAGTGTTGCACAAAGACTAATTAATTAAACCTCAGAACACCCTTGGGGAATAGGCAGTATTATTTTGCCCGTCCTCAGATGGGAAATCTGAGATATAGAGAGGTTAAGTGGATTGTCTAAGGTCAGAAAGTTAGTCAATAGTAGACAGAGCCAGAAAAGAGACTTGGGAATGCTATGACCCAGCTCTCCACCCCAGTGACAGAAATAACTCCAAAGAGGCATTCCAAATACTTCCAAATGCATCTGTCTAATCATCCATCTATCTTTATCCTTTATATTCATTGTCTTTACAAGTCTTTGGTATATTTTATTCCTTTTGAAGGGAAGGTTAGCTAGGCAGAGGAAGAGGTAAGACAATAGAATGCATAGATGTTACTCACCCAAATTACAACAAAAATTTTTTTTCAGAGAACAAAATGTAGAAGAGAAACTCACGGTTTGCAAATAATTCTTTTCAGATTTATATGCATATATAATCATACATATATTTAAGAAACTAGGATATCTTCCCCAGTCCCACCTCAGCCACCCCTCCCCCCATCCCAACCCCTCAACTTGTATATTTGAAAGCACCTTTTATGTGAAAGCCAACGGGTAACAATTCTATTGTAAGAAAAACTAAAAGCCTACTAATAACTTTATAATGGTTTATACAAATGAAAATGCCTGGCATGCTATTAAACTTAGACTTAAAAGGCAATGGAGTAAAATAAAAATTATTAACATAAAATTGAAAGAAACAAAAAGGTTTCTCAGGCACATGAGACTCAGACATGCATCTAGTTTGCTTTTCCTGTTTAAAGTGAGGCAATCATTGTCTTTAATGTTAAAGGGACTTTATGAGCTGATGATTACTAAACAAAATTATTTGCTTTTTAGAGTTATTCTTATTTTTAATTAGACCACATACATTAAAAACAGGGCAAACAGTTAACACTCCGTGAGGATTTTCCACGTTTAAAGGTCTGAATGTCTTCCTCCAACTTAAAACTGTAGTAGTCCTTTGCTCTTTAAGTTGTATACTAAGTAATATACCTGGTTACTTCTTCTATATAACTCAATGAAATCTCTACAAATGTTAAGAGCTCCCTTTAGGTGTTGAGACAAGAGTAGCTTACACTGGCTCAACAACAACAACAACAAAGAATACGTATCTTCTTAGAGACTGTTTTTCATTGAAAAACAATGGTTTATTTTCTAACAGCTAGAAGCTATACAGGAAAATTCTAACATCAGTTATAACCGCTGCCCTCTTTTATTAACAGTGGTTGTTGTCTCCAGCAAATCAGAGACTGCTGTTTTGCCTTTCATGAACCTTTTCTTTTCCAACTCATTATGTTAACTTCTTACACTTTTGTTGCATAAAACATCAAATACACAAGTGTATGCACACAACCGAAGTGTAAAATAAGTTTGTTTTTGTTTTTAGTTTCAGTCAGCAACTAGGACACAACCTTAATCTCTTAGAAAATAATTTTGCCTCTGTAGGTTTTAAAGGCAAAATTCATCTTTTTCATTTTTTTCTTTAAGAACAAATGTTAAAAAAAAATGCTCCCCTTACAATATTTAAGTAGTTTAAGTTACAAGAGTCAATCTATGGTTTTTTGTTTGTTTGTTTTTTTGTTTGTTTTTTGTTTTGTTAAGCATGCTACAAGCCAAAACAGCCTCCAGGTGTAAGTTTAAAAAGCCCTTTTGGAATTTCTTTAGAAAGCTTTGGTGTAAAAGGTAATTTAAAACAAATTAATAAATA
The DNA here is from genome assembly GCF_000001405.40 of Homo sapiens. Taxonomy (NCBI): domain Eukaryota; kingdom Metazoa; phylum Chordata; class Mammalia; order Primates; family Hominidae; genus Homo; species Homo sapiens. The sequence goes on along the minus strand of NC_000014.9, from coordinate 79,692,567 downwards.
ATGTCATGCAGTGGTTAAATTGCCATAATACATTTCTGTTTTAGAAGTTCCTGGAATTTCTTGTTTGTGTTTGTCATGCTGATAGCAGGCTAGAAGTTAGTCCCTTTAACTGTATTTTAATGGCAATGTATTATAGCATGATTTATCAACATATGGCAGGTGGAAGCTGACACAAATTATAATGAAAATTAAAACAGTCATTTATGCAGCAGGCGATTATCATTTAAGGAACATTTATTTGCAGGCTTTAAAAATGAGGGTTTAGGATCAAATGATTTTAAAATGAAAGTTTTAATGACGGTTACCTTTTTCCTGCAGCCACTCCTCTACAGGCCGATTATATTTGAAGGGGATTTTCTGTTTTACCATTTGGAAGCGTTCATTATCAGTGTTGCCTTTAAAGTTTAAAAAACAGCTTAAAGAACAATCTGAAAAGTCAATAAGTCATTAAAAAACATCCTAGGTTTTTTGGTTTGTTTTATGAAGTTTTTAGAGATAGATATCAATTTATCTTTAGTAGAGGTGGAGTTGAAGTCACTCTGCCCTTGGTCGATAGGTTTAAAGGTCAGGTTAGTCTTAGCCATGCAGTACTCCATCATGTTTTGGAAAAGTGGCATGGAATGGGAATCCTTAAGAGGTCTGGCCGTTTACGGAAATGGATTTACCTTCACTCTCTCTCTGTCTCATCTCAACCACACCTTAATTGGGCCAGTTGAGACACAAGGATCTCCTTGACCCATGACTAATTCACCTGCCAGATCAGTTTCACATGTGAGACGGGACCCTCGCTCCACAGTCACGCAAGCTGCACTATTAATCTACCGTATTCCCATCAGAAACATAGGGCCATGTCCTTCTTTTCTTCTCCTCTCAAGTGTTTGCAACAGCTTTATGTTCCGACAGGGGAAAGGAGGAGAGGACAATTTAAGCCTTGATGGCCAAGGGAGACTTCTTATTACATAAAGGATGTCCTTGCATCTCATTATCTTTGTCAAAGAGGTAGATCAGTACAGATAAGCTTTTATATCACTATCTTTCCAGATTTGTTCCACATTTTTAAAAATAAGGAAACTCAAATGTCAAAGGAAATAGAGGTAATTATAATATAGTGGTACAACATTTGTAGACTTTTGAGCACCGATATTTTATAATAGACACTGATTTTGTATATTTAGCCTCCCTCCACTTCCCTCCTTTCCTCTCTCCCTCCTGCTTTCTCTTTCTCTTACCTTACTGTAAGAGGACCTTTCTGAACAAGCATCCATTCATAAAGCCTGTTAGGAATACTTCTTCCAAGCATGAAATATCTAATTAGTTTCAAGGCTCAAACATAGTGGTTTTAACTGCCAGTATGCCCCCCCTCTTCCTTCGTAACTGTTATTAACACTGCTGAATGGTTTCCATAATTAGGACAGACTTGGAGAGTGGTGCTGTGGAGATACACCCTTAATGAATATGCTTCAAATAACAAAATGATGAAGCCATGCCTTGGGAACTGTTCTATCTCATCAACCAACCTCACATTGATCTGGCAGAAATTAGTGAATTGTAATTCATTACTTTTGATTCATAGGCCTATATTGCAACTTGGGGAACTCCATTCCAAACTACCAATATTAAAAATGAAAGAAAAATCTCAAACCAGGTGGCTTGGAAACAATTTACAAAGAATTCTAAAAGCCATAAAGAATATTAGAATTGCATATAGCATCAGACCAAATGAATAGGGGCATGCTAAAGCATTTCAATTGCAGGGCCATCTCCATATAGGAGTCATTATTGGCTGAGGAGATTCCACCTGGGAATAAACTGGTACCTACCTTCTGTGTTGTGAGGGTGGGGGTATAGGATAGGAAACGGGTAGCAATATTGGAGGATGTTCACAAGGTTCCCCATTCACTTCTCATACAGACAAATTATTCTAACAAGCTGACTCATATCTTTACTACCAGGAATTTTTAAAATAAGAACTCATAAAAGAGGCAACTATGAATCTGCTTCTAGCCTATGTTTTGGGACTGTATCTGGTTGGTACAGGGTATAACATATTAATGTATTGAAAAATAAAATGCAATAGGAACAATTAACAGTTTCGAACTGCAGTGGATAATTTAAAATTTTCCTCAAGGAATCATTTCTCATAGAAAAAAATGGAGAGGGCAGGCAAAGAGGAAAAAGAGACAGGCAAGTTAATTTCTTGGTGTTTCAATAGCCCATGGCGAAAGAATATAGCTATCGATTAGAGATCATTATAATGGTCTACCTTGGTAGATCTTGGTACAACATTCTATTCATTCAAAATAAAGTTGAGTAAACTTTTTAGACGTTTTCATAGAAAAAGAACGTGTACCTTTTTGAAACGAATATACATCTATAACTCATAATCCTACCCTACAGGTGACAGATATCATAAAGGATGTCATTCATCCTCTAGGGTTTTAGACACAACAGAATACTATACTGAGAAAAGGTAATTGGCTTGCGCCAGATCTGCCTTGAATGTATTCTATTACTTTGGGTTTTCTGTATCTGCCATTGTTGGCTACACATTAAATATATTAATGACCTTCATTCTACTCACTACGGAATAGATTGGTGTAGTCGATAGCAAGTATAAAGCTAAATATTCTTAGCAAAATGCAGGGCAAAATCAGAAGTAACTAAAATTCCAAATTTCTAGAATTTAATATACACCAAATTAATTAAGAAGCTGTATTAATTTACTTCCTCCAAATACACAGGGCCCTTGTCCCTCCTAAGCATCCCCACCCTCATCATCTACTCTCTTTCAAACGTAAAGCACCATAGAAAATAATCTGGGGGCATGATACAGGCTAGAAAAAGAGATAACTATGTTAGATAAACAGTAAGTGACATGGGGAAGGACAGCATGGTCATGATTCAACCTTAGACCCTTCTGAAAGTGACAGAGAGTCATTCTTCTCCACCTCAGCTTTAAAGACATTTAGAAAAAAGTTTTAAGTTTTCCACACCAGATTGATAGTATCTGGCACTAAGGATAGCAATCTTGCATGCTGTTAAAAGTTGTGAAAGATGGAAGGTCATTTGGAAAACCAAATTTGTTTAAGTTGCCGCATTAACATTGTTCTTAGTCTCTTTTCATGTTCTTGTTGGTGTTTATTTTAATTTATCTCAAACATTAGTAAGAACTGTTTTAGAAACATGTGCATGAGAATGAGTTATTTGCCCCATGCCTCATTTGCTAGTTTGACTGAAGCGCAAACAACCTTCTAAATATAAGTATTCTTATACAGGGCTACTCTAAAAGCTGAACAAACCTCACCAAATTCACCTACATTCTTGCTAAATCTTTAATGATATTCAGTCATATATTTCATATAGCAACAAGTATGTACATTTAAACAAAGAGTGAAATCAATTCTTCAACAGAAAGTGATGGCTATACTCAAGAAAGAATGGCCCTATGAGTAGTAAACATCATAATATCATTAAAAGGAGGCATACGTGCATTACTAATTAGAGAAAAAAATGTAATAACTTCATTTCTTAATCACACTGAGAAATCTATAAATTATACAAAGAGATCTTCAAATAAACCATTCTTAAATTACTTCTGTGGATCCGACACCTATATGGGACTGGGTTTTAGAAAAAAACATATTAGTCACATTTTATTGTACTTAAATATATGTGTGTTTATTCCCATCTATTTTTGATAAGGGATTGAGAACATTATACATTTGGCCTCTTCTGGTCATTTTCATTTGGACCACTGGCTCTAATATCAAGTATTTCAACTCCTGGAGACGTGTGCAACAAGCACATGCACTGTGGAATTATAATATTGTGAAGAACAGAATACTTTGAGGTGAAAGTATTGAAGCCCAACTGGTTCATAGTTCCAACCTTTACACTCCAACCTCACATTTTCCACTTTGGGTGAATCCACTTAGGATAAAAGTAAAAGGGAAAGAAACGGAAAGCAAACTGACCCTTGAGTAGGCCTCAATATACATCAATTCCTCTTTAAGGTGAGACTCGAAATTTATTAACAGTCTCCAAGGAATACAATTATTTCAAGTGAAAAAACTGAAAAATAGAACTCTTGTATAACATGGAAAATAACTTTTACAACACTGCGCTTACACTTTATTGGTCCAAACATGGGTCCTATTTAATTAGAAGGTATACTAATACTCTTAAAGCCATAATCAATACAGCATAGGAGTTAAGACCATGGGCTCTGGAGACAAATCTGGTCCTGAGTTCTAACTTTATCACTTATTAGCTGTGTGATCGTGGGCAAGTCACTTGGCCTCAGTTTCCCCATTTCTCAATTTACCATAGGACTTAGTATAGAATAATAGGGAGTACAGCATATTTAAACTATCATTATTAATATGACTCGACTCTTTTCTAGTGATCAGAAGGAAGCTCATTAGTTCCACGGTATGCTTCCCTTGTCTCACTACCTTATCAGTCCTTCATTCAAAAGATGACCATATTCTATTTGGTCCCACTTACCAGTCCTTCATTCAAAAGATGACCATATTCTATTTGGTCCCACAAAAGTCATCTTCCAAAGATCAACTGACCATAGAAAATGTAACATCCTTAATATTCCCTTAAATCCCTTATCTATCACTTTATATGTTTCTGTATCTTCTAACATACTCAGCTAAGCCCATTTCCAAAACAAAGTGGATTTCTAAAACCACTGAAAGTAAAAGAGCAATTCAGGCATTGACAAATGTGATTTCTTGGTCCAGCCACAGGTAATGATGATATACTGCTGCTAAGCTGAGAAAGAGTGGCTTAAAGGTTCTGCCAATTTGCACCAGGCTGGCAGAAAGCACTTTCTTGCAGGTAGACTATTAATACCACCTGAAATGTTGTCAAGCACGTGGACATGCTAATAGGAATATCCTAACAACATTCGTCTGTGCAAAATGAATGCCAAAGGCATTTTTGAATTTTGTCTTGAGCCCTGAAATAAAGGAGGAACAAATTTTCTTTATTGCTTTGTTGACACTAAAAAATCAGACTGTGGGTCTAATGAACAGTCAAAGAATAAATGCTATGTATTAAAGTCAGAGGCAAAAGAAAATCAATGTAGTGGTACTGCTGCCCTCAAGTACTAGGGCAGTTTAGAGGTTATTGCCATGTCTCTTCCCCCAAAGAACACTTTCTAAGTTAAGTTTCAGAGAAAGTATATGACACTAAAGGAAGGGAACTCCAGAAACTCTGAACTTGGCTTGAGCCACATTTCTGGCATTGTCCCAGACCAACTCAGAGTCAGAGAGGGAGGTGTTGCACACCCAAAGGCCATCTAGAATGTTTGGCCACTTGTAAGTGATAGATGGATCTCAGCAAAAAACTAATATCTTGTATTTATAAAGTGCCTTTCGACCAAGGAGCTCAAAATGCAATTATAAGCATCATCTCATTAATCCTCACTACACACCTTTGGGGCAGAAGGAAAAAGAACTATTTATATGTTGTGAGCTTTGATCCTTTAATGTGCCAAGGTAAAGAAATTAATGTCTTGGAACAGAAAATTGATCAGCTTGTGGGAAGTAAATTAATAGACCCAGAGCACAAGGGCATTATTAAGTAAGGGAGCTTTTTAAGTGGCTCCTTGAGCCAGGGAGACCCTGGAAAGAAGTGCAAATCACCCTGTCGTACACCAAGTTGGCTGATAAAGCTCACCTCTACATGTCTTCTGGATATGTTCTGATAATGGCAAATATATACGAGCAGACAGTATCATTTCCTTCCTAAATTAAAGTTGTAGTATGGGTTTACCAACTCTAGGCTGTGCTAGTTGATCTGTTTAAGCAAAGATGGCCCAAACATGAGTGAAAAGAATATTGGATATGGAGTCAGACAAACTTTGAATCAAGTCCAGACATTTATCAGTTCTGTGAACTTGGGCAATTTATTTAATCTAGATGACTCTTGGTGTCTTCATCTGTTTTTTGTTTTTTTAAAAAAGGTAATATCTATATTGCATGGTTTTATCCAAATTAAATGCAATAACTCAGGCAAGGGCTTAGCTTGTGGGGAATCAAAAGAGGTTGGGAGTTGAGAGAGCCTGTGATTTGTTTTAATTCTTAGGATCCTTCCCTAACACTCACCTAAGGCTTAGAAAAGAAAGTTCTTTCTCCCAGTAAGGAGCCTTGAACAGCAGGGGGATGGGAGTCAGGGTAAATCCTTGCCTTGAGAGCCTTCCAAAACCTTTTTCAGTCTCGATATTTGCATTGAGCTCTAGCCTCTGCCTGTGCTCTCTCTCTGATGAGCCTGTAGACATGTAGTTATCATGTCCAACTATCTTTTTTTTTTTCTTCTCTGAGACAGGCAGGCTGGAGTGCAGTGGTGTGATCTTGGCTCACTGCAGCCTCAGCCTCCCGAGTAGCTGGGACTATGGGCATGCACCATCATGCCCAGCTAATTTTTAGGAGAGATGGGGTTTCACTGTGTTGGCCAGGCTGGTCTCCAACTCCTGACCTCGTGATCCACCCGCCTCGACCTCCCAAAGTGCTGGGATTACAGGCAAGAGCCACCACACCTGGCCTATCATGTCCAAATATCTTATAGGCTATGGAATGGGAATGGAACCATGCCGGAGATGTAACCCTGGTGTATTACGTCCAGCTATCCGAATGTTCATGCCCCTATTCCTTGCTGTCTGTTGCTGGTTGAACATACATGTTTTGTGCATACATGTTAATATTAGACTTCTCTTTCATATCCTAAACAAATCAAAAATCCATTTCTGCTGAGGTATTATGTACTAAAATGATTTACTTTGATGCAATAATTACAACATATTTTACCAATCATTATCCTTTCTCAGTACTTTGAGGCCATTTGTAACTCACTTCCTGAAGCTCATTTCTCCTCCTCTATCAAGGATACTTTCAATCCCAGTTAGGTTAATAAAACTAGGCCCAGGCGACTGCAACCTCTTTATTCATTCCTATAATTTAAGAGAATATTTTCAAGCAACTTCAAATGAAACTTTCTTCAGTATGCCAGGTTAACCTGGCACCAATTCTTTATTTAAGAGCCCCTCTCAAAAAGGCCATGTTATAAATTAACAAAACATAAACTGACTGTAAAATTTGCTTTCTTTCCTCAAATGTCACTTTTTTTTTCCTTCCACAATTATTCTGAAATATGCACTGAAGCTACAGTAGTTGATTTCAATGTCTGAATTTTGTCTTGTTCCTTTCTGGTAACCATGCTTAGTTTTAGCCATGTCTTAGTGCATTTTAAGTTTTAGTTTCTTCATATTTAAAAGGGGATCGTAATAATAATTGCAACATGGGATTGCGGTGAGAATTAAAAGGAAATGTATATAAAGCATGTTGCAAATCTGTGGCACAAAATAATCCCTCAATATATGATTTGTTATAACAAGTACCTGATTCAGAAGAGTTAAACTAAAAAGAAGGCAAACTCCACAAGAATTACTTCCCTACAGAATTTTTGGTGTCAAATATTTTCAAATATCCTTTTCAAAATAAAGCTTTAATGTTTGCTCTTCAGCCGTTTGACATATGATCCCTTCAAGATTTCCCCAGGTGCCTTTCCTCTTATCACTTATTTCCTCCTTGCTGCAAAAGCCACAGTGTTATTTTGGGGCTCACTCTTTCCCCTGTGATCCAGGCCTTCCCACGTGTCCACCCTCTGTGTCATCTCTGCTTCTCTGTAATGTTGTTCTTCCTTTTATTTCTATCTACCCTCTTCCTCCCACTCCCCATCCCCATCTCCTCTCATTCCTCTCATGTTTGGTTATTTATTTCTAAGTAGAGAACATCAAACGCAAGGTTTTTGAAGCCAGAATGCCAGAATATTTGATTTTTTAAAATTCTGTTCATTTAAACATACATATGTGGTGTCCCCACACAGCTCAGAGGACAGGGAGGAGGTTTGGGAGGACAATTCCGCTGCACAACACAGGAACATTGTCATCCCGACAACAGGAAAGTCATGCTATTATTAATATCTCCGATGCTCAAGAAACTTATGACATAGTAATCCTTCTGTATACATCCTATAGAATTGCCAGTGTTTATAAAATTGTAGACATTTTAGACCATCCTTGAACCCCCTTGCCTAAGAATGAATTTATTATTCCCAAAATATCTAAAAGTAACAATCACTGTTCTAGTCACCACCCACAGGAGGCCTGACTAGTATACTGATTTGCAACCGTTGCTTCAACAACCACATCATAACAGGACCGCATATTAGGCTTGTTTCTAACTAAAACTCAAGCCAGTTTCTAGTTGAATGGCTTCCCAAAGAAATTGTTCCACGTTGCATTCATACAACATACTTTATGAACGTCCAACAGGTATTTATATCTCATTAAATGTATTCTTTTTGTTTCATAACAGCATCCAAACATGGTAAGAAAATGTTTAACTCTAGGATTTTTTGTTTCTGGTAGGAGATACCTCTCTTAGCTTTGTGTTATCTGCAAATTTAATAAGCATATTTTTTGTGCATTCATTCTAGTCCCTGAATAGGAAGATTATGATGGAGCTATAAAATATCTAAAAATACTTTGAAACTCCTCTGTGTAAGAGGTGAGGTTTGATTCTTCAACCTTGATTGTGGGCTGGACTTAGTGACTTGATTCTACAGAGTAAAACACGGTAGAAGGAACAGTGTGTGGACTTAGAGACTGAGTCATAAAAGGTGCTCTCTCTCGGACCACTCATTTCGAGCAAGCTAGACTCATGTCATGAAGACACTTAAGAAGTTCTATGGAAACATACATAAGGCAAGGAACTGAGCCAGAGAGTAACTGATGCTTCCAGTCAACATCCATGTGAGTGAAAGATTTCCAGGTAATCAGATCTCCCAGGTCTAGATAGCACTGAGATGACTGCAGCCGTAGTTCATACCAACTGCAACTCATCAGACACCTTAAGCCAGAATCACTCAACTAAGCTGCTATCAAATTCTGACCTATAGAAACTGTGAGATAATAAATTTTACTTTTATTATTTTAGTTTACCTCAAACTTTACAGTGTAACCAGAAAGCTTCAAATGATGGAACACAGGCAGGTCTCTTTAAGATCCCTTCATAGTTCTCTGTACATTACAGTATACTGCTTTAGGGAAATGAAGATACACTGTGCATGGTATTTATAATATCCTCCTCACCTGCCAATTTGCTATTGCTATCCAAGAGAAAGTTACACTAGCATGCGTGAGTTTTTGTTTGTTTGTTTTTTAATGAGCCCAGGTTAGTTCTCAGCCATCACCATATTCTTTTTTAAATCTAGCTAAATGTGTGCCAATTTTTGGTCAAATGAAACACTGGAGAAGTTTTATATATCAGTCCCGAGTTTAAGAGATCCATCCTATTATACAGTGTAAAATTTAGGACACTTTTCCCAGACTAGTTTTCTATTCTGACTGGCTCCTGTTAATTATTTCTGAGCGAACATTAAAGGGGCTTAGAATTCAAGTTCCTTAAGCACTTCTAATGTTATTCATCTAAGACCCAGAAATTAGAGTTTCTTTGAAGAACTCTATTACCATTTCCTCACCGTGTGAGGGGTGGGAGGGGACTGGATTTTCTTATTTATTTTGTTTGCATTGGTCATCATAGTCTGAAGGAAATTCTTTTGCTAAATAATATATTAGTGACAGATGTAGATGTCCATTTAGGGAGTGAAGGAATTTCAGGTAATCACCATGGTCCCTCTTTAGAGTAAATGCTTTCCCATTTTATAATTAAATAAAAACAGTTTCTGGGAGTAGAGTTTGCTGGGATTTATAGCTTATAATTTGAGAGAAGGAGCCCATCATTTTTAGGTTGTGGAGACCTCAAAGACCATCTAAGAAATATATATTCTCTATTTTGATGTTTCTCAAACTTCTGCTTAGAACATCATTAGAAAAAGAACTCCTAGCAACAAGCAAGCATCAGAGAGTATCGATCTTGAAGACAACTTTCTCCCCGTAAAGTTAATAATTAAAGAATTGTCTACACTCCTATTTGTTTGGCTGCATAGAATTTTTAAGGCTTCTCAAAAATTAAACCAGCTGGCAGCCATGTATCATTTAGTGCAAGATTCAAAGGTCAGATATACACTATTAAAATGTGGTACAAGAATCAAAATTTTCCCAGAGAAGAAATAACCTCAGGGGATGCCGTAGTTGTAGTATGTCTTGAATTCATACAATGCCTCGTTAATTCTACTTGGCAAATTAATTCAAATTGATTTGTTTGTGAGAACTGCAACATGGCCTCAAATCTGGCTACAAACAAAGGATAATGATAAACAACAAAGTACTGAGCTCACAGAAATGTCTAGAGAAAAGTATGGATCAGCATGGGGGCTGTTTTATAACACATCTATCTTAGTTTAAAAAGAAAAGAAGAAAAGAGGAAAGGGAGAACATACCCTATACAAATATAAGACATTTTACAAATAACACTGATAGATTGTAACTGCCAAAAGCAAAGGAAAATAAAATATTTGAAAGCATCCAAGGGAACATGAATGTGGATAATTTTCTTAATGGGCATTTAATTTTTAAAAAATCAATTTGACTTAAAGCAAAATGATCAGACATAGAGAAAAAAAGGAAAAAAATGTAAGGCTTGGGATATGGCAGAAAGAATCAAGATTAATTTCAAAAAGCCATGTCCTAAAGAAAAGAAAGGACAATCCCTTAGTGAAAGTCACTGATTTCCAACCACAGCTTGAGACCTGAATCAGGGTTGGAAGGAGAAAATTTACGAGGGAAATATGATTAGTAGAACCAGAGCCTTTCTTCTTTTCCAGTGTGTTAAATTGGAAAAAAAAAAAAAATAGCTACAATCCCATTTCAAAATCTGTCTCTTGGCAGTGAGACTCTTACTCCTCTCATAACAGTTTGAATCTATCTTTTCACCCTTGGGGTTCTGGGTGGGCCGTGAGACTTGCTTGGGCATATGGGCACTAGCAAATGTGATATAAGCAGAAGCTTGAAGAGCCATCTGTGTATGAATGCTTGCCCTTGCCTGCTGCCTACACCTGAGATTGCCATGTGAACTTCCATGAGAAAAGAAACCCAGCCATGTGAACCTACTCGGCTATCTGAACTGAGACCCCAGAGGGGTACATGAGGCCATCAAGATCATCTAGCTCCATCCAAGCCAACCCAGAAGAGAAAAAAACACTCACATGAGCCACGGAAATTTTGGAGTGGTTTGCAATGCAGCGAACCTAAATGATATAGCCAGGAATTCAGGAGATCCAGGAAGAACAGGGGTCCGAGAGTGGGTAAAGGAAACACTATCTCCTATGAGGATTTCCATGAAGGCTCAGCAGGAGGAGGGAAGCAGCTCCGTTGCAGTCTCCAGATTCAAAGGAGTTTGTGTGGCAAAAGTCTTAGGGGTCCAAGGATGGAGACATGGACAGCTGGGCCCCTGTTGCCTATCCTTAGCCCTGTTCCTCTTTCTAAGGAAAGAATTACCAAATCCAAAAGAAGAGATGCAATAATGCAGTTCCTGAGAGGAGAGGGTAAGGCTGAGGGAGTTGGGAAAGGGAAGGAAAATTGGAGAAAGGTTGATGCATGTGTTGATGCTTCTCTGATCCTTGATTCTAGACACAGACTAGGGGAAGAGCAGGGAATGAGGTGGGGATTGACTCCAAGACGATAATGAGTAGAGTTAAGTAGCTCCCTAAAGGGACAAGGACCTACTTATCTGACCTCCTTCTATCACTCTTTGGATGAGGAGTGGAGAGGAAGATCTCTAGGAACAGCAGGCTGAATTCTGAATTTACTAGTAAGACTTGCTGGCACTGAGACCTCTCACCCCATCAATGAATTTTTTCATTCCATACATGATTTCACAGAGAGCACTGAAGGATTACCTTCTTTTTTTTCTGAGCAAACAGGGCCATCACTTTCATTCTTAACCCTAACATTCCAAAACAAAACCATTTATGTCCCTGCAGGGTATGAATACCCTTTGAATACTGGTCATGAATACACTTACGTATACTTAGACTAGAAAGGCACTCCTCCACCACATTCCCTACTAACACACAACAATAGAAACAAACCAAAACTCTCATTAAAGATCAAAACTAGACACACACACACACATACACACACACACACACAAACAGTCCTACCTTGCAACCTTGGTTTTACCTTTTTTTCTGTTGTTCTGTTTTGTTTTGAGACAGGGTTTCACTCTCATCGCCCAGGCTGGAGTACAATGGCAGGATCTTAGCTCCCTGCAACCTTCACCTCCTGGGCTCAAGCAATTTTCCCGCCTTCCCCTGCCTCAGCCGCCCAAATAGCTGCGACTATAGGCATGCATCTGTAGGTGTGAGCCACTGCGCCCAGCCTGCAACATTGGTTTTTAAAAAGCAGGCACTGCCTCTTCAGCCCCTGTTAAAGTTTATGGATTAGCAAAAAGCAGCCTTTTTAAACTCATTGAGAAGAGTTTAGAAATCATTTCCTTAGGATGTTATAGGTACTATTTAAGGGGCATTTCTTTAGCATGTGAATGGCAGCTAGACTCTAGAGCAAAGATAGACTCTAGAGTAAAGACCCCAAAATGATCAAGATCCAGGGACTAAGGGGTTACCAAAAGTAAGGACAACTAGCACTGCTAAATGCTGTGATTTACAACTCAAGTGACAGTCAATCATTAGAAGTAACTTATAGTTACGTCATGACTCAAATATTATTCACATTGTAAATGTGATGGCCAGAATAGCATTTTTTAAAATTAGGGCTTTAAAAAACACTTTTAAGAAAGTGGCCAATGATTATGTAAAATTATCCACAAATGTTAAATATTTATCTGGCACCCAGATTCCGCTACTCTGTATTGAATATTAGTCCTTAAAGTATTTTTTTCCTATGAAATTAGAATCACCTTAGAAGCAGTGCTTTTTCTTTTTTAAGCTTTTTACTCCATTCTACTTCTATAATTCCCTCCTTAACACACAATGAAACCAAACATTGACATACCTTCAGTGCTCAAGGATACTCAAAAAGTTGACAACTATTGGCCACCTCAAAAGATGGCAGGTATCCAACAAACTATTAAACTATTAGCTTTGAAGTTTTCGATGTTCAGAAAGGTTCTTATAACCTTTATAACATTTGAGACATATACATAAAATAACAATGCCTCTTCCTTCTTTAAGCTATTTCATATGACTTTATATGTAATATTAAATCTTGGCTATCTGAGGAACATGTCTAAAGATTATAGGTGATTTTACGTGTAAAGATATTCATTGAATATTAACTACATGCTAGCACAAAGGCAATACTTTTTATATTTGCCCATTGATGGGTGTGTGTGTATAGAGAGATTTTATAAATATCCCAAATGAAAGCATGCTTTTGTATGTGCCATAGAACCTTGCACCTTGCAACAAGAAATAGCTCCTAGATATGAGATGTAAGAAAAAAATCCATGATTTAAAGAAATTATTCAAAATAATTTCAACTGACAACCCTAATAATAAAAGATGTGAATGAAAAAAAAAATTTAAGCCAAAGAGGAGAAATCAGATATATTATCTTGGTGGAAGAAAGATAAAGTCTCTCATTTTAAATTAGATGAATAAAATTAAACTAGTACATATTGTTAGAAATATCTGAACCAAGCAGGGAAACGGACCGGGTGACCTGGTATTTTCACCATTCTAATTACTAGGTTCCTTTGAATTTCACTCCTTCAGAAACCTGCTTTTATCTTTGCAATAATGATCCAAGAGATTAAAAGAAGGCCTCTGAGTGACTTGATTTGCCTACTCAAGTTCATGCAGTATCTATTGATGTACCATTGCTGTCTTGTCAAAAAGCACTTACAACATTAGTAAGTATAAGGTGTAATTAGGACAAGAGATGGACAGGTGAGAAGAAAGCCTGCAGTCTTCTTGGTTTAATGTTTTTATTTCTGACTATCAGGGATGGTGGCCTTTAAAAATCATATTGGAATCCTCACAAGTGCTTAGACTTCTGAACAAGGATTGAAATTTTTCTTCTAACCCAAACAAGAATGCTGTCCAAAGATTTACTTTTGATTGTGAATTATAGAGGATATATACTAAACACAGTGAGCAGCAAAGACGTGTAGACTTCCTCTTTCCTTAACCTGGGTTTAAACTTGGTCTGATTGAATAATGGTTCAAGTCCTATTATTCAGTTTCTACCACAGAGATTTATAGAGAAGGATGCTTAATGAATACTTTTAGAGGAGAATTTGAGCAGTTGCTATAAACAAAGGAAAGCAGGTATTAGAGTTGCTTTTGTCCTTACAGTTTGGCTATGTCAGTTGGGACTTCACTTCCAAATGGCAGTGGGGTTTGAAAGTATACAGTAACTGCTCAAACTCTTGGTCCCTTTAATCAACAGCTAGCTATTCTAAGTAGCTGCAGGGGCCAGTGGAGTAGGGGGAGGTTGGAAGAATGAGAGTGGTGAGTGGCACAAATCAAAGAATCGAAGCCAGAAGAGGGAGGAACAAAGTACAATTATATTGATTGTTTTATTTGATCAGAAAATTAAAGCCACTGTAACCTGACAGAAAGCTACAGTTATATAATTATGCAGCCACAGAATAAGCTAGATTTACTTTCTGAATAGTTCAATAATGTTTTGGCCTATGTGTTCATCAATGATACCTACAACCACTATCTCATTTCAACAAGACCACTAGGAAGGTTGGCTTGGAACAAGTCTCTTAGAAGAATTACATACAACTACTGGAAATGGAAATAAAACAAGAGAATTGTCCATGAAGGTCTGGGATCAGGGTTGGTCAGGACTTTCAGTTAATGTGTTGGCAAAGCACCTCACTCAGTTTAGCTGACTTATTTCAAGAACAGATCTATTAAGAGTATTCCAAAATTCCCTTTATAGACCTACTTGTAGCTCAAAATTCTGAGGTCATAGCGGGGGAAAGTCACAGAATGAAGCAAAACTATTAGATTTCACTTGGTTTGCCTCCTCTAGGAGAGCTCAATTGCTCCCTGAGAACAATATATTGCCTTTATTTTTACCGATTCTAGAGATCCAGTGCCACCCATACCACAGAAAAAAATTCAGTAAACTAATCCAGCTATTCATTTTGTAAACCTAAAGACATTTCAGTTCTATTTTAGCTTGTATTTTACTTACATAAATTTTTATTTTATTTGAAACAGCACCTCGCAACAGTTTTATAAAGGTATAAAAATGAAGTAATAAGATTTCTAAACCTTGGCTAAGATTTTAGATTTACTTTTTACATATATATCTATATTAGATTTATATGTATTTTTCTGTCAAGGATACTGAAATCTTCCTCCTATTTATCATTTTGTTTAATTATACTTGGCAATCCACCCTTTGAGACCAATAAAGAGTCATCGTACTAATATAAAAAATATTTCAATAAAATCATATTTGTTTCAATAAAGAAACATTTCTAAAGCAAAAGCTTAAAAGTTTTGTAGTAAATGATATTTTTCTTTTGTTATAAAAGTATTTATAGTTAATGCTTGTCAAGGATGCTGTATAACAACTTATATTTTTGTTGTGTATATGCAGTCATTGAAGTCAGAAAGCTCCAAAAACCTCAGTTGTACAGTTTAATATTTACTGATTACCTACTATGTTTGTTTCTTTCCTTTTTAAAAGAGGATTAAGAAAACTGTGACCACTTTTCTTGCACTATAGGGCCAAATCTGGCAGTATATGCTTTCTATTCTGGTAGTTAGAACTTTGATAACTTAATTGGAGTCAAAATTGAGGTCAGCAAACTGTGAAGGGGGTCCCTATTTTGTAAATAAAAACCCAGTGTGCTTTAGTTTGGCTTTTAAAAAAAGTATATATTTAAGGTATATATACATATAAGGTATATATGTAATCTTGATATACATATAAACACTGAAATGACTGTAGTCAAGCAAAGTAACATGCCCATCATCTCATACAGTGATTGTTTCTCTCCCTTTCCTTTCTTTCTTCTTTGTCGTATGAATACCTAAAATCTACTCTCTTGGCAAATTATCAATATATAATAATACAATATTATTAAATATAGTCCTTATGTTGTACATTAGATCTCTAGACTTATTCATCCCTTATAACTTTGCACAGAAAAAAAATACTATACAATCTCACTTTTTGGAATCCAAAAAGCAAAAAATAAAAGTGAAGGAAATACATAGAAAGAGAAAGTAAAATGGTGGGTACCAGGCGTGGTGGGGAATAGAGGATGTAGGTCAAAATTTATTTTAAATACTACATGGTTTTAGGCATATGCACATCTATAAAAACTGATAGCCTGGTCTTGCTGCTTTAATAAATAGGGGATCTGATTCTAAAATCTCTAAAACTCAATAGCATGAAGTGGGCTGAGCCACCTCTAAAGTGGGCTAGTCCATCCTCAGAACATCAGATCAATGGCTTGAAAATGGAACTGAAGCTCAAGCAGGAAGCTCTCAGCAGCAAGACAGGGACAACCAATGCTGAGATAATGAAGGGCATGCTCTCTAAGACTTAGAAGACAGACATATCAATCAGGGTGCGGGTAGGAGAAAAGAAAGATCAATGCAAGGCATCAACTGGCACCTTTATGCATAAGGGCTATGAGAAATAGGCTAGGGTGGCTAATCAAAATTCTTGAATTTAAAAGAAAAGTAAGCACTATTTTTTTAGGAGAGAGGGGTGTATTTAAATCACCACGGCTTATTAAGTAGAAGTAACAGAAGTAAAGAAACAATGCTTTCTGTCCATCATCTTCAAATCTTGCTCTAGAATGGAATCTGTGTCTGTCTTTGGTGTTGAATTAAAAAAATGGTATTTAGCTATTTTGTTGTTTGTCATTTTTAACTATACGTAAATGGAGTGCCTGTCCTTCTTACATATTGTATCTCTTTATTTCTTTATCCTGAATTAACCTCACCAGTAGGTCTATGTCACCCTACACGGTAGTACTATTCTCTGTCTCTCTAGGGATTTAACCCATCCACTTAGAGATACTCTTGCTCTCTTTATTCCAAACAGATAAGACAATTCAAAAAATAAAGCTGATGGATTAGTAAAAGCTGTAGGCTTCCAACTATCCGTGATTTAAATCAGGGTTCCCCCAGCTAAACCTAATGGGGAAACGTGGTTCATCACAGCTTGTTTTTGTAAAGCAAGTTTTATTAGAATACAGCTGTGCCTATTCATTTATGTATTGTCTATAGTAGATTTTGCATTATAACAGCAGACTGGAATAACTGCAACAAAGATCATGCAAATCATATCATATTTATATTAATAAAATATTGAAGTTAATATCTAAATATATTTATATTTATAAGATAGGTTGGTTTCTAAAGCCTATGCTACTTGTTATTTGGCCTTTGGGGGAAAAGGTTTGGTGATCCCTAATCTAAATAAAGATATCAGGGTTTCCCTGTCTACATCCAAATGTTGGTTCTGCCACCTACTAGCTGTGCAACACTGGAGTGTGTTACTTAACCACTCAGACTTCGTTTCCTCATCTCTAAAATGGTAATAATAATAATAGGACCCCTTTCCAGGATGCTATGATGATTCAAAAACAAATAGTGTATCCCAGTCTTACCTGTTATTAATTAATATTTTTCCCCTAAAATATTTTATGCAAGGATAGGTTGTAATACCCTCATCCCTTCCTCTGGGATATACAGTTTTCAGTCACTTGGAGGCATTTGGAATGAAGATTTCACCACTGAACTCTGAGAAAAACACATTTCTCTAATGTGATTAAAATGAAAACAAATCTAGTTTAATTAAACATTGAGGCTGGCAATTGTGCATCAGGCAGAAGCACATTTCTAGTAAATGTTTAATAATGGGATTACAGTGTTCTGCATGCACTGGGATGTAGGAAATAATAGTACATTTGCATGTGAATTTGTATCTGTCAACCATGTGAATTTGAGCTCTGTAGATGATGCAAACTGGAGTGCTCTTGGAAGACATTGGAAAAGTGGAGTGGGCAACCTGGGTATTAGGTTGTGAGGGCAAATGAGGGCAAACATATCTGTGTGGAATCTCAGAGTTGACCCTTGGTGGACAGTGACCACAGCAAATGTGCTCAACCTCCCTGAACCTTGGTTTACTCATCTGTAAATGAGGGAGATTAATACTTCTACCTTGGAACCACTGGGGAGATGACACTAAGTAAAATAAGGTACGATGAATGTGTTTATTTTGACTGTGTTGAAGGTATCACAGGTGTACGCACATGTCTAAACTCATCAAAGTATGCGCAGGATTTTTTTGCCTATCAATCATCCCTCAATAAAACTGTAAAAAAAAAATTTAAGTAAAAGAAAGAATTCCATGGTCATTAATTTCCTCAATGAGAAAGGTATAAGTTGTCATGTCATCTTTCACACTAGGTAGGGGAGCAGAGCTTATTGGCATTGTTCCAGATAATTCAAGGTCACATCCCAAATTGTATTCCATGCTCGCCCCTGTCTGATCTTCAGGCTCCATTAGGCATTTATGTGTACCCGCTACTGAACTTGGATCTCACCTCAATAGTAGCACCTTCTTTCACTTTGTGGAATTGTAGGTTCAAGATAGGGCAGCGTACGGGAGCTTTGGGTTTGCCTTCTAAGACATACAGGCTTCAGTTCCAGGTATTCATGTGCTAGCTTGACCCTAGGAGAAGCTCCAGATTCTCATTTGTGAAATGATAACAGTAATATCTACCCCTTGGGGCTACTGCAAAGACTTGATACAAGAACCCAGTACCCTACCTGGCAATTAATAACTGCTCAATAAAAATGTCTTCCTTGTGTACTTGTATTTCTCTTCAACTACACTTGAGGATCCTTGAGGTCAGGAGCTGTGTTTCATTTTTCACCATATACCCATCACCTAGTATGAATTCACATATAAAGTAGATGTGGAACAAATGTTTGTTGAATAGTGAATGAAGGTGAATGAATAAGTGCATAAAGAAATGGCTCCACTCAGAGCTACCCCGGTGATGAGGATAGGGGAATACTTCTATTACATTAAAGGCAACAGCAGTTAGTAAAAAGGTTTTTACAGTGTTTCTGCTGTTTGAAAGTGCAATATAAATTTTTTGCTAGCCCATGATCAATCGACTTCTATTGTTTGATATACACTTCAGCATTTAAGTTCTGTCGAATTGACATTTGCTACTTATAAACTTAGTCCCTAAGTCTTCTTATGCTGTGCTATATATCTACCATTGGCACTTAGTAAACTATGCCATCAAGGCCAACACAGAGCATCAGGGACTTACTGAAAGGCTGTAAAAGTACCGTGTGGAAAAGAAATGCATCTTATGGAGAAAACTGTAAATATCACTGGGAATCCAATCAAATTCATGTTAACTCCATGAACTGAAGACTCAAAGTGCCGCTTTGTCCTTGACTCATTCCCTCCTTCCTCTTCTGACCCCCTTTCCCCTCTCTTCAGCCTGCTAGGATATTGACAGGGATTTTAGAGGAGTGGAAGGTCTTTATCTCTTTGAGATGAGCTGCAATATGATTACAATCGATTGAGTGATTTACAGTATAGAGCACCTTTCATTACCTTCTCTGCTTTATAGAAGTATAAATGACATACTGTATGTGAATATATATTATTATTATTGGATATTTATGTACCACCTTTCTCAAAGAAGCTCAGTGTTCTTTTTAGACTTTAAATAACTAGAGAGACTCTGCAACCTTGTGCAAAATTTAAATTGAAGAGACTGGAACTTGGAAACTTTTCCCATAAATAAAACTATGCTCTTGTATGGGTGGTAGGACACTTGGTGTTCAGGCAGCTCTGGGGCAGAGGAAAAACGGTACAGGGTAATTGTATTTTATGGCTGGGATAATAATTCTAAGTTTTCGTAATTAGAGACAACTTCTGCAGGCCAGAATTTGTATTAACTACTTAAACTAGAGCTTCCATGTGACAATAGGGAAAACAAAACTTGTAATTCACTAACCAGCTTTGAAATTATGCAATATTTGATGATTGTTTTAATTCAGAAGAATGTATGTTATTACTGATGCCTCACATAGAGGGAGATGTTATTAATATTTTTATTTATGTCACACTATTTCAGATAAGTATAATTTTAAAAATCCCATAAAGTGTGACTACACTGTATTTCTAATCTTGAAAGATATTATTTAATTAAAATAGATGCATTATGGTTGGAAATCAAGAAATTCTTTATCTTACATCCCTGGTTACATTGTACCTAGAAGTGACCCTCAAATTTTTAATTATTCATTTTACTGAGTCCCTAAACTATAATATTTATAACATTTAACATATGGCTAAATAAATATGATGTGCTTTCTAATTTTTAAAATTCCAACTTCTTCTTTAAATCCCAAGATAGTCTACTAAAAATGGGGAAAATGTAAATGTGCATCCTATAAAGTCCTACAGAGGGTTGCAGCAAAATTATTCTTTTGCTCAACAGCCCTGTAGACCAAAAGCATGCCCTGTTCACAAGTGAATTCTAGATAAATAATATCTTTGGCTACTACAATTGTTATTATCTGATGTAAATCCTTATAATTATAAAAAGCTCCTTTGTGTATGTTAATTCCTTTATAAATAACCTTGAGCTATGTATTAACCTAATGTTTTGGGGGCAAGTTTCTATGTGCCCTGTGTCCATGTGTTCCCACCACCTCAAATGTTTTATGTATTTCTATCTGGTCTCTTTGTCTTCTGGGTGGTTATGTTTAATTTTAGCATTAGTCCAAGCTCCAGTTTGCCTTGAAATGCTTATCAGCTTCTTAGAGACATTTATGGGAGAGAGAAAAAGGCTCTAGGTTTGATAGCAGTAATTGTATTTAACTTATAAGATACAAGCCTGTTTATCTGTGGCTGGGAATTCACAGAGAAGAAAGGAAGTTTCCTTGATAAAACAAAAATTAAATTAAAAAAATACTAAGCACCTTCTTGCCACTCTGTCACTCCCCAAGCAAGACTATTAAATGGCAAAACAAACCTTCATTTAAAAGTTCTTTCTTTTTGCATAGATATGGCACTAGAAGGTAAAACAAGATCGCAAAAAGAAAGAGGCTGACAAGGCTTCCAGAGGCCACACCGATGATATAGATAAAGCCAAATATGTATAGATGCCCAAGGAAATGCTGACTTCTAGACTGGGCAGAAATCAGAGATTTAACCTGAGGGGGGAATTCTATAATTTAACTTGAGAGAAAAATTCTAAATTGTCAAGATTTGAGTTAAACCCAGAATTTCTAGGATATGCAACTGTTCTAGGGTGTTTACGAGAATCTAAGGAAGGAGCAGAGTGTGATTAAACATTAAGACTCTTAAGTCAGATGGTTCTGGGTTGAATACCAGCATTTCCCAAACTAAGCTACACTCCCATAGACTGTTCCTAATCTAAAAAAATGGGAATAAGACCAACGCTGTCCTAATGGGTGGTTTCAAGACTAAGTAGGATGCTGCCCATGAAGTGGGGAGTATGTCATAAATGTTCGGCAAATGGCAGCCATCACCACCTGGGTGAGTTTGGCTGAGAGACGGTGAATGGCACCATCTGCCACTTCCTACACCTCTGGGAGAAAGTGTTTATTCAGTGCACATGTCCCTCACTTTGGAACCGTTTCTACTATTGTGGAATTCTCCATGAAGGATGAGAAAGCAAGATGGAAAATCTCTTAGTCCCCTATTCTCACCTTTCATAAGTAAACTTCATTGTAGAAAGTCAAGATAAAAAATGGTCCTAAAATGTATACGGGTGGTAGATAATCCAGACAATACACCTGCAGGTACAATTATTATTCATGCAATGCTTTAAGGTATTCAAAGAACTTTCCACTTTCTAAGACAGAACAATGAACACAATCCCCATTTTATAGGTCATGTAACTGGCTTCTTAGGGTCAAGTTTGTTGATAGATTTGCACCATAGCCATGCTGTCAGAGCATACAAATATAGCTTAAGAAAGGGTAGTTTGCCATGTGTGTTTAGGAAACATACCTCTAGCCAGTACTTTCTTTTTTTGTGAAGTGTCCTATAGTAATGTCAATCTGAGCATTCACTTGGTTTTAATGCGAGAAAATGCATATATATGATCATGGAGATCAAAGCATAGAGAAACTTCTCGACAGCGGGAACCTTCTCAAGGTTGTGGGCAAGCTGGCAAGTGACAGGGCCAGGGGCCCTTGGTTACACCTAGAAAGTCTGACTCCAAAACCCTCATGCTTAATCATCACCCTTTAATGACTCTCCAACAGCTGCTTGGATAGGGTGGAGTTATTATCCCTGTGATTGTATAATATCAAAACTCATTAGATGAGTTCAGAAGGTACATGAAGGCAAATGCCCATCGTTTACATGGTAGAAAACACATAAAAGGAAATAAAAGATGGCATATTGTAGTCCTGCACTGGCTAATACTAGCCTCTAACCTATAGCCTCATAGTGTTGGAGTGAGGACTGAATGAGAAATGTATTTAAAGCCTTCAGTGCCTAGGACATAAGTACATAATAAAACAAAAATTTCAGAATCTCCGTCATACCAGCCACACTGCTCAATAGCAACATATGGTTGGCGGCTACCACATTGAACAGTACCGGTAGTCAGTCTGAAAGAAAGACACATTTTTTAGCTTCTACATATCAGTGAATGTCAAACTTAGCTACACAGAGAATCACCTTAGGAGCTTTTTTTAAAAACAACAAAAAACAAACAAAAAAATGCCTGGGCCAGTGTTTCTCAATTTACAATGTACCCATAGCACTGGGGGATCTGATTTTGCAGGTACGGGGTGGTGCCTGAGAGTCTGCATTTTTAACAAGCTCCCAGGGGAAGCTGATGCTGCTGATCCATGGACCACACCCCAGTTCAGTTAAATTAGATGCCCTGAGACCAGTGCCCGAGCACTGGCAATTTATTAAACTTCCCAGGGGATTCTCAATTTCAGCCAGGTTGCAGACCATTGCTTTACACAAATATGTATATATAAGTGCCTATTGAAAACATTCTTTTAAAACATTTTTGTTAACCGAAGACAAACTGCATAATGTGGAAATAATTCCCTTGGAAATAGAAACTCACAAACATGTGAATCCTAATTCATTTCTGACAAATTGGAAAGGATGACTAGTTAGCAGTGTGAATATTCAAGATACACTAGTTTGAGTGATTAATTGATACATTTTGTGACTGAATGTTGGAGCACCTTCTTTATAAGATGGTTTTAAAATGTTCCTCACAATGTTCAAACACATTCATTAAGTGAGGCTTTCTCTGGTTGCCCTTATATGTCTGTAGTCCTGAAACCTTGTTCAAATATGGCTTTCCTTCTTGATTGTATTTATACTTCTTATTCCCTCTGCAGGACTCTGCTCTCTCTGTTTTTCCCCCTGTTGAACTGAAAGCAACGCTAGTCCTGAACGGATGAATGAGCAGGTAGATGGGGCTTGTTTTAATGCATGCTTCAAATCTGGCAAGGTCTCAAATGTTCGCAGGAAAAGACATAAAGAAAAGGAAAGTAAACCTCCTGGCTAGGAATTAATGAAAACCCAAGGCCTGAGAAATTTCAGCATCATGTCAAGTACATAGACTTGTTTTTAATCCTTTAAAGTCTCAATAATTGAGGAAGAGATGTGGACAAAAAAAAAATCTTTCTTATACCGATGTATACTGTCTAAATTACAAAAACATGATGAACATTTAAACAAAATATGTTGGAAACTTTCTCTAAGTCAGCGGCTCTTATATGGGGGTGATTTTGCTGACCAGAGGGTATTTGGCACTTGTGGAAACATGAGAGTGGCATCCAGGGGGTAAAAGTCATGGATGCTGCTAAACATCCTGCAATGTGCAAAACAGTACCCCGCCCCCTTCCTTACACACCAACAGCAAAGATGTGTCCAGCCCCAAATGTCAATAGGTTGAAAAACCTTACTAACTAGACTACTCCAGGCAGAGATTTCCATTTGAGAATATGTTTTTACAAAAAGAAATACTGTCATTATTAATAAAATCGTGGCTCTGAGAAATAGGAAAGTGAGCAGAAAGTTTGAGGCTGTGCAGTCTGAGGATCAGGATAGAAAAGTGTTGGCTCTGCTCCTTAAGCTGTGTGACACTGGGAAAGTTATTTAGCCTTTCAGAGCCTTGATAACGTAACCTTAAAATGGGTATGGCAGGAGTAATAATACCAAACCCTGTCCTTCACAGGATGGAGTGAGGCTCAAATGTAATAACCGATATGAAGGTATTTTGGTCATCAATAAGTACTATAGCAATGTTTTATAAGTACCATAGCAATGTTTTCTCTTCCAACCCCTATAAAGACAAGTTTCTGTGGAATTTGACAAACTCAAATATAAAGAGAGTTTTCTAATGTAGCATCCTTGAAAGGGAGCTACTTTTACCTCTTTTTCACGTTCTAAGTTGGGTGGTCAAATAGGATTTAAATGTAGGTCATCCGTGTGCATTTTAAAGACTGAAGAAGAGGAATTCTGTGAAGAGCACTTGAACTGAGTTGGTATGCCCTGCTCTCCTCAGCACCCCCTGACATACAAAGATTGAAGCTGTGTATCAGTCTGCATGTCCCAGGAAGCCTAGATAGGAC
This sequence comes from Homo sapiens, assembly GCF_000001405.40. Taxonomy (NCBI): domain Eukaryota; kingdom Metazoa; phylum Chordata; class Mammalia; order Primates; family Hominidae; genus Homo; species Homo sapiens. The sequence goes on along the minus strand of NC_000014.9, from coordinate 79,667,973 downwards.
CTGAAAAGCCTTTACTGGACCATGCTCAGGGATCTTACAGCAGTGACAGTATCACCGGCCACCCACTCACAGCAGAGAGAAGATATGGAACAAACCCAGTCAGCTCAGCCTTCCAGGGGGCCTAGAGCTGTGGCTAAAATTAATTCCTCATACTCAAGTCACCTTTCACCCCCCCTCCCTTGTTCCTACCACCGCATTGTATAGGGACAACAATCAGAGACTTTATAAGGAACATTTGTCAGTGCCTGGATGATAGCTCTGGGCTGATTCTTCTTTTATTTCCCTCTCCTGTTTCTTAGCTTTTCTATTTTCAGGTTCAAAGAAAGAAGTTGCTTTTCAGTTCTACCTCCCAGAATTTAGTGATATAAGATTCCGATTGCTATAGAACTATTTTCATTCTGTTTCTTCCCTGATTCACAAAGAAAGAGCCAGTGCTACATGCCCTGTGCCCAGCTGGGTTCTAAATATTTCACGGTGGGATGTTTCAGTAGAGCCCCATAAATGCCCATGAGAAGACTGTGGAGATGACCCATTCATCCCGGTGCACAGCTGACTCATTCAGACCTTGTAGGCAGGAACAATTCCCCGAGAGCATGTTCTCCAAGTGAGATAACTTAACATAAATCTTCTATAGGAGCTACTCTGTATGTCTTTACTGTTTAAACATTAGTAATAAGTGAGTAGTGAGACTAAACCCTTGATGATTTCTAAACCTACTGTTATTGATAAAATAATAAAATAGAATGACTTTAGAAAACAAAAGGACACATTTTTGTAGAAACTGTCAAGACTGCCTTGCCAGGTTGATGGCTTTGTTTGATGGCCCAGACACGGGGAATTTTGATCTTATGATTTAAAATAAACATTGCCAGATTTTTCTCATGATACTTTAAATTATTAATAGTTAAATTGATCCTTTTAATAGCACAGGGAAGCAGAGAGGAGAGAAAATAAGGTATCCAAGGCTCAAAAAGTGAACCGCTCCTAGGAAGTCTTGGCAGAGTGGAACATAAACCTCGATCTAGTATATCACACAACAACTTTTTAATTGAGGCAGCAAGGTAAGGGGATATAGCTCCTTTAAATACTCACTATTCTTTCAGCTGCTTCATGGGAGCACATTGCCATTGTTGTAAGGAGAGCAGCTTGGGGTCACTGGTGCCAATAAAACTTTTAAATGAGGATTTTGAACTCAACACCTCACAATAACCACTTTTGTGTGATCATTGGAAAGTGACCTTTGAGATATGACACTTCTTTAAAGAAAGAAATCTAAGATGACACAAGAAGAAAAATACTCATTTCTAGCTATGCATTTTTCAGAACATCCCCCAATTCTCTGGGGGAGCAATAGTGAAAACTGCCCAATTGGAAACAGAAAAATCTTGTCCTAGGTCTTCCTTCACTTGCTATGTGACCTTAGGAAGGGCATAGCACCTCCTTGGGTCTCTGTTTTTATTTGAAATGGAGAATAAAAAATATCTACCTTGTCTAATTGATAGGGTATTTCATCTTCAAAATGAAGAAATCTGTACTCAAAAATATGTCCTAATTTAAAATGCTAGCCAAATGATTGGTAATCCTCACAGCTAACATTTATTGAGGATTGACTTAATTGTCCCAGCATTATACATGTGGTCAACTCACTTAATCTTCACATTAACCAGGTATTATCATTACCCTGGTTGTCTAGACTAGGAAACAGTCTCAGGGAGAAGAATGAACATCTTCTTAAAGAACAACAAAACAGAGAAAGTACAAAATGAGAATTTGGGAAGAAAGAATCTAATATATTTTGAAAGCATTACAGAAATCATCAGAGGAGAAAAATAAAAACTCTTAGAAATTCTTACACTTATTTTATGGTTCAGTGTTACTGTATTTTGAATTACATGTGGGGAGAGGCACCAAATATTTCAATGCTTAGGACATTTCAAGGTCTTTAGACTCACAGGTGATGAAACCAAGATCCCAACTCTAGCCAGTTGACTCCAAGGCCCATACTTATAAATGCTATACTGTACCCTGTCCTGAAATAATAACACATATCGTTACTAAATAACAGTTTCCAATGATAATAATAGTTTTCAGGAGGGAGCAATGCTATTAAAGAAAGGCTTAATCTGTTTTGAAAACATATAGGAAGCAACCCATAATTTGGAACTAAAGAAAGACACCAAAAGATAGGCGCACAGCAAGAATCTCCGGTTTGGTTACATAGCTGTGGCTTTAAAAATGACCATTAAAGAGCCTGCTCATTGCTGGCAGCAAACTTGTAGATTCTATATTGGCTCAAGGCAAGTGGTTAACATCAATTTAGAAATCTTTGAAATTCCTAACAGAAACACAACAAACCCTTCAGCAACACTAGCAAGGCCAATGATAACACATATGGAGAGAGAGATTGATTTTTTTCTATGAGCCTATGAACAGCTTTTAAGATACTGGACTGCTTTTATTCCTTTCACCCTCTCCCCCATCCATCAGGGATTAAGCAGGAAGCATTTAAAAATTAAGTCTATTAGTGTGTAGTGAATTTGAATGATAAAAATTCCTAGAAGCTGTTAATAGCTTTGGCTTTCTTCAAATACTCAAAGATAACCTCATAAGGGCATTTATGTGCCTTAATCTAAGAAATTCTGAGACCCCTAGCAATGGCTGAGCTGGCTGTTTTATGGAAACCGAGATGGCAAATCAATAGTGGGTGGAGCTTTTTGCCTCAATACCTTGGGGGTCTTGCATGCTGTTTCCAGATGCTCTTACAATTCTTAAACAGATATAGCGGGACTCTAGCAGTTAGGGAACAACCCAACAGCGCAGATACTTCTGATAGGCTTTTAAAGAAAATTAATGCTGAGTTAGGTGTGGAGATACAACAGCCTTCAAGCCATTCAAAGTCTTGGCCTACAAATAGGCAAATTCACTTTGTATCTTTCTCACAAGCATAACCATTATTAGCTAATGGCTCTTAGACATGTGAAAATGTGCTTCAAGCTTCTTTGTTATTGTGCCCACCTCACTGTAAAGGAAGTTAGAGAAAAGTGGTGAGAAAATTGTGAGGAGTTTGGTGTGTAGGATAGAGAGTAGCACATCACTTCATGCCCACATTAGTGAGAAGTGCAATATTCTCACTATTCTCTTGCATCCATCAGATGACAGTGCAATTGTGGAACAATGGCCCTTTGCTGAAGGGTTGTCCCTTCCATTCCTGGCACTTTTACGATCAGCATTCAGGACTTTTCCTGGGAGAAGTGAGAGGCAAGAGGGAAAGCTGAGGGATTATTTGAATGATCTCTTTTAAGGAAGGCAACCTTTTCTCCCGTTGTGCTTGATTCAGCCATCTGGCTCTGGGAATTTGTTGCTGAATGTTTCTTGACTGTAAAATTTAAACAGATGATTAACCCCTTTTCCTGCCACACCAGCATGCTTGCTATTAAAATGACTACTAGGACCAACCTTTGAATATCCAGGCAGGCTTAGGGTAAGTGAGAAAATAAAAACTAGCAAAGTCCACCAAACGAATAAAATTCCACCTTAGTTTTTCTCTCATTGTTACCATGACTTGATCTGTGTCTTCAAGTTCAGTAATTGTCCTTTTAGAGTCTCTCTCTGGCATCTGCACCTTCAACTGCATCCGACTAAATGGCACCACAAAGTCTGGGTCTCAAATGGAGCATCTTATGATTATCGACACTAGCTCATGATAGAGATGATCCTTCCCTTCACTGCTCCTCATCTACAGGCCCTGCAAAATCTACCGTAATTGTCTTTGGTATGAGCCAGTCAGGCTGTATCAGTCAAAGGTTGACAAAAAGTGTCCAGTGCATAGTTGGTAAAGTCTCCAGAAGCTCCCTATACTGGATCAAGTCCTAAAGAGATGACTTATCTTCTCATACAAAAAAATCATGAATGTGTACTTCACTCAGTGTTCTGGAATTTGGTGACAGTCATGAGAAAAATCACCACTGAAAAGTGAGAATGGGAGAGTCAAAAAGAGTAGGACCATTGAGCGAACAACATGTACCTGTAGGATAATGTTCATTCACTGGCCAGTTGTCCACCTGCAGGGTGGCGTTGCCGCCGTTCCTGGTGAAGCGTACCACATGGTATTTGCCGTCATTTACAGGGGTTCTCTCCTCTTTGATGGAGATGTCAACTGTGCCAATGTTGAAGACAACTCCAATTTTCCCCTGTTCCTATAATAAAGAAACACAAAAGGCATAGTTATCACCAACCACGAAGTTCTCTCCCTTTAAACTTGATCCTCCAACCAGCAATAAACCTGTAGGTGCCCAGAGGGAGCTGTCAGCATGAAGATAAGATAATAATAGCATTCTACATTTCTCCATGAGCTTTCATCCTGAGCATAAAAACCAATGGCATAAAAACCACCCAAATTGCTCTCACAGGCTGCACCGCACAGGTTACATCATTCAATTCCCCTCAAGGCAAATCAGGCCTGGAACTACCTAGTAGCTATGCAATGACAATGCAAAGTTTATTTCTGTGAGATGAATTAGGCCTGTTTACTAAGAGAGTACACCAAGACACTGGACCTTAAATCATTTATCAATTCAGATTTACAATTAAAGTGGAAATATGAGCTTCTCAGCATATTTTCATGCGATCAAGGCAAAGCAGAGGTGTACAGAATGGTTAGGAGCCAATGTCAGAGGGGCTGGATATATGTGTGTGTGTATATAAATATACACACACACACACACACGCGTACACACACACACATGCACATAATGGTTCTGCAGTTCCAAACCACATAGAAAAGGTAACCCCAGTAGAGGCCAATGAAACTCACCTAGAATTTTCATGATTAGATGGCTGCCATGCTTCCCAACTTGTAGCCCTACTCCTCAGATTAATCCAAAGAGAGATATATTCAAGACCAGAGCTTATGCAACACAGCAGAAGAGAACCTCTGTGGCCATCAAAGACTTGTCAGAAGGGAAATTGCAATGAATTAGATAAGAGTAACACTATGGCAGTGAAGACGGTGATATGGTGTGGATGTGTCCCCACCCAAATCTCCTGTTCAGTTGTAATCTCCAGTGTTGGAGATGGGGCCTGGTGGGAGGTGATTGGATCATGGGGACAATTTCTCATGAACGTTTTAGTACCATTCCCTTGGTCCTGTTCTCGTGATAGTGAGTGAGTTCTTATGAGATCTGGTTGTTTAAAGTGTGTGGCATCTTCCCTGTGTCTCTCTTGTTCCTGCTCCTGTCATGTGAGACTCTTCCTCCCCTATTTGCCATGATTGGAAGCTTCCTGAGGGCTCCCCAGAAGCAGATGCTGCTATGCTTCCTATACATCCTGCAGAACTGTGAGCCAATTAAAAACTCTTTTCTTTATAAATCACTCATTCTCAGGTATTTCTTTATAGCAATGTGAGGATGGACTAATACAGATAATAATGATGCAAATGGTGATGCTGGTGGTGATATCACCAACCTCCTGGGAAGTGCACTAAAACACAAAGCATACATAATAATGCTATTAAAACTCTGACTCTTCTCTAATAATTGGTTATGACTAAAAGTTGGAACTAGTAGTCACAATGAGACATGAAATAAATGTAACCTTACTATTCAAATATAATCAGCCTCTCTTAAGCTCTTGGAAAGACATAGCATTGCAGGGTGTTGGAGGCATGTGTAAGGACAGAAGGGAGACATCTTGCTCAATTTCTTTAGTTTTCCAAATTACTGGCAATATGTTGGGCATTCAAGGATAATAAAATTTAGTAGTTGTATTAGTCCTTTCCATTCTGTGAGTAAAGACACACCTGAGACTGGGTAATTTATGAACAAAAGAGGTTTAATTGACTCACAGTTCAGCATGGCTGTGGGGGCCTGGAAAGCAAACACATCCTTCTTCACGTGGCAGCAGGAAGGAGAAGTGCCAGGCAAAAGAGGAAAACCCCCTCATAAAACCATCAGATATCATGAGAACTCACTCACTATCATGAGAACAACATGGAGGTAACTGCTCACATGAGCCAATTACCTCCCACTGGCTCCCTCCCACAACACGTTGGGATTATGGGAACTATAATTCAAGATGAGATTTGCGTGGGAACACAGCCAAACCATATCAGTAGTAATTCTGACATTCTACAAGACTGAGTCACAGTACTAGTTCACGATCCTTTGTTATCTTCTATTATTTTTTTATTCAAGAAGAAGTAAAAGGAAGAGAAGGAGGAAAACCAGAAGGAGGAAAAGAAAAAGAAGAATGTGAGAAAAGTCCAGAATCCATATAAATCAAGATATAGAAAAGAGTTTTTCTAAATCTCAGATTTAGTCATTTGTTTTATTCATTCATGTATTCATTAAATACACAAATACAAAATTTATTAAGCACCTACTACACCTAAAGTCAACAAATTAAGAGTTCTGGAGGGAGGGACACTGGTTTCTATATATAGTTTGGTACACTTCACTTCTTTTCCCAAAATGAAGGCTTTCCTCAAGTTTCCATTTATCACTTAGTATGTCAGTTCATCTTGTATCCAATAAAAGAATGGACAAGTCATGCAGAAGTCTTGATCTTAGAAGCGAGGAATATAGAATGATCAACCAAAGCAGGCTGTGAGCATTCAAGGATGCAGAGATACAGGGTGGACCTCAGTATTTCCTTTGTGCCCTGATTACATAATATGCAATATAAAATGATGTCTGCAATCCCCATGTTCTGTTCTCTGGGAAAAGAGTTCCAGGTACCTCCCAAAATTGTGACTAAACACACTCATGATTTCGTAAATCTGTTTGTTGAAACCGCTATCTACATCTCTGCACTAGGAAAAGCACCTAGCTTTAAAATATGCATGCATATATAAATGAACCTGATTATGGGTTCTTTTTGTACTTTTCATGCCCATAGCTAATATTATTGTCCATTTTATTCTTCTTATTTCTCAAGGAATTCAGAAATGGTAATATGACTTTTCTGCTTTCTCTTAAAGAACTGGTATTCATTTCTAAGGGTGTGTGTGTGTCACTGCCCACGACCCTCATGCCTAAATAAGCTAGGCTGTAATAATGTGAGCCATAACCTGCTTAGCAGAATGGAAGTACTAGAGGAGTTAAGAAACCATGACTGCAGACACCATTACTCCTCTGCCCACCCCACAAATGAGGGCTGTTTATTGCACCACTGTTCTTCAATGAGAAACCAGTACATAAATCCTGGATGCATGGAAAGGACAGCTGGTGATTCAATTCACCCCTAAGTCACTAATTAATCATGGATGGAAAACAGTTTTAGGGGAAGCATGGAGACCTTTAAAGCAGCATTCTGTAGCTTTTCAGTGACAGCAGTGGCCAAGTACGGTTCTGGCTCAGTGAGTTCGCTGATCAGCAAGATATATTCTTGGGCAGATTTTCTGCAAGATCCATATTTGATTCAGGAAAAGAAAAGATTTAATCTCTGCCAGAATAAATATTTGGTCCTTATCTTAGGTGCCACACATTTGCCATTGTAATCAGTGTTTCTGGGAGATCTTCTTAATCCTGTTAGCTCACTGCTAAAGTCAGTGGAGATCCTTTCCCAGGTGTTTCATTTTGTTTCCCACAATGGTAAATGTGGCCGTGCTAGATCTCAGATGTGGTCTCTATTTGCAGTAATAAAATTTCATTACTGCAACCTCCTTGTCATTTGTCATGGGACCACGGTGGCATTATAATCCATGGCTAACTGCTTTGTTTCAGTTCATTAGAAGTCACGGAAGCCTTGTGGCGAATACCCATAGAGTTGCCCAGGCTTGAAACTATCATGCACAGCTGCCATGCAAATCAACTCCGCTGGCTCATGTGTCTAGAAAAGAGAAGATGTGAGGGAACAAAAGCATTGGCTTTGGTGTCAGACCTGACTGACCTTGGGCAAATTACTTGATTTTTCTGAAGCCACTTCTTGATAATACACTATAAGGACAGGATATCAGCATTTCGTACTTCATAGGGCTGTTGTAAGGATGATATAATATGATGAACATGATGGTACTTTATAAGTAATAAAACATTACATAAATATATGAGATAAAACAGATCAGGAGAAGGAACCACCCATCATTTGATCAGATATAAAACACTCTGATTTTTGGAGAAACTGTTTCAATAGAATAAATGTGGGTTTTAGCCTAGCATGGTTCAAATAACAGCGATGGCTCTTAAAGCTGTATGACCCTGGTCTGGTTATTTTACTTCTGATTTCTCTTTCATAAAGAGATGTGTGGAGGGAAAGAGGGGCCAGTTGTTACCTCTGAAGCTTGCTGTGAGGGTTATAGGAGAGCACAGACATGTGAAGCACCTGGCATTCACTGTGGATAATTTTGGACCCACAAAATGTCAGTCTTCTTTCTCCCTTCTTTCTCCTCATTAGTGTAACTGAAAGTAGTGTCATGAGCTAAGGGCTAGTTGGCTTGGTGGGCACTGTCATCAAGACATATTGTGAAAATAAATGTAAATTTTAGCAAACAGAATATATATTAAAACAATTTATGCAGGGTTGATTTCCTATCCCAATTTGGTAGTTGCTATCTCTCTACATTCTTTGTAACCAGATATTATAAGCCTCTCTAAGAAATGCAAAGTGTAGCTGCAAAAACAGCATGACTATAAATTTTAATAACTCCACAGCCATCACCACTAAAGTTGCTACCAAGACAATTGCTTCAATCTATATTCTTCCTTGATATTAAAAACAAAAACAAGTGGTAAATCAGAAGACATTACCAAAGAATCCTCAAGTGCATTCAGGAAAAAAAAAAAACTGAACAGCACAGAAACCAGCTGTCTTTAAATAGCCAGTAAGTCACTCTTCATCAATAATGACTGTTTATAAGCCCACCTGGCTCCCCAAATTAGTCCAGCTTCAGCTGCCCTATCCTCAATCAGTCACACTGCAGTTATTGGTGCTGACCTAAGAGATGCTACCGACACCAGGGTCAGACTCCAGGAGCAGAAATGCTCAGGGGCAAGAAGAATTCTCAGGAATAAAGATGTCACTGAAGGCTATCTCTTCGTTCATTCCAGACTGCCCCTGGGGAAGACGGAATGCATCATCCGCTATTTTAGAAAATTGCAGCTGAGAGAAACAGAACTGGGATTTTCAAATGTATGCCAGGGATATGGGCAATGGAAGCAGGTCTCAGTGTCTTAACTGCTAGGCTTCCCACAGAATTTGTTAGTTCAGTGCTAGGCAAGAACACAAGGAAGGCAATATGTAAATAATGCCTCTTGTGGGCCAGGCACAGCAAGGTCTTCCATACCCATTTCAAAGTCTGGTTCCTAGTAAAGAAAATAATGAGCGGCACTGTTTACCACACTTTCCTAGTTCTCCTCCATTATAGGGTTGTAGTAAGAGAGGACTTTTGGGTCTCGTTGTGATGGGTTGGGCCAAGAGAACAGTGTTAACTGATAAATTGAGTATCATTCCTGAGCCATGCATTTAGTTGCTGGTGTGAGACCCACGAGAGTTCTCTCATTTGTTGTCAACCACTGCACCCAGCAAACTCCTGGTAGCGGCTTCTTTGTCATTCCGGGTCATTGAGTGAGGATGGCAATAAGCCAACTTGCTACGGACATGCAGATGGCTGAGAAACAAAGCTTGGTTGCTTTATAGCACCAAGTGTTTGAGGCTTTTGTCACTGCAACATAAACCAGGCTACCTAAATGGACAGAATAGGTGCTCAGTAAATATTTTTATAATAGAAGTATATTCAAATTCTTACAATTAATTACAAGAGAATTCACACAATAAGAGACTTATGGAAAAATAGAATCCAGGTCTGACTCTAAAATCCATGCATTTTCGACAATCACAGCTTTTACATGTTATAATTGAGTTATTTCTATAACAGAAATACATGTGTTACATATTACATATTTTATGTAGGCCTAACTTATCTGTCCACTTAGCCTAATTGTGAGTATTTTAAATGTAAGTATCCTAACATGAGCTCAGTAAATGTTTGTTAAATTAATGGATATGGAAATGAATAAATGATGAATTAGAATGTGTGGTTGTGATTTTAAAAAAATTAGAAGAATCTTTTTTGTACCATAAGAGACCAAATATGATTTCAGTATTATAGGATAAAATAAATTATTGCTACCATATTCAAATTTCGTGCAATAAATCTTAGGCAAAACATCTCACTATGCTTTATAAATGCATCTGTAAAATACAAAAAGATGAGTTACAGCTTACCTGATTGATCAATTTTGACTTTGACTAACAGAGGCTTTTACTGCAGTTCTTTAGAATAAAACATTGAACTCAGTAGAACATAATTTGCGCTCTTTTTGTGGCTATTAAGTGTCTTTCAGTGAAGATCATTAGTCTCTACTCTTTCAACATTATGGTCTTCTTGTTCTACACTCTGGACAGTTGTTGGTTTATAAGCACAGAGTAAGCACTTCATTATTAAGGTATTTCAAGAGAGGTAAGAGACCAGGTCTCTCCGTTGAAAAATCTAAATCAGAGAAGATGCCTTTCAGAAATCACCCAAACTGACAAGACCACGGCTGTAGAGCTTGAAGATCTTTCAAAGTCCATGATCACCTCATGACAATGACCCAGTCCCCTCCCCTTGAGAAGCTGAAGTGTGGCTGTGGCAGGAAAAGCAGGGGAGAGGAAAATGTCTACTTTGTGTTCTAGAAGAATTTGAGATTTAGAATCAAAAGAATTGGGACTGATTGAGGCTCCACATTATTTTTTCCATGTGATCTTGAGCAGGTCCCTCAACTATCCATGGCTCAAGCTTTGTCTAGAAAAACGATAACGAAGACAAGAGCAACAGTAATACTTGTGTTAAATAGTACTTATTAAGAGAAATAAATAAAATCTTGGCAAATTCTGAAGGTATCTACAAACAATGATGTAAAAATATGTTAATGATGGGTTTGGAGATGGTGATAATAGTGATGCTAGCTGAGAAATAGTACTAATATGGATGACAGGTGAGTCAGAGGCATTTGCACACTCCCTATAGGATACTGCTCTATTTACAACGACTGTCTCCCAGTCAAGGTCATCGACTCTGGGATCTGTATACATTGTCCCTAGAAAATTCATATTAAATGGCTTGAAAACTATTTCTCCTTTTCTAAATCTTTATAGGCCTCAGCGAACTTTGCACCCAACCAGGAAAGTTACATCCACCTCTCCCCTGGCTGCAGTTGTGCTTCACCTGGTGTTTTACTGATGTCTGGTTGCACGAGGTCAATCAATTAAAGTGGATTAGATCCACAGTCTGAAATGCTAACAGAGGGCGCAGAGAGATAAGACTGATAAATAGCTCGAGACAGCTCCATCTCTGACTCCAAGCAAAAAAAAAAAAAAAAGAGAGAGAGAGAGTAGGGATGACAGCTTAGGACATCAGGAACCATGACCTGAAAAGGCGAGAAGCAAGGAAGGACAAGACAGCCGATGCAAGTAAATAAGATGCAAGTCAAAGCTACCACGGCTCTAAGTCACCAGTCACAACTGGCATCCTGAGTCATCACGTCCTTCAAATCTACTCGGAACATCCACTTCTCATTCACAGACCCCAATGTCATGCTGGTTTATTTGGTAGTTAAGTTTGACTGCAAGGCAAACTTCAAGTTCATTTCCATAGGTGCCCCAGCCCTGTGCCAAGACCTGGAGCAGTCTCCTGGCAGGACTCAGGTGACAGCTGGCAGGGCAGTGCTGACTAAAATCCAGTACAGACTGAACGTCTCCCATAAACGTCCGGTTTCCCCGCTAAATCTCAACCACAGCTGTGAGGAACCACCCAGCGGTCTTCATAAAGAAACCTTAAGCCCTGTGCTCACACTAACAACAAACATTACAGTCCTTGAAATGAGGAAACACATTTTAACTCATCTGGAATTTTTCCAGAACATCTTACACCTTACTTATGTGCTTACAAAGTGAGGTTCTAAGACCCCCAGCAGCAGTATCACCAGCGGACTCATTAGACATGTAAATTGTTGGGTCTAGTGCTAGTGCAAGACCCTCTGAATCAGAAACTCTAGTGTGAGGCCCAGTAACATGTATTTTCACAAGAACTTAAGGTGATTGATTCAGATGCTAAAGTTTAGGAACCACTTTCTTACATTAATGTCTTGGTTCACTAAGGCAGTGATTTCAACAGGGATGCTTATCTCCAGGGACATTTGGCAATGTCTGGAGACATTTTTGGCTGTCACAACTGAAGTGGAGTGCTTCTAGAATCTAGTGGGTCGAGGCCACGCATGCTGCTAAATATACAATGATACACAACAAAGAAATAGCTGGCTCTAATATCAATAGTGCCACTATTGAGAAACTGCACCAGGGAGTGCAAAACTTCAGTCACTTAACAAATATCCATAGAGCATGTATTGCATGAAAAAAAAGAAAAACATTCTACACACATTTACATGCATAGTCTAATGTATTCTCCAGACAGTACTTTTCTGTATGGTATATATGCACGCACACAACAGGCACACATGCACATGAGTGCACAGCCATGAGCACGCACGTGTGAATTTTTAAATATTTGATCTAAAATTGTGTTCCAGCAAACAGAACACAAGGAGAGCAATAAGTATGTATCGATAAGCTCTCCGACTGTCCCCTACTCTGTCAAATGCCCACTTTGCAGGTATAAACTTTGAAATGCATGCTCACAGAGCCAGAAAGTGGCAGGTCTAATACACATGTCCTATGCCATTTTCTCCATCTGGTCTTGGTAACCCTGTTCCCTACTGACTGATTGCTGCTAGTCCCTAAGGAAGTCTTTTCATTCATCTCCTCTGGCAAAATAACATTAGTTGATAGTCCCAACTCTAAATTAGTTACTTTACTACAGACTAGGTCATTTTAGTCAGTTTCCAAGAATATGCATGATCAGCTCTGAACAGGATGCAAAGGAGAAATTTCTTCTCTTAGAGGTGGATATTCTAGGCCAAAAATGAGCAGCTGCTCCTCTATAAATGAGAGATCAGCAAAGCGTGAGTAACCCTCCAAGACCTATTCTGTGGTTGTGAGGAAACTTTTAGTGATTCTTTAAAGTGCTTTACTATTTATCTAACTTCCAAATGACAGGCTATATTAGCATTATGGCTTCAAGGTAAATGGACCTACATGAATAATAAACACCAACCAAGAACTCTTTTTTCATAAGTAAGGCATTTTCAGTCAATCCCTCAGATAAATTCCCTGTCTAAATTCTATACCATTCTCTACCTGAAAAAAAATTAATATACACATTTCAGAATGGAGAGATTTAGTACTTAGGGTCATCAGATAATACGGTTTAGATTGTGGCAGTTTTTTATGATATGTTTGAGGTATGAATATGCAAAAGTTGGAGGAGATAGATTGGCCTAGAGCAGAGATCAGCAAACTGTGTGCCAAATATAATTGTTCCCTGTTTTTATAAATAAAGTTTTATTGGGACACGGCTGGACTCATTCATTGATGTATTATTATCTTTGGCTGCTTCCATGCTACAACAGCAGACATGAGTAGCTGCAACAGAGATCATGTGGCCTACAAGCCTAAAATATTTACTTTCTGGCCCTTTACAGAAAAAGTTGCTGACCCCTGTTCGTTGTGGAACTTTTTTTAAGTTTAATTTTTTTTAAGTTTTTTTTTTTAAGTTTAATTTAAGTTTAATTTAAGGTCACCTATGATTTTCTTTTTTCAGATTTTAATCAATAGTTGATGTACAAGTGGTCAGAATAACTCAAATAGGGTGAGAGGATCAAATGAGGAACCTGTAACATACCTGCTCATTCACCTATTGGAAGAAAGTTCTCTAGGTAGCCTCGGACCAACCTGGTTTGTGTTCTTTTCTCACTTGTAGTTCTCAAAAATAACTAAAGAATATACCAGAAATGTAACATTCTCAGATAAGGAGGAACTGGCTGGAATAGCCAAGTCTCTGTTCCACTTCCTACCAGAACAGGATGTCCTTCAACACTTCAGCTTATTGAGTCATATTGCCCCTGGGGTATAAAACCCAGAGTGGGGTACTTTCCAAGGTCCCTTAGGTGCAGTACGTGCACAGGTGGATTCCATTTGCCATAGGCAGCTTTCCTGAGCCTTGGAGAATGAGCTCAAAATGATTCCCCAGCTTCTGCTGTCCTTTACTGCCTATATGTGACTTGTGTGTGGGGGTGTTCTCTCTCACTAGGCTCAGGCATATTGGTAACCAGTGTACAATGAACCTGATTCACAATTATTATTTGGCAAATAGAACAATATATCTTAGATATTTTCTAATAAGTTATATAAAATAAGAGGATCTACAAAAGCTCACTCAATTAGGCATAAACTAATCTATCTTAGATCCCACTGAGAGTGGTTTATATACTAAAATCAACTCAAAATAACACTGTTTGAAGGAGGTCAGCTGCAGATGCAGAGAAATAAATTAGAGGCTTCTGGCAAAAGATGGTAGTAGCTAGGAATAGTCTGGTAATGGAGGAGATGGAGCAAAGTTATAAGTCATTAAAATTGTAATGATATCACATTTCGTTTGGAAAATGTATCTAGTTCTATGGGAGTGAATCAAATACATTTTAAAGGCTTGGGACTCTAAAAGATAGCACACATCACTCTGATGTTAGGATTTGAGTTTATTTTATTATATTAGATGGAATGAGAAAAGAGAATAGCATTGCAGCCCAATGAATATCTCAGTCTCCAGGGCTCCAATGCATCTGCAAAATACTTGAGTCACTTGAGTGATAAATGGTGATTAACTGAGCTCTCTCGGTTTACCTGCAAGGGGAATCTACTGTGTCATCATCTTGGGATGAACACACTGAAATAAGGGCTCATTTTTCCTTTCCTAGTTATCATAAACAAAATGGCCAACAGACTGTAATATATCAGCAGTGCCTGTCTGCACGTGGGGACTCTGGTGTGTGTGTGTGTGTCCTGGAGATAGTGCTGCAGTTAGGTCTTTCATCCAGGTGATATTTTATGGTTCTCTTCTTCGTCAACTATCACCCACTACAACATTCTCTCTTGGATAAGATCAGTAATTCTAATTCAAAAGGTGGGTCCTTACTTACCCCCAACCACCATAATAAAAGCAACAAAAATTTTTTAAAAAGTGAAATTTAAAAAGCTCCAGTACTTCGAAAAAAGGCCGGCCCTATGACCTCCATGACAGCATCAAAGCCTCTGTAGGGGAGAATGATCTGGACACCCAAGCAGAAATATGAAAAGGAAAGTGCTTTCCCTCAGTCCTGATGAAATTAGTAAAGGTGACCCCAAGCAGACACTGGAAAACATGTCACAGGGAGCTGACTCATACCTTTTGAAAAGAGTCCACCATACTAGCATTGAGAATTATTTCAAAGCTATGTGCTCTTTCGATAGAATAATTAGAGAACACATCTCCTAATTTTAATTTACTTGAATTCAGTATCCCTACCAAAGTATAAAGTGAGTAAGTTTCAGCCAAATGGAGAAATAGAAATGTCCCTGGAACAGCATGAGGTCATTGTTCCCCTAAGATATGGCAGGCACTGTAAGCCCTCTGGAAGCCGGTCAGAGCTTCAGATACACAAATTATCCATGAGTTTATAGTGAACTCATACACAATATGAAGAAGCATTTATTTTTTGACATTTAAAGGGCACAAACATTCTTCTCTCTCTTCTTTATGAGTGAGCTACAATTTTGTTCATTAACATGACGAAGGTAAATGATGTCATTCAAGAGGCTGAGGAACATAATGCTAGAGAAATAGTTATTTGTAGATATGTTGCCATGTAAATGTGTGTGTGATTGTGTGTGTTTGTGTTTGAATAAAACCTTAAAACTTACACAAAAGTTAGTCCCTTTGACCCTCTTATTTTCTTTTAGGCAAAGTAATGGTGGCTCAGTAGAATCTAAGCACCTCTGTGTCCACTGGAGGTCATCTATAATCCAACTGTAATATCGTCCTTAAACAGTGGCAGAACAGTCAGTGGAATCCTGAGTCTTCACTTTCAATAGGAAGCCTCTCAGGAATATGAATCTATTATAGACCTGACTCAAAACAAACTATGGATTCCAGCATGAATCAAATGTCAGAAAGATCTAGAGTCAACATTAGCTTTAGGGAATGGAACTGGTCATTAGGGATCACTGATCTAGGAATGACCCAAACACAGGAAAGATCTTCTAGCTCTGGCCTAGCCCAAAGCTCAATGAGGCACACTTTCCTATCTGGAGAAGACAGTTTTCTCTGCAGAAGGTCCAGCTTTCCTGGCCAGTGTGCACAGGTGTACAGAGCTGAAAACAACTTTACACACGTGCCTTCCAGAGACATCTTTGATAACCAGATTTATTCTCTAATTATCCCACAATCTCTCCATTATCTATTCAATAATAACATCAGTTTGTGTTGATTCATTTCAATGTTTTTTTAATGGAACAATTCTTTTTTTTTCCTGTCACACCATGAGCATTGTGAGGGAAGAAAATGCATCTTTATGTTCTATGTCTTCCTCCATATCAAAAGTTTAATAAATGTTCAGCCAAGCATCTGACACAATGGTGAAAGCACCTTTGCATTCTTCTGCTAGCAAGACAAGTGCATAGTGCAATATCTCCATCCATGGTTCATTTACTGCTTTTCAATTTTTGCTATGGTTTTGCTTTGGGAGAGAACTTTTGAAAATGTAGAGTACCACTACCTCTCAGGTGACCATAGCTGTTCACTTGTTTCACATAGTCTACCAAACTGTCTTCAGGAAAATTGCCAGCAGGCCTCTGTGGCCTGAGAGGAACTTTCTCTGTGGACCGGGAGGTGAAAGGCTTAGTGTTCATTACCAAGGGCTTCAACCTACTCTGCTTCTGTGTTTGGATTAGACTCAAATTGAAGTCCTAGAGGTGGACACTGATCCATCCTATTACCAGTTAATTGAACCACGTGATTCCCATTAAATACAACTTTAATCTTTGAAATATCCAAGATGCCAAGCTTTCAGAGAAACTCAGTTTCATTGTCTTGCCTTCTCCATTATTCTGTAATGCAGTGATTTCTGGTCAGTGTAGGGCTCAATCCCTGCCTCTTGGGAGGCCATCCCCTCACCACAGTCTTTTGGACCACCATGAGTTGGCTGTACTTCAACCACCATCCATTTCAGTTTGCACTAGACTTGCCAAATTCAGAATTTTAACATGTAGTCATGTTTTCCCCCAAGAAGTACCTTTATTTCTCCAAATCAATAAGATGTGTAAGTAGAATCAAGTCATAGAAATTTTGAAATCAAGTGTGTATTGATCCTATCCTCTGTATAGGGCATTTTGGGAGGCACATCAGAAGTTAGATAAATACATCTGGCATTCTTTAGCCCTCAAGAGTGTAAACGATACTTTGGTGTGGTGCATAGGGCAACTGCATTTGAATCAGAAGGCTTGGATATAATTCTAGTTGTTCACTTACTGCAGGTTTTGGGGAAAGCCACAAATACTCTGCACCCAGTTTCCTCATCCGTAAGACAAAGTCACATTGCTGAGCTTGTTGGGTGATGATGGAGATTAAATAAGAGATGTTTCTAATAACAATTTAAAAAAATATAGATCGCTGATGGGGACAAAAGAGAAATGAGAAAGAAGCACATGGTTTCCTAAATTGAGATATAAAAAATGAAGGAACGTTCCCATATAATATTTCCAAATAAATATCCACAGACAGTCATTGATAAATTGCCCAAGTAACCAGAGAAAGAGGATTCATTACCTGGCCTTCAGGATAGGAAATTCTTCTGTGTAGAAAAAACAAACTCAGTTTCTCCTATACTCTCACAACACGCTTCTGACGCTAGATGTGTGGAGGTTTTTCCCCACACATCAAGCAAGCAAGCAAGCAAGCAAGCAATCTGCAGCAGACACCAGCTGGATGTCCTCCAACCAAGTTCAATTCCTGCACTACCTGCCCGGAGATAGAAAAGACATTAGGCATGATTTCTCTCTCCTCCATGTAAAGATACAGCAAGAAGGTGGCCATCTGTCAGTCGGGAAATGGACCCTCAGCAGAAACCAAATTGACTGGCACCTTGACCTTGGACTTCCTAGTCTCCAGAATGGGGAGCAATAAATATTTGTTGTTTTTAAGTCACCCAATCTATGCCATTCTGTTATAGCAGCCAAGGCTGACTGAAACAATAAGATGTATTTAAGTGGATGCAGTTGAGAAAGTAAAGAGGAATGGGAGAAGTTTAGAAGATTGAAACTATTGGTATAAAAATAAAATTCAGTCTATAGAAGGAAAAAATAGAAAATTGGCCTAAAAATTCCTTACACTATCAACCAGCTTTTCTACTTTCTAAAACCTCACTAATTTTTGCCAAGACAGAGACATTTGAATGTTAAGGAAGACTCTCAGAGCTGAACATATACAAACACAGACAAGTAATTTTTAAGGTTCATAAACATGCTACAGCTTAGAGAATATCTTCTCTCTTACCCAAAGGGCCTTCCTTATACTCCCTAGCAAATATTTCCTTGATAATGGCAAAATTTCATTTATGGAATTTAGAAACTATAGAGTCAAAATAAATATAAATAAAATCTTTTATTTTCCAAACGTGCCTGGTGGACTCCCTTGCTTTCTGCTGTAGGTATCCCTCTTCCATCAGGAGAAGAGCTTTAGCTGTTTAGATGAACAGTGATTTGTGAGGCACTTACCCCGGATCCTGGCCAGAGGCTCACAGGCAGTCAGGGAAGACATCATCCAAGCAATGCTAGAGCTTCCATGTTTCAGAAGTTAGCGGTTATCTTACTGTTGCTAACTGGTGACACCCATGTTCAGTGATACTTATGGGTTCATTGAGGGAGTGATTAAGGTCAGAAGGAAGTGAAAACTTAAAGAAGAGGAGGGGAGATAATAAGGATACAGACAAGGAATTAGATTGAGTGTGGCTAAACTTATCGACCAGGCCTTACTTGAAAGAATACAGAAAAATGCTTCCCAAATCCTCAAACATGGATGCATCGCTTGCCACTCTACTTTGTATTGACTTCAAAAAACTTTCTGCAGGCAAATACCTAGAGGCAAACATCTTAGGAAACTAGCTACAAGCATAGACACATTCTTTAACAGACAGCATGATGCTTTTCTGGTTCCATTGCCAAAGGGTGACTGCTGATGAGCCACGCCAACTCTGCTCACCAAACTACCAGATCTATCCAGAGAAAGCACAGAAACAAGTGCTCAGAACATCTAAAACTTGAGTAGTCATTGCATACTGGCCTCATCTCCACTCTGTGAAGGGCAGATAGAGGACCAGAAGTCATGCCTCTACCACAGAGAGGCACAATACACAAACAGTACTAAATCTGGAAGGCACAATTATTGGAAGAGTAATGAAAATTATTTTGATTTGATTTTTGTTTGTTAATTATTTTTCCCAGTAGTTACTTATTAGCTGCCTTGTGTAATACAGAACTTACAAATTCAGAGACTTTATGCTGGATCGAGTGCTCACATAAGTTTTATTTTTGAGGGGTGGGTACTACATAGTATTTTTCTATGTGAATTAGTTTTCAACATTTTAAGATCAGATCTCTCGTGAACAGCTAGACTGTTCTTTTAAAAAATGGTAAGATTTAGTAACACAGAGCCAACATTTTCTGTAGGACAATCAGCCAGAGCTGATTGGGAGAGAAAGGCACAGGTTTTCCAATTCACCACAGTCCCCGCTAATTTCTGTTGCTCATCAGATGCAGAGGCTGAGTGTTGATTGACATTTATCATCAAGTTTTCTGTTTTTTGTTTGTTTGTTTGTTTGTTTGTTTTGTATAGTAGGGTAAGTAGGGAAGGGAAATACTTTTGCTACCATATAAGTAGCAACCTCTCTGAACCTCAATAAAGGATAGACTGAGAAGGCCACAGGATTCAAGAAAAATTAAGGAAAGCACAGGTTTTCTTATACTTCATTCCGTTCAAATAACTTGTCTGTCTCTTGCAAACTTTTTTGTTTTTTTAACCCTTAATATAACAATCACAGGCTTTTGAGTAGACAGGCCTGGCCTTAAAGCTTAACTTCATCACTTCCTATATGTTTTTGACAATATTATTTAAACTCTCTGAACCTCAATTTTCTCACCTTCAATGCTGAAAAAATACTATCTACCATGAGAGATTGTCATGAGGATAAAACAACATATGCAGGCATCTAGCACATACTAGAAGATGCTCAAGGAATTTTAGTTCCCTTCCTCTTTGAAGAGTTGGGATGAATTAAGCAGACCTGATCATAAAATCATACACACATCTGAAGTGCCTGCCAAAATGTAATGGCCCAACTGCTGCTTCAGAGAGATGGGTCGGCTCGAGGTTTTAATGCACTTTTCATAAACTGTGGCTCAACAACAAAATCTATCACTGTTAGGCAGACTCATAAGAAAGACTAGATTTAAATAAACTTGCTTCTCAACTCTTAAGTATTAACTGCTTTCACCTTGACTCAGAAACATACCAATAGGAAATGTACACTTAGCCAATAAACAGTAGGATTAATCAATGCCGGAAAAGATAATGATAATAAAATGCATTATTTGAAAGTTGCATGACAGCAGACCGTTCCGTATAGAAAGGTACATTTAAATTACATGGAAACACATTTTTAGTCCTCTGAGTTCATGCATCTATCTGCATGGCTATAACCATAAAGAAAAATTTAATGCAGGCCACTATTCTAGAGCTACCATTTAATTTTGAGTAGAAACTGATAGTGAAAAAAATTATTTTCGTTTATAACAGACTGTCAAATAAAAAATATTCATTGCAATATAAGAGCCAGAAAAACAAAATTGCCACTCTACCATGTTGAGGTTTAAGTGGGCCAATAAATCATAGCCCTCTTCATTGTGAAATCCAAGCCAATTGAGAAATAGACATAGATGAAAGGACCAGCAAACTTTACTGCTTGTGGAGTTGGATGGGAGAACGGATTGGGGCAACACTTAGACCTGGCCACAGATCAGTCTGCCTACACCAATTTCTAGTTCTCTTCTCTTTCCCTTTGCCTCCTACAAAGATGAAATAGGCCTGGATACACTCAGCCCAGGAAGAAAAGCCCTTTGGATAGGAAGAAGAGAAGAAAGGAGTCTCACTAGACATGTGAAGATCCTTCATCCAATCCCACCAACTAAATAAGGGAATAGAGAGAAGTTACAAGAAGTGTGATTCCAGTAGTTTCTTTTCAGAGAAGAGCAGTTGTCTTATAGCATAGTGTAGATGGAGAAACCATGCCTTCTGTAACGTACCAGAAGCCCAAGTCTACCCTCTTCAGACAATCCTGCCACCACAGATTGGCTTTTAAGAGGATCTGAAAAGCCAATCCACAGGCATCTACAGAGGATTTGTGACTTGGAGGTTGGTACATTTTCGGGAATGTCAAAATGTTCACTTTATGGTTATGTGGAGCACAGTAGCTGCCTCTGAATAACCAGCTCGCAACTACCACTGCTTCTGCTGACTGCTGAAAGCCTTAGCATCATGCAGCTGATGGTTTAGCTTTTTGGACATTGGCATGTGAGAAAAAACATTAGAAGAATGTTAAATATGACTTGTCAATAAATGAAATTGTAATTTTGATTGGTAATATTTCAGTAGGCCCGTGGAACTTTCTTTGCAACATGAACTTCTGCCTCCTTGCTGAGGGGCCCAGAGATCTACTTTGCCGTCATTTATGTCAGAGTAAGACTCTTTAGTGCAGCCCAACTATGCTGTCAACCCCAAATCCCAAGGGATACATATGATCACCATATTTATTGCAATGGCCCAGGCAATCATGATACCACTGCCTCTAATGAAACTAAAGTGCACATGTCATTTTGGAGATGCTACTTGTTCAGGCAGAGTTGCCTGTCAGCTGTCTCTGGCCAAGCAGTACAACCTGCAATTTAGTTAACAAACTGAGACATCATAGAAATCAGTGCTCTTAACAGGCTTCCTTGATTCACTTGGGTTTTACTGCCTGTCATACATATCACAAGCCTCCAGTAAAGTGGCACTGGTGGGAGGAGGTCCCAGTAGGATTGAAAAGACAAGGAAAAGAAAAGCAAGGAATTTGATGAGTTCAAAAGTGGAATCCAGCAAAACTATTCCTTGGTGCCAATAAATCTGTTGTTGCCAAAAGGGCAAGTTTCAAACTCTTCAGCCTGGTATCCCAGGTCCACCATTATCAGGTGCCAACATTTTTTCCCAGTATTGTCACCAAACTTTCTGAACCTTCCCTCCCATCCATAATTGTTGATTAGTCTAGCCACTTCTTTAGCAGGCATATATGGAACACCTTCTGTGTGCGAGGTATTATACCAGGCATTAATACCGACACGAAAAAAACTTTTTTTTTTTTTTTTGAGACAGAGTCTCATTCTGTCACCCAAGCTGGAGTGCAGTGGCGCATCTCAACTCACTGCAACCCCTGCCTCCTGAATTCTAGTGATTCTCCTGCCTTAGCCTCCCGAGTAGCTGGGATTACAGGTGTCTGCCACCACACCCGGCTGATTTTTGTATTTTTAGTAGAGATGGGGTTTCACCATGTTGGCCAGGCTGGTCTCGAACTCCTGACCTCAGGTGATCTACCTACCTCGGCCTCCCAAAATGCTGGGATTATGAATACAACTATTTTTAACTTTTAAATAATCCTTGTGCTGAGGCTCAGTCCCAGGAATGAAATGGATGGTGGCAGCTATCAAGAAGTGTGGAAGCTGGGCTGAATTCCAAAGGCTTATTTTAAGGAAGAATGGAATACAGGAAATCCAACTCACTAGAAAGACCTCCAGGAAACAATATATTTAAGGACAAAAAAAATATGGAATAAGAAAGTCTGCCTTTCAGTTAAAGTGATAAGGGAAGTCTTAAGAGCAGAAATGGGATTTAAACTCAATCCTGAACATGGATAGAATGTAAGTGAACACAGAGGAGATGGTCCAATGTGCATGCTATGATGTTAACAAGTGGACAGAAATGCAAGATACCTGAATTGGGATTTGGAATCCAGGAAACTTGAGTTTAACCCTGGACTGTTTCACATGAGTCGAGCAGCAGTGACCAAGTCATTTGGCCTGAGTATTAGTTTTCTTATTTCAAAAATGGTAATGAAACCACCTAGCCTACATACTTCACAGGATAGTTTTGTGGATCAAATGAGATAATATATGTAAAAGTGCTTGGTAAATTTTAATGCACAAAACACATATCAGAGAATCATTAGGTGCACTACAATAATTATTGACTTGATTTAAAATGTACACGGCTGTTTCTTCCTTTAGCTTTCACTTTGATAATTTTTAAAGGCTGCCATCTTAAAAACCTTCGATAGAAGTAGTAAATGCTTCATTTCATACTTATCCATTTCTTTCATCAGAGAAAATCAAAGTGCTTCTTGAGTATCATCTCATTAATCTCTTAGAGGGAGGTAAGTAAAGGGACACATATTTTGCACAGTTGTATATGAATCTCAGTTTTACAAATGGGAAAGCCTCAGATAAACTTCCTTCAGTCACAAAGTAAATCTAAACAACAGCCAAAAATAGATCCAGACATCTCTTTATCCAGTTCTCTGCTCTCATTATATGCATCCCCAAACCTTCTTCTCTCAGGAGATTTCCATGGACAGATCTGGCTTTCAAGCTCTGAAACAGGTAATTTTTTGTTTAACTATTTTTAGCCTCTGTTTCTTCATCTAGACAAACTAGAATACTTATAGAGATAAAAAATAGTACATATGTAATATTTATGAAAGAAATTTAGCCAATTAGCCATTACACATCAGATAAAAATTAAGGTTAATTTCATCTGTTTTACATGGGGTGAATTTGGTTTATAAAAATCTCAAGGGTAATTGTCCCAAAATATAGGGCATTGGGTTGATTTGGATAAATACTTAGATTGATCATTATTAATAAATATCAGAATTGCACCATCAATCAATAGAGATTTTTTGGCACACACTATGTGCAAAGAATTGTGTTGCAATCTAAAGATATAAAGATAAATAGGATACAGTGTGGGTATTCATTAAGTTTACAATTGGGTAGATAAGACATAGTCAAAATAGCTGTCAAAACATAGAAGGTGGTAAAGGCAATAATGGAGACAAAATTCAACAGGGTTTCAGTAGAAATTGTTGTTCTGCTAGGGAAAGCAAGGAAGGCTTCCTGCAAGAGGTGACTCAGAGGCTGGGTTCTGAAGGACATCTAGGATTTCAACAAATGTAGGAAACAGAAATAAGGTTGAGGAAATAACATTCTAAGCAGTGGGACCAGCACAGCAAAAAGCAGTAATTAAAAGAAAAATGAAGTCTAATCAGTGGGTTAGTTTGGATGGAATATAGTATACATTAGAGAGAAATGAATTTTACTGGATAAAAAAAGGTAGGTTGAGGCCAAATCATGTTAGGCTTTCAATGTTGTATTAAGAAATATAAACTCTCTTCAGTTGGTATTAGGAAGTCATTGAGCAAAATGACCAGAAAAAAAACCCAAAATCTTACATATATTTCAGTATGTTCTGAGCAGCTGGGGAAGAAGCAGAGGAGAGGAATTATAACAGATAAAATAGAGATGAGGTAACAGATGGCATGAGATCTCAGAAAAGATAAAAGGGCAGGAGGCCAAGGACCTAGGTAGACTCAACTGTGGAAGGTGATAAGCAAATTTTTCCTCTGAGACAGGAAGACAGGAGGAATAGTAGCAGCTATACTGTGATGTGGTGAGATAGCATAATTTGATATATATTTTAAAAAACACTATTGGATAATTTTTAGAGACATTGTAGAGGAGATTTAGTGAGTTGGGACTAAAGTGGCATCTTTGTGGTCTCTACGAAGCTTGTGATAAGAGGTGTACCCATGTGGTCTTGACTTTCCAAATGAGAAAGGATATGAGTTCACACGAATAACAGAGCAGCAAGCTGCTTCAGAAGCTAAATCATATGATGGCTAGTGAAATTAGCTAACAGAAGAATTTTGTTCTGCTGGCAGAGTCTTCTACTCAGAGGATATATATTTCTGTTCATGAAATGACGAATAATACCCAGCTTCTGACCCAGACATTTGTTACTTGCCTGGCTGCAAAGCATTTGACTTTGGGACCTCTGGGTTTTAGAAACTAAGAGGAAATGCAATTAGCTAGTACAGCTTCACAAAGAATAGTCACATCAAACTAATCTCATCTTCTTGAGAATATAGTTACTATACAGGAAATCAGGAGAATGGCGTGAACAGGGAATAAAAATCACAGCAAAGCATCAGATAGGTCTTCAGTGATATCTCTGAGGCCACCATGAAGAAAACTGAGGCAGGCTTACACATTATATACATGGTGTACTAAACAAACAGATAAGGAGATCTTGCAGGGCTGGCCACAGAACCATGTCCTTTACAACCTACCTGGTCAATATTTGTATCAGTGGCTTGAATTAAAAAAAAAGAGAGATATTGTTACAAGTTCATTCATATTGCATATGAATGTGATATGATGTATTGGAGGAAATGTATTGAATGACAGAATACAAATGCTGTGAAGAGACTTGGAAACAGAGAAAAAATCTCAACGAATGTGAATTAAGATGAATGTAAATTCATTTATGGAAAAGAAACAATTACAGTCTAAGTGTATAATTTGGATGGCTTGGTCAAAATGGGATTTCAGAAGAAGAGCTGTGGGGATACCACATGGCCAGGGGTTCAATAGGATCGCTAAGTGGAACAGAATCTCTATAAAAACATTCATGTCAGCTCTTGATTGATTAATAGAAGAGTGTTGCTATTGGAGACAAGAATGGTCTCTGTGCTCTGCAGGAGTCAGGCAAAATGCAGAGAATCCTAATTTGTGGTAAATACCCTGCTTTAATAAAGTCATCAATAGGCTTTAATTTGTCCACAATATTGTGTGATGAAAATGGCAAAACTTCGGAAAATACTTTTATGTCACCTGAGGAATGATTACAGAAACTAGAAAAGCAAGGACTTGGAGGGAGAAATGTGAACGCCACGATCACGCAGTATTGTCCCATAAAGAAAAACCACATAGTAACTTTTCTGAGTATAGACATCTAAGCAGTGGGAAGTATGCATAAGGAGGGATATTTTGAATAATGATAGACTTTTTTCTCCAGTAGAATGTTCCTATAATGAAGCAGATTGACCTGCAAAATGACAGGAGAACAACTGGGAGAACTCAAGCAACCACCAAAACTGTTTCTGTCTGGACTACTACCGCTGAGGAAGGAATTGCTGCATTTGGAGGGAGCCTTTGTGTGCTGCAGAAATGTACCATGAAAGACTAAGCCCTGGATAGACACTGTCCCTTCAGTTTGAGCCCCAGAAAAAAACATGCATGGAGCATATCTGAACCTAATCCCAGCCTGGAGCCAATCCTAGCTGACCTGCAGTCCAAAGGAGAGCCAACATGCTGAGCCCAGCGGAGACAAGCCAAATTTCAGTCAACCTGCAGGCCTGTAAACATGGGCGTAAATATTTGGTATGATAAGCCACTGAATTTCAGTGGTTTGTTATGCTGTGTCATTAGACAATAACGAATACACTCAGTTTTAGGAAATAAAAGACTCAAAACCTTTTTCTGATTGGTAATAACCTTCTGAAGCTGTGACCCAAATGCAAGAAAACGACCATGCAACTTTTACTCTATAGTAAAGAAGAGGCCGAGCGCGGTGGCTCATGCCTGTAATCCCAGCACTTTGGGAGGCTGAGGTGGGCAAATCACGAGGTCAGGATTTCCAGATTAGCCTGACCAACATGGTGAAACTCAATCTCTACTAAAAATACAGAAGAATTAGCCAGGCGAGGTGCTGTGCGCCTGTAATCCCAGTTACTCAGGAGGCTGAGGCAGGAGAATCGCTTGAACCCAGGAGGCGGAGGTTACAGTGAGCCGAGATTGTACCACTGCACTCCAGCCTGGGAGACAGAGCGAGACTCTGTCTCAAAAAAAAACGTGGAGATTATAATTTATTCTAAACAGCAACTGATAATATAGAAGAAAACTTAAGTGTTTAGCTTCCCTTAGCCTCCAGTAGAGGCTACTTACCTTCAAGCCCCTGGTAGTGTTCTCTAGAAACTAGACCATGGAAGTATTCTTTCCATTTAAGACTATCAGTCTCTTTGCTGTTAGTTAATTAGTGGTTAGAATTATTTTTGTTTCCTTTACATCAGGATAATGCTGTTTGTACTCAGCCTCACTCAAGAATGGATATGCCGTATCAAGTAGAACAAAAGTCACCAGCAAGCTTTCCATGCTTGAAATGAAGCCGAGAGAGCTTTTGAAGAGCATATATTTTGTAGGAAACTTAATTTCCTAGGAAGGCTAAAAACTTGTTTTCTTTATAGGAGCTAAATGGCATGGACATACTTTGAGTACTGCATAAAGGACTTTGCAAAGACACTCTTGGTAATCAACATAAAAAGAGAAAGGCCAAATCTTTAAAACTTAAGCAAAATGAGCAACAGCATCAAGATGATAAGAAATACATGGTTTGCACATCATGGTGCAAAAAGTGTTTCTTGGTAGTGGTCAAGATAGTGTGGACATTAGGAATGGGAAAACTACTCATTGCTTGTTTGAGCAAAAACCTTATCTCCCAATATAGATATGTATTTATTTGCCTGAATCTAAAACATTTAGATCATAGAATTTCTGAAAATAGCTGTATAGAAACAGCTTCATTCATTTAAAACCACATACAAGCAATCCTAACAATCTGCAGAATGTTCCTAAGCTATCACTGAAAGCAAAGAACTCTACCCCACAACTGGATTTATTGCCATTTATTTCAAAATCCAAGGAAAAAAAGTCAATTCACTACTTTAGAAAATTAAGTTGGCCTCCCTGGCTTATGTAAATTTTCTCTTCATTTCCTTATTTCATTTATTGGACAAATTATTGCTCTTTGCTTTCTACTCCAAAGAATTACACTATAGGGACAACAAGATGAACTGCCTCAACAATATTCCTATATGGATAACTGTGCCATTCTAAATGTCCACTTGCTGCATATACTGAAACCACTTCTTGGGAAGTCTCTGAAGCACCTGAGTCATTCATCTTTCCTTGGGGCTGATGGTGGGGGTGGGGAGGAGGGAGATTTATTATCGGAAACAGAAGCCAAAAGTTAGCAGCCTCTATTCAAGGTCACACCCAAAATAACAACACCTGATTCCATGGCTGCAAATGCTCTTTCCTTAGCCACCTGTAAAAATATTTATGACCTTAGCTACTTCGGGTTACTCAAACTGTTCCCAGCAGAAAGTTACTTTGCAATTTGATTCAAGAGGTTGGCCCTCAATTTGTTTCATCTTCTACAGCGAAAAAAAGTTCACCCAGCAGTCAAGACTGACATTCTCATTTGTGTGTTCTCCTTTCCTGCACTTCTTCCCTTCAACCCTTCACTGAATTCATTGATGGTGAAAAGTCTTAGTATAACAGTTAACAAAAATTAATCAGGACACATATTTAAACAACTCCATGAAAAAAAAAACAAAGCCACATTAGTACTCAACTACAACTAATCACAAAGATTTCTAGAGAACTCATCAACACAAAGAAAGGAACAACAGACACTGAGGTCTACTTGAGGGTAGAGGGTAGGAGGAAGGAGAGGAGCAGAAAAAAATAACTATTGGGTACAAGGCTTACATACACAGGTGATAAAATATCTGTAGAGCAAAGCCCGGTGACATGAGTTTACCTATATATCAAAACTTCACATGAACCTAAAATAAAAGTTTAAAAAAGTCATAATTGCTAATCTGTCCAATATCTCTTTAAATTTTGTCTTGAAATATCTGTAAGCATTTCAAATGGATTTTTTTTCTGTTATCTCTTTGGATGTGTGCACACATATCTCTAGGTGTGGGTAAGACGGAGAGGGTGGGAGTAATGGACAACTGGGGGAGTGTGTATGTGAAGGAGGCCCATGACATAGAACCGTATTACAGAGAGATGAAAGGGCAGGGAAGGGTGAGTTACCACCTTGCTTGTTCCTCCCCTGGCAATTCAGTTCTGTCCAAATAACTCTCGATTAATGCACCAAGCAGAAACATTTCACATTTCCTCCTTAAGATCATTCTGACAGCTCACCAGCTGTTTCCGTGCTATTTTTTGCCATGATGGCATGGGTAAGCCTCAGCGCCTTCTCCGTTACTCTGCCAACAGCAATGCTGCCTGCTGTTCAGTGCTCAAAGTCTGTTCCCCAATCCAAACTCTACCATCCTGTTCCTTTCCCACTCACCTTGCACAACAGTGATTTTAAGAGTCATTGATATGTGGTCCCTAGAGGAAACCTAGATGGTGATACTGACTGAAATGACTGCATGAAAAATATAGTTAGATAAAAAAATATGTTTTTATACCAAAATTCATTATTGAGAATGTATAAATACCTAATCATTACAAATTTCTATATCTTTCTTTAGTCATTCTCAACATTTGAAAACGGTGTTATCAAACAGAAAGAACCTGGGTATTACAGTTTGACAGACCTGAATTTTCAATTCCTTTTCTCCTCTGTTCTACTCATACGTCACTCTGTCAGTTTTCTCACCTGTAAAATGGTGTTTTGGGCTTTATCCAAAGAAGTCAGGAGACTCGAATAAGATCACATAAGTAGAAAAAGAACTCAAACTTAAACCTAGATTTCATAAATCCTAGTTCAAATTTTACTCTTTTAAAAGACCACATTATCAAGGAAAACAACAACAAAGGAAAGGAGCATTAGGTTCGATTTACATACAAGTCTAATAAACATGATTATTTGGTTTCCAGACTTACAGCATGTTATAAACCACAGGCTAGAAAGGAGGGGCATGGGGGACAAGTGGCAGGTGACAAATGCACGGATAATACAAGAGATGGCAATGTAGCTTTAAGAGAGAAAAACTAGTATAGAGGTATGGGCACGTATAATATAGGAGGAACTTTATAAGGCCAGGCACGGTGGCTCATGCCTGTAATCTCAGCACTTTGGGAGGCCGAGGCAGGTGGATCACTTGAGGTCAGGAGTTCAAGACCAGCCTGGCTAACATGTTGAAAACCCATCTCTACTAAAAATAAAAATATTAGCCAGGCATGGTGGCGCACACCTGTAATCCCAGATACTCAAGAGGCTGAGGCAGGAGAATCGCTTGAACCCAGGAGGTGGAGGTTGCAGTGAGCTGAGATGGCACCACTGCATTCCAGCCTGTGTGCTAGAGCAAGACTCCATCTCAAAAAAAAAAAAAAAAAAGAACTTTTCTATATCTTACATCAGTTTCTTAGAGCATCAAAATTACAACAAAATAACCTTTATAATTTAGCTCTGGGGTCAGGGACTCCAACCAGATCCAGAAGAACTAATAAGTCAGCTGATTTTCTTGATGAGCTACATGTTTGCTGTCATTCCCACAACAGTCTTCTCTGCAGTGATTGAGGACCTCCACCATGTCTGGGAGTGTGTGCAGGATTCCCCCCTTTCCTACACTGCTGGGTGACTGTAAGCTTTGTGTCCATCCTTGCTGCTCTCCCTCCACTATTGCTACAACCACCTCAAATATGCCGAGGTTTAAGGGAAGTGAATGTGTCTTTACAATGTGGTGGGGCTTCCATTCCTGGGTGTAGTATATTCAGGACACCCTGATTATGAACTCAAGGATAATAAGAATAATAACAATAACAATAATAATAATATCAATTCTTCTTTAACACTTGATCTGTGTAAGGCAATGTTCCAAGAACTTTTAGCATATTATGAATTTGACCTTTACATCAATCTATGAAGTAAACATTATTATAATATCCATTTTACAGACAATGAAACAGAAGTAGGAAGGGGTTACCTGATTTGCCCCAAATCACGCAGCTTGTAAGTGAAGGAGCCAGGATTTACACCCAGGCTTTCTGGCTCCACTCTCAATCCTTGAACAATTTTGACTTGTGTACCATTAAAACAGAACAACTCAATGCTTTATCATTTAAAGCAGTGTCAGCTGGTTACACAGTCTTACCCCTATGCTACATCCTAATCACCCACCTTCCAATAAGTAGCTTAGTCAAGTCATTTATCCTTTCTGAGCTTTAGCTTTCTCACTAGTGAAGTGAAGAGGACAGAGCAGAGGTTCTCAAGTGTTCTTTCCAAATTGGTCATCCATGCTCCTTTGGCAGAGGAGCCTAGACCTTGGGGTCTTGCTGCATCCCCCCATGGCCTTCTCCTTTCTCCCTTTGCAGTGATGGGCAGAGGACGGTGTGGATGCAATTGCCCTCCAGCATTTTACACTTCTTAGTAATATCTGAACAGTGATAATGCTTCCCTGGGGAAATACTCTGATTTCTAGAACAAGTCTCACATCTGTAATGTTTCTGCTCACTGGAAATATAATAAAAAAATAATCTGAGAGAAGGCATTTAGGTCTCTGTGTTTTTGCCCTGGGTTAGGTGCCTGGAAGAGCAAGTACTTGGGCTTCATTTCATCAGAGGCCAACCTAAACACTCTATGTGACACAAAAATTATCACAGTTTATGGGGAACTGATAATGACAGCCAGAGTGTGATGTGCTGAAAACAAAAAAAGAAAAACAAAAACAAAAAACAAAAGAACTCACAGTCTGTGTGTCAGAAAAATTAAATCCCTGAATGTTCTCCCAGACTGCAGCATATTGGTGACAATATATTTGTTGATTAGGGGCACCATCGTACTGATATTCTGAAAAAGTACAGTTATAACATGGAGTTATGGGTTAAATTGTGTCTCCAAAAAGATATGTTGAAGTCCTAATCCCTAGTACTTGCAAATGTGGCCTTAGTTGGAAATAGGATCTTTATAGATGTAATCAAACGAATATAATGTCATTAGAATGCATCCTAACTCAAAATGATTGGTGTTCCTATAAGAAGAAAGAAACACCATGTGAAGACAGACAGTGATGTGGTTGTCCCTACCCAAATCTCATCTTGAATAGTAGTTCCCATAATCCCTACATGTCATGGGAGGGACCCAGTAAGGAGTCACTGGGTCTTGGTGGCAGTTTCCCCCATGCTGTTCTCATGATAGTGAGTTCTCATGAGATCTCATGGTTCCATAAGGGCCATTTCCCCCCTTTGGTCTGCACTTCTATCTCCTGCTTCCATGTGAAGAAGGATGTGTTTGCTTCCCCTTCCACCATGATTTTGAGTTTCCTGAGGCCTTCCCAGCCATGTGGAATTGCGAGTCAATGAAACCTCTTTCCTTTATGAATTATCCAGTCTCCAGTATTTCTTCAAAGCAGCATGAGAACAGACAAATACAGACACACAGGGAAAACGCCATTTGATGACACAGGCAGAGATTAGAGTGATGCAGTTGCAAGCCAAGGAACACCAAAGGTGGATGGCACATACCAGAAGCTATGAAGAGGCAAGGAAGGATTCTACAGTCTTCAGCAGGAATGTGGCCCTGGCTTTATTATAGACTTCTAGCATTTAGAATAGGAAAAAAATAAGTCTTGTTTGAAGCCACCCAGTTTGTGACACTTTGTTACAACAGCCCTAGAAAACTAGTACGTTTGGTGAACCCCATTCCCACTTTCCATTCCTGGATGATTGCATAGGCTTAAATAATTTCTCTTGCCTTCCATGTCTGTGGATTCAGGCAAGAGTTGTAGCCTGATGTTCCCAC
This sequence comes from Homo sapiens, assembly GCF_000001405.40. NCBI lineage: Eukaryota > Metazoa > Chordata > Mammalia > Primates > Hominidae > Homo > Homo sapiens. The sequence continues at coordinate 79,635,326 of NC_000014.9, read as the reverse complement.
CATCAAAGTCCGATCAAGAGGCATAAAATGATCTGATTCAGCTAGTGCATTTGCTTACTGGTTTTCTTTTTAGCTCATGTTTCTCTCCTGTTTATGTTTTATTTTGTTTTTAATTGACACATAATCATTGTGCATACTTATGGGGTACAATGTGATGTTTCCATACCTGTGTATATTGTATAATGATCAAATCTGGGCAATTAGCATATCTATCACCTCTAACACTTGTCATTTCTTTGTGGTGAGAATATTCAAAATTCTCTCTTCTAGCTATTTTGAATGACACAATATATTATTGTTAACTCTAGTTACCCTACTGTGCAACAGAACACCAGAACATCATTTGCAGCAAAGGTAAACCTAGAGAGCATTATGTTAAATGAAATAAACCAAACACAGACGGACAAATACCTCAAGATCTCACTCATATATGGAATCTAAAAAGGTCGATCTTAGAATTACAGAGTAGTGTAATGATTACCAGAGTCTGGCGAGGCTAGACGTGGTGGCGATGGGGAAAGGTTGGTCAGTAGGTTCCTCTTCTTTTGTTTAATGTGAAATTGGTGCTGTTAAGTTTGGCTTTGATATGCCCAGAAACAGTAAAGGAAAGAGGAAAGAGCATAGTTGTTGGGGGCAGATGGATGAGGAGAAACCCAGAGGGCATATAGCTCACGGGTAAAATACTGCAGACATGTCCCTTAACCGCTTTGAGTCTCCATTCCTTTATTTATAAAATGGGCATGATCAAGTCAACTTTATGTTTCTGTGAGTTTTACAGTTCTTGCTTTAGAGAAACTTGCCTACTTTCAGGCATGTTTTCCCAAAAGCAACATGGTATCAAAAAACAAAAAGGACTTCCTTCATCAAAAGAGATAATTTATTTTAAAGACATTATTTTCACTTGAACCTAAGTAAACCTGATGTCAATATGAGGCTTTTTCCATACGTAACCTATCAAAAGCTATTGGAAAGGTTGCAAGAGCCATCTCTCTGTCTCCTCTCTCTCTCTCTCTCTCCCTCATTTGCTGTCATGATTCCTGGACTAGCCCGTCTCTCGACATTATATAGCCTTAGACAACACAGGATAGATAGTAGCATGAAGTGTGCAGAAGTAAGTCCACCAGTAGGATTGCTAGGGCTAGCCACCCTGTTTTCTCCTTGAACTTGACCACAACATGTTTTACCTTGTATCTTGCTCCAATCACAGCTGTTTCCGTAGAAAAATCATTTCTTGTGATGGACTTTTGTCTCACTGGAGTAACACTCTTTCGTGAGGATAGCAAAAGTTGTAGGGACAGCCTAAGATTTTTTTTTTTAAGTGGTTTTGGTTTTGTGTTTATGGAATGTTTGTTAGTACAGCAGGAGTGAGACTGGATAGAGTTGAAGGTGCTGAAAGTGTCAGATGGCAGAGCTTCGTGGGGGCCCATGTGAATGCTTAGAGTTTTGGTAGCCAAAACTCAAGTAATATAGGTTAAAACAGGCCAGTTGGCTCATCCCAAGAAGTGATGGAAGACTTCTGGCTCTATCTTTCCAGGAGGCAAGAAGAACATCAGCTGGCAGCAAACAGCACCGTTCTGTTACCACCCATCTTTTGCTGTTGTTGGTTTCTCTCATCTCAAAAGAGAGTCTTATTATGTGTCTCGTTTAAAATATTCTTTGTGGATTTCCAACAAAATCCTCTTAAGTTCTTGAATCCAAGAGCAGAACAGAAGAGGTGGTTTGCTTCCTAGACTTCCTGAAACATCAGCTACTTTGATAAATATTTATTGAGCACTTATTCTGAGTGACACATTAAACAGCTAGATGTTACAGAGGATGCATCAATGAGGGAGATACAACTCCATTTCTCAGGGAAAGGGAACATTTCCGGGAAGTGAGTAGAAATAATCAATGAAGCATATACAAAAATAACTGGAACCAAGGCAGAGTGAGACAGGTGCCATAGAGGTCCACCCAGTGGTGACATCATATTGGGTTGGAACTTACCAAGCAACAGCTCATAGGGAAGTCTGCATTTGATAGGAAATAAAGATAAATGGGTAAGGTTTTACCTGACTGGGAACATAAAATTATGCAGATAAGACAAAGCATGGCTTAAATTTTGGCTCTAAAGCCCATCCTTATCAAGCTAGTTCTCCTGCGACCTAGACCTAGGTTTCAGAACTGGGGCAATGATACCACGGGAAGGCAGGTACATGTAGTGTTGAACAGAATGGACTACAGATCACACAGAAATCAGTCTAAATCCTAACACTGCCAATTACTATTATTTGGCTGTGAGCAAATCCCTTGAATGTTCTATTTCTCAGTTTTCTTATTTGCAGTATCATGGTAATAACATCTGCTGCATATAATTGTTTTATATATTAAGATAATGTGTGTAAAATACCCAACTTAATGACGGACACATAGAACACAATGTTAGTGCTATAAAAGCTGTATATGTTAAAGTAAACCTGTGGCTTTGGAAACAAGCCAATGGAGAATTGATCCAGGTCGTGCAACTTACTAGCTGTGTTTAGTCTTGAGAAATTGGTTAATATTTTAAAATCTTGGTTTTATCACTGCTTCTTAGCAGTAATGTGAAGATTAAATAATATATATAAAATACTTAATATTGTGACTAGAACACAGAATGGACTTAATATGTTTATTATTTGTATTGCTGTTATTTAATACACGTCTTAGGCAAAGACAGAGATATAATTTGTTTTAATCATGAAGTGAAATTTTGTAGAACATGGGTGAGACTGTCAATGATTGCTCTCAGTGAACAACCACATATGATTCCTTCCTGATTAGGAATCCCCTTCTCATTCTGCTCTGGGTACTCTGGCCTTCTTGTTTCCACGTTAGAGCCTTCTGCTCCCTCTGTCCTGAATTCCCTTCTTCCAGGTCTGTTATCACTGGCTCCTTCTAATCTCTCTTATTTCAGGTGTGATGTTGTCTTCTCCCAAGGACCTTCTCCAACCACACTACTCGAAGTGTGTCCAGAATTGGTGGGCTCTTGGTCTCGCTGACTTCAAGAATGAAGCCGTGGACCCTCGCGGTGAGTGTTACAGTTCTTAAAGATGGTGTATCTGGAGTTTGTTCCTTCCGATGTTCGGACATGTTCAGAGTTTCTTCCTTCTGGTGGATTCGTGGTCTGGCTGGCTTCAGGAGTGAAGCTGCAGACCTTCGCGGTGAGTGTTACAGCTCATAAAGGCGGCACAGACCCTAAGAGTGAGTAGCAGCAAGATTTATTGTAAAGAGTGAAAGAACAAAGCTTCCACAGTGTGGAAGGAGACCCACCAGGATGCCGCTGCTGGCTCAGGTGGCCTGCTTTTATTTCCTTATCTGGCCCTACCGACCTCCTGCTGATTGGTCCATTTTACAGAGAGCTGATTGGTCCGTTTTGACAGAGAGCTGATTGGTGCATTTACAAACCTTTAGCTAGACACAGAGTGCTGATTGGTGCATTTACAATCCTTTAGCTAGACAGAAAAGGTCTCCAAGTCCCCTACCTGATTAGCTAGATGCAGAGCACTGATTGGTACGTTTACAAACCTTTAGCTAGACACAGAGTGCTGATTGGTGCGTTTACAAACCTTTAGCTAGACACAGAGTGCTGATTGGGTGTTTACAAACCTTTAGCTAGACAGAAAAGTTGTCCAGGTCCCCACTCCACCCAAAAGCCCAGCCGGCTTCACCTCTCAGTGGCACTCACTGGCGACTTTGGAACCTAGCACGGGCACTCCGGCAGCCCAGAGGGAGCTCGTCCCTTTTCAAGCCCAGCAGGCATCAGCCGGCTGCGCCCAGTGCGGGGCCACGGAGCCCGAACCCTTGCCTGCCAGCGAGCGCCCAGTGCAGCCCCGACTCCCACCTCTGCCTGTCTCTCCACACCTCCCCGCCAGCAGAGGGCAGGCCTTGGCCAGCCCCAGAGAGGGGCCCCCACAGCGCCGCGGCGGACTGAAGGGCTCTTCCAGCGCAGCCAGAGCAGACGCTGAGGCCGAGGAGGCGCCAAGAGCGAGCGAGGGCTGCTAGCACGTTGTCACCTCTCAAAAGTACCTCCTACCCTTATTCTGGTCCTTTCCTCTCTAGCACTTACTGCTGTTGGCAATTGACTATAATTTACCAATTAAAGTATGATCTGTCTCCTCTCATTAGAGTATGACATGCATGAGGACAAGGACCTTGTCTTAGCTGTTCCCTTTACAACCCTTTCTGAAACATAGTAGGCACTTGGTAAATAAATAAATGAGTCAATGGATGACTTTTACACGATAAAGGAGACTATTTTAGCTAGTGCATTACACAACGGTTGTTAGTTCCTTGGCTAAAATCAGAGTGCTGTAAAAAAAACTTCTACCACTGCATTCTAAAGCAGGGAGACAGCTCAGACGTATTATGCAGAGCTTGTACCAAACAAGAACTTACTCTCTTTAAGCTCAAGCATTCTCAGACCTAAATGTATCTATATACGGGTATATTAGGGATTGCAATAGGAAGAGATAAGTCTTGAGAACTTTGAACATTGAGCAATAATTGTAAGCAGAGAGATGGAGGCTCCTTTGCCTCTGGTCTAAATTTTTTATTTATAGAAGGACTATTTTCACGCAAAATGGCCTGGGGTTTAGATGAGAATCAGTGGATGATGCATAAAATAGGACAACAAAGAAACAGGAATCCTCATACAGTCAGAACTGTGAAAATTGCCTTAGCCCTACCTGGCTAAAGTGCTTACCAGTTCCTCTGTAAGGAGGAACTAACTGCAACACATATGTTGTGTATTTTGGTACGTAAATAAATGTCCGTCAGTCTTCACCTAATTCAAGTCCCAAGTAGAAGAAACTCTTTTGACTTGAACCAGGACCAAAGTGACAAGAACAGTTAAGATTCCAAAATCCAACGTGGCCAAAGCAGATAAGCAGCACCCTCTTGAAGGAATGTTTTCTCAACTAGGCTTGAAATTCTGCTCTCTGTGAGTCACAGGTTACCAAACCTTAGAGCTTTCTTTCCACTGCTGGAACTCTCAAAAATGAACAGGCTCAAAGTTGTCCTTATGCTGAGGGGGGCAAGTATGCAAGAATGTTTTTCTTCTTGGGTTTGTAGCACCTGCCCTTTTAGCAGAAACCAGCAGTATTCACTTGGGCCATAAAGGCACCATTTGTCAAATTGCTATTCCAGTGAGCTAAATAATACCCCTGTGGACAGAAAAGTTAATCTTTTTCCGAAGAGCCCCATTTCTACCCAGGAAGTGGCTTACTTGCATTGCAGGAGCTGACTCTGTGTTATTATGTTTCCACAGCAGCTAGGTTCATAGGTAAACCACATGGTGTGTTAACAACAATTTCTTTTCATCCTTTTAAAGTTATTTTCATTTCATTAACTACCCCCTTACTCTTTAATTATTCTCTGTTTAGGTTTTGTTGCTGCCATCATCAAATTTCTATCAGGGGAAAGGGCTGCTACCTTCAAGCCACTGTGCATAACACACACACACGCACACACACACACACACGCACACACACACGCACATACACACACACAAAACATATCTGTTCTTTATCACCGTGCATTTGAAAAGGCTCAGCTGTAACATGCTGATCTCTTTGTTTTTCTTCTCCCCTGTTTAGACCTTTGAATGTCATCTTCCTTCAGTTCCTGCACACTTTGTCACCCTGCTTACTCCCTATTAGCAGTCTCCCTAGAATGGCTGTCTCCCTTTTGGAATCTGTGATTTCACAATCCCCATGAAGCTTGTGCCTTTAATTAAATTCTAGTCCCCAACCCTACCCCCCACCATGATTCACAGATACCCTGAAAAGTTCAACATTAATTAACCAGGGCTACGCAAAGTCTCCAAGCTGGAATACTGGAAGAAGAAAGGTAGTAAAATTGTAACATGTTAGGATTTTTAACAGTCCTGTGATGATGCTCTTGAGGAAGGTGTTTCAGATCCAGGAGGAAGTCATTCAAGTGTAAGGGAAGATGAGCATTGTAAATGCTATAACAACCCAGCATAGCATTATGTTTACTCTAAGAAAATTCAGTGTATTGTTGCTTATTTTTTTTCATTTCGGAATTATATATGGTCTCCATTTCTCCCTCTTTTACCCCAACCCCAGCAACAAAGTAGAAGAAATCAAAATGATGCTAAAATAAATAATGTCTTTGATACAAATTTGATCATTTAAAAATTATCTGGGGACATTTATCTAAGATTAATATACTAATTAATCATCACCTTTAAATGCTCTGGATTTCTATTGCTTCTCAAAAATTCCAGAGGAAAAACTTTTTGATGAACTAGAGAACCACTGCCCATTGAAAATAAGGTAGAGAAACGGATCTAGTTTGAACAATCACTGAATAAAATCAAAACATATCTGATGGGTGAATTCCTTCAATAACTCTGAAAAGTGGTGGCCCTTCCTTTGGCTTTAGTACATCCAGTGTTGGGGGACTCATTCTACTGTGAAGAGATTACTCAAAATATAACTATGATTAGAAATGCTTCTACTTTCACGTCGTACAGTTTTCTGAAGTCTCACAGAACATGTCAACTGGCTCTTTTCCTGGGACTGTAAGATACACTGTGCTGCCAAATCTTCCTTTTTCAGGTTAATATTCGACTTTCAACCTAACTCTTGACTATGTACCTGATCTCAGGTACCATGCTTTGTTACTGCTAGCCATTCCCTAAGCAGAAGGCTTGGCTCTGCCAAGGTATTCTCGAGCTTCTGAAAGTGCCATAGAACATAATTCTCCTCCACCTTTCCAATATCTGCCCTCACAAGGACAAACTATGCCTGGCTGGCAAAGGACCTGGGCCTAGTCAAAGCCCCACACTCTACAAATCTCCTGCTAAATCCAATCAGAAGAGTCTTCAAAATTGGTTGAATACAGATGTCACCTAGAGACACAGGTCCTTCGAAGATCAACAGAATGGACATACTAGAATAAAGTAAATACTTTAAAAATGTCATAGGAACTGTTAGGAGAAAACAATACAGGTCTTAACTTGTGCCTAGCAAAAATCCTCAGGGTTAGAATTTGAAAGACAAAAATCTCTCTATTCCACAAATGTAGACTATCAGAAAGAAGGAGGGAGGAGGATGATGATGAAAATTCAGTCAATTTGAATTGATCATATAAAACATGAGACCTTTGATTGCTTTTTAAATCCTCTAAACTGTCCTCTTATGAGGAAAAAAAGTGCCTTTCTATTTCAAGAATTTGCCTATAAACTTTCAATTACTTTTATGTCAACGGAATCTCAGTACTTATCTTTTTATTAATAGATTGATTAAAAGGAAACCTTTTTTTATTTTAATCTTCTTTTATTTTCTAATATAGTAAGAAAGAGGCTGAAATCCAATTTGTTAGGTTTTTTAAAGTCTACAATGAAATTTTAAAATGCCGTGTTAAGACTGCATATATACAGACACTATTTGTATTGAAAATTGTCACTCTATATACTATAAAAAAAGTAAGACACATTCTTTTTGACTACCATCTCTTATCTGCTATATCTCAGCACCCACGCCAGAAGCCTTAAACATGGTACTTCATTTAATCCCTAGCAACCTCATGAGTTAGTTACCATCATCTGAACTTTAAAGATGAGGTTCCATGGGGTTAATAACCATACCCAGTGTCACACAGCCAGTAAGTGGTAAAATCTGGATGTGATCCTGTTCTTTCTCATATTCATTGAACAAATTATTAAACTGATACCGAGAAGAATGAAAGAAGGCTGTGGTAGCTATTTAATGACAGATAACACAAATTCGGAAATGTATCAAGCAATAATAATGAATAAGGTTATCATTTTCCAACCTGCTCTACATTCAGAGATGGATGGCTTATTCATTCTTGTTATTCTTTTGGGGTGTGGCTGGAATGCACCAAGATAGAACTCAGTGGCTGAGGATCTCAATGAAGCCAAAGGGAAGAAAGGATAAGCAGAAGTACACTAGGAAGCAAACCAACAGTCCAGAATAGCAAAGATGTCTATGGTAAAGTTTCAGTCCATGCCCCCATTCCCCTGGTTCTTAGTAGGCAACTCATTATTGATAATATTGCTGACTTGGCATTATCTGGTGATCTAGAGGATATTTGCCAGAACTGCCATAAACACTTTGTAATTTTTAGCAAGTCCTGTATTTCTATCACTATTCAACTGGTCCACAAATTCATCTCAAGAAAAAGCTATAGAAAGTCACAAATTGCCATCTGAAAAACTAAAACACTTAGAGTTACCAAGGGAGAGGTGCTTTTAACTAACTCATATGTCTTTTTTTTAACCTGTCATATTGATAGAGGATTTAACTAAGGCCATCATTCTTACTATTTCTCACCCGAGATTTCTGATCAGAAAGCTACCTGTAAAATCTAGAGGGTCTGATAATGGGCCAGTCCAATATATTAATCGTAGCTGTCTTTCTAACACTTTGTATTGGTTCCCCTTTCTTTATTTATTTCTATGTAAAATAATAATCCTTAAACATGATTGGGATAGAAATAATACTGTATTGGATAATCTGGAAACCTTGGAAGGAAAGCATACTATTAGGGCTAATCGTGCTGAGAAATCTTGAATTTGTAAACCCTCAAGGCAAGTGGCTAGTTCACAAAGAGGTGGTAAGACATAAAGAGATGAAACTGAATAAAGGATAACTTCTGCCAAAAATAAGCAATGAATCAATAAAATCAAATGTCATATTTCATTCTCTTCAACACTGAAAATTTTACAACCTGTTTATCTGAAGAATAAGAGTTTTTGATCTAAAGATGTGAGAAAATGTGGGTTCATGGAGATGTTTGCCATATTTCCATTTCTCTTCTTGAGCATGGGGAGAAAATTTAAAACTACATTGAGTATTAGAAATAATGACAAACAATGAGGGTTATTTCAGTGGTTTAAAAAAAAAAAAAGAAAATGACTATGAAGACATGAACCAATGAATGAAGGGGTATGACTGAGACCCATCATGGTCCCAGGAGATACCTCTAGGCATCTGGAGGGGAGGATCCAGGTCCCAGACTGCCTTGAAGATCTAGCTCTGGCTCTTCTTGGGCTGGCACTGGGACCATCTTAAAGACCCCCTAAAGGAGAAAGAACTCTATCTGGAAATTTTCCTTGACAAAGGATAGACTTGAGATGATTATTCACTCACTTGTACATTCATTCAATCACTATTTATGTAACTACTAAACAGAGTGCTGTGTTACAGAGACATGAAAATGAACTACAGTCTAAGTCTTTCCCTCTTTAATATAAGCAGACATGTAAACTTATAAGTAATTAAACTGTTTATACCTACAGAGGCTAGTCATTATATAATTATATTTGGTATTTCCCAACAATTTTCTAGTTACAATTCATTTAATCCTTACACCGGTCCTATGAGACATGCATCACTCCTGTTTTCTAGATAAAGAAACTATGGGTGAAAGAGGCTCAGTTGCCGGCCCAAGTCTACAGAGCTGGAAAGGTGCAAACCCTGAGTTCTTAACTGCTACACTTCGGTGTAAGACAACAGTGTCCTTTACAGATGCTATGTCTGTAAAACTGGATACATACAGGACAACTGGGAATAAAGGAGCATATTCAGATCCACATGGGGAGAAAAGGTAATCTGGAGAGGTTTCATAGAGGGGTGATTTAGAATGTGAAGACTAAACTGGCTTGAATACTACTTTATTCCATGTACTTCCATCTCATTTGGGAAATAAAATATAGAGTGAAGTTCAGGGAATGCCTGTACACTGTTAGTGGGAATATAAATAGGTGCAGCCATTATAACATCAGAATGGCTGCTCCTCAAACAATTAGAACTAGAACTACCATATTATCTAGCAATTGTTCTTCTGGGTATACCCAGAGGAAATGAAATAAGCACCCCATAGAGATGTCTGTTCTTTCTTGTATTTTTTACAATAGCTAAGATATGGAAACAACCCAAACATCCCCTGATAGTTGGTTCATGTCTTTATAGTTATTTTCCTATTTTTTTTAACCACTAAAATAACCCACATGTTCATTTTTTTCTAGTTCTCAAAGTAATGTTCAATATTCTCCTCATGCTAAAGGAATAAAGACATTGTGGTAGATGTACATATTAAATGGCATATTATTTAGTCTTAAAAAGAAGGAGATCTTGCCATTTGCAACAACATGATTGGACCCAGAAGAAATTATGCTAAGTGAAATAAGCCAGACACAGCAAGAAAAATACTGTAGAGGCCAGGAGCAGTGGCTCGCACCATAATTCCAGCACTTTGGGAGGCTGAGGTGGGAGAATCACTTGAGCTCAGGAGTTGGAGACCAACCTGGGAAACATAGTGAGACCTCATCTCTACAACAAACAATTAGCCAGGTGTGGTGGTGGATGCCTGTAGTCTCAGCTACTAAGGACACTGATGTGACAGAATCCCTGGAGCCTGGGAAGTTGAGGCTGCAGTGAGCTGGAATCATGTGACTGTACTCCAGCCTGGGCAACAGTGTGAGATCTTGTTTAAAAAAAAACAAAAACAAACAAAAAAAAAAACGGGAAAGAAAGAGAGAGTGAAAGAGTTTGATCTCACTCCTAAGTCGACACTAATAAACAGTCAAATACATAGTAACACAGAGTAGAAAGTTGGTTACCAGATGCAGTGGAAGAGGAGATGGGGAGATATAGGTTAAAGGGTACAAAGTTACAATTATGTAGAACGAATATCTAGAGACTTAAGGTACAGCATGATAACTATAGTTACTACTACTGTATTGTATCATGGAAATTTGCTAAGAGAGTAGATTTTTATGTGCCGTTATGACAACAAAGGTAACTGAGATGATGGATATGTTAATTTTCTTGACTCTACTAGTAATTTCACTATGTATACATATATATATATATACATATATGGAGACACCTTAAATGTACATCTTAAATATTTACAATAAAAAAGCTGACCTATACCATGAGTCTGTAGAAAAACTACAAATGGAAACATTTTTCTCTTGTCACTCTTTGGTCTTCCTGTGAACCAATGGAAAGATATCATGTTGATACCTTGAAAATGGAACTGATAATATGCTTAGAAGAAACAATTTAGGTCATGTATTTCTAGAGCTCCCTGTGAGGGGACAATAACGTGGCTCTTTGGTGTCTTTTGAATTTTTAATCTCGATCAGTGGCTTAGCCATGTGGGAAGTGTAACATCTGCAATGTCACCTGCTCCCCATCCAGGAGGAATGCAATCATTTCTTGTGGGTTATGGTGTCAACCAAAGGCAGTCTTTATCTTTAACAGTAGTCATGAAGGGAGGCTAAGCTTCTAGGTGAAATCATCTGTAGGTGAGATATAGAGTCTTCTCTAACACCCTTCCAAGAGGATGGGAAAAGACAACGGTAGTGGAAGAAGAATGATTAACAAATACAATCAGTAAAACTGAAACATTCTAATATTCTACAATTTAACAACAACCAAAAAAAAAAAAAAAAAAAACAGGAGCTAAGGACTCAGTGATTTCTTTCATGGTTTCTAGAATATTAAAAAAATGTAAATTCTAAGTGAAACAAATTATGAGTTTCCCTCTTTGAGGGAGTCAAAAGATATTAGAAATGGCAGTTAATGGGTGATAGGCTAGTAGTTCAGAATTAAATATCCTGAATGAAATCTGCAGGCAAATGAGTTGTCATTCCTTTAAAAGCAATCATTTGCATTTCCCTGGAAAATATGTAAAGTTGCAGTTGAGTATATTATTTCAACTATGATAGCTTAGTAGCAGAATTTAACATTAGGTCCAGAATACCATCCCATGCTCATATTCAATTGCATGTAGTTGAATGGGAATTGCATTCACAAGATGGGGAACCCCTGTACCAACTTATCTTTTTTCTCTCCAAGTAGATAAACGAAGTGTCTACAGCTGCTATGCCTTAAACTGAGTTGATGGGCTGAATTTAATTAGGTTGTAAGAATGGAAGCTAAACCAGATAATTGACTAAATATAAATGGAATAAAGGCATTTCCACCCCAAAATGTGTTCCTAGAAAACATAGAGTAAGACAAAGTGTGGCCAAGGAGGGTAAACATGTGTTCATATGCTGCTGTATGCATCTGCCCACACCTGCTCTGCAGCTGTAAAAGGCATTTGCATGGTATGGGGATGATGAGTTGATGGCATTTCCTTAGGGAAGAGTGGATGCATTCAAGATCTTTGTCTCAAATATAGCAGGGACAAAAGGAATAAAGAGTTTCCCTGGCCACAGAATAGAGACTAAGAAAATAGATTCCTAAGTACCACCTAGATTTCTAATATCATAGTATTTGCCAATATCACTTAAAATTATTGGATTTCTCTGCAAATATTCAGAAGTCTATTATTTCACTATTATTACATAAAAGATCAAATAATAGATACTCAATAATAATGAAATAATAATAAACTAAGTAATAGGCCGGGTGCGGTGGCTCACGCCTGTAATCCCAGCACTTTGGGAGGCCGAGGCAGGTGGATCACGAGGTCAGGAAATCGAGACCATCCTGGCTAACACGGTGAAACCCCATCTCTACTAAAAATACAAAAAGTTAGCCGGGCGTGGTGTCACATGCCTGTAGTCCCAGCTACTCAGGAGGCTGAGGCAGGAGAATCCCTTGAACCTGGGAGGCGGAGGTTGCAGTGAGCCGAGATTGCGCCATTACACTCCAGCCTGGGTGACAGAGTGAGACTCTGTCTCAAATAAATAAATAAATAAAAATAAACTAAATAAACTAAATAATAACAGACAAGTAGTATCTGGGCCCTCACTAAATCCCAGATCCTGTGCTAACTACTTTATGTATCTTCACTCATTTAACCTTTCATTGACCCTGTCATACAGGTACAATAATTATCTACGTTCCATGAATGAAAAGATTGAAGTTTAGAAAGGTTAAGAAATGCCGAAAGCCATGCAGTTAGCAAGTGACAATAAATTTTATATAAACCACCTATGAAGTTCTTGACTAACAGTTCTAAAAGATTCTTCAGGTTTTACTTGCTTCTGAGTCTGGCAGCTTTTTCCACTGACAAAAGGATCACTTCTACTACTAACATTAATAGGTCAGAAGTACTCATCTGTGCAAATCCATGTCACATGTCTCAGATGAGAAGTGCCATGGTACCCTGTGCTAATTATGGCCTCTTCTGCATGGACTATGAGCTAAACCATAACCCAAAATCCTTTCACGTTGCTCTGACATCATCCAACAGTATACTGGGACAGCGTGGAGAATGTGATGATGTTCCTCAGCCCTAATTCAGTATTCTAGCCCAGTGCCTCTCAATCTGCATACAGTGCCTCTAAAGTTGTTGACAGAACGCAGATTCTTATCCAGTTAAGTTTGGAGTGGGGCTTGAGATTCTACATTTGAAACAAATATCCAAGGGATCTCCATGCTGCTGGTCAGAGAACCATACTTTAAATAGAAAGGTTCAAAAACACCTGGATTTAGCCAACTGTGAATTGATCCATTACTTGAGCAGCAAGCATTGTAACTGAGAAAGCTGTTGGATTAAGCCAAATCCTATTTTTGTCATGCTATAAATAATTTATTTGTTTTTCCTAATTTGTAAATTGGGTCTAAAGAGCAACTGCTGCTCAGGCTGCAGAAAATGCTCATTGTTCAAAGCCATTCTGATTTACCCATGGTGGAGAAAGTAAGCAAGAGTTCTGTGCACAGAAGAAAGATAAAAGGCTGAACCTGGCTATTCCCTCCCAAGAGTCTGTCCCTTCAGGTTTGAGTCAAGAACATAGCAATTACACAGATTCAAGAGTCTATAAACTGGCTTAGCAAATTGCACAAGTCTAAGAATAACATGTAATATGTACAGAAAACCCTATCACTTATGTCTGGCAAAGGACTCATAAAGTTATCACTTTTCTCCACTGGCACCTTTTCCATTGTATTTACATCTTTCTTGTAGAAACAATACCACAAAATGGTATCTATCTATTCTTCACATCTTTATCTTTGTATTGACACTTACCTCTTTGAAATTGAGGGTTGCATCTTATTCAAATGTGTAACTACAAAAGTGCCCGGCATAGTTGGGTGCTGATTAGTAATTATTATATTTATAATAACAGATGCTTTTGGCTAGCCTTTTCTTTTACCTAGCCTTGGGCTAAATGCTTAATAGTCATCATTTCAGTTTATTCACAAAAATACCTCATAATAACTATTATTGTTATGCAGACAAGGAAACTAATGCTGACATTACTTGTTTTACTAGTTTACCTGTAGTATTTTGATAGTGTTGATCACTCCTTAGCCCCAGAAATGCTCTTTTCTCTGTGGGTTACACTTTTTTTGGCCTTTTCTTTAGTTGAATCTTTCTTTTTCTTACTGTGCCTTTACTTTTCTCCTCCTACTTCCTAAATGTAGATCTCCCCCAAAGTCTGAGTGTTACCCTTCAACTTTTGTCTCTATCTACATATCTTATTCCCTTCAGGTCTCATCCATTCTCCAGACTTCAAGTATTTCCTCCATGAGAAGTTCTCCAAAATCTCTTTCTCTACCTCTTACTTGGCCTTTGACTCCAATGCTACATATCCAACTGCCTCCAAAGTATCTATGCTTGCCTGTTTCTCTATCATCTCAAACATTAGAAAACCCCTCATTTTCTCTTTCCTCCAAAGCCAGTTGCCTCTAAATAAATTATCCACTTTGAGATACAAAATCATCAGTTTTCCATTCATTCAGGCATAAATTCTCTTTCTTCCCAGGTCTATTCAGCCATGCTGCCAGGGAGGTTCTTCCTTTAAAATGTCGTCATCTTTTTATTGTACTCCAATGCCACTACCTTATGGTCTTTATAACCTCAGAGAACTAGCATCCTAATAAGTTTTCCCTTCACACTCACCCTATTCTCATCCATCTTTGCTCATGTTCTTACATGTTTTCCCATGGAGTCACATTTCTACTTAAAACACATATGCATGGTTTCACATCACCAGGAAGACAAGTACTTGACATCAAAATACTCCAACAATCTAAATCTTTTTATTACATCAGTGTTTTACATGCAATTTGTTTCAATATGCTTGTGATATTAAAGCTTTATTACTAACTACCATTCTATAACACTTCCATTTCAGCCATATACATCATTCTCTGGACACTCCTTGTACTATCTGATTTCTTTCTGGAAATTATTCAATCGTGCCCCATATATATCCACATTTCTTCTTGGTTTATCCCCTTCTATTTATTCTTTGAAACCCAGCCAATGCCAAGCTAACTTTGTAAAGACTTCTGGAGCCAACTCCAGATGCAAGTAGGCCTAGCCTCCCATGAATATTTAAGACAATAACTTCTTTTCAGAGGTTTACATCCAAATCACTTCATAGAGCTTTTTGAAAATAAAAACAAATGGTCCCCATGTCAGAACTAAGGAGCCTCGTTTCTGTGAATAACTTCTAAAAACCCACAGACCACTCAAATGGGCACTCATGATTAAGAAACTTTATAAAGACATTTATCTTTTCATGCATATGGTACTTGCTTTATCAGTAGATTGGGAGATCTTCGAGGACAAGAATTATGAACCTGTATTTGGTATCTCTTAGGAACCTACAAGACTACCTGACACAGTAGAAGAATAAATATTTTATGGTTGGTTCATTTTTATGAATACTGTATTCTGTGTAATTCTGAGTAAAAATCATATGAGAAGACACAAATTCTGATTGTTAGGACTTTGAGATGGCCCCCAAATAAGGAAAATACTATAAAGAAAGTGTTTAATATAGGTACAATTAACCAGCAGTAGTTAATTCCTTTGGGTAGTTTTGGGTTTCAACATCACATAAAATCTCATGGTCACAAGCAATGGGGAAAGGACTCGCTACTATTCAACAAATATTGCTGGGATAACTAGCTAGCCATATGCAGAAGATTGAAACTGGACCCCTACACCTCTCACCATATACAAATATTATTTAAGATAGATTGAAAACTTAAATGTGAGACCTAAAAATCATAAAAATCCTAGAAGGAAACCTAGGAAATACCATTTAGAACGTTGGCCTTGGCAAAGAATGCACAACTAAATCTCCAAAAGCAATTACCACAAAAACAAAAATTGCTAAGTGGGACCTAATTAAACTAAAGACTTTTTGCACAGCAAAAGAAACTATCAATAGAGTAAGCAGATAACCTAGAGAATGGGAGAAAATATTTGTAAACTATGCATTTAAAATACACCTAATATCTAGAATCCGTAAGAAACTTAAACAATTCAACACAAAAATCAAATAACTCCATTAAAAATAGGCAAAGAATATGAACGGACACTTCTCAAAAGAAGACATACATGCAGCCAACAATTACATGAAAAAGTGATCAATATCACTAGTTAGAGAAATGCAAACCAAAACTGCAATGAGATATCATCTCACACCAGTCAGAACGGCTATTACTAAAAAGTGAAAAACAAACAAACAAAAAAACAGATGTTGGAAAGGTTGCAGAGGAAAGGGAAAGCTACACTGTTGGTGAGAATGTACATTAGTTCAGACACTGTTGAAAGCAGTTTGGAGATTTCCAAAAGAACTTAAAATGGTATTACCATTCAACTCAGCAATTCCATTACTAGGTTTATACCCAAAGGAATACAAATTATTTTACCAAAAAAGATACATGCACTTGTATGTTCACTGCAGCACTATTCACAATAGCAAAGACATAGAATCAACCTAGGTGCCTATCAATGGTGGATTGGATAAAAACAATATGGTACATGTACACCATGGAATACTACACAGCCACAGAAAAGAAAAATGAATGAAATCATGTTCTTTTCAGTAACATGGATGCACCTGGAGGCAATTACCCTAAGTGAATTGATGTAGGAACAGAAAACCAAATACCACATATTCTCACTTGTAATTGCAAGCTAAACTATGAGTACTCATGAACATAAATATGTCAACAATAGACACTGGGGATTACTAGAGGGGGAGGGAAGGGTTGAGGCTTGAAAACCTGACTATTGACTACTATGCTAAGAATGATGAGGGGATCATTCTTACACCAAATTTCAGTGGCACACAATCTATCCATGTAACAAGCCTGCACATGTACTCCGGAGTCTTAAATAAGCATTAAAAATATATAAAATGACCATCCATAATAAATAAATAATGAGTCTTATGGTCAGAAATATTTCTGGTAAACAGGAATATTATCTTACTTCTGCAAAATTAATCTTCAAAACTCATCAGAGACTACAAAGAAGTCTTCAATATTAAAAACCCAAGTAAACAGCAGAAAGTAAAAACTTCAATCAGTAGAAGAAAGAAGTAAGGCTTTCATTTTCTTTCTCTTCCTAAGCCAAAGGAGTGTCATTTTCACTAGGCAGCTCTTCATAAGCATGTTTTTTTTTTTTTTTGCTGCTATTCAGCTCCTATCTCTGAATCCAAAATTAAAAATGACAATAATAATAATAACGGAGTCAGTGTTTTTATAATACTCAGTTCTCAAATTCCAGAAAACCTAGTTGATGTTATTTCCTAACCTGCACTCAGTAAACAGGAGATTGACCAACGTCACTTCGTCAGTCTCATTTTTCACCTTTACCTAATTGTCTCTTTCTACATCCCTTTCGCAAACTCAACTGGTTTTAGTCACATTCTCGTTAGGGAAAGACTCATCAGTGAGTGAAATAGGAATTATTGCCTTTAACCAAAGTAGAAAGACGTGAGATTAGAATGTGGATCTCTGTTTCTGCTACTGGTCAGTTTTGTGCATCTTCTCTATTCTTGATATTTGCCATTGACTACAGAAGACATAATATCTTAAATATATACATTTAGTGCTTCAAAGTTTTGTATTATTCTTTAACTGCTCTCTTGAAATTTAGTGGAATTTAAGAATGCAAAATGAATTAGCTTCTAAAAAGATGGTGAGATAATTGGTGAAATTGATCCTACTGCATATTTCTAAGTGTGTATTGATGCCCACTTTTGAAAAGCCATTGGGGATGCACACTTTTGAAAAGCCATTGGGTAAAAATTTATTAATACTATTGAAACAGTAATTCTACCTCTGAATGTATTCTACAGGCATACAACCCAGGCAACAAACGCTCTTTATATAAAATTTTTATTTTTTCATTTTGGTATATCCCTGAAACAGAAAAAATCCTTTAGCAGAGAGCAATTCCTGGAGTCAACCTAGTTGAGACAGGTCAGTGACCAGCACTCCCAGCAGGTTGGTGAGTGAGTATGTGGGTCCCAGGGTTAAGTGGGACGGATCTAAGCAATGCACCACAGTATCCCTTCCAAGGATTGACTATCAGGCCTATGAGATCAGGACTTGGTGGTTAAGGATTCTCTCCCAGGAAGGAAGAGGTCGGCTACTATTTGAGGGCACATGGAAATGGGTGGTATGAATTCAGCTCTGTAACAAACTAAGTGATATAACACAAGTCTCTCCAATTTCTCTAGACTTTACTTTCCTCATCTATGAAAGAAGGAGTTCGACTATCCAAACAGCAAATTCTCTAATCTTCTACCCTTCTCTGATATTCAGGTCTATGAATTTCAATGGCAGATCCCCATTGAACCCATGGAATACATGGACACTTTACAGACATTTCTCAAGATTACCAAATCTCTTAACTCATTCTATTTTTTTAAACTTTTATTTCAGGTTCAGGGATACATGTGCAGGTTTGGTATACAGGTAAATCACATGTCATGGGGATTTGGTGTACAGATTATTTTGCTACCCAGGTAACAAGCATAGCACTCCATAGGTAGTTTCTTTATCCTCTCTTGCCTTATTCCATTTTTAAATTCTTCCTTCTTGAGCCTGTTCTCCATTAACCTTGCTCTCCCTTTTTCTTAATTGACCCCTTTTCCTTGCTTCCTAATTCAAGATACTTGGTGAGACTGGAGATAGGGAAAGGCAGTTAGAAGAGTAGATTCACCAATTCTACTCCCCACCCATCACTTCTGTCTATCACCTAGTTGTGCCAAATGTACCCCTTAAAGATTTCCCACACATATCCTCTCTTCTTCACTCCAGCTGTTGCTCCCATGCTGCAGCCTCTCTTCCATCATCCCCTTCCTGGATTACTGTGAAAGCCATGTAGCCAACTTTCCAGGCTCCAGTTCTGGCTTCCTTCTAATCAATCCTTCTGTTTCCACAACAATATTTCTAAAATGCAAATCTGACCTTGTCAGTTCTTTTCAAGAGCTCCCCGTTGTCAATTGATTAACTCTAACTTCCTTGGTGTGACTAGTATGACTCTCAATGATCAAGTTCTGTATTCCCAACTCATCCTTCACTTCTTCATACTGCTGGGTATGAATTCTTGCTCTCTTACTTACTAGCTGTGAGTTAACCTCTCAGTGCCTCAGTTTCCTCATTCTTAAGATGGGAATAATACCTCAAAGAATCACTATCACTATAAAGATTAACTGTTTTAATACATTGATATGATTTGGCTGTGTCCCCACCCAAATCTCATCTTGAACTATAGTTCCCATAATCCCCACGTATTGTAGGAGGGAACCAGTGGGATGTGACTGGATCATGGGGACGGTTCCCCAAGCAGTTCTTTTGATAGTGAATGAGTTCTCATGAGAGCTGATGGTTCTATACGGGGCTTTTCCCCCCTTCACTCTGCACTTCCCTCTCCTGCTGCCATGTGAAGAAGGATGTGTTTGTTTCCCCTTCCACCATGATTGTAAGTTTCCTGAGGCCTTCCCAGCCATGTAGAACTGTGGGTCAATTAAACCTCTTTCCTTTATAAATTACCCAGTCTTGGACAGTTTTTTATAGCAATGTGAAAATGGACTAATACATACATACAGTACACTTCCAAAAAGGACAAGCAAAATTGAGCTCTCAATCAAAGCTGGTTATTATCATTTTTTCTAAAATGACTTTCTCTACTATGTCTAATGAACTCCTAGTCAACCTTCATCAGCCAACTCAAGTGTTATTTTTTCTGGTAGGAATTTGGTGAATATCTCAGTACTCTTCTCCCACTGCAATATCTTCTAAATTACTTAGGTACCTTGAAGATGCATTTATCATTATGCATTATACAGTGCATTACATTTATTTCTTTAATTTTTGTCTTCCCGTGTACATATTCTCTAAGCTCCTTGAGAGGGACAGTAGAAACTCCCAAACTCTCAGTCAGTGTCCACAGAATATATTAGTCATCTGTCACTAAGGGCTAATCTCTTGTTATCTTTAGGTAAAGCACTATGATAGCCCTGGAGATCCGTTGTCACTGCAATCCTACACTCCTAATTGCTTTGAATGGAGTGAGGCACTGTGGGACTCAGTCTGTCATCTTCCAAGAGAAGACCCAGCCTAGTTTTAATACCTCCACTTCACTCTCATGGACCACTTGCTGTTGTTGTTATTTTTTCCTTTTTGACCTGCAAGTGGATACAATATTTCAATACCTAACTAGGCAGCTGCAGCTTTGGAAAGGAATTTACTTTATCCAAGACCAGTCTGATAGGGCAGTTAGGAAAGAGTCATGTGAGTAGATGCTAGGGATTCTGGTAATGAAATCCCGCCAGTTTGTTATGGAAATAGAATACAGTCTAGTCTACTTGCTGTGAGTATTTAACGTAACATTTTGCTGGGCACAGGAGAAGCAATTAGGCTGCTGAAAATTCTGTTCACGTTCCCCATAATTCAATACTGACCACTGTTAGCAGTGCAAGATGTGACAGGACTGATAATTAATTTTGCATGAAATCAGTGTAATAAGAAGGAAAAGCAAGGAGGGAGTAGAAGAGGGAAGGAAGGGGATCTATATTCGGCGGTAGATCAAATGTTACTTCCAAAGATCTGATCATAACTTCTGCAGAGCCAGCTTCTGGGTAGAAGACAATCCAGTCAAAATCCAATACTGAAAATGAGTTTCCATACTTCACACAGGAAAAAAAAAAGTTCATGAAGGCCATCTTTGGCCATGTCCTCTCTTCCTTGAGCTAAAAACTAACTGGGCGTTTTTACATTGATAAATAAGTGAACAGTAAGCTTATCTAAGGCCAGTAACAAATGCTGGGTCTTCTATTCCCTTTGTGCTTCTCCTCGAAGGAAATTCTTACTTCAAACACTTTGTATATGTGTGTTCTATCTCAACGGAACCATCACAGAGCTGAACTGCCTTGAAGCATCTCTTATCTATTCATTCTGTTTTCTCTCAGATTTTAAGAGTGACAATTTTGGAGGATTTACTTCTTTCTAAAGTTTCTAACAACCATAGCAGATAACTGTGCTGGCAGTCAGATAATTGGACATGAATTGTTATTAGAAAATAAAGCATGGACCTTTTGATACTGATATTCATCTATCCATCCATCCATCCATAAAAATGCCAGTATTGGAAGAAAAAAGTGATTTCGACTAAGTCGAATGCTGGATTAACCGCACTGCGGTGTGGTAGAGGCATCACCAGCTACCAACTTCCTGGCATATTTCAGCCGTGGTTTAGTGTGTTTCCTGCTAAGCTAAAATGAAAGGTTGACTTAGACAGAATGGTTTCTGATTTATCTTTGTGCCTGGGAGCTAGGCACTGTGAACCTGCCTAGCTCCTGGTGGGCAAAAGGTAGTCAACACATACTGGGTGAAATAAGTAAGTATGTGTGTGCATTGGTTAGTGAGCCAGTTAGTTAAATCTTTTAGGATTTGGTAGTATTTGGGTCACATGGAATTTTAAAAGATCTTTGGGCAACACCTAATCACTGGTACAATTCTTGTCAATTACTTGTAATAAGAGAACCTAATGCTAATGTGAGTTATCTATTTGCTACTTGAAGTTAAGAAGTGGTTTGGCTAAACAATGCAAAACAAGGACAGGGTCTGAGGAGCTGGAAGTGTACTTTGTGATGCTTGGGATATCATAGACAGGAGAGAGGCAGCTTGGAATTAAGCTTTTTCCTCTTAGAACCATTGATTGAGATCTGAGCAAATCTTACACACATACCAATTAAAAATTGTACTCACTGTAACAACGATAACATAAAATAGTGGCATAAATGCCCCAAATTTTATCCCTTCACATTTAAACAGTTTAAGCATTATAGTTTAAGGCTGATTCAGAAATTTCATCTGAGACTTCTATATTTTTTATCTTTGTGTTCTGGCATTCTTAATCATAACTTCCATCTTTAAGATTACCTTATGATTAAATAGGCTTCTGAAGATCCAACCACTACATTCATAGTACAGGCAGCAAGAAGGACAAAGGATGTCCTTTGCAACTGAGTCAGATGCCTTTAAGCAGTCTTTCTGTATCTGCCACTCAACACTTTTGCATACCTGACACTCACCAAACTTAAAGCAACATACCAGCTTGACTGTTAGAAAAGGTGAGAAATGTTTTATTTTCTTTCTTAAAAAACTAAGGCAGTGTTATTTCAAATAAAATTGGAGATTTGGTTCATTTTAGCATTTTATTTTTATTTTAAAATTATTATTATTTTAGAGACAGGATTTTGCTCTGTCAGTTAGGCTGCAGTGCAGTGGCTTGATCCTAGTTCACTGCAGCCTTGAACTCCTGGCTCAAGCGATCCACCTCAGCCTCCTGAGTAGCTGGGACTACAGGCATGTGCCACCACACTAGACTAATTGTAAAATTTTTATGTAGAGATGCATGCCTCACTGTGTTGCCCAGGATGGTCTCAAACTCCCGGCCCCAAGCAATTCTCTTGCTTCAGCCTCCTAAAATGCTGTGATTACAGGCTTGAGCCATGGTGGCTTGTTGGGGATTTGTTAATAAGAAAAAGAGACAATGGATTTTCATGGGAATTGGCAGTTTCTTTTACATGGTTACAGAAAGCTTGCCCCCACTTTCCATCAGTTTGCCACCCTTTGGCTGGCTGTCCTTTCCCCTGGACTTTCTAGTCACCAGCAAAAAGATCACTGTACTGCAGAGGAAGGAGATGTCCCTGGAGCAGCTCTTTATCCACTGGAAATGTGTTAGCCAGAGACACCCGACCAGCTCTTCAGAGTCTGAGAGTCCTCATGTACTATTCAATACCCTGGTTCAACTGCTGAACCAATGAATTTCCTCCAAGCACTCACAAATGATTGAAAAACCATAAATATAGGTGATAATAGTAATAGGGTGAAATATAAACAAAGTGTGCAAAGAAGGGGAAAACATCTAGAATCTTCATGTTTCTGAGACTATAATTTACTAGGCATTGACATTAGCATTGATTTATGTGAATTTCTGATGCTTCTGTGGATTTAGACAGACCCCAATAATAGCATCACAGTTCAGTGTCTTATTACCATAGCATATTATATATTTTTCACAGCTTAGTTTGATTTGCTATATGTTAACTAGATGGAAAATTTCCTAATTGCCTTAATAATTAATGTCAAAGAAATGACAACAGTACTATTTATTCATGACTTAGTATATTCCAAGTATTATGCTATGCATGATCCAGCTATATTTTAATTTAATCCTCAGATATTTTCCATTTTACAGATTAAACAAGTGCAACTTTCCCAATCTCACACAACTACTTGTGGAGCCAGGATTCCATACAGGCAATGTGAGTGCACATCCAAAACTTGAAACCACTGAACAATAATGCTTTCTGAA